>NC_000009.12:5010000-7510000 GCF_000001405.40 Homo sapiens | reverse complement strand
CTTCTGGAGGAAATTAGAGAAATAAGGGCTGGATGAAGAGAGATGTAAAATCCCAGAAGACTACTGAATAGAATATTCCAGGCTCACTGAAGAAAAATCTCCAGACCTTCCTACTAAGACAAAAAAAAAAAAAAACAGACTTGTTTTGTTAAGGAAAACATGGCCAGTGCTCGCAGTGTGATTTTTATTAAGTATATTTTAGTGCTATAGAGGTTAAGTTTTGCAATCCGATTTTCGGGAAGACCGCAGTTTACTTTTTTTCTTATCTCTGGCTGCTTAAGAATAAACTAATGCTGACAATAACTACCTACTTTCTGAATGATTCGTTGAGCATTTCACAAATGTAAAAATGCTTTCACAATGCTTAACAAAAACTAAGAAATACAAAAAATTTCATGTGGAAAACACCACAAACCAAGACCCACAGATTTATTCACTTTCTCTAAAACCTTCTAGTCTGACAAATATGGCTTTTTAAAATATACATTTTATTGGTTCAGAGATATGCACAGTCATCTTCAGTTTCAGAAGATGAAGCAATGGCTAATTTAAGCTATTTTTATGCCTAATTAATGCTCATATCTTTTATGGTCTTTGACTCTCCTGACCCTGAGATGCTATGATCCAGCAGAATTTAAGAGAGAGACAGAGAGCCTGTTCTTGACACTACTGTTACATTAGTTTTTGCTCTGCCCCTTCTATCCACTTTTTATATTCTCTTCCTAACTTTTTACCCTTCTCCACTTAATGCCCGTCACTAAGATACCCACTTCTATGGCAACAGATAAACACCATCTTTTCTATTGTAAGCCTTTCAATTGTTTCCTTAGATCCATTCTCAAATCACATTTCTTTGTGTTTCTTTGTAAGAATTAAACTTCCAAACAATTTCATTCTAGTGAATTTTATAATAGTAAACTATTAATGGCAATATCATATTTAATATGTTGCTCACCCTAGGAACATTTGGAAGTAAATAGGACTACTAATTCATTGTACCTATATAAAATTTTGTTCTTAAGCAACACTTCAAACTTTGTGTCATGACATTGATTATATCTCATCCATCACCCTCCTGGGTTTCAGCAAATCAGAGATTCTTAGAGCTGGAATAAGTCTTAAAAGGCTAAGTTGTATTTATCATTTTTCAAATTAGAAAATGGAAGCCTAGAGAATTGAAATGATGCCCAGGTCACTTAGAGAGTCAATGAATGAAGTGGGTCTAGGGCTCAAATCCTGACTCCTAATTCAGTGTTCTTTCCACCACAGCACATAACCAGTTCCATCTCGTACTGTCTCAGATCCCAAGTGCTTCACTCAATGCTACTAAGAGACTCTTTCAGGCACAGAATTCCCTGGCTAAATAGGAAAAGATGGTAGAAAGGGTAATGTGATGTTAAGACAAAATCTACCTCCAGAATGCCTAGTGGTATTGATAAGTGGTATATGCTACCTGAACAGTGATCCAAAGAACACCTAATGCAGGAATAATTTGTATAATATTTTATGCTATGAAAATATATCTAAACATTTTACCCATGCTCGTACATTTTTGCATGACTACAACCTCCACTAGCAAATCTGCCAAGGGTGTCTTTGTAGAAAAGGGAATCAAACAGAGCTGGAAAGTTGTTGATGAGTAGTTGATAAAAATGAAAATAAATTATATAGTAAGCAAAGTAAGCAGGATCCCATCAGAGAATCAAAAATTATATTAATAGATGAGAAGAATTTCCTATAAACTGGAAGTGATGGGGGCCTCAGGAGAATGACCTTTGAAAGGATCTACTCACACACTGTGCTTTGTTGATATCAAACATCTGGCTGGAGAGAAAACCATTCAGTCAATCAACCAGATGTTTAGTCTACCCCCTGCCAAACATCTGGGCGATTGATGGGATCATTTCCTTTTCATTAGGGAGCTTGGCCACAGCAACCCAGAGGTGCAATCACAGCATGAGAACACAGCATGAGAATGACGGATAGCTTGACCCACCAGGATCCCCAGAGTGGGACATTTTTCAGGTCTGTGTGGGTCAATTCAACATCACTTTAGTTTGAGATTTGTTGGCTGTTTGTTGCTCCGAGACACTTTGATGCCAGCACATTTCTAAATCCCTACTGCATAAAGAACCCATGGAGGTTCTGAGATGAAAAAGAACACCTTATTGACATTCAAAAATAGGAGACCATTGGCTGAAAGCTACACTGGTTTCCTCCCAAATTGTCATTAAGTGACCTTCCTTTGCTGTTTCTACTGCTGTCGGGGAAGAGGTGGCGACATTTTGTTGGCACTGGCCTCGGGACTCGTAATGAGTATAGAACTTGGCTCCATTATAAAACATAATCCATCTGACAAAAGGAAATTATTTAGTGGGCACTCTCTTAATTATAACAATTTAGAAGAGGGAGAAGTTGAGGACAACAGCAGAAAGCATAACAATGTCACTTAATGAGAATTTTGTCTTTAGACTCCCTTCTGGTAGACCAGCATCCCCAAGGATTGAAGAGGAAAATCAACATTTACCAATAGTTTCTTGAATTCTAGTCAAAGACAAGGGGGAATAGGGGGAAATAAGGGAGTAGGAGCAAGCAAAAAAAAATGGGGAAAACAAAGGGCTGTATTGTCTTTATATTGAGGAATAACAGGATGACTATGACATTTGTGATTTATCTTCTGGAATTTTTTTCTAGGGGTAGAAGAGGCCTCTGGAGTGAGGGTATAGGCAGTCAGCCATGGGTCATGACTTACCCAGAAACACTGCAAGCTCTGATTCTAGGGATCTTCTGAAAGATGATCTGCAATTTTACTGATAGCCTTGTAGGGAGGCTGACCCTCTGAAGAACACAGTGTTCCTCTCCGAGTTTATCATCCTTGCTTACAACCATAACAATGCTAATGCCTCGCAGGTGTTCAGAACCCTGTCATTTTCACAGTGCTTTCATACAGATGACTTCTTTTGATCCTTGCACTTCACTAGGTGTAGTTTAAAGAAAATGGAAAGAAGAACATAATCAAACCTGGACTCTATGCCTATTACTTTCCAGACACCTTGCTAAGTACTTTCTCATGGCATCTTATTGGGACTATACAAATAAGGGCACATGTATATGTACTTCCTTTTTAAATGAGGAAAATATTGGTCTCAGAGAGGCTAATTTACCTGAAGTCACCCAGCCAGTGAGTGGAATTATAAAACTGGATTGGAATTTGAATCCAAGTCTCTTCCTAAAGCCATGCTTTTTTAGACCATGTTGCTACCACAATCAATGCTTTAAATTTACCCAAAAAAAAAAAAAAAAGCAAAAGACCTTCACTATAGCACTCATATTCCAGAATATAATGTAGTGACATAAAATCCTCATATGTATATATGTGTACATTTTTTTTAATATACACAAGACATCTATATTGGGACTCTTCTTGGAGGCCATCCATGCTAACATTAGACTGTCTTTGGAGTGTCTGAATAAAACAGAGCCAGTTTGATAACATTTATTTAGTCAGTCATTGAAAATCTCTAGAGCCACCATGTACTTAGTAATGTGTACTATACTAAGAAAAAAATATATGAGATGATCCCTGCCTTCAAAAAACACATAATTTTTCTGAAGAAATTAATAAATATCCTGTATACAGTAGAATAGTATTTAAGTTAATACTTGAATTTTACACATTGGTATAAGAAACTACTATAAACAGAATAAGATGGAATATAACTGTTAAATTTTTCCTACAGATAATAATTACTGTAGAGATCTGCTGGATAAGATCAAACAGTACTGAAGTGGGACCTGAGGAGGATACTTATTTTTTTAAGCTCTATCCTATCTGGGGATCTCTCTGGAATGAAATTGGAGGACGTCAGTAACAGGTCACATTCCAGGACCTATAGCTAATCAATGTAGAGCAACTCTGTCAGAGTGGCATTGTTACCTTCATTTTATAGAAGGGGAAACTAAGGCAAACATAGAATCCAAACCAAGGTCTCTCTGATTCCAAAGACGAAATTCTGTTTCATAAACTCGGAGAGGCATGGAATTTTTAGATATTAAAGAAAAAAATATGTATTTTGGGGGAAGGTTTCAGAAAATCTACGAAGTGGGACTAAGAGAGCCATGTTTGTTACACAACAGAATTAGATGAATTTAAATAAAGGTATTTACTTTGTGAAGATAATGTGGATAGTTAGGCCAAATGAAGATTTTTGGAAGGAAAGCAAGAGTTTTCTATAGGAATTAGGAGACTATTGTCAATTCTTTACCAAGATCTTATTTGATTATGCTGACAACAGTCTATATAATGGATTGGAATAAGGAAATACAGGAGTAGAAGAAATCGTTTTCTGTTCTAACGCCATTGTGATGAAAAACTCATCTTAATAATGATGGAAATCCATTCAGATCAGATCTTTGGCTACATGCAATGCATAGTTCAGTCCAGATGGGTACTGACCAAATCTGTGGAGAGACGTTTGAAGTAACCTTACCACTGAGAGGATTTGGGTGATATTTTGAGGACTACCTGCAGATACTAAAATCTGCAGATACTCCAGGGGAATATTTTGCTTCAGTGCTTTTCCCCAGGGTCATTTAAAATGTAGAGTCTTTCTTAGCTTAAATTTATTCATTTACAAAAATCTGAACATTTAGATTTATTTTTTGTTTGATTTTTTAATCTAAATCTGAAGTGAAAATTTGAATCTCCTGTTAAGGTAGACATCTTCTCAGCACCAATTCGCACATACAATGACTCCAGGGAAAGTTTCTGAAGCAAAACTTTCCCCTGGAATATCTGCAGATTTTGGTATCTCCAGGAGGTCCTAAAACCAATTCTTCGCAGATACCTCAACAATGTACTTTCAGGCTTAGACTTCAAAACTCTTCTCTTTGTATCTGCATTCATCTCCTAGGTAATCTCATTCATTACTGTGGTCCTAAATACAATCTCCACACTGATGACCACTGAATTCACACCTCTGGAACTAACCTCTACCTTGAACTCCAAACAAATATGTGTAACTATTGGCTCAACATCTTCACTTGGATGTCTAAAGTTATCTCAAACTTAACATGTCTGAAATAATACTTTTAATACCAACCCAATATGCTCCCAGAACTTCATAATCTCAATAAATGCCAGCTCCATTTTACCAGATGTTCTGGCCAACACTCCTAGAATCATTTATGACTCCACTCTCCCAAACCCCATGTCCAATCTATCAGCAAATCCTAATAGATCTACCTTCAAAACAGATCCAAGCCCACTTCTGCTTGAAGGTCTTTACATTCACTGCTCCCTCAGCCTGGAGTCATCTTCCCCTATGTGTCTGCAGTGCTTATTTTCTCACTTCTTTCAGGTCTTTACTCCGAAGTCACCTCCTCAGGAAGACATTTCCTGACCACCTTATGTTAGGAGGTCCCTCCCCCAACGATCACCCAACAGCCTTTTCTAACCTTGTTTCTAGTACTTATTTCCACCTAATTCAGCAGCCGCTGATGTCATCCTACTTATATCTCCTTGACCATACCCATGGCCTTCCCTGGAGTTCACCACAGACACCTTCCTTACAGCCTATGGCTTTATTTGTCTCTATGATAGATGGTGTTATTGATTTCCTCTGGCCATGGAAACATATTCAGTCTGTGGACAAGGCTGGCCAGAAATGCTGAGAAGTTAGCACTCTAGGAAGCAAAGAAGTTTGCGAAAAAATACCCCAGCTTTTTATCCCACAAGAGGAAGTCTCTGACTAGTTTTCTGCACTGACCTTCAGCAGGTCCTCAGGGGCATTCAGCCCCAGTTGCCCCACAGGAACCCCCTGATTAATGTGCCCTTTATTGAATTTTCTCCTTTCTGCAGCTCACACCTCTACTCCCTCACTGTGCTTCATGGGGTTATCTCCTAAATAAACTACTTGCAGCCAAATCCTTTTCCTAAGGTCTGCTTTTGGGGGAACCCAAAATGAAACATTTTACATGTTTATTTGTTTATCACCTATATCCCTCACCACAGGGAAAACTCCACAATAGTCAAGTTGTTTCATTCCCAGTTCTACCTCAGCTTCTATGTTCTTAGCACATAGGAAGCACTCAATAATTATTTTGTTGAATGAACTTGACTGCATTTGCATTTGATTTCTTGCCATTCGGCTATAGCATCATGGGTTGGAAGGTCTGTGCTATTGACTTGACAGAGAAGACAGAATGGAAGAAGGAAAGCAAGATTGTGAAAGTTGGGGAAAAAAAGCAGGAAAAAATGCATATTCTTTCTCACATGTCTTTCAAGGTCACAGGAGCAAGCTTCTGATAAACAGTGCCCAAATCAGAAGTGGGAGTGGTAATTTGGGGGGTCATGAACTCGGCTTCATCACAAGGCTCTCACACTCACTGGAGCAGTGGGCTCCATCACTGGAGCACAACAGGAGGACCAGGTAGGGAAGGAGTTGTGGACAAGACCTTATCCCCTTCCAGTGCTTTCTCTCTCTGGTCACCGGCCTTTCATCTGCATCTGAAACACAAGGGCTTCTTTGAGTGGCAGCCCTGCTCTGCTGGTCACCAGCTGAGAGGAAAGGTGAGGAGTTCGTGGATGTATTTGTTCTTGACTTCAATGAGCACCTCTTTATTTGGGGAAAATCCATCATTTCAAACACATAAGAAGGACCCCACCAAGTAACAAAGAGAAATGTTCATTAGGATGTTCCAGACGCAGAAATCTTCACCAGGAAAACAACAGATGACCCCATTACAACAGGCTCCTTGAGGTCTACAGGCCCCATGAACGCAAGTTCAATTTCAAACACACAATTGAATGAAAATGGCAGCAATTCTTTTTCCTGGAGATTCCAGAGCAGCCTCTCCAGTGAAAGCCATGAAGTTCTGGGTAGAGGAATGGAGTATTAGAGCTGAGTTTGGCTACCAGCACTGGATGACACTGACAGATGGTACAACCCTGGACAACTCCCTTCACATAACCTAATCTCACCTTCGAAATTCAGAACTTGAGGCAAACATGCTCTATCTAACAAAGTTGTCAGAATTAGATAAAATCATGAGAGAAACATTCTGGCACATCTTAGCACTCAATACACATTTGCTAAAATGCTAAAATGCTCCTCAGTGCTGCTCCAAACTTCACCACATTAAGTGGAGTGACTGCTTCCCCTCTGCGTGCTCCATCTTCCCCACAGACTAAAGTGTTTCCCATTTCCAAGGGAACAGGTGATGAGAAAGCAGATCTGAGCGGCTGATCAGATACTAAGTAGAGATGAATGTGAGCATAAGGTGGGAGGGGGAGTGTTATGTCAAGTCCATGCCTGTACATTGTCAGTCTGGGAAGGTGCACTCCTGGGGCATAGAGATAGGCCTTCTCTTTTTTCCTTCCTCATAATTCTACTTCACATCAGGGTCTTACAGGGCCTCCATAAATATTATTTGCAGATGATATCAGTGATGCTCTGCCTCCCACTCCTCCCCCTTGGATGTCTGACCTCATCTGAAAGAAAGCAGTCTTAGCAGTCCTAGCTTCCCTGTTCCCATGATGGTCAGGGAGGAAGGGGAGGAAGGGGAGGAACTATGGGGAACGGTGGGGCAGAGCTATTGGTGGCCTTCCACCTTCCTGCATCTGTGAGTCCCTGTGGAAAAGAAGTCCTCCACATTCAATGGAGGAACAGCCACAGCTCAAGGCAGGAGTGTGAGAACCCAAAGGCTGCTCAGAGGATTTCCCAATGGGTCTGGATCTCTTGAGGATAGCAGGAAGAGGATGGACTGCAGGACCATCAAGCCTATGTTATGCCTACTTAGTCAGCCCAAGACTTTTCCTGAATGTGTTAGAATCTCCTAAAATTACTGTCCTTTTAGGGCCTTAAGAATCAAGGAGAAGAAGAGAATAAGAAGGGAACTGTGTTTATCGGTTAACTAGTATGTGCAAACTGACTTATACCAGCTTTCTATACATTGCTCATTTAGTCCTTTTAACAACTCTGAAGTTAGTGATACATGTTACCCATATTTTATTTGGAATTCATATGGGTTAAAAAAAACGTGCCCAAAGTTATACAGTAAATGTGCCCTTTTTCACCTCACCCCACTGCTCAAGCAATGCAGGTTGTCAAAGATCCTTCCTATTGCTGTGAGGCATGTGCCATCAGAGCAGGTCATTTTGTGTGCAGGCATTTTGGCTGAACCCTTTGAATGCCATTGCTTGATAATCAGAGACATCATTATGGCATCATGAATGCATGTGCATGTGTTAGTGTGGAGAACCTGTCTCAACTCACATTGAGGACATGATCACTGAGAACAAGAGATGGAGAAGAGCTTGGTCCTGGGATAAGGGGAAACTGCTGTTGCAGAAAAGACAACTGTAAAGACACCATCAAAATATTATAAACTACGATTACCCTCCTGGGAGAATCTACAAAATGTATATTTTGTACAAGGCAACTCACCCTGTAGACTGTGGGAGGAAAAAAACCATGCCTACAGTACCCTAAGGAAGTTCCCTTGCTTGCATAAAACAGCCCTAGGATAGACCAAAAAGAAAGGCCTAACATCTTTGATGAAGAATAATTCAGTCTGAAGGAGAATGACAGTCTTTAAATCTGCACCTCTGTATCCCACCCCACATTTTCCAGCCTTACTCCAGGTAGCTACTCCTCTACCCTAGGTGCATCGGGGCACCTAGAAAGTCACTGCTGCCAATTTCAATGCTGCTATGCACTACCCTCTGTAGTGGCAAGAAAACAGAACTTGGAGTGGTAGAGCTTCAGCACAAATCTTCACAACATGGACGTTCACAAGGAATGAAGGCTTAAGCTAGTACCTTACCTCGCTGAATTTTAGTTGCCTCACCTGAGAAAAGAAGAGGTTTCTAGGAGAATTAAGTTAGACAACGTAAGTAAGCCAATACACCTACCTGCTCAATGAATGGTATCAACTATTGTACTATTGGCAATTGCTATTTCTTTGCTGATTCTGAAGTTTCCTAAAAGTTTAAGTGCTGCACTGTCTGAAGGAGATGAAGAGAGGTAATAAAGATGGCAAGGCCTCTCCATGCTCTTTCATTCTCTGATAATTTCTGGTTCCAAAGAATCCAGAGCTCCATAACCCACTTTAGTCCAAAGAAGCAGGCCAGAGAGACAGGAATGGAATGATGCACACTTAGAAACTGCCTGGGGCCAGTGTGCAAGCCCTCCCTTCTCTGCTGCAGAGACCCGGGCTTTACTCAGCTCCACAGGATGCCTCCATTTGCTGCCAACTCATGGCTTTGCTGTCAGGTGAAGCCAAGGCACATCCAAAATGAGAATGTTACTTACCACCTACTTGGCTTTCATCCAAATGTCTAGGCTTGTCTAGGGCATAAATCCAGGAAGCAGCCCTGGAGAGATGTCGGGTACTTTAAGATGACACTAAAGCCTGTGGCATGGACAGAGTAGAGGAGGCAGGAGAAGATGAAGCAGTGATGATGGTTGCTGTCTCCTCGACAGATTAAGGTGAGAGAAAGTGCCAGACTGGAATTCAGAAAATGAGTTAGTTCACCAGCCTTTCCATTTACTGGATGATTCAAATTTCTTGAGCCTCAATTTTTTCATCTACAACATGGGTTGACGAAGCTACATCTCTATAATTCCTTCTACTTCTAAAAATCTGTCTTAGGAAAAAAACGAGATTTTTAAAAACAAAAGAATAAGCCAGTTTATAAATAATTATGTAGACCCCACAGGATTCTCTGTGCTGTATTAGAGTGTTTAATTTAAAAGAAATATTGCCTTGGTCCTCAGTTTATGATTTTGACCTGACATTAAGGGCTGATTAGGTAGCCTATGGCAATATACAGTGATGATAAATTAGAATGTGTCCTGCACTAGGAATCGAAAGACCTGACTCAGAATCCTGGATCGATCCCTCCCCTGAGCTGTGCAACCTCTGGCAAATCACCTAACCTCTCTAAGCATCATATCCCTTTTTGCCTACTGTACAGAGGTTTGGCAGTCATAAAATCAATCATCAAAGTGAATGCATTTTGTATTCTGTAAAGCTGTAAACTAACACAAGACTTCATAAACACCATTACCATTATTTCCATTGTGGCCTACTTACCACAGCACTCTACAATGTTTTCACCAAGTTTGGATGATAAAATACCCCCAGCATCCTCCCATTTGAACTAAACTCTGACATAGTAGGCAAAGCTCTGTCTATCTCAGCCTTGTCTAGACATGGCTTATAGACAAGACACAATGATGGGGAAAGAGTGGCAGCCACTATCTAGGGACTAGGAGGCTGCTGAGATGGCAGAGGAATCAGCAGAGCTCCCAGTTGATTTGGTCCGTCTTTGGAGGTGTTCTGTGGCTCAGGTCTCTCAAAAGGTTCTGGTCTTCATAATATTTACACAAAGAAATCAAAGTAATTTGGTTAATGGGCACCAAAAGTACTGTTGCAAAAGTGGTGGAGTCACCAAACAGCAAAATAAAAAAATTTGCCCTATATTTTCCTATTGTGAGCCAAGATGCTAAGATGAAATTCAGAAGCTGAAGAAGTCTTCATGGAATGCTGAAGGTCAGTAGCCCTGTAGTGACAATCTTACGAGGCTGTGTAAGTCATCTGGAGGGTGGCTCAGGGACCTTTGCTACGGTACACAAGGCAGGCATATTCTCCCTGGTAACTGGATTCCATTAGCTAATCTTGCTCCCTTCACAGTGGGACTGGATGTTGGGCATGCCTAGTCAATCAAGTAGCTCATAAGTGTGGTTGTGGTGCCGGATAGCTCACCCAGGTCAAAGGCATGATCCAAAACCAAGTCTACACATACACTAAATCCACAAGCCAGGAAGCTGGTATAAGCCATGTCCCTAAAGCCAAGAGGGAAATTCAACAACTAGCTGAGTACAATGCACAAGCAGAATTTAAGAGCCAAGAAGATAATCCAGGAGTTTAGTTGCTAAAACAATAGTATGTTCAAAGCCAGTTGAGGCCGATGCCTGGTTGAAAAGTTTGGGTCATCATGGGCAGTGAAGCTCTCCTAGGAAGACCAGCCAAGAGAGTAGGAGGAGTCATTTTGAAGTTGCCGTGTGTTTAGCTGTCCCAAGCTGTCATTTAGCCTTTACATTAGATTCATGAGTGAAGACAATACTAGAGTAAAGACACCAGCAAGGAATGTTACAACACAACCAGCTCCATCTTCTTCTCTTCTACCACCTAAACCTACTACTCCTAGACTGGAAGGAAATGTGTGAAAACATTTTCAGATGGAATGGATATGATTCTATTTTGTCCCTTCTAAAATGTTACCTTTTGGATATATGTTATTTTTATAGCCAATAAAATATAGAGTATACTATAAAAACAGAAAAAGAGGAACATTTACCATTCCTTATCTTAGTCATTAAGGTCTGCTGCCACTGCTAAATACACTACGGTAGATATTTCTAGAAAGTGTTATGGGCAGTACTGATGTACCCAATTCCAGTGTCACACATCTCTTTTAACAAAAAAATACAGTCCCTTGTTTCCCAATAGTGGTGACTCAGGCTACTGTGGATGGCTAGCAGGACTGCTATTCTTAAATAAGCAGGATGTTTGGCTTTCCTCAAATTATACCCATGGGCGGTCATCTCCTTTTGTTACATGTACACCTTCTTTTGGGTCACTGGAGTATCTCTGACATTGTAGACTGAGGAAGAAGGAGGAAAAAAAGAAATAAAGGGCATAATATCAGCACACACACAATCCAATGAGGCATCCGCAGTATAAATATCTCCACTGAGAGAATGCATCTCTAACTGACTAAAGCAAAGATTGGGAGAAAGTGGAGAAGAACCCGAAAAAGCCATTCTTTTGTTTGGCAGCTTTGATTAACTCTACCCATATAATCAATTCCTCTAGAATACTTGTTTTGAAAACAGGACTGTGTTCCAATGTGAAAACTGAACCTAGCTAAACACAGCAAAGGAATACACAAAACACACACACACAGGCACACATGCACATCTCAATAGCAATCAGCTACCTCAGTTCACTGCTTCTGTTATGAGCCACACCCATCGACATCTGGTATTCCAATTTCCCATCTGATTTCAGCTGACCCTCCTTCCAGCTTTTCAGTTATTCACAAGCATCCACCTTCTGATGCCCACTGTCATAGGCAAACCTCATATCATTTTCAAGACAAAGTGCCCTATTTATTTTTTTATTTGTCTATGTCTCTACTGTTTAACTGTGTATAAAACTGTGCTACAATTTTTATTCATTATTCTCTGTTTTTTATGTGTCACTGATAAAGCTCTTAATTGTTTTACTTCTAACCCCATTTTTCTGCACAAGCCCTATGGTTTTTCTTGTGTGATTTTGATCAGCACACCGATTTTTAGAACACCTAATGTGACACACATTAAAGAGCTGACTATACAAAGTTCTGCTCTTGGCATAGTGAAAAAAATCAGGTATAACCCAGGCAGTGTGTCCATGCAATAACTCCTTTCCAGAATTTTAGGGGAAATTTATGCTTTTCTAAATCTGAAACCTCAAGGAAAATTAGTTTAGAGACTGGGAAAATGGGAGAAAGCATAATCCTCCGGTGAGAATTAAAGTTTAACAATTAATATGAAGACATTACTGGCTCTATAAGCCTCATGGTAACCACAAAGCAAAAACCTTTAATAGATATGCTAAAAATAAAAAGCAGTGAATTAAAACACACTACTAGAGAAAATCACTCAGCCACAAAGGAAGGCAGTAAGAAAGGAAGAGAAGAGTTAAACAACTAGTAAACAAGAAACAAAATGGCAATAGTAAGGCCTTACCTATCAATAATAACATTGAATGTAAATGGACTAAATTCTTCAATTAAAAGACATAGAGTAGCTGAATTAAAAAACAAGACTCAACTATATGCTGCCTTCACCTATAAACACATACATAGATTAAAAGTGAAGAAATGGAAAAAGTTATTCCACAAAAATGGACATCAGAAAAGATCAGGAGCAGCTATACTTAGATAAAATAGATGTTAAGTCAGAACTATACAAAGACAAAGAAGGTAACTGTATAGTAATAAACGGGTCAATTCCACAATAAGATGTAACAATAATAAATATATATATGCACCCAATACCAGAGCACTCGAATATACAAAACAAATATTAATAGGTCTAAAGAGAGAAATATGATGGAAAACATTAATAGTAGAGAACTTCAACACTGTACTTTTGGCAATAGACAGATCATCCAGGTAAAAAAATCAAGGAAGAAACATTGTAGTTAAACTATACTCTACATCAAATGGAACTAACAAACATTTACAGAAAATTTCATTCAACTGCCGCAGAATACACATTTCTCTCATTAGTACACAGAACATTCTCCACATAGGCCATATGTTAGGTCACAAAACAAGTCTCACAAATTCAAAAAAGTAGAAATTATATCAAACTTTTTTATTAAAATGGAATAAAACCAGAAATTAATAACAGGAGGAAAATTAAACAACGTGCTTCTGAACAAACAATGGGTCAGTGAAGAAATTAGGAAGAAAATCTAAAAATTTGTTAAAACAAGTAAAAATGGAAACACAACATACCAGAACCTATGGGATAAATACAAGCAGTACTAAGATGGAAGTTTATAGCAATAAACACTTACATAAAATAAATAAACACCCCAAACAAACAACCTAATGATACACCTCAAGGAACTAGGAAAGCAAGAGCAAACCAAACCCAAAATTAGAACAAGGAAAGAAATAATAAAAAGCAGAGCAGAAATGAACTCAATTGAGATGAAAAAAAATTGGAACAACAAAACAAAAAGTTGGTTTAGCTAGACTAAGAAAATCTTTAGCTAGACTAAGAAAAGAAGAAAAGAGACCCAAATAAATAGACACAAAAAAGGAAACATTAAAACTGACACCATAAAAATACAAAGAATCATTAGGGACTACTAGAAACAACTATACATCAACAAATTAGAAAACCTAGAAGAAATGAACAAATTCCTGGAAACACCCAATCTACCAAGATTGAAACATGAAGAAATAGGAAACTTGAACAGACCAATAACGAGTAATGGGATTAAAGAAGTTAGACATTATTGGCTCTAAGGAACCCACTAACTTCAGGTGGAAAACAAAACCAGGAAATTCTCACACATGATATCAAAAGCCAATGTCAGCATTTGTAGGAACCAGAAGAGAAATGCACAGGAGAGAAGAGGTCAAGTTCCAATCTGTTGGTCTTGCATGTAGCTATTGACCATGTTGTTGGGATGTATGTGCAGCCGATCTAGCTGCTAATGGTGAGTCATGCTCACATTAAAATAAAGATTAACAAGTTTATATGAAGAGTATTATATGACTACTATGAGTGGTTTTTAGAGAAATAAATTTTCAAAGAAAAATAAGTTCTTAATCGGCAATTCTGATACCTGATTCTCTGTAACACTATTTACCTTGCTGAGAGATACAAACATTATATTATTTGAATACTGCTCAGTGATGTTGCTGGTGTTTTCCAGTGTTCAAATATTCATTATAGGCTTCATTTTTTGGTAAATGCTACTAAAATATTATTATTTTTTTTTTTTTCTGAGACGGAGCCTCTACTGTCACCCAGGCTGGAGTTCAGTGGCGCGATCTCCGCTCACTGCAACCTCTGCCTCCCGGGTTCAAGGGATTATCCAGTCTCAGCCTCCCGAGTAGCTGGGATTACAGGTGCCCGCCACCACGCCCAGCTAATTTTTTGTATTTTTAGTAGAGACGGGGTTTCACTATGTTGGCCATGCTCGTCTTGAACTCCTGACCTCATGATCTGCCTGCCTCGGCCTCCCAAAGTGCTGGGATTACAGGCATGAGCCACCGCACCCAGCCAATATTACTTATTTTTTAAGCTGTCCATTACATATCTTTTAACAATAAGTAAAGAGTATAAAGAATGTTGGATATATTTTTTAAATAACTTATGATGTGGGGCATCCCTGAAAATGCCAAAGAATTGCAATTTCTCATTTCCAAAGATTAGTATCTTTCTGGGGCCAGGCACGGTGGCTGACATCTGTAATCCCAGCACCTTGGAAGGCCGAGTTGGGTGGATCACTCTGAGGACACAAGTTTGAGACCAGCTTGGCCAACATGGCAAAACCCCATCTTTACTAAAAATACAAAAAAAAAAAAAAAAATTAGCTGGGCGTGGTGGCAGGTACCTATAATCCCAGCTACTTGGGAGGCTGAGGCAGCAGAATCACTTGAACCAGGAAGGCGGAGGCTGCAGTGAGCCAAGATCATGCCATTGTGCTCCAACCTGGGCAACAAGAGAGAAACTCCGTGTCAAATATACCTATGTATTTATTTCTGGAATTTGGAAATGCTAAATACAGGCATGGTCCTTGGCCAAAATACAGCTCAACTTCTAAGGAACCTCAATGGCATGTTCCTCAAAGGTATATTATAGGCTTGCAATTTGGGATCCAAAGTCCCTGGAACAATATACTATATCCCACAACTGTTCTCATTTCTCTCTTGACCAGTTAGAGTTAGAATTCAGAACCAGCTTATTAATATTTTTTTAAACTCAGGCTTCAGACTTAGACACCATTACAATATGCACATGTGTGCACATATAAACACACACGCCGAAGAGACCACAGTTATAAAAATCTCCTTGGTCTTTTAAAAAAGCAGCCTCCCTTGGCCCAGAAGTCCCAGTCACTATTCGAATGATGGATAGAGGTTTCCATTTCTCACTCAGTCAGCCAGCTCTTTGTCTGCACCCCTTAATTTCAGAAGAAGCAGGAATTCCTCAGCAAAGCCCTTTCGAGGTTCACAAAGGCACAGCTGCCATAAATCAAACATTGGTGACATTGGTGAAGTCAAGGAATAGTGCTGCAAGTAACATTTTCCTCGACCTTGCTGAGAGAAAGTCAAGTCTTGAGTTTAATGAAATGAAATATCTTTATTGTGAACATGAATAAGCCTGCCAGAGTAGTTCTCTTTTGAAGTGACTTAACTGGTCTGTGAAGAGATTTAAGCCCAGTCTCCCAAATCCAAAGGCAGAAGCAGCCTTCATCACCCACCTGGAGGTATAGCCAAGGGAAGGCTGTTTTCTAAGCCCAGAGCTCTGTGCAAAGCTAACTAAAGCTGGGACATCTTGAAGGCATTGAAAGAAAATGAAGCAAACAAATGAACAGTGAATCCAAGAAGAACCAAACTCACCTGTCTCCTGGCCAGTATTTTCTCTCCACGGGCAAAGTAAAAACCCATCATTAGTAATAGACAAAGAAAAGGATGGCATGGTCTGCACTCTGGATTCAAAAATTGACTTTTTAAACCTGCAGACGAATTAAGTTATGAGTGGATGAAAAGATGTTACAGTTATTCATACAGTGGAGAGATTTTTCAAAATACTCTGGTAGAGTCAGAAAGCCCACTGAATTTAATTTGAATTCTAAAACTTTTATTAAAGATACAAGTGTGTTTTTGTTTTTAAACCAAGAGATAATTTTGTCCCTGTGTTATTAAGGATTAATGTAACTCAAAGGCAGACGTGACTTCTATAAAATGAATTTTATTTTTTTCCTCCCTTTCTTCTAGCTATCTGGAAAACAGTAAAACAATTAGGGAAAGAACAAAGAACTTCTCTATGTCTTTAGTTACCCTTGCTGAAGAAACGAGTCCCATATTCTCAATGCTCAATCCTTCTAAGGTTTACTGGGCAGGTCCTAACGGTTTTACTGGGCTTGTAAAATAAACATTTCTGAAGTTGAAATAGTTCACCTTGAGAAAACTTGTTCCAAGTTTTTATCCCCTCTTTTGGATATGGTCCTGACCTATGAACCTGATACAATGAGTTCCAGGTGTTGAACTCTGTGTGGGAAGGAGGTCCTGTCTGCCCTTAACTTTTCATAAAGAGTCCCTGCCCAGATAAATGATTCTCATTGACTTTTACAGATGATTTTTCTCTGGGCTCTCTTTCAACACCTAACTTATACTTAACGTCTTTATCTTCATACACACCCGAGAGAGAGAGAGAGAGAGAGAGATTCAATAATACAGATAATTTCACACTTTATAATTTTTTTTTTGAGATGGAGTCTTGCTCTGTCGCCCAGGCTGGAGTGCAGTGGTGCGATCTCGCCTCAATGCAAGCTCCACCTCCTGGGTTCATACCTTTCTCCTGCCTCAGCCTCCTGAGTAGCTGGGACTACAGGCTCCTGCCACCACGCCTGGCTAATTTTTTTGTTGTTTTTTTTTTTTTGGTAGAGACATCGTTTCACCGTGTTAGCCAGGATGATCTCAACCTCCTGACCTCGTGATCCGCCCACCTTGGCCTCCCAAAGTGCTGGGATTACAGGCATGAGCTGCCACACCCGGCCCACACTTTATAATTTTTATACAAAACATTCCATAATTAAAACGGTATTTATATAATACTTCTAAATTGATAGAGCCATTACAAAGATTTATGGTAGAAAACAAGAGATGGACTCCAACAATTCAGAATTGTCCCCAAACTCTATTGCCTGCCACAGAACATAATCCATGTTTAAAACAAAAAAAAACACCAAAAAATGGCTGACTTACATGAGAACCTATGGATAAAAGCAAGATTATGTGAGATAAAGAGTAGGACGGATAAAGAGTCTGAGTTGCAGTCGCAATGCTCTACAAGCATCTGTATGAATTTAGGAAATAAATCAATCTCTCTGGCGCCAGTATTTCAACTGCAAATGGTAGATTGCAGTGAATGTATCCTAAAGTTCCTTTGTAACCCTGATATTTTATAACTGCATTTATTTCTTAACAAGTTAGCATGTCTTAAATTGGGAGGCTTTCCAACAAATGCACCTTAAAATTGCTGTTGACCAGGTGGCCATCATATAGTTGTCATTGACTAAAAACTTGGTTAAACAACAACTTGGTGTGTAGTAGCTTGGTTGTTATGCTTGAGAATAAGAAAAGACAGCTGTAAGCTTTCAACATTTTAGTTACAAATTATTTGAAGACCATTAGAAGAAGGAATAGGAGAGTTGGTTGTAACTTCTATTGGCAATTTCTGGTAAGATCAAGAGAGCACCAGAAACAAATCTCATAAAATGGGTTTAGAAAAAAATCCTGGAGACAATAGTGGTACACTCATAAGAAACATTGTGACACAAAATACTTGATGACAGCCAGCCACATTCTGGAGGATAACGCAATCATTGACAGCCTGTTGCAAAGTAATTCAAAAGAGCCTACCTCTAAACGTGAAGAAATCTTAGAAATTCACAAACCAATTTATATTTTTCTTTTTTTCAGATAATATGAGTGATAAATGATAAAACATATGTGTTAATCTAAAAGACCTCTTGCATTAAACATAATATTATGTATTATGTTTAATACATATTACTGTACATAATATGTAAAGTATAACATACCTGTTGGTCTTGATAGGTATCATGTAATATTTATAAGTAATGAGAAAGCATTGTCATAGTTGCATCAACAACTTTTTTTCATCTGCATATGTAAATTAAAAGTGCATCTTAAATCTCTGACATCTCAGAAGAGGTAAAATATAGCATGCATAAGCTAGATATTGGAGGATCCTTATAGCAACTTCTGTTTTTTGCCCAGCATCAACCATGAAGAAGTCATCAACTTTTCTTGGAATTCCTAAAATCTTTTTGTACCAAAGTGTTATGGGGCAATACTGATTGCACTAAAGACTTCCAAAGATATATGGAGAAGGAATATTACATCATTAGTTGTATACTCTGTTCCCAGGCAAAAATAAAATCCCCATTGGACCAATTCTCCTCGCCTTTCTCAGGTCTCCTCTTCTTGCACTGAATTTGACTCATCTTCTTTCTTCTACCCATGTTTTAAAACTCGTTTCCTTCTTCTGGTTGTTGGGGACCTGTGTATCATTAGGGTTTGCGTGTACTCCTAGAGTACGCTTACCAATGCTTCCTTTTGACATCTTCAATCTTTCCCTAGGAAGGAATTTTTATACTACCGCTAAAAAGATAAAAATTTCTTCATGTTACCTGTGATTTATTTTCCCTCCCAATTGGCAATATTTGCTGCAGAAAAAGAAAAAGATGAAAACCTCAGTCAGCAATTTAAGGCACAGATCTGTGTTTGGAAACTTGTAATTCTCTACTCATGGACCTTACCACAATTTCCCAAATCATAAAATTGTGAACTACTGCAAGAGAAAATACACCTAGACCAAAGGAAAGAATGACACATCTGATGTCTACTGTAATAAAAAGTAATATTTAACAATAAAACACACAACTGTGTGATTTATTAAATGGAGGCCCTTCTGGAAATTTTTAACTCTAGAGCAAAGGACTTGACTGTACATTTTGCTTTAGGGTTTGGACTTAGTTCACAAAAATTGAATATGGCTGCTAAACCCTTTGAAAGGTTTTTGTTTGTCTATTTATTTTTTCTCTTGCATTAAGCCTGTGGGACTGGACACAGAGAGTGAAAGTAGGTTGTTTGCTTGGCCAGCATCCATATTCCCTTCCTGCAGCAATAGTACCTTGATTTCCTTTTGTGGATTTCACCTTTTCCCTCACATTCTGCCAATGTTGTTTTGAAAGAAATTGACAAAGGTAAATCCTGATTGACCTGAGTCAATTTGCATAGCTAGCCCCTTGGCCACAGGGATTATTAGATTAGCACGTATCCCAGTCAGACTCAATGAGACCTTTGCTGCACCTTCTGGAAGAAAAGAAACCCTCTCTTTTCCTCTGGCCTTAGCAGATTGAGGGAGTAAAAATCTCACTTCTCACATTGCTTTAGCCACCTCAATGCTATGAGCGGGAGCCAGACTGCGGATAAAGGCCACCCCCAGACGATGGTGAGCTGATAGATGTCTGTTGTCTACATTGTTTGCACCCTGAATCAAGCCACTCCTAAAGCTAGCCTTCCCCAGAGTTTTCAGTTACATAATCCAAGAAGTTTATTTTTTGCTTAAATCACTTTGTGTTTCTTTCGCTTGTAATATAAAGAGTCCCAGACAACATAGTGTACGTTTATAGCATCTAAAATAAGAATTCATTCCATATTTATTTTCTCACTCATTTTTAAAGCATTTACAGAGTACCTATTATGTGCCAGGCATTAGAAATAGAATAATGAATACTCTCCAGACCCTGACCCTCCAATAGGACAAGCTAGAGGTATAAGCATATGATACAATGTAATATGGATGAGGTGGAAGGCACTATCAGAAGACACAGGATGAAGCGACTAATTCAGCCTATGAGCGCCAACAAAAAACGTTAGCAGGTGAGGAAGGGACATTCTAAGAGAAGTAAATAGCTTGTGCAAAGGTCCAGGAACTGGCATGGCTCTTCTGGGAAACCACTGAGAGTCTGTTGTGTTTTGCACATGGGTTCCTGAGCTAAGGGCAGAGGGATGTGACTGGAAAGGTAAAATCCTTTATCAATTTTAAAGGACTTTGTACATCTGGTCATCAGTGACTTATGCACAAAGGGATGTCACTGTCAAGACCTGAACCAATAAAAAGATGCAGACATCTTCAAGTGGCAACATGAGTGCGTTTTCCTTGTCTAATCACCTGAAGCTGCCTGACTCAAGCCAGAGTTGCTCTCCTAACTAGGCCTCACTCTCCTCCCCCACCTCTGCTACAAAGAAGAATTGTAAGGCTGATGCTGACAGCCTCCTGTGCTATTGTGCATTTCAGATATTCATCTGTGCTCTGGAAAATGGCTTGAAATTCTCCATGGAGAGTGCAGACAGAAAGGTCAACAATTATGCAAAATGAGTAATAGGCTTGGAGCAATCAGGCCACACAGCTGTTGCAATGAATTCTCGGAAACCCGCCTGCCAGGTGTCTGTGTCTCTGCCCAATGGCCCTGGCCAGGCATCCAAAGCCAAGCCCTTAGTTAACTAGTATTCCTAGACAGCTAGGGGAGATTCTGAATGAAAGCAGAGAAAATCAGAAAAGCCACAGCTCTGTGTACAGGAAAAAAAAAAAAAAAAGTCTTCTTGAGGCTCCACTAAAGGCATCAGTGAATAATCTGTTCTCAGAGGTAAGAGGTTAAACAAGGAGCCAAGAGTTAAAAACTCCAACCTGGGGCCAGCCACACTTCAATGCATAGCCATGAAAATGCCTGAAGTGACCTTCTGTTCTGGGAGAACATCATATAGCCTCCACTTTTTCTGGAGAGGGAATATCAATCCAGCAGGAAAACATTGCTGAGAATCTCCTATGTAAAAGGTGCTAGGGAATGCAGAGACAAATCACACCTTAGGGTCCAGGAAAGAACAGGCAATCAGCCAATGTGTGCCAAATGTAGGTTAGCGAAGCCAACTGCTTTGATAAAAGAGGAAGGGAGTTTCCACATACGGAAAGCATGGCATCTGTTCAAATAAATGGCTGTTCCACAGGTAGGTGGCATCCTCACTGATAAGGAAACTGAGGACCAGAAAAGTGATCCAAGGTAGGGAGAAGAGAGATTGGAAGTAAGTCCAGCCCAATTCCAACATGACACCATTTCCCACTTTTCCAAGGATGGCAGAAAGCAAGAAAACTCTTTCGTAGGTAAACCTCAGCTTTTGAACTAGGATTTATAGAGTTTTACCAAAGCCAGGGTACAAGAAAAGGCACATCTTTCTATAATGTCACTGTCTTAGTCAGCTCATGCTGCCATAATGAAAGGCCATGAACAAAGTGGCTTATTTTTCACAGTTCTGGAGACTGGGAAGACTAAGATCAAGGCACTGGCCAACTGGGTTATTGGTGAGGGCTGTCTTCCTGGTTTGCAGACAGCCACCTTCTCATTCTGCTTCACATGTCTTTCTTTAGTGCATGCACTCAGGGAGAGGGAGAGAGAGAAAGCTCTCTTCCTTCCTCTTCTTATAAGGCCACCAATCTTATTGGATTAGGACTCTACTTTTATGACCTCCTTTAACCTTAATTATCTCCAAAAAGTCTTACCTCCAAATACACTTACTTTGGGGATTAAGACTTTAACGTATGAATTTGGTGGGGGAGAGGGACACAATTCAATCCATAGAAGTCACTTTTACTTGAAAAATTGGGAGGTGGAGAAATTGTTTTTTAAACCAAAAGAAACTCAATTCTCTATGGCTTATAATATAAATTGCTAAAATGTTTTAAGAGGAAAAAGTGGGTCTTCTGGTTATACCATGAGAGTTTTGAGGGCTTACCTTTAAGAATGCTGTGACAATTTTTGAGAGGTCTCAATAGAGGGGAATAGAGGGAGAAACACCTGGAAAGATAGGATGGAGCGAGTAGGTGGAGGGTCTTGAATCCCAGATGGCATGAATCCCTGAATGCTGATGAGGCTGACCATTTTCTGTTAGTCACTCCAGTCTCATTCTCCACCTTCTCCCCTGTTCTGAGCTCAGGACTCTTGCAGGCTTCCTGCTCTCTAACTTCCCCTTGGGTTCCCAGCAGGGGAAAAGTGGGCAGGGGAGAATGAGGTCAGAGAATTTACCCCATCCCTCATTGCTGGGCCCCTGCAGATCATCTCCTTTACTGAAGGCTGTTTCTATACAGCTACTCTCTCTGGGTTATAGTCTTCCGGTCATTATTTCTTCCTTTTGTCCCTTCAATCCCAGAAGTAGTAATGGCTTCACAGTGCTCCTATACCTAGGGTACGGCATCACTTCCTAGCAGTCTTCAAAAATCCTATCCATACTCTTGCAAACAGTCCATTCAGGGATAGCTTCATAGGAGTATGACTCACACAGTCTCACAGAGTTCCAAGCTTAGAAGTGCCTACACTTGCTTTAATACTTGAGATTATTAATAATTTTTGAACAAAGGCCCCCATTTTATTTTTATTACTTTTATTTTTTGAGATGGGGCTTCACTCTGTTGCCTAGGCTGGAGTGCAGTGGCACGACTGCAGCTCACTGCAGCCTCAACCTTCCCAGGCTCAGGCGATCCTCCCACCTCAGCCTCCCAAGCAGCTGGGACTACAGATGTGCACCACCACACCTAGGTAATTTTTGTAGAAATGGAGGCTTGCCAGTCTTGCCTAGGCTGGTCTCAAACTTCTAGGCTCAAGCGATCTGCCTGCGTTGGCCTCCCAAAGTGCTAGGATTATAGGTGAGAGCCACTGTTCCCGGCCTGGCCCCCCGTTTTTATTTTGCACTGGGCCCCACAAACTAAATAGCTGCTCCTGAACCCTTTATTAAACCCTCTGCAAGCACTGCATTCAAGTATGCCGTCTGTTTTTTTGCCAGAACCCTGGCCCCTAAGCCTCCTACACAGAGAGGAGGACACCCCTGGGCTAGCTGATTTGCTCAGTAGGAGGCAAGACTTTTCCCCCAAAACAAAGGAGGCCTTGGGAAAAGACACAGGTGTTCTAACTGGGCTAGTTTACTCCTGAAGCTGAAACTGAAATCAAGACCATGGGGCTGGGCACAGTGGCTCATGCCTATAATCCCAGCACTTTGAGGGGGCTGAGGAAGGTGGATCACTTGAGCCCAAGAGTTCAGGACCAGCCTGGGCAACATGGCGAAATCCCATCTCTTAAAAAAAACTACGAAAATTCGCTGGGCATGGTGGCGCTTACTTACAGTCCCAGCTACTCTAGAGGCTGAGGTGGGAGGGTCATTTGAACCTGGGAGATAGAGGCTGCAGTGAGTTTTGATCACGTCACTGTACTCCAGCCTGGGCAACAAAGCAAGACCCTGTCTCAGAAAATAAAAATAAAAATATCATGGAAGGCAGCAAGCTGAGGCTGAGGCCTGCTGGGTTCAGGACTATGGAGATGATAAAGGTTCAAGTCCTGGCAACACAGCATTTTAGCTCATAACACTTGGACCTCAATCACCGTTTCTGAAACCTCGGCTTTGCCATCTGGATAATACCGGACCTAACTCGATGAACAGTTGTCCACCAAAAAAACTGTAGGTGTATTAATCTCTGGTACATGACAGAATGTGCAATAAATATTTGTTAAATACATAGTTTGAGTTTATATTTAAACTCAAAACAGACTGTGAACTAGGAAGAAGGAATATGGAAGAAAAACAATAATCCAACCATCAACTCTTTTTTTCCCAGTGATACGTGGAAATCAAGGATTCTCTCTGCTGGAGAGTCAGATGGAAGCCGAAGGTCCAGAGCGCTATGGTAGGCACTCCAGATTCCAAAACCCGTGCCTCTGAGCAAGCTATCCCAGGGACAGTAGGGTCATTTGTAAAAAAAAACACAGCAGGGTAATGACTCCAAAAAGTAAGATACTCCTTTCCTATTCCCCACTTGGTGAGAACTGAGTGGCACCATGACCAAATTGCTCAGCTGCATCTGGATCATAAGTAAGGACATATTAATTAATTGTGGACCAGTTCTGCACTGATCCTGCCCACCCTTCCCCAATGGCATAAGAGCACTTTGGCCTCTGTAAGTCACTGGGTCATGCTTTCTCAGCACTTAATAATACACTTATTGGGTACCTACTGTGTACTGGCACTGTGTTAGGGACTTTCATTGTATTGCCTAGACTGATGGTCTGCAAAACTTTTCTTAAAGAGCTGATAGTAAATATTTTACGCTTTGCAAGCCGGATGGTCTCTACAATCAAACTCATATTTATTAACAAATATTTATTGCACATCCTGACAACTCTGGCACTGTAGTCTAAAAGCACCCACAGTCAACATCTAAATGAATAGGCATCTCTATGTTCCTAAAAAACCTTATATACAAAAACAGGTGGCTACTGTAATTTACCAACCCCTAGTCTAGAGCAGTAGGCTCTCCAACTTGCGACTATGTCGGAATCCACTGGGTGGCTTGTTGAAGCACAGACTGCTGGGTCGGACCCTCAGAGTTTCTGATTCAGGAGGTCTGGTGTCAGGCAGAAAATTTGCATTTCTAATAACTTCTCAGGTGATGCTGCTGCTGCTGCTGCAGCTACTGCTCCCACACTTTGAGAACCACTGGCCTAGAAAGTGTAGCCCTTTTTTTTTTTTTTTTTTTTTTAGGTTTTTGGGATGCATGTGCCGGACATGCAGGTTTGTTACATAGGTATATGCGTGCCATGGTGGTTTGCTGCACCTAATGACTTATCACCTAGGTATTAAGCCCAGCATGAACTATTTTTCCTAATGCTCTCCTTCCTCCCACCCTACCCTCCAACAGGCTTCAGTGTGTGTTGTTCCCCTGTGTCCATGCATTCTCACTGTTCAGCTATCACTTATGAGTGAGAACATGAGGTGTTTGGTTTTCTCTTTCTGCATTAGTTTGCTAAAGATAATGGCTTCCAGCTCCATCCATGTCCCTGCAAAGACATCACTTCTTTCCTCTTTATGGCTACATAGTATCCATAGTGTAAATGTACCATATTTTCTATATCCAGTCTATCATTAATAGGCATTTTGGTTGATTCCATGTCTTTGCTATTGTGAATAGTGCTGCAATGAACATGCATGTGCATGTATCTTTATAATAGAATGATTTAAATTCCTTTGGGTATATACCCAGTAATGGGATTGCTGGGTCAAAGGGTATTTCTGGTTCTAGATCATTGAGGAATCGCCACGCTGTCTTCCACAATGGTTGAACTAATTTACATTCCCACCGAAAGTGTGAAAGCATTCCTATTTCTCCACAGCCTTACCAGCATCTATTGTTTCTTGACTTTTTAAAAATTGCCATTCTGACCAGCATAACACGATATCTCATTGTGGTCTTGATTTGCATTTATCTAATGATCAGTGATGTTGAGTTTTTCATATGTTTGTTGGCTGCATAAATGTCTTCTTTTGAGAAGTGTCTGTACATGTCCTTTGCCCAATTTGTGATGGAGTTGTTTGCTTTTCTCTTGTAAATTTGTTTAAGTTCCTTGTAGATTTTGGATATAAGCCTTTTGTCAGATGGATAGATTGCAAAAATTTTATCCCATTCTGTAGTCTGTCTGTTTACTCTGGTAATAAGTTTCTTTTGCTGTGGAGAAGCTCTTTAGTTTAATTAGCTCCCATTTGCCAATTTTTGCTTTTGTTGCAATTGCTTTTGGTGTTTCTGGCTTGAAATCTTTGCCCATGCCTAAGTCCTGAATGGTATTGCCTAGATTTTTTTCCAGGGTTTTTATAGTTTTGGGTTTTACATTAAGTCTTTAATCCATCTTGAGTTAAACTTTGTATAAGGTATAAGGAAGGGGTCCAGTTTCAATTTTCTGCATATGGCTAGCCAGTTTTCCAGCACTATTTATTAATAGGGAATCCTTGACAGGCACAGTGGCTCATGCCTGGAATCTCAGCACTTTGGGAGGCCAAGGCAGGCAGATTGAGGTCAGGAGTTCAAGAACAGCCTAGACAACATGATGAAGTCCCGTCTCTATTAAAGATATGAAAATTAGCCAGGCATGGTGGTGCACACCTGTAATCCCAGCTACTCAGGAGGCTAAGGCATGAGAATTGCTTGAATCCAGGAGGCAGAGGTTGCAGCTGAGATCACATCACTGCATTCCAGCCTGGGCAACAGAGCAAGATCTCAACTCAAAAAAAAAATAGGGAATCCTTTCCCCATTGCTTGTTTTTCTCAAGTTTGTCAAAGATCAGATAGTTGTAGATGTATGCTCTTATTTCTGAGATCTCTATTTTGTTTCATTGGTCTATGTGTCTGTTTTTGTATGAGTACCATGCTGTTTTGGTTACTGTAGCCTTGTGGTATACTTTGCAGTCAGGTATCAAAATGCCTTCAGCTTTGTTCTTTTTGCTTAGGATTGTCTTGGTTACACAGGCTCTTTTTTGGTTCTGTATGAACTTCATAGTAGTTTTTTCTAATTGTGTGAAGAATGTCACAATTTTAATGGGAATAGCAGTGAATCTATAAATTACTTTGGGCAGTATGGCCATTTTCACAATATTGATTCTTCCTATCCACAGCATGAAATGTTTTTCCATTTGTTTGTGTTGTTTCTTATATTCTTGAGGAGTGGTTTGTAGTTCTCCTTGAAGAAGTCCTTCGCTTCCCTTGTTAGCTGTATTCCTAGGTATTTTATTCTCTTTGCAGCAATTGTGAATGAGAATTCACTCATGATTTGGCTCTCTGCTTGTCTGTTGTTGGTGTAAAGGAAAACTTGTGATTTTTGCACACTGATTTTGTATCCTGAGACTTTGCTGAAGTTGCTTATCAGCTTAAGGAGCTTTGGGGCTGAGATGATGGGGTTTTCTAGAAATAGGATCATGTCATCTGCAGAGACAGTTTGACCTCCTCTCTTCTTATTTGAATACCCCTTATTTCTTTCTCTTTCCTGATTGCCCTGGCCAGAACTTCCAATACTATGTTGAATAGAAGTAGGGAGAGAGGGCAACCTTGTCTTGTGCTGGTTTTCATGGGGAATGCTTCCAGTTTTTGCCCATTCAGTATGATATTGGCTGCGGCTTTGATATAAATGGCTCTTATTGAGATATGTTCCACCAATACCTAGTTTATTGACAGATTTTAACATGAAGGGATGTTGAATTTTATCGAAGGCCTTTTCTGCACTATTGAGATACTCATGTGGTTTTTGTCTTTAGTTCTGTTTCTGCGATTAATTATGTTTATCGATTTGCATATGTTGAACCAGCCTTGCATCTCCGGGATGAAGCCAACTTGATCATGGTGCGTAAGCTTTTTGATGTGCTTCTGGATTCAGTTTGCAGTATTTTATTGAGGATTTTCACATGGATGTTCATCAGAGATATTGGCCTGGAGTTTTCTTTTTTTGTTGTATCTCTGCCAAGTTTTGGTATCAGGATGATGCTGGCCTCATGAAATTAGTTAGGGAGAAGTCCCTCCTTTTCAATTTTTGTTTGGAATAGTTTCAGAAGAAATGGTACCAGCTCCTCTTTGTACCTCTGGTAGAATTCAGCTGTAAATCCATCTCACCTTAGGCTTTTAAGACCACAGCTCTGAAGCTGAGTAGCCTATTTGAATCCTGCCTCTTTCACCTGTTAGCTAAGTCACCTTGGGTAGTTTATGTTTCTTTATATTTCTGAGCCTCATCTGTAGAATTAGATGAATAACACCAATTTCACAGGATGTTCGGAGTTAAATGAGTGAATGCATGTGAAGTCCTTAGACCAGGGCCTGGCACATGATCAGTCCTCAAAAACTATTAGCTCCTGCTAAATGTTAGCTGATATCACCTCATTTTATTCTCCCAACAACCCTGGCCAGTTTATAGATGAGGTAGCCAGGGCACAGGGGGTTAAATGCATTGTCAACAGCACAGAGCTGGTAAAGGGCACACCCAGGGCCCTCTGTACTGTCCTCCCTCCCTAGCACCTGAGTCAAACAGACCTTCCTCATTGCCTCCATGAGACCCAGAAGAATAAAAGCCCACATGGAAGATGGGCCTTGTGAGCTAGGAAGCATTCTGATCTGTGTCCCCAGGGTCTGCTCCTGGAACTCAAGTGCAGTTATGCTCTTCAGACTCTGACACCCTCTCCTGTGCTTCCTCAGGCCACACTGGGACCAAAAAACAAAGGAGCCCTCCATCCATCCTTTGCACCCCATTTTCTGTCAGAAGCCACTGACCTAAATGGAACCACCCTGGGCTAGTTTAGGTCTTCTAACATTTACTGGCAAATGAGTTAGATGTTTTACATATATTATCTCATTTAATCCTCAATATGATTTTATATGGCACATACTCTCATTATGATCATTTAACAAATGAGGAAACTGAGGCATAATGGAAGTTGGCCTAAGCCACGCAGCTAGTGAGCCAGCATGCCAATGCAGAAACACAGATCAGAATGCTTCCAACATTTTTGTTCTTTTTACTTATGTAATCTTGTCTCCTTATATAGTTGAGTAGTAAGAAGACTAAGGAAAGAGAGCATTAGTTATTGTTTAGAGCAAAGAACTTGAAATGTCCAAAATGAAGCTTTCTCTCATAGGCAATTTTGGCTAATTTATCTGAAAAAATATGAATAAGTTTAAGTGAATCCATACCTTTCAGGTAAAGACGTGTTTGTAAATGTACTCTTACCAATATGAAACAGGAAAAAAACTGTGTGAGTTTTGCTCATGCATAGGTGGCTTTTATGAGAAGTGGGGAGAGACTTTTATGAGAAGAAAAGTAGAGCTGGAGTGGCTTTAACCCCTTATCGTTAAGAATGAAAAGGAAGAATAATCAAATGTACGCTGAAAATATAACAGCAAATAAGCTCCGAGGTGACATTTGGGCTATGTAGTTTTCTTCTAGCTGTGTGACAATAAGTGCCTGTTCAGCTGGCTTTTCCCAAAGCCAGAGAAAGGTCTCTTAGCTAAAATGTCACAATGCATCTTATTTTCTATTTTCAGTGTGTGTTCTGAGGGGAGACTGACACTCTGTCTTGCCCTCACTCACCGCTTAGAAAATAACAACAGTACAGCACAAAGAAAGTTAGGAAGGAAGGCGCCACTGTGGAGCTGGCTCGAGCTCTCTGACTTTCATTCCACAGAGGGTGCAAGCTTTGGGTGGAGAAGAGGTGGAAGAGATGAGAGGAGGTTCTGACATAACCTCCAAATGTACACTCCTAAGAAGTCACAACAAAAACATTTAACCTATTTTGCACAATTATGTGATGCTCTGGCAAGTGGTTGTTGGACTTACATTTAGAGATCAGAAAATTTTTATTGGCCAATTTAGTGGTTATTACTAAAGGTCTTCGGTCCAAAGAACAGCTGTCATTTGGTGATCTGGAGGTCTGAGCTCTGCCTCAAAGGAAGTCATGACCCTCCTTCTTTCTAAAACTCCCTGCCCCATTTTGGCTTTCAAGGCCACACATAATCTGTCCCCTGCCTACAATGTCAGCCTCATTCTCACCGCTCATTCTCTATTCTCTTGGTATTCTGCTGCTAGTTTTGTTGTTTCATTATTACCAACAGAGGTCTACACCCATGTGGTCCTTTCTTCCTGGGAGATCCTCTAAACATCCTACACCTTCTTTCCTATAACTTCATCTCCGTAACTCCTACTTTTCCATGACCCTTGTGAATCTGGGCCATGTTGTCCAATCTCAGAAGTATATTTGTGTTCAGAGGAGCATAGTCCAGAACCAAAATGTATTTTCAAAATTACTCAATCTTTTCACCGACACATGAAACCCTGATTCTACTGTCTTCTTCCAATAGAATTATTACAAGGGCCAATCAACTGATCAATCCATGTGCCAGCTGCCATTTTTTATTCCATACTTCCTGCTGTCACAGGAACAATGTTTCTAAACCGTCAGTTTCCTCTGTCCATCTCCATTTCGAATCTTTTCACTCAACTACTCTAGACAAATTACGACCCCAAAACATGCCGTCTCATTTTGCGTTGGTCATTTTCTTGATCTGGATTGCCCATCTACCCTTTTAGCCTGTCCAAACCCTAATAATCTTTCATAACTTAGTTCAAATGCCCACTCTTTGATAAGCATTTCAACAGCCGACCCTGTCACTTTTTCCTCTGTTGTTTCTGCTGTCCTCTCTTATAGGGCTTGCAGTATAATTTACATTACTGTTACTTGTTTATAGATCTGTTTCTTCCACTAGAGGGAGAATTCCTTGAAGTCGAGGGTTTCTTCTTACTTCCTTTTGGGTCCATAGCAAAATGATTTGTACAGTAGGTACTAATTATCTACTTACTGAATTTAAGTTCATATGTCATTTTAATATTTACATCGCATTTTCACATACATTTACTTATTAGTCATCCCAATGGATCTATGAGACATATAATATTATCGCAATTTTAAGAGGAAAAAGTGAAGCTCACAAAGTTAAATGATGAGTCTAAAGTGGTACAGCGTGGAGGTGGCCGATCTAGACTTCAAGCCAGGTCTCCAACTCCCCTTGTAGTTGTGAACGTCTATGATTCCGTAATTCTGTTTCAAATTTTATGCCAGAAAGGAGAGGAAAATGATTATTTCATTATAATATTGCAGAGAAAAAAGACTGGCAAATGCTCTTCCGTTATATGCAAGCTTGTATTATGCCCCATTGGAAATGAACATTATAAACATTAGCTTCAACAATGTAACATAACAGCAGCTTCTTTTATTAGCATTGTTTAAATATTTGGGTAATAAGCAGGAACACCTCATCAAACATATGTTCTCAGTCAAATATATATCCTCTATGCAAATTGTATGGAGTTATCTTTATTAGGTGTTATTTATTCAAAAGGCGGAAGGTGCCAACGTGCAGAAAATAATGAACAGACTGGACTGTGGAAAAATGGCTTAATTATGTAGGTCAAGAGTCCTTAACCAGACAACCAGAAAAAAATCACTTTACAGAAAGCATTGGGGGAGGGGGAACTGGCACAGAGATATGCATATATTATCTCCTGGCATATTAAAATAAGACTTGACTAATGTAAAACCACCTTATACAAAGTCCCCAAAAGAACAGAAATCTTTTCCTGTGGGTTGAGAGTGCCAAAACTGGCACAATGAAGGACATGTTCAAGGAGGAAGAACACGGTTTTGCTAATCTGAAGGTCTTTATTTGAATCTCTCTCATGTCCGTCACTTCCTATCTGGGTGATCCGGGACAAGTTACTTCCTTCTGAGCCTCCTCGTTCTCTTTGTGAAATGGGGATGATAATAATATTGAACTTACCAAATTGTTTATTATTAAGAGTAACTGATAAAAATCTACGTGACGCTTTTTCCTGGGGGCAGCAGCCGGGCTGAGAGGAGAGTGGCTGTCTACTCTCTCCGCCATGGCGTGTGTCCGCCCACTGATGTCGCTGTACTCCGAAAAGGGGGAGTCATCTGGCAAAAATGTCACTTAGCCCGCTGTATTCAAGGCTCCTATTCGACCAGACATCGTGAACTTTGTTCACACCAACTTGCGCAAAAACAACAGACAGCCCTACGCTGCCAGTGAATTAGCAGGTCATCGGACCAGCACTGAGTCTTGGGGTACTGGCAGAGCTGTGGCTCGAATTCCCAGAGTTCGAGGTGGTGGGACTCACCGCTCCGGCCAGGGTGCTTTTGGAAACATGTGTCGTGGAGGCCGAAGGTTTGCACCAACCAAAACCTGGCGCCGTTGGCATCGTAGAGTGAACACAACCCAAAAACGGTATGCCATCTGTTCTGCCCTGGCTGCCTCAGCCCTACCAGCACTGGTCATGTCTAAAGGTCATCGTATTGAGGAAGTTCCTGAACTTCCTTTGGTAGTCGAAGATAAAGTTGAAGGCTACAGGAAGACCAAGGAAGCTGTTTTGCTCCTTAAGAAACTTAAAGCCAGGAACGATATCAAAAAGGTCTATGCCTCTCAGCGAATGAGAGCTGGCAAAGGCAAAATGAGAAACCGTCGCCGTATCCAGCGCAGGGGCCCGTGCATCATCTATAATGAGGATAATGGTATCAAGGCCTTCAGAAACATCCCTGCAATTACTCTGCTTAATGTAAGCAAGCTGACCATTTCGAAGCTTGCTCCTGGTGGGCACGTGGGACGTTTCTGCATTTGGACTGGAAGTGCTTTCCGGAAGTTGGATGAATTGTATGGCACTTGGCGTAAAGCCGCTTCCCTCAAGAGTAACTACAATCTTCCCATGCACAAGATGATTAATACAGATCTTAGCAGAATCTTGAAAAGCCCAGAGATCCAAAGAGCCTTTCGGGCACCAAGCAAGAAGATTCATCGCAGAGTCCTAAAGAAGAACCCACTGAAAAACTTGAGAATCATGTTGAAGCTAAACCCATATGCAAAGACCATGCGCCGGAACACCATTCTTCGCCAGGCCAGGAATCACAAGCTCCGGATGGATAAGGCAGCTGCTGCTGCAGCAGCACTAGAAGCCAAACCAGATGAGAAGGCGGCGGTTGCAGGCAAGAAGCCTGTGGTAGGTAAGAAAGGAAAGAAGGCTGCTGTTGGTGTGAAGAAGCAGAAGAAGCCTCTGGTGGGAAAAAAGGCAGCAGCTACCAAGAAATCAGCCCCTGAAAAGAAGCCTGCAGAAAAGAAACCTACTGTAGAGGAAAAGAAGCCTGCTGCATTAACTCTTAAATTTGATTATTCCATAAAGGTCAAATCATTGTGGACAGCTTCTTTTGAATAAAGACCTGATTATACAGGCAGTGAGAAACAAACAAACAAACAAAAATCTATGTGACAAGAAAACTTGGAACATAGTACGTACTCAATTACTGAATATTATCATTACACTTCCTCCACTGACACATACGTCTCTTCTAAACATGAATTTTTTTGAGAAGCTGTGACTTATAGAAAATTTGGGAGGACGTATTCACCCTCTATTTCTATTCCAGATTTTACAATTCCCTTTCTCAAACACCTGTTTAATTTCATTTTCCTGGTGCCTTAAGAACAAACATCCTAATATCTCTAGCCACTTCTTTTAGATTAGGAACAATGACATTCAAGGTAATCAGAAAGGAGGAGACGGGAGAGGTAAATTCCAAAGGACATAAAGGAAATCTATGTATCAACAGACGGCCTTTCGTTCTTTCCCTCTTCGCAATTCTTTCTGCTCAGCCTAATTTGGATCTAACTGGAGCAGTGTTTCTCAAATGGAGGTGGTGATGTTCCCCCAGCGGGTATTTGGCAATGACTGGAGATATTTTTGGTTGTCCCACTGGTAGGTATAACTCGCATCTAGTAGATGGAGGTCAGGAATGCTGCTAAACATCCTACAGTGGACAGGAAAGTGCCCCCATCAAAAAAAAGTTTTCTGATCCAAAATGTCAATAGTGTCAAGGTTAAGAGTCCTAAACTGAACAAATTATGATCAAACTAGATATGCATAAAAGTAAAAGGCCCTAATCCAATTCAAGGATTATTTAGTGAGTTTTGCTCTTGGTGTTAAGCCCCTTACTAGCTCCTAGAGACAATGATCCAAGAGATTTAGAAGTAGGAGAGAAATTTGGCCATTAGGTCTCAATACTATGTGGAAACCTCTTTCTCCATTCAAGACTGATCTCTCTGGAGTTAGGTTCACAAGAATTCTTTTGCAACAAGATACAGTAGCAGTTTATGTCAGACATAGCTTGTAAAAACTGCAGGTTTTAGAGAGTAATTAAAAGAAGTCTTTATATGCAAATTACCAGCTTCTCTTAGCTAGAAGCTATCTCTGGATAGAGCTGCCTAGAGGAGGAATTTTTAACTTTGTTTTAAACATTAATTGGGAAGTTAGCTACTTCTGACTAAGAAATAAGTCCAAGAAGTTTAGTTTGAGATTGTTGTGTTGTTTTTGTGGAGGAAATTGAGAAATGCATATTGCCATATTCTAATCCTCAATGCTATAATGTGATACTTTTTCTTTTCTTTAGCTTCAGTTACTTTTTTTTGGAGACCGAGTCTCACTGTCTCACCCAGGCTGGAGTGCAGTGGCTTGATCCCGGTTCACTGCAACCTCTGCCTCCCAGGTTCAAGTGATTCTCCTGCCTCAGCCTCCTGAGTAGCTGAGATTACAGGCGTGTGCCACCACGCCCAGTTACATTTTTTTAAAAAAGTTAGTGAGGGGTGGGAAGTAGAGGAGAGCTAGAGAGCTGGTGGGAAGTCTCTATTCCCACAGGCAGCTCTTTGGGAAGAGAAAGAGGCTAGGAAAGACTTAATAGTGAGATGAACAGCCCAAGCTGTCTGTCTTAGGTTCCTCGGTCTCTCCTGGCTTTAGAACACAGCACCCATGTGACAGGCTTGGCCAGCACCACTAAAAACTAGATCTTGGGTGGTGGAAAATCTTGGCGTTAAAGAGTAGGGCCTCACAGCCAACACTAAAAGTTCAAGTTTTTTGAATGCCCATGTTTGTTCATATAGAATGGACATCAAACAGATTGGGCATAGCTGGTCATAAAGTACATTCCAGATTTGTGTTAGGAGAGTATTGGGTATGGAGCCTTCAAAGACCTACAGCATCTACAAAAGACACAAAGAGGCAAACAACAGGTCCTTCTCAACCAAGCATGGCACTTTAATGAGGAGCTCAGGGGACCCAATTACAGGGGCCTCAAAGCTGTGGCAAATGGACTAGACACTATGTGCTCATGTAGATAGCTGAAAAGCCTTGAAATCAAAATGGTACATAGGTAAGAGGTGAACTAAATCCAGGATTAGGATAGATATGCATCTACCTAGTATTAGGATAGAAGAGAGACTTGCAGAGGGCCATACGGATGATTGAAACCACCTCTTTACAGATTATGACAGCGAAAGAAATGTAGCATTGCTGACTCTGTCTTTTTTCTAGCCTCACAGGCTGGCTCTCCTTGCTCATTCCTAGATGTAGGCCAAGCGAACCATGGGAGGAATTTAGTTTATGGTTTAACTTTGAAGCAAGGATGATAGTAGTCCCTGCCTTAAACTGACCTCCTCCTTGTTTAGGGGACTGAAACAGCCTTTGTAAGACTGATCAAAGGCCACAAGATTAGGATTATGGGACAGACCTGAATTCTGCTAAAATGTAGATGTAATTTCTATAATCCCTTACTACTCGGGAGTCACGTGGCTAGAGGTCACATGATTTGTGACTTCCTCAATTGCTCCTATAGATAATGTCATTACTAAAGAACCTAAGATTGTTTTTTTCTAATGTTTTCTAGACTTTTTGCATTCTGATTTGCATTTTGATTTAAGAATTAACCCCCATCCTTCTGTTTTGCTGGCCCTGTGATTATTAAACTCTTTCCTGCAAAAACCTGCTGTTTTTTATGCATTAGTTTTTCTGGGCAGGAGGCAAGATGAACCCATCAGGCAATCACACTATTCTTATTGCAGGCTGACCAACTGCCCCACTAACCACTAAGGACTGGGGATGGGAAAGGGAATAAGACTCTCATAGGAGCCTACAATATTAGAGGGCTGAGTGATACCATGTCTGAAGACAGAAATTAGATGGCTGGGACCTAGAAACCAGTCAGGCAAACAATATCAGTGGGCCAGGTATCTTATTCATTCACTTAACATATACTTATTCTCAGTACTCAGGAATATAGTCACACCCATAGAGGACTTTATAGAGCCTGAAATCTATTAGGTGTTAGAGACTCCCTAGCATCCGTGAACAGGAAGAGGTTCAATAGGCAAACAGTATAAAGTGGCCAACCAGTAAACCTGTGTATAATCATGACAGGTGGAAAGTCTGTCACATTTATTGAGCAACTACAATAAGAAATCCACATAACAATCCCATAAGTATATTATTATTACACCATTGTACAGATTAAAAACACTAATGGTCAGAGATATTAAACACAAGTTTTCACAGGTGAAGATAATTAGAGAGAATTCTACTATCTTTATGTCCAAAGCCTGTTCTTCCCTTCCTCTGCACTAAACTTATCAGGGAAGCCTGGAAGCAAATGGTAGGGACTCACCCAAAGAATTTATTTGGGTATAGGATACAAGTCCCTGAGGCATGTGTAGGGAAGAATCAACCCAAGCCTTCCAAAGAACTAGGACATTAAGCAGACAATCAAGGGTCACTCAGGAAAGAAGGGACCAGGGCAGAAGTCCAGCCACTAAGCCTGGGGACAAACCCAGCAAAGGAGCCACAGTAAAGCTGAGCCACTGACCTCCTGGCCCGCATCTTACATCCCAACTGAGGGCACAGTTGTCTAGAGTGGTCAGATAAAGGATGGAACACGGCCGGGCACAATGGCTCATGCCTATAAATCCCAACACTTTGGCAGGCCAAGGTAGGCGGATTGCTTTAACTCACAAGTTTGAGACCAGCCTGGGCAACATGGCAAAACTCTGTCTCTTCAAAAATATGAAAATTAGCTGGATGCGGTGGCAGGTGCCTGTAGTCCCAGCTACTCAAAAGGCTGAGATGGGAGGATGGATTGAGCCTGGGAGGCGGAGGTTGTAGTGAGCCAAGATCGTACCACTGTACTCCAGCGTGGGCAATAGAGCAAGACCCTATCTCTCTCTCTCTCTCTCACACACACACACACATGCACACACACACATAATGGAACACCTGTTAAGTCTGAGTTTTAGATAAATGATTTTTTTATTTAGTATTAGTCATTTTTTATATTATTTGGGAAATATACTAAAAAATTATTTACCTGAAATTAAAATTTAACTGGGCATCTTGTATTTTTACTTGCTAAATCTGGCAGCCCTAGTGACTGTGCCACATGTGGGGATGAAGCCCCACAATCATGAAGGCAAGAGGGGTACAGGGATAAGGAACCTAGTACACAGCTATCAAAACAACCTCCCCCACCCCACCTTTTTTTTTCTTTTAACAAAAAGTTTCCTCCCATGTAGTATTTTGTAATTATACAAAAGACGCTTGGTAAAATGAAAAATGTATTCTTAACGATTAGAAACAAAACAAAATTTGAAACAGGAAAACATTACCCCTGGTAGAATAGGAATGGCGCTTTAGCATAATAAGCATGATGAGGAACGTCCTTCTGAAAAAGTCAGCTCATACTTGGAATTGCCAGGGAGGCACTCTGTGCTGGAGCTGGTGGAATGGTAAAGATAGGAGTCTCCTCACTGTCCAAATTGTAAGCCAATGCCTTTTCCTTCTGAAACTATCACCTTCAGAGGTTTGGCTATTGAGATATTATAAGTTAAGTAGATCATTGCAGGCTAGACAGCTGACAATCATTTATAATATTCTTTCTGTGAGTAAATGTCTTCCAAGCTTCCTGCAGTGATCTTACAAATGAGTTTTGGCAACACAATCTGTTGTTAATTGGGGTTTTACTACACAACCCTGCAAAATTTGGTATGTGTCCCACTGTCCAGCCTCATCACAGACCAGCCTCCTCTAGCTCAGCCTACCAGCTCATGACTCCTCTTTCAGTCCTTGAATGCCACAAGTTCCTTGCTGTGTTGGGGCATTTGCCCAGAATATCCAGCTCTGTGGAACCCTCCACCTCTGACTCCTAGAACAGCACCTTTTCTTTCAAGTAGCCTTGAACAGGATTCCTTAATAACTGCATTATCTAAGTACTATCCATCCAAGAACCCTCAAAATTACTTTCACTTTTATTAACTTATAAATTGATATTTATTATTCACTCTCCACTAGAATACAAATGCTCAAGGGAAAGGCCCATTACTGTTTTACTTTTCACACTTTTTTCAGAACCTAGCACACTGCTTAGCACAAAATAGAAAATTCATTTATAGAATATGTGTAAAATTAATAAATGAATGAATAATCTGAATGAGTTAGTAAGTAAATGAATGAAAGTTTATATCTTATCTTTCCTCTGCAAATCATGTTTTGTTCCTAGTTTATTCCTTATGATTAACACAAGCTCTTTTGACAGCTCATGTTAGCATATCTCAATTATAAGCAGACAGGCACCAATTTATCTAGTTATTTTTTTCATTCATTTGAGAGCCCTTAATATATCAGGCACTGTGCAGATTCTGGTTTTTTTGAACTGTGACAAACCAAATTCAACTCAAAGTAAAATCACAAAACATGTAACATGATGACAAACATCACAAGCTATTGTGGGTCAACAATGTATTTCATATAAATGAATTCCTCTTCCCACATGAACTTCATAAGGCCCAAGTTCGCAAATCAGCCTTTTTGCCTCCAGCCCTGTGTGCTTTCTGGCTCAAATTTGAAATCCTTTTGTAATATGTGGAGTTGCCAGAAAGGGCTTCAAGGTAGTAAAGTTACAAAATGGAGGAGGGAAGTTGGGATGAGATGAACAGTGAAAGGGAAGCAGAGTTCACATAGTTGTGCTGTCACTTCCTGGAACAAACCTGATCAAACTAGTCACCTTTCCCAAGCACTTCTCTGCAATCATGGTACCCGACTTTTCTCATCCTTCCTTTGTGGGATAGTTTCATGGCAACCATTGAATGTCGCAACTGTCTCCAGCCTAATTTGTGGATGTAATTTGTGCTTACGTTCTCCCAACTTTTCCAAACCTGCTAGCCCACAAGTACTGTTCCTAGAAGAACTCTAATGGCTTAGCTCTATCTAACCTGGCATCTTTTTTTTCCCACTGTTCCATCGAATAAAGCTCTCATCTTTCCCAGTAACCTGCCTCTTGAAGAAAGGACTCGGGTACACAAGACTGACCTCTTACTTTGTCTGGGCCTTTTTACCCTAGAGTAGGTGATTCAGAGCAAAAAGAAAAGAAAATTATCAGAAAGCAAATGAGAAGGGAAAAAAAATACAGAAATGCTGTCAAGGTCACCAGTATATTTTTGTTGCAGGATCACCCTAGGTGAAATTATTTTAATTTACCAGTTTGCAGAGATAAAAAATATCCCACTGTGAAAACCACAGTATTCACAGTAGTGTGTGGCACTGATGAGCTACACCATATGATAAAGCAAATTGAGATCAGGCATTTTCAAGACCACTTCATGATGGGGAAAAATCACATAAAGAGTTATAATATGGTTAATGGTATTGCAAGGCTGATCTCACTAATTTTACAATTCTCTTTTATGCATAGGTTATCATACTAATTAGCTGCCTCTGGAATATTTGTCATTTTAACAGAGCAATTTTGCATTTCCCTTTGCTTTAGTTCTGTGGCCTCCAACCTGACATTCACAGGTTCCAACAAATTTCAACACGTCACATGTTGTGGATGATTTGAAACAAGTCACCTTGGAGCCGGAGAACCTTTGAGGATGGCATGGTGGAAAGAACATTGACTTGGAAATCACATGTTGATAATAATGGCAATGTGGATGTTGGCAATTTACTTAATCTCTCTGAAAGTGTTTCATTAAAAATGAAAATGAGGAACCTAACTTTTGGGCTTATTGTGATGATGGAAATCATCTCTCTCACATGCCTAACATGTAGTTCAATAAGTGGTCCATATAGAATAGTAATAAAGCAAAATTCATTTTTTTCCTCCTCTTTTGATGTGTGAAAGGAAAATAAAACTTGGAACCCCAATTTACTATGTCAAAAGGAAAAAAATTAAGCTGAAAGCTGAGTTATGTAAGAAGCTGCCTTTCCTTTTGTTTCTAAGCAGATAGCTACAGATAAAAGCTACATATCTCCACTGGTAGCTACTCTATATTCACCCTATCTTACATAAAGTGCTGATTTACTGACACCAGGCAAATACATAATTGACTATCCCCCTACCTGCTTCCTTTCTCTTGCAACGTGTGAATTCGATAATGTGACCATACCCTCCCTCTTTCTCGTCCAGTCAGCTTTTCGTCTTTAAATATTGAACTCCTCAAAAATCATCTTTGGAGAAAGGCACAGACCCGTCTCCCAGACACATCCTTGAACTTGGCAAAATAAACTTCTAAATTGGTTGAGACCAGACTCAGATACTTTTTGGTTTACAGTTCCACGATTCATGTGAGTAGATCTAGCAGGGAATAGAAAATTCAAAGCTGTTGGGAAGAATAATTTCATATCCCAGAAGCTTCAAGCATTCTTTTCCTTCCCACTCCTCTTGGACAAATCAGAGGGTTTGCAAATGGCAGTACAGTAGAAGCTGATACTTCTCTCAGAGATGTAACACAGGAAGCCAACAATATGCTGTAATCAAGAACAGAGCCTTTAGGTGAGAAAATAAAAATCACTGACCTTGGTTTCAAGCCCAAGTCATGTCTAAATGTTTTACTATGGCCTAGACACCTTATAAGAACTAGATCCAGAACTTACATTTTAATTGCATGTACATGTAGATGACATGCATCATGGAAATGGGAAAAGTTAGAATGTTGGCCTGTGGAAGTATATTGTAATCTGTCAAGTATTATTATTGTTGTCGGTTTTGTTATTGTTAAAATAAAGGTGGAATCTGGGAAATCTACCAACGATAACAATGATTATTGTTGCCAAAGTACTAACAAAAGCAGAAGAAAAAAACTGCAAAAATGTGGTTCATTCACATACAACTCATGCCAATTATAGTTATAACCATCAGGAAAGCTTATCATTTATCCTTAACATTCTCCTCCAGAAATTAATACCAGCATGTAATCTGAAAATTTGACACAATAAAATAGGAGCTGGGCTAAATTCTTGACAATGGTTACTTATGGAAATTATGGAACTTTCTGTTATTTCATGCTGAGAAACTCTACAACATCCAAAAGTTATTATTTCCATCTTTGTTTCTAGTCTCCACTAGATCTTAATTTCCTTTCTTGGAGAAGTGTTTAATTGATGTCCCTTTCCCCAAACCATTAAGGCCAAACCTTCTTGCATTAGTGTAATCATGGACAGAGCTTTAGAAACATCATAGAAATCGTATGTAATAACCCCCAAATGGAGTATTTTGAACCAAATGGGATTAGGTCACATTCCAAGCACAGTGGAACTAAACTAGACACACAGCCTTTAGGAGTTTGCCCCTACTGCTGCTGCCTCACACACCTGAACACTTGGCAGGTCCTGAGAGAGCTCCCCTATTCCACCCCCCAGAGATTTACAGACTTTCAATACTAGAACATTCTCTCTGCCCTCTCTTCAACCAAATAAGTCTTACCTATCTTTCGTGTTTAATCTTAGATATTCCTCCAGAAAACCTTTCCTAATCACCCCCTCCCACCATAGCCAAGGCTACTTTTAATGGTCCTCCTATGTGTTCCCATCACAGCTACAGGGAGAATTTGGATGACCTCTTCCAAAAATCTCTCTCTCCTTCTAGACCACCAGCTGCTGAGAATAGGGACTGAGCCCGCTTCACTGTTTTTTTTCACAGCCCCTCACACATAGCAGCCACTCAATAAATAATAGCTGAATTAATAGGTTTTGAAAATCCCATCTCGAAAGCATTCACAACAAATAAACTGATTCCTCCAGAAAACAAAGTTAATTGCTCATTATCCAGCACATTTTAATAACATCAGCTACCTAAGTTGGTAATTCAGGCTTGAATTATATACTTTGCTTTTGAGAAAACCTATCAGTCATCATCATATCACCACATTTCATTGCTGTGTAGACACCACTCTGACATTATCTTCTTATGATTTAATTTCTGATCAAAGCAGGAACAACCAAGATATGAGACCAGAAATGTGTTGGCTCTGCCATTAACCTTGGTGGCTTTGTGGACGTTCCCCAAGCCTCAGTGTGCTTCATCACTGTCAGCTCTACCCTATGTGCTCCAGGAAAGAAGACAAATGAAGAAATGTAAACGTCCAGAGTGGAGCCCATGGGACTATACGTAGGATTGTTGAAGGAATTACTTGGGTATTTTTGCAACTAAATATGGTTGGCATTCAACATCACAACTTCTTCACATTCTCTCTTTCCGTCACTTTCCCTGAAATAGTCACATCGGCTTCTATTGTTTCCCTATGGGTCTGAGAGGCTCTGTTGAGGTTTTACAGCCTCGTTCCCGAACTCCTACTAACCAAACCCATAAGGTCAGTACCTTTTGAACCTAACTTTAGCTACTCCCCAAGCAGGCCAATTAAGGAGCCCACCTGCTGTAGATTGTGTTGCCTCCCAGAATATGATCACATATGGCTTCTTTAAAGGGGGTGGAGGAATGATGAATGTCAAAAACACGTGTTTATACTTAAACCTGTTATGCACAAGAGCTTTCAACTCTTCGGTAAAAGAGCTTCAATGGGGTTATGTGTGTATCTGCTGCCTTTAAGAATGATTGTCTGTCAAGTGGTTTTGCAGACTCCACAGAATCCCTCAAGGCAGTAGGGAAAAAGCAGAGGGATTGTAACCTGGAAACCAGAACAAGTTGAGGATTCATTCTCACCTCGTGACATCTGCAATTTGGGAAATGGGAAGGCTACAGAATGATCTCATTCACTTGAAGCCAGAGACTCACACCTCCTCCCCTGCCCCTGTGCCTATCATCTGTCTATTTTTAAAGGCAAGGAATCTTAAATGTGCTTCAAAAAACTAAAACTAAAGTGATGCTCACAAAAGCCAAAGTCCCTGGTTCAGTGACTGGATCTCCAGAGAGGAGGGTCAGAGCTTTATTTTTGCTTTCTGTCTCTTTCAAAGCATGCAGGAAAAATAGTTAACAGCCATTTGAGAATTGCAATTGAGTTTATCTCTGCTACTTTGGGTACCTTCCCTCAGGTTCCCAGGAGCAGGTACTTTTGACTAGAGGCAGAGGTCACTTGGTATCTTTTAATGAACCCTCTGAGGCTGACAACTCTGAGTGCTCTCTTAGATTTTTCTTCCCACAAAAAATTAATTTCAGCATTTTACATAAAATTTGTATTTTTATAAGAACCTAGGGACTGCAGCTGAGACAAAGCTTTAGTTTCTGCAATCAAATCTATAAGACAACTATAAGAATAGCTTTACCTTATTAAAAAACACCAGCATGAGGAACATTATAAGATTTAACAAGCCTTCAGTTACACATTTTTTTCCCAGTTACTTTTGAATGCAACTTGGAGTCTCTCCTTATAATGAGACCAGTATTGGCTAGAGTAGGAAAAAAGAATTCTTCTTTAAAACATTCTAAAGAGAAGGTTAAATAAATGGGTGCATGTGGAAAGATAAAATGTCTTGTATTCCCCAACCCTTCCATTTCCCCAGATTATCAGCTTAAAGCCTCAGACTCATGATGACATTGAGGTCAGAAAATGGGTCTCATTTCTTTAATCTATAAAGCAGCAGATGTGAAGGTGGAATAGACTAGCTGATCTTTAAGGCAGAGCTTCCCAGCTGCTGTGCCAGGCACTCCACTAAATCTCAAACGGATCACCAGTGTGCCAAGATAGTGATCGACTTTCTTGATGACTAGGCACAGTTGGACAACAACAGCCCTTAAGCCAATCATTTCCAGCTGCAAGCATCTTTGTCTGTTTATTCCAACGTGCTATAAAAGTATTTTCACTGTATGTATCCGCCATGATGTGAAGGTGTTAGAACACACTGGTTTAAAGTCTCTTCCAGTTCTGTTGTTCAATTATTCTAATTCTTATTTCCTTCAAGTAGGACTTCATTGGTGACCACTGCAGGGCTACTGAGTACTGCTGGGGAGGTGGCACTTCATGTTCTGTGTGATGGTATCCCTAGAGGTTTGCAATGCATGACATGCACAGCCCTGAACAAATGAGCGGAATGTGAAAAGAAAAGAAATATGTGGCAGAGACATAGTAGGTACTGAAGTTTTTTTAAGCAAACAAGAGATTGCCCAATGAACTAATACTTAAGACCATCACTGGGAAAGGGAAAGGTCATGGTAAGTAAAGGGACTCATTTTCCCTTGAGGTACTCACTTTTATGGAAACCTAACAGATCTCTTGTGGAAAACAAAGATGAAAACACAATAAAAGAGGAAATAAAGAGGAGATGCAAAGGCTCTCACTTAACTCTCAGAAAGGTTTTGAGTTGGGCAAGTATCCTGCCGTATGGCACAAGTGAATTGAGGAGCCTCTGTTCAGTGAAGGAAGAATGTTTGATTGCTGAGGGAAGAAATCACTGGGGTGCAAAACTGTGGGGACCCTTAGATTTTCCTCTGACCCAAGCGCCAGGGAACTTGGTTTCCTCAAGAAACAGAGGCTATCAGAAATGAAACCAACAAAAACACAGCAATCCAAATAAAAAGAGTTGAAAACACTAGGCACATTGCAAGAAACTGAGAATGTGAGAACATCTTACTCTTTGCAGAAGAAAGGTACCACTGGTGGGGAAAAGGTGTCTCCTACCATGAAACAAGAATTGGCAGAGTGGAGTTGTGAAGCTGGGAGAAGTGACGTTAAGGAGGCAAAGTAGGTGTAAAGAGTTAGAAGGTCACATATCCACCAAAGGAATTGGGGTAAATTTAGCAGCTTTGAAGGCTTTCAGATAGACACTGTAATCAACACACACAAAAAAGTAAAGGCAAAGAAGACATTGATCATTACAGGAAATTTTTTCACCTCTTTGTATTTCTTAATTACTTATAATCTTGCTTAATTTAAAAGTCATGTGTACACCTTACAGAAAGCCTGATGAAAATGGAGAAGTATAAACAAGAAAAAACTTACCCTTAATGCTACAGACAGGGATTGTCACTGTTAATATTGCACAAATAAATTAAAATGTACTTAGCTATTTCCTATGGTTGAACATTTAGACTCTATTTTTTCATTATGATAAATCCTCAATAAACATATTTTCCCTATCTTTGACCATTAGGAAACAAATATTCTTTGTTCCTATTGCTGATTATTTCTTTAGAATAGATTCTTTTCTGAGGTAGTCTGGGTAAAAAAGTATGAACATCTTAAGAACCTTAACACATACAAACAAATGAAATGCTTTCCAGAACCCTTGTACCAATTCCCACCAACATTTGAGAGCTCATTCAGTGCCCCTGACTAGTTTTGATTATACTTTCTTATACTTTTGCCAAATTAATGTGACATCTCCTTGTAGTTTTAGTTTGTGCTTCAGGTCAAATCTTTTTTATATGTTAATTACCAGCACTAAAATTTTTCCCCCAGCAATAGAATTTTAATGGCAGAAAAGAGATGCTCATGGACACCTTGACCGTGCTGGGAGATGAAGGGATGGAGGGACAGGGAGTGGCAGAGGAAGAACTCAGGTTTACAGATCAGCCAACTACAGACGGTGCACCAAATCTAGCTTGCTGCCTGTTTTTGTGTGGCCCACATGTCTGTTCCCTTTTTAAATGCTTAAAAACAACACCCAAAGAATATTATTTTGTGACATGTGAGAATATGAAATTTTATTTTGTATCCATAAAGTTTTATTGGTTCCATGCTAATTATTTCTGTATTGTCTATGACTTTCACACTGCAACAGCAGGGTTCAGTAGTTGTGATAGAGACATTACGGATCATGAAGCCTCAAATATTTACCATCTGGCCTTTTACAGAAAATGTTTGGTGACCCCTGTTGTAAGCGATTACTTACCCCCTGCTGGGAGTACAGAAATGTTCAGATTAGTAAGAAGCGGTTGGATTGCTCAAGTTTCTTTAGTAAGAGCATGCACTAATCTAAGATACTCATGCACTTCACCTTTAGGAGTGTAGGATACTCATGCACTTCGCCTTTAGGAGTGCAAGAGTGTCACTGAGCAGAGGTGAGCATCATTCAGATACACACCAAGGGAAGTAAGAGAAGTGAAGGACCAGATTGTTCTTACAAGGTAGTCTCAAAGCATAAAAGAATTTGAAAATCTCTGTAGCCACTGAATTATTTGTTTTCCTTGCTAACAGCAAATGTTCAAAGTGAATTGAAGCCATAAGTCTTCCTTGAAACTCACAAACACAGAATACTATATGTATGTGTATGTGTATATATAAATAGTAATGTATATTATATAAAATATATGTTATTATACATGTATAATTATTATATTCTAGAAGAGCAAAGCAAATCCATGAATTGACTCAGTAGCAGAGGAAGGTAGAAAGGTTCTGGTCTAAATATGAAGAAGTCTAGAAATCTAGCATTTGCCATTAACTTGGCCATGTAACCCCGAGAAAATCACCTGACATGTCTGAGATGTGAGCTGGAAGAGAGTTAATGTTTCTATCAGCTCTGGTATTTGCTGATTTTTCTTAGTCTTAATTCAGTGTTGCCTGGATCAACAGCAGCAGCATCACCTAGGAACTTCTTAGAAATGCAAATGCTTGGGCCCTGCCACAGGCTTACAGAATCAGAAGTTCTGGTGATGGGCCCCAGCATTTGGTCTTAATAAGTCCTCCAAATAATTACATTGCACGCTAAAGTCTGAGAAGTACAGATCTCTAAACCGTGTTTCTCTCTTGAAGGTTTTCCAATTCCAAAAAGCATTTAAGATATTTGATTTTAAAATCTGAGTTACACATTTATACTTGCAAACACCTTGCCTCAAAAAACACTCCTCCCAGTGACTCATTTTCTCCTTCCACTGGAAGTATAGGTTTGTTTAAAGATCATATTCATTAAGCAGGACCATCATCCCACCTGAATAAAGATCAAGAACCATGGGGAGGGGTGGGTAGAGAGAAGGATGCCCACCATTCAGCTCACCTACTTGGCACATGTGCCCCTGCAAAGCTGCAGCCTGGAAACAGCCCACAAAAGCAGAGACAGACCCTCTTAGTTATCGACCAGTATGGAACCTGCTGTTACTCAGTGTGGCAAATTATACTTAAGCTATAAAAGGACAACCTCGAAAGTTGTGAGTCTTGTACCTTTTCATGGGTTTGAACTGAGAGTTGATGACAGACAGCATCTGGATGAATTTCTGCCTAACCACAAATGTGAATACCATCCTATCAGTTGGTGCTGTGGGAATGTGCTGTTCTAGAAACCTGGACACCTGGCCTCCTATCCCACTTTGCCAGACTGGTTATGTGATCCTGAGAAACTCATTTAGTCTGTCAAAGCTTCAATTAACTCATTTAGAAAATATGAATAATACCAGTTATTGTACTCACCTCATAGAGTTCTGGGGAAGATCAAGTTGTAAGAAGGGGTGCAAAGGCCCTTGAGCACTCTCAAAATGCAAATTATTGTTATTCATGAATGCCTAATAGTCTTCAGAATATACTGTTTATATCAATTAGGATTATGTTCAACTGAATATAAGAAAAGCTCAACCAAGATTGCTTAAACCAGATAGGATTTTTGCTTTTTCCATGAAACAAGTCCAGAGACAGGCCGCCCAAAGCTGAGAGCAGTTGCTTGAGGAATTCAAAGGATCCTGGCTCCGTCTAGCTTTCTGTTCTAGTATCCTTAGCATTCAGCTTTCACCCTCACAGTTCCAAAATGAAGATCCCTCCCCACCCTCCAGGCATCTATGTTCCAAAGAGGAAAAGGTCTACCTGCTGAATCTGTGCCTTTACAACAACAAAACGGTAACTTTTTTGGAAGCTCCATCTAACAGAGCATATTCAACCAGAATATTAATGAAAGCAACAATTGAAACAAAACATATAGTATAATTAAAATATATGTGTTAAATTCCTAACAGTGAAATAATTTAGTAAACATAGAAATTTACCTTTAAAAAGGGGGAAGGAGTTGGAGGCATCGTAATGTCAATTGGATGAGGCTGCTAAATGGTCTAGGCAAGAGCAAAATACACAAAGACTAGCAGATGGGCACAGGTCTGTGGTTGCAAAAGAGGCTGGTCACCTGCAAAACTGGTATTTTTATCCTCTAACGTGACATAAGGTTCTGCCATCAAGAAAGAAAGGGCTGCAAAGGACATCTAGAATGACTGCTGAATAAGCAATCAAGAACGTTTTTCATCTCCGGTTTATCTTTCTACCTTCTGTTTCAATCTCATTGTCATTAGCTTGCCTCAAGTGAATATCTTGCTACTGATTTGGTTTCCCTTTTAGTTTTTATTATTGGCTAACCTAAGGAATTTTCTTTTAACCTATGAATTTATACCATTTACATCGCTGTGACTTTCAAGTATGGAAAATTTCAATTTTTATCTTTTAGAATGTTGCCACTTCATTATCTCTTTTCCATTTTACCAGAACCCATATTTTGAAATTATTTCCATCATCTTATTTTGTGTTTTCTATTTACTTTTTCTTTGCTTTTTCTCTTTCCATTCTTCCAGTTGAAATAATGAAGTTTTATTTATGCCCCTTCATACTTCTTCTATTGGTATCAAAGCAAACATCCTATTTTTATTCTGTTACTAGCTGCCTTTAATTTCTATCATGCATATTTGACTCACTAATTTCTAAAAGTACCATTATCTTTTTCCCCCTCGTTAACTTGTATTAAATAATACAAGTACCTAAGAATGCTTTAATTCAAATCACTTTTTTTCCTTCCATATTATTGTTATAATAATAATGTATATTTATTTTGGGGGAGTTCTTTTAAAATGGCATTGTATTAAAAATATTAAAACGAAGAGACAATGATGAAAGGGATGGAATTAGAAATTATAGATCATTAGAACTGCTACAAACAACTGTAAAATTTTGCTCTTTGCTCTGGGGAAACATCCTATAACAGGTAATTTAAAAGTTTTTAAAGAATATAAAAGGGGAGCTAAATACCTGAACATTTAAACAAAATGAAGCAAAAAAAGGAAACAAATTCACTGCAAGAGATGGAAATTACATTTTAAAGGCTGAAAATAATAAAGAAATTCACTAAACAACAGGCCCTATTGTCCTGGCTCCTTCAGAAAGATTACTGAATGGAAACTGGGAAGTGGTTTGGGGAATAGCAGATTCTAGGATACAGTAGGAAGTTCACAGGTTGGCAATGGCTAGAACAGCTGAGTTTTGAAGGCACTTTGCAGACACAGGGATGCTGGTGGCCCTGAAGCACAAATAATGAATATTTAGATTACAGATACATAGAATGTATATAGACATATCAATAATAATGCATATTTATATCTATATGTTTACACTTGTTTTGCTTTCTATTTTTTCTTCCTTCCCACATCTTCCTTTTTCTTTAATGAGAGCACATCTTTTACTAGTTCCCTGTAAAAGTATATGATTAGTAAACTGTCATTTTTTTCCTCTGAAAATTTATTTATTTTACCTTCTTTATTAAGAAGTATAGTTTCCCTTGGATCTCAGAAGATATTGTTCCATTGTGTTCTGCCATCCATTGCCACTGCTGGGAAATATACTAGTCTATTTGTGATTCCTCTGTTTGAGAAAATTTATTTTTCCTCTGATTCACTTTAAGATCTTCCTCTTTCATATTCTCCAGTTTCTGACAATGTGTCTAGCATGTGTTTTTTATTTATCCTATTCAGGACTTAGTGTGCTTTGTTAATGGGATAATTCAATTCTTTTTTCAAGTATGGAAAATTTCAATTATTATCTTTTAGAATGCTGGTTCTTCTTCATTCTCTCTGCTCCATTTTACCAGAACCCATATTGGATACACTTCATACCTTTTCACACTCTCCCCCATGTTTCTTAACTGCTCTTTCATGTCTTTCAGTTCTGAGATCTATAGTGTGGATGACTTCCTCAGGTGGCTGTTCCAATCGCATCAATCCTTTTCAGCTGTATCTAATCTGCCATTTAACTCATCAACTGCGTTCTTAATTTCAAATACTATATTTTTTATTTCTGTAATTTTTATTTAGCTCTTTTTGAAACTGATATTTTGCTTACAGACCTATTTTTATTATACACTTTCTTTTATTTCATTAATTCATGTTAAACATATTAATGTATAATCTTTCCTGATATGTTTGGTTATGTCCTCTATTTAGAGTATTAATTCTCCTCTTTCTTGCACATAAACTCACATGTTTATAATTTTGGTATAATGGACTCAAACTCACTGAGTCTTGTTTATCTTTGGGAGTCCTATAAGCATTGCATTTTGAGATTGTATCACAGAACAATTCTCATTTTCTTCTGCCAGGATCTCTAAATTATTAATGATCTTGAATGTATTTTATTTTAATTTCTTGTCCAGAATTCCTACACCATATGAGCTGTGTAAACACTGTTTTCCTCACCCACGCTGGAGGTACTGGGTTTTGATTACTTGTGGATGACTGTTTTTACACAATAAAGCTCCTGTTTTACACAATAATATTACAAAAAAACCCAGAAAACACCCACTACCAATGGGTAGTTTTTCAAGGCTCTGATCCTTATACATGGAACACAAATCCATCTTTCTCACCTTATCTAGGTCAAGGTCAAGTCAGTTGTCACCAGGTGGGGCTGCTTTGTTAATAGCTTTTCTTTCTTTCTGATAGTTATTCAAAGGCTGTAAAGTTACACCTTAACAAATAGGATTTTAACACAGGATTCTAAATAGAATAACAACATTTCTTCTTAAGCCTTAACATTTGCTAAATTGATTTTAAAGTGAAGTCTATTTTTAGCACTTGCTTCCCTTTAGTCTGGTTGCCAGTCACAGCAATATTTGACTCTGTCTTGTTACTTGGTCTCTAATCACCAGCAAATTTTTCTTGTTTCTATCCCCGATTCTCCTTATTCATTTTTGTACTCTATCTCATTCTCATTTTTTCTCATACACAAGTTCACAAGTGTGCCAGTTGTATTTCTTCCTTTAAGTAGTAATTAAGGATGTATGTTCATTTCATAGAAGAGACTCCTTTCCCCTTCTTCCAAGGCTCATGCCATTTCTGATCCTACTTTCAGACAGTACTAAGTACTACTGCCCTTATCTTAGCCACCTGTCAATACCATCATATCCCTTTGTGTTAACAATGCATAAATGGTGCTGCAGTTCCTAATCAGCTGCTGGATCTAAGTTCTTATAGCTCCATCAGAGTCAGAGCTCTTTCTGTTTCCAGTAGAAAGGGACTTATCCTCTGAATATAAGATAGATCATTTAGCTGCCTGGTGGTTCCAGTCCCTTAAGTTTATTCAAAAGTTAGCCTTGATCATACAGGTTGACTATTTCCTCTGCCATGGAATTCCTTTCATGTTCCCCAGTAATTGGCCTGAAGGAAAGTAAGAGGCAACATTATTAGCCTCCCTTCTTTGATTCCAGTGTGTTTAGAGGTAGGGTGACCATGTTACTTAGCTTCCAAACAGAGATACTTTTGAGCATGAAAAGGGGCACTTCTGTAATTTTAACAGGAAGGAATAAGCCAGGACTGCACTGAACAAACTACCCTATTTTCAGGTCCTTATGTATGTAGAAACCATCACTGCTTGCTTTGACCTTATAAAGTTACAGATATGCACACTCACACACACACAAACACACACACACACTATATATATACACACATATGTATATAGTTATATGTGTGTATACATATATATACATGTATATACATAACTTTATACATATACATGTATAAAGTTAAAGGCATATACACATATATATGTATATGTATGTGTATATATATGTATAGTGTATACATATATACACAAATTAGGTGCCATCATGACCATAACTTCATAAGGGAAGTGAGTTACCTAGGCATGTTTCCTAGGGTAGGTCTTGTTTGACAAGACTAAAGAGATGTAGAAGAAAACAAGTATGCAAAATGAGATACCAATTAACAGGGGCAGACAGAAACAAAGAGGGAGAGGAACAAGGGGAAACCATAGGCCCTACGGTTAGGGTAGCAGCTTAGCACTCCTCTGGTATACTTGACTTGGCTGAATTGTGCTCTGTCAATTTGCCACCAAGTTAAGCTGACAGATATTATGAGAATAAGCTTTATGAAGAAAAAGCTTTATGTGTAAAAAGCTTTACTACACTTACTATCATGTTTTTGAGGACATAGTTCATTACAGTTTCTTCTTTATAAATACTCACAGGAGAAATTTCTCACAATTTGGTCTTAATACCAAAAACTTATGTCTATCCTGAACAATTGCTTTACATTATGTTTATTTTATGGACCCAGAATCACGAGCCTATATGCCTTTTGTTTTGCAAACTAGAAAGCTCAAAATAAAATTTGTGGCCTCTAGGAAATGTACGTTACATATATTTTGCATATAAACTCCTCTTATTATTCTTTCCTCATTTTCCCTCTAACCAGATTATCTCACCTGTCTCTATTTTATTTCACCTTTAAAGTTAAAGGCACTTTTAATGAAATGAGAATCCCATCTAGCTCTTTACCAAAAAATTTACTTCTCTTTTTTAAACTATTGTCTTATTTTGATGACTATAGAGATGTAAACTTTATTAAGGCAGCATTATATTCAAAGATGCCTATGTAAGCACAGATTTAGACAGGACTTTTCACTTTGTGAATGAAAGAATGGCAGGAAAAAAAGTCAGTTGCATGTGTCACCAGGCTTAACTCAGACAATTCTTCTTATCAAACATTCTTCATTAAAAAATCTCACTTGACTAATTTTACTTTCAAATGCCATGAACACTGTCACAAATCATTTAGAGTTTCTAGAAGTAAGAATCTGTTATGAGGAACATGCTATAATGATCTGGACACCATCCTGACATTTTATTCCCTTGTTATAAGATTTCTGACAAGCTATGTTTAACAGGAAAAAAAAAGTTTGTAATAAAGCTTAACACTGCAATAATTGACTGCAGTGTAAATAGAACTTCACAATGCAGCCTACTTCCACCACTTTTATTTTTCTTTTTCAGAAAATTGTTTATTGGCCATTAGATCCAAATGTGGAGCATGGCCTTTATTACCTTGCAGGAAGATATTTCAAGATGTGCTATATAAATCCCCTACTGTCCCTCTGTTTCCTCTCACCAGCAGCTCAGTCATCTGGATGATAAATAAGCTCATGCTGGTGTTAGCGTTTAACTAGCAATGAATTTCACTTTATTGCAATATTTATGAAAGCTTTTTAAAATGTGATTAAGTGAAAGTCTTCTCATAGGCTGCAATCAATATTTCCTAGCATGAGGTAGAGAATCCATATCTTCAGAGTTCCTTTGTTCTAGTGAGATCTACACTGCTTTCTGGACAAAGGACTCCAATTTTATTAGTCAGGAAGACCCTTCATTTTAGAAATTGTTTATAGTATTTTTATTATGAAAGTTGTAGTATGTTATGTTTTGCTTTTCTTTTTCTTCCCGTCCCCCCACCCCACCCCTTTGACTGTGAAAGAACATGCGACTGGGGAATTTAGGCCAAGAAACCTGAGTCACAATAATTACCATTTCCAGGCTACAGCACTGTGTTTTCTATTAAGCCTGTAGAGCAATTAGCAATGTTTTACAACAGCTGTGAGAATTGTTGCTTGACCTCATCTGATTGCAGTTCTGACACTTTTAAGAACAAATTGGTAAACAGTGTTGGCTTCAGAGGCCCTTTCAGAGTTTGTAGGAGAGGAGTTGGCCTGTGGGGAGGAGAGTCTTTGACAGAAATGGGCTCAGAGGTAGCCCAGGTTGGAGAACAAATGATCCAAGAAAAATGTTGTCTTGTTAGCATGCAAGGACAGCTGGGATTTTTTAGGCTGGGACTCAAAGGCAAAGCCCATGTCAGCATTTGACAAACCTACAAAGATACCAGCCAGCTTGGCCCAAGGTGAGAGAAAAGACAGCCCTCTTATTCTTAGACATCAACTGAGAATAAATCCTAGATGGAGGAAAAGCCCAGCTCTTCCAATTTTCAATTGTCTGATTGCAATTTCAGTCTTTGCAAGGAGCCCTTTAAGTGTCCCTGTTGTGCCACCAAAGGGGACTTCCAGCTCCAACATGGTCCTGGCTCTGACACGCAGTAAAAACAAAGAAGGTCTTAAATAAGGTGGAGTGACAGCATGCTAGGGATGACCGCAGGTTTTGGAGCCAGCCAGAACTCAGGTTGAATCTCAGCTCACCTGTCACTTGGCTGTGGACAAGTAACTTTACTTATCTGAGATTTAAATTCCTTGTCTGTCAAGTGGGAATCATTTTCTCAAATAAAAGCTAGTGAATGTGACGTGGTAAGAGAAAAAAAATGGTGGATTAGGGAAAGGGTAACCAAAAAGTTCACAGATCAAATTCAGTCTACTGTCTATTTTTGTAAATAAAATTTTATTGGAACACAGCCATGCTCACTAGTTACAGACCATGGCTGCTTTCATGTTACAAAAGCAGGGTTCAGTAGTTTTAGCAGAGATCCATATGGCCAGCAAAGCCAAAAATATTTACTACCAGGCTCTTCGCAGAAAAAGTTCACCAACCCCTGGTCTAGACTATCTGGGATCTTCATCTACAAGGATAATCTGAAAAGCAAAATCTATCGGGTGACTCTTCCTATCAGAGGTTTAAAAAGTGATGTTATAGCATGCAAATGTTTAGTAGTCAGTGGTGAGATGTGTCCCACATACTTTGTTACACGCAAGTAGTATTTAAAATATATTTAAATAATTTTCTTATTTTCTAAATTAGTATAGGTTTAAAGTAACTCTTATAACAGTATTACAAATAGATATTTGTTGCTTTCCCTTATTTGTTCTATAGCTGTGAAGAATAATAGCAAACATTTACTGTTTGTAGTTTTCCAGATGCTGTGCTAAATACTTTATACTAATCATCTCATTTAATGCTCATAAGGATCCTCTGATAGGCGTTAATATTAGCCTCAGAGAGCCTATGCAACTGAGCAATCTCACCAGCTACAGAATGTAAGACAGATCTGTTGAACCCTATGGCTCTGTGGTTGCTCACTGAGCCACTAGGACTGAAACTACAAGCAGTCCAGCAAAACCTATTCTCCTCATCTTCCACAGAACCTGGACTTTATCTGAGCTTATGGCTGAATGACATTTCCCTGCCTCCCTTACAAATGCAGGCCTGCTGGCTGAGTTGTGTCCAGTGGAGTCATGCGTGTCTCTTCTGGGCTGGGGTTTCTAACTGAGCAGGTGGCTCTCCATTCTCCCCTTCCCTTTCACCATACGGCTGCAGACAATGACTAAGTTCTAGAGGATGGCAGAGCTACCAAATGGAAGCAGTCCAGGTCTCTGAACTGCCAAATGGAGGAGAGCTCTTTCAATACCCAAGGATCTACTTTAGACTGTTACATAAGGAAGAAATAAGCTCCAACTTTGTGCCAATTTGTGTTTGCATCCATTTATTACAGTAGTTTAGCCTACCCCAACTCAGAAAGCCATAAAAAGACTTTGATCTACTCTGTGCTTGTCATTATTGCTGTTGGCGTAATAATTTCTCTCACCAACTAACCTTGTGTCCCTTTGATATGTTTTTGTCTCAGAAGCCTTTTCTTTTCCTGTTCCTTCTCCTCTGCCTCTGCCACAATTCCTTTCAGGATCCTCCAGCCCATTTTCTTTTCTTTTCCTCATGGTCAGTGTTTTCCATTATCACTCTTTCCTTCCTGTCTACTCAGCTCCCTTCACCCATGCCAGAGCATCATTCCTTCCTTAATGGAATCATTTGATCCCTTTGAAGTATGAGGCTCGAGTATACACAGAATGCATCTGTGTGACAATGGAACCCTTATCCTGACCCCAAAGCCCTGATAGTATTTAAAAGCACTTAAGATGGCAATAGTCAGAGAAAGAAGTATGTCAGAGAAAAGCAGGCAAGAAAAAAAAAAATGAAAGATGGCCAAATGTGTTCTCTTTCTACAAGTAACTTTACAGTCTAGAAGGAATGCAGTAAAGACAGCCAGTGCATGTGCTTGGGGATTTTACTAAAAGATAGGACGAACTACTAAAAAGGATATATAGGGAGTCCAGTGAGTTCAAATAGTAGGAAGTAAGGTTTGAAACCTCATTTCCAGTTCCACTGAAGTCAAGATAAATTCATAGTTTGTGTATGGATTACTTTCAACACTAAAGAAGAAAGATGCATGTTTTAAAAATCCGTTGTGTGTTTACAGAAACCACAGTATATTATGGTCTTAGCCCCAGATGCCCTTCTCCTATGGCAGACGAGGACAAACGGGCACAGCTTATGAAAGGGTCATCTTTATGGAAAGGCTCTGTGCCCAGAAGTTCCATATAGAAGCTCAGCTCAGAAAAGCACACTGTGGACCTGCAGTGTCACCTCCACTTAAACATTGTCCTTCCATGCATTTTAAATGAAGGACATTGAGCATAACTTTCTTTTAAACAATGTTGATTGGCCTGTGGTTTAATATAGTGAAGACCTATGGGACCACTGATCGACATACAACATTTGCTCTTAGGCTTAATTTTTTTTTTTTTTTTTTGAGACAGAGTCTTGCTCTATCACCCAGGCTGAAGTGCAGTGGCTCAATCTCAGCTCACTGCAACCTCCACTTCCCAGGTTCAAGTAATTCTCCTGCCTCAGCCTTCTGAGCAGCTGGGATTACAGACACCTGCCACCATGCCTGGCTAATTGTTGTATTTTTAGCAGAGAGGACAGTTCACCATGTTGGTCAGGTTGGTCTGGAACCCCTGAACTCAAGTGATCCGCCTGCCTTGGCCTCCCAAAATGCTGGGATTACAGGCATTTGCCACTGTGCCTGGGCAAGGCTTAATGTTTCTAACCCTCTTACTGTGTTTTTTGAGTCTAGTTCTGGTGTCTGCTTGGATCAATTTTTCTGCTAGGCTAGAAGTTGTTATTCCTATTGGGTTTTGGTATGATTGATTATATTAAGTCCACTTCTGAACTTAAAATTTGGCTCTTTTAGAATTTTGCCAAAAATAAAAGGACTTAGAGTAGGGCTTTGATGGTGTCTCCTAGGAATAAAGGATTTGTGAAGATGGTTGAGAGGGAAAAGGGTCATTTGGACAGGGTAAACCTTTGTTACCACGTCCTATGAATAAACTAACCAAACCGAAGGGAGAAAAGAATCTCAAAAAGGCCCTAAAATAATAGCCATCATCATCATCTCTATTAACTAATAATTAGTAACATGAGATAATGAATTCCTAATAAGTGTAGCCATTCACCATAGATTTGAATCCTGGTTCAATTCCTCTTAATTTTTGTCATCATAAGCAGGTAACTTGTTTCTTAGAGTGTTAGCTTCTTTGTTTGGAAAGCAATGATAATAATACAAATCCCATAGGTTGTAGGCTGACCATAAGGGTTAAACAAGACAACATATGTAAAAGTGTCTGGCACATAATTGGTGCTTATTTTCAGTTGGGTATGTCCCCTTCCTAACAGTGTAATCATGATGGAATTGTCAATAAAACTGCCCCGTCAGCCTGGCCAAGGGATGACTGTGTATGCAGTGGGAGGCCAATCACACACTCTGTCTCCTGGGAATCTAAAACATGTGTGAGTCTTTAACAATGAATAATTGCAAGAGATGAGTCTTTCTAATGGGAGTTTCTGAAATAAGAGTATATCAGTCCTTAAGTTCCTCATACCAGACTCCAGAGAACTCTCCTAGTTCCTGCCCTTGACAAGATCCAATTGTTCAATTTTGCCTTAGAGTCTGGGATCTACCCAGTCTCCTTGCTTCATAAATCCCTTTTTCCCCTGAAGTTAGCCACTGGAGAGTTATATGCTTGCAAACAGAGTCCCAACTGAGACACCATGCTACCCTCTACAAAGATATGGCAATACTGACACAGAAGCACAGACTGTAATGATATCTTCTTTGCCATCACTCACCCCTCCAACCAAGGAAAAATCAACCAACCTGGTTTCTACTACTACATAACAACACGGAATAAACCTAGGTGCACATCAACAGTGGATTGGACAAAGAAAATCTGGTACATATACACCATGGAAACTACGCAGGCAGGAAAAAGAACAAAATCATGTTCCTTTGCAGCAACATGGATGCAGCTGGAGGCCATTATCCTAAGCAAATTAACTCAAGAAAAGAAAACAAAAAACTGCACGTTTTCACTTATAAGGGAGAGCTAAACATTGAGTACACATTGACATAAAGATGGGCGCAACAGACACTGGGAACTACTAGAGGGGGAAGGGAAAAGGGGACGTGGGCTGAAAAACTACCTATTGGGTACTATGCTCACTACCTGGGTGACATGATCATCCTTACCCCAAACCTCAGCATCACACCATATATTCATGTAACAAATCAGCATTTGTACCCCCTGAACCTAAAATGAAAGTTCAAATTTTAACAAGTAAATATGTATTTGCTTTTAAAGACAATGGTGATAGTGCGCCTAACAGTGTAAAAATGGTTCCATGTTGACGGCTGGGAGCTGAAATAAATTTTTTGCCTAATGTAGACTCTCTCTTCTTTAAAGTCAAAAACTATAGAACTATGGACCCAAGGGAAGCACTAAGTGGTCACAAGGGACAGGGGCTTGCCCTCTTCCACGGCAAAGCTTAAAGAACTTCATGGAACATGCTAAAGGCTGTTTTGTCACAGAAACAATCTATAAGAGTCACCCAGGAATAGTGCCTCTGTGAGAAGGGTCAACACCGCAATGTTGACAAACAAGTAAATACCAGGATGTGGTTCCCAGCATGGCCAAACCAAGGTAAGTTTCTACCCACTTACAACAACTGGAACTTGCCCTTGAAGCTTGTTCTTAACAAGCAGGCCCCATGAGGCAAAGGAAGCTGTCAGCAGTTGCTATTTCCTACACTCCCTAGAAATCTAAGCCAGGAAAACAGATAAAGCAAAAACCAAGAATGAAAAGCCAAGGTCCAAGAGAGCAAACTAGGAATCCACCGAAGGCATGTGAAATTTAAAAAGAAACTCTTAAAGTAAAAGTATTCCTTGCAAGGAATAGCAATAGACATGCCCGAGGAGGTGGTGTCACATGGAATCTGTTGAAAATCATTTTTAATGCATGGATGATGCTTGTTCTTTGTAGTAAGCCTACAACGGCCCCCTTCTTTAAAATTACAGAATTATTTCAAACAGTAAATCATCCTTTCCAATCATTTTACTCATCTCTACTTTGTTCCTTTTACCACCTGCCACAGCTAAACTTTTTATTTTTCTTCCATTCACTAATGTTTAACCTTATTCAATTTCAGGCAACCAGAATGAAAAAATAGAAGACATACACCCCTGGCAACTCTAAAAGCACTTTATTTCCATCCATCACTACTTCCTTTTCTTGCTTCTCTGAAGAGATATTTCTATAGTTGCCAGATTCAAACCTTTTCCCCACACTCTCCAGAAATGCCCTTCTTCTTGATGACTTTGCCCTGGTAATAATCCTCTTTCTCTCTCCCCTTGATGTTCTCTCCCTCTATTTCTTTTTCTCTCCTCCTGTCTTTCACATTCCTTCTCTCTATAGTGGCTCCCCCCCAACCACACACATACACAGAGCCTACAGATAGAAGGCATTTTGATTTTCCCCTTCTCCCACTCTTTCTGGGAATAGAATAAATCCTAGTATAATGTAATTCAAATCTGGAGAGGAGACAACCATTCTTTTAGCATAATAAGCCACATGTCCTTTAGGAGCAAGTAATTATTCTTTGTAGCACTAACGATCTGATTTTGTTGTAGGTGCTCTATCTAGAGGCAAGGTCTGCTCCATCACATGTAGGGCCCAGTGCAAAAGGAAAATGTGGTGTCTCATTTGAAAGGTGGGGGAAAAGTGCCACTAAAAGTAGCAACATACTAACCTTTGTCCTTTGTTCAGGGGTCTGTCAACGTGTCATGGTGTCTTTTATTTGTTATTTGCTGTTTCGCTCCTTTAAATACAGTGATACTTGCTGGTTGTTTGCAGATCCTCAGAGGTTTCCAGGGGCCCTGTGCAGTGACTCAGTGCACAGCTCACCATCTGCTGGACCCCCTTCCCGCCAGTCACTGGGCTGACCTTCTTGGATGGGGACAAAGAATCCACACTTGCTTTCCCACAGGCCAATGTCTCCAACACACAGAGATGGGTAACTCCCAGTGGAGTGCGTCATCTATGCCAGGACACACTCAGTACCTGAACGGGGTGTCCAGGAGGCCCATCCCACAAAGTCGCCCACTGTGCTGCCATGGCACTGCATGCACCTGCCTGGGTGGGAATAAGGCACGGCAGCAGTAGCTTAGGCAAAGATGGGAAAGGAAAGGATAAGATCTGGTGTCCCAGGCGGCAGGAAGAACAGGTATCCAAGGAATCCTCCCAGAGATTCAAGACACCTAGATTGAGCTGAGGCTTTGATCGCTCCCTGTGCCCAACCCACATCAGACTTCACTCACAAAACACAAACTCAAAGATAAAAAATACTAATAATTTCAAGTCAGTAATAATAGAATGTCCACCACAACAGCCTCTCAATACTCACACAGAGCTAAAGATTAGACACCAGGAAATGCTTGCCAACAGACATAGCTAAAAGTGGAAATTGGAAAGCATTTCCGCTTTCCAAATCTCATGAAAGAACATCTGATTAGGGGAGTCTATCTACTGCAAGAGAGTCAGAGAAGTTAAATTTTTAGGTTTTATCAATGGAGGCTAGAACTGGATAAGGCAAAGCCCCATATTTACCTCTTGATAGTCTTAATACCCACAAAGAGCTGGAGATTAGACAGCGTGAACATGTAGTCATCACCACTATGCTTATGGTGCAACCCCAGGGCCTAATTTCCTGCTCTTTATGGGTATTGAAACTATTTTTCAAATCTCCTCTATCATTCTCCCATTATTCCTTCTGTGCATCCTTCAGTCCAGCCATGGGTGGTGACTTGCATTTTTCCAAGCAGGCTCCACTTTGGAGTTCCTCTACTTTTGCCAACAATATCCCAGAAATACCTTTTCCTTCATTTTAAATCTGTGGAACTACCATTCATCTTTCATGGCCCAGTTTAAACATTACCCCCTCTGACATTCCCAGTCAGAGGCAATCACCTCCTTCCCTCCGTATTCTTTAATGACTTAGTGTGTAAAAACCTATTCATCACGTGTCTTGGTGTTGGCACACCCCCATTAGACTAAGACGTCCATGATGAAAAAATTTTATCGTTCTTTTTATAGCCCCTCTGCCTAGCTCAGGGTCTAACATACACAACAAATGTATGTTGACAAAATGAATCTGTTGAGCAGAGCTACAATTCTCTCCTATCAGACTTGCTCGTAAAGTGAGGGAAACTCATAAATACTAGTAAACGTACAAACAGGGTATGAATGTTGAATCCATTAGAGCAGAATGAAGTAATTATAGAGCAGAAAAGATAGTTGGTATCTCATAATAAGGGAATAACGTAAAGTATAAAACCTCTCTCTTGCTCTCTTTCCTCAGAGGAGTCTAGAATATGGAACTCATCAAGCTGAAGTACCGAACAGAAGCAAGTTAAGTGCCTACCTGTTATTTATATATCTCCCTCTTGTGGTAATTAGAGAGCCTTCATTTACTGTTATGGTAGTCATAATTAGAATTTAATAGAAACAAGGCACTCTTCATTTTTTAAAAAACTGCAATATTCATGTGATTTGAGGTACATAAATCCAGTTTCAGCTATCTATGTATCCTTAAGGTCCTAGTCATGAACAACGTAGACAAGAAGAATATACAGTTGGCCCTTGAACACCACAAGTCTGAACTGTACAGGTCCACTTATAAGTGGATTAAGTAGATTTTTTGACACAAAGCAGGAAAATACAGTATTCACAGGATGCAAAACCTTGAAACCGTGCCAACTTTTCATTTATATGGTTTCCCCCAGGCCTGAGTATGACGGGATTTGGGAATGACTGGATTCGGGTATGCAAATGGTCCTAGAACCAATCCCTTACAGACACCGAGGGACAACTGTATATAAAATATTCCAGTGGGTCCTTTCTTCTCAGTGACATCCGGTACTTGATTTTTTCTTCTTTTTCAGTAAAGACAGATATTCCAATGAAGATGCAGGGTGAATGTCAAATATTTCATAATGTGAAGATTCAGATTCTTTAATAGAGCATTTTTCTTTGAATACATTAGATTCTTTCAGTGCCTTAAATACTCTCTTTGGAAGTTAGTCCTTTTAGATAGACCATTACATGGGAGTTGCATCTAAAACAGATGGTCCTTTAGAATTGACCATAGGAGTATTGTTGTTTTGGTAATGGTCGAGTCCACCAGACGTCATGAAATCATGTATAATCACCTCTGACAATTCAGGGTCTTCTTTCTCTGAATTTATCTAGTGTACTTAAGGTTTTTATTCAAACGTATTTATTATTGGGTACACATGGACATAAAGATGGGAACAATAGACACTGGGGACTCCAAAAGAAGGGTGGGAGAGAGGGAGGGAGGCAACAGCTGTAAAACTTCCCGTCGGGCACTATGTTCACCATCTCATCTCTGGGTGATGGGATCAATAGAAGCTCAAAACTTAGGATCACACAATATATCCTTGTAACAAACCTCCACATGTACTCCCTGAATCTAAAATAAAAATGGAAATTTTATACACACACACACACACACAAACACACACACACATATATATATATATACATATATATATATAGAGAGAGAGAGAGTCTGTCTGCCATGTTCAATACACTTTTCAGGGTAGAAATAAAATGAAACACGATCCTGCCTTCAAGGGGCTTACAATCTAGTAATGGAGATAAATGATCTACCTAATAACAATAAAGAAAATGATAAATAAACGACCAAATTCAGTGGTTCTTAAAGTGAGTACAAGTGATATATGCAGGGGATTTTTAAACATATGTTTCTTTTAAGATTTAAAAATGATATTTCAAGGCCAGGTGTGGTGGCTCATGCCTGTAATCCCAGCATTTTGGGAGGCCAAGGCAGGCAGATAACTTGAGGTCAGGAGTTCGAGACCAGCCTGGCCATCATGGCGAAACCCTGTCTCTACTAAAAATACAAAAATTAGCTGGGCGTGGTGGTGGGCACCTGTAATCCCAGCTACTGGGGAGGCTGAGGTGGGAGAATTGCTTGACCCCGGGAGGCAGAAGTTGCAGTGAGCCAAGATTGTGCCACTGCACTCCAGCCTGGATGACAGAGTGAGACTCCATCTCAAAAAAAATTTTCAAATGGTATTTCAAAAGAACATCCTAAGTGATTCTGATATGCACATCTCCCCTCTTTAAGGGCCACTGAACTAGGAGGAGTTCAAAAGATGTAAAGATTACTTCCTGGATGCGGGCAGTAAAAATTAGGATGCCTTTGAGAAAGAAGGGACAAGTTTAGTACTGGGTAGTTCTGTGACACAGGAGTGTGATCTCCAATATCTACAGGGAGCAGGCAGGTAATATAAATAAGTAAATTAGGTCAATCTAGGTCAAGTTGATGTTAGGGAGTGCTGGGAATTAGGGCAGGTTGGAAAACACTTACCCTTTTTTATGTGGAATAACCACTTCCCAACTCCAGCCAACCATCCCATATAAGAGAAAAAGACTAATAAAGCTGGATCTTCCATTTTCTCAAGAGATACCATACATTTGAATTTTCTGGCAATTAATTTAAAACAATTTAAAGAACTATGTAGTCCCACAGTGCTCAGGCAAAACCAAACATGTGTGCAGATCACATTTGGCCTCTGGACTGTTAGTCATTAACTGAATCCACACTATTTCAGGCTCTGTGTGAGGTGCTAGAATACACACAACAATTTTGTTGCCTGCAAAGTGCCTATGGTCCAGAGAAAATTGACGAGAAAATGGACGATGACTGTGTCATATAGCCAGAGTCTCACAAAACTATGAGAGTACAAAGGAAAGAAAACTCACTGCTGAATGGGAAGAGACCAGCAGGACGTATTTCCCAGTCCTGACATGATGAAATAAAGAAACAGGCCGAAGCTAGCAAAGGCTCCAAAGGCAACCTCTAGTTGCCCTTACTGCTCATCAGCATCAGACACTTCCGTCAGCACCATGACAGTTTACAAATGCCATGGCAACAACCTGAAGTTACTGCCTCTCTTCTAGAAATTTCTGAATGACCCACTTTTTAATTTGCATGTAATTAAAAATGGTTATAAATACTGCTAGCGAACAGCTCAAACACTGCTAGTCTGCGTGCACTGCCTACAGGTTACCCTGCTCCACAAGGAGCAGTCACTCTGCTGTACACTGCTGCTTCAGTGAACCTGCTTTCTTCTACTGTCAGCAGAATTCCACTGAATTCTTTCCTGAGCAAAACCAAGAACTCTCCTGGGCTAATCCCCAATTTTGGGGCTCAGCTGCCCTGCATCACTGGGTTTATGGAAAGCTTCAAAGAGGAAGTGACATGTGAGTTCCATCTAGAAGAATGAGTAAGCATTTTCCAGGTTAACAGCTAGAAACAGGAACAGGCAAAGTGAACGCCATTTATAAGGCTCAGAAATGTGAAAGTATCCCTCTCTAAGAAGATCATCAACTCCATCAGGGCAATATATATATATATATATATATTTTTTTTTTTTTTTTTTTTTTTTTTTTTTTTTTTGAGATGGAGTCTCGCTCTGTTGCCCAGGCTGGAGTGTGGTGGCGCGATCTCGGCTCACTGCAAGCTCCGCCTCCCGGGTTCCCACCATTCTCCTGCCTCACCCTCCCGAGTAGCTGGGACTACAGGCGCCCGCCACCACACCCGGCTAATTTTTGTATTTTTAGTAGAGACGGGGTTTCACCGTGTTAGCCAGGATGGTCTCCATCTCCTGACCTCGTGATCCGCCCACCTCGGCCTCCAAAAGTGCTGGGATTACAGGCATGAGCCACCGCAGCGGGCCTACATATTCTGTCTTTTTAGTGCATTTTATCCTAGGCTGAGCATAGAAGACCCTCTATAAATAGCTTTGACATGTTGTGAGGTTCAAGGATATGAGATAAATAGTAAATACTTTTCCTTAGTGATCTGTAGGAATTATCATAATCTCTATAAAGCCCAAAACCCTTGATTCACTTAGGCTTACCATGACGTAAACAAGGTTCCTCAATTAGGAAGAAAAGAAAGTTTGGAAATCATGAAATTCCCTTCCCAAAGTCACACACAGCTAACCTTCAATTGCTCAGAGGTTGATTATCTAGTAATAAGAAATTCATATTCTTTGCAGTTCTCTCTTTCCTCTTTGATTTCTTTTTGTCTTATTCCATGATCATGTTATCTCCATCAGAAACTCAGGTAGGAGCCAGGTATCCAGCACATCCACTTGGCTACACATTAATAGCTTTGAGACAGAAACTGAGGTATATCAGACTCAGTGATTTCCACATTTTCTGATAATTTTAACCATCATATTCTTCTGATCCCCCATTACTAAGGATGAATTGAGTCAGCTAAACACTTCAAAGTCCAAGTACTGATGCTTCAGACTGCCTTATTCATAAAGGGATATTGAGTCTTAACTCCTTTTGCCACAGAAAGTAGGACTTCTAAGCAGAAACACAATTTCTTCTCTTAGGCTCTAGACAACAGCTACTAGTTCTCATGAGGACCAATACACCTAAACACTTTCTAAGAGGAATGGATGTGATTTCAAACTATGCTTGTCTTCAAGCAACAGAGTTCAGACATTCATATTATTTTGTGTTATGAGCAAGAAATGGAAACAGGAAAATACATTGCCATGTGATATACTATGGAGAAACAGTAAGGAGTAGTGTAAAAGCAGAAAAGGTGAAAATAATTTTCTGCCTCAGCTTTCCAAAGCCTTTAAATCTATCAGGGTTAAGGAAACAAAAGAAAATATTTCTTTTCCAAACTATTTCTTGGTACATAAATCTCCTTCATTGAAAACATTTTTCTCTCTTTCTATTCCCTCCCCAATCCCCAATTTATATAGTGCACTGAAGTTTTCCTTAACATCATTTACTAAATATATCACAATATACTCTTTCCCTGAGGCAACCATTTCAAAGAGACACCTTCCCTCAATCTGGGAATTTCTCAAATAAATCACCCCATTTGGACTTTCCTCCCTCAATATATTTAATGCTGTGAACACATTGTGAAGGTTATAAAAGCTAAAATTCTGCTCTAAAATATGAATATATTTGGGGTGTAGGCTGAAGGTGCAGAATGACTCCTGAGGGCAAAGTCAATTACCTCTTTGGTTTGTTGAGTCTCCAGAACTATTTTACAAATGTTTTTGTTAAAATAATAATCCTCCCCCACAAAAGAAGGCTGTGCCAAGCACTTTTTCCCTTCATGTGGTTTTGGAGGAGAACATTTGCAGGAGAACATACATTTCTGTCTTATTTAAACTTAGATCATTACAAGATTTAAGCGCATCTTGTCCCACAGCCAATACCCTTGGCTATCTGTGTAAATATAAATCAATATTGAAGAATGAGAACTTGTTTAAAACATAATTTCTCACATTTGAGGCCAGGTTATGTTGTGAAACCAGCATCTCCATATTTTTACTTGTTTCTGTCTAGCAAGCAATAGCCTGTGGACCAAATTAGACTCATGGACTGCTTTATGCAGCCTGTGAGCTAAGAATCATTTTTATATTTTTAAGGATTATAAAGTAACAAAAACAAAATGCACAAAGAATAATATCCAAAACTGAAGGTATCAATTTAGGCCCCTAAGCCTAAAATATTTACCATCTGGGTCTTTACAGAAAAGTAAGCTGACTCTTGATCTAGGCAAATAGACACCTTCCTGTTGTTCAGGTCCTTATCAAATTTCCAAGCACAGTTAACTCTATCCATCTTCACTTAAACAACTTATGGTATAAACAACTCACAAAAATAAGAGAAAGCTCTTGCACATTTGATTATGTGATTCATTTTCTGTATTGTCTTGGTTTAGGTTCTCTAAGAAGCATAGAAGCAAACCACAAGCCAAAGATTTAAGTGTAAGAGTTTTATTTGGGAGATAATCCCAGGAAGCACTGATAGGAAAGGAGGAAGTGAGACAGGACGGTGTGATGGTTAATACTGAGTGTCAACTTCATTGGCTTGAAGGATGCAAAGTATTGTTCCTGGGTGTGTCTGTGAGGGTGTTGCCAAATGAGATTAATATTTGAGTCAGTGAACTGGGAGAGGCAGACCTGCCCTCAATCTGGGTGGGCACCATGTAATCAGTTGCCAGCTTGGCTAGGATAAAAGCAGGCAGAGGAACGTGGAAGGACTAGACTGGCTAAGTCTTCTGGCCTCCATCTTTCTCCCATGCTAGATCCTTCCTGCCCTCGAACATTAGACTCCAAGTTATTCAGCTTTTGGACTCTTGGATTTACACCAGTGATTTACCAGGGGCTCTCCAGCCTTTGGCCACAGACTGAAGGCTGCACTATTGGCTTCTCTACTTTTGAGTTTTGGGGGATCGTGTGAGTCCATTCTCCTTAATAAACTCCCCTCCATATATACCTCTAGCCGGTTAGTCTTGTCCCTTTAGAGAACCCTAACTAACACAGTCAGGGAAGCAGCCACTAAGTGTGTGTGTCAGGGCGGGGGGGGGGGGGGGGGCGGGGGGTGGGGGCAGGTATCAAGCAAATGTTCTATTGTGAGTAAATGAAGTTTAAACCTGCAGGGGAACTCCAGCTGAGAGTTATTCCACATGTGAGGTGGCATCTCAGAGTTATTCCACATGTGAGGTGAGGGAGATAGGGCAGGAACACATCAACTCTCATCAGATGTTGGTTGATGGCTCCTTCCAGAATCATGTACTTCTCCAGTGCTTCTAGCTTGCTGCTCAGCTGAGGCCAGCAGAGTGACCTTCGATCATCACAGAAAGCCTTCAGTGGATGCTAGTGGCTAGAAGTCAACTGAAGTTATGGTTTGAGGAGATAGGGGTAGGGCATTAACACCTGCTACATTATATTTCTTGTAAATGCCCTACATTTTAAATAAGCTCCAGACTGTCACTGCTTCTCCAAGGTGGTTGCAATTTCTACAAAACAAAAACTTAAAACAGAAGGGTCAGTGGGAAAAACTAAAGTGTCTACTTCCACAAATTATATTTTTGTCCCTTCCTCATACCATGCATAATAGATGCCCCTTGCCCTTAGTCAAGCACTTTTTTCAATCTAGATTGTAGTTACTGGGCTTTCTTGCCCATTAACAATGAATAATGGACTTGAGCACACCTATGAGTAGCTCATTGAATTCCCTGAGCTCTAGACACACCTCCTGTCCCCCTACATAGCCATAATCTTATCTCTGTATGGTAATCATGGGTATCTATCCTTGTCAGTGTAGTATAGTAACTCACTTCTTGGCCTACTTGTTTACATGTATGAGGAACCCACAATGTTCAAGCTGCAATCATAGCTTTAGGATTACTGGAACCATTAATGTGTCCCGTAGTAGAAATGTCCTCCACTTACTCCCACTGAAGACCAGAATCTGTGGTTTAGTAGAGACTAAATCTGTGGGGATGAGAAGTACCAATTCCCCACATAGGTCACTGGGAATAATGGAAATGCAGTCATTCCTTCTTCCATATCTTGCTTTCCAGAACTATTGAGGATACAACCCTGTATAATGGACATTAGTTCAAAATATATATCACACAATGAAAGACAGTAAGTAGCCCAACCATGAAGGGTATATTCACCAAGATAGCTAAATGTTGCAGTGCTTTAAGAGGCCATTGCAACAATTCCAGCAGGTAGCACTTCCAGAATGGGGTGGTATATTTTAAGATCCGTGGATCCCATGGTGGTAAGGTGCTCATTGTCATACCTTTTTTTCCTGAAAAAATTGGTTGCTTAATCCAAGGTGATGCAGGCTTCTGTGATAATAAATCAAACAATAAGCACATAATCACTCTAGGTCCTCTGACAGGGGTGCCAACTAAGGCAATTGTATGCAAGGAAGGCAAACCCATGCCCAGAACCCATATTAATATAAGAAGAAATGAATTCCAGCCCTTCCAGGTGGAAGGGGTCCAAAGTAATCAACTTGCCATCAAGGAACTAGAAGATTTCCTCAAAGAATGGTAGTACACTAAGAGCTCAGCATTGGTCTCAACTGCTGACATTTTGGAGAGTCTGCAGTGGCAGTTGGATCAGCCTCGGTGAAAAAAAGATCCTTGTTGTTGGGCTCATGGATAACCTCCCTCTCTTTCACCGTGGCTACTTTAATGATGAGTTCATTTTACAAATACTGGTGGCCAAAGACAAAACTTCACTGGCTTCTACTGGGGAAGTCATTGATGTAACCTGGTTGTTTAGGGCCTCCTCTGGTGGGCATCAATAGCAAATACAGAGATTTGCAAATTTTGTCCACAATCATATAGAACTGACTACACATGTCTTCACTACATCAATTCAAGTTGATAGTCAGGTATACTCTGCAAAACTTTGCACAACGGGAGCATTTTCCCTCATCACTGTCTCCTAGGGCCACTCTTTTTTTTTTTTTTTTGAGACGGAGTCTCGCTCTGTCGCCCAGGCCGGACTGCGGACTGCAGTGGCGCAATCTCGGCTCACTGCAAGCTCCGCTTCCCGGGTTCACGCCATTCTCCTGCCTCAGCCTCCCGAGTAGCTGGGACTACAGGCGCCCGCCACCGCGCCCGGCTAATTTTTTGTATTTTTAGTAGAGACGGGGTTTCACCTTGTTAGCCAGGATGGTCTCGATCTCCTGACCTCATGATCCACCCGCCTCGGCCTCCCAAAGTGCTGGGATTACAGGCGTGAGCCACCGCGCCCGGCCCTAGGGCCACTCTTGATTGGGGCTGTAGTGCAGCAACAGTTCATACTACAACCCTTCTGTGATCCAGGCCTGGATACTTCCTCCTCCATCAGTTGGTCATTGTGAACCCCTGGAAGCCATAGGCAAGTGAGCTAAAGAAAAGGCATCAGTACAAAAGAGGTAGGTGTCATGGGAGCCTCAGCAACCTATTCACTCAGCTGTGCCCTGGGGACCTGCTCAGGCCTAAGTCCTGAGTATACTATTTTCATCATACAATGGATTGCTACTGTGTTCTCCCAACTTTACCTCTTAATAGGTCTGATAATATCCAACTCATCACAATGAGCTTCACTTGTATAATCACTTAATGTCCTCCATGAAGCTGAAGAGCATGCCAGGAACTGCATCTCAAACAATGAATACTTTTCTGCTGCAGATGGCATGGCTTTGCTCCAAGGGTCTGTTCTGTGACTCTCCTATTGGGGTTTGCCAGAGACCCTGTCACAGATACCTCTAATAACTTGAGATCTGCTGAGTCATATGGCCCAATCAGCTGTACTGAACTTGTACTGAAAACTGATACTGCTGTAGAAACCTCTCTTTATACTGCATTCAAAACTGGTAGCCTTATGAGTCACAGGATAAATGAGTTGGATATATTCCCAAATGTGGTTGGTGCTATATCCAAAATTTTCATAACAAGTATATGTCTATTTCTTAGTGGTGGGAAGTACAAAGGAAAGTCAATCATAACATGTATCCAGATCCCTGATCCCTAAAAACTTCATCTTTGTGGCAGGCCCCTGCATTTGGTAGGATTTATCTCCCATCCAGCAGTGTGCCTGTGTCTTACAAGAGCATCCAGAATGCTTGCCACTCCCTGTTTCCCAGGCCCAAGTAACATGATACTGTAATAATAAGATGAATATGATAAAACAATATTAAAAATGCCAACAATAATATACCCAAATTTTAATGTACACTTTCATTACCAAACTCTTAGGGAATAGAGTCTAAAAATTAAATTCCCATGAAAGTTAAAACCTCAAGTAATTAAAGTGTCAAATTAAGTTATTTTGCTCTCATGAGTTAGAAGTCCTAAGAAACTGAAGTCCAAATTATTTCTCCCCAATTTCTTCTTTTGGTCAATTCAATTTCAGAGTTCCCAATGCCTGGGTGGAGTTAGGAGCTCTTTAGCAGAGATGTTCTTTAGCACAATGGTCTTGCACTGAAATGCAAGTAGTTTCTTTAGGAAACTACAACTTAACTTACAAAGTTAACTTAATGCAATGGCAAGTCTTTATTGCACCTGAATTCTTAAAGTTTAAGTAGTTAGGCTATGCACTGGTCTTACATCCACCACATTTAGAAGGCAAGCCAGTCCCTCAAGGAATTTGCTCAAGGTCATATAGCTAACTAGTAAGTGGTAGCACCAACAGGCAAACCCTAGGCAGGTGCCCTGAGAGCCTGTGCTCCTAATCATGGTGCACTCCTCACTGGCTTCAGTTTTTCTGAGGTACTGGTTAATCTATGCCAGGTATTCAGAATACGTGATCTATGGGCTTCAGCTCACTTGGACTTTAAATTCATTAAAAGGTTAATTTGGGTACTATATATTTGGCTCTATATATTCACCATATTTTAAAGGGAAAAATACATTGTCTTTTCCCTCAGAGGATAATGCAGTCTTTTTTGAAAAGCAGCAACTACTGTCACCAGATGTTATTTGAGGAAGCTTTCTTTTCCATCTGCTATATTTAAAGCCTTCTAATTTCCCTTTCTCCTTTGAGGTCCTAGATTCTGGCACCCCAAGACTGGATTGAGTACAGGCTCTATCTAGTAACATAGCATTTACATTCTTTTGCAAACAGTCGCTTTCAGTGCTGTACCACAGTGGCTTAAAAAAAAAATCTAACTCTTAATAAAGAATTCCTGAGACCTAAGAAACAAACTCCAAGGTAATGTTTTCCCTTATTCATAATGAGCTAGCCTAGAGTCAACTGGAAACAAAATGGTGTTTGATCACTTTTGACCCTGAATACCAACTGTATCCCTCTCACATCACTCGCCTCACCCCTTACCCATAATTCATAATGGAATTTGGGTCAACCAATCTAATTCTGTCTATGTAGGATATACAAAACTCAGATGACTTTCACTTTACAAGCAGTAAATACTGTACTGCTTCCAATGTGTAAAAAGTCTGTATTTAGAAAGGCATTTTTCCCAATATTGGCCTCAGTTACACCCATGTGGCTTATATTCAAGTGATAGTCTACACACTGAGGACATCCAAGCCTATTAAAAACATCCCCTGACATCAGAGCTGCTGACAGAAAGAATGACATGTACACTTCCTGTGGGAAGCTCCACTTCTGGAGATGAAAGGTCTGGGCTATAAATGCCCAGTTTATCTAATCAATATTGCTAGTTATAGTTAAGTCAGCCCATCTTCACTCCTCCAAGAGAGGTGTCTCCACCAAGGGAGGAGATCCTCCACATGGAAGGAAAGTCTATAATTAGAGAATAAGCATTTTCTCCTATACATGACTAGGAAGATTCCTGCACATAATCTTAGAAAATAAAGTTTTGCTTTTGCTTGAAGATTTAAAGACCATGACATGAAAAAAAGAGTCCTCATGCTCAAAAATAAGTAAGTGAAAACATAGATTAGGTTTAGAATCTATGTGAAGTAGTAGTATATCTTGTCTCTAAATCATACATACATTCCTCCTCTAAGGGCTATTATGAATTCAACCAATTTTTAAGGAAGTCAAAGCAAAAGAGAAGAAATAAAAGGACAATAGTTAGGTCTCCTTTCTTTCTTCCAAAGAGGCAAGGTCCTGGAAAAAACTGATGAAGAAAAGCTTCTGCTGATGAATCCTAAGGTGACATTCATGATCAAACATACTTCCTCAGCATATGAGAATTGCCAACTCCCTCATCCTTTCACTGCTGAAACCACCTTTGCAAAGATTATGATAGTGAGAGGAATCTAGCATGGCTGACTTCATCTTGCTTCTGGTTTATAGGCTGGCCGTCCTCACCCGTTCCTGGGCATAGATCAGGCTAGCCATGAGAAGAATTTAGTTTATAGTTTAAAGCAAGGATAGTAATAGTCCCTCCCAAAACTTAACCCCCTTTGTAAAACTAATGAAAGCCTACAAGATTGGGATTATGAGAGGGGCCTGAATACTGCTAAGATGCAGGCATAGTTAAACTATTACCAGCCATCGTTCAGGAGGTCACAAGACTTGTAAGTTCCCCAGTTACTCCTGTAGGTAGCATCCCTATCGCAGAATCTCAGATTGACCTTTTGAGATGTCTTTGTAGACTTTTGCATTTCTGGTGACTGAGTCCACCCAGACCCACAACTCATTACTCAAGTGGTCCTGTGGTCCCCACCCAGAGGCTGACTCAGCACATAAGGACCATTTTTCCATACCCCTATGATTTCATCCCCAACCAATCAACATTCCCCATTTCCTAGCCCCCTGCCCACCAGGCTATCCTTAAAAAACCCTAACCTTTGAGCTTTCAGGGGAGACTAATGTGAGTGATAACTCTAGTTTCCACACATGGCCAGCCTCATGTTAATTAAACAGTTTCTTTACTATAATTCCATGGTCTCAGTGAACTGGTTTTGTCTATGCAGTGGGCAGGAAGAACTTGTCAGGTGATTATATAGCCCCTTTTGTTGCATGGAAAGTGAAGATATTGATGTTTTCTCTACCTTATCTCATGAGGCTGAGTAAAACTCAAAGCAAAGTAAGGAAGGGCTTTGTAAAGTGTAAAATGAGCCACACATGTTCACTGACATCACTCTTTCCCATGTAAGGGGAAAGTTTGTTTTCTTCATTAGTTGCTTAGTTTGGGTCAGTGTTACTTGATTTCAGGCTGTGCTTACCCATCTGCCCAACCCAGCAAGAATTTCCAATTCATTTCCAAATATAAAGCATTTTGGCCACTGCGATTTTCTACAGTGGATCCTAAACCAGATTTTTCTAATTCTGCCTCTTTTTCTCTTTGCTTGGAGCAGATTTAAGTCTGGATTATCTGTTTGGGTGGCGTCTATGCACAGTTTTGGCTCTATTTTTTTTTTTATCTCATTGGCCATCATTTCAATTTTTCTATTTGTCCCTTTCCTTCACATATAAAAGGCAGTAAAAATAGTAGAAAAGGTAACTACAACTGATTGAGCATTTACCACATGCCAGACATTATGCTAAACACTCTATATAAATTTAATCCTCACAACAGTTCTAAGGGAAGCAAAATTTCTATGATATAGGAGATAATTATGAAAAATTATCAATAATGAGTGAATTGCACATGTACATGTATGTACTCACACACACAAAAAAATTACTAAGGTTTATGGTAGGTATGCAGAGTCCTTGCAAAGAGTCACTAGTACTTCTTTTGTGGAATCCTTTCTTTGTCCCAGGAAAAGCCTCACAAGCTCATAGGCTAAGTTCACACGGCCATCTGACAAGCTTCCTTACTTGGACTAAAAATGATGTCTCACTAAATCCTTGTGATGAGTCCATATTATAGAAATTATCCTTCTCATGTTGTGCATGGGGAAATAGTATTTTAAAAGCTGGCTAAGTGTGAGCCCATTACTCTAAGAAAACAACACAATTTCTCTTGAGGAAACAAATCATTCTTTTATTTGAGAGGCCATGTTTATGAAATGTATAGCTATAGCCTAGTCTGGATTAAGAATAAATAGAGAAAATAATAAATGCTTTTGTTCTGCCTAAGAAGGTAGCAGATATTTCTTCAAAGAGTGAAAGGAAATTTGTGTTTAATTTCGATTTGAAATGCCCATCAGTGATAGACTGGATGAAGAAAATATGGTACATATACACCATGGAATACTACACAGCCATAAAAAGGAATGAGATATGTCCTTTGCAGGGACATGGAGCTGGAAGCTGTTATCTTCAGTGCAAACAAATGCAGGAACAGAAAACCAAACACTGCATGTTCTCACTTATAAGTGGGAGCTGGATGATGAGAACACACAGACACAGTAGTCGGGGAACACACACTGGAGCCTCTCAGTGGGTGTGGGGAGGAGGGAGAGCACCAGGAAGAATAGCTAATGGATGCTGGGCTTAATACCTAGGTGATGGGTTGATCTGTACAGCAAACCACCATGGCATATGTTTACCTATGTAACAAACCTGCACATCCTGCACATGTACCCCGAAACTTAAAAGTTAAAGAAAAAAATTTATTTGATTTGGTTTGGGCTGTTTGGTTTGCTGGGTTACGAGTACAGGTCTTAGAGAAGCAAAAAGCCAGGAACGGGTCCTCAGGGAAGGATGCACCCCAGAGACAAGGAAGCAGATGGTACAGAAAAAAGTTTTCAGTGATTATTTCTTGTGGAAAGGAATAATTGATAAACTGGTGAAACAATGAACATTGATTTTCACATACAGATGTCTCCAATTATGCGTGAAAATCCCCCTCAGTTTTCCACATACATCGAGTAAAAGAATTGTGTCACATACACCAATTCTTGTTTTAGTCGTATCTTGTAGGCATGATAAGGAGTTGAAGAAAATCAAAATATTTTACCCCAAAATACATTTCTTTGACATATTTTAAAATGACTGCCACAGGGCCAGCAGACTCAATTGGCCATGAAATTTTGTGGGGGAAATTTGCATCTGTAAAGAATCTCCATTAATGCAACCAAGACTTCCCTTTCTAGGCCTTTCCCAGATTGAGAATAGATTAACTGAGAGTCTGACATCTTTAAAGTTCTGGAAAAAAAAATTATCATTTATTCTCTCTGAGGGCTGCTACCTGTGAGATTTTACGTACATAACAAGGCCACATTTGCTAGCCAGGCCTCTTTCTTTCTCCATTCCATGACCTGTCTTACCCACTGTTTGTGGCCATTCTCTGAGCCTCCATTCTTTCTGTAACCTGAAAATGGTATATAAGCTTCTGTACCTCATTGGGAGTTGGGTTCTTCATTCTGAAGGCTCTTGTATATACATGTTGCCTGGACCAGCAACCTCAGCTGCCCTACCTGGCATAGATTGTGATATAGCAGGGCTCTTTCTGCTCTACCCCCCAGGCAGATTTCTGGGCATTCAGAGCACCCACTCAGCTTGATCAACAGCCTGACATGCTCCACCCATCCTGTGCCAAGATCCTGGTTCAGAGAAGCCGTCTCTGCTTCATGCCCAGGCAGATCTCCAGGCATTTAGAGCACCCACTCATCTGATTCAGCAGCCCATGCCACCTCACTCTTTCTGGACACAGATCGTGGTGCAATGAGACCCTCTCCACAGCAGCCCAGGCAGATCTGCAGGCATCCAGAACATCCACTCACCTGGATAAGCAGCCCAAGCTGACCCACCCTTCCTGTGCTGAGATACAGGTGCAAGAGGGCCCTCACCAATACACATTCAGGCAGATCTCCAGGCATTCAGAGTGTTTGCTTTCCTTGGTCAGCAGCCTAAGTCACCCCACCCTTCCTGTGTACAGATCTTGTTTTGGGGGCACCTCTCCACTCCATGTGCAGGCAGATTTCCAAGCTTTTCCTACTCACCTAAATCAGCTGCCTGACCCACCCCACCCTTCCTGTGCAGAGATCCTGGCACAGAGAGGCTCTCTCTGGTCAACGCCAAGGCAGATCTTCAGGCATTCAGAGCACCAGGTCTCCTGGATAAGGAGCCTAAGCCACCACACCCTTCCTGTGCAGAGATCCTAGTGAAAGAGGGCCCTCTATGCTACCTACATAGGCAGATCTGCAGGGATTCAGGTCACTTGCTTGCCTTGTTCAGCAGCCTGAATTACCCACCTCTTCTGTGCAAAGATCTTGGTATAGGGGATCCCCTCTGCTCCACACCCAGGCAGATCTACAGCATCTGGAGCACCTACTCACCTGGATGAGTTTAGGCTGCCCCCAATCCCTGTGCAGAGAACTTGGGACTGAGGGGAGTTTCCCAGTTCCATGCCTAGGCACACCTCAGGGCTCTTGGTGGCCACTCACTGGATTCTTCCTCAGTGCTGGTGCTTGTGCCTGCCATTAGCAGACCTGTAGGTGAGACTTTGCAGTCTTGTCCCACCATCTTGCCCCACCGTCTTGCCCCCGACAGCCCCTTCACCCAACATACCAGGGAGCTTAGAGCATTGTGCACTCCATGAATCAGTCCATTGCCTGAGGCAATAGAGAGATTCTCCTGGTAATCAAGAATCAAATATATACCCAGCCATGTTGGCTGCAGCCAGCTTTTACCCATAAGCATCATCTACCAGCTTGTAGCTTGAACCACTTAGCCAAATATAAAACCTGCCAAAGGAAATACAAAGAGATATAAAAGCAAAGCCAAAAGACTCTACTCAGTAAAAGTAGGGGAAAGGGAAAGATAAGACACAGTAATAGCATAGGGGGAAAAAAAAGAAAAAATCTTACCTACATGAAAAATAATTACAAGAATTAGAATTGTCATGTCTCCAGATGTGAAAGAATTGGTGCAAGAATTCTGACATCATGAAGAATCTGAATATAATGACACCATCAAAAAAAAAAAATCACACTAGCTCTCCAGCAGTGGTCCCTAAACAAAAAGGAAACTCAGAAAAGACAAAGAATTCAAAGCACGGATTGCAGGAAAGTTCAATGAGGTTCAAACCGATATTGAAAATCAATACAAAGAAACTTCTAAAGCAATCCAAGAAATGAAGAAAGAGATAAGCATCCTAAAAAGAAATTAATCAGAGGTCTGGAATTGAAAAACTCAAATAATTTCAAAACATAACTGTAATATTTATCAATAGACTGAGCCAAGAAGAAAGAATCTCAGAGCTTGAATACAGGGGTTTTTTTTTTTTTTTGAGCTAACTAAATCAGAAAAAAAAATTTTTTTTAATAAAGAAAATCCTCACAAAATATAGGATTAAGAAAAGCAAACAAACCTATGAATTATTAGCATTCCTGAGAGAGAAGGGGGAAAAGTCAACAACCTGAAAAACATATTTAATAAAACAATTCAAGGAAATGTTCTTAATCTTTCAAAAGAAGTAAATATCCAGATACAAGAAATCCAGAGAACACCTGTGAGATACTATACAAAGTGAACATCACAAGGCATATTGTCACCACAGTGTCCAGTGTCAATGCTAAAGAGAAAATCTTAAAGGCAGCTGGAGAAAAAGATCAGATCACACACAAAGAGAACCCCATCAGGCTAACAGCAGACTTCTCAGCAGAAACTTTACAAGCCAGGAGATTTGGGGGGCCTATATTCAGCATTCTTTAAAAGAGGAAATTCCAACCAAGAATTTTATATCCTGCCAAATTAAGCTTCATAGGTTGAGGAGAAATAAAATCTTTTCCAGACAAGCAAGCATGAGGGGAATTTGTTACCACTAGACCAGCCTTACATGACATATTTAAGGGAGTTCTAAACATAGAAACAAAAGAAAAAATACCTGCTACTACAAAAACACATTTAAGTATATAGCTCACTTACTCTATAAAGCAACTGCAAAATGGAAACTACAGTGATCAGCTAACAACTTCACAGTAGGATCAAAACCTTACATATCAATATTAACCTGGAATGTAAATTGTCTAAAGGCCCCACTGAAAAAGCAGTTGAAAGCTAGATTAAAAAAAAATAAGAGCCATCCATCTGCTATCTTCAAGAGACCCATCTCACATGTAATAACACCCATAGGCTCAAAGTAAAGGGTTGAAGAAGGACCTATCACACAACAGAAAACAAAAAAGAGCATGAAGTCACTACTTTTCTACTAGATAAAACAGACTTTGAACCAACACCTGTAAAAAAAAGGACAAAGGGCATTACATAATAAAGCATTCAATTCAACAAGACTTAATTATCCTAAATATATATGTACCCAACATTAGAGAACCTACATTCATAAAACAACTAATTCTAGACCTTTGAAAAGACTTAGCCACACAATAGTAGTGGGGAATTTCAACACCCCACTGACAGTGTTAGATAGATCATCAAGGCACAAAACTAATGAAGAAATTCTGGACTTAAATCGACATGTGATCAATTGGACCTAATAGACATCTACAGAATACTCCATCCATCAACCATAGAATACACATTCTTCTCATACACACAAAGACAATACTCCAAGATAGGCCACATGCTTGGCCATAAAGCCAGTTTCAACAAATTCAAAAAAATCAAAATCATACCTCTCTAAGTCATTAGGCAAAGCCAGCATCACCTGGCAAAGACATAACAAAAAAGAAAAATGACAGGCCAATATCTCTGATGAATGTAGATGAAAAAATTCTCAACAAAATACTAGCAAATCAAATCCAGCAGCACATCAAATAGTTAATTTAACACAATCAAGTAGGCTTCATTCCTGGAAGGCAAGTTTAGTTCAACGTACTCAAATCAATAAATGTGATTCACCACATAAACAGAATTTAAGACAAAAATTATATCATCTCAATAGATGCAGAAAAATCCAACATTCCTTCATGACACAAACCCTCAAGAAACTAGGCATCAAAGGAACATAGTTGAAAATAATAAGAACCATGTATGTCAAACCCACAGACAACATCATACTGAATGGGCAAAAGCTGGAAGCATTCCCCTTGAGACCTGGAACAAGACAAGGATGCTCCCTCTCACCACCCCTATTCAACATAGTACTGGAAGTCCTAGCTACAGCAATCAGGCACAAGAAAAAAAATAAAAAGAACCCGAATAGGAAAAGAAGAAATCAAACTATCTCTCTTTGCTAATGATAATTCTATACCTAGAAAACCCAAAAGACTTCACCAAAAGGCTGCTTGCACTGATAAACTACTTCAGTAAAACTTCAGGATGCAAAATCAATGTACAAAAATTAGTAGCAGACAGAGGAGATAGAACAATATTGCCAAACAGAAACCTCCAGAGATCATTCCCTCACCCCAACAGGAATAACAAATTGAACAACTTGTCATACCAAAAAAGCACTTCATGAGAACCCAAAATCAGATGAGGAATATAGTACCTGGTTTTAACATCACATTAGAGAAAGATGTGCTGAAAAAGGTAGGAAAGACAGTCTTGAATTGCCTACACTACCACTCCTCCATGCCCCAGCAGTGCCTGCGTGGTCCATAAAGAGAATCTGTGTGCTTGGAGGAGACAGAGTACAGTGATTGTGGAAGGTTGCATTGGAACTCAGTGCTACCCTGTCACAGCAGAAAGCAACATGGGGTGGCACTCATCCATTGCCCACAGAGGGATAATTGAGATGAGCCTCAGCCAGAGACAAATAATCTATCCTAGTCATCAGAATCTGGGTTCCAGCAGGCCCCACCACCAATGGCTAAAATTCTCTGAGGTCCTAAATAAACTTGAAAGGTAGTCTAGTCCACAAGGACTGCAATTCCCAGTGCTGTGCTGGGCTCAGAGCCAGTGGACTTGAGGTGCATGGGACCTAGTAAGACAACAGCCAAGGCAATCATCGGAGTGCTTGTGTCACCATCCCCCAAACCCAGGCAGCACAGCTCACAGCTTTGAGAGATGCTCCTTCCTTTGGCTTCAAGAGAGGAGATAGGAGAGTAAAGAAGACTTTGTCTTGTAACATTGATATCAGCTCAGCCACAGTAGAATAGGACATGAGGCAGATTCCTGAGGCCCCCACTCCAGGCCTTAGCTCCAAGATGACATTTCTAGACACCCTCTCGGCCAGAAGAGAACCTCTTTCCTTGAGGGAAAGAACCCAGTCCTGGCAGGATTCATTACCTGCTGAATAAAGAGCCCCTGGCCCCTGAATAATCAGCAGTGGTAGACAGGCAGTACTTGTTGTGGGCCTTGGATGACACTGAAAGTTGTGCTGGCTTCAGGTGTGACCCAGTATATTCCCAGCTACGGTAAAAATGGGGAAGGGCTCCTTCTTGAAAAAAGGAGAGAGAAGAGTAAAGGCAGCTGTCTTGCAGCTTAGGTAACAGCTCAGCCACAGTGAGGAAGACAACCAAGTAGGTTCTGGGATTCCTGGGGTTCCCCATTCCAGGCCTGAGCTCCTGGACAGCATTTCTGGACCTGTTCATAGCCAGAGGAAACCTCCAGCCTTAAAGGGAGAGACCCAGGCCTGGCAGCATTCATCACAAGCTGACTGAAGAGACTTTGGGCCATGAAAGAACACTGGCGGTAGTCAGGAAATATTCTCCATAGGCCTAGGGCAGCAGTGGCCACAAAGATACTCCTCTGCTTGAGGAAGGGGGAGGGAAGAATGGGAGAGACTTTGTCTTGTGGCTTGGATCCCAGCTCAGCTGCAGTAGAATAGAGCACTAGGTAGATACCTAAGGTTCCTGACTCCAAGACCTAGCTCTGGGATGGCATCTCTACACTTGTCCTGGGCCAGGGGTAACTCAGCATCCTGAAGGAAAGGACAGAAGCCTGGATGGATTTTCTACCTGCCGACTGTAGAGCCCTTTGGCCTTGAGTCAGGAAGTGGTCACTGAAGGCCTTGGTTGAGACCTTGGCTTCAGGTGTGACCCAGTGCAGTCTCAGTGGTAGTGGCCACAGAGGTGCTTGTGTCACCCCACTTGCAGACTCATATAGGTACTACTTTGGTCATCCTGGCTAAGAGCCAAGAAATTCCTAGATTACCAGGCAGAGACTCTTTTTCTCTTCCATTATTTTCTCTAAAACAAATGGAGTCTCTCTGTCCTGAGCTGCCTGGAGTTGGGGAAGAGGTGAAACAAGACCACCAAGCTGGTGCCTCTACGAGTCTGCAAGAGTCACAGTGTTACTGGGCTTGGGGCATCCCCTAATGCACATATGGCTATCATGGCAAGACTTAGATCATAACACTAAAGTCGCTTTGAATATTTGGAAAGAATTCCCAGGAAGGACAAATACAAACTAGCCCAGACTGCAATGACTACAATAAGCACCTAAATCTTCAACACCCAGACACTGATTAACATTTCCAAATATCAAGACCATCCAGGAAAACATGACCTTACCACATGAACTAAATAAGTCACCAGTGACCAATCCCAGAGAGAGATATATGCAACCTTTCAGACAGAGAATTCAGAATAGCTGTTTTGAGGAAGTTCAATGAAATTCAAGATACCACAGAAAAGGAATTCAGAATCCTATCAGATAAATTTAATGAAGAGGTTCAAATAATTTTCATAAGTCAAGCAGAAATTCTGAAGTTGAAAAATTCAATTGACATACTGAAGAATGCAACAAAGTCTTTCAGCATCATAGTTGCTCAAGCGGAAGAAATAATTAACAAGTTTGAAGATAGGCTATTTGAAAATACACAGTCAGAGGAGACAAAAGAGGAAAGAATAAAAAGGAATGAAGCATGCCTACAAACTTTAGAAAATAGCCTCAAAAGGGCAAATCTAAAAATTTTTGGCCTTAAACAGAAAATAGATCAGGGTAGAAAGCTGATTCAAAGGAATACTAACGAAGAACTTTTCAAATCTAGAGGAAGATGTTAATGTTCAACTACAAAAAGTTTACAGAATACCAAGCAGATTTAACCCAAATATGACTACCTCAAGACATTTAATAATCAAATTCCCAAAGGTCAAGGATAAAGAAAGAATCCTAAAAGCAGCAAGAGAAAAGAAACAAACAACATACAACAGAGCTTCAATACATCTGAAAGCAAACTTCTCAGTAGAAACTTTACAGGGCAGGAGAGAGTGGCATGACATATTTAAACTGCTGAGGGGAAAAAGCTTTTATCCTAGAATAGTATATCAGCAAAAATATCCTTCAAGCATGAAGGATAAATAAAGACTCTCAGATAAACAAAAGTTGATTTTGTCAACATCAGACCTGTCCTACAAGAAATAGTAAAGGGAATTCTGCCATCTGAAAGAAAAGAACATTAATGTGCGATAAGAAACCATCAGAAGGTACACAACCCACTAGTAAAAGTAAGCATACAGACAAAGAATGTTATACTACTAATTGTGGCATATAAACTACTCATATGTTGCATAGAAAGACTAAAGTATGAACCTATCAAAAATAACTACAATGACTTTTCAAAACAGACATTATAACAAGATACAAATAGAAACAAAAAAAAGTTAGAGTGGAGGGAGGGTAAAGATGAAGTGAAAATGTATTTTTATTAGTTTTCTCTTTACTTTGGTTTTGCAATCAGTGTTAAGTTGTCATGAGTTCAAAATAATGGGTTATAAGATGTTTGCAAACCTCACTGTAATCTCAAATCAAAAAACAAAACACATACAAAAATAAAAATCAAAAGCAACAAAGTAACTCATACCAACAGAAAAAATCACCTTCACTACAAGGAAAACACAAAGGAGGAAAAGAAGAAAAGGCCACAAAACGACCAGAAACCAAATAATAATAGCCGGAGTAAGGCCTCACCTATCATTAATAACACTGAATGTAAATGGACTAAACTCTCCAATCAAAAGACAGTAGCTGAATGGATTTAAAAAAAAAAAAAAAAGACCCAATGATCTGTTGCCTACATAAAACACACTTTAGAGGGTGGGGCTAAGATGGCCAACTAGAAGCAGCAGCAATCAGAGACTTCCATCAAAAAGAATCATAAATAGTGTGTGAATCCTGCACCAGCAACCAAGGTATCCAGCTTCTCTCATCAGAAATGACTAGGAGGCTGGCATGATCCACAAAGAAGGAGGAAGAGCAGTGTGGTGCAGCAGTCCACCTCAGAGCCACATGGATCACAGGAGCTCCCATGCTGTGCGTGCTACCCACCCAGGGAAATCGCACTTTTTCCATGGAACTGTGCAACCCGTGGATCAGAAGATCCCTCTCATGAACCCAGGCCACAGCAGCCAGCAGGGAAAGACAGCAGCCAGCACTGGGACTTATACATGCCTAACACGCTAAGCTCCCTGGGTGTGGGAAGAGGAGCATCCATTTCTGTAGCTCCAGACCACGCTTTTCCCCTGCTGGAGCCAGAGAGGCTGGATAGCTTAATCCCAAGAGATGTCCCTCACAGCCCAACATAGCAGCTGTGGCAGACTGTGGCCAGAGAGCCTCTTTAGGCCTGACCTTGACCCATCCTTCCTCACTGGGCGGGGCCTCCCTGCAGGAACTCCAACAACTCCAACCAGAGGTTCAAGAACAGAACGCTGATCTCCCTGGACCTGAACCCCTAGGGGGAGGAGTGTCCACAGACTCTGTGGGCCAGCAGACTTAGCCTTTCCTCCTAGTAGTTCTGAGGAATTTGAGCAGCCCAGACAAGTGGGCTTCTCCCCAGCAAAGTACACCCCCTCCACCAAGGAATAGTCAAAGTACTTTGTTAAACAGATCCTGTTCCCCGTGTCACCCAACTGGGTGAGGCCCTCCAACAGAAGCTGTCAGACACCCTGTACAGGAGCAATCCTACTGACATCAGCTTGGTGCCCCTGAGGTCAGAGATCCCAAAAGAAGGAGCAGGCACCCATCCTTGCTGTTCTCCAGCCTCCTTGAGTGACACCATGATTGCAGACAACATGATTCTATAATTAGAAAACTCCATCATTTCATCCCCAAAACTCCTTAAGCTGATAAGCAATTTCAGCAAATTCTCAGGATACAAAATCAATGTGCAATTGATTGAATTGATTGAATTGGTAGAAAAGATAATATCAGAGCAGAAATAAATGAAATTGAAAATTTAAAAGTACAAAAGATCAACAAAATAAGTCGTTTTTTGAAAAGATAAACAAAGTAACAAACCTTCAGCCAGACTACCAAAAAAAAAAAAAGAGAAGATCCAAATGAATAAAATCAGAGATGAAAATGGAAACATTACAACCAATAACATAGAAATCCAGAGGATCATTAGAGGCTATGATGAGCAGCTATATCCCAATAAATTGGAAAACCCAGAAGAAATGACTAAGTTCCTAGATACATACAAGTTATCAAGATTGAACGATGAAGAAATTCAAAACCTGAATAGATCAACAACAAGTAATGAGATCAAAGCTGCAATAATAGTCTCCTAGGAAAGAGAAGCTGAGGACCCAATGGCTTCACTGCTGAATTTCATCAAACATTTAAGAGAACTAATATCAATTCCACTCAAACTATTCCCATAAGTAGAGCAGGGAATACTTCCAAGCTCATTCTATGAGACCAATATTACCCTGATACCAAAACCAGACAAAGATATGTCAAAAAAAGAAAACTACAGGCCAATATCCGATGGGTATTGACACTGAAACCGTCAACAATATACTAGCAAATTGAATTCAACAACGCTTAAAAAGAGCATTCATCGTGACCAAGTAGGATTTATCCTAGGGATGCAGGGATGGTTCAACATATGCAAATCAGTCAATGTGATACATCATATCAACAGAATAAAGGACATAAACCATATGATCATTTCATAGGATTCATATCAAAAAGTATTTGATAAAATTTAACATCCCTTCATGAAAAAAAAAAAACCCTCAAAAAACTGGATACAGAAGGAACATACCTGAGCACAATAAAAGCCATATATGAACAACCCACAGCTACTGTCATGCTGAACAGCGAAAAACTGAAAGCCTTTGACCTAAGACCTGGAACACAACAAGGATTTCCACTTTCAGCACTGTTATTAAACACAGTAACGGAAGTCCTAGCTAAAGCAATTAGACAAGAGAAAGAAATAAAGGGCATGCAAATTGGAAAGGAAGAATTCAAATTATCCTTGTTTGCAGATGATATTATCCTATATTTGGAAAAACCTAAAGACTCCATCAATGAACTATGAGAACTGATGTATTCAGTAAAGTTGCAGGATACAAAATCAACATACAAAAATCAGTAGTAGCATTTCTATATGCCAACAATGAACAATCTGAAAAAGAATTCAAGAAAGTAATCACATTTGCAATAGTAACACATAAAATAAAATGTCTAGAATTAACCAAAGAAATGAAAGCCCTCTACAATGAAAACTATGAAACATTGATGAAAGAAATTGAAGAGGACAGAAAAAAATGGAAATATATTCCATGCTCATGGATTTGAAGAATCGATATTGTTAAAATGTCCATACTATCCAAAGCAATCTACAGATTGAATGTAATCCCAACCAAAATACCAATAACAGTCTTCACAGAAATAGAAAAAACAACCTAAAATTTATATGGAACCACAAGAGACCGAGAATAGCCAAAGCTACCATGGGCAAAAAGAAAACAACTGGAGGAATCACATTACCTGACTTCAAATTATACTACAGAGCTATAGTAACCAAAACAACATTATACTGGCATAAAAACAAACAAATAGACAAATAGAATAGAATAGAGGACCCAGAATAAATCCTTACTGCACTTGTTTTCAACAAAGGTATCAAGAACATACACTGGGTAAAGGACAATCTCTTCAATAAATGGTGCTGGGGAAACTGAATATCCATATGCAAAAGAATGAAAGTAGACTTCTATCACTTGCCATATATAAAAATCAAATAGAAATGATTAAAGATCATCCAGGCGCGGTGGCTCACGCCTGTAATCCCAGCACTTTGGGAGGCCGAGGCGGGCGGATCACGAGGTCAGGAGATCAAGACCATCCTGGCTAACACAGTGAAACCCCGCCTCTACCAAAAAGACAAAAAATTAGCCGGGCGTGGTGGCAGGCGCCTGTAGTCCCAGCTACTCAGGAGGCTGAGGCAGGAGAATGGCATGAACCCCGGAGGCGGAGCTTGCAGCGAGCCGAGATCACGCCACTGGCACTCCAGCCTGGGCGACACAGTGAGACTCCATCTCAAAAAAAAAAAAAATCAAAAAAAGAAATGATTAAAGATTTAAATCTAGGATCTCAAACTACTGAACTACTAAAAGAAAACATTAGGGAAACTCTTCAGGACATGTATCTGGGCAAAGATTTTTTGAGTAATAACTGACAGGCATAACAGGCAACCAAAGCAAAACTGTACAAGTGGGATCACGTCAAGTTGAAAAGCTTTTGCACAGCAAAGGAAACAACAACGTGAATAGACAACCCATGGAATAGGGGAAAATATTTGCAAACTATTCATCTGACAAGGGATTAATAATCAAATACATACGGAGCTCAAACAGCTGTATAGGAAAAAAAATCTAACAATCTGATTTTAAAATGGGCAAAAGATTTCAATAGATATTTATCAAAACAAGACATACAAATGGCAAACAGGCATATGAAAAAGTGCTCAATATGATTGATCATCAGAGAAATTCAAATTGAAACTGCAATGAGGTATCATTTCACCCCAGTTAAAATAGCTTTATGCAAAACACAGGTAATAACAAATGCTGGTGAGGATGTGGAGAAAAGGGAACCCTCATACACTGTTGGTAGAAATGTAAATTAGTACAACCACTCTGAAGAAGAGTTTGGAGATTTCTCAAAAAACTAAAAATAGAGCTACCATAGAATCCAGAAATTCCACTGCTGGATATATACCCCAAAGAAAGGAAATCAGTATATCAAAGACATCTGCACTTTCATGTTTATTGCTGCACTATTCACAATAGTTAAGATTTGGAAGGAACCTAAGTGTCCATCAACAGATGATTGAATAATGAAAATGTGGTACATACACATAACTGAGTACTACTTAGCCTTGAAAAAGAATGAGATCCTGTTATTAGCAGCAACATGGATGGAACTGGAGGACATTATGTTAAGTGCAGGACATTATGTTAATTACAAATAACCCAGACACAAAAAGACAAACTTCACATGTTCTAACTTATTTGTGGGGGCTAAAAATTAAAACAATTGAATTTATGGAGATATGCAGTAGAATGATAGTTACCAAAGGCTGAGAATGGTAGTGGGGGGAGGAGAGTAAATGGGATGGTTAATGAATACAAAAACATAGAATAAATAAGATCTAGTATTTGATAGCACAACAGGGTGACTACAGTGAAAATAATTTATTGTACATTTAAAAATATCTAAAAGAGTACAACTGCATTGTTTATAATACAAAGAAAGGATAAATGCTTGAGATGATGACCATCCCAATTACCCTTATGTGATTATTATGCATTATATGTCTGTGTCAAAATAGCTTATGAACCTCATGAATATATACATATATAACTACTATGCACCCACAAAAATTAAACATGAAAAAATAAGTAGCATTTCTAAACTTCAATAACATTCAAGTTCAGAGACAAATCAAGAATACAATCCAATTTAAAATAGCCACAAATATATACTTAGGGTTACATCTAACCAAAGAGGTGAAAGATCTCTACAGGGAAGACTACAAAACATTGCTGAAAGAAATCATAGATGATACAAATAGGAAAACATCCCATGCTCATGGATTCCACAAACCAATGTTGTGAAAATGGCCATACTGCCCAAAGCCATCTGCAGATTCAATGCTACTTCAAAGCAATCCTAACCAAAAACAACAAAGCTGGAGGCATCACAATACATGATTTCAGACTATAAGCCTACAATAACCAAAACAGCATGGTACTGGTACAAAAACAGACACATAGACAAATGGAACCAAATAGCCTAGAAATAAAGCTGCACACCTACAATCATCTGATCTTTCACAAAGTCAACAAAAATAAGCGATGTGGGAAGGACTCCCTATTCAATAAATGGTACTAGGATGGCTGGCTAGCCATATGCAGAAGAATGAAACTGGACCCTTACCTTTGACCACATACAAAAATTAACTCAAGGTGGATTCAAGATTTACATGTAAGACCTCAAACTATAAGGATTCTAAAAAATAAAAACACTAGGAAACACCATTCCCGACCTCAGCCTTGGGAAAGAATCTATGACAAAGGCCTCAAACAATTTCAACAAAACCAAAAATTGACAAGTTGGATCTAACCAAATGAAAGAGCTTCCGCATAGCAAAAGAAACTATCAACAGAATAAGCAACCTACAGAATGAGAGAAAATATACGCAAATGATGCATCTGACAAAGGTTTAATATTCAGAATCTATAAAGCACTTAAATAATTGAACAAGCAAAAAAAAAAAAAAAATACCCAGGCTGGGTGTGGTGACACACCTGTAATCCCAGCACTTGGGGAGGCCAAGGCGGGCAGATCACCTGAGGTCAGGAGTTCAAGACCAGCCTGGCCAATATGGTGAAACCCTGTCTCTACTAAAAATACAAAAATTAACCAGGTGGTAGCACACACCTGTAACCCCAGCTACTTGGGAGGCTGAGGCAGGAGAATTGCTTGAATCCTGGAGGCAGAGGTTTCAATGAGCTGAGATTGCACCACTGCACTCCAGCCTGAGGACAGAGTGAGACTCTTCAAAAAAAAAAAAAAAAATTAAAAAGTGGGCAAAAGACAAATCACAGTAAGATATCATCTCACACCAGTTAGAATGGCCATTATTAAAAAGTCAAAAAAAAAACAGAAGCTAGTGTGGCTGCAGAGAAAAGAGAATGCTTAACACACTGTTGGTGGGCATGTGAATTAGTTCAGTCCCTGTGGAAAGCAGTTTGGAAATTTCTCAAAGAACTTAAAACAGAGATACCATATGACCCAGCAATCCCATTACTGGGTATATATCCAAAAGAAAATTAATTGCTCTACCATAAAGACACATGCACTTGTGTGTTCATTGAAGCACTATTCACAATAGCAAAGACATGGAATCAACCAAAGTGCTCATCAATGGTAGATCGGATAAAGAAAATGTGGTATATATACACCATGGAATACTATGCAGCCATAAAAAAGAAGAAAATCATGTCCTTTGCAGCAACATAGATGCAGCTGGAAGCCATTTTCCTAAGCAAATTAATGCAGAAAAAGAAAACCAAACACAGTATGTCCTCACTTGTAAGTGGGAGCTAAACATTGGGCAGTCGTAGACAAAGATGGCAAAAATAGACACTGTGGACTACTAGAGGGGGCAGGAAAGAAGCATGAGGGTACTACACTTACTACCTGGGTGATAGGACCATTTAGATCCCAAACCTCAGCATCACACAGTATGCCCATGTAACAAACCTGCTCACATACCCCCTAAACTTAAAAGTTGAAATTATTTTAAAAACTGCAGATGTAAGGCAAGCTATTAAACTGATTGGCTCAATGACTCAGTGACACTCTCTATTCACTAATATTTCTATTCCACCATCCTTAGCATCTGCTTCTAAGGTTGGTTCTATTTATGACCATCAGATTATTTCAACAACAATGGGGCTATATCCTTTCTTTTTCTTCTTTTTTTTTTTTTTTTTTGAGATGGAGTCTCACTCTGTCACCCAGGCTGGAGTGCAGTGGCGCCACCTCGGCTCACTGCAAGCTCCACCTCCTGGGTTCATGCTATTCTCCTGCCTTAGCCTCCCGAGTAGCTGGGACTACAGGCACCCACCACCACGCCTGGCCAATTTTTTGTATTTTTAGTAGAGACGGGGTTTCTCCATGTTAGCCAGGATGGTCTTGATCTCCTGACCTCGTGATCCGCCCGCCTCGGCCTCCCAAAGTGCTGGGATTACAGGCGTGAGCCACAATGCCCGGCCCGGGGCTATATTCTTTCTTATTCACAGTGGAAAATAGTGCTTCAGCATGAATCATGACTCAAAATTATTGTTTTGCTTTCTGATTGGGCCAGTGTGAGTCACATCATGCTTATCCTGGTCAATGTTAGCCTTGGACCTTGAACAAATTACCATTCATTCTATTCCTCTCCTATTGAATAAATGTCCCTGTTTCTATACAATAGGGAGAAGGGGCATTGGAGAGTCAACAACGATGCATCTTTTATAGTGTTTCATAAGAAAAAAGGTGGATGTGTGACCATTCCAATAGAGAGAAGCTGAGAATATATACAGGGAGATATACAGAAGAGGGGGAGAAAAAGTTATAATGATAGGTTGGGTCCACACTATCAAAAAATTTGAGCATCATGGTGAAGTAATTAGTCTTTTAATAAATTAGGGATTATTTTAAAAATTCTAAATTTTTTAAACCGTTATTTTAGGTTCAGAGGTACATGTGCAGGTTTGCTATGTAGGTAACCTGCATGTCACCGGGATTTGGTGTACAGATTATTTCCTCACCCTGGTAATCAGCATAGTACCTGATAAGTAGTTTTTTAATCCTTTCCCTTCTCTTACCCTCCACCCTCAATTGGGCCCCAATATATGTTGTTCTCTTCTTTATGTCCATGTGTACTCAATGTTTAGCTCCTACTTATAAGTGAGAACATGCAGTGTTTGGTTTTCTCTTCCTGAGTTAGTTGGCTTAGGATTATGGCTTCCAGCTCCATTCATGTTGCTGCAAAGGACACGTTCTTATTCTTTTTTATGGCTGCATAGTATATTCCATGATGTGTATGTACCAAATTTTATATATCTTGTCTATCATTGATGGACATTTATGTTGATTCCGTGACTTTGCTATTATGAAGAGTGCTTTATGGTAGAATGATTTATATTTCTTTGGGTATATACCCAACAATAGGATTGCTGGGTTGAATGGTAGTTCTATTTTAAGCTCTTTGAAAAATCGCCACACTGCTTTTTACAATGGCTGAACTAGCTTACATTCCCACCAGAAATGTATGAATGTTTTCTTTTCTCTACACCCTTGTCAATATCTGTTATTTTTTGACTTTTTAATAAGAGCCATTCTGACTGGTGTAAGATGGTATATCACCATGGTTTTGATTTTCATTTTCTAATGATTAGTGAGGTTGAACATTTTTTCATATGCTTGTTGACTGCACGTATGTCTGCCTTTGAAAAGTATCTGTTGACATCTTTTGCCCACTTTTTAATGGGGGTGTGTTTTGCTTAATTTATCTAAGCTCCTTATAGATTCTGGATATAAGACCTTTGGCAGATGCATAGTTTGCAAATATATTCTCCCATTCTGTAGGTTGTTTGTTTACTGTTGATAGTTTCTCTTCCCGTGTAGAAACTCTTTCATTTGGTTAGTTTCAACTTGTCAATTTTATTTTTGTTGAAATTGTTTTTGGTGTCTTCATCATGGAATCCTTGCCAGGGCCTATGTCCAGGATGGTATTTCCTAGGTTATTTTCTAGGGTTTTTATAGTTTTACATTTTACATTTAAGTCTTTAATCCATCTTGAGTTTATTTTTGTATATGAAGTAAAGAAGGGATCCGAATTCAATCTTCTGCATATGGCCAGCCAGTTATACTAGCACCACTTATTAAATAGGGAGTTCTTTTCCTATTGCTTATTTTGGTCAACTTTGTGAAAGATCAGGTGACTATAGTTGTATGGTCTTATCCCTGGGCTCTCTATTCTGTTCCATTGGTCTATGTGTCTGTTTTTGTACCAGTACCATGCTGTTTTGGTTACTGTAGCCTTCTAGCATAGTTTGAAGTCAGGTAACATGATGACTCTAGCTTTGTTCTTTTTACTTAGGATTTCTTTGGCTCTTTTGTCGGCTTTTTGGTTCCATATTAATTCCAGAATAGTTTTTTCTAATTCTGTGAAAAAATGATGTTGGTTGTTTTGTTGGGCTTTTTTTTTTTTTTTTAACAAGGAAGGGTCAATAATCAGATAACTACTTTAGAACAACTTATTTGGAAACCATTTTCAGAATGTTTTAGAGTGAAAAGTAGTCAGTTAGGTTCTCAATATAATGTATCATATTAAATGCACTAAATCCCTAAATTTGATAAAGACAATAGGGGGAAAACTCCAGTAACAGAAAACATTGAGGAGGCTGTGTCTAAGGGACTTTTTGAGTGATGTAAGAGAGAAATAAAGGCAAAGTTGAAAATAACTCAAAATCTGAGAAGACAGGAACGGAAGTTGGCTGGAAGGTGTTAAGGAGAGAAATGAGTTTAGTTTCTAAATTCTAAGGCATTGTATGGAAACTTCCAGTAGGTAGTTAGAATTCAGGTCTGAGAATTGAGTGAGAGGTGAGAATTGAATCAATGGGAGCTTGACAGGGAGAGTAAGGAATTAGACAAAGATGGGAAGAGGCCAAACACAAAACTTCAGGTGGCATCTACTTTCTATGAAGAAACCTGACTAAAATAAGGAAAGTGACTGAGCCAGCAGAGGAGGAGAAAGACAACTGACGTCAGAGGAGCTGGATGAGCATTCCAGGACGAGGCTCCAAGGTAAAGCATGTGGTAACTGCACAAACTTCAAGTAGAATGAAGAATGAGGAAATGCCTGTAATAAAACAGGCATTCGAGGGTATCTGGTGACATTTCAGAGCCCTAGACTCTTCTTCTGTGTATGGTAGCATCTAGATTTCCACTTTGACAAAAGCAGTGGCTGCTTCTTTCATCACTGTTATGGACTGAATTGTGTCACCCAAAATTCATATATCGAGCCCTAATGCAATGGTATTTGGAGATGAGACCTTTAGGAGGTAATTAGGGTTACATAGGGACATAAGGGTAGGGCCCTAATCTAATGGGATTAGTGCCCTCATAAGGAGAAGGAGCACAAGTCAGCTCTCTCTTTCCACGCAGTCACATAGAAAAGTCATGTGAGGACACAGTGAGAAGGTGGCCATCTGCAAGCCAGAAAGAGAGCCCTCACTATAAACCAGCAATGATGGCACCTTGACCTTAAGATCTGTAGCCTCCAGAACTGTGAAAAATAAATGTTAATTGTTTAAGGCACCCAGTCTGGAATATTTTGGTATGGCAAGCAAAAGACTGATACAATAACCAATAAAGCAACAAAGTTTGATTTGCCAGTTCTGGAAAATGCCCCCCTCAGGAATACTTAGACCTCGGTTCTATCCCTGGATCCTAACTAACTCAAAACCATTGGATTAGTAACTTAACCTCTCTGAGCTTCAGTTGCAGAATCCAGAGAAAGAGGACACTGAAGTAAACCATCTCAGAGGTTCTTTTGAACTTTTCTGGTGCATTTTTCCAAGAAGCAATTTCAATGTTGGAAGGTTGGTAAATGTTGTCAAGCCCCCAAATAGCAACCACATCATCTCCATTACTAGAGATAGGTGGTCAGAAAATAGGCCTAGAGGACATTTTAAATACTTTTCTACTACAAAGATTCTTTGCTGTTTAACAAGGTTGTTGGCAGCCCCTCAGATGGCATAGTCAAGAAAAGACCTGGCAGGAAAGAAGTGCCATTCAGAGAAAACACCACTGATTTTTAAAATGTGAATTGCAGGCTTCTCCTCCCCTTTCCTTTATCAACTGTGATTAGGCTGTACTTTGCTCGAGTTTACAATAATGATACTTTTATACTCAGCACTGTGCATTCTGAAGAGTGGGCCTAAAAGTACTTTACCATCTCATAGAGAAGAGTTCTTTCCTAGCAGGGTGTATTGCCAAGCCCTCTCTGCTTTGCCCCTCCCTCCATGGTTTGTTAACCAGCAGGAATGCTTTTTAAGGCAGGGAGGCTAGGGTGAAAGCTCCAAAGAGGCATATTTCCACTGACACAAAAAGCAAGGAGGATCCAGGCAAAAGAGAGAAAAGAAATGAATTCCCATTGACTGAAGGTCTAAGGTGTGCCACATGCAATATTTGATATTTTCACCTGGGTTTATTCATTCTAACTTTATTCCATACAAATGACCACTCAAATACTCTAAAAGAAAAGTTAACCTACTCCTGTGAGTTCCTCTGTGCCAGGCTTTTGCTGTTTTCACTTATTTTGACCCTATAGCCTCTGTACATGAGGCAAGTGAAACCACCATTTTGGAAGGAGCTAACAAATTCATGGTGAACAAAATGGCAGCACTTTATAATCAGGAGTCAGGGAAGCCACTATTCCAAGCTGTCTCCTCTCTCCTAGAAATGAGGAATAGGGAGGCTTAGGAAGAGCATTGACTTTGAAGTTAGAATTTCCAGGATAGAAAAGATACTGAATGCAAATTTTGATGCCACAAATTTGTACCAAGTCAATGTTATTCTATTTATCTCTGGATTTTCCCAAAGTTCACACACTATCACTCAGTCTGGAGCACTCTTATATATCCCAGGATATTCAGACTTGTGTGTGATTCAAACCCATTCGTAGTTAAATATAAAGATGTGTCCTACATTTGTATGCAACTTCATAGTTTCAAAGCATTTTCAAGTGTTAATCTCATTTTATTCACATAAATATGTGATGTTCATTGTCACGTTTTATACGTAAGGAAAATGAAGTATAATATAAAATTTAAATTATTTGGTCTAAATCAGCAACCCATAAAATATTAATAGACAACTCTCAGAGGGAACACAGTTGTATACAAAAACTTCCAACCCAATAAAATTTTAAGTTTTAACATACATACGAGAAAAGTCAAAAAAAATCACAAGCATACAGCTCATGGAATTTTCACCCAAAAAAAATTTAAAAACACACACCACTGTAGCCAATGCACTGATTAAGAAACAGAACATTAACAGCACTTCAGAAGCTTCCCTCATACCCGTTTCATTTACCACTTACAGGAATCAATACTAGGCCAATATATAGGAAAAATGACTATGACTAATAACCTGAGATGATAAAGTTTTTATTGCAAAGTTATTTAATATAGTGAAAAATTACAAACATTATAAATGCCCAGTTCTTAAGGAAAGGTTAAATAAATCATGGTATACTTATAGACCAGAATAATATTCACATTTGGCCTCCAATTAAAATATAGAAAGTGAAGAGTGTAGTTCTCACTCTAACAAGAAGAAACCACATAAGCTACAAAGTCATAGTTTTTTAAAAACCTGTCAGAGATCTGAAAATAGAAAAAAACTTAAATGAACCAGATTTCAGAAAATGATAGCGTTTTGTAGAAGAGAAGAGACACATAGCTGCTTTCATCCTTAGCACAGAGGTAGGAGGAAGAGGAAGCCATCTTAAATGGAAATAAGGAGAAACAATCTGTATTTTTTATAAACGTTTAATAGCTGCATATGAGCTATAATGAAAAATTAAAATCCTGAAGACGGCCAGCCACACAGTGAGTCCATACCCATCTACCACCTCTTTTCTACTAGCCTTCTCAAAGTGAAAGGTTTAGTACACTGATGGATGGAGGCAGGGCAGGAGGGCTGAGACAAATCCCGCATGAAGCATGTGGGAAGTTCCTCAAGTCCAAGTCTAGAGACAGAGAGAACTGACAGAAGTCCTTCAAGTTGCTCCAGTAGGCAGTCCACACCCTCACCTAGCACACTGAAGCTGTCCTCCTAAAGCTAGGAACAAAGCAGAAGGAAAGAGAGCTCGCTAAGTTCAGAAAGCCAAGAAAACAAATTCTCTGTGACCCAAAAATCTAGAATCCAGGCAAGAATGCAGAGAAATCAATCACAGTTTAGAAATCTGGTGACTATCTTCTAAAACAGAGATAAATCTCAAGAATCTCAGACTCTCAAACCTCATAACCTGCTAATGGGAAAGTCCTAATCCCATCCTCAAAACATTTGAAGTAGATGGGGAACGGAATCTAACATTGCAACAAAACCCAGAGCCACTTGCACAACTACTGAGTAGATTCCTTTACTAGAATCTGATAGATCTTATACCAGATCCCATACCAAAGACCTGACAGAAGAAGGAATATGTCCTTTCTTTTTTAAGGGTAAAAATTATTTAATTCGGTCTCCACTTTTTTGGGGGAGGGGCACACAATCTCAGCATACAATTAAAGGTTAGAAGATATGTAAAGGTGATCCAAGCTTAAGAGAAGAAATATTCAATAAAGGCAAGTCCCCAGATAATTCAAACTTGGAAGTAAAAGAACTTTTTTATTTTTAAAAAAAATTTTCTTTTTATTTTACATCTGGGGGTACATGTGAAGCTTTGTTACACAGGTAAACATGTGTCATGGCAGTTTGTTGTACATATTATTTCATCACTCAGGTATTAAGCCCAGTACCCAATAGTTATCTTTTCAGCTCCTCCCCTTCCTCCTACCCTTCACCTGTGAGTAGGCCCCAGTGTCTGTTATTTCTGTCTTTGTGTTCATAAGTTCTTATCATTGAGCTCCCACTTATATGTGACAACATGTGGTATTTGGTTTTCCGTTCCTGCATTAGTTTGCTAGGAATAATAGCCTCCAGGCTTCATCCATATTCCTGCAAAAGATATGATCTCATTCTTTTTATGGCTACATAGTATTCCACAGTGATATGTACCACACTTTCTCTTTATCCAACCTGTCATTCATTGATGGGCATTTAGGTTGATTCCATTTCTTTGCTAATGTGAATAGTGCTGCAATAGGCATTCGTATGCATGTGTCTTCATGATAGAACCATTTATATTCCTCTGGGTGTATACCCAGTAATGGGATTGCTGGATCAAATGGTGGTTCTGCTTTTAGCTCTCTGAAAAATTTCCACGCTGCTTTTCACAACGGTTGAATTAATTCACACTCCCACCAACAATGTATAAGCGTTCCTTTTTCTCCACAACCTCACCAGCATCTATTATTTTTTTGACTTTTTAATAACAGCCATTCTGACTGGTGTGAGATGGTATCTCATTATAGTTTTAATTTGCATTTCTCTAACGATCAATGATATTGAGCTTTTTTCATAGGCTTGTTGGCTGCTTCTATGTCTTCTTTTGAGAATTGTCTGTTCATGCCCTTTGCACACTTTTCAATGGGATTGTTTTACTCTTGTAAATCTGTTTAAGTTCATTATAGAAGCTGGGTATTAGACCTTTGGTAGATGCACAGTTTACAAATATTTTCTCCCATTCTGTAGGTTGTCTGTTTTTTCTGTTGATAGTTTCTTTTGCTATGGAGAAGCTCTTAAGTTTAATTATATCCCACTTGTCAATTTTTGCTTTTGTTGCGATTGCTTTTGGTGTTTTTGCCATGACACTTTGCCTGTTCTACGTTCAGGATGGTATTACCTAGGCTGTCTTCCAGGGTTTTTATAGTTTTGGATTTTTTTATGTTTTTAATCTATCTTGAGTTGATTTTTGTGATTGGTGTAAATAAGGGGTCCAGATTCAATCTTCTGCATATGGTTAGCCAGTTATCCCAGCTATCTATCATTTATAGAATAGGGAGTCTTTTCCCCATTGCTTGTTCTTGGTCAACTTTGTGAAAGATCAGATGGCTGTAGGTGTACTGCCTTATTTCTGGCCTATTCTATTCCATTGGTCTATGTGTATATTTTTGTACCAGTACCATGCTGTTTTGGTTACTGTAGCCTTCTAGTATAGTTTGAAGTCAGGTAACATGATACCTGTAGTTTTGTCCTTTTTGCTCAGGATTGCCTTGGCTATTCAGGCTCTTTTTTGGTTCCATATAAATTTTAAAATAGCTTTTTCTAGTTCTATGGAGAATGTCATTGGTAGTTTGATAAAAATAGTATTGAACCTTTAAGTTGCCTTAGGGAGTATAGACATTTTAATGATATTAATTCTTCCTATCCATTAGCAGACGATGTTTTTCCATTTGTTTGTCTTCTCCAATTTCTTTGAGCAATGTTTTGTAATTCTTATTGCAGAGATCTTTTATCTCCCTGGTTAGCTATATTCCTAGGTATTTTATTCTTTTTGTGGCAATTGTGAATGGGATTGCCTTTCTGATTTAGCTCTTGATTTGACTGTTGTTGGTGTATAGGAATGCTAGTGATATTTGTACATTGATTTTGTATCCTGCAACTTTACTGAAGTTTTATCAGCTGAAGGAGCTTTTGGGCCAAGACTATGGGGTTTTCTAGATACAGAATCATGTCGTCTGCAAACAGAGATAGTTTGACTTACTCTCTTCCTATTTGGATGCCATTTATTTTTTTCTCTTGCCTGATTGCTCTGGCTAGGACTTCCAATACTATGTTGAATAGAAGTGGTGAGAAAGGGCAACCTTGTGCCAGTTTTCAAGAGGAATGCTTCCAGCTTTTGCCCATTCAGTATAATGTTGGCTATGGGTTTGTCATAGATGGCTATTATTTTGAGGTGTGTTCCTTCAATACCTGGTTTATTGAGAGATTTTGAAGGGGGTTGAATTTTATTAAGAAAAGAACTTTAAAATAAATGACGTATAAAGACTTGTGGAAAAAATGCATTCAAAATGGGAATTTCAGAAGGGAAATTAAGATTATAAAAGCAACCAATGAAAATGTCAGAAATGAAAAAGTATAAAACCAAAATGAAAACTTCTTCTAAGAGTGAAATAGCAGATAGAACACAGGAGAGGTATCAGTGCACTTATATAGATCAATAAAAAATATCCAAACTGAAATTCTGGGGGAAAAGAAAGTAGAAAAAAATAGACCAAGCATCTGAGAACTGTCAGAGAATATCAAACCATCTAACTAACGTAAGGATAACTGATAAATATGTAGAAGATGACAGAGGATTTAGAAAGAATATAGAACAAAAACTCATTTCATGATTCTGAAACTCCTGATCACATCTACGACATATAAAAGGGTTGTGAATGGAGGACTGAAACAGAGGAAGAAGGACAAAAGAGTTATTTGGGATATTGTTTTTTTGAGAGAGGGCAATACTGTGTGGCCCACATTGTCTCCCAGTCTGTGAGAGGTGGATACAAGAGAGTGTTGCATCCCAACTCTAAGCCTCGTGGAAAAGGCTTCACCAAAACCACACAGAAAAATTTTTTAAAGAGGTAATTTGGTGGGCTGTATTCCTGCTACCCGCAGCCAAGGGCAGGGTATAAGGGACACCTTCCCCTACCTAAAGAGAAATAGGCTTTGTAATTTGGGATACAGAATGAACTGTTCCTAACACCTGGATGGAAATTCCAAAGGACCAACAATGGAGGGGCTGAGCTGCTTTGCTGGAGGTGAAGAGGCTGGCTGGGCTTCCTGTACTTCCAGGGTGAATAACAGTGGGGTGCTCCTGGAAGAGAGGCAAAGAGAGTTTTTCATCATAATTGCTATAGCAACATTAAATAGTTGTTATTAGCTCAGAATATTCCATAAAGAGTTGCCTTATTTTAAAGCAGGTGAACTCTGTGCCTGTCCAATTTGGAGTGTGGGTGTATATCATTTAGCAGAATTGGCTGTCATTTCTAGCGGCCTCCCTTAGGTTGTGTCAGACAAACTGAGCTGTCTGTAAGTGGCTCTTAGGAAAGCCACCAGACAAAATCAGCTTAGGCATCAAAGGAGAGTAATAATCATCTTTTAGATTCATTTTTTCAGCAAATATATATTGGGGCCCTGCTATCTCTGATGCAAAATGCTGACTATTTTGGAGGCACAGGGGCATGCATATTGTTCTCAATGAGCAAAATAATATATGATCAAATGTGATTAGTATCACCAAGTAAATGTCATGTTCTCCAGATACTTAGAAAAATAAGAGACTATTCAGAGACTATTTTAGAAGAGTGGTAGTTGGTTGAGGGATGGGATGGAGAACATGGAGGAAATCAGGAAAACTCTTAATAGAAGAGCTGATATTTGTTCTAAGTTAGAAGACTGATAGATGTGTAAGAATGAAGTGGATTAGGGGAAAGGTAGTCCTAGCAAAGGGCAGAGGGAGGCAATCAGGTGTCTTGGAGATAGAGTGAACTGTGGTATCAAACTTCAAATCCCTACACCACTACTTTATGCTGTATAACCTGGACAAAATATCTTACTCCTCTAATCTCAACTTATCATTGGTAACATGGGACTAATAGCTCCAATTCTCATGCTTGGCACAGAAGCACCTAGTAATACTAGTTGTGATTGCTGTTAGTCTTGAATAAAGTCATAGATGTAGGGATATGCAGGGTTGTATAGAAAGGATCATAAATAGTGACAACTAGCAGAGGAACAAAGGAAAGGAACAAACCAGTTGTATCCAGACCATGGAGCATGCTAAAGGCCTGGCAAAAATAAAGAATCTGGAGTCATTCTTTAGGCAACGGAGGCATTTGGAGAGTTTTCAGCAGGATCAGAGCTGTGCTTCAAAAGAACTAATCTGTAACTTTTTAATTATTGTGTAGAAGAGTTTAGCTGCTTTCTGTCTAAAACCAGAATCCAAACTCATATTCTTACAAGGCCAAGCCAGATAAAAAAACCAGTAAGGGAACACTCCAACCAAAAGAGAGCAAGTCCTAACTTAGCACCCAGATTTCCATGCGAGAACACCAGGATATGCATCAGATTGTTCTGATTTTTCAAGAAAAATGTGGAGCCTTAGATGACAGCTCCTAATTTTTATGTATTGCATACTTGTTTGTAAATATCATTGATGAATCAAAGATATGGATGGGGGGTGATCAGGCTGGCAGCCTCCCCTCTGAGACCGCCGGCCTGGCACCTCCACATACCTGAAAAAGATCTTTGATTTACCTTTGCACAATCAAGTTCCAGGAGAGGGCTTTCTTTGTTGTTTTGGTTGTTGGTGTTTCCTCAGAACAAGGAAGAAATCTGCCCTCAAAGGTGAATTCAAGTCTACACCTCCAGAGATACAGAAAAATTGCTGACACCTTCAGAATGGACGTTTCTTTTCCACTTCTAGCCATCATTTGAAAATAATATCAGGCTTTAGGCGTAATCAGAAAATTCTATTATAAATGTCAACATTTCTTTCTCTGATAGTTTTATGGCCTGGAATAGCCAGATTTCAGGCCATAATATGGAGTTTTTGGCCAGAATATGGAGTTGTTTATTATTATTGACTCCATAGGATTATTTTTTGGAAGTTTTTGAGAAATGATAATCCTAGAATGACTTCAGAATTCATCAGGACTTCAGAACATAGTCATCTGTTATCACAGTTTTGTCTCCCTTGCCCCCAAGATGTATAGAATAGAGGCAGCATCACTAATGCCAAGCCCTTATGTGCACTAATGACAATCCCCACGGTTACCATGAAGAAAACATTATTATAAGGCCCATTTTAAAGATGAACAAACGGTGGCTCAAATAAGTTAATTAACTTGCTCAAAGACTTGTACTAGTTGAGTGTCCAAATGGGATTCCAGAATTAGAACTCTTTCTACTACCCCATGATATGTCACTTATAGAAGCCACACCTATAACAGGGCATTAAAGTAGAAATGTCCCCGAAGCCTCAGAATTTAAGAGCGATTACATTCCAAAATACAAGGTACAAGGTCTTTTTTTGTTTGTTTTTTTATTTGGTTTTTGTTTTTGTTTTTGAGACAGAGTCTCACTCTGTCGCCCAGGCTGGAGTGCAGTGGCGCGATCTCGGCTCACTGCAAGCTCCGCCTCCTGGTTTCACACCATTCTCCTACCTCAGCCTCCTGAGTAGCTGGGACTACAGGCGCCCGCCACCACGCCCGGCTAATTTTTTGTATTTTTAGTAGAGACGGGGTTTCACCGTGTTAGCCAGGATGGTCTCTATCTCCTGATGTCGTGATCCACCCACCTCAGCCTCCCAAAGTGTTGGGATTACAGGCGTGAGCCACCGCGCCCAGTGGTACAAGTTTTTTTTGTTTGTTTGTTTTTGTTTTTAAAGGTATGATAGACTGTATTACTGTTCACAAATATTTACTGATCCATCCTGGGGTGAGAGGGGAATATACTCAGCCTCACTGACATTAGATTGTCCGTGTAGTTTGCTCTGGTCAAGAAAATGTAGGCAGAAGAATCCAGACAGCAGCCTTGAAAATCAGTGAGTGCTTTGCCATACTCATTTTTACCCTATGTCACAATAACTAACGTTTCAGAGAGAGACTGTACCGTCAGCCTGAGTCTTGGGGTAGAGACATTGAGGAGCAAAACATGGCTGACCCTGAAAGATATGTAGTGTGAGAAACAAGCCTTTTTGTCATGAGCCAATGAAAAATGGTGATCATTTGTTACTGCAACACAACCTACCCTACCCTGACTGATATGGAAGATAATAAAAAACCTGTCAAACAATTCAAGCTTTTCATCCACGTCAAGGGTACAAATAGTCAAAATTGAAGATTAAGACAGCATTTGTGGAGAGGATTTTTACAAAGGACAGTTGGTATGCTATGAGTTTTTCCTTCCTGAAGAAAGGGTACCTGCCTCTTATCTTAAACCTCCTGAGAAGGGCTTCAACAAACCACTCAGAAAGCTGACTAATGTGTTACTCACATTGAAGAATCTAAAAATCAAGAGATGGGTTAGCCAACTGCCCTAATGGTGGGAGCACAGGAAGGGTTACAACTATGTGGATATCATCCTGCAACTCCCAAAGGCACTAAGGTAAAGCGTGAAAAATGCATCGGGATCAGAGATGGCTAGTATAAAGAAAACTAGTATCTCACAAAGTGAATGTTTCTTCACAGCAAGGAGCTGAGGGGAAAATGCTGTTCTGTGGGCTGAAGAGGCAATTGTAAGGAATGAGCTAGAATAGAGGTCATCTCCTGCACCAGGGAGACTACAGGTGAGAAAACCCCAGAAATACAGATTCCCAAAGAACCTACAAAGTACCTCTTAAGCAAAAGAATCCACTTTTAAAACTTACCAGAACCAAATAATGACATCAGGTCACAATCATCTTAACTAAGTAAAAACTTTCCTGTTCTTGTCTCTCTCCACACTTTCTATTCCCATCCACTAATCCTGGAGAGATTAGAAGTGTTGCTTAGCATGATGGTGGAGGGAAGAAGCAGAGCCTGAAAGCAGGATAAGGGAAAAGAGGCTGTCTCCTTCTCCCGCAAGAAGTGGGTGTCCTGCTGCAAGGTCTCCCAAAGAGAGAGGGAAAGTTTTACCCTTTAAGTCAAGTTAGAAATTCGGATTACATGGAACTAGGAATTTTAGTATCTGGCCAAGACTATTGGTAATACCTAAAGTATCTAGAAAATTTGTAGGGATGCCTGAGTTTGTATCCACAGAAGAAGAAGTAAACCAAGAGAAGTGAGTTAAATGGACTTTGGGAGATAACAAATAAAGCCATTTGATCACATCCTGCAAGCAACACTTGTTCAAGACATGGGTTGGATAGACTATATTCCGATAACTGGATGTTATAAATGAAATCCTAAAAATTCAAGATGGGCACAGATCCATGATTGTGAAACAAAGGCTATATGGTCCCAATTCTAGGTGGAAGAGAGAAAACAGAAGTCTTAATCTTGCTGGGAATCAAATTTTCACTTCCTCAGAAGCACACAGATGTGAGCAATAGTGAAAATAAAAAGAATTAGTCAAGGGAAAATGAAACTCTGATCTGAATTTGCTATGTAGATGTGTGGACAAAAGTCATTATAGACTTCATCTTACTTCTTTTGAGGAATATATTAGTCCATTTTCACACTGCTATAAAGAAATACTAAAGACTGGATAATCCATAAGCAAAGAAGGTTTCATTGACTCGTAGTTCCACATGGCTGGGGAGGGATCAGAAAACTTACAATCAGGGCAGAAGGCAAAGGGGAAGCAGTCACATTCTTCATTAGGTGGCAGGAGGGAATGAGTGCTAGCAGGAGAAATGTCAGATGCTTATAAAACCATCAGATCTCATGAGAATTCACTATCACAAGAACAGCATCTGGTAAACCGCCCGCATGATCCAATCACTTCCCTCCCTCAATAAATGGGGACAATTCCAGATGAGATTTGGGTGGAGACACAGAGACAAACCATATCAAGGAAATTTAGATCTAAAATTCTATTATGTCTCAAGATTCTTAGGGTCACATATCATATTAAACGCAGACACACAGAGGCACATAGACACACACAATCTCAGCTTCATGTATGTGGAAGACATTTTGTTGGAGACAGGCTGTCTAGGATTCAGGCTCAGGCCCCACCCCCAACTTGAGGTATCTAGCAACCCACCAACAGTTAGCTGCTTCATTCTGACTGTTTATCTTAAGAATCTGACCTTCAATCAACCATCTATGATGAATGCAGCTCAGGCTGAAAGGCAGGACCCAGCTGAGGCATTTATTCCCAGAGAGATACTCTAATGTTGCAGCCCAGCAGTCTTGGAAAGCAGGCCTTGGGCTATCTCAGTAACCATGCAATTTAGAAGGGAGGACTGTTTATGTGATGGCTGATCCCTTGGGAGACATGCACAGGCCACACATATTCCATCAGCCCCTTCTGTGTAACCCTGTTTAGCTTTCCCTCCACAATACCCCTGGTAATCACTTTTTTTTTCCACCTAGGATGGTGAGAAGGAATTATAGTTGAAAAATGAGGTTGTAATATGCTCTGAGGTCACTAAAAGTACATTTGCTACAGGTCAGCTCCAGCCACAACACAAGGGGCCATGAGTACCACAGATGGTGCTACTACTACTTGGTTTCAAGCCTGAAAAAAATAATCTGATTCTGTTGCTCTGCTTTTGGAATTGCAGAGAAGGGTCACTCAGGGAATGCTTGCAATCTTTAAACCAACTGAAGTAAAATCACATCTTGATCCATTAGTGTCCTGGGAATTAGAAATGCTTTATCTCATGCGTCAGACAATGAGGAACCAGACACATGGAGAATGAAAGTCTTCCATCCCTGACCATCCACTTAACTATTAGTCAACATTCATTTATTCAGCATATACTAGCACCAGTCAGTGTGATGAAGGCAAAGATAAAGACAACATACCCCCGGCCAGGCGTGGTGGCTCACGCCTGTAATCCCAGCACTTTGGGAGGCCGAGGCAGGCAGATCACGAGGTCAGGAGATCGAGACCATCCTGGCTAATACGGTGAACCCGTCTCTATTAAAAATACAAAAAATTAGGTGGGCGTGGTGGCGGGTGCCTGCAGTCCCAGCTACTCGGGAGGCTGAGGCAGGAGAATGGCGTGAACCCAGGAGGTGGAGCTTGCAGTGAGCAGAGATTGCGCCACTGCACTCCAGCCTGGGCGACAGAGAGAGACTCCGTCTTAAAAAAAAAAAAAAAAAAAAAAAAAAAAAAAAAAAAAAAAGGCAACATACCCCCCCTCAATGAGCTCATAGTCTAGTAGAAAAAATAAAACAAATCCCAAAAAATTATCATGCAAGGAAGAATATGTTCTACATCTTTAGAGAAGGATAGATTGCGAGGTTTTCAAAGATAAATGGATTCTTGATCCACAGAAATAAAAGGAAGTATTCCAGGCAGAGGGAACAACTCTGGTGGAGACGGAAAAGCACAGGATATGTGCAGAGGACAGTCTGCAGCCCTGTGTGTGGAGCTAGGGTTGCATAGGAAAGATCGAGTTCCCCTAAAAGCAGACCTGAGGCAAGAATTCGGGCTCATATAGCTTATTTTGGAGTGATTCCAGGAAACTAGTAGAGAAAGTAGTGAAATCATCCAGAGAAAGAAGGGAAAGCCAATGAAGGGTGTGTTAATGGTTGGGCTGCCACTGCTGGTAAGTGGAACACATTCCCCCCAGAGACCTACTGAGAGACTGCATGAAACACAATTCAGAATTGCCCTCCCAAGGGACAAGGAAGCTGGGGTTGTTACCCACCAACTCCCATCTGTCTTTGGTTGAGGGTTGCTGCTTCCTGGGGCGTAATTCCAAGGCACTTTCAGCTGAGCCTACACCTTCATCTAGAGGAAGCCAGCAAGCAAAGGGACACAGGCACTTGAGGCAGGAAGTCTTTCAAGTGTACAGACAACCGTCTACTGAAGCTGCAGGTGACTCTCAGAGACGAGCCATTAACAGCATCTGCTACAGGGCGAAAAACTAAAATACCAGATTATGAGATGACATCAAAGACCTTCCATTCCCTTCATTTGAATTCAAATGATATTTTAGAGTCCTAGGCACCCCGAAAGTAAAAATGTGAATTAAATATGTTTTTTCCTTCAAGAGGCATCTAGTCCTTGAGTAAAGATGGACTTGATTGTCTAGTGAGTGGCCACTAAAGATTTACGAGGAGGTGAGGAGCCTGATCAGACCTAATCTCATAATGGTGAGTGCCCAGAACTGGCAGAAACAGATAGAGATCGGAAGGTATCAATAAACTCAATTGAATTATTGAATTTTGATAAAGGTCAGAGCTAGAGTGGGTGACAATGGAATGGAAAGACATGGGATGTGAGTGTGTGTGTGTGTGTGTCTGTGTGCATGTGACATGGAGACTTAAGGAAAATTGACAAAATAAGTGAAACTGGAAAAATGTGACTGATGATTGGCTATAAATGATGAAGATGAAGGAGGATGGAGAAAATTCAGATTTTTAGTCTTGGAGAAATGCTGGTAGCATAAACAAAAAAGAAATTAGAGGAAGGTAACATATGGGGAAAAAGCAAATTTTTTTTCCTATTTGAACATGAACCCCTAGTACAACTCTCTCCCTTTTCTCTCTCAGCATTCCAGGCACTTCTCCTAGGTCTGGGCTGCAGGCTGCTAGCAGTTCACAAACCATTATAACCACTTCCAGGTCTTTCCAGGTCTTCTGGGCCCAGAGAACAAAGCTGAGGGTTTAAGCCAATCTATTGTTATCAGCTCACAATAAACTCCAGTCTGTTTTGTGTTTTGTTTTTGTTTTGTTTTTACCAGGATGGGCTTTCTTTTTAAGCACAAGTCTGTTCCCACCAGTGAGGCCAATCTGATCTGGGCAGAACATAAGCCTTCTTTCCAACCAGAGGTTAATGCAAAAGCAAGGAAGAACACCTGACTTTAATGACCCTGGAAGCTGGGAGCCTTCCTTCCAAAAATGGTACCACAGGCAGCCTCCCACATGTGCATCTGTCACTATAAAAATATCTTCAATCCTTGTCAGAACATTTATAGCATTCCTTGCTTCTATTTGAACCACAAATGCAGCTGAAAGAATTGCATGGTTCCTCCCCCACCTCTCCTGTCTCAGGTTTCATGTTTGCTATTTATTTGTTAATGAGAAGTAAAAGGAGAGGTAGAGAACTACCCACTAAAGGCATGTTTTCAGAAACTCCACCAAGTCACCAATGGTTTTAACGGGTATGGATTCATAGCTGTTGTGCTTTTCAACTTTTTTTCTTCAGCAGGGAGATGTATCCAGGGGATTACACTCCAGTAGTAGGATCTCCTTGGAAGCCAAAAGCACAGTGCAGAGCATTGGAACGCCTAGGATTCCCACCATGGGGGAGCCTAATACTTAGGCCCTAAGGCTACAAGAACATAAACTGTTGATTGCTTAGAAATTGGGAGTGAAGAGGCTATACTGGTGAATGAGTGAATCTCCAACCTCCAGACAATGGGTAAAGGGAGTTAGGGTTAGCCTGAGGGAATACCTCTGAGTTGAAAGGACTCCCTCCAGGTGCCAAAGGGATACTGAATCTTACTTTGGGCTCCGTATCCTAGAGCCAACCAGCTGAAGTCAGCATCCATCTATACTTCCTCCACAGCCAGCTCACATTCCTGTTGGTAGAGCCGTGATCAGAGCTAAGAGTGCCACCTACAGACACTTTAGTGCTAAATATTTACTGGAAAATCTAAAGAAAGCCATTAGCTATCAATTGTACAAGATCCTAGGAGATCGTCAAGTGTCATTGGAAAAGAAGGGTGTGTGTGTGTGTGTGTGTGTGTGTGTGTGTGTGTTGGGAAAGGGGATGGGTGATAGAACAATAAAAATTTAAAATGACAAATATTCTGGACACGAGGGTAAATGGGAGGCTTCTAGAGGCATAAACAGACATAAGGAATTCAAAAGGGGGCTCTGGGAGTGAGGACACATTCATCTCTAAACTCCTCCTTCTGTCTGTCTCTGTGTCTGTCTCACACGTGTGTGCGCGCGCGCGCGCGCACACACACACACACACACACACACACACACACACACACACACACTCTCTGAGCATAAGCTGCTAGCCAGACTCCCTCTCCCCATTTTCTGCCAACATTTCAGATACTTCCTTGAGGTCTGTTCTCAGAGCTCCTGACAATTTGTGGTGTTTAGTGACAGAACTGTTACTTTCACATTTCTTGCTGTTTTAATGAGACTATCTGTAGCTAAGAAAAGTGACATGGTGGCTGGTCCCCTCCCTGGCTCACTGCTGGTCAGCATTGCCCTTGCTACTTCCAGCCTGCCCTGAATATTCCCATCTCTGCCCAATAGCGACTACCGATTTTCTCAAGATTTGGAGGATATGAAATTTACTCATCTTAGAAGAGAACTGGACATCGTAAACCAAAAAAGGTGGAGGCAAGTCTCAATCAATTTTGTGGTTTATTTTGCCAAGATTAAAGACACTCCTGGTGGGGGGTGGAATAAATCACAAGAGCCTGTGTGATTTCTGCCTGTGCGCCTTTTCCAAAGAGGGGTTTGAGGACTTCTGTATTTAAAGAGGAGAGAGGGGAGTGGGGGAGGAGGAAAAAAAAAGGGAGGGTAGGCATTGAGGCAACTGGTTGTATTCTTGTAAGGCTTTGATTAGCAGTCACTGAATTCACATTTTACATATGAAACAAAGGAGTAGAGGAACAGTCAGTTATGCATTCATCTTGTGTTCAGTAGATCTACATCTTACTTAAGTAAACATAGAGTAGAAGAAGTCAATTATGCATTTGCCTGGGGTGGGAGGAAGGATGATTTCTAGTCTTGTTTTTGTCTAGTATCTGTGAAGATAAGCTATTCATTTACACTGTCAGGGTAAGATTCAACAGAATTCTATTTTAGGGTTAGGTCATAGGGGGCACATGTATTCTGAAAGATTTGGGGTCCGACAGGAATTTTTCCTTGTGAGCAATTTGTGAGGGAGGCCACCTGGGGAGATCTGTGGCCTTCTATGTTGCAGCTATCTAGAAACAAAAGGAAGGCAATTTTTGTTTGTTATGCATGACTCAGTTACCAAGCTTAAGTCTCCCTTTGGCATAGGGAGTTTGAGATCCTGAGATTCTGTTTTTCTTTTGCAGCATCAAACCTTAAAAACATTGGGGTTTTACTGTGTGTTTTGTCTTCCAGATATTTTAAACAGTCAACATTTAACCCAAAGGAATACATCTTTAATGGTAAAATTTTGAACTGTGATATGGTTTGGCCCTGTGTCCCTACCCAAATCCCATGTTGAAGCGTGATCATGAGTGTTGGAGGTGGGTCCTGGCAGAAGGTGATTGGATCATGGGGGTGGTTTCTACTGGTTCAGCACCATCCCCCTAATACTGTCTCGTGATAGAGTTCTCAGGAGATCTGCTTCCCCTTCTCTTTTCCTCCTGCTCCAGCCATGTAGGGCATGCCTCCTTCTTCTTTGCCTTCTGCCATGATAGTAAGTTTCCTGAAGACTCCCAGCCATGCCTCCTGTACAGCCTGGGGAACTGTGAGTCAATTAAACCTCTTTTCTTTACAAATTACCCAGTTTTAGGCAGTTCTTTATAGCAATGCAATAACTAATACAGACTGGGTATAGAAGTTATTTTAGAGGGTGGATTCTCCTCTGCATTATCAAATTACATCACATAAAATTTGCCTATATGTGTTTACTTTTATCACAAATACTAAAATTAACACTTTGCCCTTTTATATGGTATAATGGTAACCCATCAGACAGAACCCAGTATGAAGCTCAGCTTTACCCTCTTCCAGGCTATGGCAAATCATTGAACTGATCTGAGCCTCAGTTTCCTAGTCTGTAAAATGAGGGGAAAAAAAACTCCCACCAGATGAATTATAGATCTAAATGTTTTAATGTCCTTCAAATAAATTCAATGGCTCACTCATAATGGGTACTCCATAAATGTTAATTCTCTTCCCCTGATTCTCCTTTTTCCAGGTGCAATAAGCACAATGATCAGTCATTTCTGAGCCAGCTCCTTTACTTGATATCACTCCATTGTAGGTTGTCTTTTCCAATGTACCCCAGGTTATTTTCCCCTACTAACAGAAGGTCATTACATTAACTAAATACTTTCTTTTGCTTGTCAATGACATCTTACTTTAAATCCAAGCTCTCCCTACTTCACAGAGCTTCCAGTAAAACAGATGAGAGGAAATCATAGTCCTCTGATCACAGGGCCACCATTTCAGCAGGTACCAGCTATTCTTAATGAAAATAGTACCAAGACAACACACAGAAGAAAAAACATTTATGAGAAACTCTAAAATGCACGAGAGGTATTAAGGGGAAAGTGAGTTATAATCATGCTGTTGGATTCTTTTTCCATTTTATTTCTTCTGAGAGTGGAGTTCATTTTCCTGACTCCCAATACAATGACACCATATTAGACACATATTTTTAGAAAAGGTATATTATTGTTGACCTATTATATGTGCTGCTCGTAATCATCCAAGTAATGCCTGGGTGATGGGCCTAACACAACAGGGAGGCAATGGCTAGACAAAGAGCTACTCCCTGAAACGTGCAGAAAATAGTCAAACAAGGAGATTATCCAAAGTTCCATCGCTGTGTACAATACTTATCTTCTTGAGTCAGGAAGAAGGGGACAGACAGTCTTCAGTTTATTTCTCACTGAACTGATCCTTTGTTTCCCTCCCCCCACCACCTACAGAATCTAAATTAGAGTGATTTCCTCCCGCAGAAAAGTCAGGCCATCCATCCTGACATATGCAGATTTGAAGATGATGTGGGAGAGGAAAGAAAGGGCGAGGAAATTTATGTTCTATCCTCAGAAGCTGACTCACGGACCAAGCAGGTAGAACTAAGGTGAGGGTGAAGGGAACATCATTCTTACCCTCTCCGAATTCAGAGCCGAGGCTTATTTTCACTGATCACACAAGTGTGACTAAAAACAAAGTGTAACCCTCACTGCTTTCTGTAAAGACCTTTACCTTCAGCCTTTCAACATGGGCAGCTGTGATCAGAAGGAGATGAGGGTGAACTGCCAAAGCTGATTCAAAGGAGAGAATTGATTTAAAAAAAATCACTGCTTGAAGTAGTGATGTACTGCCATCATAGCCATAAGCCTGAAATGTTGTGGCAACCAATACAAGGCACCACCAACATACTTACTCTGAGTATCTCCAGATATGGTCAGTGGGATGCTGCCACGGGGGAAGGAAACGTTCTATAACTGACCCAGGTAACCTGTGATTCACAGAAAGTTTGAGACTGAAATTAAACCACTTTGAGGTTAGCAAGGACCTTAGAGGCACACAATTAGTCCCAAGGTATGTTCCTAACATTAATTTGCTGAGAACTGAGCATGTATTTCCCCATGGAAACAGGATTATTGTTATGGTTGGTACCTCATCCATCCTCATAATTCACACTGTCTTGAGAAGCAGGAACAGCAGCAGGACTCCATCGTTCCCTAACTGGGTGCTATAATCTGAATGTTTGTGTCCCCCCAAAATTTGTATGTTAAAACTGAATCACCAAAGCAATAGTATTAAGAGGTGGGGGCTTTAGCAGGTGATTAGGCTGGGAGGGCAGGGCCCTCATGAATGGGATTTATGTCCTTATAAAAGCAGCTGGAAGCAGCTAGTTCACCCCTTCTGCCATGTGAGGACACATAGAAGACACCACCTATGAAAAACAGGCCTTTACATAACACTGAATCTGCTGGTGCCTTTATCTTGGGCTTCCCAGCCTCCGGAACTGTCAGCAATACATTTCTGTTGTTTATAATTACCCAGTCTAAAATATTTTGCTTAACAGCCCAAACAGACTAAGACACTGGGATATTCTGTAACATAGGTATAAGCCATAATGCACAAGATGCCCCAGTCACAGGATATACACAGTGTGTCTTCCTGGAGTCAGTTGTTCTTAATAAGTCATTTTAAACATAACTTGTATATGAGCGTATGGAATGGAAAGCTAAATTCACATGAATCTTTAAAATAAAACCCAGATGTGTACAGAAACTAAATGACAGTTAACCCTGTGATCACTTCATATAAATTTGCATTGTTTGAGTTGTCTTTTTCCCACAACCATGACTATATTTGAGGGGAAAATTTGTTTTTTAAATCAATAAAGCACAGATGCTCTAAGAAATCTCTCACTGGGTAAATTCAGTCTGTGTCCCCAGACACAGTTGATTCATTGACTCTCCTCTCACACAGGGGTCTTTCCACAGCAAACCTGAGAAATACTGACATAAAAATATCTCTGGACTGGACCCAAGATTCAGAAGAACTGCATTCAAGCCCCAGCTTCACCAAAATACCATGTGAGACTGAGTTTACTGTGTCTATTGATTGTTCATTCATCTAATAAACATTTTTAACCATTTACTTTGTGCTAGATCCTGTGAGATAGGGATGTTTCTCATCTGTAAAATGAGGATAGTAATACTAGCATACAAAATTATTAAGGTCAAATAAGATACTAAACCCAAAATCATTTCATAACTATAGTTCTGTGCAAATATAAGATACTTTCAGACTTTAGGCACGTTATTGATTAAAAAGAATTTTCTGTGTTAACCTTTGAACTTAATCATTATTTATAGCATTGTTTCCATGCAGGACACACTATGTTAGAGCACTGGGAAACACATCTGCTTCTCCTAGTGTCTTCCTCTAGCCACTCTGCCTCATCTCCTATAGAACCTACGGTGTTGGCCAGCCAAGGATAAAATGAAGCCACATCACAAATAACTTTCCCTTTCCCATTTAAGACCCAACAGTCACTGATCAACTTTTAGAATAAAAAAGAGAATAAATTGGTTTCAAAGACCCTTCTGATACTCTAGGACCCCATGATAAATCCAATACTCTTAATGTATCACAAACAAAGTCTTCGAGTATAATAGACATGAATGTGTCAGTGACTGAAAGTCACTACATGAGGAACTCTGAAGAAGAAAGAAGCTTAAAGAGATAGAAACAGATATTTTCCACAAGTGTGCCATTGCCTTCTGGAGCTAAGGCAGCCCTGAGTTCTGCAGGGAGTTCTACCACTGGCTACTCATGCCCACATCTCAGGACAATGCAAAGTGTACAGTCTTCCTAAAGGAGCTCAGCCTTTGGGGCCACCATGCCAAAGAAAAGCCATTCTGCAATAGGAATAAAAAGGGGATAAAGTGGCAGAAGGAAAGCAACCTCTAACCGAAGAAAGGAGTAGTTTTCATCTCAAAGAAAGCTCTTTCAGAAACTGGAGGCAAGAGCCACACTGGAAATTACTATTGTAAAGGATGGAAATGCTGCCAAGGTATCTGGTTGAAACCTGCCATTCAAAAGGGTTGAATGCAAATAATATTCCTTCAGGCCAAGTAAAGTCACAGAGACTTTTAATTTTTTTTCTTTTTGGCTTTTAAGCCTTAGAAGAGTTATAGGCTACTTGAAAAATAATTTTGTCAAAATCATCTAGAAGCAAAGGAATCAGTGTCATGGTTTATAAGCTTATTCACAAGAGAATGAAGAATCTACCTCCTGACCACATCTGCACGTGGCCATAAAAATAAGCTATTTTTTTCAAATGAACACACATGTACTAAGTGCTCCATGTTTGAAATGCTGGAAAGGTGCTCAGGGTACTGAAATGAGGATGGATAACCCCCGAGTTCTGTTTGCTTACTATCTATTTGGAAAATAAATGCCTACACAGACTCCCTTTAGCAAAGCCTACAGAAAGAGCTTTGCAGAAGGGACTCTACGTCAAGAGGTACCAAACCATGCTGTGAAAATACAGGGGGAAACAGAGATTAATTCTGCAAAAAGATCTGAGAGAGCAAACTGAAGGAGAAATATTTAAAGATAATAACATGAAAGTATAATATAAGTAGGCATAATTTGCAGAGGTTAGTAATTTGGTAAATAAAGCAGGAATAATGGGTCAAAATGGCCAGCCACAAAGAGCAAAGAAAGAGGTAAGAAAATTTAATCAACAAAATATGCTTATACCAATTTTTGCACCATCCTTATTTTGTATCTTCCCAGTTTCCCTTAGTTTACCCAGCTAAGTTTGATGACAGGAGTTCAGCAGATGCTATTGGTTACTTCAACATCCATTGTTTTTCTTCTACTTTTGTTCAAGTGGCTACTCTGTATACGGCCTTTGACTTTAAGACAGACTAACCCACAAGGGTGAATCCTCGGGGGCCATGCCTATCATGGTACCCTTAAACCTCTTCCTGCCAGTGGTTTGTTTGGGAATGAACATGCAAAAAAATTTTGGCCATTGATGCTGGAAGACTTTGAGGAAAGATTTCCTTGATTTCAAAAGTGAACCCAAGGGAAAGACCCGGGTTTTTTTGTTTTCTTACTTCTCTCTCAGGATATTTTCCTGTCTAGATGTGGTGCCTGGAGCTGCTGGTACCATGTTAGGATGATAGAGTGGGAAAATGGAAAAAGGTTGATTCCTAATGACTACACCACTGAACCAACCAGCCCCGAAACCCCTACTTCTCCACTTCATGCATGTGAGAAAATAAATGTCCTCACTACTTTAACCAGCTGTTTCAGGTTTCTGTTACTTGTGCTGAGGGAATCCTAACTGACACCAGGAGATACCATATCTTCGTTCCGCTCTGGCTGGGAAACAGACACACACATGGATCCTAGGAGATGGTTCATTGCCATTGAGTAGTGCATGAAGAAAAATGTAGTAAAGCTTCCTATAAAACTCCTCACTGAAGCTCAGATTTGATTCTGATTAGAGGCCCCTCCACTCATCTCTGTGGGCTCCCCAGCGTGGCTTGCCTATTGAGCCAGGGACCTGTCAGGCTCTCACATTAGATTCAGCTGGCCCTGAGATTAGACAAAAAGGAGCCACTATATGGGATAATTTTGAGAAAAAGAGAGGGGAATATGACCAGAGTTATTACACAAGCTAATCAACAAGACTGTAGTACCTGCACCAGCAATGCCTTCTCCCTGTATGTGGCATCTAAAGACCAGGAATATCTTACACTTCTCCGGCACTTCCTATTTCCAAAGAACTTACAAACATTGTACCACATGTATTTTATCCTCAAGAAAACATTTGGGGGTAGTAAAACAGGTATTTCTGCCTTTATTTAATAGATAAGCAAACTAACATCCAGAGAGATTAAATGACCTCTGTAAAGCCACACATTGGTGTTAGAGAAGGTACTCTGACTTTTGGCTTTCTTGCCCTAAAAAGATGGAAAATATAGAAATATAAATATGAATATATTTAAATATATTTGTTTATATTAATATAACTATATTATTTTGTAAATATATTAGATATAAATTGTATATAATTAAATACAAATATAAATTAAAAAGGATTCAGACCACAGGAAGCTTGTACATAATAGGAGGGTTCACAAAAAATTTTGACGGAGATTTTGAGGAAAGAGTTTTACTCCCAGGTTTTCTGATTTGCAGTCCAAGGAATTTTCACCATATCATACTCAATATAATTCAACAGGCTTTTAATTTCTACTTATTTATTTTTTAGCCTCTGCTACACAGAAGCTGCCCCTCGGGCAAAGTCTCAAAGGAGAGGTACAAGAGGGACAGGGAAGCTGCAAGGCGGGAAGCAAACCCCTAGCGGAGAGAACAGTCTATGCTACCATGACAAAGAGGCATTAATCAGCTTGGTGCTGGGTAACTTCAAGTGGCTTCGTGTTGCTGGAGCGTTGGATACGTCAAACACCAAGGACAAAGCACGAGAGGGGAGCACAATAAAACTACTGTCTGCCTAAGACCTGCTCCTGTCTGCCACAGAGCCCTTTGAAAGCCTGGTTGAGTTGGGCTTTCTTCTGTAAGTCTGCAGTCTTTAAATTTACTCTGTTCATTACCCGCTAAATCACTGAAAATCTGTCTGCCTGATGTCTGCAACTTACTTTGAACTGCATGGAAGAACAACGTGGGTTTATGGATACGTAGATGAATAGCTAGGTAAAAAGATATGCAATAAGGCAAATATATTGAAAAGTTTAGCCAGGCACGGTGGCTCATGCCTGTAATCCCAGCACTTTGGGAGGCTGAGGCGGGCAGATCACCTGAGGTCGGGAGTTCAAGACCAGCCTGACCAACATGGAGAAACCCCATGTCTACTAAAAATACAAAATTAGCCTGGCATGGTAGTACATGCCTGTAATCTCAGCTACTCAGGAGGCTGAGGCAGGAGAATTGCTTGAACCTGGGAGGCAGAGGTTGCAGTGAGCCAAGATCGTGCCATTGCACTCCAGCCTGGGCAACAACAGCAAAACTCCATTTCCAAAAGCAAAGTTTATAGACTCTCAATGGTGCATATGTGAAAGTTCACTATACAATTCTTTGATCCTCTCTGTATTTTTAAACTTTTTTTCATCATAAAAATGTTATGGGAGAAAACACTATATGCCTGTCATCTATTTAAGGTTTTTCATCACAGGTTTACTTTTTTTTAGACAAAAGGACATAGAAAATGTTAAACATTTTATAAAATGAAATAAGATGAGAATTGACTATTTAAGAAACAAGTATTACATTTTAGGTATCAAAAAATCAATTTTTAACTACCTTGCTATAAAGCACACTGAATCTGAGAGAAATCATATAAATTATTTATCCTTAGTTTTTATACAATTATCTTGAAAATGTGATACTCTTCCAGAACACTCCAGTTACATTTGAAAGAATCATAATCATTAAGCTTTACCATTCCATCTGGTTTGTATTCAGACCATCCCAACTCCAGCCAAATCCAAGCTCTACCCTTAACGGAGAGATGTATAAGACAGGAAACACAGGAAGCCCAATGGGATCAAGGTGTCACAAAAACAAGAAAACTTCCCTAAAAACCAAGATTTCTGGCCAGGCGTGGTGGCTCACACCTGTAATCCCAGCACTTTGGGAGGCCGAGGCAGGCCAATCACCTGAGGTCAGGAGTTCGAGACCAGCCTGGCCAACATGGTGAAACCCCGTCTCTACAAAAGATACAAAATTAGCCGGGTGTCATGGTACATGCCTGTAATCCCAGCTACTCCGGAGACTGAGGCAGGACAATCACTTAGAACCCAGGAAGTGGAGTGAGCAGAGATCACGCTACTGTGCTCCAGCCTAGGTGATAGAGCGAGTCTCGGTCTCAAAAAAATAAATAAAATAAAACCAAGATTTCCATGCATCCCTTCTTTTGGTACTCTGAGGTTTTTATACCTTAGGGCGATGCACAAAGTAAGATTTAGGATGGTTAAAAAGCCTACCTTTCTTTTGCAAGGGGTACAGAAATCTTGTGATTGCTAGCTCATTCAAGATATTGAAGATCTGGACATTGATTTTTTAAAATTTATCCATGCACATGTACCCCCTAGAAAGTCTGTGTTTAGCCCAGTTTGGAGACCATTCTGTAAATGAGAAGTTATTACCTACAAAATGTGCTGAGGAAGGAGAGGATCCGTTTTACACCATTACCCTGGAATGAGTGTGGAAGACAGATTTATGGGTGTCAAGAGTGCAGGGCACAGAAATACCAGCGAAGAAGCTACAGCAGTCATTGGGATCTGAAACAGGAGAGATTTTAGAGCAGACACTGGGTAAAGAATTTGAGAAACTCTTCCAAGACGCAATGCTCAGCAGGATTGATGACCCACCAGATTCAGGGAGAAAAGGTAAGTAAGTAAAAAGTGACTATCTGACCCATTATAGTAAGGAATAAATATGCCCTTTAGAAATTTAATATGTAAGCAGCCTTCAAGGATAACACATTACAAAGTTATAAAAATTTCTGCAACCTTCAATTTTACCTTCTTTTAGTTATATTATTACCTGACAGTTCAGCCTAGAGACTATCCCTCAGTACTGTGGCTTCTGTTCCATCCAAGAGACCACACAATCCTTGCATTTGCTGGGCCATGGGGGTGGCTACTTGATCCCAAGCTACAGTCAGGCAATTGAGAGAATGCCCAATAAGGATTAGGAGGTAAAGAGTCTAGGCCCAGCTCTGCCTCTACTTTCCTGTGTGACTTTGGACACAACGCTTAACCTCTCTGACCTTTACCTTTTTTCATCTGGAAAACAGAAGATGTCAGTGAGATGATCTGCAAGGTTCCTCGCCTCTCTAGCCTTATTATAAGGCTCAAAAATCAAGTGACTTTGGATAGGCCAACTCTGTAAGAGGAGTGAGAGAGTTAAGAAGTTGAGTGAAGAACCTGACAGATTATGAAGATGAATTAGCCGCAGGGAGAGTCATAGGTGTAAATTGCTATAGCCTTGGGGGCTTTCTGAAGCCCCTTGTTAGCACCTGGAGGAAGAAGGTGCTAATGATACTGTGGGGACAAAACTGCAGATTATTATTAAGCAGTAGGCAATGGAAAACCCAAATTTACACTAATGTGATCTGAATCAATGCCAATGTCAGCCCCGATGAAGGTCTTCGGGGGTGGGTGACAGCACTCTGAAAACTTGAAAATGATGGCTAATAATGAAGCAAGGAGTCAAACTAATATATGCGTTTCTCATTTTGTTCTTTATAAAAAGACTGCTGTATGATCAAGTGCCTCTTCCCAGCTAAGGAATAGTGTGACTTATTCCCAAATAGTCTATAAACAAATGGACCTGTGTTCTTTTTCAGCAAGGCAAAGAAAGAGCATTGGTAGAAAGTGCATTGGTAGAGGTCTTTTGCATGCGCTACCCAGGCTGACATTCAGACTTAAGGGAGGATTAGCTGACACAGAGCGAGAGGCTGGATTATTCAGTAAAAGAAACAGAGGCATAGAGCTAGTAAACTGAGGCTGGAATCCCAGATACCTAAGTAACAGTTCAATTAGGACTGGTCTTCTAGACAGAGAATCCATGAATTCAGAGTAAAGGAGCCAGACAAACTGATCGTCTGACTCCACTGGGGGTAGGCAGAGCAGTTTTTTTTTTTTTCCACTTTTTCAAGTTCTATAATCTCACTTAGCAAAGCTCTGTGATCTCCAACCTAACCAATTCCATTCCCAATCAGATATTGCATGTGAATGTGGTTGCAAAACAAATGTATTATGTTTCTGTAAGTGGATTATTCCTATTTGGCCCATGTGGAGCCCTTTGAAACAGCATGGACAACATTCCTCATACCCTTCTTCTCCTGTCCATCTGGAATGTTCTTGCCTTTCTATCCAAATTCCCCTTCCTACTTCACGTTTCGAATCTCAATGTCGTTTTGAAACTACCCATCTCAACAAAAGTTGTGTAATTGTAATTGTTTACATTCCTGCAGCTGAGGGACATCTCCTACTCTTTGTTTTAATCCCCTGTCATCCAAAGGACAGTTTGAGACACTTGTAGACACTCTTAGATCTGATTGGTTGATTGAAGAAGATCCTATACCAATGGCCTCAGGACGCTGTTTACCAGGATTCAGAAGTGGCAGACTTATTTCTCCCATCCTGCATCCAGACCCAAATGCTGATACAGCAGTCCCAGGAACAGAAGTAGCTTTCCCCCAGCATCAACCTTCTCTGCTACCAAACTAGCCATCACCTAGTGTGGCCTCAGCTCCCAGCATCTGACTCCAGTCAGGATGCACCAGAGAAAGCTCTCAGAAATTCCTCCTGGTAAGAGCCGTGGGAGACAAAGCAAGACTCCTGTGTGTGTAGGAGAGGGTGGCACTCATGAAGGAAGAAGAGGAAAAAGATGGTGACTGAGAATAAGGAGACAAGGACATGTTTGCACTGTGCATTGAGTCCTGCAGGGTAGGGTGACAGCCCGCAAGGCTGCTGAGAAAGTGCCTCATGAATCAAGGCACCTCAAAAAGAGAAGATATCACAGTTTGAACACCAGAAAAATGGAAACATAGAATCGATCACAACTCAGGCATCAGGAATTTAAGCACAGTCACCAGCAAAACCATGAACTAGAACATGTCTGATCCTCAGTCATCTCAAGTGAAGTCACTCCCTTAAATGCACCAGAGTGTGATAGAGTCCAGGTGTGAACAGCAAATTTTCCAGAATCATGTAGCAATCACTGAGTTCATCTGAATAATGTGTGCTTTCCATAAGTTTCAATATATAAACACCATCTGGCATCAGCAATGCCTCCAAAGTAGTTGTGGGAAAAGAATACAGTCCATGTATTATAACAAATACCTGTCTTTATGTGATGCATGGCAAGTGGAGTGAGATACTTACACAAGTCATTATAACTTAGTAGCCCACACATATATGAAGCCAACTTCAACATGTGAAGTTAATATGTGCCAAGCACTGTTTTCAGTCATTTGCCAATATGGCCTCTTAACTCTCACATCAACTCTTATTATTAAATATTATCCCCAAATAAGAAATTCAAGTCGCAGGCAAATTAATGTCTTTCCAAAGGTCACCCTTTCATAAGGTCAGCTAAGGTAGAGTTACGATTTGATCCCAGGGTATTTGGCTTCAAGGTGCATGATCTTAGCTGCCTTGCCACACCCCTATGCCACCATGCCTTTTAAGGAGCAGGTGACATAGAGATGACAGCAGCAGCAGCAGACATTTCTCATCTGTCTTCTAGCTCCCTCTCGATCCCTTTCATCCAGAGCCTAGCTCCCAAGATCCTCCCAGCTTGAACTCCTTAATCAACCTTATGCTTCTGCTCTCAGAAAGCAAAATTTGAAGAAATATTTATAGGCTTATTAGTCTATTGTAGATAAATGATCTATAACACTCTATCTGCCAACTCTGTCTCTGAAATCATAATTACTGCTAATAGAGATTCTTTTACTGACAATGAAAGAGCATGTTCCTTCCTCCTCTTTGGACACCAGCTGGCATAGGTTTCATTTCCCACTCCCACCAAGCCAGGGACTGCCACAGTCTCTCAGCATCTCAGAAAAGCAAGGGTCATCCTTCCTGGCTGACATCCTGAAAATCCAACATCTGCTCATTGATCTGCTGACCATGCAAAAGTCAGTGAAAATGTAAATGTTTTCCAGGACTCTCAATATCAAATACTTTTCCATATCCACAAATGAGGGGTGCAAGGGGGAGAATCTACAAAGCTTATATCCAAATTTGGGCTTACTTTTCATAAATGGATATTATGAACATGCCGTTTTTCCTAATTTTTGATAATCAGGAGAAGAATCATCCCAGGCTCCTGGAGCTTCAGGAAGATAATGCCTCTATTTCCCCATTGCTCGTTTTCTGGACTTCCACCCACGACAGCCTCCTCCACTGCCCCTTGCAGTCCTCCTCCTATTCCTGATGTTCTTTCCTTCCTTCTCTCTCTCCCAGACTGGAGGCGTCCAGAGCTGACTGCATCCTCCTTAGTTGCTCTCCCTTGCCTTAATGGATACAATGTCACTTCAGGTGCATTTGCATAGACACTCAGTCTATGTTATTTACTTTGTTAAATAAGAAATAGACTCTCCTGGATTGGGGGTAAAAATATGCTTTTGAAGAAGGAGTCAGTGGAGGCCCATATTTACAGGACATTTATTGCTGCCATTTTATGGGGAAAATTAGTCTTTTATGCTTTCAGTAATGATTCCCTAGGCCCTCTTTTCACACCAGCATGCTCATAAATTCCTTGTTTTTACAGCAGGGCAAAAATTTCTAAAGCGTTCTCTTCCTCACTTACCAGGATCAACTGGCAGAGGGTGGAGAGGCATCCCAGGAAGAGGATAGCGTGCTGGCCAGGGCCACGATGCCAGCAGGCCTCTGGGTCCTCTCTGGACACTATTTCCAGAGGTGAAGGGAATGTTGTGTAACTGAGGAAGCCCTTCTGGAGAGCCCACATTGGCTAGAAACACAGCTGGCTCTTTAAACAAGAGAAAGCCCAGGCATTGAGCAGGAAACGCCTGCACGAGCTCTCTTGGGGCTTTGCTGGAGTTGAATGATGCTAGCCAGACACATGCTGTGGAAAATGTTCTCCTCATTCAGGGCATCCGGACTCAGCACATCCCATCTCAAAGTGAGCCAGAAATAACTGCTTTGAAACCTGGACAAGGTGCTCAGAGAAACCAGGCTATGGATCCTGTAGCACCTAAGATGTGCTTTACAGGACCAGGTGACTTCCTATTTCCATGTCCAGTGGCTGGGCCCCCTTTCCTCCCTGCTTAGCACTACTGGCTGAGCTGCCTCTACCACCTCACCCAAACTTAGTCATTTTAGACTCCCCAAAACATTACCCAAAGGCACCAGCAAGCGAAAATAAAACAAGAACTCCTTATGCCTGCTAGTAAGTCAATTCCTATTTACTTAAAAGGGGAAGGGGGCCGTGTTGAGTTGGAAAGCTACTGCATTCTTACTTATGGGCAGCCTTGTGCTTTCAGGTGAATATAATGTTACAGATGTGAGAGGTCACGTCACCTACGAATCAACTCTTCTCAGAGAAGAATATATGTTCAAATTACATGACAGTATTGCTAAACTATAGATTTGGATTCAGTGGGTATGGTGTGAGATAGGAGATTCTACATTTCTGACAGACTCCTCATAGCAGCCCACACTCCTAGTTCACGTATTGTTCGTTGAGTATCAAGGTCTCAGGTAGAGAGCTATAGCATTGGATTGGACAGATTCAAGCTTGAATTCAGCTACTTATTATCCTCAACATATTGGGTAAATTCTTCAACTTCTGAGCTTCTATTTCTTCAACATGAAAAGTAAAACAAATAGTAATAATACTCATCCATCCTTCTTCCAATAGTTGATATGAGTTTTGGGTGAAAATGTATGTGGAGGAGCCCTGGAGGCCCTAAAATGGCTTATACAAATGTTAGTTATTACTATTGACTCCCTTCAATGATACTCACTGTTTTACGTGCTGAGTTACTCCCAGAGTTTGCTAAGCAATAGAAAGAAATGCTTTTTGCAACATAATCAATTGCAGAGATAGAATAAGCGAGGAAGAAATTCCAAGAGCCTGTTTTTCTTCCATTGCCCCCTCAAAGGCCAGTGATAAAACAGACAGAGACAAATTACCTGTCCAGCTTTTAGAGCATTCTAGGGGAGGGAGATTCTACTACATTCCTTGGCAGGCTGTTTAATTTTAAGTAGAAGAATTTCATGGTTGAATCATTACTGGGTCTATACCATCCATATAACGAGTTGATTCAACAAAATCATCAGTTGCGTCTTGGATTTGGTATGGAGTCAACAAAATAGCAAATAGATGGGTTACATTTTTTTTTCTAATCTCATTCAATGTACATTGTTCAATTAAGCAGAAAAGGCTTGGGCTTTAGGGTCAAATATGCCAAGTTTAATTCTGGAGTCCAGAGCTTACTAATTATGTTGACTCTGAACAAATTGTTTCACCTCTCTGAGTCTTAATTTGCTCATCTATAAAACGGGACTAAGAATTTCCATCATATAATATTCTGGGAAATATTAGAATAAATAATATGTAAAGTTCCTGACACCTAAAAGATGGCCAGTAAATGTTAGATTCCTCCCTCTTTGTTCTGATTCTGTAACAAAAACAAAGAACAATTATAGAAATACTAAAAGTTAGCCAAGTTTTTAATACTGTCTATATAGAAGAGCTTTACTAAGCATTTTTAAAAGATTTTCTCATCTAATCCTCATGACAAGCCTTTTACTATTATTATACCCATATTAGAGAAGAGAAAACTGAGTTGCAGAGAACTGTCTTCGTCTGGTCTCCATAGCCAGGAAGTACAATGTTGGAACAAGGTCCAAGGGGAACTAACTCCAAGATGTCCCCCCTTATCCATGCATACTGATTCCCAGCCACCCCCTGAAAATAAACCTTCTATGAGAGCAGCATACAATTCAGTTTTTCCCCACTCTCAAGACTCTCTCATTTACTGTTTGTCTTGCAAGATAGTATAAAAGATGGCACGTTTTGCAGTTGATCCTGTAGACTGTTGTTGACCATTAGTGCAATTTTGTGGAAAAGCCACAGGCCAAGGGCCATTCAAATACAGCAAACAAAACAACAAACCTGTAAAGCAGGAAAATGACCAGTATGTCAACATGTCTCATCTTGCGTCCCTCTGTAAATGGCAAACTTTAAATACATTGTGTGCTTTTTAGCAAAACAGACAGAAACCAGTCATTGTATTTTATATAGTTAGTCATAAAACCCATAGCTTTAAAATGGATAGAAACTAGTCATTGTGTTTTATATAGTTAGACAGTTTCCTTTATTTTGTTTTCTATGTTAAAGTTATAGGTTTTATTTTTAAATAAATCCCCAAATCCTTTGGATCTTCCCGCCTCCTACAAAAAATACTTACCCTAACTTCTCTTTCTTCAAAAGGCAGTTCAGGAGAAGGTAAGTTAAAGTTGGTTTTTAAAAAGAGTTCATTTTCACCGTCACATATATGGAGAAACTGATGGAGAAGTAGGTTAATTTGACATCATGGAGGTCTCAAAACTATATGAGCAGAAGCACAGGGATGAGTTCTTATGTACCCGAACTCAGAATTCCAATTCCTGACTGATTAATGGATTGGTTGATTGACTGACTGACTGATTACACTAACATTTACTGAGAGTCGATCATGTACAATTTGCTGCACAAAGTACTTAACATATTTTACTTTACTTAATCCTTCATAAAATGTCATGAGCTAAATGTTATCCCAATTTACAGATGAGGAAACCAAGTGTCAGAGAGTTTAGGCAACTTGCATCTACCTCTGACTGATTCTGAAGGCTCAGCTTTTAGCCACTCTGTGACAACTGCCCTTAGACTTCCTTTTTTTTTCTTCTCTTTTCTTAAGCTTATATAGGACTATAACACACACGTGTACAAATGTACACACCCACACACACACCCCCCACAAAATAATCACAGTCACTAATTCAGACTCAAAATAGCATAGTAAGATTTACTGTCACCCTTGTCCTGTTCCTAGAAGTGGATCATATAACTGCTTTCTACTAATTCCCTCAACTCCCAAACTCTATAAACCCACCAATAATGAAGCACAAGTTGAATCCAGCAGTTGCTCAAATAAATTAAACAATTGTTATTTTTTATAACTTTAACACATCAAAGCTAAATCCAATACACAAGAGCTTTCCTAGAACAATCTCTTCTCTGTATATTAAGCAAAGGTAAGAGATAACTCTTATGCAACCCAGGAAAAAGACACAGACATGAAAATGTTGGACTGTCGTTGAGTATCAAAGGCACTTGGCTGAGTTCTCCAAAGACAATTTGCAGCTGGAATTCTGTCCCCAGTGTGAATCAAACCCAAAATACTCCGTAAGTCTTACTACCCAGCCTCATTTCATTGTGCTTTGACACCCTTCCATCAAGTTAGGGTCTAAAAGTTAAATGAATTTTATCCTCTTTTTATTCACCATAATATTTCTGATCTCTCACCAAGAGAATTGAAATGGAAAGCCCTTATTACAGAGCTAGGCATATAGAAAATGTGAAATTGAAACTTGGCTGTGACACTTAGGGTGATATGGTAGTTTAAAACATATCTGAAAATTTGACACTCCTTCCATTACTAGATAGAGGCTATGACCCTCCCCTTGAACCTGCAGCTTTCTCAATGAATAGAACACAGGGGAAGTGATGCTGCATGATGTCCAAATCTAGGTTAGAAAGGGGCATGCAGCTTCCAATACTTTCTCTTGCAACAATCATTCTGGGGTCCTTTGGATTCCATGGAGGTAGTTTAGCTACCCCCTGAGAGAGAGAGGGAGAGATAGATGCTTCATCAGTCAGCCCCCAGATTCATGAGAAAAATAGATCAGAAGTAAGCTGTGGGTTTGGGGCAGTTTGTTATGTAACAATGAATAACCAGAACCAGTAATACATGTGGCCCATCTGTGTCCTCTTGAAGTTAAAAAGGTTCAGAAACACTAAGAAAAATCTTAGGCCCTTTAGTATATCTTTCTTTAGAAATTCCTTCACATGGAGAAATATCTGTCCACAATTGGAGAGAAGGCAACAGATGAGAATGTCCCTGAGAAAACTTAGATTTGAAAAGAGCACTGGATGAGGAGAGTCAGAATAACTGCTGCTCTGCCATTAATTAGCTGAGTGAACTTGTGCTAAGTAATTTTCCTTTTTGGGCCTGGACTTCCTCACCTGCCAAATGAGTGGATGGATTAGATTTCTTCACACTCTAACATTATACCATCTAAATTCATACTAAAGTGTGAATGACTGACATCAGATACTTTCCCTGAAAGCAGACTTTGACCAGGTAAAGAATTGGAAAGGTGAAAACAAAGTAGAGGCTGATGGAGCTGACAATCAACTTGTCCCTTGTGACAGTTTAGCCATTCTTTGATCCTCCTTGGACACTTGCTGCTTGGATTCTGGGCATGAAACAGATAGTATATTGAAGATCAGAGGCCCCAAGACCTGGCCAAGGCAGCAGTGGAAAAGAAAAGAAACTTCCCTGCTTACCTCTTCATTGAGACAATGTCCAAGTGAGAAGTTCTGTGTGCCCAGGGAAGAATATTCATCCTTTCTGGATGTTAGCATCTTCACCTCTAAAATGGGATGATAAATTCCAAACTAGCTTATGGCAAAGGATTGTGGGGAGAATAGTGAAACAGTAGATACGAACATACTCTGAAAGCTCTAAGGGCTGCACAACAATAAGACTGGCTGGGATTTACTAAACCCTTACTATGGACCAGGTAGTGCACTAAGAAACTGAAATAAAATTGCTTCTTGAATCCTCCCAACAACACTGTAAGGCAGAATTTACTACAGGTGAGGAAGCTGAAGGCCAGAGTGCTAAAGTAATCTCCCCAGGACTACGCAGCTAGGAAACTGGAATTCAAGCCCATGTTTGTTGTACCACATAACACTTGTCTCAGGAATAACCACTTAAAGCCTGCAAAAATAATAATAATAATAATAATAATAAAGCCTGGGGGAAGGGGTACTGGAAAGTTTCCATTTCTACTGCCTGGTTCTGGTTCTGAGGCAAAGCTGGTTCATGTAGAGTTTAGGGGCTTGAGCTACAGTGATTCTCAATCTTGCATGTACATTGGAACCATCTGGGCAGCTTTCAAAAAATTCTGACACCTGGGTTCCTCCCCAGAGATTCTAATTTAATTGGTTTCATGTGTGACCCAGGCATTGGGCTTCTTAAAAGCTCCCAGGTGATTCCAATGTACAGCCAGGATGGTAAGCCACTGCCCAACCCTGGCAGAGCCCTACAGATAAAGAAACTACCAACATGCTCAGATCTCAACTCCAAATGCTCCTTCCCATGTGAGAAGCAAGATGACAGGATAGGGTGGGGGAAGAGAGAAATGGCTAAGGATTGATGGAATCCAATATTCATTGCTGCATTCTGAATGGAGACTTTCCTGGCAGATACATTACCAGTCAGTCATGTCTCAGCCATAAAACATAGAGCTCTCATTTCCTCAGCGGCCTTATATACTCTGAGTGCTTTTCAGCATTATTAACCTCCATGATCAAAATAGATAGGGAGGCTGAAAGCCAGGGAAAACCTCTTTACGTCTTCTGAATTGCATAGCCAAGCCACACAGTGAGAAAGAAGTCAAGCTTGCGTGTGAGCATTCTTGCTGGAGTCAGACAAACCCAGAGCATGGACAAATTCACTTTGTGTAAATAACAGGTTCAGGAGGGCCATGGATTTTGAAACATAAAAGTGTCATAATTAGAATCATTGACATTAGTGTAACAGCATGCGTTGTTTGAACAGTGTTCCATACGAATGAGGCTATCTCAGCTTCCTTTAGGCACATTTCTATGCTAAAACTAGGTATCTAGAGGAAACATCCATCACTTAGTTCTGCCCATTATCTAAATGCCCCTCCGATTTGGGCAAATCACAGAAATGGTAGGAGACCGAGTTCAATTCCTACTGGGGGAGTCAGAAAAAGACAGATGGTCCCTCTCCCTCTTCCCAAGAAGACAGAGTGTGGCCCTATGACAGCATAGCCACTCAGATGCTCCCACCCAGACCACGGATCTTTGAGGGAAGTGTGTGGAATCGGTCAGAGATTTTCCATGGTAGCTTTGGTGAAGTAGAGGACCCAGAGGCAGGGCAGCAAATGTCCAAGGCAAACAGAGCCCAGCAGCATGGGGCAAGTCTGCTCACCAGGGCCAGCAGGGGTGGGGTCTCCAGGTGGCAATGAACGTGTCTTCAGCAGAACCCTCCTGGGACTCTGCCTCATCCATGCCTTGCCTCCCTCGATTACTTCCTAAACCTGTTGTTTAGCCTTCCTCAATTCCACAGCTGCCCCATTACTTTCTAAGAAATTCACTTTTCCCTTAAATTGACCAGAGTAGGTTTTGGTTGTTTCCAACCAAGAATTCTATTAGTGCAAGGTAACATAAGGGGATCTTATCGCTGCTCCTTTAACTACTGGTGATCTGGTAATACCTACGTGGTCTTCTACCTACAGGTATTTATAAAATGGCATTGTCTAAATACAAACACTTCTCCAGCAGGGTTTATATCTCTCACTTGAAAAAAATTTACATATGAGCAGATTTACTTCTGTATTCTTCTCCACCATGGTGATAATTTTGGGTTGAGGACACAAGAAGGATAAGTCATTTCTTTATTATTTGAGAAGAGTTAATGTCTTAGTCTGAAGAATGGAAATCAATATAGGGCACAGTCTCACTCAGAGGTCATAATAAGAGTTAAGTAGCATGAAGCAAGTTGTTAAAGTGCCAAAATTTAATTCAGTAGAACCCCCTTATCCAGAGAGATACATTCTAAGATGCCCAGTGGATGCTTGAAACCACAGAAAGCACCCTATCTATAACTGTGTTTTTTCCCATATCCATACCTATGATAAAGTCTAATTTATAAATTGGGCACAGTAAAAGATTAGCAACAACATATAATAAATAGAATAACAATATGCCAGCTTAAATACTCTTGTGCTTTGGGGCCATTAAGTAAAACAAGGAATACTAGAACACAAGCACTGAGATAGCCCAACAGTCATCATGATAACCAAGATGGCTGCTAAGTGACTAATGGGCAGTAGTCTATACAGGGTAGATTAAGGCAGACAAAGGAATGATTCACGCCCTGGGTAGGACAAAGTGGAATGGCAGGAGATTTCACCACAGTACTCAGAATGACGGGCAATTTTAAACTTATACATTTTTTATTTCTGGAATTTTTCATTTCATAGTCTTGGACTGCAGTTGATCACAGGTAACAAACTTCAGAAGCAAAACTTCAAAGAAATGGAGTCTACTGTATTCCATTTTTGACTTACAGGTAATCCTAAACTCCACATCTGTCAAATTTGGTCTTTGGATGCAGTACTCAGGTGCACCACATCCAAGATTATCTCTAAACATTTTTAACATTTTTCCTGGAGGTAGGGAGATCAAGTGTTTTGACCTGATAGATCTTTTTGTGGTAACTGAATTGAGGGTGGGATAGGAAAAGAAATCCAAACTCATTCTTCAGCTTTCTGCTGTACTGCCTAAGAGTATCAAACTGCATTTCAGATTAGGAGTTGAAAAGGTTTTCATAGATCATCCAGCGTGCCAACGTAAATGTCACCAAAGGAATCGAATAGAGAGAATGTACCGTCACCTAAACCAGCAATTTCCAAGCTAAAGACTATCTACCCAGCCCCTGATAATCTCTCACTCCCAGAATAGTGTCTCTGCTCACTCCTCATTCACATGTAAACAATGGCTCCGATTTAAAAGGAGATATGGGACAGCTGAAAATTTGTGGGGTTTGGAACCAAAGTGGTTTGAATATTGCTTCTACTGCTATGAGCTCTATGACCCTGAACAAATTCTTTACCCTCTCCAAGCCTTAGTTTCTTCTTCTGCAAAACGTATAAAGTTATAGATTGCCCAGCACAATGCTTGGCAAATAGTTCATGAAAATGGTTGACTTCGTCCAGATAGGTAATTAAAGAGGTATGAGGAATATCAACATTTGTTCATTCATACAATAAACACTCATTATGTGTTCATCATGTGTTAGGATGTATATATACAAAAATAAATAAAACCCAGAATCTGACCTCAGAAAACAGATGATTAAAACGTTGGCTAGAGTATAAAATTATTAGAAATATCTGATGCAAGTTCCACTGTTCCCCATCTTTTCAGAAAAAATCCTACCCTCCCTGCAAAAAAAAAAAAAAAAAAATTAAAAGCCTTCAAATTCCTCTCTCCTAAAAAATCCAACAGTGGATATTTTTTCTAACTGCTTTACAAGACTCAGCCCAATAATGTCTTTCTCTATAATACCTTTCTTTATACCTCTTCTTCTACAGTCTTTCCCCACTCCCAGGCAGGAATATGCTACTGAATGTCTCACGGCTGGTTCTCTAGGGGGAAGAAAAGCCCTCAGTAACAGTGTTTGCCAATTTCTGTAGCATAGTCTCCCCATGGCTGATTTTAAGCTAATACCATGATATCGCTGAACATATACTTCGGAAGACATGTGTACAATAAGCTCTCACAAGCTGGTGCAACCTGACTGCAGCACACCACTGTGGCACCATGTAAAATCAACTCTCCTTCCCATGGAGTCCTGCTGTGCTTGGCACTGCTCTACCTTATGTGTTCATTTCGTTATATGTCCATCCCATCCACCTCTGATAAACTGTTAAGCTCCTTGATGGCAGGAACTTCAATACTTTATTGTTATATCTCCAGCACTTGGCACCCTCCCTGGCCCAGAGTGGTCCTCAGTGAATACCTGTTGAGGAAGCAGAGTCACAGGAAGCTTTCCATTCTCTTTGGCATTCCTGCCTTTCCGGAGATATTGTGAACAGGTCTTATAAAGTTCATGAGGTTTGTCATCAGCTTCCCAAATTCCTTTTTGGCTTCACGTTGTCCTCTCTCTTTTCCTTTCCCATCATAAAGTACAGCCAGGAAAGATTCTAGTAGCAGTCATTTACATCTCTGAATAATTTAAATGTCTTGTTTCCAGAACAGTGCCATGATTTAGCTCTACCTGAGCAATGAATCATTGTCCTTAATTAAGATAATTTCAATGGCAGCAGGCAGGAGTAAAAATTTGAGGGCAGCTAATTATTTTGTATGTATGTAGGAACAGCCTCGTTGTGGAAATACTAGTATTGAAAATGACATTTCAAAATGTATAAATACTCAAGGTCTGAAAAACTCACTAGAAGTCTCTAATATTTGGACCTCAACTAAGGCAAACTGACCATTCACTAAGCCCACAAGTCCAGGAAATCATCAATTCAACTTGTTCTTTTTTAAAGGGAGGTCTCGAAACTCTTGTTTTAACCGTCTCAGTCTAAAAATGAAACTGTCCTTAACCTTGTTTTTTTCATATAAAAGTTGTATCCCTGACAAATAATATCTAATTCAGTCATTATATCAAGAGTTCTAAGAAAGGCCATGTTTAAAGGAACATTAGTAAGAATAATAATGAAGACAATAACATTGTAACTATTTACAGTATGCCAGTCACTAAGCAAAGTCTTTTTTTTTTTTTTTTGGAGAGGTAATCTCACTCTGTCACCTAGGCTGGAATGCAGTGACACAGTCATGGCTCACTGCAACCTCTGCCTCCCAGGTTCAAGTGATTCTCCAGCCTCAGCCTCCCAAAGAGCTGGGATTACAGGCACGCACCACCACGTCTGGCTACTTTGAGATTTTTAGTAGAGACAGGGTTTCACCATGTTGGCCAGGTTGGTCTCAAACTCCTGACCTCAGGTAATCCACCCACCTCAGCCTCCCAAAGTTTTGGGATTACAGGCATGAGCCACTGCACCAGGAGCAAACTGCTTTATATGTGTTCGTTCCTTTACAACCTTCTACAAAACAACAACCAAAAAAACATTGATGATGTAAATAATTGTCCCCTAAATTTTTCTGTAACTTTTTTTTTTTTAAATTTTGGACTTTCCTAAAGTAATGCTGTCATTTCAGAGCTCTAGTGCAGGTAGACTGATTGCATGAAAGCCTTTGTGTATTTATAGCAGATATATTTGCCTACTCTACTCTTCAACTGGCAAGAGCCAGGCCAAGCCCCAGGAAGCATTAATTAAAGCATGGCATGAAATAATATCCACATGAATGGATTATCTCATATTCAATCACATTTGTTTCAGTATTTATTTAATTAAAAACACAACTATATTTATAATGGCAGCTTCTGACTTCCAAGATCTATAGCCTTATTTCTTTCTGGAAACACTCACTGAAGAGGAACTTTAAGATTTCTCTTCATAGCTAAATATATCCTATTTTCATTAGCGGTGCCTGAGCACATAGACATTCACCATAGTTTTATTGATAATTGCACCTGATTAACCACAAACTCCAATAAAAAGAGGACTGAATGCTTTTTATTAATTAATATAGTCAAGTGAAGGAAAACAGCCTACATGAGGGATAGCTTGTATAAAAATAATTGACTCATTAATCTTAACCATATGAACACGTTCACATTAGCAAGGTCAGTCGCTAGAAAGGATTCAAACCAGAATAGCACATTCATGCAAGTATGATTTTGTAGTTCTTTCATTTGGACTAGCGTGGAATTCCTTAGGACAGTGAAGGTTTTCAAAAGGACATAGCCACAAGAAAGGCAAAAGTTTCATAATGGCAATCTTTGCTTCAGTTTTCAAGCTGTCAGAGCATTTGGGGGAAAAGCCTGGATTCCAGTTTATTTTTTCCAGCACATAGGCAGTGTTTGCAACCTAAAAGCAATCCCATACTTCCTCATGCTGTGATGCTGAAGATACGACCATCAGGCGCACCTCCACAGCAGCAGAAGTGTGCGGGCCAGGGGCTGTGAGCCAGGCAGACATTGCTTCCTGGGGACGATAACCAGTTGGGAAGGAGATTTGGGTAGGGGAGCACTTAGGCCTGGAAAGCAGTCATTTAGAATAATAACCAAAGGAAGTACGCCTTCACACAGCAGGTGGTAAACATGTGGAACTTGTTACTCTCCAAGAGTTGAACAAGCCAAGAAATGTAAATAGTTTCAAGAAGGGTTTGAAAAAATTTCAAATGCCCAATCTTTTGCCAGTTGCCAAAGAGAGGTTCAGGGTGTTTGGATGAATTCCCAATTTTTGATGTTAACAGAGGCAGCTGCCATCTCCTTTAGGTCATGTCTCTGGCTCTGAAGAGTTAAAATGAAATATTTCGTGGGGTAAACCATTAGATTGACCCAATATGCCGTATCTTTTGTTCTAGTGCTCTTATGTTGGTGTGGCTTTTTAGAAGCTATATGATTGAAGAAAACCCTCTAAACCTCCATGAATTCATCTGTGAAATGAGCTTGATTATAGCTCTCCTCCCTACAGCATGGTGTTATTGTGAGGATCAAGTGAGATAAAGCTTTCTCAACTGCAAAATGCTGTGCACACGGTGGTGTAGCATTTTTTTCAATAGCCCAAATAATCTGGATGCCTCATGGGAAAATCCTGAGAGGGCCACATTCCTCAAAAAAAAAATCAGCTCTGAAAAAGCTTAGACAGTTATGACACAACTAATGTCTAACGGATTCTCTTTTCCTCTCCACAGCTCCAATCTAGTCATCAACACAGCTGCACCAAATCTGCTCTCCCTGGCCCCAAAACTCCAGATGACTTTTCCCTGTCCCTCTCCAATTCTCTTTTGGAGCTGTATTTGGGAAACCAGTTGTGTGTCTCTTCACATCACCCATATCCCATTGGTAAAATGAAGTCAAGGATCTGAATGAAGTAACAGAAGGGTGTCTTACCTGGGAGTATTTATATGTAAGGATTTTTGTTCCCTCATGATTATCCCCAGCTTTAGAATGGTGATATGTTATATTATAAATTTTCGCTGTCTCACGTAAGTTGTATCATACTAGGATTAGGTTTAGAAATCAGACATCTCAAATCAACAAATACTCTCTCAAACATCTGCTTTTTTTTCTGTGGACACTGTGACAGTGACAAAGATCAGGGAAATCCATGTCATCTTATAAGGGCTTCCATCCCTGGGGGGGTCACCAAAGCTGACATTCTTTATCTCATCATGTTAGTGCCTCCACAATGATTTGCTTGTAGAAAGTTGCCTGTCCAGCTACTATATGTGATTCCTCCGATCACAGTATAGTGAGTATTCTAATTCAATGGCTTTGGAACAGAAAGAATCAGTGTTTGAATCTTAGTTCCATCCTTTAAAAGCTGTGTGACCTTGAACAAGTCACTTGTCCTCTCTGGGCTACCATTTCTATAAAATGGAGATTCCAAACACACACACCTCTCATTGGAATTATATGATATAATATCACTTAAAGTGACATAAGGCACTTGAATACATGGCCTGGTACAAAATAAACACACAATAAATGACAAATATGATGCTCACAGAGCCCTCTAAGGTTCCACACAGATCTATAGGGTGCCACAGAAACTGGGAGTAAACTTGGTGGTGTGAAAACGGCAGCTGCTGTAAGTTGCACAGTGTCATCCCCAGTGATGTGGAAGATGATCACCCAGGGAACAACCAGATAGTTGACTCATTTTGCCAGCGTTCCACCTCAGCTGGCTGTTCAAGATACTGGAAAACCGCTTTTGTTCCAGAGGAGACTACAGCCTTGATCTTCCCCTGGAGTCACTGTGGCAGGTGGCGTTTGTCTTGTCTTCCAGAAACTGTTGTTCTCTTCAAGGATCATTGCTTGTCTAAGCCACGTATTAATTTCTTAATATTCTGGCATGGTCTCCTTCTGATTATTATAGGCTCTCATGTAAGCAGACCACTGCAAGCCCGTTAAATACTGTATTTGCTTAACTGCCAAATAGTCACTGTGTAAACATGCTGTGAAAAGGGATATTTTCAATGAGTTGTATTAGAGGTCAGTGCATAGAGAGTCTCATTAGTTCATGAGGAACCCATAACTCTCTCACTCCTGCTCCTCACATTTCAGGGAGGTTGGAGAGATGTCACAACAAATACACTCCATGCGATCCTTTTTCTCAAACCACACAACCCTTAGGTCTTCCAGAAACTAAGCTTTTGCCTTCATTATCTGAATAACTCAGAAATTAGCATTCACTTTTCTCCAAAAGACAACAATGATTTCCATTGTAGCTAGTACTGTAAAATATTCCCCGAAACCAAGCTGCCCCATTTTTATCTCAGCAGCAATCAGATGGCATGGAAGGAAAAGGAAGGGGTGAGGGGGATTAATTTCAGTATCTCACAGCCACTTGTATTGATTTTTCCCAAGTTTATACAAAAGCAAAGATTTCCCAGCTGAGCTGAGATCAAAAGTGGCACATTTAGCAGGATCTTGAGCATCCAGAAGGCCATCTTGTTTAAATAGCTTTAAGAATCAACAGTATGATTCCTTAAACCTGTGTCTACAAGAGGTCCAAAAGGTTATTGAAGAAGGTGGCCTGTAAGGGAAGCTGTCTCCTAAAAGGCAAAGCTAGTAAGCCCTGCAAAACCTTTCAGGGAATCAGCGTATGATTGCTACAACTAACCAGTCAGAACCTCCCTGTCTCTCTCCTCACTTCACTATATGCTTTCCAAACATCAAGAAGAAAATGAGAGACTTATGCAACAGGCAGCAATGTGAATGTGGCATTATGAGAAAATCCCCACAACATAACTCCATGGAAAACAGCTCCATTGTGAGGGTTTGGATTAACAATGAGGACAATTTGAGAATGCTGCCAAGATCATACTAAGGACAGTTGAAATTATTTTGTGTATTTTTTACATTTGTTTCCTAATTGAGAGGTAATAATCATATATATTTATGTAGCACAATGTGATGTTTTAACCTATGTATATTTCTGCAATGGTAAAAAGATTAAATTAGCTAATTAACTTAATAAGAGCCTCACCAACTTGTGATTTTTTTCATGGCAACAATGTTAAACATCTATTATTTCAGCAATTTAAAAATATACACGTTATGATTAACTGCAGTCAACATGCCACGAGACATTTCATTTAGTATCTGCTTCTAGAACATCAGAAAGTCCTACAACCCCTTAATCAAGAAATAGCATAAATGTCAAAAGATCACAGGGGGAATAGAGACTAGGGTATGAGGGGTATAAGTGGTTAAATTTCGCCAAATATTCTGTGATTCTGTACCATATACAAGTATTTGGTACTTGGAGGCAGAAAAATATAAAGGTGAAGAAGGCATTAATACCTGCCCCAAAGGAGCTCAAGTGGAAGAAAGACAGTAATTAGGGAAGGAGATATTAAGGCCTACAAGGCAGATTTGTTAACAAATTTCTTAACAGAGGTATAAAAATATCTTCATTTATTAGTGGAAAGCTTTATGGTTGGGGTGAAATTGAAGTTGGGTTTGGAAAGAAGTATTAGAAAAAAAGAATAATGGCAGAGGTTAATCTGTAGTTCCTATATTGGTCACTTTGTAGATTGTGATGCCATTAACTAGGCTACAGCAATGTGAGTCTTAGTCCTGTGGGGCTGCTTAACAAAATACCATCAACTGGGTGGCTTACAAATGATAGAAATTTATTTCTCACAATTCTGGAGGCTGGGAATACCAACATCAAGGTGTCTGGTGAGGACCCACTTCCTCACAGATAGCCACCTTCTCACTGTAACCTCACATGTAGGAAGGGGTGAGGGAATCTCTCTGGGGCCTCTTTTACAAGGGCACTAATCCATTACAAACGTCCCACTCTTGTGACCTAATCGCTTCCCAAAAGCCCCACCTTCAAATACCCTCACACTGGGGATAAGATTTCAACATACAAATTTTGGGAACACAAATATTCAGACCATAACAACAGAGAAACAACTTTGGGAGAGAATTTCAATTTGAGATGAACATAGGATTCCTTCCTTCATCCATATGACAATATCAAAAAGATACTTGAAAATTCAGGCCCAACTCTTAAGAAATCTGGTTTGCACTCTCTCTCAGGCGATTTGGGTGTGTAAAGGCCAGAACTATAGCATGCAGAACTGTTGTCTGAACCCACATAATGCAGGCGACTTGCTTCTTATAGCCCAAGCCTTATAGAACCATACCTTTTAGTCATTAACCTCTGAAGTTATGATTTATCTTGAGGGAATTTCACACCAAGGACCACATCTACCTTTTCAGAGTTATGGTAGAAAAGACATGAGATCATTTTTATCTGGAAAAAAACTAAGAAGGTAATTCTTGCCCTTCTTCCCAAAACATTGACCTTCTCTGAGTCTATCTTCTAAGTCCTGAGAGGGCAGAGAACTTTCACCATTATTTTGGTGGAAAGGGTTACTGTAAGGGCTTCTTAGCCTGTTCTAACAAAAGGAAATACCAACCAATGGGCAAAGGCTCAAGTTTTACAGCAGCTTTGTGGAGTTAAAAGCAATGAAGTTTTCCCTTCTAAGAACAGAAGACCTTCCAGGAACCACAATGACTCCTGGGGTGCTTCCATGACTCCAGAGAAAGAACAGGCCTCCAGAAACATGCACTCTTAGCAGTGAGCATAAGTGAAAACTGAGCATTGCCTGTAAATTGTAAAATGCTATTCACATGGCAGGCATTGTTACTACTCAATGCCATCTCCTCATTAGAAACTGCTCTCAGGGAAGCTTCTTATTTCACACATTCATATAAGATGGGCAGAAGCTAATGTAGGCTTTGTGTCTTATTAAAGGAATTTCTGGCATGAATGAGCAGGTGGAAACGAGCATGGGTCAGCATGCATGTGTGTGCACACATATGTGGGAATGTGTGAAGGATACATGGTGACTCCACCTTGATTGAGAACATCATACAGCTACAGGGGAATCTAATCATGATGGAGCCCACAGGCAGAAAAATAGGACATGCTGTAGTCAAGCTCAATTCATTGTGAAGTCACTATTTTTCTTTTTTTTTTTTTTTTTTTTTTTGAGACGGAGTCTCGCTGTCGCCCAGGCCGGAGTGCAGTGGCGCGATCTCGGCTCACTGCAGGCTCCGCCCCCGGGGTTCACGCCATTCTCCTGCCTCAGCCTCCCGAGTAGCTGGGACTACAGGCGCCCGCCACCTCGCCCAGCTAATTTTTTGTATTTTTAGTAGAGACGGGGTTTCACTGTGTTAGCCAGGATGGTCTCGATCTCCTGACCTCGTGATCCGCCCGCCTCGGCCTCCCAAAGTGCTGGGATTACAGGCGTGAGCCACCGCGCCCGGCCTACTATTTTTCATTTCACAATGATGCAAAACAAAAATAGACCCTAATTTTAACAATAGCAATGACTATATATTATATATGTATTATGTAATCACATATGTAAATACATACATGCATATACATATGTACATGTGGACACACACCATCAAATTCATCAGCCAAGACCATCCGATCAGCCAAAATACACTCTTAATAGGCAAAGACCCTCTTTGTCAGCCTCCCTCTGAAAGCATGACCAGCAAGAAAAGAAGGACTTTGAAAATGGAAGTACCACCTACAAAGCACATAGTATCCTAAAGGCAAAGTGAAAATGTGAAACATAGCCATTAGGGAAGTACAGAAGACAAATATGTTTCTCTTATGCACATACACACACACACACTCTCTCTCATTCCCTACCCTCTCTCACAATCAAATGGCAAGTAGACTTAGAACACAAACTTCAGGACCCTAATCAGAAGACCTGAAACAGAAAGGAAAAAAATAGGTCACCCCGCTGCTTCCAGCATTCCCCAAAGAACTCCAAGCCTTCCAACAGCAAGCCTGTCTGCTTCTATTTCTGACTCTTCCTTTAGGAGGCCCCTCAGGGCTTGGCTGCTTCCTTCCAAGAGTACATAACCCAGAACTCTCTGGCAACTTGCTCCAGTTTCTATATTAGACTCAGCATTTGTGTATTGATATTCCTTCTCCCAATCCATTTTCCATCATTAAGAGGCCTGATGCTGGCAGCCAGAAAAATCTGCCGCCCTGGTTCTCTTCCTGCCAAAGTCCATCCATTCGATATTTCACTGAGAAAAAGTAATTGAAATGATTACAAAATCTACAAACTTTAGCATGAGTTATATATTCATGTAAGGAAAAAAAGCTTTAACCTTTCCCTTCGCACTCAACTTGTCTTGAGTTTGAGAAAGACTCAAACTCAAGAGGGTCTTACAATAAGGCCACACAGTTGTTGTTCCTTTCTATTGGAAGAAGGGTGGACATTCCACTTCAAGAACAAAATAAGAGAGCCCCTTGACTGAGGAGGGGGCATTCACCTTCACACAGCAAACACCTGATCTCATATATTAGTCTGTATTAAGGCTTTGTTCAAGTCTAAATTGATACCAATCTCTCAGCCCATCCATCAAGAAGTTGGGGAGAGGGAATTGTTAAGCCTAGCTCAGGGCTGCTAGGCTGGACAGTTCCAGGAAAAGGACAATGGAAAAATACAGTGGCTGACTGGGTGGAAGCGCTGGCTGAAAGAGAGGCATTGTCCAGGATGAAAGTGCAAATCCTTTGGATGAGGCCCCATAGCCTCCCTTCCAACAAGTTTCTCAGGAAAATAGCAGCTGATTTTAAGTGTAAACATTCACTCAACTTCAGGCTTCAGGACCACAGCGAGCCAAACAGACAACCAATTTATCTATCTACAGTTACCTTGCTTTCTCCTTTCTTCTTTCCTTCCTTCTTCCCTTCCTACTTTGTTTTTCCCTTTTTTTTTTTTTTTTTTTTTAATACTTACATATTCTTGCTCCCAGAAAGGTCTTCATTGGCTTCTAAGGAAAAAACTAACCCTCTTGGCATATAATAGAACCATTAAAAGGAGGATAAAAAGAACAAGATATAAGGAATGAATAGAGAGCATGGTGAGGAGAGATCACTGCTGCAGAAAATTTAGCCAAGTATATTTATGGCAACTAATTTATAATCTAACTTTGAACTACTCTGCAGACATAATGATTTGCACAATACTCATGAACTAATGAAAATAAAGCATAACTTGTATCAAGGAAAACAAAATTTAATGTTAAGGAAAAGAGTGACCTAGAGATTTGTTGTGTTCAACTTGAAACTAACAGTTATTGAACATAACAATAGGCCAGACATCTCCTCCCTTAATGCTCACAGTAAGCCTACCATATGGTCATTATCACGCCCATTTTGCAGATGAAAACACGAGCTCTGAGAGGGAGAGTGATCTGGAAATTAAGCAACTTCATGAACCATTTATTCAATGACAACCTGATACATGCCACAAAGTTGTTCTTCATTTGACCAAAGGCCTGAAAAAGCATAGTCATCATTAGCAGCACATTCTTCAAGAGGCAGCTGGTGTGACAAGTGAGCAGAACCTCTCCAACCTGGGCAAGGAAGATAGTTCAGCTGGCATCAATGGACTATTTGAGCTCTACCCACAGGCACAACATGTCACAGAACCAACTTTAGAACACTACTTTACTACTAATATTTATACTGTTGCATAATCTTATATCCAGGAACAGAATCTATGAGGCTACAGCAGGAAACAAAGTCCGTAAACTTGGATCTTGTCCTAAATTTTGTCTTTTGGAGAGGTGATAGGGAACTGTCAAGGTTCAGTCTCTTGGAGTATGTGCCAGGCTCCCCGGGTCTTCCCAACAATAATGAAACAAGAGCTCCTGGGCCAGCCATTTTGCTGTCATATGTCTCTTTCGTATGAGACTTCATTTGATCCTCACGGCAATCCTGGGAGAGACATATGATGGTGAAAACATCCCATCATTCCAAATGAAAATTCCCATCTTGTAGATCAGAAAACCAAGGCCATGAGAAATTAAGGTTTTGTCCAATAAGTGTCATAATTATGACAAAACCTGGATCTCCTGGTGCTGAAGCCTGGGCTTTTTGCCCTACATCCCATTCCACTCCCAGTAAAAAATGCTCTCTCAGAGGATAAAGGACAGCATTATATATTGTGCAGAAAATCCAATTTGAATTGACTATGTGTCTGAAGAGCTGTACACCTGCCTGATAATTTGCCTTCTTCTCTTACATAATCTCTAAGCAATAATTTATGGGCTTCAGAAAGTCGATTTATACAACTAAGCAACGAAAAATTCTGCAATTAATTTTACGTTTGTGCCATGCTTCCTGCATTTCCCACTGTTGTCTGGTTCTGATTTTCTACATCCTGTTCCCAAACTGGGACTCATTCAAAAACAGGAACCTTCTTTGTAGCCTCTACCCAGCTCCCCATTTGCAACAACCTTCAGAGGCCTGAGAAATCATTGTGCCATTATTGCTGGGAAGTCCCAAGGAGACTGGCACAGAGTCATAGACGGAAACTTGACAGCTGCCCCCCATCCCTGCACCCCTCTGAAAGGCAAAATTTAGGACAGGAGCTTAAGAGAGTTTACAGGCTTTGCTTCCTGTTCTAGCCTCAGATTCTGCTCCCGGATATAAGATTAAGCAACAGCAGAAATTCCAGAGTTCTGAAAATATACTGTCAGCTGAGATGACAGAAAACAGATGCTTAAAGTTCAGTTTCTTATGGTGTCTGGTGAAGAGTTAAAGACTTTAACAAAGGATGGGAGTGAGAAAAGCCACAAACTAGCCCCCCTTGAAATCTTGGCTTGGAAGCAACCGTTAGAGAATTGTAGTGATGTCATACTCTTTTGTCCCTGTTAAAAAGAAGTAAAATTTTAAAGTTTAAGAGAAGGAGTATGCAGAGTAACATTTTTCTTTTTATTTCCTTTTTAATCTTATTGACAATTGACAATTTATAATTGTATATATTTGTGGGCTACAAAGTGATAATATGATTTATGATTACAATGTGGAATAATTAAATTAAGCTAGTTAACATATCCATCACCACAAATACTTATTTTTCATACTGAAAACATTTGAAATTTAGTCTCTTAGCAATTTTGAAATGTACAATAAACTAATAATAACTATATTAACCACACCATGCAATAGATGGCAAAAAAAAAAAAAAACAATTATTCCTCCTGTCCAGCTGAGATTTTGTACCCTTTGACCACCATCTCCCCACTCCCCCTAACCCCCAACCTCGGTAACCATCATGCTACTGTCTGCTTCTATGAGTGTGATTGTTTTACATTCCACATGTAACTGAGAACATACAGTATTTCTCTTTCTGTGCCTGGCTTCTTTCACTTAGTATAATGTCATCTAGGTTCATCCATGTTGTCATAAATGAAAGAATTTCCTTTTGTTAAGTCTGAATGGTATTCCATTGTGTATACATAACACATCTTTATTCATCTGTTGATAAATATTTAATGTTGATTCCATAACTTGAAGAGTGCTGTCATGAATATGGGCGTGCGGATATCACTGTGATATACTGATTTAAAATGTTCTGGGTAAATACCCAGAAGTGGGATTGAAGGACCTGGAATATTAGTTCTCACTGGTACTAGGCAGACTGCTCTATTGTGCTGATGTCCGGCTTGGAATTGAGGAAACCTGAATTTTTACCATGTTATTACTGCTCATAACAGATACGCGGGAATCTGGGTTCAAGTGCTAAAATTTTTTAATATAACAGAAGTATATTTACTTTTTTTTTGAGACAGAGTTTTACTCTGTCACCCAGGCTGAAGTGTAGTGGTGCAACATCGACTCACTGCAGCCTGCGCCTCCGGAGTTCAAGTGATTCTCATGCCTCAGCCTCCTGAGCAGCTGGGACCGCAGGCACGCACCACCACACCCAGCTAAATTTTTGTATTTTTAGTAGAGACAGGGTTTCACTATGTTGGCCAGGCTGGTCTCAAACTCCTGACCTCAGTGATCCACCCGACTCAGCCTCCCGAGCAGCTGGGACCGCAGGCACGCACCACCACACCTGGCTAAATTTTTGTATTTTTAGTAGAGACAGGGTCTCACTATGTTGGTCAGGCTGGTCTCAAACTCCTGACCTCAGTGATCCACCCGACTCAGCCTCCCAAAGTGCTGGAATTACAGGCATGAGCCACCGCACCTGGCCTAATATTTACTTTTAAAACATAAATTCACCTAGGCCTTATTTACCTGAGAGTATCATAACAGTTAGTGACAATAAAAACTGAAGTGGCATAGACTCCTGCCTTCACATGCTAATATACAACCATAGTCCCTCATGAAATAACCCCTATTTTCTCATATGTTTCCAGCAATCCCAAGGAACTTTATATGTGCTCGCAAACCAGTCCATTCCTACCAGGCACCTCTATTTCTACTGAACCCAAACCCTCATGGTGCCAAATCTTGGTCCATAGTGATGGGGAAAAGATGCCACTCAGCCCTCTGCTATGTGAGCTAGACCCTCTCAGAGGAGCTAGAAAGCAGTATCGCTTCTGCCCTTCAGCTTTCCAATGTTTTCAGTGGAATAGCTCTGCCATGTTTAACCTACATCCCTTTATCTTCATAGAACCAGGAACAAATACCCAAGAGATAGATGTGAGTGGCAGCCTGCACATGGTACCAGGATGTCCCTTCTCTCTGACTACCAAGACTTAGTTACAACTGAACCAAGCTCCTCATACCAGTGCCCTTTTCCTGAGGGTCCTCAGTACTTCATAAAAACAGACTTCTAGCAAACTACTTCAAACCTACCAGTCACTCAACAGATGCTTACTGAGTGCCTGCTATGCACCAAAAATAACTGACCTCAACTTTCTAAGGCATTGGCTCTCTTTAGATCCCAGACAAATCCTACATCATCTCCACTCCTGCCAAAATGTAAGCACCACCAGCAGTCACTGGTACCCGGATGGATTTCCAACTCTATCATCATTTGAATGCCTGTAATATTAATCATTCTGCACTCAAATATCTCTTTTCTAAAGAAGTACTCAGGCTTAGCTATACTTAAAAAGCTTCTATAGGCAGTTGGGAAAATGAAACAATCCTGCCAACAGAAGACTCCTTTACACCAACATAGAAAAAAGAATAGGCATTACTATTAAAGAACAGGCATTATCAGATTTGCACACACGTAAGATAGGACAGAAATGACTACAAAGGCTTAATCAAATTTCACCAAAATTTAGGCAGCGGTGTGAAAGAAGGTACAATGAAAAATTGTCTTATCTCCTTGAGAGATAAATAGATGCACCTTGTAATTGTCTCCTGTGTACCTTGAGAGGAAGTTACTTAGAAGGTATGTATTTACAGCTCTCAATCAGAAAGCCCATCATCTATCATCTTACACTATAAAATCAAAAGGTCGGGCTTCTTATTGAGCCTCTTTTTTTTTTTTTTTTTTTTTTTTTTGAGACGGAGTTTTGCTCTGTCCCCGCCAGGCTGGAGTGCAATGGCACGATCTGGGCTCACTGCAAGCTCTGCCTCCTGGGTTCACGCCATTCTCCTGCCTCAGCCTCCCGAGTGGCTGGGACTACAAGCGTCCGCCACCACGCCCGGCTAATTTTTTGTACTTTTAGTAGAGACAGGGTTTCACCGTGTTAGCCAGGATGGTCTCGATATCCTGACCTCATGATCCGCCTGCCTCGGCCTCCCAAAGTGCTGGGATTAGAGGCGTGAGCCACCTCGCCTGGCTACCTATTATGTTTTCAAGGAAACACCCTAAAGAAGAGTCACCTCTTTCCTAAAGAAAATTTCATCATTTTATTCTTATATGGCTTGAAGATCCAGATTGTAAAAAGGACCCATACTACCAAGTTAAAGATCACTGAAATTCTTTTTTATCCCGTGGTTCTGTACAGGATATTTTACATAGGACATACAAAATTTTAAGCTTCCAAAGAAGAGCAATTTGCCTTAAAAATTTATTTAATCCACAGGTTACTCACTATCATGAAACAAAAATCAGGCCTAAATGGAAATGATATCTGGAGAAGGAAAGCGGGCAGATTGGGGCTTACCAAGTCTGGAAAGAAAATGAATGGCAAAAAATAAAATGGTTTAGAACAGTACCAAATATAAATTTTGCTGGTTTTATAAGTTTATTAAGAATCAACACTATTCAGGATGCACGCATGCACACACACACATACCACCATGTGCTCAGATATATGCCTCATGCATATATTATATCTCATGCATACATCACTTGTAAATATTTATAGTTTCTAAACATTTTATGATATCATAATTTATTGACCTGATAGTTTTTTTGTTTTTGTTATGCTAAGATGAGAAAGAATGAGAACGTAACATAAGAATAGAATTTGGTCTCAGCATTTTCCTCTGGTCAAACTTTGTCATTTTAGTATCTCTGTAGGACCCAACACAGAATTTGCTTAAAGACAACTGCTTTTTCAGGCTTTTGTGTACCTGAGTGGACCTCTACCTCCAAAGCTGCTTGAGTCAGCCAGAAAATTATCAGTGAAATCATGTTGTGGGGATAGCAACTTCTTAACGCCAAGCAACAACTCAGGTGAAGCTGTTTGAGAGAGGAGCTGAGCCCCTGCTAAAGCTGAATTTCCCATTATGCACCCTGAATTAGCATTGGTGTCAAAAGGCAAGGCCAAGTTCACAACGTCTGCAAAAATGCAACAGTGCAAGGTATTCAGTTTTGTTTTGATTTTTGGTTTTGGTTATCACTGGAAATACCACCTCAGTAGATTTTAACCCTCATCTTGACTCTTTCTGCTACAATTCATCTTAACAGAAAATCCACCCTGGTCTTCACAGGAGTGAATAGGCACCACAGCCCAGACACCCCACAAGTTAGTGCTACTGACTTGTACTTTCTTTGCTATCAAACAGCAAGCCCTTCAGCTCCAGCTGCAAGGATTATCAGCTAAAGACAAGCTGTGCTGGCTAATGAGTTTACTCTGTTGTGTCCCCTCTCACCCAGATATCACTGGCTGAGCTGAGAGGAGTCACCTGGGGACTTTTTTCCCCCTGTGTTGGAGGGGAAGGCAGAGGGCGGGGATTCTGTAAGAAGAACATTTGTTGAAATCTTTAAGAATAAAACTTTCAGGCATTGAAATCTTGTTGATAAATAAACTCTAATATGTAGCAGCCTTGCGTTCCTTTCACCTTCTGTTAGCACAGTTCTTTTCTAGAAATCAGAGCAGATGTATTTGCAGCAAGCTGACCATACCAGGGGCATTTCTAAACATTAACTTTTGCCTGAAGCATATTGTATTTGGCAGCCCGAAACAGGGGACAAGTTCTCTGCCTAATGAAAATTATGCATATCCAAACTCATCTTCAAAGCTCAAATCACTTTCGAAACAAAGTATCTAAATTGGCAATGATTAACTTTTCTAACATTTAATCTTCTGTCCAAAGAGGACATGGTTATCTGTGATTGTATCTGGGTATTGGAATTGTGGAAGACAGTATTTTCGTATTTTTCTACATTTTAATCAAAACAATGCATGCATTTTTGTGGGAAGTGTTTTGTTTTGGATTTGGGGATGAATCTTTATGTATTTTTCTTTTTAGTGTGGCTAGCTCTCCCAAAGCTCATTGCCTCTTTTTGTCTTCCATTCTGAGAGGGTCTCAGGCATCACCTGAGCCAGCCAGATTTTCAGCGCAGCTGGCTGTAGCACATAGACTAACTTTATAGCCTCGTAGGGCTGTAATTTAGGAGAGACCTCAAATCTGTTGAATCAGATACCCAGGGGCAACTCCAACAGGGAGGGGCTCACCAGCTTTATTGCGCTAGTTGGAAAGAAAGCAAAATGACTGAGCGCAGCCAAGATACGCCAAGGGTGACACTTTTATATGGGGATCAGCAATTTAATTTGTCTTTGCATTTTATGAATTGCAGGCAGAGATGTATTTGCAGAGAAATACATGAGCATTTTTGAAAGCGATTAATTAAGCATGCAATTTATATGAAAACAATTTACTGCAGGACATTATCAGGGCACCCAAAATGCACATGCAATTTCCTTGCCTTCTAATTTGTAGACATAATTTATTTTGATTGTGCAATTAGGAAAGAAGACCTTTATTAGTTTTGGTGCAAGTCTAAAGAACTAAGACCAATTTAGCTGTGAAAGAGTCGGCCTTAATGTAAAAAAGGAAGGGGTGGTCTTGGGCTCTGGCCTAGTGGATGAGTGTTCTGAATCCAAAGCCCTGGAATCACATGTATTTCTGTTCCTTTCTTCAACAGGTCATTTAACCACTCTGAGCTCCAGCTTTTTTATATATACATATAAAACAGAGCTGGAAAGATCCCTCCTCCTGGATTGGCATTTTATGGCATGTTTGGAGGGTCTGTCCCACCAGTTTGTCTCTTACTCGTGGCAGGCTGCCCCATAATAGGCCACACTATGTGGCCTAGCCCCTCCCCAGGCCTCGCCTTCAAGGTAAAGGCAATTCCATTGTCTGCAGCAAATTCTCCATAGTGCACTTGCCCATGGACCCCCTGACCCCACTCTTGTAGGTGCCCTTAATGAAGGCAGACAAGAGCCTGCATTGGATTTTCATTTTATGAGAAGCAAATTTTCAGGATTGAAATGGAGCCCATACCCCTATTAGCCTAGTCCTATAACAAACCAAAAAATCAGTCCAAATCATCAAAATTTTACTAGTTATCTTCAAATAATAAAGCCCCCAAAGGGGTGGGTTTTTTTTAGGATTTGGGGAAAACTATCAAATCTTCACAGAAAAATCTTTGGAGGCCCACCAACAGTGAAGAGCGAGCTCATGGGCTTCTGGCCACCACTCCTTTACCCCACACCCATCAAACACAGAAAAGGGGTGTATTAGTCCATTTTCATGCTGCTGATAAAGACTTACCCAAGACTAGGGAGAAAAAGGGGTTTCATGGACTTACAGTTCCACATGGCTGGAGAGGCCTCACGATCACGGAGGAAGGCAAGGAGGAGCTAGTCACATCTTCCGCGAATGGCAGCAGGCAAAGAGAGAGCTTATGGGAAGAACTCCTCTTTTTAAAACCATCAGATCTCTTGAGACTTATTCACTATTGCAATAACAGCATGAGAAACACCTGCCTTCATGATTCAATTACCTCCCACTCGGTCCCTCCCACGACACGTGGGAATTGTGGGATTAAACAATTCTTGATGAGATTTGGGTGAGGACACAGCCAAACCATATCAAGGGGTAAAGGGACCAAGGAAGTGGATATGCACTAGGCATCACACTAGAGTGCCTCCCTATGTTCTGTCACACCGGGGCCAGAACAGCCCCATAAAAAGCTGGTATGTTGGCCAGGCACAGTGGCTCACGCCTGTAATCCCAGCACTTTGGGAGGCCGAGGTGGGTGGATCACCTGAGGTCGGGAGTGCGAGACCAGCCTGACCAACATGGAGAAACCCGTCTCTACTGAAAATACAAAATTAGCCGGGCGTGGTTGCGCATGCCTGTAATCCCAGCTATGCGGAAGGCTGAGGCAGGAGAATCGCTTGAACTCGGGAGGCAGAGGTTGTGGTGAGCTGAGATCGTGCCACTGCACTCCAGCCTAGGCAAGAAGAGCGATACTCCGTCTCAAAAAGCTAGTATGTTTATTCCCACTTTGCAAATGAGAAACTGGAGCTTAGAAAGGCTAGCTGGAATCCAGTTCCAATTGACTGCAGAACCTAGGCTCTTTCTTTCCACTCCACCACTCAAGCTATGGGCTCCCCTAGGAGTACAGAGAGGCCATGTGGTCCTTTTCCACTTGTGAGCCTTCATTTTGGGTGACTGAGCCTTAAAAAACCATTTTACTCATGTTCTCAATTCCGAGTGACACTTAGCCTGTGTTTGCTAAGTGTTAGCAAACTTAGTGATGGGTTAGTCTTTGACCTTTCCTTAGTGTTTGATAAACCACCATTTTTATAATAATATCAATGACAGTTGATCATTTCCATAGTACATACGCAATAGCTATTTACTTAAGTAACCCAGACTTTTCCAGTGTGGGCTTACAACATAAGGTTACATTTTTCTTTCATATACAAATTACATTCCCACAAAATCCCCACTTATCCAGATTAGCAGAAAATCTGAGCGGTTTCCCCTTTCACATGAAACAGCTCCCTCCTTGGTATGATCAAAACTCCCAAGTGTGCTCACTCAGTCCTCAGATTCAGTCTGGGTTCTCGTTTTAAGGGTAAATGTGGATGGTGTGAGCAAGCCAGAAGAAGTGCCTCCTTCACGGCCAATGTTGACACTAGTACCAAATCAGGAAGGTGCCACTGGGAATAGGAACGGGCACTGGAATAACCTGGAAATGAGAAGTGATGCCCACTGGCTTCCACTGTTGCTGTTGCTTATATCTAGCAAAACTCCACGCCATTCTTATGTCATTTACAGTCCATTTTAATGCCTTTCTATGGGGGACACAGTGTCACCACCCAAACCAAAGAGGCTCCCAAAGCTGGCACCCCCAGTGCCCTCTGCCTGAGTAGCTCCTTGGACCCTACCCCACGATCACCGATAGAGGGCCCCACCAATCCCAGCCTGGAGTTCCAATTGTTGCATTCTTAGCTCTCTCAGCTCACCCATTGTTTTCCCCAAGGCAGACCATATCCTGGATCAGGGTGTCTAGTATCAGCCAGAAACCGTCCCCAGAAACAGTTCACTTGCCTTTGTGTTGTGTGGGGGTCACTCATTCACACACCTTCCTCCCTTAGGGCAATTTCCTCTCAGAGCTTCTGCTGACCTTCCCTGTTCTCTGACCTAGATAGGTACGTAGGTCAGGTAACTAGGTACCCCAGTTCATCAGAACTTCCAAAGGCTCCTGGGGCACCTTGTAAATTCATGGAAAGACCCTAAAGTCAAGTGGGGTTTTGCCAGGTATGTAAATGCCTTAAAGGGGTCACTTGGTAGTCCTTCCCAGAACAAAATAAGACTGCCCAGGAGTGAATAAATGTTGCCCTCTAAAGAAAGAAAATTGCCTATAATTTTAAAATGACATTTGGCCAAGTTATTAAAGAGTCAATAAATCGAGTTAAAGTCCTGTCTGCCTGGGCACCCTATAGATAAACCTTCTTCTGTTTAGGGCTATTCAGAGCACATATTCATCAGGATATAAAAGGTATGTGTCCCCAGTCCTCCTAAGTGTATTATAATACAAATAAGAATTATCCCAATCACAGTAATGATATTACACATGACTCACTGGCTGCCTACAGTTACACTGTACTAGAAGCTATTATCTTATTTAATCATCACAATCACCTTACAGGGCAGATATTACTATCATTTTCACATTACCAGTGAGAAAACTTGAGCTCAAGGAGGTTAAGTGGCAAACTAATAAATGGCAGAATTATACCCTGAACCCACAACTGTCAGACCTCAAAAGTCTGTTTTCTTGATAATTTGTTAGTTTTGAGTTAGAAACAACCAATTTGGATAAAAATCTTTAATACATACAAAGGCTGGATGACCTTTGGCAAAATATATTTTTTTGATCATCTATTTCCTTTATGTAAATATAACTAATAATGACCAACTTCCAGGGTTTTGTGAGGGAAAAAGTGCAATAATGTGAAAAGAACTACATAAATCATAAAAGGCACAAAATATGACTGATATTTTTAATTTGTCTCTTGGTAACCAGGGCAGCAACATGATGAAAATAGACCCTGGAAATCTTGATGACAGTGGGCATCACTTTGATGGCAAAGGATGATTGCCTTCATGCCCTGACAACCTGGGGAGACAGGAGGAAGATTCTTCTAACACACCTAAGACATTGTAGTAGATACCTGTCATTTGCGGCTGCTAAGATCTTTTGATAATTCTCCACATGGGGAATCCCACCTTCTCAACATAGACTCAAAACACCAAAAAAGCTAGTTTCTAACCCTCTTTGCTATTTAGAGAACAGACTTGTGATGTAGATGCCATCACTCAGACCCACCCAAATGAGACTGATTCTGAAGCAATATGAGAGGAGAGGTGGAAGATGACAGGTCTATTTTGCTGATACTTTTGGCAAATTTCTGGAGGTACTGGTGCTTCTGGCAGCATGATTTGGGGGTAAGGGAAAGACAAAAATACCCTGATGGCAGCAGATAAACCTGGCTCTGGGGTTGATGGTGGCAGAGGCTCCCTCTCCAGGCCAGTTCTGCAGTGTGCTTCTGAAATGCAAGCTCAGCCAAGATGCTGTTCAGCCTTCCAGTGATCCTCTGTGCTTCCTAATATTCTTGAATAAATTCATTTCTGCTTGAACCTGCTAAAGAGTATAGTGTTGTCTGCAACTAAGAACTAAAGCAGCACTTAAAGCTTCTCCCCTACCAATTATGCAAGGGAAGAGTAATTGTTTGGAGAAGACTGACATGTTTGCTTCATTTAGGATGGGCCAACTCAGCTGCTGCCAAAGGGAGTTCTCTGGCGGGTGATGAAGTTGCTGACAATGTGAGTGAAGACAACAGAAGCTACCTAGTAAGTGCCAATCAATGCACAGATAGGCAACCTGGGCTGCTTTTTGGACACACGTTTTCTACTCTATATGGTCATCCTGAAAGATAAGTAATATTACTACCACTCTACAGTGGAGAGATCTGGAGCTCAGGAAGGTTAAGTGAATTGTGGAGAAACAGCCACAGTTAGTGTAGAAGCCAGTCTTCATAGAGAGCCCCTCTGGCTGCAAAGACGTAAGAATAATACAACGGACTTTGGGGACTCGAAAAATGCTGGGAGTGGGGTGAGGGATAAAAGCCTACAAATTAGATACAGTGTATCCTGCTCAGGTGATGGGTGTACCAAAAATTCAGAAATCACCACTAAAGAACTTATTCATGTAACCACACACTACCTGTTCCCCAAAAAATTATGGAAATAAAAAAAAATCAATAAAAAGCCCCTCTGCTTCCAACACACACCATTTTTCCCCTATCACACTCTGGGATGGAATGTGGACTTAGACCTAAGAATTTCCAGGTGCCTGAGGATCAACTTTCTCCCAAAGAAAGACAGAAATCACCTGCTTTAAAAGATTTATCTACTGTTGTCTAATGACTCTAAAAACAACTAGCTCTCAATATTCTGTTATTCATGTAGGACATTTCTCACAAGCAGGTTTATTTAATCTGAAAGAATAAAGATTGATTTTCCTATTACTCATTCTAGTGATTTTACGTATTTAAATTACGAACTTTTCTAAGAGGTGATTCTATATAATGAAAGGTGAGAGGCATCTATTTAAGGACCAGAGTATTCAACTGTTAGTGGAGGTAATGTTTAAAAATACCGTTTTTTGAGGTTTTTTAATTTTTTTATAATGTTGAGGGAAATTGAGTGAAAAAGTCAGAAGTGTTTTTTGTTTCACCGTGAGCCAGACAACAGTGAAGACACAGGGACTCACTAAGTAGAAGACACCAAAGAAGGTTCAGAAAGGAAGTCGGCTCTCCCCAACCCCGCTCCACCCCCTGCTACCCCCTGTGCCACACCATGGCACTGGCTCTGTGATGGGTACAGCCCCCAAGCCCGGTGCCTCCACTTTTATTGCCTTTATTTTGTGAGAAGAAAGTTATTTACTGTTTAACAACAAGAAAACTTTGCCCAGGTCAAATAAGATATCTTGGGGAAATAAAACCAACCATTCCACAGTACAATCATTTTGACAGGAATCCTCAAAGGTCAGCCACTTCTTACAGTTTAAGAATCTGGAAATCCAAGAATATTCATGTAAAAGGGAAGTTTATGAAGCACGTTACATTAATAGGATACATTTCCTTGATTCTGAGATGTCACGGCTTTTCAAATGCTCCATTGTATTATTAACAGCTTCTTAGAGACAAAACAAAAAATTGTGGAGAAACAGCCATAGTTAGTGTAGAAGCCAGTCTTCATAGAAAGCCCCTCTGGCTGCAAAGACATAAGAATAATACAATGGACTCTGGGGACTCGAGAAAGGCTGGGAGTTGGGTGAGGGATAAAAGTCTCCAAATTGGACACAGTGTATACTGCTCAGGTGATGGGTGTACCAAAATTTCAGAAATCACCACTAAAGAGCTTATTCATGTATTTAAAATGAACATGTTGCTTTTAAGATGTACCCCCAATTTCCTGAAAATAAAACTTATTTTTTAAAAGAAGTCTCTTAGATTCAAGGAAATACGATCACTATAACTACATTCATTCCTCAATTTGGGGATTTCTTGGAAGTTCTTATTGGAGATTTTAGCTTTTCTTGTGAGGTTTTATTAACCCCATGAAGACTTGTAAGTTGAACTATATATACATATATATTATATTATAGTTGAACTATGTATTATATTTAGTGTGTGTGTGTGTATGTGTATATATACACACACACACACATATATATATATATATAACTGGAGGTCCAGATAAATTACTTGGAAACATCCACCCAGACTAAAATGACATTTACAGAAAAAGACTAAAACATTGATAGTCTGTCATTTTTTTGTTTATTCCTTTCTATTAATTAAGACTCTTGGGTTACAAGTAACTAATTCAAGCATTAAACCAAAAGAAGTATTTTATTATAAGGATATACAGAGGTGTTTCATTAATCCCAAAGGTAAAAACAATTCTTAATAAGGAGACAGAAGCCAACAACTGGAAAATTGGAGAATCTTAAGAAATAACCTCTCTGTTTTTCTTGGCTCTGCCCTTTTCTTCATAGCTTCTTAATTCTTGTCTTTCCTTGAAGACAGTCTTCTTTCTTTCTCATCCCTAGGGTGAGGTTTGGCCAGTACTCTAGGGTTTACTTCGCTAGGTTCAAAATTTCCCATTACCAGGAAAGAGACTTGAATTGCCTAACCTGAGACAAATGTCCTCCATTCCTTGGAGGGGAAGTGAGTAGAGGAAGCTGGGCCATGTATAAAGCATTGGTGCCAGGGACTCACCCGTGTGAATGTCATGAGACAGGGGAATGTAGTTCTCAAGAAAAGGAGAGCAGCTCACGAGCTGGGCATTCTGTCCCTCAAGCCCATCTCCAGAACTCCCAAACTCTTTAAGTTCAGAGCCACCTTCTCTGCCCAGCAGCTCACACATTCCAGAAAAACAGCTTGGGATACCAGCAAATCACTGCATGTTTAGGTGACCTCCTGAAGAGGGATGGTGCTTGCAGTAATGGTAAGTTCCAGACATCCAACTTGGAAGACTTTACTATTCCTTTAAGCACATACCCTTTGAACGAATGGTGGTATTTGTAAGACCAACCTTCATGCACTTTTGCTATTCCAATTACTTGTAAATCAAGACACACAAGCTTTTGTTTTTCCACTAAAATTCCTGAGATTTTGCCAATAAAACTGGGGTGCCTGAATAAAATGTGCATGTGAAATTACAGTCCCCAAAGCTAATGGTCAGCAATTTGCCCCAGAATCAGCACAGCACCTGAGATTCAACTTGTGTGTCATGTGATGGGGCACTCAGTTTGGGCTTTTTCACTTTTGTGGCTTTAACTATTTAAAAAAAAAAAAAAACTGTGACAGACATAGGGCCAAAATTGGCTATTTTAAACAATCAAGGTAAAAAATGCCTACTTTTAATGTATGGCATATTTTGACACATGATTTGTATTATTTCATTATTTGGAAAAGATTGTTTTCTGATATACTTGATTATTTTCATCATCCTTGAAACTTTTTTCAAGGATATTAAATATCTGTAAAAACATCAATGATATTAGAATTATGTTGGGAAGAAACCAGCAGATATTCACTGTCTAGAAAGAATTTTTCTCACTGATCTGGTTCAACATGAATGGTTTTCCCCAAGAGGAATGGCTAGAATGGAGCAGCTGTTGCCTTGGGCTGGCCAGAGGTTCTCACTGCATCTCATCTTCTCCTTTGTACTAGGGAAGTCTCTCAGTTGAAGAACTTTGCCCTGTACTTGGACCTTCATGACCTGGCTTAGGAAAAAAATTATGAACTTTCTTGAGTCACACACAGTCCTAAATCCTAGGACAAGGACACTGAAAATCCTTGATGTGGACATTTGACCTTTGAGTAGGAGTCCTTCTGTGGAAATTGGCGGTTGCCTTAACAACTGCTTGAGGGGTAGGAAAAAGAGGCAGGACCAAGATGGCCTGTAACATGGAAACTGTAGCCAAAGTAATCAAAATGGGAGGAGGAAAAACAGAAGAAAAATGAACAGTGGTGTTCTGATGGTGAGACTAGGTTTGTACAGCACATCTTGACCCTGTGGGGGGAAAAAAGCTAAAGCTAGATTTGAATAGTACCTCAAAGACAGTTTCCTTTGCTGTGGTATCCACCTTAAGGGTTGAAGTCTTGTGGTCAATGGGTGCAATTGCTCAGCTACAACATGGTATGAAGGAGATGGGGGCAGAGGATGGCATCACCAGCTGACTACTTCAGAAGTAGCTTCACAGAGTGGGCTACTTTTATACCACTTTAGTGACTTTTCTAGAACCCATTTTTCAGAGCTGAACTCATACTGATGGAACTCTAATACCATCTGAAACCAGAATTCTGAAACCAGAATAACCATTTATTTGTTCACAGTGAGATAAAATGTCAGAAGCCCCATACACTCAGACCATTGGTCTAGGCGTTCTCTTCCGGTAGGTACATTAACTACCCAGGGAACCAAGTGGTAATTGCAAAGTAACTTGGTGTAAGAAGAATAAATTTTATGGGTTGAATGTTTAATAGCATCAGGCTGAAATTGCATAATGTATTCATCTTTACAAAAGGATTATTAAACTTGTCCTTCGACAGGTGCATACTCACACTTGTGCATGCTCAACTCCTCTCCTCTTCTTTTCCAGAAAGGTTTTAGTCACCTTCACTCCTGTGTTCTCCCTATCCTAGGCTTTCTTTGCTGATCAACACCCCTTTTGATTGATGTAGACTTTTTTTGACCTGTTATCAGTTTCAGTAATTTTTCTGTCTGACTTTATAGACAAGTGAGATATTCTCGTTTGTATAGAAAAAAATTAATTGCATGCTTGTTTTGTTTGTTTGTTTGAGAGACAGGGTCCTGCTCTGTCACCCAAGCTGGAGCACAATGAAATGATCATGGCTCACAGCAGCCTCAACCTCCCTGGCTCAAGCAATCCTCCCACCTCAGCCTCCCAAAGAACTGGGACTACAGCTGTGCATCACCATGCCTGGCTAATTTTTTTTTTTTTTTTTTTTTTTTTTTTTGTAGAGATGAGGTCCTACTATGTAGCCCAGGCTGGTCTCAAACTCCTGGGCTCAAGCTGATCCTCCTACCTTGACCTCCCAAAGTGTTGGGATTACAGGCATGAGCCACCACACTCAGCCTACATGCTTATTTTAAATGTTTAACTCTCACACGGCAATCTTGTTTATTTTACTTCCAGATTGTTGGAAGATGTCTTATTATGCCTATAGAAACTTGAAATGCTATCCATTTGTGCTACTTGGGCTTTTAGGACCCTTGGTATTTTATCTTTCAGGCTTTCTAAGCTTCACACTGTATAGCCAAGAGTCAAAGAAAATTAGTATCACAGCCCCAGCCTGTCCTGAGCCTTTGGGATGCAATATGCTCTGATGCTCTCACTTGTTTATTTGTGAATCCCATCAGTTTTTTCTGTAGTTTACAAGAGGTTGGTGGGATGACACACACACAGGATAATCGAGTAAACTTCTACATAAACAGCATCTGCAATTGCAGATACAAGAATAAGTTCCATTATGGAAATACAATAGGTAGGAGTGCTACACCAATAATTGGAAAGGTAAAGACTCAGGGCTTCAGAAAATCAAAAGAAAATAAAAGAATGAGATAGAAGTCCAGATGGCCTCAACATTCAAGCATTCAGTTTTCAAACAACTAACATACTCATATGTGTGTGTGTTTGTGTAATACTATTTCCAAACTTGGATGTTCATATCTCAGGTGAAAAATGAGTGCTCAAAGTCACCTCCCAGCCAATTGTTCCATTTTAGCAGCCTCACTATATTTGTGTGCACTGTACTATTTATCCAATTACTCATTTTTTACACTTTTACCTATTATTTTATAAATAAGAGTAAACAAGAAATATTAAATGTCTGACACTGGCAATAAAATGCATAGCTTTCATACACAATCTAGTTGAGTCAAAGAAGGAACTTATCAAGCATGCCAATAGTAGAAAATCATTAGTCTGAATCGAATTCCTGCTGGACATAAGTCAGTTGAATGTGTGTTCAGTTGTAAAGAAAAATTTAAAAAAGAAAGAACATCTAAATCATGCTGGAAATGTAATCCTGAACATTATATACTGAAGGCAAGATGTAATCAAGACATTTAAAATATTTTTTGCTCTTTATGACTGAGATTCTCTTATCAAGTTTGTTTGTTGTTCAACTTTCATATATTTCACTTTCTTGCATGTTTTCAAGTATATATTAAACTTGAAAGATGTTTTTCAGCATTTGCTGAAAAAGCAAAAATAAATTAGTGAAATACCCAGAGGCCTTGACACTACATTTCTTTAGCGAGGGATGGGCTGAAATGTAGGTGAGCCATGTCGAAACTTTCTGTTACATTGTGCTAGCAAAGCTCTGCCTAAGATGAGAAAAGTGGAGGGAAATCTCTACGAAGGAAGAGATTTCCCCTTTTGCAATGGTGAGCTGATTGTGTTAATCAAGGTTATACACAGCAGATTGTGCTGTCTCTCTGAAGATGTGATCACACCAGGAAGCATAAGTCAAACAGTGAGCTTCTTCTTAAAAGCTGGTCTCCTAGCCATCTTTCACTGATTAATGAGTACCTTGGCATCAAAATCTAAAAGTTGAGAGATAATGAAAAAGAGTAGAACTCCTAGAACCAGCATCACCATCTGTCTGAAGCCTACTTTTACACTTCCCCTGCATTATGTACCAAAATCCCAAAATTATCATATTTCAAACTTTATTCATTTAAGGAAAAGCATAGCATGATCATGAATAGCAGTAGTCATGATCAAAGAGAATTCTAGGAAATTAAGGTAATGAGAGGTCAGATCTAATCAAATTTAGGTGTCCTCAGACTCAATATTACCTTTGGCTTTAGTTTGTGTAAGTTTTGAAAAGACAGAATTCTAATGTTCTATTTTGTGGCACTCAGTGCACAGGTAGAACAACCCATGTTGTTACCACCTAAGATTTGAAGAACATATGACAATACCAAGTACAGGATTGGAAGAAGACATGGAGAAATGGCAGCTTCCATACGTGGCTAGTGTGGGATGTAAATTAGTAGAAATACAGGAGAGCAGTTTGACCATATTTATCCAAGGGAATATCCTTAAGAAGTAAAAATAAATGAATTAGAGCTAAATCTGTCACCATGCACAGATCTCAAACGTTTAATGTTAGAGAAAGCCACATATAACATCACTTATTTAAAGTTTAACACATACAGAACAACTATGCATTTTAATGGATAGATACGTGTAATGTAAAGGCAGACCACTATGGAAGGAAATGATAGAAACTGACTTCAAGCTACTGGTTATCTTGGTGGAGAAAGAAAGAGAAATGAGACTGAAAAAGGGTTGAAAAAGAGTTTCTCCTTGTTTTGTAAAATTTTATTTCTAAAGAAATAAAAATTCTAAGGAAACATGACAAAATAAGATTTATTTAAACTGGATAATGACAGATTGTGAACACAAATTTATTTTCACTCCCTCCCAAACCCCAATAAAATGATAAGTGTAATTTTAAGGCAGAAAATCTAAAAAGAGAAACATAATAGGAAAAGAGACAAGAGAAACAAATTTTAAAAGCTGGAAAGCAGATGGGATTTTCTGACTTCGAAGAACTGAGAAATGAAAATCCTGTGCTGACCAGAGAGAAGCAGAAAGACAGCTTGATTTTCTCTGCAGGCCCCCTAAGAAAGTTTAGACACTAGCAATACAAAGTACTGGAAGTACAGGTGAAAGTCTGGCCAAAATAGGAGGATGGGTTGAAAACAGGAGGATGCTGTGGGAGAAGCAGATAAAAAGTAATGATTATTAATTTTTTTATTTAAACAGTTAAATCTCAGATTCATACCTCTCTCAGAGCAGCTTGGTGGCTGCCCTTCTCACATCACTTGAAAACTGTGAGTTGATTCACTGGAGAAAGTAAAGCAGGCCAGGCATGGTGGTTCATGGCTGTAATCCCAGTATTCGGGGAGGCTGAGGCAAGAGGATTGCTTGAGCCCAGTAGGTCAAGGCTCAGTGAGCTATGATTGCACCACTGCACTCCAGCCTGGATGACAGAGTGAGACCCTGACTCAAAAAAATAAAAAATAAAAAGAATGTAAAACAGAGAGTCTCTCAGCTAGGAGACCAAGCACAGCAGAGGAATTATATTTAAAACAGGAGTAAAGGGTTTCAAGACCAGCCTGGGCAACATAGTGAGACCCTATCTCAAGAAAAATTTTAAAATAAAATTAGCTGGGTGTGATGGCATGCACCTGTAGTCCTAGAAACCCAGGAGGCTGAGGTGGGAGGATTGTTTGAGCTCAAGAGTTTGAAGCTGCAGTGAGCTATGACGGCACCACTGCACTCCAGACTGGGAAACAGTTAGATCCTGTCTCTAAAAAAATTTTTTTTTAATTATAAAAACAGGGCTAAGAGAATTTTTATATGTTGCATTGCTAAATCCACAGTCCTCTTCCCTCACTTGGTTCCTAGAACAATGGCAGTAATAAGTCTGTTATCCTTCACACAAGACACTGAAAGCAATTTCTCCACAGAACTTGGCAATCCCACAAAAAAAGACAAGATCGTCACTTTTGGTGATTCCCCAGCAAAATAACCAAGAGCCAGATACCTCTGCAGGGACTCTCAGACCTCCCAGGCCCCACCTGGGTACTCAGAGGCTTCCCATCAGGCTGCAGTGTTCCACTCTAAAACATGAACAGGCAACTCAAGGACATCAGACATCTGAGAAAAGGCCCTAAGCTGAAAGATAGGGATCAAAGCTAATAAGCAGAAAAAAGCAAGTTTGAGGAACCAGGATGCATACAAGAAAAAGAAAACTTAAAAATATATATATATATATATATAATGCTCAGAGAGATAAGAGATGATGCATTCATTTAAGAAAGGAGAACAAGATGCCATAAAAAAAATTTCAGAGAACAACCAAGATCACTTGGCAATTAAAAAGAAAAGTGAAAATTGAAAGAAAAGAGATAAGAAAATTAGGATATCAATCCAGAAAGTCTGACATCCAAATAATAGGAGTCCCAGAAAGAAGCAGAGAAAAAGGAGAGAGAAAATTATCAAATAGCTCAGGGAAATTGCCCAGTACAGAAGGATCTGAGTTTCCAGACTCGAAGAGCGCAGCAAGGGTTCAGTAAAACGGATGAAAACATGACCATATATAAACAGTTATTGAAAAATTTTAAAACATCAGGTTCAAAGAGAAAACCCTACAAGCTCCCAGAAAGGAAGACAAAAAATCACACAAAGATCAGAAATCAAAATAGTGTCAGTCTATTCCAGCGGGACTACTCCAGCAAATTTTTCTGTGAAGGGCCAGATAGTAAGTAATATGTTTAGACTTTGCAGGCTGCATACAATCTGTTGCATTTTCTTTTTTATTTTGTTTCGGAACTTTTTTTTTTTTTTTGGTTGGTTGGTTGGTTGGTTGGTTGGTTGGTTGGTTGGCTGGTTGGTTGGTTGGCTTTTACCATCCTTATAAATGTAAAAAACATTTTTAGCTCACAGGCCATACAAAAATAGGCCACAGGTGAGGTAGCAGGTGAGACTCAACTCCAGAGGTGGGGCTCAGACACTGGACCAGATTCAAGACTAGCTAAAACAGAGCCAGCGCAGAAGCAGCTTTCAATCAGACATGCCCACCAATGTGCCATGTCAATTTACCATTGCCATGGCAACACCTGGGCGTTACTGCCCTTTTCCATAGCAATGACCCAATGATCCAAAAATTACTACCCCTTTCCTAGAAATGTCTGCATAAACTGCCCCTTAGTCTGCATGCAATGTAAAGTGGGTATAAATATGACTGCAAAACTGCCCTGAGCTGCTACTCTCTGCCTACCGGTCAGCCCTGCTTTGCAAGAGCAGTCCCAGAGCTGTAATACCACCAGAGCTGTAACACTGCCTGTTGCATAAAGCTGTTTTTCTTCTACCTCTGGCTTGCCCTTGAATTATTTTCTGGGCAAAGCCAAAAACCCTCATAGGCTAAACTCCACTTTGGGGCTTGCCTGCCCTGCATCACAGGGATGTAGTTTGCTGACTTCAGTCTAGTCAACAGCAACACTGGAAGCCAGATGACAGTGGAGCAATGCATTCAGTAGCCTGAGGGAAAATTATTTCCAGCCTCTGCCTCTATACCCAGCCAAACTATCCATTAATCTCACAGTAAAAAAGACACATTTAGTCATATAAGTTCTCCAAAAATATTTCATCTAAGCACCATCTTTCAGAACACTACTGAGGCATATGTGTTACCAAAAGGAGAACATAAGTTGAAAAGAGAAAGAAAATGCCATTACAAAATCTGGGACCAAATAAGAGAAAGATGAAGGAAATCCACAGTGTGGTCCTAAAGACAGCTCTCAGATAAGGAATCCATGCCCGATTAGAGCAGGTTCAAGACTTTAGAAGAAATTTCTTCCAAAAGATGGAATTGATAGAATGCCTAATACAACTAAATATATTGAGAGGAGATTTACACAAATCACCAAAAGTTTGGGAGGAATTAAAGATAAATATAACAAAAACTTATAAAATAAAAGATAATTATTAACCTCAGAGGAAAGAAAAGTTGTGCAAGAAAGTTTAAAAAATCACAGAATACCCAACACCTCAGCTGTGGACAGCATTTATGTGGTCATAATATAAGCAATGGCTACCTAATCTCAAAAATTACAATGTATTAGGATGACAGAGGAATGTGACAGAAAAGGAAAGTGAAAGGAAGCCACATCCTAATATAGTGGGAAGTCTATATGTATGCTTCAAAGAATTAAAATAGCCATATTTTATATATTTCATATAATAATATGAAATACTAAACTAAATTAGTCAATGAAAGCCATTGAACCGGTTGCCTTTGAATTTAGGGAAATGGAAGCAGTTATTTAAACATTTAAAACTAAATGATAAATAGTGTTCCCTACACTGACTTGTCTATATTTAAACACTTTCTATTTTACAACTTTTATTTTTAAGGAGCATTCTTTATATATCAATACAAAGTGTTGTCAAATACTGTTTGCCTACATCTTCAAAGTTTTATCATAAAGAATACTAAAATAAAATATTTTGAGGTTTTTTTCCATTAGTAGAAATATTTAAAGGGATATTGTTAATCAAGTTCTTAAACAATCAAAAGTCCTAGAATCTTGCTTCACTGATTTCACCCTCCTATTTTCCTCTAATACGCTTTACTCGTCTGTAAAATCCAGCTGGTCTGGTTTCTGGGGTCACAAGGAAAAGGCATACACAGATTCTTCACAAAAGGAAGCTGTTGCAAGAATAAATAGGAACATAAGGAAGAAGAGGAAAGTGCCTCATCAGCACAATCGCCCTGTGTATTGGATATTTGTCATATTTTGGCCACCAAGCATCTGAAACACATCCTATATTGGGAAAACTTTTCTTTTTATGGAGAGTCAACAGAACACACAAGCTGCCTCCACCGTAGCCTTAAAATACCACATACAGTTGATCCTTGGACAACACAAGGCTTAGGGGTACTGACTGCCCCCCCACAGTCAAAAATCCACATATAACTTTTGACTCCCCCAAAACGTAATTACTAATAGCTTACTGTTAACCAGAAGCCTTACCAGTAACATAAACAGTCTATTAACAAATATTTTTATGGTATGTGTAATATATATCGGAAGAGAGAGAGAGAGAGAGTATTCTTAAAGCCAGCTACAGAAAAGAAAATATTATTAAGAAAACCATAAGAAAGAGAAAATGTATTTACTGTTCATTAGGTGGAAGTGGATCAACATAAAGGTCTTCATCCTCATCATCTTCACATTGAGATGGCTAAGGAAGAGGAGGAGGAAAGGTTGGTCTTGCTGTCTCGGGGGTGGCAGAGGCTGACGAAACCCTTGTGTAAGTGGACCCATGGAGTTCACACTCACGTTGTTCAAAACATGTCGTTCAAGGGTCAACTGTACTCACCTTCCCAGGCTCCCTTGCGCAGCTCTCTAATCCTCGAAACAATTGTTTGAGCTCCCCAATACCTCTTGAATGCAACTCTTTTCTGTGTAAATAAGCCAGAATTGATTTTCATCACTTCCACTTTAGAACCCTATCTTATTCACTTCTGGAACTTGGAAGCTGACATCAGTCTGCTCTTAAATGTAGAATCAGCTGATTGAAGGATGGAGGATGGAGGAGGAGGATGGAAGGATCTGAGGATCCCTGTCTCTCCAGAGGGTTAGTTTATAACTCTTGTCACATAGATGCAAAATATGTGGCTAGATGTTTGCCTGGTGTACCTTTGGACTTATAAAATGTAGTCACCAAAACTAAGGTATTTTTTTAAATGTGAAAATTTCAGATTTTGGCATGTTTTGGCAATCTCTTGCAGCTTTCGGTGAGGTACTGTAAGAAAGAGATAAGTTTAATATCCAGTATAAAAGAGTAAAGAAAATACAACTTTGCTAATAAAGGGTCTTTCAGTTACCCAAAAGTCCAATAATTTTGAGCCTTTCAAATTTCAAGAAACCAAATTCTCTACCCCAAGCCAACGCATAGACACTGAAACTAAACCTTAGAAGGAGTAAAGATCACAGTTATAGGAAAGCTTGACTGCTCAGGCCTCAGCTCAATGAACACAGTACTTTCTCTGTAAAGAATACAGCCGGGAGCAAAGATACGAACCGAGCCAGTGCTTCTTCGTCTAAGGCCATTGCTTTGAATTGCATCAGGGTGGAGCTCATTAAGTTGAGAATCACAAAAGTGAGCAGATCAGAGTTCTGTAGAATTTAAGGAATCACAGACAGTTAAAAACGGATCTGCACCACATTTACTTTCTGTTTGATCTTCTCTTCCCCCAAAGTTTTGTCTTTTTCTCCATGTATTAGCTTTATTTTTTCTCACTACAAAAGGATCTCCTCCACACACTTTTTCAATTAATATTCAAAAACTCCTGGAGGAAGGCTATGATTGGCCCAGGTTGGGCCACACCCAGTGCTCAAACTTGGACTGATTAATTTTAGCCAGATGTCCTGGAAACTGCAATTGGTCCAATCTTTGACTGCAATGGGGGCAGGCTAGAAGAGGCCATTCCTGGAAAGGAGGATGGTGAAAGCAATATCAGATGGTCTCACTTGATTTTGAAGACAACGCTATGAGGTATGTACCACTTTTTCTTGGTAACTTATATTGTTATATCTGTTGTAAAGAAGAATGTTACACTTATAAAAGTCAAACTCCTAATGAATGAATGTAGACTTAGTAAAATGAAGAGCCAGGATTCAGACCCAAATCTATCTAATACCACAGCTCATTTTCTTAAATTTCTTCTTTACAGTGCATCTTAGGGCTGTGTTATTGTTGCAAAACTTGTTTCAAAAATAAATTTCAATAAATGATGATGGAGGTCTACTCTCACTAATGACAAGATTTTTGCAATTCTCCTGGGCTTTTTCTTCTGTTATTATATGCAATGGAAAAGGAAACATCTAATTAAATTGAATCTACAAGAAGCCATGAGAGGAGAGAAAAGAGAAAGGTAAGAAAATATTTTATTGGAGGAGTCTGTGTCATCCATGGCAAGGATGAAGGCAGCCTTACTAAAAAATAAAGATAAAATAAAATAAGTTTTAAAAGAGAAAATACTTCATTGAAGAACAAAAGCCTCATACAGTTTTATAAAATAATGACATTTCAAATAACAGTAACATTTATTGAGCACTTATTATGTGCTCAGCCTTGTTCTAAGTATCTTACATGTATTATCTCATTTACACCTCATAGCTTATTAAAATAAATAACATCTTAGAGACCTTTATAAAAAATGTCTAATTCTGATCTCCTTCCACCCTTTAACAATATAACTTTTATATTCCTTGTTTTTTCTCCATTGGCAGTAATGCACTGTTCCCATGTAGCATTAACAGCAACAGTCAATGATTAGTTCAGGCAATTCTCAAAACCTTCTGAGAATGAAGCTCCCGCGTATCCTGCACCTCAATAACTCGGTTATCTCCATCCCTCCAGGTTATCTCCATCCCTTGTGATACCTGCTGCTGCCAGATTGCTGCTTCATTGATTTATGGTGAACACTCAGTTCTCTATCACATCACACAGCCCCCATCCCTCTCTGTCTCTCTCCACCTTCCCCCTTGACTTCCCAGGATCTCGACACAGTTCTATGATCAGCCATTTCTCTTTCCACATCACCTTCATCTGTAAGTCCTCCCCTCCTTCCTCCACCCCTCCCTGGCTGCACCCCTGCCCTCCCTGAGGGCTGCCTGACCTGTCTCACACAACTCTCTGGTTCAGACTGGAAGACTCCTCTCATCTGTCCTTGAATTTCCTCTATTCCTACTCCATTGTCTTCACCTTTGTCTTTGTTTGGTTTGTTTGTCTCCTCTTTATGTGTCCTCTCATTTCTGCTACATTCAGAATACCTATTTTACTCCTTAAAGCCACTGAGTCTACCCCTCACCTTGAAAGCTTCCTTTGAATCCTTTCATAAAATGTCCCATCCTGTGGATAGCCGAAAACAGAATCAGGGCTCCTCCTTCAGCCTCCGTCTCAATTTTCATTTCTTCCTTTTCAAACAAAAAATTGTTTATATTTATGGATTTCTGCCAGATCTCCCAACTTCTGAGAAATTAATTTTAGTAATTAGAGAGCACCATTGCAAAAGATATAATATTTCACTTTCCATTTCACCACTCCCCTTCTTTCTAAAGGGTAAATTTTCTTAATTTTAATTTTTATAATTCTGACCCAGATTATTAATGTACCTTTTTAAAGAAAATTATTTTACATTCTTATATGTTTACTAAATGTTTAAAGACACAAGCAACTTTCTGGTATTTCCAAGTCTATTATCTTTCATGAACTACAGTGGAAAAATCCCTTTGTAATGTCACCTTTTCTGGCTACATATTTTTTCTTTCATGTTTCTTCTGTGGAACTATAAACTCCCAAATCAACATTTTCTCCTCCATAGTTGACATCCATGATCATATACCTTCCAACTCAGCCATATTGTAACCTATGAATCATTGACCCCATATAAAAGCTTCAACCCCAATTATTTGCAAGAAATAAATTTCCTTTGTCAATATTTAGCTTTAATTCTTATATGAAAATTGAAAAATTGAATCTAGTAGGAATTGCTGCATTTTCTCTTTGATGCATTTTGACGTTAACTGATTTACCTTATTATGATGAGTTTTGCCCAGATGTGTAAGGAATGGCAGGGTACTTCAAACCACTCACATGCTCCTCTTCTTTCTCCCTTTCCATGTGCAAAAGGAGAAATTAGAACTCGGGTCAAGGGCTGGGGCAGTATTGGTTGGCTCTTATTTGAGATTCTGTCTTAAATACTACATCATTTCCCTTATCTCGCACTCATTCTGGAATTTGAAATCCATATGTAATACCCTGGGGGTTTTGTTCTCTTTAGTATTATCCTTCATTAATTTGGCTAAGAGTCGTGAGTGCAGTTAGCCAAGGCCCCATGCCTATACATCTGTCCGCATCTGAAATTTATATGGGACACAAAAAGAGGAAACAGAAACCAGAACCCCTTCTTTTTAAGGTTCAAATTATTAGAATATGACTGATGGCCCAGGGTGACCCAGACCAAAGCCATCTCTCAAGAGAGGTCAACAGAGGGCCTTCCAGAAGACATTCCTCATGATGGAGAAGGAGGAGCCTCAGTTTCTGCTTCTTGCCTGCGTGGAAGGCCGGTTCTCATGTGTGTCCAGGTTTCCATGATGCTTCTTTCAGCAGAGGGCCCTGACTGTAACTGCCAGAAACTCAGGGGCCTGGGCAAAGATAGAAACAAAAAGATAAAATGGGGACTTTGGGTAATCTGCTCAGATTTTCTAGTTTTATGGTCCCGCTGGAGTAAAGAAATACCTAAAAGTTCTTGTACTTAACAAGAGAAGAATGGGCTTTTCACAAACCCGTGGATGAGATTCACTGATTTTCTTCTTTTTGTTTTAAAGAGACTTTATTTTGTACTCTATGCACTCTGTGACTGAAGCAGGAACCTATGTACATACAACAATGGAGTATTTTGCAATCCCACTTTAGTCCATTCACGGTGATAACTGGAGTCCTTTATCCCTCAGTGCCCCTAAGCAGCCATTCTCGTTCACTTTACAGAACAGTTGCCTCTAGCTATGTCATGTACAGAAAATCACTTAATCCATGTGGGTGAAGTGTTTTTGGTTGTCCCCTGCGCTGGTTAAAACCCTGTGCTATGCATAAATGAAAGGCATTTGGCAGACGATTAACCTCATCTGTTCACTATCAGAGTCCTCTTTCACACTTCTTAGAAAGAATGCTAAATTTAAGCACTACATTCATTAGAATAGTAATCAAGTCACATCTCCTTCATCTGCCCCCTATTCTTAAAGAGAATAAATGGGTTATTTAGGTCATTAGCCCAAGTAACATTTTCACAGTATTCCCTCAACAGTTAATCTCTCTTGTGAGAGATTCTAAAAATAAACTGCTCCTCTGTTAAATTACAGCTCACCCCAAATTCCTTATTACATGAATATATCAGCTCATGCATTTATATTTCATGGGTCCAGCATAGCCTCTTCCTGAAAAGCTATAAAACAATTTTTCCATTTCAACAAATATCTCACTTTCTGCCTCCAGCTCCCTCTTCTGGACCCAAAAAGCCACAGAGAATTTCTTAGTTCCTCTTTCCTCTCTGCTCATCTGTTTTCATTGTTCTCTCCCTCTTCCTCCTCTTTTTGCCCATGCTTTGCTCCATTTTGATCCAGTCTTTCAGCTTGGCCCTCCCTTTTCTCTCTTTCAAAGTTCCCTTCCGATGAACTGGCCCAGGTCTCAGAGTGTAAAAGACCATAATCTGTCCTTCCTGGGCTGTCCTCAGTGACTTTCTATCATGGATATATTCTGGAAGGCTGAAGAGTTTCTTTACTGCCTTCTTCTGTTCTTCATTTTCCCACTCCTTTCCTTTTTTTTTGTCCTTGTTCACTATATACTCAGTCAGCTCTAATTGATCCTATGGCAACTAATTCTCCTCCACCATGAATTAAGTTAGTAGCTTGCTCACAGGCAAAGTTTCTTAGCCATCAAAATGAATCGATGAGATTGTTATTATTATTATCACCCAATTTTAGAGATAAGAACATTAAAGCACAGAGAGGCTAAATATAACTTTTCCAAGCTAACAAAGCTAGTAAGTTGCAGAGCCAAGATTCAAATCTATCTACCTAACTCCAAAACCCATGATTTTTCAACCTCCCCATACTGCCTTTGCATGCAAGTGTGCCATGCCTTCCTGTGGTTAGCACTGTCACTTATTACTAAGCTTCATGAGAATTTTGGTTTAAGATACATTTAAATTAAAAAGCACCTATATTGCCCTAGAATAAGAAAAGCAGTTGAAAAATAAAGATAAAAATACAGAGGCTTTATTTGAATGTGGCTTTTGTTGCAAACATTTTTTAAGTTAAGAAAATTAAAAATAATAATATAAAAAAGAAGCTTTTAGGAGGATATTAAGCATAAGCATATATTGGTTGGGGGGGGAGGGTATCATGTTGTATTCCTAAGGGTAAAGAACGTAATTGTAACTACACATACATCCCCCCAGAAAACTAGATCTTCACCTGTTGCCTTTCTCATGCCCATACAAAAACCTATTAAAGTTCCTGTGAATTACCCTAGGGGAGCAAACCAATGTTGGTATTAGGAAAGAGACATATTTTTGTCTTTTTTTAAATAAAAGGGATTCAATTCAGAAATCAAGAATTTCTCACTGATGAAGAAAACTTAGGAACACTTATCTAGTAAGGGCAAAGGAAAGAGTAAGTGTAAGAACAGAAACAGCAACATAGCATAACCATGGAGAGTGAGGCCAGGAGGCACAGACGAATGAACAAGAAGAATGTCGACATGGCAGCAGGTGCGGCACATGAATGCAACGCAGAGCACAGGGACAGAATGATGAGGTGCATGAGGAAGAGCACAGCAGTCTGCCACACACACACAGGCACTCGAGGACCTGGAGGCAGCCAAGCAGACCTACAGAGGGAGGCCGAGAACCTGTGAAGCTGGTAAAATTCTCACTTGCCCAAGAAGTGACCATTTTACCCAGGATTCAAGGGGAGCCCCAAGAGAAATCATTGAGAGTCTCCAGCTTGAAAACAACTCTCTATGAAAAGCTGTAATAAAATCACAGAATTTTAAATCTGAAAAGGAACTTAGAGATTATCTCATTCGACGCTCTAATTTTATCATACTACATATGCTGCCTGGTAAAGAATGCTGGATTTGGTATCAGAAGATCTAGAGAAAAGATAAATGTTAAATAATGTAATGAACAGTGAATCACTACACAAAAGTGTTTTCATCATCATTGTCATCTTGTGTAATCTTCATATTTGACCATAGAGTAGAAAGTGCAAACATTGGTGTCCCAGTTTTACCAATGACAGACTTAAAGAGATTTAGTAAATTATATTCACCAGCAAGTGATAGAGAAACAACACTGTAGAAACTGTCTTATTTCTGGTTGTAATATATTTTACTATGTTTTCTTTGAAGATTAATGTATGAGTATAATGGAGGGTTTGGTGAGAAAAGAAGTGAAACTTGAAAACGTTTTAGCTAAAAGAGAAAACTAGACCAGTATCATTTTTAAAGGGGAATCAAATGGAACTAGACCAGTATCATTTTTAAAGGGGAATCAAATGGAATAATCAGATAATATCTTTAAGTCGGTAAGCCTAATTTTAAAAGGATTAAACTACTTTCCTGGAAAATTACTTTCTCCAGAGAAGCTTCTTTCCCTCAAACTGCTTTTTATTTATTTATTGCCTGAAGAGTTTAAATAAAGATAATAAATTGCATGATCAATAGAAACAACAAAGTTGCTTTGCTTAGAGCTGATAACAGAGTGTATAGATTTTCCATGAATAATTGAAAATGCCCGACAAAGAGGTTTAAACTCTCCTGTCTCTACCCCTCTCTTTCTCTCCGTTTTTCACAGAGCCAATTCCTAAGTCTCCCTACAGAAAAGAAATCAAATGCAACCAAGTCAACCACTCCCATATCCAAGAGGGTTTATTTATTGCCTGCAGGGAGCCACAGCCAGCCATGTGGCAGTAAGTACTCAGGAAGATCAGCAGCTCATGGCTGCACGAAGTCATCTACAGGCCTAGGAGAGGCAACCTGGCAGTTACTCCTTAGGCAAGGCCCAAGAAATAAACGTGTATAGCCAGGCAATTTTTTTGCTGCACTTTGCACTAACTCTATCACCCTCAAGCCTGCCATTCTTCAATGGGCATCTTCAGTGAGATCTCCCCAAGATGAATGTTGGTGTAGTTTAGGGACCTCTCACACTTTCACTCTACCAACAGTGATCCTAGAGAAGCTTTTCTATACATATGGCTCAATTCCCCAGGATCCTAGCAGAAAAAGTTTGTGAAAACTTAAGGCTGCTGTAGTTCAGTGTCTGGTTCAGGCTGCCAAAATTTGGTCCTTTTCATGGCCACAGTCTAGGCTGTGGGGGCTTCTTCTCCCCTTCACTCTCTCTCATTCTCCTCAGCAGTAGCTGAAAAACAATGAGCTAGAAAGTGGAAAACTAAAATCCAAGCCCGCTCTTCCAATGGCTGGAGACTAAGGGGCCAGTCATCTCTACTGTCCCAGTACCCAGCACAGACTATGGCACATAGTAAGTGCTTAAAAAACGTTTGTTAAATGAATTGATAAATACATTTAATATCAAGGGGCCTCCAATTCCTCATTAGTAAATAGGAAAGTTACACTAGGTCCCTTCAAAAATCTCCAGCTCTGAGACTTTAAAATGTCAGTAGCATCACACTTTTAGGCTAGCTTTCAGGATAGTATAATTATATTAATTAAGATAAGGCAGTGTTCCCCTTCTGACATGATGGAGTAAACTGATAGATCAACTCTCACACAGATAACGACTACTTAGAGGCTCTGCAGAGTGAACAAAGCAAATGGCTGTGTGTTTGGGTGCAAAATGGTACGATCACTTAGGAAAACACTTTGGCAGTTACTTACGAATGCAAACGTATATTTACCATAGCATGCATCAGATCTACTCCTAGGTATTTACCCAAGAGAAATGAAAACATACGCTCACCTAAAAAACTTAAACTGCATGTTTATTATGGCTTTACCCTTAATCATTTAGACTGAAAACAAACCATATGTCTTTCAACTAAGGAATAGATAAGCAAATTGTGCTACATTCATGCAGTGAAATAACACTCAACAATAAAAGGGAACAAATGACTAACACATGTAAGAACATAGATGAATCTCAAATGCATTATGCTACATGAAATCAGCCAGACTCAAAAGGCCAGAGGGTGTATGATTTCATTTATATGATATTCTGGAAAAGGCAAAACTATAGGAACAGAAAATTGAATGTTGGTTATCAGGGACTGAGTTTAGAGGAGGCGGTGACAGCAGGAAGACATGAGGACTTTTGGAAGGTAATGAAACTGTTCTACATCTAGGCTTCTAATCTGTGATGGTACTAACACAATTGTATGTGTTTGTCAAAACTCACAGAATTGTATATTAAAGAGTAAGCTTTTAAGTATTTTTATAATTATGTAGATTATACCTCAATAAAATTGACCTTAAAATAAGGCAAAACAAAGGAAAGAAATGGGTCTCTTCTAAATCAGGGCAGACTAAGAAGACATAACTGCCAAAGGCTGTGCATGAGCCTTGATTAATTCCTGGATTGGGAGTGGAGGGGGGGAAAACCAGCCACTTAGGAACAACTGGGAAAATCTGAGTTTCGACTCTGTTGATAATGCAATTGAGATAGTAATTTTTTCTCAGGTGCAGTCATGAGCTTTAGTCTCATAATCTGCCCCTGTTCTTGACAGGTATGCACGGTTGTACTTATGGGTAACTGGTGATGTCTGCAAACTTATTTTGGATATTTTGGCAAAAGAGAAATGAATATGTATATTCAGAAAGAAAGATGAAATAGGAATCTCTTCTGAAATTTCAAAAGAGATTTGAAAGGGTTTGAACGATTTCACAATAAAAATGAATGCATTTTGTTAAACCCTCGTCATGTATACCTGCAACCCCCATCTCCTGACCTTTTGCTGGATGCTGTGGTTTCACTGGCCCATCTCCATTTTCCTCCAGTTCTGTTTTAGGAGTTTCTACCCTTTGCAGTTCTCTGCTTCATTTCTTATTCTCTGATCATGCCTTTCGGCTGCCTGGAAAGCATTTGTTTCCAAGGCTGTTGATCTCTGGCATTGCCCTTCTCGTTCCTCTCCCCTGAGCCAAAGCCTGACCTGTACAGCTTTGCTCTTTTTAAGTATAATCTATATTCTCCAAGTATCTTTAACAGAGTCAAGTGGTATTTAGGCCTCTCCAAGACCATCTACCTTCTCCTTTAAAAACTCCCCATTCAGCTTTCTGCCCTCCCTGTTGAACTGGAAGGACATTCACCATCTTTTCCTCCATTAAGCTCACAGCCTCTGCTACCCAGCCAGCTGGGTCAGGGACGGTTTTGCTTCTCACATCTCATATACTTCCCATCCTTATATTACCCTCCTCCATTGTTCTGTCTCACCTAAAATTTAGCTGTGAATTCCCCTCCTTTCCTCTTGCCTTTTCTCTCTCAGGAACACAGACATACCAAAAGTGATCCTTTCTCATCAGGGCATCACTGTAGGTGTGGTCTAGGTGGACAGGAGCCTCCAGTGGGGAGACCTGAGAGAGCCACAGGAATATCCTGCAGCCTGACGCAGGTACAGATATCTTGGGATGGCATAACAGAGGCATAGGCAAGCCTTTTATGTAAAAGACGAGAGAGTAAATATTCTAGGCTTTGCAGCCAAAAGGCAAAATGAAGCAGCTGTTCTTACAAAAGGCTAACAGTCCTTTACATTTTACACTTAAAAATGTAAAAAAGAAAAAAAAATCTTTGCTCTCAGGACACAGGTGGTAGTTCGTCAACCCCAGGGAAAATACACTGGGTGAACTCTTGGTTTAACTTTAGAAGAGTTAGAAATTGCTTTATTCACCTTCTTTGTTTCACTGACATAAGGGCAGTACCAATAAAAAGAGCTTGGGCTCAGGAGTTATTACACCTCCTGGCCCCAGCTGCTCTACTGTAGTTCTCAGAAAACATCATGACGTCAACCAATACCCAATCCCTACAGAGACCTGTGACTTCCTCAGGATTCTGAAGATAAACAAGTTGCTTAATGTCTGTTCTCTTCCTTGTTATCTTGTGGCAGCTGTCAGGAGGGACACTTGCCTTTCAAAGCCCTTAGAAAACATCATCTTGCTTCCTTTAGAGAATGAAAGCAAGGAGTACCATCTCTTCAATATATTCCTCCAACTGAAAAGTTAATTATAATTGTTATGTCAGTTTTGTGAATGAAATGGTCTGCTGACAAGTGGCTTTTAGAACTGAGCTTAGGCTGTTTTCCATGGTTTCCATGCATGACCCATTAAACATGGCCAGATTGTCTGGCAGGTTTTTGTATCCAGGGCCTCCTGTGCCTTTCTCTTCACTACTGTGAAGATGATGATGCTCAGTTATTCTAAATCCCACCCTAATAAGAACTTCCTAGCAACTGGGAGCTCATTGGACTTCTGTTTTTTTTTTCTCATAAGTATTTCTCTGCCTTATTCATCTGGATATATATATATATATTTTTTTTTTTTTGAGACGGAGTCTCACTCTGTCCCCCAGGCTGGAGTGCAGTGGCGCGATCTCAGCTCACTGCAGGCTCCGCCTCCCAGGTTCACGCCATTCTCCTGCCTCAGCCTCCCAAGTAGCTGGGACTACAGGCGCCTGCCAACACACCCGGCTAATTTTTTGTATTTTTAGTAGAGACGGGGTTTCACCGTGTTAGCCAGGATGGTCTCGATCTCCTGACCTCGTGATCTGCGCATCCCAGCCTCCCAAAGTGCTGGGATTACAGGCATGAGCGACCGCACCAAGCCTCATCTGGATATCTTTAGATGAGTCTGATCCCACTTGGCAGGTAAATTTGGGATATTTGCTCTCAAAGAAGTAGGTATGTAATTTACATGATTATGCAAATGAAACATCACTTCCTTGAGGCAGATCTGCTTGCTCTACCCTGATCGATAACCTTCTTTTTTCAGCACAGCCACATGGATACATATCCATTCAAATAAATTAACATTCCAATCCTGGAAAGCTGATTTCAGAAGAATGAATTGGTAAAATGCTAATAGCAGGTAAAGTGGAGTTCAAACTCACTAATCAAAGAGACATAAATTTAAAACAATTCAGAGCAATCTCTTAGCCATTGAAACTGCAAATCCTTTTGTAAAGGATAACGTTGTGTCAGCTTCAAGGTGATGATGTGGGAATGCCTGCCTAAGCAACACAGCTGGGGCAGTGAAGGCAGAGCATCTGACTTCAAATTCTGAACACTGGCAGTATCCTACTCTATCCCATGAGATAATGTTTAAATAGATCATAGTATGATCTATTTAATAAATAGACAATTATTAAAATTCATGCTCTGTATTAGTCTGTTTTCATGCTACTGATAAAGACATAACCGGGACTTAGTAATTTATAAAGAAAAAGAGGTTTAATGAACTCACAGTTCCATGTAGCTGGGGAGGCGTCAAAATCATGGTAGAAAACAAAAGGCACATCTTACATGGTGGGGGTAAGAGAGAATTGAGGATTAAGTAAAGGGGGTAAACCCCTTAAAAAGCCATCAGATCTCATGAGACTTATTCCCCACCAAGAGAACAGCATGTAGGAAACTGCCCCCATGATTCAATTATCTCCCATGAGCTCCCTCCCACAACACATGGGAATTATGGGAGCTACAATTCAAGATGAGATTTGACTGGGGACACAGCCAAACCATATCAGTCTCTAAGAATAATTAACGATATAGGGAAATGTTCGTGGCATTATACTAAGTGAAGGAATTAGTATACAAAACTGGATACAAAGTATGATCCCAATTTATTTTAAAATATGAATACAAAAATATAGGAGTATGTTTTTGTGTGTTGAATGGCATGTCAAGTGAAGATTCCCTGGATTTACATGTTGAACTAAATTTGCTTAAGCTACTAATTCCATGCCTTATGACAAAGCAAACCTCTTTCTAAGATTTCCTGAGGGATGATATATTCACGGTCATCTCAGCTCCACAATCCTCTTTTTGGTCCTGCATCATTTCAGATTTTAGAGTGTTAGCTCAGCTCCCTCCTCAATTTCTTTAGGTTTTTATTTCTTAGCCCAAACCTCACTATTCAATTTCTACCAAGAAAATAATTACATAAAGAATTCAGGAGTATAATAGAATCAAGCATTTGGAAGAAAGATGCAGGAAAACTTCATACGACAATGTGCAAATCATTACAAACTGAACATTATCATTTTCAAAAATTATGTTAGCTACCTCACCACAGGAAAACTTCCCGTGGCCCATTTGCACATTAAGTCACTCGGTTTCATATTTCATGAGCACATCTTTCCTCATCCTCTCTTTCTTCTCTACCTCTCCTCCATTAGAGCAATAAAATAAATTCTCTCATTTTCCTATGCAAAGCCACTAGACATTCCCTTTTGTAGCTGAGATTCCTGGACAACAGTTCTCTCTAAATCCTGCCTTCTATCCTAGGCTGCTGAACTAGGTATTTCCCAAAGTCAATTCCCACTGTAAGCGTAATCTAGTATACCAATTATTAAAATGGTGGTCCTCAAATCAGCCTGCTCATTGGAATTTGAGAAGTTTTTTGGTCTTATTTTTTATATAAATATTAGTTCCTAGGCCCCTTCAGAAGGTCTGAGGGTGTGGCTTTGTTACAGATTTATCTTTGACATCCATGCAACTCTAGCGTGCAGGATGAAAAGCATGCAGAGTTGAAAAAAAAATGCTGAAATAAAAAGCATTTGCATTGTTACACATATACCATATATCTTTGATTCTATGATGCATTTTTTTACCTCTTGATTTTTTTAAAATTAGGATGCATTTAATAATTTATATCAAAAAGAACTTGCAAGCTGCCAAATAGATTAAGTTGTGACATACTTATCATTTCTTGCAATGCATATGGGAACGGTGCCCAGTCTCTCCAAATATATCATGAAATCTTAAAAGCTTGGAGAGTTTGATGTGACTGATTCATGCATTATGAAGGACTATTATTTAGGCACTGAAAATCCATGAGTAAAAGCTTCTGGCTAAATTTGAAGAGAGGCCTGTGATGTGTAATTCAATAGAAGAAAAAATTATGAGTTTAACAAAATAGGGAATGTGGATAAAATCCCATTACAGTTGACTCTTGAACAATGTGGGGGTTACTGTCTCGGGGTGGCAGAGGTAGAAGACGTAAAGGAGGTGGAAGGGGAGGCAGGAGAGGCAGGCACTCTTGGTGTAATTTGTACTGAAAAAAATCCACATATAAGTTGCCCCATGCAGTTCAAACTTGTGTTGTTCAAGGGTCAACTGCATTGTTTACTATACTTTGACATTAGGCTATATAGATACAGATGTCAAAGAGATCAAGATTTGAAGCACACATTATAGGAGCAGCACAAAACAGAGATGATATGCAGAATTAAGACTGGCCCAAAGTGATTCAGAAGAAACTTTAAACTCATGATGAGAAGGAAACTCATTCTCAAGTGTTATGCAAAGAAAATGGTACACAAATGCCATTTTTTTAGGAAAAAAAGAAATATACTTTTAACTTTGTTTTTCTTGAAATGTAATAAATAGGCTAGGCACAGTGGCTCATGCATGTAATCCCAGAATTTTGGGAGGCCGAGGCAGATCGCTTGACTCCATGAGTTCGAGAACAGCCTGGGCAACATGGCAAAACCCCATCTCTACAAAAAATATAAAAATTAGCTGGGCATAGTAGTGCATGCCTGAAGTCCCAGCTACTTAGGGGACTGAGGCAGGAGGATTACTTGATCCCAGGAAGTCAAGGCAGCAGTGAGCCAGGATTGCACCACTCCACTCCAGCCTGGGTGAAAGTGAGATCCTGTGAAAGAGAGAGAGAGGAAAGAAAGGAAAGGAAAGGAAAGGAAAGGAAAGGAAAGGAAAGGAAAGGAAAGGAAAGGAAAGGAAAGGAAAGGAAAGGAAAGGAAAGGAAAGGAAAGGAAAGGACAAGGAGGGGAGGAGAGGGGAGGGGAGGGAAAGTGATAAATAAACCAATATCCCATTTTATAACAGATAGTACCTTAGAATTGAAGAACTATACCACATGTAGATATTCATAATCATAGAAAAACAACTGGAATGAAATGCATAAAATATTAGCAGTTGTTAAGAAATAGACACAATAATTTTTATTATCTTCTTTGTTTTACTTTCCAAATGTTCTAAGGAATATAGGTAACTTTTGTAATGAGGAAAATCAGGGAATTTTATTAAAACAAATATGGCAGCACAGGCATGTCCCTTTCTATCTCTCACTTCCCCTAAAAAAAAACCATTGGACAAAAATACAAATATCAAAATAAAAGAGATAAAAAAGCCAAAACTAGATTTCAGAGGACTTAAGCTGTAAGCCTTTTAACAATGACATTTTTGTTTTTTGAGTGAAGTCCAAAATGTAAATGATTGTTAAGATTGTCTCCATACTCTTTCTCCATACCCCAAACAATCTTTAATCAAACCCGGAGCCCAGTTTACCAGAATGTCGTTAAAAATGCCAGAAAAAAAAGAGGCTAAGAAGCTGTCCACCTTCTCCCTTTCCAGCATCTCTCATCCAAATGGCAGGCTGTGAAACACACACTTAATTTGATTGGTATTAATGCATGCACATAGATTCCAAAATGTCAGCAAGATGCATTTGCTTTCAAGTTATATTAATTCTGCTGATTACAAAGAGTTGGGTAAATAAATCTTAGTTATACACCAAATATGTTTTAAGGTCCTATCAGATACATGCCTACAATTTTTCTTCTCTACTGCCTCACTTTCATTTATACAGGTATACATTTGACAAAAACTATGCACCAGGCACTATTCTAGGCCCTGGGAAAAGAGTAATGAATGAAACAAGCAAAGTCCCTGCCTTCAATCAGCTTATATGAGGCTGGGGTGAGAGAACAAACCAGAAACAAATAAGCGCATTGAATATAATAATAATAATAAAAAAGAACACCTGGATGAGAAATGCCTGGGGCCAGGCAGGGAGAGAGGAGCAAAGACAGATAGTTTAGTTAGAATGTTCAGGGACTTCCTCTGAGGAAGTCACATTTGCACTGAGACTGGAATGATGACAAGGAGGTAGCCTGCAAAGGATCTGAAGAAGAGCATTCCATGCAGGGGAACAGCAAGGACAAAGGCTGACCATGAAGTGGAATAAGCTTGGTGTATGCACAGAACAGAGTGAGAGAAGGGGAAGGGCTAGAAGGTGAGATCAAAGATTTAAGCAGGAGACAGATCATGTAGGGCAGAGCAGGCCATAGGATAGAGCTGGAATCTTATTCTACTTGTTATATGAAACCTTTGGAGTAATATGATGTGATTGATGTGCCTTTTAAAAATTTATAGCACAATAAGGAGATAAACTTTATTCCTCCTCTGATCTGTTCACGCCTTCAGAGATAAACTAGAATGAGAATATTTTAGAACAAAGTCAGAAAACCTGAAATCAAGACCTATCTCTTCCATCTAGACGCTGCATTACCTCAATCTAGATATTTAGTCCTCCGGTCTCAGTTTTCTCATTTGTAAAATGGAAATACTACATCGTAGTATTGAAATGAGATGAAGGATTTAAAATCACCCATATAGTGTTAGTCAGAATGTCAAGTCCCTCTTTCTTTCCCTCGTTCCTATGAAGAACAGGAGACAGGTACACAGAGGAGGGAATCTGAGGAACCTGCAGAGCTGATGGGATAAGGGAGGCAATGGGAGCATATCCTTTGTTGTAGATTGGCTTCCTCCAAAGCAGACTCTGAAACAAGGATACGAGTTGCAGTAGTTTGTTTGGGAGATATCCCAAGAAGCACCATTAAGGAAGTAGAGAACTAAGAGAGGAAAGGGAAAGAAGCCAGTCAAGAGAATATTATGAAGCATGATACCACTATGGGCAAATGGGGGCTCAATCATCTGAGGGAATACAGGAAAGCAGTGTAGAACACACCTTGGATTTTTCCCACCTGGAGAGCAAGGGGGCTTGGTGTTTACCCATCAAGTCCCTCGGTCCCAAGGGCTATACTTCCTCTGTACTTAGCCTTACTTCCAACCTGTCCTGCCCTTGGGCTGAGAGATCTTCCACAGCCAGAGGAAACTCTAAGCAAAGAGTCACAGGTCCTTGCAGATAGAAGCCATAGGATAGGCAGGCACAGGAATGGTGGGTGCCCAGCAGATGTGGCTGGGCTCTGGAAGCATCTGCCATAACCTCAGTCCCTTCTCAAGCATACTGTGAGGCCCCTTGGATAGGAAAGACCTTTTTGTTGTCTGAACTGCAAGGTGATTTTCTCCAGTCGGTGACAACCCCTGGGAATGCTACATGTGATAATGCCCACTGACTACACCACCAGGGGCCCCATAAAAAGATCCTTCCAGAAGGGCAAAAAGTGTGGGCACAACATCTCTACTCACACCTGCAGGACAACTCATAGTCCTGGCCTCCTTTTGGACCAGGTTCCTGGTTTTTAAACAAAAAATAGTTTGAACCTGTTAGGAATTCCACCTCTAGGGAAATTTTCCATAAACAGCCTTTCTGCTTAAGAAAAAGTTGAAATCAATATGCTTTGAAAATAACCAGGCTTTGCTAAGTTTGGTCATTGGGTGGTATTTATTATTTTGCTATATCAAATGACAAGACCAAGAGCCAGCATTTATTCAGAGACTTTTCCATACATCAGGAAAGAGAGGCACATAGCTAACATAGTATAAATAAGAACTACAAATTGACCTGTAATACAATAAAATAGAACATGATAGAGCCAGATGTCATCTAATGGAACTCTACTGCATTTGAAATGACATAATGTAGCCCAAGAAAGAGCATGCCTAATATCTTTGAGGATTAACAATACAAGCCTTGTGCAGTGAACTATGGTGGTGTCACTGCACTGCAGCCTGGGTGATAGAGCAAGACCCTGTCTCAAAATAATAAAAATAAAAATAATAATAAAAGTTTTCACTTATTGAGCATTTATTATACGCCATGCACATTGCTACACTCTTTATCTACTTTAGCACATTTAAACCTCACAATAACATTGAGATAAGTATTCCCATTTAAGAAATTAGGAGAGAAATTAGAGCGCTCACATTTAACCTGCTTTTAAATTCCCCAAGCTATAATCAAGGCTATAGCTTGCCCTGGGTGCTGTTACTGAGAGATGCTCCTGCAAATGTCAATAACCAGCTATGGCATTACATACTGGAAAACTAATAAAGTATCCCTGAGCCCTGTCCTATCAACAGATGCCAGATGAGTGAAACCTGAAGTAATGTCGTCTATCAAGCATCTTAGGTCCTCTTTTTCTTATGGGCTGATGGAAGCTCATTCACACTTTTGGTTTTACTTTTTAACTGTCAATTATACTCGTTCTGGGTGTCTAAAAATGACTTCATTAAGGGAAGGCTGTTCAAATATTTCTAAAATCAAATGAAACATAAGACCAAGTATCATTTCAAATGAAAATCATTCTTAATTCTTTACCCCCTCAATTGATTTCACGACGAGAATAGAAGATATTTTTCTGACAGCAGAAAACCCAAGAGGTCTTTGATTCCTCATTTTCACAGAATAAAGCATGTAAACAAAAATCATCTTTTAAGTGCTTTATTTGATGTGCCTTTTAAATAGAATTATCAAGTTGGGTTCTCTACGGATTGGCTCAAAATTAACTGCACCTCATTTTCCTTCACTAGGGACCAAAAAATGTGAAAAATATCCACTAGCAACACCCCCACCCTGTCATAGGACAACTTGCTAGTGAAGATGAGAAGAGGCTTTTAAACACAGCAAGATACTAAGTAGTGAATTCTTTCATTTTACAAATCTATTCTCTAGGTAAAAATATTTGCTACGAGAGAAAGCTACACTTGTCATTTCTAGTAAATTCCACCTTTTGGCTCCTTCCCTCTGTTGCTTTTTCCTTTTCTCCCTCTTTATCATCTTCTAAAACCAGAGGACCTACTTGTCCCTTCACTTATTTCTTAAGTCTAAAACCCTTGCACTCACTCTCTGTCAATAGATACAACTCTACTACACATGCCCTCAGTACAGTGACTTTGACAGGTGAGGCCTAGATACAGGCCTCCCATTGGATTACTTATCTATTGCTGCACAGAAAATCATTCTGAAACTCAGTGGCTGCCAGCAGACAAGTCTCCATTCAATGCCTTGTGTGTGTTGTGAGCAGAGACACTGACAGCTTTTGGCCCAGACTCTTTTCCAGAATATTTACACAGCAAACAATGTTGGAAGATAGAGATAGTGTATCCCTTTGGGACAGAGGCCAGATTTGTTTGCCATCCAGTATCATAAAGTTAATGTCTCCTGCCAGGACAATGTTTGAGCAGATTTTCTTGAAGTACTTTTATAGAAGATTGGGATTTCCTAAGATGAGGGTCTTCAGTTGTGAGGCAAACCCACTGTGTGTATAGCATCCACCTGTGCCCACCCTCACATCACCCTTTTAGGGTTTAGGGTTTAGGGGCAAGAGAAACCAATGTAAACATGAGCTCATGCTGACTGCTGTGCTGTAAATAATACAAGTCTTTTTTCTCTGACTCAGGAGTCATGACTTCTACTGATATTCATAAAACTGTCTTGAGTAGAAAACAAAAATTTGTTAGTGTGCAAGGAGGGTAAAATCTCAGATCCTTCTCAGTTTTTGACAGGATTTCAAACAATAAACACTTACTTTCCCACTGTTTCTGAGAGTCAGGAATCTGGAATTGACTTACCCAGGTGGCTCTGGTTCAGGGTCTCTCATTAGTTTCCTGTGAAACTGTCAGCTGGGGCTGCAGTCATCTGAAGATCTGATTGGGCTGGAAGACCCACTTCCATGAAGACTTTTTCACATGGCTGTTGCATGAAGGCCTCAGTTTCTCACCATGTGGGCTTCTCCACAGAGCTGTTGGAGGGTCCTCAAGACATGGCAGCAGGCTTCCCTTAAAGCAAGTGATCCAAGAGAGATGTGGTCAAAATAGAAGATGCAGCATCTTTTTGTAATCTTAAAAATGACATACCATCACTTCTCCCATATTCTGTTGGTTACACAAACCACAGCACACTGTGGAGGAGAACTACTCAAGTGTGTGCATATCATGAGGCTGGGGTCTTTGGGGCCATCCTGGAGGCTGTCTACCACACCCATGTTGTTGGGTAAGCACCACACTAATCCACAAGAAATTTAGTTGGCTTTACCAGATGCTTTAGCACTAGGAGAGGGTAGAACTGATGTAAGAATGGCTAATAAGAAAGAGTGAACAAGGTCATGAAATTTAGAAGTGATTCCCAAAGAGATTATTTCAGCAAGGATATAAACCTTTGGAAGAGCCTAGCAAAGAGAGGACCAATTTAGTATGTTTTCCCTATGAAGGGCAATGGAACAAAGGGATTTGCTTCGATTTTCTTTCTAAGACAGTTGACATCCTCAATTCAGTCTCAAGGAAAATAAAGACTCACCCATTGCCACCTATTCTCCCTTCTTTCTTCCTGAGGAAAGCAGCTCCTCCCACAACAGCTCTCCCATTTTCTCATTTGACCTCCCTATAAAGGTGGGAGCATTTTTCTCATTTTGCATAAGGGTTTGCCAATGCCACCCAACATGCACATTACTGTGCTGTATCCAAGTGGACACTTTTACTATTTCTGATTCCAGAAGAAGCATGTCTAACAATGGAAAACATGTACACTGAGGACATCTGAAAAGGAAGACGGAGGGTAACAAAATGGAAAGGGTGTGTGTCTGTGTGTGCACATGTGAAAGGAGGTTCTACTAGGAGTCAGGGAAGAATTAGCAATACACAATGCAATTCTAATTCACATTTCTCTTGTTCTATACTATGGAGGAGGACAGGGCAGGAAAAGAAATGTGAGGAAAATTTGACTTAATGCTGACTGCAACTTGCAAGCAATAACACATAATATGGAAATGTTTGCCTGGAAAAAAAACACAGAAATATTGTGCATGTGTAGCATGTTGTGTGTGATAAGGGAGGGCTCTGGGGACTTTCAAAAATAAAATGCAATGGTCTTCATTTTAGCAATCAAATGTTTTTGAGCATCTTCCATAAGCCAGACTCTGTGCTAATTCCATTCACATTGAATTTTCATTCAGGACAGCCTTGTGAGGCAGGCATGATCATCCCATTTGACAGGTGAGAAAGGAAAATGTGGCTTAGAGAGAATGTGACTTGCCCTACGTGACAGTTAGTGACAGACACAATATTCAGAAGTACATGCTCTTGTACATCTCACTAGCTCTTTGACAAAACAGGGATGTCTGTTACTTGAAATGGTGAAGAAGAGAGATGCCCAAATCTGAAATCTTTATTGAGACCACAAGTATTTCTATAACTGGGAGAGAATGAAATACACAAAAGAAGTAACAGTGAAGATAATTATACATTTTCCTAAAAGAGGGCCGAATGCACATCCGTTTACATAATCTTTGTCTTCAGCAAACTGTTCCATAGGGTTTCCTCCTCTAACAGTTCAGTGCCTTTGAGTCCTTGAAAGAGGGCTGGTAACAAGCCAAACATGAATGAAGAAAAGGAAGCTCCAAACCCCCACAAAAAGACCCAAGACACCTTGGCCAGAATCCTACTTCATAGGTTCTTCCCTGGAGTGTGCCCAGCTCTGGATGTTGGCCAAGCACATTCATCTGGATGGGGCTTGCTGTCAGGAAATACATTAGAGGACTCCACTCTGACATCTAAACAGTCTTGTGGAACTTTCGCCAGCATTCTTACCTCTGTGGGTATACCAAGTAATTGCCAAGAAAAATGCTAGTAATGGCAATGAACTTCCCACAAGTGAGCCTTCAATTTAATTTTTACAGTCACAGTGATAAGGAAGAGACTCTGGAACATTGATCTAGACAGGGATGTAAGATGCCCGGCTCCATATTTTGCAAACCATCTGTGGCCAATGGGAGTCTACTACTTTCTCTCAGTCTCCCCAGAGTCCTTCTTGGATGTTCAGAGACCACTTGCTTTCAGAGGCACATTAAACATGGCTCACAAGGAAGATCCATAGCCATGAGTGGAAAGACATCTCTCATCTGAGCGATAATATTTTAATTGTTACCAAAGATAAATGACCTGGCTCAGAAATAGCCAAGTACACATGTAGTTGAGGGTGAGAATGAAGTAGTATCATGCATGATGCTGTTCTTGTGAAAATCATTAGAAGACTCTAAAATTATTTTCTTTGAGACTTTTCTCCAATGGAGGAAATTAAATGAGGAATCCTAATTCTTAAAATACCATGCAAAGCCTACAATGCATGGTGCTTTGGTGTCTGGCTGGTGAGATTTCACACACACAATAGATTGTCTCCTTGGGGGGAGCATGGTATACTGGAAAGAGCATGAACTGTGAGGTTGGACAGCCCTGGATTTGCATCTTAGCTCCATATTAATAAACTTTGTGGCCTGGGAAATTTATATAAAGTCTCTGAGACTGTTTCCTTCTTAATACAACTAGAATGATAATTCCTACTTCCTATAGGCTTTGGTAATACCTACCCATGAGAGAGCATAGGTAAACTATCTAATACAGAATCTTGTATATGCTGGGTCCTCTATAAACCATAGCAATGAATTCCCTCCATTCATTTTCCAAGTCCCTAAGTGCAAAACCTTGGGGTACACATTCAAGAAAAAGTCTTTAAGATTTTGAAACCACAGGTAAACTAAGTCTGCAAAGAATCACATCTTTCAAATGGAATTAGATAAGTCATAGGGTATTTAACAGGGTGCTGGTCTTAAAGAGAATAGAAGATTTAATTTGGTTTAGTTCCTTTGGCATTTGCAGGTGAAAACCACCACAAATTAATTAGCACGTCTTCATTTGCTTGAGGATGATTAATAATACTCAGGGAAAGAGGTTTTACATAATTTATCAGTCTGACACAGCCCAACACCTCTAAAGTTCCAAGAACTTCCAATTCCAGCTGGTCTGTGACACTTAAAAACTAGCTGCAAAATGGCACCTCTCTTGTAGACAGTACATTTGCTGTTGTTCTGAAGTGAGGGGAGGGAAATACAATTACAAACTTCCAGGCTACTTTCTTTCTAGTTTGGGAAAATGGTACAAACAAACCCTTTCTACATAAAACAGCTATGACTTGATCACAAGTAATTCACTCATTTCACCCAATAGGTTGATCACCTATTAGGTACAGGTACCTAGATGCTACTTTTTCTTCTCTCCACCAAAAATCTTTGTGGGCTCCCAGCTAGCAGGGCTGACTCTTTTGATGCAAGCAGCACCTGTGTGAGGTAAGTCTTTCGGTATTGTCGAAAATGTCCTTGCCCCAAACACTCAGTGGACTACAATGCACTGAAAAAGATATGAAGTGAGGCAGTTTGTGAGCATGACTCATCAACAGACAACAGGAAACCAAAAGCAAATTTTATTAGTATTTCTGAATCCAAATTGGAATGCTGCTGGCAAAAATATCTTCGTTAACTATGGATGGCCCCAAAAGTGAATGAGAAGGAGGAATCCCAAGAGCAACAACTGTCTTGAAATATTTGGAAGAAGATGTGTGGGGAAAAATGTGAAATTTAAAACAGAAAATAACATTTGTCTTCCTAGGCCTGTGTAGAGCCTGAATTAAACCAGCTGACATAATCAGAGGCCAGATGGGCTAACTGTCTGAATTTAAGAGAGAAGCCTTCCACCCTGTGTGAAAAGTTCAACAAAATGAACTATATAACCTCTAAGATTCATTCCCAATCTAAGACTCTAGGAATCTGACTAGAGCTCAAAACAAAGAAGTAATTCCATTTCTTCCTTGAAACCTATCTTCAGATTGACTGTCTCCACCCTCAATTCCAGTTATTCACCTGGCATTATAAAGCTCAATATTTACAACAACTGCCACTTGGAATTCTTTCAGGATGCCAACTCAGATGGGTTTCCTAACCAAGATCATCCAATGCTATCTCAGTTGAGACTTTCTCTCTCTCTCTCTTTTCTTTTTTTTTTTTTTTTTTTGAGACAGGGTCTTGCTCTGTCACTTGGGCTGGAGTACAGTGGTGCAATCATGGCTCTCTACAGCCTTGAAGTCATGGGGTCCAGCGATCCTCCCACCTCAGCCTCCTGAGTAGTTGAGACTACAGGCGTGTGCCACCATACCTGGCTAATTTTTTTACTTTTTGTAGCGACAAGGTCCCATTATGTTAGCCAGGCTGATCTTGAACTCCTGGGCTCAAGTGATCCTCCTATCTCAGCCTCCCAAAGTACTGGGATTACAGGCATGAGCCACCACACCCAGCCTGAGACTCTCTTATTGTAATATTATAAACCAACTTAATCTGCCTTTAATCTAAGGGAGAATTAAATGGAAGCACATTGAACTTCTCATGGTTTTCAAGCATAGAAAAGTATAGTAAAGGGGCAGAAACTGAGGCCTGGGCCATCTAGGAAAGTGAGTTTAACTAGGTAGTGGCCTTTCTGCGTCTGTCATCTTGGTCTTTCCAAGAATCAGCCTTATTTTTATTTATTTATTTGCTTGTTCTTTCTGTAGACTCAGTTTCTCTAATTCCATGTCTACATGGCAAGAAATATGACTCCCAAATTTGCATCATGTCAGATTCGGCATCAGTCAAGGGCATCTCATTGGCCCAGAATGAATCAGGTGCCTACCTCTCGTCACATCACCTCTGGCCAAGGGGTGGGATGAGGTACTACAAACATGGCTGCTGAGGGCCCATCCCAGTGGAAGATGCAAAATGGCATGGAAAAGAAAGGTGGTCCTCAAGAAAGGAAACACCGGGAGCTGCAAAAAAAAATTCCTAACAGAAGTTCACTACAAGTATATTCCACTAAAACAGTAAAATATTGCAAGGTCTTACTTATTTTTTTCTTCAATCTGGTAAATAGTGAAGGTTGCTGTGGCTTCTATTTGTATCATATCTAAAGTAACTATGTCAATTTTACAGGTACATCGATTTCTTATACTTTAAAGTGACACTTGAAGCATGATTTAAAATTTCAAGTTACAAATAATCAATATTTGCCCTGAGGGAATCCTCAGGCTGTTTTAAAAACCAGAATTCTATAATCCTCTGGTGTCTTAGAGCTCTAGGAAAAACAAGTTACCCTCTTAAAGAAGCGCCTATGGTTTTTCTTCTCCTATAAAGAAGAACTTCGCTTAATGACCCCATGTTACTGGATGGGGTAGGCTCCTCCAAGGGGAATGGAAGTAGTTATTTTTTATTTCCAAAGACATTCAGAAAAATGCTCCATATATAGTTTTCTGCTGTCTGACTTACAGAAAATGTGGCTCTATTCACACTAAATGTTGATCTCAATATCTTTTAGGTGGCTAAAGGCTTTGTGGGGTAGAGGAGAGTATAGATAACAGTTGACAACATCAACCTAACCAAAAAAAATTAAAACAAAACAAAACACCACTTTTCCATCAAATGAACAATTTGCTTTCAAATGGGTAAAAGATGTACAGAAACTCCATCAAATGGCAAATAACGCAAAGACACTCAACCTCAACAGTCATTACAGAAATGCATATTAAAACAATGATGATATACCAATAAACATCTATAATAATGATTAAATTAAAATCGATAATATTAAGTGCTGTCAAGAATGTGGAGTACTGAAAATCTCATCCATTTTTGGTGAAAATTTAAAAATGTAAACTTACTTTGGAAAACAGTGCAGCAGTTTCTTAGAAGGTGAAGCATGTACTTACCACACAGCTTGGCCTCCTACTTGTTATTGACCCAAGTGAAATGAAAACTATGGTCACTTGAAAACCTGTACAGAGGTGACTTTACATATAATTGCCAAAAACTGGAAACAATCCAAACATCTCCCTAATAAGAATTGAATAAACAAACTTTAGTGCATCTATAGAATACTTAGCAGCAAAAAAGAAACAAAATGGCTGATACATACAACAACATAGATGAATGTCAAATGCAATATGTTAAGTGAAAGCAGCCAGACCCAAAAGGCTACATATGATTCCATTTATAGGACATTCTGGAAAAGGCAAAACCACAGACACAGAAAACAGATCAGTGGTTTTCAGTGACTGAGAAATTGAATACAAAGGGACACACACATTTGGAGGGTGAGGATGGGACTGTTGTATATTTTGGTTGGGTGTTACTTCTATGACTGTACACGTTTATCAAAACTCACAGAACTGTACACTAGGGTAGGTTTAACAGTATTAAATTATATCTTAACAAAAAGGTAAAAAAGTAAGATTTTTGCTCTGAAACTTTGGACTATTTTTAAAGGAAAATCTCCAAAGTGAACAACAGTGAGTTAAATAGGAATTAATACTCAATATGCTTTAGCTGTTGATAAGCGTGTACATTGTGGCCCTTTCAACTGTTTTAAACTCAAAAGACCAAGACACCCGCATAAATGCCACCTTCATGCATTTATGAAGTAAAAAACGAAAACCCTTCCTTTGACTTGAATGTGTTCACCTCTACAGCCTTCTTTTTGAGACAAGCGCTCTTTTATCTTGATGGGTTTACCACCTAAATGGAGAGAGGCCATGCATTTCTTACTGGCAATGTCAAAACTGAAGGTTCTCTTCTCAATGTTAAACTCCTCACTTAACAAGAGGGAAAACCTGCCTCTTATTTTCTCTGCCAGATAACTTTTCCCCAACCTGCACTTGAATTCAACTGTCTAAAGTCCAAACAGCTGAAGATGATGCAGGGCTATTCCAATCCACATTGTTCTGCACCACCTCCGGAAGGAATCATTACCCAGCTACTGTAGAGAGAGAGGTCCAGCCCATCAGCCATCTTCTGGATGACATATATGTGCTCTATTAATATCACAAGATGCTTCCCCTCAGCATTCACCTCTTAAGAGTGCATTTTAATCCCGATAAATATTCACAGCTGACACCTTCCATATGCCACGTAGGCTAAAATGGAACGAACGAGTGCTTCAGAGATGATGTTTGAAAATGATGCACTGCGTAGGAGCTCCTACAAATTTCCGCTTTATTGCAGGAACCAGAGGTTAGCATTAAGAAGACTGCCATTTGCTTCTCCAATTTGTAATGCTATTAATTATTCTTGCTTTTTAATCTGCTCTACACTTAGTAGCATCACAAAGCTACAATACAGGGATTTGGTAAGTGAAGACTTCAGATAAACCCACACTCTCTAGAAGTACTGGTTTTAATTCCATCAAAGAAGGCAGAGCTCAGAAACTAGACTCTGCACCTCTCAGCAGTACATGTTTAAATTGGTGTGGAGTGGGAATGGAGTACAAAGTTGGGATGGGGGAAACAAAGACCAAAGTTCATGATGTAAATGTCACTGAAAAAAAAAGTAACTGTGAATGTCCTGGAAGTTTGGCAAGACTTTCCATCTGGGTCCCTCTGGCTGTGCTAAACTACCACAACCCTAATCGAATTTAAGTGCCAGCCTACCACCAGCCACAGCATGTCAGATCTGACGTCAGAATCCTACTGTCCTCTGACCTACAGGGATGCTGTGAGCAGTAATTAATGTCCGTTAAGTGGCGAGTCATCCTTACTCAGCTGCGTTCTGTCAAGTCCTAAGCAGACAGCTGCAGAACCCATGACTCAGAGCACCTCATCAGACCATTTCTGCTCTGAGGAAAAGAGGTGACCTCAACTCCAGTGGTCCACAGTGCAAAGGCCACGACACTGAAGGGCCTCTTGCCACTGTAAATGGTGTCTCCAAGATGGATATACGCCCTGGTTAGAGGTGCCAGGACTGGGCAAGCTGGGCAGAAATGGTTGTTGCTTGATAGAAGGCTTCAGAGTTCAGAACAATTAAATAAACGTAGACAGGTCTGAAGGATAGAAATATTGCCAGAACATTCTTAATGCAAGTCAGAGAGTGAGTGACGATCTACAGTGACTTTCTCCTGCTTTCCAAAGAGCCAACCCTATTCCCCTATGCTGAGACTCTGAATTCATGCGGCCCTGACTAGGACTATTGAATATTAAAAGAGCTAAAATACTCTGAAGGAGAAACTGCCATTTGTTAACTTCTGCATAGTGCCAAGTTCTTTAATTACATCCATAGCATAGCACCTGACACATGATAGGTGCCAAAAAATCCAACGCTTAAATAACACTTGTCGAATAAATGGGGTGAATGAATTCCCATTAAATTTTGCAATAATTCCAAGTAACAATTTACACGTGGGGAAACTAAGGCCCATAGACATCACAGAACTCCTCATAGTCGCAAAGCTATTAACGTTGGAAGAGCTTAAATTGAAATGGGTTTTTCTGACTCTAAAATTCACACTAATTCCTACCTCTGGTAATTTATTCTGTTAATGCTGACATTACCCTAAATGATGTCACCTGCTGTTAAGAGACCAGGAGTTAGCCTCCTCACCCAGATTGTTTGGGTCAAAATGTCCACAGCATCCTCTTCCCAGCATCCTCTTCTATCAATGATTGGTCATAGAATTTCCTTCACATGTAATTATATGTTGATGAGAGAGGAATAACACCCCACAGTTCTTGTTTAGGGGCACTTATTCCACCCTCTGTAGATCTACATAGATTCTGTTTATATGTCCCTGTCTATGGAAGTTAGTAAGAGACAAAAAAAAACTTTATGGTTTCTTTCTCCTCCCTTCTTTCATACCTCCCCTCAAAAGAGTTACCAGCGATTGCAGAGCCCAATCCGTCAAGCCACACACTGGTGTGGGGAAGAAACAAAAGTGAGGTATCATCTCCATTTCCTCTGTCTACACTGCCCCCTGCATGCTGCAGTAAGGATTTCCAGGGTTCCTTCTTGGTTTTCTAGAAGTGGCAAGCTCACTATCTGGTGCATGAAAGTCCTCCACAGCCTTTCTACCTTCCCTGCAGCTCTTGACACTGCCAGCAGCAGACATTGGGAGGAGAGCAGTGGTTCTCCCTGCATCAACTGTAGGAACAGATCAGTCTGCTCAGCAGAGCCAGCTCACCCACAAGTGGAAGCATTTCTCCAGATTCCACCTTAGCAGTAGGTCCCCATTGCATTCTCTGACCTGCCTTTACCCTGGCCTTTGGCAACTAAGGGGCCCCCATTAATAAAGCTAATATTTTGATCTGGCTTTCTAGAGCATACCTAAGCCTGAGGGCCAAAGGTTAGGGGTTAGAGGCAGGTGCTCATCAATCACTACTCTTCCTTCCAAGATTCTGATAAGTTGACATTGCGCATGAGTCCCTTGATACCAGCTTTAAAGGCTGAGAACCCAGACTGTGATATTTTCCTCATCTCTCTTAAAATATGATTATGCAAATTTTCTTTTTTTTTTCCTCTCTGCATTGCCTCTTTTTCTTGGAGGGTGGATAGATCCTGTTTTTTGTTTTGGTTCCTTTACTATATACTGGAAGAGTTCTTCAAATATCTTGTATTTCTTGCTTGGTCATTTAGATTTAGAAACAAATTATTAAAAGTTGATTGGATATACTGTGTATGTATATTAGACTTGTCAATTTGTGATTCTTAATACTGGGTGAACATCTTAAAAACTGGCTCTTTTATTTGGTATAACCCCAATTTCTTCCAGAGAAGAATTATCCAATCCACTGCTGGATCTACTCTTATGCCTATACATAAGATTTCTACAAGCTCTGTAAGAAAGGGCAGGCGGGGGTGAGAGGGTAATGGTGTTCTATTCAATGTGTATATTTTTATTAAATCTTTCCCATTTTCAGCTTTGTGTTTTATCGCTAACACCCTGCCTCTCTGTACCTCATGGCCAGTGCGGTGATGGCCTGGCTGGGTGAGGGGAGAAGAGTACTGGGAAGTCTGCAGGCACTCTGCTCTCAGACTCAATGCCCCTGGTTTCAACTCTGCACTTCATCCCTCCCTCCAGGTCCTGGGACGTTCTGGAGTTCTGCAGCACTGACTGAAGCTCCCCCCATCTGAGGACACTCAGGTTGTTACTGTCCCTACCTTGTTCAGTCAGCCACCCTCTCCACATTCCATCTTCCTAAAATATATAGAAAGTTTTCATTAGCAGTTGTCTCCTTTGCTCTTCTCTCTATGCTTATGGGTTTATATATATTTTATTCCTCTATAATTGTTTTCATGGGGTTTGAGAAGGGAGAGAAAATTAGTCACATGCACTCAGTCTTCAGGCTGCCTTTTCACAGGTATTACTTCCAGTGTTGAGGGAATAGATCAAGAATTGAAAGCAATAAGGGAGCGCCCAAATATGGCCCTATATATTACAAACAGTTGTATCCACAGTTCTCAGAGCAGGGGAGCCAGACAGCAGTGACTCCCTTTAGTGCATGGTAAGAACCTCCACCTTTCCTAGAGGTGGAGGCATGGCCACCCACAACTCTTTTGTACATGCCTGCCCTGACATGGCAAACCCAACCTTGAACCCTCTCAAGTCATCACCACAGCCTCTGCCACAGGGATTGGGAGTCCTCATGCTAAGGGAACCTAACAATCTGGAATTACTGGGGTTGGTATTCAGATAGAACTAACTGTGGCCTCACTTTCCTTTGTAGTTTCTGGCCCAAGCCTCATCTTTAGTTCTGAGCCCACTCAGTAGCCTCCAAGAAGAGCATCAAAGATCCTTTTACGGAACCAACATTGGCCTAAAATTTGAAAGAAGTCAGAGATCGGGTTGGTATAGTGTTTGATGGAAAAGGAGCTGAGTAAACACACTGACAGGAAGAAGGGCAGGCGGCTGAGAGTATGTCAGCCTGTGGGAGCAGGGACCTCGCCATAGGAACAGACAGACAGCAGGAAGCTCTGTGGCAGAGCTCTTTCTAGTTAATTATAAGAGCAGAGGGCCTGGGCAAGGAGAAAAGCCTGAGATAGAGGTGCCATTTTCAGGGGAGTTTCTAAGATACCCTAAAAATAATTTTTTTCTCTTTTTCTCTTTTCCTTTAACCTTTCCACCTCTCTGCTTCCTTTGTTTCTCTTTCCCTGTCTGCATTTTTCATTCTCTTTCCAACATTTTTTTTCTTTCTCTCTCTGTTCCTCTTTTGAAACTTGACAGGATTATTTGGTGCCTGATAAAGATATTCCACACCAACCTCAAGTCCTCAGAGAATATTTTCAACACAGCCATTTCTAGGTCCTGGAAATTAGAATTTACAAAGAAAGTGCTGACAAAAGCCTTAAGTAGGGCAGCCCTGTTCAGCCCCAACCTCATTTAATCAGCTTTCCTAGAGCCAGGCCCAGAAAACAGGATAAACTTCATCATAAAGCTTTTCCCTCATTTTTTACCCACCTACTTCTCATCAACCTATTCATAATGAGCAATAAATGAATCCCGGCCACAAAGCCCCAGACCTGGGCTTAGCATTTTGCTTCACAAAAGACAGAGCTTTCCACATTAATGCCTTTTGCTTTCTGTCATAGACTTCTTGGAAAAGGCATTCTTCTCTATTTTGGGAGAAAAACAAGCCAAAGGGCTTGAGATAGCGAAGATTTAGTGAGTCCTTACTATGTGCAGGCCTCAGCATTTTACATGCATTATCTCATTTAGTTCTCATGGTGACTCTAGGGAAAAGATTCTATTTTTATTCCCTTTTACATATAAGGAACCAGAGACAGAGAGCTATTCACCAAGTTTGAGCAAGAGCACACAGTGAGTGTCTGGTACAGTCAGGACTTGCATCTAAGCATTCTGATTCCCAGGCTCATGTGACTCACTGCACCGAACTGATTTTTTCCTACCCTCTATTCCAATTCTTTGCCACCCCAAACTTATTTCATTTGGTCAGACCAAATCAAGCATATTTAGGGCACAGAGAGCATTCGAACATAGAAAAAGCTTAGGCCTGTTCCCTCCACATATCTCAGCAACCTGCCGCCAACAAACCCAGGTAAGCAACGGCAAGAATTAGCTATACTTTGCTGCACTCCCTTTATCTCACCCAGGGCTGAATTGCAACATCTAATCCTGCTTGAGTAAGAGCAGAGCTTGATACATAAATTTGGAAGTTGTTAACAGATGACATTTGAAACCAAGTGAATAGAGACAGCTGCCCAAACACAGAGGCTAACAGGGCAAGGCAAAGCCTTGAGGAGATAATTTAGGAGGAAAAAGCAAAATTGGGACTATGTAAAGATTAGTGAGCACTAGCAGAGAAGGGAAGATTTTGTTAAATTATAGATTAGCTTCAAGATGGCTGACTACAGACATTGAACACTCACCCTCTCCAGAAAGAACCAAAATTGTGAATAGATAATCACACCTCAAATAGAACACCTAGGAGTGAACACTGGAGTTCAACAGAGAAGTCACAGGAAACACCTGAGGCACAGAAGGAGAAATAGGTAAGCAGCTAGCTTGGCTAGCTTGGTAGGGACACAGAGCAACTCTTATTGTGGAAAAAGTGTAAGAGAGAGATGTTCAGCAGTCACATTCCCACTACAATCTGCTGCAATCCTGACCAAGAGAGAGCTCCTCTATCCACACAAACCCTGGCACTAGCACGGGCAGGTAGTCTAGAGGCCCAAGGGCCCTCTAGCAGACAGATGACTTGTGCTGGCTGGATCACTCACAACCCCAAGACCCAAGCAGCTGCAGCACAGCACCACTGGGAGAGCGTAACTGTCACCAGACAGCATCCTTCCCTGGAAACCACAGACCCCATATCTCCACATTTCTAGAGCCCTGATTGACATCTTCCAGTGTCCACTTGGAAGGCTACAACAGCACAGTGCGGGCTGGACCCAAAGGTTCTGCAGGGTCCCACAAGAAGTACTACTCTCTAGGGAAAGAACAGTGCAACAAACCAAGGAGGCAGCCCCTTGGCAAGGGAAACCACAGCATGTGCTTTCCAGACCCCAAGAGCTCCCTGTCAGGCGGTGAAAAGCAGTCTTTTCCCAGCAGCAACATGGACTCTGTGCTCGGGCTCATAATTGGAGAGTAGACTCCATTGCCCTCTTCCACACACTGCCATGGCAGTTACTGCCACAAGGAGCTCAGGCAGGTGAGTCCCTAGCCCCCACTGGCAAAGTGCACTCTGTGCTTAGACTTGTACAAAAAGACTAGGAGCCCTTTCCCCACTCTACACACTGCTGCAGCTGCAGCTGCCGTTGCTACCATTCGGGGCTAGGGTGGGCAAGCTGGAGGGCTGCCTATATAAGGCTACGAGTGGTGGTAGTGTGGCCTCTGTGCTCAGATTTGTGTGCAGAGGGCAGAGTCCCTTCTCTTCTCTGCACAGTGCTGAGGACACCCCTGTAGACCACCAGGAACCTGAGGTCAGACCTGCCCGGCCTGGCACCCCCCAACCCTAGAACCCAAGCATACTGCCTGAGGACCTGGAGAACACTCCACACATTCTACCACCTCTGGCATCTGTGTACTCCCTCCAGGGTGAAGATGGGCCCACCCAATATGCTGCCAATGACACTGACAATACTCACCCACCCACATGCACCACCCAGGAGCCTGGGGACCATCCTGCTCAGCCCATTGAAGCCACCACCAACACCAGCATGCACCTCTTGGGACCCAGAGGATCATCTTGTCACTGTTACTGACATCACCCACACCACGCCAATTATCCAGGGGCCCAATAATGCACCCACATGACCAGCCTACCGCTGCCACTACTGGCAGCTGAGCAAGCCACTGGATGCCTAAGATTGGCCCACCTGGACCCACTAACACCATTGCCAGCATACGCCACCCTGGGGCCCAAGAACTGGCATGCTCAGCCCTCTGCTGCCACCACTGAAGCCTGAAGACTGGCCCGCCTGTCATCCCAGTCCCCAGGAAAACTTCATCACAGCCTCTACTAATAACCACACCCTAAGCCACTGAGGAAATACCACCAATATTATTTATAATCAAAAAAATCATACAGAGACTACACTATTGCACACACCCAACCAACATCATTGATACATCTTCAAGAAAAATCATCCCCTACACAAGCAAATTCCAAAAAATGGAAGAAGTGACTAATGCACCAGATACACAAATAGCAATGTAAAGACACAACAATCATGAAAAAGCAAGGAAATATGACACCTCCAAAGGAACACAATAATTCTCTAGCAACAGATCCTAATCAAAAATAAATTCATGGAGTCCCAGAAAAGAACTCAAAATTTAGATACCCAAACAGCTCAGTGAGATACAGGAGAATTCTGAAAAGTGACACAAAGAAATCACAAAAATAATTCAGGATATGAATGAGAAATGTACTAAAGAAATATCATCAAAGAGAGTCAAACAGAAATATTGGAGCTGAAGAATTCATTGAATGAAATACAAAACACATTTGAAAGCTTCAACAATTGACTAGATCAAGCTGAAGAATGTCAAAACTTGAAGACAGGTGTTTTAAAATAACTCATTCAGACAAAAATAAAGAAAAGGGGGCTGGGGGCAGTGGCTCACACCTGTAATCCCAGCACTTTGGGATGCCAAGGCGGGTGGACCACCTGAGGTCAGAAGTTCAAGACCAGCCTGACAAACATGGAGAAACCCTGTCTCTACTAAAAATACAAAATTAGCCAGGCATGGTGGCACATGCCTCTCATCCCAACTACTGGGGAGATTAAGGCAGGAGAATCGCTTGAACCCAGGAGGTGAAGGTTGTGGTGAGCTGAGATTGCACCATTGCACTCCAGCCTGGGCAACAGGAGTGAAACTCCATCTCAGTAAATAAATAAATAAATAAATAAATAAGAATTAAAAAGAATGAATAAAGCCTTTGTGATACATGGTTCACCATAAAGTAACCAAATAAATAAATTATCACTTCTCCAGACAGCAAAGAGACCAAAGAAGAGTTCAATAGCCTTTTTAATAAAATAATAGATGAAAACTTCCCAAGTTTATCAAGAGATTTAAACATCCAGACACAAAAGGCCCAGTGATTCCCAAACAGATAAAATGCAAAAAGTTCTTCTCTGTGGCACATTATAGTCAAACTGTCTAAAATCAAAGAAAAAGAGAATTCTAAAAACAGCAAGATCCTCTAGTGGGACAATAGGGAAATGAAAAGAGGAGAGAGAGAGAAAAAAAAAACAGCAAGAGAAAAGCACCTAGTCACCTATAAAGAAACCCCCATCAGACTAACAGCAGAATTCTCAGCAGAAACTATATAAGCCAGGAGATAATAGAATTACATATTCAAAGTACTGAAAGAAAACAAACTGCCACCCAAGGATACTATAACCAGCAAAATAATCTTTCATAAATGAAGAAGAAATAAAGTATTTTCAAACAAACAAAGGTTGAGAGAATTGATTAGCACTAGACCAGGGAAGAAATGCTCAAGAGAGTACTGAACCTGGCAGAGAAAGGACAAGAGTTACCATCGTGAAAACACATTAAAGTCTAAAACTCACTGTTAAAGCAAAAACACAAATGATGAAAAGATCCAAATGGTACCACTATAGAAAACCACTAAACCACAAAGGCAAAAAATAAAAGAAAATGAAAGGAATAAATGATATACAGAACAACCAGAAACCAATAAACAATATGACAAGAACAAAACCTCACATAGGAATAATAACCTTGAATGCAAATGAATTAAATTCTCCACTTAGAAGATATAGACTAGCTGAATGAATTAAAAAAAAAAAAACACACAACCCAACTATATGCTACCTACAAGAAAGAAAATTTACCTGTAAAGACACATACAGACTAAAAGTAAAAGAATGGAAAAAGATATTCCACACAAATGAAAACCAGTAATGAGCAGAAGTAGCTTTACTTATATTAGATAAAACAAACTTTGAATCAAAAACAGTATAAAAAAGGACAAAGAAAGTTATTATATAAGGATAAAGGGATCATTTCAGCAAGAGGATATAACAATTCTTTTTTTTTTGTTGGCGGGGGGGCCAGGAGTTCAAAAAAAATAACAGGCTGGAATATAGTGGGCAATCTTAGCTCACTGCAACCTCCACCTCCTAGGTTCAAGTGATTCTCATGCCTCAGCCTCCTGAGTAGCTGGGACTACAAGTGTGCACCACAATGCCCAGCTAATTTTTTTATTTTTTAGTAGACATGGGGTTTTGCCATGTTGGCCAGGCTGGTCTTGAACTCCTGACCTCAAGTGATCTGCCTGCCTCAGCCTCCCAAAGTGCTGGGATTACAGAAGTGAGTCACCATGCCCAGCCATAACAATTCTAAATATATATGCATCCAACACCAGAGCACCCAGATTGATAAAGCAAATATTAACTAGATCTAAAGAGAGAGAGAGACTCCAGTGCAATAATATCTGGACTTCAACACCCCACTCTCAGCATTAGACAGATAATCTAGACAGAAAATCAACAAAGAAACATTAGATTTAAATTGGACCTTACAGCAAATGGACCTAATAGACATTTACAGAACATTTTATCCAACATTGGCAAAATACACATTTTTCTCAACAGTACATGAAGCATTTTCCAAAATAGACCATATGTTAGGCCACAAAGCAAGTCTCAACAAATTTTTGAAAATCAAAATTATATCATGTGTCTTCTTAGACCACAATAAAACTAGAAATTGAAACTAAGAGGAACACTGGAAATTATAAAAACATACAAATTGAACAACATGCTTCTGAAGGACCAATGGGTCAATGAAGAAATTAAATGTCTGGAAACAAATGAAAATGGAAATACAACATATCAAAAACTGTGAGATAAAGCAAAAGCAGTGCTAAGGGGGAAGTTTATAGCAATAAATGCCTACATCAAAAAAAGAGAAATATTTCAAATAAACAATCTAATGATGTACCTCAAGAAACCAGAAAACTAAGAACAAATCAATGGAAAATCAGCAGAAGAAAAGAAACAATAAAGATCAGAGCAAACGTAAATGAAATAGAGACTGATAAAAATATAAAGGATCAATTAAATAAAAAGTTTGTTCTTCACAAAGATAAGCAAAATTGATAAACCTCTAGCTAGACTAACCAAGAAAAGAAGACCCAATAAACAACTGATACCACAGAAATGCAAAGGATCATCAGAGGCTCTTATGAACAACTATATGCTAACAAACTGGAAAACCTAGAGGAAATTGATAAATTCCTACACAAATACAACCTACCAAGATTGCATGAGGAAGAAACCGAAAACCTGAATAGACTAAAAACAAGCAGCAACATTGAATCAGTAATAAAATACCTCCCAACAAAGAAAAGCTCAGGACAAGATGGATTCACTGCTGAATTCAGCCAAATGTATAAAGGATAACTGATCTGGTTTAGCTGTGTCCCTGGACTCAAATCTCATCTGAATTGTAGTTCCCATAATCCCCATGTGTCATGGAAGGGACCAGGTGGAGATAATTGAATCATGGAGGCAGTTTCCCTGAACCTGTTCTCGTGATAGTGAGTTCGTTCTTATGAGATCTGATGGTTTCATAACGGGCTTCCCCCTTCACTGGGCACTCATTGTTCTCCTTCCTGCTACAATGTGAAGAAGGGCATGTTTGCTTCCCCTGCCACCATGATTGTAAGTTTCCTGAAGCCTCCCTAGCCATGCAGAACTGTGAGCCAATTAAACCTTTTCCCTTTATAAATTACATAGTCTTTGTTATGTCTTTATTAGCAGTGTGAGAACGGACTAATACAACAACTAATACCTATCCTCCTCAAACTATTCCAAAAAGTTGAAGAGAACAGAATTCTCCCTAACTCATTCTATGAGGCCAACATTACCCTGATACCAAAACTGGACAAGGATACAACAAAAAAATGAAACTACAGGCCAATATCCCTGATGAACATAGATGCAAAAATTCTCAACAAAATACTATCAAACTGAATCCAACAGCACCCCAAAAAGATAATACACAATGATCAAGTGGGATTTGTAGCAGGGATGCAAGCATAGTTCAACATATATACATCAATAAACAAGATACACCACAGCAACATAATGAAGGGCAAAAAACAAAAATTTAACACCCTTGATGATAAAAATTCTCAACAAAATGAGGTGTAGAAGAAACATAACTCAAAATAATAAAGGTCGCATATGACAAAACCACAGCTAATATACAGAATGGGGAAAAGTTGAAAGCCTTTTCTCCAAGAACTAGAACGATATAAGGATGCCCATTTTTACCACTTCTATTCAACATAGTACTACAAGTCCTTGCCAGAGCAATCACTGGATTGCTCTGGAACCCACCCCTGATAATTCTTCGTAGGTTCTTTTCTATTTTCCCTAAGTGTCAGCCGGTCTGAGAAATAAAGGGAAAGAGTACAAAAGAGGGAAATTTTAAAGCTGGGTGTCCGGGGCAGACATCACATGTCAGCTGGTTCCGTGATGCCCCCCCAAGCTGCAAAACCAGCAAGTTTTAATTAGTGATTTTCAAAAGGGGAGAGAGTGTATGAATAGGGTGTGGTCACAGAGATCACATGCTTCACAAGGTAATAAAATATCACAAGGCAAATGGAGGCAGGGCAAGATCACAGGACCGGGGTGAAATTAAAATTGCTAATGAAGTTTCGGGCACGCATTGTCATTGATAACATCTTATCAGGAGACAGGGTTTGAGAGCAGATAACTGGTCTGACCAAATGTATTAGGCAGGAATTTCCTCGTCCTAATAAGCCTGGGAGTGCTACAGGAGACCAGGGCTTATTTCATCCCTTATCTACAACCATAAAAGACAGACATTCCCAAAGCAGCCATTTCAGAGACCTCCCCTTGGGAACACATTCTCTTTCTCAGGGACGTTCCTTGCTGAGAAAAAGAATTCAGCTGTACTTCTCCTATATGCTTTTGAAAGAAGAGAAATATGGCTCTGTTCCACCCGGCCCACAGGCAGCCAGACTTTAAGGTTATCTCCCTTGTTCCCTGAACATCGCCGTTATCCTGTTCTTTTTACAAGATGCCCAGATTTCATATTGTTTAAACAATTTGTGCAGTTAATGCAATCATCACAGGGTCCTGAGGCAACATTCATCCTCAGCTTACGAAGATGACAGGATTAAGAGATTAAAGTAAAGACAGGCATAGGAAATCACAAGAGTATTTACTGGGGAAGTGATAAGTGTCCATGAAATCTTCACAATTTATGTTCAGAGATTGCAGTAAAGACAGGCGTAAGAAATTATAAAAGTATTAATTTGGGGAACTAATAAATGTCCATGAAATCCTCACAATTTATGTTCTTCTGCCATGGCTTCAGCCAGTCCCTCTGTTCAGGGTCCCTGACTTCCCACAACACACCACAGCAACATAATGAAGGTCAAAAAAACAAAATTTAACACCCTTGATGATAAAAATTCTCAACAAAATGAGGCGTAAAAGAAACATGTCTTAAAATAATAAAGGTCGCATATGACAAAACCACTGCTAATACACTGAATGGGGAAAAGTTGAAAGCCTTTTCTCCATGAACTAGAACAATATAAGGATGCCCATTTTTACTACTCCTGTTCAACATAGTACTAGAAGTCCTTGCCAGAACAATCAGACAAGAGAAATAAATAAAAGGCATTCAAATTGGAAAAGAGAATATTTGCAAACTGCTCATCCAACAGGAGGCTAATATTCAGAATATAAAAGCAACTCAAACAACTCAACATTAAAAAATAGTAATAATAATCCCCTTAAAAATTAGCAAAGGACTTAAATAGACCTTTCCCAAAAGAACACATACAAATGACCAACAGTTACGTGGAAAAAAGGCTCAACACCACTAATCATCAGGAAAATGAAAATCATATCATGATACACTATCACATATGATATATGATATGATATAGATAATTAGAATGGCTACTATTAAAAAGAAAAAATATAGCAGATGCTGATGAGGATGCAGAGAAAAGGCAACTCTTATACACTGTCAGTGGGAATGTAAATTAGCAGAACCACTATGTAAAACAATACTGAGATCTCTCAGCAGTGAACAATCTTACTACTAGGTATTTATCAGTATATCAAAGGGTTCCCTTACCTCCATGTTTATTGCAGTACTATTCACAATAGCAAAGATATGAATTCAACCTAAATGTTCATCAACAGACAAAGAGATAAAGAAAATGTGGTATATATACGCAATGGAATACTATTCAGCCATAAAAAATTGAGTCTTGTCATCTGCAGCAACATGGATGAAATGGAGATCATTGTGTTAAGTGAAATAAGCCAGGCACAGAAAGACAAGTACTGCATTTTCTCACCCATATAAGGGAGCTAAAAAATTTGATCTCATGGACATAGAGAATAGAATGATAGATACCAGAGATTCTGAAGGATGAGTGTATATGGGAGGGGGATGAAAAGAAGTTGGTTAATGGGTACCAACATACAGCTATATGGAAGAAAAAAGTTTTAATGTTTGATATCAGACTAGTGTGACTATACTTAGCAAGAAAACTTTGTATACTACCAAGTAACTAGAAGAGAGGACTTGATGTCAACACCTATAAATAATAAATATTTAAGATGATAGATACCCCAAATATTCTGACTTTATCATTACGTATTTTATGCAAGTAAAAAACACTCATATGTTCTCCATAAATATGTAAATATTATGTATCAATAACAGTAAAATAAATAAATAGAAAATATTCTAAATAACTACACACACAAAATATATACAGATTACAAAATTATGTGAGGAGTTTTGGCCCACAAGGTCACTTGGCACAGTACCAGGCACCTAGAACACATTCAAAAATATTTGCAATGTTGAATTAAAGTGAAGCAAAAAGTAGGATAAAACTGAAAAGAAATCATTGTATGTAGTAGTAACTGGCACCTCAGCGGTGAACTTTAAAGAGAACTTTCAGGCTGGGTGCTCATGCCTATAATCCCAGCACTTTGGGAGGCCAAGGCAGGTGGATCACCTGAGGTCAGGACTTCAAGACCAGCCTGGCCAACATGGTGAAACCCCATCTCTACTACAAATACAAAAATTAGCCAGGCATGATGGTGGGTGCCTGTAATCCCAGCTACTCAGGAGACTGAAGAGAGTCACTTGAACCCAGGAGGCAGCAGTTGCAGTGAGCCAAGATCACACCATTGCACTCCAGCCTGAATGACAGAGCGAGACTCTGTCTCAAAAAAAAGAGAGAGAACTTTCAATGGAATGATGGAAAGAAGTAAGATTTTTAGGAAATAAAGGAATGAAGAGAAAGCAAAAAAAAAAAATGAGGTGGCAAAGGTGAAGATTGAAGTTTTTATTAAAAGAATGGAAAATATATCAGACTGTTGGGGGATTGATTGAAGGGAATAATGATATTTGCTCTCATTTATTGAGTTCCTACAACATGTAAGAATGGATGAAGAGATGAGTGAATGGGAAGACCATGAGCCAGAGCTAGAATCCTCGAGAAGAATGTCTTTAGCTTGTGGGATGAGTGGTGATTTGAGCAGGGCAGGGAAACCAGTCACTATGAAGGGGAAGTGTGGCATCAGAGGGTAAGGGGATGCAGAATGTCTAAGGTAGACTAAAGTTCTAGAAGCTGCAGAATGATGCAATGAAAACAGCCATAAACTCCCCGACTTAGTCCCAAGACATAGGGTACATGGGAGAAAGAGAAGCTTTCATTTAAGTGAGTTGCAAAGCATGTGATATTTGCAGTGGAGAAAATGGCTTTAGCTTAAGTGAAAAGATAGAGGGTGTTTAAGAAGAAAGGGAAACAACACAGGAATTTGTTGACAACGAAAGGAAGGAAGTTTAAAAGACAATGGAAATGATTAGAAAATGGTTGTATTAATCAGGGTTCTAGCTAGAAATAGGCAAAATACTCGAAGTACCAACAATAGATGATGACGTACCCAACAACCAGCATTAGTGGGGAACCATTACCCTATACACTTCATGGGGCAAGGAAAACAAGTGGTGTTAGTAAACCTAGTAAGAGCTGAAACCATGAAAGAGGGACCACCCAGTAGAAACTGTGTTGTAAAGTGTCGCAGCCACTGTGAGAACCACAGCAGCACAGGAAAGGAGTAGCTGGGAACACTCCAACTCCTCACTCTCCTCCCATAGACTTGTCTCCTACTGATGCCTCCATCAGCTGAGCCCGACCAGAAGATGAGCCCAACCAGGTGATGCTGTCCAGAGTCACTGAAGAGAATAGGTGAATACTGGGTGTGCAGGGGAGGTAGGTTGAGTAGAGAACATCCAGAGTCAGGGAGTGAGCAGAAGGGAAATATCTAGCTGAATGAGAGGGAAAGTTTAGGACAGAATAGCTATAACGGGAGCATGAGGTAAAGTAAAGAAATGGAAAAGTAGTGGAGAGAGGGCCTGTGAATGGCTAGAGTTTGTGTATAATGGCTTAAAAGAACTCTCAGGGGCTCTTGGTCCACAATGAGGACTGTTTATGTGGATTTGTGTGTACATATTAATAGCAATTAGAGCCAAACTTGTTCATAGGCAATGCTTGGTAACATCTAAGTTGGCTTCCCAAGAAATCCCAGTTGTCTGCTTATCCATACTGCCCCCCAGAAACAGTTTGCTTAATACCAGAAATTTCTGCAGTAGGAAGCAAACCCTTTTGTTCTCTACATAAGTTTGGATGTGAGACTTACATTTAATTCAATAAATATGTATAGGTGCTGAAATGACAAAGTTGCTGTTCTATCAAAAGCAGAACCTCCTTGGGTAGACAATGCAGTAACTTAAACTAATACAATTTCTGACCTAAGCTCAGAGATTCTCAAGAAATCACCTTTTTTATAAAATGGAACAAGATCATGTCTTTTGCAGGAACAGGAGTGGAGCTGGAGGCGATTATCCTTAGCAAAGTAACACAGGAGCAGAAAACCAAACACTGCATGTTCTCACTTATAAGTGGGAGCTAAATGATGAGAACTTACAAACACAAAGAAGGAAAGAAACACTGGGGTCTACTTGAGGGTAGGAGGAAGAGGAACAGAAAAATCACTATTGGGTACTAGGCTTAATACCTGGGTGATAAAATAATCTGTACAACAAACCCCTGTGACACGAGTTTACCTACGTAACAAACCTGCACATGTACTCCCAAACCTAAAATAAAAGTTAAAAAAAAAAAAAAAAGAAATCAGCTTTGGATAGGAGAGTGTTTGAGGGCACTAGCATGACTAATGGGGACATTGTGAGACAGAGAATGAAAGCATCAATTGTCAAGGCAGTTGGCCCCAAAATAAACTGCCTTTTTCAGAGCTACATGAGTATGTGTACGTGTACGGGTGTGAGGTTGTGTGTGCACTAAATCCCTCACCCATCCACCCGTCCATTCATCCACCTGTCCATTCATCCACCTCCATTTCTTGCCTTCCTTTCCATCCCTGTATTGCACCAGTTGAATGTGCTGATCAAAGGAGGAAACTGGCTATACTTTTATGTTCTTCAATATCGCTTTTCCTTGTTTTCCTTCCATTTCCCAGCAGTCTCATCACAGAGGATTCCAGCATGAGAAATATGACATAACAATAGCATCACACAATGGATGCCTCATTACGTCCCACCTCTCCTGTGTCTCAGACACGACTACTACCTCTCTTTCCTGACCTCACCCCACTCTCTAATTCCACTTGAGATACCTGCATTTTTGAAGAAATGTTTTTGTTTTCTTGTTTTTTGGAAGAAGGACAAAACAAAGCTCTAGGAGGGTTGGTGTGGGGGAAGCCCCAAAGAAGGTGATTAATATCATTGCTGCTAATTTTCCACAAGCACTTGTCGGCACAGCAGTGAGCTAACTCAGACAGTGCCAAAAGTAATCTCGAAATTATCTGGCATCTCACTCCAGCAATAAAACACAGATTTATGTGGTGCAGCCCATAATAGAAAATGGAATAAAATCATCCTAGATGACTAAATCTCGATGTTTCTGGTCGAGGAGCTTAATAACTGAACTCTTTATACCCCCAGGGACTGCTCAGCCATTTGTTTTCATTTCTCTGACATTTCGTCAGAGTCATATAATCAGATGTGCTGCCCTGCTGCAGGGTCTGGGCCTCAGAGACGAGTGTGTTCCACAGTGGGGTCAGGAGACCCGCTTCTAGGTACTGACCTGTCACCCCTAACTCTGGGAACTGAAACAAATTGCCCCGGTTAAAAACACTCTGATTGTCTTGCATTCCACTTTGGAAATTCTTCCAGGCTCACTGAGACTTCACCTCTCTACTCCTCCTGGTTTCTCTGCCCCATTTGGTCCTGTATCTTGGTTCCTGGTCTTCAGTTAGCCATTTTGGGGTATGGTATAGGCTCCTTCTGCAAGAAAACCCTTCAAAAACCTAAATTACCTTTAGAACTATTTTAAATAGGTTTCATCATTGACGTAATCTTGGTGTGTGTGTGTGTCCTCTGCTACAAAGTGGACTTGTTTCTTTTTCTCTTCTTTTGCTCTACCTTCTTCCATGTTTCCTTCCCATGTCTTTTCCCTCTCCCTTCTTCCTCTCCTTCCTTACCCCTGACAATTACATGAACCTGTGTCTGACACCCACAGGCATTTCTTATTTGCTTGGTGACACTTAGGAATAAAGAAGACACTCATTGCTCTGCCCACAGTGTCATAGTCTTCCTGGATGCATGCAAATGACATGAAATCATGTCATTTGTAGCAACATGGTTGGAACTTGAGATTATTATTATAATAATCTCAAGTGTCAGTTCTAAGTTGTGTTAAGTTACTGAGGAACAGTTTAAAGCAATTTATAGCTGTAGCATGAGCACACATGAGAATGAAATGGTGACATGGAGAAGTAAGCACAGCTCCAGCTAAGGGATACATTTTGGAGTGCAATATAGAACATATGCAGAGGAAAATTGTGAAAACATTTGAAGGCATTTCTGTGCATTCATCAAGATTGTTCTTCTTGTCCTCAACTTAAGAATAGATTGCAAAACCCTACTAGAATAACACTGAGGAAAAGCAGTGCTATCCTCTAGCAGCAACAGGTGATAGGAATATGTCTAACTTTTGGCACTGACAAGGAGTGCAATTATAAATATGGACAGGGCAAATCACACCTGTAGACACTCAGCTGATGAAGACTCCCCTGCAAAGCTTAAACATAGTACAAATGGGTTATCTATGCACAGGAAAAGAAATCAACATTATCAGAGGTATGCCTGCCTCCCATGTTTATCACAGTACTATTCACAATAGCAAAGATATGGAATCAACCCGTGTTCATCAATGGATGAGTGAATAAAGAAAATGTGCTTTATGTACACAATGGAATACTAGTTAGTCATTCTAAAGGATGAAATCATGTCATTTATAGCAACATGGTTGGAACTTGAGGTTATTATCATAAGTGAAATAAGCCAGGCACAAGAAGACAGATATCACATGTTCTCACTCATATGTGGGAGCTAAAAAATTTGATCAGATAGAGGAAGAGAGTGGAAAGATAGCAGAGACTGGGAAGGGTGAGTAGAGAGGAGTGAAGGCGATAAGAGAAGTGCATTAAAGGATACAAACATACAGTAAAATGGAATAAATTCAGTGTTTCATAGAGTAAGGTGACAATACTTAACAAAAATATTTGGTACTCAGGTGATGGACACCCTAAATGCCCTGACTTGATTACTACATATTATATACATGTAACAAAACTTCACATGTGCCCCATAAATTTGTACAAATTTAAAAAAAGAAGAAAAATTAAAAATAAAATACAAATTTTAAAAACATACTGCAGGCCGGGCACAGTAGCTCACGCCTATAATCCCAGCACTTTGGGAGGCCGAGGCGGGCAATGTCAGGAGTTCAAGACAAGCCTGGCCAACATGGTGAAACCCCGTCGCTACTAAAAATACAAAAATTAGCTGGGTGTGATGGTGTGCACCTGTAATCCCAGCTACTCGGGAGGCTGAGGCTGGAGAATTGCTTGAACCCGGGAGTCGGAGGTTGCAGTGAGCCGAGATTGCACCACTGCACTCCAGCCTGGGCGACAGAGTGAGACTCCATCTCCAAAAACAAACAAACAAACAGGCAAAACATAGTGCAAATGCATCCAGGAAGATTAAGAATCCAGTAGTCCTTTATCAGTCCTTGTTCCCAAATGAGACTTTTGATCTACCATGGATCCACGTCAGAGGTAGACTGAGGTGAGATCAGGAATAACCATAAATGCACAGAAAAAGAAAGTCTAGTATTAAAGAAGGAAAAAGATACCCCCTTGGTGACACTGGTTAAGCATTTCCTTGTTTGGAGAATTAACACCGAAATCACACTGATGTTAGATATGTATATGTATCGTAGCTTGGTGTTGAATATATATTGTAGCTTGGTGTGTGTGTGTGTGTGTGTGTGTGTGTGTGTGCGCGCGCGCGCGCGTGTGTGTGTGTGTGTGTTATATGCACATACACATATACAGACTTCCCTTGGTATCCATGGAGGATTGATTCCAGGACCGCCCTCAGACACCAAAATGCACAGATGCTCAAGTCCCTTATATAAAATGGTATAGTATTTGCATATAACCTACGCACATTCTCCTACCTAATTACATGGTTGAAACTTTCAGCCCCTATCTACCAAGGAGGTCCCCAGAAGTGAACAGGGGCTGGAGATCAGGGTCAATCATGTGGCCAATAATTTAATTACATGCACCTGCTGTCTTAGTTGGCTTGGCTGTCACAAGTACATACCATATACTGGATGTCTTAAGCAACAAAAACTTATTCTCACAGGAGGCTAGGTACTTCCAGATCAAGGTGCTGGCCAATTTGGTTGCTGATAAGGGCTGTCTTCCTGGCTTGCAGATGTCCACCTTCTTGCTATGTCCTCATGTGACCTTTCCTCAGTGCACGTACACACAACACACACAGAGCCAGACAAAGAGAGAAGGATCTTTCTTCCTCCTTTTTTAAGGCAACTAGTCTCATCAAGAAGGCCCCTCTCTCACAACCTGATCTAATCCTAATTACCTCCCAAATACCCCATCTCCAAATATTATCAAATTGAGGATTAGGGCTTCAACAGGTGAATTTACATGGCGGGGGACAAAAATATTCAGTCCATAACACTTGAATGTTATGTAATGAAGTCCCATATAAAAAACCCTAAAACAACAAGATTTGGGAAATTTGCGGGTTGCTGAACACAAGGATGTGCTGGGAGGGTGACGTGCCTGGAAATATCATGTAGCACTGTGCCCCATCCCTCAACTCTGCTCACAGACCTTGTTGCCCTATGTAACTCTTCACCTGGCTGTTCATTTGTATACTATATAACAAATCAGTAACCATAATTACAGTGCTTCCCTGAGCTCTGTGAGTCATTCTAGCAAATTATTGAACCTGAGAGGTGGTCATAGGAACCCTCAAATTTGTGGTTCATGAGACAGAAGTACAGACGGCCCCTGGGACTTACATCTGCTGTCTGATATGAGAACAGTCTGCACCCTTAACCCGTAGGATCTGATGCTCACTTCAGATAGTGTCAGAATTGAATTGTAGGACACCCAACTGGTATGGGAGAGTTGGTACTGGAAAAACATCACTAACAGGATGATGTTTTGCCTTCTGATTCACTAGTATAATAGGAAAAATTCTAAGATGATCTGAAGACTTCCACTTCTGATCTGCATGCCCTGTATAATCCCCTTCCTTTAGTGACCTGTGAATATGGTAGGATTTTACTCCAGTGATTAAGTTATGTTATTTGGCAAAAGGGAAGGGATTTTTATATATGTAATTAAAATTCTTAATCAGTTGATTTCAAGTTAACCAAAAAGGAGATTGTGCTTTGTAAGCCTGACCTAATAAGGAAAGTCCTTTAAAAGAGGGTCTAGAAGTCAGAAACCGAGGAGGTCAGAGATTCTCCTCCTGGCCTTGAAATCATAAGCTGCCATGTTGTGAGAAGGCCCATGAGGCAAGAAACTGAGTGGCTGTAGGAGCTGAGGGCAGCCCCAGCTGAAAGCCAGCAATACAGCAGGGGCCTCAGTCCTACAACACAAGGAATTGAGTTCTGTCAACAACATGAGGGAACCTAAAAGAGAATCCTGAGATCTAGAAAGCAATTCAATCCAGCCAGTACTTTGACTGCAGCTTTGTGAAATTCTAAGCAGAGGACCCTGCTAAGATGTGCACTGGGCACATCTTAGCTGAGTCCTGACGACTCCTGTGAGTCATTTTAACCTGCTTCATTTGTGATAATTTGTTAGGTAGTGATAGAAAACAAATATAGCCACATATAATACACCCTGATCAATTTGTCATTCTCCTACTTCACACTTACAATACTGCCCAAGTCTTTTCATGATGTCCTCTTCAACAGGGAGCATAACCAAAGCTTTTGACAGGTGTTCAGCAAAATGATTTGAACATTGTATCTGATTGATAACTGTGTTGCTGAATTCATATTATACTGTCAAGGTTTACAAGAGAGCATTAGGAAAATACTACTATGATTTACCTCAGCGCTTTAACACATTCTACTCTTAAAATAGGTATTCCTGGCCAGGCACCATGGTTCACATCTGTAATGCCAACACTTTGGGAGGCTGAGGCAGGTAGATCAATTGGGACCAGGAGTTCAAGACCAGCCTGGACAACATGGTGAAACCCCGTCTCTACTGAAAATACAAAAATTAGCCAGACATGGTGACACATGCCTGTTGTCCCAGCAACTCAGGAGGCTAAGGCACAAGAATCACTTGAACCCAGGAGGTGGAGGTTGCAGTGAGCTGAGATCGCATCATTGCACTCCAGCCTAGGCTACAGAGCAAAACCCTGTCTCAAAAAAAAAAAAAAGGCATTCCTTGTTATCTGATGGCTTCATATCCACCATTCCACTAAAGCAAGAAATAAATTTCATATACATTTCCTGAAGCCGCACGGTTTGGAATTTTCAAATTTTCTGAGTGTTTTTTGGACCCTATCACAAGGTAATAAAAGAGCAGCTATGACTCAGTTAAAAATGTTCACCCAAATTGCAATTCTAACTTCTTTGTTGAAGAGGAAACCAGCAGCTTCTGCATAGTGTCCTGGTTTAATAGGTAGTCCAGTGGATCCAAGCACAAACTCGATAAGTAAGTTTAACTATGATTTATTTTTCCATTGTTATCCCTGACTTGTCTCCCAAACCCTCCACCACTAAATGGCCCAAGGCCAGAGCATGGCAACCATTGTTTCCTGGATATTGTTGTGCCCCCATCTCCTCATGCACCTTCTACACATCCTTGTTATGTTTCCATCACTTTCCTCATGTGTAACACTTAGATAATGGTGAACGTTCACACCTCTCACAAGTTTGCTAAAATCAAGTGAGGTAACAAATGTGAAATTGTTTCCAAATGAGAAAAGACTTTTATGAATGTGACAAATGCTTTTCTTTAATGAGCAACCATTTTATAGAATAATAGAAACTTGGTGTTGAGAATTTTGTCACATGCCAACTGAATATCTGAATCTCTTTCCCAACAGCCTGTATTCATTCATTCATCAAATGTGTATAAAAAATCAACTAAGATCTATGCATTAGGGAAGGCCCCTTCCAGTGACCTCTAGCTGATACCTTCCACTGACAAGGAACTCATTACATCCTAAATGACCTCATTCCATTTGAGGTAGTTTCGATGTCAGAAACTTCTTCCTCTCTCTGTAGAAAGAGCCCCCAGTAACCTCAGCAGTAGATAAGTTCTGGGCATGGAAAGTGAAGTGTCAAGCGGTGGTTTACCACTAGCTGGGAGATATGAGTTACACACCAGAAGTGAGAGTGAACAAGGCAGGGTAGTGGCTTCATTGTGTGGGTACTGAGTAAATGTCCTCAGAATAGCTAAAAGAAACAATGAAATCTTCACAGAGGAAATAGAACTTAAACGGAGCCTTAAATGTCAGCCAGAACATGAGAAGCAGGAAGGCAATTTTAGATGAGATGAACAAAAGGAATAAAGGCTTAGCATGCACTCCTGGGAAAAACAAGATGTGTTTGACAATACTGGAGGATCCTGAAATCTTGACAAAGGAGTTTAAATTGATACAGTGGGAACCAGGAAGCCTCTGAAAGTCACTGAAGCATTATTAGTTTCATTCTCACAAGAGTACTTTTTATCTGAACAACAAATGGATGTTCTCCTTCATCCAGAAGAGGAAAGTAGAGACAGGATAGTACAGGATAGGTCCAAAGCTGGCTTCAGGCAAAAGGCCAGTTCCAGAGAAGAAGGGTTTGAAACAAGACCAAAGCCTGTGGTTGTTGAATCAACTGTTACTTGTTTTACAAATTTGTCTGAGGGATTGCCAGAAGCAAGTGTCCTCTGGTCACCTGTTCCTTTGTGCAGTGTGGCTTCTGAGGTTTGTGTAAAATTATTTGTTCTCTGCACTTTGCCAAGAGGGATGGAGTATTTTTACTGGCGCCATAATTCAGGAAACATAAATCCTATAGCACAGACACTACAAATAAATGAGATCTTTTTTGTTTTGTTTTTGTTTTGGTTTTGAGATAGAGTCTCCTTCTGTCACCAGGCTGGAGTACAGTGGCACAGTCTCAGCTCACTGCAACCTCGTCCTCTCGGGTTCAAGTGATTCTCCTGCCTCAGCCTCCCAAGTAGCTGGGACTACAGGCGCGCGCCACCATGCCCAGCTTTTTTTTTTTTTTTTTTTTTTTTTGTATTTTTAGTAGAGACGGGGTTTCACCATGTTGGCCAGGATGGTCTTGATCTCTTGACCTCGTGATCCACCCACCTAGGCCTCCCAAAGTGCTGGGATTACAGGCATGAGCCACCAAACCCGGCCGAGATCTTTTAATTAATCTTTGGATTCAATCTCTACATTTCTTCCTGAACATTCCTTACAGCGAGATTTCTCTGAGTTGGAGTTGGGACCATTCTCACATTCCACCACATGGCTCACTCGGGTGGATTTCATGTAAGTTGCCTCTAAGTAAAATGACTGAGGATAGATTTCTTGGACCCTGTGATACTGGATGAACAACATCCTATAGGATGTTATGGTAGCCAGTTTTAAAAGCTGCTAAATCAGAGAGGCTACCTCGGTCTGGGACAGCACTCATTCAGATTGATTGAATATTAGGGAGATGGGTGTTATACACAGTGATTGACCAAGGAGGTTTGCTGTCTTTTGATCCCCTACAGAATGCATAGTTAAGCCACTGGATAGTACATGCTTGGCTTCTCTCACCTGTAGTTTGTGGTCTTCATTTATCCAGATGGGCCTCAACCTGAAACTGGATCAGGATATTTGACCTTTGGGGACAGCTAAAAAAGGGTGGCACCAGTACCTCCAGCTAAGCTTCCACCAGCACTTCAGAAGAAAAAAGATGTGTTCCCCGCTTCTGATTATTTCCTCAGAGTGAGGGTTGAGGCTCAATGGGCCACCTAATTATAACCCCTTACTTCCCTGGGACAGGCTTAGGACTGATATCCTACCACCATTATCTTACCTCATTTGAGGCATGAAGGAGTGTGTTTTTATTTCTAATAGAAACAGAAAGGCAAGCAAGTATAATTTTGAAACAAAGAATGACTTATAATGAAGATCTTCAGACGTTACACATTCTCTTCCTTTTTGAAAAATGCATAGCTTTTTTTCTGAAGGAAATTCTTGTTGCATATTGCTTAAAAGCAGCAGTCAATAGTCAATTTAATAATCTTTCAGGTTGCCATGAGAAACAAAAGACATATTACATGGTGATGTCATAGGCTCTCAGCATGTTTCCAAAGATATTCTTTAAACTTGTTCAAATCACCAAATCTGTATTTCCTAGATAAGCTATGTTCTCCTTTTTTTTGTTATAAACAATTATTTGTTGTGCATCATCCATATGTAGAACTCTGTGGGTGAAATGAAGGAATCGAATGTGCAGTCCCTGTCCTCAAATGTTAAAGGGGCACATCTTTGTTTTGCACTGGTATAACAGGAGACTACAGACTGGGTAATTTATAAAGAAAATAAATTTATTTCCTCACAGTTCAGGATGCTGGAAAGTCCAAGATCAAGGCACCAGCATCTGGTGTGGGCCAAGACACTGTGTCCTTACATGGTGGAAGGCGGAAGGGCTAATAATACATGGTGGAAGGTGGAAGGTGTGCCATGTGAATACATGGTGGAAGGCGGAAGGTGTGCCATGTGAAGACACACGAACCCTGTGTCTTCACATGGCAGAACAGGAGAGAAAGAACCCGCTCTCACAAACCCTTTTAATAAGACCATTAATTAATTTATGAGGACAGACCCCTCACGACCTAAACACTTCCTAAAAGACCCCACTTTCCAGCCAGGCGAAGTGGCTCATGCCTTTAATCCCCACACTTTGGGAAGCCGGGGTGGGTGGATCACCTGAGATCCACAGTTTGAGACCAGCCTGGCCAATATGGCAAAACTCCATCTCTACTAAAAATACAAAAATTAGCTGGGCATGATGGCACACACCTGTAATCCCAGCTACTTAGGAGGCTGAAAAAAGAGAATCGCTTGAACCTGAGGCAGTGGTTGCAGTGAGCCGAGATCACACCATTGCACTCCAGCCTGGAAGCAAGAGTGAAACCCCGTCTCAGAAAAAAAAAAAAAAAAAAAGACCCCACTTCCCAACACCGCTGTGCTGGGGATCAAGTTTCCAACACATTCCTTTGGGGGACACATTCAGACCACACAAGGGCATATGGGTGTGAAGTTGACTGCAAGTAAAAATGAGTAAATAGTGGGAAGAGTGGGGAGGCTGCTGCCTACCCCTTCTTGCAACAGAGTCTCTGATTTTCAGCAACACAAGAGATTAGCTCTGGGTTAGGGCAACAGAGTAGGAATATCATCAGAAGTAGTAATACTCATAACTTGCTCTGAACCAGCCACTGTCTCAGGCAATCTCATAATCACCCGATGCAAGAGCAACTCTTTCTCTCTGCATTTTACAGAATAGGACACGAAGGCATGCAGATTTTTAGAACTGTCTAAGGCCACATATGTATAAAGTGGAGAACCACAATTCAGACTGAGGGATCCAGCTTCTGATCTCATACCTCTGGTCTCTAGGACAAATTAAAGATGTCACGAATATTTTCTAGTGTGGCTCTATCCAATAGAAATATAATGTGAGCTACACAGTAATTTTGAACATACTAATCATCATATTAGAAAAGCAATAAATATTGAAGTTAATTTTAATAATGTTTTATTTAACTGAATATATCTATTTCCATTTCTACATGCAGTCAACATTTTAAAACTATTGGTGAGATATTTTATATTCATTTATCCATCCTTAGTCTTCCTAATCCACTGTTTATTTAATACTTACATCTCAGTTTGGACTAGCCACATGCCAAGTGCTCAGTAGCCACACGTGGCTGGTGAACAGCACGACTCTGGTGCATACAATGAGAGATGTGAGATAGCAAGAAAGATGATTTGACAGAGAGAGAGGGGGAGAGTGATAATACAGATTTTGATCCAAATAGAATAGGAAGAATAACACAGACTTAAAGAATTTTTGGATACTTGTTTTCATCCTTGAGCAATAAATGACAAATTCTATCTATAGAGCATAATTGTAGACACTCTATATCCCAGAAGACATCAACCTTCGAAGATTAGAAATCACAATCTTTAAGCTTCTAGTTACACATCTTACCATGATTCCCTTTGGTAACATCTAGCTTACACGTACCCCAGCTGCCTTAAATTGAAGGAGAGGCCGGAGACAGTAATAGTTAATTTGCTGATAGTCTAAATGCTTCCTGCCCTTCCCTCCAATTTTTCAGATTAAAAATGTGAATTAAATTCAAGGTGTCCCTGTCCAGTCGGTTTTATTCTGAGTTTCAAGGTTCACACCCATTCAGAAAGCTTCCTTTCTTGCCAGCAATTGTCCCCATCCCTTGGCTAAGATCTTGAACTACTTAAACAAAGATGAGAAGGAATGAAAAAAAAAAAAAACTCTGATTAATTTCTATTCTTGTGTCATTACAAGTATATTCTCTAGAGTAAGAAATAAACCTTACAGCCTATGACCCAGCAGGTTCAGTCACTAACACCCAGAAAAAGCTAAGCTGAAATATCATCTCTCCCTGCTTGGGTGTTACTCCTAAGAATTTAACCTTCACTTAAGTTATTGTGCTTAAATGGTGTTGTCAAGGAAACACATTCTTAAACAAGACAAGGGTTGGGTTGAGGTTTTTCCAATTTCAGTTCTCACCTAGAATAAAGCTATTCTGCCTCTCATCAAACTCACCCTCAAATCCTTCACTCACACTAAAATATAAGTCATTCTGCAGTGCTCTGTTCTCAAACTTTACCTAGTAGCAGAACCCCCTAAAAATCATAGTGTTCTTCTTGGAATATCATGAAAAGTTACCATATGAAAATTAAAATCAATAATAATTCTGTATTAAATCAGATATCATCTTAGATTCTAATATATATAAACAATAGCATACACCAAGAGCACGAAAAGATCTGAATGGAGAAAATTTTACGATTAATACTATTCCATCCCTTTATTTAACATTTTTACTAGAGTAGATGAAAACAGTCATACCCAAATGAGTAACAGAACCCTCTGAGCATAAGTTTTTTTCTTGGCACCTTAACTTGAAAACTGATCAGTTACAGAGTCATCCCTTTTACATGGACTTTATCTTTCAATAGGATCCAACACTCTATGTTTGGCAATGGAGAAGTGATGTCAAGTCTCAGGCACCAGTACAAGAGGATGGTTTTTGACATGTGGTCTGTGGTTAGTCCCAGAATCACAGTGTAAGCAAGAAGAGGCATGTGACTAACAACCAATGCCACCATTTCTGAGAGCAAATCCTCCAGAGTTCATCTCATCTAGATCATTCCACTGAATCCTGTCACCACTCCGGTGATTGAGAGGAACCAGCAGGAGTGAGAGGAAGGGGAAGAGGAAGATCAATACACAAGTACAGCAGAGTCCTGGAAAACCGTGGTCCCAGGTATTTCAAAGGCCCTGACCATGCAATTCCTCACTCCCAAGGCAGCTTCTACACAGCCATGGCTTGTCTGCCAGAGCCTTCACATCAAGGCCCCTGCCTACAGCCAGAGCAGCAAAAGCCAAAATTGCATTGATTGAAAGGTGGTTGACCATAGCTCATTCTTTTCAAACACTTTATTATGGAAACTGTCAAACATAAGCCAAAGAGCTCCATTACCCATCACCCAGCTTCACACTTGTCAATCCATAACCCCATTCACTCCCCTCACACATACACTGCATTATTTTGAAACAAATTTCAAACTTTATGCTAATTCATAGATAAACATATCCATTTGTAGCTACAAAAAAAAATAGTTTTTTAAAAAATATAACCATTACCATATTTGAAAAAGTTAATAATTCCTCAGTATCATCCAATATTCAGTCAGTGCTCAACTGTCTCTTATTGTCTTATGTATTTTTAAGTAGTCAGCTTGTTTAAATTCAAATCCAAAAAAAGTCCATATATTATGTTTCATTTCTATGTCCCAACATTTCCTGTAAACAGAATTATTATACTTAGGTGATTATACTTAGTTTCAGTTGTTTTGGCAAGAAGACTTCATAGGTGGTGCTGTGTACTTCCTATTACATCACATGAGGAGGTACCTAATGCCTGATGTTAATATTGATCAAGGAGTTCAGGTGTCACCAGCCTGCTCATCTATTATAAAGTTCCCTATCAGCTTTTCAACTAAAGGTCTTAGCAGGCATTGCTATGAATTGCTTAGATCAATTATCTCATTAAGATTTGAAATGTTGGGATGGGCGTGGTGGCTTATGCCTGTAATCCCAGCACTTTGGAAGGCCAAGGTGGTTGGATCACCTGAGGTCAGGAGTTCAAGACCAGCCTGGCCAACATGGTGAAACCCCGTCTCTACTAAAAATACAAAAATTAGCCAGGCATGGTGGCGCACACCTGTAATCCCAGCTACTCAGGAGGCTGAGGTAGAAGAATCACTTGAACCTGGGAGGCGGAGGTTGCAGTGAGCCAAGGTCACGCCTCTGCACTCCAGCCTGGGCGACAAGAGCAAAACTCCATCTCAAAAAAAAAAAAAAGAATTGAAACGTTAAAATTTTAAATCTACCCTTCTCCTTTCATTAACTAGGATTTTTCTATAAAGAAAAATTTTCAGCAAATATTTGTTTGCTCTGAGGTACACGTCATATAGGAACAACAAGTTAAAGACTGGATTCTGTGCTCTTATTTACCTTTCTTCAGAACCATGGATTCGTTGTCTAGGATCTTTCAAAGGTGACCAATTATTTTTATATGATTACAAATCGATGCATATTTATATCTTATATATATATCAATCCATTCACAGTTCTATTCCTTTTGATTTTCAAAGTGTTCCATCTTCGACCAGTGGGAGTTCTTCAAAACAGCTTCTGAATCTTTTTAACACAATCTCCACCATCTCGATGTTTTCCTTGCTTTCTGATCTGACAAGATTTTCCAGGCTTACTTTGCACAGTTGCTCTCCCAAACATGGAATTCACTATTTCACCACAAACTCTGGTTTCATTTTCTGAGTATTTGTATTTACAGACCACAGTCTGGGTGCTCTATTAATGGCCTGTTCTAGGCCTTTTCAGTAGAAATTGCTGGGAAATATTTATTAGAAAATATATCAAAAATTTATACTGATATTTACAATTCAAATTTAGAATTACAGAGCTTTAATTTAACTTCTTTGATTTTACCATGGTATATGTTTCTCTTATGTTGAAAAATCTTGGTTCCTAATGACATTAACAATTTAAATTTCATTGCATTTCTTCTTCTCTTTAGGATAGATATATCCCACAAGAGAAATCCAAATTACTGAGTTTTTGATGTCATTCTAAATAATTCTTCTTGATACAGTTAAACCACCTACATAATTCACAATTAAGTTGATGTCATTTTTTTAATTTCCTTTTTTTTTTTTTTTTTTTTTTTTTTTTGAGATGGAGTCTGGCTCCGTCGCCCAGGCTGGAGTGCAGTGGTGCGATCTCGGCTCACCGCAAGCTCCGCCTCCCAAGTTCACGCCATTCTCCTGCCTCAGCCTCCCGAGTAGCTGGGACTACAGGCGCCCGCCACTACCCCCAGCTAATTTTTTGTATTTTTTTTTTTTTTTTAGTAGAGATGGGGTTTCACTATGTTAGCCAGGTTGGTCTCTATCTCCTGACCTCGTGATCCGCCCACCTGGGCCTCCCAGAGTGCTGGGATTACAGGCGTGAGCCACCGCGCCCGGCCGTCATTTTTTTAATTTCTAAGAATTGCTTTCTGTTTCAATTTACATGATTTTAAAGTCAATTCTACAAAACAATGCATAGAGATACTTTTATTAGTTTATGGTTTATGTTTACATTTGTATTTCCTCCTTTTACAGATACATACAATACCCTGCACCTTGATTTTATCACTTAAAAATATATCCTGAAGATCATATTAGACCAATATGCAGAACTATGCTTCATTGCTTTACCAGTTGCATGGTATTCCATTGTGTAGGAGCACCATACCTCAGCGGATTCTTTTAGTTATGTAAGGCCAGAGAGCTACAGCTTCATTTATAGGGCTAGAAACAACAGAAACATGCAGTCAGAAACCTCAAAATGTATTTCTCCCCATTTTTTTTCCTCCTTTGTCCCCACTGTGTAGTACGCACTTGACAATTTCTACCCAGCAACCCAAATCCTGGCTATCTTCAGAGTTTCTACCTCTCCCATTCGTAGCCATGTGCCTCAGAAGAAGCTGACCCCATACCCAGCTCTGAGGATAAACCTGGGTTATCTAAGGCCAACTCCAATCCCCTTGGAAGAGATTAGTTCAGAAATGATTGTGTTTCTAGCCAATGAGACACAGAAAAAGTCTTCTAGGAATTTTATTGAAAAAGATACTTCACTGGAATAGAAAACATTTCTTCTGTATATTGAAATATATAGATGTGACTCCTGGAGTTTCTGCAGCCATCTTGCTGTCACCCTAGGAATGAAACCAACCCAGAAGATAGCAGAGAGAAGTGAAAGAAATTGCATCCTTGATGATATGGCTGAGCCAGTGAATCAACCAACCCTGAAAATACCCTACTTCTGAGCCTTTTCATATGCAAAATAATACATTTCCTTGTTGCCTAGTTCCATTTGAGACGATACTTTCCACTGCTTGCAGCTGAGTCCCTAAAAGATACATATGCACAAATTTAGAAAATAATTGATGATTACACAAGTTATTAATTGCTCCCTCTTTCCCCCTTTGCCTTATTTTGTTCACTTCCCGTGGGTACATTTGGGGAAGGGAGTTTGCAGGGGCTCTTATTACACTCACTTCTCTAATGGGTCTATACTTCAGCTTGTTTCTCTGCTGCCACTTGACTTGGACTCACTCCTAGTTCTGGCCCAAGTTTCTAAGTCCTTTCCCTGCTGGTCACTGCTTGGAAAGCCCCAGCCATAAATGTCCTCTCCCTTCACTCCTCCAAAGCAGCAGTGCTAATTTCTGAGTATCAAACTTTTATTGAAGTTTTGGGGTTAACAGAGAGCAACATATGCAAAAACAACTTCACGCTGAATGTCAGCCATTCCTATCCCAAGGAATTCATTGCTCATTCCGTCCACATGGAATTTACCACCGACTACATTCCTTCAGGGACCCTAACTTCCCACCATGTTACTGAGCCTCTCTCTCTCTCTTTCTCTCTCTACTGTACCTACCTTCTTCTTTCCCAGGTACTTTTGCCATATCAAGGTTCTAGTGGACCACTCCAAACCTCCTGTTATTTTACTCCATAGAAAAGTTACCTGGTGTTTGTTTAAACTTCTATTCCAGTGATGCCCATATACCTTCAACACCAAACAAGCTTGTGAAGGCATTTTCCTAAACAAAAGAATAATTTTGCCTCTGAAAGAGGAACTCTGACTTCCTCTTAGGTCAATCTGCTCAAATTCAGCCAGCTCTTAAAATATCATTGGTTTTCTTGTTACTAATACTAAAAATGGGAATAACGATACCTATCTTATAGCATTTGCTAGAAAGCTTTATCATTAAGGTTAGCAAAAATATTTATCTGTGTGCCTCATTTTTCTCATCTGTAAAATGAAGATGAATAATAATACCTACATTATAGCTCATAAAGTTTTTGTGATGATTAGAGGAATTAATATAAGCAAAGAGCTTTGAACAGTGCCCGGTGTATAGTAAGTATTCAACAAATGTTAACAGCTGCTGCTGCTGCTGCTGTTAATCAAACATCTTTGATCTAAAAAGGTTGTTTGGACATGCTGGGATGGGGAGATAAGAGCACCTAGAGCACATGATTACGGTGAGGACTGAATGATACATACGACCTAAAAGAGTACCTGACATATTGGTGACAAGTGAAGGCAGGCTGTTAATGCTGGGGATTAGTAATAGTGTAATAGTGTATGTAAAGTCCTGAACAAGGTAGAAGATCAATAGTATGAGATACTATCATTTTGCTTCTCAGGGAAGTTATGGACGATGTTAGAGACTGAGGCAGGATTAGGGCAGCTGGTGATTTTTAAAATCCTGGCAAGAGGCCTCATTCTGATTCCTATATTATGTGTTATTGTTGTCACTCTTATTAGTATTATCAGCAGAAATAGCAGTAATGTGGTGTGATGGCTGAGCAGCAGTTTATGCCAGGTATTGTTACATATTCTATGGGTGAATAGAGATAGATGTAGCCCAGATCTTGCTTATAAGGTGCATGCAGGAAGAAAGGCCCAGGGTTCATTGCCCACTCCCAGTCTTTACCCTATCTTGCTTGCCAATGGGGACTAAGCCAGCCTTTAGGAGAGTTTGCTTGAAGTCAGCTTTCATTCAAGCAATTGGCACCCTACCAACAATGAGGGTCAGCAGGAGGTTGACAGCATGAAGCCCCATAAGCAGGATGGCTTCCCCATGCTACAGGGGTGATAAGGAAACAGAAAACCAGCCTTTTGTTCTGTTCCTTTCCCAGTTTTTCCTAGACCCAAATGAGCCAGCAAGCCCCAACAGCCACCCCAGGAGTTTAGAATGAACAGGGAAATAAGAAAACTAGAAAACAGCTGAGCCTTGAGCCCAGACACCAGACATTACCAAAGACATGGGGTCAAGGTGACTGGAGGTATTAGAATCCCTCAGGAGCAGTAACAGGATGTCAGGGAACCAGAGAGAGATGCTCTCTGTCCTTCCTGTGGAAGTGCTGAGAGAATTAGAGAATATTTATGGCATTTCCATGGATATTTACAAATTCATCCTACACAGATTAAGCAGGCAACAGCAGCAGGTGCACACAGGTGAGAGTCTAAGCAGTAGGGTAGATTGGTTGGGGGGCCAACCACAGGCCACCTGTCTTATTTGGTGAGGCAGAGCCAAGCCGGGCCCCAGACCCACCGTGTGAGTATCAGGGTGTCTGGGTAGCACACAGTGTACCCAGTGGACACTGGCCAGGGGAGGCCTCTCTGAACATGAGGCTGGGATGATTCGGCCTCCAAATAGCAGAAAATAAAACATCAGGAACTTGGGTCAACTAAACACTGAAAATTGGAGAAGATCTCTTGAGCTACCTGCCCAGAATCTCAAAAGCTCCTCTCTTAGAAACAAAGACCTTATGGAAATAGTTTGTCTCAGGAGTTTCTCAGTCATTTTGCCAGAAATAGACACAGGAGGAAAGGGAGAGAAAAACCTGATGCAAGGAAACCAGCTACTCAACCGACTGACCATTTTGCTTTAATAGAAGCCTCTTAAGAAGGAAACTAATTAAATGCACCTGCACTAAAATGATTACATGGCTATTATCTGCCCACTCAGAGAAAGAGAACCACAAAGTTCAAAACACAGCAAGCAGCAGGCTTAATTGTCTTTCGTAAGGAATGGCTTTTGTTTTGCGCAGTGCTCCATCAAAAACACTAAGTGTTAATATACCCTGTATAATCTATCTGGCCAGCTAACTAGTTTAATCCATCACACACCGTGTGAAAGTATACAAGCAGGTTGGTAATGACAAGTTAATAGTAGAGGCAGGAAATAAAATGGAGAAACACACTTTGATTGATGGTGCAGAACTATTAGGTGCTACTATGGATGGACTCTGTCTGGTTTTATATAGTGGCCAGTCAAAGCAAAATAGATCTAGTAATTTAAAACTTTAAACATATCCCCTCAATTAAAAATTTAAAAGGCCAGTGGTTGTATTGCATTCCTTTTGAACAATAAAAGTTCAATTACAGCCAACTCTCAAATATCTACAAGTGGATCTACCATAACAAATCTCAATCTCTGCTCCTCATTGCCCTGATTATCTGCTCTGCCAGCCCAACCCCCTTAGTTACCAAAATCTCTACTTTGCCTCTATGTACAATCTTATACCAAGCGCAACTGCATGAAAGAGATGGAGCATTTAAAACCAAACATTCGGTTACCTTCTTTGTCTGCAGAGACTATGGGAGAATAAGATATACCAATCTTAGAAGATCAGAGGGATCTACTTAGGCTGATGACTTACTGAAATCTGAAAATAATGCTATCCATGTTTAAGACCGTGAGAGAAAATTAGGAAGTCTCACAGAGGCAAAATGGGAAACACACATGGCTCTCCAGCACTTCTTATTGTTCAATATACTGGAGCATGGTAGAGTCAACTGAACCTCATAAGCAAAGCTGGTGCCCTCTTGGTCTGTTTGGTAGCTATAGAGCACAAATGGCCAATACTTTATAAATAAGTCCTCACATATTAGAATATGTGGTTGTCTAGGAATTTATTCCAGCAATAGAATCTTTGTCTTCCTCTCTCTCTCTCTCTCTTTCTCTTTCATACACACACATGTGATGTACATAAAAGATGAATCACTGTATTACCATTGCAACAGCAAAATAATAGAAACAACCTAATATGTCCATAAAGAGAGGACTGGTTAAATAAGTACGGTACAACCAGCAATGAGATTCTAATAGGTGTTAAAAAAGGAGAAAGAAATAACAAAGATCTCTCTATACTAATACGAAATTATCTCCGAGTCATATTGTCAAGGTTTTTTTTAAAAAAAGCAAAGTGCAGAAGACTGTATATACTATAATACCAGTTGTATTAAAAAACTGTGGCTACCCACACACATACTTCTTATATATGCATAAAATATCTCTCAAAAAACAACATAAGGACTTCATAACCTTGGCTGCCTCTAAGGCAGGAAACTGAGTGGATGGGGACAGGGATGGAGACACTTATTTTCATTATACACTTTCAAACCTTTTGCATTTTGAATGTATGAATATATTGCCTATTGAAAAGCAAAGAAATTGCCTCATTAGACCCCTTAATCTATGCTCCCAGCTCTCACATCCCTTGTTTCCCATCAATTTAGTCACTCTAGTTTCTCTATGTGTGCAGGCACACTATGATCCACAGGTTGTTCTTCTCTAATCTTCGTTTCTGTCTTGTCTATCTGCGTCAGGAATCACTTCTCATTAAAGAGATATCTCCGTTAATATTTTTCTGTGCCTCTCGGTTCCAACCTGACAGTTTAATATCAAATCATCTAGCAATGGTTTTAATTACGTCCACCTGAAGGTCCAGAAATAACTCAGCAGAGCCTCAGCTTAGCAGTGATTTTATGTCACTGACCTTTGGAATATAACCTACTTACTCACTATAAAATAAAGTTGATTCCTTCTCCTAAACGTGACTTCAGAGCCTTATATTGGTCCTACAAAGCTGCAAACTGGCTGTTTCCCTCTTGGATTCTCATACTCCACCCCAAAGCCCCCAAGCCCACTCAATCCACAGAGAAGTTGTCTTGACCAAACTCCAGGCAAGCAGAGAACTGAAGAGTTCAGTCCATTTCTGCTATCACTTCCCACAGCCACAGGATATCACAGATGAGGACCAGTCCCGACAGTTCCATCAGAGCTTTGCATGCTATAGTGATGCCTAGTGATGTAGTGATGCCTTTGCATACTGTAGTGGGATATTAGAGCACCAACTCTACATTCAGTTAAGGTTGGTGCAAAAGTAATTGTGGTTTTTGCCATTACTTTTAATAGCAAAAACCATAATAACTTTTGTACCAACCTAATATTTGCTCTTATTATCCAGCTTTGGACATATTGCCAGAGGTCTCCTGAATGGGCCACATGCTGATCAGCTCTGCTTACCACCTCAGGCTTCCTTGGAGGAGTTCCTTTTGTATCTCTGTGTGTCTTCTGCCAGTTGACCTACCCAACGGGTTTCCCTAACAAAATCTCAGGAAGCAGGGGCTGGGGTCTCAACCCCTCCTACTCTGAAGGCTCTTGATTCAGGCAAATTCTCCACAAGAATCAGCTCTGCAGGCTTAGCAGCCCCATTGAAGCTGCCAGGTATGCAAGGAGTATTTATTTACTTGCAGCTTGCATAACAAAGAGGGCTTACGCAAATTACTGTTTCTTGGACAAGGAAAGTCAAAGGTGGTCTGCTTTCTCTACCCTCAGATGCAGCAGAGGGTGACATAAGCCCTAATTCTCACCCAATCCCACCCCAGATACCCCACTTAACCCCCACTTAAGTGGACATCCTTTAAGTGGACATCCTTTTTAGAAAGCAGTTGCATTTCAGAACACCTAATTCATGATGTCACAGCCTATCATGGAAAAAAAAATTCATCATAGAAGGTCACTGACAGTATTGAGTCAGACTTTCAATTTTGAAATTCTAAGAAGTATCAAGAACACACCGGTCTACTAGACTGATCTTCATATCAGGATAATTTGAATCATTCAGTAGTCAGGGTGGTAGAGTAGAAACAGCATGAGTTTGGGCATTAGAAAGAACAGTGTTTGAAAATGGTCTTTTTAATTCATTAGCTACAACCTCAAACTACTTAATCCACAAGAACTCCCAATTGCTCACCTGTAAAATGGAGATTGTTCTAAGGAATAAAATGATTCAAAGTCTATAAAACACCTACTCTTATGTCATAGGCACTCACATTAGTTCCTATCCCTTAAAAACCCACCATCTACAAGGCCAATGTAATCATCTCTAAATTGGATTACATTAAAGGGATTTCATCATTTGAAATGACAATGCTATTCAAGGCATTGTTTCAGGACTGCAGGAGACTTAGACATGAAAATGACACCATGGTAAGCTGCTGGCTGACTGACCCAACGACAGTCACTCTCAACCACTTTCTACCTTGACACCATCCACTGTTAAAGCTAGAAGAGTGAAGGTGGCCAAATAGGAGCAGCTCCAGTCTGCAGCTCCCAGCGTGATCAACACAGAAGACGAGTGATCTCTGCATTTCCAACTGAGATACCTGGTTCCTCACATTGGGACTGGTCAGAATTGGGTGCAGCTCACGGAGGGCAAGCTGAAGCAGGGTGGGGCATCGCCTCACATGGGCAGTGCAAGGGGTTGGGGGATTTCCCTTTCCTAGCCAAGGGAAGCCATGACAAACTGTAATGGGAAAATCGGGACACTGCCACCTAAACACTTCACTTTTCTAATGGTCTTAGCAAACAGCAAATCAGGAGGTTATATCCCATGCCTGCCTCAGCAGGTCCCACACCCACAGAGCCTTGCTCACTGCTAGTCCAAGATCCAACTGCGAGGCAGCAAGCCTGGCTGAGGGAGGGGCGTCCGCCATTGCTGAGGCTTGAGTAGGTAAACAAAGATGCTGGGAAGATCAAAATGGGTGGAGCCCACCACAGCTCAAGGAGGCCTGCCTGCCTCTGTAGACTCCACCTCTGGGGGCAGGGCATAGCTGAACAAATGGCAGCCGAAACTTCTGCAGACTTAAACGTCTCTGTCTGACAGCTCTGAAGAGAGCAGTGGTTCTCCAAGCATGGTGTTTGAGCTCTGAGAATGGACAGACCGCCTCCTCAAGTGGGTCCCTGACCCCCGTGTAGCCTAGCTTGGAGACACCTCCCAGTAGGGGCTGACTGACACCTCATATGGCCGGGTGCCCCTCTGAGATGAAGCTTCCAGAGGAAGGATCAGGCAACAATATTTGCTGTTCTGCAATATTTTCTGTTCTGCAGCCTCCATTGTCGATACCCAGGCAAAGAGGGTCTGGAGTAGACCTCTAGCAAACTCCAACAGACCTGCAGCTGAGGGACCTGACTGTTACAAGGAAAACCAACAAACAGAAAGGAATAGCATCAACATCAACCAAAAGGACATCCACACCAAAACCACATCTGTACGTCACCATCATCAAAGACCAAAGGTAGATAAAACCACAAAGATGGGGAGAAACCAGAGCAGAAAAGCTGAAAATTCTAAAAACCAGAGCATCCCTTCTCCTCCAAAGGATCACAGCTCCTCACCAGCAATGGAACAAAGCAGGACGGAGAATGTCTTTGATGAGTTGACAGAAGTAGGCTTCAGAAAGTCGGTAATAACAAACTTCTCTGAGCTAAAGGAGGATGTTTGAACCCACGGCAAGGAAGCTAAAAACCTTGAAAAAAGATTAGACAAATGGCTAACTAGAATAAACAATGGAGAGAAGACCTCAAATGACCTGATGGAGCTGAAAACCATGGCACAAGAACTACATGACGCATGCAGAAGCTTCAGTAGCTGATTTGATCAAGTGGAAGAAATGGTATCAGTGATTGAAGATCAAATTAACGAAATGAAGTGAAAAGAAAAGAGAAGTTTAGAGAAAAAAGAGTACAATGAACAAAGCCTCCAAGAAATATGGGATTATGTGAAGAGACCAAATATATGTTTGATTGGTGTACCTGAAAGTGACAGGGAGAATGGAACCAAGTTGGAAAATACTCTGCAGGATATTATCCAGGAGAACTTCCCCAACCTAGCAAGGCAGGTCAACACTTAAATTCAGGAAATACAGAGAACACCACAAAGATACTCCTTGAGAAGAGCAACCCCAAGACACATAATTGGCAGATTCACCAAGGTTGAAATGAAGGAAAAAATGCTAAGGGCAGCCAGGGAGAAAGGTCGAGTTACACACAAAGGAAAGCCCATCAGACTAACAGCAGATCTCTCGGCAAGAAACCCTACAAGCCAGAAGAGAGTGGGGGCCAATATTCAACATTCTTAAAGAAAAGAATTTTCAACCCAGAATTTCATATCCAGCCAAACTAAGCTTCATAAGTGAAGGAGAAATAAAATACTTTACAGACAAACAAATGCTGAGAGATTTTGTCACCACCAGGCCTGCCTTACAAGAGCTCCTGAAGGAAGCACTAAACACGGAAAGGAACAACCAGTACCAGCCACTGCAAAAACATGCCAAATTGTAAAGACCATTGACACTAGGAAGAAACTGCATCAACTAACAGGCAAAATAACCAACTAACATCATGACAGGATCAGACTGACACATAACAATATTAACCTTAAAAGTAAATGAGCTAAATGCCCCAATTAAAAGACACAGACTGGCAAATTGGATAAAGAATCAAGACCCATCAGTGTGCTGTATTCAGGAGACCCATCTCATGTGCAGAGACACATATAGGCTCAAAATAAAGGGATGGAGGAAGATGTATCAAGCAAATGGAAAGCAAAAAAAAGCAGGGGTTGCAATCCTGGTCTCTGATAAAACAAACTTTAAACCAACAAAGATCAAAAGAGACAAAGAAGGCCATTACATAATGGTAAAGGGATCAATTCAACAAGAAGAGCTAAGTATCCTAAATATATATGCACCCAATATAGGAGGACTGAGATTCATAAACCCAGTCCTGAGAGACCTAAAAAGAGACTTAGACTCCCACACAATAATAATGGGAGATTTTAACACCCCACTGCCAACATTAGACAGATCAACGAGACAGAAGGTTAACAAGGATATCCAGGAATTGAACTCAGCTCTGCACCAAGCAGACCTAATAGACATCTACAGAACTCTCCACCCCAAATCAACAGAATATACAGTCTTCTCAGCACCACATCACACTTATTTGAAAATTGACCTCATAGATGGAAGTAAAGCACTCCTCAGCAAATGTAAAAGAATAGAAATTACAAAGAACTGTCTCTCAGACCACAGTACAATCAAACTAGAAATCAGGATTCAGAAACTCACTCAAAACCGCACAACTACATGGAAAATGAACAACCTGCTCCTGAATGACTACTGGGTACATAACGAAATGAAGGCAGAAATAAAGATGCTCTTTGAAACCAATGAGAACAAAGACACAACGTACCAGAATCTCTGGGACACATTTAAAGCAGTGTATAGAGGGAAATTCATAGCACTAAATGCCCACAAGAGAAAGCAGGAAACATCTAAAATCGACACCCTAACATCATAATTAAAAGAAGTAGAGAAGCAAGAGCAAACAAATTCAAAAGCTAGCAGAAGGCAGAAATAACTAAGATCAGAGCAGAAGTGAAAGAGATGGAGACACAAAAAACCCTTCAAAAAATCAATGAATCCAGGAACTGGTGTTTTGAAAAGGTCAACAAAATTGATAGACCACTAGCAAGACTAATAAAGAAGAAAAGAGAGAAGAACCAAATAGATGCAATAAAAAATGATAAACAGGATATCACCACTGATCCCACAGAAATACAAACTACCATCAGAGAACACTATAAACACCTCTATGCAAATAAACTAGAAAATCTAGAAGAAATGGATAAATTCCTCGACACATACACTCTCCCAGGACTAAACCAGAGAGAAGTTAAATCACTGAATAGACCAATAACAGGCTCTGAAATTGAGGGAATAATTAATAGACTACCAACTAAAAAAAGTCCAGGACCAGAAGGATTCACAGCCAAATTCTACCAGAGGTACAAAAAGGAGCTGGTACCATTCCTTCTGAAACTATTCCAATCAATAGAAAAAGAGGGACTCCTCCCTAACTCATTTTATGAGGCCAGCATCATCCTGATACCAAAGTCTAGCAGAGACACAACAAAAAAAGAGAATTTTAGACCAATATCCCTGATGAACATCAATGCAAAAATCGTCAATAAAATACTGGCAAACCGAACCTAGCAGCACATCAAAAAGCTTATCCACCAAGATCAAGTGGGCTTCATCCCTGGGATGCAAGGCTGGTTCAACATACACAAATCAATAAATGTAATCCATCACATAAACAGAACCAATGACAAAAACCACATGATTATCTCAACAGATGCAGAAAAGGCCTTCGACAAAATTCAACAGCACTTCATGCTAAAAACTCCCAATAAACTAGATATTGATGGAACGTATCTCAAAATAATAAGAGCTATTTATGACAAACCCACAGCCAATATCATACTGAATGGGCAAAAACTGGAAGCATTCCCTTTGAAAACTGGCACAAGACAGGGATGCCCTCTCTCACCACTCCTATTCAACATAGCGTTGGAAGTTCTGGCCAGGGCAATCAGGCAAGAGAAAGAACTAAAGGGTATTGAATTAAGAAAAGAGGAAGTCAAATTGTCCCTGTTTGCAGATGACATGATTGTATATTTAGAATACCCCATCGTCTCAGCCCAAAATCTCCTTAAACTGATAAGCAACTTCAGCAAAGTCTCAGGATACAAAATCAACGTGCAAAAATCACAAGCATTCTTGTATACCAATAAAAGACAAACAGAGAGCCAAATCATGAGTGAACTCCCATTCACAATTACTACAAAGAGAATAAAATACCTAGGAATCCAACTTACAAGGGATGTGAAGGACCTCTTCAAGGAGTACTGCAAACCACTGCTCAACAAAATAAAAGAGGACGCAAACAAACGGAAGAACATTCCATACTCATGGATAGGAAGAATCAATATTGTGAAAATGGCCATACTGCCCAAGGTAATTTATAGATTCAATGCCATCCCCGTCAAGCTACCAATGACTTTCTTCACAGAATTGGAAAAAACTACTTTAAAGTTCATATGGAACCACAAAGAGCCCACATTGCCAAGACAATCCTCAGCAAAAAGAACAAAGCTGGAGGCATCATGCTGCTTTATTTCAAACTACACTACAAGGCTACAGTAACAAAAACAGTATGGTACTGGTACCAAAACAGAGATACAGACCAATGGAACAAAACACAGGCCTCAGAAATAACACCACACATCTACAGCTATCTGATCTCTGACAAACCTGACAAAAACAAGAAATGGGGAAAGGATTCCCTATTTAATAAATGGTGCTGGGAAAACTAGCTAGCCATATATAGAAAGCTGAAACTGGATCCCTTCCTTACACCTTATACAAAAATTAATTCAAGATGGATTAGACTTAAATGTTAGACCTAAAGCCATAAAAACCCTAGAAGAAAACCTAGGCAATACCATTCAGGACATAGGCATGGGCAAGGACTTCATGACTAAAACACCAAAAGCAATGGCAACAAAAGCCAAAATTGACAAATGGGATCTAATTAAACCAAAGAGCTTCTGCACAGCAAAAGAAACTACCATTGGAGTGAACAGGCAACCTACAGAATGGGAGAAAATTTTTGCAATCTCCCCATCTAACAAAGGGCTAATATCCAGAATCTACAAAGAAATTAAACAAATTTACAAGAAAAAAATCAAACAACCCCATCAAAATGTGAGCAAAGGATATGAAAGACACTTTTCAAAAGAAGACATTTATGCAGCCAACAGACATATGACAAAATGCTCATCATCACTGGTCATCAGAGAAATGCAAAGCAAAACCACAACGAGATATCATCTCACACCAGTTAGAATGGCAATCATTAAAAAGTCAGGAAACAACAGGTGCTGGAGAGGATCTGGAGAAATAGGAACACTTTTACACTGTTGGTGGGACTGTAAACTACTTCAACCATCGTGGAAGACAGTGTGGCCATTCCTCAAGGATCTAGAACTAGAAATACCGTTTGACCCAGCCATCCCATTACTGGGTATATACCCAAAGGATTATAAAACATGCTACTATAAACACACATGCACACGTATGTTTACTGCGGCACTATACACAATAGCAAAGACTTGGAAGCAACCCAAATGTCCAACAATGATAGACTGGATTAAGAAAATGTGGCACATATACACCATGGAATACTATGCAGCCATAAAAAAGGTTGAGTTCATGTCCTTTGTAGCGACATGGCTGAAGCTGGAAACCACCATTCTGAGCAAACTGTCGCAAGGACAGAAAACCAAACACCACATGTTCTCACTCATAAATGGGAATTGAACAATGAGAACACTTGGACATGAGGCAGGGAACATCACATACCAGGGCCTGTCATGGGATGGGGGGATGAGGGAGGAATAGCATTAGGAGAAATACCTAATGTAAACAACAAGTTAATGGGTGCAGCAAACCAACATGGCACATGCATCCATATGTAAGAAACCTGCTCGTTGTGCACATGTACCCTAGAACTTAAAGTATAATAAAAACAATAAAATAAAAATAAAATAAAATTTAATTTAATTTAAAAAAAAGCTAGAAGAGTTAAATACCCACTTTACCAGGCTTCGCTTCAATGGGGAATAGCCAGGTACATGGCTCTGGGTAAGGAGATGGTAAGTCAAAAGTCTACTAGCAGGTTTTTAAGAATCAAAAGGAATAGAAATGGCTGCTGCTCCCCTTCCTCTTCTTTCCTGCCCTTAATGTTAATGGCTGGAGGGACAGCAGCCCTCTTACAACAATGAAGCAACAAGCATGAGGAAAAGACCAAGAGAATTGCAATGAAACTCACCCTGAGGCTGGGCATGGTAGCTCATGCCTGTAATCCCAGCACTTTGGGAGGCCAAGATGGGCAGATCACTTGAGACGAGGAGTTCGAGACCAGCCTGGCCAACATGGCAAAACCCTTTCTCTACGAAAAATACAAAAAAATTAGCCAGGTGTAGTGGCACTCACCTGTAATCCCAGCTACTCGGGAGGCTGAGCCACATGAATCTCTTGAACCTGGGAGGCAGAGGTTGCAGTGAGCCGAGATCTTGCCATTGCACTTCAGCCTTTGTGAAGGAGTGAGACTCTGTCTCAAAAAAAAAAAAAGAAAAGAAAAGAAACTCGCCCTGTTATCATTAAGCCAACCAACCAACCCCAGAAGCTGCCTAACTCTGGAATTCTTATTCTATGAAATAATTCAACCCCTATTTGTTTCAACCTCTTACCAAAGTTTTCTGCTACTTGTTGCTAAACACATTCTTAAATGACACAAATGCTGCCCTCAAGAAGCCCATATTCTAGTGGTAGAATAAGATATGTTTTCAAATTTCAGAAATACGAAGTGGAAGTTATAAGCATGACTTGACAGAATATAATAAATTATATACAAGTCACAATTACAGTCACAATACCCAAATATTTTAGGGAATCATGGTAGAGACATTGCATATTTAAATGTAGTACTTTATTCCATAGTCAGCATTCTAAAATATGAGTACATTACTGCATATAGCTGAGCTCCTCAGGAAATACAAATGAAAGACACATTGCTTGGAAAATATCCAATTTTGTATATATTTATCTTTTCAGATATATGAAAACCATAAAGCAAAAGGATTTAGAAGAACTGTAGAGAATCTCACAATGCCTAAGGTTATAAAAAGTCAAATTTCCAAATTTATGGCACAACACACATTTGGTTTGCTAGTTTGCCAAGCATTTCTTTGTAAACACTACATAGGTATGACAAAGTTTCCTATTTGCCTAGTACTATAGATAAAGCAAATACGTAAATTGAATAGGCTGCAGGTATCTTCACTTACTGAATTTTTCTATTGCTATTATGTCACGCTGAGTTTAAGTGAAAAGTTTAGAGTGTATAGTATGTTTTGCATAGACTGTATCAGAAGAGAGTTAACAGTATTTTAGTGATTCTGTTTTGCAATGTGTGTGCTATTAGCATAAAGTCTGAAATACAGGCATATTTTTCCAGTTATTTACTGCATAATTCTTAGAATAATGGGACACTAACATAAGTCTCGTGCTTTAAAACATTTCAATTGAGTTTGCATCCAAAATGGCATTGCATTACCAACAGAGACTTCACTAGGTCCAAAGGTGACAGAGCTGGCAGTCTATGAATGATAATTTAAAAAACACTGAGTTATCCTCAAAACACTAAAGCTCCAGTGCTGACTTGGGATACTGCTATCTGTGCATTGTCTGAGATGTCACTTAATCTCTCTGAGCACCAATCTTCTCATGGGTAAAATTTGCAGATTAACACTTATCTCACAAGCTCATTAGAAATGTCAAATAAGAGAAAAGGTAGTGCCTGTGCCTTTTAAACTATAAAGTATGGCACAACTATAGGGCAAGAACACTTCTGGTTGCATGACTGAATCAGAACAATCTTGAGATGTGTGTTAAGTTTTCTACGCTTCCAGTTGGTCTAAAACTCGCAGAGTATAGTCTTTTCTAGGAAATATGTGCTTCTCTGTTCAATGAAATTTCAAAAACATAGAAGCACATAGAAAATCTATATGTTTTTTATTTACGTATGTATTCAACATTTATTGAGTGCTGACTATTGCAACACCGTAACAGTGCCCAAAGATGTAAGGGTAAGTAGGATACACTTGCCTGACCTCCAGAAGCCCAGGGTTTTATAAGAGCTATAACCACACGAGCATGTAGATTATAATATACTGTGACGTGGATTAGTAATCAAAGGTGTTCAGGCAGTTGGTAGTCTTTAAAAGGAGGTGAATGGAACACTTTTAATCTCTTAATTACAATCTGAGAGATCTGGGGAACCAGAAGAAGGGAAAAGAGCTGGGTAAAGACAAATTTTCTCTGTGTCACAGTTTGCTTGGAACCTGCTGTTCAAGCAAAATTTCTCCACGAGCTAATTTCAAGAGCTTCTTTGGAGCCCCTCACATGATGTGTGGTCTTGGTCTGCTGAATCCCTGATGGCAATAAACTCTGTTAAAAGAGACCATAAATGATGAACTGTAATAAAATCCCTTACCCACTTTTGGTTGATGTATTCTTCGCTTTAAGAAATATTTTTGTGATTCAGTGGTCTTTTTGACCTGAAGTCGGGATTGGATAGCATGTTCCTCCCAATCCTGAGCTGGAATCTTTCACCTCAACACAACCACATTCTGCTTACTGTAAAAGCGCTTCCTCGCACCATTATTAAACTGTCAGTACCACAAGATTTTTGTGAGAAATCAAAGTAGATTTTATCCACTCAAAAAACATTTCCTGAGGGGCTATTAGACCCCGAGCATTAGGAACACAGAGCTAGCTGAGACATAGTCTTTGCCTTCAAAGTCCCTACAATCTAGAAAGAGTGACAGCCACAGGATTAAACCTCCCCCAGTAAAATGCTAAAGAGGCCATAAAACAAGGTGCAGTGGAGGCATGAGGGATATACAATGGGGGTTTCCCAAAAGCTCAGAAAACTCAGGGAAGGGGTGAGTGTTGAAATAGGAACAGGTATTCACCAAACGAAGGCACAAAGCTGTGGAACAATCTAGTGTGCTCCGTGAACAACAAGCATTTTCCATAGCTAGAGTATGGGCTATAACAGGACGCAAGGTGGGAGCCGACATCAAGGAAAACTTAGACTAAAAAAACCCCAGGTGCCATGCTAAGGTCTTAAACTCAGCAGAGCTCTCCCAAGGGATTTTCATCTGGTTTTAACGTCAGGTGACTATTGAGGAAGGTGTCAGGCCCGTGTCTGCCATAGAAGGGCAGCTGACGGCTCACTACAGCAGGAGAACATTTCCAAGCTTTCACTGCGTTTAACACCTAAGACTCAGAGACCATATCAAAAAAGCAAAATTGAGATCGCTGATTAGGTCCTCAAGTGCTGAAGGGATGGCTTTTAAAGTGGTCACATATCCTGGAAATAGGCAAAGATAAAGCACCTTCCCAGCCATTCCCCAATCCAGGAACTTCTCCTGGTACCTGATAGGAGTTCAACAGAATCAATCAGGAATTCAGTGCAAAAGGTACTGCTGCTGGACTCCCACTGTGGACTCAGCCATCCCATAGATCACAGAAGAAACCGGACACTATGCCAAGTGACTTTGAAGTCATCAGCTTCTCTGAAAGAAAAGAACAACTTATTCTACCACCAGAAGAATAAAACAGTCCTTATTTTACCACTAGAAGTAAAAAACAGTTCTCAGCAATGAAGCATTCACTCTGTTCAGGGGAATCTTTCACCAGAGCTCTCTAAAAGCAAAGTCCCCCCACACCCACATCAAAAGATTTAGTGCAAACACAGGGTAGGGGGCTAGTTCTGGCTAGGACTCCGTATGATGTTCTTTTTTGCTAAGTGGCTTGCAGGAACGCTAGGGAAGTGGCTAATGTTGAATTGGACAGCAGAGCTTGCTGCTTTGCGGTGTGTGCTGGCCTCTAGTGGAGGCCCCACCCCCAAGTCCAGTTCTCATTCAAAGACAATTAACAAGGTTGATCAGGCTTAAGAACATTTTTATTAACAGTTACACTAATAGGTGGGGCTCTTTACTCTGCTAATAAGTTAGGAGGTAAGATAACAGTCAAGGTAAGATAGATAGATAGATAGATCGATAGATAGATCGATAGATCGATCTTACAATACCTGTGTAGCAGGTAGGAATTCCTTAGGCCACAAGCTGAGGTGAGGAAATAAATGTATCTTTAAAATGCAAATCAAAGCCACAATGAGATACCATCTCACATCAGTCAGAATGGCCATTATTAAAAAGTCAAAAAACAAGAGAAGCTAGAGAAAAGAGAACAAATGCTTATATGCTGTTGGTGAGAATGTAAATTAGTTCAGCCACTGTGGAAAGCAATTTGGAGATTTCTCAAAGAACTTAAAACAGAACTACCATTCAACCCAGAAATCCCATTACTGGCTATGTACCCGAAAGAAAACAAATTGTCCTACCAAAAAGACACATGCACTTGTATTGCAGCACTATTCACAATAACAAAGACATGGATCAACCTAGGTGCCCCTCAATGGCAGATTAGATAAAGAAAATACGGTATACATACACCATGGGATACTATGCAGCCATAAAAAAGAATGAAATCATGTCCTTTGCAGCAATATGGATGCAACTGAAGGCCATTATCCTAAACAAATTAACTCAGGAACAGAAAACCAAATACCACATGGTCTCACTTTTAAGTGGGAGCTAAACATCAGGAACTAATGGACGTAAAAAGGGCAATAATGGAAACGGGACTGTAACAGGGAGAGCAAGGAAGGAGGGCAAGGGTTGAGAAAACTACTAGGCAATATGCTCATACCTGTGTGATGGGATCATCTGTACCCAAAACCTAATTATCATGCAATATATCCAGGTAACAAACCTGCACATGTACCCCCTGAATCTAAAATTAAAGCTGAGTGGGGGGGAGAATTTTAAGTGAAGTGCTAACAAGATAAATAAATAAAGTGCCTCTATTTTTATATCATTTCTATCTCAAGCCCCCTTTTCGCCTGGTAACAGAAGCTCCATCTTGGACCTTTTAGAATAAAAACTCAGGCAACCCAGAATGTTCTGTCTATGCCTTTGTCTAGAGCTTTTGCCCCACTGAGCCATGTCGTGCTCCTCTGATAAGGAGAAGGTGTCTCGTCCTCCGTCACTGCCGCTTCTCCACAGAGGCATCACCTAGATGGATGTGCCTCGCCAACGGTGCCAGTAGCCTGTGTCTTTTTGCATCTGTCCTGGAGGTGTCAAGGTCCCTATGTGGCCACTGCATCCGAGTCCTCATCTGGTCCATTGGTCCTCTCTCAGATAGGTTAGAGGCCTTCTCTCAGGTGGTACGGGGGCTTCTGAATGTTCTCCCATGCTACCCTAGGACTATGGGAAAGTCAATGGGGCCATCTCAGGTTCTCTTTGCTGAGAGACATGCCATATGCCAAACTGGATGAGCCAAGAGACCTGAGAAGCGAAGCACCTTCCTGGGCTTCACCTGAAAAGCAAGACACACACCTGCTCTCCCCTAGGACCCCTACTGAGCTGTGAGCCTTCAGTCATGGCCCCGCATCCAACTGCCCAGCTTTCCTTACAACTCTGCTGCCTCCTGCCCAGGAGACTCTCTCTGGGCTAGATGGGTAGTTAAAGCCAGCTCACTCTCGCCAGCCTCTTGTTTCTGGCACACACAAAGCCCAGGTTCCTAGAGCAATAAAATTTCCCCTACCTCCACCTCTCACAACTCTTATTTCTGTCATGAGTTTCAAAAAGCCAAGTACTCTTCTTGTTCTTTGAGATTCCCATCTGTTGCACCCCTAAACCAAGGGCAGCCACTGACTGAATAAAAAAAGGCCAAAAAATCACAAGAACTAGCTGAATAAAAAACACAGCGGTTGATATATCTAAATATATATCACACCACCACATTGGTTGCTGTCATGAAGCTAAAGATATAGGATGGTTCTGGGCCTGTTCCCACGCAGGAGAGGCCCCAGCCCAGTCTCTGTCTCTCTCTGTCTCTCTGTCTCTCTCTCTCTCTCTCCCCCTCTCCTTCTCCCCTCACCCCTCTTGCTTGCAATGTGGTTCAGAGGTGCAGAACTCTTCTGAGAAGAGGCACAACCACCACTTCTTATTCTTCCTGCTAAGCAGCCAAGGCATGGAGCAACATATGAACTGCCCCTAAAAATGCTTATGGTAGAGGGTTAGCAGAGCCAGCTCAGCTGTGAATCCTGCAGGGGAAAAGTAAAACCTCTCTGGTTTCTTTCTCCAGCTTAGACAAAAGATAGTTTCTATGTGGTCTCCTCTAGATCACTAGAATTTTGCAAGCAGGTTTAAGCTTCAGAAGTTACTTTGTACAGAGGACATCAGGGAAGTCTTCATGCAAGAGTTGGCATTTGACCTGAGTCTTAAGGGATGTGAAGGATGAGCAGAGGGGATTCCAGGGAAGGAATCAACACAAATAAAAGCCTAGAGTTGGGAACACATATCATGGTCCAAGGGAAAGGGGTAAGTTAAAGATGACCCCAAAATTCCATTCCTGGGTTATCAGGCAGATGGTGAAGCTCTTAATAGAACTTCTGTTCAGAAGTTCTGAGGCTTCTTGTTTGGCATTTATTGTAGGCAGCTATGTGTTCTATTTTTCTGTATATATCTTGCCTTCTTGAAAAGAGATCATTTTTTATTCATTTACTTATCCATGTATCTTCCTTGCAACTTTAAAGGAAATAATCAACATACACTGTAATATCTGAAAATGCATCACAAAAGGTATTCCTTGACCTGCTCACTGGCTATTCTTCGTTAAAGAAAATATTGCCAGAATTGTAGATTGCTATATTTTTCTCAAATTACTTTTGAAAATCTTGCAGATGATGGAAAATTGACATATTTCTTCCCTATGTATCTTAGGCTATAGTTTGGGTGAAATTAATATAACAAATCATTAGTGTTAATGATTTAACCTTCAAAATGTTATTCTAAACATTCAAAATATTATTTCTCAGAGTCCTTTGACTCATTTGCTATTTACCATGCCAACAAGGTAGTTTTCTCCTAACGTGAAAAAAAAGTATGACTCTATACTTGTTGTAAATAGATTCTAAAAATTATTTGAGTCCAGCTGGAAATATAAATGTCTAACTGCCAAAGCACATCCTGATTCTATTTTTTGATAGCGTCACAAGACATACAAGAGAGAAGCAAACAGAAATGCCTTTCGTTTTGTCTAAAACACACTCCTCTCAGTTTTTCTCTCATCATATCAAGAAATCCCTTCAGGCCGAGCTGGGCGCAGGTCAGTTCAGCAGGGTGTTGGACCGGGTTTGCTTCAAAAGCCCTGTCTTCCCATCTTCTCCCATGATAGAATAAATGTCCATAACATGAGAGGCTTGCTCTTGTTTCTTGCAGGAGAAATATAGTCCTTGGTTTTATCCTCCTGCTCCTGCCTATTACACATGCCATCCATCAAATCAAACACCAGAGCGTCAGAAACTAGGAGGGATTCTGTGCAGAAGAGTTCCTGAGAATTTGGATAAAGAGCCCAGTGATTTCTGTATTTGGAGCAGCATTTTGAAATCCTAGCCTAAGGAAAGTTGAAAAAACACTATTTGGAAGCTCACACCTGATTCTGCTTGCTTATTTGAGAGTACCTGAAAAATTCTTACTATCCTCAGGAAATATAATCATCTGTCTTTCCTTTCCCAGTGAAGAAGATTTGCCTACCTAGAATTTTAAAATCTAATACTTAAATTGTTCTGCAAGTTTCTTTGTCTTTGCTCATTCCTACCTCTTCACCTCCACATTTTCTTTCCCCAAACCAGAGAAACACAACACACGGTTTATCCTCCTAAAAGCTAAAGGAGCACAGCTACTCTCCACAATCTTTTGGTTTGGACCAACCCATTCATCTCAACCTGACAGAGACCTTGTTTTTCTTTGAATATCCTGAAATTAATACTGCCCATTCCTATTCTGGAGTCAGAGAAGCTTGTGGCCCAACACAACAGCAGGTAGCACTAGAAAGTGAAGAGGCACCAGCTCCCAGGAAATAGCTCGTGTTCTTGCAGAATTGTATCTGCTCTTCATTCAACCTAGAATCACAGCAATTTTAGAGCCACCGGAGACCCAAACAACATGTAGTCCTATCCTGACAGCTTCCCCACTTCCAGAACATATCCCAGGTCCAAGAAGCTCAGATGTAAGACAGACGTTGGGAAGATGGATCACCTGCCTTGAACTCATTTTTACAGCTGATTTGACCCCTGAGTACTTTGATTTCTGGCTACCTCAATTTCCAAACTTATTTCTCCCATTTCCTCTGAGGCTGACCTTCTCCACCTCCACATTCTATTTGTCCTGCCTTGCTGGCTTTCAGCTTTTATGCTCCATTTCCTAAATTCCACCCAGAATTTTCCTTCAGACTCATCCTCTCAATGGACTCCTAACCTGCCAGTGAGCCCTGCCAGATGAACCATATGGGATCATCCTGAAACCCCCAACATCCCTGACCCAAGAGAGCCAGCCTCATGAGCTGGTTGCTAGAAAGTCTAACCTCTTTGCTGCATAAATGAGGAAACTGAAGCCAAAGGTCAAGTTTATGATGGAACAAGATTTGAATCTTGTATCCTGGCTCCAAATCATGGGCTCAGTCTTCTACACGCATTTCAGGACAAATCAATGAAATTACCACTTTGCCTTAGTTTGATCTCAACCATTGGCTACCTTCATCCTTATCTCCCTGTCTGCGAACTCTGTGGGGTTTTTTTTCCTAATCTCAGTACCAGCTCTGGCCCCTGACACGTTTGCAATGGGTGCTCTTCTGGATTCCCCTCCTTTTCATGAGTCTGCAGCACACACACAGAACTATTCTAACACAGGAGGTATTTCAGGGAAGAATTGTTATCTTAAAAGCTTGCTTAGAATAAGGGGAATCAATCAACCAGAAAGCAGGGCATTGAAGATTAACCTCTGGTCCAGGTACTGTGAAAAGGAGAAGAAGGAAACCTACATTTTTTGTGTACTTTCTTTGAGCCAGGCATTACGATCTGTGCGTTATACATATAGCTAGCATCATATTTTGAGCCAAAGCCTTCTACTGCTCACTCCTAATGATTCAGACATGTCTAAAAAGGTTTGGCAAGCTAGTGGGACAGACTGCAAGGGTTGAAATAGAAACTGCTAGTTGCCTACCCAAATCCATTCTCACTGTCTTCCTCAGCAAAGAGCACATATTGTTGGATCCAACAATGTGTCCAGCTACAAGACTTTTTCCAGCGTCTCTCTCAGTAAAGTGTAACCATGGAACTAAGTTCTGCCAATGAATGTGAGGCTTCTGAGAAGTCTCCTTAACAAAGTTGGAATGTCCCCTTCTCCTTCCTTCATTGTGTGTTGCCTGGAACTCAGATCTAATGGAGGAGATGGCCATCCAAGACCTGAGAATAAGAGCTCCAGGCAGAGCAGAGTAATAATCTAGAAGGAATCTGGTCCCTGATGACATCAAGGACTCACCAAACTGTACTGCCTTCCTCTAGACTTCTTTCACATAACAGATAAATTAAAAGGATTTTTTTTTCATTTCTTACATTAAATGCAACAAACCTAGTCCCAGCTAAAACAAAAAGCATGCACTAAAAAGTAGAAGAACAAAAGGATGAAAGGGGCCTCAGTCTCTGACACTATCATGAAGCTGCCCTGCTTTAACATTACTTGAGAGAAAAATAAAGCTTCTAGATTATTTAAGGCTTCCTGGAGGAGATGGGGTCTGAGTTAGAGTTTCCATCAGCTTGAGGGAGACTCTTCTCTACTTGGGCTGTTCCTTGAGCCACCAGGAACTCTCTTTGGTTTCTACGGAGTTTTGATAACCATGGTCAATGCTACCTGTGATTCTGGAGCATTCCTGCTACCACAGATGGGGCCCAATTGCTTGAGCCATCACTCAACACCTGGCTTCCTAAAGGAGGTTGTGAAAGTGCCTGCAACTCTCAAGCCCTGAGCTGGTGTTTGATGCAGCGGTTTCTCCAGGTCCTCTCTGTGAGAAAGGACAGGAAAGGGCCCAGGGGAAAAAAGAAATCCTGGTGCCTATCCCAGTGATTCACTGTTACCAACTCAAAACCGTGAGAGAGAACACAAGCACAATTTAGGGCTCCATTCTCTCAACTTCTCACCCAGCTCTGGTCCTTTACAATGTTTACTGTGCAGCCATCTGTGAATATCTTTGTGAAACTAGTTAAAGCCTTTTATGAGACCCTAAACTTCTAGTTACACTAATTTCCCAGCCCCCCACGTGAATTAGGTCTTGAGTAAACAAAAGGCAGACTTGAGGCTGGAGAGCAATTGTACCGTGTTAAACGGTGCGTTTAACAGGGCCAGCCCACAGATTTTTCCGTTCCCATCCCTGGGCGTGCAGGCAGCACCAAAGCCCATATAATGGACTCTTTATGTGGTACTTGGTTAGAAAAACGTATTGACAAAGAATCACAGACAAATCATAGCTGTGACCTTTAGTGCTGAAACAAGGTTTTCCTTGGGAGTGATTTAATTACCCATGCAGCTCACTGGCTGCACACATTAGCAGACTCTGTCTTTCCAAAGGCCACGGCCAGGCCAGGCTGGTTTGTCTTTCCTGTGAATGTGTGCCCAAGTGCTGCTCCTGTAACGAGGCTCTGTTGTGCCATACAAGGATAAACAGCGCACAGCATCCAGCTGGACTCTGCCAGCCTGAACGATCGCTTCCCAGGCACCTGCTGCCCAAGCCGACCTTGGATCTAGCAGTGCCCCTGGCCTCAGACTCATCGTTCAGATGAATGATGCAGATGCTGGTGCCAGGCCCTGTGGCCTGCTGCAACATGGCTAGACTTTGACTACCAGGTGTAGGAACAGGGGTAGGGGGCCGGGGCTACATTGTGAGGTGAAATATGCTTGTCTTTGCCTCTCTTAGTGCACACTGCCTTCCTCTAGCCTGAGCTCTTCTTGGTCTTGCATTTCTGAGAGCTTGAGGAAAGCAGAAACTATACACTAAAAGCCATGAATTCTATGATTCTGTTTATATGAAACAGCCAGAAAAGGCAGATCCATAGAGACAGAAAGCAGATTATTGGTTGCCACTGGCTGGGGCAGGGGGAATGGAGAGTGATGGCTTCATGAGTCTGGGGCTTCTGTTTGGGCACTGGTGTTCTGTTTGTGATAGAAAGGTTCTAAAACTAGATAGTGGTGATGGTTGTACAACATTGTGAATGTCAACATGTCTCCAAATTGTATACCTTAAAATGGTTAAAACAGTAAATTTTATATTATGCATATTTTAGCACATTTTCAAAAATATGACTGAAGGATTGGGTTGCAAGGGGAGGAATTGGATATACTTACTCCCAAGATCCCAGAAGACAAAACTAAGACCAGTGAGAGAGTTTCCATGAGGCAGGTTACAGCTTATCATGTAAATAGAGGGGAAAGTGCCATTTAGAACAGGCCTACTGTGAGCCAAGGGCCCTTCAGTCCTCATTTCCTTGAAACCCACAACTCTTATGTAAGGGAGGTTTTATTATCCTTATTTAATAGATGAGGAAAAGATGCCTCCCAGAAGCTAAAACTATTTTCTCAAGGACACAGAGCTAACAGGAGGTAGAGCTAGGTTCTTCTACTCTACAGACTGTCTTTTTTTTTTTTTTTTTTTTTTTTTTTTTTTTTTTTTTTTTTGAGATAGAGTCTTGCTCTGTCAATTAGGCTGGAGTGCAGTGGTATAATCATGGCTCACTGCAGCTTAGACCTCCTAGGCTCAAGTCAGGCTCCCACCTCACCCTCCCCTGTAGCCAGGCATGTATCACCACACCTGGCTAATATTTTTATTTATTTTATGGAGACAGAGTCTCACTATGGTACTCAGGCTGGTCTTGAACTCCTGGCCTCAAATGATCCTCCCACCTTGGCCTCCGAAAATGCTGGGACTACATGCATGAGCCACCACACCCAGCCTGAAACTGTGCCTTTTTTAATAAGCCAGTGCCTCTGCAAATTTTCTACTGAAGTCTCCCTAAATATCCCATAGCAAGAGTGAAATGATACATCAAGGTGAATAGACAGAGCCCAGAGGAGTTGCTGAGTGTAAGTCAGTATAATGTTTTGGCTCTCAAATTCATGTTGGTTTTACATGCTTGCTCTATTATCTTAGATTAGTATTTTTCTTAAGTACTAGAATAAAGTTTTCATCAAAATCTTTAAGCAAAAGTATCATTCTGGGAAAATGGTCCATGTTTATCCTGAAGCCTCCCATCTCCCTTCACATTTTCTTAGGGGCCTGCATACTCCAATTTGAGAAGCTGGCACTAGGCTGGCTGCTATCCAAAAGGGAAAGGGAGAGGGAGTGAGGAAAGTGACAGGGAGGGAAGGAGAGAGGAAGGGAGGAATTCTCTGCTACTGGAATTTTCCTGCACTGGGCTCTGATGTATAAGAATTCATAAAAAGCAGGGGTTGAGGTTGGGCCTCAGTGACATTAACCCTTTTTAGTCACAGAAGCATTTTGAAAATCTAATGAAACCCATTAACTCTGGCTTAGTCTATTTTGTATTGCTATAACTGAATGCCACAGACTGGGTAACTTAGAAAGAAAAGAAATGTATTTTTTACAATTCTGAAGTTTGGGAAGTCCAAGGTCAAGGGGCTGCATCTGGTGAAGACCTTCTTGCTGAATCATAACATAGTGGAGAGACTCACATAGCAAAAGAGCAGAGCACCCACAAGACAGAGCCAGAAAGGCTTGAACTCACTTTTATAACAAAGCCACTCTTGATAATTAACCCACTACCTCAATAGTGACATTAATCCCTCATTATCTAATCACCTCTTATTAGACTCCACTTCCCAACACTGTTACACTGGGGCTTAAGTTTCTAACTCGGGGACTTTGGAAGACACATTCGAGCCATAGCAAACCCACTGTAACAAAAATTTTTCAGACACATAAAGCTTCCATGTTATTCTAGGGTGTTTGTGAACCTTCTAAAGCCTATACCCCAGATTATGCATCCCTGGATTACAAAGTCTCAAACAGAAAACGAGACAAACTTGAGGACTCCTTCTAACCCCAAGAGGCTGTCGTCTTGTCCCAGACTCCGTTTTACTCAAACATCAGCCTTTTAAAAATGCGTATAATCTGTGGCCCATTTACTGTCCACTTTGAGTGATACATTTATCAGCTAATGTGATGAACAAATTCAAGCTAACGTGATAATGAGTTATTGGGCATCCTTTCTCCCTCCTCCCCAGATGACAGTTGGATTTTTGTTTCCTTTAGGGGTATTGTAACTTCAGCTGCTTGTGGAGAGATGGAAAGCAAGAAGGTCTTGTAACTTCTTGAATCTCTCCAATTGAGTAGCTATTTACCTGACTTTGTATCAAGTCAGACACAGGGTCCAGTTAAAGGGGATTTCTGGTTTGGAGACTCAGCACAGCATGACTCTAGAGTTGCAAGAGTTTTGTGCAAGAGTGGACTTTGCCATTGCCTGTTTCCCTAGGGAAAGCCTGGTGACACTGACTTAAGTAATTTTAAATAAAGACTGAGGCTGGCTGGAGAAGAAAATTTCACAAAAATGGCTTCAAGAAAGTGGAAAGACCACAAAACTGACAACCAAAAAAATTCTGCCCAGCACTGTCCCTGACTCAGCTGATTAACTAGGACACAGCAATCTTCCTTTTTAAGCCTTGCTTATCTATACTTATCTTTCTATCCCCATCTAGAATGCAATCTATACAGACAAATATATTTAGGTCAGAACATTGGTAACAAGTGACAGAAATCAAAGTCAGACTAACTTCAGCAAGAAATGACTATGCTGGCTCTGTTATGAAGGACGATGAGATCGCCCTTAGGATAGAAGTAGCAGTACTGCTTTGGAAGGGAAACCAGAACTGCTGTATGGGGGCTCCTTAAGAAATAACTCTCTTGCAGCTAAATAGAGGATAAACAATGCGGTGAAGGAGGATCAGCAGCAGCATTGAAGGTGACGTGAAAGAGATAAAAAGAAAGAGGGAATGGACCAGGAGAGTGATGAGCCAAAACAATCTCAAAGTACTGCCAGAAGCACCAACCCACAAACAGCCACAATGTGACCTAAACTTGCCAGTCACCATCTTTGGCCCCACGCAACTCAGAGATGACAAAAACAAGGCTCCTTGGTCAAGAAGAGTTGTTAAATAACAATTCAGAGAAGTCTACTATGGATTATAGTTCTCAAAGGTCAATAAACGGTGATAAAGGTATTTAGAGTAGCATCATATATTCTAGCATCATGAGGTCTCTCCTGCCTATCAGAGATTAACATGGAAAAAGATTAGGGATGGTAGGAATTTTTTTAAGTATTTTTTAAGTTATCTGGATTATTCAGAGTAATCAAATCAATCATGGCAGACACTATTAGTTACATCCCTGCCTCCTTGTTGATAAATCCTTATTTTGTTTGATGTTCACCCTTCCATGTGTTCCTGGAAAGGAATGAACCACAATGGGTCTAATACAAACATAGTGATTCTATGCCCCTTTGGCATGTGACCCTTTCCTGATCTCTGGGTTGGGAAGAGGCTTTGGAGAGGGTTGTCACTGCCAGGAAAAAGAGGATCACTAGAGGACAGTCCCTTCATCATCTAGATATTGTGTATCTACCTGAGAAGCCTAGAACCATCCGAGGCAGCCGTCTTGTAAACAAGAGCGTAGAGGCCTAAAAGCCAAGTTAACATGCTGAGCATAACACACTAAAAGACAGAAAGAGCATGGGTCCTCAATGATATTTGTGAGGCTGGAGAGTCATCGTGAGACTGTTTGTGTATTAATAATAATACAATCCTAGTCTGATTAATTTTGTTATAATGACAATCATCCTAATTAATATAAGAGCAAAACACTGACTTGGCTTTCTGGCTTTCACTTTTTCCTCCCTGTAATTATTTTCATATAATAGACAAAGTAATCCTTTTCAAATTCAAATTTGATCATGGCATCTTCTTCTTTTAAAAATCTTCCTGCAGCGACTTGAATAAAATTTCATCCCTGGCCAGGGACTATAAGTTTTACACAGTCTCCAAACTCATCTTATTCCACATTCTCCTGCCTACTTCCCTTTTTTCTGCCATCATTTACTTTTTCTGCTCTTAACACCCTAAGCTTTTCCTTGTGAGACTGTTGTTCTGGCTATGCCTTCTGCCGATCTTCTTGCCTTCCAGATTGCTGCATGGTTAGTTCTTTCTTGTCCTTCTGGCATCAGCTCAATTATCACCTCCTCACAGAAGCTTTCCCTGAACACTCCAGCTAAATTATCTATCCTCTCATCCCTGAGCCAGACTTTATTACATCACCCTTCATCTTATTCTCCTTATAGTACTTATCCTTATTTGCAGTTATTGTAATTATTTGTTTACTAATGTTGTCAAATTCCTCTCCCTAGTATATCAGGATCAAGAAAACTAAGACCTTGTCAATCTTTCTCACCATAATTTCCTGCACCCTTAAAAAATTGTCTGAAACATCATAAATCCTCAATAATAATTGTTGAATGAAAAGAAGGAAGGAAGGAAAGAAGAGAGGGAGGGAGGGAGGGAGGGGAGAAAGCGAAGAGAAGGGGAGGGAAGGGGAGGTGAGGGGAGGAAAGAACTGTAAGGACCTGAGCCTCAGAACCTGAAATTTGGGATTCAACTATGCCAAAATTGTGTGTCTCACTCTTCTCAGCTTGGCACCTGCAGATTGAAAAAGGATGGAAACAGCAGCCCTAGAGTTACTTCCTCCTAACTTATTTCTCCAGCAGAAAGATACTCCCTCTCCCAATATCTGTATACCACTCCTAGGAATGAATTCTGATGGTCTCTGTTTAAATTATAAAATTTGCTATGGAACTAATCCTTGTGTTTAGAGAAATAGGGTATTACGATTGGCCAGGGCCAGAATTACAGTCCATAACCAGGGTACATTGTGATTGGCAGCTCTACCTGTTCCACAGGGACTAGTAGGAGGGTGGTGCAAGGAGAGGTGGGGAGGGGAGGAGGGAGAAAAGTCAGGGGAGTTAGAAAAGGATTGCTGGGCAGACAAAATCAACAGATCTTCCCTATGAACTACACTGCACCCTGGTCTTGCCAAAATGTTCTCCTAGTTCTCCAGATTTAAAACACACTCATCTCTGACTTATTACATTAGGATAAGTCCTCATCTACACAACCAGAGTAACAGAAGAGCAAATCAGAGTTTAAATGTGCACATATGTGTGCATGCATAACAGAATTACATAAAGAACAAGCTGGGTATGCAAAGCCATACACAGTGGTATAATGAATATTGGGAACTCAGAAGGAGGTAAGGTGAGAGAAGGGTGAGGAATTAAAAAAACTACATGTTGGGTAAAGTGTGTATTACTACAGTGATAGGTGCACTGAAATCTCAAATTTCACCACTATACAATTTATCCATATAACCAAAAAACACCTGTATCTATTGAGATTAAAAATTTTTTGAAAAGAACACCCTGGCTTCATAATGAGGGAGGAGAGATGTAGAATTAGCTATCCACATGGTTTTGCAGATATCTCTTGCTAACTATTGGGCCAATGTCATGGCTTTGTACTACTGCATGGTATGCCCTGCTATCTATTTAAAGTTCTTTTCCCTCCAATCGTCAGTAAAACATGGCTGCTTCCAACATGAAGTCAGCCTCTATTTTCTCTATTCAGACAATGATTCAACCACATGAGAAACCATCATGATCCCCAAACGAATACACACGATGGTTGAATCACAGTCTGGCAGTGTAGTGTGATGGCACAACAGAGGAAGACCCTCTTTGGTGAGGACAGGTCTTCCATTTGTATTGCCATTTAAAGGGACAGTAACTTACAAGGACAAAAACATGTTCTTGGCTCCAAGTCGCTCTTTGGTGGTACATTTTTAAGGATTAATTATACTGGTAGGATTTCTTTTTCCTAACACGTTTGTTTACAAAAATATTGAGCATGCATTACACATCGACATAAATAATTTTCCCCGTATCTTTGTCCTCCAAATTTTGCAGTTAATTAAACTAATTTGTCTGTTTTTGTGGGTTGGAAACTCTTACTGTCATCGTTTCCAATCACTACTTATTTAAATTTCATCCTTGGCCAGTTTCATGATAATGTTTATCTGCTCCAGAGGATTTGAAATGAGAGTAACACACAGGGATGCCATTTAAATTCTTTCTTGAAGCTGAAAAAGTCAAGAATCAACTGGCCAGTTAGATAACACAATTGCCCTTGTAGGATATTTGCTTAAGATAGCTGGGGGCTAATTTAATTCCAGAGTTGCTTATTTGAGTTTCTATGAGGGATTCCCTGCCGTTAACATGCACTGTATATAGAGATTCTAAAGAAGCATTCTCCGAGAACATTCTCAAAAGCAGGTTAAGTAAGTTGTTTTTTTAAGAAAATAAAAATCTGTACAATTTGCTGTCAACATTCAACTCCGGCCTGTTGCCAACTAGAAAGGAGCAAGAGCACTCCGACATTTCAACAGCACTCAGATCCATTATTTGGCATTTCATTAATCCATTTGGAGAGAAATGACTTCTTAATTTTGATTCCTTTAAAATGTTAGCTTGAGACCCTCAACTAGTTTCGTATGCTTACGCTACAGAGAATTTCACAGCCCTGGATTAACATAGAGGGCAGCAGAGAACCATCCAGAAGACCCAAGGAAAGGAAGTCCTGTTCTGTACATTGTTTTTGTCTTGTGCTGTCAGATGCCTTGACATGCCTCTATGGCATGATCTGGCCCCTGCCTACCTCACCTCTTCAACTTCTCCTGAGCTTCTCCTCCCAACAGCTCCCAGCCAGCCAACTTTCACAACTCCCTCAACCCTTCCCCACTCATCCCATCCCTATCCAGCTACATTGACACCTTTCAGCTCCTCAAAGGTGTCTTCTCTCCTTTCTTCCCACTCTTCACCAAACTAACTCCTCCTCATCCTCCAGGGCTCAACCCAAAGCCACTTCTCTGGGGCTCTCCTCCCTGACACCCACGTCTATATCAAGTTCACCATTGTGCTCACTTGCTGAGCTCTTCCCTTCTCCTTCTTACCACGGAGCACTGTTCTCATGGATCACCTGTAATAACAGTTTGCTTAAGGTTTCTTTCTCTCTACTGGTTTATAAGCTCCACAAACAACAAGCAATGGGTCAATATCGTTCACTGCCCTATCCTAATGCTTAGCATGGTTGGCACACAGAGTTAAATAAATACTTGTTGATTCAATAACAAATTGAAAGATGGTGGGTAAGTCCCTTGAACTTTATGATCGGTCCACGTTAAATATTATATGAGTTTGTAATTTTATGCAACACAGAAATGCTAGAACCGTAACAACAAATTCAATTACCACTTGAATTAGGGGTAAAAGAAACTGGCCTGGCTGAGCAGGAGATAAGGGTGATAGGAGACTAAACTAAGCCAGCTTCAGCAGCTACTATTGCCAGGCACTGTATTAGGTATGTTTGGACAGTTTATCTCATTCAGTTTATCTTATCTGCTGTTGTCACAGCAGTCCTTCAGCTTTGCTTATCATTTTCACATTATTCAGATTAGAAAAATGAGGCCACATAGATAGAAAGTGGTAGGGCTGCTTGAATCCGAATCTTGACTATTTGCAATACACCATAAGTTGGGTCTGTGCTTTTTTGGTTAAAAAAAAAAATGGGTATAGAAGTTGAAGAGAAAACGAGTGAGTGGGAAGATCCTGAATTTTCCTCCAGTCTCTCTAATTAGCCCATTCTCATATTACACATCTTCCCACATCCACCCTTCCCCCTAAACACACACACACACACACACACACACACACACTCCACACTACCAATCTCCCTGTAAGCAAATAGTTTCTCTAATTTTTGGTGATAACCTCCACAGTGGATTAGGTATGACTTTAATCAGAAACTTTGGTCCTCTTTCTGCATCATTACCTCTTCTCCACTTTTATTGTGAGTCCCTTTTCAGCTGTGCATATTTCAACACTCATTTATGTGACCATTAAGCCATTATCACCATTTCAGGTTCAGACCAGAATTGCACTTTTAATAAATTATAATAAGCTCCAATTGACTTAAGAGGAAAAGCCTCACTTTTTGTTTCCAGCAAAGCCATCTTTGTCCCTACCTCCTGGAGAAGAGCTGAATGCAATGTTCCACCACAGGCAAAAATGTTCCAAGCAAAAGCTAGACATTACAAAGAAGTGGATGGCATTCAGTGCTGCTGAAACAAGCTCAGTGCAGCCCAGACAGGGATGAGAATGCAGAGACAAATTCCCCGGTGCAGAAGCATGGGCCAGAGGTGAGGCCTTCTCTGACCGCCCCAGCCCCTCCCATCTGTAGCTTTAAGAATCTCTTGTGGTGGGAATTGGTGGCTCATGCCTGTAATCCCAGCACTTTGGGAGGCTGAGGCAGGTGGATCACTTGAGGTCAGGAGATCAAGATCAGTCCGGCCAACATGGTGAAACCCCACCTCTACTAAACATACAAAAATTAGCCGGGCATGGTGGTGGGTGCTTATAATCCCAGCTACTAGAGAGGCTGAAGCAGGAGAATCGCTTGAACCCTGGGAGGCAGAGGCTGCAGTGAGCCAAGATCGTGCCATTGCACTTCAGCCTGGGTGACAGAGCGAGACTCCATCTCAAAAAAACAAAAGAATCTGATGCTGAGGATATTTTCTGATTTATTTTTCCTTGAGTCCTAGAAGCCTTCACTTTTCTTATTTCCTCCTTGTTTATTTGTTGGGTGTATTGGGCTATATCCTAAAATTATACCTTGAGAGAAAGGTAACTCTGCTAAGCTTTCCCAGGCCTGTAATCTAAGATGGGACATGTGAACCTCCAGTGTGAACTCAGAGGCAGAGAGAGCAGCTAAAGTTAAGCTCAGGTTCTCCTCATTCTGGGAGCTAAGAGACTGGACTTTCAAAAGTGAGACTCCTTATATATTTTAAAAGGAGAAAAATCCTAAATGAATTTACAAAAACTTTGACAAATACAAAGTATTTGTATTAAACAGATTAATGCTCTGTTAATATATAGATAATATAATTTCATGGATTTGAAAGATAGATGCTGAGTTTCACTTCTGGTAAGTGCTGAGAAGCTTCTATCAGACCTACCCACTCAAAGGCTCTAGAGTCACCAAAAGAAGCAGAAATTGGAGGAGAAAGTTTACACTTGGAAGAAGGAAATTGCCTTGCATGAGATATTTTTTTTTCCGTACAGTCTTTTTGCTGGAGGATGACCTCAAGAAGCACAACACAGGGTCCTACATTTTGGGCTCCTACAGTATCTGGAGAGTGAAGGGGCATCTGCTGAAACAACCCAAAGTCTGAGGAGAAGTCAATGGCTGGGACTAGATTCATCTCAATGCTCATTCACTCATATTTCTGGCTCCTGGACTTGGAGGACTCAAAAGCTAGAACTGCCCACTACTCATGCCTCTCCACATAGCTTGGCTTCCTCCTAGCACTGTGGCCTGAAAGTAGCTGAGCTTCTTATGTGAAGACTTAGGTTCCAAGAATAAAACTTAACAGCTAGCAAGGCAGAGGTTATTTCATCACTTTTCATGTCCTAACTGGAAAGCCACACAGCATCTCTTCTGCTGCATTATACTGGTTACAGGTGACTCACAATCCCCTAAAAGTCAAGAAGAGAAAAATTATACTTTACTCTTGATGGAGTGTGGTAAAATTCTAGAAGAGAGGTAGGATGAAAGATATTGTTATGGTCATCTAGGGAAAATGCAATCTGTCACAAAAATCAGTGACCTAAGATTCCATCATAAGAAGCTAAAAAAGAAAAAGAAAATAAACCCAGAGTAATTTAAATGAAGAAAATAATAAAAAGCAAAGGTAAATAAAAAGCAATAAACATTGAGAAAAATTTTAAAGTCAAAACTTTGATTGACTACTTGAACTAAATGACGATGAAAACACAACTTATCAACATTTGTGGAATACAGCAAAAGCAGTGCTTAGAAGAAAGTTTATAGAAAAGAAAAAGATCTGAAGTCAATAATCTAAATTTCTACCTGAGGAAACTAGAAAAAGAAGAGCAAATTAAATCAAAAGTAACGGAAGAAAATAAATAATAAGAATTAGGCAGAAATCAATGAAATTGAAAACAGAAAATCAGTGGAGAAAACCAAAAGCTGGTTCTTTGAAAAGAGCAATAACACTGATAAGCGTCTAGTCAGGCTAAGAAAAAAAGAGGGCACAAATTATTAATATCAAAGGGGTAAGAAGGGACATGACTACTGATTCCATGGACATTAAAAGGATAATAAAGAAATACTGTAAACAATTCTATGCCTACAAATTGGATAACTTAGATGAAACGGTGAATTTCTTGAAAGACATAAGCTGCCAAAACTTACACAAGATATAGACAATTTGAATAGGCCTATATCTATTAAAGAAGTTGAATCAATAATTAATATCTTTCTAAAACAGAAAACATCAGGCCCAGATGAGTTTATTCAAGAACTCTACCAAATATTTAAGAAAAAATTATACCCATTTTCTACAATCTCTTCTAAAGGATAGAAGCAGAAGGAATACTTCTTAATTTGTCCTATAAAGCCAGTATTACCCTCAAACCAAAACCAGACAAAGATATTACAAGAAAAGAAAACTGTAGACCAATATATCTCACAAACATAAATGCAAAAATCTTCAACAAAATATTAGCAAATTGAATCCAACAATGTATGAAAATTATACACCACGACCAAGTGGGATTTATCTCACATATGCAAGACTTGTTTAACATTTGAAACTCAATTAATGTAATCCATCACATCAACAAGCTAAGAGAGAAAAATAACATGATCATTTCAATAGATGCAGAAAAAGTATTTGTCAAAATCCAACACCCATTCATGATTTTTTTTAAACTCTCAAAAAACTAAGAATAAATTAGAACCTCCTCAACTTAATAAAGTATATCTACAAAACATCTCCAGCTAAAAATAACACTTAACAGTAAGAAACTAGAAGCTTTACCACTAAGATCAGGTACAAGGCAAGAATGTCTCCTCTCACTGTTCCTTTTTGACTTTGTACTGAAAGTTCTAGCTAGGGCAATAAAACAAGAAAAGGAAATAAAAGGTACACAGATTGGAAAGGAAGAAATAAAACTGTCTTTTTTGGCAGATGACATGAGCATCTATGCAGAAAATCCAAAAGAATTGATTTTTTTAAAACCTTTAGAACTAATATATAGTTATAGCAAGATTGCAGCATCCAAGGCTGATATAAAAAGTTAATTGGCTGGGCTCAGTGGCTCATGCCTGGAATCCCAACACTTCGGGAGGCCGAGGGGGGTGGATCATGAGGTCAGGAGATCGAGACTATCCTGGCCAACATGGTGAAGCCGTGTCTCTACTAAAAATACAAAAAAAATTAACCCACCGTGGTGGCATGTGCCTGTAGTCCCAGTTATTCAGGAGGCTGAGGCAGGAGAATTGCTTGAACCCAGGAGGAAGAAGTTGCAGTGAGCCGAGATCGCGCCACTGCACTCCAGCCTGAGCTTCGGAGCCAGACTCCATCTCAAAGAAAAAAAAAAATTAATCACTTTTCTGTATACCAGCAGTGAATATGTAGAATTTGAAATTTAAAACACTCTAACATTTACGTTAGCACTTCCCAAAAAATTAAATAGGTATAAGATCTATATGTGGAAAACCACACAAAATCTGACTTTAAAAATCAAGGAAAAACTAAATAAATGGAAAAATATTCCATGTTCATGGATAGGAAAACTCAACATTGTCAAGATGTCAGTTCTTCCCATTGACCTACAGGTTCAATGCAATCCCATTCAAAATCTTAGCACACTATTTTATGGATACCAACAAATTGATTCTAAAGTTTACATGAGAGACAAAAGGCCTAAAATAGCCAACACAATATTGAATGAGAAGAATAAAGTGAAAGGACTGACACTATCTAACTTTGAGACTTACAATAAAGCTATAGTAATCAAGATAGTGTGGTATTGGTAAAAGAACAGACAAATAGGTCAATGGAACAGAACAGAGAGCCCAGAGATAGACCCAAGTAAATATAGTCAAATGATCTTTGACAAAGGAGTAAAGTCAGTGGAAAAAATTTTTTAACAAATTGTGGTAGTACAACTGGGCATCCACATGTGAAACAATCAATCTAAACACAGATCTTACACCCTTCCAAAAATTATCACAAATGGATCATAGACCTAAATATAAAATGCAAAACTATAAAATTCCTAGAAAAAAACAGTAGAGAAAACTTAGATGATCTTGGGTATGGTGATGTCTTTTTAGATAAAACACCAAAGTAACAATTCATGAAAGAAATCATTGATAAACTGGGCTTCAGTCAAATTAAAAAGTTCTACCTGCAAAAGACAATGTCAAGAGAATGAGAAAACAAGCTATGTGCTGCAAGAAAACATTTGCAAAAGACATCTGATAAAGAACTGTTGTCCAAAATATACAAAGAACTCCTAAAAGTCAATAGTAAGAAAACAACAGCATGAATAAAAAGTGGGCCAAAGGCCTTAAGGGACACCTCACCAAAAAATATATACTGATGGGAAACAAGCATATGAAAAGATGCACCATGTCGCAAGGACTTCATGACGAAAACACCAAAAGCAATGGCAACAGAAGCCAAAATTGACAAATGGGATCTAATTAAACTAAAGAGCTTCTGCACAGCAAAAGAAACTACCGTCAGAGTGAACAGGCTACCTACAGAATGGGAGAAAATTTTTACAATCTACCCATCTGACAAAGGGCTAATATCCAGAATCTACAAATAACTTAAACAAATTTACAAGAAAAAATCAAACAACCCCATCCAAAAGTGGGTGAAGGATATGAACAGATACTTCTCAAAAGAAGACATTTATGCAGCCAATAGATACATGAAAAAATGCTCATCATAACTGGTCATCAGAGAAATGCAAAGCAAAACCACAGTGAGATACCATTTCACACCAGTTAGAATGGCGGTCATTAAAAAGTCAGGAAACAACCAAACAACCGGTGCTGGAGAGGATGTGGAGAAATAGGAACACTTTTACACTGTTGGTGGGACTGTAAACTAGTTCAACCATTGTGGAAGACAGTGTGGTGATTCCTCAAGGATCTAGAACTAAAAATACCATTTGACCCAGCAATCCCATTACTGGGCATATACCCAGAGGATTATAAATCATGCTGCTATAAAGACACATGCACACGTATATTTATTGCGGCACTGTTCACAATAGCAAAGACTTGGGACCAACCCAAATGTCCAACAATGATAGACTAGTTTAAGAAAATGTGGCACATATACACCACAGAATACTATGCAGCCATAAAAAAGCATGAGTTCATGTCCTTTGTAAGGACATGGATGAAGCTGGAAACCATCATTCTGAGCAAACTATCGCAAGGACAGAAAAACAAACACCGCATGTTCTCACTCATAGGTGGGAACTGAACAATGAGAACATTTGGACACAGGGTGGGCAACATCACACACCGGGGCCTGTTGTGGGGTCGGGGGAGGGAGGAGGGATAGCATTAGGAGATATACCTAATGTAAATAACGAGTTAATGGGTGCAGCACACCAACATGACACATGTATACATATGTAACAAACCTGCACGTTGTGCACATGTACCCTAGAACTTAAAGTATAATTAAAAAAAGAAAAGAAAAGGTGCACCATGTCATATGTCTTCAGGAAAATGCAAATTAAAACAATAATGAGATCTAGACCATCCTGGCTAACACGGTGAAACCCCGTCTCTACTAAAAATACAAAAAAATTGGCCAGGCGTGGTGGCAGGTGCCTGTAGTACCAGCTACTTGGGAGGCTGAGGCAGGAGAATGGCCTGAACCTGGGAGGCGGAACTTGCAGTGAGCCGAGATCGTGCCACTGCACTCCAGCCTGGGCGACAGAGCAAGACTCCGTCTCAAAAAAAAAAACAATAAATAAATAAATAAATAAATAAAAACACAATAATGAGATACCACAACACGCCTATAGAAATGGCCAAAATCCAAAACGTTGACAACACCAAATGCTGGCAAGTCTGTGGAGTAACAGAAACTCTCATTCATTGCTAGTAGAAATGTAAAATTGTACGGCCATTTTGGAAGACAGTTTGGCAGTTTCTCATAAAACTAAATATACTATTGCCATATGATCCAGCAGTCATGCCCGTTAGTATTACCCAAAGGAGTTGAAAACATGTCCACACAAAAAGTTACACAAGAATGTTTATAGCAGCTTTATGCATAATTGACAAAACTTGCAAGCAACCAAGTTGCTTCTTCAGTAGGTGAACGGATAGACTGTGGTACATCCAGGCAATGAAATACTACTCAGTACTAAAACGAAATGTGCTATCAAGCAATGAAAAGACATGGAGAAAGGTTAAATGCATATTATTAAGTGGAGGAAGACAATCTCAAAAGGCTACATACTATAAGATTCCAACTATATGACATTCTAAAAAACAAAAAAACTATGAAAACAGTAAAAAGAGGTGTAGTTGCCAGGGGTTGAGGGTAGGAGGAGAAATGAATAGGTGAAGCATAGTGGATTTTTAGGGCAGTGAAAATACTCTCTATGACACTAAAATGATAGATGTATGTCATTAGGCATTTGTCCAAATTCATAGAATGTACAATGCCAAGAGTGAACCCTACTGTAAACTATGGATTTGGGGTGATGATGATGTGTCAATGTAGGTTCATCAGTCTTAACAAACGCACCACTCCGGTGGTTGATGTTGATCATGGAGGAGGCCCTGCATGTGTTGGGGCAGGGAATATAAGGGAAATCTGTATCTTCCTCCCAATTTTTCTGTGAACCTAAAACTTCTCCAAAAAATGAAGTCTTTTAAAAACAGAGATACAGAGACCACAAATTGCTAATATCAAGAATGAAGGTGAAGGAGGGACTATCACTACTACTGAACCTATAGACATTAAAAGGACAAAAAAATATTATGAACAGCCTTATGGAAATAATTTTTGCAGCTTAAGTATAAATTCCTTGAGAAATACAACTTACCAAAATGCAGTAAAATAAAATAGAAATATGAAAATTCTCATATCTATTAAAGAAATTGAATCCAGTATCAAAAACTTCCCTACAAAGAAAACTTCAAGCCCAGCTGATTTTACTGGTGGCTTCTGGCTAAAAGTTATAGAACTAATATGAATGTTAACACAAATTCTTTCAGAAAATAGAAAGTAAGAGACTGCTTTCCAACTCATTTATGAAGCTAATGTAACCTTGATATAAAGCTTGATAAGGAAATTACAAAAAATTAAAAAATTATAGAATATCCCTCATGGATACAGATTAAAAAATCCTCAAAGAAATATTAATAAATCAAATATAGAAATATATAAAAATTTATATATCTATTATACATATATATATATATATATATATATACACACTCCAATAGGAGTTTATCCCAGAAATATAAGGTTGTTCTAACATTGGAAAATAAATGTAATTCATCATATTAGCAGATGAAGGGAGAAAAGCTATTCAAGCATTTCAATAGATACACAAGACACATTTGATAAAATGCAATGCCCATTATGCTAGAATCTCTTGGCAAATTAGAAACAGAAAGGAACTACATCAATCTGATAAACAGCTTCTGAGAAAAAATCCTATTATTAAACTCCATGGTAAAATATTGAATACTTTCCCTATAAAATTTTTTAAAAAGCACTTTTTTTACTTCTTCTCAGTATTGTACTGAAGATCCTATCTCATGCAGTGGGCAAGAAAATAGGCATAAAGGTCAAAAAGGAAGAAGTAAAACCAGTCCATCTCTATTCACAGATGACATAATTGTTTACTTAGAAAATTCTAAGGATCTACAAATCTATTAGAACTACTAAGAGAATTTTGCAAGGTCAACATATAAAAGCCAACTGCATTTTTGTACATTGGTAGCAAACAAATTGGAAAATAAAATGTTTTAAAATTCCATTTGCAATAGCTTCAAAAGACATAATATAGTCAGAAATGAATGCCTCAAAAGATGTACAAGACTAAAAACTACAAAACATTGCCCAGAGAAACTAAGAAAAAAAAAACTGACAAGGTCTTTTGGAAATTTTGGAAACATTTAGAAATAATGTTGAAAATGTTATCATATTCATGAGTTGGAAGACTACATTTTTATACCATTTCTTCCCAAATCCCAGCAAAAATGCCACAGTCTTTGTTGTAGAAATCAACAAGCTGATTCTAAAATTTATGTGGAAATGCAAAGAACCTAAAATAGAAATAACTTTAGAGAACTTACACTAACCAACTTCAAGATTTACCCTAAAGCTATAGTCATGAAGACACTGCAATACTGGCAAAACAGAAAAATAGACCAATGCCAGACACTTATAAAATAACTTGGTTTTCAACCAAGGAACCAAAAAAACCCAATGGAGAAGGAAAATTCTTTTTTAACAAATGGTCCTAGAGCAGTTGAAAATCCATATGAGGAAAAGAAAATTAGTCTCAACCACTGCTATACACCATAAAAATTACTTTGAGATGAACTATAAATCTAAATACAGAAGCTAAAACTTTAAATTTTCTCTGTAAGAAAACAGGAAAATATCTTCCCAAGTTAAGGAGAGACAAAATTTTCTGAAGTAGAACACAGAAAGCAAACCATAAAAGAAAAATTTAATAAATAAGACCATCAAAATTAAAAATGTCTGCTCCTCAAATTCAACATTTCAAAAATGAATAGGCAAGTCAAACACTGGAAAAAATAATTTCAAAGCAAAAGACTAAAAGAACTTGTGTTCAGAATATATAAAGTACCCCTGGAACTTAATGACAAAAAGAACAACTCAATTTTTAAAAGGGAAGGGAGCATAAGAAATAACAATTAAATTCAGTATGAGCTGGGCACAGCGGCTCACGCCTGTAATCTCAGCACCTTGGGAGACCACAGCAGGCCGATCACTTGAGGTCAGAAATTCAAAAACAGCCTGGCCAACATAGTGGAATCCCATCTCTTCTAAAAATACAAAAATTAGCCAGGCATCATGGTGCGCGCCTGTAATCCCAGCTACTTGGGAGGCTGAAGCACAAGAATCACTTGAACCCCAGAGGGGGAGGTTGCAGTGAGCCGAGGTGACAGAGTGAGATTCTGTCTCAAAAAAAAAAAAAAAAAAATTTTTAATTTAAATGCAATATGAGATCCTAGATAGAATCTTGGAACACCAAAACTATGGGAAACTGGTGCATTTGAATCAAGTCTAATTTAGTGAATAGTATTGTGCCAGTGTTAATGTCCCTGTTTTGACTATTGTACTATGGCTATATGTGATGTTAACATTAGAAGAAACCAGATGAGGCATATACAGAAACTTTGCATCATTTTTGAAACTTTTTTTGTAAGCTTAAAATTAATTCAAAATAAAAAGGTTTTTTAAATGGGGAAGATTTGAACAGACAATTTGGAAATAGATATATATGAATGGCCAATAGCACATGAAAAGTGCTCAAGTAACTAGTCATTAGAGAAATACAAATTAAAAACACAATTCCAGTATACTCCCATAGAGCAGTTAAAATGAAAAAGAGTGATAATATCAAATAGTGAAAAGGATGCAGAACAACTGTAACACTCATACCTTGTTGGTGAGAACATAAAATGATATGATCACTTTGGGGAAAGGTCTCACAGTTTTTAATAAAATGAAACATATACCCACTCTACTAATTTTACTCCTACATATTTATCCCCCAAAATGAAAACATATGTCCACAAAAAGACCTGTACTAGAATGATGACAGCAGTTTTATTCATAATAGACCTAAATGGGAAACATTGCAGGTGTCCATTAGCAGGAGAATAGCTAAAGAAACCGTGTTATACTCATACAGTGTAATACCACTCATCAATTGAAAGGAATAGACCTACTAATACACTCAATGATGTGGATATATCTCAAAAATATTATGTTGAGTGAAAGAAGTCTTACATAAAAGAACAAGTACTGTAACAGTCCATTCATATAAAGTTTTAGCACAGGAAAAAGTAATATAGAGTGAAAAAAATCAGAAGAGTGGTTGCCTAGGAGTTGTGGCAGTGGTCACTGACTACATGGTGGCCTAAGGGAACTTTCTAGGCCATGATGATGTTCTATATCTTTTTTTTTTTTTTTTTTTTTTTTTTTTTGAGATGGAACCTTGGCTCTGTCACCAGGGCTGGAGTGCAGAGGCGCGATCTGGCTCACTACAAGCTTGGTCTCCCAGGTTCATGCCATTCTCCTGCCTCAGCCTCCCAAGTAGCTGGGACTACAGGTGTCTGCCACCACCCCTGGCTAATTTTTGTATTTTTAGTAGAGATGGGGTTTCACCATGTTGGCCAGGCTGCTCTTGAACTCCTGACCTCAGGTTATCCACCCACCTAGGCCTCCCAAAATGCTGGGATTACACGCATGAGCCACCACACCCGGCCAATGTTCTATATCTTGATAGGGGTTTGGGTTACACAGATGTATGAATAAATATTTATCAAATGATACACTTTTTTTTTTTTTGAGATGGAGTCTCACTCTGTTGCCCAGGCTGGAGTGCAGTGGTGCGATTTCAGCTCACTGCAACCTCCGCCTTCCGAGTTCAAGTGATTCTCCTGCCTCACTCTCCCAAGTAGCTGGGATTACGGGGGTGCGCCACCACCCCTGGCTAATTTTTATATTTTTAATAGAGACAGGGTTTCACCATGTTGGCCAGGCTGCTCTTGAACTCCTGACCTCGGGTTATCTGCCCACCTAGGCCTCCCAAAGTGCTGGGATTACAGGTGTGAGCCACTGCACCCAGCCTCAAGTGATACACTTAAACTTTGTACATTTCACTACATGTAAACTTTACCTTAAAAAATACATACAAATATTGAACTCTAGTTAATGATATGTATGCTGAAGTTCAATATTAAATATAATATGTATGCTGAAGTTCAATAATTAAGTATACTGATACCTTCAACAAACTTTGAAATTCACTTAAAAATAAATTGATGGCTAAACAAAGGGATAGGTAGACGCAGAGATGTGTGACAAAGCAAATACAGAAAAAAATGTTAATTTTAAAATCTAGACCATGGATATGTGGATGTTCAATGCATAATTCTTTCCATTTTTCTGAATGTTTGAAATTTTGCATGTTGGGGGAAAAAGAAAAAGGCAGAACTAATTTTTTAAAGTGAATATATTTTACACAGCATGCAGCGTGGTATAACAAGTTTGAAGTTTAATGATGAATAATTACTTCTTAGCATGCTGTTGATGAGTCAACATTACTTCATTTATAGAGAGTCATAACTAACTTACACTGAGGTCTTACTACCCTCCTGCATTGTTCTAAGCACTTGGGATGGGTTATCTCATTTAATCTTCACAGCAGCCAGACCCTCCACTAATCCATATGGCAATATACTGCAAATTAGAGTACACTCTTTCCTTGAGACACTTTACTACTGTCTGCTGGAAAATTGTCATTGTAACTCCACACTTCTACATGGCTCAGAAGTAAATGACACTGCTGGGGTTGAGCAATGCATGGCTTGCGCATTAACTGATAGCCCTGACAAAAGGCCTGTGAAGTACAGTTACTATCCCCAGGGTAATGTTTGGCCAGTCCTACACGTATAGCAGTGGTTTAAAATATTGAAATATTTACAGGTGGGAAAAAATCAAAACTCAAGCTCCCTGTGGTCAAAACTCAGCCACTGCAGTCATCCGGGCACTTCCCTTAGGACCCTCTGCATCTCTCCATGTTCATCAACTAAAGAACTAGAGAGGGCCCCTGGCTCCTTGCCCCAGGACCAGCACCCAAGTCCACTGTGATTGGTCTAACTGGGTATCTGTGAAGATTATTACAGTTTAACAGCATGCCTGATTATCCCTGATTTACTTCTGAAACTAAGAGACACAAAGTAATTTATCAGAGATCTCAAAGCTCATAAGCTATAGAAACAAGATTTGAATTCAGTATTCTGACCTCATACATAACCACTATATCCACCGTCTCAACATCAAAATTCTGAACGTGAGGCTCATCCCAGATTGTCCTCCTGGTCTGCCTTGACCAGCCCTGGTGACCAGCTCTGTGAACTGTCCTAACACATACTGGCCTTTGGGTGACTGTAACCAGAAGGAAGCCCCCACGAGGGACACTGAGTAAACAGTCTCCTCACCTAGCCCTCAGGGCAGAAACACTGGGATATAACAACCACTATCAGTCTGGGTTCAGTGTGCCACATCCCCAGCTCAGGCTGCAGGTCAGAGCTGGGAGGATGATATTGTTTGGCTCTGTGTCCCCGCCCAAATCTCATCTCGAATTGTAATCCCCACGCGTGGAGGGAGGGAAGTGATTGGATTATGGAGGCCGTTTCCCCCATCCTGTTCTCATGATAGGGAGTGACTCTCATGAGATCTGATGGTTTTAAAAGTGGCAGTTTTTCCTGTACTCGCTTTCACTCTCTCCTGCCACCTTGTAAAGAAGGTGCCTGCTTCCCTTTCCACCATGATTGTGAGTTTCCTGAGGCCCCCACAGCCATGCAGCACTGTGAGTCAATTAAACTTCCTTTCTTTATAAATTACCCAGTCTTAGATAGTATCTTTATAGCAGTGTGAAAATGGACTAATACAGCGGATTAGAATACAAGTTTACCAACAGCAACTTAACTCAGAGTGGACAGGCAGCAATTTCCATGTGCCTCAGGTACATGCTGCTCTCGAAAGTGTTGGAAGACCTTGTACCTTGGCCTCTCAAAAGCTCTGGGACTGTCACATGAAAGATGCCCCAGTGGTCTTCATGATCTGTCTCTTTCCTCAAAATGGGTGTCTAATGAGCCCTACCCTCACCCTTCCTCATGTTAATTAGGACTAGACCTGATCTAACAGAATACAAGATGTGATTGCTGTCCTCAGAGATTGCCCATTGAATCACAGCCTACAGTGAACACAGAAGGATCATGACTGGCCAAGGCAAAATTTTTTATCTTTCCCAAAACAAGAGCAGGTCAATTCTTTTAGGGCAGACTTTGTAGTAGCTACTGTTTCTGCCAATCCAGTGTGCCATCCCTTTCTTATAGCCACAGGCCACAGAGAGGTGGCTTTGGGATTCTAGCCGGGTCAGCTCGAATCCTCTCCTGCGATCCTTTATGATTACAAATCCTCTATGATTACAAAGCTATAGGATATAAGCCCAAAGGTTGTATAGATCACATTCCAACTATACCTTACGGCCCATCAGTGTCCTCCAGGGGTGAAGGAAGGCAACAAGCAGGGCCAAGGGAAACAAAGAAATGGAAAGAGAGGAAAACAGAGAGAGAGGAAAGAGCCCTGAGAGCCCTCAACTTCCATCTTCCAAATAACCCAAAATGTAAGCAACTGTCCCTCCTGCAATTTGGCTGTGAGGATCTGCAAAATCTGAGTTGGGTTTCCGTCACTGACAGTCAAAGAGCTTTGACTAACATAGCTGCATCGCATTCCTATAGACATTCAGAATCAATCCATGAATGCTAGAGGAGTGGGGCGATTACTTCTTGGTAACATTTGACATAGAATCGGGACTTGAAAGATGATACAATTTTTATAAGTGAAATGAAGAGGTGAGAGAAATCCACATCATTTTGAGTAATGACCCTGCAACTGCAATACAAATATAAATTCAGCAGCTACTGTAATGTTTGGTGAGAAGAAAATCCTCAAAAAATCGTTGTTAGAATAATTAATAAGTAAATGAATGAGGGAATGAATATAGTATAGGGAGTAGAAATAGATGCTTACCCAACTGTCAGGAAGCAACACATCCACCACAGACACATCAGAAAAATTATAGGACTGTATGAAATACACAAAACAAGCGATAGAAAGACAAAACAGGAAATTATTTTATCTTGCGGCAAATGTTTTATGTTGATAAAACCGTGTTTTATCAACATAGAAAATAAAGCCTAGGCATGCTATCTTACAGAGGAATCTAACCTCCAATGCCTGAGTAATCTGTTCCTTTAGCCCCCAACAATTCTCACTTTTATGCCCATGAAGAAATGGATAACTTCATGTAAAAAAGAGGAGGTAGTAGAAGGGTTTTGAGCAGATAGAAAACAGAATGAGAAATAGATTTAATGAAGAGCTACTGCTCTGCAACATGGGTAGCCTAGTTAGGATGAGAAGGTGAGTGTGGGAGATTAGTTGGGAGGCAGATGGGGCAGTAATCCAGACCCATGAGCAATGTGACCAGAGAGGAAAAGATAAAAGTAGGAGATACTTAAAGGAAAAAAAAATTGCCAAAGTTATTGATTGATTGGGTATAAAGGACAAAAGAAAAGGAAGCGGAAAAGATCTTGAATCCTTATAGTTGAAACTTCCCACCTAAAATGTCACTATCTTGTCCCAGTTTCATCTTCCAGATAAGAAAAATGGCAAATAACATCCTATTCTGAAATTCTCTGTAAGTCAGCCACTAAGAACCCTGATGCTAAAACAACTGTCATTGTGAAGGACTTTTTGTGGCCTTGTGTTCATCAAAGAGGAAGAGAGATGAGAATTACTGCTCAGAGAAACTTTGCTGTTTCCCACAACCTGGCAGTAATTTATTGTGTGTGCCCAGCTGCTGGCTGAGTTGTTTGTTTTCCATATAAACCTCCTATCTCCACACTGAGCCAAACAGAGCCTCAAAAAATCCCTTCTGTGGGTCAAAATAAGCTCATGCTTAACTGACAGAATGAAAATCAAAATACCAAATGTCTATAGAAGAAAACTCTCCTTCTCTTGGACAACTTTCCTCCCCCTCCACCTCATCCCTGATGACTGTTTCCTATCCCCATCCAGGGCAACTGTTGCCTTTGGAACTGCTGCTCGTCTACCCAGTACCATCTCCTCCCCACCATGCTGCCATTCCTCAACAACAGAACACCTGCACCACTGGATGCAGCCATGGTCCTAACCCAAAGACTACATTTCCCAGCCTCCCTTGTAGCTAATATGCTTAAGGAAAGCTGACTCTGTAGTGAGATATGACCTTTTTGTTCTTCCCTCTTTCATAACATCAAAATGTCAGAGAAGAGGAGTGGAGTTCCAGCAGCCATCTGAGGCCATGAGATGATGTTGGAAATAGCAACCAAATGCCAAGAAGACAGAGCAGAAAGGCAGGGAGTCCAAGTCCTTCAAGACTCCCTTGAGGCACTGCCATAACAACTTGGGGCTGTCTACTGTTGGGTGTCTAATATTGTACATTTCAGCTCATTGCATCCACCCCTGTTGAGAGGGTCACTTCATAGATTTTGAAACTGAATCACAGAGAAGTTAAAGGGATTTTCCCAAAGTTTCATAGGCTATGAGACTTGAATCCAGGACCCCAACTGTCCAATGCTTTTTATACCAGAAGGACTTAACCAAAAGGTCCTAGAAGTAGCTTTCAGCTACAGACACTATGGATTAATTTCAGTTTAGTTTTCTTTATCATCCTGCCCCAAGTTCTCTCTAGAAAGGTCTTGCTACCACACTCAGGTTCTTCCTGGCAAAGACCAAATGTCTGCTCTACCCTATAAGAAAGAAACTTACGGATCCTACTACCAAGAGGAGAGAGGCCATGAACAGGCATTATGACTATAAAGTTCTATAACTAAGCTTTAGAAACCAGAGCAAACTTTCTCCAGGCACATCAGAAAAATGGGCCTGCTGAGCAGTCTCCTCAGAAGGGAAGAGAAGGCCGGGCGGGGTGGCTCATGCTGTAATCCCAGCACTTTGGAAGGCAGAGGCAGGTGGATCACTTGAGGTCAGGAGTTCCAGACCAGCCTGGACAACATGGTGAAACCCCATCTCTACTAAAAATACAAAACTTAGCCAGGCCTGGTGGCACGTGCCTGTAGTCCCAGCTACTTGGGAGGCTTAGGCTGAAGAATTGCTTGAATCCGGAAGTCAGAGGTTTCAGTGAGCTGAGATCGCGCCACTGCACTCCACTGCACTGGGTGACAGAGCCAGACTCCATCTGAAAAAAAAAAAAAAAAAAAGAAAGAAAGAAAAAGAAAAAAAAGAAGGGAAGAGAAGTAATTCCATCAGGAGATCATGTGACTTCCCCCATGACTGGACCCTGAGGGCTTTTCACTTGTTCTTAGAAAAAGCCACAGCAACAGCAAATTGGATGCCACACTACCAATGATCCATCCAAAATCAAGGACTGCAGCCTCAGTCCCAAATAGCAGAGACCGAAATCTTCAGTCTTTCAAAGGAAATACCTCCATTTTTAAATCTTTATTGCACTGTGTTGTACAGGACATTCTCTGTACTAGTTTGAGTGATAAAACAATTAACAAACTACCTTACATCTACAGTTGACCCTTGAACAATGCAGGGATTAGGAGTGCTGATGCCATACACAGTCAAAAATCCACATATAACTTTCAACTCCCCCAAAACTTAACTGCTAATAGCCTACTATTGACTGGAAGCCTTACCAGCTGACAATCAATAAACACATATTTTATATGTTAATGTATTATATACTGTATTCTTACAACAAAGTAAGCTAGAGAAAAAATTAAGAAAATCATAAGGAGGAGAAAATATATTTACTATGCATTAAGTGGAAGTGGTCATCATAAATGTCTTTACCCTCATTTTCTTCACAGTGAGTAGGCCGAGGAGGAGGAAGAAGAGGAGGGGTTGGTCTTGTTGTCTCAGGGGTGCCAGAGGCAGAGGAGGCAGAGGAGACGGAGGAGGTGAAAGGGGAGGCAGGCACACTTGGTGTCACTTTTATTGCCCTAAGCAGTTAAAGCCTGTGGTGTTCAAGGGTCAGCCATATATTCATTTTCTATTTCATACTTCTCCCTTGGCCCATGTTTGTCTCTTCCCAAAATCCATTCCTTTTGTAAAAAAATCTTTTGGAGATATGTGTGTGTTAAAAAAATTTTTAAAGACTACAAAAAATACAAAAATTAGCCAGGTGTGGTGGTGCGTGCCTGTAGCCCCAGCTACTAGGGAGGCTGAGGTGAAAGAATCCCTTGAACCCAGGAGGCAGAGGTTGCAGTGAGCTGGGATTGCACCACTACAGACAGAGTGAGACCCTCTCTCAAAAAAAAATAAATAAATAGAAAAGAAAGAAGTGTGAGAAGGAAGGGGTATGGCCTTCAGAAAACTAAGAACTGTTTGAAAGGGAAGAGCAAGGAGAGTGTGAGCTGAAGGAAATAATATTGGGCCCAGAATGAAATACACCCAAAAGGCAGCTGGCTTAGCTTTTTTTGTGCTGCTGTAATGTGTTCTGGAGGCTTCTCGGAAGTTCTCAGAATGCAGGATAATTTGCAGTTGAGGGGCTAATGAATAGCTGTCTCCTAATAATAGAACTTCTAATCATTTTTATTTCTCTAGATCAAAGAATCGTAATTCCTTAAAGGCAAAAACAAACATAGCAAATGCTAGACACCACCACCTGAGGGTAAGTTCTGAGGTTCCCATGGGGTGTCGATCTGGAGTAAAGCTGCCTAAAGAGCAGATTACTGTTCGAAAGAACAAACTAATTCAGCATGTGACCTTAAGACACTGCTTCTCCTGGCCTTCATGATTTCCCATGAGAAAGTCACTATCTTTCCCATTGTTTCCCCCTTTCAGTAAAACTCTCTCATTGCTTTTAGGACTTTGCCTTTAGTTTTCAGAAGTTTGCTTATTCTGTGTCTTGGCATAGATCTCCAATTTATCCTGTTTTGGGTTTACTCATCTTCTTTAATCTGCGGCTTTATGTTGTGTGTCAAATTTGGGACGTTTTCAGCCATTATTTCTTTGAATACCTTTCAGCTTCTTGCCTTTATTCTCTTTTCCTTCCCAGACTTGATGACATGAATTAACATTCATTTATGTTAAAGAATGTTGAAGAATGTTATGTTAAAGAATGTTAAAGAATGTTAATTAACATTCTTTTGTTATAGTTCCATGGGTCATTAAGGCACTGTCCCTTTTTTGTTTTGTTTCAGGCTATTTTCTCTGTGTTCAAAATTTCTGTTTTTCTATCTTCAAGTTCATTTATTCTTTCTTTTATTCCCTGGATTCTGATGTTAAGCCTATCCATGGAGAGTTTTGTTATTGTATTTTTTGGTTTTAAAATTTCCATTTGATTCTTTTTTTATATCTTCTATTTTTATTGTACTGTGATTTTCTCTTTTTTTGGTGAGACTTTCCATTTTATTTGTTTCAAGCATGTTTATAATCGCTTGTTGAAGCATTTTTATGACGGCTACCTTAAAATCATTCTCAGATTATTTTATTGTATTTTTTTAGAGCTGGAGTCTTGCTCTGTCACCCAGGCTGTAGGGCAGTGGCATGATTATAACTCACTGCAGCCTCCAACTCCTGGGTTCAAGCAATCCTCCTGTCCCAGCCTGTCAAGTAGCTAGGACTATAGGTGCATGTCACCACACCTGGCTAATTTTTAAATTTTCTGTGAAGATAGATTCTTACTATGTTGCCCAAGCTGCTCGCAAACTCCTGGCCTCAAGCAATCCTCCCACCTCAGACTTCCAAAGCACTGGGATTACAGGCATAAGCACCGCAGGCCCGGCCTCTCAGGTAATTTTAACATCTGGGTCATATTGGCATTGGCATCTGTTGATTGGCTTTTCTCCTATCAAGTTCTTGGGATAAGTTGAGACCAGATCTTAATTAAATCTCCTGTTTTGGCAGGCCTTCTCTAACACTGCTCAGGCAGGTTGAGGAAAAGGGCACCACATTGCAGCCTGACTGGGTGAAAGGTCAGATTCCACTCAGCCTCTGTTAATAGTCAGTGGGTGGGAAGATCCCTCATGACTGCTGTGCAAGGGTGGGAGTTCTGGCTCCCTATTAAGCCTCTGCTGATGCTGTCCTCATGCCATATTATTCCTCAAGTCCCAAGGTCCTTAGTCCATCTGACTTTTTCTGTCCACCTTTCAGGGTCTTCTTATGTTTGGTTTACATATAATGTCCAGAGTTTTAAGCTGTACTTAGCAGGAGAATTAAGGAAAAGTACTTATATGCCATCTTTTTGGAAGTGGAAATACCTAGTCTTTTTGGATACTGTGTTCTTTTGTGTATACATTCAATCCCTTACTTTTTGAACATTTAAAACACACATTTTTTTTGTACACATAGCTTGTAATTTTCTTTCTGCAGTCTTTGCCTATGTTTTTCTGCAATTTGCGGTTAGTGTTGACTCTTGCTCATGTGTCTGATTCCTCAAGTTTTCTTGATGTTATTCTGAGCTTACCATTACCATTTAACTTTGGGAATCCCAAAAGGCTTGGATTGAGACGATTTGTCTTGATTTCTGCTGGGTGCTTGGAAGCAGTTGCCAACTGGAAAACATTTCTAATTAATTTCTTGGATTACAGGTTTCTCAGACTGCAGGTGACGTAAGTTCAAACTCCAGGACTATATGGAAGTACAGTCATAATTACAATATTATCGATTTTTTTTCTACGCAGTATCATTAATCCTCTCTCTGACCCCTCACTCATAGATGAAGGCCAGGACCCATCAGAGAGGCCCAATGATGCCACAACTTCAGGATACTGTCTCCACCCCTAGCTTCTATCTTTGGAGGTATGTGTTTCATTGTCTTCTTCGTCTTCTCCTCAGAAGAGAATTTTGCTCAAAGAATGTTTCCATACAATTTCAGAAACTCTATTATTTTACTGCACATCCTTCAGAGGGGATGGTCTCTGTTTTTTATAATCAAAGATATTTATTTTTCCCAAATGTCTTTCTTCAAATAGGACAGTCATGTATTCTGTCTGTGCCATAGTTGGGGTACAGGTTTGAGGTATCCCAAGAGCTTGGGGTTTGAGAAGGAAGGGGCCAGCTCCAGCTCTGAGTGCCTGCTTTGGCTTCTGAAGAGTGACCACGTGTGAGGAGGGAGGCTAAGAGGAGTTTTGCATACCCATGATCATTCTAGGTTCCTTCACTTCTGTCTGCTAACATGACCTATTTTTGAAATACATAATTATCTTGTGAAACTGTCATTTTAAAAAGATAAGAAAAACTACTGCAAAAAGGGGCATTCAGGGATTGCCAAGGTGAGAAAATCAAGCAAAGACCCAACCCTAATACCTGACTCAGCCAGTCTTCCCTTCCCCCACAACCTTATTCCCTCACTACCTTATATAGCTATTAAGTTAGGATGGTGTCACATGGTCCTACCCAGCCTGCAGGAAGAGCAAGAGACAAATAGCTTCACATTTTACCAAAAACAGAAACTGGCAGTTTGGGTGTGGCCAGGCCCTGAGTTCAGAAGTTAGGGAGCCGTCCCAGACCCTGTATCTTTTGTTGGTGAATAACTCTCTCATTGGCCCCTAAGAACTTGTTCCCTTCCTGACGAAGGCTGGTGAGGTGAGATCTGCTCCCATCTCTTAGCTTAGTATAAACAACAATAGATAGCAGTCTAGCACCTGTGCTTTCTGTCTTCTACATACTCTGTACCCAGCTGTGTCAAGAATTGTGAAAGATCTGGGATTTTACCCTACTTGTGAGCTAACAAGTTAGCCTGCCACCATTGATGGATGCTGGCAGAAGACATAAGATTCCTGGATCGGAGACAAAAGATTTTATTACTCACAGCACAGCAAGCAGCATAGGCTTTGTATCTGCATCATTTCCCCTGCCCTCCTCCCCACAAAGCCACAAGTCCCATGAGGAGATATGGACCATCCCAGATGGATACTACACATGCCTAGATGGTTATTACACATGCAGTGGGTTTTTATTACAGCTAAGGAACCCTGATCTTAGGAAACCTTCAATCTTATAAAGAGGCTGCTAGCAAACCTGCCCAATCTTCACCCCAGAGAGAGACATTATCTTGTTATACTTGTCAGAAAACAAAGCTGCCCTCTGCCCTGGAGGGAGATACTATCTCTATCTTCTAAGGCTATTTGCTGTACAAATATTCTTGAAAAGATAGTCCATAACAAGCTGACAAAAGACATGCAGAAACAAGAAAGGCCCATACAGAATTATCTTCAAATACTGCTTTGCCACACTCTCTCTTGTTACTCTGCTTCCAAGTGTTGATTTTAGTTAGAAAGTAAACACTCACTTGTGTGATTGTTCAATTAATGTCTGCCTTGCCACAAAACTGTAAGCTCATAAAAACTATGAGACATGCTATTTTTGCTCCACCACAACCCAGCTCCTATTAGTTGCCTGGCACATTGTAGGCATTTAATGTATCAATGAACAGGCTAGCTAGGGGTAGATGGAAAAATGCAAAGTGGTCAGCTTGGTGTTTGCCTGTAACATGAAGCTGGAGGGGTTTAAATCATGGATATGAAATTACATTATTATCTGGCAATGTCTGTGCAATCACACCTTCCTCCCTTGCTTTTTTGAGTGTTCTCTCCATCAGTGTATCAAGCACAAAACAATCTTTTTTGAGGGTTACATAGGAAACTTATTCATCTCTAATATGAGCAAACCATCATCTAATTAAAAATTTTAGATTAAATGTGCTAACACAGATGATCCTTTTTAAAAAAGAATTACAAAGGGACTTCGAGAGGATAATTACAAATGGGAACTGTTGAATCTGAATAAAATTCCTATTTTCTTTAATCACTGAATCCCTCTCCTAACAAGAGCCTGAAACTATCTATATTTAAATATTGTGTGTCACGAGGGTCTCTCCAGGCTTTGGGGGAAATATGATTAAGTTATTGGTAAGACATTGTCCTCAGTCCTTTTCCAGGCATGCAAATTCAGAAGATTCCAGGCTGCAAGGGGTAATCCTAACTGATTTACAAGACCTGGTCCTGAATTAGAGATTACAGGGAGATTGGCTGGACCCTCTGACCACTGCAGCCAGCAACTTGGTTGCACTGTCTTATTTTTATAAGCTGAGCAAATTCTTACAGACTTCTAAGTGGAAGTAAAACTTCTGGAGAGTTGCATCTACCATATCCCAAGGGATCTCACTGGAGAGACTACCAGAAGAAATTATCTGTCCGGCAATTCTGACTAGGTCCTATATATCAAGATTTCTCAAAGTATGGTCTGGGGCTCCTAGGACTTCCTTGACTGCTCAAAATGCCAAAATGCAAGCCATTTTGACCCTCAGAACGTTGCTCAATTTCAGAGACTTCCAATATTTACCTGTGTGATAGAGCTCCTTAAAAATAATTCACTGAATGAGTTGCTGAGGGTGACTAAAGCTTAGTACTCACAAATTTAAATTAGCAGATCACTAGAGTTTATGAAACACACTAACTCAGCATTCTGAGAAGTGTGGCTGCCATGCAACTCTTAGAAAAATCATAAAGCTTCTACTGCTACATGGGTAAGGACGATGTTTGGTTACCAGGCATTATAAATATGGTTTTCAGTTGGTAGCAAAGTGTAGTTAAGAGAGTAGGTTTTCAGCCCGGCGTGGTGGCTCACATCTGGAATCCCAGCACTTTGGGAAGCTGACGGGGGGTGGGGAGGGCAGATCTCTTGAGCTCAGGAGTTCGAGACCAGCCTGGCCAACATGGTAAAACCCCATCTCTACAAAAAATACAAAAATTAGCCAGGCAGGTGGTGTGCACCTGTGGTCCCAGCTACTCTGGAGGCTGAAGTGGGAGGATCACTTGAGCCTGGGAAGTGGAGGTTGCAGTGAGCCAAGATTGCACCACTGCACTCCAGCCTGGGTGACAGAGTGAATCCCTATATCAAAAAAATTTAAAAAAAAAAATTTAAAAAAAAAAGGAGTAGGCTTTCGAGTCAACTTACCTGCATCTGAATTCTGGCTCCCTCCTGTACTATGTGACTTTTGAGAAGTGACAATTTCTCTGTGTCTTTATTTCTCATGTGTAAAGTGGGAATAATAACAGTATCCACCTCATGGGTTGTTGAGTGGACTAAAGGACATAATTCTTATGAAATCCTTAGCATAGTGACTAGCACACAATGCTCAATCAATAAAATTGTGAATCCATGACATTTACGGTTACAGTTATTCTTGCATCAATTGTTATTTTATTAACTGTTAGCTTTTACTTTTGTTCCTGGTTTTCCTGTCATATAATTGCTGCATTGTTATCCTTTTGTTTTTAAGTAGTTACTGCATTGTTATGTCTTGGTCTTGCTTATTTGTTCAACCAACTTCTCTTTCCAACAGGGAAGAGAAAAAGGGTGGGGTAAAGGGACCCGAGGCTACTGCTGCGAGGTTGCCACCCTATCCTGTCTGTCCCAGACTGGTCTGTAGCATGAAGCCCCCTGTGGTCCCCTGGTGGAAGCCCTAGAGGCCAGCCCAGGATGGGAAGCAGACTGAGCGCAGATGAGACTGGCCAGCGCAATACTCATTGCACCCACACACACTCTCCCCTTAGGCCATAGACCCAAGTGCCAGACAATTGGGAGCCCTTAGGGGGAACCAGAATTAACTTTTTAGTTCCCAGAAAGGTTCAGATAAAGGCCAGAGAAATCAGTCTGCCTCTCCCTTAAAGATTCTGAATAATCACCCCTTTTTCCTTTAGCTCAGAAAGATTCTCTGCCACAGCTTTTCTTTAATTCCACTGTCATTCAAACCAGCAGCTTAAGGCTTAGAAAGGAAAAGGCCTATTGCTTTCCTTCCCCATCTTGCTTCCTGCAAATGCCCCTTCCCATAAGAGGTCTTGTGCAGATTTACACAAAAAAGCTGGAGATACCTGGTTTTTAAGGTCAGCAAATGCTGGTTTCAATACTACCTGGGCTACCTTCTAGTTATGTGACCTAAGACAAGTCATTTTACCTTTCCAAGGCTTCGTTTGCTCATCTTCAAAATGTAGGGCCTTCATGAGGCTCTAGCAAAATAATGCATGTGGGGGCAGCTGGCTGGCCCCAGTGGGCACTCTCAAGTATGATTTTTATGCCCGCACACAACACTCACACTCACTCAATAAGTCTCTTCGGTTTCGTGTGACCATGTGACCTTGTGGTCTAATAAGAAGTGCATTTGGTTTTTGTCGCTAACTCCTGGCACAAGCTCCTAAAACCCTTGGGTTTTCCTGAGAGATAAGAGTGCCTTTTGTTCTTCATAAGAGCCCCTTTTGGAGCTGAGGATGGTGACTTACACCTGTAGTCCCAGCTACTCAGGAGGCTGAGGTAGGAAGATAGCTTGAGCCCAGGAATTGGAGGCAATATTTACTTCCAATATTTTTTGGCCCAGGAGTTGGAGGCATGAGCTATAATCATGCCACTTCACTACAGCCTGGGCTACAAAAAAAAAAAAAAAAAAAAAACCACCCTTTGACTGCCACCTAACTTTATGCTAATGAGGTGACTTAGAATGCGACTCCTAGACAGCCTCAGGATGGGGCTAGTCACCAGAAAAACCAAGTTAATCAGTTTCAGCGCCACCTACCGACCTGAGCTCGGAACTGGCTAGCTGGAAATTAAGCTCTAGAAAAACTCTTGAACAAAGAGAGTTGGTGAACACAAAGAGATGCTGGGAGGGTGGCTTGCCCAGAGGGGGCATGGAAGCTCCACATCTGTGCGCCACCCCCATACTTTGCCCTATGCATCTCTCCTACCTGGCTGTTCCTGAGCTGTATCTAATAAACCAGTAAACATAATTGAAGCATTTCCTGAGTTCTGTAAGCCATTCTAGCACATTATTGAACCCAAAGAGGGGATCATAGAAATCTCCGATTTATAATCAGTCAGTCAGAAACATGGAAAACTTAGACTTGCAGTTGGCATCTGAAGTGGAGGCAGTCTTGTGGGACTGAGCCCTTCTGTTAGGGACAAACTGCCCCCAAAAAAGCTTCTTACTGCTGCCCACCCCTCCCCCTAATGCTCTGCAACTTTTCCGTGCCGCCCACCCTTCCCTCAAGCCTCTTTGCTGTTCTAAGCCCTTATCTAGGTGCCCCGGTAAAGCCAGCAGACTTCACTTATCAGACCTTGCTGCAATAAGCAAACCCCAATTACAAACCATCCGGACCGCATCGGGGAGGTCATGGGAAGCATAAACAAACTTCACCTACACCCTCCTGTAATAAACGTCACAAGGTGATATGTGGCGAAATTAACCAGCAAACAACCCCAGGATGCGGCCATTGCAAAGAACTCCCTCAAACGCTCCTCCCCAAAATAAACCCCTCATTCTGTAAGCTTGGGGCTGCTTCCCTTGACTGTTTATGGAGGCAGCGAGAAGATTAATAAAACTTGCTTGCCTGACTTTGGGTCTATTTTTCCTTTGTCTCGGCTAACCTTGCACCTTCAATTTGTGGGACCTGACACTAACTCCAGGTAAATACTATCAGTATTCAATGACATTACTTGACGGTAGTCTGTTGAAACAGTGCATGAGATCCCATATTCTTCTCTCTTACACAGCGTCATGCTAGGTGATGAGGTTGACTACTTAACCAGCAGATCACAGCTGCTATACCCAGATGATTAGTGACCCTTTCCCAGAGTCCCTGGGGGGCCTGTACACTGTCCTGGTATTGCCACTCCTGCCCCCGTCACTTATGTAACTCTCCTTACAGAGCACATTCTTTGTAATATCCCTGAGGGTGGTAAAACTTTCTCCTTTTTGGGTGGATAAAATTTTTTTAACTTTTTATTTTGAGATAATTATAGATTAACATGCAGTTATAAGAAATAATACAAAGAGAGCCTGTCTACACTTTATTCAGTTTCCCCCAACAGTGATGTTTTGCAATAGTACCATACGATAACCAGGATCTTGACATTGACTCTGTCAAGATACAGAACACTGCCATTACCACAAGGATTGTCATAATCCCCTTTTATAGTCACACACACTCCTACTCCATCCTTAACCCTGGGTAACCACTAATCCGTTCATTTCTATAGTTTTTGTCATGTCCAGAATGTTATATATGTGGAACTATACTGTATGGAACCTTTAAGATTGGCCTTTTTTCACTCAATGAAATTTCCAGGAGAGTCATCCAACTTGTTGCGTTTATTAATAGTTTCATATTTTCAATTGCTGAGTAATATTCCATAGTAAGGATGTACCACAATTTGTTTCATCACTCACCTATTGAAGGATATCTGGATGGTTTCTAGTTTGGAACTATTATGAATGAAGCTACTGTTGACGTTCTTGTACAGGTTTTTGTACGAACATATGTTTTAGTTTCTCTGGGATAAGTGCACAAGAGTGCAATCACCAGGTTGTATGGTAACTGCATGTTTAGTCGCATAAGAAAATGCCAGTTTTGTAGAATGGCTGTATCCATTTTCATTTCCCAGCAAAGAATTACTGATCCAGTCTCTCTGTAGTCTCACTCCTTTTAGTGTTAGGCATTATGGTAGGTGTGTAGTGATATCTCATTGTGGTTTTAATTTGCATTTCCCTAATGGCCAATGATGTCGGATATCTTTTTATGTGCTTATTGCCATCTGTATATCTTCTTCAGTGAAATGTTGGTTCATGTTTTGCTTTTTTTCTAATTAGATTTTTTTTCACTGGATATAATTTTTTATTAAGTAATGTGAGCTAAATGTTTTGAACACCTTGAGTAGTTTGTGTAGTATTTTGCACTTCTCCAAACCTACCAATATATATGCACACATACAAACACACACATACAACCAAAAATGTATCTATAAATCAATCAACCTCTTTTGCTTATAAGGATCTTAAATGAGCTCAGAAAAGTTGTCAAAACATATACTGCTGAGGTTCTTAAACTGTTTTAATCAGAGGTGTCTCAGCACATCTGACTATAATGAACCTTCTGTTCAAAAAAATATACAGAATTTTACCTTCAATTTTACAGGGTTCCTGGTGATGTTGAAGACAGCAATGAAACCCAGGTTAAGAAAACCTAGTTGGGTCAGGGGCAGTGGCTTATGCCTGTAATCCCAGCATTTTAGGAGGTTGAGGCAGGAGGATCATTTGAGGCCAGGAGTTCAAGACCAGCTTACCCGCACAGAGCGGCGGGGTCCCCTGGCTTACCTGCACAGAGTGGCGGGGAGCACTGGCTTACTTGCACAAAGCAGTGGGGTCCCCTGGCTTACCTGTACAGAGTGGTGGGGTGCCTTGGCTTACCTGCACAGAGTGGTGGGGTGCCCTGGTTTACCTGCACAGAGTGGTGGGGTGCCCTGGCTTACCTGCACAGAGAAGTGGATGCGCTGGTTTACATGTACAGTCCAGTGGGCTGCACTGAGTTAGCATCTACAGTCAACTGTAGGATTTAAAGGCAAGGCAAGCTGAAGTGATCTGAAATTCCAGCTCTTCCCTTATTTATCTGGGCATTCTTAGATATGCTTCTTAACTTCTGACTTCCAGTTTCTTTATATATAGTAAGAACAACAAAATACTATCCTCACACAGGAGTTGAGAATATTGGATGAGACAATACATACACGTTTCTTGCCATAAAAAGGACATTCAGTGAAGTGTTAGTTCCCTTCCTGTTCCATGGATAGTGGCATAGAGGTATCTTTCCACCTAAAGTGAGCTTGCCTAAGCTCTGGGGAGCTCACCCTGCCCCTCTGCTCCTCTTCCCACAGGAGACCTTTTGTTTCATACACTCCTTTTTACTTCCCTGGTGCACCAGGGTCGCTGCAATGCTACCCTGAACCTTCTCCCTTGGAGGTGAGCCCCATACCTCCCATGGCACAGATCAGATGGGACTCAGCCATTCAGCCTCTCGGGCTTCTATGCCTGAATGAATTCCCCGGCAGGGCAGAGAATGGGGGTTGGAGACTCAGAGCAGTGCAGCAGGATGGTGCATTTAAAGCTGAATCATGACATTGCTCCAAACTGGCAATATGTGTTGCCCATTTGGTCCAAAGGAAGTTACGTCTTCTGACAGCCACCAGAGTAGAATCTTGAAAGAAAGGAACTAGACTTTTCCAGAAAGCAGAGATTACTCACACATGAGGATCCCCAGGAACCATGGAGAGCTCAGGCCACAACGCTCCACTCATGTGTCATGCCCTATTTCAGCAATATTCTTGTTGACTTAAATGCAAAACCAATGTTTCCTCTCCTCATGTGAATAGCTCTTGTTGTTGTTGTTGTTGTTGTCGTCCATTTTTTTGTTTGTTTGTTGAGATGAGGTCTCACTCTGTCACCCAGGCTGCAGTGCCATCACACAATCATAGCTCACTGTAGCCTAGATCTCCCAGGCTCAAGCAATCCTCCCACCTCAGCCTCCAAGTAGTTAGACTTGAGGTATGTGCCACCAAGCCCAGGTATTTGTTTTTTGTAGAGACGGGGTTTTGTCATGTTGCCCATTGCTGGTCTGGAACTCCTGGGCTCAAGGGATCTGCCCACCTCAGCCTCCCAAAGTGCTGGAATTACAGGCATGAGCCACTGTACCCAGCTCTTTAGCTAGATGCAAAGACTTCACATCCACTAGCATCTGTGACATCTCTCAGAAGACAAGCCCATGAAGGTGGCTTGCAGTGGTGAAAGGCTTGGATTCTAGTGCTAGACTACCCTAGCAGCCTGCCTCTCTCTAGCAAGGCGACCTTGGGCAAGTCATTTAACCTTTCTATGCCTCAGTTGCCTCATCTATAGTGTAGAAATAATACCAACAATACCTGCCTCATAGCGTTATTGTCAGGATTAAGTATGAGTGAAACACTCAACAATACACACATAGTTCTTGCCATAAAAAGGACATTCTTAGTGCTCAGCATCTGAGAAAGCACTATACACATAGTAGCCTTACTACTATTATCGTATTTACTACTAGGAGCTGGATGCCCATAAGAGCAAATAACTACAAAATGCGAACAGGACCAGGCTCTCCATGGCCCCTACAACTGTTCCCCATGCTTCTACAGCTGCTGGTCCAGTTTCATCTTCTTCCAAGCCAGCCATTCTGAAGAGTCTTGGAAAATTATCTCCTCTCCCCAGCCAACTAATCCAAGGAAACTATCTTCAGTAAGCAGAGAGTTTAGGGGCAGAATCATTTCTGCAGAGCCAGCAAGCCCTTATCTACATCCTTCTTCTGAGTCAAAAAACCAAAGGCTGCAGCAGTTGTCTTCAGTCAGTTCAGCTAAACTTTCCAGGTGCTGCTTGGTGTTTTCCCTGGACTAGGATCTAGTTTCTCCCTGCCCATTAACAGTGGCTCACTCAAGGCACTTCTTTATTTTCTGCGATCTCCTCGCCATTTTAGCTGCTTGCCAACATAGAAGTGAAAAGTACATGCTCTGGAGTGAGATTGCTGAGGTTCAACTACTAATCAGGCCTTCTCCTCTGTAAACGCATGTAAATTATAGTGCTTACATCATGGGGCTGTTAGGAAAAGTAAGTGAAACTTTACAGGTAAGCATTGCAGGTAATGCACAGTGTCTGGCTTATAAGTGGAAACTCAACAAAGTTTAGCTCTTTTTGTTATTTCTTTTCTTCTGTCCTCACTCATTCCCACCTACATTCTTGTAAAATTGAACCTCAATTGTGATGCCAAAAGGAGAAAAAATTATCCGTTTATAACCATCCCTAATATGCACACACACACACCCAAACACACACACACACACACACACACAAACACACAAACACATACTGCCCAAGACAGCCTTCAGAGGCTGGACAACTCCATGTAGAGATGATGCTGAGGCATTGATAATGGAGCCAAGCACTCCTTTCTCCCACTTGTAAAAGATGGTTTGGAGCTGGTGTTTCTGGGGCTGAGTGGGGGAAGATGGCCCCCTGTTGAATGGGCTCTCATGATAGAGTCAATATCTCACATCCCCTTCACAGGAGTCCACAGTGCACTGTGACTGAGATCAGCTGTTGTTTTCCAATTTCTTTAGTGCCCACCTGCTGTCTAGACTAATTTAATAGCCTCCATAGTACTGGGGAGCCGGGTGTTCGCATGTTCACAGGAGTGGGAATGAAGCTGAGAGACAACCCAAGTGAGGAAAGTTAGCGCTGATGCAGCCATACATCCAGGCGCTAAATAAACACATAGACTACAAATTCTGGAGAATCTTCTGTTAACATCAGATTAGCAAACATGCCCCTCCAGGGAAAATCTCCTGCCTTTCCATGCTTTCCTATAAAGTGATTACTCACATGAGTGAAGGAATTCAAGACATTGATCTCTGTGCTCTTTTGTGGCCGGAGCTCTGTGTTGCTGACTGGGAGGTGGAGGAAGTGGTAGAGGAGCGTGTGTGAGTGTGATTATGTGTATGTGTGTGCTGTGTATGTGCTTATGTTGAGGGGAGGACTGGTGATGGGGAGAAGGAATAAAAGGTACATTAAAAAGAACAGCTCCATTCTCAGTCTTTCTGCATCCGAGCACTACTACCCCTTTCTACCCCTAGCCTATGCAGGCAGTTATCACTTGAGTATCCAGAAACCTATCTTTGGGGATATGGGACAGATGACCTGGAAGAAATTTTAAATGTCTGACCTAGCCGTGACAAATCTGTCTTGCCTAATTTGCACGGGATTCATGTTCATTCTGTCTTTATTGGGGCAAATGTGTATCAGGCTTACGCTCTATTTCTTAGTTCTCGGTGACTTTCTACAGTCTTGTAGCCACGCATATGTTAAGCTTGGTTTTCCTGCTGGAGTGTAGTGTGTCCCAGTGAGCTTCCTTCTCCTTACTGCCACCGCAGGAACCTTAAACCTAGCTCTCTACTCACTCATCTCCCCCTCCCTGCATCCAGCAGCAGCGGCTGTCTCTCTCCCACTTTGGGCCGCTCACTTGCCTTGATTATTTGATTCTTTCTTCTGTATGTGCCTCATCATCCTGAGGACTCCTGGTCACTCAGGGTAGTCTAGTCTATGCTGTGATAGCAAACCACAGTGGCCTTACTGAAATGGTTTATTTTTCATTTAACTACGTTTGCATCATCGTTCAGTGGAAGGCTAATAAATATTTTATACATCACTTCTAACTATCGCCCATAAGATAAAATTAGCCTCAGAAACTCACCTAACTGCCAGGGGCTGGGAAATGTAGGGATCAAGTGGAATTTGAAGTGAACACTACTGTTAAAAACATCAGCTACATTCCCCTTCATCTTTACCCCTAGCTCCCTACCCCTAACCAGTCAGTCACCAATGCCTACTCACTCAATCTTCCCCCTTTCTACAAAATACATCCCATTCCTTCCCATCCCCAAAGATATTACTGATTTCAAGCCCTCATCACCATTGCCTTCAATGGTGACCCCAAACCAAAGCTCCTCTATCCTCATCAGACATAATAATCTTCTTAATGCACAAATCTGGTGATGCCAGTCACCCCCTTAAAACATTTCCACAGATCCCCATTACTTACAGGATACCTCTCTTGGCATGACCCATAAGCCCATCTCATTATCAGCCCTGCCTACCTATCATATCTCATCTCCTCACGTCACACACAGGGACTTGGCCAAGAGTCAAGAGGAAGTGGAAATCCCACCCACCTCCACTTGCCAAGCCTTGATTTCTGGTAATAGGCGGCAGCTTCTGGAGGAAGGGGTGCCTATTTCTCTCTAAGCAAGTTTTTCTAATTCAGACAAATTCACTCTATGCTCAGGAAGCTGGATTCACCCAGAAAGGGGTATATTTTTCTATTCCACACAAAGGCTTTATATTGTCTAGCAATATAGTCAGCTAGCAGTTCTCCAAATTGAGCATCCCTTCTCCCACCTCCAGGCATTGACACATGCTGTCCCTCTGCTACCAATGCCAACCACACCCGGCCCATCCTGCTGGCATGGTAAAAGTTTCTTAGTCTTTGATAACCCTTTTCAGATACATCCTCACACATTCCTAGTCAGAGGTAATCATTTCCTCCTGGTTTCAATTTAGATTCCTCCAAAGGAAAGCCCTGACACAAGGATGGGCTGCAGGTGGCCCATTTGGGGGATGGTCCCCAGGAAGCACAAATAAAGAAATAGTGAAAGTGAGGTAGTAAAGTGAGAAAAGCCAGTGAAGTATGTTCATGAGGAGGTAACTACTTTCTACAACTATGGCTCATTCCCACAGGGAAGCCCTTGAGAAACCATGAAGAATATGCTTACCGGGAAAAATGGAAACTGGCATATTTATCACTGATTCCTGTTCCTTATCATTTGAGGGTTGCCTTTCAGTGCGTTAAGTCTGCAGCACTTCCTGGCTCTCCTGAATGGGCTGAGCATCTGCATGGTCCTGGCAAGGGAGAGCTGTAAGCCCACAAGGCCGCTCTTGACTCTGCCCCTGGGCTCTCAACTCCACGCTCCAGTCATCTTCCTTTTCAATTAGAATTGGTTTGCATCTACAGCTGAGTAGCTTTCTCAGCCTACTTCCTGCCCACAGAAGTTGAAAGACCCACAGGCCTCTTTTCATTTTGAATTATCTCTGTTCATTTCACTTCAATTTAATACAATTCCTTTTAAAATATATATTTTTTTTATGTTTCAAACTATATTCCACTCCACTGGGCAAATGCCACATCTAGATTTCTTTCTGAGATAGGCCATCTTCTATCTTGTGCCAGGTGTGAGGCCACTGCAGGACAAAGCCCTTCAAAGTCTTAGAAGTTCTGCTGTCAAGCACATGTGTAAGAGGCATACCACTACGATTCTCAGAAGCACTATTGTCTCTTCCTGATGTCCACAAGACACACAATTAATTATGTACTTCGGAGTTCTCAACATCGGGTTTCACAGTCACGCCCTGGACTTTTATTTTACTCTAAGACTATGTTTTACTGCCCTGAGTTTGATCTTCTCCCTGAGACCATTTTTCACTTTGAAGTCCTTTTGCTGGCTTTTGCCTGGGCCCTCTATATTGCTTCTAAACTGTGCTTGAAAATATAATAGTTTCCTTTTAAGCCCATCTCTTTCTATCTCTACCTTGTTATTATACATTGCTAAAATAAACCAGTTGGCATTTTCCATATTTTTCCTGGAAATCTTCTTAACCAAATCTACCAGTTCACTAGATATATTTGCTATTGTTTACATTATTCTAGTTAACTGTTGCTATGGTTTGGCTATGTTCCCACTCAAATCTCATCTTGAATTGTAGCTCCCACAATTTTCACGTGTCATAGGAGGGACCCAGTAGAAGGTAATTGAATCAGGTGGGTGGGTCTTTCCCATGCTGTTCTCATGATAGTGAATAAGTCTCATGAGATCCGTTGGTTTAATAAAGACAAGTTCCCCTGCACAAGCTCTCTCTTCCCTGCCACCATGTATGATGTGATTTGCACCACTGTGCCTTCCACCATGATTGTGAGACCTCCCCAGCCATGCAGAACTGTGACTCGATTAAACCACTTTCCTTTATAAATTACCCAGTCTCGGGTATGTCTTTGTTAGCAGCTTGAGAACAGACTAATACAACTGTGTTCCCAAACTTTTCACCACCATATACTCGAGTTGCCCTTTCTCCAGCCTCCAAAATCAGCTTCCTGACTGTCCTTCAAGTCTTCACAACTAGTCTCCATGAGACTTTTCAAGCTGCTGTCAGTCCCCAAACCAATGCCATATGAGTGATGTGAACAAGGGATTTATTATACAGATTACACCTTGCACAGCTGTGGGAGAAACTAGTGAAGTAGAAGTCCCAAAGGGGATATCTGCAGCATCAGAGAAGAGTCACCAAGAGGGACTCCAGTAGGAGCTGGTAGAGCCTGTGTAGTGACTATAGGTCAGCAGGGCCAGTGGTCAGGATGCAAAGTGAAGACAGAGAGGAAACAGAATTCATAAACCTGAACCAACTGGGCAAACTGCAACCCACATCTGTCTCTCATCACCTCTACCTCAAAGATGCAGGTTCCCTCACCACAGAGACACACGTGCATCTGGTTCAGGAGGCAGAAAGGGGAGATTGTGTGGGATTCGGAGGACCTGCAGGTTCCACTGCTGCCCCATGCTGACAAGGTGAGTGGCAGATCAGTCAGGACTGCACGAGCTGCAGCAGCCCTTGGTGCCCTACCCCACCTCCAGAGCAGACCTGCTGAGGCTTCTGTCCCACCTTCCAAGTCTCAGGCAGATTTCTCTTGCAGTCATTCCTAACCCAGAACCGTCCCAGGAAAGGAACCTGGGAAACAGGGCTTCAGGTTAGCCTAGTCAACAAAGTATAAAACCATCACAAAGGCTCTAACCTCATGGTTCTTGTTTTAAAGAAAGCATTTAATAAATATTAAATATTTATTTGTACAAATATTCTCATCACCTAGCCTAAAGCTTGTCACATAGCAGGTGTCCCACCAATGTGTGTTTAACAGAAACTTGGTTTATATACCAGATTGACTGCTATGCCTTTGTTCTCTGAAATATTTCCCCCGACGTAAATGATGTCTTTCTTTTGGTAGAGAGAAAATAACCTTCTGTATCAATCTAATATTTGATTAATTTTCTTTCCCCTGGGAGAGACAATTTATAGCTTATAACTAAAGCACTCTACATTCTACTTACTCCAGAAAAAAGCTGCATTAAAATCCATTTGAACTTAGGAGTAAGAAGAAAGATGAGCTCACGGTGTTACCATTTTCCATGGGGCCTGAGTGAGAGGGCAGGGTTCATGCTTGAACACTTTCTCATTAGCACTTCAGCTCCTGCGCTCAGCTCCAAGCCCCACCTCCCGACCTGACTCAGACAAGGGGAACCGAGTGATGAGGTGATAATGAGGAGCAAATGTTCTGCCCTGTTCCGGGCCAGGCTGGGGCAAAGCAGGACCACAGGGATGAGACTGTACCTGGGTGTTTTAAAATCTTTCTTCATTTGGGATAAACAGCATGATGAAAATTCATCATCGGAATGAAAAAGAGAAGGAAGAGGCTGCAGCAGCAATGAGCACAGATAAGAGTGTAAATTAAAATGTGCTGGCTTGGGCTCCCTGAATACACTCAGGTTATTTTCATGATAGATCTTTTAGAAAATCTTAGCATTGCTATCTGCTACTTAACACTGACTACATGACTGTATGAGGAAGGAAGGGAGGGAGAGAGGAAGGGAGGAAAGGAAGGAGGAAGGAGGAAGGGAGGGAGGAAGGAAGGAAGGAAAGAGGGAAGGGCAGAGAAGGTTTCAGAAGATAAAGCAAATATTTCTGGAGAAGGACATTAGATAGGGCTTCTTTGAAGAAGTGGAATCTGAATGGCGTGCTGAATGATGAGTAAGATTCTGGTAGACAAAGATGTAGGTCAGATTCCTTCAGGTAGAGAGAAGGAAGGAAGGAAGGGAGGGAGGGAGGGAAGGAGGGAAAATATCTCCCCAGAAGATAACAGGTAAAAAGAGATCTTTTACTATCCCAAGCCATAAAGAGGCCCCAGCCTCATGCTATTATTGAAGCTCTGTTCCAAACTAGTTTTTTGCAAGGAAGTTCACAAGGCTCTTTGAACAGCACTGATTCTCCAAGGTCTGCAGAATGCCTAGAAAATGCAAGTGCTTTCCTAGGCCCTAGATACAGGTTTGAGAACCTTTACTCTTCCCAAGGTGGCTAACCCTAACAATATAGGGGTCTGATGGTGAAGAAGAAAGGAGAATGAAATTTTGGTGGGCAAATAGCTGTCTCTGCTATAGCCCTGAGAAGGCCCCCCAATGCCTTGTTGATGAAGTAGAGTCCCTCCACCTCCAGTGCCTCTAGGCCAATTTCTGGTTCTGTTGTACCATTGTCTCTCCTACCTTATTTACTCCCTGCTTCTTATTAATTCCTTTCTCTCTGCCCTCCCCACTGACTTCTATCCCCAACTTCCCCTCCTTTACTTCCAAGGTGTTCATACATTAATTGTACTTACCAGCAATCAAATGAAACAGAAGCATTGTTATGGTCCAACTTTTAAATGAGGAAACAGAGGACCGGAGAAAATAAATCACTTGCCCAAGGTCACCCAGCTAGTTCGAGGCAGATTTGAAACTAAGGAAACTAGGACTTCGGACTCTTAAGACTTCTGTTCTTCTCACTCTTCTGAAGGCACCCCCACCCACTACCAAGTCTACATGCAAAGGGATATGTAAAAGGATGGAGAAAGTTTTTCTCTCACCCACAATTTATCATTGGACTAGTATTCTTGAACATGAGATTCCTCCAATACTCTAAATCTATGTATCATAATCAAGGTTTATAAGTTGTGCTGCTACAGAATTGTGATCCCATGTGGTCCTTTCAATCCAAGAACACCCCAATCCTGAAGATCTAGTGAAACTTGCAGATACCTCCTTTTTTTGAAAAACTATTTTTTTTCTGTTCTGACAGCTAGTGTATCTATTGTGAGTGGTTCACTAATTTATTTATTTATGCATTGACTGTGATGACATCTACTACTCTTGGAGCCAAAAGTATCCAAGGCTCAATATTCAGTGATGCAAGAAACATAGTGAGTGGTAAGACATGGCCCTGTCCTAAAGGAGTCCACAGTCGACTTTGGAAGATGTCTAAAGAGACAAACTAATTATTCTACAAGCCATAGTGGAATAGATTATCTCAATGGCAGAGAAGATTTCAGAAGATAAAGCAAATATTTCTAGAGAAGGACACTAGATAAGTCTTCATTGAAGAAGTGGAATCTGAATGGCGTGCTGAACGATGAGTAAGATTCTGGTAGACAGAGATGGAGGACAGATTCCTTCAGGTAGAGAGAATATCATTATCAATAGCCAGATTTTGTTTGTTTGTTTGTTTTATTATACTTTAAGTTCTAGGGTACATGTGCACAACGTGCAGGTTTGTTACTTAGGTATACATGTGCCATGTTGGTCTGCTGCACCCATCAACTCATCATTTACATTAGGTATTTCTCCTAACACTATCCCTCCCCCAGCCCCCCACCCCCCAAAAGGCCCTGATGTGTGATGTTCCCCTCCCTGTGTCCATGTGTTCTCATTGTTCAACTCCCACTTATAAGTGAGAACATGCGGTGTTTGATTTTCTGTCCTTGTGATAGTTTGCTGAGAATGATGATTTCCAGCTTCATCCATGTCCCTGCAAAGGACATGAATTCATCCTTTTTTATGGCTGCATAGTATTCCATGGTATATATGTGCCACATTTTCTTTATCCAGTCTATTATTGAAGGACATTTGGGTTGGTTCCAAGTCTTTGCTATTGTGAATAGTGCCGCAATAAACATACGTGTGCATGTGTCTTTATAGTAGCATGATTTATAATCCTTTGGGTATATACCCAGTAATGGGATGGCTGGGTGAAATGGTATTTCTAGTTCTAGATCCTTGAGGAATTGCCACACTGTCTTCCACAATGGTTGAACTAATTTACACTCCCACCAACAGTGTAAAAGTGTTCCTATTTCTCCACATCCTCTCCAGCATCTGTTGTTTTCTGACTTTTTAATGATTACCATTCTAAATGGTATGAGGTGGTATCTCATTGTGGTTTTGATTTGCATTTCTCTGATGACCAGTGATGATAAGCATTTTGTCATATGTCTGTTGGCTGCATAAATGTCTTCTTTTGAGAAGTGTTTGTCATATCCTTTGCCCACTTTTTGATGGGGTTGTTTTCTTCTTGTAAATTTGTTGAAGTTCTTTGTAGATTCTGGATATTAGCCCTTTGTGAGATGGGTAGATTGCAAAAATTTTCTCCCATTCTGTAGGTAGCCTGTTCACTCTGATGATAGTTCCTTTTGCTGTGCAGAAGCTCTTTAGTTCAATTAGATCCCATTTGTCTATTTGGGTTTTTGTTGCCATTGCTTTTGGTGTTTTAGTCATGAAGTCTTTGCCCATGTCTATGTCCTGAATGGTATTACCTAGGTTTTCTTCTAGAGTTTTTATGGTTTTAGGTCTTACATTTAAGTCTTTAATCCATCTTGAGTTGACTTTTGTATAAGGTATAAGGAAAGGATCCAGTTTCAGCTTTCTACATATGGCTAGCCAGTTTTTCCAGCACCATTTATTAAATAGGGAATCCTGTCCCCATTTCTTGTTTTTGTCAGGTTTGTCAAAGATCAGATGGTTGTAAGTGTGTGGTATTATTTCTGGGGCCTCTGTTCTGTTCCATTGCTCTATATATCTGTGTTGGTACCAGTACCATGCTGTTTTGGTTACTGTAGCCTTGTAGTATAGTTTGAAGTCAGGTAGCGTGATGCCTCCAGCTTTGTTCTTTTGGCTTAGGATTGTCTTGGCAATGTGGGCTCTTTTTTTGGTTCCATATGAACTTTAAAGTAGTTTTTTCCAATTCTGTGAAGAAAGTCACTGGTAGCTTGATGGGGATGGCATTGAATCTATAAATTACCTTGGGCAGTATGGCCATTTTCATGATATTGATTCTTCCTATCCATGAGCATGGAATGTTCTTCCATTTGTTTGTGTCCTCTTTTATTTCCTTGAGCAGTGGTTTGTAGTTCTCCTTGAAGAGGTCCTTCACATCCCCTATAAGTTGGATTCTTAGGTATTTTATTCTCTTTGTAGTAATTGTGAATGTGAGTCCACTCATGATTTGGCTCTCTGTTTGTCTGTTCTTGGTGTAGAGGAATGCTTGTGATTTTCACACATTAATTTTGTATCCTGAGACTTTGCTGAAGTTGCTTATCAGTTTGAGGAGATTTTGGGCTGAGACAATGGGGTTTTCTAAATATACAATCATGTCATCTGCAAACAGAGACAATTTGACTTCCTCTTTTCCTAACTGGATACCCGTTATTTCTTTCTCTTGCCTGATTGCCCTGGCCAGAACTTCCAATACTATATTGAATAGGAGTGGTGAGAAAGGACATCCTTGTCTTGCGCCAATTTTCAAAGGGAATGCTTCCAGTTTTTGCCCATTCAGTATTATACTGGCTGCGGGTTTGTCATAAATAGCTCTTATTATTTTCAGATATGTTCCATCGACACCTAGTTTATTGAGAGTTTTTAGCATGAAAGGCTGTTGAATTTTGTTGAAGGCCTTTTGTGCATCTATTGAGATAATCATGCGGTTTTTATCGTTGGTTCTGTTTATGTGATGGATTATGTTTATTGATTTGCATATGTTGAACCAGCCTTGCATCCCAGGGATGAAGCCGACTTGATCATGGTGGATAAGCTTTTTGATGTTATGCTGGATTTGGTTTGCCAGTATTTTATTGAGGATTTTCCCATCAGTGTTCATCAGGGATATTGGCCTAAAATTCTTTTTTTGTTTTGTCTCCACTAGGCTTTGGTATCAGGATGATGCTGACCTCATAAAATGAGTTAGGGAGGAGTCCCTCTTTTTCTATTGATTGGAATAGTTTCGGAAGGAATGGTACCAGCTCCTCTTTGTACCTCGGGTAGAATTCGGCTGTGAATCCATCTGGTCCTGGACTTTTTTTGGTAGGTAGGCTGTGAATTATTGCCTCAGTTTCAGAACCTGTTAGTAGTCTATTCAGAGATTCAACTTCTTCCTGGTTTAGACTTGGGAGGGTGTATGTGTCCAGGAATGTATCCATAGTTTTTCTAGTTTATTTGTGTAGAGGTGTTTATAGCATTCTCTGATGGTAGTTTGTATTTTTGTGGGATCAGTGGTGATAGTCCCTTTATCATTTTTTATTGCATCTATTTGATTCTTCTCTCTTTCTTATTAGTCTTGCTAATGGTCTATTTTGTTGATCTTTTAAAAAAAACCAGTTCCTGGATTCACTGATTTTTTGAAGGGTTTTTTGTGTCTCTATCTCTTTCAGTTCTGCTCTCATCTTAGTTATTTCTTGCCTTCTGCTAGCTTTTGAATGTGTTTGCCCTTGCTTCTCTAGTTCTTTTAATTGTGATGTTAGGGTGTCGATTTTAGATCTTTCCTGCTTTCTCTTTTGGGCATTTAGTGCTATAAATTTCAGTCTACACACTGCTTTAAATGTGTCCCAGAGATTGTGGTATGTTGTGTCTTTGTTCTCAATGGTTTCAAAGAACATCCTTATTTCTGCCTTCATTTCATTATTTACCCAGTAGTCATTCAGGAGCAGGTTGTTCAGTTTCCATGTAGTTGGGTGGTTTTGAGTAAGTTTCTTAATCCTGAGTTCTAATTTGATTGCACTGTGGTCTGAGAGACAGTTTGTTGTGATTTCTGTGCTTTTACATTTGCTGAGGAGTGTTTTACTTCCAATTATGTGGTCAATTTTAGAATAAGTGTGATGTGGTGCTGAGAAGAATGTATATTCTGTTGATTTGGGGTGGAGAGTTCTGTAGATGTCTATTAGGTCTGCTTGGTCCAGAGCTGAGTTCAAGTCTTGGATATCCTTGTGAATTTTCTGCCTCATTGATCTGTCTATTATTGACAGTAGGGTGTTAAAGTCTCCCAGTATTATTGTGTGGGAGTCTAAGTCTCTTTGTAGGTCTCTAAGAACTTGCTTTATGAATCCGGGTGCTCCTGTATTGGGTGCATATATATTTAGGATAGTTAGCTTTTCTTGTTTAATTGATCCCTTTACCATTATGTAATGGCCTTCTTTGTCTCTTCTGATCTTTGTTGGTTTAAAGTCTGTTTTATCAGAGACTAGGATTGCAACCCCTGCTTTTTTTTTTTTTTTTTTTTTTTTTTTTTTTTTTTTTTTTGCTTTCCATTTGCTTGGTAGATCTTCCTCCATCCCTTTATTTTGAGCCTATATGTGTCTTTGCACATGAGGTGGGTCTCCTGAATACAGCACACCGATGGGCCTTGACTCCTTATCCAATTTGCCAGTCTGTGTCTTTTAATTGGGGCTTTTAGCCCATTTACATTTAAGGTTAATACTGTTATGTGTGAATCTGATCCTGTCATTACGATGCTATCTGGTTATTTCACCTGTTAATTGATGCAGTTTCTTCATAGCATCAATGGTCTTTACAATTTAGCATGTTTTTGCAGTAGCTGGTACCGGTTTTTCCTTTCCATGTTTAATGCTTCCATCAGGAGTTCTTGTAAGGCAGGCCTGGTGGTGACAAAATCTCTCAGCATTTGCTTTCCTGTAAAGGATTTTATTTCTCCTTCACTTATGAAGTTTTGTTTGGCTGGTTATGAAATTCTGGGTTGAAAATTCTTTTCTTTAAGAACGTTGAATATTGGCCCCCACTCTCTTCTGGCTTGTAGGGTTTCTGCCGAGAAATCCACTGTTAATCTGATGGGCTTCCCTTTGTGGGTAACCCGACCTTTCTCTCTGGCTGCCCTTAACATGTTTTCCTTCATTTCAACCTTGGTGAATCTGACAATTATATGTCTTGGGGTTGCTCTTCTTGAGGAGTGTCTTTGTGGTGTTCTCTGTATTTCCCGAAATTTAATGTTGGCCTGCCTTACTAGGTTGGGGAAGTTCTCCTGGATAATATCCTGAAGAATGTTTTCTAACTTGTTTCCATTCTCCCCGTCACTTTCAGGCACACCAGTCAAACGTAGATTTGGTCTTTTCACATAGTCCCATATCTTTTGGAGGCTTTCTTCATTTCTTTTTACTCTTTTTTCTCTAATCTTGTTTTCTCACTTTATTTCATTTATTTGATCTTCAATCACTCATATCCTTTCTTCCGCTTGATTGAATTGGCTCGTGAAGCTTGTGTGTGCTTCATGAAGTTCTCGTACTGTGGTTTTCAGCTCTGTCAGGTCATTTAAGCTCTTCTCTATACTGGTTATTCTAGTTAGCCATTTGTCTAACCTTTTTTGAAGGTTTTTAGCTTCCTTGCGATGGGTCAGAAAATGCTCCTTTAGCTTGGAGAAGTTTGTTGGAGTTTGCTGGAGGTCCATCCAGACCCTGTTTGCCTGGGTATCACCAGCAGAGGCTGCAAAGCAGCAAATGTTGCTGCCTGATTCTTCCTCTGGAAGCTTCGTCCCAGAGGGGCACCCATCTGTATGAGGTATCTGTCAGCCCCTATTGGGAGGTGTCTCCCAATCAGGCTACATAGGGGTCAGGGACCCACTTGAGGAGGCAGTCTGTCCATTATCGGAGCTCGAACGCCATGCTGGGAGAACCGCTGTTCTCTTCAGAGCTGTCAGGCAGGGACATTTAAGTATGCAGATGCTGTCTTCTGCCTTTTGTTCAGATATGCCCTGCCCCAAGAGGTGGAATCTAGAGAGGCAGTAGGCCTTGTGGAGTTGTGGTGGGCTCCGCCCAGTTCAAGCTTCCCTGCCTCTTTGTTTACACTGTGAGCACAGAACTGCCTACTCAAGCCTCAGCAATGGTGGACGCCCCTCCTCCTGCCAAGCTCCAGCATCCAAGGTCTTTCTCAGACTGCTGCTCTAGCAGCGAGCAAGGCTCCGTGGGTATGGGACCTGCTGAGCCAGGCACCAGAGGGAATCTCCTGGTCTGCCCATTGCAAAGACCATGGGAAAAGAGCAACATTTGGGCAGCAGTGTACTGCTCCTCCAGGTACAGTGACTCATGGCTTCCCTTGGCTAGGAAAGGGAAATCCCCTGACCCCTTACACTTCCTGGGTGAGGCAACACCCCGCCCTGCTTCGGCTCACCCTCTGTTGGCTGCACCCACTGTCCAACCAGTACCAATGAGATGAATCAGGTACCTCAGTTGGAAATGCAGAAATCACCCGTCTTCTGCATCAATCTTGCTGCTGGGAGCTGCAGACCAGAGCTGTTCCTATTGGGCCATCTTGGAAGCAACCAGATTGTTTTTTTTTTTAATCAAATGGAAAAACAAATGTTGCACTTTGGAAGTGATATAAGACTGTTGGGAAATACAGCTGGAAAGTGAAGCCATGATGTGGAAAGCCTCAAATACCAGAGTTTGAGGTCTGGAGTTTTGACCACAGACAACAGGAAGCCATTATGGGTTCCTGAATGGGGTAACAAAACCATCAAAGCAGTATAAAAGCAAAGAGGAGGCTGGGCATGGTGGCTCATGCCTGTAATCCCAGCAATTTGGGAGGCCAAGGCAGGTGGATCACCTAAGGTCAGGAGTTTGAGACTAGCCTGGCCAACATGGAAAAACCCTATCTCTACTAAAAATATAAAAATTAGCTGGGTGTGGTGGCACATGCCTGTAGTCCCAGCTACTTGGGAGGCTGAGGCAGGAGAATCGCTTGAACCCAGGAGTTGGAGGTTGCAATGAGCCAAGATTGTGCCACTGCACTCCAGCCTGGTGACAGAGTGAGATTCTGTCAAAAAAAAAAAAAATTCAAGAAGATAGAAAACAAAGACCACTATTATTCCTACAGAAATGTGACCTCTAAATTCTAACAACTATATGATGTGATTGCAAATGGAAAATCAGTGTGAAATACAGCAATGCTGAAAGTGCTACCTAGAGAAAGCCAGATTGTCATGCAGACACATCTCCAATGGCATTGGAATATCTGCCACTTCGAAACCTTGGAAAATTCATCACTGTCCAGGGACCAGGACCTGACACTCACTGCTTTGCAGATTCAGTAATGCAGATCTTGTCTCTGTCCCAGAGCAGGCTAGAATCAGGGAAACCAGAATGCCCACTTCATTTTTCTGTTGTTTGTTTGTTTGTTTGTTTGTTTGTTTTCCATAAAGACAGGGTCTTACTACATTGCCCATTCTGGTCTTGAGCTTCTGGGCTCAAGCAATCTTCCCACCTCAGCCACCCAAAGTGCTGGGATTATAGGTATAATAGAATGCCACTTCTCAATTCACAGTAAGAAACAGAAATGCCCACTCACATAAGCCAGGATTTTCAGTTGCAAACAATAGAACCTACGCTATCTAGTTTAGGCCATAAAAGAAAATCATTAAAGATAATGCTAAACTCACAGAATTTCCAGGAATTCAGAGCCAGTGAATCAGGCTCAGAGACCCCACAGCCAAGAAGTAAACCCAGATGCTGGATCACTCACAGGTCAGTCTCACTGTCATTGTGGATGCAGCAACACAGCTTGCCCAGTGGATACAATGCATGACACACTGTGTGGTGGCTGCAGGATTCTACTGCTAGGTATTTTGCTTCTGTTGCTCCTGAAAGCCCAGTTACTTCCTGCCATTCTCTCTGGAAAGGTGGATGCTGAATGTGACCTTCTTCGTCATGGGGCCCATCTCACTGGTGGAAACTGGATCACATGTCTGGCCTTAGTGTTCAGGCTGGCTTGGAACCTGGGTACAAAGGTGCAAATCTCAAAGAGAAAAAATCACCAAAATATAAGCTGGGAGCCCAAAAGACGTAGGGTGTCCATGATTATGACAAATGACCACTGCACATCAGCTGACTGACCTGGAGATCGGCTGACTCTGTCACACTATCAGAAAGTTGTTCAACATGAAGTTAGAGAATGGGAAGCTATGTATGACAGTTTTTGTTGTTGTTGTTTTTTGGTTTTTTTTGTAGCATTAAGCTCTAGTAACCTGTTGAATTCACTGCCACAATTCATTCATTGTACATTATGTACAATTCATTGTACATTGTACATTACATTGTACATTGTACAATTGTACATTATGTACATTCATTGTACATTATATACCTAATCGCACTCATTAGGTACATAATTCCATATTCAGTGATGGGTCAGGGGACAAAAATGAGTAAATCCAAGTTAAACTACATTCCTACCCTCAAGGTGTTCACAAAATAGCTGGTAAAATAAGAAGCAGCAGAGTCCTAAGCAGTAGCAAGATCTAGAATAAGAGTGCCTGTGGGTGACTGAAAGAGCAAATAGGACTGTCTTTGAGATTGAAGAAGTTAAGAAATTCGGGATGGACAGGGCATGGTGGCTCACGCCTGTCATCCCAGCACTTTGGGAGGCTGAGACGGGAGGATCACTTCAGCCCAGGAATTTGAGACTATGGTGGGCACATAACAAGACCATCTTTTGTAGAGATGGGTCTCTACAAAGAAAAAAAAAATTAGCCAGGCCTGGTGGTGTATACCTGTAGTGCCAGCTACTTGGGTGTCTGAGGTGGGATTGCTTAAGCCCAGGAGTTCAAGGCTGCAGTGAGCTATGATTGCACCTCTGCACTCCCGTTAGCCTGGAACACAGAGAGAGACCCTGTCTATAAAAAATTAAGCAATGGAGAAGGTTAGATATTGGAGGAGTCAGTAATGTAGATACTGAAGACACTGAGGATGAGAGCTGGTACTGACTGAGAGAAGAAGGGGTCTCAACCAAGAGGCAGAGCATGGAGGCCTTGGAAGGCACTTAGTGGAGATGAGGGACCAGGGTATAGGCAGCAGGTTTCTCTTGAGTTTTCAAGAGAAGAGGAGTTGCCCAGTCACAGTAGCAGAACCAGAGTCTGGAAGCAACAGAGAATAAATAAAGTATGAACCCCAACTGAGGCCAAGGATAAGAGCATTGGCTCAAGGGGACAGGAGTGTTCTGGATGAGAAGAAGGGAAGTAGGTTTGGGAAAAGATGATGTTCAGGTGAGATGAAGAGACAAAGGTGCACTTGTGGAAATAGGCCAGGTGCCTGCCCCATGCAACATGCACTCCACAGAACTGCAGGAAGGGACTGTGCCCTTCCTTTGCCTTCTTCAGAGACATTGCTCTCTCTTCCTTCCCTTTCCCTTCCAAGTCTGCCTCCCAGGGCCACGTCTGTACTTTTATTTGCCTTTTGCAATCTGCAGAGCTAGTATAATCTTTCAGCACTTAGCCTGCAAAGAAGAAAGTGCATTTTTCCTATTAGCATGTACATCTCTCGGACAAAGAACTTGAAATCACCTTCTGAATGCCAGAGTCATTCCAGCATTGACACCTGCTTTCCCAAAGCACCAGTGATAACCCCATCTCCCTGCAAAAACTATAACTTTAATAAAAAACAGGTCACACGCCAGACACCAGTATTGCCAGAACATGCAAACACACACGTACACTCTATCACCAATAACTCGTAAAAGAAAATGAAATCTCTAACAGTATCCTCCTGCCAATTTCTCTAAGAAATTCCCCGGGGAAAAAAGAAGGGACTGTAAATACCTTCAATACTCTGGACATAATGAGTAATGTTTCATGGTTGTCATGGAAATGGTTCTGATCCACAGAGAATGATGGGCCCTTTATCTCATTACTGAAACTCAGTTGGAGGATGAGTGTCACAGGCGTGGTAGAAAAGTATACATTTGAATTCAGAAAAAGGTGGGTTCCAGTCCTAGCTCTTTTTACTGGCTATGTGATATTGGACAGTTACCTCTTCTAGCTCTGTCTCAGCTTCCTCCTCTATAAAATGGGCACGAGAGTCCTACTTCCCAGAGTTGTAGAGAAAATTAAAGAAAGAAATGTATGCAATGCACCTAGTACAGTAGCGAGTAAATGGTAACTATTACTAGCACTGCTATTGCTTAGTTATTATTCTCTTCATCACCTTTATTATTGAACCAAAGTTTCCATTTGGCTCAGAGTTGAACAGAAAGAGTCCCTCATGCCCATGCTGTGAGTTCATCTATAATAGATGTAAAAGCCACCTCCTTGTGATTTGGATAATGGAGGCATTCAGATTCCGTTGAGCATACTGATTAGCCTGCAAGGGCACGGCTGACAGCTCACAGAGGGAAAAGACTGAGCAGTCTCTTAGGGGCTCCACGTGCAGCTTGACCCCTTCCCATCCCTTCTCATCCTCACTCATTCCCACCCACTTTACCCAGACACCTACTTCCTTGTAACAGGCAGTGTGGTGAGTGTCTCTCTCTCTCTCTCTGCCCCCTCTCTTTCTCTCTCTCTGCAGAAAACAATGACTGTACTCATACATTGCCCCTGTAGAAAGTGAAACCGCATGGCTGGGAGAATCCTATCATCATTCCACCCTCTAATGAAAGAGATTGTTTGCAAGCAGATGAAATTAAATTGTAAGCTCTATTGACTTCAACAACAGGTGCCATTTGGGCAAAGCTAAAGGGAGCCATTGAATTGTCAAAAGGATTTAACTCTTCCTGACACCGTGGCATTGGGTAATAGCCTCCCACCAGTTCTGCTGCCAGAGACATCACCACTGCAGATCCATTACACTAGATTCTCACCCTGAAATTCTTTTTAAAATGGTAATTTTCAGGGAGGGGAAACAGATAACTCAATCAGGCTAGAGTGCTAGTGTAGAGCCTGGGTCTCTATCCTGGCTGAGCTCCTCAGTCAAGTTTCCCCATCTGGAAAATGGAGGAATGCAGAGAATTACAGGTACTTCCTAGGGTCCTAAGAAGATAAAATGAGAGCTTAAAGGGAAGACACTCAGTGCAGGACCCGGGACAATACAAGTGTTCACAATTCCTGCATCGTGTAGGGAATCTTTCTTGAGAACACTTTCTAGCAAACACTCACATGCCTGGGAAAATGCAGACTCCTGAAACTCACCCATGAAGATCCTACATCAGTGGCTCTGGGCTGGGCCTGGGCCTGGGCCTGGGAATATGCACTTTTAACAAACCCTCCAGGTAGTTTGTTTTGGTGGGTCCCATCATGATCCTCAGAACCCACCCACCTGTCCCTATGGGGCCAATCCCTGGGTCTGGCTGGTAGGAGTTCATTTCCTCCCAACAGAAAAGGCCTGAGGCAGGGGAAGACTATGGAATGGCGGAAGGGCTGAATACCAGAAAAGGTCAGGGAAAGAGCTGATAGAAGTTTGAGAGCCAAACTTTGGACAATTCGCAGTTTTGCCTCTTCCAGCAGGAGATGGTCAGGAGAGTGCTGAGGGTTAACTTGGGTGAGGAACCGAGGGAACAGACAGCAGCATTCACAGAAGAAAGTACTTTCAAAAAAAACCATTGTGCAAATCCCAGACACCAGCCATAGGCCCTGAAATTCTAGTTTAAAGCAATTCAGTTCCTGTTCCATTCAGCAGGCCGATGAATTGCAGGCATTTGCACTTCTGTGGTACCTTTCAAGCCACAGCCTCAAAGCTCCTTTCAAACACAAATCTGTTCAGCCTCATAACCTCTCTGAGAGATTCTGCAAAGGGATAGTGGGATCACTTCCCTCCCTACCTCAAGGGCAGCCTTTTGGGAGGTGGGAGGCAGGAGGCAGTAGCCGTTTAACAGTCACTTAACCAGGCGTCTTGACAGCTCAAACGGTGGAGAAGGAGCCACTTGGGATCAGCCGTTTCTGGGACACTTAGTCTGAGGCATGCCATTACAGAAATACCTGGATATTCACCTCTGCCTTTTTGGCTTTAGCTTCTTCCTTGTTTAGCCTGAATAGTGTCTGGTGATTTGGCAGACACTGAAAGTTGCCTACCTAATATCTTGCTTCCGTGTAATAGAACCTCAACTTTTTTCTGGGTCAGAACAGCCTCAGGGGGCAGACCATGATTCTTTTAAGCCAAATAAGCAATCCTCTTCCATCTTTCCCAGCCTTCCTTCAGCTATAGGTGACCATATCATCTAGGCTTGGCCAATGAAATGGAATTGAAAATATGCTGGGAAGTATTTGCCAGAATTTGCTACACTACAGTATTGTAACTCTGATATTTCAGTAGTTTTACACAATAAAGATTTATTTTTCTTTCACATTATAATTGTAATTCAATCAGTGGGGAAAGTGTTTCACACTCGTCTAGGAACCCAGACTAATGAAGTCTCCATCATGTTATAACAGAACCATCTAGAACCCATGGTCTCCAAGGTCTCCATGGAAAAGCCTGAAAAGATACTCCTCCTTCAGTCCTCGAAGATGCTCTCCTTGTAGGCTCCTGCCAATCATTCCAGTCACAAATGGGTTGCTCTCTCATCTGAGCTGTAATTTGATATGTCAGGAGTGTGAAGAACAATTAACCACTGGCGTATTGCATAACTTCAAAAGTCTCTTGAGATAAAATGTATGCAAATGATAGTGTCTATTATTATGCCTGATAACAATTCTTTAATTCTGACTTAAAAGAGGAGAGGTTCTGAGACATGTTGCATTTGATCCAATGAAATATTCAAACTAACTTTATATCACTCGGGTGGTAATTTATCTTCTCTGCCTGGAGCAGAAAGAGGTTTCAGTGCAGTATTCATGGATTTATATCGTCTCTCACAAATTGGTTTCTTTTGATTGGAGCATGGGTGTTCAAAACTGTGCAGTCCTTGTCAGCATGAGGTTGCTCTGGGCATAAAGCAAGCAGTGCAGGGGATCCTTGGAGATGAAGGTTGTCACCTCTCCACCAGCTATGTGGCCACGTTAGAAGTCACAGCTCACAGAATGGAAGCCATTTCTTGATTTTAATAATATGCAATGAGAGAAGAGGTTAGAGAGAGGAGAAAAGGGATAGACAATAAATGGACAAGCTAATGGCACAGATGGTTGTGAGAGTGCAGTCAGTTAACAAGTAATGCTTGTACTTTTAGAGGATGGACTCCTCTTTGCTAAAACTACTGTCTAGGAGTCTTCCATCCCTCATTACCTTCCCTTGGATATCTCTGCTTTGCCCAGATTTGCTGTCGGCCAAGCTGTCTCCAGAAACGGAGACTCTGCCAAAGCCAGACAAAGAAAAAAGGCAAGCGAGAGTGTGGGACCTGGTGGGATAACGGCTGTTTTATTCGACTAAGGAGGGAACTGTGTTAATAAACGCCTGTGACACTTAATGATGTGGCTTTCATTTTGAACACATCATTGCTTGATATTGAATCCATCCATTTTGATAATAAACACCACACCATGGAACTCTCGCTTTTTGCCCATAAATAAATAAATAATAGGCACGCGATGCAGGAACTTCCTTTGCACACTGGGAACGAGTGGGGGCTGCAGCTCCCTGCATGCGTTTGCATCTTATGAACTCTATTCAGCCGCATGGCCTCCCATTCGTCTCTCTGGAAATCCAATTTCCCTTTTGCAGGTTCATCTGCCAGTTTTCTAATTTTCACATCAAACTGCATATTACTCATTGTCAGGCTGGTTGTTCTGGAAGAATCGTTAGAATCTTAAACCCTTTACCAGTGCTTTCGGTTTAGCCTCAGACAGTTACTGGGCTTCATGTTTTCCAAAAGATTACTGCCACCACCCCCCTCCAAAAAAAATCTCAAACTTTCAAACCTGCATTCTCTTGGTCCAGGCCAGAGCCAGTGAGAATAACACTTTCTGAAAGATAAATCCAAAATTTTTAATACAACAAAATGGCCCTCCCCACTTATCAAGGAATGTGTGATTCATTTCTCTATTCCCAGCACTTAGCACACAATACATCTTCAATAAATCATTGATGGAAAAAATGAGTAAACAATTACATGAATGGTATGCTGTATATATACTCACTTCTGCAAGATTACATGAATATAGTACACATATATCAAATCGAACTTCATTGCCTATAGTATACATTCATTTTTGTTTAACCCATTTATACTAACAAAAATTATCTTTCTCTTTTTGTTTTAAAAAGATCAGTAATTATTCTTTAAAGAGTAGCTCTATTTGATATAATTAATTTGAATGTCAAAAAGTTGATCCTTATTATGTTACCAGGCTCAGATTCTTCTCAGATCAACAGCTTCCAAATCTATACATTTGGTTCTGGGTTTCTTGCTTATTTTCACATGTCCAAATTCTCAGGATGATAGAAGGATCTAACATGCATTTCTTCTGTAAGGCTGGGATGCATCATGGAAAGGAATCTTTTGGACCCACTGCAGCCAGAGAATGAAGAGGTTCTGCTAGAAATCCATCTCCCTGGGGGTCATTTGGAGACTAGCATGGTACTATCTTACTTGAAGACCATGCTGGTCTCCAAATGTGTGGCATCGCTGCTCTGTTCAGAGAATAGGGTAGGCAGCTATAGGAACCTACCTTTCTAGAAGCCCTGCTCCATGGACTTTTATCTAGAAATTTCCCCCAGACTGTTCAAGGTGCTCCCCAGGTATAAGCTCTAAAGAACTGGAGAAAAGATTGCCTTTTCCTTACAGTTTTCTAAAGATGAGCTTTAAAGGAAGTGCTTCATTCTTTATTAGAATCAAACCTCAAAAGCCAAAGGTTCATGTTCACAGCAGCCAAATGCAATTCCTGTCCCTGAATCCTGTACTGGATGGGAGAAAAAAATCCTACAAAGGACATCCACTGGAATGTGGATGGTAGAATAGATAAAAGTATTGTATCAATATTAACTTTACTAAAGTTGAAAACTATACTTGGTTATGAAAGAAAATATCCCAATTGTTAAAAAACCTGTACATATACATGAAGTATTTATAAATACAGGCTTTGAGGTATGTAACTTAGCTTTAAAGGATTAAAAACATTACATGTAATAAATATGAAATAAAATATAAATATTTTATATACATATGTAAGAAAAGAATGAGCACAAATGATAAAGCAAAAAGCATAAAAGGTTAGCAATAGGTGAATCTGGTAAAGAGTATAACATATTTTTGGTACTATCTTATTCTTTTAATTTTTTTATGTTTAAAATTATTTCTAAATAAAACATTTAGGGCCAGGCAAGGTGGCTGATGCCTTTAATCCCAGCACTTTGGGAGGTCAAGGCAGGAGGATGGCTTCAGCCCAAGAGTTCGAGGCCAGCCTGGGAAACATAACGAGATCTTGTCTCTACAAAAAATGTAAAAAGGGGATGGGAGGATGGCCTGAGCCCAGGAGGTCGAGGCTCCAATGAGCCATGATCATGCTACTGCACTCCTGCCGGGGCAACAGAAGTGAAACCCTGCCTCAAAAAATAAAATGTTTATAATAAATATTTGAAGCCCATTACCATAGACAAAATCAAGCTGGACCCTGTAAACATAACCAGGCTAGGACCAAGCTGGTGATAAAAAGGGGAAATAAATCTTCCATCAGAGCAGAAGATGGCAAACTTTTGTCTGTAAAGGGCCAGATAGTAAATATTTTAGGTTTTATGGGCCAGAAAGGCTCTGTCACAACTACTTGACTGCCATAGTATTGCTAAAGCAGACTTGGAGAGTTTGTAAGTGAATGGGCATGACCATGTTCCAATATAACTTTATTTATAAAAACAAGCCCAAAGGCCATAGTTTGCCAACCTCTGACTTCAATAATTGGGATCCTATTTGCCCCCATTCATTTGGGTCCCTTAGAGGGACGTTCTCTCTACCTGCTTCCCTGTGGCAGGCTCTATCTTTAACCCCTGCCACTCTGGAGCACCATTGCCACTGTCTTCACAGTGACTGACAGCAGGGATATAGACTACCTTTAGGAGAAGTCACAAAGTGAAGCCCTCTCACCCCATGGGCAACCACAGTATATCTATGAGAACACAGATGACAATTTTCACATTCACGCAAGAAACAGACCAGAATGTCATTTCAAATGCCAGTCTAGACATGAAGGGGGAAAGTCACTCCTCTATATGCACACAGGAAAACCTGCTCCTCAGAAATCACAGTCTCGAACAGTGAATGCGTGAATGTGCTGCTTTATTTAAAGAAAAGAAAAAGAGGCTGGGTGCAGTGACTCACGCCTGTAACCACAGCACTTTGGGAGGCTGAGGCAGGTGGATCACTTGAGGTCAAGAGTTTGAGACCAGCCTGACCAACATGGTGAAACCCACCCCATCTCTACTAAAAATACAAAAGCTAGCCAGGCATGGTGGTGCATGCCTCAGGAGAATCACTTGAGCCTGGGAGGCAGACGTCACAGCGAACCAAGATTACACCACTTCACTCCAGGCTGGGAGACAGAACAAAACCCTGTCTCATAGAAAAAAAGAAAAAAAAAAGCAAAAGTTCCTACTTGGGTTCATTGTCCTATCTGAAAATGACCACATATGATGGATACATCAAGACAGGGACAGTAAAAGAAACAAGGAGACAGGGGTAGGGATGGAGTGTGGAGAAGGGAGAGGAGGAGAAGAGAGAAAAATTCAGAGGGAACCCTTAGAATTCCTTTGCTGCTGCAACATTTGTCGCTGGCTCTTACCCTCCCTATCCCCCAGCTGGTCCCCTTGGTTCTCTCGCAGGCATCTGGCTTCTACCCTTATCACACTTACTGTGTGTGCTCACTTACTGTCTCAACACATTTACTGTGCTGTGCTATAGATTCCTGTGGAGAAGTCAACACACCTTCCAACCACAAGCTGTTGGAAGCCCCCAGAGAGGGACATAGACTTGAAGGAGCTCAGCCAAATCCCACCGATAACACAGAGCCCACCACTCACCCCAGCTCTGTGTGAGGGTATGTCCTGTCCCAGGGCGCTTCTTCAGGCTAATGGTGCCTGCCAAGAGCCCCAGGACTGCTTCTATAGAGGCCATTTTATTTGAAAGGTAATGGAGCCCTCGGCAATGCGAAAAACAAACAAGCAAAAAGATGGGAGCATCTAGTGTGACTGACTCCAGAGGCGAGAGGAAGAAAGTGGAAGAAGGAAGGCAGAAGTGTGACACTTGGCAGCTGTCTCCAGCCTTGTCCCCTCATTCTTTCTTACCTTTGTCTTTTGAAGTCTACCACATAGAATTAGGAGAGCACCTACTGTGGGCTTGGCAGATACAGTGTTGAATGGAACAGATGCGGCCCTGCCTCCTGGTGCTTACATCTGGTGTGGGATCCCAACAGTAAACAGGCAATCGCATTAGAGCAAGTAGAGTTCTCAAGCTGGGAGTGCATCAGAATCTTCTAGAGGGCTTGTTAAAGCACAGATATCTTGCGGAACCCCCCCCCCCCACACACACACACACAACAGTTTCTGATTCAGAGGATGTGGGTGGAGCCAGAGAATCTGCATTTCTGTGAAATGTCCAGGTAGGTGATACTGATGCTGCTGGAGGATGACACTTTGAGAGCTGCCACACTCTAGCATTGTTAGTGTTATGAAGGTGGAAGTACGGGACCCAATGGGAGCAGGTAAAGGGGCATCCCATCCAGACTTAAGGCCCGACTTCAGCCAGTATACTTTGAGTGCATCTCAAATCTTCTGCCAGGAATCTCATGCTCTTTCTGCAGGATGTGAATCTGGAAGGATAGCACCTTGGTAGCTGCTGGCAGCCACTTTCCAACCTGAGGAAAGAAGCTGATTGGGAATGCACTTAACAGAGGAGAATGTGAGCCTGAAGATGAGAAAAAACAGAAGTCAATACGTCCCTGCACCCGGCTGCTCCTAAAGCCAATCTGCCTCTGGATTTTCAATTATATAAGCCATAAATTCCCCTTTGGCTTAAACAAGTTTGGAAAGTCTTCCAATAACGGCAACAAATAATATTCTGACTGATATTCACCCACTTGCCAAACAGCCTGAAAGTCTACCATTAGTGATCCAGCCCTTAGCATTTCTACGTCCTCACACATTCATCTAAGGCAGGGGTCAGCATACTACAGTCTTTGGGCCAAGTCTGGACCACCACCTGTTTTTACAACATGTTACTGAAACAGCCACATTCCCCAATTTACGTACTGTCTATGGCTGCTTTTGTGCAAAAATGACACAACTGAACAGCTTGGACAGAGACTGTAGGTCTACAAAGCCTAAAAGGTTTACTATCCAGCTCTTTATACACAGGCAATGTTTGCGGATGCCCAGTCTGAGAAGTCCTTCTGAAGTCCTGTTCAGTGCAATACTTTTTTGTTGTTGTTGTCATTTTTTGTTGTTGTTGCCCAGGCTGGAGTGCAGTGGCGCGATCTCGGCTCATTGCAACCTCCACCTCCTGGGTTCAGGGGATTTTCCTGCCTCAGCCTCCCGAGTAGCTGAGATTACAGGCCCACACTACCACACCTGGCTAATTTTTGTATTTTTTAGTAGAGATAGGGTTTCGCCATGTTGGCCAGGTTGGTTTCAAACTCCTGACCTCAGGTGATCCACCCGCCTTGGCCTCCCAAACTGTTGGGATTACAGGCGTGAGCCACCGCACCCTGTCCAATGCAGTACTGTAGATTTATCCTACCTGTTTAAATTTAGCCCCTCTTGTCTCACACTCTGAAGAAGGGCTGGAGGACAATAAAATGTGGACAAAATTGGTTCCTGAGAGTGACTGGAAACCTCGTTAAAAATGAGTGCCCAACCTCAGTTGTGGGCTAATTCAACAGCTGTCCTTCTTTTCAAGTTTCTTAGAAAACTAAGCACACTTTTACTATATGACCTAGCAATCATGCTCCTTGGTATTTACTCAAGGGAGTTAAAAACTTATATTCACACAAAAACCTGCTCATGGATGTTTATAGCAGCAGCTTTATTCATAATTGCCAAAACTTGAAAGCAACCAAGATGCCCTTCAGTAGGTGAGTAGATAAATGAACTGTGGTACATCCAGACAATGGAATATTATTTGGCACTAAAAAGAAATAAGCTATCAAGCCATGAAATACATGGAAGAACCTTAGATGCATATTAATGAATGAAAGAAGCCAATCTGAAAAGGCTACATACTGTATGATTTCATATGTATGACATTTTGGAAAAGGCAAAACTATGGAGACAGTAAAAAGATCAGTGATTGCCATGGGGTTAAGGGGGAGGGAGGGACAAATAGAACACAGAGGACTTTCAGGGCAGTGAGACTACTCTGTATGTTACTGTAATGATGGACACATCATTATACTTTTATACAAACCCAAAGAATTTAGATGTACCAAGAGTAAATGCTAATGTAAAGTATGGACTTTAGGTAATCATGATGTGTCGATGAAGATTCACCAATTGGAACAAACGTACCACTGAGGTGAGGGATGTGGATAATTGAGGAGGCTATGCATGTGTTGGGGCAGAGGGTTTGTGGAAAACCTCTGTATCTTCCATTCAATTTTGCTATGACCCTAAAACTACTCTAAAAATGAAGTTTATTAAAAAGAAGAAGAAGAAGGTATGGTGGCCAATGATGTGGTGATGACAATCCGCAGCCTGTCTACCTCCTGTGCCTCAGTGCTTGGGTCCGGATGCTCGTCCTCCCTACCCGGGGCTGGGCTATGTACCAGACATCTCCCTTCACCCTCACCCTGGAGGTTAACTCCGCCTCTGTCTGTGCTAACCTCCCATTTTCTTATCCCTGTATAATTTATATAATAGAACACTTTAGAAGTATCTCTGCTCACTTGAATGCTAATCATTCTCGGAAGCCCAATATTATAAAGCAGAGCTGAGTGGCCCACTTTCTCACCCTAAAAGAAAATTGGAATTCAAGAACCTATCATTTCCAGTTGTTTCTTCATAGATACAGGACTGCTGATTCCCTTGTTTTGATGACACACATCCTCCAGTAGCTTCCCAAGAACTTGTGTGTTGTTCTGAGTCTTCTGAGGGCTCTGTAGTTTAGATCAGGACGTTCTTGGCTTTCTCCATTTCAGGATTAAGATTCAGGTTTCTTGCACCTGCTAAAGTAATTTAACAGTCATTCTACTTTTCAGCTTCCAAAATGTATTGCCATTGTCTTTTTGCCTTTTCTTCCCATCCTTATGGATTTCTATCTTTTAAAAAAGATAATTTCTTTGCTATAGCTTTAGTAGGATTTTAAGAGGGAGGGGAGTTATAAGAGTGTCAAATCCATCATCATTACCATCCTATAGCCTTTTTATACACCAATTTTCTGATTTAGCATATAAAACTAATACTTAACCCTTAAAGCTATGAATTAAATTTGTAAGTTCAGCAAATCTTAATATTTTTACATGTTCCAATACTATTTATAAATTGACTTCAACTTAAATAACAAGTTTAAATAATTACTGAAGTATGCATATGAAATTAAAATTACTACACCAGCCCTTATTCTAACAGGCTAAAATTATTTTATGTTTTAGAAATGATAAAATATTAAACATGTACAGATCCTTAATGCAAAAACATAAATAATTTATATTTGGTTTTCTTAAAAAATTCTACTCAATTCTAAATCTGAGGTGAAAGATGCTAATTTATATAATCCCAAACAATTTTGGGATATCTTCCCAAATATTTTTGTATTTACCATCCCCTCTTGCAATGATTTATTAATTACCAAAGAGACTCCTTGTGGGATGATGACTGAATTTTTGTCACAACACGGATGGAACACGTGGATCCCCATGTGTCTATAGTAGGGACTGTTTCCCAATTCTTTCATCTCTCCAGGCAAATTAGCCATACTTACCTACACTACTATATTAATTGATTGGATTTTACATTTTTTGGCTTTCAAAGGATATAAATTGTTTTTATGTGTATTCTTGAAAAACCTTTGAACTGTAGGGACTCCTACAATCTTTTTATCTACTCCCTATTAAAGCTAAGCCTCTTCCAGGTAATAAAATGACTTTCAATTACTCTCTTGATCTTCTTGGTTGCAACTTCTAGGCTTATTCTGCAGACATAATTAAAGGCAAAAACTAGAGGAGCTAAGGCAAAAATCAAGATGCAATATAAAGCAAAGAGTCTGAAGAGATTTGATCTCTGTTGATCCTTTCACACATAATCCCCAGGGGCTCTATTACCAAATGTAAAATGTGCTTGGCCAGGCTGTGAATCCACTGGGGATTCACCCTGGAGGAACATGGAAGCACCCAAGGGGAGGAGAATGTACCTGTCTAATTGTAGAGCTGTGGCTCAATATAGACTAAATGTGTTCATGGAGCTAAACAGAGGGAAAATGGAAACTACTTCTCATGTCATCATCACGTGGGCCTTAAAGAAGCCCGATGGAAAATAGCTTTATGGATGGATGGAGACGAGCAAGCTTGCCAAGACTGACTGTCAATAGTAAGAATGTGCTGGTGATGTCTGCTGGAAGATTGAAGCCCCGCGGTGACACTGACACTACTTATTTTATGTACTGTGGAAAAGAAAAAGAGCTTGGAAAACTAGCTTCAGTTTCTGTACTGTGAGTCAGTTTATGGAGTTGCTCAAAGTTATGACTATGAAACAATCAAATCCAGAAGAAGTTCTACGAGGGACAACTCATCTTCAGTAACATCATTTGCTTCTATCTGTGTCCGCTCTTCTTCCAAGCTGCCGGTAACTGCAACACCTTTAATATGTATGTCTTCTCCATGTCATGCTTTTTATTTTCTCACAATTTTGGTTTATCCCAACGACAGCTGGTTAAAGAGCCTTCTTGTTTTAGGAGATACATACTTGCAGCCTCAGATCTTCTCCATTTCAAATTCCTGAGGACACAAACATCACTGCGCTGCTCTTTTCAGATGGGGCAGAGTTCCTCTTATACAACACCACCTCAAGGACCAATGTTTTCACTGCCCTTGGACCAGGACCCCACTCCTGGTCCAACCAGCTGTTGCGGGGCGGGAGCATTAATGCTGGGTTGAAACCTGGTGCTAAGGTCGGGAAATTCGTTTTAGAAAAGGCATGGATATTATAGACACCATGATGGACATTTCTGGTACATGTGGCTTGGAGGCTAAGGACAGGCAAACTCATTTCCTTGATCCTCTTGCCTTTTCTTCAGGAAGAGAATTCAAAAGGCTAAGGGACAGAGTGCCTGGGAGTGCCTCCAGGTGAACCAGAAACAAAGACTTCTTTATCTGCCTTTAATTATTCCTAAGGAGAGACATTTGGGGTTCAAAGTTTGGGAAGAATAATCTTTTGGGTTTGAAGACTCTTGACTAATGAAAGACCTTTGGCCACTGACCATCTTTTTCCTTCTTTTTGCTACTCTCATGTTGGAGGGCTAGGGATGTTTCTGTTTGGAATGCCTCTGGAAATCCTAAAGGAATAAAGATAGGCCAGAGGATGGGGGAAGGGAGCTGCCTGCTTGAGGCTTGCTCCAGTTTCATTTATTTGTTTACTTACTTATTTACTCACTTTTTAGAGACAGGTCTTGCTCTGTTGTTCAGGCTGGAGTGCAGTAGTGCAATCACAGCTCACTGCAGCCTCCAATTCCTGGGCTCAAGTGATCCTCCCACCTCAGCCTCCCAAGAAGCTAGGAATACAGGCACATGTCATCACACACAACTAATTTTTGTATTTTTTATGGAGATGGGGGTCTCAATCTGTTGCTTAGGCTGGCCTAGAACTCCTGAGCTCAAGCAATCCTCCTACCTCAGCCTCCCAAAGCACTGGGATTACATGCATGAGACACTGTGCCCAACAATTGTTCTAGTTTTAAACAAGAGAGGGGAAGCAGGACCTTCAGATTTCACTCTAAATTAAAATTACTGAGCCTTCCTTGGTGAGAAGGTAGCAGGATTCAAGCCGGAAGTATTGCCAGGATTGAAAATTGAGACATTTGGCTGAGACATTCCTTGGTGGGCTCTCTGGGAAGCCAGCAGGTGAGCAATGAAGTACATCATTGTGATGGACATGAACATGACTTCCGACCAAGATAAATATCACCATAAATCTATGACTAGCCAATCTGTCCTCTGCTGTTTGAGCTAAAGGATAGCATGATGAGATTGGAGCCTTGTCCTGTTCCACTGCCACCCAGGTCTCTGGCCCAAGGTAAGGATGTTCTCCTGGCTCTGGGCACTTGGCCCAGGTGGGCACACTGGGCTTCTGACAGGCTCCCTTCAGCTTTTCTTCCTTCCAGCAGACCCAAAAGATCCAGTTTCACTTGCTCCCGGTGGCCCCAGTCATTCTTTTACCTGGGTTTTCTCCATTTCCAGACCCAGTGAAAAGTAAAGAACAGGATACCTCCCTCCTCTTCCTGCCCATCCAGCCCATTTTCCTGCCACAATCCACAAGCAAACATATAGGGATTCAGATGTCTTCAGAGATCTTAGATTGTATTAATGATGGGTCTCCCTTGAGGTGTGATGGCTTCTCCTTTACTAACTCACTACCCTGCACTGTCCTGGGCATTGGGCCAGCCCAGCAGTTCCCTTCTCCATCAGGGAAGGACACCGGGGGATGAATATGAGGTTCATCCTCAAGGCTTAGGGGCCTTTATTTACATGTCAGTGATAATAAAAATAAAATAATAAAATATAAATAATAAAAATATAATAAGAGGAGAAGAGGGAGTACTGTTTACTGAAGGCTTGCTCTCAGACAGGTGCCATGCCAAGCTTTGACATACATATTTTATTTAAGCCTCACAACAGCCCAATGAACTAGATAGAATCTCCATTTTAAAGAGAGACAGAGATGGTAATAAGTTTGCCCAAGGTTACACAATGAGTAGAGGCAGAATTCAATCTCAGGTTTATCTGACTCCAAAATACTTTTGTCTCTGTGAAAATAATATATTCATTTTATTAAAATATCCATGCCTAAAGGAAAGAATAAAGAAGACAGTGAAGAATCATATGTAATTCCATTGCTCAGATATAATCACCATCAACATTTGGGTATTTCTTTTTAGACCTTTTCCCTCTATGCATCCACATAGAAATACACATACACCAAGCACATATTCATTCATATGTCAAATAATTTTTGAATATATACTATGTTGTGGGTACTACCCTACAGGCTGGAGTACTCCAAGTCCCGACCTTGAAGAGCTTACATTCTAGTGGGGAAGTCAGAAAATAAGCAAATAAGCCAGGCTGGGTGCAGTGGCTCATGCCTGTAATCCCAGCACTTTGGGAGGCCGAGGTGGGAGGATCACTTGAGGTCAGAAATTCAAGACCAGCCTGACCAACATGGTGAAACCCCATCTCTTCTAAAAATACAAAAATGAGCCAGTCATGTTGGTGGGTGCCTGTAATCCCAGCTACTTGGGAGGCTGAGGTGGGAGAATCACTTGAACCCAGGAGGCAGAGGCTGCAGTGAGCTGTGATCATGCCACTGCACTACAGCTTGGGCAACAGAGCGAGACTCTGTCAAGAAAGAAAAGAAAAGAAAAGAAAGAGGGAAAGAGAGAGAGAGAAAGAAAGAGAGAAAGGAAAGAAAGAAAGAAAGGAAAGAAAGAAAGAAAGAGAAAGAAAGAAAGAAAGAAAGAGAAAGAAAGAAAGAAAGAAAGAAAGAAAGAAAGAAAGAAAGAAAGAAAGAAAGGAAAAGAAAAGAAAGAAAAAATAAATAAGCAAATAACCAAACAAATTTGTATTATAATGTATGTTATCAGGTCTGGCTATACAGTTGTGCACTGAAGAACTCTAGGGAGAGCCAATCACACTGCAGTTAAAGTGAATGAGATCCCCAGGAATTGGGCAGTGCACAACCTATACCACACATAATGGGTAATCATATGAGACATAAAGCAGAATAAGGAGAAATATTATTTTATGAATAGGAGATTGGAAAATCCCTCTTTGATTAGGAAATATTCGAGAGTTAAGAAAGTGAGAGAGCAAACTCAGAGGAATCTGAGAGAAGAGACTTTCAAGTGGGGAAATAGCAAATGCAAAAATCCTAAGGCAAGGATGTTCCGGGCGTGATTGGGGAACAGCAAAGAAGCTAGTGGGGGTGGAGGGCAGTGAGTGAGAGGAAAAGGGTGGGATCAGAGAGGTAGTGGGGGCCAGATCATAGGGCCTCGTGGACATGGTAAGAACTTTGGAATTTATTTTTTGTCTTAGAAGTCACTGGTGAGTTGTGAGCAGAGATGAACATCTTCAGAATGAGTCTGGCTGCTGTATAGAGAACACAGTGGGGAGGTGGAGAGGCCAGGTAGAATCAGAGAGTGATACCAAGTGGTAGCTTAGACTAAGCTGAGAGCTGTGGAGTGATAAGAAGGAGGAAATGTTTTAGGCTGTTGCTAACAAAGCAGATCTCAGGTAGTATCAGCAAAATTGCCTACGCATCACTGTAGAATGTGAGAGAAACAGGGAACTCGGGGTGACCCGCGTGGACAGGAGGACGTTATGAGACTTGGAGCACAGAAGGGGCACGCCTGGGGAAAAACAAAAATTCCATTTGGGGAACTTAAGTGTGAGATGCCTGTTAAGCAGCCAAGCAGAGATGTGTTGAGACTGGAGACAGCGTTTTGGAATTTGCACTGTATAGGTGTTTAAAACCATGGGCCAGATGAGACCTCCTACAGAGAGTATAAAAAAGAGAAAAGGTCTGAGGACTGAGTCCTGGAGCAAAGCTACATTAAAAAGTAAGGGAAATGAGGAGAATCCGGCAAAACCATCTAAGAAAGGACAGCCAAAGAAGCAAGAGGAAAAGCAGGAGGGTTTGATGTCCCGGAAACCAAACAAAGGAAGGATTATAAGCAGGAGAGAATGATTAGCTACAACAAAGGCTGCTGGAAGATCAAGTACGAAGCGTGGAAACTGACCATCTAATGGGCTATGTTGATCCAAGTTTGGCATTGATGACTTCACAAGAGTAGTTTGGATGGAATAGTAGGAAGAAAAACACAATCGAAGTGAGTTTAGGAGAAAATGCGCAGGAAGGAAATAGAGGCAAAAACAAATAACTGTTACCAAAAGTTTTGCTGTGAAGGGAAGAAAAGGTGACATGGTAACTGGTAGGAGATGGGAGTCAAGGGAAGTTTCATATTTCATTTTAGTTTTTTGAATGAGTCATATTATGACAAGTTTTTAAGGTGGTGGTAACCATCCAGAAGAGAAGGGGGATGTGATTATGATGGTTCCATGCCCTAAGAGGAGGAGGAATGAGTAGAGTCTTGTATACAAGTTGAGCAATATGTCTTTGCTAGAATAATGGTCACTTATTAATTACAATAAAAGGGAACATATAAATATGTGTAATGGGCATATACTATATATACTACCTTAATGTCTACTTTTTAATTGGCTATCTTATTATAATATTACTTCACAAATAAAGTTAGATCAATACCACATGGTCTCACAGTATTTCAGAGCATGCATCTTCCATAATTTATTTAATCAGTCTCCTCTTATTGGACATTTTGGTTGTTTTTAGTTGTTCACTGATACAGAGAATGAAAAGCCAGCCTCTTGGACTCTGGTACCCTGACTGTGTGCTTCTTGCAGAAGTCATCCTGAGCTAGTCAATATGGGGCTGCCCCTGCCCAAGCTTAATCCCCCCTCTAAGGTTGGAACCCTGATCTACATTCAAGACGCAGAGCACAGATGGGAAGGATCACTTGATCCCCTGCTAATCATGCCACTTGTTCCAACCTCAGCCTCTACCAGCCAGAGGGATGTGCCCACTCTGTGCTGGGTAGGGCACAGGAGAGTTGAAATAGACATTGCTTCTTCCTACTTTGCAACTCAAAAGAGCTAAAAAAAATCTGTAAAGTGCCATGGGGCCATATTCTCTAGCCCTGGAGTTTGAGAATGTTCTAGATCTAATTATATTAAATGTTTTCTTTTAAGAAACATTTTTAGAGATAGAAAAACTGAAAGCACAAAAAACCAAATAGCATGCTCTAAATTTCCCGGCAAAAAAATAAAAAAAACAAGCTGAGAATCCCACTCAGATCTGTCTAACGCTAAAGCACTCTTATCTCCCCACTTTCCATTGCACTCTGTGTTTCACAAAGCCCTGCTCTCCATCACTGCACAGGCTTCCCAGGCTTCCCAAGCACAGCAAGGCAACCCCCTCCTGGGAACAGAGTTCACCCTGAGCCAAGGCCTCAGGGCTTCTTAGAGTCCAGGGTAGGCCCTTCCAGCTTTATCTCCAATGTCTCCTTCCTATGCTCTGCAAAGCCACACAGGCCACTTCCTAGTCCCATTCCCAGTGTATCCTGCAATCTCCTGCTCCTTTCCTTTCCTTCTGCCCTTTCTATGTCCAATGCCCTTCCTTAGCTCCAAATTTTGTTCTACTCACTCTTCAAGTTCTGGCTCATATGCCACCTCCTCCAGAAGATTCACCCAGTGTTATTGGGTTTGCCCACCTCAAAACTCCTACAGCACTTTATCTGTCCCCATCTCATGAGCTTAACACTTACTATCTTGTTTGGAGGTCATTTCCACATATATCACATATTTTCTCCCCTAACTTCATCAGACTAGAAGCTACTTGAGGAAAGGGATTATGTCTAAATTATCTAAGTAATGCCTCCTGTACCTGGCCCAGTACCTGGCACAAAGTAGGCCCTTGTTATACGTTTGAAGGGTGGATAAATGGATGGATGGATGGATGGATGGATGGATGGATGGATGAATGGATGGATGCATGGATAGATAGATGTAGGGATAGATGCATGGATGCATGGATGGAAGGATGGATGGATGGATAGATGGATGGATGGATGGATGGATGGATGGATGGATGCATGGATGGATGGATGGATGGATGCATGGATAGATAGATGCAGGGATAGATGCATGGATGCATGGATGGAAGGATGGATGGATGGATAGATGGATGGATGGATGGATGGATGGATGGATGGATGGATAGATAGATGCAGTGATAGATGCATGGATGCATGGATGGAAGGATGGATAGATGGATGCATGGATGGAAGGATGGATAGATGGATGGATGCATGGATGGATGGATGGATGCATGGATGGATGCATGCATTTCCTACCTATTCCTGGCTTGATAACTTTTTTGGATGAGTTTATTTTGTTTTATTTAAATTCTAGAGCCTGTCCTTACTGACATGATTATGTAGAGCTCTCCCTAGTGCCTCAAAATCCCCCAATACATGTCTTTCTTCCAATCCTGTTGTTAGTTGCCTAGAAGCTCCAACCGTGCTCCATCTCATCTGCTTAAAGACATTACTCTAGGTTTTTCCTGATTACCTGACTCTTAGCTGAAAAGTAAGGTAATAGGCACTTATAATATAGTCTTGCCAGGAGCATCTGCATTTTAATAGGACACTCCAAAGGCAAAAAGTACAGGTTTCTAGTAAAGGTATTTTAGACACCATGATAGGAGGTGGACAGAAACCTGCCTAATTGCCTATTCTCTTACTGGTAAGGGTGGTCCTGTGGCCAGGCTTCCTGTGACTGAGTAGGAATTAACACGAGGAGTCCACATCATTTCCTTTCGCCCCTACCTTGACCCAGGAACTGAGAGCAGAACATCTCATGGTTATTGTCTCAACTGATAGACACCTTTGGCCATGCCAGACACTTTGGCAGGCACTAACTTGGGGGATGCAGAGATCACAGTGCCCAAGAGTAGCTCTTCTCAAGGGTTAAAGTGCACTAGCAAATCTGCAAGCTAGAGACCCTGGGCCAAGGGGGAGGAGGGAGAAGGAAATGCACTAGCAAGGCCTAGCCCACGCTCTGGATGTCTGAAAGCCAAGAGCAGGGATAGGGGTGCTTTCCACAGATGCACCAGGAGGCAGGCAGCCACCAATCTGCCCTTCTGGGCCCTCTCCCCAGGAGCAGGACATCAAGGGCATGTAGGAGGGTTCCCTGAGCTTAGGAAGGGCAAAGCAAGCAGGTTGGGTCACTGCTACCCCAGCAGCATAGCCCCAGCCTCTCTCCAGGGAAGTAGCCCCCTCTACCTAAGCCAGGCTGATCTTCCTAGTGTCCTACTCTAGAGATGTGTTGGCAGCAGTCAGGAAGCCAAGAGGAATCTTTTGAGCACCTGCTCTGCACTGATCCCTGGGATCAGCAAGGCTATAAAAGAAGGACTCATTCATGGAGGAACCAAGGGGTAATGAACAGAAGCATGGGACTTGGGACTGAACTAAGTTCCACCATTACCAGCTGTGTAGCTTTGATCAAAACATCCACTTTTTATCAGGCTTCACTTGGCATAAAATTATAATGAAATAGTACTTATTTAATTGATTGGGGAATAAGAAATGTAAGGCACCCAGCACAATGCCTCACTCACAGTATGAGTTCAAGTAATGTTAGCAGTTGTCAAGGAGATTCCAGTCTGGCTGGTCTGTACATTAGAAATGATATTCAGGCAATGTACAGGAGAGAGAAGCAGCATTCCTAACACATATATACCACCAGCACACCCCACTTTCGGATCCATAACCCTACCATTGCCAACAAGAGCTGGCACCAGCCACTGGATGCCCTGCTGTTCTTCTGGCCTGGCATCCAAGACCCTCCAAAGCATGTTCTGGTCTTAATTTCAATCTTCATCTTTATCCACTTCCTTCAAACCCCTGACATTCTGGCCAGGCCCAATCACTACCCCTACTCTTATTGTTCCTGTCCCTGAGTCCTTGTGGGCTAATTATGCTGACTATGCTGTCACGAGTGTCAACATCCTCTCGATCACTCAAGCCTAAATTAAAAAGCCATTTTTGCCTGGGCACAGTGGCTCACACCTATAATTCCAGCATTTTGGGAGGCCAAGGTGGGTGGATCACTTGAGGTCGGGAGTTCAAGACCAGCCCAGCCTAGGCAACATGGTGAAAACTCATCTCTATTAAAAATACAAAAATTAGCCAGGTGTGGTGGTGCATGCCTGTAATCCCTGCTACTCGAGAGGCTGAGGCAGGAGAATCACTTGAACCGGGGAGGCGGAGATTGCAGTGAGCTGAGATCACACCACTGCACTCCAACTTGGGCAACAGAGTAAGACTCTGTCTCAAAAATAAATAAAATTAATTTAAAATTAAAAATTTCTTTTTAAAAAAAGCCCTTTTCTCCAGGAAGTCTCCCTAGCCTCCAAACTGGAATAAAACTTAACCTCCTCTTAGCTCCCACAGCAGTTTTAAGGTTTGTGACTCCAGAATGCTCTGTATTTTCTCAAGTCCCCCTTTGAAGTGCAAGCAAATCAAAGGCATAAGGACTTTCTGCCAAGTTTAGAATGCCCTGGATGTAACAATACACTAAGAAGGGACACAGGGCACAATTAAGCCACTCCTGCTTTTTATTCACCAGACCCAGAACGCCCCAGCTGCCACGCTCCATTCCCAAGACAGCAGCCTCATGCTGCCTTCAGCAGCTAGTTCTAAGGTACCTGTGGCTCTCCGTCCCTTCTCAGTCCCTGGGGAAACAGAGCTCTCTCTGTCTGAACCTTAGATCAATTGCTTTCCTGGCAGCCTTGAGATATTCCGGTTATTCTCATATTCATAGAATGTTCCTCTCAACTTTTCTGCTTTGTGTGGCTTTAAAACGTTCCCAATATCTGCTTCATTTTGCTGTTCACGCAAGTCTTCATGTTTCTCAGATTTTAAAAACATATTCTCTATCTTTGATACTAGCCAGACATCCTTGGGCACTTCTCTGATCATGCCCCCCATGCAGGCTACTGGCTCTCAACGTTAACCCCTGCAAAGCTCTCTGCCTTGGGCTTTCATCAAAGGAAACCACAGGAAACCCACCCACCCTTATACTTGCTGTAGCAAAATCATTGAGGGCCCTGTCATCTAGACCATTGAATGTCTGCTATAAAAGCCACCCATGTGAGACATTTCTTTGAGAATTTACTGCTTAGAAAAGCTCTTCCTTCTCCCCTGAGGAATGTTCCATAATTCTCTCTGATCATGAGGATTATGTAACAGTTCATGCCCCAGTTTTGGTTTTTAGCTGCCAAGAAGCTAAAGAAGGCCTTGTTAAAGAAACTTAGCTTACTGTTCAATTCTTATGCTCCTTCCTCTAGATTTCTAGATTTCTAGGACAATTCAGCCTGGTCTGCTTGGGTCCTTTGATTATTCCACCTGGGGTGTGGGTTCAACCTGCTGCCTCTGTCACTGGTGGGTCTTTAGTCATCCCAGGAGGATGTTACACACACAAACCTTCCCATCCTCTAGACCTCCTTATTCCTAGACCTTTTTGTCTTGTGTTCTATTTTTCTGGAATGCAGCTTGGGAACTTAGGGAGTCCTAATATTTGAGGTGGGAGTAAAAAGAAAGAATTGGTAAGTTAGTTCCCTTTTCTCCTTTTTAAATAAAAACTGGTTTTATTTTTATCAAATATATACATGACTATAATGTAGAAACAATTTTTCACCTGTTTTAGTTGATTCTTTTAGTGTTACTTTAAATAATTTTCATACAGATTATTTCTATTTATATTCAGCTATTTCTTGGCTTTTCATTTTAAGAAGTACTTATTGACTTACCACTATGGAACATAAGGATGTAAATCCCGTTTGCCACCATCATAATCACCAGCTCTCATCACCATCACACCACTTCTCAACTCCCCTATTCTCAGTAAGTCATATAGAAACTTTGATTCAAGCAATATTTATGTTATTATGATTACAAAAGTGCTATAGCTGAGCCATGTAGTATACTACAATTTCTTTTCCAGAACAACTTTTTGTCCTTCCTGAATTTAATATCTTTTAATATCTTCACTGTTTGTTTTTTCATTTGCTTGCTTTTATGTTCTGACCACTAATTTAACCTCAAGTCTGCCCTCCAGTTGTGTCTCTCTCTTCTCAATAACTTCAAGGACAGTAAATATTCTATTGCTTTCCTCTTCTAGATGAAATCTCTCCCAAAGCATTTTGACCTGTTTGAATATGGACTGGTTTATCTCTAAGTCCACTACACAGCAGCAGTAAAAAGCCCTACTAGCCAAAGGAGAAAACTGTTATCTGAACCTGATAAGAGATGTATCTGCGGGAAAAGGGTCACCCAGTAGGAGTCATGGTCGTAGGTAGGATGCATCTTCTGCCAAACTGAAGTCCAGAAGGGATGAACATGAGCAATAAATATTACAACCTTAGTTTCTTCCTGCTGATCTCCTGCCCACATCTCTATTGGCCAAACCCAATGGTAAATCCACAAGCAAGGCAGCTCAGATAATGTAGTCCGTAGATATTAGTCTCCTGAAGCACAGAGAAGGATAGAGACTAGAACTGAAGAATAACTAGCAAATCATGTCTTTCTATTTTTGGTTTGTTATTTCAGAATACACATTCACTGGTAACTTTCTGAGAAAGGGCACATAAGAGGTAAATTACTTAAGTCTTTATAAATGCAAAAAATATCTTTCTACCTCAAGCTAAATTGATAGTTTGGCTGGATATAGAATTCAAGGTTGGAAGTAATTTTGCCTGTATATGCAAACTCATCTTCTACATTTTCTTGTGCCTTCTCTTGCATTTCTTTGTCATTGTTTTTATGCCTTTTAAATAATCATTTTACTATAATTTTAACTAAGCTTTAGGGTGGAGACAGAGGTAAATGGATGTATTCGTTGCTTCCATCTTCATCTAAGAGTCCAGTAATTGCTTCTTGAGGGTGGGATCAAACAAACGCATACAGTTTAAATAAACTTGTCTCACTCATGCACATTTGTTTACATGGGACAGAATCAGAGGAGACATTCACACCGTGTTAACTGTTTCATTGGATTCATTACAGATGTTTCAATAGAACACTAATAGGACTACTTTCCTTAGAGTTTTTGTAATAAAAGGATTACTTTCCTTAGAGTTTTATGTTACATATTTGAGTAATATTTTCAGTTCTCAAAGCACTTTTTCCTGTTTATTTTCATTTGTCCTTGAAATGACTCAATGAAGTAGACATGGTAGGTGTTACTATCCCACTTACAGATAACCTGAAGCTCAAAGAGGTTGAATCATTTATCCAACTTAGTGGCAGAGACAAGGCTCAAACCTAGGTCTTGAATGCCAAGGTTGGTGCCTTTCCTATGGTCCATGCTTTCTGCAAAGGCGATATTTATGTTTTTATAAACCACTCAGAATGGCAATCAAAGTGGTTTTGGATTCATTTTCCACAGAGTGCCCACATTGGCTCATGACAGTATTTGGACCATCTGTGGAAGACTAAAGAATCATAAGATCTCTCGACTCCAACTGTAAGAGATTCTGATTTATAAGGTCTGAAGTGCAGACCAAGAATATCTATTCTGTTTTTTGTTTGTTTGTTTTTTGAGATGGAGTTTTGCTCTTGTTTCCCAGGCTGGACTGCAATTGCACGATCTCGGCTCACTGCAACCTCTGCCTCCCGCGTTCAAGCAATTCTCCTGCCTCAGCCTCCCAAGTAGCTGGGATTACAGGCATGCACCACTCCACCCAGCTAATTTTGTATTGTTAGTAGAGATGGGGTTTCACCATGTTGGTCAGGCTGGTCTCAAACTCCTGACCTCAGGTGACCCACCCGCCTCAGCCTCCCAAATTGCTGGGATTACAGGTGTGAGCCACCGTACCTGGCCAAGAATATCTATTTTTAAATAGCTTTCTAGGTGATATTAGAATGTAGCTTGATTGAAAACTGCCCCCCTAAAAGGCCTGGAAGTGGTCTGGAGGGTCCCACAGGCTTCAAGGCATGGGTAAGTGAATGGCAGTTCCCAGAATGTAACCATTTAACCTTTCAGACAGCAGCCATCCCAGCCTGCCACAGTCTAAGCTAACAGCTTCATCTCTTCCACTCCTTCCCAAGGACCTCATCAGACCTCACTTCTGCCCTCATTTCCCGGCCCTGCCCACTCACACAATGGAGACTCCCTTGCCAGCTCCCTCGGCTCCTCTATTTTAGCTTGTAAGACTTCAGGGACTCAGCTTCCTGAAAATACTAAAGTGAAACATTCCCTCCCTAATAACTTAGGACCTCTTATGGAACTTAGTTCTCTAAGGAGCCAGAAGGGAAGAGTAAGAAAGCACTCTGCTCAGTCTCTGACTGGTGGCCACAGAAATGTTATCCCAGGCTCTCAGGTGGTCTCCTAGCTGGGAAATATAAAATCCAAATAGCTTTAGGTCAGAGATGGAGCACCTTGGCATCAAAATGCAAGTAACTACATATGAAGGCCTCATGGTACACAGTGGAGGAAGCCAATTTTCTAGAACCTGAAGGTCCCTGAGCTGAAGAAGCTCAAAGAATGACAGAGAGAAAGAGAAGAGGGCTGTACAACAAGAGTTTCAGTGCTTTATTTACCAATGAGAGTATGAGAAGACTGAGCCTATTCGGAGAACCAATGGGAACAACCACCACAGTAACTTAGCAAAAGATACAGAAAACCTCCAGGAAAGAATTTCTGTAAGGCAGGGGCTGGTGCCTGAGCTTATACACAGTAACTCAGCCATTGGAGAAGAGGGATGATTTTGCATATTCTCTAATGTCCTTACCCTTGAACCCTAAGGTGTGCCCCAGTGATATGGTCTAGCTGCGTTCCTACTCAAATCGCATCTTGAATTCCCATGTGTTGTGGGAGGGACCTGGTGGGAGGTAATCGAATCATGGGGGTGGGTCTTTCTCATGCTGTTCTCATGATAGTGAATAAGTCTCATGAGATCTGATGGTTTAATACAGGGGAGTTTCCCTGCACAAGCTCTCTCTTTGCCTGCTGCCATCCGTGTAAGACGTGACTTGCTCCTCCTTGCCTTCCACCATGATTGTGAGGCTTCCCCAGCCATGTGGAACTGTAAGTCCATTAAACCTCTTTCTTTTGGAAATTGTCCAGTCTTGGGTGTGACTTTATCAGCAGCGTGAAAAAAGACTAACACGCCCAGGGTAGCTACCACTTCCAGAGTCCTCTTTTAAGGTGTCTCTTCCACATAAGTCATCTTGCTCTTAACACAAGACCCCAAGCCCCTAGCCCAGAAAATGGCCTGGAGTAGGAATGTAATCCAAGGGTAGTCAATAGAGGCTAAAGCAGAATGTGAGGTAGCCTGGAACAGGAATTCTTAGACAACCAGCAGTGGCTCATGCCTGTAATCTCAGCACTTTGGGAGGCTGAGGTAAGAATAGCCTGAGCTCAAGAGTTCAACACCAGCCTGGGCAACATAGCAAGACCTCATCTCTACTAAAAATAAAAAGTCAAAATTAGCCAAGCATGGTGGCATGCACCTGTAATCCCAGCTACTTGGGTGGCTGAGGCAGGTGGATCACTAGAGTCTGCAGTGAGCCATGATCATACCAGTGCACTCCAGCCTGGGCAACAGAGTAAAACCTTGTAGGAAAAAAAAAAAAAAGAGGTCTCAAATAGGGGAGGCCAACTAAGCAAGCCAATCTGATTCCTAAATAAATTAACTTATTTAAAAAATATTTATTGAGCACCAACTATGTTTAGACATTTAAAAAATCTTATTTAATAAATGCTTCTACTGCATGTACTCTGTGCCAGACACTAATTCATGTGCTTTATGAATATTAATTCATTTAATTCTCATAACAGCTCTGTAAGTTAACTACTATTATTATATCTTTTTAAGGTAAAGAAAACTAAAGGTGCAGAGAGCCTAAGTAACTTGCCCCAAGGTGTATCAATTAATCAATTAATTATTGAGTGGTAGAGACACACTTTTATGTATTAGGGATAGATCAATAAGCAAAAGAGACAAAACTCTGTGCCCTCCTCATACTGATAATTTTTGGTTTGAATGTTTAAAGAGAGAGTCAGTTGAGTGGCACTGGGAGCAGAAGCTAAAAAAAAAAAAAAAAAAAAAAAACCAATGTGAAAGCTGACAGGGAGGCCATGTGGCAGCAGAGTGTTCAAAAGGAAGGTGAGGGAGGTGACTGCAGATGATAGAAAAGTTAAAGGCCAGTGAACTGAGGGTGAGGGCCCAGTAGGAGAAGCAAGTCACATGAAGACCTGCCTGTTGCCAGCAATGTCATGTTCATGAGGCCCAGATTCTTCCTAGAGCCCCTAAGGTCCAGGTATGCAGCCGAGTTTTTTATCCTCTTATTCTTACAATAAGACCACCAGTACTGAATATGAGTAATTTTTGTTCTTCGTATTCTTAAGAGCCTCCAACATTCAGTCCTCTGGTGCCCTAATCCCTTATGAAACTAAGAACTGCACAAAGACAAACCCTAAAAGCCAGCATGCACAAAAAATCTCCTTGAAAGGTTAAAAGCATGAAATTGCACTGTTTTGGGATAAGCATGACCATGGAGAGAGGCACAAAGGTGGGATGACAATCACTCCTGCTTCAGAGAAGTGCAGGGCTTCTTGCAGATAATGCCCTTGGGAATCAGCCTCAGTTAACACCAACTCAACAGAAACAGTGGCAGAAGTTCTAGACCTGCAATTTTCCACTTCAACCAGCAGGCGGTGCAGCAGCACATCACTGCAACATATGCATTAAACAGTGGCCTTGTTACATTGGTTTCTGGGTGTAACATGGGGTAGCTTCAGCATCATCAACAGGGCTGAAAAGAAAGGCCCTCTCCCTCCACCTGGAGGACATCAACAGCTGAGAAAGCTGACATTTGTGAAGTGACATTGGGGAAGAAACAGAGCAAAATGGCAGTCACATGTGGAAACTGAGGGTTTTATGAGCACATCTGAGATGCCCCATGGGAACTCTCAGAAACAATCTGGAAGCATTTGATAGGAGACTGGACATACTGCAATAGCATCTTGTAGTTAAAACAAAAATAATGGTTTGTGTTTTCCCTGAGAACCCATTTAAACCTTCAGATTGATGTGCTGTGGGTGAACATGAATAATTCTTTGATTTTCCTTTGTCTCACCTCAGTTGATGCTGTGCTGCATGGGGAAGGCTGTGTTATTAAAGCTGAGCCAAATCACACTGATCCTCATTCTCACCTCTGCTGTGTCTCAGGAAGCCACATTCCAGATCAGTGAGTCAACTTGATGCTGGTAGGGAACACTCAGCAGGGAGCTTCAGCAATTCCAGTGCAAGTCAGAAAGAGTATTTGGCAAGGGCTGGCTCATTGGAATGTGGTCCATTAGGCAGGGGAGTTGGCCATGGTCAGAATCATAAGACCATCAGAACTGGAAACTTCCACAGGAATTGGCTTTCCCTCACATCACAGACAAGGGAACTGATGAGATCTCATGTGTCCATTGCAGGAATTTCACACAATCATACCCTTCCCCCATATCAATATTTACCAGCTCCTGCTACTCTCCCCAAGAAGAGGGCCAACCTTCCCAGTGCCCTAAACAAACTGGCTTTCTCCTCTCATCCCTTTCCTTCACTAGTATGTTCGGGGCAATACTTGGGAAAGCTTATTTTTGACCAGAAATTCCAGCCTAACTTAATGAGCTATCTGGTCTTCAGCATGGCAAGGTCCCAAGAAGTTGCAAGATTGATGATGGTGATGATGATGAACAGCAATAATGACAGTAGCAACATCCACTTTTTGAGCTGGGCACTATACTAAATACTTTATATACATTCCCTCACTGAATGTTCACCACTCTTCAGAAATAAGTATTATTCTCAAAGTACCAATAGAGACACTGAGGTTCAAAAGTCAAGATATACACTCCAAGTTGCCAACTTATTAAGTAGTAAAGGGAAGATTTGTACCCATATCTGCCTGACTCTGAAGCTCATCTCTCCTCATCTCTTGTTAGATGCGATTCAACATCTACCTTCTCATTTCAGGAAGGAAAGGGAGATCAGGTGTGCAGGAGGCTGAACATACTGCCCTAGAAGGCCATTTCTACCTTCGTTCTCTGTAACTGGTTCCCAATGGCCAGGTCCATCTGCCTCCTACCTTCTTAGAGGTCCCAGGCATTTTCTATAGATTGGTAGGAAAACTGAGGAAGTCAGAAATCTTCTTAAATTAGGAAAATATTATTCAGTGGGGAAAGAAAACCTAGGGGCAAAAAGAGCCTAGAGAGTCAGTCTTGAGGAAAATCAAGTCAACCACATTCACAATCCTATTCATTTTCTAACCCATTTAAATGGAATTCTAATTGCATAAAACAACTAATTTTGCTCATTAAGGTCCAATTAAATTCATCTGAAACTCAGGATAATGGCATTGTTGTTGAACAGCCATATTAAAGATGAAACATAATCTCTCTTGACTCCATTTCCTTTGACAAAATAAAGTTCAGCTGCTAATGAGCCCACAATACCAGGCTTCGTTTATAAATGGCAACAAAGGGTGCCAGTTTTTGAAGAGCAGTTTTTTTATTATCATCATCAACAGCCATTTCCTTTGTTACCAAAATACACAGAAATGATTACGAGAACTTTTTTCTCATTATGGCTTTGATTTTGGGGGAAAAATATGAAATGAATAGCTGCATAATCATATCACGGTAAAGTCACACATTGAAAGTCCATAGCGGGTGGCCTCACAGCCTTGATGCAGGGCATTCTATGGGCTGAGCAGACATTTCAATTTCCAGCCTTTCAGGTCTCAGACAATCCCTCCCCTAGAGTCTAAATCTCTTTGTTTCAGGGCAAACAAGAAATGCTTCTCCCTACCTAGGTGGCCCATACCCCTATATTTTTATAACCTCAGGAAACAACCTGTTTGCTCTCTAGAGTCAAGAAAGAGTCTGTCTAGTGTGAGTCTGCCTTGGCAGACAGACTTGTCAGCCTCTGGCACACCTAGTCTCTTCTATGGGCAGCCATCAGGATGGCAGGAGACTGCCATGCCCCTCCTCAGGGCCTTGCTGTGTTCACAGCTAACCTCACCTGGCAGAGTGCCTGTGCCTGTCAGCCGTACTGCCACTCTCTAGCCCAGAGATGTTAATCTAGCGCCCAAAGTTAAGGCAAATGCTAATGTTACCAGGGGGTCCTTGCTCCCAGGGCTCCCAACATGGTGGCAGGCTGTTTCCAAAATGGTGGTGGTCCACTTCCAAGATGGTGGCAAGCCTCGTGTTCTCTGACCTGGGGTTCTTGGCCTCACGGATTCCAAGGAATGGAATCTTGGGCCATGCGGTGAGTGTTATAGCTCTATTAGAAGCCATGAGTCACGGAAAAGAACCATGGAACCCAGTGACTAGTGTTCAGCTCGATTAGGACGAACCCAGGCACTTAGCCTTGCAGGAACAATGGCAAGCCTTTATCCCGATCAGGAGCAGCAATGGGCACCTCGCTGGATCAGGAGCACAGCGGACACCCTGCCTGATCCAGAGGGATGGAAGTCAGTGGTGGGTCTGCGACGGTAGCAAACAGCAATGGTAGACGGCAAGCAAAAGCTCAGCTCGAGCTGTAACAAACATGGAACATAAAAGAGTGCAGTGGCAAGATTTAACAGAGTGAAAACAGAGCTCTCATACAAAGGGAGGGGACCCAAAGAAGGTAGCCGATGCCAGCCGGAATGCCTGGGTTTATATCCCGATCATTGTCCCTCCTGCTGTGCTCTCAGGCAATAGATGATTGGCTATTTCTTTACCTCCTGTTTTTGCCTAATCAGCATTTTAGTGAGCTCTCTTCACTACCTGATTGGTCGGGTGTGAGCTAAGTAGCAAGCCCCGTATTTAAAGGTGGATGCGGTCACCTTCCCAGCTAGGCTTAGGGATTCTTAGTTGGCCTAGGAAATCCAGCTAGTCCTGTCTCTCACTGTCAGCCCCTAGCCCAGTGTATTAGTCACAGCTGTACATAAAAACAGAACTGATAAGGTATATAGATATAGATAAATATAGATGATATAGATAAAGATGATTAGAGATAGAGAGATATATAGATATATGAGAGGGGATTTATTAGGCGAATTGGTCGTGTGAGTAGGGAGGCTAAGTCCCATGATATGCTGCTTGCAAGCCAGAGAACCAGGGAAACCAAACCAGAAGCGTGGCTCAGTCCAAGTTTGAGTTTGAGGACTGAGAACTGAAGAGCCACTGGTACATGTCCTGGTGTCTGAAGGCCAGAGAACCTGCAGTTCTGATGTCCAAGAGCAGGAGAAGCTGGGTGTCCCAACTCCAGAAGACAGAGAGAGCCAATTCATCTTTCCTCTGCCTTTTCATTCTATCTGAGCCCTTAGCCAATTGGATGATGCCCATTCACATGGAGTGAGGGGGTGTATTAGTTTGTTCCCATGCTGCTAATAAATACATACCCAAGACTCAGTAATTTATAAATGAAAGAGGTTTAATGGACTCACAGTTCTACATGGCTGAGGCCTCACAATCATGGTGGAAGGCAAAGAAGGAGCAAAGGTATGTCTTACATGGTGGCAGACAAGAGAGTGTGTGCAGGGGAACTGCCCTTTATAAAACCATCAGATCTCGTGAGTCTTATTCACTGTCAGGAGAAAAGTATGGGAAAGACCCATACCCATGATTCAATTACCTCTCACCAGGTCCCTCCCACGACATGTGGAAATTATAGGAGCTACAACTCAAGATGAGATTTGGGTGGGGACACAGCCAAACCATATGAGAGGGATTCCTCTTAGCTCACTGATTCAAATGCCAGTCTTTTCTGGAACACTCTGACAGACACAGCAAGAAATACTGCTTTACCAGCTATCTGGTTAGCCCTTAATCCGGTCAAGTTGACACCTAAAATCAACCATCACACCAGTGAGGGCATAAGTCTGGCCAAGTGGCATTCAATCAGGCAAGTGTCTGGTATTCAACCAAGCTTAGGGAGCATCTGATATGTGCAGGGTGTTGCAGAAAATATGGAGAAAAATCAGGCCTGTGGAGCATAGCATGAATAGAGCACATAAAATAAGAATGCAGGTCCATAATCCTTTATCCAAAACACTTGGAGCTAGGTTTGTTTTGTGTGAATTCAGAACTGTTCGGATTCTAGAAAGGCCTACCGAATATCATATATTACCTAACACCCCACGTGAATATTTTGAGGTGATGTGTGTGAATATTCACACTAAATGAATGAATAAAGAATGTAAACAGTTTCATATCAGTTCAGATCAGGTCATTTTGCTTCTAAATGAGTTACGAGTTATGAAAATTTTCCTGGGAGCAAAGGAAGACCTACCTAGGAGGGGAAGAAAAAGGGGTTCTATCTGAAATATGATGAATGACTGGATCCATCTGACACCACCCACTGGAGACCCTTGCACCCTGGAAGGAACACAGGTGTAGTGAACTGAGAGGTGTTAATCTTACTGAAACCCTTGGACTCCTACAGGTAGAGTATGAAAGGCCCATTTCTGAGTGTGGGGCCAAGGGATTTGCCTTTCTCCAAAGAGCTGCTGCAAGAAGTCTGTGTCCAGTGTTCCTGGGGCTGCTGGAGCTGAGGATCAGACTCCCCCAGTCTCCCAGGCTCAGCCTTCCAGGGCAGCTCTGTGGCCGTGTGTGCCTTCCCTCTTTGTAGCCTGTCTTCCATTGAAAAGACTCACCACCCCCACTGGCAAAATCACACACCTGGCCCAATCAACAGAAGGCAAGTCCACAGTTGGCTAACTATATAGCCTTTGCAAATGGGTGAGTATACTAAATAATATATTCAAAATAAATCTTCATATGTAAGAATATATATTCTTATGAAAATATTCACCTAATGCCTCTTAGTCTCCAGGAGCTGTGATAGGAACACATTTAATATTTTTTTTAACTTTGCATGATTTTTTTTTTTTAAATGCTGTAATAGGCCTGGCACAGTGGTTCACACCTGCAATCCTAACACTTTGGGAGGCCAAGGTAGGCAGATCACTTGAGCCCAGGAGTTCATGACCAGCCTGGGCAAAATGGCAAAGCCGTTTCTACAAAAATTAGCTGGGTATGGTAGCATGTGCCTACTTAGGAGGCTGAGGTGGGAGGATCACTTGAGCCTTGGAGGCAGAGGTTACAGTGAGCCAAGATCACTCCACTGCACTCCAGCCTGGGTGACAAAGCAAGACCTTGTCTGAAATATAAAAAATAAAATATTGTAATATACGGAGACAGAATGAATACTATTCAATGAAAACTAAGTAGCTAATTGTGGAATTAGCAACGGTGGCTGTACGACCTTGTAAACATACTAAAAACCACTGGATTTTACATTTTAAAAGGATCAATTTTATGGTATATGGATTATCAATTAAAAAAAAAAAACCTAAACAGTTGAAAGTTAACTGTGAAATGACTTTCAGCTCCACTGCAGTCCTATGACCACACCCTGAGACCTATCACCACTGGAATCTCAAATGTAGAAATCTGAAACCAATGCCCCTACCTCACACCGTGCCTCCTGATGAAAGACCTCTCAGCCTCCCTCTTGCTATATCTGCTGAACAGCTGTCTTCGTTTTCTATTGGTGCTGTAATGAATAAATTTAGTGGCTTAAAACAACACACATGTATTCTCTTACAGTTCTGGAGGCCAGACGTCTGAAATCAGTTTCACTGAGCTCCTGTCAACAAGTCAGCAGGGCTGGTTCCGGACAGAGGCTTCTGGGGACAAACTGTCCCCTTGCCTTTCCAGCTTCTAGAAGCCACCCACATTCCTTGTTTCTGGCCCTTTCCTCTATCTTCAAGGCAGATCCCTTCCATCCCATGGCCTTCTTTGTCACTGACCCGCCTGATTCCCTCTTAGGAAGAATGTGCTTCACACTGAGCCCACCCAGATAATCCAGGATAATCTCCTTGTCTCAAGCCTTTAACTTAGTAACATCTACAAAGTCTCTCTTTGCCATGTAAGGTAACATTCACAAGTTCTGGGATGAGGCTGTGGACATCTTTAGGAGCCATGATCCAGTCTCCCACGGCCTTCCACTCCCTAGAGATTCTTCTCTCTCCTCCCAGTGAGTCCCCTCTTGACATCAACTACCTTTCTTATTCAACCCAAAAATGAGTTGAAAGAAACTGTTCTCTTTCCAGCATCTTCAATTCTCTCACACTCTTTTCTTTACATCAAACCCACCTGGATACCCCCTTCTGGAACAATTCTATAATCTGCCTTCTCTGTTCTTATAATCAGGAAATTGGTCTTCTCGGATAAAATCTCCCCTTTCCTGTGTAAAACCTGCAACTCCATCTCTGCTCCTAATCCCTTTCCCTCCCTTTGGGATTTCTCCAGAAATTATTGTTTAGATTCTCCATCTCTGCCCTTCAACTAGATCCTTTCCCTCAGAAATAAATATTTTCTCCTATCAAAAAGAAAAAGTGGCCGGGTGCAGTGGCTCAATCCTGTAATACCAGCACTTTGGGAGGCTGAGGTGGGCGGATCAGTTGAGGTCAGGGGTTCGAGACCAGCCTGGCCAACATGGTGAAACCCTGTCTCTACTAAAATACAAAAATTAGTCAAGCATGGTGGTGCATGCCTGTAGTCCCAGCTACTCGAGAGGCTGAGACAGGAGAATCGCTTGAACCCAGGAGGCAGAGGTTGCAGTGAGCTGATCACACCACTGCACTCCAGCCTGGGCGATAGACCCAGACTCCATCTCAAAACAACAACAACAAAGAAAACAAAAAAAGAAAAAATGAGGACTTCTTGTTCTGGGCTTGTTTCTCCCTGGCTAAGTATAATTTAAAATCCTAGACATAGTACAACAAATAAACTTAAGAGAACTACAAAGTGTTGAAGGAGGAAAGCAGACTAACAAGGACTTCAGGATTTAAGGAATCTGTGTGAACAGGGTTCAGTTCTCTGCGTTTTCCTTTTATCTCCCATATTTCCTGGACTTGGAACCGGAAAATCCTGTAAATGGCAACTACCAACAAGCAAACACAACTTAAAAAGAAAAAAAGCCCTAGGAAAAGTCTATTCTGTCTAGTCAAAGAACAGGGAAAGGCGCAATCTCGCAAAACAAAAACGTTGACAATACTCCTCCTACCCCTATCAAACGCAAGGCATGGCCCCTGCTTCCACAGTGTCAGTAAAGACCAAACAGGAAGTCTGGGATTCCCCTCCACACTTGGTGGCAGCAAGTGACCCAGGACGAGGCTTCCCTCCCCACCTCCCAGCATTGTGTTGCTGGACTGCGTGTGGGGTTCTGCACTCCTTTCTCCCAATTACATAATCTTCCTTGGAGTTGGTAACGTTTTCTTTTTGCTTTGACCACTGCTTCTTCTTGAAACATGCTCTTCCCTTGCTGTCCAGGAAACCATAGCATCCTGGGTTTCCCACCTCACTGAGTTTCTCAGCCCTCACGCACAGGATCCTCTTTTCCTACCCAACTATGTTTTGCCGTTCTCCAGGATTCTGATCTCTGCTCATTTCTTTTTTCATGTGATATGTTTTCTAAGTAGCCTGCCCTCCATTCCCCTAGATTTTTACTTACTTAAAAAAGTCGAAAAAAGAAGAATAAGCCTGGAAAATGGGGAAAAAAAAAAAGTCATGTTCATTGAAGTGTAATTTACATACAGTTCACTCATTTGAGTGTTTTCTATGAATTTTGACAAATATATACAGTCTTGTTACCACCATCATAATCAAGATAAAGAACATCTCCATCACCCCCAAAATGTTCCCTTACATTCTTTGTTGTCATCCCTTCCCCTATCTCGTCCTTGGCAACCACTTGATCTGTTTTCTGTGCCTATAGTTTTGCCTTTGCCAGGAGATAATTTTCCTGTACACTTTTACATCCACCAATAAAGATAATGCCTTCACATTCATATCTCTCATATCTCTAACGTTAACCTTTCTTTTGAGCTTCAGACTCACCTCTCCAATGTCTCTTGTTTGGGTCGGATTTTTTCTTCATGCGTTGAGAAGGTTGAGTGATTCAAAAGTTACTCAACCTCTGTGAGTTTTAGTTTTATTCCATAAAAGAGGGTAATGGTACTTATTTTGCTGATTTACTGGGAAGGTTAAATAAGATGAATGTCACCAAGGAGACTAGAAGACTGGATGTACACAATAGATGCTCAATATATCATTAATATTGGCTGCTTTTGATGAAGTTTCATTTCCTCAAAGGGACCTCAAAGTTGCCCGGGGTTTCTCAGTCATAGGCCCACTTGCTGGAGAGTTCCGGCCTCATCAGAGACTAGAAATCATTCGCCCCACTGGCCAATGCTATGTGTTCCTACAACATGTCGGGTGAGAGGATGTGTAACTCTTCAGATAACTGCTCATCTGAATTCTCAGGAAGACTTTGCAGTACAATTGAGTCTTGCAACCAACCAATTACTTCATGTAATGAGAATGCCTCAGGATCTCTGGTTAGCTTCAAGTTTATGGGGCTGATTTATATCTGAAATGAAGATTGTTTCATTTCAGATTCCTTTTACTTAAAGGCAAAAATAAAGCACAATGTTATCTTGCAGCAGATACTGCTCCAATGATTATTCATAAGGCCTCCAGGGCATTTACAGTAACGTGTGCATGAACGCCCTTGTTTCACAGTGGATAGGTACAAGGAGAGGTGGCAGACTCATTCACTTCTACACAGTTCTGTATTCTCGGTCTCCATGTTTTCACATACTGTGACCCAATAACAATGTGTAATAAATTCTAAGAAGCCATGTGATACTTCAGTGGATGCTTCTTCTCAATTTCTCTCTAGTTGAACTAAAAAAAAAAAAAAAAGTCCTTTAATAAAAGTTAACTGACAAGAATCACATTGTTCTCATTTCAAACACACAAAAAGGAATTAAAATGTTATGAAATATGCCAGGCCGTGTTTACTAATCCCTTAACCTCCAGAGAAAGGGCTTGCAATTAGTGTTACATTAGAATTGTCACAGCTAAGCAATTTTTTTTTAATACTAGAAGGACTTCAGCTGATTTTATGCTACACGTATACACTAAACATGCAGCTAGTGTAACGCAAAAAAATTAAAATCACAATTGAGGTGCCACACAGTAAGTGAAAATGGTTTAACGGTCTGTCTGGTCATAGAGCTAATAACCACTTTATGCAGAATGCAGTGAAACAAAGGTGCCTTTCTCAATAGCCAGAGTGCATTTGTGGCCAGCACTATTTTACTAAGGCCATATACAGCTGTACTTGGTTATAGGCACATATGTTAAGTGAGACTATAAAAAACAGCTGTATTTGAGATCGCATAGACCTCTGCACATTTTCTCCCTGTGGCAGCCAATCAGAAATCTTGCTGACAGGCAAACTTGTACAGAACAAATGATCCTATTTAGATTAATTCCTCTTAATGCCTTAACCAGGCCTACTTTCCTGGCATATTATAGAGAGAGCAGGTCAGTTCCATTCAAAACCTAGAGATAGAAAATTCAAGCTTGATTAGTTGATAAAATATATGACTACACTGGTAGAGAATGTGGAGTGCTTAGTCTCTGTAAAAAGAAGGCTGCTGGGCTCTACCCCAGCTCAGAGTTCAGCCACAAGGTACTCTGGAATATGAGCACCTAGCCAGGGAGCAGTCTAGGGAACTGGGTTTTAGCTGTGGCTCTTTCCTTACTGTTTTGGTCTTCACTCTCTATTCAGGACCAGGATACACCCATACCCTTTGCCATAAAAGTCTGAAATGCCATCCCAGTCCCTGGCTCTGGGCTTTTGCCCATAGGATGTTAACCAGTGCCCCATAGAGGACTGAAATGTGCTTACTTGGCTGGGCTTCCTTGCTCTCCTGCCTCTGCCATTGACATGAGAAGAACATATCCGGGCTGCCCACTGGGTCCACTAGAATGATGGGAGACCCACGGAGCAGGTGTGTGAGCTAGTCCAAGCCAAGGTCAGCACGGCTGTCCAGCCAAGCCCTGCCTAGATGAGAGAAATAAATGCTTTTTGCTGCAGGCCACTAAGATTTTGCAATTTTGCAATTGTTTGCAATGCGGCAAAATGGTGGCCCCAGTTAACTGAAGCAGTCACCAAAACTGCCTGCCCTTGGGCATCCCTTTTCCTGTCTATCCTCCGGGTCTCATTTATACAATGAAGGAGGGACTGGAGGACCTCTAATTCCTACTAATGACAGCTGCGGACCAGGAATCCTGGAACGAAAAGTGATCCAGACTCAAGGGTCTGAGATGTATTCAGGGCCTAGAAGAAGTTGAAGAAAACACTTCCATTGGTACTGAAGTAGGCAGGCAGGGGACTTTGTCTCCAAAAATATCGCCATGCATGTGCCACAACCATGGAAAAAGTCAGCGACAGAAGGAGGGTCTGAAAAACCTGGGCCGCAGTATGTCCTGATAGCCAGCTCTCCAATAAACTTGTTTTTCTACTGGTTTAAACCCAGACAAATAAGCAAGTCAGAGACAGGACTGGAGAAAATGGAAATCTTTATTTTTAAACACTAGTACATTTTCAGGCTGTTTTAAAAAAGAAAAATCATGTTACATTAGTTCAAAACTATGCATCAAAGCATATTTATTTAAACTCTAATTTTACAAACACATAATGAAAGAAACATATATTTTATAAATATCTACTCGGAATATGTATTATGAAAAAAAGTGTTTAAAAATAACAGCCCCAGATCTCCCTCTTTAAATATATAAAATTCGCATAACAATTCATAAGAATTCTTTCTCAAGAGCCAAAAATTTCATTTCACAAAGGCCAACAACTCAGTTCCCATCAGACACAATCAAAAGTAATAGGAATATTCAAAAATGTAAAAGTTCTGTACAAGGGAAATACAGATAGCACACGGGTAAATCTCATTAGCATACATGCCATTTGTGTTTTAAAAATGTTTTATAAAAACTGCAATTTGAAACAAATAAGTGAGAGTCCTTCCCTGACTGTGGAAAATATATAAATTATCGCCCTACCCGCTGGGTACCGAGGTGCCACCTGCTGGAGCTAGAGAGAGAGGTCCCCGTGTGTTTCCTGACAGGGCCCTAAGCCGCACAAGGGGACCCGCCTCCTCTGTGGCAGTGGCTTTTCCTTGTGGGTGATTCACTAGTATTTCCTTTCACTTAGAAAACTTCTTTGGGATCATAGAAGACAACTGCTCACAAGTGAAAGCAAGACTAGAGATGATTTCAGATTGCTGCGTCCAATTCATTGGGTGTATTTTGTATTTTTGGTGACCAAACTCTGGAAACCCGATTTACCACTGTCAGAGACACACCCTGTCACCTATGCCAGCAAAACTCACGGCACAGCCCCAAGGATGTCCCTTCATCTTCTCTCTTCCAACCCAAGCTGCTCTGTGGCCTGCAGCGATGTATGCAGACTACTGTCTCTTCTGGCACTTCTTCTGGAAAGAGCTCTTCAAAAAAGTGCGGTATACAGGGTCGGCCACATATTCATTCTTAAACCTGGAGCTCAGCACTCTTTGTCTCTTTCTCTCCCCTTGGATAATGTCTGCTCCATAAAACGTGTCTTCAAATCGCATGTCAGAGGCTGTGGACTAAAAGCAGCTGGTGTTATATTGCAAAAGGGCACGGCATTTGATCTTCAGAACACTGGACAAAGATCTGACTCGGTCAGCTGGGGTTAGGGTGCAGATGCCCAGGTCACCAGCTCAGGCTAAAAGGGCCCCAGGCATGGCTTTGGGCTTTCCCTCGCCTCTCCCACCCAAAGTGGGGGGCTCCATTTAGCCCTACTTTCTCCAGGATCTCCCCACCCTCCAACCCCAGGGACCTTCCCCAAACAAAAGCAAGATTAAAGTCTTCTCGTTTTAAACTTCCCTCATTTTTCATCTCCCCTCTGTTTTTGACAAATGTCAACAGTCATCTCTAAGTTACCTTTACTCCTACTTAGCTTTGGGCCTCTGCCCCACCCCTTCCCTGAAACTGTTCTTGCTGAATGAAGTCCTAGTTGCTAATTCCTGTGACACCTTCCTATCCCTAAACTGACTTGACTAGTCTGCCAACTAATTACTGCTTAAAGCTCTCTTCTCTGTCATTTTGTAAACCCACTCTCCTGCTTCTCCTTCTCTGGCTGCTCACTTTTGATGTCTCAGGGGTTCCCTTTCTTAACTATCTGCTCAACTACGATGCCCTAAGGTTTGGCACTGGGCCTTCTCCTCTCCACTCCTGTTCCCTGGGCCTTTGTGCCCACACCCCTGGCTTCAGTGTCTGCAGGAGATGCTCACATCTGCTCCAGCTCAGGCCTGTAAGTGCATTTCCCCAGCAGGCATCACAAAGTCCCTGTCTCAGAGGCCCTTCAAATCAACCTGTCCTAAATTGAACTGAAAGCCTTCCTTCTTCATTGCTGTCCTTCCTACATTCCATAAAAGGCACCACCATGCCCATGCACCCAGTTACATTGGCCAGAAACCTAAAGGCACTGTAGACATTTCCCCACCGTGTCCAGGATTCCTCCTGCATGTACCTTGAAGCCCTTCAGCCTTTCTTCTTGATCCTTACCCTATGGGGCAGGCCCTCACCTCTGCAAAGCACTGCAATAAATGCTGTACCTCCAACCTATTTCCCACAGTACCACTGGAAGAAAGCTCTCTAAAAGCCCTCTTATTATAAGACTCTACATGATCATATGCCCTTGCTTGTAATTTTCCAGCAACCTACTGCCTTCAAGATGACATCCCCACTCCCCAGGCTAGACCTACATAACCTGGCCAGAAGCCTGCCCCGTGCTCTGCTCAGACGGCATCAGTTGCAGGGCCTGGTCATACTTGCCTGGCTCAGGGCCCCATGCTTCTCTGTCTTTGGACACACTGTTTCATTTCTGTGAAAGTTATTCTATTCTACTGTCTCTGCCCTCGGCAAGCTTAAGGGTCCTTCTTTGGGACTCCTGTGGCCCTGACACATCCACTCAGTAAGAGGAGGGCAGTGGTAGAGGTAAGGGGCAAGTAAGTTTCTCCCCATCAGGGGAACCCCATAAAGGTGAGGATATTAGGGACTGTGTACCCAATTTTACATGTGTTCCCCACAGCAAACAATGTGGCTAGTATTTGGCTGCTGTTCAGTAAGTGTTTGCTGAGTGAGGGCATGTGGCTTTTTCTGTGATAATCAGATAAAGCCTAAAGTCTATGGTAGGCACTATTTTTGCTTCCCAATTCCCTACTATCTTGCCTCCTAAAATGCACTGGCAGCTGTTTTCACTGAGGTGGATGACTTCTGATGACATCAACACACAGCACATTTCACTGTGCTGAGACTGCTTCCCCTGGCTGCTGGCAGAGGCAGAGGTGAAAGACACTTTAGGACTTGAAAACACACGGTCCATAGTAAAGAAGAGAAAAACAAGAAAACAGCCACAAGGAAGCCTGAAAACAAAAAATGTACCGAAGCGTAAAGCTGTTCATGTTTCCAGCCAGTTCATGGGACAGTTACTCAGGGTAACAGGCCACCTCCACGGCTTCCCCCACATACCACCTAGTTTCACTAGAGAAGAAAACTAAATCATTATGGGCTGGTTGGGTTCCCTCTGCCATTAGGAGAAAACACTTTTGTTTCATTCATTCTTGGCAAAATACTTCCTCTGAGTAATCTTTCACTTGTGTAAGTGCTAAAGTTATCAAAGAAGAAAATAAAACATCTATGAAAGTGTTGCCACTGTGCAGAAACAGCAAAAGTCGGCCTCTCAAATACAATAATAAAACCGATTTACCAGGAGCTCTAGCTAATTATGCACCGTTGCTATGGTTATTCTGTGAGACAATAAAAGGTAACGGGGCTGCTTCTGAAGTGAGTGGAAAAGAACCCCACACAATCACTGAGGTGGACTGCTGGCTCTTTTGAACAGTTTCTCCCCCAGTCAGCGTGTGTCTGGGTGAGCCGAAGTCATTAAAATACAAGGCCTCCTGACAAGGGCGGCTAACCTCCATCCTTAAAAAACAAAAAAGACTTTTCTAACCATAAAACATCTTCCATCAATGAGTTTTCCAATTAGATTTGTTTTGCCAACTGGAAAAAAAATAGTAATAATCATGGACAGACTAACCAAGGGTCTGAGGGCTATGTACCAACCCAGGGGAGAAACAGGCTGGCTACGACAAGACTGTGTATGTCTTTGATTCAATAAAGGTGGCCAACAGGACTTAGTGACCGTGAGCCTTTGTTCCCTAAGATATTTTCTACTTGGCTTAGCCGCTCAGAATAGCAGGCTGCATTCAGAGTGTATGGATGTGATTTACATATTTTCACTTTTTTTTTAATTAAAAATTTTTTCAGAGAATAAAAAAAAAATTGAATGTTGGTGAGCTTGTTCAGTGAAATAGACCTTAGAAAATCCAGGACCTGTGTTCCGAGACAGCCACAGGGGAAGGCATCCTGGTATCTGAGCGAAATCTACTGTGAAACAAAGAGATTGTGATCAGAGTATGAAAGCAATGAGCTTTCTTCTCATGTGATTAAGAAACAGTATTTGAAATCTACAAGACTCAGCTGGTAGGATGCTTAGTCATACATCGATTAGAAAATGAAAGACCCAAGAGACTTTGAGAGGCTACCTACTCCACTCCCCATCCTCTAAATCTCTAGGTGCTGAAAAAGGAAAAGAAAGGAGCGGGAGGAGCTGGGAATAAGGCAGGGAAGAGGGGAGTCCAAGGAAGACAGGAATACAGAACGAGACGAAGCTATCTCTAACATCTCGAAAAGGAAAGTTTTTCTCAAGAAATTTCAGGTCTCAGAACAGCGACAAGTCATCTAAGGTTTTTCGGTCTTGGTAAGATTTGGCTGGTATCTTTACAACAGGAATATTTAATTTTTTCTTTGCTTGCTGTCATTATCTAGTAGTTACTCTATTTACAGGTGTGTGGGTCCCCTCTGAGCCACATTTCCCATCGAGTGGGCAGCAATACCACCACTCCTCTTGACGATTTCACTTTGAAGGACCTTCCTCTGAAGGATGCAGCTGAGAGGAAAGTCAGTTCCCACCTGATGCAGTTACTCTGCTGTCAGGATCCCATCTGACTGGAAAAAAGCTGCATACACAACTGAACGTTTAAGGCAAGCGTGTCCAACCCATGGCCCGCCGGCTGCATGCTACCCAGGATGGCTTTAACGCGGCCAAACACAAATCTGTAAACTTGCTTAAAACATTATGAGTTTTTTTTTGCTTTTTTTTTTTTTTTTTTTAGTAGCTCATCAGCTATTGTTAGTGTAGTTTATGTGAGGCCAAAGACAATTCTTCTTCTTCAAGTATGGCCCAGGGATGCAAAAAGATTGGACATCCCTGATTTAAGAAAACCCTTGGTTTTTCCAAAATAACCAAATAATCTATAGTGACTCTATCACTGCAGACAAGTATATCATAAGCACTCACTAAACTGAATTATTCAGAAAAAAAATTTCATTTTAGTCAGAAAAACCCCATCCATTCAAATTTCTCTATTTAGGATTTATCATTTCACAGACACAATAGATATAATTCTAAATGAATAAAACTGACTTCATTTCAGGGTCCACTGAATATTTTATGATACAATAATATGAAGTCTAAATTATTGTGAATTATATTTTTCAATGACTGCAGTTTTGAATATTTGTCCATGTTTGTTCATCTTTTAATGGTATGTGAGGGCATGAAACTACTATTTCCTTTTTAAAAAACTGCTTTAGTATTCCCACAACTAGCATTTAGGCTTTGTTTATCCCTTTTATTATGAAAGTCAGAGTTTAGCTTAATGATGAACTGACACAAACATCAGTAACTTTCTGAGACAGAAGGTAGTCAATCCATGAAAAACCTATAAAAGAATAGACAGACATTCAATTATGCCGAGTCCCCTTTGATCTACTCCTGAATACTTTTAATGTTGCTTCTACTAACAAGATTGCAAATGCCTTGATGGTATCTTTGTTTGCTCCTGGTGTTTTACACAGAGCACACATTCAGTAAGTATTTTTGTGCACCAATAAATGTCAACACAAAGAAGCATCATGTGACTTCATTAGAAGAAAAGTAAAGCACATGCATTAATTTCCCCGATTTTGGTTGAATTTGAAGTTTGCATTCAATAGGTTCCACTAAGGAAAATGTTGCATTGGCTTTTTTTAGAATTAATCCAAAAGCCCAAGTATGTTTCCTGCTGGGCTTGGGAAACATGAGGTGAGGACAAGGAATTCACTTGGCAGGTCCCCAAGTGGCATCTGCCAGCACTTACAAATCGAGCTTTCACTCTCTTGGGTAACTCTTCATCTAAAGTGTAGATGTCCTCTCTCTTCATTGCTATCTGGGATCCATCTTCAAACTCAACCTAATGAAAGATAATATAACATGATACATATTAAAAAAACAGCACTGACCATTTTTAAAGGCTCCAATTAACTACATGAAAAGATGAAAAGGACTCAAACAGAACAAACAAGGGAACCAGCCAACAACCAAGGAAGTAAGAAGAGTTATTTCCCTTATTAAGTAGAGGCCGGGCATGGTGGCTCACGCCTGTAATCCCAGCACTTTGGGAGGCTGAGGCAGGCAGATCCCAAGGTCAGGAGATCGAGACCATCCTGGCCAACATGGTGAAACCCTGTCTAACAAAAATACAAAAATTAGCCAGGCATGGTGGCGCATGCCTGTAGTCCCAGCTACTCAGGAGGCTGAGGCAGGAGACCCGCTTGAAGCTGGGAGGCAGAGGTTGTAGTGAGCTGAGATCGCACCACTGCACTCCAGCCTGGTGACAGAGTAAGACTCCGTCTCAAAACAAAAAAATAAATAAATAAACTAAATACAAAATACATTTCAAAACAGGCCAAAATTCTTGGAAATGAGTGTCTTGGAATACAGGATATGAAAACTTTATCTGGCGAAGCAACAACAAAGAAAAGTAGCTGCTGATCAAATGGAAATCACAAAACATGAGACTGTGGGAAATTCAGCATTAAAATGGGTTGGGTCTGTCAGCACGGTTCATTTCTTTAAGAGGCTCTGACAACGTAACAAGGAGAATTGTTTCTCTCTGTGAAAGAAAAGATAATATATTTCCTTTTTTTTTTTTTTTTTTTAAATTGAGACAGGGCCTTGCCCTGTTGCTCAGGCTAGAGTGCAGTGGCCTGATCTCAGCTCACTGCAACCTCAACCTCCCAGGCTCAAGCAATCCTCCCACCTCTGCCTCCTGAGAAGCTGGAACCATAGCTGTGTGCCACAACGCCCAGCTATTTTATTTTATTGTAGTTTTTTAGTAGAGATAAGGTCTGACTAGACTCAAGCAATTCTCCCACCTTGGCCTCCCAAAGTGTTGGGATTACAGGTGTCAGCCACCATGCCCGGCCTGTTTACTCTTATATAATAATCCTCCCAGATAAAATAATTTATGCATTTCTTACAGAGCTTGAACTTTCAAAATTCACGTGTCAAATTCAATCAAATGCCATCAAAGGAGCTGGGAAAATCTGTTTCTCAACCTCCTAACATGTAAACCTCATCAATGTGTGAAAATACATCATCATCTAAAACAAAATGTTTAAAACTTTTCTCGCACTAACCAAATGGAAGCAAATAATTTCATAACCAATTGTTTTTAACATTTTAAAAGATTTTGTCAAAGAAAAGGTAAATAACACCAGCTAACAGAAACCTAGAGCACCTAGGTTTAGATTGGTTTAGGTTTAATACAACATGAACTAATCTAGCAGGAAACAAAACGGATGTAATCAGGTAGAATACTTAATATGTTCTAACTCTGAACCACATGGTATTTTTGAAGTCCCTAAATTTTGTCTGAATTTTTTAAAGAAATGAAAATATGCTTATACTTCTAGTCAAAAGGTAAGTTAAACCACACAGCTGTGCCATGTTAATAAAAAAAAAATCTAGAGTTTGAAAAAAATTTACACTAATTTTTTTTTGGTTTTTGGTTTTCTCTTGAGACGGAGTTTCGCTCTTGTTGCCTAGGCTGGAGTGCAACGGCGCGATCTCGGCTCACTGCAACCTCTGCCTCCTGGGTTCAAGTGATTCTTCTGCCTCAGCCTCTCAAGTAGCTGTAATTATAAGCATGCCGCCAACCATGCCTGGCTAATTTTTATACATTTTTTTAGTAGAGACGGGGTTGCACCACGTTGGCGAGGCTGGTCTCGAACTCCTGACCTCAGATGATCTGCCTGCCTCGGCCTTCCAAAGTGCTGGGATTACAGGCATGAGCCACTGTGCCCAGCTACACTTATTGTTTAATTCACAGAATGTCCAACTGATATATCGCTGCACTTTGCACTAAGCAAACACTCTCTTGAGTGGATGATAATATTAACTGGCCACATCTGTGCCAATGCATTGGTCTAGCTTTGCTGAGACACCCAGGTGGGTATGTCTCTCAGGCACAAGTTACCAATTCTGGTTGATGAACATCCACCACGGTCTTAATAAAGATCAAACATACAATTGAACGTATTATTATCCACGTACTGTTAGCATTTTGAATAAGCTAAACAATACAGTGGAATTAGGTGCCAGTCACATGAGAACCCTTGCTGTCACTTCCGGGAGGGCTAACAATGGGAAGGGTTTTCTTCCTGGCCTTGTTTGAGCAGAAACATTTCTTTAACATTGAACTAGGCCATAGTGTCATCTGATTTACCCAACTTAGTTGATAGCATAGCTAGAACCACCTGTGCCTACTTTCATTTGTTTTAGACCACTTAAAACATCGAAAAGACAAAAAGGCAATTACAAACCTAGAAGGGAGTATGCTGTGCTAGGACTAGGGTAACCAACCGTCCTAGTTCGCCTGGGACTCAAGGGTCCCTTGGGATGTAGTTATTTTCAGTACTAAAATCAGGGATGGTCCCAGGCAAGCAGGGATGGTTGTCCACCCTAGTTAGGGCAGAGCTGAGAGAGAATTTTGGCCCTCTCTTTACCAGCTGCGTGCTCTCGGACAAATTATTAAAAAATTATTCTTAAATCATTAAAAATTTTGTTCACAGCCTTTCTTCCCTCATTTGTAAGACAGGAGTCAATAACATCTATTTTGTAGGACTACTCTGAGGGTCAAAAAACGCATATGCCTAGGATATTAAGCACTGTGCAGCAGGTATTTATTTATCTGTCATATCTATTTTTAAAACTGTCTTTGTTTATTTGATGGTGAAGTTGAATAATTAGACACAAAACACAAAAAGATCTCAAAAGGCCACTTGGCTTAATGAGGAATTTTAAACTACTTGTGCTTGAGAGACAATTTTAATATTAGTCTTAACTTTTTCATTGAGTCTATAAATATGCTCATAGTTTTATGTTGATAGACCATCATAAATTCAACTGAAGTTAACACACTGATTACTAATTAGCCTGAATTTCAACATATTCTCATTATGTGATTCTTTTCATGTAGCAAATGGCTTTGCTACATGTAAGAAGCTTTGCTTTTGCACTTATTATTTAATTAAATGTAATTATTTTATTTTGCATTATGTAGTAATGCTTCTTTTCCAGGATCCTCCGGTATTATAGCCTGTCTTGCAATTTTTGCCTAATTCTGGTCATTCTAATGCAATGAAGCTCCAGTACCTTTACTATTATAAATAACTTGAATTTGTATCTTGAGACTGTCACCAATACCATATGCAAAGGGGGAAATGGCCTTTACACACACAGACACACATACACACATACACACACAATGTATGTGTATACATCCTCCCCTATCCATTCCCCTTAGGTTTTTCTAGACCATGAAAAACACTCTCTCCTAAGTTTTTCAAACTTCTTTGAACACCTTTAATTACACTGTGCTCCAGGTCCTGACGCAGTATCTTACAATGCACTCTTCCATTTAAGCTCTTGCTCCTTATCAGTCTTTGAACAATTTCTCTGTTGAAACTGACAGTCTTATCATTCTCAAGCTGTTTTTCAACAGGCCTGAACCTTCTTGCTTTTTCTCCTTTTACTTCAACCTTCTTGTTTTCACTCTACAGTTTAGCCTGAGAATCTTGATTTCTGACACAGTGTTACTGAAAATTCTACAATGTATTGGCTCTAAATGTCCCCTTTTAAAACCTTTCTGAAGGAATATAAATGTGCACGTGCTATCCATGTTGTTTCCCTTATTAAAGCTTAACTCATTCTCATTTCTGGGTGAAATAAAAGTAATTCATTTTAAAATTGTATATATACTCTTTAATACTACGTAGGGTTCCCTGGTGAACAGAACGTCCAACTGATAGCTGTACTTTTCATTTAAACAAGCATTCCTTTAAGCTTGGGTGGATGATAACCATCAGCTCCTTGTGACATTAACTGGCCACATCTATGTCAATGCACTGTTGTCTAGCTTTGCTGAGATAGCGGGGAGTGGGGAGACTATGTCTCTCAGCAAAAGCCACCACTTCAGGGGCTGCTGGTTGAAGAGTGGCCATCGCTGTCTTGGCTGAAGGTTAGATGAATCGGCCAACTAGTCGTTCCCCATACAACAGAAACAGTGGGAGGCAGCCTGTCTTCTAGTCACTTATCTTTCTGGCAGAACCATATTCCTTACAATTAAACCATTCATCAAATGCTGTTAAGAGTTTCCCAGTGTCCAACTTGGTAATAAAACTCCAGGGTTTCGACCTGGGTCATTACACATTGAATCTTTGCCTCCTGCATAAAATAAGAGGTGTCCCAAATTCATGTGGCTTATTGTTCAGCAGCACACTTGAGATACTATCTCCTTCTGACTTATCATGTCAATCTTAGCAAGCATCACAGAGAAGGAAGAACCCACCTGGTACATGTGGGCAATATTTGATCCAAAATATTTTGCTCCATAGAGTTTGCCATCGGGCCACTTGACTTGGACGACTTCTCCCTCAGCAGGTGGGCCCAGCTTCAGACAGTCTCGGCTCTGCAGAATAAACAGAGACAGGCTTTTCAAAAGGAGTGCCTAAGTGACTGCATTTAGAACTTAGCAAATGATGAACTCCTGGCAATTAAAAGGAGTTATTGCCTCTGTGTTTTATGGATTATGATCTCGCATGGGTGTTCAGGGGAAGAGATATGAGCCAAAGGAGTATTTAAAGATTCAGCCTACATCATAAAGTTGCAAAGGAGCCACCATAATCCAAGCAGAAAAAAACAGCAGCATTTACATTTGCTATTTGAAAAAGAATTGTTTAGGGGGTAACTAAAATATGCATAGAAACCGCTTTAGCTGAGGAATAGACCAGCTAATGATTTATAACACCTGACATTTATATAGCATTTTGCAGTTAACAAAATGCTTCAGCATACATCTCATGTGATCTTATAATCACCCCATGACATAGAAAGAGACTATTAATTATCCCCATTTTACTGACAAGGAAACTGAGACTCCTGCGAGGCTTTAAGTTGCCAGGATCTCTGGAGGAGTGAAGCTATGGGAGACTAAAAGACACCCAGGTGGAAGTGGAGCAGGGGACAAATGGCGTGCGATTGAAGCCGGTAGGACTTGCCAATAAAGCAGAGAAGGGAAAACAGGAGCACCTGCAGCACGGCGGGTGGAGCTGGGTGGGTGTGTCCTGTTTAGCACGGCCCTTCTAAAGACACCCTGGACCCCCCTACATAAATGTGCTTCTGCCAGCATCTCCTGTTAATTGACGAGCCCACCTTTTTCTGCAGGTAATCATGGTGGCACCCATAACCAGAATCTTTTCATTTCAGATCTTCTGTTTCATATTGCCACCTCCCAAGGCAGTAATTCAGAGCAAACTCCCCAGGTGATTAATCCTGAAAGGTGCTTTTTGTTTTTTTAAGGCGTGGCAGGGGGACAGGGAAGTTAGTAAAACATTTAAACATTTGTTCAGACATAGTTTGCAAACTTTTAAATTTGTATGTATTGAGTAGGACACAATACAATTTTAATACAAGGGAATTAAATACTTGACTATGGTAATTTTTATTTTTGCACATTTAGCAATTCATGATTTGCTAATACTGGTATTTTACTGATGAGGACAATCTGAATGAAATGCACACTTGACCAATCAAGCTATAAATGCAGACTGGGCATATTCTGTGGTTTAAATGAGAGGCATACACAGGAAGTATTTAGTTGTTTATGATTGGAAATCTACCATGTACTATTTCTTATTACTAATAGAAATTGTGCCTTATAAAGGAGTGGCCATTTGATTGCTGGGTTAGGAGTATACATGGAAGGCCCGGCTGTTCATTTTTCTAACTGCAGGCTATGCTTCCATTGGAGCTAAAGCAAAGAAAAAAATAGTTTGCTCGGAGGCTCTACAGAACTGACAATATGCATCTAACTTAGCCAAATGAAAGTAAGTCTATCCTTGGCCCTCATAGGACTTGACCTCAGGGCATGTGGAATTGAAAGGGTAGGCTGTGGAGATGTACTCAATGTATTCCCATGGGGTTATCACCTTTCTCTCCATTTCCCTTCCCAAGATTTATGCGGTACCGAGAACACTGGAAGGTATAGCTTCTGAGTACAAACTGATTACATGCGTCAGTCTCCGAGGTTAGAGAGTCGCATCAGCTCTGGATTCCTCTGAGCTGAAGCCCAGGTGCTGGGGTAAGTGTGGCGGCAGGAGGTGGCATATGCTTCTCCTGCTGCTAAAGATGTCTCCCATGTGGAGGGATCTCCACTTGGGTAATACATCTGGCTCATCTTCACCCCCTCTTAGCCTTTTACAAGAGGATTAGTTACGACTTAATTTTATTTTTGAATTCTGAAGGAGACTGTATTTCCCAAACTATGTGCCATGGTGCTCTGCAGTGCTACAGCAAACTCACAGGGACCCTGTGGGATACATTCAAGAGAAGCACGGTGACACTTGTGAGGCACCTAGCTTACTAATACTGATGAGTTATTTGGACCTAATTTACTTAACACATAGAACTGTTAGGTACTTCTTTTGACTGAGAGGCACTATAAAAAGCATGCTGAGGTACTAAGGGTGCCTGCAAGCCAAGAAAGTTTGGTGACCTCTAGCTCAGCTCCTTCCCTTTCTCTCTGGAGCCATCATGCAGACAGAGAACCTGCACTCTGCTCTGCTCCTTCCACGGAGAGGAGCCTGCACTTTCCTGCACGGCCCATCACTAGGTAAGCCTGTCTAATTCCAGGGTCCAGTATTTGAAACCTGTTTGCCAACAGATATAAGCCACACTCCTCAATATCTGCTTTATCACTCATAAAGGTGATACTTTACATCTCCAAATCCTGACTCCTTTGTCTCGCTTTTCCTCAGGCAGGGCGAGACATGCTATTTATTGGGTCCTTCTCGAATCCCAACAGAGGCAAGTCAACGCCTCAGGAAATACATGAGGCTGTACCCTGCACTTTCTTACCCACCACAAACAACTTTCAAGCAGGAGAGTTACGGCCTCCCCTTCTTTATCATTTAGGTCCTTAATTTTACAGATTTGCCCTTCAGCAGAACTTTATTAACCTTTAAAATAAAATCCCTCAAAATAAATCCTGACTTGCAATTTTAGGTACCATATCACCAAGGAGAGCTGAGGGACATGGAAACGTGGACTGGACAAGCATAAATTGCATTCGAGCAGTTTAATCCTAAAAACATAGTTTTATTAACAAACTGAATAGATGAACTTTACTAAGTGACAATTCTTTTTTCAAAAACCTTTTGGAAACAATGCCTGAGATAGTTAGATATCTTTTATTACTAATTGTAAATTCACCTTTCACTCACAGGAAATCTTAATCCAGCATTGGCAGTGCCTGACCTCAACTAACCACTTACTGCTCAGCCTCCTCCTAACGTTGCTCTGTATCCTAATGTTGCTCTCTATCAGCCACAAAGATAAAATTCATAATCTTTCATGCCAAACTCAAGAAGACATTTCAGTTTGCTTTCTCAATCTTCTTGCTTTCAGAACTCTTTTTCTTTACTTATAGAAGAAGAAAAATAACAAACCAACTATGTAACAAGATAAGTTATTCTGTGCCTCCCCCACCTCCAAAACCAGGGGGCACGATTCTCATCCATAACAGCTCCTTTCTCACCCTGCACCAGGTCATTCAGCTGGAAGGACATATATTTTGATTAGCATATAACTTTATTTAGTATGTAAAATTCAGTATTTACTCCTTAGCTACTTTCCAAATGAAGTTAAGGTAGCTCGGAGTAAAACATAAAAGAGCTTATTTCTGTAACATCTACTTTCATCCATAAAGAAATAGTGTCAATTCATCAGCTGTTTCACATTTTGAGTTTGCCAGCAACTTCCTATGACTATGTGGGGTATAAATTTAAACAAGAATGAGACTAGAAGCATGTGAGCTGATGAAAAGAAGTTGAAAGGTTTGATATTTAGGCTTCTCTGATCTCTCCAAAGTAGAAGCTGGTGGGTGTCCCCAAAATTGTTTCAATCACTAATTCAAAACCTATTTACTGACCACCTAATGTGTGTGAGACACTAGGAGGCAATAAAGCCCAGCAGCCCAAGCCAGGGACAGACAGAGGGCATTGCACCCACACGTGAGGCCTGTCACACTAAACCCCATGGCTCTGTGGGGTGCAGGTCTTCAGGGTCCTTGCAAGGGGGGAGATCTATGAGGGCTTCAGAGTAGAACTTTGATTTTATTTACAAATAAGGTTTCTGAGTAAGATTTCATTCGGGGTAGAGAAGTTTCTTTTAAAAATAAAAGGTCTGGAAGATGGCCAAATAGGAACAGCTCCCGTCTGCAGCTCTCAGCGTGATTGATGCAAAAGACGGGTGATCTCTGCATTTCCAACTGAGATACCTGGTTCATCTCATTGGGACTGGTTGGACAGTGGGTGCAGCCCACAGAGGGCAAGCTGAAGCAGGGTGGGGCATCACCTCAGCTGGGAAGTACAAGGAGTCAGGGGATTTCCAATTCCTAGCCAAGGGAAGCCTTGACAGACTGTACTTGGAAAAATGGGACACGCCTGCCCCAATACTGCACTTTTCTCAAGGTCTTAGCAACCAGCAGAAAGGAGATTCTCTCCCGTGCCTGGCTCGGTGGGTCCCGTGGCCATGGAGCCTTGCTCACTGCTAGCGCAGCAGTCTGAGACTGAAGTGCGAGGTGGCAGCCTGGTTGGGGGAGAGGCGTCTGCCATTGCTGAGGCTTGAGTAGGTAAACAAAGCGGCTGGGAAGCTTGAACTGGGTGGAGCCCACCGCAGCTCAACAAGGCCCACTGCCTCTAGACTCCAGCTCTGTGGGCAGGGCATAGCTGAACAAAAGACAGCAGACAACTTCTGCAGACTTAAACTTCCCTGTCTGACAGCTCTGAAGACAGCAGTGGTTCTCCCAGTGAGGCATTTAATCTCTGAGGAAGGGCACACTGCCTCCTCAGGTGGGTCCCTGACTCCCATGTAGCCTAACTGGGAGACAACTCCCAGTAGAGGTAAACAGACACCTCATATAGGTGGCTCCCCTTCTGGGACGAAGCTTCCAGAGGAAGGATCAGGCAGCAATATTTGCTGTTCTGCCTCCAATGGTGATCCCCAGGCAAACAGGGTCTGGAGTGGACCTCCAGCAAACTCCAACAGACCTGCAGCTGAATGACCTGACTGTTAGAAGGAAAACTAACAACCGGAAGGGAATAGCATCAACATCGACAAAAAAGACATCCACGCCAAAACCCGATCTGTAGGTCACCAACATCAAAGACCAAAGGTAGATAAAACCACAAAGATGTGGAGAAACCAGAGCAGAAAAGCTGAAAATTCTAAAAATCAGAGCACCTCTTCTCCAAAGGATCACAGCTCCTCGCCAGCAACGGAACAAAGCTGGAGGGAGAATGACTTTGACGAGTTGACAGAATAGGCTTCAGAAGGTCGGTAATAACAAACTTCTCCAAGCTAAAGAGGCATGTTCAAACCCATCGCAAGGAAGCTAAAAACCTTGAAAAAAGATTAGACAAATGGCTAACTAGAATAAACAGTGTGGAGAAGACCTTAAATGACCTGACAGAGCTGAAAACCATGGCACGAGAACTTTGTGACGCACGCACAAGCTTCAACAGCCAACTCGATCAAGTGGAAGAAAGGGTATCAGTGATTGAAGATCAAAATAATGAAATTAAGTGAGAAGACAAGGTCAGAGAAAAAAGAGTGAAAAGAAACGAACAAAGCCCCAAGAAATATGGGTCTATGTGAAAAGACCAAATCTGCATTTGATTGGTGTACCTGAAAGTGATGGGGAGAATAGAACCAAGTTGGAAAACACTCGTCAGGATAGTATCCAGGAGAACGTCCCCAACCTAGCAAGCGAGTCCAACATTCAAATTCAGGAAATACAGAGAACACCACAAAGATACTCCTTGAGAAGAGCAACCCCAAGACACATAATTGGCAGATTCACCAAGGTTGAAATGAAGGAAAAAGTGTTAAGGGCAGCCAAGAGAAAGATAGGGTTACCCACAAAGGGAAGCCCATCAGACTAACAGCAGATCTCTCAGCAGAAACCCTACAAGCCAGAAGAAAGTGGGGGCCAATATTCAACATTCCTAAAGAAAAGAATTTTCAAGCCAGAATTTCATATCCAGCCAAACTAAGCTTCATAAATGAAGGAGAAATAAAATCCTTTACAGACAAGCAAATGCTGAGAGATTTTGTCACCACCAGGCCTGCCTTACAAGAGCTCCTGAGGGAAGCACCACACATGGAAAGAAACAACCGGTAGCAGCCACTGCAAAAACATGAGAAATTGTAAAGACCACCAATGCTATGAAGAAACTGCATCAACTAACAGGCAAAATAACCAGCTAACAACATAATGACAGGATCAAATTCACACATAACAATATTAACCTTAAATGTAAATGGGCTAAATGCCCCAATTGAAAGACACAGACTGGCAAACTGGATAAAGAATCAAGACCCATCAGTGTGCTGTATTCGGAAGACCCAGCTCATGTGCAGAGACACACACAGGTACAAAATAAAGGAATGGAGGAAGATCTACCAAGCAAATGGAAAGCAAAAAAAGCAGGGATTGCAATCCTGGTTAAACAGACTTCAAACCAACAAAATCAAAAGAGACAAAGAAGGCCATTACATAATGGTAAAGGGATCAATTCAACAAAAAGAGCTAACTCTCCTAAATATATATGCACCCAATACAGGAGCACCCAGATTCATAAAGCAAGTCCTTAGAGACTACAAAGAGACTTAGACTCCCACACAATAATAATGGGAGACTTTAACACCCCACTGTCAATATTAGACAGATCAACGAGACAGAAGGTTAACAAGGATATCCAGGACTTGAACTCAGCTCTGCACCAAGCAGACCTAAAAGACATCTACAGGACTCTCCACCCCAAATCAACAGAATATACACTCTTCCCAACACCACATTGCACTTATTCTAAAATTGACCACATAGTTGGAAGTAAAGCACTCCTCAGCAAATGTAAAAGCACAGAAATCACTGTAAACTGTCTCTCAGACCACAGTGCAATCAAATTAGAACTCAGGATAAAGAAACTCACTCAAAACCGCTCAACTACATGGAAACTGAACAACCTGCTCCTGAATGACTACTGGGTAAACAACGAAATGAAGGCAGACATAAAGATGTTCTCTGAAACCAGTGAGAACAAAGACAACATACCAGAATCTCTGGGACACATTTAAGCAGTGTGTAGAGGGTAATTTATAGCACTAAATGCCCACAAGAGAAAGCAGGAAAGATCTAAAAATCGACACCCTAACATCACAATTAAAAGAACTAGAGAAGCAAGAGCTACTGGAAGACAAGAAATAACTAAGACCAGAGCAGAACTGAAAGAGATAGAGACACAAAAAACCCTTAAAAAAAAAAAAATCAATGAATCCAGGAGCTGGTTTTTTGAAAAGATCAACAAAATTGATAGACCGCTAGCAAGAATAGTAAAGAAGAAAAGAGAGAAGAATCACATAGATGCAATAAAAAATGAAAAAGGGGATATCACCACTGATCCCACAGAGAATACTACCATCAGAGAATAATATAAACACCTCTATGCAAATAAACTAGAAAATCTAGAAGAAATGGATAAATTCCTGGACACAAAGATTCTCCTAAGACTAAACCAGGAAGAAGTTAAATCACTGAATAGACCAATAACAGGCTCTGAAATTGGGGCAATAATTAATAGCCTACCAACCAAAAAAAGTCCAGGACCAGACGGATTCACAGCCGAATTCTATCAGAGGTACAAAGTGGAGCTGGTCCCATTCTTTCTGAAACTATTCCAATCAACAGAAAAAGAGGGACTCCTCCCTAACTCATTTTATGAGGCCAGCATCATCCTGATACCAAAGCCTGGCAGAGACACAACAAAAAAAAGAGAATTTTTGACCAATATCCCTGATGAGCACTGATGCAAAAATCCTCAATAAAATACTGGCAAACCGAATCCAGCAGCTCATCAAAAAGCTTACCCACCATGATCAAGTTGGCTTCATCCCTGGGATGCAAGGCTGGTTCAACATACGCAAATCAATAAATGTAATCCATCACATAAACAGAACCAATGACAAAAACCACACGATTATCTCAATAGATGCAGAAAAGGCCTTCGACAAAATTCAACAGCACTTCATGCTAAAAACTCTCAATAAACTAGGTACTGATGGCATGTATCTCAAAATAATAAGAGCTATCTATGACAAACCCACAGCCAATATCATAATGAATGGACAAAAACTGGAAGCATTCCCTTTAAAAAGCGGCACAAGACAAGGATGCCCTCCCTCACCACTCCTATTCAAGATAGTATTGGAAGTTCTGGCCAGGGCAATCAGGCAAGAGAAAGAAATAATGGGTATTCAATTAGGAAAAGAGGAAGTCAAATTGTCCCTGTCTGCACATGACATAATTGTATATTTAGAAAAACCTATCATCTCAGCCCAAAATCTCCTTAAGCTGATAAGCAACTTCAGCAAAGTCTCAGGATACAAAATCAATGTGCAAAAATCACAAGCATTCCTATACACCAAGAACAGACAAACAGAGAGCCAAATCATGGGTGAACTCCCATTCACAACTGCTACAAAGAAAATAAAATACCTAGGAATCCAACTTACAAGGGATGTGAAGGACCTCTTCAAGGAGAACTACAAACCACTGCTCAACAAAATAAAAGAGGACGCAAACAAATGGAAGAACATTCCATGCTCATGGATAGGAAGAATCAATATTGTGCAAATGGCTACACTGCCCAAGGTAATTTATAGATTCAATGCCATCCCCATCAAGCTACCAATGACTTTCTTCACAGAATTGGAAAAAACTACTTTAAAGTTCATATGGAACCAAAAAAGAACCCACATTGCCAAGACAATCCTAAGCCAAAAGAACAAAGCTGGAGACATCACGCTATCTGACTTCAAACTATACTACAAGGCTACAGTAACCAAAACAGCATGGTACTGGTACCAAAACAGAGATATAGACCAATGGAACAGAACACAGGCCTCAGAAATAACACCACACATCTAAAACCATCTGATCTTTGACAAACCTGACAAAAACAAGAAATGGGGAAAGGATTCCCTATTTAATAAATGGTGCTGGGAAAACTGGCTAGCCATATGTAGAAAGCTGAAACTGGATCCCTTCCTTACACCTTATATAAAAATTAACTCAAGATGGATTAAGACTTAAATGTTAGACCTAAAACCATAAAAACCCTAGAAGAAAACCTAGGCAATACCATTCAGGACACAGGCATGGCCAAGGACTTCATGACTAAAGCACCAAAATCAATGGCAACAAAAGCCAAAATTGACAAATGGCATGAAATTAAACTAAAGAGCTTCTGCACAGCAAAAGAAACTACCATTAGAGTGAACAGGCAACCTACAGAATGGGAGAAAATTTTTGCAATCTACCCACCTGACAAAGGGCTGATATCCAGAATCTACAAAGAACTCAAATTTACAAGAAAAAGAACAAACAACCTCATCAAAAAGTGGGCAAGGGATATGAACAGACCCTTCTCAAAAGAAGACACTTATGCAGCCAACAGACACATGAAAAAATGCTCATCATGACTGGTCATCAGAGAAATGCAAATCAAAACCACAAGATACCATCTCACACCAGTTAGAATGGTGATCATTAAAAAGTCAGGAAACAACAGATGCTGGAGAGGATGTGGAGAAATAGGAACGCTTTTACACTGTTGGTGGGAGTGTAAATTAGTTCAACCATTGTGGAAGACAGTATGGCGATTGCTCACGGATCTAGAACTAGAAATACCATTTGACTCAGCAACCCCATTACTGGGTATATTCCCAAAGGATTATAAATCATGCTACTATAAAGACACATGCACATGTATGTTTATTGCCACACTATTCACAATAGCAAAGACTTGGAACCAACACAAATGTCCATCAATGTTAGACTGGATTAAGAAAATGTGGCACATATACACCATGGAATACCATGTCAGCCATAAAAAAGGATGAGTTCATGTCCTTTGAAGGGACATGGATGAAGCTAGAAACCATCATTCTCAGCAAACTATCGCAAGGACAGAAACCCAAACACTGCATGTTCTCACTCATAGGTGGGAACTGAACAATGAGATCACACGGACACAGGGCAGGGAACATCACACACCGGGGCCTGTTGAGGGGTGGGGGGATGCGGGAGGGATAGCCTTAGGAGAAATACGTAATGTAAATGACGAGTTGATGGGTGCAGCAAACCAACATGGCACATGTATACCTATGTATCAAACCTGCACATTGTGCACATGTACCCTAGAACTTAAAGTATAATTTAAAAAAAAATAATAAATAAAAGGTCTGAAAAAAATTAAGTATATCAAAAGGTCTAAAAATGAAGGGATTTAATTTATGAAATGCAACAACTTGAGTGGTCTGCCCTCCCTCTTACAGGTCTCCAGCTGGTTCACATATCCTTGGGTTCAGCACCAGGAACCAGGCACTAGAGCACAGCTTCTCAAAGCGTGTTCCCAACCCTGGGGCACACATTAAAAATGAGAATTCCAGGTATCCCCAAAGCTCTCTCTGACTTGGGCGACTTCTTTTAAGCAATCTAGAATCTAAGGTCAATTATAGAAAAGGATGTAAAATACTAAAGAGGCTTTTCCTAATGCAGTTTACTTAGTATGTTACTGGAGTAAGTAAACACCTTTGCTGGAAAATTATATGCATTAAAACCTTGACAAATGCATTTTTCTCAGTTGCTGTCCAGACTCTTTGAAGCAGTCCATCTTCACCTAACATAAATAGCTGTTTGCCGTTTGCTGTACTGCCTCTAGGGATGTGTAAACTCGCCTGAAATCTACCAGAGCCTTGTTCACAAGGACACTGGTGTCTGGAGCTGCCAGTAAGCCCGTAGCTGCAGTACTAAATAGATGATGTGAAAATTAAAGACAGAAATCATAATCACGGTGAAGAGTGGCCTTTTGGCTGTGATCAGTTACTTCAAGGACTGATAGGAGTACTCAACCTAGGGCAAGAGGATGGTGTCATTACATTCCTGCCAAAGTCAGGGCCAAACTCCTATACTTGCTCCATCAACTAAAAGGAAAAATTCATCTGCCAGTCTGATTACCTGAATTCTGAAGTCACTGAGTTCTTGGAACTCTTACGAGACCCTTCTAAAGGGATCCCTAGAAGCTGCTGTCCTCAAATGTTGCCTTAGCCCTATCCCCACCCCCATCACTACTCCTTACGTGTATAAACCACAGAGCAGGTAGCCCCATCTGTGAGCAGAGTTGCACCAGATGAAGACGTGGCACATGTGTTCCCAGTAGTTAATCGGCATATAGTTTGGCTCCTCTGGCAGTCCCCCTTGGGGAGAATGCTTAGGTGACCTGGGGCGAAATGCCAACAGCTGCTATCGTTTCCAGAGATAATCACCTGCTCATTACTGGACCCTGGCAGGGATTAACAAGACTGACAGACAGCCACGTAAGTATCATAGTGGCTATCTGTCATCTGTTCGGCTGCCCAGCTTTGGAACCCCCTTCTCCCCAGTCTAATGGGGGCTGAGCTGGCCTGACATCACAGTCACTGAACACTGCCAGACACTCCCTTCCCCAGCTTCCCTCACAGCAAAGACAACTACAGCGGCCTGGCCAGTGGGCTGCACCAGCCCAGGATTTAGAACCTGTGATCAGAGATGCAGAGAAACAAGTAGAAGAGAGAATTCTCTCAGACAGCAGCAGCAGCAGCAGCACCCACAGGCCTACAGCAGAGGTTAGGTCCAGTCTCACCACATAAGGGGAGGCAGTGTGTCCTTCCTGGATGGCATCTGTGGTCTGGTCTTGCCCATAGCTGCAGCTGAACAGCCTCCTTTTTGTTCTTGCCTATTTTCTGACCTTTGTTCTTCTGCATTCCTGGAGATTCTGGAAGCTCCCCAATAACCTTTCACTAAATTTCTGTACAGGCTAAATCAATGTCAGTTTCTGTTGGTTGCCATTAACAACCCTGATAAGTAACCGCTAGTTTGCATGATGACAGATCCCTCCTCCCACAAAATGGAAAGAAACCTCTCACTTAACAATGGAATATAAAACTGGAGGACTTCCCACACCATGCAAAGGCCCAGCTGCAAAACCATCCTCCTCAAAAAGAAGGGAGCATATTGATGGAAGCATCTACCTGTTCACAAGGCTTGGTCCTAGATGACCGGCAGCAGTCTCCCAAGTTTTCAATACCCCCCAGTGTAAGGATGTGCGCTCTCTGAGGATATCCACAAGAATGTATTCCAGACAATAAAGTCACCAAGCACCGGAGGAATGGCCAGCTCTTAGCAATGGCCTCTCAAGGGGGCTACTCTGATGGGGATACACCACTTTGGACTGCTTGTTAAACATGTCATAAGCACCCTTCATGTAGAGATTAGCAAAGAATGCAAACACTTAAAAATTATTTTTAAGGCTGGGCATGGTGGCTCACCCAAAGTGTAATCCCAGCACTTTGGGCGGCCAAGGTGGAAGGATCACTTGAGCTCAGGAGTTCAAGACCAGCCTGGGCAACATAGCAAGACCCCATCTCTATAAAACAAAAAAGAAGAAAAAGTATTTTTATGAGTAATTCTGAGCTTCTATATATTCATTAGGGAGAAACTGTAAAATTTCTTAAAGATAGGAAAAAATTTTAAAACCTCATATTTCTATCACAAGTGATCACTGTCACCACATTTGGAGTTTTTTCCCTGTACTTCTAATTTTTAAAACTAATTTAAAGAATTTTTCTCTGTGCTCTTTTCTTTAAGAATTAGGACATCCTATACATGCACAATCTTTCCCCTGCAGCCGGTCCAGCCTTTATTTTCTTTCATGTTAGAATACAGCTGATCTGTCTCTAAAGCTATTTGTCAAGAGCTTGGAACTGAGTTCATGCCATGTTCCTTCGCCTCCTTCCACAGCATTTTGGGGTGGAGGCCCTTTCTTTTTTATTGGGGTAAAATACCCATAACACTAAATTTACCATTTTAACCACATTCAATTGTAAATTTCAGTGACATTAAGTTCAAAGTGTTGTGACTTCATCACCACTCTCCATCTTCAGAACTTTATCTTCCCAAACAGAAACTCTGCACTCATTAAACACTAACTCCTCATTCTCTCTCTCATCAGCCCCTGGCAATCACCATTCTCCTTTCTGTCTCTGAGAATTTGACTATTCTAGGTACCTCATGTAAGCGAAATCCTACAATATTTCTTTCGTGGACATATATAATTTTGTACCTTGCTATTTGCCACCTACGATTACATCATGAGCATTTTGTTAGCTATTAATTATCTTTTAAAAACTCTGTTTTACTTGCCAAATATATGCAACAGTATAGATGAACCACAACTAATTTAGCCACTCCTTTATTAAATATTTAGGTCACTGCAATTTTCCCCTATCATACATAATGCTATTGTATATTTGTTATCATAAATCTTTGTCTGAATTACTGACTCTATTCTTAGACTCCTAGAATAAGAGTTACTTGGTAAAAAGGCATATAAACTATTTATAAACTTAGTTTCATCAGCTTTGAAAAATTCAACATCAGACTCATTTCTCTAGTGCAGTAAATAAATCTAATGTTAACCACCAGAGAAATTTCTGATTCAGCTGGTCCAAGCCAAATGCCTTTCCAGGCAATCTCATGCTCAGCAGGGTGGGAACTGCTGTTCTAGGAGGTTATCTCGCAGCCTAAACTATACATTCTGTGTATAACGAAAGAACCAATTCTGTGCCCCTTCTTCTGACTGCGTCTTTTTCAGAGTGAGAGCTTTCTAACATGCTTAGAAGAAAATGTGGAATGCTTCCACACTGAGGTATCTGTATCTAAGCGTGTTCTGTGCTGGTTCTAGACCCCTGTAATTTCAGGCTCTGGGTTAATCGATTCAAGCCAAGCTGCTTCTATACTGACACTAATCATTCTGGGAAACTCCAAGTCTATCCAAGTCTACTGTCCACTTTCCCTTTTTAATAGTTTTGACACAGGGTCTCACTCCTGTCGCCCAGGCCGGAGTGACTGCAGTGGCACTATCACAGCTCACTGCAGCCTTGGCTTCCCGGGCTCAGGTGATTCTCCCACCTCAGCCTCCCAAATAGCTGAGAATACAGGTGCGTGCCACCATGCTTGGCTAATTTTTTTTTAAAAGTAGAGATGAGGTCTTGCTATGTTGCCCAGCAACATAGCTGGGCACAACCACTTCCGCCTCCCGAAGTGCTGGGATTACAGGTGTGAGCCAGCACGCCTGGCCTTGTTTGTTTCTAAAGGACACATACACACCCTTTCTGAACTCCAAGATGCTGTGGTTGTCCCTTAAGCTGAAATGAAGCCCATCTTGCTTACTCAAACAGCCAATTTTTTTTTTTCCACCAGTCACACTTGGCCAATGTCCTCATACACAGCTATACCTATTTTCTAAAAGATAGGTCTGTTATTTTCACAAAAATAAAAGCACTAAAACTTATTTGGTGAATTCCTGAAGGCCATCTAGTTTTTTGTGGTTGTTGCTTTTTATAGAGACAAGGTCTCACTATGTTGGCAAGGCTGGTCTTGAACTCCTGCCCTCAAAAGGTCCTCCTGCTTCAGCCTCCCAAAGTGCTGGGATTACAGGTGTGAGCCACAGTGCCTGGTCCGCTGCTTTGTTAGTACGTACTTTCCCTCCAATGATGAGCCCAAAGTGGACACGATGCTTGGTTAAGGTACTGAGGTCCCAGAGACGGAGGTTGTTTTATTATTCTGGAAGTTATTATAGCATTAAGCCTCAGAGGTATATTTTCCAAAGCAGCCACATCTTTATGATATTAGAAATAGGTGAGATTCTGGCATGCAAAAACCTTAAAAGGCCTAGAAAGTACAAAGGCAGCTGTTTTTGGAAATTATTTTTCTGGTTCCTTTGAAGTGAGGAAGCATAACAAACGCCAATAACTAGAAACAGGGTTGACACTGCGGGGTTGACCACACCCAAAAGGGCCTGCAGGGGAGGGACCAGGAAGGCAATGTGGGCACAAGAGCAGCAGTTCTAACCCACTGGTAAGAGATTCTCTGCATTCCTGCCTTCTCCTTCCCTCTGAGTGTGTCCTCTGGGCCAGGGACTGAGCTCAGCACTGAGAAAACAGAGACAAAAAAGACCCAGCCCTCTCGGAGACATTTCTCTCCAAGGATTCAGATCCAGCTGGGGACTCAAATACACACATGAATATCTGCAATACAAGGCACTGTGTGTGACTGTAGGTAGTTAGGCAAAGAGGTGGGAACTCTGTGTCTGTGACCCGCCCTCCCAGGACATCAACTGTGTTCAGGACTTTCCTCTTAAGATTAACCAAAGTTCCTCATGCCACTTCCTCCACGTTAAGCCACCCTGCACACAAACTGAGCTAATTATAGACACCTCTCTCAGGACAAGTTGTGGTGAGAGCAATAATACAGGCCTTAAAGAAAGAGGTGAAAGGGAGAAGCCAGAGGGCGGCTCCTGCGGCACTCTGTGGGGACCACTGTTTGGGGCTCCGGCATTGTCAACCTGATTTCGTTTGGGCTCGCATAGCTGGTCAGTCTATCCCACTGACCGTGTTGAGTGGTGTAGCCAAACAGGAGACAGAGTTGTAGCCCTGACCCCTTCCTCTCCCTTTCTACAGTATTCTGGAATGATCCCACTCGTGATCTCAGGGCTGTGCCCCACCATACCAGGAGCCAAAATAGGAAATCTTCCAAGTTCAACTCCTGAAAGCTCCAAATATAAAAACTACTTAAATAAGGAATTTATACGTGTAAAGCTTTCTGACACTTCCTCTTAGATCCTTCTTTCAGTAACCTCTTCTTTATTTAAAGGTATGGAAGATGTAGGGTGAAAAAATGTTTCTAGAAATCTTGTGCTTAGGGACTCTCTGACCAATGAGCTGACCAAAAATTACTGGCTGCCACCATCGACCATAATCACCACTGCCACCACAGCCACAAACACTACCTGCATTTGTTTACTATGTGCTGGGCACCACACTAACTGCTTTATGCATTACGTTTCAATAATCCCAACACAAATTCCAGTATTCATTACTACTGGTGGCGGCGGCCTGTCTGAAGCAGCCACTGTGAGGATGCCAGCTGCAGCGAGGGAGGCATGGCCAAGGCTGCACATGGGGGCTGGGAACAGGTGATCCCAGTGGGAGCCCCGTGCCCTACTGAGCTGGCAGGGCGGGAGCCCATGCTCCCAGGTGCAGCTGCAGCTGCCCAGCCGTGGCTCTGGACCCGGGCATCCCTGTGCTCTCAGGGTCCCAGGAAGGCCCCTGCCCCGGCAGGCTCGGAAGTGCCTGCTTCCACTCCCTGGCTTCTCCCCGCTCCTGGTATGCACTCTGCAGTGGAACAAAGTTGCCATCGTGTCTTGATAGCTGAGCCCAGGCACTGTAGCGACCCAGCCGGGCGTGTGCATGCTCAGGATGGCACTAACACACCAGACCCCAGACTGTCTCAGCACCTCCAGAAACTAGTTCTGAGGCTGACATTTTGGGTGCTGAGGAGCACGGGAGTGAGGCCAAGGGGCCTGAGGGCGGCTCGGCATGGGCATGCAAGTGCCCCTTGGTGCAGAAAACCTGGGTGCCATAAGTGGCAGTTGATGACGGCAAAAGGCAGACAGGTTATTAGGAGGGATGGGAGGGATCCCTGGTGAAACCCCACCTTCAAGCCAGGGATGGCCTGAAGCCTGGGGCTGGGCTGCCAATTCCGGGTGAAGTCTGCAACAGGGAGTGAGAACTTCCTTGATGAAGTTTTAGCCAATCAAGTGGTGCTTTTTCCAGGCCCATCCATGGACCAATCAGCAAGCACTTCCTCCATTCTGACCCCATAAAAACCCCAGACTCAGCTGGACTCAGACACTCCTTGGGACTACCTGCCTGTGGATAGGAGCTACCCACTTCAGGTCTCCTCTCCACTAAGAGGTGTTCGGTCATCCAATAAAGCCTTTCTCTGTCTTGCTCACCCTCCAATTGTCCACATAATCTCATTCTTCCTGGACGCAGGACAAGAACTTGGGACCTGCCAAATGGTGGGAGTGAAATGGGTTGTAACACGTTCCTGGCTGCCTCACCAAGCTGTAGGCAGTGATACACTCCCAGACAGTGGCAGTGAAGAGTGCCAACCCTTCTGGGTGCCCAGACCTTGGAATTCCCTGAGCCAGAGCTGCCGTAACACTACAGCCCTCCTGTTCTCCACTGCTACTGGGCAGCTGCCCCACACAACGGGAAAGAGCTGTGGGGCCAGGCCAGCCCATGAGCTGCAAGCTGAAGTGGGGTGGTGGTACTGAAAGAGCTGTAACACAAATGGGCTGAAACATGGCCCCCCGGCTCACCGCACTGTGGGCAAGGAGGAGAGAAAAGCTGCAGCTCTTCTGGGAGCCCAGACCTTCAGGTTCCCCAAGCCAGGGCTGTAACACACTGTAACATCCTCTCTGGGGCTCTGCACTTCCTGGCGTCTCCAAGCTTTTGGGCGCCACCATGTTCCCCTTGTCCGGATGCTGATATCCACAGCAGAAGCTGCTTGTCGTATATCTGGTCCAGCCACAGCCTCACATGGAGCCGGCACCTGGAGCTGCCCACCCCACCACAACAGCTGGCATGCCTTGCTGTGTGCAGTGGCCTGGCCCTGTGCTCACACACAACCTCGCCGCTCCAAGCCTGGCTTGCCCTTGGCAGGCACGGGATCCGGGCCAGTAGCATGAGCCGAGCACAGCCTGCTGGGCTGAGTGGACGGAACGAGCCTAGCGGGCATGAGCAAAACTCAAGCAGAGGCGCCACCAGCCACAGAGGTTTCCAGCTGGCAAAGCAACACCCTAAGGCTCCTGTGACATTACTATCTCCAATTTACAGATAAGGTAACTGGTGTCAACTCCCTTGCCTGGTTGCACAGCTAATTAGCAGAGCAAGGAGCACCCTGGGTCTGCCTGCCACACATGTAGCTCTTCCTACCTGGGTAAGAGAGCCAACATCGGCCCTGATGACTGCCCCAGGGCTCACTGTGTCCTCCTGTAGAACACCCCAGGACTTTAACTTCTCACCCCCAAACACGGGGAAAAAAGCTCCATCTATATAGGAAAGATTTTCTCCCCTTTTTTATTGTTGTTGGCAGGGACTAAAATGTATGAGGGGAATAAAATATTTTACTATGTCAATAAAAATTTATGTTGCAAAATGGAGAAAGACAGGCTTGGGGTGAATTTCTCTGTAGTGGTTTCTAAAAATACATGTCAGTTCCAAAAGCTAAAAAAAGAAAGATGAAAGGAAAGCTAAGGATAGGCACGCAGGGGAGAGAAGGCTGCCCTGTGTTTATATGTCCGGCTTTCCAAGGCTCTGGCTCTGCTCTGCAATGTTTGTTCTACTTCTGGGAGCACAGCTTGACCTACCCAGGACGCTTCACACTGAAGTGATGCATGTACTGCTTCCAAGATCTGGGGTCAGGCCACTCACAGTCAAAGAAAACCCATTACTGTGCATAAGCTACTCAACCACCTTATGTCCTGGTTTTCTCATTAATAAACCTTATGTCCTGGTTTTCTCATTAATCAAATGGCGATATTAATGCAATCTTGCAGGGAGAATGAGAGAAGAGAACAGAAAAGCAAAACCCAATTCCTGGCAGCTAGTGAATATTGAGTGAATCACATCTAGATTTAATTCCCATCAACAGGAATATACCTAGAGGATAGGGAGGAGACAAAACCCTTGGGAGGCCACCTTTGGGATTAAAAATAGTGAAGGAAACACTGAGAAGCCAAGAACCCTGACTACGAGAGAAAGGAGGCTACAACAGAACACAGAACTACAGAGGACAATCGTGTTTGTTATCCTCATTGGAATCTGAAACAGCCTGGTAGGGTAGGCAGGCAAGCGTCAACATCCTCCAGCACTGGTAGAGAAGAGTGACTCGCCTGAGGCCACAGGGCTAATAAGTAGATGGGTGGGGCTGTCACTCACTTACCTGGGAATTTTCAAGCATCTCGTGTTTTAGGGAACAAAGGAATGAGTAGTGAGTTAAACAGATATAGTTTTTTACTTCATAGAAACTGCTTCATTGGAAAATGCAGGCATTGACTTAAAAAAAATTAAGTATAAGAACTCCTACATAAGGAATAACAGTGTAAAGCAGAAGCATTTGACAGATTATTGGCAACTATATGGTTCCTATATTCCAGAGAGCTTCAAGATGCCACAAGAGCTAGAGATCAAAAATGAAATTTTGACAAAGCAATCTGTAAAGATCTAGATAAGGAAAATTAGGGGAAAAGAGTAAGGATATAAGTAGTTCTCAGAAGGGTTAAGATCTTTTTTAAAAAAACTTTTTCTGATTATAAAAATAAAACACGTTCATATGGAAACTATAAGAAGGTGATAAAGTTGAAAATCATAATCACCTATGATTACACTCTCCAAAGATAATCAGTAACATTTTGATGTATTTCCTTTGAGGATTTTTCCCTTGCATATTTATATTTTTATACATAATTGGGATCTTACTGTACATACAATTTTGTGCCTGATTTTTCCATTTATTATATTGCATCATTAAATATCCTTTGAAAACATGATTTTAATGGCTGCATAAATAATTCATTTAACCTTCCTCCTGGCTGCACTGGTAAGTGTTCAATGTCCAGATCAAAGGAACAAAGAGCCGTCATGCTTGCACTAGCCAGATTGTGTTTGGGGCACTGTGTTTCCACACCTGAGAGCAACATCTTCAGTGGGACACTGTCCAAGAAAATTTCATCCTCAGAGTGTCCTGGAGGAAGAGCATTCAGGAACCACTTTCTGTTTATTAAATCCTTCATTCCTGCCCCATGACTGAGAAATGAGGACTGTATTGTTTGGATTTGAGAAGACTTAGCAGGGACTTGAGACCTCTCCACAAACATGTTAAGAAACTTAAGCGAAAGAGAGTGTGTTTATTCAGTTTTGCTCTAGAGATCGAGAACTAGGAAGGCTCCTGGGTGTTCCGAAGAGGCAGCAGTTAGACTTCACAGAAAGAAGCCCTTGCTTCCTAACAATTGCAGCAAAAATTGAGAGTGAGCTCCTGTCATTTGCAGCGTTCCAGAATGGATCTGAAAACTCCTCACCAGAGGTATGGCAGAGGAGATGTCTGGCTGTGGGTGGGAGTTCTGGAGGAGTTGGGGGAAAAATAGAGCACAGCAGAGTGGGGGTAAGAATGAACAGTTAAGGGATGAGGTGAGAGGGGAGTGCGCCCCCCATCAGCCTGTCTCACCTACGCAGCACCCCTGAACTGAGACACAGCGACTCAGAACTTCCAGCCATTCAATGGCCTGTCCAACTCTCATTAGAAGTATGGGCAAGGCTGAGACTACGGTTTCTAAATTTTCAAGTCCCATTCTAGTGATCCTCCTCCTTCACCAAAGCATAGAGAATATGCAAAAGGATGGCAGGAAAAAAATCAAACGCAGACACGTAGTTAGCTTTCTCCCCCGCCACCCTCTGGCCACGCACCTTTAACTCTATAATGTCAGCTTCCTCTTTGGTCAAAGGAGAGGAGCATCCTTTGAGGATCAACACCCGAGGAGGAGGCCTGTTAATGCAGCACCACCTTATTCTCTGGTGGGCCCAGAGGGAGGCTGGTTTAACTCAATCAGCCAGGTGATGCGCAAAGGGGTGAAGCAAAATGCATAGAAAGGATGAAGGCAACAGGTGTGTGGGTCTCAGCCACTGTGGTAGAAAAAGCTTTCACAAAGCTTCTGTGGTAAAGCTACAACTGCAAAGACATCACGGTGCCTAAAAATACGTCAAAGATTGCTCACTCCTGGGCTGAGACCTAAGAATAGCTTAGCTCCCTTTGACTCCATGTAATATTCTGATACAAGTGGCATGCCACGTCTTACAGTGTGGAGGCTGTGTCCACATGAACAGCATTTTCACTCTCCACTTCACCCAAGCTGACTGAGCATGTACTCCTGTCACATTCACCACACAGGTGGTGCTCCACGCCAGGAATCCGGGAAAGGGGAAAGAAATGTATATGCGGATGAGTGGAATGGTGGGGCCAGGGGCCACATTCCAATGTTTATAGTCAGAGATGACTAGAGATCACCTATGGCTGTTCTCCCCTACGAGAATGGGAAGAGACCTGAGAGATCCCCTAGGCCAATGTCCCCAGTTGAAAGGGAAGGGCTGAATAATGAAATGACTTGCACAGTCACAAGTCCCCAAGAGCTGCCTATAATTTAACCTTGCATTTCACAGCCCAGCAGTGCAAGGTTTTGAGCAAATGGGTAACACTTGGGGAGAATTTTAACTAGGGGATTAAAAAGCAGAGCCAGGTGACGACCAACCAAAGAACCTGTAAGAATATGATTTGTCAGAAAATATCAGCTCATGGTATTCAGAAACTGAGGAGTGGCCGGGCATGGTAGCTCATGCCTGTAATCTCTCTCACCTTGGCCTCCCAAAGTTTGAGTTTGGGAGGCCGAGGTGAGCGTATCGCTTGAGCCCAATAGTTTGAGACCAGTCTGGACAACACAGCAAGACCTAGTCACACAAAAAAAACAAAAACAAAAACAAAAAAAAAACAAAAAGAGGAGTAATGAGTATACATGCAAAAATGAAGTAATTCAGGATATCCTCAAAGCTGGAAATGTGTTCCTGAGCACAGTAAAAAAATGTGAGCAATGCCATTCTAGAAATACTTTTCACATAAGCTACAGCTTCTATCTCTGTGAGTTTAACATGTCCTTCCTTTTAGATTAAATGTAAATGCATAAAGTTAACCAATCATGCTCATTATACACTGACTTATGCAGACAGGGATATGTGTAATTACTACCAGCATTTCAACAGAGACTACTCTGTCAAAAATGACAGACAGATAGCTAAGATGGTTAAGGAGTGGATAATGAATCAATCTATTTAGTCAACATTATTATGCTTAAAGGGAAGTCAGAAACTCCCCCAAATGATTCTTGTGTTGTTGAAAACCTGTCAAATCAAAATATTCTTAATGTGAAATTAAGAAGAATTTTGCTGTTTGTAGATTCCCAGGCAAGGAGAATGAAAATAATATGTAGATAACACACCATTGTTAGATTTATCCAAACAAGAGCTTTTAATCCACCAAGGCTTAAAAACACATAAAAGGAGGGTGGTAAATTTCGCTTTACTGATGCACGCAACTGTGGAATGCCCGGTTCAGAATCACATCAAGGATTATGTCATGCCCTTTTTCTGACAGTTAATGAACCTCTGAAGTAAGAGCTTTTCTATTCTTTTCACACCAGATATTAGTCTTCATTTGAAGGCTGATTCTTGCTAACATCTGATTTGCTTAATGAACACTGAATAGTTGGTCAATTAATATTTCAATTGTGATATCTTTTTTCAATCTACTAAAAAAGTAACAAGGTTAGTTAGCATCCTCAGTTACTTTCCTTGAAACAGACACCCACTGATATAGATCTGCGTATAGAGGCAACTGGAAACCAAAACATGCCAAAGTGTTGGGGCTCCCAGGGTAAGTGGGCACCTGAAAGTGGGGTCAGTATAAGCGATGCTGGTACTGGAACAGCTGAGACTAGCTTTTATAGAGTAAGCTGGGAGGGGAGGGAGTGGGACTTCAGTGATAAAACAAGTAGGTAAGGAGGTAGAGGAAGATAAAGGATAAAAGGAGATGGGCCTGCTTGCAAACTTTAAACATCATCCAATTAACAGTAACTATGACATTAACAATATACAGGATGTAATTCCTAGCTTTTAGCATGTTAATATGATGCCAGGTGCATTCAAATGAATACATTGTGTGTACACACACACACACACACACAGCCTGTATGAGCATTTTTAAAATCCTGGGAGGATATATGAGAAGCAGGTGAGACGGTGATTTCCAGATGTGGGAGGTGCAGGAATGCACTTTTCATCTTAAATCCTTCTGTATTTCTTGGGACTTTAGCCAGCCATGGGTATGTTATGCAAAACATTGTACATCTACAATTATTAAATATTAGTTGCTAATTATTATTATTACCACTAACCACACACATTTTATCTACCAAAGTTAGTCATCTATTCTTTCCCTTTAAAAAAGGTAAATGAATCTCAAAATGAGAGATGTTCAAGACTCGGTAAGTCATGTAGTCCATCTCCTTCAGAAAATGACAGCTCTTCTCAGGGCAACATAGCAGATGCATCAGCCTCTACACTGGTTCATGATGAGGGAGCCCAGGGGAGGGGAGGCAAAGCCACTGAATAGAAAGGGAAACTAGGCTGGTTGTGGTGGCTCACACCTGTAATCCCAGCATTTTGGGAGGCCAAAGTGGAAGGATTGCTTTAGGAGTTCCAGAACAGCTTGGATAGCGAAAGACCCCATCTCTATGAAAATTTTAAAAAGGAAACAGGGGGATTAAAAGTTCCGGGGTAGAGCACACAAGGCTGCATGCACAGAATAAAGGGTTGGAAACAAAACAACACAAATGAGTACTGAAGAGAGCTAAGGATTAAGAGACGTTAGAATCAGCTATATAGTGAGGCCAAGTCTACATATGTGTAATCATATGCTCAATTTATTTATTTATTTTTAAAACAGCCAAATTCAAGAGGGATAAATGCTCAATTTAAATGTTCGTGTGTCAAGATGGAAGCCCCATAAAGGGTAAATATATTTTCATACTGAAGAATTTCTTGGGCAAAATGACTATTTTATCAAATGGGTGAAAGTTAGTTAATGGGGTTTATGTGTGTGTGATGACACATCCATTTAGAGATGAAGTGCCTGGTCACGTCACTTCTAAAACATGAGATGTCTCTTCTCACATTGAGGCATGGGACTTTTCACTCAGCATCCCTTACATTCTATGTAAAAGAAAAAGAAAAAAAAAAAACCTAATAACAACAAAAACTATGCTTTGCAAACCAGGGGGCTTGGAATGGCCCTAAATTATGGTAACTGCTCTAGGTGTATAAAACAGAGCAGAAGGGAAGAAACTCCAACACAACCAAGTCTGAACTCATCATCCTGGGCCTGGAAGTCTGGGCTTCTTCCGAAGTTCCCTATCTCAATGACAGGTGTCACCTTCCACTTGGCTGAGCAAGCCAGAATCCTGGGAGTTATATTTGACACATCTTTCTTCCTTGGCCCCCATTATCAATCCATCACCTGGTACTCTTGATTTTACCTTCTAAATATATTTCAGATCCTAAATTAGTCCAAATTACCATCATTTCTCCTCTGATTTACTGCAACATTCTCCTAACTGGCCTCCCAGTATTCAGGCAAGCTTGTCCAACCCACCTTATGTTGTTGTTGTTGTTGTTCTGTTTTGTTTTGTTTTTAGGCTTTTATAGTCTCTTATAGTCTGTATTTTAGCAGCCTGAAGCCATCCTTTTTAGTTTCTCTCTAGTGATAATGGGAAAAGAGGGATGAGAAAGGGGTTCTACTGGCCTAACCAGAAATAGAAACTAAGAACCCATGACTGTATTCTCTTCTTTGGACACCCCTGTGGACTTTCCAATTCTTTTTCACTAGAGCCAAAAAAAACCTACTTCATAACAAATCTCTTTGACTTCTGCTCAAGATAGTCCAAGGGGGCTTCCTCCTGCTTTTAGAATAAAACCCCAACCCTATAAGATGGCCTCAAGGCCCCACCCAGTCTGGCCCTTTCCTTCTTCTCCAGGCTCATGATTTACCTCCTCCAGCAGCTGCACTTGCCTTCCCTCTGCCCTGTGTTTAGTGAACTCACCTTACAGATCTTCATTCAGGTCGCACTGATCACCCATCTAGATAAGATGTTTATTTCTAGTTACATGCTCTTACTGGATCATATTCCTGTCATCCCAGGACTTCTCTCAATTCGAAGCACATCTTTTATACATGCTGCGTATGTCACTCTCTCCCACTAGATTGTAAACTCCATGAGATCAAAAACCATTCGAATTTTACTGCTATCATTTTCCCAGAACCCAGCATGATGGGTGGCATGTAGTAGGTGCTCACTGTAAGAAAACTTGGGGGCATAAGGCTACCATCATGGAAGGATAAGGTATTTCTTGACTAGAGAATCCATGTATGACCATATGCAGGTACCCAGATGCGGCTTATCAAGGCCAGCCCTGCAGGAATTCCCTATCTACCAAAAGAAGGGCCTTCATGGGAAGCATTAGCCTTCCCCATCTTTATGAGTCCCCAACTCTAAGAAGAAAGAGGACTTGAGCACCACACATACTATTTCCTCATCCTCATTAGATTTCTCCTGGAGGGAACCTACTCTTAGACACTGGTTACATTTTTGCCCTTTTAATTTCATGCAAAACAAAAAACAAAAACAAAAAAACCCAACAACAAAAAAGCAAAACAAACATAAAGCCCTGTACAAACACAACTAGTTGTTACAGTACATAGTCAGTCAGGTATGAGCAGGGCGGAAGAGGCCTCCTCAGCCCCTGCCACATACACCAGGAGTGTAGGGCGACCATCAGGTGATGGTCAGGTTGTTAACTGTCTCGCTAAACTAATAATTGGTCACAGCTGGCACCAGGGAAAGGCTGTCTCCTAATACATGGGAAACACCTGAAACTGGTGAGCAGCAGCTTCTGGATAAGATCTCAGGAGTGACGAGAAGGAATGCAATGCCCCAGAAGTATGTCAGTGTATAAGATCCCAAGTCAAGAGGTGAAGCTGCCCATGTGGTCTCTCAAGTCACCTGCTTGGCCCTCTTCCAAGTGTCCTTTCCTTCCTTTCATTACTGCTCTAAAGCTTTTTAATTAACTTTAACTCTTGCTCTAAAACTTGCCTCAGTCTCTCCTTCTGCCTTATGCCCCTGAGTCAAATTATTGTCTTCTGAGGCAGCAAGAATTGAGGTTGCTGCAGACTCATACAGACAACTACCACTGCTTACATAATGATATGAGATAAAGTTCCAGCATAAATAATATAGAAAAAAGGTTTTACTAGTATTGAAATACATTTTAAAACTGTAAGGAAAATATTAAATTCATATGCGATACATAAATTATTTCAAAATTCATGTAGGGAACAAAATAGGAAAAGTTACAGGGTCTAGTGTGGCCACTTGCAGCCTGGTCTAAGGGTTATAGTGTGATGAGACAGTCTTTACAATATATATACATATAATTTTAGAGTCTCACTTAATATCAATGGCACTCACATCCACATTCTTTCCATAGTTCTCTTATAGTCTGTATTTCAACATGACTTCAGGTGTTGGCTGCTTAGAACATAAGGACTAAAGCCTGGCTTGTTTTGTGCCAGTCACTTTCTTTTATGGTGTAAATCAAAGAAGCTGCTTTAGATGATTCAATATTATCTGTTACTCAGGGGAAAAGAATGATAATATAACACATAAGGCAATCATTGGGTCAGATTATTTATTTTTTTGTTTTCTTTTAAGACAGGGTCTGGTCCTGTCACCCAGACTGGAGAGCAGCGGCAGAATCTCAGCTCATTGCAACCTCGGCCTCCCAGGCTCAAGTGATCCTCCCACCTCAGCCTCCTGAGTACCTGGGACTAAAGATGCATACCACCATGCCTGGCTAATTTTTTGAAATTTTTTTGTAGAGATGGGTTTTTGCCATGTTGCCCAGGCTGGTATCAAACTCTTGAGCTCAAGCCATCTGCCTGCCTCGAACTCCCAAGGTGCTGGGATTCCAGGTGTCAGCCACTGCGCCTGGCCTAGATTATTAATTAAAGGCTAGAAAGAGTAAATATCTAGCATGTTTTAAAAACATAACCTACAAATATAACTATGCTACTGGAAGTATGCATAATTTAACTACCCCTTCCCTTTTTGCTGATTTGTTAGTCATAAATCTACAAAAGGCATCTTTTATTTTATTTTTTTTAGAGACAGGGTTTGGCTCTGTCACCCAGGCAGGAATGCAATGGTGTGATCATAGCCCACTGTAACCTCAAACTTCCTGGGCTTAAGGGTTCCTCCTGCCTCAGTCTCCCAAGGAGCTAGGACTACAGGTACACGTCACCATGCCTGGCTAAATTTTTTTAAATTTTTTTGTAAAGAAGAGGTCTTTCTATGTTGCCCAGGCTGGTCTCAAACTCCTGGACTCAAATAATCCTCCTGCTTTGGTGCCCCAAAGCGCTGGGATTTCAGGTGTGAGCCACCGTGCCTGGCCCAAAAGAGATCTTTTTCAGGCACAGATCACACCAGCTTTAATTACTCGTGGAAAAATCTACTTTGATCTGAAAACTATGCATATAACATTATTCAACATATTGTACTATTTTAACCTTTAGAAGAAATTAAACATTATACAAATATAAAATTCTATAATGGTATTGGATAAAACATCTAAAGCACAGAAGACTTTCAAATATATCCTCCATTTTATAAAAGGCAAAAAATTAGATGATAGAGGGAAATTGATTTGCAGAAACACACACAACCAACAAGCATTATAGCAGGCAATAGCTTCCAAGCATTTCACTCACTTCTTAGCATAGAACACTCTCTGTAGGGAAGATTAGAAACTGAAGGACAAAAATACACTCACTCCATTCTCTCTGCCTTTTCTTCTATCATTCCTCTTCTCCATTTGCCCACATACTCTGACCTCAAAATTATAATTTATTTAATAATGCAAAAGGCAAGATTTATTACTGGTTCTTTCTCACCCATGAAAATTAACTAACTTCTTTTAAATAAGGTACAAAAAGGAAATAATAAAATGAAGGTAATGTTGCTCATCAATAAGTAGATAGTACTGACTTCTTCTGGATATATCTATCGAATAAGAATCTAAGTTCACTCTATTGCCAAAATAATTTAAATCCCATGGTCGAAAAGGAACATAAACTCTTCATTGATTTATGGGCCTCATATCTTCTGGGATGTGTCACCAATTTATGTGCTATATCCTGGGGTGTTAGCACCTGGGGTTGGATAGAGGTGAAAGATAATGGCTTGTAAACAGGCAGCTCCCTGTTGACAACTCGCCTCAGGAAGCTCTTGCCATTCGCCATATATTTCAGAAATTGTATGCAGAAAGCTGTGCTTACAAATGCGCTACAGGAAAGGTCAGCTCTGGAAAATTTCAGACATTTCTGAAACATGCATATAGCAACCTGATTATACTACACTTAGTCATGGTATCTAGATTTGAGATAAAAATAAAATTACAGCAAGAAACGATTTAAAAGTGTAAAATTTTGCATCATAGGCAGCTAACGTACCATTTTCATTTAAAGAGTAATCGAAGGGTCAATAATGAATGGTGACAATCTGATATTACGATGTGAAGTGATAGTGACATCTGGCCACGTTAGTTATTAGAAGAAACAAAGAATTTTCATAATGTTTATATTTTGTATTAAATGGAAGTTGATTCAGCCCTACCCTAACATTTAGATATGATGTCATGGATATTCATAATTTGGTGCTGAACATTCATGGGTAAGCCTGCCAAGGCCACTGGAGACATTTCCCAACAGTTCTGCTCTCAGGCTGGCACAGGGGACCAGCAGGTGCGCCAATGCCCTGACTCCCTTAACCCTCTCTCACGACAGACTTCTCACTCTCATGGCAGTGAAATAGCAGGTAATGATCGACTTCACCTGAACCAGTGGTTTCAAAGTTTTTCAGGGCCAGAGATCTCCTCGTTTAAAGAAAGTTCACATATCTATAGAAAGAGAGGTTTCTGATTTATTTAAAAAATAAATAAATCTCACAAGAAAGCTAAAACATTGAAGGCTTGAGTTTTCCCTGGAGCTGCTTGCTAGAGCTCTGAGGAAAAAATATTCTTTACCTAGAAAGGACATGAAACTTCATGAACTCAAATTTTAAAGCACATGATCCATTAAGAAAAAGTTGACAAATTGGGCTTCATCAAAATGTATAACTTTTGCTCTTTATACACTATTAAGAAAGTGACAAAACAAGACACGAACCAGGAGAAAGTGTTTGTAAATCAAAGATCTGATAAAGGATATGTACAGACTATTTAAAAAATTCCCACAACTCAATATAAGAAAACTCAATAAAATGTAAAATATATTACTGGTTTGAATAGGCTTTTCATCGTAGAAGACAGATGAATGGCTAATAAGCACTTGAAAAGATGCTCAAATCATTAGTCAATAGGGAAACATAAATTACAATACCGTGAAATAACACTATACATCCACTACAATGGTTATTGTCCAAAAGACTGACAACACAGGTGTTGGTGAGGATGTGAAGAAACTGTAACCTCAAATGTTGCTGGTGGGAAGATAAAATGGCACAGCCACTTTGGAAAACAGTTTGGCAGTTTCCTATAAAGTTGAACACACACTTACCATATAACTTAGTAATCTCACTCCTAAGTCTTTACCCAAGAGAAATGAAAACACATGTCCATACAAAGCCTTGAAAGCAAATTTCACGGCAGAATTATTTATAATAGCCCCAAACAGGAAATAATCCAAATGTCCATCAACTGGTGAATGGATAAACAAAATGTGTTATATTCATACTATAAAATGGGACATTATGCAGACAGGGAGTAAACATTGCAAAGCGTCTGAAAAAGGACTTGTATCTAGAATACACAAAAAACTCTTCTAAGTCAGTAACCCAGTTGACATCTCTCTTCCTCAACGTGACTTCTTTAAACACTCTGGCCCATCACAATTGCTTCATTCCCCGAATTTACTGTCAATAACCTCCACTGGGTGTTTTTCTTGTAAAATATTTCAGATGAGCTCCTGGTGGTGGTGAGGGAGTATAACTGCATCAGTGTGGAGCAGCATAATACATCAGTGGGCTGGGATGGGATGTGACTTCCCAAAGCTGAGATGGGCTCACTGATGAGAGATGTCTGCCACTGTCTTGGCCACTTGGCCCAAAACTCCAGAGCACCTCAAAGTGTAGACACCGACGAAGATCCAAAATTGCTTCCCAAGATCCCATAGCTGAAAAAGTTTCTGGGAATGGCTTTTTTCTTAGTCTTTCCAACTTCCTTGGGTATTGTATTTTGCCTCCAGAACATCCATGTCACTCCTCCTACATCTGTGTTTACACATCTCTGAATCCCCCATGATGCCTAACACAGTGTTCAACACATAGCTCAGAACGGACAACATCACTGGATACTCCCAAACATGGAGTGGATTTGGCTCATGGTGCCCGCTGCCCATGGGTTTAAGCAGGCTCACCCATGAATATTCAGCACTGAGAAAAGATGATGAAGTCCTGGAAATTAATAACACTGCTCTCAAGTTCAAGGTAGTTATTTTGATTCTTTAGGCTGAAGATGAAATGCTATACCTGAGTCTCTCCTGGAAAGAAAAAAGTGGGAAGGAAGTGCCAGGAACCTGTCCTTTGGGAATAAGTTCCCAATGCCAATCACCTTGAGATAACTGCCAGCACAGAAAATAAGAGAAATACCCTCAAGTGAGGGAGGTATATATTTGAAGAAAAACGTAACTGTCAGTCTGTCTTTGTGGCAACTACTGAATCTCCTGCATGGGACATCAGGGCAACGACATACTTTCTCCAGAGGATCCCCAGTGATGAGTGGAAACTGTCGCTATGATGCCTACAGAATTGGGGTCAGTGAGACACACACAATTCGTAAAACAAAGGAACAAGATGCAACTGCAACTTGAGTAAAGGCTTCAACATTTCATTCCTATGTCCAAGGCTGTAATGTAAAAAGTCATATGAGTTACACAAAAGGAAATAAAATTCTAGGACCTGGGAAGTACCACCTCCATGGACTTCAGAGACAGTTCACGAAACTTGTAAGACTAGTCAGGACCCCAGTGAAAGGCACAAGGTTTACAGAGTTGATGAATCAAATGAAACCTGACCTTAATTAGGAGCCCCTGCCCAATAACTGCAGGTTTATTCTTCAAAGGCATAACCAGATTCTATGCCTCTAAAATGGCCTTCAGATTCTATGATTATTTCTTCTTAGTAGACTCCTAGCCAATATGGTAATATTGTTTCCCCTTGATTGGGCAAAGTCTATCTACTTATCTATCGATCTTATGTAAATTGTGTTTATAAAGGTGCATCTGTGTTCTGTAAATATTATACTGGTTTACATACTGTTTTTGAAAATGTCTGAAATAGGAGAATTCAAGCTAACTAATGTCTGATTTATTAAAGTTATGGGCATTAAATGCCTAGAAAAATTGTGACATTTGTGAGAAATGTATATATTAAATTTATAATCATAGTTAAAATGTCCAAGGAAATTTGGCTACATAAACATAACGGTTAGGATTTGATTTATGCATCATGTGAACATTAATCAAGGAACAAATGAGTTTGTTCTTTTTTTATGCAAATATTAGATTTATAAATAAAATTTGTCAGATAAATTTAAACATTTAGAAAAGTAAATTTAGACACTCTTTTACATGTATAAAAGGTTTCCCTCGTAACTAAAAATTAACTGGAATTTGGTGAAGCCTTTCATCTCACGGATTCCCAACTCCACAGTCAAGATAGAAAAGCGAGAGAACCCTAAAGAGTGAAAGGCCATGTGGGCCATGCCTGCAGACCTCTAAACCAAAGAAAGTTTCCAAAGCCTTCTCTGGCAAATGTCCACTGATTCCAAAAGAACCAGAACTTCCTGGCAGGGAGGGGGAGAGGGAAGAGGAGAAGGGCAGCCCTCTGGAGCACACATAACACAAATGGTCTGGGATGGGACAGGGCTTCCAAAGCTGAGGTGAGCTCACTGACAAGGGGTATCTGCCAATGCCATATATGCATGGCTACCTGACCTGAACATCTAGGACACCTCAAAATCTAGGAGGCAAGAGGGATCCAACAATGTTTCCCGGGATCCCACAGTAGAGAACGTTTCTGGGAACAACTCTGTTCTAGTTTCTCAAACCCACTTGGATATTTTCTTTTGCCTCTGGAATACCCAGATCTCTCCTACACCTATGCTTGCCAAGCGAGGGCTTGTGCGGGGCTCAACACTGAAACGGGTTTTACACCATGTCCTACTGGATCTGTGTTTTCCCTTAGAGCAGGCACAGCGTCTTCTACCTCAGCTGCACTAAGCCACAAAGAGCAGAACTTCTAAGGCAATAAGCAATGGAACAAGGGGACTAACCTGCAATCAGGACCTACCTCTGTCACCGTGTATTTTGAGGAGCTTTTGTGCGACTTGGCAAGTAACACGTCTGTGAAATGAGTGTGAACTTACTCTGGAGCAGGGTTTGTTACAGAAAGCCACTGAAATAACACTGAAAAAATACACTCAGAAAACACAAGCATAAATGTAGGGAACTAGGCTATTATAAAGTCTAAAAGATGCTGGGACTACCTTATAGCAAGTGGGAATGATAAATGGACCCAGCAAAATCTCACAAGTACAGGTTCTCATCTAATCTGACAAGTAGGCATGAAGTTCTGAGGACACATCTTCTAACTCCAAATTTCAAGACCAGAAAAGGTTAGTATAAACTAGATGGGAAGGAAAAAGAAAAAAAAAGTTCTACATACTAAAGTTAATATTCTAAAAAATTGGACTTTTCCTACTATATGTCAGGCATTTAGTTTATTTGCTCCTTTCAAATTAGTAGGGGAAAAAAACTGGGGCTGGAAAATTTAAGCAAACTGCCTTTATGTGAGAAAAAAACATTGGCTGCAAGAACCTCAGTTTGCATTGCACAGCCCTCAAAACTAAAGGCCATAACTACTCACCCCCAGAATCTTGAAGAGTATTGTTTTCATGCTTCTTTCACATTTCAACCAAAGCTGAAAAATGTAGCCAGTCCTCATGGAAATTTCAGTGATGGACTCCTGCTATCAAATTTCTAAATGGTCCTGTTTCTCTTCTCATGCCCAGTGGTGAATGTTAAGTGAGAACTCAAGTGTCCACCGTACCATTCTCCTCCCTCAAAGTGAGCTCAAAGTTCAGAGGAAAGGAAGCAGTCATCACTCTACTGTAAACAGGTGCATGCTAGAGGATCCCAGGTTTTGGCAGAGGCTAACAGAGACCCTGGAATCTTTATGCTCATTGAGTACTTTCAGGTGGGCAACTTTCATGCCCATCAAAATAGTGGAAGGCAAAAAAATTCATCAGAAGTGTGTCCCAATTTCATAGACTGACAGATGGAGGTGTGTAATAATACACCTTTTATTACTTCCCTTGACAGCTACAGATTGCATGTGGAGTTTAACTGGGCTGATACACACATTTTGCAGGTGCATTGTTGAGAAAGAATTTTTTGCACATTTTTTCTGGCTAGCACAGAAATAAAGTACCTAGGTAGGGAAAGACATTTCCTGATAGTTCAAAGAGCGTTTCTCCTTACTGCTCCAAATGCTCTCTCCAGTCACATAACGCTAACGTAAGCATTTTTAACGCCTGCCAAAATTCTCAAACATGGATAGGCCAGCCTGCATTAAAGGATTCTCATCTGTTGGGTTTATGAAATGATTTGTAATCATCAACTCTATAAATATGGGAATGTAACTTTCTTTACTAAAGCATCAGGCTCCATAAGGGACTCTATTTGTGTCATACATAGATAAATAGCTTGGGATGATTAAACTTGATATCCTAAATTTGATTTTCATAGGAAACTGAAATTGCACTGTACCCTTAAAGCAGTTCTAGTTAACCAGTACCTGAGGCTTAGAGAACTAGTTCTTCAGTAGCCAGTAACATTGGGGTCACACTACATTTGATGAATAATTTGATGAATAATTCTTCCCAGTGGCACTCACATCTGATATGCACATTGTGTGGATTAGAGAGTTTTTGGACAAACAGAAGAAAAACATCATTTTCTACCACCAGTTGCTCATGCTACAGGTATATCACCTAATGAAAACAAGATTTCTCTGAGGAATGTGAAATGTAGTTAGTGTTTTCACCATATAATTATTCTGCCACGATCTTCAAGATACTGAGACAGAAACAAACCTGATTACATTTTTTTTTTACGTCCTGATGAAACTTTCCATTAGGGTACTGAGCAGGGTACCCATCTCCCAGACAACAGTTCTGATGTAGATGAATTATCAAAAGTGGAAGTGGGATGATCTTAGCAATTAAATCCATGACTTAAATAATGGTGTGTGGGGCTGGGCACCGTGGCTCATGCCTGTAATCCCAGCACTTTGGGAGGCTGAGGCAGAAGATTAAGTTGAGCCCGGGAGTTCAAGACCAGCCTGGGCAACATGGTGAGACCCCATCTCTACAAAAATATCTTGGGACTTCTCAGCCTCCATAATCACAGAGCCAATTCCTTATCATCTCTTTCTACAAGTGTATCTCCTATTGGTTCCGCTTCTCTGGAGAACCCTGCCTAATACAATATTATAAGGGGAAAAAAACTTCCCCTATAGAGTCAGCAATAGTGAGCTGAGGAAGCCTCATTCATCACCAAAGTAAGAGAGGGAAGAGGCTACAGCAGCTAACAACGGTGACACTGTTAGAAAGTATATGGAACTTGAAACACAACACGATTGAATTATTCCTACTAGGAGCCTGGAACGGGGAACCAAGAAGGCAAGAGATTAGGATATTGCAGTGGGGAGCACAAAAGGAGGAAAGATCAGACAAAATAGAGAAGACCTGCACAAAGATGAATTCAGTTTTTGTTTTGTTTTTTTCCTGAAGAAGTTATTAGGCCAATGGCAGTGGCTCACAACTGTAATCCCAGCACTTTGGGATGCCGAGGCGGGAGGATCACTTGAGCCCAAGAGTTTGAGACCAGCCCGGGCAACGCAGTTCGACACCATCTCTACAAAAAAATTAAAAAAAAAAAAAAATTAGCCAGGCATGGTGGCACAGGGCTGTGGTCCCAGCTACTCAAGAGGCTGAGGCGAGAGGATCACCGGAGCCCAGGAGCACAAGGCTGCAGTGAGCTGTGATCACACCACTGCCCTCCAGCCTAGGCGACAAAATGAGGCCCTGTCTCAAAAAAGAAAAAAGAAAAAAAAGACATTACTATTCACCCACATTTAGATAGATGCGTCCTTTCCAATCTATGTGAATTCATGCCACTCCATGGTACCTGCCCCCCTCCAGGGCAACAGTTGTGGCCACATGGGCATATGCAACTGCTGTTAAGCCTCAAATCCTTATCAAAAATGCTAAGTGACAGCTAACCAAGCTGTAAAGAGTTTTGCTTTTTCATTCTCATTGATTTAAATGGCATGCGCTCCAGAAAACTCTTCTGCGGGTTAGCTTCTGTGTTCTTCTCACAACACTCAAGTGTACTTAAAATCATATTTGTTCTGGTTCACAGAGGAAGGAAATGGAGGGTGTCAAAGGAAAGACTTGCAGGATTTCAAACATTACAGGATCACAGACATTCTTTTCCAATGTAAAGACATTCCAGGAAAGCCTCAAACTGGCATGGTGTGTATAGGCTTATGATGTAAAAGAGAATTTAGGGTTCATTAATTCCTATCATGGCTAAAGACCTCACTGTTTTACCTGTTTAACTGTGCTCAGGTTTTGAAATTAGTGCTCAGAAGTCTTTCATCCCACCACCACAGTGTTCCTCACCAAAAGGTCTTCTGTCTTTTGCCAGCTCAATATTCACAGTCTTCACAAGAGAAGGCTAATTCTGAAACAACTATGTAGCCTGCACAGGGCTGGTGAAAGTCCAGGGGCCTCATTCTACCAATGGCTTTTCATGCCTCTCTTGCTCCTGCATATCCCTTCTCCTATTGCTTTAAATGTCCTTTCTTCCCCAGGGTTAAGAGTGGAAGTTCTAGAGACGGATTACATGTAATCAAATACTGTTTCTGAAACTTCTTAATTATGTGTGACCTTGAGACAATTATTCACCATGTTGTGCCTCAGTTTCCTCAACAGCAAAATGTGAAAAATTATAGTGCCTAGTGTGTAGGGTTATGAGGATGAACTGAGTTCATGGTTCCAGTTCTTGGAGCAGTGCCTGGAACATGGTAAATGTCAGTAAGTGTTACTTATTCTTCCAGCCCCAACAGGTGGTAGATTGCTTGTAGTTCAAGTATAGAACCACATGGGTTCTAGACATGGGTCCACGGTAGAGAAAGCATCCATTTACCCGCCTACCTCCCACCAAGACTGAGCAAGGATTACATCTTCTTTCTCTTTATGTTTCCAGCACCTAGTGTGGTAAGTAAGTGACACACAGCAGGTATTCAGTGAATGCAGATTGAGTGCTTGAAGGGATGACTAATTCTAACAAGGGGAGTATGTCACCTAAGGGATGCTGTTTATGAATAACAGTGGCAATGCAGTAAAGGGAAACTCCAGCTAGAACCCTGGTAAGAAACACAATTCACTGTTCTGGGATTTTTAAATAACTTACATTCATTTGCTTTAAAATCTTTCAAATAAGGTCACTTTTGTTTATATACTTGCCATTCTTACCAGCATAGAGAGAGGTAAGTATAACAAAACTAACTGAATCAATGTTTCTTCAACACCTGGAGACCAAAATCCTAGAAACTGTCTTTAGCAATTTCAAAAGGTTACATTTAATTTTCAAGTGCACATAATACACAATTATGACTATTAAAAAGTCGCTGAAAATATCTTTCCAAATACAAACAAAAGCAAAGCATCAACAGAGACCCAGAATGAGGCAGAAGTGATGACTACATTATTAAGGGTCAGCTCCCCAAACTCACACACCCCCCGAAAGGAGAAGGGATAACAGGATCAGCACCAGACTAACTCACTCTCCTCTCAGTCACGAGATTTGATTTCGGTGTCAAAAAAAACCCTCTGTGGAAAGTGCTCTTCTTGTGAAAACACCCTTCTAAAAAGCAAGCCCTGAAACAAAGTCAGTCATTACCCTGGCACACGTTCACTAGTTCCTCAGAATGAGCCCCAAGGTGTTTGCTGAGGGGACAGAGGAAGGAGGAGATGGAGACAGACCAACAAGACAGCCAGACACACACACACGCGCACGCACACACACACACAGAGTTCTAGTCTCCGCCACAGTAACGAAACTACTTAAATGCCACAGCCTTTCTTCTGTGTGACTTTTGTTACTCCCATGTGGAATATCCAAAGATTTAAATACACTGTCGAGTCAGATTAATCAAAGCCACATTCTCTAGTTAAGCATAAAGAAAAGAAAGTCATAAAAGAATTCAAATTTGTTCACATCTTGTAACAGGAAAGAATAGGTGGATTCATATCTGCTATGGTTTGAATAGGTCCCATCCAAAATTCAGGTGTTGCCAATGTGATAGTATTAACAGGTGGACCTTTAAGAGGTGATTAGGTCGTGAGGGCTGCTCCCTTATTTCTTGGCCAAATAACGTTTGGCCAAAAAAAGAATGTGGGAAGATCAGTCTAAGTTCACCTGGATATTATTTAGAATGATAAAGTCTATGAACCAAGTGAATGAGCTACTCAAAAAGCCAAAAGAAAAATTCTGAAGGGCTCAGTTACTTTGGTTTTTTTTTTTAAATTACTCTGGGTAGCAGGCACTCAAGGAAGCCTACTTACCACGATATCCTCAGGAAATGTGTCTCTGCTAAAGGAGCCATCATCAAACATGACCTCATAGAAGGTCTGCGATGTCACAGCCATCACTCTGCAACTGTAATACCGGGTGTTCCGATGCTTCGTGATGACCGTTTGACCCACGGAAATGACCTTCTCGCAAGCCTTGGACTTCTAAAAGAAGGGACACAAAAAAGGAAGAAAAGAAGTAAGAGAACAGGAAAAGAAAGGACGTAAAATAAAAAATATTCATTTGAAAAACAATCATTTATTTGGCCAAGATTTAAAAAAAAAATTTTTAACTTAATATTGAAGAATAATTTCAAACTTACAGAAAAGTTGCAAGAAGACAAATAGTATAAACACTACTTGTTTATACTAACACTCTTTACCCAGGTTCATCCATTGGTTTTGTGTGTGTATGCATATACAAAGAGAGAGAGAAAACAATATGTATGTATATATATACACACGTGTATGTGTATATGCAAATATATCAACTTCAGGACACTGAACACTGATAGGATACTTTAATCTCCATCTATACTCCAGTTGGTCAAATGATCCAATAATGGCCATTATGGTATTCACCTTCCCTACCCTCAAACTCCCAAGCACAGAATCCAGTCTAGAGTCAAGTATTGCATTTAGTTGCCACACCTCTTTAGGCTTCTTTAATCAGGACCATTTCCTCTGTCTTTGTTTATGGTAGTGCTACTTTGGAAGGATACAATTCTTCCTCTTCCTGCTTTTTAATAAAGCATGTGTCTTAAGTTTCCTCATGATTAGATTCAGGTTATACATTTTTGGCCAGAATCCCAAATAGGTGATGTTCTCTTGTTCTCAGGATATTCTGAAGGCACATGATGTTTGCTTACCCCTCAATGATAATGTTAATTTTGATCCTGATCAAAGTATAGTTCAATTTCTCCACTTAATTACTATTTTTCTATTATACTAAAGCAATCTGTGAAAGACAATTTCATCAGTATGTAAATGTCCTGTTCCTCTTAAATCTCTGTTTGGAATTAGTGTCCGTTGAGTTTTGTGCATAATCTTTACTGCAATGGTGGTGTATGCTGATTTTTCCTGCTCTATCACCCATCCACATTTATTACTTAGTTGACATTTGGTAAGCAGGAGTCTTCCATATTTCCCTGCACCCATCCATCCATCCAACCATCCATCCATCAATCCATCCATCCATCTTTCCTTCTATCCACCCATTGTCATTATGGGCTGATGAATTCCTCCTCCCCAGTTGTTTATAGTTCATACTTTACTTTATTATTTTGGTGTTCAAACTGTCCCAGATTTGACCAATAAGAGCCCCTTCGTACTGGTTCTTGTGATCTTTCTTTCTTTCTTTTTCTTTTCTTTTTTTTTTAACAGCAGTTCTTTACTATCTTGTCTGATAAGATGTTTCAGGATCATCTTGCACCAGTCCTGAAATTAGCCATTCCAGGAGTATGGTTCAGTTTAGAGGGGCAGTGACATTAGAAACTCAGATACAGGTGCTTAGGTATGCTCTTATTAGAGGAGTATCTTTGATTCTCAACCTTTCCAGTAGATGGAACAATGAAATACATGCATTTAACATGTGCACATATATGTGCATAAATACACACATGCGTATATCAATTTGCCACAAACACACATATATTGGAAATCACCAGTTCAGAGTGATATCCCTATTCATCCCTGCAGGTTCTTTCTTGCCTCCCTCTATTCCATATTTGTATCTTCATCCTTTTTCAGTGAAAACCTTGGCTTCTACAATATAAACCCATTTACTCATTTGCTCAATCCCTAAATACACCCAAGTAATTTTTAAGACCTGTAGAAGAGCTGTATTAATAGTTTTAGACTAGAAAAACTAACACAAATGACAATTCATTTTATTTTTAAATTAAGAATTAAGACTCAAGTTCAATTACCAGCTCATACTGACAACAGCTGGGTTGCAGTCCTTACCTAAGAATATGGGCATGAATTGTAGACTCCATCTTTATTTCATTTTCTCCCTCCCCCTCTTCTCCTTCCACACATATTCCTGGCATCCTAAAAAACCATGTGTAGGCCTCAGGGTATATACATCATGCTAAGGAAACAAGACTTAAGAATAAATGACTTCTCTCAGAAATACTCTGCAGAGTGATTGGCACATATTAAGTGCTCTAGAAATGTTAGTTTGTTGTCATTTGGGTTGTTTGTTTTGATTTTCAAGATAAGGCTATAGTCCCCGTTCCCCTTTCAGGAACTCCTACAAAGCCTGTACCTACTAGGAAGAGACTGCAGCCAACATCTAATGCCAAAGTCTGCTCTCAAGACTGGATCTTCTTTATACCAGCCTCAAAAGCTCAGGTATCAACTCTGATTTGTTTGATGTCATGAGCTCTGACCTGCTGGGAAGGCCCTGAACCAAGCTCATGGGAAGGTCCAGGCCTTCATAATCCCCAAGGGACCAAAATTAGCCTGACATGTCATCTGTACCTACAGAAAGCAGGGACTCATTAAACCCCAGTCTTTTCTTGCATGGATATTTAGAACACTCCTGGGAAATACAGTTTATCATCATCCAGAATCACTAGTCAATCAGAGGCTTTGCTTTTGTTTCCCCCGTGAATTTCAAAAAAGCTAAAACACCTTGTAGTGTACAGAGTGTTATGCTTATCTTTTTCTTCTAGAAACCAAACAAAGACATTCCCAGAGAGTCATTCATTCACTAATTTCCTCAACAGTCATTTGTAGCTAGCCAGTGGGCACCACATCTGATGTTGGAGAGTCAAATACACAAAACCACTAAGGCTATATTACTGTTTCCTGGAACAGGCCTACACAGGTATGTGCCATGAAGCCATCTCACAGGTGGCGTGAGAGAAGACTGATGGAACACATTCTAGCATGCCATCTACAGCAGGACTCCTCATTCCTGGGCTTGCAGCAGTCAGAATTAGGGGAAGAACACAATCAAGGACAGACAGAGTGACAGGCATGACCAAAGGCCCAGAAGCAGGAAACAGCCATTCTGTTGTGGGGAATGCAAGAGGTCTTGCTATGGTGTGCAAAGTAGGAGAAACTAGAGAAATGGCCCGGGGAGCAGGGGTCAGGGCACTGGGGGTGGGGGAGAACAGTTCTTATGCCATCCTAGGGAATCTAAATGTTATTCTGTGAACCTAGGAAGCCACTGAGGGGTTTAGATGTAGAAGACAGGTGATCCAGGTCTGTATGGCCATAGACAAGGGGCTGGTGGAGCTTAGTGCGACAGTATAGTGGGAGATGAGGGTCTGAAGAAAGGAACTGCGGACAAGAATGCTCATGATTTGGACAAAGGGGAAAGCCCCCTCCCAGCAAACATCTTCGTAAGGGTCTCTAACCATCTCTGTCATCTAGTGTCCCACACACCTGACAGAACAAAAGGATATTTCCCTTCTTTCCTTCCTGAAATCATTCCCCAGTGATTACTGGGTTGCTTGGGAAAATTTTCTGTACCTTTAGGTGTCGGTAGGTATGTAAACATTTGACAAAGCACAACAGTAAGAAGCCCGATTTAATTGCACTATACTTGAAGTAGAAATCTTTAACAGCTAGGTGACAGTATATAACATATACTGAAATAATTACGCAGTTTACGACTTTACCCCCATTCATCCCCTTTAAATATATCCAACCTTTTAAAGTAAGAGAGTGACTTGGATGTAGTAATTAATATGAGTGGAGGCACAGCATGCAGACTGATGTTGACTCCAAGATTGGGCCTGTGACAGCTACTTCTTACAGGTTACAACTAACTCTAGGAGGCCACATTCACAACCTGTGTGGCCACAGACAGTGGCCCTGAGTGATGTGGATTAGGGACACACACAGCTTCATCTTGGCAGAACTTTCTTGCAGATGTTGCCCTCTCTGTCAAACTGAAAAACAGTCATTGTCAGCATTACAAGCATTGTATTTTATTATGATATTAGTTATTTAGTGTATATTTTGTTAAAATTGGAAGTTGAATAAAAATTGTTTGCCCTCCAAGGGGACAATGTGTGGGGATTTGCATTATAAGCTGATTACTCTTACTAGCTGGATGATCTTGGGGGTGTTACATAACCCTCGTCAGCCTCAGTTTGGTCATCTGTGGAAGAAATTACACCTAAATCAAAGGGGTGCTATGAAACAGGATGAAGCACAAAGGAGGCCCAGCCTCATTGGGAGCAGACTCTCAGCAAATCCTAACCGGCTTCATCTAGGAAATGAAGAACATACTGAGACCTTCAGCTCAGGTGAGTCAACCACTTTCCTATGGTATCTGAGTCATTGGCATGGATGAGTGGGCAGCACCCTGACTTCTCACTGACAAGGATCAGTCCAGCCCCAAATCACTGCCAGGAAAACAATCCAGGCACCCACCCTTCACCTCACCCGCTCCAGTAGCCTCCGACTCTACTCTTGTCAAATTCAGGCACATGGCTATTGTCCCCAGGAAGGAAGGCATAATGTGGTCTCCTCTCCATCCCCAGGGCTCCCAAAGCCTTTGTTAACAACTCTCTTAAGACCCTGGCCACATGACTCTTTCAGTTACCATCCCTTTAATGACAGGGTAAACTCTACGAATCAGTGCCAGAACTTGTCTTTTTATCCACAGAACCCAGCACGGTGTCTGTAACACTGTTCCTGACAGATGAACAGTGAATGAATGAATGGATGGATAAATGAGTGGGTAAGTGAATAGGCACAGACAAACTTTCAAAATGGAAGAGGAATGAATTCTATCTGCTCCTGTCCAGAAAAGGGCAAAGAGAAGCAAAGGGGCACTGTAGAGTGATATCCCTATTTATCCCTACAGGTTCTGTTTCTTTGGTTTCTCTTTCTTTGGCTAGGTGTGCATGTATGTGGGTAGCGGAAGGGAATAAAGAAGGTTTATGGTGAAACTCACAGGGTCTGGAAAGTAGAAGAGGCTAGCCAAGGGAAAAGGAAGGTGATGCAGGCTTTATAAGGAAGAGGCTGGCTCCAGATCACAACCATTTTCTTCCTGCTTAGGATATGAAATTTATGCAGATTGGCTGGTTAGAAAAATGGCCAGTATATAAATTAAATACACAACCTTCATCTAAATAAAAATTCTCAGAAACTTCAGGCATGACCATTTCATGAGGAGTATTAAGGGAAATGGATTCTTTCATAATGCTATTTTGATAGGATTTCTGATTTATTTTTGCAGGAAAAATGTATTGACAAGCATACCCCATAACTGATTACATATCCTCAAAAATATTTCCTGTCAGAAAAGTCTAAGAATCTATTGATGTTAAGAATGTCATTTCTGATCAGAGAAGACAGGCATCATGCGAGGGCATCCATCAGATTAAAGAAATGGCTATGGTGTTCTGAAGATTAGTGTGTAAGCTAAGGCTGTAAAACTTGAATTTTCTTTAATATGAACTAAGCAGAAATGAACCAACAGTGGCTTAAAAAAATATACACGTCATTTTAAAAAATGGTAGGGCCAGTTAGAGATGCTGGGGACATGGCCAAAATGTTAAGTAAAAAAACGTTACAGACATTCCATAAAAGCATAAATAATTCCTAGGAACGATAACACATCTAGTTTCCAGCATATGTCCATATTCATGAGGTAATTAAATTCTCCCAATAATTTTGTGAGGTAGTTTTTATTTTGACTAAATAGATGATGTAACATCTACTGATACTCTTGACAAAGTCAAGTGACTTTTCCAAGATCTCAGAACAGTTTAGAAGTAGTCTAGAGCAGTGCTCTCCCATGACAGGTGATATGGTTTGGCTCTGTGTCCCCACCCAAAGCTCATGTTGAATTGGAATCCCCAATATTGGAGGTGGGGCCTGGTGGGAGGTGACTGGATCACGGGGGTGGTTTCTAATGGTTTAGCACCATCTCCCTAGTGCTGTCTTGTGATAGAGTTCTCACAGGATCTGGCTGTTTAAGAGAGAGAGAGAGAGAGAGTGTGTGTGTGTGTGTGTGTGTGTGTGGCATCTCCCACTGCTATCTCTTCCTCCTGCTCAGACCATATAAGATGAGCTGCTTCCCCTTTGCCTTCTGCCATGATTGTAGGTTTTCTGAGGCCTCCCCATCCATGCTTCCTATACAGCCTGCAGAACCATAAGTCAATTAAACCTCTTCTCTTTATAAATTACCCAGTCTCAGGTAGTTCTTCATAGCAATGCGAAAATAGACTAACACAACATAGGTGCTCCAGACCATCAACCAAAAGAATAAACATGGAAAGAAAAGGAAATAAAACCAACCAGAAAATAAGCATGGGAAAAAATGAGTGAAGAAATAAAACCAACCAGGAAGTAAACATAGAAAAACATGAGCAAGGAAATAAAGCCAACCAGGAAGTAACACCAATAGAATTCAAGCAGTGGCCTAAAGAAATTACATTTCCTTTTTTTTTTTTAAGCCTTCCATTGATTGAATGGAAGGTATTGTTCTAGATACTTGTTGAGGCACTTCCCATTTAAGATTTACTTACTTTCCCCAATATATCCACAGGGTTGGATTAGTAACTTGGATTTGGAGCATGTCTGGTGATAAAAATGCAGAATGTATATGCTCTCACTTTTCATCTACGTACACATATGTAAACACACGTGTACACTGTGGTAAATTTCCAAACTGCCCAAAAATCTTCACTCCTCCCCGTTTCCACATCCTGTGCATACGACTTTGTAGATCCTCCTATCAAGGACTGAAGTTTATTTCCCACCCTTTGAATCTGGCCTAGACTGTGGCTTAGCTTGCACTGGCCAAAAGAATATAGCAGAAGTAATGGTACACAGATTCATAGTCCTTCGTTCAAGAGGGCTTGAACACTTCTGCTTTCTCTCTAAGAACCTCAGACTCTGGGGTGTGAACAAGCCCAAGTTACCCTGTTGGAGATGAGAGATCACACTGACCACAGGCCATAAACCTGTGAGAGAACCCAGCCAAGATCAGACAAGCTATTCTGCAGCTGACCACAGATGCATGAGGCAGCATAGCTTAGACCAGAAGAACCCCTCAGCCAAGCCTAGCCTAAATTGATAACCCACAGAATCATGAGCTAAATAGTTATCACTGGTTTAAACCGCTAAATCTTGTGATGATGTGTCACTCACACAGATATGTATGCCTAGAAAAAAGGAACACTGAGAAAATACATACTAAAATGTTAGTGATGTATAACTCTGGGTAATGGGATTTATTTAGTACTTCTTTATGTGTTTCTCTGTATTTTTCATGGATTATATATTTAATAATTTCTGAAATACTACATATAAAAAACTAAGAGTCCTTCCAATTTTTAAAAATTCCTTAAATATCAGCCAGCCCATGTATAGTCAGAACTATTCAACTGATATGCTGAAAACAAAAATGAAAAACAGCTGACCAAGTGAGTTAGGAAGAAAACACCATCTCCAACATTTATTCTTCAGTTCAGTAAATATGATGTAAGAAAGACTTGAGAGAACGAACACTTTGTAAAGTGAAATGATAAAAATTTGGTCATAAAATTTCATCTGACTTACCTACATCTCATATTTAAGGCAAATGTGATATAAGAAAAAAATTGCACTTTTACTGTTTTTAATAATCACCACTGATTCCAAAGACATGTTGTTTCAATCAAATAAATAATTTCATTCTCAGGTTTGGGGCTGTATTAAGAAAAAAACTAATCAGGTCTTTTTGGAATTCATTACTATTCCTGTCCTTCCCATCATACTAAGCCACCTCTAAGGGACAGCACTAATAATAAGATCCAATTGTTCAAATGTAGAAGAGTTTTCTCTCCACTGATACCATGCTGCCTTCAATCAAGTGTGAACTTGGAAATTATACAGGCCCTTATAAGAAAACTCTCTAGCTTTCCTAAGACTACCAATGTTGAAATAAATAGCCAAATTTCAAACAAAAGACAGCTAACTACCAATGATTACAACCTGAAGAAGGAGGAAAGTATGTTCCTAATACCTGGACTGCTTCATCAAAGGCACAACAACATCCAAAAGGCTGACTTAAAAAAATTTAAAGTTAGCATTGAGAAAATCCAATGAAAAAAAAAAATCATCATTCCTTGCCTGATGAGCATTCTACAGCAGTGAACTCTGAGCCAAAATGCCAAGAACAACCTGTCAATCAATGCCACGAGGAAGAGCAATACTAGAATGGGATGGGGTTTAAAAAAAGTGGCATTTAATTACTAATGGCTCACTAAAAATAAGGCACATTCCTAGGTGCTAAGAATAAAAATAAAATAATGAGAGAGTCCCTTCTCTCAAATAGCTCACATACTAGTAAGAGAGACAGACATGGCTGATCATAATGCAAGGTATTAAGAGAGCTCAGATCAGGGAAGGAAGAGGCCCTCCAGAAAAGAAAATGCAGGTAAACATCTGAACCAGGAGGGAGGCTGCCAGGAAGTACACATGCCCCAGGAAGGCTGTTGGAGTATGTGCCAGGGACCTCTCTGGCTACTTTGTGAAGCCCTACTCAGAACTATGTTTTCAAATGCATAAAATAAACACAGAAGATTACAAACAAATAATTATATTAGAAAAATAAACTTGTTTTTCTTTCTTTTTTTTTTTCTTTTTCCTTTTTGGTTCCCTGACCGGAAAGGAAAAACAAATATGCTTTTAAAATAATGCATTAAATACTAATATCTAAAGGTAGGTCTAACAACTATTAATATCCTGATTACAAAGTTGTTGATGAGCATAAATAATATTTTTTAAATTTCTGTTAAAATGGTAATATGATTTCCATTGTAGACAGTTACAAAAACTGTTAATGCAGTCTCTGCCTATGCTCAAGATTGACAGAACTGTTAAATTTGTGCTAGAATTAATGAAAGAAAATAGTATCTTTTCCCATTTTCTAAGACACAAATTTTTCTTCATAATTATTAAAAAGATTTTATCACCTGGGATATTTAATGACGCAGCAGCCAATCTTTTAACAGTAGACTTGGGAAAATGGCAACAATGCTATTTATATAATGGTGCTTGTATATACTGTCACTAAAAAGACACAGTAATGAAATGAAACTCAATGAAGGCACCTTATAAAGGGTTAAGTTATGGAAGCTAAAATAGGTAATTTCTTGGTGGCCTAACCTGACACGGGAATCTAACTTAAATACTCAAGTGGACATATGCACTGCATTCTTAAATATCATTTCTCCCCACTGAGTTTTTGACAGAGACCAGAGAGAAAACAGTTAATCTCTAGGGCAAGAGCACAGGGGGAAGGGCTTTTGTGAGGTAGAATGAGGGAAGATTCTTTGCTTTGGCCGTATAGGTAGTCTCTTATCAGACCTGGCAAGGCTGACCTGTGTTTACATCTGGAAGGAGGGTCACCCATCATCTAGCAGGATGAGTCATGGGCGGAGATGTCACCTTGGGAAAATCCCCAACTGGGTTCTCTATCTACATATGATGTTAATAAAGGGCGTAAATCCAAATGCAATAATGTATGTAGAAACCCACAGCACCAGCAAGGCTGAACAGGTGAAGAAACCAAAGTAAGTAACTTAGCCGACGTACAGGCCAAAGAGCAGGTTTCCATTTGTACGCAATGACCCTTTCACCATCTCAACTTTGTTATTTATCCTTAATTTCTATGAATTAATAACCTGTGAAATATTATTATTGTATTTTTTCAAAGTATCCATCTGATAAAAATTTCTACAAGGATTGCAATAAATAAATCAATACAAACTATTCTTCGTTTACCAAAGGTATGCAGCAGGAACCACTCATCTAAACTTGCCTTGTCATAGTGAAAGCTTTCTTTGTAAATTACAAGAGCTAGGTAAAAATCCTCTGCCCAGAAAAACCTAAATCCCTGGGGCTTCATGAAGAAATACTTGTTCTTACAGCACAAATACACATATGACTCATCAAAACGTCACAAGTATTTAATTTTCCACATGTGTGTATGTTCACGTGTACTTTTATTTCTCATGGGTTTTTAATTACAAACATATAATACAGTGGGAAATGGTGGTAAGCAGTTTCCCAGCAGATTTAAGGTCTTATTCACTTTAATGTCTGTAGAAGCACAAACAACAGGCTGCATTAGATGCTGAGAAAAAACTAATTTTTTTCCATCTGAATCATGAGCTCACCTCGGAGGTAGTGGCCCTGTTTGGTAAGTGAAGAGAACTGGGAAGAGAGAACCATCTTTAGCTATAGCAGAATCTTTGCCTCACTGTGTTAATGTGTAAACCTCTCAACAGGAACATACCACCTGCTTGCTACGTATTCTAAAGAGTAAGCAATTTAATTCATAAAGAACAGAGATGAGAGTTCACATTAGTTAGACAGGTGGAGCTGGTAGTGGGCCACTGCTAAGCTAAAACCTGGCATGAGCTTCGCCTACAGTCACATCCAATTTCATTACTGTTGCTAGAGAATCAGTGAGTTCCCAGATGCTAGACCCTAGAAGCTCTGCCTTGGGCTTTTTTATTTCAGGAGTTCTTCAGGCTTCTTGGGTGCCAACAATATAATTTAGGAAGAGCAATATATTCCCACAATCTCAATCATTAACAGCAGTGTGTGTGTGTGTGTGTGTGTGTGTGTGTGTGTGTGTGTGTAGAAATTAACAAGATGATTCTAAAATGTATACAAAAATGTGAAGAACCGAAAATACTCAAAGCAATGTTGAAAATAAAATAACAAAGTTGGAGGAATTACAATTTGGAGAGAATAAAATGAGAAGGAAAGCATTTACTCAACAATAAGGTAATATTTCCTTTAAATGACGTCTGATGGGACACTTTCAAATGAGAGAAGCAAGCGACACAGGGTATCACTCAGTGGTAACTCCTGCCTATAACGATTTCTGACTCTCAATTACAGTTGGTGAATGGGTTAAACACACTAAAACAGATGCAAATATTTTGTTATTGAACAAGGTAACCCAAAGCAAAACAGACTAATTAAATAGTTTAACAGATTTTCTGTACCACCAAGAAGGAAGTCCAGGTAAATCTTAATACCATGTAAACAAATCCAAGTCATAGTCTCAAATTAGAAAAATGACTACTAAAACAGCACAATCCAAATGAAATGCCATGTGCTCTGATTCTGACAACCTGAATGTTCTATAACTTTTGAAGACTGTTGAACCTCTCTGAAATTCAATTTCATAACCTGTCACATGGGTATAATCATAATATGTACCACACACAAGTTTACTATGAACATCAAATGACATAATGTACTACGTGTAACTATAAAAGACACTATACAAATGTTAGTTATTATTATACTTTTGTAACTCTTATCTACATTGATACACTGTCCCCAACAAAGATGGGTGGTCATTTTGAGCGGGAGACAAAATTAGAGAGGAAGAGGTAACTGTGCCTATAAAGACACACTGCTTACATGAGGAGAGAATGACAGAGAAAGAGAAAACACAAACTTCCTAGGTTTCTCTGGACTTCAGGAGAAGCAACTAAAGGTACGGTGAAAGGGAAGTCAGCCAAAAGCTTTCTAATGTCCATCACATCCACGGCAGGAGTGCAGATTCTGCCTACCTCGCCAATGTTACTCAAAAGGGATAAATCCACAAACTGTTTAAAGTCCAGTATTAATCAGCAAACTAAATCCATCTGTCAGATTGTCTAGTGTTAACTGAGTGGACCCACGTACCCAGCACTGTGCATGAAAGAGAGGTATGTTATGGGGTTCACGTGGGGGCAGGATGGGAAAGAACTGGGGTGCTCTAATGGTAACTGCATCCTTCCTAGTTTCCTGCCTGTGGCCCTCCTGTTCTTGATCACCTAAGGTCCATATAACCTCAATTAAAGTTACTTTCTCAGATACAGTAAGGACACTGCTCTGTTCTCCAAATATGTAATAAACATGACATTTTTAAGGTATAATTAAAAGTTGTTGAATTTAAGGATTTCCAAATTTTGCATTTTCTTCTAATTCCTGAGAAATGTATGGGGAAAGGTGAACAAACTTAACTAAAAGGCCCACTCGAGGGACAAACAAAATGGAAAATAACTCATTAAGGTATCTGATGCTTGCAAAGAAGAAAGTTTCACTTCTCCATGTCTCCTGCTCCAAGCAAAAGCGTCCGAGTGCCAGGTCTGCCCAGGAATGGCTAAGAGAGCCAAAATGATATTTCAGAACATCATTTCAGAAGAAACAGGAATTTCTTACGTTTCTTCAGACATTATAATTTCAGTGACCCACTACACCAGTGTAGGATGAGAAGACAAGAAAGGACATGTGACACTTCAAGATGAAAAGATGCCAACTTCTGACTGGCAATGGTGAAGAAACTACCCATTTTCCCTGGAAAGAAAAGACGTATTGACTTGTATGTGAGAAATGTGCAGAGCCCAGGATGCTCCAATATTCCATGGAAGGACATGACAAAGAAGATAAGGCATTCCTCTGGAATCACTGGCTTCCTGCCAAGAGGCTTCAGGAGGCCTTTTGAGCTAATCCAGACTTTTGTGTATCATATTTGTTGAAAGTGGACATACAATCAAGGCTTGGAGAGTAGCCTTTTAGTTAGAAATATTGGAAGTTATTTCATTTAATTGCCTTTTCTATTGCTTGCAGTTAATAGTCTTAAAAATATACTTTCATTACATTTTGTCAGTATCTAAGGTTTTCATTACGGCTATGGCATCTAATTACTGTTTTCTACATGAAGGAATTGAATATCCTACCTCTTATGTGTTACAAGATGTTGGAATGTCAAATACCCTTTGCTGTTGTGTGTCTGTTGACACATTCCATTTATATTTTTCTACTGTATCTATGATGCTTGACTCTAATACCAATATTAAAATATGAGATTAGTGTCACTACTTAATTTTCTTAACAAGCTATCAGACGATTCTGCGTGCCTTAATTATTTTTTTAAAAAAGTACAAATTGTTGAAAAGCTTAAAATTTCCTGGGAACGGAGAAATATTAATTCTGTGCAAAAAGCAAGCAAGCATTTTGCATGAAAATACACCTTATCTACGAAAAAAATAAATAAATAACCAAATAAATGGTCCTTGGAATGGAAGAGTTGATTTTCCTCAGTAAGTTGGCCCTTGAAGTTGTCAAGTATCAAGTGTCCCATGTAAATTATTTCTTTTTGTCTGTTTGTTTTGTTTTTTTGAGATGGAGGTCTTGCTCTGTCACCCAGGCTGTATTGCAGTGCAGTGGCGCAATCTTGGCTCACTGCAATCTTTACCTCCTGGGCTCAAGTGATCCTATAGCCTCAGCCTCCCAAGTAGCTGGGACCATAGGCGCACACCACCACGACCAGCTAATTTTAGTATTTTTGGTAGAGATGGGTTTTTGTTGTGTTGCCCAGGCTGATATCGCCTCGGCCTCCCAAAGTGCTGGGACTACAGGTGGGAGCCACTGCACCTAGCCCCATGTAAGTATTTCTGAATGCAGGTGCCCCCACCGTGGGGTCTAGGTCTGCTAAGGGGCTCCCTGGTTCCACGGTGCACTCTGTGGTGGAAATGACAGAGCCAAGCATAAAACAGAGCACTGACAAGTTTCACCTAAGCATTCTGATGGGTCTGCTTTTGTGATAAAAACCAAACACCTACACCAAAATGCCTTTGTCTTGAATTTTTTAAAAATCAGGGTCAATTTGCAGTTTTATAAGGACAGAATAAAAAATTTAGGTAAATATTTCTCCTGAAACCACATTATTCCACACAGAACTAAAACCGTATTTTGAGAGAGATGAAAGCTATTAAGTTTTACTAATGAAAATGCGAATACATTGCTGTGATTATTCATAACTAAATAGGTGCTAATTCCCTTCATTCTAATTAAGTTTAAAATGTTATCAATTGTTATTAATTTCTCAATGTACCCATATACATATCAGAACAGATAAAATTTTGTGTTTTTGTCCCTGAGGGTGACTAGACTCAGGAACATGAATTCCTAGCTGACAGGCACAATGTCAGCTATTTCCAGAATAAAGCCGAGTAGTATAGCTGCAGAGAGATTTTACAGGTGCTTCCCAAACTACAAGATGTTAACTACCATGAACCAGGCCTAAAGGATCTCTCCCCAGAAAACAGAATAAGGAGTAGTATGGTAGCAGCCCCTCTCCTCTGAATATGTTTTACATCAAATAATATGAAATTGCTGGTATTAAACCAGTTTTAACCTATAAAACAGCAATTTCATATGTTCATCCTGGGATGTACCATTTGGCCTCACATCAGTATTTTTATCAGGGCTTTAAGATATGGGTAAGTCTCTCAACGGGACTTCAGCATGGTTCTAAGTGGCAAGCAGTAAAGAAGCAGAGCAGGAACCTGAATGCAGGACTGCCTGGAGTCAAGATTGTTTTGAATACACCACACTCCTAGATGCTGGCAACTCCTGATGCTCTCCAGCACGAGCCTTCATGAATCCAGAATTCTGAGAAGTACCAGTCCTCTGAAGCTCATTTCCCAGACTTTGAAGATTGATCAACATAATAGGAGCTCATCAAATGCTCGAGAAATTATTTTTCATTAGCACGAAGAATAGCCTAGAGTTCAACCATTTTTAGAGTAATCTTTCCAAGATCACGTTAAACTCTCTTGCCTTCTTTCGTAGAGTATGCTGAGGCTGTTGTGAGCATGGGAGTTTGCAGTGGCTCTCCTCAAGCCCTTGCTCTATCAACAGAAAGCACAGGGAGAGAAGCATGATGCTCACTGACCCAGCCCTTCCTATGGAAATGGCAAAAGATCAGCAGTGGGAAAACAAATTAGGGGGTTCTGAATAGGGTTCAAAAATGTTTAATGGGATATATTTAAATTTCCTAGCAAAATTAAGAAAAATTTTATCTTCTCTGGCTTTACCTGATAATGTGAATAAGAGAAAGATAGGTTCTGAATGTCAATATTCTAAAAGGTCTGTGCTAAATATTCCTCCTTCCAGGCAAATCTAACCTTCACTTTCTATCATCTGGGATAAGTGGAGAGAGAGCTCAACAAAACCCTTCTATTGATAGAAAGGTGAGGGATTTCTTTTAAAAAATGTGTGTTAGATTTAGGAATATCGATCAGATTCAGGTTTGAATCGCTATAGTATTTTTTTAAATCCTTGCTAAGAATTCTCATTACTCCATCCCTTTGCTTTGGTCAGAAATCTCTCTTTGTCAATAATAACACTGCAAATTCAGCAGGCCATTTGTTAAAAAGCTTATGTAGAAGAAACAAATCATATACAAAAACAAGATGATTATGTAGAAGTCTAAGGAAAAAAAAAGAGTATAGCTGGTCAAAACAAACTTTGTTAAACAGAATTTTAGTTTGCAATATCCAAATTGTTAAAGGAAAAACAATTCTATCATCGGCAAAACATAAAGACACCCAGGATCTTAGAGACACTATGAGGATTTGTGGAAATGACACCATTCAGATCACTGTGAGATAAGTGTTAGCTAAATTCTGGTTCACTTTATGAAAAGGAGAAAGCAGAAACTAAAGGAAGACAGTATCAAGCCATGGAAGTGAGCTCCAGACGAAGTGAGGGAAAATAAAAAGGAAACTGAAAGGATAGATTCAACCCATAGCTACATATGATGTATCAGCCCTGTGGGGGCCAGGGCAAGCTCACTGGCATTAGATGGGCACACTGAAAGTGACAGTAGGCAAAATTCTTCCTCATAATCAGTTCTAAATTAACTAGTTGTCCCTTGGGGTCTTCTCTCTCCCTTCCCCACTACATCTGATTTACCAAGGCCTATAATTCCACCTCCAAAGTGTCCTCATAATCAAGACCCTTCTCCTCATCCTGGGACATGGCCATGGTGGAAATCCAGGTCTCTGTTTCTTCTCACCCTCTCTGGAGCATCAGCTTCCTGTCTCTAATCAATCCCTTCTACTCTCTAATCCACTCCCACTTGGCCTCAAGATTGAGCTTCCTAATACTGCCCCACACATAAACCTCGCATGGGACCATCCACTGTAGAATAAAGCAGAACTCCCCTAAATTTGCCTGAAGCAGTGGCAAAGGAGTTCAAGGAATCCCCCGGGGAACATGGATGAAGGAAAGTCGCAAGAGTAATGCCTAAATGAGAAACTCTTCTTTCTTTTTAATCTTCCCTACTTTGAGGAACTCTTGAAACAAGATAAATAATAGCCTCTCCTGCCTGATCTCAGCATGACCCACTTTGTGCATGTGGGCGCATGTGAGAGACAGCTATTGGGTAACACGTTTGCACCCCACCAAGGGGTGAACTGAGTACCTGTGGGTCTTGCTCCCAGGAAGCCTCCCCAAAACAATCTTCTCCTCACCATGACCCATCTCCTCTAGAAAGGATAATCCTTCCTGTCCCTCACCTCGTCCCTAAAAACAGATCCTTGTTTAGCCAAGAACATTTCCCTAACTTGAAGATGAGAGATTTTTAAAATTTTAATTCAGGGATATATAAAAACGGGGTTTCACTTTTTATGAAAGACAGTCTTCACATTCTGATCACCCAATCTACTTCACCAGCTTCAACTTCCCACTCACCACTCCATCCTGACTCCCCCGTAAACCTGACATGTCTTAGAGCCAGTAACACTGAACTCTTCAGCCTTCCTCAGATATACCAGGCCTTTGAGGAAGTTTGTGCACACACTATTCCCTGTGCTTAGAACACCCTGGACTCTGAGTCAGATTGCCTGGCTTTGTATCCTGGCTCTTCCACCTACTACCTGTATAACTTACAGCAAGTTATATAAACGTAAACTCACTCTGTTTCCATTTCCTCATCTGTTAAAAAAAAATAAAAAGATAATAATAGTACAGGTTGCACATCTCTCATCCAAAATGCTTGGGAGCAGAATTATTTCAGAATTTTTCGAATTTCAGAGTGTCTGCATTATACTCACTGATTTAGTTTCCCAAATCTTAAATTGTGAATTCTGAAATGCTTAAATGAGCATTTCCTTTGTGTGTCATGTTGGTACTCAAAAAGTTTCAGATTTTGGAGCATTTTGGATTTGGATGCTCAACCTATACCTACCATGAATGGGACACTGAAGATTAAATAAGTTAATATCTGAAAAGCCTTTAGAACGCAGCTTATCACATTGTATTAAATAAATGTTTCCCACCACTGTCTCATCAAAAAAAAAACAAAAATGTTTGCTTGACACACTTGTGTGAATGAGGTCTGGTCAGCAAGAATGAAGTCGGATGGAGAAGTTTAAAGAAAAAAGGTTACGTTTACTTCCAGGATGCTTCATGGTCCCTACATATATTGAACTGAACAGTTTTAAGGCAGTCTAAAGTTCTCCATAACTAACTTTTGTGCTAAGCCATATTTTTGATGATCTGGCTAAACAAGTGCTGGGATAAGAAAGGGAAAGCAAGCAGTATAGTTGCCATATTAGTTATCAGTTTCTCTCCAATACTGCAAGTCTTAGAAAAGTGGCTGTATTTTCCTTGGTTTCAGGTCGGTTTAAAAATCTTGGGATGAAGTCAGTTTCTGAGATTTCTACCCCACTTTCATCCCTTCTTCAATAGGTTTAAAATATTTTCAAATGCGGGAAACTGTCTTCAAAGGAACTGTAAACTTTGCTCTTAAAGAAAGAGACCAGAAAAGCAGAGGCCCCCTGTGGAAGAGTATGTGCACCATAATCAGGCTGTGGATCCAAGCGCGTAGAGGATGAGGAGGTGGTAGGCCCAACCCATACCTCATTCCCACCCACTAAACCATACAAACCTAGGAAGAGTTAAGAGAATTTTAGAAAAACAGGTCCAAATCTTTAGGCATCACTTAGGAAAGGAGAAATTGCATTAATAAGCCCTCAAGTTAGAACAATATAAAAATAAATTTATTAAAGCCAGGAGAATTGGATATATCAACATGAACCCTGAACCATTTGAAAAAAAATGCTATTTATCTGCTCTGTCACTAAAGTGGCTCTAGTCCTAAATTAGCCAGCACTCAAATGAAACAAAACATGGTAATGTGCACCTTTCATGGCAAATTTGGTCTCTAGTAGAGCTCCCATAAAAAAGAACCAGGGCTCTTTGATGAATCACTGATTCCCAGTTTGGTACAATAGAAACCAAGATAACTTTGGCATTTCCCACTGCGAAAAAAACAAAGATAGTTTCAAAGATGTCTAGAAGTGTGGATTAGTCCATTCTCATGCTGCTATAAAGAACCGCCTGAGACTAGGTAATTTACAAAGGAAAGAGGTTTAATTGCCTCATAGTTCCACATGGCTGGGGAGGCCTCAGGCAGAAGGCACCTCCTCACAGGACAGCAGGAGAGAGAATGAGTGCTGAGTGAAGGGGAAAGCCCTTTATAAAGCCATCAGATCTTGTGAGACAAACTGCCACCATGATCCAATTACCTCTACCTGGACTGCCCTTGACACATGGGGGTTATAATTCAAGATGAGATTTTGGGTGGGGACACAGCCAAACCATTTAAAAGTGGTTTAAAATTAGAAATAAAGCAGTCACCTAGAAGAGGCTCCAAAAGGTCCAAGGGGAGCAAGAACATCAAGAAGAAAATTTTGGTCAACTGGTACGCAATGGGCTCATAAAAAGCTACAAACCATGATGATGTTTAAAAGAGTCAAGTAACATAAAGTAAGCTAAGCGAAGTCCTACCCACTGATATAAATTAGCTGAATGCTGCTTAATTACAAAAACACAATCATCTGACCACCCGTCTTACATCCAAGGGGCACAACAATATAGTGAAATGCGTATATGCTGAAATGTAATTCTGGCCTTCCAAATAAAAATCCTGTTGGAACGAATTGGATTGAAATGTATAAACCAGAATCAGGGGTAGGCTCTGGAGGAAACAGGCTTTCTAAAAATTCTAGAAAGTTGGAGAGAGATATTGTTCAGGTCCCCATCTGGGAACAGAACTACTTTTTTCCCCTAGTTGATTATATAGTACTGTTGACCTTGATTTTGGTTTAAGAACTAGGGCATCTTCATGTTTATAAAAATTTTATTAAAATGAGAAGCATGGATAATCAGTTTTCCTGAATGAGACCCAAGTATAAAATCCTGTGGTACAGCAAAAATATATCTTTAGTTTCAGATCTGGCAACAGCCTACACACATACCACTGCATATGCCCATTAGGGAAACAGGACCCAGGGGGAAGTTTTGTTATGATAGGCTGCATTCACTTCTACCCTATTTACCAAATCCACTTCTACTACAATTCTGCATCCTTGGCTAATTAAAAGAGAATGTTACAGTGGGAGTGAATGTTTTGGAGTCTCTCCCTGTCAATCCATAATCAACCTGAAATACTGCCTGCCCTTTTACAATTAATAAATTCACATAAAAGTGTACTGATTCTTATTTTTTTCATTAAGTATTTTCTCAATAACAGACACTAAAAGAATAATATGCTATACAATACAATACAGGATAAGAACTACTATTCTAGGGTATAGAATTTGGGAGCCTCAAACATCCATCTTTCCACATTGTTGAGGCCTAGAATGTTTCACTGTTGTTAGCAATGAGAGGTAGCCCATTCCATCATCACCCCAAGATTAGTTATATAGTCATAGGTTAACCCACAGAGCCCTTGCTTTGAGCCCTTCACCAGATTCTGTGTATTGTGGTGTCCTCTCCTGTCCTAAGCCCATGCCTCATGAGGACAGGAAGGAGTTGCAATAAAACTGGCCTGGGAGCTGGCCTAAAGACCCAGAGGCTGGAAAAAGCATTCAGGCTGGGCGCAGTGGCTCATGCCTGTAATCCCAGCACTTTGGGAGGCCAAGGCAGTTGGATCGCTCGAGTCCAAAAGTTCAAGACCAGCCTGGGCAACATGGTACAACCCAGTCTCTATAAATAATACAAAAATTAGCAGGACATGGGGGCGCACACCTGTAGTCCCAGCTACTTGGGAGGCAAAGGTGGGAGGATCACTTGAGCCCAGGAAGCAGAGGTTGCAGTGAGTCGAGATCATGCCACTGCGCTCCAGCCTGGGTAACAGAGTAAGACCCTGTCCCAAAAAAAAATAAAAAACAAAAAAGCATTCAGTAAGTGCTGAGCAAGGACTCAGTTGTATTACTGAGATGAGAGTTAGAAGACACATGGAAGAGGGCCAGATGGTGGAATAACAAGATCCTAGACAAGTTTCTAGAACGGGAGCTGCCAAAACAGAAGCCACCCTACCCACCCTGCTTTCCATTATGCACACAAAAAACACTGCTCTGAATAAGGTGCATATGTGAAATACCTAACACACACTTGACATAAAAGATGCTCAATAAATACAAGTTCTCGTTCTTCTCCACTAATCCCACTCCCTAGCATCGGATAATTATTTTAACAAATTTATACCAAGCTGCTCCTATGGATAGCCAAGTGCTAGTTGATAGAAATAAAAAGACAACAACAACAACAACAACAACAAATACTTTCTGTCCTTATGACCTAGCTACAATAATACTAAAGGAAAAATACACAAAATCACATAAATTAACCAATACAGCGTTTTCTCTATAAAAGTTCTTCCTCTCTTTTAAATAGGTATCTGTCTCCATGTTAACAGCCACGACTTCTAAGGTTTCTAAAGCTATGAATACAACTTAAATGTCACACTTTTCTAGAGGAAAGAATATTAAGAAAAAACACTATGTACCTCATATAAGATGTATAAAGAGGCCATGTTCATTGCAGTGAATTAACAAAGTGCAAGTGATTCTGGTGCTGCTACACTAAATATGCAGATTATTCTAACCTAATATGAAAGTTTACTAAGTAACTTGCCAGGAAAAAACATTGCATGCCATTTTCTCACCTCTGTTATTCAGGCATCCCTTCCACAGGGCATCTGTCTAGTTTACTCAAGTGTGAGATGGCCCTGTGGTGCTATATTTTGCAGAAGTATATAGTGTATAGGTAGCTGACTATTTGTTTGAAGAAAAAATACATTTCCAAGACTTCCAGTTTCATAACTACTATTTATTGTGTTGTCTTTTCCTTACAAACATCTGTGCAACATTCAGATAACTGGGTTAGGAATATATCCAAGTGGAACCTTTGGAAATACAGCCAGAAACTAGGTTATAATGAATCATGGCACAGGGTGGTGAAGCGGACAGCATGACTACACACACCGACAGATGAGCACACACTCATGTGCACACATGAAGGAGACCTTACATCTGAAACACAGCAGTGACATTCAACAAAGGTGTTCAACAAAAACGCTGGCAAACACATGCTAAAAATTTAGGTTGAAATAACAGGGATCAGCTGTGTACTTCCTGTGACACACTTTTTTCCATCTTTAGGAAGTTTTACCCTATTTTTTTCAAGCACTGCCTATTCTAATTATAAACTCTGCTTACTGCTTGATGGAATAATGTATTAACAAATCAGATGAATTTTATACAATTATTCAAAATAATTTTACATCCAAAGCTCAACAAACAATGAATAAGCTCATATATTTAAAATAATTAGCTGGGCACGGTGGATCACACCTACAACTCCGGCACTTTGGGAGGCTGAGGCTAAAGGATCTCTTGAGCTCAAGAGTTTGAGACCAGCCTGTACAACATAATGAGAACTATTTTAAAAATATATTAATTACAAAATAATAATTTATGACACTAATGGAATAGTTGAATTTTCCTTAAAATGGTCCTTTTGGATGCTTTATAGCAAATAATTGGGAGAAATAAAAAAATAAGGGAATCAAAAACCCTAAAGTGAGTAAAAATGGAGACTCTATTGAAGCAACAGTAGGTTTATACTTCATTTCACCTAAATCATACAGGCATCCTCCATTATTCTGTAAAACAACTGGGCCAGGCTGCCAAGTTAGCCTGAACTTTATTTTACAGTTTTCACTGCTATGATTCGGCAATTGCCTATTACTTTCAAATAATCAATGCATGGTTGAGAACACAGACAAACTACAGTTTCTGCTCTAAGAAGCATACCTCTTAGCATTGATAGTTTACACAAAGAGAAATATTTGATTGAATCTGAACTTTTCTATGCTTGATAAGGAAAGAACATTTAAAGCAATAGGGGCAAATCACAATGTTCTTAACCAAAGTTGCCAGATTCTATAAATTCCTACTGGTTAGTTCCCAAACACTTTGGGGAGGAATCCGTACTTGGAGTCGAATGGAAGAAGAATGGATAAGTAACAGCTACTAGAAATATACTTGGGAAATACAGTGCTAACAGTGCTTCCACCTAGAAAATGTAGCAAAGGCAATTTAAGAACACTAAAATTGTTCCCTCATCAGGAAAAGCTGCCTCACGTGATGTTGTAAATTATATGATCTTTTCCCCAGTCTTTACAAAGTATACCAAGCTGAAAGTGGATCTGTAGGAGACAGTAGTTTCTAAATCACCTCAAACTCATCTATTTTCTTTTTCATCATCATTTAGGAAACACATTAGTAACCTAAACTTGACTGAACCACACATGAGAGTTAAGAGGAATGAGGTCCTGATTAAACACCTGGATCTCTTTAATAGCAACTTCAATATAGTCATCAGTAACCACAGGGCTTTGGAATATTAAAACGGTAATGTATGATCCCAAGCAAAGCTTCAGATGAACACCTCTAGCACCATTTGAGGTTTGGGGTTTGGAATTCACCAAATAATAGAGTATGAGCTAAAAAGGCATTTACATTCCAGCACCTGCCACTCATTATCTGCATCTATTTGGGCAAGGAATTAAACCTCTCTGAACTTAGGTTTCTTATCCTCGAAACAGGAAAAACACTACTCACGTGGCCCAGTTCACATAAGATTGTAGCACCAGCAGCAGCAGCAGAAGTAGTAGTAGCAATACAACTTTCATTTTTTGAGTGCTTACTCTGTGCTGTGAACTGAAAACAACATGGTGAGGTGGGATACCATGTTTTATAGATGAGGAAGCTGAGGCTCAGAAATAAGAACTTGCACAGGGTTGCACAATCTGTTACTGGCAGAATCTAAGTGTGAACACCAACTACTCTGACTTCAGAGGTCACGACCTTGTTCACATCTCAAAACGCATTCATATACATCCTCTAATGAGGTAATCCTATTGACTGCACACTGTTAAGGGCAAGGCACCACAGTCATGTAAGGTGTTATTACTAGGTATTTTTAAAAGTTGCTAAAATGTATTTTCTACTGGATACATAATACTATTCTTAGCAAAAGGACATCAACTCAAGAAACTATGGAAAAGGCATGAATGAATATGCAACTTGGAACCTGAAACAATGAAAAAATAAGACAAATAAAATAGATGTGACAGTTGGTGACATCATTTTGTACATTTAAGCATTCACTCACATCTGCCCAGATCCCCAGCCCACAAACATCAAATATCTCTCAAGATGTCAATGGAAATTGCTGAAAGCATTACAAAGAGCTGGGAGATTTGCTGTGTGTGACTCCACAAGCCAATGCTGACGACTTGGCAGGCTGCTCACAAGAGGTTATTAGGGACATAGGAGAAGCATGTTAGGCTGCTAATAGCCTGTGGCCAAGTCTCTCAGGGAAAACAAAGTGCGGCAAGTTAGCAGAGCTGAGCATCTAGACAATGCTTTAGCCTCCTATTTGGTAGCCAGAAACAATCATGGTGAACTGGAAAGCTAACAAAGACATATCAACTATCTCTACGCTGTCATAATATTTCTAAGCATTTAAAACACAGGAAAGATTTCATTTGACAAGGACAGGTCAACAGAAATATGGCTAAATTCATATTATTTGGTTGCAAACACTTTTCCCAGAAATAAGCTCAAAAAAATTGTTCTCTATATTTCTCCTCTACTTTTCTATTTTTTTCTATGAGATTATCCTCACTCCTTCCAGGGCCCCAGGCTGTCCCTCACATATGCCATTTTAGGCAGCAAAGTCCCAAAAGCTCCTGGCCATCCTACCTCTTCCTTTACTGTGCTGCTGCTCTTTGTTTCTTCTAAAGGAGATAAAATAACAGCCCAAGACCACAGTGTACAGTTTCATAGACTGTTCACTACATAATCTCAGGTGGTGATCCCCTCGCAGAAATGGTCTCACTCTCATCCTGGATATGTGCAGTGCACAATGTGTACAACCAAGCTCAGCAGCCCTGTGTACAGATCCAACACCAGAACAGGCATGGAGAGTTTTCTGCATGCATCTGTTCATTCACTCATTCAACTCAGACAGATTTATTGTGCCTAGCGTGCACCAGGCACTTGACAGGTCCTAGGCAAATACCAGGAAATAACAGTGCGCAATCCCTGCCCTCAAGGAACTCACGGTCTAGACATGTCAACAATGAGTCATATTACAGAATAAAGCACATTATGTCTGGGAGGTAGTCTAAAACAGGAGAAAATCCAGACACGGTCTTAGCACTGAGGAAGGGAGGGCACATCTTACCACGTTGGGGTTGACCTTATGTCGAAAGCATGTAATGTTCACCACATAAGGCCAGTCATCAGGCTCCATCAGTACCCCAGCAGCATGGGCACAAGTGACATGGAAGGAGGCCGGGCAGCGACCGTAGGAACACTGGATGCAGGCTCCAGAGACCCTCTTAACCCGGTGTCTGCAGAAGATGCATTTCTGGAAGGTTAAAACAGAGAAGAACATCAATTCACATTCTGTAACCCAGTCAGTTCCCACAATTTACAGAACAATAGCTACTAGAGAAGAAAAAAAAAAAAAAACAACTGATTACATCAACAAGTCCTGACCCCTCCAGGGGCCCTAGTGGTGACAGCATCTGTGGCAATGTAATCTACTTTCTTTAAAGGAAACACACTGCTACGGTCACAGACTGCCAGACATATGTTTAACTATTTCTTGTAGCAAGGAAAGCCAAACACTTTCGCACATACTCCTGCAGGCACAGAGCTCGGGAAAAGACCCCAGAGGTGCTCCTATAAATAATCCATGAATGTTGAAGCTACTTCTGTTTTGCCCTCCTGCATGACAGGTCTTTCTGTGCATCAAGAAGTAGAATATGGGTTTGGAGGACAGGTCATTCTTTCCTAAATTAGATGTGGTCTTCAAAAACACCCAAACAGCATAGGGGCAAGTTAAGTTTTCCAAAGACAAGGAAATGTAAAGTGTTAAATGGTCCAATGTGGAAACTAGCGTTTAATAATCCAAATCTGAACCCTTCATGACTGACAAAAAAAATATGCCTCCCAAAGTGAGAAAATTGAAAATCACCCCAAAGGGCATAATTTGGTTGAATATCTATAGCTGATGATGCCTGGGGAAGAGAAGATGAAAATAAAAACAGCAATAATGATTACCACAATTCGAAAAGTAAATTGCATACAATTAGCCCTAAACATTATCAGTACATTTGTTATGAGAGATAGAGAAAAACAACTTCACTAAATGTAAGTTGTGAACTAATACTTGAGGGTTAGGAAAAAATGGTTGTGGAAAAACATAGGGTTAGGTCTGGAAAGCAGAAGAAACAATGATCAAAAGCTCAAATTTTCATTCTGAAGAGTAAAAAGGATCTGAAATCTGATCAAATGTTGGTGCTCTTCTTTTATAGGTAGATTTTCTTTTCTGGGACAATAAAGGTACTTAAACTCAAGCCCTTTTGAAGACTAATATTTTATCAGAGACGTGCAAGAATCAATGTGCATTTAACTTCTAACTCTTCGTGTCCTCACATCTGATCGGTGACTTAATCTTTTAGATTCTGTCCCTCAGTCTTACTCTGATCTCTGCCTACCATCTATACCAACTGCCACTGCCTCCGCCCACGGTGTCTTGCCCAGCATCATAATGGATTCCCAATGTGTATCTCCATCCTTTATTTCATTCTATCTCCATTTGTCTTCCCCAAAGCTGCCCGAGTGATTCTTTACAACACGAATCTCATGTCACCACCATCGTACTTAATATCCTTCATATAATTAAAGGTTTCTCTTTATCTCCAAGTCACTCCAAAAAAAAAAAAAAAAAAAAAAAAGGGAAAACCATGAGGTGCAAGAGCCAAGTTTGTAAAAGGCCCTTCATGGTCTAAGTGTTACTTCTCACTAGTCCCCATAAGGACCCTATACATTAGGTACTTATGTGATTTCCTTATACATCTAGATTCAATGTACAATTAAGCATTTTTAAGTGGAGGTTGAGGATGTGGCTTAACTGATTAAAAAATCACACACATATATACACACACAAATACACAGAACCATAAAACTAAAAAGACATCATAATCTGCCTAAGAGCATTATTTAATATTCTGTCTTGGTATCTCTTTGACAATCCATGCTATCAGTTTCATTACATTTTTTGTAATTTTTAGTATTTTGGTATCTTTTTGTCAGTTCCAATTATTTGAAATGTGATGGCAGATACAAAAGCAAAAACTCCTATCAGGAGCCCCGGGCATTTTCAATCTTTCAAGAATCTAATTATACAACATAGAGGTCAGTGTTTGAATAAGTTAAGATATTGACAGGTATATGAAAGGTGAAATTATGTCTTATTTTCTTAAGATCTTTTAAGAGTAGGACAGTGTTGTGACTTAGCTAATTAAAGCATTGGTATCTCCCAACCTCCATCACCATTAACTTCATTAAACTGAGACTCACTAAAAAGGCGTAAGAAGACAGAATACACTCAAGCCCAGAGAGGATTCAATCTTTGGAACCTAAGGAGGGACTTGCCCTATTCCAGGAGGACCAGAAGTGGGGACTTCTAAGGACAGAATCACAGTTTCCTTAGGAAGTAAACCTAACAGTAAACTATTATAACTCAATGCTTTGCAAGATGTTTATTCAGAGTTGAGAACACTTAAACATCACACAGGTTCTTGCAGAGACAGAGAACCCCATAAAACCTATGAGGGGAGCCATTGCGAATGCATCCTGTAAGACAGTTAACGCAGTATTTCAGACCCCCATTTTCATTTGTTTGTTGCTAAAATGGTTTTTTTTCCTCCCTGGCAGAAAAATCTCTGGAATTTGATGCCTAAAGATACCTGGGCTACAGAATGGAATCTAGTAGGTTAAAGACATCTATGTGCACTTAAGAATGTTACAACGAAATACATGCTATGAAAGAAGTGAACGAAATGCTACCTGGCACTAGAATAACATGAATAGGCATGCTACAATTAATGAATCATGCCTGGGGACAACAGAGGGAAGAAAGCTTTAAGAAAAGCAAAGACGAACTGGATCAAGATCAATCCCTGCTACCATCTATCCAGGCCCAACCCCTACGTAACTATATAGGAAAAAGGATGAAGCCAAAACAGCAATGACAAACAAGAGACAGTGCCATCAGAGGACCAGAACATGTATGGAATTCCTAGACCATGGGAAACAGGTGGAACTAAACGAACAGAGAAACCAAAGTAGATAAGAACTAATGCAAAATAAGTGTTTGGCAAAGAATATCCTTTAGGCAAAGGATACCAAAGGAGTAAGAATAATTCTCAGCCCCAAAGCCTCAGAGCCACCCCAAACCAAGTATCCACAATAAAAAAAAGAAAAGAAAAGAAAAGAAAAAAGAAAGAAAAAAAGGAAGAATCCATAATTAAAAGCAGCAGAAACCCTGGGTCAACATGAGGTAATTATTTTAAAAACAGTGCCACTCAGAATGTTTTTAACATGATGTTTCTAAAGATCTTTAGGCTGAGAGTGGTGGCTCATGCCTATAATCCCAGTACTTTGGGAGGCTGAGGCAGGTGGATCACCTGAGGTCAGGAGTTCAAGACCAGCCTGGCCAACACGGCAAAACCCCATCTCTACTAAAAATACAAAAATTAGCCAGGAGTTGTGGTGAGCACCTGTAATCCCAGCTACTCGGGCGGCTGAGGCAGGAGAGTCGCTTGAACCCAGGAGGCAGAGGTTGCAGTAAGCCAAAATCACGGCATTGCACTCCAGCCTGGGTAACAGAGTGAGACTCTGTCTCAAAAAAAGGAAAAAAAAATCTTTATGCATACTGAGATTTGATAAACACTACTGTAGGTTAGGTAGGCTAGTTAATGTTTTCTGTATCCCTAACCTACTGAGACACTGACAATTCTTTGTAAATTTTATATTAGAGACAGGGTTTTGCCATGCTGCCTAGGCTCAAAATCCTGAGCTCAAGCAATTTGCCTGCTTTGGCCTTCCAAAGTGTTGGGATTACAGGCATGAGCCATCACGCCACAACCGGCCTTGATTTTGCCTTCAGAATAAAGCCATGAGAATTACTAGAAAATTAAAGTAAATAATATGCCAGGGCAGAGCTCCTGTCTCATCTGAGAGTCAAGGCTAGAGAGGGAAGTAGAAAAAACCTTGAATCAACCCCCAAACTCCTCAAGATAAATGGAGTTTCTGTATAAAAATATATATTAAAAAATAAAAAATTAAATTAAATTAAAAAATAAAATTGAAAAAATTGAAAATTGAAAAGTGTATGTTCTGCAGGGAGGGGAATGAAAGAAGGTTAGAGAGCACTGGACTCCAGGGAGCTGATCACCCAGCCAAAAGCTGTTAGTGGGTATCTCTGACAGGACAGTTCTGGCAAGGCTGATGACAAGAACAGAAGTGGCTCTCTTCCGCCCCAGGATTCCAGCACATCTTGGCGGGGCCACTGAATTTGCATTTCTAACAAGTTCCCAGTGATACTGATACTGTTGATCCACAGCTCACACTTTGAGAACCAAGAGGCTACAGGGTTAAAAAGTGAAAAGGTGTCACTCATGCCGACAGCTTCTAGTACAAGGGAGTTAAGGAAGTGCAATGATTTTTTTTCACCTATTCTTCAGTGTCAAGGGCTGAGAGAATCCTCAGGCAGGTGTGATTTATAGAGCACTGTACTTTCTTGGGGGACTGGATTTCCATACTTATTCCAGTGGCATAGGCCATTAAGGCTACTAATGGATTGAGGAAGTAATGAAGTATCTGGCAATGAGGCTTTGTATATCATTAGATTTCCTTGAGCATCCAGCCTGGCAAAGGGCATCAAGAAATGATGAACTGTGAAGGAGCTGGAGGTTCAAAGCACATCTCCTTCCCCCTTTTTCCTGTTAATATGATTTCTGATTTTTTATTGTTTTGTTTTGCTAGTTTTATGATGTTTTTTTCTTCCACAAACAGGCAGGTATTCCAAAATAGGTGTGAATGCTTTTTAATTGTTGTTTCCTGATTAAGTCACAGGCTAATGATAATGATACATTAGCTAATTTCTTTCTCCTTTTGCCCCCTAAGGACACTTTTTCTAAGCACCACACAGCAAGTTAACACTCCCAGCTCAAACAGGGAACAATGTTTGGCTCAACGGACATCACTATTGCTGCAGGCAAGTCAGAGGATCGAGGCTAAAACCTTCAGTTTGCTCCAAGTCCTTAAATACAGGGTTCGTAATAGAATCCTTTGATTTTTAACCCTACCTGTAAGATTTATGTTCTGCTCATTATTATTCATTAAGTCAATCACTCATGTGTCAATACTGGCTAGCACTGGGGGAAGTCTGAGTTCTACAGTAAAGAGGATAGTCTAGCCACAATAAAATGCAGAATGGAACAACTGCCATTTGAGAGTGAGATTCAGAAGGAGAAGAGAGAGTAGATTAATAAAGAGAAATCAATTTATCTAGTCAGCTAAAGAGTGGCTGGGGAGGGAAGGAAATGGAGGACACTGAAAAGCAAAGTCCCCAGTGCACTGACACCACAGGGTTTGGGCTGTTTTGTGAGAGGCAGCAATTAATATGCAGCCTCACCCACATATGAGTGATACGATAAAACAAATCCTGTTTACTTGGGCAACTGGTCATAACATGATAAGTCCTCTGTCTCTCTTCCCCAAAAGTTATTTCTTATGCACTCCAAGTTCAGAGCATTAAAATAAATGGCTCATAATGCCAAGTGTGTTGAATTAAATCCTTATCATAAATAAGGTATCAGAAGCCATTTATCTCATGGCTTTTTGTTTGGTGAGATTCACCCTGCAAAAGGTGAGAAAGCTAAGAAAAGTCAAGTAGCAGGGAAAGGCCAGTGGGATGAGCTCAGCTAGGTCAAGAGACAGAGCTAAAAAAAATGGACAGAGGTGGCCAGGGATCAGATATAAGGTTACATGTATTCAAAATAAGGCTAATGAGTCACTGTTGGCACTGATAAAATGTTAAATAAAAATCACAAAAGAATTCTAGAACTGGAAAGGCCAAGGCATTTCAGACACAAACAGACAAATTAACAAATGATTTGTGAAAAGTACTACACCAACAGCACAGTCATACTTTGTTTTATTTTGGATCAACAGATACATTACAAGGAAGATCAAGTAAGAATCCTTGCGGAAGCACCTTTTAAGCCAAGTAGCAGAACACTGACTGAACACATAAACAGCCATTAACCATATGAATGTTCCCTTAATGCGTATAATGTATTAATTCATTCTTTCACCCATTTCAATACTTACTAAATATCTTCTATGTAAGATCATTTTGCAAAATGCAAAGGCAGATGAAAAAATGAAAAAGATATACAATCCTTGTATTTAAGGAACTTAATTTGGTATAAAAAACAGCTATAACAAAAGCTTTACAGCCATAATCACAATAGGAAAGATAAAGCACTACTAGATTTAAGAGACGATTGGACTGGCAGGGCAAGGCGAGGCAGCATGTGAGCCTGACCTGGTTACCTACCTCCACCCAGCCCTCAAACCATTCTACTGAGCAGATCTAGAAGAGGGGCAGGAGAGGATGAACTTCATGACAGCTACCTGCGGGGCACCAAATACAGGACAAGGAAGCAGGTATGACTCTACTTTGATGACTCAGGTCATGGAGGAGCCCATGATGTGGCAGGAGAGTGTAGGCAGCTCACCTCTGCACCACTCTGAACTGAAGGCCAAGAGTTACCGAGACCAGACACAGCTGGATGAGTTCCAACCTGATGGCTCCCAAGAATGCACAATAAAGCAAAAACAGGGTTTCTCTCAAAGTTTTCTGTAATTAATTTCTCGGAGTTTAGATGCTATGTGCAGTGCGTCAGCACCAGATCAGACTCTGCACTGGAGGCTTATTGGCAGACATGCTGCACGCTGGCTGAGCCTGCAGCCACAGGGACCCAGGGCCTGCCTCATGGCTCAGAGAAGCTACCCAGCAGGGTTTTAAAGGAATAAGAAAGCCACTAAGAAGAAGTAGACTGTGAGCTTACCCTGAAGGACTAGCAGGCTTCAGCCACTGCATGTGGGAGTGGGATGAAGAAGGAGGAAAAACATTCTAGATGGAAGTAATAAAGCTCAGAGGTGAAAAAACATGAGCAAAATGGAGTCAGGAAGTAGGAGCACAGCCAAGGGATGGCAGGCTGAAAAGGTGGGATCCTGAAAGGCCTTGGACTGTACTCTGGCACAAACTTCACTTGCCCAGGTGAGAGACTCACGATCGCTTAGTAGTAGCAGCTAATTTTTAGGTGGAAATTAGGACTACCATTTTATTACAATTCTCTGAGGGGCTCTGGGTTAAACCTCAGGCAATCAAGCAATTCTACAGACCAGACCACCCAGAAAATCAGCATGATCTTTAGTGGAAATGCCTGTTGGTCAGGCACATCTCTTTGTCCATCTTTTGCTCCTTTACAGTTGGACGAATTCTAAGCTGCCTTTTTATTAAAGGCACCTGTCACAGTATACGAGCTAAGTGTCTGGGGAGTACCTTGACCAACTGCCATACTCCTCTAGTCTCCCAGGTAGGGAATATGTAGTATTTCATAGTTGTCTGTCTGACTTCACAGTCTGACCTGGTTGGGAATTCTAGCTTGGCACAGGAATAAGGGCAAGTCACTGAAACTGCAAAACTAACATGGCCCAAACAGATAGAAGTGAACGGGTGAGAAGGCTGTGGGTGAAACAAGCCAGCCTCTGGATGCTTCCTGCCCTTTTTTCCTAGACCCCTCTTAGCAGAAAATAGTGCTTCCCCTCTGCACTTAACTACCTGTGCTGTGCAGAAAACGCACACATAAAAGCAGCATTTACAAAGAAATTAAATATTAAAGGCAACATTACAATCTCATGTTGAAAGAAGCACTTCGCTGATAGCACACAGCAGCATTTGCTGATGAATCACAAAATAAGCAATTGTTATGTATGTTGAAAAAAAATCAATCACTTACCATTTTTATTTCTCTCATAGCCTGTTTGGGTTCCATCCTTTATTTCAAATTTAAAGGGCAAAAGGGGCACACAATTATAACATACAGAGAGCTTTATTCTGAATACTTATTAAGTGCCACCAAACATCTTTCAGCTGATGGGTGGGGAAAGAAAGCCTCCTAAACCACAAAATAGGTGTTTTCTAAGTACTTCTGTATTTGCATTTTTATTTCTTTTTATGTTCGTATTAAAGAGCACCTATTTCCTAAAGGAAATTCCATTATTTGAAATTACTGTTTACACAAATCCTTACTCTCATTGGATAAAGCATTTATTAGTTGAACTCAGAATTACTGAATTATTTGGTTAACAAAAGTCACCGTCCCTTCTGATACAACTGTACCCTGCTAGAGTCACTGATGTGTATGCTCTCCACCCTATAAAAATCTACCCAGATTCGTTTAATTACTTATTACTTAGAAGAACTCCTTAACTCTATTCAACTTACCCAGTTTTAGATCTCTCTGAATTAATGTTGGAAACTATAATATTTTAATGATTGAATTCACATTAGTTAAATTAAAGGACACATAATTTTCCCATATGGCACAATTTAGGAAGGCTGGCTTACAAGCTCTCTATTGCTCCAAGAACAAGCAAAAAAAAAAAAAGATCTTTGTTTATTATGAATATCAGGTATGATTTGCTATTGGCATTATGGAAGCAAGGACTAGTACACATTTTCTATTCATTTTTGGCCTTGGGCCTGAAGGCCTAAAGGTATCTGAGAAAAAAAACAACAGGATAAATCAAAAATAAGAACTAATTATCCTTAGCAAGATTTGTTCTTGGGCAGTACAAATATCCAACAGCATGAAAGGTTGCAGCTGTGGTTTGCTGACGTTTTTTCAGAGAGTAGTGTATAGTTCCTCAAATCTCTGTTTCATGTATGTTTACTGAAACACATGCATTTATGAGGACCGGGGTGGAACAGTAAAGGTATCTCTGATTCACGGATGTGCAATGAAGAAATTGTGTCCCACAAGTGAGTTTCAAGCACCTCTATCCTGTCCAACTTCCCCCAGGCATTTTTTAACAGTTTAGATGAACCTTTGTAGATATTCCTGCTATATATACTTACCTTGGTTAGAGTGGTTGGGAAACGGAACAATAAAAAGATCTCATCATTTTCCTTTGATAACTACACAAGCTGCTACGCTGGGGTAGTCTTCCTTTTCTGAACACCAGAAGCTATCCCAAGGCCCCTGAGTGCATCTGACCCTTATTAGAAACTGTCACCCATGAATTGTTCTGTCTGTGACCTGCCACAACCTCTTTGCCTCTTGTCTTTCAATTATGCTAGCAGCAGCCCACATTGAGGAAATTTATGATTGAGTTGAAATACCCACACACTGTGTCTCCAAATAAAACTGAGGAAACAGTGATGAAAAGCTATAAAGTCAATGCAGTGCAGACATGTCCCGGGTGACCTTTCAGAGGAAGCACCTTTTCAGGGGAGACAACTGCAGCTGTGAGAAGAGTTAACTCAGTATAGGGTTCCTCCGCATGGACACTGGCTGTCCAGTCCAGAGCCCATCCCTTCTCCTGTAGCCCCCAACCACCACCTTCCCCTACGTAAGTATCTCAGATGGTTGCTACAAGAGAAAAATCACGCAGCAGTGAGTTTGTAGATTCGTCTTCTAGATGAGATAAATTTGGGGTTTCCAATCTCAAGTGGCCCTTAAGGTCACTTAGAAATTCCTTTTACCCTTCCTGTGTCCATGTGTTCTCATTGTTGTGCACATGTACCCTAAAACTTAAAGTATAATAATAATAAAATAAAATAAAAAAAAAGAAATTCCTTTTACCTTTCCCAACTTAAGGAATGGACAAAAGGTAGTAAAACAGGCACTGTTAAAGCCTGAATCCTAACCCTGCCACCATGTGGCTTTGCACTGTATTACTCATCAGGATACTGCTTCCGGATTATTCAGGCCGACTTCCTTTGAGGACAAGTAAATGGTCAATATTTCTGCAGTGATCTATTTGTGATTAGAACAATGGGTCACTTCTCCAAGCTTAGTTGCTTCACTGGATAGGTAAAGATGGTAACAGCACCTATTCCTCATGAAGCTGCCCTTAAAAAGATAGCATACGTAAGAGGTTTAGCACAGTACCTGATACACAGTAAAAGGTAAATAATGCTACCCTTATCCTTCAATAAATCTGTTTTAAAACATTACCTCTCTTCAACCAGAACCAAAGTCCTCACATTCTAAAGACAGTCGTGCCTCTTCCTTCACCTAGATAATACCAGTCACGGGGAATGAAATTCCTCAACTTCCCTCCCCTCTACCTTCAGATCCAGAGACAGTTTCAAAATATTTATGCTTATAATTACTTAGACATTATACAACTAAGTACTTAATGCATTAATAGATTGCTATAGTACAAACTGATGTTTATAGTATTTTAATAACTGTACTTTAACAAAATTGTCTCCTCTGTAATCCTGTATATTTTAAATACTAAAAAGTATTTTTCTGACAAGAGGTCCATACGCTTTACCAAAAACTGCCAAAGGAGTCCAGGACACACACACAAAAAAACCCAGATGAAGAACAATGAAAAATGCGGACCATCCAATGCCAAGTGAGAAGCCTGGATTATAAGTTACATGAATACAGTAACAATAACCACGCACACATGTGAACAGAGATAAAATGAATAAGCAAAAATGAAGAACATCATGGTGTAATTAGGGGAGGCTTGAGTTTTCCGTTTTCTTTTTTCGTGTTGTTATTTTATTATTTTTATAATAATAATGAAAAAAGATGGAGCATAAACCCTGATTATCTTTAGAGCTATTTTATTCGTCGTATTGTTTCAGACTCAGAACTGGCAGATTCACTCTCACAATGAATCAACAACACCATGCTCCACCCTTCATTTTCCTGTGTTTCCTGTTAGCCATTAACAGGTCCTCAAAAGAGGGGTGGCCACAACAGAGGAGTAAGGTAAATTCAAACATGCACATTTTCTTCATGGAAGTAACACCACCCCATCTACATTACCTAAAATGTTCTTTTTCTGTCATGAAAAATTGGATGACTGACTCCAAACAGATATTGGACAAGCCCAGCAATTAACTCTTTAGCCAAAGAGTGAGAACGTTAACTTCTAAAAGTTCAATTAAAAGTAAATATTTTGTGGATGCTAGGCCACACTTTACCTATTCTTGGCATGGCTTTTATAATGCACTTTCCATTCTCCCTCTATTTCTTAATGGAATCTTCTCAATATTTAAAAATTCCATTTCTGTGAGATCTCTTCAAACAGAACAGTCAGTTACCCAAGCAGATGTGTGCAAGAACACGTTCATACTCTAAAAGACGTGTACCGCTTATGTTCTGGCTCACTGGCAATCATACAACTAAAGTGTGGTCTTCTATCACCTCCAGGACTTTTGTGAAAGATGAAGATTACCCAGTCCATCCTGGAATTCCTGCACCTCCATTTCTCTATGGGTGCCTATGTATCAATAAGAAGCCCACAGAAGAAGTGCCCAGCAAGCTTCACGGCAGTAAAAGACAAAGTGCCTCTAAGTGTAGCTACATATATATTTTACTGCTTCAACTGTGAGGCCAAAGTGGTAGTTTTCAATGATAAATTATGAAGAGAAACATATTTCTCTGGAATCCTATCCAAACAGCCCTGGTCAGATTAATGCAAAATGAGGACAGAGAAAGAAGAGTTCAAGGCCTCTAGTTTTTTGTAATAAAGGTAACACTTGCGGTTCATGATACTGCCATCAAAGCAGATTTTCAGGCTAACTCAATACCCTTACCCCCACCTGGCAGAGTAAAGGAGAGTGCATAGGAGTCCCAGCTCTCCCACTAAGATGCAGGTTACCATGTCCCTCTGAGCCTCAGGTTCCACAGCTGTACTTCAGAGGATTACTGTGGTGATTAATGGAATAATGGATACAGAAGTGCTCTATAAACAAAAAGAGGCATCACAAACACGGTCATTCCTACTATTTTCTTTCAAGGATGAAGAAGAAGAAGAAAAAAGAAACAGCAGAATGTAATAATACATCAGTTCTTTTCAGTTTGCCAATGCAAAAGGCCAAAGAGCTTGGGTATAAGATCCACATGGGACAAAAAAATCAGATCACCCCAGTTATCAGGGGTATATATGAAAAAGAGACAAAAAGTAAGGGACGTTAAACAAATAACACTTCAGGAAACAGCGCAGAGAAGCATGTGCTGAGCCCAGGGTCTGAGACCTGTGTCAGGACAAGCATCACCAACTCTTCTTCCTTCTTCTCAATCTAATCTCTACCAGGTTCCCTGGTCAGGCCTGCCTCAGCACCATGTGACTTTTCCTGCCCATGTCTTCCCAGTCGCAGGCTGATGTGCTCGTTCTTCAACCCTTGCTTCCCATTTTCATGGCAAGTGTGATGGCCAAGGCTTAACTCAATATTCTCAGTCTATGTTTCTCAGATTTATTTTTATGGAAAGAAAAAAAATCCTTGTCAGATTCAGGGTTTTCAGCCAGGACTTTGAAGTATTTTGTTCTTGTAGCCATGTTTAGTAAATTATTTTTTTATAAATACATTCACTAAAATCACACATCTGTCTAACTCTCAACAAAAGATAAGAAACTAGACATCTGTGCCCAAATATATTTCTTAAAGTATAGGGGATGTGTATTTCTGCCTTTTCCTAGAGGGAAAAACTCTTTCTTTAAATGATTTTAAGTATAAAGTGTTTTAGTGAAAAAAAATTCTATAGTAGTGGAGTGGAAAAAGTATTGTACTCTATTACTAGACTTGTGTGAAGTTTGCCGAAATCTTTTTTTTTTTCTTTTATTGCCTATGTTTATCCAGTTTGCCAAAATCTTCCACAGTTTTTACCTCTCTCCCAAGTGAATTCAGACCTCCACTCTAGACTTGTACTGGGTTAAAGCCAATCTCATGACAGTGACAAAAGAAAGTTTCCATTGAAAACCATCTGAGAGCCTCGAAAGAAAGAGTCACCTGGTCAGGTTCATTTGAAATATTCATGAACTCAACAGAAGATCAGATTAAAAATAGAGCCCCCAAGCAATGGAGGTTTTGGGGGGGTTTTCCTCAAATTTTAGGCTTTATAATGGTGTTTTCACAACCTGGCCCACCTGCCCATAAAATGCATCCATGCTCCACTAGTATTAATAGTTTCACTTGTAAACACATAATGGACATGAATAGGATGTACAATTCATTCTTCCCCTTGCAAGAAAAGTACAGTTCTCAGTAGTCACATATGAGAAATCATAACAATGGATTGATATTCTGGTGTGTGCCTATTTTTGAAAGTGACAGCTGGACACACTGGACATATCACAGGAAACATATATTCTTACAACGTGAGTCAAAGATAAACATGCCTAGAAAACTATACCTGCTGAGGGAAGGAGGAGACACCACACATCTAACAGACATGTAGAAATAGTGTTACGGTTTTGACTATTCTGCAGTTCTGAACCTTCTATGGGGAGGTCATTTATAAACACAAGCAGTCCATTCCAAAGTCATTCCTTCATTTGACCACACCAGGCACTAATGCAAAGGAAGCTTAACCCTTCTGAAAACATTTTAAACCTGACCAAATTAAAAGTAGCACCAGAGGAATTATTTTTTTTTAGCAAGAACCCACAAGCAATTTACTTGACTAGAGGAAAAAGTGCAAAGAAATCCTTTATCACAAAATAGCTTCTTGAATCTTTCTACCAATAAACCTCCCATCCCTCCAAGAATGCCTACCCTCCCTGCTGATAACAAGCTGTGGAGATAAATATTTTATTTTTTTCTACAAAACCCCAAATGATGTTTTCAAATAAAATAAAAATAAATCTACTACAAGCTACTGTCAAAAATGGTCCTAGAAGAGGTAAATGTCATTTTAAAGGCTGTGTGTCAAAATATTTAGGAGAAAGAATCTGCTTGTCAAGTTCCAACAGGAAGCTCTGAAGAGGTTATAAGTGCATCTATCAAATTTTCATCTACCTTAAGGCTGACCTACTGGGGAAACCACAGAAAGCCTAGCTCTGTGTAATGAGGGAGCTGGAAGGGCTGGGGGTTTCAAGCATTGGACAGCAACAAGGTCACAATCAAGTACAAAGAGGAGGCTTGGGGGATTCTGCAGTGATTCCCCAGGGAAGATGCACTGGCATGGGCAGGCAGGCAGCTGCATTCTGCTTTAAGCCACAGTTCAAGCTTAGGAATGGAACCCAGCTGACGGCCATTCAAAATCCCTCATGAGAACTCTGACCTCTCATGACTCTAGCAAAGCAGCACCCACCAAATCTGAGCAAAGGAAAGGCCGAGCCAGCAAAATATGGCAAGGTTTTGTTTTTCTGGGTTTTTTTAAGTCTAATTTAAAGTGCTTCCATACCCCCACCCTTTGGGAATTACATGCAGTGACTTTTTTTAAGCAAGGAAAATTTGGTTTTAAGGAGTTTATGGGAACATGTAACTTGGACTGGAAAGGTTATTTGCTCGGTATTAGGCTAAAAGCCAAAATCCACTTTTAACCAGAGATGATTTTCATATTATACCTCACAAGAGTATTGTGTCATGTGAGCAGGCTGCAGCGATAAGCAGTGAAGTGAAGTTATGACTTCCCCCAAAGACTCATTAAAATGTATTATTAAGTAGAAAAATTCAGAAAATCCAAAAGGAACCCGTCTAACAGTAAAAATGCTTTCCAACTTATTATTTCCTTTGCTCTGCCTCCCTACAAATACCACTGAGTCAATACTGTGAAGAACTCGATCCTGCTGCAAAAGATGAAAATGCCTCAAAGTTGTGTGCCACTATGGTGCTCTGTATATAATTTTTCCCTTACATGTGCTATGGAGGAACATATGATGACTTCAAGTGACTGCAAAAAAAATAAAATAAAATACACCTGTGAGGATTCTACAATTTGATTTTTTTACGTTATTCAACCCACAAAATACATTAAAACATGGTAAATTAGAAACATTTACCTAGAAAAAAATGGCACTTTCCAATTTTGATTTTTATAATTCCAAATTTTAGCAGCTCTAATATTTTTCTTTTTCCTTCCTGTTTTGTTTTTTAACTCATCTCGATTTTTTTTCTCATCAATTCTTGAAAATTTTCCCCCACCACTTCAATTTTTAAAAAGTAATGATTTCATTTAAGTCAGGCAAATGTGCTTTAAGAAAGCTGGACAAAATATCGGCTTTCTTACCAGATCCTACAAAAATGTGAAAGCACACTTGCAAAGGAGTTCCAAGCTGCTATGGAAACAGCTTTTTTTTTTCTTTTTCTTTTTTTTCCAAAATAACAGTACTCCTGGCTCAGGACTGCTGGCATGCAAGCTTCCAATCCAAGCCCATTGACAGCTTGTGGAGTGGACAGATGAGGCATGGAAAATATTTTAAATTAGTTCATTTATCTTGTTGAGACACAGGAAATGGCGACAAATCTCTCACATACGGAATACAGGAAGACAATGCACCTCCTGTAATATGTAGCAAATGTAATCCATTAAGACAAACCTTTCAGACGATTGCATATTATCTAATAATAGCCACCCCTCATATGTTGAAGGAATATTTTATCATTAAAAGATCCAGAAAGCTGGCTACAAATCATGGACTACTTCTGAATTTTAACAGACTCAAATTTTAGAAGTCAAATAGTTTTGAAATCAATGTTTTTGAGTGATCCTAAGCAGATTGTGGGTCAATACTAGTATAGAAAAATGTAATAAAGAACTGTAATTTCTTAAAGGAGAGTTTAAAAATGCCACATTTTAGGATAAGACAACAAGAGCTGGATTAAAGAGAGAATGTGATGCTCCCTTAAATGTGAATGAACAAAACAGCATTTCTCCTAGGTCCCATTCCAGGGTTCATATCAACGAGTACTTTTGGCCCCATGGCTCCTGCCCACTTTAAGGGTCCTTCCGAGGCAGACAAAGCAGGGCCTCCAGGCCTGGAGGAAGAAGCAAGTGGATACGGGGGAGCCAAACACTGCTCTCAGGATTGGTTGCACCAAAATCACGAGGAATCAGAGAATCCTGCTAAAGACACTGTCCATCTCTGCCCCGCCACCAGAAGTTCTGATTCATAGATCTAAGTGGGAGCCCAGAAATCTGTATTTTTGATAAGTAGTACCTCAAAGCAATTCTAGTGCAAAGCCACATTTAAAAATCACTGTAAGATTACAAATCGGCGTTCTCCATAAACTGGATGTAGATAGAATTTTGAAAAACTACGTGCCCTCTCACACAATTTTAAGTGGACACAAAATTTCTCATCATAAGTTTAAATAATTGTAGAAGCTATACTTCTTGTGGATTAAATATTGACATTTAGAAATAAAACATGTATCTCTAAATACCATTGTCATTTGATAACTCCATCATCCATTTAACAAATAAAAGAACAGGCTCTTCTTTCACGTTTTGTAGCATTCCTTATTCCCTTTAAATTTATATTACTCCTATTCCACTTTCCCTCCAGAATTTTAACTGAATGTAAGATAATTTTATGCCTGAAACTCTTTTAGTTATCACTGTACCATAATCCTCTTTAACAAAAATATGCATATTAATTGAAGTTTAATTTTTTTAAAAAATTTCCTATGACAAGACTCTAAGTTTTAAAAAACCTCTAGTTTGGCTATTATACTTATTTTCAGTTTATAACTGATCAAAGCTACACATGTACTATAACATTGGTAATTATTAAAGAAAAAAGTATATTTTTATTGGAAATGTATCTCAGATAGATGAAGCCTTTAAAAATTATTTTATGAATGTATGTTACAGACTGCTGGAGTTAAGGCATGTTTCTGTGTCATTTTAATTATATTTTTCTTTTTTCAAAAAAAAAAGCCTTCATATTAAAAACTAAATGGGATTTGAGGGGTTTTGTTGCAGTAATGTCTCTTTCTGAGTTATATGCGAACTCTTTCTGAGTTATATGCCTAAACGCACGCTGGTCAGAACCCATCACTGTGTATCAGCTGACATCATTTGGGTACTCCTTTAATTCTGTCAAAAGTGAAAAAAAAAAAAAGAGCCACGTAAGTTGCAATAAAAAGTCTTGTTGTCCACCTACTTGATTCATTCCCTTTTCCAGCTTTATGAGAGCCAGTATTTTGCATCTGGCATGCCAGAGGTCTTCAACCACAGGGCAGAGTACAACGGTGAGCTCAGAGACGCATGGAGGATCACAGATAGATGGCAGAAAGACCAACTGTCTGCCCCACTCTGTGAAGGAGAGGGGACAGGAGACCCTGCAGACTGCAGGCTGGCTCTCAGGCAGATCAACTTTAGAAAAAAGTATGTTTGAGAGTTGGGATATAGAAAAGAACTGTCCTTGTAACTGTCTTTATAAAGGGTACATGGGTGTGTGTATGTATCAGCTGGAAGACCCCGGCCAGATGATCCTGCATGCATAGTCCATGATCTCAGGAATCTGCTGGTAACCCCGTAGCAGTTATCTGAGGAGAAAATCAAAGGCCAGAGAACACACTCAAGGCAATCCAGACAGGATCAAAGGCTGAACAGGGTGGTGCCCAGCACAGCACTTACCTAAGGGCAGTGTGGTAGGAGGAGCAGATGGACTGGAACTGAGAATGAGGGTGGGCGTCTCTCTTAGAGCAAGCCTATTCCAATGTGGACTCACCCATTTCTCACAAGCCTCACCTTTCTAAAAAAGATCCCATTGAGAAACACAGCATAAAGTGTGGATGATTACTTGCCTCTGTGACAGACGGCATATTTACTCAACAGAGTAATAACTATTCCGATGCTGGTGTTGCGGCAATCACTGTATATGAGAGGGGACACACAAAAATGCTGTTTGGCCTAACTCAGAAATTCATAATTAGGGCCAGTGGAGTTATAAAATACAGAAATATCTACCAATTTTAGATGATATTAAAAAATTCCTGTTTGCTCTAGGATCAAATATGCTGGAAAAGAATAACTGTTTTTGTTTTTTTTGAGACGGGGTCTGGCTCTGTCGCTCAGGCTGGAGTGCAGTGGCATGATCTCGGCTCACTGCAACCTCCGCCTCCTGGGTTCAAGCAATTCTCCTGCCTCAGCCTCCCGAGTAGCTGGGACTACAGGCGCATGCCACTATGCCTGGCTAATGTTTTTGCATTTTTAGTAGACACGGGATTTTGCCATGTTGGCCAGGCTGGTCTCGAACTCCTGACTTCAGGCGATCCACCTGCCTCGGCCTCCCAAAGTGCTGGGATTACAGGCATGAGCCACCGCACCTGGCCCAATAATTTTTTTTTTAATGAAAAATAAAAAAGAAAGAAAAAGGGAAAAAATATCTAAGTTCCTCTGAGACTGCATGCTCCATTCACTTCAGGAGGGGTTAACGCATAGGCCCAGTGGGGAGCTCCGTTTTCTATAAATGCTCAGATTATCCCACCACGCAGTCTGAGAAGATAAACATAACAACAGAAAAAATAAATTAAAATATAAAAAAACCCTCTCGCTCCTATGAGCAGGGAAGGAGTGGCAGGAACCATAAACCTAAACACCAGCCTTCCTCTCACAGGTTTCAATATGATGCCATCCTCAAGCAAAATTAAATGTCATCCTAGACCAGAGCTGTTCCAGGGTCAGCCATCATGACCCCGTATTTTACAGTGTAAAAGTCAGGTTAACCAACAGACCTGAAAAAAGCCTGTTTTTCTCCCTCTTTGTTGTTCCTCATAGTTCTCTCTAAACAATTAGATTTTATTAGAAACAACTTTTGGCACAGCACACTGGCTCTTTGAAACAAGGAAAAAGAAAAAGCAAGAAAAATCTTAGAATGGGAATTCTGCAACTGAAAAAAAATCATTTGTTTTAGAGATGAAGAAACTGAGGTCCGAAGAAGTGTTTACTCACTGCCACACAACAATGGCCCTGAGCCAAATATGCCCCTTCAAAGCCCAGTGTGCTCCTCCTCTGCCACAGGGCTCCAATGCCCCTTCCTGGTTTCATTCTGCCTTGCCACTCTGGCCATCTCTCAGTACTCTGCTGTGCTGAGTGCCTTTCCACCTCAGGGTCCTCGAATACACCCTTCCTTTACCTGGGTAACTGTTTTCCCAACCTTACCTTCATCTTGGCCACACCTACTGATCTTTTAGTTCTTAAATGTCATTCCTTCAGAGCCATCCACTCTTGACCCTCCAAATTAGGCCAGGCCCCCTGATGGGCACTCTCATGGCACAACACTTCTTCATAACTAATCATTTGTTTAACGTATCTCTCTTCATAGATCTATGAGGCCCAAGAACACTTGAACCCATATGTTCTTGTTCATCTTTATAAGGAACTGCTCAGGAACTGGAACATGGTAAGTGCCCATTCAATATTTGTAGATAAACTTAATGAAAATAATCAACTACATGTCAGATATTGCTTTGAGGGTATTACATGTTCCATTCATTGAGGTAAGCAATAGTATTATTACTGTGTTACAGATGAAGAAACTGAGCCACAGAGCAGTTCAAAAACTACACTAAGATCATGCAGCTCCTAAATGGACGGATTGTTTAAAATATATACAATGTAGCACTGGGAATCATTGATGATAGCAGCCTTATGAATAGTCATGCAGACCTACACAAAGCCATAATCAATGCTTTGAAAGTTATTAAGGAGAAGGCCTATTAACATAATGGACCCTATTCTAGGGCACTATGTGGGCATTTTCTAAAAGCACTTCATAATAGACTATCTATCATTCATGTTCCAGTAACAATCATCTCTAACACCACAGTGGCTAACAAAACGTTTGTCTTGCTCATGTTGAATCTTGGTTGTGGCTCTGCTCCAGGTCTTGCTTAAGCTAGGACCCAGGCTGAGAGAGCAGCCCCTATATGAACTATGCCATTCTCACAAATGGGAAAACAAAGAGAGATGGTGGCACCATGTAGTGGCTCCGAAAGCTTCAGCTGAGTAGTGGCACAGGTCGTCAACACCTGTGTTAAGTTAGAAGCCCAGAGCTCATGATCTTTTCTTCCTAAGCTCCCCAGCACAGTTAGAAGCAAGAAACTAACGCCATTAAATTCCTTATTTTCACTAAAATGTTCTAAGACAGCAAACACTAGGTTACCCAGAGCCTTGACTGCCCTCAGCATTTGATTACAAGGATCCAAAGATGATAATTTGAGTAACTCTGCCCTGCACACTATAATTCTCCATAGCTTTTTTGTCCTCTCTCTATATAATGTTTTTACTCATAGGATCTTTGCCCAAATGAAAAATCCCCGTTGAGGAATTCAAATCAAATTCTCACAGAGTTACAGTGGACACAACCTCTTCTATCTTACCTTTGAAAGAAGTGATGATAGGGAAGGAACATAATCTATCCAACAATTTTACTGTTTAAACAATGCAATCACCTTGACACACACACACACACACACACACACACACACACACATCAGTCATGTGCTACATGGGACGTTTCAGTCAATGACAAATGGCATATCCCATGGTGGTCCCATAAGATTGTAATACCTAATTTTGGCTATATCTTTTCTATGTTTAGATATACAAGTACTTAGCATTGTGTTATAACTGCCTACCATACTCAGTACAATAGCATGCTGTAGCAGCCCCATGAAGGCTAGGAGCAATAGGCTATACCATATAGCCTAGATGTGTAGTAGTCTATGCCATCAAGGTTTGCATAGGCACACTCTATGTTTGCACACAGACAAAACTGCGTAATGATGCACTTCTCAGAATGCATCCCCATTGTTAAGCAATGCACACTGAATATATCTAATCCAAAAGTTCAAAGTCCAAAATGTTCCAAAGTTTGAAATTTTTGAATGCCAACAAAACACTCAACAGAAATGCCCATTGGAGTATTTCAGATCTTAGATTTACAGATTAGGAACAATCAACCAGTAAGTATATAATGCAAGTATTACAAAATCCAAAATCTGAAACACTTCTGGTAACAAGAATTTTGGATAAGAGATACTCAACCTCAATGTGTATATGGGTCTATGTGTGTGACTTGAAATACTGACTCAGAATGGGGAGGAAATGTTCCTGAACTGTTGAGTATATCCAGGCTTATGAACACAGAGAACTCTACTTATTCGATAAATAATTTAAAAAATGCAAGCACTTCATAAAAATAGATAATAGAGAAACTGCAGGTCCATCCCTGCTGGAGGCTGAACTATAAACAATGGCTATTAATATCAATAGTAAACAAAGAAAAAGTCCTTAATGTTTGGTACTATATTTTATCATTTCTCCTAAATCTGACAATTTTTTTTTGCATACAACTTGATTATTAATTCTACTGAACAAAAGGCATAAGTCCCTTTTGTCAGCTCTGTGTTTTGCTACTGCAAATGCTTGACAAAATTGTCTGCTTCATTGTTTATTCCCTGTAGATCTTCCTGCCTTCAAGGAAGCAGCTCTAAAGCAGTGTGGGATTTGGAGCCACGCGTGACAACACAGTAGGCTTGAGATGAAGTGTCAAGTCAGCAGACAAATGCCAGCTGAGGGAACAAAGCAAGACTCTCACAGGAAAAGGACTGCCCGCAGCCCCATGAAGGCACCCTGAGACTCACGGATGGGAAGCAATCAGAGCTCTGTATCTGCATAAGGCTACTGAAAAAGCCATATCCCTTCCACCATCAGCCCTGGTGAGGACCCAAACTGAAAGGCTCTGGAAAATCCAGTGATGGTTTGTGGCATCATTCTTAACGGGGTGCCTTCACCCCTAGTGCCTTACCTTGGTCACAGTATTATGCCTGCTTGGGCTCTCTGTGTAACTCCCGCTGAATCCCACTTGCTAAAGATTCTGAAACGAAACTCAGGTGGAACACACATTATTCCTAATGGGCCTTCTGGTCTGAGTCTCTCTGTACCATTCTGGTGGGCTAAGGTGGAAAGAAACCTTCTAATGCCCATTCCAGGAGGATTCATTCATAATTTAAGCCTTTCCTGAGTATAAACTCAGGCCCCATGTGAGGCTGTAGTGACACAAACAAGTCAGAGTCTTTGTCCTGGAGGCACGGCAGAATCTCTAGAGAAGGTGGTTTCAGAAGCATTTATTTGATGCCTTTGTTCTCAGGGCCACCATGATGCTTTTCACAGGGGCAAAGGCCAGGCTAAGTGGAAAACACCTGATATCTAGATATCGACCACCAAAACACCTTTCTAAAAAGTCCATTAGCCGGCAACTAGCTCTCTGGGTTCCTGCTCTGATTCAATTTCTAAAGGAGCAAGCACAAGAGATATATAATGTTCATCCTGTCCCTTGAATTTCGGAGGTAATACATGCCTTTCCGTACCAGCACCTGGTCTATCTTCTACCATTAGCCCCTCTGAACTCATCTCCAAGGCTTTAGACACATGCTTTGCAAATAGTGGAAATCCCAAGGATTCATCAACACGAACATTTCCTCATGCAGCGTAATTATCGTACTTCCAGATTTCCCCATTATCCCTGTAGGCTCTGGGCTCGTGAGGTGTTTAATGTTTTTCCAAAGAAATGCCAGGTGTGATTCTGGCATTTATGATTGCCAACATCTTCAAAGTGGAATGCCAGGAACACACTACTGGAGACATTTTCAGTCAATGGGGCAGCACTACCTGTGAGATCAGATGATTTTCACTCATTCACCTGCAGGACAACAGCACAGGCTTCCCTCTGCTGTTCCTCACACACGGTGAGTTTGGTATGCTGGATGGGGCACTGGTAGGAATACTTCCCTAAAGTTATTTAAAGCTCTGTGCACGCCAGCCTTGCCAAATCATAAAATTAGGAAATTGCATTCAGTCAGACTAAGTTCTTCCCTTAGCGCTTTAGGCACCTAGTTATTCTTCAATTTCTTTCCCACAAACACTTGGCCCAGGTCCTGAAGTCCACCCCATATCTACGTGTCTACGTGGCACATAAAAGAGATTCAGGGAAGAAGATGGAACAATAAAACTTCAGGTTTACTGACAACATTAAGTGAAGTAATCCCCCTCCACATACTTTTCTTACAGGAAGATCAGTTACTCAGCCTTCCCATTCACCTGCCTGATGTGAATCTACAAATATTTTAAGAGGGTAATTTGTAAAAAGACTTACAATAGCAGAAGTTGTTCAAGCTGTAGCATTAGTCTCTGTCGTGTGCCTTAGGTTTGCCCACACATTTAGCTCATTTACACAAGTGAATCACTAAGGGCCTGTTTATTAATCAGGTCAACCAAGACTTATTTAAACTACTAGCTAACAGCCCTCTTTTATAAACTAGTGGTCAGTGAACGTTTTTGCTTACAATTCCCCAGAAGAATTCTGGAAGACTATAACGCGCCTTGAATGTTAAAGTTGAGATTTATGGGGTTGTACTGTTTTTAACTTTAAGGTGAAATAGATGCAAAAGGACATTATTTCCCAGCATAGAATTCCAGAATATAATTATATGTGCGCTTAAATTATATTTTTTGTCAAATTTTGAGACAGCAGATTCCAATTTATGTAAAATGTCTGCCCCAAATATAAAACCCAATAGACAAAGGCAGTCCTCATTATCAAAGCAATCTGCCAAAACAGACTTGTTTTTTATCTGAAAAAGTCTGAATTCCTTTTGCAATTCAAATAAATTGTATTAATACACATTCCCATATCAAGCATTTCACTTCTGAATTCTAAGAGAAACAATCAACAGTGAGTAAAAGACAGTCCCAACTATACAATGGCCTTAACACAACAGAACCTCACTTCTTGCTCAGATAACAGTACTGGGCTGGCAAATAGTTCAGTGGGGTAGCTCTCCTCCACAGCCATTTAGGGGCCTAGGCTGACAAAGTGCTGTGATCTCAACATTTGGGCTCTAGGGTCTCTTTGCAGGTCAACTCCATTTCAGAAAACAGTAAGGAGGAGAATACATGGGGGTTATTTAGGAGCCAAACCTGAGAGTAATATATTTCACTTCTGCTCCAATACCTGTGGCTGTGCTCCTACCAGTAAGGGAGGCTGGGTTATGTGGACTAGTTGTGGACCAAGAAGACACCATGGGTTTGAGGGAATGCCTAGTGGATAAGGTACATAAATTCTGCAATAAATCCATGGCCTAGATGAAGTGCCATTTTTTTTTTTCAGTATTTATTACCTAATCTATCTCTACTTTGCTCTTTTGAGACTTGCCCTCAAAGCCTGTACCTTTATCTGTTTACCTGGGAGTGATGCATTTATTCTGTAAAGCAAAAGAAGTTGTGGGAAAGGAGAACCAGCAGCCCCTTCCAAGGTTCACTCTCATGCAGATCAAGCTTGGGAAAGAGTACATGTTAAAAGTTGAGGGCCAGAAAATTAATTCTCTAAGAGATATCAGTGCATTGTACTTCTAGGAAAGTCTTCATTTAACCCTGGAATACACGGATCCCAGTTTAGGAATCTCTATTATATAAAGTATTACAAAACACATAGAATCACAGAATTCGACTATGCAGAGTGTAAGTGCCATTTATAGAGGTGAAAAGTGAGGTAAAGGGTAGTTTGTTCAAAGTCACTCTCAGGCTGGGTGCCGTGGCTCACGCCTCTAATCCCAGCACTTTGGGAGGCTTAGATGGGCAGATCACTTGAGGTCAGGAGTTCAAGACCAGCCTGGCCAACATGGCGAAACACTGTCTCCACTAAAAATAAAATATTAGCTGGGAGTGGTGGCATGCACCTGTAGTACTAGCTACTTGGGAGGTTGAGGCAGGAGAATCGCTTGAACCAGGAGGCAGGGGTTGTAGTGAGCCAAGATCGTACTACTACATTCCAGCCTGGGCAACACAGCGAGACTCCATCTCAAAACAAACAAACAAAAAACAAAGTCACTCTTGTAGAGATTAATGTATATAATGGGGCTATTCTTTACTTCAACAAACTCATTTTGGCCTTTGGCACTAAAGAATATTTCTGGCTTTTTATTACATGTTGAATAGAAGAGTTAATACAACAGGCCTGAAACTGTTATGCCTTGAAAGTTCTGCTTCCAAGGTTGGCCCCTGGCAGACATACAGGAACTTGAATTTCAGGAAGCTTGCCACCATTCATTGATAAGAATGGCTCACTGTACCAAAAATGTACTAACAATATGGTTTATGCTGAATCTGTAAACCTGCTTTTCTTCTGGGAGTCTGAAATTTTGGTACATGCTAGGCAGAGGGTGCCTATGTGATCAGCCCTCAATAAAAACCTGGGCACTGATGTATAAGCAAACTTTGCTTTGTATCCTTTCACTGCAATAAATCTTAGCTGTGAGTACAACTACATGTTACATCCTGTGAATTCTCCCAGTCAATCATCCAATCATGGGGTTGCTCATGGACACCTCCAGTGTACATGTAAGTTACATCCAACAGATAAGTATAGATTGATTTCAAGATATTTAAGAACATTGTAAATATAGATATTTCAGCATATTTGTATTTAAGTTATTGTTTTGGCTATGGGACCTCTAGAAAAGGATGAAGGTAATTTATACTCAAGCTAATTAAACTATGGACCTTTAAAATGCAAGACAATAATGGAAAACATGTAAAATACAGACCTTGGGCTTGGCTAGCAAGTAAAACAAGGATTCTCTGAAAATTACTACTAAAGATATCAGAAGAGAACCTTCCATGTTGAAGAGAACCATTAAGGAGAACATGAATATGGAATTGTGAACATTAATAAGAAAAATGTGTCCAGCATTTTAAAGAAAGAAAAAGAAAAGAAAACCCAGAGGCTCTGTGTTGAAGACAAAAAAAAAAAGGAAACCTAGGAACAATTTCTCTGCTAAAAGCTGTGTCCATGTCCTTCCTACTGGGGTCACTAGGCAAAGTTATATAAAAAACTATGGTGTTTAAATAACATTTTATCTGATTTAATATTTTACTTTTTTCCCATTGATTTTACAAGCTATAAAAAAGTTCCTACAGAAAAGCTGCAAATTACACCACAGCATGTATAAATTATTTTTTTAAAAAGCACCCAATATCCTGTCATCCAGAGACAACGACAATATGGCATATTCCTTGAGTCTTCTCCCAATGCATTAAAAAATAAATAAATAAATGGGAACATTCTGGATATAATTTGTCTTTAATTTTTTTCTCATCAAAACTTGATTTTTAAAGAAATATTAGAAACATTAATTAAACAGACATGTTGATCAACTTTCCTTTAATTGTGCTGGAGATCCTCACATGTGGAACCTGGAGGTCTTTGATCCCAGAGCCTAAATATCTGCTGGCCAAAACACCTGAGAAACCCAAGGTAAGAGGGTGACCATGTGTTTCCTGCCATGGCTCAGACATGCCATTATTTGACAAATATACAGAAATTAGATAGACATCTTTCTCTGTAGACTGACTGGTCTGCAAGTTGAAAATGTGGTGCATGCACTGTGTTGCCTTGATGGGCTGACTTACATTGTGAAGTCCAGGCAATGATGATGAGACTCAGGATTGATGAGGCAGCTTAAAGGTGTTCCTGGGAGTCATAGACCTCCCACTTCTCTTGACTCCACCATATTCCAGAGGCAGTACAGCCAGCAAAATGGTTGAGCAGTTCTGTCACTTAGTGGCTGTATGAGCTCAAATTATTGAACTCTTCTTAGCCCCAGTTTTACAAAATATAAAATGGGAATAAAGATATCAATATGAAAGAGTTGTTGGAAGATTACTAGACAATGTCTGGCCTAGTGCAGAGCTGCCAAAATGAAAAAGAATATTCAACACAAAAACATTAGTATAGCTTACAGATAAATGCTAAATAGCATGCTATTCTATTTCATATTTACTTTTTTTTCAGCCGTAGTTGAGGGGAGGGGCATAGGATGACAACTATATGTCCAAAGCAATGTAAATACGCAAATCAAATTACAAGCACTAATCCAAGATCCATGCAAATGGCATCTTTAATTCACCATATTGTAGGTGTTGCATCTTGAATGCCAATGACCTCTCTTCCCACAGCATGTGTGATAACATGAGCTTCAGCAACAGGTCCGTTCTCAACATCTGTCAGCCCAGTGTCCACATCTGTTTCGATAGCATATATCACCCAGATAGAACTTTGATGAATGAGTGATAGTTTTCACCTAAACTCAAAATACGTTCAGTTGCTTTGTTGTGCAGCAAGAAGGAAGGATTCAGGCTGACAGACATAGAGTGGATTCTCTTAGATTCAAGCCTCTGGGCCTGTGATGTGCTGTAGAAAAATGGTGTAACTTCTGAGACTCCTATTATAATGCCTCCATGCTACAGGAGACAACCTCAGGATGCATCCAAATCATTAACCTGATGCACCTTGGAAAGCTTTTGATTCCAATGACAATTTTTGAGGCTGTAGTAGGACACGTTGGACTAAATCACAAAGGGAAAGGGAAACTCTAGGATACAGAAAGTACATTAATCAAAGGAAGTCATTTTACCCCACATAGGAAGTCAACAAATGAAATTTAAAAAAATTAAACACAAAGGTGTGAGGATCCAGAGGAAAATGACAGATACAAAAGGGAAAGTCCAGGGTCTGACTCAATCAGGAGCTCAGGCTATTGTATCCCCATCCTAAACACGATGCTGGCTGCTCCCATGGAGAATGAGAAACAGCATCTGAAACAGTGGCGGAGGGGATGTAACTTTCCTAATGAATTGATGTTTTCACAGTGAGCCTTCATTGTTATTGTTGTTGTTGTTACTGTTGCTGTGTCTAGATTCCCAGCCTTCCCTGAAAAACACAATGCAAATTTTAAAAGTCCAATATGCCAGATTTTAATAAATTATAGTGAAAATAGCATGGGCTTTAGCATGAGACAAACTAATTTAATCCCAGCTCAGACACTTCCCATATGTATTCCTTGAATAAACTGTTTACCATTTATGTTTCCTTAAAAATCATCTAAGTTTCCAGTAAAAATGGTTTGAAATTATGCTTAGCATAAAGTATCGCAAGAGGAAGATTTTGGGTTTTTTTTTCTTCTGTTGTTCTTGCTGTTGGTTTATTACAGTAGGATGGCCAGAACTGGGCCTGGCAAAGAAGAGACTGAAATACCAAATATATACAGTAGTGTGGAGGATCACAAAGATAACACATGTGATGGCACCAGGTACAGCACTCAGTGCAAGGCTCACATGCCATAAATGTTCGTTCTATCCCATAAGCTGTGTTGCTGTTCTTTTCTATGACTGAGGAAAAGGGAGGGTTGACCTACTTTGAGAATAAACTAACAAATTATCACACCCAAGATTTAAATTTTCACCCAAATAAAAATCCTCAGAATGGATCACACCACTGCACTCCAGCCTGGGTGACAGGAGTGAAACTCTGTCTCAAAAAAAGAAAAAAAAAAAATCCTCAGAATGATTAAAGAGTATGCCCAGGAGATGGAGTCTCCCTCTTTTCTTCACCAGCTTGTCCTTCCTGATAAGCAGTGTTGCTGTAACAGAATACCTGAGATTGGGTAGTTTATAAAGAAAAGAGGTTTATTTGGCTCAAGATTTTGCTGGCTGGAAGGTTCAAGATTGGGCATCTGCATGTGGTGAGGACCTCAGGCTGCTTCAACTCACTGTGGAAAGCAGAAGTGGGGTGGGAGTGCAAAGAGATCACATGGTGAAAGAGGGTATGAGAGAGAAACCGAGGAAGCCAGACTCTTTTTTACAACAAACTCTCTCAGGAGCTAACTTATTCCGTCAGTGAGGACTTAACCCATACAGAAGGGCATTCATCCATTCATGAGGGAAGCACCCCAGAGACTCAAAAACCTCCACTAGGTCGCACCCCCCAACACTGCCACACTGGGATCGAGTTTCAACATGAATTTTGGCAGAGACAAAACACATGTGATGAAACCATAGAAGATGAAACAGGACAGTTGAACTTCAAAACACAAAACCAAAAACAAACCATTAACCGAGCATAGACAGAATGGATTACCAGTCATTTTACTACATGTAAAGAGGTATTATGCGCTGGGATCCGTTCTGGGGGATGCTGAACAAAACACCTGACTGCAGAATTGTCTGACTGACTGCATATCATGCCCACCATCACAGCTGGGATGCTTTCTGCTGGGGTCCAGTTGGGGAGAAAGTTGTTTCATATCCCTACTTTTGTTCAAGAAAGAGGAGACTCTGTTTATTGCTCTTCATATACAAATTAATGAGTTCATCATTCTCAAGGATGAAAATCATCCATTCGCTGGGTATGGCAGGAGATCTTGTCAGACATCCTGAGACCTTTGTAAACTCCTAAATTCATGATGTATTCAAATAGAATACATACCTTTTCATGTAAAATGTGCATTCAGATATACAGAAATAAAAACGTATCAGCATGTCCATGCTGGATGGGTAGGTAGGCTCACTCATTATCTTAGTGATACCCTATACAGCAGCCAAAAAGGCTCAGCAAAACAACTAATTCAATGATCTAGTCCTTTAGGGTTAATAGCAAGTAATGAAAACTGCAAATAGTATATAGGTAAATTGCTAAATCTGAATTTAATAAGATGCCTGGAATATTGCAAAAATATATGCATTCCTTTATAATATAAAGACAGTCACGTGGACTTGATCAAAACTTACTTATAAGCTGAAAAATAACGTGGTCAAACATCATTTATACGTGACTTTCTAAACAAAAGTTTTCATTCTGATTGAGATTCAAGAATAGATTATATAAAAATTGCTCAGCAATGCTGGGCACAGTGGCTCATACCCGTAATCCCAGGACTTTGGCAGACCAAGGTGGGTGGATCATTTGAGGTCAGGAGTTCGAGATCACCCTGGCCAACATGGTGAAACCTCATTTCTACTAAAATATACAAAAAAATTAGCCATGCAAGTTGGCACATGCCTGTAATCCTAGCTACCTGGGAAGCTGAGGCAGGAGAATTGTTTGAACCCAAGAGACAGCGGTTGCAGTGAGCTGAGATCGCGCCACTGCACTCCAGCCTGGGTGACAGAGCGAAACTCCAACTCAGAAAGAAAAAAAAAAAATTTGCTCAGCACTTAAAAGATTCAGATGTTAGGAAATAAGCTCAATACTGACATCCTTTTTCTCTATAAAGTAAGATGCACTACAATCTTTTTATTTGAAGGGAAGATTAGTTTGCTGTTCTTTAGATAGCAAATTCCTGTCTAGAACTGTCTTTTTTAAAAGCTGTCAATGCTAAAATGTTATTTCTGGTTAACAAAACCCATGTGCCCACATCACTATGAGTTAGGTTTCCGAGACACCTGCCACAAGTGGAGTTTATTAGATGATAGATGTATGCGTCTCTCTGCACCTCTCTGAGGCTTTTAGCTGTCTCTGACAGACCAACTGTTTGTCAAAGCTTTCCAACAGATCTGACACCAGGCAAGAGTGAACTACAATTTGATGGGCCCTGCAAGGCTAATGGTACCATGTGAGGATATGTTCAAACTTAATTTAAGAATATTTCTCCCATTCACCTGCAGCCTATATCTCCCAAGGGCTGAAATAATGCAGATATAGTTTTATCACACTGCACACATTTAAAGTACTCTGAAATGAAAAGTAAAACAAACAAAAAACAGGGAGTATAACTGAACTGAGATAATCGTTTTCTTGGAAAATACTGGAAACAATTAATTTCTGCATCTCCATGTTTGTTTTCAGCCTCTGAGAATATCGGGAAGCTACCACCACAAAGGTGAGTATAGCTTAGTGGGAGAGAACATGGGAGTTGGGTCAGGAGTCCAGGATTTACACAGCTCTTCAACTATTATCTATATAACATATAAAATAAGAGTTGTCATAATTACTTCATGAGTAAATTACTGAAACTTACTCAGTGCCAACCATTGTGCTAACATCGCATATATCTCATTTAATCTGCAATGAGAAAATTATCACAATGAAAAAGCAATAGAAACTGTAATATCTAATTAATGATTCTGGCAGTAGGATTTTAGCTACAGAAATAGCTATGTTAGATCGGAACATTCTAAATGGAGGTAGATCTATGCCAAAAGCATTCTAAGAAGAAGATTCCACCCCTGAGAGTCCCATGTCGTCCAGAGGAGAGTAAACACTGAGCATGGGGTGGAATGTTGCTGTCATGGACTGTAGCTCTCATCTCCCAAAACACTTCCCCTTCTCTGATCATCTACATTCTTTCCTCTCACTACTTCTCCTACTACTTTTCTTCACCACTTTGTCCTTCTCCCTACATCACTGAGCTATCATTAGTATCAGTCATTTCCACAGTCAATCTACTAACATTAAAAATGTGGTTTTGATGATTACACAATGTATACATGTATCAAAAGATCACATTGTACCCCATAAGTATGTACAATGATTGTACATCAAATGTAAATGAAATCTTTAAAAACATATAGGGTTTTATATTTAATTTTCAAAGTGCAACGTAAATAACATAAAGTTCATCCTTTAGTGTGTATACTTCTGTAAGTTTCCACAAAACAATACAGTTGTGTACCTCCACCACAATCAAGATACACCACAGTGCCATCAGCACAAAAATTCTTTGTGCCCCTTTGTAGTCAGTGACTCCACCCATGCATAAGGCCCAGCACTAATCCATTTTCTGTCCTTGTGTGTTTTGCTTTTACAGAATGTGACATAAATTGAATTCAACAGTACGGAGCCTTTTGAGTCAGGCATCTTTCACTTAGGGTAATGAATCTGAGATTCATCCATGGTTGATGAAATCTCTAGTTTGTTCCTTTTTAGTGCTGAGTAGCATTATATTGTATGAAGGTACCATGTTTTGAGAATTCATTCCCCAGTTGAAAAACACTGAGTTGCTTCCATTTTTTGGGTGATTATGATATATGTAAACATAAATTTTCATTTCTCTTAAGTAAATTCCTAGAAGTGGGATTGCTGGATGGTATGCTAAATTGTAAGTTTAATTTTATAAGAAACTGCCAGGCTGTTTTCCAAGATGGCTATACCATTTTGCATTACCACAAGCAATTTATAAGCATTCCAGTTGCTAAACGTCAGCATCACTACTTGACACTGTCAGTTATCTTAACACTGACTATTCCATTGATATGTAGTGACATATCATTGTGGTTCTACTTGCTTTACCTAACAGATAATGACATTAAGCATTTTGTCATGTACTTATGTGCTGTCTATGTATGTCCTCTAGTGAAGTGTAAGATAAAATTTTGCAGTTTTTTATAAGGTTCTTTTATTGTTGAGTGTCAAGAGTTCTTTATATATCCTGGAGACAAGTTCCTTATCAAGTGTGTGTTGTGCAAATATTCTGTCCCAGTCTGTGGCTTCTCAAACAGTGTCTTTCAGATGAGATCAGGTGTGTTCAGGGTGGTATGGCCGTAGACTCAAAAAGTGTTTTTCAAAGAGCAGAAGTGTATTATTTTTATGGGGCTCAATTTTTCAATTGTTTTAATGGGTCAAAATTTTGATCTATTTATCTAAGAAATCTCATAGGGCTTTTGTGACGTAAAACCCATGATCACAAAGATTTTCTTCTATAAGTTTTATAGTTTCTGGTTTGATGTTTGTTTATGATCCAATTTCAGTTCATTTTTGTACATAAAATGAGTATGGATCAAGATTCAATTTTATGTATTTATTTTCCAAATTTTTCCAACATCACTTAAATAACAAACTAATTGCCTTGGAACTTTTACTGAAAAACACATGACCATAGGTGTATGTGTCTAGTCCTGAAATTTCTATTCTTTTCTATTGTTACATATGTCTATCCCTTCACCACATTAACTTGCTAATTGTAGCTTTATAATAAGCATTGAAATCAGGTAGTGAGATTCATCCAATTTTGTTGTTCTTTTCCAAATTATTTTGGCTTTCCCTTTCCACATAAATTTTAGAATTCGATTATCATTTTCTATAGTAAATCCTGCTGGAAATTTCATTAGAATTACACTGAATCTATGATCAATTTGGTGGAGAATTAATATTTTAACAACAATGTGTCTTCCAATCAGGTGTAACTTTCTACTTATTTAGCTATTCTTTGATTTCCTTTATTAGCGTTTTATAGTTTTCAACATACAGATTTTGCATATATGCTTTCATGTTATATCTACGCATTTCATTATTTTGGCATTAATGGAAATGGATTTTTATTAACTTTCAAATTTTTCATTGCTAGCATACATAAATACAATGAAATTTTTTAACCTTGTACCCCTGAAAACTTGACACACTCATTCATAGGTTTTATTAGCTTTTTTTGTAAACCTTTGGGACTTTATGGAAATAATCATGTCCTCCTCCAATCAGTATGATTTGAATTCATTTTTCTTGCCTTACAGCACCAGCTAGGATCTGCACTCAGTATGAGGTTGAATAGGAGTGATGGGAACTGAATTCATTACCTTGTTCACAGTCACAGGAAAGAATTCAGTGTATCACCATTATGTCTAATGTTCGCAGTAGGTTTTTTTGTAAGTATGCTTTATTAGAATGAGGAAGTTCTTTCTGTGGATAGTCTGCTGTGAGTTTTTATTGGGAATCAATGTTAAATCCAGTTAAATGTTTTTTTCTCCAGTATATTAATCATATGGCTTTTCTTTAGTCTGTTACTATAGCTAATTACATTGATTGATTTTAAAAAGTTAAATAAGCCTTATGTTCTCAGGATAAACCCAATTAAGTTTTTTATATACTGCTGATTCAGTTTGTTAATTATTATGATGGGATTTTTTGAAATGTATATTCATGATGAATATGGGTCTACAGTTTTCCTTTGCAAGAGTTGAGTATCAGGGTTATGCTGGCCCTATGCAATGAATTGGGAGGTGTTCCCTTCACTTCTAATTTTTTAAAAGTGTTTAGGTAGAACTGCTATAATTTCTTCCTTTAACATTTTACATCATAATACTGAAATTTACAATACACCAATGACAGCATCTGGGCCTGCAGTTTTATTCTAGAAAGATTTTTGTTTACAAATTCAACTCCATTAATAAATAAAACACTATTTCTTATTTAGCTATTTCTTGTTGGGTGAGTTTTGATGTTTTGTTTCTTATAAGAAATTTGTCCATGTCACCTAGGTTTCCAAACTGTAACAACTACTTGTTTGATTTTGTCAGTCTGTTTGTTGTTCCCTTTTCCCCCTGTTCTGCCTGCTTTTGATTTAGCTAAATTTATTTTTATTTCATTTATCTCCACTAATGACTTAAATCTGTACCTCTCTTTTAAAAATATTCTTAGTCACACTACACTTTATAATACCCAATTACAATCTATCTTCAAATAATATTGTAGCACTTCAAATCTGGTGTGAGAACCTTAATATATTCTCAATTAGTCCACCTCATGTCTCACATTGTAATTGTCACACACTTTATTTTCACATGTCCTATAAACCACAATACATTACTACTATTTTGACTTTACCTTCCCTTTACCCATTTAGGGAGTCACATTTCCTTGTGAAAAAAATGACAGCCACATTTCCATGTGATAAAATTACATAAAACTATATACACCTGTTGTATCAATGTTACTTTCCTGGTTTTAATATTATACTATAATTACATAAGAAGTAACCAATAGAGGAAATTGAGAGACAAAACTTTAGAACTGTCACAACTTCCCACGAATCTGTAATTATTTTAAAATTTAAAGTTTTTTGTTTTGTTTTGTTTTGCTTTTAGAAACAGGGTCTTGCTCTGTAGCCTAGGGTGGAGTGCAGTGGTGCAATCATGGCTCACTGTAACCTAGAGCTCCTAGGCTCAAGCAATCCTCCCACACACCTGGCCTAAAATTTAAAGTTTGTTTAAAAAGTTAAATAAACATGTATAAACTTTCCTGGCAATTAAATATGCGTAATATTCTATGTATGAGAAAATGTGTTCCACGTGATAAAAGTTAACTTTAAAACAACCCTAATATCATTTATTTTAAAATGTAGACTACATATTCATCATTATTTTAACATCATTTCACTGTTGTAATGGTATTAGTAGTGTAATACATCATAATAACAATAAGAAGGAATATTTATTGAGCACTTATACAGCCAGGCCCTGGTGGAGTACTCTATGCTGAATCTTACTTGCCACTCAGAACAATGTTAAAAGCTACTATTATGGTGATTTTGATTCTACGAATGCTCCACTGAGAATGTAGAGTGAGAAGAAAGGTTCGGATAGAAAGTAGGGCATCATAGGCCAGGCGCGGTGGCTCACGCCTGTAATCCCAGCACTTTGGGAGGCTGAGGCAGGTGGATCACCTGAGGTCAGGAGTTCGAGACCAGTCTGGCCAACACGATGAAACTCCGTCTCTACTAAAAATACAAAAACTAGCTGGGCGTGGTGGTGCACACCTGTAATCCCAGCTACTCAGAAGGCTGAGGCAGGAGACTTGCTTGAACCTGGGAGAAGGAGGATGCAGTGAGCCAAGATTGCACCATTGCACTCCAGCCTGGGCGACAAGAGCAAAATTCTGTTTCAAAAAAAAAAAAAAAAAAAAAAAAAAAGAAAGGGCATCATAAACATGTATGAAATAGACAGAAGAAAAGGAGCCAGCAAAGAAACCAAAACCAGGTAGCCAAAGAAAAAGAACACAACATGGAACTGTCAGGAAAATCAGGGACAAAGTTTCAAGGCAGCTGGCACGTTCTGAAATAATTAGCATGTGGCAGAGTTGACAGGTGAACCCAGGTTGTCTGACTCCAAAGCTTACAACCATTATTATTACATTCATATTTTCATACTTTGCAGCAAATCATACACCTGAGAAACCGTTGGCACTACCTTTAGTAAAATTGAGGTGATCAAATTGTATACATAAAAGCTTTGAAATGCAGCCTGGAAAACTTCTAAGTGCGGAAAATAAGCAAATGTATGTAAAATGTCATGATGCTAGTGGGTTTATAGTAAGACCAAAGGAGGAAAAATACAACTACCCTTAAGAAAAAGTTGATTATTTTTATAAAACAGATTCACATATATGTGTCAGCATATCAGACCAATATAGTATGCTATTTAAAGACTCCTAAATCTAACACAGCATGGTAAAATGCTGCATCCTCCCAAGTTATTTTCTCCATAGAAAAAAGTCAAAAATCAGCTGGGTGCGGTGGCTCACGCCTGTAATCCCAGCACTTTGGGAGGCCGAGGCGGGTGGATCACGAGGTCAGGAGATCGAGACCATCCTGACTAAAATGGTGAAACCCCGTCTCTACTAAAAATACAAAAAAATTAGCCATGCGTGGTGGTGGCCGCCTGTAGTCCCAGCTACTCGGGAGGCTGAGGCAGCAGAATGGCATGAACCCGGGAGACGGAGCTTGCAGTGAGCCAAGATCGCACCACTGCACTCCATCCTGGGCAACAGGGCAAGACTTCATCTCAAAAAAAAAAGTCAAAAATCATTACTCCAATATGTTAACAATGATTACTTCTGTGAAGTGGCATGGAGCTAAAGACGACTTTCATTTTGGATTTTATACACTTCGGTTTTTAAAAATATTTTGAAGATAAGCATGTTACTTTTGTAACTAAAACAACAGGCCTTTGAAAATAAAATATAAAAATAAAGACCAAGAGTCTTAACATGATCTATATATTTGAATTCTAACCTCAAATAAGCAAGTCACAGTTAACAGTGCAACTGAGCCTTACCTCCTTTGGAGTTGCCCTGCACCTTGTATGTCTCAGGCTGATAACCTAAACTCTGAGCTTGGTCTGTCATTTAAGTGGAACATTTCTCAGAGAAATAGAATGTAATCAAGGACAAACACATCTTGCTTGCTCGTTTGCTTTCCCCAATGCAGGTGGGCTGCCACCCGCCACATGTACAGCAAGCTGAAGTTACAAAAACTGTTGTGCTTTATCTATGCAGAACGTACGTTGTGGTTATGTTATGCACCACAGCTATAGGAAGAAGGGGTCCCCCATATCAGCCTGAGGCTAAAAGCACAAAAGTGATACTACTGTCATACACAGGAAAAAGAGAGTCAATAGTTCAAAGGCTATCACTAAGATAAATGGAGTTTTGAAATTAAATGGTGATTGCCCAGCTAAATTGAGAAGCCTGAAAATGCACATATATTCAGTGCTAGGACTGCCAGGAAAAGGAGTGATTTTGTGTTGCTGGTTCCTTCATTTTCTAATTATGAAAAATAGGATTCTTAGAGAAATATATAAATTTCCTTGTTGTTTCCAAAAATATCTGGGCCACTGATTCCCTCTTGTTTTTAAGTTGACCTGCCAAATAAACAGCTCTGTAATGTTCATATTCTTATACAAAAAATATTTATGAATTGCTTTGAGAAACGTAAGAAGAGGATAATATCAAAAGATAATTATCTCTGGATGGCTTCTTCCTAGAGAAACTTTAAAGCAAATATCTGCAGCACTACTCAGTTTATGCCTTTTACTGTGTACATTAAAACAAGTAACAACAATATAATCCCTGCATTATTTACAAAAAACAACTCCAAGACATCATAGTATTTGGAGCAGTACTACAATGCATAGTGTTTCATGACTCACAGATATTTCATTTTCCTCTGAGCTCTGAATAATTTAAAATTTTATGTTAACAAATACCACTATAAAAATTAAAATTTTGATTTAACATGTTTATTGTCATTTCTAAAATGATCTTAAAATAATTCCATCATATCTGAAAAACATACACTATTGCTATTTGGAAGAGTATATTTGTTTAAATGATCTATACTATGTAAATATCCTGACATTAGGAAACAGAAATGCTTATTATATCTCTGTAAAGAAATACCTGAGAAAAAGGGCTTTATTCTAGCCCTTCTCTTGTGCCTTCCAAAACTACCAAAAGAACAAATGACATCCTTGAAAGTTCTGTAAAATCTTCATCTAAATCCTTTGCGGGGTGGAGAGGGGGATACCATACATCCTTCTGGAATGTAAATCCCATGAGAGGGATGACCTGTCCATCTTATGCCCCTGTCATTGAATGCAAGCCACCATGATCAGCTCTGTATGTATTTATTAAATAAAAAACTGATAAATGAATGAAAGAAAAAAGTGACCTTTATTCTATAATTTTTCTCAAAACCATTAAAATGATGACAAGCTGGAATCCCCAACTGATGTAATGAAGATGATTTTATTATATTTCAAATATATGCTTTGTGACAGAAATATTTTTATGCGGATCTCAATTACAGTTTTTTTTTTTTTTTTAAAGCTGTTACCCCTCCATTGTCCGCAAAGCAACAGGTGTCAAATATAGAACTGTGACATCGTGAAAGCTAGGAAAAGACCTGCGGATCACAATTTTTTGTCTTTTGCTTTTTCAAACTACAGTCACTGACTTATTACATTTCACACTATTTAGAGTTTTTAGAATTAAATATGGGTCAACAATCACTAAATGCATCAACAAGTGACACTTATTAAAATAAATCATACCAAATGGCCAGCATATTATAAGCTGCTCTGACACTACCACTGCTTTCATAAATAAAAAATGAGAATTAAACTTTCATAGTAAAATATTTCACTGGACTACACTGCAAATTTTGACACGGTCAATTCATCATTGTAAAAATCAGATGAAGCTCAGTCAGCTCTGGTCAGAAAGCTCATTAGTCTATTAAAATTATACCTTTGCCAGAATGTCATGATTCTTTTTGCGGAAATATGTCTGCTATTTAGTAAAAATATTTCATGACCATACTTTTTTGCTTTGTCCAAAGCAAATAAATGTTTAAAACTGATGACTTTCTAAATTCAATTATAAGCAACAGATGGCTCTAGGAAAAAAAATTTGAAAGTTTTAATTAACCTTAAGCGCTATTCCTGTAATGAAAAGTAGTCAATTTATTTGACTACTTTTTCCATTTATTTAAGTAAAACATTTTATTATTAAAGAAAGATGGAATATATTTTATATTCCCAACAGAAAAAAAAAGTCCATAGTTTAAAATTTTGTTTTAAGGAAGTTTCATTTCAGAAAACTATTAGTGAAAAGAAGACTTCAATTTAAAACTAAAAGGGATTCCGAAATAAACTCATTTTCATGGGTTTGACAAAATTCTGTGTAGTTCTTAATGCAAATTCCCTTTGATAGGTGGCCACACATCTTGGCAACAAAATCCCGGTGTTAGATTATGTTTTGATTGACTGTAGGACACATTTATCTTTCACTAGAACACTGGACTTCCTTCTGGTCTTGTGTTTGTTTTCAATTTATTTAAGTCTCTTTATTCTAAGAGAGAATATACAAGAGACTTCAAGAACTTACGTCGTCTCACTTGATTATTATACTTCAAAAGGGGAATGGGGTGATAGATACATTATCATCACTGGCCAAATGGACACCTAGAAGAAGACAGTTGTTCACTGTCCCCTGATAATAATAACTGAACATCACATACCTTCAGTCACTATTAACCTAAGAGCACTCTGTTAAACAACTACATACCTAGGAGCAGTAAGATTCTAACCCCCTAGCATATCGCTCTTCTGAGCCACACCCAGATGGTCTACAAGGACCTCAAATTAAGAAAGTCCAATATATACTTCCTCCCACTAAACCCTATGCCTCTCCCAGTATTGAGGAGCCTTGCACGTTGCAGGACCAATCACCCAGCTGTTTATGCCAGGACCTTGGCTTTATTCTGTCGTGCTCCATAACGTGACTGAGTATTCACCAAGCCTGACCAACCCTGCCTCGTATCAATTCATTTCTCTCCAACCTAGGTTCATGCTAAAATCATCTTTCACCTGACTATTGAAACTGACCTTGCTGCCAACATGGTGAGCCACCATACTCCACATTATGCATCTTTTAAAATTTTTCTAGGAGGCTCATTTTAAAACTTTAAAGAAAAGGGCAAAATTGATTTTAGTAATACATTTTACTTTAATCTTATAAATCTAAAATATCATATTGACAATATAAAAATAATCAGTGAGATATTTTACATCCTTTTTCATACTAAGTCTTTGAAATCTGCTGTGTATTTACACTTATAACGTATCTCAGTTCGGATACTAAATGTTTAAGGGTGGTTACATGTGAAAGGTAGGCCTACCAAAACTATAGTTGTATCTAAAGTGCTTCAGTTTTTAAATGTAGCTGCTTCAGATTTTACACATAGCAAATTTAAAGTTAAATACAATTTGAAATTCAGTTCTTCAGTAACACTGACACATTCCAAGCGCAGGGTAGCTGTAAGCAGCCAGCAGTCACCACACAGACAGCACAGCTCCAAAAGACGGGAGGCTTCCTAGAACCTAGAACTTCTTGAGACTCAGAGCTCCCTCTTCATGCTTCACGCTCCAGCTCTACTGAAATTTCAGTTCCTAGACCTTACAGTTCTCTCCACTGCCAGGCCACAGAGCATGCTGTTCATTCTTCTGAACCCTCCCTCCCAGCTAGCTCTCCAGGGCTCAGATTAGGCATTATTAGGCACTGTTTCTTCCAGAAAGTTTTTCTACTGTCCCACACTGCTAAGTCTCATGCCCAAATCTAGTAAGGTCCTTCACTACATTTTGCATTTTTACAATAATAAAACTTTTCACACTGCTGTGCAATTGTCTGTTTAAATTTCAATAACTTCCATTACCCTGTAATATCGTTAAGACCAGAAAGCAAGTAACTTTATCACCTAACTACATATTAAGTCCTCAATAAATATTTATTGAATAAATGAATAAACAAGTGAGAGACCACCAGGAATTCTGCTCCCTCCTTAAAAACATTAATCTGCTCTGATCCTGACAGACCAAACAAGAGCTTATAGGAATTTATGCTGCAAAGAACTGTTGGTCATTAGCCATCGGCAATGAATTTACCTCTTTGTTCTTATGGGGAAGTGACAGTCACAGTCAAGCTGGTATCTTCCATAAATTGTTAGACATCAAAATGTTGAGACAGCAAAAATGTTCACTCGCAAGCAATATTTTCAGTTAATTTAATTTAAAATATTTAATTTACTAAATCCAGAACTGAAAGCAATTAGAATTTTTTTGTCTACTTTGGTCCCCAAAACTATCTCTTACATACGGTACCAAAATCTCATGGTTATGATACATTATTTTACTAAAGATATGTGGCAAATTCTATTTTTTGCTAATGCTATTTCATTTCCATAATTATTTATATCCATAAACAGAAACATTTTCTCTAGTTTTAAGAAATTAAAGTGTATTTATACAAAAATTTAATTAAGAGTTTCATAAAGTTTGTGCTTCTTAGGTCTAGTTTTCCATAATTTTCATATATATTCTGTAATTACTCCTAAAATAAGGGAAAAATTAGTTTATATTTCTAATAGTTTCAGAAGTCAATTCCTCCTCAAAGTGGAAAAAAAGAAGTCAATAGCATTGTGTCCCCGTATCAAAAACATCAATGGTCACTTCATGGAATTTCTGGGTTAAAAGGCAAAACTAAACACACAAATCTAATTTCACCCCTTCCACAGATTCCCTTAAAACAGTAAAGGGAATAATTCTGTAAGTTCAAATGGTGGGGAAAAAAAAAAGGGGGCTGGGCACGGTGGCGCATGCCTATAATCCCAGCACTTTGGGAGGCTAAGGTAGGAGGATCACTTCAGCCCAGGAGTTTGAGACCAGCTTAGACAAGAAGGAAAGACCCCACCCTGACAAAAAAAAAATTAGCTGGAAATAGTAGTGCAAACCTGTATTCCCAGCTACTCAGAAGGCTGAAGTGGGAAGATCACTTAAGCCCAGGAAGTAAAGGCTGCAGTGAGCCATGACTGCACCACTGCACTCCAGCCTGGGCAACAGAGCAAGGCCCTGTCTCAAAAATAAACAAGTAAAAAGAAAGGAAAGAAAACACAAAGTAAAGAAAATTTTGGAAGCTAGAAAGTAAGACAAGTGACAACTTCAGCAAAACTGAGAAAGCTGCATCCTAAGAAGGCAAAATAAAAAAGCCAAAAGTGGCCGGGCACAGTGGTTCACACCTGTAATCCCAGCACTTTGGGAGGCCAAGGCAGGCAGATCACAAGGTCAGGAGGTCGAGACCATCCTGGCTAACACGGTGACACCCCGTCTCTACTAAAAATACAAAAAATTGGCCAGTGTGTGGTGGCAGGCACCTGTAGTCCCAGCTACTTGGGACGCTGAGGTAGGAGAATGGCGTGAACCTGGGAGGCGGAGCTTGCAGTGAGCCAAGATCGCAACACTGCACTCCAGCCTGGGCAACAGAGACAGACTCTGTCTCAAGAAAAGCCAGAACCAGACCATTCATACTCCAGGACTTGCCAAAGATACTGGTGATACCAGGTGTCTCTGGAAGTGCTGAAATTAGGGTGAGGGGTAATGTACGGAGAACTGGCTGAAAGCCGCTGAACAAGAGGTTAGTTTCCCAGACTCCTTCTTCAGTCTATGAAATTAGGCAACTCCACTGCCACAAAATAAGAAAAAAACCTGAAGGTTTACTCTCAGAGCCAGTAAAAGAGGGTCTCTGGAACACTAGCCATTGCTGAGGGTAGAGTCGATATTGGGAAAAAAGTGGACTTACTGACCTTTTCCCTAAGGAGCACTGAGACCACCTGCCCTCCTGCCTCATTGGGCTCTGAGGAGCCCACAGCCAGGCTTTTACCCTTCAGTCTGGAGACTGGACGAGTCTTCTCTAGAGAACCTGACCAGTATCTCTTCCCAATAAAATGCCCAGCCAGATCATAATATTTCAAGTTAACTATCCGACCCAACCCACCAGCACCAGGCTTCTGCTCAGCTCCCGTTATTAAAAATGGGCAAGCAACCAAGGATTATCAGACATCCAAGGACAGCCTCATGGAAGGTAAACACCAAATCAGGTAGATGACAGGCAGTCAAAAACTGTAACGGGACAGAAGATTCCGGGACAGGTTTCTCAAAGGACATGAAATTGATATGCATCCTGGTGTATCTGAATATCTTGAGGAGATGTAAGCATGGCTCAACTATGAATAAATTGTGTTTACAAAGCAATAATAACATAAACCCTCAATTACCTATCCAACCACTGTATGTAAAATACATGGAACACTACTGGAGGGAGAAGAAGGACACATCTGTATAGTGCAACTGACCGAAGCAAATTGAGCTAAATCTTCCCCTCTCCAAAATAAGGTGTCATAGGTCATGCTTGAGACTAAAAAACAAAGTAAATACAGGCATATTATTTAGCTCTTTAGAGGCAAATGACAATAAAGAGATGGATGGGCGGACAGATTGAGAGATACAGACAGACAAAGATGGTTGAATTTGGTTTCCTTTGAGGAAAGGGAAGTAAGGACAGTAGGGGAAGAGGAACAGCTGTCTTTCACATTATAACCTGCAGAAGGACTTGACAATGTAAACCATCTCTAAACAATCTAAAACAAATATGCATGCCCACGCAACTGCTACATCAAAAGTCTACTCCTTTAAGAAATAAAATCCTGGCCAGGCACAGTGGCTCACACCTATGATCCCAGCACTTTGGGAGGCCGAGGCAGGCGGATCACGAGGTCAGGAGTTTGAGACCATCCTGGCCAACATGGTGAAACCCTGTCTCTACTAAAAACACAAAAATTAGCTGGGCATGGTGGCATGCACCTGTAGTCCCAGCTACTCAGGAGGCTGAGGCAGGAGAATCACTTGAACCCGGGACGCGGAGGTTGCAGTGAACCGAGATCGCACCACTGCACTCCAGCCTGGTGACAGACCAAGACTCCATCTCAAAATAATAATAATAATAATAATAATAATAATAATAATAATAATAACAACAATACTGCTAAAAAGTCATCCCTGATTTAGAATTAGTATTAACACTACTATCCTAGGAGCTACTGGGTCAAGGGAGAGGGAGAAGAACAGTTAACAGTTTCAAATTAAATTCATAGGAAGCAGTTAGAAATCAATAAACTCAAATATGTAACAAGGTACACAGACAGTATGCAATAGCTGTCCCTCTCCTCTGTTCTCCACGTTCTTGCCAGTAAGAAGAAGAAAAAAAAAAAAACATGACAATGACATAAAATAAGGAACAAGAGAAAGCAAAGGCCATGTGCCTAAAATGGTGGAGGACAGAACTATTCCCTTCCACCTGATAAGTTACAGGATATCATAAATAATAAACAAACAAAATCATTGCAAGGAATGTGAGAACACTGGATTGAAGAAGAAAGGATACTATATTATGAGGGGATCCTCTCTCTATTCCAGTGGTTTTCAAACTTTTTGGTATCCGGACTCTTTTATACTCTTAAACGTTATTAAGGATCACAAAAAACTTCTATTTATGTGGGTTTTATCTAACAATATTTTTTACATTAGAAATTAAAAATGGAAATTTTTAAAAATATATATTTATGAATTCATTTAAAAATAACAAACCCATTACATAGTAAAATATTTTTATGAAAATAACCATATTTTCTAAAACAAAAAGAAAACAGCTTGAAGAGTGGCGTTGTTTTAAATTTTTGCCAATCTCTGCCCAGTTTAATAAAAGAGAGTTAGAGTCTCATATCTGCTTTAGCATTTGGTCTGTTGTAATATGTTGTTTGGTTGAAGTATATGAAGACTATGTGGTTTGACACACATAAATACTTGGAAAAGGAGATGTATTTTAATAACCTTTCCAGATAATCATGGACATTCTTCATGATACTTCACCAAAACTTCAATGGTAGTTCCTAAAGGTAATGAACTTTTCATACCATGTACTGCAGTAGCTTAAAATCCACTAGTCTATCAGGCATTTGTAACAGATAGTTTGCCCAGGCATAATTTGGTAACATCATGCATTCATCATTTCGAAAATACTCTCGAGGGCTAGGCGCGGTGGCTTAGTCCTGTAATCCCAGCTACTCGGGAGGTCGAGGCGGGAGGACTGCTTGAACCCAGAAGCCCGAGACCACCCTGGGCAACACAATCAGACCTCATCTTTACCAAAAAAATTTAAAAATGAGGTGGGAGGATCGCTTAAGCCCAGGAGATACAGGCTGCAATGAGCCATGATGGCGCCACTGCACTCCCACCTGGGTGACAGAGCAAGACCCTGCTCCAAAAACAAACAAAAAATACAAAATACTGTCACTGAGTTACACCAATCTTCCAAATGTTGGCACATTTTATTACAAAATATCAAAGTCTACATTAATTAATATCACCACTAATCTCATTTAAAAAGCCTGTAAGTACTGGGAAATTATCACACTGATGGATACAAGTTTTCTAAAATTCCAGTTTTCATGTAGAAAGCTCAAATTCTTTCACAGGCAACAAATCTTGTCATTCACTTTTTAGAAAATGTCTGCCAAATACACAAATCAAAGTAATGATTGCTTGGCATTCATTATAGAAAAAAAAAAAGGTTGCATGAAAAAACTGGTAGTACAGCATGCAACTCAAACTATCACTAAAATGTTTTACCTCAAGGCCATGATGTATTATAGCAGGCAGTGGAAGTGCTTTCTAAGTATTTCCTATCGTATCACACGGAATGTAAACAAGGCACATGTTCAAGAATCCAGACTTAATATAATTAACCATTTTAAATTTCAAGGACCTTCTTAAGTGAAACTGGCTTTTTTTTTAATGCCAGATGCCTGGCATTGGAGAATACAATGGTTACTAGTGCAATTTGATGCCTTGGTTTGATGTATGGTAAGTGCCAGCCATTTTCAACAGTGAGCTGCAGCAAGCTTGTACAAGCTCCTGAGAGCGACTGCTAGATCTTCAAGAATTTTGAGAGTTGGTTCACATTATATTGGTAGTTTGAAACTGGACACGGTGAGAATATTTCAACCAATGAAATGTGCAAACACAACAAATGAGGGGCTTTTTTCCCCTTTCCTAGGAGAGCTGCTTCTTATTTACTGCCACATCAGTAGCTTTACCAGCCGTTGCACTTGCATCGTTAGTCTAAAATTCAATGCCTTAGGATGTCTGAAAAGGGTTGGAAACAGTATGCTGATCACATTTTGAGAACCACAGCTCTGTTCCAAACAGTGATTTATCCCCCAAAGGCAAAATGGCTCAGCCAAAAGACACCATAGCAGAGACTGAACTCTTCTGACTGCTGGCCCCTGTGCTTTGAAAGAATCCCAATGCCTTCTGAGAGATTGTCGAATTCATTTCCTCTACAAGAAGGTGGAGAAAAAGCCAGAAATAGATGAGAGGGTATCCTGGTAAATAACAGTACTCATGGGTCATAGTCATTCTCTAGGCCCCAAACTGCTGAAGACTCCCAGCTGTACCATGCAAGGAAATGGCATTTTTAGCAAAACCGTCCTGAACAAGATCGCTTTTCAACATGCGATGTCCGTGCTCAAAATGAAGCAAGAGCTGTATCTCTGAACTTCTGTTTTAGAGAACATCAACCTATTCATCTTACGGTTTTCAGCAATAACTGCAGGGGAAGTTGGTGGAATCTCAGACGTTTGCAGAAGAGCCCTTCTATGCCCTGCTCCCTCGGAGATGACAGAACACGCCAGTTTAACAGGCCTCCATTCAAAGAAAATTCCTGTTGCTTACAAATTGCCCAGAGGCTGTTTAAAATACAGTTATGTTCTTAACAGTGTTATAAAAATAAAGGGGGAAAAATCACTTAAGAGAATAACAGCTAATATTGCTAACGTTCTTTGAGTGCAAACTCTGTGTCAGACTGTTAACTTTTTCATTTCATCCTCACAATCACCATAATTTACAGATGAGCTTCAGAGGGTTAATCTGCATAGCCAAGGTTGCCCAAGTGGAGGATACAGGGCTCAGGCAGTCTTAACCCAGAGCCTGTACTCTCCATCTCAACCTAAGGGAGGCTTCTTATAATTATGTGATCTAAAGCATGATATAGATGAATGCAGAGAAACTTTGATATTGAGATCAATAAATCCAGCCCATGGCTGGCTAAAACAGTCCTAGTATCTGTGTCTAACCAGGAGCTCATGTTAGATAAAGACTTCACTTAATTGTGGGACCACACCTAAAATATACCACAGTGAAATTCTAACTCCAAGTATGAAAATGTTCTCACTTTACACAAAAAGCTTTCTTTGTGGATTTTTAAAACCCACCCTTCTGAGGAAATGAATAACCTAATTTATATTAAAATATGAAACAAAGAAAAGTAACTAATTCCTGACCCCCTTCTTCTCAGAAAAACAAAGAATAATGAATTCATTGTTACACAATAATGACCGTACCTTTCCAAAACTATAACCTCTCTTGCTTTCAATCACTGTTGACCAAGCAAAACCCTACAGATTGTTTAGAGCTGTCTAACAGCTGCCTCGGTTTGGCATGTGTTTGTTGGTATTGACCCAGGCAGTACTAGAGTGAAAGGAATGACCCTGTCTCTGAAACTCCAACCTGGCTCACTCACTCAATTAAAAGATCTGTCAGTAATCACTACTCACACAGACAAGATCAGAAAAAAATGGAGCATTCGTCAATGCAAGCTAGAAAATAAGATTACTTTTTCACAATACTCTTTAATCATGAATTATCTGAAGTCCCACCTGTCTAATAATGTTTTTAAAATTAGCCCTCAGGAAAAAATGACTTCAAAACTGAAAATTTAAAGGCTCCAGTCAATTTCCTTTTGTCTCACAGTTTTTCTCTCAACAGATAAAGAAAAATCCATAGTAACAAGATAACATTTCATGCATTTACACATTTTCTCCTATAGACATCTACAGCCTTCAGAAAGTATATTATTTGTAGCCATGCCCATCTGACATTTTCCATTTTACTCAAAAGATTTTATGGTTTGGTATTACAGCAATATACAAATTTGACAGCTTGCAATAGGATCTAGTCCCTGTAGCAAATCATTCTGACAGTTAAGTACTATACAGCTACTAATGTACTTTTTTTTTTTTGCACTACACTTATTTAAAAACCTTACAAAGCTGGAGACATATGTATGTTGAAATCCTGAAGAACATTATCTTAATGATGTTATATAATTTTATACTGGCCGTGTTAAATAATAAGACACCACATACCATACCACAACCGTGTCATCTGTAGTATAGTACCTCTTACTCCTCCTTTAGAATAGTTCACTATTCAAAGCACTTTTTGTGCACATTAACACTACTGATTACTGTTTAAGCAATAAGTTTTCTCATCATTGTCAATGTTTATTATTTTCTTAGAACTTCTCTGTCTTTAAAAATACCTGAGCCTATGAATAAATCGGTACATGAGTTAATGTGGAACATACTGACTTTTTCTGATTGCCTTTACGACACTACTTCTTTTCTTTTAGCATGATGAAAGATAATCAATATGTCTTTACATTTCCTAAAATGCATTAACAGAGGCCCTGTCAAATACAACCTTGATTCTTTCAGAAAGAAAGCCAAGTTGCTCACGAACATTGCTGTAACATTAACTAAATAGAACTCTGAGTGATCTTACAGCACAAGAGGCAGACCCTATCTCTACCTCTCAATAATTCTATTTTTAGTATTCAGTATATCTGATAACATGAGTCAGTTGGCAAGAGAACATGCGCCTTCGTCTAAGAAATAGGAAGTGTGATTGTATTTTCTCCCCCTTGATTCAACTCTTGAGATGGAATACCACAGTGAAACCACTCTATTTTCAGAATTGATATACCTTTCAAAACTATAATCTTTGGCTTGCAGGTTCACTATTATTTGCCTTCAGGTACAAATTTTAAAGTGTACAGAGGCTTCTAAGCAGAATAGTATGGTCTCAGCCAGACACGGAAAGGCTTGTAGCTCAGTCATCATTGTAGTGTAAATTCCTTTTCAAAATAATGTTCTTCACTCAGAGAACACTTGTGCCTGGGCTTTGTTCACTTGTCAAACACAAATCAGAGGTCATCGAATGCCCAGGGGCAAATCCTGCTATTCCAAAATTCATTTCTCCCTCTATTTGGTTGCAGAAATAGGATTTCAAATGTAAAAGTCCTAGAAAGGTCTAAAGACATAGAAACCAAAGGCACTGTGCTACACCACTGTGAGGACGGATGCATTTGTGACCCATGAACAATGCCAAATTTTTTGTGTTTGTTTGTTTTTTGAGACGTAGCCTTGCTCTGTCGCCAGGATGGAGTGCAGTGGCGCCATCTCGGTTCACTGCAACTTCCGCCTCCCAGGTTCAAGCAATTCTCCTGCGATAGGCTCCCGAGCAGCTGGTACTACAAGCATGCACCACCCACACCCGGCTAATTTTTGTATTTTTAGTAGAGATGGGGTTTCACCATGTTGGCCAGGATGGTCTCAATGCTAAGTTTGTTATGCAATGACAGCAATCAGAACAGACATCCGCTGCATTGAAAGATGTGATTTAATATTTAAATATTCATACAACAGTCCTATTTGAAAACTTTATCTCCAAATAGAGTATTTAAAACTAATAGTTGCATTTAGGATCTGCTACAACTTCCTAAGATTTCTTAAAACCCACAAACCTGCTCTGCTGGCTTATTTACAAAAATACCACAGATCTTTAATTAATTTAAGCTGCAGGAAGTGATCAATGTATACAATAAACATTCATGGTAAACATACAGCAACTACCAGAAATCCATACTTCTTTTTAACTCCTTTTGCTAGATTTTTAAAATGTCCTTCTCTTAAATTTTATAATCAAATCTAAGATTTTTACAGTGATCTGTCTCCAAACCCTACCGCCTTCTTCCTTCTGTGTGATACCATAAAAACATCATTTGTTATCTCTAAAGTCCCATCCTTAATCCTTCTTCCTGATCATTTTTATATTGTAAAAACAAAATAGGCCATTCTGTCTTAATGTGTGTTTTATATATCTCTATGTTCCCTTGTTTTTGTCTGTGCACAATTTTGTTCTTCTTCCAGAGATTCACTTATGACTACGGCCAATCAATCATACTAGTAGAGAAAATAAGAAAGAAAGAAGAAAAGGAAAAAATTCTGAATAAATTCTAAATCTATACCACTTGGGGTCAATTCTTTTTCTTTCAGTCCTCAGGCACACCAATCACCTGTGACTTCACACAACCCCCTAGATGGGCTACGGGGAGAAGGAAACGTCCTCAGTAGCCTCCTATTATCCTACAAAGTGCCAATCCTCACATATTCTTTTGGTGAACAGAGAAGGTGCTGCAGGGCACAGGGAAGGGGTTTGCAGTAATAGGACTTGCCACAAGGATAACTTTTCCCATACAGTAAAGTCATTCAGAAGCAAAGCAATTTATTCTAATGGACAGGTAATAAAAATACTACATAATATAAAACCTGCATTAAATATCAGAAGAATGCTGAAGCTGACAGGGAAACTGGTTCTCCCTTTTGGATATGAAGTCTTTAGCCCATTCAGCTAACTTTTCATTTCTTAAGATTTGTTAGCATTTTCATTTCTGCCCTGTAACAGGATGACTCTACTTAATAACCCGGTAGTTTTGGATAGCAACCTGTAGCATTTTTTTAGCTGGGGCAGCAATTACTTTAATAATTACACAAAAGTGAAATATTGTTAAAGAAAACGAAAGAAAGAACAAATTTAACTGGATGGAGACCACTACAGCCAAACTTATTTTTCATTAAAATGTTTTAGGTTTTTAAAAGTTAATTATTAAAGTATTTAAAATTGGACACAGAAATAAAAGAAAATATAATGTCTTGAAAATAAGTCTAATGTCATCATTGTTGTCCATTTAATTGTATGATGAACAAAGGCCACACCTGTGACATTACCAAGCAAGGTGGCTGGATGAGCTAAAGGATCTCCATGAAGCACACACCATTTTAGGATCAATAAATCCACAGAAGAGCACCAAAAGGCTTGTTTTCCATTAGTTGTCATTTTTTAAAAACTGGCCATTATACATAAGAGGAAAAAATCTGCTCAAGTAAACAAATCCTTTCCTGTATCCGCCACAAAATTCTCCTTGCACGAATAATTTACCAGAGGAGCTTTTCAAAAGCTGTAGGTTGAAGCTCTGAATAAATAAACGACTAACAATAGTGTTACCAAAATATTCAAATACCTCTGCATAAATTCCAGTATTTCATATTCTAGAAAGACTGCTAATAATGAGCATTTTAAAAATAAACAGCCTTCATATAATGGAAGACATTTTAAACTTATGCTTGCCCACCAGTCATTCTATTAGCCTCTTGCAGTTACTAGCTTTATACTAGTGTTGTTTATTACTTATTCAGAAAAACTCTAACTTGCCCCAAGGGACAGCAGCTCTTTTTCTACAGTTAAATGAAAAACTAAACTAAAAAACTGTCCTTTGGAATTCAACACTTTGAATGCATCACGAGCAGTACTTTCGATGCTCTATTGTCATCCCTTGGGCACTCGCTCGCTCTCTCTCTCTCTCTCTCTCTCTCTCTCTCTCTCTCTGCAGGTGTGGCCAGAGCTCTGGTTAGGCACTAGAGAAGGGAGGTGGTAGTTTAAGAGCAACATAAGAAACTGGTGCAGCAGCACCACCTCGTGGGTACTGAAGAGATGCAGCCCTTGCTGCTGCTTCAGGGATGAACCACTTGTCCACTCATTTTCAATCCCCAGCTGACCAGAAGTTCCAAGATCAGAATTTTCAACCAACAAGATGAGTACTGCATGCATGTTTCATAGGCTCTCTGGAGTACTGCTGGGCTCTACAATTTAATCATATGTCTCCTGTGATGCAGATAAGTAAAGTAATGCCTTGCTTTAGAGCAATATGCAGACATGTGTGTGAATTAGATCTGTTACATTTAAAGGAGAAACCGTGGAAAGGCAAAGGCCATTTGTTATTGTCTGATCGCACTCCTCCAGCCACAGTCATTATAAGCCTGACGTGCAAATAATGAATAATGATTTGCTGCCTTTTATTCATTTCATAAATATTTACTCAGTGACTACTATGTGCATATACACATACATCACAGAATTTTAATCTTAGGTGAAACTTGATTAGTATTCAATTTGGTTGTTCAATTTCCATAAGAACAGGTAATGTTAAATTGTTAAATGAGATTATATAATTAATAAGTATATAGTAGCTGATATGCACATGTTACCAGACTTTATTGCTTTGCTAACAAAAAAGAAATTTGGATTTGAAAAAAGAAAAAAATCCAGGTTTGTTTTTAAAAACATTTAACAATTTCTGTTCTGTCAGTCTTGAATTCAGTTCTTCCAACCAAGATATTCTCTAAAAATGACAAATATTGAAAATGTTCTCTTTCTGTCTATATCTTCGCTGTAGACCCGTGGATTCTTAAATGAGGGTGATTTTGCCTCCCAGGGGATAGCTGGCAATGCCTGTTTGGTGAAGGCTGCTGGAATCCTATGATGCACATGACAGTCCTCCACAACGAAGAATTATCTGCTCTAAAATGTCAGTAATGCCAAGGTTGACAGAACAAAAACTGTGTCTGATTCAAAAATGTATACTACATGGCAAGACAAGTGATAATTGTTTGGTGAAATAAATTGATTATGACATCTAAATAATTCTTATTATTTTCCAGTTGTATGAAGAGGAAGGCAGAATGGACAGTCTAGAGTTCAGAAAAGGAATGCCCACAGCTCCAGAAAAAAATATTGAAACTGACACTGGCAGACACATATATATTTATGAAATAGGCAGAATAAAATAGCTTACCTGGACTTACTTTTGCCTGGATGAAATACCACACAAAACTACTCTGCTTTCCTGCCGGCCATGAACTTGTTAGGTTACCATTTAAACTTCAGAAGAATGCCTATGTCAGGAAAGTGTACCCTTAACACGACATACAGGCAGAGCATCCTATTCCCTGGAAAGGTGCGTTTCATTCCCCACATAAGTAAATTGTATTATTCAAAGCCATCCTCTCTGAGTCTGATCACCATGGAACATCAATGAAGACTGGGGCACAGACACTGGACTGCAGTGGACTCACAAGGGTGATGATTCCTTCCTGAGGACTCTTGGTGAAAAAGAATCCAGACTTTCAGTCATTGCCCCTGTCAAACTATTACAAACTTAGACATTCTTCCCCCCAAATGAAGTTGCTCCTCGTATTATTATTCCACTAAAGATAACTACTACAAGCATTTTGATGAGGATCATTCTAAGAAACTTTCCATAAATATAACATTATATGAAAAATAATCTGGTCAAGAGGCTGCTATTTTCATCCAAAAATATTTCACAGATCTCAGTTTACATCTGTAACCATAGCTCTATGTTATCATTTGAATAGACTTTTGGTGATAATGACATTCAGTTAAGACATGCTCTTTTAAAGGTACCGACTGCTTAAGGAAGGAAATGTTCCATGAGAAATGTGATATGCACTATCAAGATGAAGCACAGCACTGTGAGGAAAGCGACAAGCTTCACCATCTTTACTTGCAATTATGATATTTCTAGATATAACACCCTGAATGTGGATGAAATAATCCTGCTGCCCTTCCCTGCTGTTCTCTCAAAAACCCTTTGGGACTGATGTGGGTAACGTTAAATCTTTAAGGAAGCACTTATGGACTAGAGAAGCCAAGACATAGGCCTGTGGAGGCAGCCTCAAGAGCAGTGACTACTCCTTCTGAGGGGCACTGCACTGGTAATAACACAGAAACAAAGGTGATTTTAAAAGGTGGTGTAGAATTTTGACAAATATCTATTACTTTTATAATCAGAAAAAAATATTAAAATGTTAACATTTGTTAATATTTGTCACACCAAACATTAAATTATTTAACATGTGGTAGTTCAACTTTTTTTTGGATATCATATCTTATAGTCCTAATTCTTACAAACGTTTTGTTTGTTTTTTGGTGTCTTTTTTTTTTTTTGGTAATCTGGGTATAAGATTTCAAGCTTTCCTATGGAAGTCCAGGAGCTGAAGAATTATACTCTCTTCTTACTTCTTCTGACAGTCACTGTGACCTTTAGAGGGCCATTTAAATGGCCCACTCATTTCCATCTTAGATTACAAAACTTCCAACTACCACATGCTGAGCATCCTAAGCCCAACACTCACATCAGCCACAGTAATCATCAGTTCCATGAAAGGCCCATATATTTCCTAGTGAAGTGAAATTCTTGATGGAGGTATGATGGCAAATAACAGTGTTCACTTTCACTTCTCCGAAAACAAAATACAGTAGGCTAGACTGTGAGTTCCTATAAGAGAGCCCCAGAGACGGCACACCCAGCTCGCCATTGGGGAAAAGAGCAGTGGGAAAACAAGCAACAGTCAAGAAAAAAGAGTCATAGTGATGATGCCTGAAATGCTGTACAGTGGAAAGACCTTCAGTGGAAAATAACAACGACTCAGGAAATTCTAGAGTTTTAAGTCCACCTGTAAGACGTGCTCCAATACATTAAGGTCATGCAGTTGAACTTTGGGGAAAGTTCTAATTAGGTATGCAATATAAGGGCCTAAACTAAGGATCTGCTGGCTCATAATTGAATAAAACTACAAAGTTACTTCAATGTTAAAGACAATAAAGGCCTATATTTTCAATGAAAAATGCTCTTAACAGAAACCAATGGGAAGATTTTTACACAGTTTCTGAACAAGCCAGAGAGTTTGGCATATTAAGTGACTTGTACCTATTCAAGAGTGAGAAAATATCTTCGTAAAAATAAAAGCTTCTTTATTTCTCTGTGTGTCTCTTCTTGGTGAAGAGATAATGAAATTAGGTTAGATACATTTTGCTAGGTTAAGACCAACCAAAGAGAGTCAAGAGAGAAAAATCTAAACAATTTAAATAGAGTTAGATGGCTCAGCTCCAGTACTGACAAATCTTACCAGATAACCTATAGTTTGAAAGTTCACATTAATTCAGGAAATGTATTACTATCTTTTTCCTCATTTCAGACAGAAATTGAGGAAGGTTATATGCAAACTTACAATATAACAGGAAAAGAATTTGTAAGAATAAATAAATTTAGGCTAAAGGAAAATAAGGGTAGAAAAATAAAAGAAAGCTAGGAGAAAATATACCTTGGGAATGTGTGCATTAATGGAAAAATTCAGAACTTGAAATTAACACTAATTTATGAGGTAAAAAAGAAGCTTTGCCACTCACCAATTTTAACCTCTGTAAAGGTATTCTGCCTACATCTATTTGTGTCCTTTCTGGGACATTAGTGAATCGAACTTCTGGGACCGCAACGGCGCACATGACATGGGCCCACCTACAGGAAAGGAGACATTAAACATAAACAAAAGTTCCCTAAACTTACATACTTCAACTTGGTGATGCCAGTTCTCACAGATGGGAAATACACAGATGAGCAAGAAAGCCAAAAGCCTAAATCCATCACAAACAGATTCTGAACTGTAAACCTCCTGAATGATACCTGGACAGACTCAGTACCACAGCTGCCCAACAACATTGTGCCATGAAGAGCTGATAAAGGCCCACGACTCTATCCTATTAACGTGCACATATTTTTCTACACTTGATCTGCAAAATACTGAAATGTGGGTTTCTTATTTCATTTGATGCTGGAATATGCATGTATGTGCTTAAAGTACTTAAGCTAATCAATATGTGGCAAAAGATTAGTTCAATTAATAAAAGGTATGAACTGGGTATAGCACACAACCTTTTAAAATAATACAAATGTCATGAAGCAAACTTGTTTAAGTAGCAAAAGTTTTCCAAAAGAATTAATGCTAATCTTTAATTAAATTGTTTCTTGCTGCAATCTTACTATAATCAATGAAACCCAGAGACAAAAAGAAATGAAGTTTATCTCATACCCTAGTTTCCTACTTTTTTCACTTTCTGAAAAATGACAACTTTCCCGTTAATACTATTAAATGTCTCATAAATGTTATATCCCAAAATAAATATAAAGAATCATGAGGTTTGAAGAGATCTTGAAAGAATTGTCAAATCCATCAACCTATTTTTAAGCCAAAGCATATTTACTTCACTCAAACAGTATCAGACTCTATCCTGTCTTTCAAGACCACAGGAAGAGAGAACAAGTATCGATCCCACCAGGGCATTCTTCCACATCGAAATAAATACTATCATTCCACAGAAAACACTATTTCTTTTTGTTGTGGTCCAAGCATAGGAAGAGAACGTCTTATCACCCGTGTTTTTACAGGAACCACCTAAACCATCTCACAGTATGGCATCCAGTGCAATATCCAAGAACTAGTGAAGACTTTCAGTATAGTGCGAATCATATCAACCAGGACTGTGGAAGAACATCTTCTTTCAAAAATTAAGCAAACCCTACAGTTCCTTACAACAAATTTTATTAATGTAATAATGATAAATACCTTCACTCCTCCTTCCCAGCAATCAGAAACATGTGCACATGTAAAGAATTATGCTAAATCCACCATTACATTACACCAGGAGTCCTAACTCCAGTGCCCAGGGGGCCAGGCGGAATGTAAGCAAATACACATATACTAGGAAGTCATGGTGAACTGAGGAGTACCTGCCCCACTGACACTGGGTTCTATCCCAACTTGTTATTACTGCCTTATAGGGATATACAATCATTTTCAATTAAAGATGAAAATCTGGATTTTTATGTAAAAATCTCTCAATTTTAAATTTTAGATGCAATTTATAAAATGGTGCCTGGGTCCAACAAAACATATCTTAGACATGAATCTGGCCCTCAAGTGCCAGCCTGCAAAATCCGCCCAGGTTATTTTGACATGTCTCTATTCCAGCGGACCCTGTAATATGCTTTGGCCCCATTTTCAATATTAAAACCTGGTCATGAAAAAAAAATAAAATCCATGCAGAACAGTCATAAAAACTAGACTGCCTTCCTTTTATGTTCACTTATGACTCTCTTTCAAGACTCTCTTCATATTCTCCACCTGATCCCTTTAAATCTTAACATCAATGTTTTCTCCCTATCTTTTCTAATTTAGTACACTTACATTCTCATAAATTTGCTAATGTAAAAAGTAAATGGTTTTGTTTTATTATCATTGCTATGACTGATTTATCTGAAGATCACGGTTTCACTTTCTCAGGTATGCCCTGTTTTAACAGACCAATAGCATTCATCATATTAAACACCAGGATTCTAATGGCACCTGGATGATATGGGCTAACTCCATTTTCAAAACTCTGTGAGTAAAAGAGGGGTTATTTTTCATGGTGTCAAATACAAAGAAGAGAAGCATAACTTGGACTGCTCTTGCCCTGCCGAGATGAGAGTGCAAACAGTAGAAGTCTCTGAAGCACAGAATTCCAACCTCAGATCTGAGCAGCAAAAGCTTTGAAACCACGTGTACAATGAGAGGTAAAGCGAACTGTCATCCAAAGGTTCTAGAATGGAGAAAGAAAAATAATGAAATTCAACACAATTAATGTATTACTTACTTATTGTTCTTCGTTTGCTTAAGAGCACCTCCTCTCAAATTGCAGAGACAGCATTCCTGGGGGGAAAAGAAAATACCACATGATGACCAGACCCACATAACAAAAGTCATTACCATTCATCTAAATATTCTCAGAGATCCTGATTTTTCATTCTAAAATTAAAACCATCAGGAATTACATGAAGGTCTATCTCTGAGAAGTTCAAAAAGAAAGACAGCGGAGGGGGAAATGGTAGAGGTACACCCCTCAAATTTCAGGGTATAAAATTCTCCCAGAGGGAACCATCATGAAATGAACCTGGTATAATTTTAAATTGACACTGTCATCAAAGGAAAGCTGTGACACAGAGAACCTAGCAGTCCAGAGAACCTAGTCCACACACCTAGTATATGCAAGAATTCTAGAGCAGAGAATGCACACACGACGGTGTAGCCTTGTGCTCTGGGAATTCACTCCTGGATACAGGGTGGCTAATGAATGGAGTCTGGGCAGGCTTTTTTCTACTACAAGGATAAGCAAGAGGCTATTTTTAAACGATACTCTTTTCACCAAAGTAACACTTGCGCCTCACTCTTTCTGTGGGCAAATAGTGTTATAAAAAGTGTCCTGATCAACCCCAGCTATCCGGCCCGAGAAAACAGCACCAAGAAACGTTTTGCTTTATCCTTCCCACATAAGCTTAACCTTTCAGCACTCTTATGTGTCTTAGCTTAGAATGTAATTTTCTACTCCAAGATGACTCCAATTGCTACAAATATAGATTTTATTAGTTATTTCTCACTACACTCTCATGAAAAAGACCAGGAAAAGGAGGACCAGAGAGCAGTGCACTGCCTTCTCTTGACCTAAATTGTTTCAAGCTTGTCCTCTCAATTTTCTGCATTAATACATTTTTTAAATTGGTAGAAGTTATTTGGAGTTTTTTCCTCCAAAGTTTATATACGAAACCTCTTTACCCTGTCCACTAAAGTGATGTTCCTTAACAAATTTTGACAATTTTTCCTAGCTTTACAAGGAATCCATCTAACTGATCTACTATTAATGAGGTGTGAAACTTCATAGCTTTTACTTTTCTGAGGAAAACGATACCAAAACAACTGGAAAGAATCATGTATCTGTATAACTTTTGTTAGGCAGTAATAAATGCAAACAACTAGAAATGTCCAACAGGTTTGTGTGTCTGAAAAGTCTCTGTAAATCTATATGAAAATTCCTGGATTCAGAGTAGTAAAAGATACACTGTGTATATTGATTTGAATCCATTATAAACCCAGCTCAAGGAGTTAACAACTCAATGAAGAATTTTCTCTATCCATACCACAAAGCCATATCCTAGAGGCCTTTGGAATAACTGGTTTTGATGAATCACAACAAGCAAAATTTCACAATCCAAATACTGAAAATGAGAACTCTGGTAGTTCATTTTATAAGTTCTCAATTTTAGGTATTTTTCCAGTAATTTAACACACTTTCTACAGAGAAAGAGGAGGTGAGAAAGAAAATGAATGAATGAAAAAGGAAACAAAACTTGAGGTCAAGTACTTTCGTTGTATACATGAAGATGTTAGTTTCAAAGTGGGAATGCAGCAAAGAGTTGTGGACTGTGAAGCACTCAGGCTCTAAGAGAATTAGATGTCTGATTAATGAAAGTAGCAGTGAGAAGAAGCCTAAAGGGACAAGTTAGGAAAGTCAAATACAGCGCAGCAGCATGGAAGCTGCTCAAAAGCACCTGATTAGGATCATTAACAGGTACACATGTTCTAGAGCACTAATCTAACAAGAGGAAAAAGTCTTCTAAAATACAATGTGTAGGCTCAAGATTTTAAATGGATTTTAAGATTCTCCACCATCACAAGAAGATATTCACTCTTCCTAGCCTCCCCTCCAAGTCACAGTATCTAATAGACAATTCCAAGTCCTTGGTTCACCTGACCTCTTAGCACCATACAACACTGTTGATCCTTCCTGAAAGATTTTCTCCCTGTGGTTTCCATGACCCTTAGACTCCTCATTGTCCTCCTGCACCTCTAGCTGACCCTCAGTTTCCTTTAACAGGCTTCTCTTTCACTATCCTCACACACTGGAATTTCTGTAATAGGCCCTATTACTTCTCTCTCCACACATGCCTGCTGAGCATCTGATCCACTACCCTGATTCCGATCACTCTCTATAGGCCAATGGCTCACACCTTAATTCCCTGAGGTGTCTGACTAACAGTGCCACAGGTATCTCAAACACACATGCAAAACTGAACTCATATCTTCTTCTCAAGCCTGTACTCCCCGACTGTTTTCCATCATTGGTGCCTACCATCCATTCTAGCTCATATTGGAGGACACATTTTTCCTCTCATCCTTTAGATCCAATCAACTGAGTTCTGTCAATCCCACCTCCAAATCCACCCTGTTCTCTCCATCATCACTGCCATCACTTTCGCTGATAGTCCCAGTATCCTTCACCAGACCTAAACTATTGCAATAGCCACCCAGAGCTACTCTGAACCCCATGAGAGAAGGTTTTTAATGCTTCTCAGTACCTAATATGGCCTCAGAGGGCTAGAATCATCAGGTCTTGGTCTTGGCCAGCCTCACTGTGTTTAGACACCTCAAGGACCTCCCTGAGGTTCCTTCTGTCCTGAACACTTTAGAGCCAGCCTGCGCCATTCATCAATAATTAAACTAAACACATTCTTGAAATCTCAACCTAAATGTTACTCCCTCAAACAAGAATCCCCAATCCCCTGGCTCAGGTACTTCTATCTCAGGCATTCCCACTGACACTTTCACTGATACTCCCCTTTTATTAGCTTTATTACTCTTGCAACTATTTGTTGCATGCTATCTGCTGCCCTCACTAAACTGTAAACTCACTGAGTGCTATTGGAATATCTGTCAGGTTAATTGCTCTTACTCTATTATGATATCCAATAGAGAGTATACCCTTAATATGAGTTTGTTAAATAAATAACAAAACATGGCAAAACAGGGAAGAGTGAAAATCTTGAAAATTAGCAAAGGATTAATAAAATGCAAAGACCATTTTCACATACTGGGACTTTCTAAGTAAAGTATGCTGCAAGCTTTAGTGAGTTGACAAAGTTATTTTTGCCATGATTTACTTAAGAAATCTTATTTCTTTGTGAAGAACAAAAATATTCATGGCCAGGTACACTCATAAGTTATTTATATGATATCACAGTTTCTGTTCTATTCTCCCAATTTTGAAAAAAAAAAAGTAGGAAACAACCAAAGTCATGTCAAGTTACATCATTTGTTTGACTCAATGGCCCTCAGAGGGTCAAACTAGTTGATCTGGTAAAAACATAAAGATGCCAACCTGTCCATTCATTCATTTGTAGTTTCATTACATGCCTATGATTAAAGCCCAGTAGAAAACATAACAGATAAGACAATTTTTAACCTTTCTTTCCTTTTTTAAATAGTACTTTACTGTCAGAGAACAGAATTGATAACTCTAAAAATTAACAGGTTAACTCTCACTCAAAAAGCAGCCCAAGTTTTCTTAAGAATCTACAATGTCTGATACATGTAAGGCACTACACAAAACAGTAATTGTACCTGTATCATTTTCCTCCAAATCTTTCAATGAAAGAATTTAAGGAGAAGGTAGGAAAGTGCTAGAGTATCCATCAAGACACTGAGTCATTAAACTTGATATCAAGAATAAAAATTAGAAGAACAGAGACATGTATTGAAAGCCTAATGCATTCCACGTACCATGCCAAAAATTTCATATACTTCACCTCCCTTCTTTATCACAAACTTATTAAGTAATTTATTATTTCACTTAATAGATAAAGAAACTCAGATTCAAAAGATTAAGTGATATTCCTAAAATCATCCAACCCAATGGTTATCAAACTTTTTCTGTAAATGACTAGATATTTACTAGTTTAGACTTTGCACAACTATAGAGTAGTTGTAATCACTCAACTCTGCCTCTGGAGGAAAATATTTAAGCTACTGGTTGTGCCTATATGCCAACAACATTGTTATTTACAAAATAGGCAGTGGGCTAGATCAGGACCATGGGTTAAAGCATTCCAAAATCTGATCCAATCAGCAAGGAGAACAATTGAGATTCAAACTTATGTCTGCCTAATCCAAATGTCCATGCACCTTTTCTCTAACATCTTCTGCCCCAAAGCATAAGGCAAGGCATAAGGTATCAAAGTAGAGTGCAAAAATAAACAAGAAGCAATGCCTGCCCTGTGAAGTTCACAACTGACAAGAAGAAAGTTCCTGTATGTACTTAAACAAACCACGAAGATGATACTGGTAGAGGCATTACTAAGTCTCCATTTGCTCATTTCCATAAATAATCAAGAACTCCTTTTCAAAACACAATCCCTGCAAAAGAACCCATATCATAAAAAATTGTGTTACCCGACAGCATATAACAATTTGTGTTCCTATTTGTTTCATTAATCTAGCTAATAAAACATCTCATTGGTATAACATCATTAAGTTTTCCCTACTTTATCCTTCGAAGTAATGATACCATTTAAAACAAACCAAGATTTTAGTTATGTTACGCAATATAACCTCAGGCTAAATGAATCAAATTTAACTGAGAGGAACAACAGTGAAACTGGAGAGCCATGACATATCACAATGTTTAATATAATGCAGATGGCCAGGTTCAAATAAAAGTTCTGCCATTTATTACTCTTATGACTGTGATCAGTTACTCAACCTCTGTGCCTCAGATACTTTATCTGTAGAGGAAAAAATTAGTACTTCCCTAAATTAATGTATGTAAAACATTCCCTAAGCACATACTAAATACGAAAGGTACAGTAGTTAAACATGCACAAGATTAACTGTGGTTCTAGATAACATAAATATAACATTGTCAGTCCATAATCTCAGTGTAGCTGTTTAGCGGGAAACAAAAAAATATGGATCTGTGATGAATAATCCTCTTGAGGTGCAAAAAGCAAGAAATAGAAGTGGAGAGAAAAGAAAACTCTCCAGGAACTCAAAGTCCAGGCAACTGTGGTCTAAACAGCAAAAGATATTCCATAGTTCTTAAAAGCTGCCAGCTCAACTATGAAAGGCAGGCAGATCTTCAGAATCTCCTCAGCGCCCAGATAACAGACCCTGCAGAAGGGAAAGTCCTAATCCCACCCTCAAAACACCTGAAACCTGAGTGGACTTAATCAAACTAAAGCTGCAATAAAGCACATGCCCAGCTCAAATATAAATCAGATTGACTTCACCCCACTGTAGGAACCTAAGAGAAAAAGCAGCACACCCTTTCTGGAAATAATAATACTCATTTCAGTCATCATAGACAAAATGTCTAGCACACAATCAAAAAAGTACAAGATATAATAAAAAGCAAAAAAAAATCATTTATGATCAAGATAGGAAAAAACAAAATGTTGATTTCATTCAACAGATTGAGAAGCAAACTGGAATTGGCAGAGTAAAAGTTTAATGACTATAGAGACAAATGAATAGGAAGTACAGTCGACCCTCAGTATCCAAGGGAGATTGGTTCCAAGACCCCTCACAGATACCAAAATCCAGAGATGCTGAAGTCCTTTATATAAAACAGCTTAGTATCTGCATATAAACCATGCATATCCTCCTGTATACTTTAAATCATCTCTAGATTACTTATAATACTTAATACAATGTAAAAGATATGTAAATTGTTATACTGTATCAATTAGGGAATAATGACAAGGAAAAAAAGTCTGTACATGTTGAGTACAGACACAACCATTATAGGCCTAAATGTATTTCTGATCCACAGTTGGTTGAATCCACATATCCACCCATGGATACAGAGGGCCATATGTATAGAATTGAAAGACAAAAAGAGAATTTTAAAAACCAATACAGATCTAGGGAAAAAAAAAAACTACTCAGTTTATGTATAATTGGAGTACTAAAAGGTGAAAAAAGAGAAAAGGGGTGATAATATTGGAAGAGATATTGACAGAAAATTTTCCACAACTGATAAAAGATATCAACCTACAGATCAAAAAATTGCAGCAAACTCTAAACAGATAAATATAAATAAAACATACCTGGCTACATAGCAATCAAAATTCTGGAAACCAAATAAAAAGAACATATCTTAAAATCAGAGAAAAAAAAAGCCACATTTAGTAAACAATTATATGAGTTACAAGTGACATCTAACCTGAAATTGTGAAGGCAAATAGGTAATGGAATAATATCTATTAAATACTACAAGAAAAAGCAGCCAGCCTAAAAGTCTACCTCCCAAGAAAACAACCTTTTAAAAAAAAAGGAAAAATAGAAACACTCTCAGTGTGATAAAAATCTAACAGAATTTGTCCCCAGGAGATCCACATCATAACAAATGCCAAAATAAAGTTCTTCAGAATGAGGAAAATGAAATCACACGTTACCAAGGATCAGCAGGAAGGAATGAAGAACTCCAAAAATACCTGGGTAAATATAAAATCATTTTTTAGTATCTTCAACAAACAGACACACAGACACATACACACGCACACACACACACACACACACACACACACACACACAGAGTGGGGTAGAGAGAGAGGGAAAGAGGAAGGGAGGGAGGGAGGGAAAGAGAGACAGAGGGAGGGAGGGAAGGAAAGGGAAAGAGAGAATGAACAAATTTCATTAAAAGACAAATGCTTAAAACAAAAATAATAACACTGTGGAGTATAGTATATGAAGAAGTAAAATGTAAGATAAGACCACAAATCAAAGGGAAGTGCTAATGAAGTTATACTGTTTTAAGAGTCTTACACTGTTCATGAAGTAGGATATTATTTGAAGGCAGAGTGTGCTCATTCAAAAATGTAAATTGTAATTTTTGGCAACCACTTATAACAAAGGCCTCTAAAAATTTCCCAGTATTGAATTCTAAGAAACATAAGCTCACAATCAAAACTCAATAAAACACAAGAAACATGGTTCTATCAGCAAAAATTAGTAGTGGAATTAGATGCAAAATGATATGAGCCACAAAATGCAAAATACATAGAGCTAACCCATGAACAATGTAAGCTTGAACTGCATGGGGCCATTTATATATAGACTCTGCCACCCCTGAGTCAGCTGGGCCAACCCCTCATCCTCTTCCTTTTCAGCCTACTCAACATGAAGATAACAAGGATGAAGACCTTTATGATGATCCACTCAATGAATAAATATATTTTCTCTTCCTTATGATTTTCTTAATAACATTTTCTTTTCCCTAGCATAAGTTATTGTAAAAATACAGCATATAATAAATATAACATATAAACTGTGTGTTAATTGTGTTATATCAATAAGGCTTCCAGTAAACAGTAAGCTATTACTAGTTAGGTATTGGGGGAGTCCAAAGTTATATGCAGATTTTTAGCTGAACTGGGGGTCAGCACCTCTGACTTCCATGTTGGTCAAGGGTCAGCTGTATTTTAATAAGTTTTTAAAAATAAGTATATTAAAAATATAAAAAAGAGACTCTAAATGACAAATTATATTTTTAGAAATCAACCATACAGAATTCTACAAAAAAATTGAAATTAGACTTATAAATAATATGTTGAATAGCAGATTACTCCTAAGAACAGAATTAGAGAGGAGAAAGACAGAGCTGAATAAATAACCAAAACCTCACACCAAAAACTATTCAGTAACAGTATTCAAAATGTCCAGATCCAACTGAATGGAGTGTGTGTTTATGTGTTATGTCCCTCACTCATAAAAAATATACTCCAATTGATTTACAGACCTAAACTTAAAAACAGAACAGACCTATAAAAGTATTATAAGAAAATATAGGAAAATATACTGATGAAGTTAGGACAAATACGGCTCCTTAAGAAGACATTTAAAAGACAAAAGATACATATCAAAATTTAAAAATCATAAAGAATAAAATACAACATAATTAACATAAAATAACACAAAAATACTCCCAATACATATATCAAAAATTGTTTTCTGGAAAATATTTTTTAAAGCCCACAGTTACAAAAAATATGTAAAAAGTTCAATGGCTCTTCATTGCCAGTAAGCACATGAAAAGAAAACCAACCTCAAGAATAAAGAAAATGAAAAAGGAAAAGAATGAGATCTAACCTTACATTTTAAATCAGAATATATCTAGTTTGGGGGTCATGTAAGCTGTTATGATGGTTACGGAGAAGAATTTAACATTGTCCATTAAAATTTAAATGCACAGAAATAATGACTCAGCAGGCTGACTTCTTATAATCTAACCTAAATATTTGAATCTATGGAGAAGGACTATATAACGACTATAATTTCATTTCTGTTTATAATGGAGAAAATAGTTACCTCTGGTGGGAACTGGAATTATCAGAAGCCAAAATTTTATTTGTAATGTCAAAATTTTTATAACAAAGCTTAAAATTTCAAACAGTAATGAAAACGACATGGTAAATCCACAGCCACTGGGATACTAAGAATTAAAACAAGTAGTATGAAGGGAAAACACTAAGGAAAGTTAAATAAATTGTGATATCATTTGGGTCCCATACAGCAAGCCATAACACCAGATTATAATACATAGAAAAGAGCTGAAAGGCCAACTGACAAAACAGCTTAAGTAGTTTTCTGTAAAAAATGAAATTTGAGATTTTGAGAGTGTTGGAAATGGGAGACTTTCTTGATAATATCTAGTTCCTTTGTATTAAAGAAAGCAAACTCACAGACACACACATAAAGAAATTAAACCTTTTTACAAGAAACGTACAATTTAAAATTAATGTGACTGTGGGTATTTATATCTTTTTTCTATTTTCTTTTAATTAGATGAAAATTTAAAACGGCACCTATGATCTCTTCCAGACTCTTTCAGTGTACTATAACTTCTTTCCAATCTAACCTACGGTGATATCAAAACTGTTCATCCTTACAGAACAAAATAAATAAATAAAATCAAACAGTCTGTGCTCATTGCCAGCCTTGTTTTATGTTTAATGAGCATGGCTTTTCCAGGAACAATAACACCCAGCATAAAATGATTCACTATTACAAAGATCTGGCTATACTGCTAGTCAGCCAATGTTCCCCAAAACAAAACAGAAAATATATATACTAAAATGCCTGTTGTAACATGATTACTCTATAAGGCAGCTGTTATTTCTGTCTCCAAAGAACAGCATTTAAAAAACCATTCTGCTGTATATTTTTTTCCTCAGGGTGGTTAAAAGATAAATGAAAAAATATAAAATCTGATCATATTCTGAACAGTTTTGTACTTTTCCTGATGAGGTCCCTTTCGCTCACCTAATACCACTGACAAAATCCCCTTTTAACAATGCCAGCTATTTTTAAAATTTGGTTTCATAAAAAATCACCACTGAGATGAAAAGTTAGCATAGCAATTCATAACATGGAATGATTTCTTTATGCCTCAGTTATTAAACCATGGAAAAGAGTATTTATAATCAAAATGCTGACACAACATTGACAGTGGTGAGAACAGCATTGTTGTAATATGGCTGTCACAGTTGTTCATTATTTGCAGCCGAGGGAAATCATGTTCCAATGTCTCTTCTATAAAACATCAGTTAAAGAAATGCCAATACCAACATTCTCAAGCTGCATTGTAGGAAGCTCTCATTTTAGTAGCATATCCATAAGTGCCACTAAAGCCAATTTTCAGTGTCATAGAAAAATAATTAGATTGAAGTACCCCCACAAACACACCCTCATTTATCTGACACGTTCATAACAGAAACACAAAACCGTAAAATAGGGCTCTCTGAGCTGGGAAAACAAAGAGTAATTAATCACATTAACAGAAAACCCGTGCTGATCAGCAAGACATGGGAGAACCATTTCTGGATATGTGGCTCATTATCAGGGCTGGAGAGAAGACAGGATCTCTCACCGAAGGACAGAGCTGGTATGAGTTCTGAGTGATTATATAATTGAATGACAAGTGTCCTGCAGTACCTTTTAAATGGAAATTCCACAAATTTGCAAATCCAAAATTCACCTGTAATGAATTCTGTACTGGCAAGTAAGTTCTCTCACTTAGTGAAAACATTCATTCATTAATTCAACAACTATTAATCACCATGATGTGCTCTAGACCCTGAGCAACACAGTGAATGACAAAGATCCTGCCCTCACAGTTGACTTATATCGGGGGGTGGTGCAGACAAATCTTTTAAGTGAAGTAGGCTTGAATTCTAACCAACTGAAAATATTGAGAAAGTCATAATATACAAACTGAATTTTCATTCAGTATTTTTTGCATTACAGAAATTTAGTTTTTCTTCATCTAATTTACAACACTAACCAAGTAAACTTACTATATTTTATCTATTTAAATATCAGCAGACGACAATTTACATAAAAGAGAACAGAAGAACAGAAAATCATGTTCTGTTTGTTTACAATGCTATGAAAATTAATTTGAGGTGTTCAGAGCACCGCTCTGGTAGCTATGTTACAAGCCAGGCACATATTAAGTGGCAAGAAACATGTAAGACTGGTCAGAAGTACTCTACATGGAGCTTACAACATTTACATAATAGTATTTCCAGGGTCCTGAGCAAAGACTCCAAGATGAACATACATCTTTACTTTGTTAACGTTATACAACATTTGGTTTTCAAATAAAAACCCAGCTGGCTTATTCTTTCTTCCCAGCATGACCACTGACAACAAACAGCAAAGTACTTGATTTCAAATACCTAGAAATAAATTTAACCAAGAAGGTGAAAGACCACTATAAGAGAAACTATAAAAAAATGAAGAAAGAAACTGAAGGAGATACAAATAAATGGGAAAACATCCCAAGCTCATAGATTGGAAGAATTAACATTGTTACAATGACAGTATTACCCAAGGCAATCTACAGATTCAATGCAATCCCTATCAAAACACCAATGACACTCTTCACAGAAACAGAAAAAAATAACCCTAACATTTGTATGGAACCACAAATGATCCCAAATAGCCAAAGCAAGCTTAAGCAAATATCAAAGCTAGAGGCATCACACTACTAGACATCAAAATATACTACAAAGCTGTAGTAACCAACAACAGCATGGAACTGGCATAAAAACAGACACATACATCAAGGGAACAGAATAGAGAGCCCAGAAATTACCCCACATATCTACAGTCATACGATTTGGACAAAGGTGCCATGAACACTCGTTAGGGAATTGACAGTCTCTTCAATGAACAGTGCCGGAAAAATTGGATATCCACATGCAGAAGAATGAAAGTAGACTCCCACTTCTCACCCTATACAAAAATCAACTTAAAATGAATCAAAGACCTAAACCTAAGATCTGAAACAATAAAACTATGAGAAGAAAACATAAGGGAAACACTTCAGGACATTGGTCTGGGAAATGATTTTATGAATAAAACCTCAAAAGCAAGGGCAACAAAAGCAAAAATAAACAAATGGGATATATCAAGCGAAAAAGCTTCTGCACAGCAAAGGAAATAATAGAGTGAAAAGAAGAACTACAGAATGGGAAAAAATATTTGCAAACTACTCATCTGAAAAAGAGGATTACTATCTGGAATACACAAGGAACTCAAACATCTCAACAGAAAAAAAAAAAATCTGATTTAAGAATGGGCAAATGGCCAGGCATGGTAGCTCATGCCTATAATCCTAGCACTTTGAGAGGCCAAGGCGGGAGGATCACTTGAGCCCAAGAGTTCAAGACCAGCCTGGGCAACATGGCAAAACCTCATCTCTACTAAAAATACAAAAACTCAGCTGGGTGTGGTGGCATGTGCCTGTAGTCCCAGCTACTTGGGAGGCAAAGGTGGGAGGATCACATGAGCTCAGGAAGTAGAGAATACAGTGAGCTGAGAGAGCACCACTAAACTCCAGCCTGGGCAATGGAAGTGAGACCCTGTCTCAAAAACAAACAAACAAAAAGAAACAAAGAATGGGCAAATGATCTGAACATACATTTCACAAAATACATACAAATGGAAAACAAATATACAAAAAGAAAGGGTAAACATCACCAGGGAAATGTAAATCAAAACTACAATGAGTTATCCTTTCACCCCAGTGAGAATGTGTATTATTAAATGACAAAAAGTAACAAATACTGGTAAGGACGTGGAGAAAAAGGAACTCTTATCACTGTTGGTGGGAATGTAAACTAGTAAAGCCACCATGGAGAACAATATGAAGTTTCTTCAAAAAACTACAAATAGAACTACCACATGATACAGCAATACCACTACTGGGAATTTATGCAAAGGAAAAGAAATCATTATATCAAAGAGACATATATGCCCCCTCTATGTTTACTGTAGCACTGTTGAAAATAGCTAAGATATGGAATCAACCTAGGTATCCAATGAAAGATGAATAAAGAAAATGTGGCATGTATACACCATGGAATGAAATCTTGTCATTTGCAACAACATGGAAGGAACTGGAGGACATTAAGCGAAATAAGCCAGGAACAGAAAATTAAACACTGCACATTCTCACTCATATGTGGATGCTGAAACAAGTTGATCCCATAGAAGTAAAAAGTAAAACGATACTAGAGGCTGAGAAGGATAGACAGAAAGGAGGAATTGGGAGAGATGTGTTAAAAGATAAAAAATTACAGCTAGATAGGACTAAGTTCTATATTTCTGTGGTCTATACCAGTGTAGGATGACTATAGCTAACAATAACATACAATTTCAAATAGCTAGAGGAGGTATTGCATGTTCCCAACATCAAGAAATGATAAATGTTTGAGATGACGGATATGTTAATTGCCCTGATCACTATACATTGTATGTACTGAAACACCACTGTGTACCCCATGAATATGTACAATTATGTCAATTTAAAAAACAATTTTTTAAGAAAAGCAACAATCAGATTGAGAGACCAACTGATGCCCCACCACCACCACCAAAAAAAAAAAAAGTACATGATTTCTTCATCATGTCACTGAATTAATTTTTGCCACTCAAGAGAAATGCCTGCACTGCAGTTTTTCCACACTCTTCCTGGGGATCTCTCTCCTCATTGCAAAAGAGATGTGCCTTGCAGCCCAGTGACCTCCAGGCAAGCACAGCCTGGTGTGTAGTACAGTATGTTAGGCTCCCTGTAATGTCACTCATTATTCTTCTTGACTTTACTTGTGCTTTCTAGTTGAAGCACTAAAGATTAATGAGGCATTTGTTCTCAATCAAGAAGCTATTTATGAATACAGTTCCACTTACAGTAAGCTATCTAAACTTCTTTTTATTTCTCTCCATTACAGAGCAGAGGTGGGGGGTGTTATTGAGCAAAAGAAAGAGGAAAGAACAGAGAAAAATGATTTGTGACTTTTTAGCCACTCAGCAGTTCCCTAACAGGACGGCTTCCACATCATAGCTATGCTGTCAGGATAACTGATATCCTCTTATGTGCTCTTCTGTTTGGTTAAAGTGAAATAATTATTACCACCATGGCCTTTGCAGGCCAAGGTTTAAGTCTGCAGCAATTCAGAATAATCTGCCACCTCAGGAGGCAAGAGGTGATTTTGAAGCCAAATCTATTACCTCAAATGAGAGAGGAGAGTCCTGTCCAGTGTTTTAAGAGACACCACAGTAGGGAAGAATAAGATAGCAAAAGCAACCACTTGGCTACCCGCCCAATGGTGAATGTCCTGCCTTTGACAAGAACCGGGCCTTTCTTTTTCCACTAGTTTTACTTTGTATAAAGATCAAAGTCGGCCTTGCAGGCTGACAGCCTCTCATCACCTGGTCTTGACAGTATCCCGTGGAATTAAAAAAAAAAAAAAAAATCCAGCATAAAACAGATCAGAGGGAACAGCAATGCCACCATGAACTCTCAAGGCCATAAGCCAATCTGATCTCAAAATCAATCGCTCTGATCTACAAAGCCGCTTCAGAGCTCTTCGAAAAAGAAAAATGCCAATGCTGTTGTCAGTTGGGAAATTGAATTCAAGACGTTATCCAGTTCTGGGAAAGGTCCTCTAGGCAGAACCTAGAGTACATATGAAAGGGAAAAGAACCTGCTCATCCAACCAATAATGCTAATTATTCTACGTTAAGTAGAAAACCAGTAACGCCAGAAGTTAGTGCTGGCTTTATTTTCAATGTAAACAAACAAAAACTAGTCAAATACATTGTTCAGGATTAGGTCAGTGGCTTGGCCTTCTTTCCCCTCCAAAAACAAAAGCTGAGCAGAGGAGGCAAGGCCTGGGAATGAGATGGTCTGGCATCCTGGTTCTCTTAGGACACACAAGAGTGATCCTGGGCAAAGGAATCACAACTCTAACACCCTCCGGTTCATTAGTTGTAAAACGAGGCTTCTGAGATAGACGAAGAATTCCTTAGCCTTTATCGGTATCAAGTTCTGTGGAAATAAAGAAAAGTCTATCCCTGCTAGTTATATTAGCTTACATGAAAATCCATAGTTATTCTGAACACATAGGTCCAAAGTTCGAAAATGAAACTACTTTCTCTAAAGCAGAAGATTCCAAGAGACAAATGCTTGGTAATTTCTAACATCAATTATCAGCATCATTATTTTTATTTGGGAGGTTGGACAGGGGTAATAAAGGTTGTGTTCTGGAATAAAAGTAACATAATCCTCAACCATACAAATTTTCTTTAATAATCTCTACCCTAAGCTAACTCTTGCTGTAGACAGGACAGAAAGTTGCCTTCAGATTCAACTGAATGGAGTTAGGTTGCTTCTTACGAGATGTGCCTCCATCTACAGGAATTACGCTCAATTTATTGGACTCAGCTTCAAACAGTGTTGGGAGTCAAAGATTCTACCTAACATTCTTTCACCACCTGCCTAATATTATGGAAAAGTAAATACAGAGTTACAGGGGTTGGAGCTTCGTGGTTCACAAAGATGTCAAGAGTTACCAGTTTTCTAAGACATGAATTGTCTTTACCTGAAACTTAAGGTTGGAAAGTAGACTAAGGTATACTCCAAAGTTCCAGAGGTCTGATAAATATTTTTCAACAAGTCACTTACAATCTCTAGCTCACAAAATTTAGCAGTACTAGGGGAGTGGGATTTATGAAGACCATTACACCTCAGATAGTTCTGGAAGTTAATTCTATAACTATGATTTATGCAGACAAATGACTTCACTTTGGTTCAGAAGACAAATAAAATGGCCACGTGCAGCACTGAAGGGCATTAGTGGCAACCATTACTTAATATGCAGATGCCACTTACTTATAACCAAGCAATATTTTATACACACACACACACATACACACACACATATATATATAAAATATTGGTGGCTGTTTATATATACATATATATGTATCTGTGTGTGTATATATGTACACATAAACAGCCACCAAAATAGTTTTTTTTAAAATCACTCCAATTGTATATTCCATTCTTTGTAAGTGGAAAAGGAAAGCTAATTCCAAGTGATCATCAAGATATAGTTTGCTTATATCTAATTGTTACTACAATTTTTAAAAAAACTGGCCAGGTGCAATGGCTCACGCCTGTAATCCCAGCACTTTGGGAGGCCAAGGCAGGCAGACCACCAGAGGTCAGGAGTTTGACACCAGCCTGGCCAACACGGTGAAACCCTGTCTCTACTAAAAATACAAAAAACCTGGGCATGGGGGTGTGCACCTGTAATCCCAGCTACTCAGGAGGCTGAGGCAAGAGAACCACTTGAACCCAGGAGGCAGAGGTTGCAGTGAACCAAGATCACACCACTGCACTCCAGCCTGGGCAACAGAGCCAGACTCCATCTCAAAACATACATAAATAAATAAATAAATAAATAAATAAATAAATAAATAAACAAGTAAAATAAAGGACACAATGAATACATGTATGGCTAAGTTGGAAACCCATTTCATGTTTGGGTTTTGATTTCTTAAAACCATTTTGGGAAAAAGAAAAAGAATGTTATGTTTATTATATGTACATAATAAATACAACTTTCTTTATGATTCTGCAGAGTAAAATAAATGCTTTTCAGTAAATAATAAATGTGCATAATTACCTAGTTTATGCATTCCATTATATGGAATGAGAATTCCAACCTATAAAGTGCTCTTACATTTTTCATTACAAAATCTAGTTTTTGATAGCATGGCAATAGTCATCCAAAACTATAATGGTATAATGGATAGCTGCTTTTTTTGTTGTACTATATTACTATCAAGCATAAATATTCAAATTCTCCTGAATTAACTGTAAGGCATATATTGAAATAAAATGGAATTTAAAATACAATGTACTTTGCATCAAAGCAGACAGGGTTACAGTAAGGCCTTAAAATAACTTTTTTATTAGACTTTATTTTTTATAGCAACTTTAAGTTCATAGCATAATTGAAGGGTACAGAAACTTCCCAATTATCTCTTGCCTGCACACATACATAGCTTCCATCATTATCAACATCCCCCACCAGAGCAGCACATTTGTTACAACTGATGAACCTACACTGACACATCATCACCCAGAATCCACAGTTTAGTTTAGGATTCACTCTTGGTGTTGTACATTCTATGGGTTGGACAAAAGTATAATGACATATATTTACCATTATACTATCAAACACAGCATTTTCATAGATGAATGATGTATAATGATGAAAATATATAATGACATGTAATTAGTCATCTGGTCAGTATTTATCAGTGTCACATGTTATTCTTCTATATTTCTCTTACCCACCACCTCTAGGTTAAAAAATGCAATGAGTAAGTAAATTCAGTTTTATTTAAGGTCCCTAATTTTTAAGACAAACTAATTAAAGCAAAATGGAAATACAAAGCAAGCCAGAATAAACAAATTCTAGGGCCAAAAAGAACCTTGGCTGAAGATCTTTAATAAAGCCAAATCTTCTCATTATATTACTTTTACATCTTCCTTCAATTTTGATTTAATATCTAGATTATAGGTATACTGGCTACTGTATTTACCCTGCCTGACCTCCAAGAATTCTTTAAGGTAACAAAAAAGCTCCCTAGAAGGACATAGCACAACTGATACTTTATTTGGAGTTTTTCAAACTGGCAATAAACAATGACACCATAGGCTTAATGCTGCCATGTACAGATTCCAGGCAACTCATGATTGGTCAAAGTCATAAAAGGGAGTTGGATGTTACATTCTGTGACTTTCTATGATGTTACATTATCAATCTTCACATGCAGTTCTCATTCATATTTGTGGCACTCTAACAAAATCCCACAGCCCTCAGTCCCCGAAAGGTCCTGGAAGAAACATCCAAATTTCCTGGAGAGAAACATCTACCAAATGCTATACTGTCCCCCAAATTAAAAAATAATCTTACACACATTCCTTTTTGTTTATTAATTTATTCTTATATTAATTTTATTTTTATATTTACTCTTTAGAATTTTATAATTTAAATTCTTCAGAAGATCACACAAAAAATTCTCCTATTACTTATTAGCAATTACCTTGTAATACTCTACAGAAGATTAAGGACTTGGATTATAATTTATTGGAATAGAGGTAAACATTTAGGTTATCAACATATTCCAGGCATTTAACTAACATCCTCCTTCATAATTAAAAGTATATCCCTAAAGTAGTGTTGATGTATTTCACAGAAATACTTAGCCTTAACAATTTTCAGTATAGGCAAAAAAAAAAAAAAAAAACGGTGGGGGGAAACCCAGAAAGAAAGCTCTCCAAATTCTACATTTTTATGGTGAGCATATTGGCATTAAATTTTAAATTAGCAATAGCCTGCAGGAGAAACTGATGCACAGATTAGACACAAACTGTAGAAACTTAAGTCAAAAGTAATGAGAGGATTTTGGAGACAGGGCAGAACAAGATGGCCAAATAGAAGGCTCCACGAATCATCCCCTCTGGAGGAACACCAAATTTAACAACCATCTGTATAAAAAAGTACCTTCATAAGAACCAAAAATCAGGTGAGCACCCACAGTACCTGGTTTTTAACTTCCTATCACTGAAAGAGGCACTGAAGACGGTAGGAGAAACAGTCTTGAATCACCAACGCCGCCCCTCCCTTATCCCCTGGCAACGGTCACATGGCACAGGAGAGCACAGAAATTGTAAGAGAATGCACTGAATTCCGTGCTGCCCAGTTACAAGAGAAAGCAAACCTGGCTGAGCTGACCTGGCGCCTGCCCACAGAGGGAATATTTAACCAGTCCACGTCAGAGGGAGATCACACATCCCAGTTCCAGCAAGCCTTGCCACCACGGGCTAGAGTACTCTGGGGTGCGAAATAAACATGAAAGGCAGTCTAGGCCACAAGAACTGCAACTCCTAGGCGAGTCATGGTGCTGGACTGGGCTCAGAGCCACTGGACATTCAACTTACTGAGACACCAGTCGAGGCAGCTGAGGAAGTACTTGTGCCACCTCCGACCTCAATTTCAGGCAGCAGAGCTCAATTAAAGAGATCCCTTCCTTCTGCTTGAGGAGAGGAGAAGAGAGAGTAAAAAGGACTTTGCCTTGCATCTTGGATACCAGCTCACCCACTGTAGGACATGGCACTGGGCAGAGTCATGAAGGCTCCATTGCAGGGCCTAGCTCCTGGACATTTCTAGACACACCCTTGGCCGGAAGGGAACTCACTGCCTTGAAACAATGGACCCAGTATTGGCAAGACCCATCATCTGCTGACTAAACAGCCCTTGAGCCCTGAATAACCAGCAGTGATACCCAGATGGTACCCCGTGAGCCTTGGGTGAGACTCCGAGACTTGCTAACTTTAGTTGCAAGTCAGCACATTCCTAGGTAATGGTGGCCACAAGGAGAGATTCTTTCTGATAAGAAAAGTAGGGGGGAAAGTAAAGGTGACTTTCTCTTGCACCTTAGGTACCAGCTTGGCCACAGGAATTGGAGTACCAAGCAGGATCTTGGGGTCCTCAATTCCAGGCCTTGGCTCTTAGCATTTCTTTACCAGTTCTGGGCCAGCGGGGAGCCCAGTGTCCCGAAGGGTGAGTCCCAGGCTGGCACTATTCACCACAAACTGACTTAAGAGCCCTAGGGCCTTAACTGAATATTGGTGGTAGCCCAGCAGTATTCTCCATGAGCCTGTAGTAGTGGCGGTCATGGGCTGAGGCTCCTCTGCCAGTAGAAATGGGAAAGAAAGGTGAGAAGTACTGTGTCTTCTGGTTTGAGTGCCAGCACAGCTGCAGGACAGCAGAACACCAGAAAGACTTCTAAGGTTTCTCACTCCAGTCCCTAGCTCCTGGATGGTACCTCAGTACGCACCTGGGCCCACAACAACTCACCATCATGAAGGGCAGGACACAAGCCTAGCTAGCTTCACCATCTGCTGACTGTAGTGTCCCAAGGCCTGAGCAAACATAGTATCTGGTAGCCAAGTAGTGGTTACAGTGGGCCAGCGTTAGGTGAGATCTAATGCTGTGCTTGCTTCAGTTCTGAACCAGCACAGTCCTAGAGGTGGTAACAACAGAGAGTCTTCTGTCACACTACCTACAGCTCCACATGGCTCAGAACAAACAGAGAGACTCCCTTTGTTTGGAAGAAAGTAAGGGAAGAGAACAAGAGTCCCTGCCTAGTAATCCAGAAAATTCCTCTGGATTTTATCCAAGAACATGAAGACAGTACCTCTGCAAGTCTGCAAGAACCACAGTGTTACTGAGCTTGGGGTGTCTGCTAATGCAGATACAGCTTAGATCACAATGCTCAAGTCCTTCCAAATACCTGGAAAGCCTTCCCAAGGAGAATGGGTAAAAACCAGCCTAGGCTTGGAAGACTACAGTAAATACCTAACTCTTTAATGCCTAGACAGATGAACATCCATAAGCATCAAGACAATCCAGGAAAACATGATCTCACCAAGTAAACTAAATAAGGCACCAGGGGCCAGTCCTGGAGAAACACAGATATGTGACCTCTCAAAGAATTCAAAGTAACTGCTCAGAGTAAACTCAAAGAAATTCAACATACCACAAGGAAGGAATTCAAAATTATATCAGATAAACTTAACGAAGAGATTGAAATAATTAAAAAGAATCAAGTAGAAATTCTGAGTTGAAAAATGCTACTGACATTGAAGAATGCATCAAAGTCTTGTAAGGACAGAACTGATCAAGCAGAAGAAGGAACTAGTGAACTCGAAGACAGGTTATTTGAAAATACACAATGAGAGGAGACAAAAGAAGAAAGAATAAAAACCAGTGAAGCACACCTACAGGATCAAGAAAGCCTCAAAAGGGCAAATCTGAGAGTCACTAGCCTTAACGCAGAGGCAGAGAAACAGATGAGGGTAGAAAGTTGGTCAAGAGGAAGAATAATAGAGAATTTCCCAAACCTAGGGAATGATATTAATGTCAAAGTACAAGAAGATTACAGAATACCAAGCAGATCTAACCCAAAGAAGACTATCCCAAGGCATTTAATAATCAAACTCCCAAAGGTCAAGGGGAAAAAAAGGATCCTAAAAGCAGCAAGAGAAAAGAAAAAAATAACATTCAATGGAGCTCCAAATATGTCTGTCTGGCAGCAGATTTTTCAGTGAAAACCTAACAGGCCAGGAGAGAGTGTCATGACATATTTAAAGTGCTGAAAGAAAAAAAAACATTTACCCTAAAATAGTATATCTGGTGAAAATATCCTCTGAACGTAAAGGAGAAAAAAAGACTTTCCCAGACAAACAAAACCTGAGGGATTTCATAAACATCATACCTATCCTACAATAAATGCTAAAGGGAGTTTTTCTGTTTCTTTTTTTTTTTTTTCTTGAGATGGCGTCTCGCTCTGTCACCCAGGCTGGAGTACAGCGGTGCGATCTCGGCTCACTGCAACCTTCGTCTCCCGGGTTCAAGCGATCTCCTGCCTCAGCCTCACAGGTAGCTGGGATTACAGGTGCTCGCCACAACACCCAACTAATTTTTTATATTTTTAGTACAGATGGAGCTTTGCCACATTTTCCAGGATGGTCTCGAACTCCTGACCTCAAGGGATCAGCCCACCTCAGCCTCCCAGAGTGCTGGGATTACAGGCATGGGCCACCGTGTCCAGCCTGGGAGTTTTTCAATCAGAAAGAAAAGGAAGTTGATGAGTAATAAGAAATCAACTGAAGGTCCAAAACTCACTGGTAATAGTAAGTACACAAAAAAATGCAGCATATTATAACACTGTAAATGTGATATATAAAATACTCTGATCTTAAGGAGAAAGACTAAAAGATGAACCAACCAAAACTAATAATGACAACTTTTCAAGACATAGAAATTATAATGAGATATAAACAGAGACAACAAAAAGTTAAAAAGCAAGAGGCTAAAGTGTAGAGCTTTTATTGGTTTTCTTTTTGCCTCTGTGTGTTTTTGCCTATGCAATGTTAAGTGGTTGTCAGCTTAAAATAATAGGTTGTAAGATAATATTTGCAAGACTCATCATAACCTCAAATCAAAAACCATATAACATATACCTAAAAAATAAAAAGGAAGAAATTAAATCATACCACAAGACAAAATCACCTTCAATAAAAGAAATGAAGGAATGAAGAAAGGAAGAGAAGACCACAAAACAAGCAAAAGACAAACAATACAATGGCAGAACATATCCTTACTTCTTAATAACAATGGAAACGCACTAAACTCTCAAATCAAAAGACACAGAGTGGCTCTGAATGGATAAAAAAACAAGACCCAATTATCTGTTGTCTACAAGAAACACATTTCACTTATAAAGACACACATAGGCTGAAAATAAGCAGATGAAAAAAAGATATTCCATGGCGACAAAAGCAAAAAAGAGCTGGAGTAGCTACACTTGTATCAGTCAAAATAGATTTCAAGACAAAAACTGTAAGAAGAGAAAAATAAGGTCACTATATAATAATAAAGAGGTCAACTGAGCAAGAGAATATAACAATCATAAATATATATGCATTCAACAGTGGAGCACCTAGATATATGAAGAAAACATTAAAAGTCACGAAACAACAGGTGCTGGAGAGGATGTGGAGAAATAGGAACACTTTTACACTGTTGGTGGGACTGTAAACTAGTTCAACCACTGTGGAAGTTGGTGTGGCGATTCCTCAGGGATCTAGAACTACAAATACCATTTGACCCAGCCATCCCATTACTGGATATATACCCAAAGGATTATAAATCATGCTGCTATAAAGACACATGCACACGTATGTTTATTGCAGCACTATTCACAATAGCAAAGACTTGGAATCAACCCAAATGTCCAACAATGGTAGACTGGATTAAGAAAATGTGGCACATATACACCATGGAATACTATGCAGCCATAAAAAATGATGAGTTCATGCCCTTTGCAGGGACATGGATGAAGCTGGAAACCATCATTCTCAGCAAAGTATTGCAAGAACAGAAAACCAAACACCACATGTTCTCACTCACAGGTGGGAATTGAACAATGAGAACACATGGACACAGGAAGGGGAACATCACACTCCAGGGACTGTTGTGGGGTGGGGGGACGGGGGAGGGATAGCATTAGGTGATATACCTAATGCTAAATGACAGGTTAATGGGTGCAGCACACCAACATGGCACATGTATACATATGTAACAAACCTCACATTGTGCACATGTACCCTAAAACTTAAAGTATAATAATAATTTTAAAAATTCAAAAAAAAAACACCTTGAAAAGAAAATTAAAAAAAAAAAACGAAAACATTAGAGATAAAAAGAGAGATAGACTCCAATACAATAACAGCTGGAGACATCAACACACCACACTCAGCAATGGACAGATCCTCCAGATAGAAAAGTAACAAAGAAATATCACACGTAATCTACACTACAGACCAAATCGACCTAACAGATATTTACAGAACATTTCATACGAAGGTCACAGGATACACATTCTTTTCCTCTGCACACAGATCATTCTCAAAGATAGGTCATGTTAGGTCACAAAACTTGTCTTCAAACGTTCAAAAAAAGTGCAATAATATCAAGCATCTTCTTTGACCACAATGGAATAAAAATAGAAATCAATAACAAAAAGAATTTTGGAAGATGTACAAACACATGGAAATGAAACAATATGCTCCTGAATGACCAGTGGGTCCATGTAGAAACTAAGAAGGAAATTGAAACATTTCTTGAAACAAATGATAACAGAAACACAACACACCAAAATCTATGGGATACAGCAAAAGCAATACTAAGAGGAATGTTTACAGCTGTAAGTGCTTATATAAAAAAAGAAGAAAAACTTCAAATAAACAACCTAACAATGCATCTTAAAAAACTACAAAAGCAAGAGCAAACGAAACACAAAATTAGACGAAAAACAATAATGAAGATCAGAGTAGAAATAAGTGAATTTGAAATGAGAACACAACAGATCAATAAAACAAAAAGATGTTTTTTAAAAAGAAAGAAAAACAAAACTGACAAACCTCTACCCAGAGTAAGAAAAAAGGAGAGAAGATCAAAATAAATAAAATCAGAGATGAAAAAGGAGACATTATAGCTGATATTACAGAAATTCAAAGGATCACTAGTAGCTACTAGGAGCAACTATATGCCAATAAATAGGAAAATCTAAAACAAATGGGTAAATTCCTAGAAATATTCAACCTACTAAGATTGAATCATAAAGAAATCCAAAACCCAAACAGACCAATAACAAGTAATGAGATCAAAGCCATAATAAAAAGGTCTCCCAGTAAAGAAAAGCCTAGGACCCAATGGCTTCAGTGCTGAATTCTACCAAACATTTAAATAAGAACACCAATCCTACTTAAACTCTTCCAAAAAGTAGAGGATGAGGGAACACTTCCAAGCTCACTCCGTGAGGCCAGTATTACCCTGATACCAAAATCAAAGGAAACATCAAAAAGAAAACCACAGCCAATAGCCCTGATGAACACTGATGCAGAAATCTTCAACAAAATACTAGCAAACCAAATTCAACAACACATTAAAAAGATCATTCATCATGACCAAGTGGGATTTATCCCAGGAATGCAAGGATGATTCAACATATGCAAATCAATCAATGTGATACATCATATCATTAGAATGAAGAACAAAAACCGTATGATCACTGCAATTGATGCTGAAAAAGCATTTGATAAAGTCCAACATCCCTTCATGAAAACCCTCAAAAAACTGGGTACAGAAGGTACATACCACAACACAATAAAAGCCATATATGACCAACTCACAGCTAGTATTATTTTAAGTGGTGAAAAACTGAAAGCCTTTTCTCTAAGACCTGTAACACAACAAGGATTCCTATTTTCAACACTGTTCTTCAACACAGTACTGGAAATCCTAGCCAGCGTAATCAGACAAAAAAAAAAAAAAGAAATAAAGGGTTTGCAAATTGGAAAGGAAGAATTCAAATTATTGTTGTTTGCAGATGATATAATCTTGTACTTGAAAAAACTGGAAGACTCCACCAAAAAACTACTAGAACTGATAAATTCAGTAAAGGTGCAGAAAATCAACACATAAAAATCAGAAGCATTTCTATATACCAACAGTGAACAATCTAAAAAAGAAATCAAGAAAGTAATCCCATTTACAGTAGCTACAAAGAAAAGTAAATACCTAGGATTTAACTTACCAGAGAAGTGAAAGATCTCTACAATGAAAACTATAAAACACTGATGCAAAAAATTGAAGAGGAAACAAAAAAATGGAAAGATAATCCATGTTCATGAACTGGAAGAATCAATACTGTTGAAATGTCCACACTATCCAAAGCTATCTAAAGATTCAATGCAATCCCTATCAAAATACTAAAGACATTCTTCACAGAAATAGAAAAAAAATCCTAAAATTTATATGGAATCACAAAAGACCCAGAACAGCCAAAACTATCCTAAGCAAAAAGAACAAAATGGAAGAATCATATTGCCTAACTTAAAATTATAATACAGAGCTGTAGTAACCAAAATGACATGGTAATGGCATAAAAACAGACACTTAGATCAGTGGAAGAGAATAGAGAACCCAGAGGTAAATCCATACATCTACAGTAAACTCATTTTCAACAAAGATGACAAGAATATACATTGGGAACAGGACAGTCTCTTCAATAAATGATGCTGGGAAAACTAGATACTTAAATGGAAATGAATGAAACTTGACCCCTATCTCTTCCCATATACAAAAATCAAATCAAAATGGACTGCAGACTTAAATCTAAGACCTGAAACTATGAAACTACTAACAGAAAATATTGGGAAACTCTCCAGAATACTGGTCTGGGCAAAAATTTCTTGAGTAATACCCCATAAACACAGGCAACGAAGTAAAAATGGATAAATGGGATCACATCAAGTTTAAAAGCTTCTGCACAGCAAAGAAAAACACAGTGAAGAGACAACCCACAGAAAGGGAGAAAACATTTGCAAACTACCCATCTGACAAAGGAGTAATAACTAGAATATAAAAGGAACTCAAACACTATAGGAAAAATATCTAATAATCTGATTAAAAAATGGGCAAAAGATCTGAATTGAACTTCCTCAAAAGAAAATATGCAAACGACAGGCCAGGCCCAGTGGCTCACGCCTGTAATCCCAGCACTTTGGGAGGCCGACGAAGGCAGATCACCTGAGGTCAGGAGTTCGAGACCAGCCTGGCCAACATGGTGAAACCCCATCTCTACTAAAAACACAAAAATTAGCCGGGCATGGTGGCATGCGCCTGTAATCCCAGCTACCCAGGAGGCTGAGAATTGCTGGAACCTGGGAGGCAGAGGTTGCAGTGAGCCGAGATTGTGCCACTGCACTGCAGCCTGGGCCACAGAGCAAGACCCCATCTCAAAAAAAAAAAAATACATATATATATATACACACACACACACACACACATATATATATGTATGTACAAATGACAAACAGGTGTATGAAAAGGTGCTCAACCATTGACACTCTTCACAAAATCAGAAAAAACTAATTGAACACATGAAGCCAGAGACTAGGAGGATGGTTACCAGAGGCTAGGAGGTAACCAGAGGCTAGGAAGGGTGGTGGGGGTGAGGGGAATGGGAATGGTTAATGGGTACAAAAAAAAAAAAAGGAAAATGAATAAAACAGTATTTGCTACACAGCAAGGTGACTACAGTCAAAAATAATTTAATTGTACATTTTAAAGTAACGCAATGAGTATAACTGGATTGTTTGTAACACAAAGCATAAATGCTTGAAATGACGTACACCCCATTTAACCTGATGTGGTTATTATGTACTGCATGTCTGTATCAAAGTATCTCATGTAACCCATAAATATATACACTTACAACATACCAAAAAAATTACAAATAAAAATATTTTTTAAAAAGTAGTGAGATGTACATGAAGAGTCAACATAATGAGACACAGATACTAATATCAAGAGTATTGACTTTTGATACCTAAAATCTGGATTTGGTAATGTTTGGAACGTGCTCTAAAATGATTATATAACAAAGGAGGAAAAATTGCTCCAAAAAGAATTATATAAATTGACCAAAAAGGGTTTCAATCAAACAGAGCTGAAAATGAAATAATAAAGCTGATTTATAAGCCATAAGTCAAACGCTATAGCTGTCAGATAGTTGTGCCTATTTATTTGGGTAATACTGAAATAGGGTAAGGCAGGGACTCAAAGCGATGATATCTAATTGGAATTATGAAATATATAAACTGTATCCAAGGATTGACAGTTATTTGTGGAGTTCTTTGTATCATTTCATTTCAGTTGAAGTTGGGCATAGGGCCATAATTCTAGAATCCAAATTAGGGTACAATAAAAAATTGTAACTAATCTCTCCTCAAGCATATGCAATTGAAGCTGCAATATATATTTTGGTTTTTATTTTAATGGACGTGAATGGAAAAGTAAGAAAATGGGAACACAATGAATCAGAGTGACGTCTGAAGCTAATCTTTAGAAATGATGAGGACACAGAAAGTCACAGATAAAGATCCAGCCCACATCACTATGATCTCTATCTTCCTAATTTGAGTCTAGAGCGACATCTACTCTTTAGAATTGGAAAATAAAAAGAGAGCTGATCTATGATTATTGACTCCAGCCATGCGTACACCCTCCACTTTCTGTTTTGCCCAGGCTGAAGCCGAAAAAATTACTCCATTTTAGTATGAATTTATTTATTTATGTCTGGGAATGGGTGAAATAATAAGATGTCTTTGCTTCTAAAATATTTTTATATATAAAAATATTATATTTTTATATATAAAAATATTATATTTTTATATATAAAAATATTATATTTTTATATATAAAAATATTATATTTTTATAATATAGTCTCTCTTTTTAAAGAGAATCTTTAAAAAATAGAACCACCACATACAATTCTCATATACCTCATAAAAAATGAACACGAGGCGTTGAAAAGCACTTACCATGAAAGGAAACACCAACAGAACAATTAAATTTGTTGTATAATCACGTGTCTCAAACTGAATATGCTATAGGAATATTTTACGTTCCTGATGAATAACCTTACCTTCACAAGGCAGGTTTTTTAAAAAAAAAATTCCAGGGAATTAGGAATGAGAGTTAGTGAACTACAAGCCACCAATGAAATATCATCTGACTTCAGCTGCACTATTTGATTTCCATGAGCTCCTTTAGAGCCCTTTATTTACAAGGAGGCTAGGGCTCCTCTGGAGTGTAAAACTGAAGATATGAGATTGATTGCTGAAGAAGTCAGTTTTAAGGATACTTTAAAAATGCAATCATTGCAGCCACAAAATTTAAAGAAATCATACTTAAGTGTTTAGTAAAAATTAATATTGTAACACTCACCACGACACTAAATCAGAGGGTTAAAGTCAGAATATCAATACTGTCAGTTACTTTTCTACAATATTTAAACTTCATTCAATTATTTTTTCAACAGAAATAGGAAGGGAGCTTCATAGAAAAAGTACACTCAAATGGATACGCTGAAAAAACAAGTGGAATCCACTGTGAATTCAGATCACTTACAGGTAGAAATAAATTATGTAGGTCTAAAAATCATTGTAATGTTATATTCAAGAGTTCCCAGTTCAACTGTAAATTGACAGAGATTTACATAGTTTCAATATTAAAATACAAATAGCAAGATTGTATTTTCTGAGGGGGCAAGGAGTTAAAATTAATAGAAAGATGCTTTAAGTCTATTCCAAAGAGTGATTAATCATAGCATTTTCTGTATGAAACATGCTACATGAAAACAGCATAATCAATCAGAACCAGCTTTAGAATCAGGGTGAGTGGCCTAGGCCTGGCCCTAGGTTGCCATGCAAAGACAATGGTACCTTGGACAACAGGACTGCTCAGTGTGTGAGCACAGGAGCCAGGCAGTAACTGTGGATGGAACAGAGAACTCTTAATGCCTTGGTGAGCTGATCAGATAATCTCTAACTTCTAAATTTATGATTCAGGGCGAAGGAGATAACATCACTGACCAAACTGATTCTGCAATACTTTATGTTGGCTCATATACTAGGAATAGGACCTATATAATAAATAAGAGCTTGATATATTTGTATGGTCAAGATTAGAAGCAGGACTTCCTGGCTGTGTTAAATATGCTTTACATTTATTAACATAATAATCACATGAAAGGAAATATGGTCATGTGTCACATAAAGACATTTTGGTCAAAGATGGACTGCACACATGACAGTAGTCCCATAAGATTGTAAGGCTGTTATGTCTTTTGTACCTTTTCTATGTTTAGGTACACGAACACTTACCATTGTGTTAAAATTGCCTACACTACTCAGGACATTAGTAGCAATGGGCTACATCGTACAGCCTAGGTGTGTAGCAGGCTATACCATCCAGGTTTGTGTCAGTACACTGTATTATGTTCACACAATGACAAAATTGCCTAACGATGCATTTCTCAGAATGTATCCCTGTCATTAAGTAATGCATACCTGTACCAAAATGCTTTCTGGGCCCACTGATGCAGGGACTTCTTAAATGGGAGGTAAAACCTCTAACATTAAATATACCAGATTATTCAGACCATAAAGAGTGTCCATATTTTTATCCCTTCTTTCACTCCCCAAAGTGAATGCCAGCAATAAAATCATCCAGAAAGACACCACTCTCAGACTTACTGAGAACTAAATATACACAGTCATGACAAAAATTTTCATCATATAAGGCGTATTCTTTATATTGTCATTCAGGTTTTTAACTTCAGTTGCAAGGAAGTGTAATTCTCTGTCATTAGAGATCATTGAGGAATAAAGTAAATGCTGCTATTACAGCTGAAATCATCGAGCTGAGCACCTGCTCTGAGATCATGAGTGAGGCATACACTGCTGAGGTCTGATTGTTCGTCACTTTCAAGAATGTTCTGATTCCTCTTGAAAGACAATTTTTAAGAAAAATTAAGGTAAAACTTAATCAAATGGCAACAAAGTTGACATAGATTGTTAGAATGGAAAACAAAGATTTGAAGTAAGCTAAACTTTTATAACATTATTATTATTATTATTTTCTTCTGCCCCCAAAAAAATCTGCAGGAAAGTAGTAAGGTAAATTTTTAACAAGGTCTTTAGAAAAACAATTTAGGTCAAGTCAATTCTTGGTCTCTAAATAGGGGATCATTTGTTATTAAATATTCTGCCTAAAATTCACAGCAATGCCTAGTACAGACCAGAAACTCTAAAATGTATTAAAGTATAAATGTAAGGATGAGTAAGTGGGGAAAGACCTCATGCTAGTTGAAAAGTTAGATATGATGTCAGGCACAGGGGCTGATACCTATAACCCCAGCACTTCAGGAGGCCAAGGTGAGAGGATCACTTGAGCTCAGGAGTTTGAGAACAGCCTGGGCAACATAGTGAGACCTTGTCTCTACAAAAGAATTTAAAAATTACCCAGGCATGGTGGCGCATGCCTGTAGTCCCAGCTACCCAGGAGGGTGAAGTGGGAAGATCACTTGAGCCCAGGAGTTCGAGACTGTGGTGAGCCATGATTGCACCACTGCACTCCAGTCTGGATGACAGAGTGAGACCCTGTCTCAAAAAGAGAAAAATAAACACTGGATATGAACACAGTTTCTTCAGGGGTCACTGAGGATCCCCCACCTTGACTGTTACTTGAAATACTTATTTTCAAGTATTGCAAAATAGGGATGGACAAGAAAATGAAGAAAAATTCTGAAGCCTTGAAAATGTAAATGTGGACACGATAAATTGACAGTCCCTGCAGCTTCCTAAGTAGAGGACTGCCACCAGAAATTTACCTAATAGTCGGGCACAGTGGCTCACGGCTGTAATCCTAGCATTTTGGGAGGCCGAGGCAGGTGGATCAAATGAGGTCAGGAGTTCAAGACCAGCCTGACTAGCAAGGTGAAACCCCGTCTCTACTAAAAATACAAAAATCAGCCAGGCATGGTGGCAGGCGCCCGTAGTCCCAGATACTCAGGAGGCTGAGACTGGAGAATTGCTTAACCTGGGAGGCGGAGGTTGCAATGAGCTGAGCTCACGCCACTGCATTCCAGCCTGGGCAATGGAGTGAGACTCCATCTCAAAAAAAAAAAAAAAAAAAGCCAGGAACAGTGGCTCCCGCCTGTAATCCCAGCACTTTGGGAGGCCGAGGCGAGCAGATCACAAGGTCAGGAGATCGAGACCATCCTGGTTAACACGTTGAAACCCCGTCTCTACTAAAAATACAAAAAATTAGCCAGGCGTGGTGGCGGGTGCCTGTAGTCCCAGCTACTTGGGAGGCTGAGGCAGGAGAATGGTGTGAACCTGGAAGGTGGAGCTTGCAGTGAGCCAAGATCTTGCCACTGCACTCTAGCCTGGGCGACAGAGAGAGACTCCGTCTCAAAAAAAAAAAAAGAAAATAAATTTACCTAATATTTCTATAATGGATATAGAACCAGCAGGTAAGATGCTTTTGAGAGGGAAGACTAGAAACACAAGGAAGTGCAGAACTGCACATATAAGCACCTGAGCAATCTTATCTTTTCCCTAGACTTAAATGTGTCCACAGTGGGTAGGGTGGGAAGAAAGGTTAAGCAATACTAAAATAAGCTACTTACTGCTGTCCACGCATTTCTTTTGCACCGGGCACACAGCCATCCATCACAGATCTCATGAGAAGGAATACCATAACAACCTATAAAATAATAGTATGTATCCATGCGTTAGGTCTTTTTCACCTTTAAAATATTGCAGATCTCAGTACTGAAATAAATAAAAATGGGACACTAGCCTACCATACTGTCTTGATTCTCACTGTATAGAACAAAACATAAGCAAGGTGAATGTGAGTCTTACTGATAACTAACACAACAGTTACAGTGAATACTTATGGAACATCTTGAATGGGTAATAAAATTTTAAACTGTCAAGTCTACTAATTTGTTCACACACAGACATCTTAAAATAAGTTGCAATCCATGGGGCAAAGTTTAAGGAAATGTCAAAAATAATATAATAAATACATTTTAACCTAATATTTTTAAATTAATATAATTTAAAATTGCTTCAAAAATTAAGTCTAACTACCTTTAACCTCAATGATAGGGCAAATGCTGCAAATTCAGAGTTAGCAATGAAGGAGTATTTTCAATTCGATTTGTCTATTCAGTTCACGCCTGACCCAAAATAACTATCTAAGGTGATGGCTGATGATGCAAATATACATAGCAATTATATGGCATCAAGGAACACATGTCACTCTGACTTCTTGAGATAAGAGAATTCTGAAATATTTAAATGAGTAATTTTTAATATTTCCAATATTAAAAACCCCTCCGTATAAGAGGGTTAAGATTTAATGAGTAATTTTTGAAAATTTCTGTAACATTTGAGATGAAAACAAAATAACAGAAATGTAATTTCCCAAGGAAAAAACCTATCACAGTTAACCATGTCCATGAAATAATGAGTTAAAGCATATGTGTATAAAATAGTATGGCTACACTGCATAGCTGCTACATTCAGGAATCAGATTATATCCCAATTATTTTGTGTCCTGGTGCTTTACCTATTGTATACACATAATAATGTAAGGTGTGTGTGTGTGTGTGTGTGTGTGTGTGTGTGTGTGTTACAAATTGCCTTCAATACAAAAAGAAGATGGCTACGATTATATTTCAAGCAGATAGCATTTAAATCCCTTGAGGAAGTAGGTAGTCTCTAATTAATTAATAAATGATAGATGAGGAAGCTGTTTCAACCCTAATACAAAGGAATTATTACTCTGAGGTAAATACAGAAGATAATATCTATATTATAAACCATTCAAACTACATTGACAAAGTACAGGCCATACCTAAGTGTGTTACTAGAATGTGTGATTTGGTAAGATCTGGAATATTAAAATGCCTTAAAATAGAGTTGTATTATATGAGATCCCTTTTACATAGTTCATAGGATTTACATGGCAGACCAATAAATATTTACCACTTATCCAATTGTTAAAAATAATAAATTGAGATAGGTGTGGAGACTATCCCAGTGCAGGGGTAAAACAACTGTAATGACTGTTCTCCCCTGGAATACAATAGAGATTCCTATCCTCACGAATGAAAAAAAGTTAACTCAGTACAACAATTCTCAGAACAACCAAAGGAACATTCATTTCTCTTTTAAAAGTCACAAAGAAAAGCAGTCATCAATCAGTATCAGACTTTCAAATTAAGTTTTTATAAACTAGATCTTAAAGTAAGTAAAATCCAAACATGTGAAAGGAACCCCATCATGACTCCTCAACTGGACCCCAAACAAACAAACCAACAAAAAAAACCAGACCTGCTCTCCACGGATACTACATGAAAGTGGTGAAAAAAGGATGAATATACCAACTCATACTTTTACCAGCAGAAATATGAAAAAGAATGATATAACCATTAAGAATGCCAATAGTCCATGCAACAGATCTGACAGGTTCCAAAAAAGTGAGAAATAAAGATGATGTGAAATGCTGAAAAGCCAGTGATTGATGAATTATAGATCCATTTACTTGCATGAACCCGTACGCAGCACTTTGCACAGGAAATAAGGAGACTTGTTCCATCCTCTTCAAGGAAGGCATTGGGTGGAGAATATTCTATATTTTCTTCACTATAAATAAAACACATCTCTGGTATGAGGGGCTTAGTCTTTCCCTCCGATGTAACGACTTCATCTAATTTTGTCTCCCATCTAGCATCATTTTCTTCATTGCTGCTATCTGGCTGAAAAACATAACGTTTCCACATGAGTGAAAAACATGGAAAAGAGCTCATCATTCTAGTCACTCAAATCCACTAACTCCTGTTCCAGACACTAACTTCTAACTTTTGTTCTTCCTGTTGTTCTCCTTGACCAAACTACTAGTTTTTTTTAAATCAATATTCCACCTCAGACTCCCACCCAAATGTTAATCTGCAGGAAAAGGACAATATTCTATATGTCTGTTCATATAAGAAAGCAACTGGCTACTAAAACTGTGTCTTTCCAAAATTAGTTCGTGGAAAGCATCAATTCTTTTGCTTCTTCATATGCACTAGAGTTAACAGATCTGTTTTCATTTACTGAAGAATCATACCTTGCTACACTTGAAGGAGTGTACAAAGACCCCAGTTTTAATCTGTGCAGCAGTATTAAGAGAGGCTTTAAGAATTTTTGCCTCATCACTTGCAGTATTTGAAAGCAAGTGAGAGAGAACTGGCACATGTCACTAAATAAGAAAGGATAATGTATCAAACAAAATTATCACCTCACACCAAAAGATTTTAAAAAGTTTAGTACTTACTTGAAAGTATAAGTAATGAATTACCTTACAGATTTTATATTACTTTATGTTTTATACTGTATTACTTTATATTAAATCTCCACAAATCTTATTATTTTAGTTTGAATTTTTTAATTATTGAGAAATATACAGATTATAATATAGAAATAAGAATCAATAAGTAGTTAAAACCCAGAAATTTAATGACTAAAGGAAGAGAAAAATAATGTTTGTCACTCACCAGTGCCACATTAAAAAACATGAAGGGAATAAATTATTTCCTCTGTTACAAAGGTCTGAAAATGTGAGATATCACACATTTTCTTGCTCTGAAATGTCTGAACAGAACAGTTTATTTTTATAAGGAACTCTAAGACAGACATAATCTTGAATAAAATATTTGTTTCTATAAATAAAAATATAACCCAAAACACAATGTTCATGTCAATATACTTCATAATATATTGTACCTTAAAATGAACCACATAGTTCCACCCTTACGAGATTCCTAAAAATATTTCAACTGTTTGAGTGCTGAGGACTGTGACCCTCCATTAGCTGAGGTGCTATCAGTATAATATCTATGGAATGACGCTGAAAACAACATCACGCACAGCCAGCTGATGAGGATGAACTGGAAAATTTAGTTTGTAGTGAGTCTTGGCTGTGTCTTTTGCATGTTCCACATGGGAAGGTGAAAAGAGACACTTAAAATTTGGACCTAGGGCTGACATTTCTATTATTTGAGAATGACGTTTTCAAACAAAAAAAAACAGAGATTAAGTTTAAGTTCTCTCTTTGAAAGCTTCTACTATTTGTAAGCTTTAAGTTCTGTGTTTCTTAGTAAAAGAGATAGAAAAGTTGAAAGTAACCCACCCATGAAATAAAATAAGATACTCAAAAAAGATTTGGGAGACCAAAGCGGAAGGATTGCTTGAGGCCAGGAGCTCAAGACTAGCCTAGGCAACATAGTAAGACCCAGTCGCTACAAAAATTAAAAAATAAATTTAAAAAATTAGGCAGGTATGGTGGCTCACACCTATAGTCGTAGCTACTGTGGAAGCTGAGGCAGAGGGATCGCCTGAGCCAGAGTACAAGCCTGCACGGAGTCATGATTGTGCCACTGCACTTCAGCCTGGGCAACAGAGCATGACCCTATCTCAAAAGGAAAAGATAAAGTACTTTCAGAAAAGTGTCTCTCAAGGATCATGTAGAAACTGTTTGTGGTTCTATGAAAGCCATCAGCTACCTAAGGACGTCTTCCTTCTTATGTGCAAAGGAAGCCCACAACAATTTACAGTGATCTTGTGGTATGTGGTCACATGGAAGGCAGAGCAGTGAAGGGAACTATGATAGCAGGCTCCTTTACCTTGTGGTACGGCATGAGCAGAGTGCAGATGGCACAGTGTGGCTTCATCCTGGCCACTGTTGCATTATACTCTTGCTCAGCTGCGAAGTTAGGGGACTTCGTCTGCCAAAGGTGGATGAGAGGTTTCGCCCAAGACTCTGTTTCTTCCACTTCCTCCTCAATGGACAGAACCTCAGGCAATTCTTAAGGGAGAAGGCAGGAAAATACCATGAGCATGGGAACCAGGGAAAACAATCACCCTGAGTACAAAAGAAATAAACATTCCACAGAATCTGTGATATTAAGGCCGGAAACCAAACCTACTTTGTCTTTCAAATACATCCTGAGAGAGCCAGGATAAGGGAAGTTGCCTTATAATCCTCCTCAAGCCTCAAAGACTAGATCAGATCCCACGGCCAGACAACCACCCTCATTTTGTAACCCTCCCTATCCCTACCAGAAATAATTACACTGTTCCCTCCTTCCCACATTACTTCTTCCGTGTCTCTACTGCTACGGTAAAAGCTCCAATACTAAAACAGGTTTATGTGTATGAGATTATCTTCTAGTTATGAGAGGAATTCACAGTCCAGAAACTACTTTGCCAATATTTTTACTTTCTTCATCTAACATAGTACATGGCTCAATAAAAGTTTAACTGAACTTCATTGAATTAAATTCTGGGTTCAAGAATTTATTACAATTAACATTTACAGAGCAGCTATAAAGTACCAAGCAATATACTGGCATTACATGGATATAAAAGAAAATCCCTAGTCAGATCTTCTCATAAAATACCCCTAGAGAGTCAAGTCTTTAAAATGTATATTTCTTTTTCTTTCTTTTTTTCTTTTTTAAGATGGAGTTTTGCTCTTCGTGCCCAGGCTGGAGTACAATGGTGCAATCTCAGCTCACTGCAACCACCGCCTCCAGGGTTCAAGCCATTGTACCGCCTCAGCCTTCTGAGTAGTTAGGATTACAGCCACCCACCACCATGCCTAGCGAATTTTTTTTGTATTTTTAGTAGTGGAGTTTCACCATGATGGCCAGGCTGGTCTAGAACTCCTGACCTCAGGTGATCCACCCACCTCAGCCTCCCAAAGTGCTGGAATTACAGGCATGAACCACTGAGCCTGGTCTAAAATGTATATTTCTTTACTCCACAAGAACAGCACTTTATAAAATCTTACAGAGCACCAGAAAAATACAGAAAGACAAACATGTTAGAAAAATACTCTTCAATGCCTATAGCAGAGGGCAGTACATCAGAGCAAGTGGCCAGAATAAAAGCTGCACCCAGTGTCTAGGGCTGTGACACATTCTAAATATCTGCATAAGTAGCTTTCAAAGTCTGATCAATAAATACTGTAGAGCAATGTGCTTAACTACAAATCACTGGTGAGTAAGTGTGTTCCAGCCCTTCCCATGTTGACTTACCTGTTTTAGAAAAAGTCAAATTAGATTTGCACTGATGGCAAAATGGGAAGGACTGAATGAGGCTGAAAATAACTCAAAATATGTCAAATGCCAACTGTAGCACAAAGGGTGGCATTATTATCATAATAATCACGTTATCATGGTTGTTGTTGTTATTATTTTTACAATGGAAAACACTTGGTATTCACCCATGGGTAGAGTATTTGAAAACAAAAGATAAGAGTCTTTGCCTATATTTGCAATGAAGTAATCTGACTCTAAATGTAACCTGTTTCTCGCAGCACTTGGCCTCACCATAATAGCAAAAGGAGATGGCTAAAAAATTATTATAGCATAGGATATACTACAGCTAATTTTATGCATTTATGATTTAATACTGCACCTTTATATTTGGTTACATCCATGTTTGTGTGCATATGTTGTGACAAATTTTAACTTTTTATAATAGATTTATGTTTATAGTAGTAAATGATAAAAGTCTTGTATCTGCATATATTTTATGCCTTCATGACATATCTTTTTCTTAATTTTTTAAATATTTCTAGGCTACATGATTCATTTGTGAGTTTTTTCAAATTGTTCTGAGTCTATGAGAAATGTTCTAATGTATTTATTGAAAAAAATTGCATGTAAGTAGAGTCAAACAATTCAAACCAATGATGTTCAAGGAGTCAAGTGGAATTGAAAGATAACCACAGTTCTCAAAATATGATCTGTGAACTCCAGGGGATACACAACCCTGTTGCATGGCATCTACATAGTCAAAACTACTTTCATAATAACACCCATGATTTGACTATTAACCATTTGAGATTTGTAACGGTGATACGAAAGTAGTAGAGAGTAAAATTGTTGGTGTCTCAGCATGAATCAAGGCAGTGGCACCAAAGGAATCATTATATTGACTACCTCATACTTACAGAGGTAACAAAAAGGCAGTTTCTCTTAATAACACCTTTGATGGGGGGAAAAAAGCATCAATTTTATTAAATCTGTGAAAAAAAAAGAATGTATGCATAAAATATTTCTGTACACACTAAAGTTCAAGAGTGTTCTTTAAAAAAGCACTTGAGCAATTAATTGAATTGCAGGTTGAATTACCTGCCATTTTCATGGAACGCCACTTTTTCCATGAAAAAAATTATTAGCAGACAAACTACAGTCATTCAGACTTGGGTGGCTGGCAGAAATGTGAAGCCCTCTGTGGAACTTTTCAGTTCAGTTATTGTGTTCTTTACCTCCAGAATATGTTTGGTTCTCTTTTATGGCTTCTATCTCTTTGTTGAAATTCTCAACTTGTTTGTGCATTGTCTTCCTGATTTCATTTAGTTGTCTATCTGTATTCACTTGCAGCTCATTGAGCTTCTTTAAGATTATTATTTTGAATTACTTTTAGGCAGTTTGTAAATCTATATTTCTTTATTGTTGGTTACTGAGGTTTTATTTTGTTCCCTCAGTGGTGTCATGTTTCCCTGATTATTCATGATTCTTGTGACCATGAGTTGGTATCCATGCATTTGAAGAACTAGTGACTTATTCCAACCTTTGTAGACTGGCTTTGGCTTGGACAACCCTTCACCAGTCAGTCCATCCAAATTTTCTAGGCAGGCCATCTGGCATGGTCCAAGGGTAGGCTTGCTCCTGGAATCCTCCGGCCTTGTGTCTGCGTCAGTATGTGAGCTGGCCTGGTACCTGGGTTCATGGGGTTGGATCTGGAGCCTAAGTCCACCATGTAAGAACTGAAGCTTGGGTCTACTGAGTTAGGCCAGGATCTTGGGTTCACGGGGGCCAGCTTGGCACCAACATTCCACTGGTGTGGTCCTGTCAACTGCATCCACAGGGATGTTCCTGGATGTTTGGTCTGTGGGAGTTGGCCCAATGCCAGGGTCTTCTATGGTAGACCTGTACCCAGGGTTCACTAGGGCAGGCATGAAACCCAGGTCCACAAGTGCTGCTCTACATCCTAGACCAGGGGACCAGCTTGGAGCCTGGGTCTGTGGGGGTTGTCTTGGCTCTGGAGTGAGCCTGGAGTCTGGGACTGCAAATGCTGGCTACTGTTGAGGCAGACTTGGAGGCTGGCTCCGTGGGTGCTGGTCTGGAGTCTAAGGATGTGGGTACTGACCTGACACTTGAGCTAGTCTTGAGGCTGAGAGATGGCCTGACACTGGAGCAATCCTGGAGGCTCAGTCTGCAGGTACCAGCCAGGAATCCAGGGCGGTGGGACTGTGTGGTGCTGGGTTTCACTGCAACGGACCTTAGATTGGGATCTGAGGCAAAATCTGTTTCTCACATCACTCTCCTTCCCACACAGGTATCCCTATCCCTCTCCTCACTGTACCGCCTGGGATTAGGGGAGTGGTAATACAGGTAATGCAAAACTGTCCTTCCTATCTCTTCAATGCATCTTTTTTCATGTCTGTGCTATACTCAGGTGCCATCATCTCTCATCTGGTTCCTGTATCTCTTTTGAAGGCATTTTTGAGCATTGATAGTTGTTAAATCGATGTTTCTGCCAGGGGACAAGCGCTGTGAAGTCCTATTCCACTGTCTTGCTGATGTTTCTAATTATTTTTTATGGGTTGGGAAAATCATTATTTTTTATGAAAATAAATGTAACTTTATGTAAATGTTGTTTTTATTGCTATTTTTAAATGAATTAATATAATTTAAATTTTCCCTGGTGTGATTTCCAGTAAGTAAATATCAATAAAATGAACCCACAAAAAAGGAAATAAAAGAATCTTCTTTCAGGTCCTCAGAAGAGATAAGAACATAAGGCTTCCTGAGACCAAAAAGACTGAGAACCACTGCCATATACATGTGTACATTTTTCTAAAAGTGTTAGTATCAAAGAGTCACTGCTAAACAATACAGGTCTTAAAAACACCTGATGTAGGCTTCAATCTTAAAGCCAAGCAGTAACTTCATAATCAGCTTGCCTTAATCAACTTGAAATACTTAAGCAAAAAGAAAACAAGAGTCAACACAGCAAAAAGGCCTCCTTTTCTCCCTAGGTTCTTTCAAGAATGTCTGCAAGGTTTGCCAGAAATTGAAGAAAACAAAGATTTTATGCCAAGAGCACTTCATTTTTTTCTTCCTCAGTCAGTGAGCCTCTTACTTCATGGTGGAAACCCGTACTCCTAGACTAAGATTTTTACAAAAACATTGTCATTCCTTGTAGCAAGTAACATGCAGTCAAGAAAACCATGAGCCTAAATACAAAGCAGTTCCTCAAATCTATGTAAGCCTTTCTAAATTTACAGAAGCCCAGTATACCAGGCACCAAGGTATGTGGAACTTTGTCCTAAATAAGGAAACATAAGCAGTGGCTAAAAGGGCCATCCTATGTAAGAGGGCTAGCGCCTAAACAAACACTACTGTGAGGTGGAAATGGGGAAACCAGATACTAACTTGGATCAATGTACTGAAGAAACCTGTTGAAAATATTGCCACCTTGGCAACAATACCTTCAATAGCTGTTTTCAAATTTTTTAATCGCCATGTCAATAAAAATAAAAATTTATTTTATAAACTGTTTCATTTTATAAACGAACTTGCCTATAGATGAAACTCCTGGATCATATACACAATAGACTGAAATTTTTTTTATAGTAGTATTAAAAGTATTCATTCTCACTTAGACCCAGGAAACCAATCATCACCTCTTACTCTGAATATTTCTGGCAGAATTAAAAACTCGAGGACAAAGGTAGTAGAAATAGCTATGCAAGCAGGGCCTAAAAATAGTCCTCAAAAAGAAATATGAGTTAAAACAAAAATATGTGATTTATATGTGTGCCAGCTGGGTATTAAGAAACTGACCACAACTTCTGCTTGTACAATTACCTATAGGTAAAATCACAGTAATTAGCCATTCACAGCCTGCTTACAACCCTCCCTTCTCAGCCTTTCCAAGGTGTCTTAAATGCATCTCCAAAGCTATTCTCCCTGCTTGCCATTCAAATCACACCGCCCACTCCTCAGGACCATAAACAATTCTGTTTTTCAAACACCTCAAAGGGATAGCTAGATTTCTGTCTTGTCATTGATCATTAAATAGACAATCAGTATCACCTCTGATGCTCAAGCAATGATTCCCCAACAGTCAGAGAGGTCTGCCTGGAAGAGACTCAACCCCACAGGACATGTTATGAGAAGGGGAGGCCCCATTAATTTGAAGCACAGGAAATTCTAAAAACTTTCTGGTTCTAATAAGAAAGTCAGGCTTGCTGAAATTCACTTTGAGTATCTTAAGACATTCAGAGAAACTCCAAAAGTTTTCTACTTATACTAATTTGCAGTATTCCTGCAGATTAATAAAACTTCCCAAGGTGAGGGTCACACTGAGATGTTGTTAGCAACGGTGTAAACATACAGTGTTTATTTCAATGATTATTTTTCGTTGCTTTTTATACACATTAATTTGTATCACTTTTCATACAAAAGTGTAAACGACTTTTATGTAAAGTAAAAAGTCACACTAGAAAATATATATTTGAAAACATTAGTCCAAGTGACACCAAATTATTCTAAGATAAGCATGGCTTTAAGTGTAGAGCTCTGCTCCAACCTATCAGAATAAATTAAAATAATGCTTCATTCATGCAGTCTATACAGTCTTGGTTGGGTGATGATTCTAAACCTATTTCTCAATCTGTAAAATGAGTACAAGATTAGTTAAATGTCAGGGTTTTCCAACAAGTTATATGAGATAGCCATAAAGCTGCTATTTGCTGGTATGCGCAACCTAGTACTTCAGGACATGATGATCCTTCCCCTCTAGGCCTCCAACATAATCTCTGCAAAGGTCTGTGGGGGTTCAGTCAGGCTGGTGGGAAAAATTTTAGTTATAATAGCCACAAACCCTCTTGGAAGCCTTGAGAGTTTGCAAAATTTCGGTAATAAATCTGGCTGAAGGCAGCCTAGTCCCCTTACCTTTAGTTAAATAAATTAGAGTAGAAACAAAGGAATGTGGGGCGTTTATCTAACTCACTTCTTTACTCATGTGGTCTTTTTTTTTTTTTTTTTGAGACAGAGTTTCACTTTTGTTGCCCAGGCTGGAGTGCAACGGCTTGATCTCGACTCACTGAAACCTCCGCCTCCTGGGTTCAAGCGATTCTCCTGCCTCAGCCTCCCGAGTAGCTGGGATTACAGGCATGCGCCACCACGCCCGGCTAACTTTGTATTTTTAGTAGAGATGGGGTTTCACCATGTTGGCCAGGCTGGTCTTGAACTCCTGACCTCAGATGATCTGCCCACCTCAGCCTCCCAAAGTGCTGGGATTACAGGTGTGAGCCACTGCACCCAGCCTACTCATGGGGTCTTAATGCTAACCTTTGTTCTACCATGGGTGCTTAATTGCTTTCTACTCAGGAAGCCCACAATGTCAACTACCTTCTAGTGGTGTTGACTCAAGCCTTTGTCAATTAATCTTTACTGAATAAATGTGAGTCTCGCTGGCTGGTCGGGGCCATGGCTGTGACTAAGTAGCCCGGACACTCAGTAGAACTGGCAAAGCAGACTATCTGTGTGTCAGTGTACTTTATTCATCAGTCATTGGGTCAGGGTCTGCAGGACAGAACCCCGCAGCAGCCATCCAGAAAATTTCTGAAAATGTATGCTGTAAATGTATGCTTAAACACTGTAATGTGTTTAAGATGACAACACAGATTAGAACAGAGCCAATCTAGACAGACGCCAAGTTATCTCCTATATATAAGTATTTCCATCAAAAGGTTTAGCCTTGTAGGGAAAATAAAAGCCTTTATTCTCCCATTCACTCAAAAACATCATTGAATATAATTGATGGTAATAAAGAAATTAATGTCTTTTACAAAAGTATCTAAAAGAATCTTTTTTAAAATATGCAAATAAATTATGGCATAGCTATATAATGCATACATTAGAAGAAATGCTTTTGAGGATTAATGAAATATACAGTATGACTATATATATTACACAACATATTAGTTGAATATAATATAATCAATAAAAAATGGGAGCACAAAACCATGTATAGGGAACATTGCCAATTCTATTTAAAAGGTTAAATGTCTGGAATAAAGAGGCTTTTTAAGTTTTCATAGTTATAAAAATATGTCATCTTAAAAGTTTTTTAAAAACTGCTGTCAAAATAATATTAGGTGAGAACTATGAACTGGGGGAAACCTTGCCTTAAGAACAGATTTTTGCCAGATTCGTTCACTCACTCAGGACAGTATCTTTGAACAAATTTTGTTACATGTAAGTGACGTCCCTAAGGAAAATTATTCAGGCCATTTGTGAAAGGGCTGCTGCCAGGACTTGTGGATGGAACTCAGCAGATGAGAAAAGCTATCAGCTCCACTACAGTATAATTTCCCTTTGCCAGTCATCACACTCATTCTGCTGCTTGGGGTGATGCTCCAGTGAGGTGTTTTGGCTGGTACAGCACCATTCTCTACTATGAAAAGCACAGCAGCATCTGTTACGTTTCAGGTACTTGAGCAAAATCTCAGTCCTGGGAGGCATTTATATATGGTTTCAAACATCCTGCAGGGAATGGGGGGTGTAGTGGGGTGGGATAAGTGCAGAAGTGAGATACTCAAAAAGGCAAAGATTCAAACTTGGGAACTTTATAATTTCTGTACTGAATAATGTATGAAACTATATTTAAGTGATTTTTTTGAAATGCTGACCTTCAAACATTTATAAAGCTGTGTTCAAAAGTACAAAAGAGAAAAAAATTACAGGACTTTAGGTATGATTTTACTAAGAAGTGATGACATTGAGGAAAAATCAAATTCTGCATTACAGTTCCCCCAAAATGCTAATGTAATAATGGATAGCAGAGAATTCTACAGTTTAAAGTCTAAAGCACTTAAGAAATTAAATGGATGTATATAGTTTTGTTCTTTATGTATCACCTCTCAATAACACTGATACAAAAGTATTTCAGAAGGATACATTCCAAATGACTCTATATACACTTTAAATAAGAAACATTCCAAAGGACACAACTTCAAAATTCCTATTACCAAAAAAAAAAAAAACACCCATGATAATTATGCTACCTCTGAGGAGATGGGTTTCACCAGGAACTATGGCATTACCAGCGTGGCTGAAGTTTCTTACAGAACATTAGCTCATATTTTATATATATTTTATAACACGCATGAACAAAAACAAGGAATGCTGGGAAGTTTATCTACACTATTAACAAAGGTATCTGGCTATAATCAGACATTTATATGTGTCCACTTCAACTTCTTTTACCAGTATTCTAGCTATTTTGGGAGGTTGTTAGTGTTGAAAGAGTAGGCTGGACACAGTGGCTCACGTCTGTAATCCTGGCACTTTGGGAGGGCGAGGCAGATGGATCACTTGAGGTCAGGAGTTCGAGACCAGCCTGACAAACATGGTGAAATCCAGTCTCTACCAAAAATACAATACAAACATTAGCCGAGAATGGTGGCAGGCGCCTGCAGTCCCAGTTACTCGGGAGGCTGAGACAGGAGAATCACTTGAACCTGGGAGATGGAGGCTGCAGTGAGCCGAGATCGTGCCACCGCACTCCAGCCTGGCAGACATAGCAATAGTCTATCTAAAACACAAGAGTGTAGAGTGTAAACTTTGGAATTGAACAGACAGTATTTAAAGCCTGTTATCTACCACTTACTAGCTTTGTGATCTAGGACAAGTGAATTCATGTCTATGAGCTTCGATTGCCTTACCAGTAAAAATGATGCTAGCATCATCTAAAATAATTATAAGTAATGGTTACTAGTAATGTGTACAACAAATAGGAGGAAACCAGCTCAGTCAATTCTCACATCATGGTAGGAATGAGAAGAAGAAAACTCCTAAAGAAAGCTGGCATATCCTTGGGAAACTTAGCTGTCAACATGGCACCAGAAGGAACATATTCTGAGCATCAAATCAAAGATAGGTGAAAAAGGAGAAAGAGCCACATGATCTGAAGAGAAATAATAGTATTAATACATTTTAAAATTGCTAACACAGTAAAAGTCTCATGTTCTCACCACAAAATATTATGTATTTAAGGTGACACATAAGTCAACTAACTTATTCCACATTGTACTAATAAAACGTAACACCATTTTGTACCCCATAAATTTATACAATTATAAATTGTCAATTTACAATTAAAAAACAAAGATAGGTACTAAGCATATGAAATTCACCATATGCTAGGTAATATAAAAGATTCTGGAAATAAGAAATTAAAAGCAACAGCCCTTTCCCTTTATGGAGTTCAAAACTACCCATGGGAGGCAAGTGCGGTGGCTCATGCCTGTAATCCCAGCATTTTGGGAGGCCAAGGCAGGAGGATCACTTGAGGCCAGGAGTTCGAGACCAGCCTGGCCAACATGGAGAAACCCTGTCTCTACTAAAAATAGAAAAACTAGCCAGGTGTGGTGGTACGTGCCTGTAGTCCTAGATACTCGGGAGGCTAAGGCAGGAGAATCACTTGAACCCAGGAGGCGGATGCTGCAGTGAGCCAAGATTGTGCCACTGCACACCAGTGTAGGCAACAGAGTAAGACTCTGTCTCAAACAAACAAACAAAAACCACTCATGGGAAAAACCTCCAGATTCATAAGCTATTTCATTAACAGCATATACAATACAAAGTCAAAAGATGGCAAAACAAGATCTCCAAGCAAGAAACTATTAACACTAGCATGATGCAATCTACATGAAAAAGAAGCTCCCCATACCAAAAAAAAAAAGATGTCAGCTTTGGTCATCTATGTAAATGACAGCAGGAATCACAGATATTTTGACCCAACAACTAATAGGAGTTATCACGTGGCAGATCACACAAAACAGCTGCTAGGGAGAGAACTTCAAGTAGGGTGGCCATCACACCAACTAAGGAAGATAAAGACATGGACTATTCAGGGGAGCATACAGAAATAAGGAGAGAACAAGGCTATACATCTTCTTCCTCTCATTTCCCTTCAAAATACATTACATGGTCCTGTCAGCTCTACCTCATGAAAGATTCAATCTTCTCCTGGGGGTCCCCAAGAAGATTCTTAACCCAGATCCATGGTTCACTCACTTGAAGGCATTATCAAGTTTACTCCTCAAGAAAAGACTTCATCAACAACTATGGAAATATTTATGTAACACTCAAACACATATACATATCATAGCCAATCATTCCTCCTTAAGTTTCTAGTTTTTAAAGCACAACAAAAATCTCTGTAAAACAAAACAAAGAACATAAACACTAAAACAATGGAATATCAATCCAGAATTTATAGGTTCACTTGACAGGTATAAAGATATACTCATCTCACCATTTCTCTGAAGCCTGGGAACCTAACACCTCCAAAAGGGAAAAGGACTAAAACAACTCTATGAAAATTAAAATGCTGATAAAGAGAGCCACCTTCTAACCATTCACTAGCTGGAAGTCTTGGACATGTTACTTAACTTCCATGACCAACGTGCACAAATGCCAACCTGTAGAATGTTGCCAGCCAGGACTAAGTTTTCATTGGCCAGCGGCAAAACAAAGAATATGAAGACATAAAGTCACCACAATATTAAAATTTGAAATATACATAAACTTTCCATGCTGATTCTACATCTTCAGAGCTAATTTTACAACCAAAGAAAAGGTGAAAGTAACAATGAAAACAAAGTGTACCAAAATATGTGCTAATTCGGTGGTCTATAAGGCTGAGACATTCTATCTCCAAGAAAAAGAAACTGGCGTTCAGGTTGAAAAAAATGTAAAGTAACACACTTGAGTTGTATGAAATTGCAGTTTTCATAGAGTAAAAAAAATTTCAAATATTGACAATTTCATATATATTATAACCTAATACAATCATTATTTTTCTAAAGAATTGAATGCACCATGAAACTGTGCTATCAAAATCTGTTCCTGGGTAGTTTTCTACAGGACTTTAAGAGTAACAAGGTTATGGTTGAATTTATTTATAAGTTAATTTTAAAAAAATAACAAGGCATACATGAACCCAAAGACTCAAACTCTTTCTTATCATCTTACAATCTCCATGCTTTTAGCACATTCAGAAACCTGATCATAAGATTTCATGCTAATCATTGTTTAGAAAAGTTTCAAAATTGAAAGTAAGAAATACAGAAAGCAACAGCATCACATAAATTATAAAGCCAGCATTTTTGTCTCTAATTTAATCAAAACCTGACCAAGCCACTAGCATAATAAAAGTGAGGTGGTTTTGATTTTTTTATTCACCATACTACAGTAAAAATCAACGCCACTGGGACTTCCAGTGGAATTTACTGACAGAAATAAGGCTAAACTGAGAACACCAAATTATTATTACAAACCTTAAGCACTAGATAAAATATCCATTTTATCTGAATGCCAACAACATCTAATGTTTTGTGTCCACATAACGCAGGAAAACACTGGCTGTGACCTATCAACAAACATTCCAAGCCAATCTACTTAGTAATCTGCTGAATTTGCTGTTTTATTGCTTAAACAGACAGAACTATAAATGTGCTTATTATGAAAGTATAGTAATACCTCAAGCTAAAAAGAATTGATGGAACAAAGAGATCATTATGTAAAAATTAATAACATTTGGAGCATGACATGCAGCAGCCATCACACAGCATTTATTTTTCAAAACTGGCAGGGAAAAGAACTTTTTACGCAGGGGAAAGACTTTCAATGGGAGATGTACCTATTCGTAAGCCAAGTCGCAGCCTGCCTACCCTAAAGCAGACAGTCATGTACCCAGTAGCATCTGGAAAACAAAAGATTGTTTTTTTTTTTTTTTTTTTTTTTTGAGACGGAGTCTCGCTCTGTCGCCCAGGCTGGAGTGCAGTGGCGCGACCTCGGCTCACTGCAAGCTCCGCCTCCCGGGTTCACGCCATTCTCCTGCCTCAGCCTCCCGAGTAGCCGGGACCACAGGCGCCCGCCACCACGCCCGGCTAATTTTTTGTATTTTTAGTAGAGGCGGGGTTTCACCGCGTTAGCCAGGATGGTCTCGATCTCCTGACCTCATGATCCGCCCGCCTCTGCCTCCCAAAGTGCTGGGATTACAGGCGTGAGCCACCGCGCCCGGCCTGTTTTTAATATTTAAAATAACATTTATATTTAATACTTTAAAAAAATTTGTAATTTCTGAATCAAAAAGACATCATCATTATATTTGGTCAACATATTCACTTAATAAATCCTTAAAATAAGAGACACAAAATTAAGACTGGCAAATCTACATCAATACAGTTAAAACAGAGAGTAACAGCTTGCCAGGAGCAGGAGGGCATAATTTTCCCCAAACACCTATCTACAAAAGGTAAAGGGCAACAGCCAATTCTAAATTCTAACTCTTTGATTTCTAGTTCTATTTCTAAATTCCACTTCTAACTAATGTCCTTTTGTTTGAGGGACAATTGCAAAGTGTCTGAGAGCCAGCTTGTGTAGTAAAAGTACCAGCAGGACAATGACTACAAGACACGGGGTGAAGTACTCAGAAAATACCACGGGAAATCCCAGGCGATGCCAGAAAAAAAAACAACCTAGAATGAAGTGCAATCAGTGGGCAGCTCTAGTCCTGGGAAAACACACATAGGACCACTTTAGTATTCAATTGTTATAAACAATTTTTTGTTGTTGTTGTTGTTGTTTGTTTGTTGGTTGGTTTGTTTTTTTGGAACCAGAGTCCTGCTGTGTTGCCCAGGCTGGAGTGCAATAGCATGATCTCAGCGCACTGCAGCCTCCACCTCCCAGGTTCCAGCGATTCTCTTGCCTCAGCCTCCCAAGTAGCTGGGATTACAGGTGTGTGCCACCACACTCAGCTAATTTTTGTATTTTTAGTAGAGGCAGGGTTTTGCGATGTTAACCAGGCTGGTCTCGAACTCCTGACCTCAGGTGATCCGCCTGCCTCGGCCTCCCAAAGTGCTGGGATTACAGGCGTGAGCCACCAAACCCAGCCTATAAACAATTGTTCTAATAAAAGAAATGTGAACTAGAGAAAACCATTTAAGGAAGTAATCAAATTTAGTCAAACGGGACTTCCTGAGATTTCACTTACTTAAAAGTGAATAAATGTATACATTTTATTCTTCAAAACAACAGAAAACCTGGGTTAGATGGGTTAAATGATGGTTAAACACCAAGAAAGATCTCCAATTCCACCTCTTCTGTCTGTATATTTAAACACTCAATCCATTACTGAATAAAATATTATATATATACAGACGTCCCAAGAAATAAATTACTGTAACATTGCCTGAAATACACTCTTAATCTAATCCTCAAGGCATGCAGACATTACAGAGATAGGGATCAGGGTGTAAGCTGTCTTTAATTTCAAAAAGATGCTTAACAGCTCATTACAGTAGTGCACTTGCTGAACTGATGACTGATGAAAAGTTATTTGGAAAATTCAGATTAGAGAAAATCAGACCCAAAACCAGGGCTTTAATCTGAATATTGCCAATATCCAAACTTGTATTAACAGATGAGGCTGCCTCTGCACTTGACTAAACACAGTACACTTGGTTATCTGCATCTTTCCAACTTTCTGTGTTGATTATTCTAGAAAACATAAAATTATAGTTGAAGAGTTATAAGTAAAAGTTTAGATTAATGGCAATCAGCTCTTTGGAAAAGCAGCCTTCAACCTGTCACCACATGCTATTTCAGGGGATTCAAAATGCCCAAAATCCATATATGAACTTACAGGTTAGGAACACTTATCATTCATGACCAAGCCTCACATTTTACACAGGAGGAAAGAGGCCAGAGAGAGGGCTTACCCAAAGTCAAAAAACATATAAAGCACAAAGTCAAGACTCCAAAATCTATTGACTGTTAGTCAACCAGACTTTTATTCAGTGGGTGTTCAAAGATTTTGCAACTGCTTGTGCCAGATGCCCCAGAGGCATGAATCGCCAGCCTAAGTTGCATTTTAAATTTCTCACTTAGAAGAAGAGGTATAAACTTGACCACATGGGTAGGAATTCTTAGAATAACTTTCTCTTCTATCATATTGCCCTTCACCATCCAAGCCTAAGTTTCAGGCAAGCAAGCTCTCTTGTTTTTGTTTGTTTCTGGATTTTGTTTTCCACTTTTTCTTTTTCTCAAGTGTGCACTTAAGTAAAGGTGTAGGCTTTTAAGGCTCCAGCTCCGCATGTCTGAGGGGCCCTTTAGTTTCCTAGTTCTGATCGCTCTGCGCCCATTCTGGTCCTGGAAAATTTCTCCTCAACGGCCACAACTTGGCTCCCCCTTACCAATCAGCTGTCACTTTCCCCCTCTCCTTACAACAGCAACAACAAACAGTCATTATGTGCCAAACACTTTTTTAACCCTCAAAACAATTCCTCCATGCGGCAGGTGCTGCTACCATCACTACTTTGTAAACGCAGGCACCGAGGCATCACACAGTAGAGTGCTGGAGCCGACTGACCCTCATTTGTAGGCATGGAGAGATATTATCCTTTGTGCTATTTTTGCCTCTCTATGCAAGTATAAAAGTTGTTTATTTTATATTAGCCATTATTTCTAGTTGTTTTATACCTAGGGTATTATCAGATAACCCACTCCATCATATTGACACTCTGTAAAAAACACTTGTTTGGCCAAATATAAAAGAAATGTTTGTCACAGAAAATATGAAAAATTATCAGCATAAAAAAGAAAACTAAAATCACCTAATAACAGTCTTGCAATTTTCTTATAAATTTCCAGTTAACTTTCACAGACTCCAACAAAACTTCACTGTCAGCACAAGTATGTTAGCTATACTCACCACTAGCACATGGTGGGAATCGCTGAGCAGAGGAGTATCACTGTGTCAGCAAATGCCATGCTCACGACGTCCTCTGTACACTAGCACGGCTTGTCCTTAGTTTACAATTGCATTAGAAACATCATTAACCTCATCTCTTAACCAAGGGGATTGGAAGCACAATAAGCACAAAAGCAGTGAGCAGACTAGAAGTAACAGTAGGAAAAGCTGGAAATTTTTTATTGAAAACAATTTTTCCATTTTTAATTGAAAACAATATAGTAAAATAAGAAATGTTGGGAAACAAATGCACACATGTGCAGGATGAAAGCTTCAAAGAACAAACAATGCACCATGAGGCCAGAAGAAGGGGGAAGGGGGTGTGATAAAGCACATGTTCAGATACTGATGTCAATGCAGGATGATTATTAGCCCAACGTCACTTCAAGGGAAGTTCTGGAGTTGGCGTCAGCACGATTAAAGTGCTGCTGATAAGAATGCTAGTGAGAAGAAGCTTGCCATGGCTTAAAACATTTGTGAGTGTGAATCACATCAAAATGGGCAGCAAGGCAACAAACAGAGATACCAAAGTGGGTGAGGGATGAGAAATTAATTACCTCATGGGTACAATGTACACTATTCAGGTGATGGTTAGACTAAAGTCCAGACTTCACCACTATGCAGTATATCCATGTAATAAATCTGAACTTGTACCCCCTAAATATATTTTTAAAACTTAAAACCTGCAGGGCCGGGCGCGGTGGCTCACGCCTGTAATCCCAGCACTTTGGGAGGCCGAGGTGGGCAGATCACGAGGTCAGATCGAGACCATCCTGGCTAACACAGTGAAACCCCATCTCTACCAAAAATACAAAAAATTAGCCGGGCGTGGTGGCAGGCGCCTGTAGTCCCAGCTACTTGGGAGGCTGAGGTAGGAGAATGGTGTGAACCCAGCAGGCAGAGCTTGCAGTGAGCTGAGACTGCGCCACTGCACTCCAGCCTGGGCGACAGTGCGAGACGCCATCTCAAAAAAAAAAAATTTAAAACCTGCAAAGGTGTAAGTACTTTCTGAAACCATCAAAAGATAATTACTTGCCTCAAAATATTTCCAATGTAAACAAACCTAGCTGAACTGTATTTTACCACTTAACCTTATATTGGAGGCATTATCCCAAGAGTGCTAAAGATGATACTTTGAAAACATTCTATATAGCTGCATAATGTTTCAGTGAATTGCTACACCATGACCATGCTTCCCTTGAACAATTCCCTTTTATGAGACATTTACCTTATTCAAGGTAGGCTTTCATCTCCATGGCAACTATTCTCTGTGTGGAAATACCACATTGTGTGTGTGTGTGTGTCTGTGCCTGTGTGTCTGTGTGTGTCCATACAGGTGTATGTACACACATTTATGTTTCAAAGAATGGTTTTATAAAGCAACAGAAATACAAACTGCAAAGATCAGGAAATTTAAGTTCACTAGTGACTTCTCCTGAACTGACTTAGTCTTGATCTTTCTTCTTTTCTTCCTCACACAACACTCCTTTCTCAGCAATCCAAAAAAAAAAAAAATCCTAGGAAAAAACCCATTCTCTAATTAATGTGCTGAAGACAACAGTATGCATCATTCCTTTGTTGTGGGTGGGGAAAAAAAAAACCACTCTCAGGACCACCGTAGCCTGTACAACCACCATAGCCTAAATAAGCTAGTCCTTAAAAAGGAGTCACTTACTGACCCAACGTAATGTCACAGCTCCAAAAGCCCTCAAACTCCAAGGCACCAGCCGCATCTACAATGGGTCAGCTGCATTTTAACTTTGAGGTAATTCTAGAAGTTGGCACAGTGGTAGAGAGATTTTCAATTCTGTCAAGATACAAAACTGAAAGAGCTGACATATTAAATATATAATTTATCACATTTATATTGGTAATTAAAACAACATGTTTTTCTATACACATATATAGGGAGACTATTTCCTGGACAAGGATTTACATTTTTCTTTTAATATGACAGTATGTAACACGTTGAGGTACTTAACTTTTTAATGGCTGATTTCAAGTATTACTGATTGCCTTATCCAGGGCATTCCCACTCTTGAATCCATAAGTGATTTAAGCTACCATGATTGCAGGGAAATGTTCACTACCAAAAGCATGATAGGGGAAGCAAAAGAGAGGAATGAGAGTGGGGAGACAGATACACGGACAGACAAATAACAAACCACAGTGTAAGGTGATCAGTGGTGCAAGAGAACCAAGCACATATGGAGTCTATGGGCGGTAGAGGTGGAAGAGGAGAGGTGAGTGGTGACAAGGGATTGAAACATTCCAAGAAGGAAAAGAGTGCCACACATAATGTAACAGCCTGGGCAAATACATGGAAGAAAAGCAGCAGGGGGAGGGTAAGGAGAAGTTGTCTAAATCAGGGGTCCCCAACTCCCAGGATATAGAATAGTACCAGTCCGTGGCCTGTTAGTAAACAGGCCACACAGCAAGGGGTGAGCAGAAGCCTAAGCTCCACCTCCTGTCAGATCAGCAGTGGCATTATACTCTCATAGGAACACAAATCCTATTGTGAACCATGCATGTAAGGGATCTAGGTTGCACACTCCCTATGATAATCTAATGCCTGATGATCCGAGGTGGAACAGCTTTATCCCAAAACCATCCCCACCCCTATACCCCTGCCCCATCCATGGAAAAACTGTCTTCTACAAAACCAGTGCCTGGTGCTAAAAAGGCAGGGGAATGATGGTCTGAACAGAAAGGAAGACTCACGTCGCAAAGTTAAGGGAAATGAAGCTAGAGAGAGCAGGCAGCATTGAATGACAACTGGTTTCAAAGCCACACAAAGAAATTGAGCATTTAACCTGTACTGAAGCATTTTACAATTCCAGGAAACCTGAGAGCTTCTGAGCAGGCATCCTCACCAACCAAAAACAAAGAAAGAAAGAAATACTGCCGCAGATTTCTAAGCTGGCCGCCCTTCAGTGGGTTCATCACATCTAGTACGTTCCATGGCCAGAGACAGAGCATTGCCCTCTCCCCTAAGTGCACGGGTGCACCAGAGCATGCATAGTTCACCCATGCACTTCATACACATCCTCCTTCTCTATGGACAGTGAACTCAGGAAAGAGCAGGAATATGCCAATAATATCAACAAATGGCAACAGAAGAATACGTACATATCCTGGATGCTTCGAGAATAAAACAATCCAAACAGCTTTGCTTATCAGTCTAGGTTTCAACACAACATTTGCGTAATTTTTAAACAACTGGGCAATAAAAAGAATTTTAATTGAAGTTTCAGTCACCTTATCCAGCTGCCTAACCTTAGAAAAACATGCAACTGAAAAACATTTCAGTTAAAAGAAAAAAAGAGGCAGTTTAGTATTTTCATTTAAGTTATAAAATATAAACATGTAGTATATATTTAACATTATTTTTCACCAAAAAAGAATAAGTTAGATGCTAATTTTTATGTAAAGATACATTCTAATCATTATTCTTTTATTACATAGCCCCCTCTTCTCCACCACCACCAACTTTCATGTTTTGCTGTTCAACATGGAAAATCTTTTCCCGGAAAATAACAGGCTAGGAGTCACGAAGTCCTTCCTGATCCTGTAATTACAGGATGTGCCACCAGTCAGAATGATCTATGGTGTTTCAGGTTATTTGGGTATCAAAGAGCCACTGCACTGTCCTAAAGAGAATAGCAACGTACAAGTGGCTCATCTCTCAGCTGCCAGTGGCATAGCAGCTCCCAGAGGTCCTGGACCAAGTCACTTTCCCCTGTGCAGCCTTTCTGTTAGGGAGAAACTTTCCAGCTTCAATAGAGAAATGCTCGTTCACCAACAGAAGACACTGATTGTTGTTTAAAGATGCAATTCTCCTATGCTCTAATATAGTTATGCTCCTACGTATGAGGAGTGCAAAAGGAGCAGAATAGTTAGGACAGAAAATCCCCCAAAGGAGTTGGATTTGGAATTGTATGCTCCCAGTGAGTAAAACACTCACTGCACATCACAATCTAACAATGATAATGTTTATTCACTTTCAACTTTGCAAGCAACATAGACACAGAGGCAAATGGCTAAGGTAACATTCAAGTTCCCAATGATGTAAATAATTTACTTCGGGCAACAGAATATTCTCTGTTGCCAGTTTGAAAGCTTGTAAAAACTTTAAGCCATCACAAAACTTCTCTGATTTTTCTAATCAATTCTGAAAAATCCCCAGAGGTCACCAGGGGTCCTTAACATATTAGAAAGGAAAGAAAGACTGTTGCAAAAGCTACAATCATCGTTTCTACAAAATATGTAACCTCAAACCCTTGAGACGACTTCATCAAACCAATCCATTTATAAATCTTGCAAGCTATACAAACTGAAATCAGAACTGCTTTCCAAAAAGAAACTCTGGGCCAATTTATGATGGCCCACATCAAAATAAACTTCCTAGGCAAATAAGGACACAGGAGAAAGCAGCTTTCTCTATGTGTTGGTACAGCCTTAGCATAGCCTATTCCCTTCACAAAAGTTATACTGAAGAGAGTCTACCATGGGAAAGGGAAATTACAATCATGAGCATTATACATTAAGTATTAATTACTTTACACAGAATTGTCATATGTCTTAACACTAAAGGGAAAATGGTTTGTACTGGGTATAATAAAGTAGCAAAAAAAAAAGAAAAAGAACTCAACATTATGATATATGGAAATCAATGCAAATATGTTTCATTACTTCTATTACTTGAATCAGAATTCAACCCTGGATTGGTTTCATACAAACTACTATGATCCCTAATCCCTACATTCATGATATTTTTACTTTTTTATGATACAGGGTCTCCCCAAGTTGCCCAGGCTGGTCTTAAACTCCTGAGCTCAAGCAATGCTCCCACCTCTGCTTCCCAGGCAGCTGGGACTGCAGGAGTCAGCCACTATGCCCTGCCATGATCTTGTTTTCTAACTAAACATGGGACATAAGTGAAAAGTGAGTGAAAGGGGGAAAAAATCTGTGAAAGATATCTACCTACTCTGATAAATTTATTTAAACAAGAAACTTGAGCTTCTTGTTACTCACTTAACAGTATTCTCACAGACACATGACCTTAGGTAATAATTTCCATAAGTAAAACTGGAGAATACTTCAGAGAAGGACTCTTAACAGAAAACCTGCCTGAATTAATCCTCTAAACACAGAAAAAATAAGGCCTTCATGATGCTAGGAGACATATACAAGACACTTACGAATCAGGGATCTGATTTTTAATTTGAGGCAACAAAAATTTCTTTTTTATAAAAGAAAGGTGAGAAGGGTAACCAGGCATGCAGTGGCTAATGCTTATAATCTCAGCACTTTGCGGGGCTGAGGCAGGAGAAATGCTTGAGCTCAGGAGTTCAAGACTAGCCTGGGCAATAGCAAAACCCATCTCTACAAAAAAAAATTTTTTTTTTAAATTAACCAAGCATGATGGTGCATGCTTGTGGTCCCAGCTGCTTGGGAGGCTGAGGTAGGAGGATCACTTAGGCCTGGGAGGTTGAGGCTGCAGTGAGCCGTGATCACCCTCCACTGCACTCCAGCATGAATAACAGAGCGAGACCCTGTCTTGAAAAAAGAACAAAAGGGGGAAAAAGATAAATTTACATCTAGGAATGGTAAATGATTGTAAATGAAACTGCGTTACATCCAGCTGCATCACAGCGATCTAGTGAAGGAAAAAGGATGTTTCACCCCACACCAGTTACAAAAGGATATGGAAAAGGATATGGCACATAGACTTTTACTGAAGGTGGTTAAATTAATGTAAAGAGTTGAAGTTAAAAGTAAAGACAATGTAAAGAAACCTACAGCACGTTAACTCTAAAATCTAACACCTTTAGAGAAATGAGTCTCAGCTTCTTCTGTAGAACCCTAAAACATGTCAAGGCTGACTGATTTTACCCCATGACATAAAACTGGAAGACTTTTACCAGTAATAAGGCTAGCTTATATGAAGTACGTCTTTACCTCTAAGTTCCAAATTCCTTTTACCTGTAAATTATTTATTATGTATGATCTCCTAATAGTACGTATTTGCTACTTGTTGAATTTTTTTTCTATTCAGCAATTTTTTTTACAATAGTTTGTTTTACACACCAAAAAAAAAAAAAAAAATCCCAAAAAGGGTCACCATCTCACCTTCATCACTTGGCGCCTGCTGCTTCACAAGAGTCATCGGAGATCTTGCTGGAGGCCTGCTAAGTGGATGGCGCCAACTCTTAGAGGTTTTGTTCTCTCCCTCTGCTATCTAGTTATAGAACAAAAATGGTGGAGAAATACCATTATCAAAAACAAACTACAAAAAAAAAAAACCCTACAGTTCACAATTATTTATCACTTAATGTTGAAGAAATCTTGTGGTTGTTTACCTCTTGGGGAACTAGTCCTTTAAGAAATTTAAACTTAAGGTCAAAAGAAATAGGAATCAATTCTATTAGTAATTTTAGCCAGAGGTCAATTAATTCTTCTTCCACTTTGTATTAAAATACAAGCTGTAGGGCAGGGTAGGCTTATTAAACCTGCAATAAGCTCAGCAGTTAACAAGTTTTCTAAAGTTCTTACAACTAATGTAAATTTAGGATTATAGGCCAGGCACAGTGGCTCATGCCTGTAATCTCAGCATTTTGGGAGGCCAAGGTGAAGGGATCCCTTGAGCCCAGGAGCTTGAGACTAGCCTGGGCAACATAGGGAGACTCTGTGTCAATAATTTAAAAAAAAAAAAATAGCCAGGTATAGAGGCATATGCCTGTGGTCCCAGGTCCTCAGGAGGCTAAGGTGGGAGGATCCCTTGAGCCCAGGAGGTGGAGGCTGCAATGAGCCAAGATCAAGCCACTGCACAACAGCCTGGGTGACAGGGCAAGACCCTGTCGCCAAAAATAAATAAGTAAATCTAAGATTGCATTCTCATAAAAATACAGGACTGTGGCTCTTGGTCACCTCTAAGATGTTCCCATGTTAACATTTAGCAAGGAATTTTATTTTCTATCCTCACAGAGAAGACAATACTGCAACACTTCTTTCCATTCAGAAATGAATCACCACTTCTAGATCACATAAATAACAATTAAACAAGAAACCAAAAGTATTCTCTTTTTTTAATGATACATTAATGCCATGTTGAAACCACTTAAATTTTACCAATGATTTTTTTGTCCTGGGATTTACAGACTATATATTCCTTTCCCGGGTAGAAAGTCATGTGTATCCTTACACCTTCCAGCTAGGACCCACCTTTTAAGCTCTCTTGCTCGCACAACGCAAAATTTTTAAAGGCAGGGGGAAGGGAAAGAGGATATCAGAGAGAGTTTGAACCCAGCAAGCTTACATCAAGAGTTGACTATGAAAGAAAACAATCTTAGTCTTCTTCCCGGTAAGCTGAAGAAGCAGTGGCCAGATATAGGGAAACTACTCTGGCCTCTGACTCCAACACATGATTCTAAGAAAATGTGTAAGACCATTGTAATCAAAGCTAGGAATAAGAAAAGAATGACAAATGCAATATACGATGACAGCTATCTATGTTTATAATAGCTAAAAAACAATATGGGAAATTATAACACAGCCAAGAAGACATATCAACACACTACTATGCACCATACCGTTGTCATAGCTGGAGCTATAGCAGGAAAAATTACATCAGGTTTCTGCTCTCAAGAAGTGTAGATTATAGAGGGGTAAGGGAATACATAATAAATGAATAAGTCGTATTTATCAAATACTACTCGGTAAATATGTAACGAAGGAAAATAAAGAAGGACAAAGGAATAGAAAGTGATGGGGAGGGGGCAGTTTTATAGGGTAATCAGAGAAGGCCTTTCTGATACAGTGATACTTGAGGGGAACTTTGAGTGCATACATATGATTATCTGGGGGAGGAGCATCTGGGGGAGCAAGAATAGCACGTAAAGTGAGAACATACTCGGTGTGTTCCAGGTACAGCTTTGAGCCCAAGATGAATGGATGGATGGATGGATGGATGGATGGATGGATGGATGGATGGATGGATGGCTTTAAAAAATAACATAATACTTATTGAGTAGATCAGCTAATGCCAGCAGCTATCAGCATACACATAGCATTACACTGAATACTAAAAAAAACTGACCAAAACTACACAAAAATTAAGTGGGGCTGTATTACATCTAGGAGTTATCCAACACCATGGTGTAAGAAAAGGATGTCATGCAGTTGTTCTTACAGGCAAGCCAAGCCTCTCAGCCTTCAATAGCAATGTTGGTTTCTCTACTGTCAGTCTTTGCTTGGGGAAATGATAAAGATGAAGATAAACAGCACTAGATCTATAATCACCTTCCTTGAGAGCAAAGAAATCTGAGAATTACTTTCAGCTCCATTCTACTTTAAAGAAGGTCGCTAAAAATAACTAAAGCAGGCATTTGACTCAGTCACCTGTCCAAAGAATGAATATCTGCTTGGCTACATTTAAGCCATTCATGAAATTAAGTTGCAAATTTTTTTTCCTTTTTTTTTTTTTTTTTTTTTTTTTTAAGAGACAGGGTCTCTCACTCTGTCACCCAGGCTAGAGTGCAGTGGTGGGATCACAGCTCACTGCAGCCTTGAATTCCTGAGCTCGAGTGATCCTCCTACCTTAGCCTCCCTAGTAGCTAGGACCACAGGCACACACCACTAAATTTTTTTTTATTTTTTTTTTGTAGACACAGGGTGTGACCATGTTGTCCAGGCTCATCTCGAACCTCTGGGCTCGAGGGGATCCTCCCACCACAGTCTCTCAAAGTGCAGGGATTACAGAAATAAGCCACCACATTTGGCCAAAGTTGTAAATTTTGCTTATTAGTATGTGAATGCTATTTTCAAACTACTCTTAGGCACCTTTTCAAAGAAACCAGACCATATTTTTTTTATCTTTCATATTTTTGATGTGTTTATAATTCAATGAGATATACAATTCTACATAAAAAGATAAACACTATTGGGTCAAATCAGAAAAGTATATTTTAATTAACATTTTAAGACTGATAAGACGCAAGGTATTCAAAGCTGCTGTCCTTATACAACCTCCCTTGCTCCTACTCAGGGACACAAGGATCTATTTTGAGTTGAAACCAGCAGGAGCAGTGTCTGTTCTGCAGCCAGCGCAACCTATCAGCTCAAACAATTACTCCTTCCTGATCCACCTGAATTCCCTAATCAGGCTGGATACATCAAAAAAAAGTACTGAATTCTGACAATCGCTACAGACAGTCCTAGCTCCCCTGATCCACTCTTATGGCTACATGGACAGTTTCTACTGAATATGGAATATTAATACTGTACAAGGACAATATTGTACAATTTTCCAAAAAGTCACAATGGGAAGCTAAATAATATAGAGGAGTCTTTTCTCAGAGGCAAAGGGCCTCTTTCGAGGAGGGGGCAGGACAAGAAAGGTCACCCTGGTCCTGAGATTCAGGGTCCATGAGGAAAGAGTAAGAAGAAAGCATGACCACGTGAGTCCTGACACTGAAATAGAAGCTGTGGGAAGGCTGGGACCAGGAGGTATTAACTATTGGCAGAAAGTGATCAGTGCCCAGCAGATGAATTCTTCTGCAGGTGACAGAACAATTCTGTAATCTTTACTGTATCAATGTCGATATGATTGTGACTTTGTACTATAGTTTTCTAAGATGGTAGCATTGGGAGAAACTGAGTAAAGGGTACAAAGAATCACTGTGCACTATTTCCCACAACTGCATACGAGTCTACAATTACCTCAAAGTAAAGAGTTTAATTTTTTAACAAAAAAAAGAAAATCAAGCATCGACACGTGGCCATAAGCTCCATGTGCTAAATTATCACTATGTGAGCCACAGCTCACAGGAGGCTTACCTCCCAGTTATTGAATGAATATGATTAAGACCCATAAATGTAAAATGTTATTTATCTGTGCCCTAAAGGAGGATTTCAGTGCACAGCATGTTGTTTTCAAAATGTGCTCTCACCATATAATGAATATGGTAAAAAATGGATATTGCCACATACACTGGGGACTTTGAAGCTATTTCTCTCTCCACTGGGGACCGCTGGGATTTCCCCAGGTTCAAGGCCATTCCCATGGCTCTCCACATCACTCTCTTCTCCCTCTGTTAACACACCATTACTCTCTGCCACTGATGAGCATGACTCAGGTGACTTTGGCCATGAAAGCTCGGATGGGTCTGATTTCTCGGGCTTCTCATAGCCACTAGACAATGGAATGGAATCATCAGCCTCACTGGATATAGAAGGTACACTTCTATATGCATAAGCTTTGTCATCCTCAGTTTTTATGTCTTCTGTTACAGATGTACTTAAGCAGCTGTTTCCTGAGGATAAAACAGAAGACTGTTAATAAATCATGCACTGTATTACTACTAAGTAGAATTGGTAAACTATTCCCAAATGATTCTGTATCTTACACACACATACACACGCATGCGCATGCACATACATGCACACACACAAAACAAACCTCATTTGTACCCATCACATACTAGCTCTGATACTGAACAACCCAGTTCTTCTACTCAAGTATTATGCCAGGGCTCAAAATCTGGAGATCAATGTGCAAAGAACCATGTAGTGACAGAACTAATGAAATTCAGGGCCCTTAGGCAAAACCATCCAGCAATTCATAAACTGGCTAATTAAACACAGTGTAAGAGAAAGCATGATGAGGAGCCGGGCACGGTGGCTCACGTGTGTAATCCCAGCACTTTGGGAGGCCAAGGCAGGTGGATCACTTGAGGCCAGAAGTTCAAGATCAGCCTGGCCAACACGGCGAAACCCCAGCTCTACTAAAAATATAAAAATTAGTTAGGCATAGTGGTGCACACCTTTAGTCCCAGATACTCAGGAGGCTGAGGCAAAAAAATCGCTTGAACCTGAGAGGCAGAGGTTGCAGGGAGCTATGATTGTGCCACGGCACTCCAGCCTGGGCGACAGAGAGAGACTCTGTCTCAAAAAAAATTTAAAAATTTTAAAAAAAGGGACTATAGTGAAATATCCATATGTATTGCCTAACTCTCTATTCTGCATTTGTTGTAATTCCCTTCCCTACCTTCTCTGCCTTGCTATCTTATATCCATTCATCAAAACTCAATTCAGATATCACCTTTGCCAAGAAACCTTGGCTATCCAGCTCTTGTGTGTTTGAAGTCCTTCCTTGGTAAACCAGCAACATCCTATGCAATCTCTATAATGCTACTTACCACATTGGATTGTAATTATGTGGTTATTTGCCTAGCTCTCCACTAAAACATGAACTCATTTTTTAAAAGTTCTGTGGTTTAAACTCTATCCACACAGCTATTTCAAGAGCAAAGGCAATGAGGCTGGAGTAGCAGCTGAGGACCAGTTTAGGACTATGTGAAGACTTTTTCTTTTATTATAGGTGGAATAATACTAAGAAGAAGGTAGTCACAAGACCTAAGCTTTTTTTCTTTTAAAGGATCACTCTAATGGCCACCTGGAGAACTGACTAGCGGGGGTGACTACAGCTGACATTCCTGAATAAGAAGGAAGCAATTGCTGCAGTCATCCAGGCAACAGCTATGGTGCCATGAGTGAGGAGGAAGCAGCAGAGGGAGTCGGATTCTGGCGGAGGGGGGAATCCCATGAGGAAGGATTTACAGGATGAGAAGTATGAGAGGAACACAGGAATTAGCTTATTACAATACAAAAACTCCAACAAATATGAAAGAGGCAAATCACTAAAGCAGTTTCAGAAAAATATGCTACCAAAGGGAGAAAAGGCAAAGTAGCTGAGATTTTCAGACAATGGCTTTAGTACAAAAGAGAAGCAAGGGGACTATACATGTCATTTCACTAGGTTGACTTTTCATTATTGTTGTTCTTAAAACCTTGATCTTTATTTTCTTCTTAAGTCGAAAGCTAAGAATCTACAAAGAATTATCTATAATTGGTTTTCTCTACTCATGTGAATTCAAAAGAAGCCTTCCAAAAACGTATATTGTAAATTGAGTTGCACGAAAAAAAAAAAACTCATTTTAGAATCTTCTTTTTTATTAAACCAAATAGGCACTGCTGACTGCTTGTCTCACAATTCTGCTACACATAGCAGTGAGGCTCCTGACTTTTACAATATTCCCTGGGACTATTGGTTGAGTTACCCATGACTTTGGTAGATTACTGATTAAGCTATGTGGACTAGTCAGATACTTGTCATAGTGAACATCCATTTAAGACATCTGATCATCAACCACCTACTACTTATATGTGAAACCTAATCAACCATCTTCTCACCTGAGAGTTTGATATGATCTGATAAATTCTGCTCCACCTGCATCCTGCTAGCAGATGACTCTTCTTCTGAAGATGCTTCTGTGTTCCTCAGCTTCACTGCTGCTTCTGACTTTTCACTGACCTTGAGGTCATCTGTGACTGAGTCGGGGTTAGGGACCTCTGCCCCATCGACTTCATCTGACACTTCCTCTTCCTCATCAGCCTTAGGCCTTTTAGAGGTAGACCTAGCACACTGGAAGCTGTCAACAAGAGAAGCAGTGGTCAGAGCGGGATGTCTGCAATGGATATGAAAAACACATCCCAATATAAATGTCATTTTCACTTGCTTAAAGAAGGAAACAACTGACATTGTTAATCACTATGCCAAGTCAATGTTCACAACTGAATGATTAAATTTGAAATCAAAATCTTAAACACAATTTTCTTATCAATCAATAAAACTTTAAAATTCACACAACTGTAAATAATTATTAAACATTATTTTGAAAAAGGGCCATTCCTAAAATTTTGTGACAACATTTTAAAAGTCTGAAAATAAAAATAAAGTAAAAAATGTTGAAATGAGACAGAAATAAAATCAATAAATAAAATATTTAGAAAATGAAGAAAATAAATAAAAATCAGAATATCCTGTTAGGCTAGTGCTAAAAGTAAATTTTTTATATTTCAAGGTAAACTACTGACTACTTTTCATTGAGTTTTGTATAATTGTCAGGTATGTATGAAAATAGTTCAAATTAAATGCCAATTCATCAATAGCGAAAGGATTTAAAACAGACACAGGCTAACTGGTGTGTGTGTGTGTGTGTGTGTGTGTGTGTGTGTGTGTGTCATAAAGACACTGTCTCACTATATTGTCCCGGGTGGTCTAGAACTCCTGGCCTCAAGTGATCCTCCCCCACTGCCTCCCAAAGTGCTGGGATAACAGGCATGAGCCACCACATTCAGCCTAATTTTATGTATTTAACATCGTACATCAACATACTATTTTCAGAGTGAACACAATTTTTATCTTCTTCCTGAGTATTTTCCAGCAGGTCACTTGATAGCTTTGGCATATATGCTTTTTACATATGAAACAAACATTCCTAACAATTAGGAACAATTACAAATCAACTCAAAGCAACAGTGTCCAAAACACACCCATATGTATTATACACACACAAGAAACCACCACAGGACTAAGCACTGTAGGAAGTCAGGGAGGGCAGAGAATAGGGTGGCCTGCGATAACCTATATAAATTAGCTTTCACTGCTACTGATGGCAGTAACTGCAGTAGTATGATCATCACCATCATTGCTTTTGTTGCAAATCCATGCATTGGCTGATGTGGGAAAATCTCAACATTATAAACAGTGTAGTATATGTGAAAAAAAGAAGGCTGACATGTGCTTGAGACATCAATGAATCATTCCCTTCATCAGACTTCCCTAAATGGGCTATTTCCAAAGGGAGATCAATAATCTCTAAATATCAAGCCACAAGGCTGAGCATATTAAACAAGCCCATAGTCAGGCTTTCTAAGTAGGTGAGCAAGTTCCATTGATTATTTGAACCTACTGACAAGCATTTTGATCTGTTCAAGTGTCATAAATCCATGTTCTCTATCAACCCAAAAGGCCCACTGTGGTTAATACCTGGAAACCAAGTCATACACCTAATGAAAATATTGTGTTTTCCATCCATGACAGAACAATGCTCAAGATGTTCTCCTGGTGTGTATTCTGAACTCAGGATTGGATACTGCCTCCTTCCAGCGCTGGCTTCTTTAGTGCTGTGAATTAACACAGTTATCAAAGACACTGACTGTCCAAATTAGTATTTCTCAAACTTTTCTTGAATGTAACCCACAGTGAGTTATATATTTCAGATAGTGACACTATATACACACATACACACATACTCACACATGTCATGAGTGAATATTTGCCCTTACCACAGAGGAAGCACTATAATACTTTTTATTCTATTTTACCACCTCATTTTAAAATGTTGGTCCTGACCTACTAACAAACACTTTGACGATCATTGCGGTAAACTACAGGGGGAAATATCAACACCTGAGTTAGTTCTGCACCTCAGGTCTACCTCTTATAAGATGCCGAAGTTTGACTCCATGTTCCTAAGGTTCTTCCACTCACTACCACTCTAAATAAGCAGAAAATAAATATCAGGGAAAAAAAAAAGACAGAAAATAAGCATCATAAGTCTGGGCAAAGATGTAAAATTATGGTGTTACTTAGTTAATATCAAAAAAGTGGACACAAGCTACAGGGGATTAAATACATGCAGGCATTAAAAATCATGTTGCAGCAAATCAATCAGTTACATGAAAAAAACACTCAAAACTGATTGTCAGATTATTAACAGAGCATGGCCCCAATTTTGGAAAGATATATAATATTATAAAATATATAATAAATATATAGGTAAAGGATATATACAAAATGTTAATACTGGTTATCTCTGGATAGTGAGGTTATGAGTGATATGGGATTCCTTCATTATTCTTTTCCTTATTTTACAAATTTCCTCCAATGCACAAATATTACTTTTATAATCTGAAAGAAAAACAATGAGTAATATTGAAGAGGAAAATTTAACATAAAATTGGAAAACATAAGACCCTTAAAAGGTAGCCTAAGGACCTGAGCAACACCACACACACCCTATTCAATAGGTTTTAAAACAACAAGATGCCCACAGCACATCTAAAAGCTTTTGAAATGATCCTGGCCACAAAGATGGAATGGAGAATAAAGTTCACAAGGATAAGCATGTTACAGAAATGCTATATGCTGTGTTTTACATCTTACAAAAGAATAAAACCATGTGCATAAAATGTAGTAAAATATAAGCATCCAGAAGAGAGCAGTAGCTCAGATGTTGGACAAATGAAGAAGATAACCACTAAAGCCAAAAAGCAAAATGGTGGCAAAATGAAAAAGTGGAAAATCAAGTTATTGATTAAAATATGGAAATGCACAGAAAGGAATAATACAACCATAAAACACATTCATGTAAGTGGTCTAACAAGTTCTATATTGTTCTATTTGCCATGTCGAGCAACTTCAGGAATATTCTCAAACAAAATAAATATACATCTCTTCCTATATTGTATTTATTACACACCTAAGAATTAAAAATAATGTCTCACATTTTCAGAAAGGTATTAAGTTATGATGAATAAATAGAAAAAGCAAGTAAATTGCCACATCCAATGACCCATTTTAACTGAGAAAACACGACAGGCAAGGCAGGTCAGTGGGGTGAGGGGTCATTACCTTCGGGATGCTTTTCTTACTTTCCTCCTCCTCTGCAGCCATGCTTTTACTTCAGGGGTGGATGCTGGAGTAGGCTTCGTGTGATCAATGGTGTATATATCCTTTCCTTGTTTCCAAAGCTGATATCTGTCTGGCTGAAATTTCCTCACAAAGATATCCATTGAAATCTTCACCATGTCTTTCCTGCAAGTGCACTGAAACACAACCGGGTTGGAGAGTGTTAAACGTTTCGCTAACTATACAGTAACACAGAGTTGGTCCTTGAACACATCATCCATGAATACTTAGTCACTACATAATGGAGGATAATGCATTACATTATCAAACATTCAATGGGTGATAAACCCAATTTCTTCTGAATAGAGATGAGAATCTATATATTCACATTTATAATGTGGTTATAATGGTTTGTGGACCTCACAGGGAACTATGTACTAAGAAAAACTAAAAGGAAAGAGTGCTCATTTGGAAGCACGCCTGCAATGGAAAGATTATTTGCCCATCACAATGATGTGTCAATGAACTGAGCGCTAAAAGGTCTGTAAAGCTGAAAACCTGGGTTGTCAACAAATAAAATAACCCAATGAATGTGTGATTAGAATACTTTAACCAGTGAGTTGAGATAAATTTACTCTAAGATATATTTTATTATATTTATGGTTATTAACGAACTCTCATAAGGTAACCCAAAATTAGGAGCAAATGAACAGCCTTTTCTACATCACATCACATACAACATCCAATACCATCAACAACAACAACAAACATATCCACTAAAATGAAGACATGGGGTAAAGGTGAGAAGTTCAAAGAAAAAATTATTTTGAATCTACTATGCCTTTAATTCTCATGAATACATAGTTATCAGTCACATCTTATTAAGCAAGTTTTCTATAAAGACTTCACACAAAGTTTTATCAGGTCTAGGCCAGCACTACGCAACAGGGAAGTTATCATTCAAATGGTGGTGCATAAATAATCTCCAAGATTTAACTGATAGACCTTGACAATCCCTAACATACCCGGTAACAGACTGACTGAACAGTTTTGACACAATAAGACTTTAGATATCTTGGTGATACAATTATCACCTCCATGCAAATTAACTCCAAAGTCTTAATATATCCAAACCCAAACTCCCACCACAGAGTTCTCATCCTAATGGCCATTACATTCAAAATACCTAAAATTAATGTCTTCAACTTCAAACCACACTCTGTCGCTACCAAATGATACCACAGTTCTTCTATTCTCCTACATACATAGTCCACATTCCTAGACACTCCCTATGTCTTCACCCCTAAAAATTCAGCCTTGTCTCCATTTACGGCATCTCCTGTCTCAATTCCTTCTGCCAGCATCCTTGCAGCTGCACTGCCAGGCCTTGAATCCTAGCATAACAAGGCTAATTTCCCTGCCTGTAGTCTCTCCTAACAATAATCCATCGTTATAGCTGTTACTTTCGTCTCCCCCAAATCTCTTACAATCTTTCATTCCTGAGTTCAATAAGGTGTAATCACCCTGCTTTTCTTAGACCTAGAATAAGGTCTAAATTTATGAGCCTGGCATTAAGGGCTCCAAGACTTTACTCCACCAATGAGATTTTCAGGTTTCTCTCCCACAGCAAGTCAACATGTATATTCCTCTTCAACCCAAGTCATGGGAGCCCAAATGCCCCTTATGCTTCATTTACTTCAGTATTTTCCTCCTACCACACCACCTTCCTGCATACTAGCCGGCTATCCAGCAAAACTTCATCCTCGGCTCTGAATATAAATTGTCCCAACTGTTCCTCTGAACCTAATACTATTTATCTGCACCACTGCTTTCTATTATTGGTTACATATAATGAGGTTTCTAAGTTACCTTGCATAATTATCTTGCCATTGGAATAAAGAAAATGAAGATCCTGAGAAATTGAAAGATATTTTGGATTAAGATGTAATCTTTTGACAAAAGGGGGAAAAAAGCTTGGACTTACAACCAGAAACTTTCTTAAAGTGTTACTAATATTGCTTCACAAAGAAAAATAAACAGTGAACAAAAGTGATGCTCCCCACTTTAATGAGCTGATTTAGGCCTGATCATGATTACAATTGCAACATCCCTAGGGCAGATAAGCTGGTGAGGTACAGAACACTATTTCTGAGGAAAGTGTCTCAGAAAAAAAAACCTTTGACCTTATTAATATTCATCTTGTTTGCTCAGATGATGCTATGAAGCCTAAACAGAAACAGCAGATAAGCCATGGTCAAAGAGGAGTGTGCTCCGAGACTGGAGGATGGTACTGCTGGACAAACTTGCTAAACAGATGAAGTATGTGACTCGTGGATCCAATCAACCATGTCAGCAGAAGCCAGGAAGAGAGAATGTGGTTATCCAGGAGAGAGCTGTGCAGGACTGTCTTGCTTGATGCTTGGATGTCCATGAACTACACAGAAGACTGACAAGGATTTTGAGACTTTTATACCAGCAGAAATGCTGCCAGCCTGAACTGAAAGGAACAGAGACAGAAAAAAAGAAAGGAATGACTCCAAGGACAAGCCACAGATGCAGAACGACTGAGTGGACAGAACCTCACTGGGCTATTACAACAGCCCTAACAAACTACCCTTCAGGAGGTACAGAAACATGCCACCATGTGTCGTAAGATTTGTTACTTGAGGATTAAATCAACCAGAAAACCCACCTATACTAAATTTTTCTAAATAACCTAAACCCACCAACAATTACAATCTCAGTAATGGTATAAAAGATAATATAAAAAGATTACACCTTTAAAGTTTATTTGGAATTATTATGCAATGGAAGATGTGAAAAAGATTACATCATATCAATTTGCTGAGAAACTGTAAGACCCACAATGCAAATAGTGTTTAAAAGACTAAATTCAAACCCCAGCTTCAACACTGACAAGCTATGAAATCTTGAACAGCTTGTTTAACCTCTCTGTGCCTCAGTTTCTCCATCTGAAAAACTGAGAGTAACAGTGGTAACTATCCTCATGGGGCTGACAATAGAATTAAACTTTTTGTTCTTGTAGAATGTTGCTGAAAATGCTAGATAAGTGCCTATTTTTAAAAGGCCGAATATGGCTTATACAAATTGCTTTTTGGTAACCTGACCACAAGAACATTGAGGTTTCTAGTGTTATCTTATTTTGCCTTACTGAAAAAGTGGAAGCAACAAAAGAAATAAGAATCAGAATACTGCATCTAACAAATGGTCTTAAGGGTCAAGGGGAAGTAAGTGCATAGTGGTTCTGAAGAATCAAACAGGAGGAGCAATCCCAGACTTGTGGGGGATTGAAAAAACCCTAGAGGACTGGGCCATTGTCACAGGAGAGGTGACAGCAGTGTACATCAAGCTCCTGTTTGGATCATATGTTGCAACCAGACTCAACTCCATGGCTTCACATCTAGAGCAAACAACTGAAACTGGAGGCCCAGCAGATGACAGGCATTAATGAAAGGAAATGTCCATAACATGAATTAATACTGCCCAGGTGTCCAAGGTAGGATGCTGTAAAGTAAAATAAGATGGAGGCAGGGGTTCGACTTATGTGACTTCTTCATTCTCCACTGTATTTAAAAAACAAAATAGGCCTCCTTTTAACATAAGAGCTTGGTATTACATGGCAACATGTATGTGGTTTTGGGAGACATGAAATAATATCCACTTGAATCTCAGGATTGAAGAATAACTTTCAGAACATACTGGGAAAAAGTTGATTTCTTGCTTACATAAAATAAAACTCTAGTGAATTTCGAACATATCATATTATAACCTAAAGAGGATAATATTTAAAATTTAAAAAGAATTACTGTCTTTCATAGAAAATTACTAATTTTCCAACAATTATGAAAAGAACCCAATGTAGAAGATCAATTAGATTTTTGAACAGGACAATCATAAAGAAGGGAGGAGCCGATGGCAAACTCTTATTTTGAAGATTTAAATATGTCCAAATGACACGAGGCACATGGCTATAACCTGTAGTCCCAGAACTTTGGGAGGCCGAGGCAGGTGGATGGCTTGATCCCAGGAGTTCTAGACCAGCCTGGGAAACATGTCAAAACCCCGTTTCTACCAAAAATACAAAAATTAATCTCATAATCCAGTCTCAAAACAAATAAGCCCAAATGAAACACAAATTGTTGTCTTCTGGTGATGCCTGAGTAGATATCATATCTCTAGACCTATGCTGTCCTATCTTATCCTTTAGATCTAAAATACTGCCCTTTACAGTAGCCACCAAAAATGTATTTACCGATAAAAATGACTTATGCCAAAAAAAAAATCAAACAACATATTTATTGCTATTTCCTTAAGAAATGGGAATGGATAATTTAAAAAGCAAAAGTTAGTTTTAAACACCCTAAATTTTTAAATCAAACTCTAGCCTCTCCTTTCCCAAAAATGTTATTGCTCTTGAAGGCTATCAGCTAATTATCTTTGAGGCACAATCAAATCACATTAGATCAGAACTACAGCATGAAAAAGGCATCTGTTCTATATTCTATCCAACACAAAGCGAAAGTGCCTAACATCCCCCAATATATAAGGTATAAAAACATGGGACTGTGTATAAAACTTTAAAATGCAAAATGTTCAATGGCTTTAAGAACCCAACAGTTTATATGTTATTAATACAAATTGCCCTCTGAATAGTACTATATATATAATATTATGGACAAATGGAAGACATTCTATATCTCATTGTTTTCTAATAACCCTAATGTTAGTGAAGACAGTAAGAATTAAGAATCTATTATTAACAGTTATTTCTAACTTGTATTATGACTTCATAATTCATAATTGCTCATTATTTCTATAGTAAGAAGTAACAAAGCACTGCTAAGTGTTAGCATCAAAGTAACCTCTTATTTAACCAAGAATATGTCTGGTGGTGGTAACTAACAGGGCCAAAATCATTAATTAGGCCTGACACATAATTTTATTCTAACTCCTCAGACTACACTCTCATAATCACATAGATCTGTGCAAGTTCAGATACGTTAGTCTCAAAAACAAAAAACAAAAAAGGTATAATCCCCTAACTGATTTTTTATTTTATTTTTGAGACAAGGTCTCACTTTGTCACCCAGGCTGGAGTACAGTGGCGCAATCTCGGCTCACTGCAACCTCTCCCTCCCTGGTTGAAGCGATTCTCCTGCCTCAGCCTCCCGAGTAGCTGGGATCACAGGCATGTGCCACCACGCTCGGCTAATTTTTGTATTTTTAGTAGAGACGGGGTTTTGCTATGTTAGCCAAGCTGGTCTCAAACTCCTGACCTCGGGTGATCCACCCACCTCGCCCAAAGCGGTGGGATTACAGGTGTGAGCCACCACACAGGCCCTGAATTTCTTATTCTAATTTTAATGAACCATTAGTGAATTATCTCAGATACTTTGCCCCATCTGACCTTCCTACACCACTCTATACTTAACCATGAGCTACACACAGTGTCTGTCTTATAGAGAAGTATATTCTAGGTGCCTAGAGAATAAGAGTCCCTTAAAAATGTTTGTTAAATAACCTTAAAAAAATATATGAAGAAACAGAGACAGGCGCAGAGGACTCACATTAATTAGTCCAAGGTCACATACCTAATAAGTAACAGAGACTTTGCTAGATTCAAATCTAGCACTTCTACACTCTTACCCAATCTACTGTGGAAATTCCAAAACAAAACCACATTTAATACATACAACATGCTTTATCATTTAAATGGCCACATTTTTCCATCTCAATCTTCTTTATCTATGACCCATAACCAAACTGAAATTGTAGCTGCAAATAAATGTCCGGGACTCATTATATTTGCTTTCTATGCATGATATCATGCTGTGTTGATAGAGTTTAACCAGCCTAGCTAACAATTTTCCAAAATAAGTTTCTTTCCCTCCTCCCACTTCTAATAGGTTCAGATTAATTTCTCTGGAATATTTGCAGGCTTCACTGTGCCAGGATATGTCTCCCTTATAAAGTAAGGCAATTATAAAGCAATTTAAGGTATGGGACTAGAAACTCAATCTTTCTGACCCATGAGAGCACTGTTCAAATAGACAAAGAAAAACTATGCAAAAAGAAGGGGAATGGATTCAAATAGTTTGCTCCGGGGTCTCCAAAAGATTCAGTAGAAATTATTTTTAGAATTTCTGCTTCTCAGCACTTACCTGAATATCTGATAGAAAGGTTGTGGAAGTTCAGAGTTAGAGATATTAAACAATCCACTCCTGCTGTGCCATGTAAAACAGCATGAAATTGAACTCTTTAGTATTCGGGGGTAGATAAAGTTGTTTTGTTCTGAATTCATGCACTCCATGTCACAGTTTATATGGATGATAAATCTGAGGAAGATCAGATAAAAATAGGGCTCTGCACACTCTTAGAGATCTAAATTCCTTGTAAACATAAATATTTGTATGAGTCTATATGATCACATATGAAAACAGACAGGCAGGGTGCGGTGGGTCACGCCTGGAATCCCAGCACTTTCAGAGGCCGAAGCGGGCAGAGCACCTGAGGTCAGGAGTTTGAGACCAGCCTGGCCATCATGGTGAAACTCCGTCTCTACTAAAAATACAAAAATTACTCAGGCATGGTGGCACATGCCTGTAATCTCAGCTACTCGGGAAACAGGCAGGAGAACTGCTTGAACCCAAGAGGCGTAGGTTGCAGTGAGCCGCGGTCGCACAACTGCACTCCAGCCTGGACGACAGAGTAAGACTCCGTCTCAAAAGAAAGACAAAAAAGCAGACAGAAATAGCATGGATGCATATTGTTGAATATAACGTTATATATAATCCTTCTCCTAAAATGTTTTTATTAAAATGTTCAGGTATACTGATTTCCTTGTTAGAGAGTCTTTCAGGTATTTCTTTTTCAATGACGAAGTTAACACAATTAGAACGCATCCTGAACCTTAGGAAGTAAGTCATCCACTTGAATCATCATATCCTAATTTATGGATAAGAAACTGAGGCACAAAAATGCTAACTGACTTGTTGGATGTCACAAGGATAGTAACTGGGGGAAAAGGGGGTTTAAGTGATGTGAGATTCAGTATCCTGCCCACCAGCCTCTTTGGGTTTTTCAATTTCGTAACCACTGAGTACACAGGAACATAATGAGTAATTGAAGGGTCTGAATACAGAACTAGCTGTCTCACAGGTTTCACAATGCTGGCCACAGTAAGTACCATCTGAGCGATGTTGAAGACATTTACCTTTTTCTACTTCTGCTGAATATGAGATAAACACAGCATCTCCTGTCCTCCTCCATCTTTTCTGCACAAGTCAAACAGCAGTATGAATGTAGGTAAATATTAATGAGGAAATAATGTTTTAAAAGAAGGGAAGGGATGAGGATTGATTAACAAATCAATAAGGAGAAAAATTTTAAAACTAGCTATGCATGCATAATAAAATTCCCAGAATAGAAGCTCTAAATAGTATATCAAGGGTGCTCTCACTTGAGAGAAACAAAAATAACAATTTTCAAATAAATTCTAGGTTACCATATTTTTAAATGCTATATGTCATACTAATTTTGAGTGTGAGTCTCTGGAAAAAATGAAACCTTGATTTATTTAGCAGCCATGTCGAAAACAATAACCTGCACTCCATGTACTCTGATTACATGTCTCCTGCCACGTGAAAACTCTTTGACATTGTTTCTAAAGTGGGAAAATACCTAAAGAAAGCTAACTAGACCAAGAGAGTAATGCTTTTAGTCTATTTGATTTTCTAATGTTAACAATATGGTCAGGGGCTGGGTGCAGTGGGGCTCACGCCTGTAATCCTAGCACTTTGGAAGGCTGACACAGGAAGATTGCTTGAGGCCAGAAGTTCAAGAGCAGCCTGGGCAACACAGCAAGACCCCATATCTGGGGAGAAAAAAAGCAGCAGCAGAAATTTAACACTAAATAAGAAAATGAAAACAACTCATGTTTTTGAAATAAAAGTTTGACAATTCAATGACAAAACATACTTTTTCAGCCAAACTTCTCCATAAAAACAGTAGTACTATAAGTAAATAATTCACCATCTCAGATTCACTTTACCTAGCAATCCCTGCCTTCCCTCTCAAGTATGAGACTATGTCTGGCCCCACTATTATATTTTCTCTGTTATTAGTTTCATGAAATGATTTAAAGTGGACAAAAGACAGATGTATTAAACTCGAATCAGAAAAAAAGCAAACAGAAGATAGAAAAACACACAATGGATTTCAGTGTTCTTACAATTTCTCTCTAGCCAAATTTAAACATAATCAATCAGGAAGAATATGGGGAAACATTTCTTGAAAGAAGATTCATTATTATTCTAATAAATCAAAATGAGAAGAACTGGATTTAAATCAGTTTAAACCCAACAGGTATCCAACACGCAGAACTAACTCCCATGACTGTTACCATTAGCTGCCTAACATGAAACTCATGAATAGCAAAACAAAGCTGCATTAAACCAGTCTGTGACATGGTAAGAATAAAGCATGGCAACAATTTGGCAACACATACCAGAATGTTTAAAATATTTAACAGTCTTTTAAAATATGAATAACCTATGACCACAACTGGTGGCATTTTCCTAAGCAGATAATTTTGAATTAATACACCAACTTAATTTTAACAACGCACAGCTCATCTGTGTTTACCAAATATCTTAAAATTAGAAAAAAATTTTCTAATACTCCTTTAAAAAATTATGGTATAACCATGTAAACTGATTTTATGGGAGAAAATATAATCATATGGAAATGCATTACCATTAGGTAGAGAAAATAGGTGTGTGTGTGTTTTCTTTTTCTATTTTCACATACACAGATATTTATATACATATGTGTGTATATATATATACACACACACACACACCCCTATTTTCACAAAATAGGAAATGGCTCCCCCCTAAATAGATGGAGTGAGTAAGAGATCAAGGTCTCTCTCTTGATCTCTCACTCTCTTGATCTTTCTATATTTATCTTAAACCAAAGGTGTTTTATTTCGTACCCATTGTTATTTTCCCTTCAAATCACTTGCCACGTGTAATCATATTTTGTGTATTTTTTTAGTTCTCAGTTGTTTTCAACACTAAAACCTACACTCGGTGAAGACAGGCATCAGGTCTGTTTTACCACTGAATATCTGTCATCATTACATAGTATATGCTCCATAAATATTAGTTGAATGATGGCTAGCCCACTAGAGTAATGCCAGCAATGTTAGAAACAAGTCAAAAATGAAAATTAAAATCGAATGTTGACTCACCATATTTGAATTATTCAATAACTTCCCTCATTTCTATTTATGTAAGTTATTTTAAAATTAAATTACCTGATCATTGTGTAGAACCCTTGATTAGATAACCTTAAAGTATTGCATTACTACATGGGGGAAGTCTGCCTTAATTAATATGAAACATGTCATAAATATTAAGGAGCTTTCTTTGCCCAGGAAATGACATTCATCTACAAACTACAATACAGATTTCTAACTATGCATACACTTGTTAAGAAATTGGTTAATTCAAATAAAATGTAGAATCATCATTGATGTAATGAATCATTAACAAGCTCTGGACAAAAGAATTCCTTGACTACCCGAGGGGCACAGACCGCTGATAAAATCTAGAAAGTGATTTGGTACGATCAGGTGTATTTTTACTCTACAGAGATTCATTGATCAGTCCAAATTTTAAAACAGGCTACATAATAAATGCAGTTTTAATGATCTACATTTCCTCATATTCACAGGCACTTTTAATATATTTAAATCCAAACTGGAATAAATCCAAAAAGGAATCATAAATGCAGCTGAAATCAGCCCCATGTTCTGCCAAGCAGTAAAGACCACTTTAAAACAATTCCAACTATCCATCCATATTTCTAGAGCCAAAAAAAAGCTCCACATTTGTATAACTTATATAATAATCACAGCAAAGATTACTCATCTATATGTGTAATAAGAAATCACTACATGGCTATAGTTTCACTTATTTCTTCAGATGTGGCTGCCTATTACAATCCATCCACTGGCACAAAAATTTTTTTAAATCTTTTCTTTTTAAAAAAAAGGAATGCGCTGTCATCACCAGTGCATAAATATAAGCTGCAGCAGCTATCCATTAAATCAAAATGCAAAACCCTTTCCTCATGGGGTCTGAAAGACCAAATTAAAAGGGAGAAGACGGTAGAGCCGAGGGAATGATGGGGTTAGTGTATGAGTGCATCATTTCGGTTTTGGTTCATCCTACATTCCATGAGTTGTTCCTAAGAGGAGGTACCCTGGGGGTGAGACCGGGGTGGGGGTTAGGGGCGGGGGGTGGGAATACTGTTTTTTAAATAGCAATAAACAATTATCACATACCAATTCTGCTCATACTTTCTCCTTCCCTTTGTCCAAGAACAGGACATAAGTTGAAAATGGCTTCTCAACTATTCTAAGTCATTTTAGCCACAAAGTTATCACACCTGATCCATATAATCTCTGGCCCAAGACTAAATTACAAGCCTTTCCTTCACAGTGCAAAATCATGAAGCCTATGCCACCACAAGCTCTAATTTCCCCTCTCTATGAAATGTATATTGGAAAGAAAACTAACAGGAAGTCCAGCACTTTAATCAAATATTAAATTACATCCATCTTTGGTTCAAATTTAATACTTGTGCTACAGCAATATGTCCACAGTAACCAGCTATGAAGCATTCACTCTACAAATATTTTGGTGCCTAATGTGTCCCAACAGGTACAATTACAGTGACCAAGGTTCATAAGTAAGTAAACTACAAGAGGGAGGGCAGAAGTATAAAAAGTTTTCAATGTTCATCACTGGTTAAGTTTTGGGAAACTTAACAGGGCTATTTTATTCATAAGAAACCATTACTCATTATTTAATCTTTTTAAAAAATTTTACTGGAACTGATGTGGCTGAATTAAATGACAAAATTGCACCGCATGATTTGTTCCTAAGATTTCTCTTCGTTAGGATGCTTTCTGACTAAAAAGAGCACCTTGATTGTCCCCCAAACTCAGGCATGTAATTTAGGGAAGCTAGACTGGCCAAACATTCCACCCCAATGGCAACAGTGATTGGTTCAGAGATGGGCACATGGCCCAAGCAACACCAATGAGGTACAGTGGGAATGTGTCGGTAGCTTGTTATCCTACAGAAGCTAACAGTCATCTCTGCCACAACATGGGAAACAACTGCCTGAGAAAGAAATCAACAGAGCAGAAAGTATGACAAGAAATGTCAAGTAGGTAGTCCTGCATCCAGAGAATGTTTACCCATAGGACCAGCTTAGGCAGAATCGATGCACTTAATATTAATCTCTAAGTATATAACACTCAAAAGAAATGTTAAAATCACCTCTGAACATAGAAAAAAAATTTTAAATAAAAACGGTCCTCCAGACTGGAAATGCATCTACGGTTGAAACCAGAGCGTAACAATTTGTATTTGACATATGAAAAAATGATTTGATAGTCAGCATGGGATGGAATGCGTTATCAGGTAAGACAGTCATGTGATGTGATCCAGGCACGGATGTAAAAGTTAAACGAATAAGACAATCAGTAATGGAACAGTATATATAAGGATCTGCCAAAAGAGACTGTTTACATTTCCATTTTTACATGTGTTCAAAACAATTCAAGTCAGTTAATATGCTTGGAATATCAAGCCTATCAGCAGATAAAAAAAACCCTATGTTCTTAATGTGGAGGCTTGATTTTTAGATTGCTGTTTAAACCAGCCAAGATTTTAAATGTCAATCAGAACATACAAAAAGGCCTTAATATGAAAAGTTTATACATATAAAAATGCAATTCTGGCTCTATAGCATTAAGAAATAAATATCAAAATAGTAATTAACAACCCAGGCCGAGCACGGTGGCTCAAGCCTATAATCCCAGCACTTTGGGAGGCAGACGCAGGCAGATCACTTGAGGTCAGGAGTTCGAGACCAGCCTGGCCAATATGGTGAAACCCCATCTCTGCTACAAATACAAAAATTAGCCAGGTGTGGTGATCCGTGCCTGTGGTCCCAGGTACTCAGAAAGCCGAGGCACAAGAATCATTTGAACCAGGAGTTGGAGGTTGCAGTGAGCCAATATCATGCCACTGCACTCCAGCTTGGGTGACAGAGCAAGACTCTGTCTCAAAACACACACACACACAATTAACCCAACAGAAGTTACATATTCCAATATCCCAGAACCAATATAAAAATTTTAAACACTCAAACTAAAACAGATTATTGTAAAAGCCCAATATAAAATACCATCTCACTTTAATACATAGATCCAAACAGTAATTTTAATAAAATGTCAAAAATATGACATCCAATAACCACAGAGATATAAAATTATGAAGTACCTGAAAATGAATAACATAGGTCCAAAGATAATGTTAAGTAACTGGCATTGAACTACAAAGGTTTTTGGAAGCCTATTTTCAACGAACCCTCACTTTGGAATTATTCTAGCAGTTCCAACAAAGTAAACTTATAACGCAGAAGGGCAGAATTCAACTACTTTTTCTTTTACATTCTTTATGAAACCATAAAATATGTGGAAACAGTTTAACTTAATTATTGTTTAACCACAGCAACATCAGAGAGAGCAGACGTCCTCTCTCTGAGAAGACCTGACTAAGCAGAACACAAAGTTCCTACAACAGAGGCTGCATAAAAAACTGCTTCACCAAGAACTACCCAGCATACACATAAATGGTAATCTTGGTCTCCTTTCCTCAATGGCAAGTAATTGATGGCATTTCTTCATTTATTAAAAATAACTTTTGTAGAGACAGGGACTGAACTATGTTACCCAGGCTGGTCTCAAAATCCTGATCTCAAGTGAATCTCCCACTTCAGCCTCCCAAAATGCTAGGATTATAGGCATGAGTGCACCCAGGGCATTGTTCATTCATGTTTAGTTTTCTAAGTTCATAAGGTGAAGGAGGCCTATCTTAGTTCTTACTTTTGAAAAATTTTAAAACATAATTAATAGATCATAATTTTTAAAAATTCACGCTGATAGTGATAGCAAACATCTACCACTTACTGTGTGCATACTAAGTACCAGGTACAATGATAAATGTAAAGCATTTTCTCATTCAGTCATTATAGATATTGTCTCAATTAATCTTCGTATCCCATGAGAAACTATTAATATCCCTACTTTACTAATGTTGGAATCAAAGAACCATTTACTTATGAAAAGCCATAGAATATGCAAGTGGTAAAGACACAGCCTCATATCTTTTTGGCATCAGTATCTGTACTGCTAAAAACTCACAATATAATGAGAATCCAGGATATGGAGTACTAATAATGTGTATCATCCCGGATCTTCTGAACTCTGAACTCGAGGATAATAGGGCTCTGGTATGGTTCTCATATTGAGAAAACTTACAGAGATTATAAGGCAGAGAAAGTAAAAAGAGATTGCAACAGAAGGCATACAGGTGCAGGTGAGCCCCCTGCCTGTCATGATCTCCAGATAACAGCATCTTCCCTACAAGCCCGTTTCACTCCTCCAGTCCTTCCAACAATTTCACAGCCTAGTTCCTTTTGCACCCAGACTTACTAGGAACAACTGTACATTCATGTGCAAGTCTTTCTGTGAACGTTTTAATCTTGCATATCTTCCTTTCTCAAGAGTCTGTACAATTTTTTTTTTTTTTTTTTTTAGTGGAAGCTTGCTCTGTCACCCAGGCAGGAGTGCAGCGGCACAATCTTGGCTCACTGCAACCTCCGCCTCCTGGGCTCAAGTGATCTTCCTGCTTCAGCCCCCCGAGTAGCTGGGATTACAGGCGCCTGCCACCAAGCCCGGCTAATATTTGTATTTTTAATAGAGACGAGGTTTCACCATGTTGGCAAGGTTGGTCTTGAACTCCTGACCTCAAGTGATCCGCCTGCCTTGGCCTCCCCAAGTGCTGGGATTACAGGTGTGAGCCACCATGCCCGGCCAGGAGTCTGTATAATTTTTGGCCCATTTTTCAGGGAGATGCTTTAGTCACTTCATGATTGAGTTTTTCAGGTTCTTTGTATGTCCCAACTACCAGTCCTTATCAGACACGTTTTGCAAATGTTTTATCCTCCTCTGGGTCTTGCTAATTCAATTTTTTAGTGATATATTTGGTGAGCAGCAGTTTTTAACTTTAACGAGACCCTAAATCATCAATTTTTTTATGATTATTGCATTCTGTGATTTAAGCAGTCTTTGCCTATCCTCAAGTTATAAAGATAGCTCTGTCCCCTATATTTTCATCTAATAGCTTCCTATATTAATTTTCTCTGTCAGGTCTAAGATAAATCTTGAATTAGTAGTTGTGTATGGTGAGGTTCAAGGTTTATTTTGTCCTAAATAATGAAGACTTTTTTTCCCTACTGGATGGTTGGATGCCTTTGACAAAAAACTAAATACCATATATAAATATGGATCTGATGTGGATTAACTCTTCTATTAAGGAAGATCTAGACGTAAACCAAGAACTAGATCTACATACAGATTTATTCTTCATAAACAATCATATCTACAAACAGAGATATTTTTACTTATTTGTTTCTGATCTTCATGCCTTGGCTTACTGCAGTGGCTGTGGCCTTCAGTAAAATGTTACATAAAAGTATTAAGAGTGAGGCCCGGCGCGGTGGCTCACGCCTGTAATCCCAGCACTTTGGGAGGCAGAGGCGGGCGGATCACGAGGTCAGGAGATCAAGACCACAGTGAAACCCCGTCTCTACTAAAAATACAAAAAATTAGCTGGGCGCAGTGGCGGGCGCCTGTATTCCCAGCTATTCAGGAGGCTGAGGCAGGAGAATGGCGTGAACCTGGAAGGCGGAGCTTGCAGTGAGCCGAGATCCCGCCACTGCACTCCAGCCTGGGAGACAGAGCGAGACTCCGTCTAAAAAAAAAAAGTATTAGGAGTGGAAATTCTTACTTTGTTCCAAATCTTAATCTTAAGGTGTCTAAATTTTCACCATTTAGTATGGTATTTGCTTTAGGTTTTTCAGACTTACTTCCATCTAAATGCAAAGTTAACTCTGAAAGTTTTTAATAAAAAAAGCATGCTGCTTTCTCTGCATTTAATAAAATGGTCATATGCTTTTTATCCTTTATTCTGTTAACATGGTGTATGAAACTGATAGACTTTTAAATGTTAAACCAAACTTATTGTGATGGTTAATTTTATGTGTCAATTTGACTGGAACATGAGGTACCCAGAAATGTAGTAAGATATTATTCTGAGTGTTTCTGTAAGGGTGTTTCTAGATACTTGGATAATCCGATTACTGTGAATCAGTAGAGTGAGTAAAGCAGATGTCTCTCCCTCAAGTGGGTAGGCTCCATCTAACAAGCTGAAAGGGCCTTGGAATGAGACCCTGCCTCTCCCTGGAGTAGGACCTGTTTGTCTGACTGCATGAACTGGAACATCAGTTTGCTTCTGCCTTCAGACCACACCTGAAACACAGGTTTTGCTTGGGTCTCAAGAATGCCAGCTCTCAGACAGAAAAGTACATCATCAGTTCTGAGTATTCAACTTATTGACTGCAGAGTCTTGAGGTTTCTCAGCTTCCATAATTAAGTATGCTGACATATCCATAAACAGACACACATATATACACACACACATATCCTGCTGGTATTGTTAGTCTGGAGAACCCTAACAAACTTGTGTTCTGGAGATAAATGTCACATAATATCAATTAGCACTACTGTCCTCACTTTATATAATTTAGTCATATATATCTCTCTATATATAAATTTATAATTTAGTCATAAATATACCTAATATATCCAAATATATATATATATATCATGTATTAGAGAACATAAAATTGATATGTGGTTTTAGACTTTTTTTTTCTTTGCAATTTGCCTTGTGTTAAGCTCAAGGCTTCCTATGCTTACACAGCCAGAGCCACGTTTCTCTTTTATTTCCTACATATAATTTTTCTCTCATTAAAAATAAATAACATGCAAGAAAGAGTAATGGGAAACAAAGCCATTATAAAGCACCCTCCTGGAAATTTCCATTTTTCTAAACTTTCGCATTCAAGAAAGAGAAGTTTAAGAATAAAAAATGTAAATGGGTGTAAAAAGGTTATGTAGGAGAAAAATCTAGGCATACGTTCACTTTGCTTTTTTTTTTTCCCGACGAAGTCTCACTCTGTAGCCCAGGCTGGAGTGCAATGGCGCGATCTCGGCTCACTGCAACCTCCGCCTCCTGGGCTCAAGTGATTCTCCTGCCTCAGCCTCCCGAGTAGCTGGGATTACAGGCATGTGCTACTGCGCCCAGTCTGTGGTTTTTTTTTTTTTTTTTTTTGAGACGGAGTCTCACTCTGTCCCCCAGGCTGGAGTGCAGTGGCGTGATCTCGGCTCACTGCAAGCTCCACCTCCCGGGTTCACGCCATTCTCCTGCCTCAGCCTCACGAGTAGCTGGGACTACAGGCGCCCACCACCACACCCGGCTAATTTTTTGTATTTTTTAGTAGAGATGGGGTTTCACCGTGTTGCCCAGGCTGGTCTTGAACTCTATAAAGACACATGCACATGTATGTTTACTGTGGCACTATTCACAATAGCAAAGACTTGGAACCAATCCAAATGTCCATCAATGATAGACTGGATTAAGAAAATGTGGCACATATACACTATGGAATACTATGCAGCCATAAAAAAAGGATGAGTTCATGTCCTTTGTAGCGACACGGATGAAGCTGGAAACCATCATTCTCAGCAAACTATCCCAAGGACAGAAAACCAAACCCCGCATGTTCTCACTCATAGGTGGGAATTGAACAATGAGAACGCTTGGACACAGGATGGGGAATATCACACACCTGGGCCTGTTGGGGGGTCAGGGGAGGGGGGAGGGATAGCAATAGAAGATATACCTAATGTAAATGATGAGTTAATGGGTGCAGCACACCAACGTGGCATATGTATACATGTGTAACAAACCTGCACGTTGTGCACATGTAGCCTAGAACTTAAAGTATAACTGAAATAAATAAAATAAAATGACAATAAAGAAAGCAAAGATTACAGAAAAATAATAATAATAGTAAAATATTAACATCAGAGTTATGTTCTTAGCTTTCTAACAGTCAAAATTATTAGCTCCAACAGCTTGCAAATGAAGCTGCTTTCTAACCATTTTTCAAACATTCAAATACTCCTCTGCACTGAATAGTTAATCTAGGAATAGCTAAAAAAGTGATAGCAAGAAACAGAAGGATTAAAAATGAAATGTGAGAGGGAACTGTCAGGGTGGCGGAAACACCATCAAGTAGAAAAACATATAGGTAGCTGTTAGGGGCCTTGAGGTAGTCTAAGAAGACTGAGAGGCAGGAAAATGATGCTTCTCTGGAAGAATGTGCGGAAGACACAGGACAGGACACATTGCAAGAGAAGGAATGGATCTCATAAATTTAAACAGCAATGAAACCATCAGTATCAACTCAGATGTCCTGTCTCTCCACTGTTACCCCTCTGCTACATCCTGAATCTTTCTCTGTATTGTTACCTTGTTGCACCAACTGTATTTATCTAGCTAACATGCTTCATATTTCACCTTAAATGCCCATAGACTAGGTCAGCTCCCCTACCACAAACAACTCAATGCCATGAATATGCGGCACGATACTACTGGTCATAATTAGTTGTATCATTATTTCATAATGTCAGCCTCTGGGCTTCCTGTAAGAGGACAAAGATTGTGCTTATCCTGCATCACTGCAACTCCCAACCAGAGTGGTCAATAAATATTTACTGCATGAATTAATAACTGAATAAAAAATGTGTCCATGAATATATTTCCAACAATTATTAATACTACTAAAAGCATTTGTCTAGTATTTTTTTATTTGCTTACTAAAAACTACTTGCTAAGAATCACTTTTTTAATCACTTTACAGTTTACTAAGTACTGAGCACCATTCTAAGTACACTGCATTTAACAACTCAATCCTCAGAGGTTGGCATAATTATTATCCCCACATAACAGATGAGAAAACCAATGCACAGAAAGATTAAGTAATTTGCATAAAGTTCATGGTGGACACAAGATTCAAACCCAAGAAGCCTGATTCCACAAGACATTACTGGCTCAAATTTTAATTTTAAACCAACTATATCATGTCCATAAACAGCTTATATGTATCTTGTAAAATATTTATAGGTCTGAGATTTAACATTTTAGCTAGATAATTCTCACATGCATAATGAATTACAGAAAACATTAGTACTTGATTCTTGATGTTGATTTCTTTTTTTAGTAATTGAGTAATTACATGAGATTTTAAAAATAAATACACAATTTAAAGTTTTCATGTTACCTAAATGCATTTAAGTATTATAATCTAAATGCCCAGAAGAACTGCTGAATTAAGAAGAAATAAATCTGAGTCAGGGTTGTGACAGTCATTACAGCTGATGTCTTTTTTTTTCTCTACTAATGGAACAAAGAAATGTATCTTATTTTACAGAATCTATCATGTTGACTATAAAAAATTTACTATGTGAAAATGTAAATGCTGAAAACATTTATAGGATTTCTTGTTCCTTTAATAAAATCATACTGATTAAAAAGATCATTGCTCATACTTTGTTTAAAAATGAAACCATAAAGTGTTGACTTCATACGGTCTGATTATGTGATTATCTCAGAAGCTGAAAATTGCAATTATCCTTAACTCATCTGAACATTAATGGATTCACTGTCCAAAGGTCAGTTTGCGTTTCTGAACACTAGAAGACTGGATAACTTATCTACATTTCATCTTCAAATGCATTTGGATATAATTTTTTCTTGAATTACTGCTAGCTAGATTAAACACTGCTACAGGAAGGGAGCTTAAGCTATAATGTATGCTGTGTGTTCATCCAGGCTGTTGAGCATACAAAGTACAAGATATATTTAAATGTGTACATACATGCCTAATCAAATTCACTCCTATTGCTTTTTTCAATCAATCAATTTAATTCATTTTCTTCAAAATCACAGCCAATAGAGCCCCCTGGTGCTCCTCTTGTATCCCACTGTGACTCTAGGGTTCCTCACGACTCTGACATAAGTACATAACGAAGTTAATGTTACCAAGCATAACCGACCCAGTAGCTGATTTATAAATGAACTTGTGAAGGCCAGCAGGCATTCCCTACAGTCTTTGATTTATACATGCACTCATTCAGTAGTACACAGAAACTGCATTCACAACATCCTTAAAACACCATAAGCTAGAAGGGAAAAAAGCTTTAAAATGATGGCAATTTCTATTGAGAAGATGCAATAATATGGAAAAATAATCATGACAATGAACGGATGACAGAAAAGTAATAAAGCTAAATACCATCAAAGAGGTCACCATGTTTTTATTTTTGTTTTTGTTTGACAGGGCCACAGACCCTTACCTTGTATATTACACTCACCTATTTGAATTTTGATAACAAGGATTACTATGATAAATAATTTTGAATTTAGTTAAGTCATAATTTAAGACATTAGATATTTAAAAAGACAATTTATACCTTACTAATGAATTATGCTATGTATAAATACTATATTCTGTCTGATGAGAAATAGTTACAATGTTACCTTCTTTACAAACAGAAAGTTTATGCACTCATTTTCTGACAGTTTATACAACCACGACTATCTCTGTTCAGAAAGTAGGTGGATACCTTTCAGTACCTGCATCTAGTAAGGCAGTAACATAAACACAAAACACTATATATGCATGCAAGCCATCTGGATGTAATATGGTTCTTCTATTCACCACCCCACGTTTAGTGCTGCACACATCTAGTAACATGATGACAAGACTGTCCTCCATAATTACCACTGGATAATTATCAAGCCATCCTTTTCTATTTCATGACTATTAGGCTATAGCAATATTTAACTTTTAAAATAAAGGACAACTAATTTTAGATATTACCTTTAGTAAATAAATTTTGTCAAATGTTTGCAAACTCACAATGCTGACATAATATAAACAAACTTGTGTGGCTATTCAAGAGGCACTACATGGTGTTTAAGTGTCAGCCTAAGAAAAAGAAAGTGAATTTGAGAGTGTCCTAGAAGCCACCTCTTGCTGTTCTCCATCACTGAACCCCATGTCGCTCATAAGTAGTCTACTGTTTCACAATGCGTGTATGGATGTCATTTTTCTGTGTGGTTGTCCGTTTCCCACACTAGACTGTAGTGCTCACTAGCCTAGTGGTTCTCAACTGAGGTGATTTTTGCTTCCTAGGGGATATTTGAGAATGCCTGAAGGCATTTCTAAAGGCCAGGATGCTGCTAAAAATGACAATATTGCTGAAGCTGAGAATGTCTGCACTGGGTCTAAGCAACTTGGAGAAAGAGACTGTTTACTGCCTACAAAGGGTGGGCATTCAGATATGGGACAAATGGATACACATGTACATGAAAATTTGTGTCAGTGTGAAATCATCTTTAAACCATCTTTCTCCCTACGACACTCTTTAAAGAACTTCCTTTTTTCCTACTTTCTATGACAATCTTTAAAGAGCTTCCTTTTTATAGGCCACGCACAGTGACTCATGCCTGTAATTCCAGCATTTTGGAAGGCCGAGGTAGGAGGACTGCTTGAGCCCAGGAGTTTTAGACCATCCTGGGAAACAAAGAGAGTGACCCCTAGATGAGTGTGGTGATGCAAGCTTATAGTTCCAGCTACTCAGGAGACTGAGGAGAGAGGATCCCTTGAGCCCAGGAGGTCCAGGCTGCAGTGAGCTATGATTATGCCACTGTACTTCAGCCTGGGTGACAGAGACCCTGTATTTAAAAAAAAAAAAAAAAAATTAAAAACATTTTAAAAGAGCTTCCATTTATCCTTCTTTCAACTGCTTCACAGTCTTTGTGGAATGAAACAGTATATGCATCTGTAATAAATATCAGGACTGCAGCAGTTCTGCCCTGGAGTAGAGAGGGAATGGGGAAAGGAATATTGGCCAAGCTTTTTCTCCATTGTGACTTTGGGAAGGTCTTGACCCCTAAGGAATCTCTCAGGGACTTGGATCAGATGGCCTCTCAGACTTCTGCTTGGGAGGATTACTTTAATCGTTTCTGTATCTACAAGCATTCACTGGATGTAACAGCTTTTCATACGGGCTACACAGTTGTTAGTATGGCAGCAGAGGCCCCTACAGTATTTTATACCACAGCTGTTGTCACTTTCGTAGTAACCATAATCTTAGGTCAGGCTTTTATTTCATTTTAAGAGGCTTTAAATAAGAACATGCCTGGTGATAAATTAAGTTGACAGGCATTTCCTTTTATTACAACTGAAAGGAAGACATATATATCCGTCATGTTATTTGGTGTAAACAACTTATGAGTAGTCATAATTCGTGTAGCCTAACTAGACTACAATTTCACAGAATTAACATGCCATGACTATATACTACAATTCACATACTCTTCTTGAAGTTGTCTTATTAACTATAATATAAACTCTTAAATTGAAACAAATCTATAGAATGACAGTAGATACAAACTTCCTCAGTAAATTTTACCAGTGTAAAAACCTACCAGCTGGCTCTTGCAGTTGCTCAGAGTAAATATGTAGCTTCTGTGTATCAGGTGGCACTATGCTAAGATAACGACAAGCAAGACAGAGTGAGTACACTTAAAATACAATAGGCAGACCAAAGTTCAGAAATCATTCTTCAAGGCATATTCTCCAAGAGCCTCTGACAGGTACCACAGTCTAGTATCTGAAGAAAAGGACAGGGAGGCAAAGAAACAGACCAACACTTTCAAGAGTGAGGGGACTCTGACATCCACTCCTCTAACTATGGTCAAATAAAAAGTAACATCTGGGACTACATGGTGGGACCAGCATGGGGATTTCAAACAGACGATAAAACCATGAAGAAAACTGGGCTCTCTAGTGCTCCTCTTCTCACCTACTTCTTTTAAAAGTAGTGTTTGGGGGTAAATCTACATCAAGCTAAGTCATTTGTTCACTGGGTTCCTGGATATCTCTGAAAAAGGAAGAGAAAACTTGGGCAGGACTATAAATGTTTTATTCTAGGCTCCAGGCTTTAAAAAGGAGGCATAAAAGGAACTTTATGATTTCCTTCTATTGAACCTATCATCTGTGCTCTAATAATATTATCATAACATTACACATAGGCTGGGCATGGTGGCTCACGCCTGTAATCCCAACACTTCGGGAGGCCAAGGCAGGTGGATCGCTTGAGCCCAGGAGTTCGAGACCAGCTTGCATCTATGAAAAACACAAAAATTAGCCAGTGTGGTGGTGCGCACCTGTGGTCCCAACCACATGGGAGGCGGAGGTGGAAGGAGATGGAGGTTGCAGTGAGCCATGAACATGCCACTGCACTCTAGCCTGGGTAACAGAGTGAGACCCTGTCCCAAAAAAAAAAAAAAATCATATAAAGAAAGGCATAATGTATTTTTAACATTATAGCCAAACTACTAGGGGGAAAAAGTAAATATTCCTTACTCAGTGTGATACGATTTTTTTTTTTTCAGACAGAGTCTTGCTCTGTTGCCCAGGCTGGAATGCAATGGCGCGATCTCGGCTCACCACAACCTCTGCCTCCCTGGTTGGAGCAATTATCCTGCCTCAGCCTCCCAAGTAGCTGAGATTACAGGTGCATGCCACCATGCCCAGCTAATTTTTTTGTATTTTTAGTAGAGACAGGGTTTCACCATGTTGGTCAGGCTGGTCTCGAACTTCTGGTCTCAGATAATCCACTCATCTTGGCCTCCCAAAGTGCTGGTATTACAAGCGTGAGCCACCGCACCGGCCTCAATGTGATATAATTCTTATCCTTAGCTGCTGTCACAGTAGTTAAATAATTTCTAGTAAAAATACTATTGTATTATTATTAATTGTTTGACAAGACTGCAGAGTTAACAGGTGAAAGACGGCATTGTGAGTCACTTTTGGAAACACCTGGTTGGAGAAAAACTTTCTGTCCCTGCAATAAAAAGAGTATCTACAAGCAATTATTAAAAAAAAAAAAAAGCTACTTTGCTGAAGCAAACCCTCAGTTGTTATAACTAATGTTTATATGTCTACAATTGTTCTCTCCCTCGGAGAAGCAATATACTTGGAGGTCACACCGTCTCACCACCCAACTTCTCCATGGCCCTCAAACACGGATTCTACAGGCTTTCGATAACACTGTTTATTATTACCATCATCAATTAAAAATATATGTACTCGAATTGTGTTTTATTGTCCATGAACATGAGGTTCAGGAGGGTTAGGCAGTTTGCACAAGGGTTTCTAGCCAAGAAGCAAGAGGGCCAGTATGCAGACCCAGCTCTCTGATTCTGGAGCTGAGTGCATGCCATGTTTTCACCCCCTCCCCACCACCCTGGCTTGACATGGCTCCTGCTATAACATGAACACCCAGACCCACTCCTGGTTCCATTTCACAAACAACACAATTGTGCAACCAATAGAAAATATCAGTCACAACACAGAGAAACAGCAGCCTCCACGTTTGATCTCTTATGGTGGTGGTGGTGACCTACCAGTATTCTCCGACAATGTCGCTGCCACTACCACTGTGGCTGCTATTACTGCAGAAAAAAAAAAATTACCTAATATCATGGTGGTATTAACAAGCTCTAAAAGTGGCCAAAAGGCAGGTTTCTTTTCCCTGGAAAGAACAGGGTCCCATAAGAGAGTTTCAATGGAAAGCGAATGCCAAAAACCCTCATAAAAGGCAGGACACAGCTTTCCTTCTTGCAACTAGTCATCTTGTAAAGAAAATAGATGGTAGGGTTAGTGCACAATATTTATAATGAAACATAGAAAAGGACTTGTGATAAAAATAAGTATCAAAAGTGACAACAGGCAGCATTATGCAGAACATAATCTTCCTAAGCAGCTGTGTGCCAGGGAGAATTTGCACATGTGTTTGCAAGGCATTACAAATAAAACAGCTTATGCCAGAGTCATTATTTTCTACCTCTAGATAATGCAGCTTGAAAAATATCACAAACAGAAGATAATGGCTCATATTAATCAGCCCCACTATGAAGTGGGTCAGCAAAGCCAGCTGGTCCCTTGTCCATCGTAACCAAATGTAAGAGCTGCAACTGTGAGAAAGACTGCAACTTAACACTGCCTGACCAGTAAGACACTATTTCAGAAACAGAACCAAGCCAGAGGATGGCAGAGAAGGCTTCAGTACCAGAGACACTACCAGAAACTATAGCGCTCCAGCTGAGCTCTGAAGCCAAAGAAATGGATACCCTACTATGCCTTGATAAAAGAAAGATTCTGCTACCAAAAAACATAAAGCATGCCAGCTGGTTAATCACCTAAGCTGCACAGACAACATCTAAATACATGAGGTCCCTGGGCCTGGTCAGACCTCATAAAGAAGGGATTGGTGATATCTTTCTGTAAAAATATTTTAGGCTCTGTGTATTATATGATCTTTTGTCACAACCACTCAAGTCAGCCATTGTAGTACAAACGCAACCTTAGATAATACATAAACAAATGAGCATGGCTGTGTCCCAAAATAATGTTATTTACAAATACAGGCAGGGGGGTATAGTGTGCCAACCCAACTTAGAAATGGAGTTTCAGAAAAACAGGTGAGGTGACATTTGACCCTTTTAGTGGGCAACAAACACCAATTACAAGATAGCCTTCGTCCGCACCCACATTACAATTTTTTTTAATTTTTTAAATTTTTATGGGTACTTAGTAGGTGTGTATATTTGTGGAGTACATAAGGTGTTTTGATACAAGCATGCAATGTGAAATAAGCACATCATGGGGAATGGAGTATCCATCCCCTCAAGCATTTATCCTTTGAGTTACAAACAATCCAATTACACTCTTGAAGTAGATTTTTAAATGTACAATTAAGTTATTATCGACTATAGTCACCACATTGTGGTATCAACTAGTAGATCTTATTAAATCTATTTTTTTGTACCCATTAACCATCCCCACCTCCCCATCACCACCCCCAACTACCCTCCTCAGCCTCTGGTAACCATCCTTCTACCATGTCCATGAGTTCAATTCTTTTGATTTTTAGATCTCATAAATAAGTGAGAACATGTGCACACTGCAGTTTCTGAAGGAACTAAAACACACTCTGGAAATGAGGCAGAGGCAGAGGTGGCACAGTTCTGTTGTATTTCCAACCCTAGCTAAAGACAACTGGTTGTATTGTGCTCTTTTACTAGCATTATAAAGATTGAGAACAATTTTGTACTAGACAAAGCGTCACTGTGTTCCATCTGCGGTTAGTGACTTGCTCTGGAAATTAAAGTTAATACATCAAATTCTGAGACACTTTGATACAGAGTGTGTATTTTTCTCCACAACTGAGTTAACTGACTTGGTACTGCTCATAAGGCAAATGTGGCAAGGAGCCAAAAGATTATAACTATTTTACATAAGAAGAAAGGGAAAAGCTGAAAAAATTTCAAGCGCCAAACGTTAAAAGCCATCATGCCATTAATCAGAGGCTGGTCACGTTTTCCTTTTCTAGAGTCATACTTCGATAAAGCTGCGGCACAGATTCCATGCAAATATGCAGGCAACACAATAAGAGGGCTGAATGATTATGTGAATCCAGATCAAAGGCATCCTTCTCTGCTCTTGGAAAAGGGGCCTCTATACTCAGCTCTGCAGGGCCTGAGTCATGGTCCACTGCACTGCATGAAAAACAAAGGGTGAACCAAGGACAAGAAACAAAACAGCAAACAGCTTTGTCTCTATTCAAAGGTAAAACCAAAACCTACTGACACAACTGTGCATTGGGCATTTCATCTCTCTGTGCCTTACCCCACCTAAGGAACTGATTACCTCTTTCTCCTATCACTGACCAAAAACTGATACTATTAAAACTCTGTCCACTCCTACCACCCCACAGTAGAAGAATTTCTGCTAAAATATAGAGAGGCATTCAGATCTTGGCTCTAGTCTGGAAGCCCAAAGGCTTTCACCATCCAGTAACCAGCAATGGACCTTTTATGCTCCCAGGAGATGCACCTGTTCCTGAAGGGGAGGAAGAGGGGTCTAGCCACAAAATTCCTTTAGTACATCATTGTTCACGTTAGCAAACTAATAAAGAGTTCCCACTCTTCCAACAGAAAGTCCCTGATGCCTCCTGCAGTACTAGAGACTGAAGCAAAATAATTAGTATCGGATTCTGGCCTTTAATTCCCAATTTGCAATATTCTGTTCCTGGTCAAATTACTTAACCCTAAATGGAACTAAACAAGAATTTTCTGAATTTGCCAAATACTAAAACCCATGAAATAGGGAGTGGGTACATGAAGTCTGCCCATTCAGAGATTCTCAACTGACCTGACAATAGTTACTGGCTTTCACTCTCCATTGTTGGGCTAGGTACTTTTAAGAAGTTACATAGAATGCTAAATCATTTAAATTAGAATATCTTAGCCTTGTAAAAGCTGCCTTTCACAATTTCCTCAAAGCTATGAATCCAAACTCCAGAAACCTGCACATTATTAACATATATAAGAATTTTTCATATAATTTTATAGATAGATCAATAAGGCCTCTCCTTGGTCCCCAGGCTAACACATCGTGAACAGACAAATAAAAAGATCATGTCTGAGACTTGTCAAGAGTAGCTACCAGAATAGTTCATTGTCAATAAAATCCTTCATTTTATTCAATATAACAAACAATTATGAGCTGATGGGTGCAGGAATTGTGCAGAGTTCTACGAAAATACAGACATAATTAATTATACCATAGCCCCACTCTTCCAGGAACATAAAAACAAACATACTATGAAGACATTGACGTGACCGAGTACTAAGCAGACATTCCAAGAGTCTCAGGAGAAAAGAGGAGAAAGTCATATTGCATGGGAAAGGCAGCCCTGCTGTTTGAACTAGACACTGAAAGATATATAGGATCAGAATCCTATGTATCTGTGTACGAAGGGACAGAAGACATGGAGGAGACAATTCACCTGAGAATGTATACTGCCTGACTGGTTTGATGTGAGCATAGAATGAGGTGAAGTATCCATGAATGCAGTGAAGGAAGAGAAAGCAAAGAAGTCCTATGCGCAAGGTTTGCTGACCCCCGACAGCTACTTCTGAAACCTCAGAGAGGCTGAAAAGGTAAATTCAAGATGAAGACTTTAATATAAAAACTAGGTATGTGGTGACTTTGGAGAGCAAATTCAGCTAAATGGTTGGAAGAGGAACCAGATTTCCAAGGGTCAAGAAGTGAATATGTAATGATGATGAGGCAGCAGGAAGCAGAGAATACCATTCAAGTTTGGGAGAAGAAAATAGGGATGATATGGTGGCATATTAGGAAAATCAGTGTATTCACTATTACTCATAACTAATTCTATAGTTGACGTTTTTAAAAATCCTCCGTTCTCTCAAAGGTCACAAATCATATCTGAGGATCAGCAAGAAAAGGTCCACATGAATTGGTAAAATATTTGTATAACATGGTACACTGAGACTTTTATTTGAAACAAAATATTACTCCCTTAAATACACATTATTTTCAAAATGAGCTATCAAAATCAATTTTATATTTCATATTCTAATAAAAGAAAGCTTTATAGTCTAGGCAGCTTAGAACAGCCTCCAGAGCAATTTGAAAGACAAAGAGATTGATCAGATTATTGCATTGCAAGTATTAAATGTTTCTTTTGAAAATAAATGCAAACAGCCAAGTTAATTCAAACCATAGGTCAAAGCAGAATAAATTATGTTTAAATCTCTCAATTTCATCTTCAAAAAATAAAGGCGGGAAAGCCTTTACTCCATGAGAATCAAAACTGCTGAATAAGCTGGTGATTAAATACACAGACCACTCTATATTTCAAGTGAGAACACTCAGGCTGTCTTGTTTGAGTGAAAGGGAGATGTCTGATGCTTTTCATAATAAATATCCATTCATAAAATAAGCTAAAATGAACAAAAAAGATCTACTGCCTACTCCAGCTATTTTACAGAGAAACGTTGGCAAGGAATTTTCTAACATCTAAAATAGTAAAGTATCAATTAATCATGAAAATGGCTCAGATAATGCATTACATTTTATCATATTCATTCTGCTGCCTTAAACCATTTTTAAAATGACATCACATAAAAATGCAAGTACCAGTCATTTAAAGAAGTAAAATCTTTAAAAATATTAGATCTCCCTCCCCCGACTGCAAACCGTGCTCACTGTACAAATGTTGAGTAACAAGGACTATCATAAAGAAAATAACAACCACTTATAGAGAACCACATTTAACCTATTTATCTTACGTTCATCTTTCTAAGAGCACTTATGTCACTGGAACAAATACTGCACATGATCTTTCTTTTAAAACATACTCTGGGGCCGGGCACAGTGGCTCACACCTGTAATCCCATCAGTTTGGGAGGCCAAGGCAGGTGAATCAACTGAGGTCAGGAGTTTGAGATCAGCCTGGCCAACATAGTGAAACCCCGTCTCTACTAAAAACACAAAAATCAGCCAGGCGTGGTTGTGGGTGCCTGTAATCCCAGCTACTTGGGAGCCTGAGGCAGGAGAATAACTTGAACCCAGGAGGCAGAGGTTGCAGTGAGCCGAGATCGTGCCACTGCACTCCAGCCTGGGCAACAAAGTGAGACTCCATCTCAAAAAAACATATAATAATAATTATTATTATATATATATATATATATACACACATACACACTGTGAACAATTTCCCATATCAGTAAGTATTGGCCTAACAACATTACTGAATGGTTTCATACTCTTTTCCTATAAAACTGTACCACGATTGATTTATTTATCTAACCCTTTACTCTTGGACATAGGCGTACCATCAGGTTGCTTTGCTTTGCTGTTTTAAATAACTCTATGTTAAACATCTTTACATATACCAATAACTATTTCTAAATCCTTAGATCAACTTTTCAGAAATAAAATGTCAGGTTGTAGGGGGTGCATTTTGTAATTTTTCACACATTTTCCTCAAATTTCCTTTCATAAAGATTAAATCAGTTTACAGTATCATCAACAATGTATTTTTTAAGCCCATTTAAGTTCAGCCTTATAAACTCTGGTTATTATATTTTTTAAATATGAGCTAAGTAACAGCAGGGTCAATTTTCAAAAATCACACTGCCATACCCCAATATTAAAGGCATAAAGAGAAAAAAAAATTTAAAACTTAAAATGACAAAAGATCAATTATCATAATCATATATTTATAACGTGTCATTTAAATAATATTGCTATTGTTTTCATGACTTCATACCCAATTCACATACAAAGTACTAAGTGAAGTAAATCATACAAATTTTTCTCTTTTAATTATAAATGAATTTGGGCATCTCTATGCTACATGATTAAATGCATGAAATAGGACAATGACAGTCAAATTCTCAATACAGTTAAGTGTTTTCCCAAAGTTATGTCTAAACTGTATACCATGGGTAATTGTCCTGTTATAATTATCTGTAGATTGCACAGAGTTTAACACTCGGCTTAAATGGTCAGTTCTGGTTACAAGAGATACTCAATAGCCCCCACCATAAATACACACTCTTAACTCCTGTTCCCAAGACATTCCTCTTTTTCATAGAAAGCCGACTCCCAACAAAAAACAAAATGCAACTAGTGGTGCCCATAATCTCATGGGATGTATCAGTCTCCATAAGGGCACCAGAATGTAATCAGATCATGACTAGAAGAAACTGATACTGGGCTTCAGAGTCCAGAAGACAGAGTTTATTATCAGGTTTTAATTTATAACTCAAAAGCATATAAGGACAGGGAGAGATGTGTTAAAGGATACAAAGTTACAGCTAGATAGAAGCAATAAGTTCTAGTGTTCCATACCACTGTAGGATGACTATAGTTAATAGAAATATATAATTTCAAATAGCTAAGAAAGAAGACATTGAATGTTCCCAACACCAAGAAATGATAAGTGTTTGAGATGATGGGTATGTGAATTACCCTGACTGATCACTATAAATTGTATGTATTAAAACATCACTATGTACCCAATGAATATGTACAATTATTGTCAAGTTAAAAAAAAATTAATAAAATAAAATTTAAAAATGTTAAAGAATGAATAAATGAATGCCTCCCTTCAGAGATGGCAAAGAATAAGTACTGTAAAGCTATTCCTCCTCCCCCCAAAATTCAAGTATTTTCTGTTATCTGAAACATTTAAGGAAAGGTTCATGGCATGACTACTAAGGATCTGAGATTTTAACTCAGCCACAGCTTTTTGGTAGAGCAGTCAAAGAAAAGATACTGAACCGGATGAACCATGAAAAGGCATATGCACCTCCTTAAAGGTATTTATTAGTTAGTTAACCATAAAAAAGTATGCTTTCTCTCCCTGAAAACTTCAACTTTTATGTAAATGATAATAAGCAGCTACAATAAACGTTATCAGGAGGGAACATTGGCTAGCTAGAAGAGCTAGTTTTGAGTTTAATCAGTATTAATAAACAGAATACAGAGATAATCTCACTTAAACCAGCATTTGATGATCATCTAATTGCTAAGGGACAATGAGGCAGCTTAAATTTGCTTTGAATTTAGTAGGGATCCATATTAACAACTGTCCAGTACAGGTTTTCACATAAATACTTCCCCTCAAATCTATCAACACTCTAAAATCTGTATGGATGAATTTACCCCATACCTAGAGGCTGCACTCTCAAAGACAGGGAAAAATAAAACCAAAAACAAAAAAGCCTAGATCAGTGTAATTTTCTTCATTCTAAACATAGATTTCTACTTACCATGATTATTTAAAATGCCAACATTAACAAACACAAGGGAAAAATCATAATGAACTATAGAAAGAATAGTTCACATCAATAAAACCTCTGGAAAGGAGAATTTAAGGTTCAAGACAACCTTCTATAATAAAATTTGCTAATCATTTCAAAATATTTATGCATCTCAAAACATCACATTGTATGCTGTAAATACATACCATTTTTATTTGTCCACTATATCTCAATAAAGCTTGAGGAAAAAAAAAAACAAGAAAAGATACTCCACCAAAAAAAAAAAAAAAACCAGCCACATGGGTGGCCAGAGAAGTTTCAAAAGTTAACTATGAAGAAATGTGACTCCTTGGGCTAAATAAGCTAGTTATACTTGAGCCTTAAATCAATTAATGCAGGGATCTCAAAAATCCAGAAAGAACATCAATTTATCTCTGATTCTTTGGCTTCATTAACAAAAAAAATGGTCCCTCTCCCTCTCCCCACGGTCTCCCTCTCCCTCCACGGTCTCCCTCTGATGCCGAGCCGAAGCTGGACTGTACTGCTGCCATCTCCGCTCACTGCAACCTCCCTGCCTGATTCTCCTGCCTCAGCCTGCTGAGTGCCTGCGATTGCAGGCGCGCGCCGCCACGCCTGACTGGTTTTCGTATTTTTTTTGGTGGAGACGGGGTTTCGCTGTGTTGGCCGGGCTGGTCTCCAGCTCCTAACCGCGAGTGATCTGCCAGCCTCGGCCTCCCGAGGTGCCGGGATTGCAGATGGAGTCTCGTTCACTCAGTGCTCAATGGTGCCCAGGCTGGAGGGCAGTGGCGTGATCTTGGCTCGCTACAACCTCCACCTCCCAGCCGCCTGCCTTGGCCTCCCAAAGTGCCGAGATTACAGCCTCTGCCCAGCCGCCACCCCGTCTGGGAAGTGAGGAACGTCTCTGCCTGGCCACTCATCGTCTGGGATGTGAGGAGCCCCTCTGCCCAGTCTGGGAAGTGAGGAGCGCCTCTTCCCGGCCGCCATCCCGTCTAGGAAATGAGGAGCGTCTCTGCCCGGCCACCCATCATCTGGGATGTGAGGAGCGCCTCTGCCCGGCCGCAACCCCGTCTGGGAGGTGAGGAGCGTCTCTGCCCGGCCGCCCCGTCTGAGAAGTGAGGAGCCCCTCCGCCCGGCAGCCACCCCGTCTAAGAAGTGAGGAGCCCCTCCGCCCAGCAGCCGCCCCGTCTGGGAAGTGAGGAGCGTCTCCACCCGGCCAGCCGCCCCGTCCGGGAGATGGGGGGCGCCTCTGCCCAGCCGCCCCTTCTGGGAAGTGAGGAGCCCCTCTGCCCGGCCGCCACCCCGTCTGGGAGGTGTACCCAACAGCTCAATGAGAACGGGCCATGATGACGATGGCGGTTTCGTCGAATAGAGAAGGGGGAAATGTGGGGAAAAGATAGAGAAATCAGATTGTTGCTGCATCTGTGTAGAAAGAAGTAGACATAGGAGACTCCATTTTGTTCTGTACTAAGAAAAATTCTTCTGCCTTGGGATCCTGTTGATCTATGACCTTACCCCCAACCCGGTGCTCTCTGAAACATGTGCTGTGTCCACTCAGGGTTAAATGGATTAAGGGCGGTGCAAGATGTGCTTTGTTAAAAAGATGCTTGAAGGCAGCATGCTCGTTAAGAGTCATCACCACTCCCTAATCTCAAGTACCCAGGGACACAAACACTGCGGAAGGCCGCAGGGTCCTCTGCATAGGAAAACCAGAGACCTTTGTTCACTTGTTTATCTACTGACCTTCCCTCCACTATTGTCCTATGACCCTGCCAAATCCCCCTCTGCGAGAAACACCCAAGAATGATCAATTAAAAAAAAAAAAATGCAAACAGCACACTAAAAAAAAAAAAAAAATGAGGAAAGTGTCATATCATCACCATGTCAATACTATTTGCCTTTCTACAAGGTCACTTTTATAAGTACGTATATTTAGAACGAAATCCTACTGTTCAGATAAATATCTACTATAAGAAAAGGTACTGCATTTCTGCTTAAGAGTTATTTGAAACTAACAAATGCCACCAAAGGAATGGCAGGATGATTCAAGTAGTTTTGCAAATTTATTCATATTAATAAGAAATAACTGTGTAAGTCACAAAACAGTTAATGTTCTTTAATGCAGTTAGTAATGCTTCAGATTATAAATTTCAAAGACTGATTCTACAGTTAATATCAAATAGGTGATTATCTCTTCAGATGTAACCATAAAAATTGGGATTCAATATACAAAGCTGAATTCTGATTCAAGTGAATAAAGTGACACACACTGCAGCATCTCACCTAGAAAAAAACAGGAAATCAAATTACACTTAGAAGAATAAGGAGAAGTATATCTGTTTTGAATAAGGGACATATACGAGACTGACAAACCAATAAAAAAGAAATGAAAACCCAGACAAAAATGCAAATGGTTATAAAAGTGTACAGCAATGGTTCTCAGTTTTCATACACATTATAATCTCCTAACAAGCTGGTAAAAAAAAAATATCAAGGAACAAGCCACACACCCAAGATTCTGACTTACACCAGGATGGGCCCCAATACTGATTAAAAACTCCCTAGATGATTCTAAAGCACAGCCATATTAGAAAATGACAAATAGATTAGGGATAAACTGGATTCAGGTTATTTGAAACAATTTCAAGTAAACAATTTGAAATTCAAGGACCTAGAGGAAAACTAAGTTGGTCTCGGCCTCATACCATACAATGAAAACAATACTAGATGGGTTTACAAAAAAATTATAAAATTTTTAAAAATCTAAATGACCATGACTATAACATTGTAATATACAAAGCCTTTCTGAGCATAAAACAAAATGCTGAATAAAGACAATAAGAAAGAAGACTGGTAGTTATGATTAACCTTATCTAAACAAACAGCTCTTCTTATAGGCATTAAGAAAGCATTAATGCTAACAGGAAAATGAAATATAAAGGACAAAAAGGAAAGAATTTTAAAAACATAAAATGACTACTAAAGATGAGAAATGTTCAGTTTCTCATGTAAATAAATGTATTGAAAAATTTCCATTCTTTACCAATAAAATTAGAAAAAAATAGCTTTCACATCTAGAGCTATTTAGAGTACAAAAAATCAGAACAGAAGTACGGTTGTAGAAACTCTAAGGTGACATTCTTCAGAGAAATTTGGCGCAAGTGAATGTAAACACCTCCCAGAGATTACACTGGGAAGGACCTAGAAATGTATTCACATGGCTATATTTGTTTTTGTTAATTTACAAAAGTACGACATTTTCATTTGATTCTGTTAAACACCCCCTGACCTCTTCCATAATAATCCTTCCCTTCACTATGACTTAGACCAGTTGGGATCAGAGGAGCTGCTGGAATATTTGGGATCTGGCCAAGAAGCAAATGAAGTGAGATGCATTTATTTTGAGTTTAGAGATAAATTTTAATTTATAAATAATAAAAAGGCAAAAACAAAAGAAAAAAGGAAACAAAAAATAATGTTTTAGAATTATTTAATAATTCAATTAAAGAGTGAAAAAGACAAGTTTTCTGCTGATTGAACATAAAATGGCATTAAAAAATGTAAAAGAAAATTCATAATGAACTATAGAAAGAACATGAGTGACATACTGATTATAAACTCAGAGTATATTCAATATATTCAAATATTATTCACTGTGTATGCACACAGACAACATAAACACACGCACATAAACAAACACCTTGAAAAGTCTCAAAATATTACAACTCACATATCACAGAAACTTGGTAGAGATTTACCCTAAATGTGGATAACAATCCTAAAAATCTGCATGGCATACAAATACCAAGTTGTGACAATAAAAGAAATGTTTTAAAACTATAAGTAATGCTCTCCAAAAATATGTTAAATAAATCAAAAACTGAATCACCTTGCCATATTCTCTTCAGAAATATTACAAAATTACTGCGATGTGAAGAGGAGATCAATAATAGGTAGGAACAAAAAGTAAAGAAAAATGTCACGGAGGTGTGTCAGGTACATCTCTATATAATTAATAAAAAATAAAATTAAAATATGGTATTGATATATTAGCAGAACCCCACTTTACATATCTTACTTTCGAAGTCAGAAAATGCAGTAAGCATAATTTCTTTAAATATAGATTGTCAAAATCTCTCCATGTATAGTATCAATTGCAACTACTTCATCTCCAATCCATATGATCCACTAACCCCCTTGATTACACAAGCAATACCATAGGATCATTCTCATCTAATGACAAATGAAGTGACTGGACATAACTCATTCAATTTTTCATACCAAGGAATTCATGCAAATTTACATTCATTTACCACAACTGAATTCTCATTTGAATGGTATAAATTTTGCCATAAAATACCAATAGAAAAGACATCTGGACCAAATAAAATATCATAAAATCTGTGAGTTCCAACTGTGCTGCTTCTGATTTCTATGGAATTAAGTACAGACAGCCCAGTCCCTTCCATGACCAGGAAAAGTTTAAGCAAACATTAAAAACACATTTTGCATAAGATTCAAGACCTTAACATGTTAAGATTATTTCCACTATCTTGAAAAATATTAATAAGTACCTTAGATTAAAAGCCAAGCTCAATCAGTTACTATTGTCTATATGTAGTAAAATCCTGGTTTTAAATGATATTTAAAATCTAAAATATAGTTAAATTCACACAAATATTATCTCTAAGTAGTAAATTCCATCTATTTTGATAAATTCTCAGATTATAAATTTAGTAGCCCCATCTTTAATTTTCTCAAGTAGATCCTACTTAAAAGATGATTTTGTCAAAATTAATTAATTTAAGCTTACAACACTTTCTCCCTAATCATGAGTTCAAGATACAAACATTTAGGCAAATAAATATCAACAAAAAATACATCAATGCTACTACTAAATGCTTTATAATCCACAAATTGCTCTGAATTTATGCTACCCAAAATAATATTTATATATACATTTTCACAACCAGGGTGACAGGTAAAATTGGTTTAGTTAATTGTTTCAAAGGAAGGATGAAACTGGTGGTAACAGAAAAAAGATAAATTATATTCATGTTATATTATTGTTTACCTAAGATCAATTGACTAACAAGGAAAAAATGAGAGAGAAAACAAGCTTCCTTGTGTGTAAGCATTTTTATGAGCATGTGAGCATTTTCGTGAGTATGTGTGCGGGTCCACGGGTTCGTGCAGTGAGTAAGAGGTGGAAGGTATGTCTGTGGCTGTGTAGAGCAAGAAAGAGAGTGAGAAGGAGATCACATAAGGTCCCTGGATGATCACAATGTAGAGCAAGACAAAAACAAGATCACTGCATAATCATTGAAACACATGCAAAAATAAGAACACTATACAAACCACAGGAATAACCCAACACCTCTAGTTCCAGCTAATTTGAGTAACTCCCATGTTTTTGCTAATTACACTTTTAGCTTGCTCCAGTCCCCTTGTTGTATAGCTAAAATGAAGATACCAGATCATACAATTGCCCCCACATTCTGCCAGCATCCAATCCAAACCAAAACCACTCTTCTTTGAACCCTTCCCCTAACAATACCTAAGCAAGCCGAAATCTACTAACAAGCTCTTCCTAAGATCAATGGTTCCCTATGCTGTGCTGTTTCCCCTGTTGCACAGAGGCAAAAAAAAAAAAAAAAAAAAAACCTCTACCTTGACAAAAAGTGTGTTGCTGGTGGATTTTAGAGGACATTTACAGAAAGAATATTCAAGTTAAATTTTTATCCCTAAGTAACCTATATATTTAACTTTCACAATGAAAATGAGTGCCAAAATACACAGCAGTTTTCATGTATTTGATCATACCCTAATTTAGGTGATGAAAGCAAAAAGATGTGAGCCAAAATCTAATGAGTCACCAAAAGACATGCTGCAGCTCTTTTGAACAATGTACTCAAACTATTAAAAGGAAGTGCCATTCCAGAACTGATGTGCATGAAATCCTGCAAATGAAAAGCAATTTGGAGAACAGAGTTTAACACCCCAGCTTCCAGACAATTAAAGGATAAACTACCACTGTAATATTAAGCACTTCCTGCACTGCCTAGGCCTTCTGAATCTGGCATAAGTTCAAATGCAAGGATGTTCAATCAATAAAGATAATAAATTCAGATGCCAATTCAACAGCACCCTCTGCTTGCAGATAATTTAATTTCATTTAAGAGGATTTCCTAACCCAACACATAATTCGACAAAATCTATCTTTTAAATTATGAAGCTAATGTAACCCATTTAAGATATATAAATTTAAGCTAACCAGAAGGAATACATTATGACATTTTTACATTTAAATAGGCCCGACATGACTGAAAATTAGCAAGGATCCAGGTAAAAGTCTGTCTGGAGTTTGACACTGATCTCCTGGCAGCAAGGCATAGCAAAGTGAATCTCAGAATTTAGCAAGCATGAGAAACATCTGGGGACCCTGTAAAAAAAGATTCTGGCTTAATGATTATTCAAGTGAGGCCCAGAAATCTGCATTCTTGACAAACATTTCAGTTGTTCTGACACAGAAGGCCTTCCATTCCCACTTCTACACAATGCAGTAAAGTATTCTATAGCAGCAGACTAAAGTGTTTCCACTGGGGCAGATAATTATTTGTGCAACCTTTTTTTTTTTTTTTGAGACAAGATTTCCCTATGTCGCCCAGACTGGAGTGCAGTGGGGCAATTATGGCTCACTGCAGTTTTGACCTCCTGGGCTCAAGCAATCTTCCCACCTCAGCCTCCCAAGTAGCCAGGACCAGAGGCACACGCCACCATGCTCAGCTAACGTTACCCAGGCTGATCTAGAACTCCTGGGCTCAGGCGATCCTCCCCACTAGGCGTCCTGAAGTGCCAGGATTACAGGCAAGAGCCACTACACCTGGCCCTTATTTGTGCAATTTTAAAGTGGTGTTTTATCCAAAGAGAAATGCGAAGTTTGTAAAATAATTTTCCTCAAATGATAATGACTTCAAAAGACTTACAAATCTTTACAGAAAATAAATTAACTACTTAACATCTATGCTCTAAAAATGACTATAAATATTTTTGTAGTTAACAGGAAATCACATTCAATTGTTTCCAACTTGAATAACAGAGGTAAGAAAAAAAAGAATAAAAATCAGTTAAAATTCAATCAGAGGCCAGGCTCAGTACCTCACAAATCCTTTACAATCCCAAAACTTTGGGAGGCTGAGGCAGGAGGATTGCTTGACTCCAGGAGTTCCAGACAGCCAGGGAACCATGGCAAGACCTCGTCTCTACAAAAAACTTAAAAAAAATTATGCGGGCAAGGTGGCACATGGCTGTAGTCGTAGCTACTCAGGAGGCTAAGGTGGGAGGGTCATTTGAAACCAGGAGGTTGGGGCTACAAGGGGCCGTGATCATGCCACTGCACTCAGCCGAGGTGACAGAGTAAAGCCGTCTCAAAAAATAATAATAATAAATTTGATCACAGAGGTAACCACTGCTCAGCATTTAAGACTATCCTTTACTCCCCCTATGCTTCCTTCTATATTCCTTGAGTTTTGCTTCATTATATAAAACATCAAGGTAAAACTGTCAAAGGAAAGGCAGATCACTACTACGTGAAAGCCTTAATTTAAGGAAGTACACAATTGTAATAATTACAGAATCCACAGCCCTAAAACAAAGAAAGACTTGCAGTTAGCTCACAAACCCCACAGGAAGAAGTTTCATAACGGAGGGAAAGCACACATGGAACAGCCTATATTGCATTCAAGCCATCCTGGTAGCAGAAGAGCAGTGGCAGCAGTGACATGCCACTACACGTAACATGCAGATGAGCCCTATCTCATATCAAAGAGGCTGCCATCTTCCTCGTCAACACAGTACTGGAAAGAAACAAAACACAAAATTAAAAAAAAAAAAATAGAAAAAATAGAAAAAAGACAAAGAGGCAGCCATTGGCCTCAGTACCTTACAACCTAGATTCCAGGAAGCTTGAGTGACTTCTAGCTTGGAGGATTAAACACACACACACACACACACACACACACACACACACACACTTTGAGGGCTAGAACATGAGAAAGAAATAGATAAGGCTAAAACAGACATAATAAAATAAAAGGGAAAAGGGAGCCAAATACATGGGTAAGTTTAATAAATTACAAGAAACCAGTTTTATCTTAAAGTTATTGCTCTGCTACTTCACCCAAACACAATGCGGTCAAACCCATTATAACAAAGATGAAAGTATACGCTCTACCAATAACTGCTCTACCAATTTATATTGGAACCCTTTTTAAAAGAGCCCTTTTTAAAAGAGTTTCAAATCATCTGAAGTTTTCAAGACAACATGTAAATCCATATGGTTATGTGAAATCTTGTGATACTCAAACACTGGCAATTAATGTAATTCAAATATTTCTAAGACACTGTGAGGCACCACAGGATACAAACACAGACACATATACACACACACAAGAGAGAGAGAGACACAGACACAGAAACATACACACACACTTGCTCACATCTGCAGGCTGGTCATGCCCTACAGACTCCTAGGTACAGATTACTCCCAGGCTTCCGGGTGAATGTGATGTAGATTCAGCTGAGAATGACCGTGGTAAGGAGCGCATGGCCATCTCTGGCTTGGCTGCCACAACGTCAAGCATGAGGGCAGTGGCATAGATCTGACATTAAGCATCTCATCCATTTCCCTCTCACTCTCAGTTCACATGGCTGCATGCATGCCCTGCCCTCCTGGTAACAGTCAGAGGAAAAGCAAAATTAGATCATTGGCCCTGAAATGTAATATGGTTTTTTTTAGTTGTTATGCTTCATTATTCTATCATATGTTCTGATAATTTGTTTTCATTTAATTTAGGATAATGCACACTTGATTCTAAAATATATGCTCTCTGATAAAGTCTAATATACAGCATCTATAAGAAACAAATTTACAAGAAAAGAACAACCCCATTAAAAGTGGGCAAATGTAAACAGACATTTTCCAAAAGACATACATGCAGTGAATAAACATATGAAAAAAAGCCCAACACCCGTAATCCCAGAACTCTGGGAGGCTGAGGCCGGCAGATCACTTGAGGTCAGGAGTTTGAGACCAGCCCAGCCAATGTGGTGAAACCCTATCTCTGCCACAAATACAAAAATTAGCTGGGCATGGTGGCTTGGGAGGCTGAGGCACAAGAATCGCTTGAACCCAAGAGGCAGAGGTTGCAGTGAGCTGAGATTGTGCCACTGCACTCCAACCTGGATGACACGGCAAGACTTTCTCCAAAAAAAAAAAAAAGGAAGAGATGCCTTCCTCTCTCAAGCATGAGGGAATCAGTCTAAACAGGGTGAATATTTTGAGGTTGCATTATTAAGTAAAGAACAAATATTACACAAAGCTCACCCAATGTAGAGCAGCCAAAAAGAATGATACGTTTTTTTCTTGTAAATTTAAGTTTCTTATAGATGCTGTATATTAGACTTTATCAGAGAGCATATATTTTAGAATCAAGGGTACATTATCCTAAATTAAATGAAAATGATAATGAAATAAAGTTCTGGGAAAGGAATATGGTAGTTACATGTCTTATGATATATGGATACTTACGTGCTGTAAAAAATGAATATTCGGTTCAAATACAATGCTAGTGAAATGTAACAAAAATGACAACTTACATATTTAAATGGTGGCTACGTTTTTTTTCCCACTTTCAATAAAATTATGACATCTTAGAGCTGTAATGACTTTCAAGAATATCTCTGCCTTGTGGATGATTTTAAATTTTTAATATTCAAGTAGCAATTTGCACTGTTATTAATCCTTTAGCATATAGATCTTATTTTTATAGAGGTGGATTAAATGAAAGTTGACACAATTCCCGCAAAGATTTTAAAAGCTATACTCATCTTGTTCTCCAAGGTAGTGACAACAGCGGGCAATAATTGTTCACATTTTGAAGCTCTAATAACATGAAAGTCAGGAATGATTGTCTCAGCTAGGCACAGTGGCTCACACCTGTAATCAAGACCAGCCTGGGCAACATGGCAAAACTCCCTCTCTACAAAAAATACAAAAATTAGCTGGTCATGATGGCACATGCCTGTAGTCCCAGCCACCAGGGAGGCTGAGGCAGGAGGATCACTTGAGCCTGGGAAGTAGAGGTTGCAATAGCCAATACTGCACCACTGCACTCCAGCCTGGGTGACAGAGTGGGACCCTGTTGAAAGAAGAAAGAAAGAAAAGAAGGAAAGAAAGAGAGAGAGAGAAGGAGGGAAGGAGGGAAGGAGGGAAGGAAGGAAAGAAGGAAGGAAGGAAGGAAGGAAGGAAGGAAGGAAGGAAGGAAGGAAGGAAGGAAGGTAGGTAGGTAGGTAGGTTGGTTATTGGATTTAAAGCACATGGGGTAAAAGTAAAAATAAAAAGTGGTTTCTACCCACAGGATAAAGCCAACGTTTTTTACTTAGACTTTCAGTTATTTCCTCTGCCAAGAGTAATTCAATATAAATAACATATATAAATGCCAAGAGAGGGACGGAATCACTTGCTGACCACCCACGTGATAATCTTCAAATGTATCCTTACCAAAGTGTTTAACTTTTAAAACAAGGAACCCTATCATTAATTAGAAACAGACTGCTGCCTATTCTTCAATTTTAAAATATCCATTCTAAAGTAACTATGTGATAGCTCTAAGTAACCATAACCACTGTAACAAAGTATAAGTACCTTTAACATCAACACCCAACTCTACATCCAATCATAATCCCAGCATGCTTTAAGGCAGTGGTCCCCATTCTTTCTGGCACCAGGGACTGACAAATCTGGTGTGGGGTGGTTTGGGGATGATTTAAGCATGTTACATTTATTGTGGACTTTATTTCTATTATTATTACACTGTAATATATAATGAAATAATCACACAACTCACCATAATGTAGAATCAGTGGCGGCCCTGAGCTTGTTTTCCTGCAACTAGGCCATGCCCTCACGGGGGGATGGGAGACAGTGACAGATCATCAGGCATTAGATTCTCATGAGGAGCATGCAACCTAGATCCCTCCCATGTGCAGTTCACAACAGGGTTCACACTCTATGAGAATCTAATACCACCGCTGATCTGACAGGAGGTGGAGCTCAGGCAGTAATGCCAGCGATGGGGAGCAGCTGTACCTGCTGCCCTTGCTAGCTCACCTCCTATGGTGCAGCCCAGTTCCTAACAGGCCACTGGAACCTAACCACAAGCAGTCTGTGGCCTGTTAGGAACTGGGCCACACAGCAGGAGATCTGTGGCTCAGGGGTTGGGGACCCCTGCTTTAAGGAATGTTTACAATCTTTAACATCACTGAACTTTGTCTAATAATGTTAGAAACTACAGACAGAACAACAAATATAATACAATGTTGCTTTGAGTAACAGGTCTATGCATTCCTCATAAATGAAACATGAGTAAGTTAACCTCTATGAAAGAACAATAATATTTTATTATTAGTGTATCTGAAAAATAAATATTTATATAAGAAAAAAATTACCATCTTTCTACTCTCCTCAGACTCTTCTCTTTCCAAATATTCCTAAAACCATGATTTGCATAGCAGAAGTAAAAACCATTTGAAGTTACACAACAGAAGACTGACAAACCACTAAGCCACACACAACTCTTCAAAAGGCTCTGCATTGCTGGAGTGATTTGGAATCTTGTGGTTTCCCAAGGGAAGCTATAAAAATCAGGGAGAATGAAAAGAGTGCTGGCTGAAAAACCAAACAGATGGCTTCACCGACTAAAAAGCCAGCTGAGCTTAGAAGATTGTTCCCATTTAGAGTATCTTCCAAAAACAGCTTCATACGGTCGGTTTTCATTTTCCCATTCTTTGCCACTGTTATACTACTATTCCAGAGTTTGGACAGTAGGAGCAAAATATTAGCTTCCTGTAGAGGAGAACAAAAGACTATTTCTTTTCATCCTCCTAAAAAAGTTTAGAACTGAGCTGCACTCTCTGGGTCATCATGAGCCATCCCCTGGAAATGGGGCTTATACCATGGGAATAAGTGTACACAAATATATTTAACAAATACATATTGCACATAACATATAAATATGTTTTATGTTCATCCTATAATATATATCTATATATTAAATATTATATACACATTCATTCACACAAACATGCAAACATTGGCTGGAGGAGGGCAGTGCAGGTGATCTGGAGCATACCTTGCAAATCTAATTAGTACTAAATTATTCTGTCCCATTTATGTGATATATGTTAGCAATTTGTAAAATATTGAAAGTAACTGACAAAATGATTAATTTTAAACATTTATTCTGGCCGGCCACGGTGGCTCATGTCTGTAATCCCAGCACTTTGGGAGGCCAAGGAGGGCAGATCACCTGAGGTCAGGAGTTCGAGACCAGCCTGGCCAACATGGTGAATCCCCATCGCTACCAAAAATTCAAAAATTAGCTGGCCACAGTGGCGCACTCATGTAGTCCCAGCTACTCAGGAGGCTGGGGCAGGAAAATTGCTTGAACCCGGGAGGCAGAGGTTGCAATGAGCCAAGATCATGCCACTGCACTCCAGCCTCGGCGACAGAGCAAGACTCTGTCTGAAAAAATTAAATTAAATTAAATATAAAGCATTTATTCCACAGGAGAGAAGAAAAAAACAGTGTTCCCAGACCTCAGGAAGCAATGTTCTATTATGTAGCTAGTGTTGTGGTGAAGACTCCCAGCCTGCTAGAGCAGCATGTGCACAACAGGTAAGAATGGCTTGTTTGCTATCAAAGAGGTTAATATCCAATAAGATGTAAGATTACAATAAAAACTGTTGTTTAAACACAAAAATACCCTACTATATTACACATAGGAAGAATAAATACTTGGCATTATGCCCAAAACAAAACCTAACTGCAACAAGTAACTCTGCAAGAGAAACACCTTCCTTAGAAGTACCCTACTATATATAACAAGCAGAAGGCTCTGCCATGCACCAATGAACTATTTACCTTTCACCACTGGCTATTTTTAAATTTTAATTTGCTTTTTCTGTCTTCAGAATTTCAAACTTTAAATGTGAATGACAATTCTGCAAGAAAAACGAACAAGGAGAGTAAATTTTTAATTACTCGCTGGGTGAGGCGGCTCACACCTGTAATCCTAGCACTTCGGGAGGTTCTTATGTTAAAAATAAATATTAAAATTTTAATTATCATCTATAAATTGTTTTAGTCTTTCTGATTGACTACAATAACTTACTTGTTTCCTTTCTTGTCATTTCTCTGATAAAAGTGGCAAGAATGTACATAAAATCTACACAATAAAATGGCCAAAATATTATATGTAACTACAGGGATATGGGTCTAGAATCTGTAACTAAAACCAAGTCAATAAAAGAACACATTTAATGAATATTTTCTCAATGCTAAGTTCTAGGCACTGTGCTAAAATCTTTTCATTCCCCTTCCTCTAGCTCTGTAGGGGAGGTCTTATTACCTTAGCTAAGGAAACTAAAGCACAGAGGAGATAAGTTACTTAGCTAAGGGCACATAGTTATTAGGAAGCAAAAATGGGAGTTACCAACAGGTCCCTATTACTCAAAAGCCTGTGCTCTTAACCTACTACACTATGTACCTCCCAAAATATTGTTTTCACAGGAACCTTTCTACAAACTGGCTTCCAGAGAACAGAATAGCCATGGGAAGGCTCATTCTCATTCATCAGAATGATATGGCGTTCAACCTAAACCAGGAAAAGCAAAACTGAAAATGGGCTGAGTGATTTCTCATGGGAAATTTTCACTTTATCTTAAAATAGTATTACCTAATTTACTGGACCATCAAAAGTGACTAAGACTTCACTATATTAAAAAGTGAAAAAATGAAATATTCAATGGCAATAATGTTTTTGTTACCTATAAATGTATATATGCATTCTTTTTTTAGCAAATCAAATATATGTAAAGTAATACTGTTTGTATACATGTATACCCATGCCCACAAATCTCCATGATTTTAGCATATATAATTTTTAAAAATAGACATGCAGTTCTGCATGGGGTAGTATCTTTCTAACATATGTAAAATCACTCATTTAGTAAGCAGTGAAGTTTAAAAACGAAACATACAAACAGCTGGATATCCTGAAATCACAAGATATCTTTTTTTATATTGTTTGTTTATGGAATTTTTTCCCTTCTCTCTAGGATTTGAATAAACTCCATATATTCAAGCTACCTTCTGGCACTACATAATTCTAGTTTCCATTTGAAAGCCAAATAAGTTACAAAAAATTGTTTGTAAAAATTCAAAGCAAAATATGTGAAATATTAAACATAAGTACACTTTTCTGACAATGTAATTCAATAGCTTTTACTAAACAAGAAGATGACATTTTAAAACTCTTACTGTTTATTATTCTTTCATCTACTTTTCATGTCTTCAAAAAATTCAAGCCCTAAATCTGGAATATAAGTTTCTTGTTGACAAAAATCAGGACTTTTATTTTCTATCAAGAAAAATTCCCCGCAAAAACTTAATGCTGTTCAATAACAACACATAACACAAACTACAAAGACATACATTAAAGCAACATACTCATGGCTCTTTTTGTAATCTCTATTTTGAAGTATCATACTTCCTAATAAAAACGAAGTTTTGGATGATTCTGTTAAGAAAAGACATTGGTTATGAAATATTACAATGAGAAATTAGAAAGGAGAAATATAGGCACAATATCCATCTCAAAAAAAAAAAAAATTAGCCGGGCGTGGTGGCGCGCACCTGTAATCCCAGCTACTTGGGAGGCCAAGGCAGGAGAATCTCTTGAACTTGGGAGATGGGAGATTGCAGTGAACTGAGATCATGCCACTGCACTCCAGCCTGGGCAACAGAGCAAGACTCCATCTCAAAAAAAAAGAAAAAAAAATACACATGAAAAATCATGTTTTACTGTAGCTAAAAAATATGTGAACAGGATATAAAAATTGAATAAAAATCAAACATTTGAAAATTACAGGTGAGATGAGTAGGGATTAAAAATAATATGATTATAATTATAGAATGCCTAATGGAACAATTTTACGAACATGCCAAGGATATGCCTAAATTATTGAGATTTTTGTAAGTAATGATGAGAGAGGAAAAAATAATTGAGATATTATCTTTTATATTCTAAAAAACAGTAGGAAGAAAAGCTGGTGGTGGTTGACAACTTTTTCCCTGGTTAAACAATACTCATTCTTCTAAGTCAGTAGTTAAGGAACTTCGTATTTAATAAATTTCTGGAAAATTTTCCCCAAAACCAGTTTAGCCGTTGTAATATTTAAATTATACATAAAACTTGTGTCATTGTTATTAACAAAAAGCCAAATCACTACTGAAAGAAAAAAATCTGAGTGTATGTGCACACATGGTTGAGAATAAAGAAATCTGGTATACCTAATTTAAAAAAAAAAAGAAATATTATTTTTTAATCCTGAATATTAACAACTTTGCCTCATCTTGGTAATAAAATCTTATTTTTTTGGAAAAAGAAGGATCAGTTCATATCCAATTAAAGTTCTCAATGAAAATTAGAGTGGGCCGGGCGCAGTGGCTCACGCCTGCAATCTCAGCACTTTGGGAGGCCGAGGTGGGCGGATCACGAGGTCAAGAGATTGAGACCATCCTGGCCAACATGGTGAAACCCCATCTCTACTAAAAATACAAAAATTAGCTAGGCATGGTGGCGCGTGCCTGTAGTCCTAGCTACTCAGGAGGCTGAGGCAGCCTGGTGACAGAGCGAGACTCCATCTCAAAAAAAAAGAGAGAGGATATAAGTTGGTATTTAATTTTAGATAAAATTATCCAATTTTTTTTTTTTTTGGCGGGGTCTTGCTCTGTCACCCAGTCTCGAGTGCGGTGGCATGATCTCAGCTCACCGCAAGCTCCGCCTCCCGGGTTCACGCCATTCTCCTGCCTCAGCCTCCCAAGTAGCTGGGACTACAGGGACCGCCAGCACAAACGGCTAATTTTTTTATTTTTTAGTGGAGACAGGTTTTCACCATGTTAGCCAGGATAGTCTCAATCTCCTGACTTCATGATCAGCCTGCCTCCGCCTCCCAAAGTGATAGGATTACCGGCGTGAGACCCCGCGCCCAGCCCCAACTTTAATTTTTACAGTGATTTTTTTTACAATCAGGAAGACCTGGGCCAGGCGCAATGGCTCACACCTGTAATCCCAGCACTTTGGGAGGCTGAGGCAGGCGGATCACTTGAGATCAGGAGTTCAAGAAGACCAGCCTGGCCAACATGGTGAAACCCCATCTCTACAAAAAGTACAAAAATTAGCCAGGCTTGGTGGGGCACACCTATAATTCCAGCTACACAGGAGGCTATGGCAGGAGAATCACTTGAACCCAGCAGGTGGAGATTGTCATGAGCCAAGATCACACCGCTGCACTTCAGCCTGGGTGACAAAGTGAGACTCCATCTCAAAAAAAAATAAATAAATAAAAATAAAAAATCAGGAAGACCTGGAAAAAAATGCAATTCAAAAAAAACCATTTACTCTAAAAACAGCCATACCAAAATCTTTGCCCTCACAGTATCTTTCATTGCCAAACCTCCATGTTCTTAACTAAAATACTTACTCCATTTGTGATTTACACACTGTCTTACATGTGTATTAGAACTATACATAAGTAAATACTTATCAAATTACCAACAAGTTAAACTTTACTGGAATGGCTTTTATTTGTCCTTTTAAAGTTAATTATTACACAGCATTCTTTTTTAAATTGTATGTCAAATTCAGCCTGAAAGTAATTTTGCAGAGCCAGATTCCCAGGGGAAGAATACTGTTCATCATCAGAATCACTATTTTCCAAAAGGAAAGTTGACCCTGAATGTGGTCCAAGCCACTGCTTTCCTAATGCTGTTTTATTTCAACCACTGATGGTTATGCCCCCTCACCAAGCAGTGCATGTAGTAGATAGCTAAAATCTATCTCAGATAGGCAAGTAATGCTGGTATTTATCTTTCCCTTAGGCATAATATGTCACCTTCAGAATTTAAAAAACCAAGGGGCTTAGAACCTGAAGATGTAATTACCTGTCAGATTCTACTAAAGGCTTTTGAAAGTTAACATCCTATACCTATTGTTCCCATAGAAAAATTCCAGAATGTCCAATAGAAAAGCTGATTCAATTTATGCTATAGTCTATTTTGTGTCATTTAAATATAGTATTATCTGATACATGCAATACATACTTCTTACGGAATTAAAATTCTTTGAGATGGTATTTCACCACTGATGAAGTACAAATGAACTCCCTACACTTGCTTGTACAACCTAAAAAGCAGCAATAAGATAAACAGCTTTTTCTTAAATTAGCTCTACACCAAAGAGGAAAACTTAATGCATGAAAGATGGTTACAAAGTGCAGTAGTGCAGAGTTCCTCAATCTCTACATGATTGATATTTTGGGGCCATATAATCCTTTGTAGTGGAGGCTGCCCTGTGTATTGTACGATGTTTTGCAGTACCCTTGGCAGAGGCCGCTGATGCCATTGGCACCTCCCCCATCATGCAATCAAAAAAATGCCCCTAAACGTGGTCAAATGTCCTTTATGAGACAAAATCATCCCAGGGGTCAGAACCAATGAAGGAGTAGAAATGGCCACACACGGGTTGCAGTTTGGCTCTGCTGCTTTGGCTGTGCACCAGGGGGAGACACTTAACCTCTTTGCCTCAGTTTCCTCCTTCCCCAAATAACAGCTGTAAGGACTAAATTAGAAAAGGTTTGAATAGTGGCTGCTGCTACTGCTACTGCTATGATTGCTTCAATTGTATACACTGTAGCATCTCTCTAAACTTCAGTCTCCCTATGACCCAAATGTATGGTTTTTCAACAAAAGTTTTCTCAAGGGCCCACAACAAGGTGGGAGGGGGCATTACTAAGCTTATGGATTACAGATTCTTCCTCAAAGTCCATTTCAAGGCCCTAAGAATATGATCCAAACCCTAATTGAAACTAATAATCCCTGTGCCGCAGAAACAGGAGAGTCGGCTTGGTCACTGGAATGCTACACACAGTCCTCCCTCTGCACTCCGGCTTCCACTCTGTTCTGAAGGGGAACATGACCACAGCTCATGTGGAGCTACACACCTGTTGGAATCCAGCACCAAATGCCACTTTCTCTTTCATGAAGTACATGCCTGATGACATTCTAATCATCTCCCTCTGGCCCCACCCCAAACACCAAGGCCTCTCATAGCATTTGTACTCTGCAGATAACAAGTGACTCACAATAGTCACGGCCCAAATGAGCTCACTTCTCTGATGAATCACTGACACTTTTTCTGTCCTCACTCCTCTCTTTACCCTGCAGGGCACAGCCAGGGCACTGACCATATTATTGCTTAGGATATCTTTTCAACTGGACAGCTACCTTTAGACAATTAATTACAATTCTCTAATAGGTTGATATAGTTTTTATATATAGCTCCACAGTAAATATTTTTCTCATATAAGACTGCCAAATGTATATGACTATTGCTGGCTGAGGATGGTGGCTCATGCCTGTAATCCCAACACTTTGGGAGACTAAGGCGGGTGGATCACTTGAGTCCAGCAGTTCAAGACCAGCCTAGGCAACATGGTGAAACCCCAACTCTACAAAAACTACAAAAATTAGCTGGGTGTGGTGGCACATGCCTGTAGTCCCAGCTACTCAGGAGGCTGAGGTGGAAGGACTGATTGAGCTTGGGTGATGGAGGCTACAGTGAGCCAAGATTGCACCACTGTTCTCCAGCCTGGGTGAAAGAACAAGACCCTTTCTTATGAAAAAAAAATATATATATATATGACTATTGCTTACTGACATCCACAGACCCAACAAAACTAATGACTAATTTTCATGCATGCGTGTTTAGTTGATGGCCATTCTTTAAGTACATAAAATGTCCTTGTTATCTAAATGAAGAGGTAATAAGCAAATTACTGTGACCTAAAAAAAATTAACTCTAGCAAGTTTATTTATTGTGTATCACTGTTAACCAATTTATTTATTACTAAAATTATATTGTTCAGTATACACTCCTTTAGCTGATAAGTCAGGCGATGGTAGTTTCACACTGGGGGGCTCCAGATAGAAAAACAAGGGGAGTATCCAGCAATGCATGCTGCCCTTGTTACTGAGGGAATTCAAGACATAAAGTGTGTTTGTGTGGGGGGGGTGAGAAGAGAGAGGGTTCCAAGTGCCTATGGAGGCAACAAGTTAGGCAACTCTGTGTAAATGCCAGGGTTCTCCTGATGAATCCTGGTAAAAGAAGACATCAGTCACAGGCAAAGAAGCATAAGAATGCAGTTGCATATTTCAGCATGTACTCAGAGGATCCCATACATCAGAATTCTCTGAGGTGCTTACTGCAAACTGCAGATGCAAAGGAGTGGGACCAAGCCCCTGCATTTTTGCAAATTCCCCAGGTATTTCTCATGTGCACTAAATTGAAAGGAACTAATAGATTAGGGGGTGTTACTCTTTTACAACAAAAGAACATTCATTGCTGAAAAGGTATGAAAGAATGATACATGAATATCATATATATGATACATAATAATATAATTATTATATTATAATAATAGTATAATCATATGATATGTTAATAATTAATATATTATATATTAATTGTACTATTATATGTAGTATGTATTCATATTACATATGAATATGTTATATATTATAACATGTTTTATTATATACATATGAATATATAACATGTTATAGATAACATATATAACATACTGTTGTTATATATAACACATATATTCATATTATATATGTACATATTTATGATACATATGTTATATATTTTGTATATTATGTATAAGGTATGCAGATTTTTTCAAAAGACATTTTTAAATAACTGCCACTAAATTCAACGCGTGCTTTATTTTCCACATATTCACTGTATTAGGTGCTCATTACAAAATAAGTGGAGTTCTATAAAAAGATTCTAGAGAAACTTACAGAAACAACTCATGTTGACAAGTCAGTGAAATAGTGTCAGAATGGGGCAGCGTTATTCTGAGAATGTGAAAATTCAACATACATATCCAAAAAACCTACCTGTGGCCACCCTGGAGTAGTTCCCATCAGTGGCTGAATCTGACCTCTAGTAGATCTTGAGAACTGCTGACTGCTAATAATTTAATTTCTGCAGGGAATCTTAGGCGATAGAGACACTTAGCATAGCACCAAGGAGTGTGTCTTTCTCCTCTGCCAAACTAAAACCAATTAAATCAAATGCATCACATTCATCCAATTACACCAGTAAGAGTTAAAATGAGACTAATATCCCAAAGACCCTCAGGACTCATCAACAGTGAGTAACATCCTTAAGGGATCAATAAAATTAATGACATTTTAGTAATGAGACTTCTTATGAGCCATAAAAGAAAGAATTGGCAGAGGGTTGTAGAAATCGTCTATTTTGATCCTCAAAAACTAGAGAAAACATTTGAAAGAAGCCTTCAAACTTTTTTCAAAACAGGGAAGATGAACTTTTTAATATTCTATTTTGGCACCCACAAAAGTATCCTTTCTGCTTGCACATACCAAGAAGTTGGGGTCAAATACACCCGGATTGCAATCCTGACTGGGACTCCAGCAGAGTGACCTCAACCAGACAATTCATGAGTTTCAGTTTCCTCCTCAATAAAACTGGGCTGCTAAAAAGAGTCTACCCATTAGGACAGACCAGTGACTGGGGAAGAGTAGCACTTACCTAACCAACCAGCCTCTGCACCACAATTTCTACCTTATTTTATCATTTACATACACTGTCCTTCCTTACTGAATTGTTGCCAAAAAAAAAAAAAAAAAAAGAAAAAGTCAAACAGGATAAAGTGTACACTGCTTTGTGAAAAGTAAAGCATTACTCTCAAATGTTAGCTGATATTAATTTGGAAATGGAAGAATAAACACAATTAAAAGAGGAATGACACCCAGGATAGTTGAGTAAATAGTAAAAGGGCACTCAGTTTCTTTAAATGACTTCAAGTCTCTTTCATTCCTTCAAGATTTATTGAACAAAAGGCTATAGCTAAACATGTGTCTTCAATGACCTATAACAGATATTAGACATAAGCAAATACAAGAAAGAAAGGTCTAAGCCCTAAAATTAAGGTAAAGATAACTAAGAATTTCACTGTAGAGAGAGATTACTTCTAGCTGAGGGTGAGGAGATAAATCTTCACAAAAGAGGAAGCAGTTGGGATAGCCTTGAAGTGTAGTGTTTGGATAAAGAAGATATTCCTGGCAACAGCATAAGGAAAGCAGGAAGATGAAGCAGCACAGGTACGAGGTGCAAGGTAACTTGGTTTTACTAAAGCACAAGGGTGTGGGTAGTGCTGGGGCCATAAACAAGAAAACAGGCTACAGATAAGCTGTAGAGGGTCCCAAACATGCAGCCGGCAGCTGGGATTCCCTGCTCACACTACTTCCATAGGGAAACCTCAGAGTTCTGCATTAGCAGAATAATCTGACACTAAAGAGGAAGACAGAGCCAAGGGGTAGCCATCAACCTCCAAGGTAGTTAAAAAGTGAAGGCTTGAACAAAAACGAGTGGGTAAGAATGCAGCAAGCAAAGTGACTAATCATAGGCGATAAAAAATAACGGGCACGACAATAACAAAGCAAAGACCACAGCTTTCATCCGCCACAAACAGGTGATGCCATTATTATTAAAAAAAAAAAAGAGGACATAGGTGATATACTATAGTCCAGGATACCGACGTAACATTTGAAGTGATAATAGAACTACCCTCTACAATCTTGGTGAAACCACGAGGAAGTAGGATACACAGATCCGAGTAATAAGGGGAATGACAAAGGGTCTAACCAGGCAAGCAGCACCTACTATATCTCAGCCCTGTTCTGGACAAGAGATACATGCACAAACAAGACAGACTTAAAGCCTGCTGGCAAGAGACTTACATTCTGGTATAAGGAAGACAAACGACCACATAAAGAAGGTAAAGAAAGAGGGGCGAGTTCAGGACAGAGCTCTTTGGCTCTCTAACACTGGAAGGCCTGGTAAAGGAGGCTGTGAAATAACGGCTGGAAAGCTGGAAGAAAACAAGGTGAGTATAGTGTTATGAGAAGAATGTGTTGCAAGGATGGAGAGGGTGAGGGGTTGAGTAACATGAGGATGAAGAACTGACTCCTGGTTTTGGCCTAGAGACGACCTTGATAAAAGCTGTTTGATAGCCCAACTGGAGTGGGCTAAAAAAGGAATAAGTGGTGAGAAAATAGAGATGGTGAGTACAGCAACTCTTTCCAACAGTGTAAAGGTGTGGGAGCCAAGATAAGAATGTTCTCAAGAAGGACAAAGTGGTAGGATGATACCAAAAGTTCAAATGAAATGAGAACAGACTGGTTGGTTGTTTTGGGAAATGTATAGGTCAATGATTACAGCAGTTTCAGTGGAACAGCCAGATCAAAATAGTGATTAGAATGCCTTGAGAAGAATGGGAAGTGGGAAGGGGCAAGGAAATTGGTGAGACACAATGCTAAAAGTCTAAGAACTTAATCTTCTTACAAGGCTAACAGGGTGGGAACTGAGAGACATGTTCACTTGTGTGGAGGGTTGATACGTAGATGAAAAAACAAAGTGGCATATTGTGATTTCTCCCAAGAGCAGAACTGAGACCAGCAGTTTCGTGTGGTCCCTGGAAGCCTCTACGTAGATGAGGGATGATCTCCTCAAAGGAAAGGGTCTTCTTTTGGGGAGCAAGTCCTACACATCTCATATTCTAATTAACATCACTTATTATCAATTCCATTATCACCACAGGTCAACATGATCAGAAGCATTATAAAATATAGAAGCTACAGTTACTATATGGAATAAATGTTAGAAAAAAGAGGCTGGGCGCAGTAGCTCACACCTATAATCCCAGCACTTTGGGAAGCCAAGGCAGGCGGATGACTTGAGGCCCGAAGTTCGAGACTAGCCTGGCCAACACGGCAAAACACCATCTCTACTAAAAACACAAAAATTAGCTAGGCTTGGTGGCATGCGCCTGTAATCCCAACTACTCAGGAGGCTGAGGCATAAGAATCACTTGAGCCTGGGAAGAGGAGGTTGCAGTGAGCCAAGACCATGCCACTGCACTACAGCCAGGGCAACAAAGAGAGACTCTGTCTCAAAAAACAGATAGATAGATAGATAGATAGATAGATAGATAGATAGATAGATAGATAGAAAATTTTTTTTGAAAGGATAGAATCTAAGGGGTTAATTTTCTTCTGTTAACAATGATTAAAATCTGTGCTGGCTTTACCAAAAAGCTATAGTCACCCAATCAATATATTTTCCCTCCATCTAATAAATAATAATTAAGATAAATGAACATGTATACATTTAATTGCATCTACCAATAGCTTCGACATGTTTATGAATAAGAAAATAAGCAACAATTAAAGGACAGTAATGCAGTCAAGAATTGCCAGATTTCCACTGCTGAACTACAAGCCATAAGTCCCCATAATATGGAGCCTCACAGATCAATGAAAACATCAAGAGTTTCTTTTAACAATCTGTAAACTACTAAACACACCCCAATGTTGCTGGATTTCTGAATGTCCGTTTCTCTAAACCATAGCTGTGATAAGCAGTGCCTGGAGGCATTTGTTTGTTTTCCCACCATGTGTTCTTAGCACCCGGCCTTCCTTACTCGTGCTAGAGTGAAGAATGAGGCAGAAATAAGAGTCTGAGGTTAAGACTAGAAAGAGCGGATTCTCACTGAGGAGGAAATAATCATTTTTATTCTGTAACTGCTTGCTGCTATAAGCCAATCATATAATTTTAATTATGCAAAAAGAAACTGAATATGGCCACAAAATATTTTCAGAGCAAAAAAATGAAAACCAGCTCTCACAGAACAAAGATTCCACTTTTCACCTCATGTGTCCCTTTCATTCATTTTTATTTTGGTCCTTTTTTTTTTTTTTACAAATTATCTCTCTACAACTGCTTCTCCACTTGTTTCTATTCACAAACGCCTTATATTACCTCAGTTAATTCTTACATTATTTTTCCTCCTTCACAACTGCCTCTCACAGTTGAGTCCTACAGCCTCAGGAAATGTTTTCCTGGAAGAAGGAATGCCTAACAGCCCCTTGACGCCAAACTGGGTAATCTGCTCACAAAGAGAAGGCACCCGGTCCACGAAAGAACCACCATCTAAAGGGGCTTGACTTTCACCATCGCCAGCACTTTCTTAACTGAGTTCACTGACCACAAGCTTTTACAGTTCGCAGCGGCTATGCTCGGAAGCCGCTCTCTAGTAATCCAGGGAAGAGGAATCCAGGGTACTTTACGGAAGCCACTGGAAACGTTCCACTCCAGTGACTGCTAATCCTAATATCCCAAGCTAAGCTGCGGCTCAAGATAAAAAACAGAATTTTTTCACGTCCCAATGCCCTTTCATAAAATACAAACTTTAAACTTCACAAGAGGTAGTACCACATCATATCAAGCTACCACAAAACCAAAAACAAAATTAAAACATGATTTTGAACACATGAATCTCAATTAAAAAGTTTATGTAACTCACATGTCAGCTGAGAGGGCTAATGAAAAAAAGAAAGAAAAACAGAACTAATTGGAAAATTCCCTTACAGTTCTCCGAACAGCATCTTTCTGAAACGGTGAAGGGCTGATGGTAAACAAGCCAAGACGGTTTTAGAACTGAGGGTCTGCCCAGGCATGGTGGCTCCCACTTGTACCAGAACTTCGGGAGGCCAAGGTGGGAGGACTGCTTGATGCCAGGAGATTGAAAGCAGCATGAGCAAGATGGTGAGAATATGTCCTTATTTGAAAAGAGGGGAGGAGAGGGGGAAGGGGGAAGAGGAAAAGGGGAAAGGAGGAAGGGGAAAGGGAAAGGGAAGGAAAGAAAAAAAGCTTTTAATTTACAAAGAGAACTGAGCTTCTCTTCGCCAAAAGAAAATGAAGACGCCCAACTGATGAAAGCTTGTGTCTCCTTTATTTGACCTCCATTATTATATTTTCCCATAGTAACTACCTCCTACAATGCTGTTCATAATTATTCCGTCTGAAGCTCTGCCACAGCTCTCACATGAGCTGTATCGCCAACAGTGACAGCCCTGGATGTTTACGCACGATGATAAGGACTTCCAGTGAGGCACTGCTTGGCATCCATGAAAGAGTTCAAAGAGGAAAAATGCATGGTCTGTACTAGAAAGCTAAATTTTAAAAAGGATGCATGTTTCGTTGAATGTTCATTCTTATACACCTGGTTCATTTCAGAACTTCAGAAGTAGGAAGCCTAAGATTCACTAATACAAAACATCAACACTTCTACCAAAACGTGTTTTAAAATAACCACTGTCAGAACACATTATTATTAGAACTAAAGGCTGTACTCTGACCAACAAAATGCTCCACCACCCCAAATATTCATTGAAAAAAATATATAGTGGACAGCCTGTCTTATTTTCATGTTAATAGCAAAGTGGAATGCAGAAACCAAAAAAAAGAATATACAGGGAAAATAACTTTAAACATTTTAAGTTTTTGTGTTTAATAAAAACTCCTCAGACAAAATCCACAGGAGTTTCCCAGGATGACACATTATGCATCGGTACCCCAGCAGAACACAAGTGTAACATTCAACGTTGGAATAATCAGAGAAGATCTAATTAAGGGACTGAATTGGCGTGGGCAAGGTACAGAAAAACCAGAGGATAGACAGAGTGGTGCCCCAGGCCAGCTAACAACTGAGGTGTCAATAATCTAGTCCTAAAAGGACTAGAGAAGAGTGTAATTCCCCAAACTAAGGACAGAGCAACAGAGGATGGTGTGAGGCAAGTCCAACAGAGCGCTGCAGCCCTGGGCCCTCACTCTCCTCCTCTTGTAATTTCCTGCCTGGGCTCTACCAGAAGCCAGAGGGAAAGGGGGCCTGTGGTGGCGGCCCATACAGATCTGCAACCCTGGGCAGACAGGTAAGAGACTAGGGCAAAGTGGACTTGGAGGCACAAACTGCAACTAACAAGCACAAACACTGTTCAGTATATTAAACTAGTCCACACCATCTGTCACGATGGATTAAACAAACAAAAAAGCACATGCAACCAGTAACCACTTTCTCTCTCCAGTATGTTCTTATTCTGTATTAAAATATAAAACCACAGCTAACTTTTTTTAAAAAAAGAAAAAGCCAGCAGCTATTAGAAAAAGGATTCTGGATTACCATATCTGAGCTTTATAAGAAGTAAACATTGTCTCGCCTAAGGCACCTGAGGAAGACATGCTGAGAACTGTTCAAAAAACTTACCAAGAAATTTCTAAATATCTGAGGAGGGAAAGAAGAATCCCATGCCCCACCTGAAAGGCTGCAGCAGCCATAAGCATCGGTCTCTTCTCAGATTCCTGCTTTTTTCTCTTACAGATAAAGATGAAATCCAATGTGCTGAAGACACAGTGGTCCCCCTTGGTTCTCTGCCCCCAAAAAGAGAAGACTGGATTCTGCAGTCATTGACACAGGAAGCATTTGAAACAATCAAACAAACAATAATGACAACACACATACATACAAAACAAGATAAAGAGCCATTTGATGGAATTATATTAATGACTTATTTTTTGGTCATTAATTACAAGCCATTAGTTCAGATGTCAAACCCCACAAGACTCTGAAGAACTTGCCTGTAATGTATGGGTATTCTATGTTCTGTCTCTTGATGATCCCTCGGCAAATAAGAATACAATTCTTGGAATTCATGGAAAGTAAAAGTTTGCACCTTCATTCTGTCATTGTAATCATTCAGTCATTCACTCATTCAAATAAATCCAAGAATACAATTCACTAGTGATGCACATTCATATTAATCTTAAAATTCAAGCTGCGCTCATAAGATAGCCACTCAGAAAAAAAGTCAGTATAAATGAAGTATCTCAAAGGAAAAAAAAACATTTAAACGGAAACTGCAACTACAAACCATACTTGTGCAATTATTAGTCACAATAGCCAGAAAAGAGGGTCACATGCAGCAACAGTGCAACATTCTTTGCAGAATTTTTTTAAGATTAAAAAAAAAAAAATCTGTCTGATTCCAATGCTTTGCATATGTAACAAACGAGCTATTGTATAACCATAATCTCGGCCCCCAGGTGAAGTGGGGAGGAGGCAGTGCTTTACAAACCCGTAAAGAGTAAAAACATTAAATCAAACAGGCTTTACCAAATAAATACCCATAAAATAGATTTAGAGGGGAGAAAATTCATACCTGAGGAGAATCTAAAGCATATGACAAAACAAGAAATGAGAGGATTTATTGAGACATCACCCTGTGACACTGCCTTTTAAGTTAATTTGGAAACATCACTTTGGAAACAAATCTAATGTGCATCCATTTCTGTAGCTAACGCACAGTTTAAGTGGCTTGAGTCAGAGAGGGAGAGATAAGCATCTCTTCCTGAATTTCTGGCTGAAGTTCAATTATTAGTGACAGTGAAAGAAACTTAGTGACATTTGTCAGTTAACTGCTTGAGGATATGTTGGAAGGCTGTTTATTTCTCTGTTTTGAGACAGGGTCTGGCTCCGCCACCCAGGCTGGAGTACAGTGGTGCAATCATGGTTCACTGCAACCTCAATCTCCCAGGCTCAGGTGATTCTCCCACCTCAGTCTCCCAGGTAGATGAGACTACAGGCACGGGCCACCACATTCAACTAATTTTTGTATTTTTGGTAGAGATGGGCTCTCCCTGTGTTGCCCAGACTGATCTCAAACTTCTGGACTCAAGCAATCCTCCAACCTCAGCCTCCCAAAGGGCTGGGATTACAGGCGTGAGCCAACATGCACAGCCTGGAAGATTGCTGAAGATGTTACCCAACTATTTCCAGGAATTCTACTTCTTTTAATGGGGGGGAAAAAAACAGTAAATGTAATCAGAAACCTGTGATAGGAAATCTTGCAACAGGGTGGCTTTCCTTATGACTATAACCATGATAGTACTATGCACATGCCCTGCATAAGGGCAAAGGTAAAAGAAATTAGAAATGTTCAGTGTTATAACATTGCATAAAACAAAAAATTAAGATAGGAATTAGATAGAAATTCACAAAAACATAGCAGCAGCAGCTAAGATTGGGCTAAACTGTGTAAGTTAAAAGTCTGCATGCTTCATTCTGTCATCATACATTCATTCATTCATGCAGCAAATATTTGCTGAACGTGTACTATGTACAAGTTATGGTGCTAGGCACTGGGCATACAGGTGTGAATAAGGCAAAATCCCCTTCACAGAGCTTGGGATTGTGAAGAGGGTTCCAATTCAAATTGAGAAATGATATCAGTGAGAAGATGACATTTGAACAATACTTCAGAGAAGGGAGGGACCGAGCCATGCAGATTGGGGAGGGGTATTCTGGGAAAAGGATCATGGAACCTGGGGGACCTAGGGCATTAATGTGCCTTACTGTGTTGGTACAGAGTGGGCAAGGGTCATGGAGGTAAAACTCGAAGTCAAAGATGGGGGGTAGGGGTTGGGGCAGGGAGTGATCACGTAGCATTTGCTCACCATGGTAAGCATATTAAATTTTAATGGAAGCGAGATGGGAAGCTAGGAAGGGGAGATTCTGAGCAGAAGTATACACAATCTGACAAATGGTTTTAAAGCTGTCATGCTGGCTGCCGAATAAAGAATAGAGAGAAATAGTAAGACTGTGAAACCCACTGGCATAGCCAGGCCAATGACTTATAGTGGTTGGACCAGAGTAATAGTGGTGAGTGTGGTGAGCAGTGGGCATCCCAGAGATTCTAGAGCCAACAGAATTGATTGGGTGTGTGATTAAACAGAAAGCGAGTGAGCAGTGATGACTCCCAGAGTGTTTGGCCTGAGCAACTGGAGAAACAGAGTTGCCACTAAATGAGGTGGAGAAGTCTTTTGACAGCACTTTCTGGGCTTGTTAACGTTTGTGAAGCCCATCAACATCCAAGCGGACGTGTGAAGTAATCAGCCTTGATTTCATGGCAGGAGTTTGTGGGTTCCAAGGAAAAGTCCAGGCTAAAGATACAAATTTTAGTAGTCATTAGTAATCAGCATACAGATAATATTTAAAGTTGCAAGACTGAATTTGATCATAAGGTAATTCGTGTAGACAAGAAAATGAAACCTGAGGACTAAGCCCTAAAGCTCTCGAAGGTATCAAAGAAAAAGGAACCAACAAAACTGACCGAGAAGGGAAGACCATGTAAGGCAGACGGAAACAAGAAATGTGTACCATCTCAGAAAGCAAGGAGAAAAGCCGATTTAAAAAAATAATAAAGGAACAACTTTATCAAGTGCTGCCAGGAGGTCATGTAAGATGAGAATTTTTAAATAATATAATTTGGTGTTGGGGCTCAGAAAACTGATACCTCAAAACATGCCATTTTGACATACTGCAGGGGAAGAAACCTCAAGGCCTCTCTGACTTCCTCCTGGCCCCAGTCCCTTTCAAAGAAGGTGAAGTAGTTCCTTTACCTGCCTAAGATCCAGACCCACCAAGCAGAACAAATGTTTTTCTTTCCCTCTGTGCAAGACCAAGAATGTAAGCACACCTTCAGACCCTTTCACAAGATAATGTACAAATTAATCTGTTCCCTGATTTCATTCACTCTCCCTGGTAATTTCCTCAAAAGAATTCCGCTTTCACCCCTCCACCTCCAATAACCTATTTTGTCAGGATGATATACAAGTTTCTATTTCTTTATATTGATTAATTAATTTTTTTTTTCTTGTTCTGTTGCTGAGGCTGGAGTGCAGTGGAACGATCTCGGCTCACTGCAACCTGCACCTCCCCGGTTCAAGTGATTCTCCTGCCTCAGTCTCCTGAGTAGCTGGGATTACAGGTGCCCACCACCAAGCCCAGCTAATTTTTTTGTAGTTTAGTAGAGATGGGGTCTTACCATGTTGGCCAGGCTGGTCTTGAACCTTCCCAATTGCTTCTACAGATAACATCACTATTATAAAACCTAAGACTGTTTTTTTATTTTCTTTTTTGAACTGTTTTTCAGACTGACCCCATGGGACTCATGAGTCATGGCACAACTGATCCTGAGTGGACTCAGCACATGAGGACTGCTTTCCACACCCCTATGATTTCATCCCCAAACAATCACCAGCACCCATTCCCTAGCCCCCTGCCCACCAAATTGTCCATAAAAACCCTAACCTCCAAGGCTTTGGAGTGACAACTCCAGTTCTTCTGCATGGGCTGGCCTCACATCAATTAAACTCTTTCTTTACTGCAATGCCACAGACTTAGTGAACAGATTTTGCCTTTGTAGCAGGCAGGAAGAACTTGTCAGGCAATTCCACAATGAATGACCACTGACTTTGACAAAAGCAGTTCTGATAGCATGGAGTAGGTAAAAGGCTATGGTATTTAAAGAGAGAATAGAAAAATAAATATGGCCAGGTGCAGTGGCTCACACCTATAATCCTAGCACTTTGGGGGGCCAAGGCAGGTGGATCACCTGAGGCCAGGAGTTCAAGACCAGTCTGGCCAACATGGTTAAACCCCATCTCTACTAAAAATACAAAATTAGCCAGGCATGGTGGTGCACGCCTGTAGTCCCAGCTACTCCGGAGGCTGAAGCAAGAGAATCACTTGAACCCGGGAGGCGGAGATTGCAGGGAGCCAAGATCGCGCCATTGCACTCCAGCCTGGGCAACAAGAGTGAAACTCCATCCTAGATAGATAGATAGATAGATAGATAGATAGATAGATAGATAGATAGACAGACAGACAGACAGATGAAATTGAAAGATGAAATATAGGCAATTCTTCTTTCAAAGTATTGTTAAATAGAAAAACAAAGAAAAGGGATAGCAGGTAAGATGGAAAGAGGGATTAAGATTTTTTTTTCAAGCTTCTGCACAGCAAAAGGAACTATCAACAAAGTAAACAGACACCTTACATAATGGGAGATAATATTTGCACACTATACATCTGACAAAGGTCTAATATCCAAAATCTCAATGAAAGAAAGAAAGAAAGAGAGAGAGAGAGACAGAAAGAAAGAAAGAAAGAAAGAAAAGAAAGAAAGAAAGAAAGAAAGAAGGAAAAAGAAAATTCAGAATCTGTAAGAAACTTAAAACAACAAGCAAAAAACAACCCCAATGAAAAGTGAGTAGGCTGGGCGTGGTGGCTCACACCTGTAATCCCAGCACTTTGGGAGGCCAAGGCAGGTGGATCACAAGGTCAAGAGTTCAAGACCAGTCTGGCCAAGATGGTGAAACCCCATCTCTACTAAAAACTACAAAAATTAGCCAGGCATGGTGGCCGTTGCCTGTAATCCCAGCTACTCGGAAGGCTGAGGCAGGAGAATCGCTTGAACCCAGGCAGCAGAGGTTGCAGTGAGCTAAGACTGTGCCACTGCGCTCCAGTCTGGGCAACAGAGTGAGACTCTGTCTCAAAAAAAAAAAGTGAGCAAAGGACATGAACAGAGCCTTCTCAAAAGAAGACATACATACAAGCGGCCAACAAAGATATGAAAAAATGCTAAACATCACTAATCATTAGAGAAATGCAAATCAAAACCACAATGAGCTACCATCTCAAACCAGTCAGAATTCCTATTATTACTAAAAAGTCAAAAAATAATACATGCTAGTGAGGCTGTAGAGAAGGGGGAACACATACACTGCTGGTAGGGATGTAAATTAATTCAACCACTATGGAAAGCTGTTTGGAGATTTCTCTAAGAACTTAAAACAGACCTACCAACTGACCCAGCAATCCTATTGATGGGTATATACCCAAAAGAAAAGAAATGATTCTACCAAAAAGACACATGCACTCTATATTCATCACAGTGCTATTCACAATAGCAAAAACATGGACTAAACCTAAGTGCCCATCCACAGTAGACTGGATGAAGAAAATATGGTACATACACGTCATGGAATACTATGCAGCCATAAAAAGAATAAAATCATGTCCTTTGCAGCAACACAGATGCAGGTGGAGGCCGTTATCCTAAGAAAATTAACCTAAGAACAAAAAACCAAATACCACATGTTCTCACTTGTAAGTAGAAGCTAAACATTGGATACACATTGACACAAAGATGGGAACTGTAGACACTGGGGACTACCAGAATGAGAGAGGGAGTACGGCAAAGGCTAAAAAAAGCTACCTTTTGGGTACTATGTTCACTGCCTGGGTGATGAGATCAATTGTACCCCAAACCTCAGCATCACACAATATACCAATGTAACAAACCTGCACATCTACCCTCTGAACCTAAAATAAAAGTTTATATTTTTTAAAAAGAGAAGATATTTTTCAAATGGGAGAAATAACAGCTTGTATGCTGATGAGACTGATCTAGTGGAGAAGGAAAACGTGATGATGCAGTGAATGAAGAATTGAGATGCCTGGACAATGGTCTTCAAGTTGCAAGAGGGGCTGGGGTCAAGTGCACAAGTGGCCTCACTTAGACCCATAAACAATTCAATCAGGTAAAAGAATGGGAGTTCAAGTGTATGGGCACCGGGACTGATAGGTAGGAAAATGTGCTGTGTGCAGTCTGCAGAAGTTCTCTATTTTCTCAATGAGATGAGAAGCAAGACAATCAGCAAAGAATGAGGATGGAGACAGGAGGAGAGAGGGAGAGCCAACGAACTCGGCAACATGGCTGGACTGCTGGGCATCGTGAACAACTCATTGGAGTCCTAGAATTTAGGGATAGGAAATGGGATGGCTGCATGCTTATCTCCAGCCATGGTCAGATACACAGGGACAAGCAAGAGAAATAGCTAAGTTGAACAAGATGGGGATTTTTGCCAGATGAGTATAACAAAGTGAAAGAAAGGCAAGGTGTGAAACCAAAGGTATCTTTACAATGATGGATCATGCAATAGAAACCAGTGAAAGGGGGAAGTAAGAAGTTGAGGTGAGTGAGCAACCATGAAAAGTAGGATCAATGGATTTTAAACCCTACTGGGGTCCAAGTGCATGCTACAGTTTGGGTAGTGGAGAAAAAGAGCTTGAGAGACAGGTGGTGTAGATCAGAGGAAGGCATGCCTGAAACTGAGAATATGGATACCTATATGGTGCTCATATTAAGACCAGAAGACTGAGTAAGGGAGGCAGGGGCTGCCCAACAGCCATTTTCCTTCCTGAGCATCTCTCCCACAGCCCTGCAATTCATGCCTAACTTCCCACATTCTCCAATTCACTCCTGCCAATGAAAATAATTCATACCTATATAAACGATATTTTAACTCTTGAACAACAACAACAAAAAAAACAGAATGACCTCAACAATCTTCGTGGGTGGAATATGAATAGGCAGATTCCCTCATTCAACTTTGTATCATTTCCCCAAAACCAGAGAGAAAAATTAATGAAACTGGGATGTTTCTACTCTAATCTACAAACATTTGTCCATCCACCAAGCACAGAAAAATACAGTGCTGTTGCTTTGAAAGTTGCTTAGCCAAAATAGAACCTATTCAAAGGTGATCAAAATTTCTAAAAACAAGAAGGTCCATTTTAGAAGACATAATCCTCTTAGTAAGTATGCAACATTCAATGCTTAAAACAGAAATAAAATAAAACATCCTGCTAAAATCTCTTTGTAAGTTAGAACTGGCTTTATTCATATTTTATTCACACATATAAATTATCTTGCCTGTAACTAAAGCTTAATATATATTTGCTGGATAAAGAAAAAGAATTTCATCTGGTCAAACGAATTAGCCAATAAAGAAAAATATCAGCCAGGCACAGTGGCTCACTCCTATAATCCCAGCACTTTGGGAGGCCAATGCAGGAGGATCACTTGAGACCAGCCAGGGCAACACAGTGAGGCCTGTCTCTATAAAAAAACAAATTAAGAAGTCCCAGCTGCTCGGAAGGCTGTGGCAGGAGGATCATTTGAGCCCTTGTGATAAAGCAAGACCCTGTTTCAAAAAAAAAAAAACTCTCATTAAAATTGCAAACACATTATATTTTTACCACTGTCCTTCAGAAGTTTATATTGAACCTCTTCTTTAAAATGCTCATAGGCTCCCCATCACTCAGAATAAAAAAGGTCCGGATAACTCTGTAAAACTTTCAAGACACTTCATAGCCCAGCTCCACCCACCCTTCTAAACACACTACACCTCAAATCACTCAGAAGTGACTGTCAAAAACACCTTACCACATCTAGCCCCCATCTTTACTCAGGTTGCTGACTCTCTCCTTCCAAATATATACTTCCAAAACACCATCCAATCTTCACCAGGTCAAATATGATGTCTCTCACAAAGCTGTCCAAATTCATGCCATGTTGGAATTAAATTCCCCCCATCCTATAACCCTGATTACCTTGTACTATTTTACAGCATCTGTCAGTGATAAAAGCCCAGCCTGTCATTAATTCAAGTGCTGGAAAGGAGTCTTTGCGAGCTTCTCATGCCCCAGCATAGGTCCTTCCATGATGGCAAACTGCAACCTGACACTTGATAACGTCATCACTATTAACAGGCAGCTTCCAAAGGAAGCTGGAAGTGTAAAACTAGCCCTTTCCTTGTTCTTCGAAGGCTATACCTTGGATACAGGGCATAGCCACCAAGACTAAGGCTCCAATAAGGTCCAAGGAATATACAAATTGTTGTAGCATTCGAGGAAAGAAAAACAAAAGCAGTCTCTTTATTCTTGAGACAGTCAAGTGGATTATTTCCCGTATTTTTGTTATCTCTCTTAAGGGTTAAAAATAATCAAATTTTGCCAGTAGAATAGCATAATATGTGTCAAATACAATTAGGAAAATGACTTCTTAATGACTAGACAGTAACAATCATTTTATCTCTTTTGAATTAAAATGGAATGTAACCCCGAACCTCAAAGTGGCAGGCATCTCCAAGTGTTCATCACAGTAGTAGTGAGAAGACAATACAGCAAAAATGATTGCTTCAGAGGAAGGTCATTTTCTTTTGTTACCTAATGCTTTACTATGCAACCCCCTAAACCCCTCACAGGAAATCTGAAGCACCTAAAACAAACTCTCTTAGGTAGATGCATGAACACCTGTTTTGTAAAACCTAAACAGTAGAAAGAGATCACGTGCTTCTTGCATATTTTTACCAATAAGACAATATAGGGTGAGCTGCATTCTAGCAAATTAATAAAGTATCTTTGAAGTAGTAAAGGAAGTTTAAAATTTTTCCAAACTAAAAAAGCACCCCACAGAAAATTCTATGATTTAGAACGTTTTATCATGTTAATTTCAGTAAGACTAACTCGAGAATTTCAAATTGTGCCCCTTTTTATAAGTCCAACACTTAATTCTTAAAATAGAGAAAGATAGGTAGACAGCAAAATCAAAAAGACTCTGTCTTAGTACATTTGGGCAGCTTTAACAAAGCAAATTACAGATAATTCACAAATAATAGAAATTTACTGTTCACAGTTTTAGAGGCTGGCAAGTAAGTCCAAGACCAAGGTGCCAGCAGATTTGGTGTCTGGCGAGGGCCCATGCTCTGCTTCAAAGATGGTGCCTTGTTTCTGTATCCTCACATGGCAGAAGAGATAGAAGGAATGGGGAAGGCGAATTTGCTTCCTCAAGCCCTTTTGTTAGAACACAAATCCCATTCATGGGCGTGGAGCCCTCAATGCCTAATCATTTACTACAGGCCCCACTGCTTAATACTAGTGTATTGGGGTTTAAGTTTCATCACTAATTGTGGAGGGACACCAATACTCAAACCATAGCAGACATAATAATAAATACAAACAATGCTAATGTTTTTTAATGTCAAAAGGCACTCATGAATTGGTCCAATACCTCTGCACCCCTCATTATAAGCACTGATCTTACCAAAAGCATGTGGCATATCATAACGGTATTACAAGTAGCCAGGAAATGATGTACTCATCTGTTACTGTCTTAGACAATGCTTTATTAAAATGGGAAAATATGGGCCAGGCACAGTGGCTCATGCCTGTAAGCCCAGCCTGTAATCCCAGCACTTTGGGAGTCAGAGGCAGGCAGATCACCTGAGGTCGGGAGTTCAAGACCAGCCTGACCAACACGGAGAAACCCTGTCTCTACAAAAAATACAATATTAACTGAACATGGTGGCGCATGGCTGTAATCCCAGCTACTCGGGAGGCTGAGGCAGGAGAATCGCTTGAACCTGGGAAGCAGAGGTTGCGGTGAGCCGAGATTACGCCATTGCACTCCAGCCTGGACAATAAGCGCAAAACTCCGTCTCAAAAAAAAGGGAAAATACAAAATGTACTATGTTGTAAACAAATAACAGTCTCAGGCTTTCAACTGCAAACAAGGATGATGGAACAGAATTGAAAAAGAAACGCAGAAAGTGCAGTTGCTCCTAAAGGAGTGCTTAAACCCTGACTGTTAGCTCATTCCCTGCTCTCAACTCTCATACTATCCCTTCCATCTACATTAACAGTAATATGTGTCCATTAAAACCGCATAAACTATCAGAAACTCTGACATTAGTGTGGCCTCAAAGGATGTCAAATACACCTTATTACTTTTTATAGTAACTGTTTGAATTGTCATCTGGGAATTTTGTGATTCTGCTTATATGGATTATCATAATAGAGTAGAAACTGTCCAATTTTTCCCATGTGCTAGCTTTCCTGATAAGAAGGAAGGAAAGGCAGCCAGGTTGGCTGTCACTGAAATGACTCCCCTTGGGCTCTGCCACACCCACCAACAGGGCAGGAGGACAAGTGAAGTCCACTGACCCACCCTTCAGAGAAGAGGTATAGGTAACAGCCCTTTGCCTGCCTCTCACAAATCCCAATGGAGAAGCGCACTGTACATGAAACGTATTCTTCACCAGCTGGCGCAAGGTATGAGCTAAAGAAGGAAACACATGATAAAAGCCCATTTTGCAAACTAGAGCCTAAGACAGTGCATTAGATTCTTTAAATGTTGCACTACATCACAACAAATGGGTTTGTTTCACCATATCCTTCAAGATTACCTAATTACTTGTTTTAAATCAACTTGCTTGCATTTAAATTTTAATACTAGGAAACATTTTAATGAAAGGGTTTTTTATTTTTCATTTCATATCCCTGGGTAGCTAATTTTTTGAAAAATATAATCAAGTTATATTATCTAGAAAGAAAATGGACAATTCCTTATCCCAGAATAAGTACTAGTGCTTTATTTGTTTAGCTGCAAACACAGAACTAAAACCATCGTTACTTAACCAAGGTTATGTCTCAAGTATGTCATAGTTTTCACTTCCACTGATTCCAGGGAGGACTGATACGACCAGTATTTTCTTTGCTTTTTATTTTTTATTTTTTGTTAAATTCCTCAACATACTGAAAATGCCCACTGATTTGGAACAATATAGAAAAGGTACCATACGAAAAACTCCAAGAATATCACAATTCTTGAAATATCAACAATAGAAATAGTGAAAAAAAATATTCTTTTCCTTATTTCTTTATCAAAAGTAGTTAAAAAAAGGATTAAAAAACACACATGGTAACACATAGGGAATACCAACACATCTCCGGGAGCAACCATCAGTTCAGCAGACACTAATACCTGCTATCCTCATTAGAATCCAGTTACTGGGGAAAGAAACAACCTTACAAACATTTCTAAGCAGAAATGCCTTTGGACTATAGCAAAACCAAAATTAGTTAAAGCTGCAAATATATAAATTCTCTCTCTCCCAGTATATTTATTACCCTTCAGATAGAACAATGAACAATTTGTACATGGGTTTTCTTTACTTTCAATCTACTCCATTCACATACATTAATGATCATTTCTGTTTTTATCCACTGTGTTTGGCAGAGGCATTTGTATTCATTCATTCTACAATGAATGCCAGGACTATGAGCTTCCTGGAACCCTGCCTCAGAGAACAGCGCCTATGTGAAGCATGTCAAGGAATGCCAGCATGGTGTGTACATCTTCTCCAGCAGTCTTCAGAATAACCCTAGGAGACAGTACTTTATCACACAGGGGAGAGGTTAAGGGTCCTGACTGCAAGAAGTGACAGCAAAGCTGAGCTGCATGGTATCAAGTATTCGTTAGTCTGGGGAGGAGCAGCTCAACTTGCTGCTAAAGGAGAATGCAGAGAAGCATAGAATGGCAGGAAAGGAGGAAGGGGCAGGTGGGCAGGAAATAAGGCTGGCCAGAAACAGCAAGGCACCATGAAGGCCCCTCCCTGGCTCTGCCTGCACCTTGAGAAAACCTCTTTCCTAAGGTCACCTGCCATCTTCCCGTTCTGTGCCAACCTCCTGGGAGAAACCTTCACAGATGGTCTGGCTACCATCTAGTTTTGGCACTGGGTTTCCACCTTCCTCACAAACCTCACAAACTGCCCCAAGTCCTGGGCAAAAGTAGGGGAGCAACCCTGCAGAAGGGCCTCATGACCTAAGAAGCCAGAACCAGGATCCAAAGGACATGGGGTGTTTACCCCCTCAGGCAACAGTGCCCAGTCCCTGCCACCTCCCCGAGCCCCAGCACCAGCCTCCTCCCATGTTCTTATGCAGAGCCAGAAACATTCAGCTGGGTCACACACGTTCACAAACATGTCCTTTGCAATACGTCAACAAAAGCTTCATGACCACAATAATTTAATTAAGTTTTTAGATATAATAACTTATTTTAGAGATCAAGGAGATTAGTCAAATTTCTCCCTTTTGAACTAAATATGAACATTTTATACAAGTGCTAACATTGTTAAACAGGTCTGACTTATCTAGCAGAGGTAGGAAGTGAAATGTATCATGAAGGACAGGCATGAATTTCAACTATTTAACACTATTCATTCTAAAATTCACTAATGTACTAGCTTATTTTCTTAATCGGGATATGTAATTCATCAAAATCATTAACTAGCTTGACAGCCCACAGTCATCATTACAAATATCAGATGCAATTACGCACACTGAAGAATTATTGATATTTATACTCCTGTTTGAAGCTAGAAACAGGTAATTTATCCAAAGCCTCAAATCTAGCAAATTATGGAAACTCTAATCTTTCAGATTCCTCATCGCTGATCATTTTCTACCTTCTTGTCTTTTTACTTCCATATTAAAAGTTGGAGGTTTTTTTCCCTCATCCTCTAAGTGATGGCATAAAAGTTTTTTATTAATAGAGCTATACATAATTTTAAGTAAATTAAGTAATTTAAGCCAGCCCTTTTAAAAAAATAATCTGTTATTTTTTTCACTGCACATGTGATAACTGGTTGCTATAGAAATATTTTAAAATAAAGATAAGCAAATTAAAACCCTGCAAAGATGACGCTAAAATTTAATAAACATCTTTCTATAATTTGTAATACAAGTAAGCATTCAAACTAAGAAAAGATCCTATTCTATAACCTTTCTTTAATCCATGACCGTGTATTACAAACATCTATCTACACATATCAATAAACGTACCTCCACATCATTTTTAATGCTAATTAGCATATCATGACTGGATGTACCATCATCTATTCAACTATCCCGCAGCGTTCAACATTTACTTGCTATCAATTTTTTCAGTTTCACAATCAACACTGTGAAGACTATCCAAATAAATACATTCTTGGGCAACTACTGATTATTTCCATAGGACAAATTCCCAGGTGTGGATGCAGGGTCACAGGGCACACATTTCTAAGGCTGGTGCCTTGGCATGCTCTGGGGTGTACTAATTTGCATAGTTTAAAACTGCACTGAGTATTTCCATTTGTCTTCTGCACCAATCTGAGAGGTGAGAAATGGCACTAACCTCTTTGCATTTCTATGACTACTAATGAGATTATATTTACGTTTTGTAGTTATTTGCTGACTATATTTCTGCTTTAGTGAACTGCCTGTCTTTTGCCCAGTTTTTCTAATTTTGGTGTGGAGGGACCCACAATTGTGCCTCTCAGTGCTTTAATTTTCTCTAATAAGATGGGGGTAATAACATTATCTATTCTATAGGACAGTTGTAAAAATTAAACAAGTTAATGTAAGTTCAGCCTTATGCCTGACACAAAGTAAGGACTCAATGAAGTTTAGCCATTTAAAGATTAATGAATTACAAATGGGAATTTCTTTATATATTAATGTAGTGCTGCTTCTCAAACTTGCCCAAAAACGACCCCTAATGGCAAAAAAGAGTAACTCATAACCTCATGGCATCTGAAGGTAAAAACCATGCAGCATACCAGATGTATCAAATTTCCTTAAAACATGGTTTTATTTTAAAATATTCAAGTACATTTTATATTCAGCTTCAAAATATTTCAATTTTACCATATTTTCCTTCTCACGAACTTGCTATTAAGTGACATCCAGGGATTACTTGGACATGCACCTTATTAAGGATATTAACCCACTACCTATCATATACTTTTCTATTCAGCTTGCAATTTTCAAAGATATACGTGAAATCTTCTTTCATGGTGTCCACCAATGATGTGCCGCTTCAAAAGTCTTGCTCCACTCAAGGATCAAATAAATACTCCCCTATATTTTCTTCTAATATATTTAACATTAAATATTTTTTTAAGAATTTTTTAGCGGGACAGAAATCCAAATTTGTTTTTCCTCACCCTCTTTTGCTGTCAAATATACTCTAAAATACTAAAGACTTCAAAATAAGTGTATATATTTACTTGTTTCATTAAATGTTTTTACAAAGTCTGCCATGTTAAAAATACGAGTGAAAGCTTATTTTTATTTTTTTTTTACATAAATACAAACTGGAGAGTATTCTATAATTTTGGACACAGCATTTAATACAAGAAATCTTTGAAACATCAGACAGTGGCAAAGACCCACCTACCCTTCTGGTGATTTTTCATGGGCCCTGCTGAATAGCTTGAGTTCACAAAATCAAATTCCTATCCCAATATGCACAATGCCACTGGATGTGCTAGATCAGATGGTCATCACACACCCAGATTAATGATCTACAGCACTACAGAAAGGTGTTACACTTGAGAGCCTTTTGGGTCCAGTAAGAGGGGCAAGTGCAGCACTTTGCAGCTCTCTGTCCCACCTCCATTGCCTAACTACATCTGTTCTCTTGGCCACATCGTGAACTCCAGGACATGCTTCCACTAGCACAGAGCTACAGCTGGACAAGAAGCAGACCCCTCTCTCTGCCTATCCATATGTAGCTGATTATAGAATTACATTCTTTACTTTCTAATACTCTCATGTAGGTTTTAGCATTTTCAGTATGTTTCACATATTTGTTTTATTTTCAAAAGAAAGAAATCAATTTTTTAAAAAGTTCCTGGGGCAGATCTGGTAAACAAAAATGGGAGAATGCACTCATGGTAACTGTCACAGGACAATAAGAGACAAAGGGAGTCCAAATTGCTTTTAAGAGGTTAATAAATATCAATACCTCGTAGAAAGAAAAATGTTTATTACATGCCATGTGTCAGTCACTACTCCAGGAGTTTACTCTCATTATTTGATTTAATCATTACAACTAACCTATCATTATTGTTCCAATTTGGTATTATTATCCCAATTTATAGATGAATTGCCCAAGATGATATTACCTGTAAATGACAATGCTAGGATTCAAACCCAGGCAGACTAAATGTCCTCTCTTTACCACTAAAATCTACTTAATGTCCCCAATTAAGCTAGGTACCTCCCCACCCCCCACCTCAGAAACTTAGCAAAAAGAGGCCTCTTTGCTAAGTCAGTGCTACAAAGACTACATCCTCCCCCCAAGAAGATCTTGTCACACCTGGTCCCACAGGGATGTGTTCTGCCCTGATTCTCCGTGGCTAAATGGAGCATGTTGGGCCAGGTGGGGTCCTTCCGTGGACGCCCGTTCCCACCTGTGCCCCACTCAAGCCTCATTCTCTCAGTGAAAGAATGAGTGGTGGGGGACCTGCACACACTGCTACTTGTCAGCTTGTAAGGCCCTCCCAATACATTCTATTTCATTTTTGTACTGTGTGTGCCTGTCTGTACCCACTTCGCACAGCAGCTACACTAAGTAACATGTAGAGATTAAACACATTAACAGTTTGCAATAGATTTGGAAGAAAATTATAACCTCATTTCACAAAAGACAGCACTTCAACTTGATGGTATTTTAGGTTAAATGCACAAACTTCCTACACATAAAATGGGCACTTCATTTAAGAAACAACTAATGTAAAGGGAATATAAACAATAGTATAAATAGCCCTTACTACATTAAGTTACATCCATTTTTATCATCTTCTCTTCAATATAAAACATACCGATTACAAATGTGTAACCAATAAATATCTTCTAAGACTCTAGGTCAAGGTTATAAGGAAAATCCATTCCTTACAAAGGACTTTGCAGGAAAAAAAATGTATGAAGCGACACTGTCCTCTGCTGGTGAATTTTCCACACTGTCTATGAATCTTTGAGTAGAAAATTTAATATGTTAATATTTAAGTACCATAGTCCATGATACAATTTACAGTCTAATAGTGACTTTTAATTGTATGAAAATGTTAAACAAATACATAGCCAAAGCCAATACAAAATTTCAGGCTGTTTTTACAACAAGGAATAAAGAACGCCATTTTATCTGAATATAGTTTCAACACAGAATTCCACTTTACTTCTTTCAACAGCATTTTGAGTTAGTAATTGTATTAGTGCTGTTTACTTCCATTTTAGAATCAACGTGAAATGTCCCTTAATTAGATATCAATTATTAATTATAGAGTAATGCTTTAAATGCTGAAAAAGTCCTATGAGTAAAGACACATATTTATACTACCCTCTTCCCCTAAAGTTTTGGCTACAAGTTAAATATTCTGGAGGAAACAAATTTTAAAACATCTCTGCTATGTGTCTATAAGATGCATTTAGACATTGGTCCAGAGCTCTACATGTACAGATACTACTGAAAACTTTAACAATAATTTTACTGAATTTTAAATAATACATGAAAATAGACTTGCAAAAAAAATAAATAAATGAATGTCAACCTCACAGAAGTAGACCGCATAAAAGATGAGGGTTTGCCTGTCTGTATCTCAAGTTCATTCCTCTGGCCATAGCATTAACCATGTTTATCTTTCATTTATTTTTCATTCAATTTACATATTTTTAAGATTGCTTTTTAAAAATACAGCTTCATGCTAAAGAAGTATTCCTTAACTACTCTTTGTCACATAACAATATATTTTGAAGATCATTATCACATCAATACATACACCCTGCTGTTTTTAACAGCTGTATAGCAGAGATTTTTCTAAAAATCTATTGAGTCAATCCTTTAATGCTTGTAAGCATATTTTCACAATAGTAAAATTGGGCAGAGGTGTTATAAATGACCTTGTTTAAAACTGGTTACGAGAATAGTTTCTAGAATCCTTGATCCATATCATAAATCTTAGATTGTTCCCATGAAATAAAATACCTATCTACGTCACCCATATAAATAAACAATACTATGCAATGCTGTTTTCATTTTTGCCATACTAATATTTAAAGGCAATTTCATTTTAAAATTCACTTGAGTCTACAACTGTGCACAAATAACTACAAAAATCATGTAATGCCAAACACTTTTAGTAACCCAAAGAGAAATTTTTAAAAACCAAACCTGCCTGGCACAGTGGCTGACACCTATAATTCCAGCACTTGGGGAGGCTGAAACGAGAGGATCACTTGAGCCCAGGAGTTCGAGACCAGCCCGGGCAAAAAAGCAAGACTTCATCTCTACAAAAAATGTAAAAATTAGCCAGTCATGGCGGCATGTGCCTGTAGTTGTCCTAGCAACTCAGGAGGCTGAGGTGGGAGCACCTGTAGTCCCAGCTACTAGGGAGGCTGAGGTGGGAGGCTCTGGTCAGTGTACCAGCCCTTTGCCTCAGAGACAAAACCATTGAGGCAGAAGACTTGGAGTCACTAATCTCCCAATTCGCCCATAGACTCTATTGAGACAACAACAGGTACTTAGGAACGGTATACCACGATGCTGAGAATTCCTTCCATAGTGTTGCCTGGAGAGGTTTACCCTGTGGAGTTTCCACAAACGAGAAGTACCATTTACTTCAATGCTTAATAATAATTACTTCTAAGAAAACAAATCTGACACCATCTGCAATCATGTCCATCAGTTCCAGAAAGCAAACGGAGAAAAAAAACAAGGGAAAAGTGCTCTCTCATCATGAAATCAACACACACAGCATCATGTTAATCTACAACTAAACTTGACATGTGCCCTTTGAAATTCTATGTCTGTATACTTTCCAACCTCAAAATGTTTCTTTGAAAACAGAGTGTGTTGCATCTTCCCAATTTTCTCGGTAAGTAGCTATGCGTCACTTACTCAGTCATTTGAATCTGGGCTCCAGATTCTCCACAACTCAAAGCCTGGATACTTTCAGAAATATGGATCTGAACTCCAAATCATTTTCTTCGTTTACACAGAGGCCACTCTAACTGGCAGGATCCTCAATGTGAACATAAAATAAAGGGTAATAGGAATTGAAGGAGAATCTGTGCTCAGCACATTTTTCAGTCTGAGGGGCTGAATGAAGTCACAGGCTGATTTAGCTTTGCCCCAGACACCTTCCATCTCAATAACACCAGCAAACATGTCTGTATAGTAACTGGATCAAAAAGCAACATAAATTGATCACAAGGACCCTACACTATAGAAATGCCATTTAAGATACCCTGCTATAGTTAAACCCACCTACAAATCTGAGAACGGCAGTTATCTGTTACGAAGTCTTGGTCATGCTTTCTCAAAAGAATCATTTTAGGGCTTAGGATTCAGCATTAATTCTGAAGGTCATAAGTGTATACAGCACCCAAATTCAGAAGAACCTCTCTGATATTCTAAACAAATGTCAAAGACTAAAGGAGGAAACCATGTTTTCTGAAAATTATGACCATATACCTAAGTATGTTCCCCCAAACTAATGGCTGTAGTTGTAAGGCAATCTAGACATTTCAGGACAATCAACACTTGGTAGAGTCAGTTTGAGGGGAAATTATACAACCGAGAAGAGTTTCATACAAGGGCTAATCAGGGTTTAGAAGTGTTTCTTCATAGTCTTTTCCCTCATCTATCCCTCAATCTCCTGCCAAGACGGCCTCCAATGTGTATCCCTGTTGGCATACTGATGTTACATTTGTTCCTCGTTAACTATATATACTATGGCATCCTCAAAAATAGAAAAGCTTGCATTTAATTTTTTAATATAGATGATATATACTCTTTGGCTGTTTGCTCTTTTAAGAAGCACATCAAATTAAAGGATATTTTAAGCACCATCTGCTCTCTGCAACAATGGACAATAATGTTTTAAATCTATAGTATCCTTTATGGTTATTGCAGTTAGCATTTTGTTGTGCTGAGGATTTTTTTGTTTGTTTGTTTTTTGTTTAATGTAGCCCTCCTTGCCTAGGCTCGTACTTAGAAACCAAGCTAGGTTTTTTTTTCTTTTGTGTTATTCCCAGTTTAATTTCCCATTGCCACAAAACTGTTGACTAACGCCGTTTAGTTACTTTTTCCTCTCGTATCTTCCAAATTCACTGGAATACTCCTTTATGATGCCAGAGAAAGGCATTACTAAAGGAATTTATTAAAGTTTTTCTTAAAAATACATTCCTTCAAATATACAGACCCAGTTATAAATGCTGTCATTCAGTAAAACAGAAACTGCAAAGGCATTATAAATCTCTTCCAGTATTAACTGTAGTGGAATAAGCCGAGGTGACAGGTGTGGACACAGCCCATCAACAAAGACAAGACTGGACCCGTGCACCAAGCACAAGCCCACCTACCATCTGCTCTGCACCCAGGGAATGCAAACAGAGCCATGAGCTAAGGTGTTCATTTTCAACATTCTGATTTGTTAACAAGATCTGTGCAATGAACTCTTATGTACTACTGTGGTTCTGTGATGCCCCTCAAAAAAAAAAAAAAAATCCACTGCAAACCACCTGTCACATTCTTTTGGGATACGCTACAACAATTTTCTTGTAGTAAGTATCTATAACCCAGAAATGTTTTACTTGCTGTAAATGAAAGACATATATAGATATAGGTATAAATATATAGATAGACATAGATACAGATTTTTTTTTCTTTTTTTTGAGATGGAGTCTCACTCTGTTGCCCAGGCTGGAGTGCAGTGGCACAATGTCAGCTCACCACAACCTCTGCCTCCCAAATTCAAGCAATTCTCCTGCCTCAGCCTCCCAAGTAGCTGGGATTACATGTACCCACCACCATGCCAGCTAATTTTTGTATTTTTCGCAGACATGAGGTTTCTCCATGTCAGCCAGGCTGGTCCTGAACTCCTGATCTCAAGTGATCTGCCCACCTCAGCCTCTCAAAGTGCTGGGATTACAGACGTGAGCCACCGCGCCCGGCTAATGAAAGATATATTGAACAGAATGATATATTAAAGACATGGCAAAATAATCTATAGGATCTTGAATAACATTGTGTAGATTTTCGAAAAGATACAGATATATGCTGATATTTTAAGAGATATACAATGAACTGTTAACAGTTTTTTACCTTTAATAAACTAGAAAGGGTGCCATTAAATATTTTTATTTTTACAAATTTCAACAATGGATATTTGGGTAGTAATATTATTAGCCATAGTGATTTCCTTTCCAATGCTTTTCTGTAAAATTTTTAAAAATTACAGTGTATGGACACAATTGGTTATTCAATGATTCCTATATCATTGGACATTTTAGTTACAATTCTATTTTCACTGATAAAACTGGCACTACAACAATCACCTTTTGCCTACATTTCTGCTCATTTCCTAAGAGTGTGAGAAAATGGTAAAAGCGCAAGAAGATGTTTACCAAGACTGATGCACACTGCCCACCTTCTCTTCAGGATGCTTACTCCAATCATATTCCTGCCAAGAGAACACAGTGCCCACTCTACCAACTACATTCTCCTGGGGACTGGGCATTTTCTTATTATCTTTACTAATATGATTTAAAAAAAGAAAAGAAATCATTATATAAGTTTGAAAACTGTTTCAATTTTATTTACCTTCAAAGAAACAAGTTTTCATGCTATTTCAATAATCAACAAAACAGTCATCTTTTTAAAAAATTAACACTCAAAATCAAAGGACAACCCTGAATATGCATTCCTAAGAACTGGGAATATGCTGCCAAAAATCAATGAAAATGATTATCAGGCCTTACAAAAATACCTTTTACGAAAATTTTAAACAGTTAATAGAAACTAATTGGGTTTTTTTAATCGAATCAAAAAACCTGAAGTATATGAAACTGATGTGGGAAATACAGTCAAAGCTTAGCAGTAATCTCTACCATCCAGGATGGTGTTTTTTCCAAGGGATTACAAAACACGGCCTTTCAAATTCAACAAGGGGCACAAGAGCTACACTGTGTTTCTGAAGATATAAGCAACAGCTCCTTCAAATTCCTTCTCTCAGCAATCTGGTCCACAAAAACCCACTGTTAGTTATTGGCACTTCTTTTCATACTGCCTTCATTTTAGCAAAAAAGTACACCTGAATGCGAGTGAGAAGTCAGTAAAACTATCTAATATCCATCTGCCCAGCCTGCTGTTGACACTTACCCTGCAAACACTGTCCCCACAGACACTGTTTCTCAGCACCTCAGGCCTGAACTCCACCAGTCTTCCCCCAAATTAATATTCAGGGAGTTCCCTGACATAAAAATGACCCACAATGAGTCACTTCCTAAATATGTACTTGGGGAGAGGGACATGGTGCCAGGCGAGTTCTCCCATCACCACCCGCATCCTCACAACCTGTGAGGCACAAGTGAACGCCCTCTTTACAGGTAGGAAAACTAAGCCTCACAGAAACATGTCATTTGCCCCAGGTCACACAACTATTCCACACAGAACGACAATTCCAACACAGTCCCAGGTGATTATGTTGGGTTTTTTACGTGCACTCCTGACAGCCATCAGGACATTTACTAAGCTCTTCAGAAAGAGGTATATACAGTGCATTCCTATCTTTAACATCTACTCTATTTCTTTTCCAACACTCTCCCTTCCTCCCCTTAAAAGTACTACTGGGCATGTTTACTTGATCATGAAATATGTGGGCACAATTCTATATGTGTTCACAACACCTATTAATTCTTGGAGAAAAGAGACTGTAAATGATATATGTACAAAACATTACACATCTCCAATTTATAAATAGATATTAAGTTAATGTTTTGGAACTCAAAATTCATACTGGTGGAAAAAAATAGAAGATGCAGAAGAACCCCAACCCAAACAACAAAGGCCTAATTTAACTCCCTAAAAACCCATGGCTCTCAACCCACAGCATCCACCAGAGTCACAGGAAGATTTCAGAAATGCAAATGTTTGTCCCTTATCCTCAGATATTCTAATCCTACTGATTTTGGTGGGGCCAGGGGTCCATACTTATAATGTTCCACAGAGCTGAGAACATAGACTGAAGTCTGTAAGCGCCACTATACAGAAACTACATGTCTTACTTAGTTTTTTAGCCACAGCACAGGGCCCACCAAATAATAGGTGCTAAAAGTAAATATGTGTCACGAAATGAGGTATCAGAAGCACATATTGTGGCAGATTCTGTCAATGAATCTTTTTCCTTCTTTCTTCCATCTTTTTCTTTCTTCTCCACAGGCAGAGCCCCTTTCCCTAAAAACACCAGTTACTCGCCAGTTACCTTTCCAGCCTTTCTAACAGTTGGCCACAGGACATAAAAGGATGTTTTCAAGTGTGTTTCAAGGAAAGATTTTCCTCGCAAATGGGGGTAGATGAGCCTAGTTCTCACACTGTCTCGCTTCCTGCCCTTGGCAGCAAGATGTCTGAAGTAAGCACAGCTATCAAGACAAGCCTGCCCAGAGACAGTGAATCTGAAGGACAGGAACTGCATGAGACCTCATGAGGTTGCTGAGCTGCTACACCAACCCTAGGAGCACATATCTGACAATCCCTTATGTGAGGTAAGAGCCCTTTTGAGATAAACCACTGTGTGTCACCTCAGCAGAACCTGCAGGGGTGGAAGTGCAGGAAAGCCTGCATGGATGAGAAGCTGTGGGAAGCCAGGGCATCTGACTATGGCAAACTCTGGGGGGTGCCCAGGGCCCTGCTGACTCTCCCACCAGTCCCTCCTTCCCTCCAGGGGTTGGCCAGCCTGCTTCTCTCAAACGTCACCTCATGTTCTGCCCACTGCTTTCTCTTCTGGGTAATCATGAGCCAGAAAACACACTACCAACTTTTGCCTTCTTCTGCAGTCACCATGTCTAGAATAGAGCCTTTAGTAAAAATTTTTCCTATGTGTTTACTATTATAAACACTGAAAAAATATGGAAAAGTCCAAACTAAGGCATTAAAAAAAAAAAGAATCCTAAAGCTTCAAAAGTGCTACACTAAAATTTGGCCCCTGATAATCATACAAACATACATTGAGATAGGTGGCCCTTAACTTTGACCTCATTCTCTATACACAAGTCCTTTTATCCAGACAGATGCCTCAGAACTTCCCCACACACACTTGATAAAATGAAAGAGAAGGTAGAAAACCTTTGCTCTCACCCCTACCGCCTTAATCAAAGAGCAAAGTCAAAGCCTCAGAGTTAACGACGGTTGCACTACAGACTAAAAAGGAATTCACATGTAGGTTTATCGACAGAGAAGACGAATCCAAAATAACATGTCCATTGGCTTCTCTTTGTGTTTTGAGACAGGTCTTGCATTGTTGCCCAGGCTGGAGTGCAGTGGTGTGATCACGGCTCACTGTAACCTTGAACTCCTGGGCTCAAGCAGTCCTCCCACCTCACCCTCCCAAAGTGCTGGGATGACAGGCGTATGCCACCATGCCCCTGGCTCCACTGACTTTAGGAATCCAAACTCAACCAATTGTGAGATAGAGTCCAAAGCCACTTGGTGGTGACATCAGCTACAGCTTTCATGGGACAAGACCATTCTGAATCTTCAAGAATCTTGAGAGTGATCCCACAAATCACACACGTGGCTGGCGCTTATTTAAGCCATTACACCTAGAAAAATGAGTCCAGAAGGGTACAGGACATTGGGGGCAAACCTACATCTAAGCCGGGCCTCACTGCCCTATTTTCTTCTTCATCCCAAACTCCCTCCAATTCAACGTAAGATATAGGACCACCCTGAAAATGACACATTGTAAAAAGGGGGCCAGTATAGGACAGAAAGCAATTATCTCTGAATGTGCATCATCACTGATCAAGAAAAATAAGATGTGTCTAGTGCCCAGAGCTCGATCTGACATATTGGAGACAATGTCAAATATTATTACTATTGTATTTAACTACAAGAAACTAGACTGAATTAAAAACAAACTAATTCTCAATAGAGTATAGAAGTTATTCAAAAGGCAAATTTACTTTCTTTTAAGGTACTGACAAACTATAGACTCAAAAGCAGATAATGCCTTGATTTCAGGTTAAGAACTAAACATCAGCATCATGAGGCTTATCACTTCCTTTCAAATCCCATAATGCAGCAAATGCAAGTTAACAACAAATGAAATCAGGCTCCCTAGCTCCAGACTTCAGCAATATATACTAACCAACTGGTTTGATACCATCATACCTGAAGTCTCAGACTTCTTGAAGTTTCAGATATCCTGAATCCCACAACTCAATATTTTTTCAGTATAAAAAGAGGACATAATGTGACTATGTTCTTCATATCTCTTAATACTTCTTCCAGATGTGTGAACACTCTCTCCAGAGGTAGAGGTTTCTCATGAGCTAGCAAGTTAAACACACACACACACACACACACACACACCCCCATGGAAAAGGCACAGAGGACTCATAGGGCAGTGAAACCACTCTGTATGATACTACAATGTCAGATGCCTGTCATTGTATATTTGTTCAAACCCACTGAATGTACAACACCCAGAGTGAGCCCTAATGTAAACTACGGACTTTGGTCTGGTTGCCTGGGTTTCCTTAAAAAATAAAAGTTTAAAAAAAACTATGGACATTGGGGGATAATGATGCATCATTGTAGGTTCTTTATTTGTAACAAATGCACCTCTCTGGTTAAGGATATTGATAATGTGGGGGGCTATGCACATGTGGGGAGAAGGGGAATATGGGGAATCTCTATACTTTCCTCTGAATTTTGCTGTGAACCTATAGATGCTCTTAAAAGTAAAGCAAAAAAATAAAAGAGCGCAGCAAAACTACTCATCAGCTCTGTTACACTGTACCATCAGAACCTAGGAATCAGAAACAGCAAAAAGTAGAGGTAAAAAAAAAAAAAATGCAGAACATAAAATCCCCATACTCACTAAGTTCATATTATATATGTCATGTCAGACACTTAAAATTGAAATGCCAAGAACTGTTAAAATGAACAATACTCAAAGCAGTCTACATTTTCTTTCCTTCACATGTCACAGGAACAGAGAAATATCACTATACTAGTATTTTGTGATCAAAAGCATATTAAAATATAACCTAGAGACTCACCACAAAAATGATCCCTGATTGTTTTAATAAAGACTGCCCAAGATTAAAGATTTTCTGGAAGGATGCTACCAGATTTAAGAAATATCTAACTTAATTTTAGAGAATTGAAATATAAAATAGAATGAACCCACATCATGGCACTTACATGCTAGACAATTTAATAGTTGAAACCCCTGCCAGATTAAAGGGAAATCAGTTTTAAAATTCTATCATCTCTTTTTAAACTTGTTCAAACATTTGAGGATTCAAGTATCAAAATGTCTTAAAATTAGATAGTAAGGTAGTACTCCTGGAGTTTATAAGAGAACATTCCCAGCTCTGCAGTACAGTTTTTCAACTTTCTGACATATCATGTTAATATGATCACTTAAAATTAAAATAAAAGATATCATTTTTGTGTCACCAACTATTACCTTTCCTTCCAATAAGATAATATTTATTCTGACACAGTAAGTCTCTTTCACTGCACACACTGTAATAAATACACTGCTTCAGACGGTATAAACGAGATATGACTGTCCCCAAGACAATGATTCTTTTTTACTCAAGAAAATCAGTACAGTAAATAACTTTTCTTCCCTTCGAGACAATCATAGTGCTTGAGGCTGCTGAAACACAAACACAAAATATCTTCACAAATGTCTCCAAACAGTCAAGCTGAAAATCTAAGCCAAAGTTTCATTTAACAGCCTGTCAGTTTTTTGATGTGAAGCTAATGAATGCAGTGGCAAACAAATCCATCAAACCTAACATCAAACAACTGCACTTCATCCCAGCAAACGGAAAAATGAAATACAACCTGCCGGCCGGCGCTTTGATCCAACCTGGCCAGGAAGCAGACCTGTGAGTGTCACGGCAGCAGCTGCACAGAGTAATCACGGACTTCATTCCACCACAGAAGGAAAGAATGCTCCAGAAACAGAAAACAGTCAGCTCAAATATGCACAAATGTCTTATTTCAACTGCTAAACGAGCTGTTGAAGTATTTTTAAATCTCTATCAAGAAAAAATAATTGCATTTCACTCTGTTATGCCAACATTCAAAGCTACAAAGATTCCTAAAACAAAGAACTAGATGTTACGTTCCATTAATACTACAACTTTGCAAGTGGAGTTTTATTAAAAGCCCCTCTGTTCTTTCTGAAAGCTCCTTGAAGACAATATATATGTTTTTCTTCTTTGTACACACATGTAGCACAGGAGGAACTCACTGGGCACTCACCAAATCTGACCTCTGCCCATCAGCAGCAAATGAACATGTGACTACCTGAAACATCACTCTCAATTTTTTTCAGTAATGATCTTGTCTTTGATTAGAGAAATGGGGGAAAATTACACAACTGCCTTCTTAGGTCAGTTGTTCCTGCTAAATGCAAGGCCCTTTTGTTCTGGAGCATCTTACAGGATTTGGCTATGCTATATTTTGCAAGTTAAGACAAGAGAGCAGAATGATCCTCATTGAGGGAAAACACAAGCAAAGACAGAAATGAGAGGAGAATGGTAAGGCCTGGGCCATTATCAGAGAATATTAGAAACAGGGATGGTCAAACTAAGCAGCTACCAAAACTAAAAGGTAAATGTCCCTTCACTCTCTCCTCTGCCTATTTTCCCCAGATCTTCTACACAATCCATACACACACAAAAAAAGTCTGTTTGAGAGATGAGGCAGTTTGGATGGATACTGTGAAAAAAGACCATCTGGACTGAAGGACTGAAAAAACAGAGAATTTACGCACAGGGACAGACACCTCTCCTAAATACAATAATTCAGCTGAGAATATCAAACATCCAGGAATTTGCTAAAATTTGGAAGTGTATCTGAGCTTTACACAAATAATGAAATTTCTAATCAAATGTACCCAAATCTTAAGAGCCAGGAAGATTTATTGAACAACTATCACATATCAATAGGTCAGTAACAGATTCCGATGAAAGCCACAGGAGCCCCCTCTCCAGTCCTGCTCCAGGGACACCAGAAGAAGTCAAGTAGCCAACAGCAAAGGAAGCAGACCTTGAACCCCTCCCAGTGTCAACTCTACTCTCACCCCTGTTCTCATAGAACAATGACTCACGAGTGATGAATTCATAGAAACATACATGATGCCTGGCACACAGCAGATAAGCCTAGTCTCCATAAGTAGAACTTCTCCCCCTTCTACCAGCCATCTGAGACATCTGAAAAGGTCCCTAATGACAAAGCCTGTTGACTTATGATCAAAAGGTCCCTACTGGGGAACATGAGGTTATCTTTTCAAAACCTACTTTTTTTTTTTAATTAAAAAACAAATTGCCTTCTCTAACAGCTCTTTTCTGAGTCACCTAATTAAAAATACTGGTTTGTATTACACAAAATTATATTTTTATATATATATATATATTTCATAGTGTTTGTGATTACATATATGCACATATAATGTATGCAGACCCCACACTCTGCACTATTTTGCTTATTTAATGCTGTACAACAAATAATTTATCAGATACTTATACACATTCAATAAACCCCATGTGACAGGTAAAGCAGGTGGCATCACCACCAATGCCTCATTATGAAAAAGTGCTCATATTTTCATAGTAATTATAAAAGTATTGTTCATAATCACTTATGAACAATGACTTTTTTATAGTTACCATTTAGAACAAACTGATGAAGACAAAGAATTAAGACAAATATGGGCATCCTCAATGCTAAAAGTCTTTTTAGTGCAATTCACTACACATCAGTTTCCAGGAAAACACATAAATGTATGCCCAGTGCACAAATTTGCCAGGGATTAGAAACTACATATACATGCAACACAGTAAATTCATAAGGTTACCTAAAGAATCAGACTTGGAGATCAAAAATATGTGTCAAATAACTGATTAAAGATACCAAAATCTGGGTAAAAAAAATGCTAACTCAGCTTACTATAATGTAAGGTAATTTATTATCCAAGAATAGACATGAAAATATTAGTATTGATGGTATAAATTAAGAAAGCACATGATATTTTAGTGAAACATTCGAAACTATCTCTTTATAAAGTTATTTTCCTGTTTTTATGCAAAATAACTAAAATTGGTTACATAACTCAAAATATTCTTTTTTCTTAATTTTTGTTTTTATTTTTTGTAGAGACAAGATCTCACTCTGTTGCTAAGACTAGTCTTGAATTCCTGGCCTCTAGCAATCCTCCTGCCTCAGCCTCCCAAAGTGCTAGTTATAGGCATGAGCTACTGCCCCAGCCCAAAGCAGATTCTAAATATGTCAATGATAAATTGGTACCCCCTGTAGTAGTAGGCAGATGCTTCCCCTCCTGCACCCCCAACAAAGATGTCCTCATCCTAATCCCAGAGATCTTTGAATGCGCTATCTTGCATGACACGTGGGATTTTGCGGATTGCCTGCTCTGAAATGCAGGAACTACACAGGAGGACTAGAGAGAGGCTTCTAGGAGAAAAGTCCAGCCTCTGGTTCACAGTCAGCAACAAATATGAACGTTTAGTCTTACAACTGTGAGGAAGTGAATTCAGCCAACAACCCAAAGGAGCAAGGAAATGAATTCTTCCCCAGAGTCTCAGTAAGAAATGCAATCCTGCAAACATCTTGACATTTAACTGGTGAGACCAATGCTAGGCCTATTACCTACAGAACCATGAGATAATAAATGGCTATTGTTCTAAACACAAAGTTTGTGGTAATTTGCTACAGCAGCAAGAGACAACTAATATATTCTCAGATGACATCACCTGGCCAAAGGAAGTAAGGGGTGGCCATAACACTGAAAAAATCTCAAATACATTCAGTTAGAGCAATTTTTAATTAGCTGGCCAAAACTGCATTGTAGCACTGAATATTTTGTACCCAGAACCAAACAAAACAGTCATAGCCCTTACTAAACTGAATAAACAGATAGTCACATACCTAAGTTCTTTTCTCTAACCCATAGGGTAGAGAGGTATTTCTAATTTATATATGAAGAATAAATGACTTTCCTAATGTTACATGGCTAGCCAGAGAAGAAAACTTGGTTGTCAGATCCAGCCTCCTCCACCACAGTGCAACACTTCACATTCCCACAACTGTGATGGGCTCTGTCAGCTGGGATTTCAGAGAGGAGCACTACCAGCCTCTCTTCCTTCCACTCCACACCCACTCTACTTCCACATGGAAATGTGGAAATGCAACTCCAATGTACATGGTAGTTTAGCTTCTCCCCAAGGCTGGAATGTCCTATTCTGGCCAATATCATAGGCTACTTCTGAGACCTGTATTAAACAAGAATCAATATTTGTGGTGACTCTGAACAGCTGTAATAGCTGACTTATATCTGTAAGTAAAGGTGCAAACTATAAAATAACAGACCTTGTTATAACCTCGTGGCCAAGACACTGCTTCAAGGCAGATGCAAGCATTACATTTCCACAAAAGCAATGCAGTGGTTGGCCAAAGTACACACACTGAGTTCTTAGAATACACAGGATGTACAATGTGAAGTAGTAGTACAGTTCTGTTCCTTTCTGAATTACTCAGCATAAACAGAAATTACTTAGAACAGAAAAAGTCTTCTAATACCAGGGGCTTTCCTTTATGTCAAGAATGTATTCGAATGACTCCTGGGCTGCCAAAGGGCTATATTTTATTTATCTTTTAATATATTATGCAATTTTCTAAATACACAGGTAAATTAAACTAAGAGTTGTCTCCCCTAAATATACTTCTGTCTACGTTCACCTGATGGCTCCACATGTAAGTTTTATCAGTGTAGAATGAATGATATTCAGTTGAGCCATGCAATGGCCAAAATAAGACCACATACGCTTTATTTATCATTTTCTGCTAAATCTACGTCAACTTTACATCCTCTGTAAAACACACAGTTTTATTTAGAAGCTGCCCTCTGCCAGCCTGCACCTTTCCCTTAAAAGCCACAGGAAAGGAAGCAAACCTAATAGAAACCACCATCACTTTGAAGATGTCTTCTATTTAACACCACAGGGGGAAAGTAATTAAATTTAATAGAAGTTATTGCCTGTGAAAGAAAATACCCACTATGTGAGCTAAATTAAATACACTGGGCAGGAGATGCAAAATTTTATACCAAATTTAACATGAATATGTATTTCCTGTTAAAATGTGTTCTACATGATTACTTTCAAGAATTTCATTTCTGCACTAAGGGCAGTTTTAATCATTTCCTCCTACCAACCTCCCTCCATCTCTTGCTACAATTTTATCAGACACTCCCTTCTGTAAAGTGCTGTTTTCTAAGCCACAAACTGATCGCAAACAGGGAGAGATCTGAGTCTACCTAACATGGAGCCACATGATGCCACTGGAAAATCTTGCAAAACACCAACTGGAGGCCTCAAGATAAAAAGCAAACACACGTCGCATCAAATTACCTATCAGGGTAAATTGCTCCACATTAATCTCAAAACAGACAAATTCAGCTAAAATTGGTAATATTGGCTATGTAAAATAAATGTATCGAGCCTGAAGTGAATTGCTGTGGTGAGAGGCACATGGCGCCAGTGAGGAAGAATAAATAAATGCTGCACAGGATCGTAGGGTTCCTACTAAAATAACCAGAATACACATTTAATTTTTGCTTTATTTTTGAGGCATAGCTTACCAATTTGGCAACTTTTCCATAGTCAATCCATCTGACAGTAGCAAAATTTGTAGATTCTGCACAGTTGAAACCATGATTAAAACCAGCATGGTAGCCATATGGGAAAGTGATCATGAATTCTCCAGCCTCCTGGGTTATCTGCAAGGTAGGAAACATATAATATTTTGTAAAAATAAGACTTCCTAAATTATGAATACAATTAAAATATATTTCCCATTAAAAAACAAAGAAAAAAAGTCTTGATATCAGAGCACTACCAAAAAGAGTTCCACCAGATTCATTACTTAATCCTTTAATAGTGCTTTTTCAGGAAACGTTTAAAAGACTTTCCTAAATAGGATGTGGCTTGCTGGCACTTGAATTAAATCAAACAATCCATACTCAAAGCTATTACATTTTAATTGAAGGTATCTTCAGGTTATTCAAGTAAATTTGTTCATATTAGCTATCAAGCTATATATTCTTATATTTTAATAACTTGCATTACTGGAGTTACATATAAAAATCATATAATAACTGACATTGTTAAAGCTACAGCTACAGAAACTTTGATAATACATGCTTGGCAGGCTATATCATGAATTCTTGTTGGTAAAGAGTTGGTGATATTCATCAAATTATTTTTTCCTAGCACCTAGAAAACATTCAATTAAGCACAGTCCATTTCACAGTAAAACTTCTGTTAAAAGAATTATTCAAATATATGTATGTTAGAGTGAGTGCATTTTTAAGTATAATTAAAATAACTCGCATAAATAAGCCTGAGCCTTTAAAAAAGAATTTTAAATGTATTTACCCTGTTTCTATTTTTTAGATTAAAGACTTTTTTTTTACAATCACCAAAGCAACACAAAATATCCCATGGTCTACAGAAAAAGTGAAGAAAAATGTAGTGTTGTTTCTTTTTTAAAAAAGTATCTATCCGATACAAAAATTATAAAACTTATTGCTCACTCCTTCAAATGGAATAATATAATATATTTGTTTTGGATTATCTGATCTTAAAATGTTTCTAACCCAGCAGCACCCAATAGGATAGACCCCTTATATCTTTAAATTCTTTCAGTTGCTGCAAAGTAATATAAAAATACTCATAGGATTTGGCCACTGAAGCAATGTTTCTCCTTGACACATATTGCCAAAGTATTTAGCAAATGCTGTATGTTCACATTCAGAGCCTGTATTCTCTGCTAGCTCTGATAATAAAAGTTGTAAAACCACATTTTTAATTATCCTACTGACCCTAATACAACTTATATTTTCTTTGAGATATAATGTACATATAATAAAATGCTCAGATAATAAATGTACAGTTTGATCTGTTTTGACAAATGCATATACCTGTATATCCCATGCCCCTATTTTCTTTTTTTATGATAAAAATCTAAGGAAGAAATATATTTATTAAATATATCAACCTCAGAAAATTACTTATCTCTGGGAGGGAGAAGAGACTGAAACAGTAATAGCTACATTTGTAGTATTTTGTTTCTTTGGACAAATATCTGTATATACATATAGTGTTTTTTAAAGTATTTTATTTTCAGTAACAACTTTATTGAAATGTAATTCACATACCATAAAATTCACTCATTTAAAGTGTACAATTTGTTGGTTTTTAGTATATCACAAAGTTATGCAACTATCACAATTAATTTTAGAACATTTTATCACCTCAAAAAGAAACCCCCTCACCCTTTAGCTGTCATCCCCAAGCCCCTCATTCATCCCAGCCCTAAGAAAACCCCTGATTTATCTTCTGTCTCTACAGATTTGTTATAATGGATATTTAATATTAATAGAATCATATAAAGTATGATCTTTTGTTACTGAATTCTTCCACTTAGCATAAACTTTTCAAAGTTCACCCAGGTTGTAGCATGTGCCAGTACTTCACTTCCTTTTATGGCTGAATAATCTTCCATTACATAAAATATATCACACTTGCTTATTTATTCATCAGCCAACAGACATTTGGTCATTTCCAATTTGGGCACTAGGAATAATGGTGCTATGGATAATTGTCCATGCCCCTATTATTTCATCACCCAAGAGCGCTCCCTCATCCCTAACCTAGACCATCCCCTGCCCATCCCCTACTCCCACCTCAGTAATAATCACTCTTCTGATACCTTTCACCACTGATTAGCTTTGCCATGTTATGGATGCTAAAATGGTATTGGAGATGGGGAAAGTATTATTTTTCCCAACAATTCTGAAATGTAACTCATAACACCACTGTCCCGTGCCAAAGAAACCCCAGAAGATGTTCTGCTGCAATGAGCTCAGTTGTCACCTGGCAGCAGAGACAGGCTTACCAGTGCCCAGCACGGTTCAAGCTCCATTATCTGAGCCACGTGAGAACATAGCCCAACTCTCTCCTTTCCTGGTCTCACTGAATCTAATTAATTATCTAGGTGCTTCTTTCTTATCCTACGTAATGAAACAAAACTCACCCTGCTCCCACATAAAGGTGAGAGGAGAGGGAGGACTGCTGCCACTGGAACAAGAAAACTACTTTTCCCGCTCCATGGAATCCTACCTACAAACCTTCTCTACCCTACCTAGAAAATCCAGCTCATGCCATGATTTAAAAAAAAAAAAGAGCACCTGTTACACAGAATGCAACTCTGAATTTTAGGCCCCTGTCATTTCCAAAAACAGGTCAGTCCCAATCTCATACCATAAAAGAAGCTAGAGAAGAGAGTGGATATAATCTAAATGCAGACATCAGCTGTTTATTACACTTATGTTTTCATACATATGTATGAATATGGCAAATACAATGAAAGAAGGAAAAAATGTATTCCAACTGAGACATTATTACCTACAGGAAGAGGGCTGAGTTGAAGAGGAAGAGTACGTTACTATGCAACATATACTATTCAAAACTCTGTCTATAGATTATCTTTCTCGTCACAGTAACCCTATTAAGTAGTCACTATTTTTATCCCATTTTACAGTCGAAGAAACTAAAGCTCGGAAAGATTATGCGACTGAATCAGGAATGAACTCAGGAGGTTTAATCCTGCAGCCTGTGCTACCATTGTGCTGCCCTATCATATGTTACGCTATCATCACCAGGTAAATGTGGTTCTTGAGGAATACAGTGTCATGACAGGCCCTGTGTTGAGGTGGAAAGGGGAAGTGACAGTATTAAATATGAGGAAGTGCCACTGCCAATCAACCCTCAAAGTCACTGGTGTTTCACCATTTCAGGACTTAAATTCATCTCGCCACTTTCCACAGAAGCCATCCACAAAACACCAGATGAGAGCCCAATGCCTCCAGCGATCTACCATGTAGTACTGGTAGAGAGCTGCAGCCTAGAAAGAGGGTGCCAGGCACCTCTAGAAAAGAGCTCCAAGCTCCAGAGGCCTCCCTCCTGGGGAAAGGGAGCCAATCCCACAGCCCTGCTGCCTCACATAACTTCTCTTCACGTATCAGCCTTAAGCTACCACCAACACCTAACACCAGCCCCAAAGGAACAGAGAAGGATTTTGTGTCTTGGGGATACTGTTGCATTCCTTCACGTCTACCTTGTAACAGTCCAACTTAAGTAAAAGTACCTAATGAAGCTGATGCCAACTACTTAAAAGAAGCACTGGATGATGATGTGTCTGAGACTCACAAAAGCCTGGTGCCCAGAGGTGTCTGCAGATGGGACAAAGCCCCACAGCCACAGCAGCCCCTCTGAGTGGCACAGCCTGTGCCCTCTGTACCCAGCAGTTCTGCAGCCCATCCATAGTGCCTCCCTACACCCGCAGGCAGCCCCCACGGTGCACATCTCGGAGGCACGATTTTTTCATGGTAAAAACGTGCGAGTAAACCAGTGATGAGGGCACATTCACAAAAGCAAGCATATCTTGTGCGTGACTGCTGCATAGACAGTTTATGAGGGAGCAGGGAATCACCTCAAGCTGAAGAATGAACCCTGGCACTTGAAAAACTTCTACTTTGAACAAATCCCCCCCACCCTCCCACACACACACACACACACACACACACACACACACACACAAAAAGAAGGCCACAGTAAGAACCTAAAGTGAAGAAAATGTAAAGATTTAGTCACAAGCAAAAAGCTTCCAAGATGGAAAGCAGCAAGGATTATGAGAAGAAAAGTCAAATAAAAAACACAGAAGGGCCGGGCGCGGTGGCTCACGCCTGTAATCCCAGCACTTTGGGAGGCCGAGGCGGGCGGATCACGAGGTCGGGAGATCGAGGCCATCCCGGCTAAAACGGTGAAACCCCGTCTCTACTAAAAATACAAAAAAATTAGCCGGGCGTAGTGGCGGGCGCCTGTAGTCCCAGCTACTTGGGAGGCTGAGGCAGGAGAATGGCGTGAACCCGGGAGGCGGAGCTTGCAGTGAGCCGAGATCCCGCCACTGCACTCCAGCCTGGGCGACAGAGCGAGACTCCGTCTCAAAAAAAAAAAAAAAAAAAAAAAACACAGAAGAAGGAAGAGCTATTTTTTAATGTTTCTGCAAGCAGCTAAGTACTTAATCCTCCTGAGACTGAGAGGGAGATTTTATTTATCTGGTCAAAACCTTTTTTCATATCAGCTGCTTCACATAAAAATGTTTGAGCTCTGCAATAATTCTGACCCAATAACCACCCACAGACACAAAGAATGTGGGATCCAGCATCTACTGAGTTTTATAGAACCTAATCTTCAGAAAACTCGCAGAAGCAATATCAGATTATTAAATCATCAGGCAATTTTATCCATAATGAAATCTCGATTGTATTATGTCTAAATGTGTTTACAAGCAACATAGTGCTACCATAATCATTGATTCTAAGCAACCCATTGCTAATAATTGCTCTGAAATTTTTAGAAAATAGATCACATATACATAAATTATGTTACTCATAAAAAAGATTTTAATATAGAAGTGCTTCCTCTTATTTTATAGAATGTGCTACATTTTATTTTCAGTACAATTATAAGTGAACTATAGCAACATGAAATCTCTAGTAAATATATTTGAAATAAAATTAATTTCTAATTAGGATTTAGATAAATAATTGATATGCTATAAAACATAAATTTGAATTTCTCTACCCACATCCTAAAAATTCTACTGGAAGTTAAAGATACATTACTTCTTAAATACAAATCCTACACAAACAAAATTAATTTGTGTAAGATGAATACTAACATACCTTGTCAAAGGGAATACCATATTTCTTCAATACTGATGGAGAAATCAATGTCATCTTGTGGCGAAGAAATGCATCACACCCTTGGGAGCTGCTTGGGAAAAAACCTAAAAAGAAACAATAAATGTAAGTGGCACTGTGTCGATTAAGAGAAAATATCAAATAGGTTTTTTAATGTGTAAGTTCTAGTGTTCTTACTGTTTGACTTATGCAAGTATGGACCTCTTCTGCCAAAAAGCCCTTGTACTAAAACTCAGAGTCAGAGTTAGAATTCTTAAAAATTAAAGGATACATCACCAAAGGTTGATCTTCTTTACAAACAGATTTACCATAAGTTGTTTTTGTAACCTGTAAAATTACTCAACTTTAGGAATAAATTTCAATTTGAAACAAATGTGGATTCAATCTATTATCTGATAAATGGAGAAAATATTTAGGGAAGTTAGGAAAGATAAATACGTGGGATGCTGGATCTATAGCTAAAAATACAGGGGAAAAAAAGGAAAGATAAGTATGCATTCCTGAAGCACTCATCCCAATCCTCGGCATACAGCAGACAGAGTAGTTCCCCCACCTTTCTGTTTCTTTTCTGATTAATCTGAAACTAATTGCTACTAATCTCCTGAATGAACTTCCCAGCCATCACCCATCAACTGTCTGAGAACCTGCCTGAACAGCCTGAATGGGAGAAGTGTTTTGAGGAGGCTTTTAAATGAGGAAGTTAAACATACAACAACCCTTTCATTCAACAGTATATTATACGCCAAGACAGAGTCAGTTTTCTCCATCGCTGACTTCAAACCTGCAGTTCTGTCTGAGGCAGACTCTCATTAACTCAGTGATGCAAGCTGGAAGAAAATGAACATGTCTGATGTACTGCTCCACACCTTCCTCACTCAGAGGGAAGGCAGCCATGCTGAAGGGATTGGAAAAACAAGAAACAAGGAAAAGACAGAGAATCATGGAGGGAGAACACAAAAGGAAGAGAGAAGGCACCAGGAAGGCACATGCAATGCATATGTGTGACAGGATGAGGCGTAGATGCTGTCTGACTCCTCCACCACCAGAATGAGGGGGGAAACTGCTGGAAATGTGACATCTAACTCTGTGGATCTCTCTATGCAGATAACTCAAGAACGTGACCAATTTGGCCAGGTACGGTGACTCACGCCTGTAATCCCACCACTTTGGGAAGCCAAGGCAGGTGGATCACTTGAGGCCAGGAGTTTGGGACAAGCCTAACACAGCAAAACCCGGGTTCTACTAAAAAATACAGGCCAAGTGCGGTGGTTCACGCCTGTAATCCCAACACTTTGGGAGGCTGAGGCGGGTGGTCCACAAGGTCAGGAGTTCGAGACCAGCCTGGCCAACATGGTAAAACCCCGTCTCTACTACAAATACAAAAAAATTAGCGAGGCATGGTGACGCACACCTGTGGTCCCAGCTACTCAGGACACTGAGGCAGGAGAATTGCTTGAACCCGGGAGGTAGAGGTTGCAGTGAGCCAAGATCGTGCCACTGTACTCCAGCCTGGATGACAGAGTAAGACTCCTCAAAAAAAAAAAAAGGAAAAAAGAAAAAAAAAAATTAGGCGGGCATGGTGGTGCGTGCCTGTAGTCCTAGCTGCTCAGGAGGCTAAGGCATGAGATTCACTTGAACCCAGGAGGCAAGGGTTGCAGTGAACTGAGATTGCACCACTGTACTCCAGCCTGGGCAACGAGAGAGACTCCAAAAAAAAAAAAAAGATAGGAAGGAAGGAAGTTCAATAAAACATGAGAAATGTTAATTCTTTACAATGTCTCTTAATAATGCAGCCCTCTGCTTATGGTTAATATTCATAATACATAAACACAAAATAAAACACTGGTGAGTGGAGGGAAAGTAAGACACTAATATAATGGCCATGTCCACACAACAAGATGTCCTAAGTCCTACACACAGAGAAGGGCACCAAGGGGCAGTCCCCAAATGCACAATCCATGGGAACGTTTTTATAAACAATTCAAATGGATCCATCAAACTTCTCAAATCTGTAACTTTCTGCAACACTGATGAATTAAGTTTTAAATTAAAATCAGTGAAGAAAGAAGAGTCTATTCCATTTTCTTTCAATATAGATTTGTAATCAGGACCTGAACAATGTGGTGACTGGTCATAAGTTAACCTAAATTGGAAAACCACTGAAGGAAGGTAATTTGCAGTATATTAAGAATTTCACATTGGTTCAGAATTTATATTTACAATATGCTATCAGAATTATATTTTACATAGTCCTGAAAAACACTTCATAAACAACGCATCTTATGTACAAAGTATGTGCCTTAAAATGAATTTTACCTCAAAATACCTGCAGGGCTACATGGTTCATACTCACTCTCACTCCATAGTCTATAAAACACAGTCAATTCCTTGCCATACTAAAGTCAACTGCCTTTTTTTTTTTTTTGTCTTTTTTAAGATATTATACAGGATCAAGCAAGCAAAGATGGTCTTTGGAATCATTCTTCCAATCCAAATAATAAGTTAGAGGGATGGAAGGCTAGGATAATAAAAAGCTTGTATTCCAGAGACCCCAACAGAGCCCTAAAACCCTAAAAGCAATCCACAATAACCTTTCCTAAGAACACCAAAGTGCTGCTGAGAGTTTTGCAACACAGAGAAGTGTGTAGGATCTCATAAGCTCTCTCAAGGATCACGTGCTATACCCATCCAAAGGATGTTTCACATACAATGTAAAAGTGAGCATGTGTGAAAAGCATTATTCTAAGTGAAAAAAGCAAAAAACAAGTCTACACATAGTATGATTCCACTTATATGACACTTTAGAAAAGGTAAAACGATAGGGACAGAAACCAGATTAGTGGGTGACAGGGAAGGGGAGAGTGGTTAAGTACAAAGAGGTGTGAGGGAACTTTTTTGGGGTATTGGAAATGTGTTACATGTTGATAACAGTGGCTTATCATGTGGTTTATTAATTACACCACTGTAAACATTTGTCAAAACTCAATGAGCTCTATTCTTAAAATAAGTGAATTTTACTGTAGATTTTACCTGAATAAAACTGACTCAAAAAAATCATTAAATCTTTTGAAACTATTTTTGAAATAGAGTGGATGTGTCTAAAAATATGGAACAGGTGTGTTCCTTCCTTCAAATGAGAAGTTCTCTATACTGTCAACTGGTTTATAGTTTATAATATATTAGCTATTGCTAAGAAATTATTTTTAAATCCCAATCTTTTATGATTCAAATACAAACACACGCTATAGTATTAAATCACCAAAAATTTCAGCCTTGAGAAAAGAGTTTAAGATCAAAGCTTAGTGACATTTTTATGGGTATACAAACACTAATTTGGTGAAGATAATGATAGCCATTAACTTTTTAGGAAAGGGGAGAGAAAGACAAGAAACAAAGGAGGGAGGAAGGAAAGAAAATCAAACATGTAGATCTATTTCCAAACTAGTAAAAAATTTTTCTTTACAATTTTACTTGATAATTGAAATTTGCCCAAGTATGCTTTGATGAAGTTTTATCGTGGTTTTATATGACTGGTATGAGGCTTGAAAAATATAGCAACCATATAAACAAAAGCTAAGGAAAAGAATACAAGAAAAAGGTATAGAAAATTGGTTCAGTGAAAAATGCTTTCAGAAACAGATGTACTGTATTTGATTTACACATGAAATTTCTTGGCAAGCTTATTTATGAAAAGAACCAATGACCTACATTGTATGCAGAGAAACCTAGTAACATTTACCCACAGCTCTACTTGAGAGGTTGACATGAGAGGCACATATTACATTTGGCCTCTTGGTGCTTGCTAACGTTCACGGAGTGGTTACTCAGGAATGGATAGAAAATTATCCTTTCGCAGGCCTCACTTGACCCTAACGTCCCATAATCCATCAACATCTCTACCAGCAGAGCGCTCCAGGAGGAGTGCCAGGAGAACTTCATACTGATCCTGGAATGGAGAATGGCGCTTCTCCTAAACAAGTGGCTTGTTTTAATCTCCTAGACATGGTGCGCGTTGTGTAATGGGCAAGTTTTTTCCATTTCAAGATAATTAGCAGAAAACCGAGATTTAAAATTTCCACCCAGTTTAACTGGTGTGTGTGTCATTACACGCATGGGGTTTTTTTTACTGCATTCCTGAGACCACTTAATTTCAGCTCTCACTTCCCACCCCCTTGAAATATCCATGGATAATCTACGCACAAGTCACCAAGGACTCCCCAAGCCAAGAACATTGGGATCAAACTGGTCAGAGTTAAACTAACCAGGATTCTTCTGGCTCTGCCTCTGCCCAGCCCCATTGGCACCCTCAAATCAAAGAAATCTTCACTTCCCCATAATTCCTCCCTACTAGTTGACATTCATTTCCTGAATTCTTCCTCTCCATTCTCGGTTAAGAGAAGGGAACTAAAAGTCTTTCACTCACAAATGAATTATGTTATTTGGGTGTATTTCATGTATTATTGCCCGATGTCTAAAATCCCACTAGGAACATGGCTGGATATAAAATATCCAATTACATTTAAATACAGACAGTGATATCACTGACATCAAATTGTTAAGAAATTAAGTTTACCAACCGTTTCTTCACTCTTAGTGAAATCCAGCTGATAGACGAAAATAAACATACCCTGACGCACCACACATTGATCTCCATGCCTAAGGCATGAGTTAGGCATGAAGGCAGAGGATATATCACTGGTCTTTTGCATTTTTTATGGCTTACAGGGTACTTTAAAATTGATTATTTATAATCAGAGGTATTTTATTTATAAGCCTTTCAAAACTAGACATTTCAATATAATATTTCAGACTATCAGCTAAGTGAATGCTTAAGGGAATAATATTTACCATTTTGAGAGCTAATAAAAGTACATTTCCCTAATTTCCAAGAGAGAGGTATGAGAGCAGGTTAATTTAGAATCTGTTCATAAAATTAAAATGATTTATTTATTGCTGCTCTTCTATTCTCTTGACAGCAGTGGCTCATAATCCTTTTCGGACCAAACGATCTCAGGGGATTTGATGATGGCGTTCCCAGAAATCTACGTATATGCCCAACTTTGAATATAATTTCAAAGAGTCCACTGAATGCCTGTCTGCATCCCACCCATTGACCTTTATCTACCCCCTGGCACAGGGATCTCTGCAAATCGGGCTATGACCTCTTACTCCACAGGATTAAAATCAAGATTACTAGCCATTAAAAAAATTCCACAATGTGCGTGCACGTGCACACGCGCACACACACACACACACACACACACACACACACAAATGCTTAAAAGCATGAACTAAACTAACCCTTGGTAGCAATGTTTCTTCTATTCCCTTTTGCTAAATACTGCTTTTTTAATAAGGTAACAAAACCAACATTTGTTTCAAGTAAATATAAGGATCTAAAAGAATTGACTCACTTCCACTACACTGTCCTTTGAAATAAGTTTCCTCCTAATTGTTCACACTTTCAAAACTGGCTGCACAAAGTCCTAAATCACATATTTTGGACGAGTAACCAAAATTTTCAAAGTAAATCCTTTTCAGTTTTTTAAAATAATAGCATTTTATTCCCAATAAAGGACAAATGAAATATGAAATACTACTTTTCACAAAAATCTGTACACTTTCTCAATTTACCTAACTTAATATAACAGCAATATTATCTTTTTTCTAAAATAGGTGAGATTTAGACATTTTAAAAACTGAAAATCTTCCAAACTGTCATTCATGATTTAACATTATAACTCTCTTCTCCTCCATATTTGCAATCCAATTGTATCAAACCAAAAATTAGAAAGAATGCAATGGCATTACAGACGAATATAACAAGTATAAAAATTGTAACAATTCACTTGAGATTTTTATTACATTTATGTCTATATAATATGGGGAAAACCTGTATAAATAAGAAAGCAGCTGAAGGGCGAAATCAAACTCCTGGCTTTATTAGATGCAGGCCTAATGTCTTTTGGATAAAATATTTGTAGGTGCCACAGTCAATCAAGATTTCAATAGAAACCAAAGATGAAAGCATTCATGCATAAAAGGCAAGTGTGATAATTATGATGCGCAGACAAGATAATGGAAAATATCTGAGCCTACTTTTCATTTTATGAATCAAGTGTTGCTATCAGCTAGACATTCTAAAATGCTCCATCATTCGCACTGCATTATTTTATCATTTTAATTATTTAGCAGAATTCAATTATTTTGGCTGGCATCTGGTCATCAGATACAAATCCTTCACTATCTTGCAGGGTCTTTTCCCTGCTTTATTCCTCAAAATATTGCTGCAAAAGAGTTTTGAATAAACAGGCAACTGATTTCAAGTTCTTGTTCATCCTTCAAGTTCATTAACCTCTTACTGATTAAACAAACGGTAACCATTTTCTGGAATGTCATTTTCAGACAGTTTACGTCAAAGCATTAGAAGTTTATATCAGAAATTTTAGTCTGTGACTCAATATTGTAAGGTTTACATCGGCTTCATTTTAAAAGTTCTCTGGTAGCAAGATTAATAGAAAATGGTGGAAAAATTTTATTACAGAGAAGAAGACAGTTGAGAATATAGTCTTAACACAAAGTTCACTTCCTACGTAGTTAAGTGTTACAGTAATCATCTTATAAGCTCTACTCTAATCTATTATCCAAAACTTATTCATGAAAACAGTCCCTAACAAAGTTCAAGATTACAATTACATCAATCGCTATTATTACTATTATGTATTACATTTTTAAAAAGACACTTTATAGTTATTAGCCTGACAAAATTATAATAATGCTTCTTAAAATGTAATACTATAACTGTTCCTTCTAATACTCTTCTGTAATTTAGGGAAAAGTAACCTTTAGGTGCCATTAACAGTTTCTGTTAAAAACTGTCAAGTCAAGCAATGAGGTTTCTCAGTGTCCCCATTTCATTATTAATTGAAAGCACATATAAGGCAGGAACAAAATTCTTTTCCTAATAGAAGGCAAACCTAACACACCAATGAAACTTAGATCTGCACTGGACTAAAAGAGCACTGCTCACTGAGGACTCAATCCTGGATAAAGGCAGAAGGCCTTGCTCCTCAGTTGTCACTCAAATGGAACTCCACTTTTCCCTGGAAATAAGTCACTACCAGCCTACATCTTCTTTCTGGAAGGGTGGCTAGCAAAACAGAAGATAAGGATGGCAGGGGGTGAATGTGACTCTGCTTCCCATACGTAAGTAGATGAGGGCAAGGCCGCCTGGCTTATCTTTAAAAAAAAGGAGGAAGGAGGAAGGTGGCTGCTTGCATTGGCATTGTCTACACACACAAAAGCAGGCACAGGATCATCAATAGAGGTCCAGAAAAGTTCTTTATTCTGGCCCTAAAGAAGAAGCAGCAGGCCATGAAAAATAAAAATGCAACCTGCAGTAAAGTAAGTTTAATTTTGCCAGTCCAAGAAGGCCCAAAATCTCATGTGTATTGTTACTCAGAGCCATTCACCTTCACACTTCCCTAAGGGCACACCTCCAGTCCCAGTGGGCCACAGAAGAACTGGGCGTCGGCAGTGACATAACCCTTGGGGGAAACAGCAGATCAACAGAAAAAGTAGTCATGAAAAAACCATACCCCAAGATGCAGCAACAATACCGTCTGGAAGAATGTAACTTAATTTAAAAAAAAATTATTGGCACAATGACGTTGAATGCATTACATTAAAAACAATTTTTTTAGAAACTACCAAAACAGATTAAGGGCAATCACTTGATGAAATACTAAACAGTCAACTAAAATAACCATGACGATTATGCAATAGGGAAAAAATAATATTCACAAACTAAGGTGAAAAAATTTAAAATTGTTCAATTAAAAAAACATGTAAAAGTCAATAACTTGAATAGAATAAAACCAACAGAGTAACGGTCTATATTGTAAAAAGTACCTCAAAAACAAAGAACCTACAAAACACAGAAACATATAAAACACAGAAAACAAATTTAAAAAGCAAGTTTTACCTTGAGCTAGTCTTTCAAGTCGTTTTCCATGCTCCGGAGGTATAGCATACCTAAAATTTTAAACATAAGTAAAAATTTTAGGTTTATAATTTTTCAGCTAGTAGCCTAAGGACATCTATTCCTAAATAATGTCACATAAAAGAAATTCAACACCAAACTCCACTTAGATGAACTGAGTAGAGATTAGAAAGCCAATCACAGAGTCATATTCCTTAGACAATGAACAGAAAAAAAATATGCCTATAAATTACCAATTTCAATGTCACAACTCATCATGCCAACCACATTTTACAAATTAGGGAACAAAGGCCCAAGGCAGGTAAACTGCTCAGCAACAAGACAGCTAGTCACAGCCTAGAGACCCTCTGTGCCAGCTCTCATAGCACCCCAGCACTCTAGGGTTGTTTTGGTTGTATGTTTTTCGTTTTGTGGTTGGTTGATTTTGGCTTTTGTTTTTAAGAAAATCTGGGTTGCTCTCTTTCTAAATTTTAAAATATTTTTATTGACAAGCAGAACAGAACACAAAATTATTACACCAACATTTATATTTCCACCAAATCTTACTAAGAACACCGTAATTTTCAAACAGACTTTAATAAGCAAAAGATTATCAGCCTTAAAAAAAGTTTTATTTATTTCATAATTATGTGACTTTCAAAATCTTGATTACAGCAAAAAATTTTCACCCTTAAAGAACAGAAATACTCATTTCTAGTTCCATAGTTATTTTTACTATGGACTTGCTAAGAAATTTTAAAACAACAATCTCATAATATCCTATACAAATACTAAATTGTAAAGGCATTTTAATGAGGAAATTTAATGAGGATATTAACAATAAATTTGAATAATCATTCCATGTTTTACATATAAACTATACTTTTGAAGACCTCTATTTGCTGTACTTACTAGCTCAATATATACTTAGTACAAGTTACTTCTTACTAAAGTAACTTAACTAATTTTACTTAACACCACACTTGGTTTCATTTAATGCTACTGATAACATATGCAAAACTTAATTGGATCCAATATAACTATGCAATTCACTAAAAGAAAATTCAATCATATATCCTGTTGCTTAAGGCACTGCTAATGAAATTGTTCCAACCGAAATGGGAAGACAAAATTTTAGCATAACTAAATGACTATCACCCAATGTATATTTATGGCCACTTCTTACCAGTTCTTAATTCCTGGCTTACATCACAAATATACCCAGAAAAGGGGTGTGGGTGTGGGTGTGGGTGTGGGTGTGGGTGTGGGGGTATGTCCCTTCCAAACAAGAGGGTCAGCCTTCCTCATCACACACATACATACACACACACACATACATGTAATATGAATATGCCTGCCAACAAAAAGGTAGGATATGGAGATATTTATATATGCAGATTCATTTTTCTGAAAAATTGGTAAAGTTAAAGCTCCTCAATCTAAAGTTCAACCATATGCTCACAGAAAATTTAGCTATCCTTATCTGCAGAAAGGAGGAAAAAGTAAGGCAAGATGGCTCTACTCCTACTCTGATCCTCAGTTTACTCCTAGGATCTGAATCATACCAATTCAATCTCCTCATTCCTCTCCTCCTAGGTAGGCTTACTGGCCTATTATTTTCTACAAGTATTTCCCAGGTGCAGCTATTCCTATCTTAGCCAAATGATTTAATTAGTTCTACTTTTCTTCTTTTAGATGGAAGACAGTGTCTCAATTTCTTTTCAAATTCTATAAATATCAAGTTCATTTTAAAATCATAACTAATTATTAATAAAATTCTTATGGTTAACCAACTATTGCTATAGTTTAATAGCTTCAGAAATAATCAAAGGATGAAAACTTCCTTCCAATCACAGCCCCGTACACGGAAGACATGTAATATTTCCCAAGTAGAACTAAATCCTCAAACTGAAAGCCATACTGTGGTAATATCCAGTGAAGCACAACTGGGCAAAAATGCCTTCAAGCAGAGGTCACTCTCCTTCCCTGCCTTAGTCATTATCTTGCTCAAAGTGAACCCACTCATCTCCATGCTTATCCCTGTGAAATATTTTACATGCTTCTCTCTTCTGTTATCAATGCTATGCTTTGTTACACAGTATTTAAATAATGACAAAGCTATGTAATGTTTCCTATACAAATAACTTTGAAAGTTCCCTGAATGAGCCCAAAACCCTGCCCGAGGGTCTGACAAAGGACAGTCTGAAGATAAGTAATAATGCTAATAAAACTGGAATGTCACCATCAGATTTTTCTGTTTTTAATGTTTCCACATAACAAAGGAACTAGGAAAGACTAATTTTAATGTTTTAGAAATTCAACCAAGAGCCAAATCATTGTTCTTGCCATGAACAATAAAATCAGAGCACTACCCCACTCAGCAGTCAAGAAGCAATATGCCTCCATGTACCATCTTGACAACCCCAAAATCTTGCTCAAAAGATACTACTATTCTTTTAATCAATTATCTCACTCTGTCAATAAAGCCCTAGGGGATCAAAGAACAATTCTGTTCTCTAAATACAAGTTGCAGGGCTGGAAGGGCCCTTAAAAATAATCTTGTTAGGCCAGGTGTGGTGGCTCACGCCTGTAATCCCAGCACTTTGGGAGGTCGAGGCGGGCAGATCATGAGGTCAGGAGACCGAGACCACCCTGGCTAACAAGGTGAAACCCCATTTCTACTAAAAATACAAAAAATTATCCGGGTGTGGTGGCGGGCGCCTGTAGTCTCAGCTACTTGGGAGGCTGACGCAGAAGAATGGCGTGAAGCCAGGAGGTGGAGCTTGCAGTGAGCTGAGATGGCGCCACTGCACTCCAGCCTGGGTGACAGAGCAAGACTCCATCTCAAAAAAAATCTTGCTTAGCACTTTCTAAGCCTTTTTCCTGTTTCCATACCATTACAGAGGCAGAATCACTAACACCTCTAATTACCAGCAATAACTGGCACCTGGGAGAATGAAGGACAGCAGAAACATACATCCCTCAGGGATGAAGTACCCAGCATACCCTGAAAAAAGCTCCCTAGCTGATTCTGACAGGGTAGTACATTATAATGAATGAACGAAAGAATGGGGTGATTTCTAATTACCATATCTAAGAACCTCTGCTTGGTCCTGACTCCCCACAACCTCCCTGATGTCGGATGATAGATTTGTGTATGCGAAGCTTTTTTATGTTTTTCCTTCAGATTTTTTTTTCCGGTAATACCACAATGGCCCAAGTCAGAATGCTAAACAAAAGCTTCACATAGCACTTTCAAACCTGCAGTCTATGTGTGTAGGCTGACAGACAGCCCTTGCCTGTAAGAAGGTGAGCACCTGGCTTCAGGGGCACTCAGTCACATTGCATTTGAACACTAGACTCACTGACTTCTCTGCAACAGCACCCCTGCTAACCCTACACCACGGCACTACTTTGATGGGCAACTGCAGCAATTTGAAGCCAAACACAACTCTAATCTGTTTCAAAGCATGCCATGAGAAGAGAGAGAAAGAAAGAAAAGACAACAAAACAGCAAGGTGCATATATTTTCATGTGTTTTCCAGCAACCAGCTTCCTCGGTAGAGGGGAACGCACGTTAAACAAGAACTGGAAAGCACCATCTAAGAGACATTGCACAAGCCACTTCACCACGGTCAGACCTAGTCTACCTCACAGAACAACACGGAACAGATCGACTGAGTCATATTTAGGAGCTCATTATACACTGTCAGACCTCATCTACCTCACAGAACAACACGGAATGCAGCAACTGAGTCATATTTAGGAGCTCATTATTAAAAGATGGCTAAATCACTTCTCGGCCTTTTGGCTAAGATCAAGGGTAAATGATGGCTACAAGGCAATGAGGTGAGCCTGACTTGCTGCCCCCCACATCCAGTAAACTTGAGAAAATGTTCAAAAAGTATCAGTTCAAACAATCCTAACATCAAGGGTCAGACAGGCACATAAAAGGCTGATTACAATTTGAAAGAACCCAGGAAAGCACAGTACCTTTTTGCAACCCATCGGAATATCCAAAACTCAACTCTCCAGCAGCCTGATGATCAGGCCCTATGTTCTCTTTCTCTACTGCACCATCACAGGCCCGAGCAAACGCAGGATACTCAAATCACCAGGTGGTTGAGTCATTTGGGTTACTGTCCCAAAATTTTCCTTTATAATAGATGTGCTGCTAGTAAGAATCACTTTAAAACAATCTAATTCAATTCAGGAGATAGGTGCTGAGCACCTGCCACATATAAAGCACTGCAGGAAGAACTCAAGGCATTTTCCATGTAAGTAGCGGGGGTAGAAATACATACAGATATTGCTAAGACCTATCAGAATGAAGCCTAGATTCTGACACATGGATCTCAGCAACATCAAGTGCTCAGGCACATCTACTATCATATGGCAGTTAGTGTGAATAAGAAGAGGATAAAAGAGAAGGGAAGACCTCTGACTTCTCAAAACACCCAAAGTTATCGCCACTAGAGATGAACTCTAATGCCTCAACTCTGGGATACTTATCTTACATCTGAAATAAGTATCATTACCCACTTACATTTCTAAGATTACTTCATAGTTCTACCTACCAGGCACCAGGACAAAATTAGTCTTCCTGTCCTAAACAGGAATAAGATACAACAAAACACCCACTCCTCTTTCAAATCTCAGCTCAAGACCCGCCCAGGAGAACTCCCACTCCCTCTCTTGTTGTATCAACAATCTCACATGCAGGTGTCCACCCTGGCACTCAGAATACATGTGTATTTCTACCTTCCTGCCTCCCTACTATCCTATCTCAGCTCCCTAAGAGGAAGGGTCTATGGCTTTCTCCCGGAATACAGCACCAGAAGAACAGATATTCTGTATTTGCTGACTTATATCACTCTCAAATGATAAACCATATTCCTGCTCCTCCAAGATGGAAGTCCTGGAGAAGAGGAAGGAAACGGGAAGATGAAAAAATCACGAAAGCAGAAAATGGGAAGGAAGGCTATGTCAGCAAACCTCATTTCCTGACTTTAGGGTCAGTCTGGTGTGCTCAGGACCAGCAACTGCATCCTCAATCAAACGTCTACTTCAGTCAAACTCCCAAGACCTAAATGTCTCCCAGGACTCCCTAGCAACTTTTTTTTTTTTTTTTTTAACTGTAGAGATGAGGGTTTCACTATGTTGCCCAAGCTGGTCTCAAACTCCTGGGCTCAAGTGATCCTCCCACCTCTGCCTCCCAAAGTGCTGGGATTACAGGCCACCACAGGCCACTGTGCCAGTCCACATTTTCATTATAGCATGGTCTCCCCATGCTTCATCCTTGCCTTCTCTTCATTCCTCCTGGGTCTTACCCAGAGCTATGTTGCCTACGAAGTCCACAGGCTGTGACAGACAACATGTGCTCAAGATAGATTGGGCAGACTTGGGGCTCCGAAATTCCACATAAACCACTTTCCCAGAAGAACTGCCCTAAAAATTTAGCTCCATGAATTGTAGCAGCTGCCACAAAAAAAGTCATCTAATTCCGTTATAAAATGAAAAATGAGTAATAAAGTTAAACAGCAACATGTTTGTACTTTATTAAAATATGCTAATAGTCTTTATCTAAACAAGTTTTGAAAATCAGTAAAAGTCACTGTCAGACAATAGCTGAAACAGAATGCCCTGAATGAGAGCAAATGATAGGAGGTAAAAAGCCCTTTAAAAAAACCCGGGGCTTTTAAGAAGTTTTAAATCCTGCTGCTCTGATAACATCCAAGTGTTTACTAATTGTTGTTTAACATAGTACTATGGACATACCTCATTTTATTGCACTTTGTTGTGCTTTAAAGATGCTGCATTTTTACAAACTGAAGGTCTATGGCAATGCAGTGCTAACCAAGCCTATCTGTGGCATTTTTCCAACAGCATGTGCTCGCTTTGAATGTGTGTGTCACATTTTGGTAATTCTCACATTTCAATCTTTTTCATTATTATATCTGTTATGGTGATGTGTCATCAGTGACCTTTGATGTTGCCACTGCTATTGTTTGGGGGCACCACAAACCATGCCCACATAAGAGCGTGAACATAATAAATGTGTGTGTTCTGACTGCTCCGTCGGCTAGCTGATCCTCTCTCTCTCTCTCTCTCTCTCTCTCTCTCGCTCTCTCTCACTCTCTCTCTCTCTCGCTCTCTCTCTCGCCTCTAAGTGTTCAAGAAAAAGAAGAGCTCCATGCCTCTCATTTTAAATCAAAAGCTAGAAATGATTTAGCTTAGTAAGGAGGGCATTTTGAAAGCTAAGATAAGCTGAAACTTAGGAATGCAAAGAAAAAGTTACTGAAGGAAATTAAAAGTGCTACAACAATGAACACAATGATGATAAGAAAACAAAAAACATTGCTGATATGGAGAATGTTGGCATGTCTGGACATAAGATCAAACCAGCAACATTTCCTTAAACCAAATCCTAATCCAGAGCAAGGCTTCAATTCTCTTCAATTCTATGAAGACTGAGAGAGGTGAAGAAGCTGCAGAATAAAAGCTGGACTCTAGCACCATGACGTTTCAGGAAAGCCATTGTATCCATAAGAGAGAAGTACAAGGTGAAACAGCAAGTGCTGCTGATGTATTAATAGACATTGCAGCAAATTATGAAAATCTAGCTAAGATCATTAATGAAGGTGGCTACATTAAACAACAGATTTTCAATGTGGAGGAAACCTCCTTATACCTACTAGAAGATGATGCCATCTAGGACTTTCACAGATAGAGGAGTCAATGCCTGGCTTCAAAGCTTCAAAGGGACGGGCATGGTAGCTCACTCCTGTAATCCCAGCACACCTGTAATCCCAGGCCGAGGCGGGTGGATCACCTGAGGTCAGGAGTTCAAGACCAGCCTGGCCAACATGGTGAAACCCCGTCTCTACTAAAAATACAAAAATTAGCCAGGCATGGTGGTGCATGCCTATAATCTCAGCTAATCGGGAGTCTGGGCAGGGGAATCACTTGAACCCAAGAGGTGGAGTGGTGCGCGCCTGTAATCCCAACTACTCAGAAGGCTGAGGCAGGACAATTGCTTGAACCCAGGAGGCGGAGGTTGCAATGAGACGAGATTGCACCATTGCACTCCAGCCTGGGCCACAAGAGCGAAACTCTGTCTTAAAGAAAAAATAAAAAGCTTCAAAGGACAGGTAGAACTCTATTGTTAAAGGCGAATATGGCTGGTGACTTTAAATTACATCCAATGTTCATTTACCATTCTAAAAATCATAGGACCCTTAAGAATTATACTAAACCTACTTTGCCTGTGCTGTATTCAGGAGACTCATCTCACGTGCAAAGACCCACACAGGCTCAAAATAAAGGGATGGAGGAATATTTTACCAAGCAAATGGAAAGCAAAAGAAAAGCCAGGGATTGCCATCCTAGTCTCTGGTAAAACAGACTTTAAACCAACAAAGACCAAAAAAGACAAAGAAGGCATTACATAATGGTAAAGGGATCAATGCAACAAGAAGAGCGAACTCCTAAATATATATGCACCCAATACAGGAGCACCTGGATTCATAAGGCAAGTTCTTAGAGACCTACAAAGAGACTTAGACTTCCACACAATAATAGTGGGAGACTTTAACACCCCACTATTAATATTAGACAGATAAACGAGACAGAAAATTAACAAGGATATTCAGGACTTAAACTCAGCTCTGGACCAAGTGGACCTAATAGACATTTACAGAACTCTCCACCCCAAATCAATACCTCTTTATTTCTCATCTTCTCCGCCAATAACAAGTCCTAACCACTCTACCACCTCAAAACCTTGTGTCTATCTCCCAGCAGTATCACTCCAATTTCAACCTTTATCAGCCTTCAGCTAGACTATTGTCACTATTACAGTTTAAAAACCTTCATACCTCACTGCCTGGCTTTCAAGACCTCCACAATTTAACTCCAACCTTCTTAAATATGAACATTCCACTCCCTATAGGCTGGACTAAGAATTATTCTATCACTCACATAGGTGTCAACCTCACTCCTCCCCTCAAAATACCCCTCTCCGTGTTTCAATTCACCTCTCAAACCCCACCCAGATTCCACCACTTTGAAGCCTTCTTTGACCATTATAAATTTCAGCCATCTCATCCCTTTTCTTCCTCCCAGAGCCCTTCAATTGTATATTATGTAGTATTATATACTACTTCCCAAAGCAAGATGCTGCTCAATGTGCACACATCATTTTTGTCTTGATAGGTCTTGAGTTCTATGAGGTAGAAAAAGCCTACCACCACCCAGACATTTTAACATAAACTATCCATTTTCATCTACCTTGTAGAGTGCCTGCTCCACAGCCAGGCCCTAAATTATGGGACACAATTGCTCAGTTATGTAGCTAATTCCAAATTCTTTGAGGATAAGAATGTACTTTGCACCTTTTTTGTATACTTTGAAAACCATCAAATAAAATGCCTACCATTGTATATCCTCAAGTACATACTGGTTTGTTAAAATTAATAATTATTCATTTAAGCTTTGGGACAGTAGGGTTTTTCTTGAGCTATTCTGCATATTGCTCAAGTACTGCTAACACTAAAAAACTGAGTCACTAATGAACTATGAACACACTAATTAGATATTTACAGGATTATGTTGCATTTAAAACTGAAGTCTTTTATAAATTTTTTTTAAGATTTATTTTGAAGGCCAAGGAAAACAAAATTCCTTTAAACATATCTTCAGGTGATTTACTCAAAAATTAAACATAAACAGATATAGCCCTGCAGTTGTGAAACAAACACTACCTTGAACTGAATGAGATTAGGCCAACATTTCACAATAATAGTAAGTAAATCTATACTTATGAAAATCTACTTTCTCTAGTTCAAGTTTTCTCTAGGAACTGCCCTCTTCGTACTTCTTTCAAAATATGCTCAGTCCACTTACTTGTTTACCAGTACTTCTCAAAGACTAACTCCTACTTCTCAGATCACTCCCTCAAAATTCCCTATTGTTTTTTGGGAGCCCTGGGGCTGTGTGTTTAGGAACAAATGGTTTCTGTTGTCCCACTGCCCAGACGTCTGTCACAGGGCTGTCACAGGCAGCTGCCATAGGTCCCTCTGTCACTGTCACCAACAGGGGCTGCAGCACCTACAGATGTCCCAGCTTCCACTCACCTTGTGACATCCAGGACCACAGAGGGGAGAATTCCTTCCAGGCCCACGTCATGCTCAGGCAGGTCAGTCCTAAAACAAGCCTGCCCTATACTCCCTGCGCCTAACTAAGGCCGTGTGAAGTAGTCATTTCCTCCCTTATTTATGTTTCTGCTTGTTGTTGCTGTTTTGCTCACAATCATCCCCTGTGAAGAAGAAAGCCCAGTACCTCAAGGACAATTTTTTAACAGATAACAACCCCAAAATGATCCCCCGGCCCCATTCCTCGCATAAGCTTGTATGCCTGACTTGCCCTCTACCTTCACTAAAGTGTTCAAAAACACAGTGAAAAAGAAGAACTGACCAATAATATGATTACAGCTCATCACAGCCATCATTTATTGAGCACTGATAACACACCAGAGCTTATGCTAAGATGTTATAATACAAGTTCTACTACTACCTCCATTTAACTAATGAGGAAGCCAAAGCTTCCTTACAGGCATCTCTTCACTCAAGCAAAGTGATGACAGAGCTGGCACCTAACCCCAGACCTATCTTAACTCCAAAGTACAAGATCTACTCTCCAAACCCATTTTCCAACACTGTTTCCCCAACAATCACTATGAAGATGTCAAAAGGAAAGAAGTGACAGGGCCCATCTGTCCTCCAAGGGAAAAACCCCCCTTACAATGAACAAGCAAAAGACAATGGCATTTTAAATAAACCGCAGATACAAAGAACAAGACCAGCAAACCACTACCTGAAGTGGTTGTTTTTTTCAGGGGGGATGCAAGGGAGTTCTTGTTACAAAAACACTTTATGAATCAAAAAGTAAAGTATATTTCACAAAACTCAAAATTCCTGAAGTAGTTAATTTATAATACACTTTTTAATCAAAGCATACTCATAACCAATTGTCAAAAAGATTGAACCACTATGGATTTTATAGATGCGACTATGTTACATTTTCACATTACTTATGGTGCTAACAAGTTTTAATACTTGTGCATTTATTAAAGATTAAGCATTAAGTTTTAAATTATGAAGTCTTGTTAGTTAACTGTGGAAAGTAGAACATTGCATACTTAATTTTCAGTTCTTAAAAACAGATGAACGTGAGGAACAGAAAGCATGGCTATAGGGGATGCTGCAGGCAGGCTGCCAAGTCCCACTCCTGGCAAGGCCCTTGCTGCCTTCATGAGTTCAGGTTCCCTCCCCCAAGAACATACCCCTTGAAGAGGGAGGGAATGGCGGCCCACATGCAAGGGATGGTCCAGGCTTGAGTATAAAGGCTTGGCCATCTTGCCTGAATTTGGGGCAATTCTGAAGGGCAATGTCAGCTCCAGCACTGCCCTTAGGATCTGCCAGGACTCTGCTGGAGTTCACCTTCCCCTTCTGCCCAGTTCTGCCTCCCCCACTGTGAGCAGTATTATTCCTGGAGCACTATACAAGAAAGCCCTGGCACACAATCTCAGAGTGAACTCCCCAAGTAATCTAAGCTAAAACAGTAACAATAAACATGTTTGTAAAGAGGTGTCACTTAAATGCCAGTCCTCTTGCCTTGTAAGCTAGGCATCTAAGAGTACGGCCTGGAGAATGAGGTGCCTGAAATGAGGCCCTACAGAACCTGAGATTAAAAGCCCCTGAGAAAAGGAACTCAGCTAGAGCTCAGCCGCACCCTTAATGCCATTCATGGCCCATTTCCTGACATAACATTCAGATGAAAACCAGAAACCCTAGCAACCATATGTGCAGGCAGTCATAACTGTGGAAGCCACAGTGAGAAAAAATCCTTACAAGAAGGGAATAACTAAGCTTTGGAAAGTTGGGCAGTTCTTTTTAATCTGGAATTTCAAATACAATTCGATAACCATATACATGTAAATTAATTCCCCGAGCGATCAGAAAAATTAGTAAGTTACCATTACCTAACATCATTGTTATAAAATCTAGTAAGACAATGGCACAAAACTTGACTTTCAAGAAATAATATATTTTATATTACCTAGTCTACTGAATATTTTCTAAGTAGAAAATAATTTAGTGTTTTACACACTATTTTTCGTGAGAAAAAAGGTATTCTAAATTAGTTGATATCAACTCTGAACAACTTTTAAAAAGCTTTCCTGACCTCTCCAAAATACTCAACATATAATACATGCAGTAGTAAAGCGACTTTTCTAGTACAGTCAGCCCTCCACACCGAGAGTCCCACATCCATGGAGTCAACCAATCACAGATCAAAAATACGTGGAGGGGAAACGGTCGTGTCTGTACTGAACATGTACAAACTGTTTCTCTGGTCAGTATTCCCTAAACAATTCGGGATAACAACTATTTACATAGCATTAACATTGTATTAGGGCTTACAAGTAATCTAGAAATGATGTAAAGTATAGGGGAGGATGTGCATGGGTAACTACCACGCACTTTATATCAGGGACGTGAGCAGCCACAGGTTTTGGTATTGTGAATGGAACCTGGAACCAACAGTTCATGGATACTGAGGGGTGGCTCAAATCGGTGATCCAGTTAACCGATTTTCAAACTGCTTTTTATGGCACACCTCAAAGTTCCCAGGGTTTCCTGGGATGAATGCTATGTTACCTACGGAAACTCTCTTCACGTGAGGATATTTTCCTCAAGTTTCCTCACGTAGGACTGCCTGCACGTATGGTTGCTAGAGTGTCTCTAGTTCACCTAAACGTTCTGTCAGGAAATGGGCCACCAGTGGCGTAAGGGAGAGGCAAAGCTCGAGCTGAGTTCTTTCTCTCGGGGGGCTTTTTATCTGGTGTCTTCATAGGGCCTCAGCTCTACAAGGTGCCTCCAGGGAGGGTTTGGTGCGAGAAAGCTTCTCACCACACATTTCATCCATATCAGCTCTGCCTTATGTTTTCTGCTTTAAATATTGAGATTCTGCAGAAACTTTCATGTATAGAAAGTTTTGAAAATCTCTGTGTTAAAGCTTTTCCAAAGTAGGGACCTATCACAGAAAACATTCTTTCTGGTTGATACATAAGGGTTCTGTGTAAGATTTGGATTCCATGTAAGATTTTAATTCCACTGAAATTTTGCCCACAAGCGTTCTGCTACTGCAATAAAAGACAGTGGGGAAGTGCAGGGGAGGGGCTAAAAGCTTTGTGTGTCAACTGTTAGTAAGTTTCATAAGTAGAAGCCATTCTGTCAAGTTCACATGTTCATGGTATTATTGACACCTAGCTCAATACCTGACACAGGTGTGTGCTCAGTAAGTAATGAAGAAATTGGAAAAACATATAAAATCATAAATTACCAAACATAGATGCAATGTTTTGTAACAGCATCAAGCATTAATAAAACAGGGAAAGATGCCATTTCGAGAAGATTCTAAAATGTAAGAACACAAGAAGTTGACGATAAATGAAAAACATGCCCATATAAAGCTGTCTGCCCATATCAAAAATTTTCTGAAGCAAACTTTTCCCAACAAAAAATAATCTTACCTTATATAGGAATCTTCTGAGAACATTACTCTTTCCAAATGATCATTTATTCAAATATCAATTGTGGTTTCTGATACCAAAATGGTGCTATAGAAGCAAGCTGGATTCACTCCTCCCACAACCTTCACAGAAAACCAAAAACAAATATGCAGCACTGGCCGGGCGCAGCGGCTCACGCCTGTAATCCCAGCACTTTCAGAGGCCGAGGTGGGCGGATCACGAGGTCAGGAGATCAAGACCATCTTAGCCAACATGGTGAAACCCCGTCTCTACTAAAATACAAAAAATTAGCTGGGTGTGTAGGTGTGTGCCTGTAATCCCAGCTACTTGGGAGGTTGAGGCAGGGGAATTGCTTGAACCCGGCAGGCGGAGGTTGCAGTGAGCTGAGATCACACCACTGCACTCCAGCCTGGTGACAGAGCAAGATTCCATCTTCCAAAAAAAAAAAAAAATATATATATATATATATACACACACACACACACACACACACACACAAACATATATTTTTATATACACATATATACATTTTTACATACATTTTTCTATATATATATATATATATGTATATATATATACAGCACCAAGTCATCACCAGCAATTTCCTAGAACTCAAATATGAGGAGGAGTCAGATCCCAGAGAAGTAAAAAACTTCCAAGCAAATAGTAAGAGAATAAGAGACTTCTATATCCTCAGCACCCCTTCCTTTGATCTGCCTGAAGTCAAGTGTGCAGAAAATAAACCCCCCACTCACGGTTTCTACACTAGAATAGAGATCAGGGTGGACAACCAGCTTTCCCACCATTGTGGGTTTCCTAGGAGGACACTGTCCCTTCTTCAATCTGTAGGAAGCACTGGGAGTACCTGAAGAAAGAAATATCCCTCAAGACAGCCAGACACAAAGAGCGATGGCAGGAATACCATTCCCAGCCCTGGAAACTCAGCAATTCAGCCAACGGAGATGCCAAATCAGAGTGGCAGCTCAGCAGTGCTACACTGTAGGAGGTCTGTCCCACAGGTCTCCTGGGAATGAACCCCTAGCTAGCCCTCTCACACCCTTTGGAAAATACCCCATTCAGGACAGGGGGCACTCTGATCCTTTACTAGAGCTAAGGAAAACCTGGGCTGAAGGCACCATCTGGAACCAAAAAGGAAACAGTAACCTAGCAGAAAAAGAAAAGAAAAGAAAGAAAGAAGGGTCAAGAATATCCTTGGTAAATAAATCCAAGGTAAATTATAAGAATCTCTAAGTAGACATATTTAATAGTAACCAAAAAAAAAAAAGGATGGGTGCAGTGGCTCATGCCTGTAGTCCCAGCACGTTGGGAGGCCAAGGCAGGTGGATCACCTGAGGTCAGGAGTCCGAGACCAGCCTGTTCAACATGGTGAAACCCTGTCTCTAACTAAAAATACAAAAATTAGCTGGGTGGCCAGGCACGGTGAATCCCAGCACTCTGGGAGGCCGAGGCGGGCGGATCACAAGGTCAGGAGATCGAGACCATCCTGGCTAACACGGGGAAACCCTGTCTCTACTAAAAATACAAAAAATTAGCCAGGCATGGTGGTGGCGGGCGCCTGTAGTCCCAGCTACTCGGGAGGCTGAGGCAGGAGAATGGCGTGAACCCGGGAAGCAGAGCTTGCAGTGAGCAGAGATTGCGCCACTGCACTCCAGCCTGGGCGACAGAGCGAGACTCCGTCGCACAAAAAAAAAAATAAATAAAATAAATTAAAAAAAAATTAGCTAGGCATGGTGGCACATGCCTGTAATCCCAGCTACGGAGGGCTGAGGCAGCAGAATTGCTTGAAACTGGGAGGCGGAGGTTACAGTGAGCTGAGATCACGCCACTGAACTCCAGCCCAGGTGATAGACCAAGACTCTGTCTCAAAAAGAAAGAAAAAAGAAGAGAGAAGACTGAGATAAATAACTAAGCCTACAATAACGCAAAGTCATAGACATACATCCACAAGAAACAATAGCAAACAGGGAACCATGACCTTCTCAAATGGACAAAGCAAGAAACCTGTGACTGACTGGCCCTAATAACATAGCTATATGTAAGCTCTCTGATCAGGAATTCAAGATAGCACTTTCAAGGAAACCAGTAATCTCCAAGATAACACAGAAAAGGAGTTCAAGAATTTATCAAAGAAATTTAACAAAGACGGGGCACTTTGGCTCACGCTTGTAATCCCAAAACTTTGGGAGGCCAAGGCGGTCGGATCACGAGGTCAGGAGATCGAGACCATCCTGGCAAACACGGTGAAACCCCGTCTCTACTAAAAATACAAAAAATTAGCCAGGTGTGGTGGCGGGCACCTGCAGTCCCAGCTACTCGGGAGGCTGAAGCAGGAGAATTGCTTGAACCCGGGAGGCAGAGCTTGCAGTGAGCCGAGATCGCGTCACTGCACTCCAGCTTGGGCAATAGAGCAAGACTCTATCTCACAAAAAAAAAAAAAAAAGAAAGAAATTTAACAAAGAGATTGAAATAATTTTTAAAAAATCAAACAGAAATCTTGGGACTAAGAAATACATTTGCTGAACTAAAAAATTAATCAGAGGCTCTCAACAGCAGAATTGATCAAGCAGAGGAAAGAAACAGTAAGCTTGAAGACAGGCACATACATAGACACAGGAGAAAAAAAATAAATTAAAAAAAAAGATTGCCAACAAGATATAGAAAATTACCACTAAAGACCAAATCTAAGAATTACTTCTGTTCAAGGGGGAACTGAGCAAGAGCAAGGAGTAGAAAGCTTACTCAAAGAAATAACAACAGAAAACTTTCCAAAACTAGAAAAAGATAAATAAATAAAATAAATTTAAAAAAAAAAATTAGCTGGGCATGTTGGCACATGCCTGTAATCCCAGCTATGGAGGGCTGAGGCAGCAGAATTGCTTGAAACTGGGAGGCAGAGGTTACTGTGAGCCGAGATCACACCAGGTATAGAAAAGTTAGAGATCACCAAACAGATATGACCCAAATAAGATTACCCCAAGGCATATAATAAATTTCTCAAAGGTCAAAGATAAAGAAAGGATCTTAAAAACAGGAAGAGAAAAGAAGCAATGACATATAAAGGAACTCTATCTAACTGGCCTGGCAACAGATCTCTCAATGAAATCATATAGGCCAAGAAGTAGTGAGATGGCATTTTCAAAGTGCTGAAAAATGGGGATTGTCATCCAAGAATACTGAAACCAGCAAAGCTGTCCTTCAAACATAAAGGAGTGATAAAGTCCTTCCCAGATAAATGAAAGCTGAGAGAATTTGCCATCACCAGACCCATCTTACAAGAAATCTTAAAGGGAATTCTTCAATACGAAGCAGGGAGGGGAAAAAACCCACTAACATGCAAGAAGAAAACATTTAAAGATGCAAAACCCACTAAAATTAAGTACATGAACAAATTCAGAATACTCTATTACTGTAATAGTGGTATTGATATGGTTTGATATTTGACCCCTCTAAACCTCACGTTGAAAGCTGATCCTCAATGTTGGAGGTGGGGCCTAATGGGAGGTGTTTCCATCATGGGGGTGGATCACTCATGAATAGCTTGGTGCCATCTTCACGGTAATGGGTGAGTTCTCACTCCATTAGTTCCCATGAGCTGGCTGTTAAAAAGAGCCTGGCCCTCCCTTCCTTCTCTCTCTCTTTTTTTTTTTTTTTTTTTGAGATGGAGTCTCGCTGTGTCGCCCAGGCTGGAGGCAGTGGCAAGATCTCGGCTCACTGCAAGCTCTGCCTCCCAGGTTCACGCCATTCTCCTGCCTCAGCCTCTGAGTAGCTGGAACTACAGGCGCCCGCCACCACGCCTGGCTAATTTTTTGTATTTTTAGTAGAGACAAGGTTTCACCGTGTTAGCCAGGATGGTCTCGATCTCCTGACCTCGTGATCCGCCCACCTCCGCCTCCCAAAGTGCTGGGATTACAGCCGTGAGCCATGGTGCCCAGCCCCTTCTCTCTCTTACCATGTGATCTCTGTACATGCTGGCTTCCCTTCAACTTCCACCATGAATGGAAGCAACATGTGACCCTCACCAGATGCAGAAGCCTAATCCAGAACTTTTCTAAACATCAGAATTGTGAGCCAAATAAATCTTTTTTCTTTATAAATTACCCTGCCTCAGGTATTCCTTCATAGCTACACAAGGAAAGTCAGATGGAATCCACACATAACTCCAGTATGAAGCCCCAAAGAAAAACATCTCAAAAACAATAACTACAGCAACCTACTAAAAAGCAGGCAATATTAAAACATGTAAATTAAGAAAACAAAAAATCAAAACATGGGGTGGGGGGGAGTTAAAGCACAGGGTTTTTTTGTTTTTATTTTGTTTCTATTCTTTTCTGTATACGTTGTCACCTCTTTAAATATTTAAGGTAACAGATATCCCAGTTACCCTGATTTGATCTTTATATATTATATAAATGTGTACCCCAAAATAGGTATAACTATTATGTATCAATGAAAACAAATAAATAAATGATAATTACACCATCCATGAATAAGATAAAGTGGCTTAAAGGGGTCCATAAAAATTGGCTTATAAAGTTCCACCACAATGAACTCCAACAAAGTACTGAAGCATTTTCAAGATTTCCTATGATTGAATTTTTTTTTGTTTTTTGTTTGTTTGTTTGTTTGTTTGTTTGTTTGTTTTGAGACAAAGTCTCGCTCTGTCACCCATGCTGGAGTACAGTGGCGTGATCTCGGCTCACTGCATCCTCCTCCTCCCGGGATCAAGCAATTCTCCCACCTCAGCCTCCTGAGTAGCTGGGATTACAGGCACGTGCCTCCACACCTGGCTAATGTGTTTTTGTATTTTTAGTAGAGATGGGGTTTCACCATGTTGGCCAGGCTGGTCTCGAACTCCTGACCTCCGGTGATCCACCAACCTCAACCTCCTAAAGTGCTGGGATTACAGCTGTGAGCCACCACACCCAGCCTGAAGTTTAGCCTTTAAGGGAAAACTACCTGTACAGCTTCTTTACAGTTGGAAATCTCCTTGAGAATTAAGAGGCTTTCAAAAGTGCACTTTATTCAAAGCAACCAAACTACAAGTAACATGCAAACTGAAAAAAATACACAAAGCCTGAAATATTAAAATAAAAATAAACAGTAAATGGTCAAATGTTTCTGTTAAAATCAAACATTTCATAAGTAATGTTAATCTTCATTAGGTAGGCACAGTAAGATAACTTATCAGACATGAAGACAACAAAGGCAACCCAACTAATTCAAGTCCTTTCTCAAGTATAATATCTTCCCAAAAACCACTCAGTTTTTTAACCACACTTAAAGGAAAATTGTTAAATAAGTTTTCTGTCTCTGATTAGAAAATTATATTAGAGATCATACAATTGACTGCTATGTCCTCTCAGAAATACATATTGTAGGTCAGGCGCGTTGGCTCACACCTGTAATCCCAGCACTTTGGGAGGCCAAAGCAGGTGAATCACCTGAGGTCAGGAGTTCAAGACCAGCCTGGCCAACGCGGCAAAACCCCATCTCTACTAAAAATACAAAAATTAGCCAGGCATGGTGGCACATGCCTGTAGTCCCAGCTACTCGGAAGGCTGAGGCAGGAGAATCGCTTGGACCTGGGAGGCAGCAGTTACAGCCGAGATCACACCATTGCACTGCAGCCTGGGCAACAGAGCAAGACTCCATCTCGAGAAAAAAAAAAAAGAAAGAAAGAAATATATATTGTAAAGTAACTTTATGCATGAGTTCAAGAAACTTTATGCATGATTCCTCAAATAAGTAAATCCTCTATGAAGCCCACACAAATAATAAGTCACTGGGAGGAAGAGAGGAGGGGATAGATTCATGACAATTGGCTATATTAAGTTTGAGGTATGTTGTCTGTAGATTTCTCTTATGCAACAAATATAAATCTGTGATTATCACTGACAATCAAAATATGGTAGAGTGGCTGAACATTTCTAATAAGCAGTTTTCTATAATTCTAAAATTTCCTATATATCAGACTAGTTCTAATCAAGGCATCACACAGGATGCATGACTGTACTATTCTATAGGCTGACTTTGTAATATTTATCCCTAAGAAGCTAAAAGTATGTTAGATTAACAACAGCTGAAAGAAGCATGAAACTGCACATATCTATGACATACAAGTTGTGATACCTGGTCAACACACAAAAATAGGATACATGTACCACTGCTCTCAGGAAGTTGAATATCTCATGGGAGAGACAAGACCAAAATACACAAATTAATGAAGAGTTCTATGAGAACAGAACATAATAAAGTAGTAAAACTGACCATTAGAGCTATATAAATCACAAGAAAAAAGACCAATGTTGGTTCAAGTAGTGACCAAAAAAACTTACAAATTATAGATGTGTTAGTTTCAAGTCCAGTGCAGGGATTTATTTCCACCTACTGCCTGTGCCTTGGGTAAAAGTTATCAATCACTTGCTGGAAATGCTTTTACAATAACTTAAGCAAACATACATTTTTAATAACTGTAATATTATATATAGATATATTCCATCTTAAATATCCTCAGTTTTTCATTTTTGACACTTTTACAAAAAAGGAGTTAGTTGGGGTAAGTTAATCAACCTTCATAAGATTTTAAGCAAGGAGCCCAGACAATCTCAAAAAAGTATTCTCAATCTAGAGAAACACAATGTTGAGATCATTTTAACATGAATTAAAATACATTCCAAGTAACACATGGAAAAACACACTAACTTTAATGTAAAAACTATTTGCTCTGTACTACTGCAAGACTAAAGAGGACTGTGTTACAGCCTTCAGAAGCTGGGCTCAGACTCTATGTCTCTTCTCACAGTCCTAGCAAATCTTTTTTTGTTTGTTTACTTTTATTTTAGGATTGCAGGCATATGTGAAGGTTTGTTATACAGGTAAACTCATGTCATGGGGGTTGGTTGTAGGGATAATTTCATCACCCAGGTATTAAGCCTAGTACCCAGTAGTTATTTATCTGATAGGTTAGACAGATAAAGTACACTTAACTCCTGACAAGGACTGACTAGCTTCTGTCAATGTACTTTGCCAAAGGGGTCAGAATCTAAGTATAGTCTAATTAAAAATCACCAACTATTCCCTAGAGAGAAACAAAACCCTCCGTCAAGACATAACTCAATCCTTCAAATGTGGGGTTTTCTTTCTGACTTCAAGAATGTTTCCAAGTAACACATCTAAAGAAAGAACCTTAGGTGGCAAACAAACGGTGTTGGTTCAGACATTTCTCCTACCTACACCTCCAAACGCCCCCCCATCCCCATCACCTGTCAATTATCACAAGATTAGAATCTAGCCACATTACAGCCCTCTGAAAATCTTTCTTATGCCACAGTCTGGCCCCCCAAAATGAGGAGCACGTTTCTCTTTTAGTTCTGCATAAAATCTAATTAAAAGAAAGTTGATGGTGTAAAAAGAAACACAGGGAGGCTTTCTTCTTGCCTACTCCTTCATCTTTACTCTTTTCTTTTCTCCTTAAAGCTATAGGAAAAATCAGTTAATAGTCTGAATCCCAACTGCAAGACTTATTAATAACTAGATAAACCTTTAAGACTCTAAATAATTCTGAGTCTTTTTTTTTTTTTTTTTGAGACGGAGTCTCGCTGTGTCGCCCAGGCTGGAGTGCAGTGGCACGATCTCGGCTTGCTACAAGCTCCGCATCTCAGGTTCACGCCATTCTCTTGCCCCACCTCCCGAGTAGCTAGGACTACAGGCGCCTGCAACCACGCCCGGCTAAATTTTTTTTATTATTCTTAGTAGAGACGGGGTTTCACCATGTTACCCAGGATGGTTTCGATCTCCGGATCTCGCGATCTGCCCGCCTGGGCCTCCCAAAGTGCTGGATTACAGGCGTGAGCCACCGCGCCCAGCCAGTCCTCAGTTTTAAAATGGGGCAAAAAAAAAAAAAATCCACCTACTTGAGACATCTGTCGTCTGTGTTACCAGAGACGATTTCTTTTTTTTTTTTTTTTTTTTTTTTGAGACAGAGTCCCGCTCTGTCGCCAGGCTGGAGTGCAGTGGCGTGATATCAGCTCACTGTAACCTCCACCTTCCTGGTTCAAGTGATTCTCCTGCCTCAGCCTCCCGAGTAGCTGGGACTACAGGCGTGGGCCACTACGTCGAACTAATTTTTGTGTTTTAGCAGAGACAGGGTTTCACCACGTTGGCCAGGATGGTCTTGATCTCTTGACCTCGTGATCTGCCTGCCTCGGCCTCCCAAAGTGCTGGGATTATAGGCATGAACCACCGTACCCGGCCACCAGAGATGATTTCTAACAGTGATTAGTATGGTTCCTGGCAAACATCAAAGGACTTCACTAAATGAAATGGAGTCACCAAAGACAACACACTTTACAACCTTGTTCAAACCCTACTAACTAAAAAGCAAGCTTATAAAAAATGAACACATGTGCAGTAACAACGGAACATTTATAAATCTATTTGTAATCCTAGCTTTAGAAATGCAATCATGAAAAAAGCCACTTTCCTATATACTATGGGCAAATAACAATTTTTGCATAACAAATATTAAATTGCATGCATTTTCTACCAACTCCAATCTAAACAATGACATTAAGTAGTGTGTGAAAACAAAAAAAAAAAGAGATACCAAAAAAATGATAAAGCTGGGTAAAATAACTTGTTAACTACTAACATAGTAATTTTTTTTTTTTGCCGGGGGGGGAGACAAAATCACTCTGTCACCCAGGCTGGAGTGCAGTGACACGATGTTGGCTCACTGAAACCTCCACCTCCCAGGTGAAGCGATTCTCATGCTACAGCCTCTTGAGTAGCTGGGATTACAGGCGCACGTCACCACACCCGGCTAACTTTTCATATTTAGTAGACAGAGGGTTTTGCTATGTTGGCCAAGATGGTCTTGAACTCCTGGTCTCAAATGATCCGCCCACCTAGGCCTCCCAACCATGCCCAGCCCTAACACAGTAATTTGCGAGGTGAACAGCATTAATGCTTGCTTTCCATGAAGTACACAATAAAGAAAGTTGGGTAAACATTCTGGTTTTTCCCTAGAGTTATGGATTTAACAATTTCTTTTCATTTGAAGGGATGTCAATGTTGTAGGTGGTGGTGGTCGTGGTGGTGGTGGTGGTGTAACTAAAAGAGTAGCAAAAAAGATTCAGCAAGCATCCTAAGGGGAATTTACACGCCCTTACTGAGCAGTAATTCATTAATATGCAAATTTGGAACATTGCTAATAACAAAATAAGCAAAAGCAGGTAGAAAAGGGATTCTCACAATGGGTAAGATTTTGCCCTGAGTCTTCTGTTTCTTCAATTCATTCCTTTAAATCTACCATCAATATAGCAGGTTACTGCCAGGCATAGTGGCTCAAACCTGTAATCCAGGACTTTGGGAAGCCAAGGCAGGAAGAGTGCTTGAGCTTAGGAGTTTGAGGCTACAATGAGCTATGACTGACTGCGTGGGTAGACTGCCTTAGCTCAGGAGTTCCAGGCCAGCCTGGGCAACATAGCAAAACCCCATCTCTAAAAAAAAAAAAAAAAAAAAAAAACTTAGCCAGATGTGTTAACATGCACCTGTAGTCCTAGCTACTCAGGAGGCTGAGGTGGGAGGATCGCTTGAGCCCGGGAGGCAGAGGTTGCAGTGAGCCAAGATTGCACCACTGCACTCCAATCTGAGCAACAGAGCGAGACCCTGTCTTAAAAAAAAAAAAAAAAAGTACAGCTGGCTACTCTGGAAAACTATTTGCTTTGCACGTTGACTGACATTATTAGGATTAGTTCCAGTTCATAATTTCATCATCAAAGTACCAACGTTAAACTTGATCGGTAACAATCCAGTTACCAATCAATTAATTAGTAAAATCTCAACACTTCAGGAAAAAAGAGTGAGACTTTCCAACTCACAAACACTAGATATCCTGGATGGTTCCTTTAGGGAATTCTGTGCTGAGCAGTGGTCCACAGAGATCAATGTTTTGGGGCTGCAAGCAAGTGGGTGTGTGCTAGAGTGGTATGTGATCCACTTGATCAATAAATATTTTACTACCAGTTAGCACTGTATTCTCTTCTTCTTACAAATATAGCTAGCAGCTATGTACAAAGCTAATACCATACTTTTTGGTATATTTCCAACACTTTTTAAATTTTATTAGCAATATTATCTTTTCTGTTTTGGGGTTTGTTTTTGTTTGTTTTGTTTTTGGTAGATACAGGGTGTCCCTATGTTAACCAGGTTGGTTTCGAACCCCTGGGCTTGAGCAATCCTTCTGCCTTGGCCTCCCAAAGTAACAATACTATCTTTGAAACATACAATGGCCAGGCATGGTGGCTCATGCCTATAATCCCAGGACTTCGGGGGGCCAAGGCAGGAGGATTGATTGAGCCCTGGAGTGTAAAACCAGCCTAGGAAGGCTCAACATAGGAAGATCCCATCTCTACAAAAATACAAAAATTATGGGAGGCCGAGGCGGATGGATCATGAGGTCAGGAGATCGAGACCATCCTGGCTAACACGGTGAAACCCCGTCTCTACTAAAAATACAAAAAATTAGCCGGGCGCGGTGGCGGGCGCCTGTAGTCCCAGCTACTCGGGAGGCTGAGGCAGGAGAATGGCGTGAACCCGGGAAGCGGAGCTTGCAGTGAGCCGAGATTGCGCCACTGCAGTCCGCAGTCCGGCCTGGGCGACAGAGCGAGACTCCGTCTCAAAAAAAAAAAAAAAAAAAAATACAAAAATTAGCCTGGCATAGTGGCACACACCTGTAGTCCCAGCTACCTGGGAGGCTGAAGTGGGAGGATCACTTGAGCCCAGGAGGTTGTGGCTGCAGTTAGCCATCATCGCAACACCGCATTCAGCCCGGGAAACAGAGTGAGACTCTGTCTCAAAAAAAAATACACACACACACACACACACACACACACACACACACACACACGCACACAGAGAGAGATATGCCTAAAACTAATCAATAACCTATGCGGTTAATTTTATTACTTCAACTTAAGAGTATTTCTAAAAGTATTTTCTTATGTAAAGGGCAAATTTCTCTAGAAAAAGCAATTAAAACCAAAATGAACCATGGTTAATTCTAAGTGCATTTTTTCTAGACAAAATAGCAAAATAATGCAGCTTTACACCATCCAGTAAGTCTTAACATTTGAAATTAGAACATATTACTGGGTCTAAAGTTACTAAATAGAAAAATTAACAAGTATGAGTTATTACCATGGGCTGCTAATTCAATGGATCACTAAATACTATCAAGCTGCCTAATCCCTAATGTTCTTAGATTTTTTTTTTTTTGATCTTCAAATAAAGAGTTCCTTCAGTAAGACTGTTCACTGAGCAAATGTTTACTGAGTACCTACCAAGTGCCAGGCTCATGCCAAATGCTGTGCCAGGCACTAGAGGCATGCTAGTTAAAAGACTGGTGGGGCCAGGAATGGTGACTCACGCCTATAATCCCAGCACTTTGGGAGGCAGACACAATAGGACCACTTGAACCCAGGAGTTCATGGCCAGCCTGGGCAACCCAGCGAGACCCCATCTCTATAAAAAAGAAAATTTAAACCACATAATAAATGAATGAACGAATGAATGAATGAATAGTGGGGCTCCCCAACTCCCAGAGCTCACATTTTAATGGAGATGTACATTAAACAAGCTTAGATCAATTTGGCACCATATAACTTGCTCATTCTTTTAAAAAGTAAGACTTGAATTATATAATTCAACAATAATCAAGTAATTAGTTGTAAGTAAGCAGCTTCTCTCTTCTAGACCAAAGGGAGAAAGAAGGAATGGAGAGGAGAAAGGACAGGAAGAGATAGGGGTAAGGTGAATAGAAGAGAGTGGAGGGAGGGAGAAATAAAGGGAAAGGCTGAGACAGACATCCAATGGGAGCATCTGATTTCCTAGACTGAGCCATGCCTCTGGTTTATCCCAACTACAAACACTGGGAAAAATCCGTTATACTTAAATTGGGTTCCTTTTTTTTTTTTTTTTTTTTTTTTTTTGAGACGGAGTCTCACTGTGTTCCCCAGGCTGGAGTGCAGTGACGCAATCTCGGCTCACCACAACCTCTGCCTCCTGGGTTCAAGTGATTCTCCTGCCTCAGCCTCCCGAGTAGCTGGGACTACAGTCATGCACCACCATGCCCAGCTAATTTTTGTATTTTTAGTACAGATGCGGTTTCACTATGTTGGCCAGGCTAGTCTCGAACTCCTGACCTCGTGATCTGCCCGCCTCAGCCTCCCAAAGTGCTGGGATTACAGGCATGAGCCTCAGCGCCTGGCTGTCATTTATAACCAAGAACACTTATTAATACAAATTTATGAAGTTCATGTTTAAAACACTTCATGCCATGTATACATACAACATATATTTGCTAAATGAATGTATGAAACGTTAACATCTATTGAGCACTGTGTTACATCTCCAGCTGTGATATGTACTTTGTACATAGCATGTTATTTAATCCACACAATTGCCTTACAAGGTGGGTGCCAAAACCATCTGAGTATTTTAGGAGAGAAAATTGAGGCATGGAGGTTATTTAATAATTGCCCAAGGTCACATGCTCAGTAAAGAGTAAAGAGTTTTGCAAAACTCAAGACTGACACAAAAACCTGTGCTGGTAAGTACTACACAACACTGATCAAAAGTTCTAATGAGAAAGCATTGAACTAATGTGTATCTATCCTGAATAATTGGATACTTCTTAACTGCTACACAGTATTTTAACAAAATCTCAGTTTACTGAATGAAATTTAACAATGTCCAAAATGCTACAACCCATTCTTAATTTTCTAAAAACCTTCAGGAAAACCTTTCCTGATTTTAGACCTTTTCACAGCTTAAAACACATCCTCTTACACCTTATCTCCCTTGTTCTCTACAGAGTAAATTTGAAAGTTAGTTTTTTTTTTGTTTTTTTTTTTTTTTTTTTTGAGACGGAGTTTCGCTCTTGTTGCCCAGGCTGGAGTGCAATGGCGCGATCTCAGCTCACCTCAACCTCCGCCTCCCAGATTCAAGCAATTCTCCTTCCTCAGTCTCCCGAGTAGCTGGGATTACAGGCATGTACCACCACACCCGGCTAATTTTGTATTTTTAGTAGAGACGGGGTTTCTTCATGTTGAGGCTGGTCTCGAGCTCCTGACCTCAGGTGATCCGCCCGCCTCGGCCTCCCAAAGTGCTGGGATTACAGGCGTGAGCCACCGCACCCAGTCGAAAGTTTCTTATTCATTTTGTTTGTACCCAGTCTGGGAAAGAAAGACTCAAGATACCATCTGAATTCTATATCCTCTAGCAGTTAAGCACTCACACAAGAGGCTTGGAAGGGAGAATCACATTTTTTTTTAATCACTGAAACTCCTATTCTATTATAAATACATACATTATGGCCAAGTTCAGACTTTAAGTAACTACTATGACTAAAAAAAAATTATTTTCATGGTTATTAAAATAATAGTAATTATGAGTATTTGTATAATACTTTACAGTTTACAAAGCATTTATACACAGTATATACCTGGACCCTCCTAGATATCCCTTAAGTAGACAGAGAATAAATCATGCCTCCATTTGGCAGTGAAAGAAACTCATGATGAAAGGAGTGTAGTGATTTGCCCTAAGTCATTCCCAGTAAGTGACAGATTGGGGTTTTAAAACAGGACTTCTGGCTCCAAAGTCAATATTCATTCCAAGAAAATAATACTTTACCACTGACTGTCAAAGCAGTTTTCTATCTGCTTACTCTAAGGATACTTTTCCCCCTAAACCTTCAACCAGAAATGTTCAAATAAATCATCAGCTGCTTTGAAGTCTCTTCAGTACAAACCTGTGTTCATGAACACTTACTCCGCAAACCTGCCACACACGGTAGCTAGAAATGTATGTCTCCTATGTATAGCAACTCAGGAAACTTAGTATTCTTAATAGTTACCTTTTAGGCTTTTATTTTTATTTATTTTTTTATTCTTTGAGACAGTGTCTCCCTCCGTTGTCCAGGCTGGAATGCAGTGGCACCACCTCGGATCACTGCAGCCTTGACCTCCCCGGGCTCAGGTCATCCTCTCACCTCAGCCTTCCGATCAGCTGGGGCTACAGGCGTGAGCCACTATGACCGGCTAATTTTCTTATTTTTTTTTTTTGTAGAAACAGTTTTGCCATGTTGCCCAGGCTGGTCTTGAACTCCTGGGCTCAAGTGATCCGCCTACCTTGGCCTCCCAAAGTGCTGGGATTATAGGCATGAGCAACCGCACCTGGGCTAGAAAAGAATCTTTTTTATTAAAAGTTTCCATGCCTGCCCTTAAAGAGATGGATCTAAAATAATTTAACACTCTTCTAATTCAATACAACAATTCTTTACAGGGCATCGCTCCTATAGCCAGGCCCTGTGTGTTAAGTGCTGATGATTCAAAGGTGAAAAAAAAACACACACAAAAAAAACAAAACCATGGACCTTAACTTCAAGGCACACACAGGCAAGCTGGAGGATGGTCGGGGAGAAAGGAGGTGGGAAAATGAGGGAGATGGCAGGAGGGGTGGCCACAACCAGTTGTAAGATGCCAAAACAATGTCTAAAGTAGGGGCAGCACATAGTCCAGAGAGTCTTTAAGCAAACCCTAAGTGAAACATGGACAGATGAGAGCAGCATGGGCCCGTAAGTAAGGAGGGAATCGTAGGCAGTCTTTGCAATAATCCCATCCAGAGCCTGGTACCTGGAGGTAGAATTCAAGAGGAAGGAGTAGACTTGAAATGCCAACCTATAAGGTCAGAGACAGAAGAGAAAACAATATAGTGACAGATATGTCAAGCACAGGAGAGGCCACCCACTAGAGAAAAGTAAAGGCAACCATCCCATACTGAAGGGGAGATACAGCTCAACAAGGAGAGGACAGGCAGAAGAGGACGCTGGTGCACACGCACCCACATGTGCATACAGAACCTTGCAGCCCTTCATCCTCTCGTTTTGTCAACTCAATAAAAATATTCCTGTGACTCTGATCATGAGTCACAGAATCAGAATGACTGGAGGTCATTCTGGCTAACCTTGTGACTTGGGGGAGTGAAGGAACTGGAGTCCAGACAAGCAGAGTTATTTGCCCAAAGCCACATGCACTAGTGCATAATAAAGACTACAGCCCTGATTACTGGGCCCTCGTGTCCTAAGCTCTGCCAAACCGCCTGCCTCCAAATACTTCCATGAATTTGTGTTGCTTCTAACATCTTTCAAAGCTCACCTCAAATATATTATAAGGATTGCTAAAATGAATTTTAATAATGACAAAGTTTACCTCAAAATTATTTATGCTGAGGAAATGTAATATTTCATACATCTACTAGAAAATATCTGTAGGGGCATTTATAACACTCTCTTCCTACAGTAGTTATCTTAGGAAATAGTATGTAGAATCAGTGTTACAACTCACTACTACATTTTATTATTTTATCATTATAAACAATGGCCAAGGTTAAGGATAATAGTGACAGTATAAATCTACTCTTAATGCGTCTGATGGAGGCTGTATACTTAATAACTAATAGAGTAATTAACTACTGCACATATACAAGCTGCAAGAAAGAAATACTTTGAAAATGGGCATAATTATTCTCACTCATGATTAGTGATGCTCTTTCCCAAAGACACAAGACACCAGAATCCATCTTAGCCCTGACCAGAATATTCTTCCTGAAGTGATCATTAGGAGACAACATCAACCTGTTCCCAGGAGAAGACAAGACAGCCATCTTTCTTAATTAGAAAGCAGACACTTCATTTAAACTTTCCTAATACTGAAAACTCAAATTAACGTCCCAGGCATCCTCATTTATTAATTCCTTAACAAATCCCCAGAAAAGTTTTGCTACTAACTTTTCAGATTTCTTAAGCAAGACATAGTATGTAGTTGCCTACATACTAGATTTTATTAACATGTTGAATTCACCCATTTCATTCAATTTTATCCACACTTTAAGTGAATGTCAGAAAGAGCATCAAGATAACAAAGCAGCTGAGAAACTGTCCAGGAGCCTAACCATTGTTGAAAATATTTCTCCTAGTCTCTCCAAGCTAAGTTCTGAAAAAACTAAAAGATGACATTCCAACAAACTTTACAGTAATGCTGTACAAACACAACAGAGATCCCTGTCCTTAAGCATGTGCTCAAACCAGGCCCACAAATAACACCTGAGTGCTGGGTGCAGTGGCTCACACCTGTAATCCCAGCACTTTGGGAGGTTGAGGCAGCAGGATCACTTGAGCCCAGGAGGTCAGCACCGGCCTGGACAACACACTAAGACTCCATCTCTACAAAAAGTAATAACAAATAAACATCTGAGTAATGAATAATCCGATCACATTCTCTTGTCACTGGAGCCTGTATGAGTCCTAGACCACCTATTAAAAAGTTTCATTTGGCCAGGCGTGGTGGCTCACGCCTGTAATTTCAGCACTTTGGGAGGCCAAGGAGGGTGGCTCACCTGAGGTCAAGAGTTCGAGACCAGCCTGGCCAACATGGTGAAACCCCATCTCTACTAAAAATACAAAAATTAGCCAGGCGTGGTGGCACACGCCTGTCATCCCAGCTACTCGGGAGGCTGAGGCAGGAGAATCGCTTGAACCTAGGAGGTGGAGGTTGCAGTGAGCCGAGATCGCACCACTGCACTCCAGCCTGGGCAACAGAGTGAGACCCTGTCTCGAAAAAATAAATAAATAGAAATAAAAAATAAAAAATACATTGGCTGGGTGTGGTGGCTCATGCCTGTAATCCTACCACTTTGAGAGGCCAAGGTGGGCAGACTGCCTGAGCTCAGGAGTTCAAGACCAGCCTGGGCAACATGGTGAAACCCTGTCTCTACTAAAATACAAAAAATTAGCTGGGCCTCTAATCCCAGATACTTGGGTGGCTAAGGCAGCAGAATTGCTTGAACCCAGGAAGCGGAGGTTGCAGTGAGCCAAGATCGCGCCACTGCACTCCAGCTTGGGCGACAGAGCAAGACTTCATCTCAAAAAAAAATAAAATAAAATAAAAATAATTAGAGGAGGATGAACCAGAAGATCATGAAGATGGTTTGAAACTACACCCAGGAAGTCAGCTCTTCACTCCTAACTACCTCCTACATACCATCCAACAAATGCTCAAAGTAAAGATGCCCAATAAATTCTTGAAGCCTAAAATATTTATCAATTCATGGTTCACAAAATGGACTACAGGCAACTTTACATATACAGTCATGCATCACTTAATAACAGTGATAGTTTCTGAGAAATATGTTGTTAGGCAATTTCGCCATTGTGTGAACATCATGGAGTGGACTTACACAAATCTAGATAGTGGATCTACTACAGACCTAGGCTATATGGCATAGCTTATTGCTTCTAGGCTACAAACCTGTACTGAACTAAATATTGTAGGCAATTTTAACACAAAGTATTTAGCTACAAAGTATTCATTTAGCTAAACATATCTAAACATGGAAAAAGAATTTTTCAATTGCATTATAAACTCAGGATGACCGTTGTATCTGTGGTCCATCATTGATCTAAACATTGTTATACAGTGCATGACTGTACGAGTTACCATGGGGTTTATGGTTTCCAAGCACAATCCCAGACAGAATAGAAGACAATTAACTATTACAGTCAAAAACTTCCTTACAGCTCACATAAATCTGAATCCACCAAATCAAAGAACAAAATCCTCTTCAATATGTGCCTGATGCCCAAATTTCAAAACTCCAAAGTAAATGAATATTAAACAAGTAACTTGCCAAGACTTGGGCTCTCCAAAGTGGAGATAATTAATGCTATAGAGGTCCATGTCTTCGGTGTGCCATGCAAACGTGGTCTTCCACATGCCAAAATAGAGATATGGGGTATTTACACCCTCAATAGAAATGCCACACTCTTCTTCAACCACATCCAAGACTGTATTGAGGCGAGCTATGTTCCATTCATCCACACCCTGGAATGAGAGAGAAAAAAAGAGAGAGAAATCAAATCTTACTAAACCATGAAAGATAGCATTTACTAATCAAACCACTATCCACCAAAATTATTACATTGTATATTCTAACTAACTGAAAACTGAAAAATAAAACAACTCTTATTCAAGAGCCACATACATATGTCCATTATTATTGGTCAAAGATTACTACCAGCATAATGTGGTTCCATACAACTATCTGGTAGAAATTTATACCAAATAGCTTCCTGATGCCAAATGGAAATGAAAGTTACAGACCCACTCCCAACTTGGCTGTCAGCAAAAAATTACTGATTCAAAGTAGATGATCCGGCATGTGCTCTCCCTCCTTGGCACACCTTTTTGTTTTTGGGGTTTTGAGATTTGGGTTTTCTTGGGATTTTTTTGCACATTAGTTTAGAGGTAATATTCACCATCACATATCACATCAAGAAACCAACAGCAAAATATATCTTCTGCTATCTCTCTCCCATCCCTATCCATTCAATCTTAGCATGTAATACATTGTTTCCTTAAAGTTCCACTCTAATTATTGGAAAAACTCTTGGCAGTATCCACTGATCACTGTGCTTCTACTGATGCTTCAAATAAATATTTACCTCTTATGTTAATGGAAAAATTTAAACACATAATGCCTATTAAAAATACTTATCCCAACTTTGGTAAAACTGCTGGAATAATGTAGTTTTATAACAGTATAACAATATGGATGGTGATGGCAGAGCGAGGGAAGGTTAGAGTCACTACTATAAGAGTTAAGGTGATAGGAAAAGATTCTGGTTTGATTAGAACTTAACAATCATTTTTTTTTTTTCCCCTGAGACAGTCTCACTCTGTCGCCCAGGCTGGAGTGCAGTGGTGCAATCTCAGCTCACCGCAACCTCTACCTCCCAGGTTCGAGCAATTCTTATGCCTCAGCCTTCCACACAGCTGGACCTACAGGCGTAGGCCACCGCACCCACCTAATGTTTCGTATTTTGAGTAGAGACAGGAGTTTCGCCATGTTGCCTAGGCTGGTCTCGAACTCCTGGCCTCAAGTGACCTGCCCACCTCGGCCTCCCAAAGTGCTGAGATTACAAGCGTGAGCCACCACACCCGGCCAATCACTCATGAATTGACTACAGTTCACAACTGCTTAGAAATTTTTACAAACTATGCATTTTTACCATATATTTTTATCAAATTCTAAATATCAGAGACTAGGCATGTTCCTGTGTAATCATGGGGAAACTGAAATGCCTTTAAAGCCATTCCAACCTTTTCGTGCTAATGCACTATTAGAGAAGCGCATTGGCCAGGTGCAGTGGCTCACGCCTGTAATCCCAGCACTTTGGGAGGCTGAGGAAAGCAGATCACTTGAGCCCAGGAGCTCAAGACCAGCCTGGGAAACATGGCAAGACCCCATGTCTATTTTAAAAATAAAAAATTGAGGGTATTAAATTCATCTATGTCTACCAAAATTGTCCTCTCCAATAACTATACCAATGGCTTCACATACAACCACTTCTAACATTTCCTGAACACACTAAAAGCTTTTAGAGTTGTTCTGTTTTCATTTTGGTCTTTAAATGATTTTCTAATCAGTGTGTTAATCTTACTGTCTAAAGCTTTGGGGTTAAAAAACTATTGATGAAGCAGCTAATGAAACTCTGACTCAGGTAACATAACTGAACATGCCAAAGGACATAATTTAATTCCCAAATTCTCTTAAGTAGCCACTCTATCTACAACTTAGGCCACACGCTGAGAAGCTTGTTATTTGGAAACTGGTCAAAGTATCCGTTTAGAGAAGATCCGGCCGGGCGCGGAGACTCACGCCTGTAATCCCAGCACTTTGGGAGGCCGAGGCGGGTGGATCATGAGGTCAGGAGATCGAGACCATCCTGGCTAACACGGTGAAACCCTGTCTCTACTAAAAATACAAAAAATTAGCCAGGCCTGGTGGCGGGCGTCTGTAGTCCCAGCCACTCGGGAGGCTGAGGCAGGAGAACGGCCCCGGGAGGTGTTTGCAGTGAGCCGAGATCGTGCCACTGCACTCCAGCCTGGGCGACAGAGCAAGACTCCGTCTCAAAAAAAAAACAAAAAAAGAGAAGATCCTAGGTTCCAACTTTTCAGACCTCATAGAAGTTCAATCACATTATGTAAAATATTTTATCTCATTCTATTTATAGCGATGCAATCTCTTAACTCTAGTCCAATCAGACTTCAGTCCAATCACTCTAATAATAGAGTCCTATTTAAAAGTCATTAGTGAAGCAATGAATCTGAAGTAATAAATGAGCACCATATTATAGGAACCATTTTTAAACTGAATGAGCTTGCAAATTTAGACACAAACTATTTCTCTAAAATTCCTACATATGGAGACATCTAAGTTTTATTTCTGACTGACACTATCTTTTAAAAATAACCAGGGTTGAATCCCTTGACATCCTAGACCCATGGTATGAGGGGAAGAGGGTAGAGATCAAATAGTGCTGGACAAAAAGACCTAGATTATAACCCCAGCTCTGCAGGTCACTGAGGGGAAAATCACGGAGCTTTTCTGAGCGTCAAGTCTTTCTTCATGGAAACACAAGGGTTCTTGTACCCTCCTAGAGTTGCTCGGAGCACTAAATAAGCTAATGAAAATAAACTTTAATAAAATAAAATTTAATTATTAGAACTGATATAATAAATATCACCACTATTCTCTAGCAAATCTTACTGGAAAGCCTCCCAAAAAACAAGTCAAGCATGTGAGAAGTGATTATTTAATAAAATGTGTTTAAATTCACTACTGAATTTCTCCCCGTTAATGGGCAAATAACATATTTGCAGCAGTTTCTTCTCAGCAAGGCAAGGTTGCTAAAAAGTAATTTATTTTGCTAAAATAAAAAGTCATATAATTTCAATTAAGCAGTTGTGCAAATATTAAGAATAACCAACAGAGATAAATCTTATTGTTTCAAAATTCTTTCTCCAATTTTTGTTCTCTACTATTAAACTAGCTATCTGACTCCAAAAACAGGCTCCACAAAGGCTCTTCTGAACAGTACCAGGTCTGTCTCATATACTTAGACCAAAAATGCACCTAGTTATCATTAAAGTGAAGTGTTATACAATATACTACCTCATTACACTATACACACTTGTATCTTACATTTATTCTAAACAATCCTATAAAATAGGTAATGTTATTCCCAAATGAACAAATGAAAAAATTAACACTCCTAGCTAGAAGTAGATGGTAATGATTAACCTAAATCTATCTGACTCCTGGACCTTCCCTTTTAAAGGTTTATGCTTCTAGTCCTGATCCTTTCAAAACACAACATATCATCCTCTTCTCTCAGCATCATTGTCAACAAAGATCTGAGGTTCAGGAGCAGCAAACACGTGAAGCTGCTGCATTCTTCCCACCAGAGGCAGTGCCACTCTACACAAATACCAGCAAGGCTTACACTGCAGACTGCTTCACTTGAGAGCAGGTGACAGGAATGATTTAGTGTAAAAGCAGTCTCCAAACCCCAGCTACACACAAGCCCCACAATGACAAGTTAGAATCTGCCGAACTGTTTAAAACTTAATTCCATCAGGTTTCAGCAGAAAGGCTGCACACCAGCCCAAGTTCACAGACAAAAGTCTCCTCCTGGATTCTGTCTCCCTCGAACAAAACTCTCCCACACATGTTCAGCAGGCACATGAGCAATATTCATAACTCACCTGACTTCCAATGGACTAACTGGAGTCCTAAGCCTGGGAGTCTACGTGCCCCGGCCCCTTTCTCCTTTCATGCCAATTACCCAGTTGGAGCCTGTCCTGCCCCATTCCTTTACGTATCCTGCATCTGTTTTCTGAAACAACTCACAATTGGACCACGATTTTTGCACACAGGTGTAACTGAGAACTTTATTAGGGATATTCCCTTTCAATCAGTGATAGTATCTTCCTCCTATCAGGAATCAGACAGCAGTTTAAAAGCACTCGTAGGCCAGGCACAGTGGCTCATGCCTGTAATCCCAATACTTTCAGAGGCCAAGGAAGGAGAATCACTTGAGGCCAGGAGTTCAAGATCACCCTGGGCAACACAGTGAGACCCCGTCTCTACAAAAAATTTTAAAATTAGCCAGGTGTGGTGCCTCACGCCTGTAATCCCTGCTACATGGAAGGCTGAGATGGGAGGATCAATTGAGCCCAGAAGGTCAAGGCTAGAGTGAGCCAGTGATTGCGCCACTGCACTCCTGCCTGCATGACAGAGCAAGACCCTGTCTCAATCAGTCAATCAATCAATGCATTCCTAAATCTTCAATGTCTCAACTAGGCCATCCTGGACTCTCTCCACAGTAACTGCACTCAGTCTCTGCAAAACTGAAGGGAACAACACAGCAACATGCCATGTTAGAAACCTTGAGAAATAATGAGCCATTTCCACCTACAGAAAGAAATAATGTGAAAATCATAGTAGCTCAATTTTTCCCAAAATATTTCCAATGCAACATTAGAAATATGGGTCCTAGGCTGGGCGCAGTGGCACACGCCTGTAATCCCAGCACTTTGGGAGGCCGAGGCAGGCGGATCACCTGAGGTCAGGAGTTCAAGACCAGGCTGACCAACATGGTGAAACCCCATCTCTACTAAAAATACAAAAATTAGCCGGGTGTGGTGGCACACACCTGTAATCCCAGCTATTCAGGAGGCTGAGGTAGGAGAATCACTTGAACCCGGGAGGCAGAGGTTGTGGTGAGCAGAGATCATGCCACTGCACTTCAGCCTGGGCAACAAAGCGAGACTCCATCTCAAAAAAAAAGAAATATCAGTCCTATCAGATGCCAAGGTCGAAAAACTTTGTCCTCTTTAACTCTAGCTCTTAAGACAGTCACAGTGCTGACAGGCACCCCCAAAAGCACTCATAAGGAAACCTGTGTAACTTCGTTTAACTCTGCATTTCCCAAAAATCATTTGACCACGGAAGCTTGTTTGTATAACACATTTACATCATGTAAAACAGTGCTGTGTGGGACAACATATTAAAGGAAGCCTTATGATAGGCGGTTCCCTAAACACTGTAGTGCAAATGTTTAAGTCAGTAAAACAAAAAATTACTGTGACCACATCAGAGATGCACTTCAGAACCCGGGGTGTGTGAAGGGGTGGCTAGAGAATGGTCACATTTATTGTCAAAATACACATATTTAATTTGATTATGTCACTAAAAATAAAATAGTGTAAATTAGAAAAACTTAAAACAAAAGATATTTGTAAATGAAGATAGTCCAAAGGATTAAAACTAGGAAAAGAGAAGACTCAATCCAACGTTATAAAACTATAAAATGTACTGAAAAACAGAGAAAAAGCTTTTTTAAAAGTACGTAAAAATGATGGTTTATGCCTGTAATACCAGCACTTTAGGAGGCTGAGGCAGGATGAACACTTGAGCCCAGGAGTTTGAGACGATCCTGGGCAATAAAGAGAGAGACCTCATCTCTACCAAAAATTTTAAAAAATAGCCGGGTATGGTGACACATGCCACAGGTCCCAGCTACTCAGGAGGCGGCTGAGGAGGGAGTTGAGGTTGCAGTGAGTCATGATTGTGCCACTGCACTCCAGCCTAGGCAACAGAGTGAGATGTCTCAAAAAGAAAAAGATGGCATGTCCATCAAATATTACAAAAAAGATTTTTTTAGACAAAAAATAGATTATTAGTAAACTTTTGAAAACTGTGTCACTGCTGCACTCACCCAGCAAACAGTAAAATGGAATGAAGAATTTCAATCTGAAAGAGTAACCGAGTATCAGAATAGCACCATGCTGCACTGGAATCAAAAGTTCTCCAACCAAATGCTGGCTCCACCACTCACCAATTATAGGATCTGATGGTTTCTCAATCGCCTTTCATGGCAGAGCTACGCCCAGGGTTCAGTGCTGCAAATTGGGCCACAAGAAGACTGTGGCTACCTTGAAAGGACCACAGGAAAAGTCCAGTCTTTCACTGAAACTGTTTTCAAGAAAATACATTATTCCTAGCAGAAGTGGAGAAAGCCCTAAGGCTTCCCAATAGTACATAAATCCACACATGCCTACCTTATAGGACAGTTGTAAAGAAAGGATTACAAAACACAAGTGAAAATATTTTGAAAAATTGCTTAAATTTTTCATTTTCAAAGATGGGGAGAGGGTTCAGACCACAGCTTTTTAGAGGGGCACCTCGACGGATTCACAGCCCATTCCACTTCAAAGAGGGCTGTCAGCATCCTGTTCCAAACAGCATGGCAGCAGGCCGGGCACAGTGGCTCATGCCTGTAATCCCAGCACTTTGGGAGGCAGAGATGGGAGGATCACCTGAGGTCAGGAGTTCAAGGCCAGCCTGGCCAATATGGTGAAACCCCATCTCTATAAAAATATAAAAATTAGCCAGGCATGGTGGCACATGCCTATAATCCCAGCTACTCGGGAGGCTGAGGCACGAGAATCACTTGAACCCTGGCGGTGGAAGTTACAGTAAGCCAAGACTGCACCACTATACTCCAGCCCGGGCAACAGAGCGAGACTCTGTCTCAGAAAAAAGAAAACAAAAAACAAAGAGTACAAGAACACAGCAGGAAGTGGAGAGCTGAGTAATAAAGCAGGACTTACAAACTCAGGTGCCCAAAGAGCCAGGCAGGTAACAGCAATTAGTGAAGGCAGCCAGGTATATGTCAAAAAACGTGGGTATTGGGGGTGATGTGTATTTGGAGACAACCTACTATCCTGTCTAAAGGAGACAGCCATTACTCAGTCACTGGGAATGCTGCCAGATTTTCTGATTTTTTTTAAGCCACAAATCCCAATTTTATGTGACATTAACCAACTTTTAAAAACATGTGGATCAGTCCTGGTGCAGTAGCTCACGTCCGTAATCCCAGCACTTTGGGAGCCCAAGGCAGACGGATCACCTGGGGTCAGTTCTAGACTACCCTGGTCAACATGGTGAAACTCCATCTCTACTAAAAATACAAAAAAAAATTAGCCAGGCGTGGTGGTGTGGGCCTGTAATCCCAGCTACTCAAGAGACTGAGACAAGAGAATCACGTGAACCCAGGAGGCGGAGGTTGCAGTGAGCCGAGGTTGCAGTGAGCCATGATCGCATGCCACTGCATTCCAGCCTAGGTGACAGAGCAAGACTCCGTCTCAAAAAAAAAAAAAAAAAAAAAAGAAATGTGGATAAAAGAAAATAAATCTGTGGCCAAATCTGCAAAAAATGTAGCAGGCATTAAAGAGTCCATACTTATTACAGTAATTTTAAAAGAATAAAGGAAGGAGGAGTTTTGGAGACAGGCTATAAATATGAAGTTAGTGGTTGTGAGCTTACTGCTTTAAAATGAATCATATATTTGTCCAACACTAAATAGCTCTATCAGTTACTCCATAAATGTGTCCAGTAACTGGAGTGAGACTATACAAGTGGTAGGAACCTAACAGGAATCCACTCTATGAGCATGTTTTATCTCTCTGTTCCATGATCAATATGCAAATGGCCAAAGAAAAACAAAGTAAAATGGCAAAACACAAAGCCTGAGCAATTAAGAAAACTGATAACCAGCTCCAGGATAAGTAGGATCTAGCACAGCCCTGAACAAAACTGTGTAACTTCTTAAGAGAAGTCTCTGTGAGGCAGCAGAATGGCAGGGAAGGTCTGCTAGAACTTAGCCATTTGCCAGGCACAGGTGATGATTCTGTGAACTGCACCAAAGACGGCCTGATCATGCATTCTGCTTTGTCCACCAAGTGGAATAGCTATAGTCACTTGCCCACAAACCTGAGAAACTGCTACAATATCAACACGGAGACTGTGGAAGCAGCCCTGGATGATTACTGAAACACTTCCAACTGAACACACAAAACGTGAAGATGTTCTTCACTCTGGCATATTTTAGGGGCTGCTTTCTCATTTGTTGTACATAAAAGCAGAGTTGGCTACAGAAAAATTGATAAACTGATACACACGATTATTACTAATCATATTTTTATGGTACTTTCCATATAATAGAAGAGGAAAAGTCTATATGAACCTTGTTCCCCAAAATTAGGTCAAAACCACTAACCTGTCACTCTCTCGCTAAGTCTTTCCATATCTTCACAGTTATCACTCTATATTCCATCCTCAACAACATCCTTCCCATTTCCTGCTGTCACCCTCAGCACCTTCAATATTATCCTCATGTGGCTGATTTCCAAACAAAGCTATGAGCCCCCATCTTTCTCCTGAGTTTCAGTGCCACAGAGCCAACTCCAAACTGGGCCAATAATGACCAATAAAAATTTTTGAAATTCAAGAATTCACAGGGGGAACTACCACTTCATTAGAAAATCCAATTATTAAAAAAAGATCTGCCACCTAGATTCTGTAAGAATCTGAGAAAATACTGAAAGAACCTGTTAAAGATTCTCAAGTTTCCAGGTCTACCCCGTAACTTAACGAAGTCATCAAAAAGAATATACAGATGGGCAGGACTACAGTCTTTCTTCCACCACAAAAATGCCATCACCAAGTTACATTTAGATGTGCTCTTGGTCTTTCCAAGGGCTGACATAGCTAGCACCCATTTAAATTGCCTCTCTCAAAGCTTGCTAACTGTAGAGCTGGGGACATGTCTTCTACCTAACAACATGGCATGCACCACCATCTCACATAGAATTGGAAAGAAACAAGAGGTGGGATAACCCCCATGCTAGGAAAACAAAAGCAAAACATCATTTCATTTTACAGATGAAAGGAAGGTGCCCAGTCAGTAACTTACAGGACTCCTTATTTGAAAATTAGAACAGAGGGCTGGATGCGGTGGCTCATGCCTGTAATCCCAATGCTTTGGGAGGCCGAAGTGGGGGCGGATCACAAGGTCAGAAGTTTGAGACCAGCCTGGCCAATATGGTGAAACCCCGCCTCTACTAAAAATACAAAAATTAGCCAGGCGTGGTGGCAGACGCCTGTAGTCCCAGCTACTCGGGAGGCTGAGGCAGGAGAATCACTGGAACCTGGGAGGCAGAGGTTACAGTGAGCCAAGATCCCACCACTGCACTCCAGCCTGGGCGACAGAGTGAGACTCTGTCTCAAAAAAAAGACAAAAAAAAGAAAAAGAGAAAATTAGAACAAAGGCCAGGTTCAGTGGCTCGTGCCTGTAATCCTAGCATTTCAGGAGGCCAAGGCAGGCAGATAGCTTGAGCCCAGGAGTTCAAGACTAGCCAGGACAACATAGCAAAACCCCATTTCTATAAAATACACAATAATTAGCTGGGCATGGTGGCACCCGCCTGTAGCCCTAGCTACTCAGGAGGCTGAGGTAGAAAGAGCACCTTAGCCTGGGAGGTCAAGGCTGCAGTGAGCCATGATTGTGGCACTGCACTCCAGCCTGGGTGACAGAGTGAGACCTGTCTCCAAAAAAAAAGAGGAAATTATAACAGAACAGTTAGTCTCCTCAACAGCAAATGTATCATCTGTCCAGTATATCATAGCTCTTTGTAAACAATCCCCTCATAAATACTGGAATTGGTCTCATTTTTATATTTCAGCATTGTGACATGGTGTTTCTCATTAACCCATTAATGTGAAGCTTTTTATTTTTTTGAGATGGAGTCTCACTCTGTCACCCAGGCTGCAGTGCAGTGACGCGATCTCTGCTCACTGCAACCTCCACCTCCCAGGTTCAAGCGATTCTCCTGACCTCAGTCTCCTGAGTAGCTGGGATTACAGGCACATGCCACCACACCCAGCTAATTTTTATTTGTTTTAGTAGAGACAGGGTTTCACCATGTTGGCCAGGCTGGTCTCCTGACCTCAAGTGATCCTCCTGCCTCGGCCTCCAAAAGTGCTGAGATTATAGGCACGAGCCACCATGCCCAGCCACATGTCTTAATTTTTAAGTGTAAAAACACTTTAAAATTTTAAGTAAAAAACACTCATTTTTAAGAATTTTAAAAAGACAAATTTGGCCAGGCGTGGTGGCTCACACCTGTAATCCCAGCATTTTGGGAGGCCGAGGCGGGAGGATTGCTTGAGTCTGAGACTTTAAAACCAGCCTGGGTAACACAGTGGGACCCTATCTCTACCAGAAAAAAAAAAAAAAAAAAAAACTGGCCAGGTGTGGTGGCAAGCGCCTGTAGTCCCAGCTACTAGGAAAGTTGACGTGGGGGAATGGTTTGAGCCCAGGAGGTCACGGCTGCAGGGAGCAATGATGGCGCTACTGCACTCTAGCCTGGGTAACCGAGTGAGACCCTGTGTCAAAGGGAAAACAACAGACAAATTTATGCCTTTCCTCATTTGACTTGTATCATCCCGTTTTAGGACTCTTATCCAAGCCCACATTAGAAGACTTTGTCTTTAAAGAAAAGACCATCCACCAAACTCCACTACTGTGCTGGCAACTTAAAGCTAGGCTAATGTAAAATACTGCCACAAATTCATACAGCTGGAACAAGCCCTTGAAGTTTCAAAGGTAACACGCATGGAGAAAAAATAACATAAAATTTGGTTAGTTCTTTAAAGATTTCAAAATTCAATCCATTTCACACCATAGTGTATAGTCTTTTCTCCATAAAAGAAAACAGTGCCTTCTAATAACTAAATTGAAAGTTCTGGTCTACACTTTAATATAGACTGAGGATTTCCCTGGATCTTTACACAATGAGAATAGATCCGTATGCAGTACATTTTGCTTATAGTTAATCATAATGTTTGACATGATAGCTTTTTTGCTGCTTCTTTCTAAAAATGTACTCCTTAAATCTTTATTTTAAAACAAAACTATTTTCCCTTTTGCATTTTTATACACCAAATACCTACGATTTTACAGCACTGCTTTCTGTTTTAGAATTCTCAACAACAACCATCATATAGCAAGTTTTGAAAGAAAAATAATTCTGCAGTGAAAGTGCCACATAAAAAGATAAAGGCAAATATGAGTACAAAAAGGACAGAGAAAAAATGGGGAAAACGTCCAGTCAAATAAAAGACTGCAGTGAGCTTGAGACTCCCACCTTGAGTCTAGACTACTGATAGTGTGAAGTTAATGGAGTTTCCTGGTTCCAGGCAGAAATAACTCCAATCCTCTTGGGAGAAAAGAATCATACATTTAGATCCAGAATTATTCCACAAATTAACATCAAGTCTACGCATACAAGCAAAGATCACTGTGCATACCGGGAAGAAAGCCAACACTGCAGAGAGATAGCGCAAATAATGAACAAATTGTTCAGACCAGCCCCTCAAGCAGGACCACTAATATTGAGTTGTCTTATTCTGTCGTCAAGGAATAAGAAATGTTTAAAGAAATAAAAGACGGAATTGCTAAGACAAGCAAAGAAAAATAAAATATTTGGAATGTCCAGTCCAACCTGAAGGAGAGGTGAACTCCTAGAAAAGAAATATATCATTATTAAACTAAAAACTCAGTGAAAGAGTTAAATAAGAGAAACAGTTAACCAGTATTAACAAGCAAAAAAAGTAGTTAACCAGAATATAATATTTAGGACATTAACATAGTACAGTACAGAAATACAATGAGATTGAAAGTCTGAAAGGTAAGTTAAGCAATACTGAGGATAGAATATGCAACATTATAAGACAGAATCTAATCAGTCCAGGAACAATGAGAAATACAAAAAAACTAAATAAAATAGTAAAAATCTATTAAAATTAAAATTAAGACATTTGTTCATTAAAAGACATTGTAAATAAGACAAACAAAATAGTGAAAAGAATAGCCACAACTAGAGCAAATAATTCAACAAATATAACTGGGATAGTTTTGGTATCCAGAATAAAGAATTCCAAATAAAGAAAAAGCCAAAAGATCTAATAGAAAAATAGAGGACAGTTCATAAAGACAGGAATATGAATGGCCGATAAAGACATGAAAAGATATTCTAAGCCATTTTTAATCAGAGAGGTGCAAATTCACATAACATATTTTACAGGCACAAGAATGACATCAAGTAGTAAGATATTAAGCGTGAAGACTGGATCAGCATGAAGAAGCTTTTAAAGCTGATGGAAATGTTCTGCGACTAGACTGGTGATGGCTGCACGAAAATCACTGAAGTATACACTTAAAATGGGTGAATTTTGTATTGTATAAATTATAGCTCAATAAAGCTGTCTTAATAATGATTATAAGCTGGGCAGAGTAGCACACGCCTGTAATCGTAATACTTTGGAAGGCTGAGGCAGGCGATCACTTGAGTCCAGGAGTTTGGGATAAGCCTGGGCACCATGGCGAAACCCCATCTCGACAAAAAATACAAAAATTAGTTGGGTATGATGGTGCAAGCTTGTGGTCCCTGCTACTCAGGAGGCTGAGGTGGGACGATCACTTGAGCCCAAGAATCTGAGGTTACAGTCAGCCAAGATCGTACCACTGCACTCCAGCCTGGTTGACAGGGCAAGACCCTGTCTTAAAAAAACAAAAATGATATACAGTGCTAAAGGAATATAAAGTGATACAAACTCTTAGAAAAGCAATTCAACAGTATCTGGTAAAGTTAAATACTCTATGAGCCAGCATTTCCATTCCTACGTAAATACCTTTGAGAAACTTTTACACATGTACATCAGGTACCATGTATGGGATGTGTTCACAGCAACAATATTTATTTTTAAAAAAAAAGAAAGAAAATGTTCACTGGCAGCAGAATAAAAAAAAAGTTGTAAATTCACAAAGTAGAATATTATACAGCAAAGAAAATGAATGAACATTACAATAGCTTACAAAATAATATGGATCAACTGGGAAATACTGTTAGGTGAAAAATATCAAAGACCCAGAAAACTACACAAAGTGATACTATTTTTAATAAGGTCAAAAATAAGCCAAACTAAACATATTGTGTTAAAATACGTGCATGCATGAGAAAACTATTTTTTACAAGGCAAGAAATCAAACACAAAATTCAGGCCACCCCAGAGTGATGGGGGTGGCATAGCAGGAAAGGACTAAAAAAGAGTGGTTGGTCCCTGAGCAGTGCTGTTAATGTTGTAGTTGTTGACTGCATGGTGAGTTTGGGATATTCAAAATCATTATGCTTTAAAACTTAAATATATTGTACATATATAAATCAAATATTAAGATTTCAACAAGCTGATTTATTTATTTATTTTTTTGAGACAGAGTCTTGCTCTGTCCCCCAGGCTGGAGTGCAATGGCATGATCTTGGCGCACCGCAACCTCCGCCTCCCATTTTTTTGTAGAGATGAGCTTTCACCGTGTTGGCCAGGCTGGTCTTGAACTCCTGACCTCAGGTGATCCGCCCGCCTCAGCCTCCCAAAGTGTTGGGATTACAGGCGTGAGCCACCACACCCAGTGATTTTTTTAAGTTGTGCACTTTTATTCAACTGGTCTCAAGTCAGTGTACAGGTAAGCCCTGGCTGCCTGTACCCACTCCCAGGGAGACCAAAAGCCTTCATACATCTCAAGCTGGGGGACAAAAGAGGGGGGCCACGAAGGCTGATCATTCAAAATAAAACAAACTTAAAAAGTATTAAGGCAAAAATTTAAAAAAATTTGCATTACCTAATTTACAAGAAACCTCCCCTATGTGGACTCGGAGGAGGACTAGGCCATTCTCCTTAGACACAAGTCGGGTGGCTTTTAGGAGGGCAAACAACTTCCTGTAACAATGCATCTCACGATATTTGGAATGACTATTAAAAAAAAGAACAATGTACAAACAAGAAATAGAGTCCTCAGCCACACTGCAGAAATTTGGGGGATGTTCACTCCAACCGACTGCTGTCACCTTCACCGTTCCAGTTTTTAAATCCTGAGTCAAGCCAAAACAAAAACAAAAACAAAAACAAAACAAAACAAAAAATAAAGCCATGCCAATCTCATCTTGTTTTCTGCACAAGTCAGGTTTTGTCAAGAAAGGGTGTAACACAACTAAGTCACAGTCCGCCTAGAAGCATTTGAAGGATGGATGATGGAGCCGGACTCATCATACTCCTGCTTGCTGATCCACATCTGCTGGAAGGTGGACAGCGAGGCCAGGATGGAGCCGCCAATCCACACAGAGTGCTTGAGCTCAGGAGGAGCAATGATCTTGATCTTCATCGTGCTGGGCGCCAGGGCGGTGATCTCCTTCTGCATCCTGTTGGCAACGCTAGGGTACATGGTGGTGCCGCCAGACAGCAATGTGTTGGCGTAAAGGTCTTTGTGGATGTCCACATCACACTTCATAATGGAGTTCAAGGTAGTTTCATGGATGCCACAGGATTCCATGCCCAGGAAGGAAAGCTGGAAGAGTGCCTCAGGGCAGCAGAACTGCTCGTTGCCGATGGTGATGACCTGGCCGTCAGTCAGCTCATAGCTCTTCTCCAGGGAGGAGCTGGAAGCCGCCATGGCCATCTCCTGCTCGAAGGCCAGAGCAACATAGCACAGCTTCTCCTTGATGTCACGCACGATATCCCACTCAGCCGTGGTGGTGAAGCTGTAGCCACGCTCGGTAAGGATCTTCATGAGGTAGTCAGGTCCCGGCCAGCCAGGTCCAGATGCAGGATGGTGTGGGGGAGGGCATATCCCTCGCAGATGGGCACACTGTGGGTGACCCCGTCACCGGAGTCCATCACGGTACCAGTGGTACAGCCAAAGAAGTACAGGGACAGCACGGGCTGGATGGCCATGTACATGGCTGGGGTGATGAAGGTCTCAAACATGATCTGGGTCATCTTCTCGCGGCTGGCCTTGGGGTTCAGGGGGGCCTCGGTCAGCAGCATGGGATGCTCCTCGGGAACCACATGCAGCTCCCTTTAGAAGGTGTGGTGCCAGATCTTCTCCATGTTGTCCCAGTTGGTAATGATGCCATGCTCGATGAGGCACTTCAGGGTCAGGATGCCTCTCTTGCTCTAGGCCTCGTCGCCCACATGGGAGTCCTTCCGACCCATGCCCACCATCATGCCCTGGTGCTTGGGGTGCCACACGATGAAGGGGAAGACGGCCGGGGGTCATCGTCACCTGCGAAGCCAGCCTTCCACATGCCGGAGCCGTTGTCGACGACGGGCGTAGCAATATCATCATCTATGGTGAGCTGGTAGCGGGTGTGGACAGGCAGCAGAGCAGTGAGGGCCAGGGTCTGTGCTCACGGGGCGGACGTGGTCTTGGCCAACAAGATGATTTTTAAAATCATGACAAAGAGACTATCGGCCAGATGGGGTGGCTCATGCTGTAATCTCAGCACTTTGGGAGGCCAAGGCGAGCAGATTGCTTGAGCTCAGGAGTTCCGAAATCAGCCTGGGCAACATGGCAAAACCCTGCCTCTACTAAAAATACAATTAACTGGGCATGGTGGCGCACGCCTGTAGTCCCAGCTTTTTGGGAGACTGGGGCACCAGAACCGCTTGAACCCAGAAGACGGAGGTTGCAGTGAGCCAAGATTGCATCACTGCACCCCAGCCTAGGTGACAGAGCAAGACTATCTTAAAAAAAAAAAAAAAGACTATCTCTTGAGTCATATCCCATGAGGCCACTTCTGTCCTGGCACCACACACGGCAGGATCTTACTGACAAGAAGATAGTGGTATATTTCTCAAAAACGACAGAGGCATTTTCTTAAGCAGTGACTCCTAAACAAACATTCTTCACGGCTCTGACAGATGTCAAAAAGTATAAATCACTGGGCTGCGGATTGGACAAACTTAAAATGGCAACCGCAGAACAGAACTCTTCACAATTCTCTTGGTCAGAATCAGCTAGTGAATAACTATCTCGTTAAGGCCTGGAGACTTCTGTCTTGCTTTGCTTTAGTACTGCCACCTGCAGCAGCTAACACTGATTCAGTACATACCAGGGAGCAGGCCCTGTACGAGGTGTTTTATTTATGTCACCTCATTTTGTCCTGCCAGCTAAACACTACCATCAACTATTATCAACACTGTTTTATAAATGAGGGGACTGCAGCAAAGACAGATAACTTGCCAAGACCTCACAGTTCATAATCACAGGGCCGGGGTTCAAGGGTGAGAATGAAAATTCTAACCCATGCTGGCTCTATTGTTTCTGAAGCCACGTGGCCAAACGATAAACCAGTAAGTCAACTCTGACTACACACTTTTTATATCATCAGGGAGGGAGAAACTTCCCTCTATCTCCCAATATCTAGGAAAGTCAGTACTTTGGTAACTACATTTTCTATTTTTTTTAAAAGACTCCCTGTCAAGAAGATGTTTTTAAAAATACTGGCATAGAGGAAGTGCAGGATATACTCACAGATATGCATTCTGTTTTTTAAAAAAAATAGGCTAAATAGAAATATTAATTTTATTTTACATATCTACAGATGGCTCTTGTAGAAAATCCTAAAGGGGCCCAAACCATATGAAGCCCCCCTTTAAAGGAGATCAATTATCTCAACATATACTAAAACAGCCATATCCCATGCTCAGAACCATCAAGGTACCTTTACATATGAAAAATTTAAAACACAATAATCTATACTACTTTACGACCAGGCACAGTGGCTCACACCTATAATGCTAGCACTTTGGGAGGCCGAGGCAAGCAGATCACCTAAGGTCAGGAGTTCAAGACCAGCCTGGCCAACATGGTGAAACCCCATCTCTACTAAAAAAAAAAAAATACAAAAATTAGCCAGGCAAGGTGGTGGGTGCCTATAATCCCAGCTACTACAGAGTCTGAGGCAGGAGAATCCCTTGAACTCAGGAGGCAGAGGTTGCAGTGAGCTGAGATTGCACCATTGCACTCTAGCTTGGGCAACAAGAGCAAAACTCCATCTCCGTAAAAAAAAAAAAAAAAAGGCCGGGCACAGTGGCTCACGCCTATAATCCCAGCACTTTGGGAGGCCGAGGCGGGTGGATTACGTGGTCAGGAGATCGAGACCATCCTGGCTAACATGGTGAAACCCCATCTCTACTAAAAATACAAAAAATTAGCTGGGCATGGTGGCGGGCGCCTGTAGTCCCAGCTACTCGGGAGGCTGAGGCAGGAGAATGGCGTGAACCCAGGAGGCGGAGCTTGCAGTGAGCTGAGATTGCACCACTGCACTCCAGCCTGGGTGACAGAGCGAGACTCCACCTCAAAAAAAAAAAAAAAGAAAAAAAAGAAAAAGAATAATCTATACTACTTTATTCATATTTTCTAGACTATTAAGCCCCTTGACAAATTCAACTTTTTTTTTTTTTGAGACGGAGTCTCACTCTGTCGCCCAGGCTGGAGTGCAGTGGCGCAATCTCAGCTCACTGCAAGCTCCGCCTCCCGGGTTCACACCATTCTCCTGCCTCAGCCTCCCGAGTAGCTGGGACTACAGGCTCCCACCACCACGCCCGGCTAATTTTTTGTATTTTTTTAGGAGAGACGGGGTTTCACCGTGTTAGCCAGGATGCTCTCGATCTCCTGACCTTGTGATCCACCCGCCTCAGACTCCCAGAGTGCTGGGATTACAGGCATGACCACCGCACCCAGCCGACAAATTCAACTATTTAAACTGTATATAATACAGTATAACACAGCATCTCAAAGTCATCATGTCTTATAATAAGCTTTTATGGCAGAGACTGCCTAAGTACTCAGGATCTAGTTTCACCTTCCTTACTAATGGACCTCATTTAATTGAAAGAGCAATATAGCTGAATGAAAACTGCATTTCCAGCTTCTCTTGCAGCTAAGGATGGTCACAGTACAGGGTTCTTTCTGGCCAACGAAAGGTCAGCGGTCATCACTGAGTAGAGCTTCCAGAATAGAGCTTTGAAGGACTACCTCAGCAGGCACAAGCCCTTTGTGCCCTTCACTCTTCCTCCCTCTTCCTTCCATGAGACATTCAGACATGATTATTAGGCTCAGGCATCTACCAGGAAAACATGAGGGTAAAGATCTCATCATAGGCCGGGTGCGCTGGCTTACACCTGTAATCCCAGCACTTTAGAGGCCGAGTTGGCTGGATTACCTGAGGTCAGCAGTTCGAGACCAGCCTGGCCAACATGGTGAAACCCCATCTCTACTAAAAATACAAAAATTAGCTGGGCGTGGTGGCACACACCTGTAATCCCAGTTACTGGGAAGGCTATGGCAGGAGAATTACTTGATCCAGGGAGACGGAGGTTGCAGTGAGCCTGGCCGACAGAGTGAGGCTCTGTCTCAAAAAAAATAAATAAAAATAAAAAAGATCTCATCATAAAGAAAGCAGAAGAATTGGGAGGAGTATGGGTCTATAATGACATCATGGAACCAACACACTGGCCCCAGGCTACTTACCTCAAATTTTTACATGAAAGAAAACTAAATGCCCAATTTGTTTCAGCCACTGATTCTGAGGTCTTTATTACTGGCAGCAGAATATTGTCTGACTGATATATTTCTTCGATAGTAAAATCCACAGATCCCCGCTTCCCCCACTGACTAGTGGATTAAAATAAGAAAAAAAATAACAGAGTCTATGACACTAACGTGATCTAACAAAAGGAAAAGTGAGTACCACTTAATTCTTGAATGGTAGCAAAGTATGGGCTGTACTTGAGCCTTTTCTTAACCACTAATACCTGGAAAATCCCAGTTTAAATAAAGAATATACCTGTTCTTCCCAATTCCTCTATACCACTCTGTGATTTTTCCTTCAGTTTCTCCCAGTTGTTGGTTTTTTCCACCTTGCTTCATTTTCTCTACAGCTGCTATTTCTTAAAGCAATGTCAGATTTAACACACTCTCATAACACATGGCAGAGGGCTGGTGCTACTGAGTTTCCCTTTTATTCTTCATAAAGAAAAACAGCCTAAGGTACTTCCAGTGGCCTCATTTTCATTCTTCATTCTTCACAGAATAAAATTCTGGATCATACACATAGGCACATTATTCCTTCAATGGAAAAGGAAAACTAACAATAATTCTCCTAAATATTAAACTATACTTCATCATTATAGGACATTTGGAAAGTAAACTTTAAAATATCAAATATATAAATCTGCAAAGAAGAGAAAACCATTTTATCATTTTAGTGACATCTTTCTCTTAAAAACTTGTTGTAACTAGCATATATTTAGAATCAGACTCCTGGCATTCATGACTCTAACTCTGCACCAGTGACCCCCCAAAAGCCCACTGACAGCTGGTGACTTATTTTGAAGAAACCATACTAGGATGCTGGGGTGTGGGAAGCAGCTCCACGACCTCCCTCATCTCAGCCAGACCTGCTGCTCTCTACCCTTGGGCAAGTGAATGAATTATGAGGGAGATTGTAAGCAATACTGGAAATCCAGAGTGGGCATTCCAAAATCTTGGAGATATATCTATACACGGTTATCCTGGTTTCCTCACATACCACTGTGTTACAAACATTTTCTTAACATTTTATTGTACATATTACTTCATGGCTTTAACAATTTGTATCCGTATTTCTCCTTTGTAACATGTAAGTTGTTTTACATTTTTTGCTGTAATAAGGAAAACACTAAAAAAAATTTTGGTACAGAAACACTGCCCCATATTTTTGATCATCTGTAAAACAGATTCTAGGAGAAGTTGTAGATGAATGGTTCCTTTCTGACAAGAATTACTTGAATCTTTCTACTCTATTTATAAATTCACCCCAGAAAAAAAACACAGGCTTTTATATCTTACAAAATTATAATAAAGATGAAATCTAGATTATCTTTATATTCCTTTTTGTGAAATGGAAAACAGCAGGCCCAAAGCAGGAACTGGGCTTCCAATAGATATACCTTATCAAAGCCCTTCTGTAAACCTGCAGGCAAGGCTGGGTTGCAGGGGAAATGCCCTTCTGACCAGCAGAGGCCTCAACAGACACCAATCCAAGACAAGAAGAGCTCCAGAGTATACACAGTGTTCAAGCTCTAACCATCCTTCCTGGTGACTGTCTGAAAGAGTAGAGACAGAATAGGAAAGGGGGGTCTCCCAGCTCTGCCACTAAGTAGGAGTCATCTAGGATAAACCCTAACATTCAGTCTGAGCTTCCTTATCTATCAATGTGTTGACTATTATACCAGATGATCTCCAAAGTTTTTTCCAGCTGAAATTGTCAATGACTTTATGTTCACCAGCCAAATTCAGCACTAAAACTCTCACTTTTCACCTCTGAGTTTCATGTTCTTTCTCCTTTAGTAATTCTCACTGAATTCTCACTGCTGTGTCCCTAATACTTTCCCACAGAAATCTGCCCCTCTAGGCATGCCAATCATCCAGAACTCACAAAACAGGCTCAGCTTCCTCATCCCTCACATTGCTCACCATGCCTAATGTCCATAATGCCCTGGATTCTCAGTACAGTCTTGTGGACTTTGCCAGTGCCCAGTAATCTTCACCTCTTTACACTCCTACTGTGTGTAGTATTCATGCCATCCACCAGGCTTCTGCCTGTATAGTGTGTGTTGTTTATCCCTCAGGGAAACCATTCATGACTCTCAAGCTAACCAGTAAGCTCCTTGCACTGGCCAACACCCACCATTGCTGACACGTCTCACAATCATCGATCACTCAGAGTGATTCTCCACACATATTTGTTGATTTATCAATTTACCAGGTTATTAAACATTTAAGTATGTTTCAACTGTGAAGTTTAACAGTTGAGAGGTAAAGAGAAGAGTGAAAAGAGAAACGGCCAATTCTACTCACATCCTATCCAACCCAATTTTTTTTTTCTTGAGACGGAGTTTCGATCTTGTTGCCCAGGCTGGAGTGCAATGGCGCCATCTCGGCTCATGCCAACCTCTACCTCCCAGGTTCAAACAATTCTCCTGCCTCAGCCTCCTGAGTAGCTGGGATTACAGGCATGTGTCACCACGCCCGGCTAATTTTATATTTTTTAGTAGAGACGAGGTTTCTCCACTTTGGCCAGGTTGGTCTCGAACTCCCAACCTCAGGTGATCCACCCACCTCAGCCTCCCAAAGTACTGGGATTACAGGCGTGAGCCACCGCACCTGGCCCCACCCCAAATTTTTAAACTATGTCTGACAGAAGATCAGACGGTCTCTACGTGAACATTCCAAGGTCAGTATTTCCTTACCTCAAGTGGCAGCCCAACCTGCTCTGGGGCAGATGTATTCCTTAGAAACTTATTCCAGAGATGGCCGGGCACGGTGGCTCACACCTGTAATCCCAGCACTTTGGGAGGCCGAGGCAGGCAGATCACAAGGTCAGGAGATTGAGACCAGCCTGTCTGACATGGTGAAACCCCGTCTCTACTAAAAATACAAAAAATTAGCCGGGCGTTGTGGTGGGCTCCTGTAGTCCCAGCTATTCGGGAGGCTGAGACAGGAGAATGGCCTGAACCTGGGAGGCGGAGCTTGCAGTGAGCTGAGATCACGCCACTGCACTCCAGCCTGGGCGACAGTGCGAGGCTCCGTCTCAAAAAAAAAAAGAAACTTATTCCAGAGACAGACTGAATTTTCCCACAGTGATCCCACCTAACCTTCCTACTTGCACCATTCTCAGGGGCAACAACCACATGGGCTTTAACTGCTCTTCCAACAATTCCTGCACCATCCCAGCTGTGCTGCTCTGGCAACACCCCTCTGAAAACACAGCTTCTAGAACTAACGGAAACATTCTGGATGCAATGTGACCAATAAAGCTGTCCATCACCTCCCCTGTCTGGATGATAACTTTTGGGGTCATGCAAGCTGACCTGCTTCACTAAAGAGCAGCCATAACATGCTAGCAGATAAATGAGCTGTGATTACCTAGAAGCCTTATTTCACAGAACTAAAACCTGAAAGTCACAATCCTACAAGCCAATAGCTCTCTCTCTGCGTCAAAACCTGTCTAGGATGACATCTTTGCCTTGGATGTGAAATTTAGGCAGTTAGTGTTCTGGCTTTGAACGATTTGTTATTTCAAAGTAAATGATATCCTGACATGATAAAAATAAAAAATGGAAAGGAACTCTCCTGGTGACTCAAACCGTTTAAACTGTTTTACCTCATTTGGAAACCCACAGCCTCAAATAAATTTGCTGTCCAAGAGCACCATCTGCTGGATGAAGGTATTTAAGCTACCCCATTGAGGGAGAGGGAAAAAAAGTCTATAGGTTAAATGCCACTATGTCTAACACCTTGGTGTGAAAAGATTCCCATGCCTCACCAACAGGTTTCTTATAAAGGAGCTCTTGATTTGACAAAATTCTAATACAAGAGAAATCTGGAACTGACAAAAATTCACTATCATTGAATTTAGTTCATCTTAAATATTGCTTATCATAAAGTAAACATTTCTGAGCTGGAAGGAACGAGAGAGAGCAGTTAATTCAATTTCTTCCCCTTGTAGATGAAGACTCTGAGAAAAACACAGAGCTTTCCTGAAAGTCACAGCTAGGAATGGCAGACATTGATTATAAACGAAAACAGGTCAAATATTCTGTGATGTTTAATAAAGTCTTCAATCTCAAGAAGCTGCAGAAGAATGGCAGAAAATGGGGCAGTGGGTGTCTGTGCAAGGTGCCACTCTCTCAGGTTAGCAGCGATCTGGCCACCCACTGTGGACTGTGCCCTGCCCCACACTGACCAACACAAGATCAGGAGCTGTCATACTCTCCCGCCTCCACCCACCCACATCCTTCATATTAGATTTATCTGCTTTCCTCTACCTGTGAAAACCATCCTGCCAATAAAAACAATAAAAATAAGATACATTTTCTTTTTTTTTTTTTTGAGATGGAGTTTCACTCTGTCGCCCAGGCTGGAGTGCAGTGGCGCGATCTCAGCTCATTGCAACCTCTACCTCCCAGGTTCAAGCGATTCTCCTGCCTCAGCTTCCCCAATAGCTGGCACTACAGGTCCCTGCCACCATGCCTGGCTAATTTTTTGTATTTTTAGTAGAGACAGGGTTTCACAATGTTGACCAGGCTGGTCTTGAACTGCTGACCTCAGGTGATCCACCCACCTTGGCCTCCCAAAGTGCTGGGATCACAGGCATAAGCCACCGCGCCCGGCCAAATAAGATAAATTTTCAATCATCTTGTTGAAGAACATCTATCATCATGGGAAAGCATTCACAATGGGTCAAACAGAAGGGGGATAAAACTATGTTCATTGTACCACAAAAATTTTTTTTATATGCAATTATGGAGCATTCATAGAGAAAAAATGGAAGGAAATATACAAAACAGTTTTGACAGCTGTTTTCTCTGAATGCCAGGATTATGAATGATTTTCATTTTCTCTATGTAATACCTTCCCATATTTTTCATATGTAATGTTTATATTAACAAAAAGGTAACTTTTACCTTAAAGTGGTGTAATTTATACTTATAGATTATCAAGAAAACTAAAAACAAAATGGAAAGAATAGGACACCAACCACCCATCCACCTAGTACGAGCATAGCAAAAAAAAAAAAACTTTTCCCCAGCTCAAGAAGAAATATATAAAACATTTATATTTTTTTGTATTAAGATTCTCCACAAGGCCAGGCACAGTAGCTCATGCCAGTAATCCCGTAACTTTGAGAGGCGGAGGCAGGAAGATCACTTGAAGCCAGGAGTTTGAGATCAGCCTGGGCAATATAGTGAAATCCCGTCTCTACAAAAACTACAAAAAATTAGCTGGGCATGGTGGCGCACACACGTAGTCCCAGCTACTCAGTAGGCTGAGGTGGAAGGATCACCTGAGCCTGGGAGGTGGAGGCTGCTGTGAGCTGTGATTGTGACACTGCACTGCAGGCTGTGCAATGGAGTGAGACCTTGTCTTAAGAGAGACAGAGAAATAAATAAAAAAAAGATTTGCCACAATATTTTTCAAACTGTTTTAAATTTTCTATCACTTTTCCATTAATAAATACCTGAAGATAACAAAAGCAATAGGCCAGCAAATTAATATTGAAGAAAAATCTTGGAGGTACAATTTAAAATATTTTCTATATTTTGAGATGCAGAGACATGAGTTCACATGCTGTCCACTTGTAAAATTTTGCCTGGTTTATAAGACAAAACACAGGACATGATGTACCCCAAAGAACTCCATGGCTTCCAGTTTGAGAATCACTGTCTCTGAAGGTGATTCGTTCTTTCAGAAACATATCAGGAATGCAGTTACCTGAAGGCCAATAAATAAAGATAGAACACAGTTACCTTGCCCTAAGATCTCTGCATCATCTATGTGCAATAGATAAGTCATCTTTTGCTATGTATCTTACCGAAGCAGTTGTCAAGGTGTTTTCCGAGGACCACAGGAAGACACGCAGACCTTGTCAGAGGGTCTGTGACATCAAAACTATTTTCAAAATTATACCAGAACATTAATTAGTATTTGCCTTTTTCACTCTCATGAGTATAGAGTTTTCCAGAAGCTATAGGACATATGACTTTATAACAGATTAAATGTAGAAGCTGATATAAAAATCCAGCTATCTTTTTTTTTTTTTTTTTTTTTTGAGACCGAGTTTCACTCTGGTTGCCCAGGCTGGAGTGCAATGGCACTATCTCAGCTCACTGCAACCTCTGCCTCTTGGGTTTGAGCAATTCTCTTGACTCTGCCTCTCGGGTAGCTGGGACTACAGGTGCATGTCACCACACCCGGCTAATTTTTTTGTATTTTTAGTAGAGATGGGGTTTCACCATGTTGGCCAGGCTGGTCTCGAACTCTTGACCTCAGGTGATCCACCCGCCTCGGCCTCCCCAAGTGCTGGGATTATGGGTGTGAGCCACCGTACCTGGCCACAATCTTCTATTGAGCTAGACATAAGAGATTTGAAAAATGTAAAATAATGTGACTCTTCCTACTAATTTTTTAATTGGGGAAATACAGTCACCTTTTCTTTTTCTGTCTGCTCCTCTCTACCCTATGGTCACCTTGTATAAAATAATGTATGTTGATATATAATGGACTGTTTTAATGAATTAAATATTTTTTAAATATTCTCTTAATTTTTTTTTTTTTTTGAGACGGAGTCTTGCGTGAGCCACCACGCCCGGCCTTAATTTCTAATACAATAAAAAACAATAGATATAACCTCCTTAAATGAAAGTTATTTGAGGTTCACAATAATTATTACAATTGTAACAGGGCCTTAAGATGAAAGTTTGAGAACTACTGTCTTGGAGTAAAAGAGTTCAGAAAAATGCACACTGGGGAAGCTCACCTGAACCCTCTTCACCCTTCTCATCCGAAGCCCTCCCCAAGCCTCTTGCTGTAACTAGACCATCTTGCTGCAGTCTGTTATCAGATCACAATATTTTTCACAGCTATTTTTCCAATGCCATGCACTCATCAGACCCTATGCTAGAGACTGGAGCTAGAGAATACATGAGAAATGACACCTGTCACCAATGAACTCAGAGTCTACTGCAGAAGAAATAGCCACGAAAAGAAATACCACAAAAACAAATACAAGTAACCTTCATCCTCTGTTATCATTTTCCAACTATTTGCTACAATAATTTTTTTACCCAATATTCACTGTCCAAATCAAAGACTCTCTATGATGGTGTCCACCAACAGAACTGTTTCAGTTGTATACAAATCTAGGTCAGAGAATATAGTCTGCAGCTAAGTTGTATCTCAGATGTTTTCCCAAAAGGATTATTTCTAGCGCCCACATTAAGTGTATTGGCATTACTGCTGTCATCTTCCCATCAGTATGAGTGAAAATGTCTCCTGAAAAAGTAGAAAAACCCGAGGAGAAAGTAAGTGAGCATATGAGACCTACAGAAGCCTACGAAGAGTTGGAAGTGATGGTGCGTACTGAAGGAAGGAGGCCCATCAGATATTAACTTGACATGTCCCAATCTCTTCAACATAGCAGAGTTGCTCCTGAAGAGCTTCACCATGTGACTCAAGATTTTGAAAAACTAGAGAAATTCCTTTTGCAGTGGACTCATAGCCATTCTCAGGGTAGGAGACCAATGATTATCTGGCTGGTACAGGAGAGGGTAGGGGACACCTTTGGAGATCTGGAGGCAGCAGCAACGAAGGAGCAACGTGATTCAGTGAAGGAGCTAAGTTTCAAAGCAAGTGCAAAATGGTCTGAAACATCCAACAACAGTGTGAGATAGCAGAAGTTGAAGGTGACAGGTAGGGCACCATCCCCTCACAGTGAAGTGTGGCTACCTTCCTCCAGTGACCTGCAGAAAACTATCATCAAAGATGGTTACACACACAGGAAATTCTCAGTCTTTATGAAATGCTATCCCATAGGTTTATTACAGAATCCAAAGGCTAAATTGCTCCATGGGTACTCTGACAGTGAGGATAAGCTACCCCCTTTTGGTGCAAAACATTGGTTCCAAGGGGCCACTGAAGACTGACCTGCATGTTATGCTATGAGGCATTTAAACTGGAAAGCCAGCACGATGGAGAATAGAGATGAGGATGAGAGGAGGAGCTATGTGTCACCGCTCAGCAAAGGGAAAATCTTGCAAAGACGACTTGAATACACACAATACACTGGAAGGTCCATCTAGGGTTATAGATTATGAAGGTAATAGCATGAGCAAAACATGTAGAACTTCATTTTATACCTCTATTTAATGAAGCATTACCACGAGAAGAATCATCATTATGCTACACAATAGGTATTGCTAGAAATGCAGCCCAAAATAGGACAGAACACAAACCTGATGATCCTTTGTCACTGTACTAACATAGGTAATGCTGATGTCTATTCTTAGCTCTCACACACAGAAAAAAAGAGATGTAGCTTTGCCTTCAAAGGTCGATGCAGGTGTACATGGCTACTGGCCATCTCAGCAATGTTATACCTTCTGTCTTTTCTACAGACATCTGCTGACTTGCAGGTCCTTTAGCCAAATCTTATTTTCTCTCAGTCCCTCTTTTATCTTTATCTTTGTGTGTTTGTTTTGTTTCCCGAAGAAACTCCTGTGCTGCGTCTAACAGAAGGCTGAGTATTTTAATGTAAAGGCTTGTTAACAAAGGCTAATTAAAACTTCATCGGCAGACCAGCCCTTAGTGAAACATAACAAAAAAAAATCCAGATCTTAAGTTCCTTATGTGTATGTACTGTTTCCAAAGAATCATCTAGGACTTACTCAGGACCAAAGATGGCTCTATTTCTAAGATCTTGTTTTAACTACAGAAGGTTCCTGAAATTACCAAACACTCCAATTTCTTTCTTGCAATGAATCAATGTAGTCAATTATATTAATCTCATCCTCCTGAGAACATTCCAATTTTATTTATATCCCATCTATCTCAAAAAGGATTTGTACAGTCTTCCCCAAGAACAAATAATTATCCTCCATATAAGGGGCTGACAAACATTTTCTGCAAAGAAACAGTAAATATATTAGGCTTTGAAGGCCATATAATCTGTCACAACTAAAGCACCTCTGCCACGGTAGTGCACAAATATATAATATGCAAATGAAAAAGACTGGGCTCCAAGAAAGCTTTATTACAAAAACCAGCAAAAGGCAGAACTTGACAGCCAAACCCTGCTCTTCAATATATACCCAAAGGCTGGATTCGCCCCATGCCTTTGAGAGTCTTGGTTTTTTGGTTTTAAAAATAATAACTTGCTTAAGTTGTGTTACTGTTGCCATAGGTTACTGTCCATGGTGTTCAGATTTTTTAGTATAACCTAAGGAAATCAAGCTCTGAAAGCAGCAGCAGAATAAAAGAGGGGCCAGCCGGGCACAGCAGCTCACGCCTATAATCCCAGCACTTTGGGAGGCCAAGACAGGCAGATCACTTGAGGCCAGGAGTTAGAAACCAGTCTGGCCAACATGGCGAATCACGGTCTCTGCTAAAAATACAAAAATTAGACAGGTGTGGTGGCATGCACCTGTAATCCCAGCTACTCGGGAGGCTAAGGCAGGAGAACTGCTTGAACCCGGGGGTGAAGGTTGAGACCGCGCCACTGCACTCCACCCTGTATGACAGAGCATACTCCATCTCAAAAAAAAAAAGAATGAAAGAGAGGCTAAGACCTGACAAAGGGCTAATATCCAGAATCTACAAAGAACTCAAACAAATTTACAAGGAAAAAACAAACAACCCCATCAAAAAGTGGGCAAAGGATATGAACAGGCGCTTCTCAAAAGAAGACATCTATGCAGCCAACAGACACAAGAAAAAATGCTCATCATCACTGGTCATCAGAAAAATGCAAATCAAAACCACAATGAGATACCATCTCACACCAGTTAGAATGGTGATCATTAAAAAGTCAGGAAACAACAGATGCTGGAGAGGATGTGGAAAAATAGGAACGCTTTTACACTGTTGGTGGGAGCGTAAATTAGTTCAACCACTGTGGAAGACAGTGTGGTGATTCCTCAAGGATCTAGAACTAGAATTATCATTTGACCCAGCCATCTCATTACTGGGTATATACCCAAAGGATTATAAATCATGCTACTATAAAGACACATGCACACATATGTTTACTGCTGCACTATTCACAACAGCAAAGACTTGGAACCAACCCAAATGTCCATCAATGATAGACTGGATTAAGAAAATGTGGCACATATACACCATGGAATACTATGTAGCCATAAAAAAGGATGAGTTCATGTCCTTTGCAGGGACATGGATGGAGCTATAAACCATCATTACCAGCAAACTATCACAAGGACAGAAAACCAAACAATGCATGTTCTTACTCATAGGTGGGAATTGAACAATGAGATCACTTGGACACAGGGCAGGGAACATCACACACTGGGGCCTGTCGGGGGTTGGGGGGCTGGGGGAGGGATAGCATTAGGAGAAATATCTACTGTGAATGATGAGTTGATGGGTGCAGCAAACCAACATGGCACATGTATACCTATGTATCAAACCTGCACGTTGCACATGTATCCTAGAACTTGAAGTATTATCAAAAAAAAAAAAAAAAAAAAGAGAGAGAGAGAGAGATCAAGACACAAGCCAGGGGATTTCCAGGCCCTCTCCCTCTTCTGTCGAGGATGACTATTCTGATCTAGTCCTTTAAAAACACCCTCACCCCTAATTCCTATGCTATATCCCAGCTGGATGAAAACTACCATGGCACCTTCTCTGCTCCTTAAAAGATTTGCCTGGGGCTAAGAGACAAAATTCAGACTCTGGAACAAAGCAGGTGGGGCTGCTGTGGGGCCATGGGTCAGATCCACGACCCAGGACCACAGCCCTGTCTCAGGCCCCTCTCCCATATCCCACAGCTGCTATTCGAGTTTTTCCTCACCCTCCTATGCTCCTGCTCAGCAAACAACCTGCAATTTCAGCAAAAATACTGACACTGTTAGGTGTGGTCTCACCCTTCAATTTACCTAGCTCTGGTCCCACCTTTCACTCTCTCTCCTTTCACTGGAACTTAGTCATCAAAGCCAAGTTCAGATGTCGTCCCCACTCCAGAAAGTCTTACTTGAATGCAGGCCTGCTCATACTGCCTCTCCCGCAGGCTGCAAAGAGTCAAGCCCACTGCACCAACTGTCCCTCCACCCCACAAAGTCTATGAACTACTTGAGAAGCAGGATTCGTATCCATCTTTGCACCTTGCACAAATTACTTCTCTTATCTCCCCATACCCTCTCCAAGAACTCCCACCCCCACCAAAAAACGGCTACGATTTTCTTACCATTCTTTTAAGATTAAGGTAAATAGCTACCACTAGAAATTCAAGGAAAAAGGAAACTGCAATTTGATGACTCTATAATTCGTTTCAAAATAATGCCATGAACCACGAGAAACCAGTTCTTGGTACAATTTAAATACTGAACTAAAGAATTAAACAATATAAAGATAAGACAGTCAACAGCAAAACAATCCATGGGCTTTTTAAATGCACATTCATTACAATGAATTCAAACATTCCTGACAGTAAGCAATTATTACACTCACTCTACATCATGCCCTTTAATGCACTCTTTTCTTTTGTTATTCTTTGTCTACCTCAAGGCGGGTAAATACAAGTTATTTCTCATTTGTTGAATTTAGGTGTCTTGAGTGTGATTGGTTTTGTTTACCAGAAGCAGTTTACAACACTCCTCTCATGTCTTTCCTTATGCTACAAAAGCATGAAAATGTCAGTCCAACTCAGGAGCTGCTAAATGCTTCCACACAGCCTGCAGAAATTCTATAAAATACTGCCTTGTAGGTCCTACCAAAATGATACATTCCCAGCTCTAAAACCTGTAAACGATGAGGATGTTTTAAAACTGCGTGTTTACAAACCAGTGGATTTTGTTCATTGGATTTTAATAACAAAAGTTACACAAATCTGAAGTCTAAAGTCAATGTTCCCTTGAAGAAATGCCAATGAGTAAATGGCTTTCAAACACAAGCAGTAAATTGATAAGCACTGCAAACCAAAGTCCATCAACCTCATCTTTACAGTCAATGCTTATGCTATTTCACTACCAAATACATACAGCTAATTCAGGACATTTTTGTATCAATTTTTCTGAAAATGTTCCCAAACATGCTGCTTCTAACTCTTAATCATATATACAAAAATAAGGGAACAAAAAGGTTAATTATCTTAAAAGAAAAAAAACTTAAGATTGAGTTTTATTTTATTTTCAAGCACTCAGACATGCAACTTTCAGGCCAGGATCTGGATGACCCATCAGCTCAACCTTCTTCTCAGAAGCCTGAACATTTGCCAGGTTACAACGCACAGGAAGAAACTATGGAGAAAGTACAAAATATACCCATCAGCTCAGGGGCAATATCTAGTTGACAAAGACCTAGTTTTACATATTTCCACAACTATGAGACTGACTATGCATAATGACTTCTCTAATACTGGTGTGGGGGATAAGAGCGTGTCATGGCCCTTTTACTAGCCTCCCAACTTTGGAAAAGCACTTGACCCTCTCTGGGCCCCATGTTTTGTTAAGTGTAAAAGGCCAACAGTACTTAAGCTGCCTCACCCATTCCAATGGAAATCGCACAGAAGCTGGTTTAACAAGGCAAGATGCCACATTCCTTAAGGAAGCCTACTGGTAAGAGCATAAAGATACGGGACCCACACAAATGTTTTCAATATGCCCACTCCCATCTGCCCACATCCCTCACCATCAATTTCCTACATGTCCTACTTGCTGCCACACCCTTCCCAGACAATTGCTCTAAGCACTAGAACCTGCTCTTGGCCTCTCTCTGAGCCCTCACCTTTATCACACATGTGCATAACTTGCCCCTGCCTATGGGCAACATCTAATGACTTGCCCACAACAGCTAAACTTACATTTAGCTCATAAGAAATTTATTATTGCTAAAGAATAAATCAGCAAACAATACACTTGAAACTGAAACGAACAAAAATCCACCATGTAATACAAGGTACGATTTGAAATTGGTAGTCTAGATGTGGCTTGTGCTAAAAGAAACTGAAATGATCCTTCTGGAAAGCAATATTGGAAATGTTTCAAAAGTCAAAAAACTGTAAAAACCTTCTCAACTCTTTGGTGGTAAACATGAACACGCATGCAATCACAGGCATGCATATATACATACACTCACATAAAACAGAAAGACCAAAAGGAAATCATAAAAAGGATATTCCTGGGCAGGGTGCGGTGGCTCACACCTGTAATCCCAGCACTTTGGAAGGCTGAGGTAGGCAGATCACAAGGTCAGGAGATTGAGACCAACCTGGCCAAGATGGTGAAACCCCGTCTCTACTAAAAATACAAAAATTCGCTGGGCATGGTGTCACGTGCCTGTAATCCCAGCTACTTGGGAGGCTGTGGCAGGAGAATAGCTTAAACCAAGGAGTCACAGGTTGCAGTGAGCCAAGATAGCGCCACTGCACTCCAGCCTGGGCTACAGAGTGAGACTCTGTCTCAAAAAAAAAAAAAAAAAAAAAGGTTATTCCTGTTTGATAACCTTATGAGCAATTTTTTATTCTCTTCTTCACGTTTTTCTGTATTTTTCCATTTTCCTACATGTACATATACTACTTTAATAAACAATACATTCTCAACATAGAGATTACTTATACTAGTAAAAATTCAGATGCAGAATGAGGAAAGGCTATTTTTTTAACTTTTATTTTTACTATTTCAAACATATACGTATTTAAAACACCAGTCTGTCAACTAGCTTCAATTATAAATATTTTGCTGGGCTGGGCACAGTGGCTCACACCTGTAATCCCAACACTTTGGGAAGCTGAAGAGGGAGGATCGCTTGAGCCCAGGAGTTTGAGACCAGCGTGGGCAACATAGGAAGACCCTGTCTTTACAAAAAACATTTTAAAAATTAGCTAGGCATGGTGGCGCCTGCAGGTAGTCCCAGCTACATAGGAGGTGGAGGCAGGAAGACTGCTTGAACCCAGGAGGTCAAGGCTGCAGTGAGCCGTGATCATGCCATTGCATGCCAACCTGGGTGACAGAACAAGACTGTCTCAAAAAAAAAAAAAGTGGGGGGGGGGGCAGGGGGAGGGGCCAATCTTCTTTCATCTATATCCATTCAACTTTATTTTCTTAAGTAACTGAAAAACAAATCCCAACCCTCGTGTTATTTCAATCATATATCCTTCAATATGCATCTTTAATTGATAAATTAAGAAAATTACATAGCCATCATTCCATCCAATATGACAATTCTACAATATCATATATCTTCAAAAATAAGAATCGTCTTTGAAATAAGTGTTCAGCAATTAAAAATTCATATTTGAAATTGTGCTACTACCTCATACGCAGGATATATAAAGAAGTATAAACCAGTAAGAATCACTAAAACCACAGAAAAGGGAACTTAAGCCAAAAAAAAAAGAAAAAGAAAAGCATGACAAAAAAGAAGTGTATAAGAGACTTCACTAAAGGGGAAATCCAAACATTCAGTGAACATAAGGGGAAAAAATCATAATGCAACTTAAAACCAAAAGATACGACTACACACACCAACAGAGTGGCTAAAATTAAAGAAATGACAATATCGAGTGTTAGGGAGGATGTGGGGCAAAGGAAACTTGAAAACATTGCTATAGGAAGTGTAAGCTGGAAAAAATGTTTTCTTCTAAAGCTAACCATGTATATATAAGGTATATAAGAAGGTATAAGGTATGAAGTATAAGAAGCCAGACATAAAAGAATGCACACTGAATGATTCTAGTTATATAAAATTCAGAAACAGGCCACACTGAGCTGTACTGTTAAACAAAAGAAGAAAATGATTACCTTCAAGTCAGAAGATCTAGTTACCTTTGGAGGAAAAGGGGAGCCTATAGTAGGTAATAGGGCAGGTAAGGGAATTCTACGGTGCTGGTAATGTTTTCCTCAGTGTCAGAAATGGTACACAGGTGTTCACTTTACAATAATTCATAAAGCTCTAGGTTTATGTTCTATGCACTTTCTAGCTTGTTTTATATTTCAAAATAAAAAAGGTTTTAAAATAATATAATAATGGAATTAAGGCAAGGATTATGAATGAATGCCATAGATGCCAAATCCACTGAATGAAAGGCTGTTGGGGACAGATAGTCAGCTAATATTTGAGTATACCCCATAGATCACTTATTAGTTACAAAGGGGAATCCTTGACTGAATCCTTAAAGGAGGGCGGGGGGACAGTTATAACATTACTGGGAAAATTTGAATATGGTCTATACACTAGATAATATTATATAAATGTTAAACTCTCTTGTCATTAAAAGATACATGCTTATATAATTCAGGGTGAACTATCGTGATGCCTGCATCATACATCAAAGACAGAAAGACAGACAGATAGAAACAGAGATAAAGAGACACAAAGAAACATTAAGCAAATGTGGCAAAATATTAACTATAGATCAAGTATCCCTTACCCATAATGCTTGGGCCCAGAGGTATTTCAGATGTCAGATTTTTCCCCATTTTGGAGTATTTGCATTATACTTACAGGTTGAGCATCCCTTCCAAAATGCTCCAAAATCCCAAACTTTCTGAGTTTCAACACGATGCTCAAAGGTCATGCTCAAAGGAAATGCTCACTGGAGCATTTAGATTTTGGATTTCTGGATGAAGGATGCTTAACCTGTACTAGTGAACCTAAGTGAATGGTATCCAGGTGTGTATTGCACTAGTTCCACCTTTCAGTAGATAAGAAATTTTTCGAAAGAAAATAATGGGCCAGGCCTGGTGGTTCACACCTCTAATCCCAGCACTTTAGGAGGCCGAGGCAGTTAGATCTCTTGAGCTCAGGAGTTCAAGACCAGCCAGGGCAATATACTGAGACCCTGTATGTTTTGAAATAAATATTTCAAGAAATAATAAATTAAAAAAGAAAATAATGAGAGAGGGCATAGAAGGTTTCAAAAGACAAAGAACTTTTAGAATTAGGGTTTTAAAATATCAGGAAAAGGCAAAAAGAATTAGAATATAACCAATGAATTACGCCACCATTAAAATGGCTAGACTGTAATAACATGTACTTTTTAAAAATATATATATATATTACAATTTGTCTGTGAAAAAAAGGACAATATAAGCCTGTTCAAATATAACATTTTTTTAATGATTGAGGGAAAGTACTGGAAAAATATATCTAAAATACTGCTTCTGCTTTAAGGTGTCAGTATGATGCATCATATTTCCTGTTTTCCAAACATTTTTATAATGTATTTTTGCTTTAAAAAGTTTTAATGTAATGAAAAGATCAGCCAGATAACCACATACCATGTTACTACTGAACAATTTCAGGTATTTGTACGATTATCTAGCTTCAGTTTGAAAAATACCAGCAGCAGAAATCCTACTGATGAATATTTCCTGTTGTCCTTTGAGGAATTATGGATCACCCAAAAGCACAACAAAAGAACACTTCTAAACTGCTTAAATGGTAACAAAACTGTCACATCCAATGATCTTTACAAAACTCACTGTAAATATGAATGTACCTCATCATATATGCTCCCATTAATATCTGCACCATAGATAGGTGCCACAAAAGTTAAGTTCTTCCAGTACTTGCGCTCCAAATCTTCGTAATCCAAGTATCTTGGAGTACAATATCTGTAAAAGGTAGATGACAAAAATGTACAAACCAGTAAGTCAGTTTTAGGGTTTTTCCCACCAAATTGATTTAAATCACTTTCTAAAACAAAATCCTACCAAAACGAAAATACTGCATGTTGTCAATTCTAACAAGTAAACATACAAACTGATTTACATAGCTATCTGAATAGTCTTAAGATTGCTGAATACTCAATATTACTTTACATTTTATTAGAAAACTACTTTCACGAAAACAACAATAGAAGCAGAAAAGCAGTTTAAAAGTCATTATTTCAGCTTTAAAGTATTTTTAAAATCTTTAATCAACTATACTATGCTAAGAAATTTTACATATTTATATAAAAATGACATAACACTTAGAGAAACACTGACAAACAATAATCTCACTAAAAATCCAAGAAAGTAAAGTTAAAATAAGATATTTTGCAGTTATTATATTGGTAAATGCTGAATATATTAATGGCAAGAAAATAATGACACCTCTTAGACAACTAGAGTGGGAATATAAGCTGGCAAAACCATTCCAGCATATAATTTTTCTAAACATATAAAAAGCTTTTTAAAAATTGACATATCTGACCCAAAATCTAAAAGTAGAAATTCACCCTAACAACAGAGAGATGTGTACAATAACAGTTGACCCAGGATGTTTGCTGCAGCATTAATTGAAAATACAAGTTTATATCCATCAACTAGTAATTAGCTAAAAAAAATACAGAATATAAAACAAGATAGCTCTTTCAAGATACTGACATCAAATTCTATCCACAGTGAATAAATCAGGTTACATAATAGTGTGTATACTATATCCTATTTACAGTTTAAAAAACCTGTAATTGTATATTAAGTCATTAGAAAGAAATGTACACCAAATTATTAATGGTTATCTCTCACATAGAAATTACAGAAAAGCACTTACTTCTCTGTATTATTAGGAATTTGAACAATAATCTCACCACATAAAAGGAATACCAATGTTTCTTCAGGAAGAAAATAAGCAAAGAAAGAAACAAATGAGAATATAATGAAGCAAAGTTAAAAAGGTATTTAGCAGTAGTAGAATCCCTATAAAGCATACTGGACATTTTAGATTGACTACAGAATAACCGACATCTACACTCACTATACTGGGGACCCCAAACTAGTTATCTGTGTAACAAGAATACCAAATAATGGAACAACTGTATTCAAAATACCAAACAACTTAATTTAACAACTGTATTTAAAACATAGAACAATTTGAATTTACCCAGAACACTAGAATATAAAGCACAGTCAAAAATAAAAAGGATGGGCATGGGATGGGCATGGTGGCTATAATCCCAGCATTTTGGGAGCCCAAAGCAGGAAGATCATTTGAGCTCAGGAGTTCAAGGTCTGCCTAGGTAGTGAGACCCTCTATTTTCTAAAGAATTAAAAATTTTTTTTTTAATGTTTTTCTTCTGTTTTGTTTTGAGACGGTCTCACTCTTGTTGCCCAGGCTGGAGTACAGCGGCACGATCTCGGCTCACTGAAACCTCCGCCTCCCAGGTTCAAGGGATTCTCCTGCCTCAGCCTCCCCAGTAGCTGGGATTACAAGCATGCACCACCATGCCTGGCTAATTTTGTATTTTTAGTAGAGACGGGGTTTCTCCATGTTGGTCAGGCTGGTCTCGAACTCCCGACCTCAGGTGATCCGCCTGCATCGGCCTCCCAACTCCTGGGATTTACAGGCGAGAGCCACCGCACCCAGCCTTAAAAATGTTTTTAATAAAAAGGATTAGCATGAAAGCACTATTAATCTGTCATCATTCCACCACTTCTGCTAGTAGGTTCCAGTAGTATCGGGAATTCCAGGCACAAGCTAAGCAAGCTAACTAAAGATCAGAGTCAGGTGACAGAGACAGGTGTACATCCCTATTTCCCGGAGAATGGGTCCCCAATCCCCAGTAGGGGTCCGCGGCCTGTTAGGAACAGGGATGCATAGGAGGTCAGTGGCAGGTGAGCATTACTGCCTGAGTTCCACCTCCTGTCAGATCAGTGGCATTAGATTCTCATAGGAGTATGAACCCTGTTGTGAACTGTGCATGTGAGGGGTCTAGGTTGCACACTCCTTATGAGAACCTAATGTCTGATGATCTGAGGTAGGACCGTTTCATCCCGAAACCATCCCACCACTCCCATCCATAGAAAAATTATCTTCCACAAAACCAGTCCCTTGCCAAAAAGGTTGGGGACCACTGCCCCAAAACACAGAATGATCAGAAAGGAGAAGATAGCAGAGATGCTGTTTATTAGGACTTCTACAGAAACCTCCAAGATTGTTGGAAACTGAAGCCCTAATCTGCTTTACACCTATACCAAGACCAATCTATCACTATGTACTCAATCAGTAACAACTTTTTTTTTTTTTTTTGAGAGTCTTGTTCTGTCACCCAGGCTGGAGTGCGGTGGCATGATCTCGGCTCAATGCAACCTCCGCCTCCTGGGTTCAAGGGATTCTCCTGCCTCAGCCTCCCGAGTAGCTGGAATTACAGGCATGTGCAGTATCAATTTTTTAAAACTCATAACTCTAAGAGAGAAAGATAAAGTTTGGTATTGTCCATTGAAGTTAAATTCTAAAATCCTTAAATATATTAAACAAATATTAATTCTAAACAAAATAAATGACTTGGCTAGTAACTGATCAGAGTCCTTCCTAATGGACTGTCCTTCCTAATGGACAATCACAGCTATTCCACAAATCCAGTGTAAATTTGCCCGATACTGATTCAACCATATCTTCTTACCCAGAACCTCTCACTCATTGCAGTACAGTTCTTAAGAGGTGAGCTCCAGGGCCAGGCTACACATGTTTAAACTCAGGCTTCCATTCATAAGCCACAAAACCCTAGACACGGGGCTGAATTTCTCTGGAACTCAGTTATTCTTCTAAAAAATAGGGATAAAAACAGGAAGCTTGTTGTGAGGGCTCCATCAGATAATTATGGAAAGCACTTGGCTCTGTGCCTAGAGGAAAGTACACATCAGTAATGTGATTCATATTACCTACCATTATAAATTTTTATATTAGAGTTATATCGGAAATCTCTAGGTTTTCTTTGGACTACATTGCATTATCAACCAAATGAGCATGTCATCGTCTCTACTGCTAAGACTGAGTACATTACAGACGGTGCACCAATGCCAGGTCAGGTGCTAAAGAAAAACAGATGAATGGAAAGATCCCAGCACTTTGGGAAGCCGAGGTGGGCGGATCAGAGGTCAGGAGTTAGAGACCAGCCTGGCCAACATGTTGAAACCCCATCTCCATTAAAATACAAAAAACTTAGCCAGGCATGGTGGCACGCACCTGTGGTCCCAGCTGCTCGGGAGGCTGAGGCAGGAGAATCACTTGAACCCAGCAGGCGGAGGTTGCAGTGAGCCGAGATCACGCCACTGCACTCCATCCTGGGCAACAGAGCGAGACTCTGTCTCAGAAAAAAAAAGACAGCCCAGCAGAAAACCTCTTGTCTCCAACAAAAATTAATCTCCTAACATGACCATTCCACAACCAGGTGATCCTGGCACAGCTCTGTGTTGACAAGTAAGAGCATTGGTTCTTGAGGCTTAGAAATCCATTTCCTTGGCATTTGAAATAAATTTCTACATGAAACTGGCAGAAGAAATACAAAAAATATGAATTTCAAAAGTTGTTTAACATTACAACAATTATAATGAAACTAGTCCAAATCAAAAGACCAATTAACTTTATTTATTTATTTATTTATTTTTTTGGAGACAGGGTCTTGCTCTTGTCACCCAGGCTCGGGGGCAATGGTGCAATCACAACTCACTGAAGCCTCAGCCTCCCAGGCTCAAGTAATCCTCCTGCCTCAGCCTCCCGAGTAGCTGGGACTACAGACACATGCCACCATGCATGGCTAATTTTTTATTTTTTGTAGAGACAGGGTCTCACTTTGTTGACCAGGCTGGTCTTGAAACTCCTGGCTCAAGCAATTCTCCAACCTCAGCCTCCCAAAGTGTTGGGACTACAAGCGTGAACCACTGTACCCAGCGTAAATTAACTTCAAAAGAAATAAAATTAAAGCTAGAAATAATTTTTCAAATAATTTCCCATAATGGTTACATTTTACAACTTAAAAAAAACCAAAAATTTTTTAAACCATCTCTAAACCCCAGAATGTCAAGAAATGTATATTCTGTTAATAAGTAAATCTTTACAATTTGCCTAAAAATTTATACCATTTTAAGTGGATTTTAGTTTTTATAACACTATTTATTCATTTGAAAAAGCACCTACCATATCCCAGATACTATACCAAGCACTGTGTACACAGTGATACACAAAACAATGTCACCTGAATGGCTATCTTCAGAAAGAGTAAATCTACAACCAAGTCAGTAGAGTAATAATTTAACAGAGATATGTATAAAATGTGTACTCAGTAAAATTATCTTGAAGTAGAAAACCGATACCATGCTGAAATAATCAAATGGGCTAGAGAGGATGATCAAAGTTTCTTTATAACAAGAGAAGAAAGAACTTCAAGGCTCAAGTCTTAATAATATTTTGAATTGCCAAGTAATACTAACAATGATTGCCTCTTAGAGTTAAAGTTATATATGGCTATATTTGAAATTTTATTTATTTTTTTCAAGACAGGGTCTCGCTCTGTCACCCAGGCTGGAGTACAACGGTGCAATCACGACTCACGGTAGCATCAACCTCCCAGGCACAAGCAATCCTCAGCCTCCTGAGTACCTGAGACTACAGGCACATACCACCTGCCTGGCTAATTTTTGTATTTATTGTAGAGACTGGATTTTGCCATGTTATCCAGCTGGTCTCGAACTCCTGGGTTCAAGCATTCCACCTACCTCGGCTTCCCAAAGTGCTGGGATTACAAGTGTGAGCCACCACAACCAGCCTATTTTTGAAATTTTAAATAAGCACATATTACTTTTGTAACTGGTAGAAATGTTTCTGACCATCCTTCAAAATCCATCTCAATAGTGCCTACAAAATGAAATTACCCATTCCTTATGAACAACCACAGAAGCCTTGTATTCCTTTGAAACCTCATAGCACTTTGTACCTTTCCTATGGCAGTTATGACAATTATCAAGAGTATTAACAATAGTTTTTAGTAAGTATCCCTTGAAATATCAAAGGAGCCAAGCAGAGTTACTACTCAATGACCTAACCTATTCAATTAACACTTTAAGAGAGACACTGGAAATGGGTACTAAAACACAGTAACAGAAAACAGTCAATAGTTTATACTTGTAAACAGGTTTAATTGCCTCTGCAATCTTGTTTCAACAGCATTGCACTTATAAAAGAATTCTGGAAGAGTCTGAAAGAAAATGCTTCCAATCTTTGTTGAAAGTTTCATGTTCTCGATTAATAAGATCTGAAAGAATAAAACTCTATTAATACCAACCCAAAAAATTCAAAAGAAATGATTCAAATTATATCAAATATAAAATTTTCAATTTCTTTGGAATAGCCAGAATGTTCCACAGTAGGAATTTAACATGCAGAAATAAGAGTCTTCAAGTAGCATCATGTGCTTACAATGTCAAATATAATTTTTTTAAAGGAAGATACCTAAATTCATTCAAAGTCTTAATCTCATTCACACCCATCCAGGGAATTTGGAAACTATGATTTTTTGTTGGTCTTTCAGGTTTTTTTATTTTGTTTTTGTAAGATTTATGCTTTCATCTGGGGCCTTAATTATCATATCAGAATTTTTTAAAAGAAGTTTAATAATAATAATTGTGACAACATTTAAATATGCCCACAAATTCATTGACACTCCTCCCTTCAAGAAGTAGAGCTTCATTCTCCTCCCCTTGAGTGTAGGCTAGCTACACTTAACAACTGGCTTGTAACAAACAGAATATGGCAGATGTAACAGTGTGCCACTTCTTTTTTTTTTTTTTTTTTTTATTGATAATTCTTGGGTGTTTCTCACAGAGGGGGATTTGGCAGGGTCATGGGACAATAGTGGAGGGAAGGTCAGCAGATAAACAAGTGAACAAAGGTCTCTGGTTTTCCTAGGCAGAGGACCCTGAGGCCTTCCGCAGTGTTTGTGTCCCTGATTACTTGAGATTAGGGATTGGTAATGACTCTTAACGAGCATGCTGCCTTCAAGCATCTGTTTAACAAAGCACATCTTGCACCGCCCTTAATCCATTTAACCCTGAGTGGACACAGCACATGTTTCAGAGAGCACCGGGTTGGGGGTAAGGTCACAGATCAACAGGATCCCAAGGCAGAGGAATTTTTCTTAGTGCAGAACAAAATGAAAAGTCTCCCATGTCTACTTCTTTCTACACAGACACGGCAACCATCCGATTTCTCAATCTTTTCCCCACCTTTCCCGCCTTTCTATTCCACAAAGCCGCCATTGTCATCCTGGCCCGTTCTCAATGAGCTGTTGGGCACACCTCCCAGACGGGGTGGTGGCCGGGCAGAGGAGCTCCTCACTTCCCAGTAGGGGCGGCCGGGCAGAGGCGCCCCTCACCTCCCGGACGGGGCGGCTGGCCGGGCAGAGGGGCTCCTCACTTCCCAGCAGGGGCGGCCGGGCAGAGGCGCCCCTCACCTCCCGGACGGGGCGGCTGGCCGGGCAGGGGGGCTGACCCCCCCCACCTCCCTCCCGGACGGGGCGGCTGGCCGGGCGGGGGGCTGACCCCCCCACCTCCCTCCCGGAGGGGGTGGCTGGCCGGGCTGGGGGCTGACACCCCCACCTCCCTCCCGGACGGGGCGGCTGGCCAGGTTGGGGGGCTGACCCCCAACCTCCCTCCCGGATGGGGCGGCTGGCCGGGCGGGGGGCTGACCCCCCCCCCACCTCCCTCCCAGACGGGGTGGCTGCCGGGCGGAGACGCTCCTCACTTCCCAGATGGGGTGGCTGCCGGGCGGAGAGGCTCCTCACTTCTCAGACGGGGCAGCTGCCGGGCGGATGGGCTCCTCACTTCTCAGACGGGGTGGTTGCCAGGCAGAGGGTATCCTCACTTCTCAGACGGGGCGGCTGGGCAGAAACGCTCCTCACCTCCCAGACGGGGTCTCGGCCGGGCAGAGGCGCTCCTCACATCCCAGATGGGGCGGCGGGGCAGAGGCGCTCCCCACATCTCAGACGATGGGCGGCCGGGCAGAGACGCTCCTCACTTCCTAGATGTGATGGCGGCTGGGAAGAGGCGCTCCTCACTTCCTAGATGGGATGGCGGCCGGGCGGAGACGCTCCTCACTTTCCAGACTGGGCAGCCAGGCAGAGGGGCTCCTCACATCCCAGACGATGGGCGGCCAGGCAGAGACACTCCTCACTTCCCAGACGGGTTGGCGGCTGGGCAGAGGCTGCAATCTCGGCACTTTGGGAGGCCAAGGCAGGCGGCTGGGAGGTTATAGTGAGCCGAGATCACGCCACTGCACTCCAGCCTGGGCACCATTGAGCACTGAGTGAACGAGACTCCGTCTGCAATCCCGGCACCTCGGGAGGCCGAGGCTGGCGGATCACTCGCGGTTAGGGGCTGGAGACCGGCCCGGCCAACACAGCGAAACCCCGTCTCCACCAAAACCAGTCAGGCGTGGCGGCGCGTGCCTGCAATCGCAGGCATTCGGCAGACTGAGGCAGGAGAATCAGGCAGGGAGGTTGCAGTGAGCGGAGATGGCAGCAGTACAGTCCAGCTTCCGCTCCGCATGAGAGGGAGACCGTGGGGAGACGGAGAGGGAGAGGGAGAGGGAGAGGGAGAGGGAGAGGGAGACGGAGACGGAGAGGGAGAGCAACAGTGTGTCACTTCTGAAACAGGGCAAGGAAAGACATGTGGCTTCCTTCTTGCGATCTCTCTCGGATCACTTGCTCTGGGAGAAGCCAGCTGCCATGACATGAAGAGCAGTCCATATGACAAGGAACTGAGGACCCCATCAAAAGCCATGAAAGGGGAGCACTCTTGTAAGAGAATCTTCCAGCCACAATTAAATGCTCAGATGACTGTAGCCCAGCCAACATGCTAACTGCAACCTCATGAGACCCTGAGGCAGAATCTGAAGGTCAGATTCCTGACCTTCAGAAATTATGGGTTGGTTTAAGCAGCTAAGATTTGGGATTATTTATTTATTTATTTATTTATTTATTTATTTATTTTTTCGAGACGGAGTTTCACTCTTGTTGCCCAGGCTGGAGTGCAATGGCGTGATCTCGGCTCACTGCAACCTCTGTCTCCCAGGTTCAAGCAATTCTCCTGCCTCAGCCTCCTGAGTAGCTGGGATTACAGGCACGTGCCACCACGCATGGTTAATTTTGTAGTTTTAGTGGAGACAAGGTTTCTCCATGTTGATCAGACTGGTCTTGAACTCCCGACCTCAGGTGATCCGCCCACGTTGGCCTCCCAAAGTACTGGGATTACAGGCATGAGCCACCATGCCTGGCCAATTTGGGATAATTTGTTACACAGCAATAAATAACTAATGCAATGGTGGCCTTTCAAGTCATTCAAGGTTTGCTTTTAAAAGTACTAATCTTCTAATACATATAAATCATTTAAGGCTTAAACATTATCAAACACACACCAAAAAAACTGCCCAACAAACATGAATCATGTGTAGAAACGAAAACTCATGGCAACTATAGGATAAGAAGTTCCACTTATAACTGCTAGGAACGAGATAATAAAATAAAGAGCAATTTCTTTAAGTCAAATGTTCAGCAACCACCTAAAGAACAGAAAACAGAAACAGTTCAATGAAGGGTGAAAAATTGCATGGGAGACTCCTGCTTTTCATTTATAAGCTCCTCTGTCTACTTTGTTTCTTAACATATTTACATAAATCTTTGAAGGAAACAGAAATAGCAAACTGATTCTACTCACTTGCCACTGTTGGCCAGCTGCCTGAACTCCTTCACAGTCATCGCTTTTTTCTGGATGTTGTACTGAGTGAACAGTCCTGACTGCCCTGTGACCATCTGCTGAATTGGTGCTGGAATGAGCAAATTATCAATGTCATCATAGCACTGTCTTGGCTTCCACTCCTTAGGAGGAATCACCTAAAAATAAAATAATGAAATAAAATATCATCTTGAAAATACTCCAAGTAATTTAGCTTTTAAGTATTCTGATAAACTACAACTGAAGAATTTCTCAGTATCTCTATGACAAATGTGTAAAAAAAAAAAAAAAAGATGAATATTTGCAATAAAGCAATATGATGTTATTCAATAGCAAAATTTATTGAGTACTCACTATCCCAAACACTGTACTTGTATTAAACTCATTTTGAGTAGGTACTATTAACATCTTGATTTTAAAGATAAAATTGAAAGACACACAGAAGTAAAATAATTTGAAGTTAAAATGGCTAAAGACTACTTGAGCTGAAATTCTAATTAAAACAGTTTGAATTCACACTGAGCGATTATGTTAACCTGCCTCTCAATAGATGAAATTGGCAGGGCGCAGTGGCACACACCTGTAATTCCAGCACTTTGGGAGGCCGAGGCAGGCGGATCACCACGTCAGGAGTTCAACACCAACCTGGATAACATGGTGAAACCCCGCCTCTACTAAAAATACAAAAATTAGCCGGGCGTGGTGGCACGCACCTGTAGTCCCAGCTACCCGGGAGGCTGAGGCAGGAGAATCGCTTGAACCCAAGAGGCAGGGGTTGCAGTGAGCTGAGATCGCGCCACTGCACTCCAGCCTGGGTGACAGAGTGAGACTCTGTCTCAGGAAAAACAAAAAAAGACGAAATTATGTTTACATAAATAATTTCTTCCCCAAAGAAGTTCATCTTTATTGAATATGATCTAAGTACCTATGTGCTGTTTATATTATTATGAGAAAAATAAGTAAATACATAGTCAACATTATATTCTTTTTTTTTTTTTTGAGACGGAGTCTCACTCTGTTACTCGGCTGGGGAGCAGTGGCACGATCTCAGCTCACTGCAACCTCCGCTTCCCTGGGTTCAAGCGATTCTCCCACCTCAGGCTCCCAAGTAGCCAGGATTACAGGCGCCTGCCACCACGCCCAGCTAATTTTTGTATTTTTAGTAGAGACAGGGTTTCACCATCTTGGCCAGGATGGTCTTGAACTCCTGACCTCATGATCCACCCGTCTCGGCCTCCCAAATTGTTGGGATTACAGGCGTGAGCCACCACGCCCGGCCAACATTATATTCTTTATAGACTTCTCACACAATATGGCGATAGCACAGCGGTATGCTAGTAGATCTTTAATAACCAGCTTTCCAGAAAGGTGGAGGAAACCTTGATTTGTAGCTTTTACCTGTGTCCATGGCATAGTACTCCCACCATGGCCAATCTGAACCTACCAACGTGACATCACTACATAAGCAGCTGGGAAGAGATGTGCACTATCAACTCTCAAATGCCAGTATAAGGTGCCTCAGCACACCAGTGTTTGCCTGCAGTATTTAAGTACTTAATTACTAAGAGTGAAAAGATACAGAAAACATTAAGACCAAAAATACATATTGATAGGATTTAAAAGTAGAAGGTAACAGCCAGCCGTAGTGGCTCACACCTGTAACCTTAGCACTTTGGGAGGCCAAGATGGGTAAATCACTTGAGGCCAGGAGTTCTAGACCAGCCTAGCCAGTATGGTAAAACCTGATCTCCACTAAAAATACAAAAATTATCCGGGCGTGGTGACAGGCACCTGTAATCCCAGGTACTCGAGAGGCTGAGGCAGGAGAATCACTTTGAACCCAGGAGGTGGAGGCTGCAGTGAGCCAAGATCACACCACTGCACTCCAGTCTGGGTGACAGTCCATCTCATAAACAAATAAATTAAATTAAATTAAAATAGAACGTACAACGTCATGAAGCAATTCATGATCTATTGCTGGAACTTTTCTTTTTTTTTTTTTTTTCTTTTTGTTACAGATGGGGTTTCGCCATGTTGCCCAGGCTGGTCTCAAATTCCTGAGCTCAACTGATCTGCCTTGGCCTCCCAAAGTGCTGGAATTACAGGCAATAGTCACTGCACCTGGCCACTTTACCACCTTTAGAAGTTTTTTTAATTTTTTTAAAACAAACTTTTTTTTTTTTTTTGAGACCGAGTTTTGCTCTTGTTGCCCAGGCTGGACTCCAATGGCCCAATCTCGGCTCACCGCAACCTCCACCTCCCGGGGTCAAGCGATTCTCCTGCCTCAGCCTCCCAAGTAGCTGGGACTACAGGTGCGCACCACCATGCCCGGCTAATTTTTGCATTTTTAATAGGACGAGTTTTCACCATGTTGGCCAGGATGGTCTCGATCTCTTGACAGCGTGATCCGACCACCTCTGCCTCCCAAAGTGTTGGGATTACAAGCATGAGCCACCGTGCCTGGCCTAAAACAATCTTTTTAAGGTTTTTTATTGAAAAACAGCACACATGTAGAAAATGCATAATCACAAGCACACAGCTCTGTGAATTATTACAAAGCAAACACCAAATGACCTACTGCCCAGGTGTAAGAGGCAAGATATTGCTGGCACGATACAGGCCCTCCAAGCGCCCTTTTCCAGCCTCATCTTCCCTATTGCCCAAGAGGTAACCACAATTACGGTGTTTATGGCAATGACTTCATTGCTGGGCTTTAGTTTTATGCTTCTATATGCATACCTATACACCAGTTTTGCAAATGTATAAAAATGTAACCCTACAGTATATACTACTTGAGGTTTATCTTTTATACTTCACTCATATTTTGTGAGATTTAAATATAACGGCCTAGGCCAGACACGGTGACTCACTCCTGTAATCCCAGCACTTTGGGAGGCCAAGGTGGACAGACCACCTGAGGTCAGAAGTTTAAGATCAGCTTGGCCAACATGGTGAAACCCCATCTCTACTAAAAATACAAAAATTAGCCAAACGTGGTGGTCAATGCCTGTAGTCCAAGCTCCTCCGGAGGCTGAGGCAGGTGAATTGTTGCAGTGAGCTGAGATCACACCACTGCACTACAGCCTGAGTGACAGAGTGAGACTCTGTCTCAAAATAAATAAATAAATAAATAAGCAAATGTAACAGCCTATGTAGCTGAAGTTCTTTGATTTTCATTCCTACTCAGTATTTTGTCTTATAAATATTTATGTATTTATAAACTGATAACCATTGATGGGCATGTGGCTTTTTCTAATTATTGGCTATTGCAAATAATGCTATTAATATTTTTGTACAGATATTCTAGTGCATATATGCACATGGGTCTCTAAAACATCCATGCATACACAGACACTTCTAAGAGTCAAATTACTGACACATAGGATACGTGTAGTTCAAATTTCATAGATATTGCCAACTGTTGCAAAGTGGTTGTACCAATTTGCACTCCCAACTGCAATATACGAGAGTTCCCATTCCTCCACACCTTCATCATCACCTAATACTGTCCATCATTTAACTCTTAGTCTTTCTGTTAAGTGTACAATGGTACTCAAGTGTGAATTTTATTTGTATTTTCCGAATAAATGAAGAAAGAAACCTTTTCATCCATATGTTTACTGACCTTACTGATACTTTTTTTTTTTTTTTGAGACAAAGTTTCTCTTTTGTTCCCCAGGCTGGAGTGCAATGGCGCGATGTCAGCTCACTGGAACCTCCACCTCCTGGGTTCAAGCAATTCTCCTATCTCAGCCTCCCTAGTGGCTGGGATTACAGGTGCCTGCCACCATGCCCAGATAATTTTTTGTATTTTTGTAGAGACAGGGTTTCACTATGTTGGCCAGGCTGGTCTCGAACTCCTGACCTCAGGTGATCCACCCGCCTCAGCCTCCCAAAGTGCTGGGATTACAGGCATGAGCCACCGCGCCCAGCTCACTGATACTCTCTTTTATAAAGTACTTATTCAAGTCTCTTTATCATTTTACTATTGCATTGTTGGGTTTTTCCTTATTAATGTATAGAAGTCTTTTATATATTCTTTTATATATCCAAGGAGAATACTCTTCGATGTGTATGTGTATATGGAGGCATATACAGAGAGAGAGAGAGAGAGACAGAGAGAGAGAGAGAGAGAGAGCATATCTGCACAAGAGCATGTAAATATATTCTCTTATCCTGTAACTTGCCCTCCAATCTTTTTTTTTTAAGAGACAAGGTCAGGCTGGGCACGGTAGCTCACGCCTGTAATCCCAGCACTTTGGGAGGCCAAGGCGGGTGGATCACGATGTCAGGAGATCCAGACTATCCTGGCTAACACAGTGAAACCCCGTCTCCACTAAAAAAAAATACAGAAAATTAGCCGGGCATGGTGGCAGGCACCTGTAGTCCCAGCTACTCTGGAGGCTGAGGCAGGAGGCAGAGCTTGCAGTGAGCCAAGATCACGCCACTGCACTCCAGCCTGGGGACAGAGCGAGACTCCATCTCAAAAAAAAAAAAAAAAAAAAAAAAAAAAAAAATTTCCCTACTCAAGGACATAAAAATGGTCTACTTTATATTCTAAGAGTGTTAAAGTCTTGTCTTTCACATTTAGGTCTACATGTACCTATAACTCTGAAACTCAAGTCAAGCGTCATCAGATAAAGAAACTTGGGGTCAGGAGATGAGTAACTTGGCCAGTGCTATACAGCTTATAAGTGAGAGTTGTTAGCTCAAAAAAAATAAAACCACCTCACAGTGAGCTGTCAATTTTACCTTAATTTTCATTAGCAATATAAGGATACTACATATTTTATATCCTCCAACGTATGTTTGTTTAAAATGAGAATACTGTCCAGGAACGGTGGCTCACGCCTGTAATCCCAACACTTCAGGAGGCCGAGGCTGGAGGATAACTAGAGCTCAGGAATTCGAGACAAGCCTAGGCAACATGGCGAAAGCTCAGCTCTACAAAAAAATACAAAAATTAGCCAGGTGTGGTGGCACACGCCTATAGTCCTAGCTACTCGGGAGGCTGAGGTGGGGCGACTGCTTGAGCCCGGGAGGACAAGGCTGCAGTGAGCCAAGATCACACCACTGCGCTCCAGCCTGGGTGACAGAGCAAGACCCTGTCTCAAAAGAACTAAATAAAAATAAATTAAAAAATAAAATAAAATAGATAGATATACATTCATAGTATATGTTACTGAAATCACACCCTCATTATTTTATTTAACTTTTTTTTTGAGACAGGGACTCTGTTGCCCAGGCTTGAATATAGTGGCATGATCGCAGCTCACAGCAGCCTGGACCTCTCAGGCTCAAGAAATCCTCCCACCTCAGCCTCCCAAGCAGCTAGGACTACAGGCACATGCTCCTACGCTCAGTTAATTTTTTGTTTGTTTGTTTGCTTTTTGAGATGGAGTCTCACTGTTGCCCAGGCTAGAGTGCAGTGGAGCAATCTCGGCTCACTGCAACCTCAGCCTCTCAGGTTCAAGTGATTCTCGTGTCCCAGCCTCCCAAGGAGCTGGGATTACAGATGTGCACCACCACACCCGACTAATTTTTGTATTTTTAGTAGAGACAGCATTTCACCATTTGTCCAGGTTGGTCTCAAACTCCTGGCCTCAAGTGATCCACCCACCTCAGCCTTCCAAAGTGCTGGGATTACAGGCGTGAGTCACTGTGCCTGGCCTTTTTTATTTATTTATTTTTTTTTTGGAAAAGATGTGGTCTCGCTATGTTGCCAGGGCTGGTCTCGAACTCATGGGCTCAAGCAATCCTCCCACCTTGGCCTCCCAAAGTGCTGGGACTACAGGCGTGAGCCACCATGCCCAGCCACACTCAATATTTGAAAAGAATATGAACAATCAGACTATATGAATATGAATAACCTTACTACATTCATATGAATATGAATAACCTTACTATTTTGATGACATATTGAAAGGGGAGGGGCACTATATTTAAGAATGTTATAAAAACTAACTTTTTTCCTCGGAAATAAGCCAGAATAATAAAAAAATGGAACACAGATTTATTCAGGCTCTTCATTAGCAATAAAGATATCCACAATCAAAATTAATATTATGTGTAGAATTAAATGTTTTTCTGTTTTGTAAAAAAAAAAAAAAAAAAGAAAAGAAAAAAGAGCCCTCTCCCGTCTCCCGTCTCCCGTCTCCCCTTTCCACGGTCTCCCTCTCATCCCTCTCCTGTCTCCCCTTTCCACGGTCTCCCTCTCATGCCAAGCCGAAGTTGGACTGTGCTGCTGCCATCTTGGCTCACTGCAACCTCCCTGCCTGATTCTCCTGCCTCAGCCTGCAGAGTGCCTGCGATTGCAGACGCGCGCCGCCACTCCTGACTGGTTTTCGTATTTTTTTGGTGGAGACGGGGTTTCGCTGTGTTGGCCGGGCTGGTCTCCAGCTCCTAACCGCGAGTGATCCGCCAGCCTCGGCCTCCCAAGATGCCGGGATTGCAGACAGAGTCTCCTTAACTCAGTGCTCAATGGTGCCCAGGCTGGAGTGCAGTGGCGTGATCTCGCGTCGCTACAACCTCCACCTCCCAGCCGCCTGCCTTGGCCTCCCAAAGTGCCGAGATTGCAGCCTCTGCCCGGCCGCCACCCCGTCTGGGAAGTGAGGAGTGTCTCTGCCTGGCCGCCCATCGTCTGGGACGTGAGGAGCCCCTCTGCCTGGATGCCCAGTCTGGAAAGTGAGGAGCGTCTCTGCCCGGCCGCCATCCCACCTAGGAAGTGAGGAGCGCCTCTTCCCGGCCGCCATCCCATCTAGGAAGTGAGGAGCGTCTCTGCCCGGCCACCCATCGTCTGGGATGTGAGGAGCGCCTCGACCCGACCGCGACCCCGTCTGGGAGGTGAGGAACGTCTCTGCCCGGCCGCCCCGTCTGAGAAGTGAGGAGACCCTCCGCCCGGCAGCCGCCCCGTCTGAGAAGTGAGGGGCGCCTCTGCCCGGCCGCCCCTACGGGGAAGTGAGGAGCCCCTCTGCCCGGCCACCACCCCGTCTGGGAGGTGTACCCAACAGCTCATTGAGAACGGGCCATGATGACAATGGCGGTTTTGTGGAATAGAAAAGGGGGAAAGGTGGGGAAAAGACTGAGAAATCGGATGGTTGCTGTGTCTGTGTGGAAAGAAGTAGACATGGGAGACTTTTCATTTTGTTCTATACTAAGAAAAATTCTTCTGCCTTGGGATCCTGTTGATCTATGACCTTACCCCCAACCCTGTGCTCTCTGAAACATGTGCTGTGTCCACTCAGGGTTAAATGGATTAAGGGCGGTGCAAGATGTGCTTTGTTAAACAGATGCTTGAAGGCAGCATGCTCGTTAAGAGTCATCACCACTCCATAATCTCAAGTACCCAGGGACACAAACACTCTGCCTAGGAAAACCAGAGACCTTTGTTCACTTGTTTATCTGCTGACCTTCCCTCCTTCCCTCCACTATTGTCCTATGACCCTGCCAAATCCCCCTCTGCGAGAAACATCCAAGAATGATCAATAAAAAAAAAAAAAAGAAAGAAAGAAAAAAGGAAGTTGCTTGCCTATAAAATATTTTGCAGCAATTTTCTAAAGACAGAGAAGCAAGGCACACAATAAACTTACAAAAATCCAAATATTACCTTGTGCTTTTTGTGTACAAGTTCATTTAAATTAAAGAGTTCAAATGGAATATATTTTCAGAAGTTCAGCTCTATAACAAAAATCTTATTTTAACTATAATTTGAAATCCTAAGACATCAGATTTTCTTGCATAGGGAAACACAACATACTGAGATCTTTAAAAGATTCCAAAGTTAAATCTTTATGTTTAGTGAATCTAAATGAGGGAAAGCCATTCCTTCTGAAGTTCACCTTCCTGATTATATCAAAACAGAATATACCTTCTTTTATCAACAACCCCACAAACCCAGCCTGGCCCCTATTCCCTGTGGGAAACTTTCTGCTAAAATGTGCATTTGCACTACTTGCCTTGAAATAAATTGCAATTTCTACCATCTACCTAGTGAGCAAGGAGGAGGAAGAGAAAGAGTGGTGCTTCTTATAATCTTTCTTCACCTTGTGAGCAAAGATAGCTATTTGCACTCTCTAGGCTGTTCATAAAACTACATGATGTGCATAAGCTACAGTCCAGGACAATCTATGTTCAGATTTCTGTTGGGGACCAATTTCACCCACTTCATATATAAAAAAAGTTCATCATAATCTCCTTCCACAAAAACAGTACAAGTTTTACATGTGAAGAGACTGCCACTCTTTTCACTTTCGCAACCTGACCATCAACTTTGTAGACAGTCAAAGTGTCAAACCTTCCACTCAAAAAATAAATGTTAAATTTAAAGCATGAATCTAAAAAATGGGAAAGAGAAAAACCAAGACAGACTGTCATCTGAAGCTAAAGTCACTACTGTTGCACCTACTCGACCAATTTCTTCAAATCATAAATTAAGACCAATTCATTAAATCTTGTCAATAGTGGATTAACGGGCCAGGCACAGTGGCTCATGCCTGTAATCCCAGCACTTTGGGAGGCCAAGGTGGGAGAAGCACTTGAGCTCAGGAGTTCAAGACCACTCTGGGTAACACAGCAGACCCCATCTCTACAAAAAACAAAAAATAAAAAAAATTACCCAGGCGTGGGTAGTCCCAGCTACTTGGGAGGCTGAGTCCCAGCTACTTGGGAGGCTACTTGCTTGAGCCTGGGAGGTCAAGGCTGCAGTGAGCCACGATCACACCACCCAGCCTAACAGGGCAAGACCCTGTCTCAAAAAAAAAAAAAAATAGTGCATTAACAAAGAACATCATGGGTGGCTCGGTTCCCCAGGACTAGCCCCCAAAGCAAACCAGCTTCATTAATGCAGTCTTGATTTTTATAATATGATTTGATTCGGTACAGTTTTATACATATGCTACTACTGCAACTTCCAGAACAAGAGGGAAAGTAAGTAAAACTGAGCTTATGTGACTTGACGTCAAAGATGGCAAAAATGATTTGAAACAGTTCGTTGTATTCCTAATAATGAGTAATAGGAAATTATCACAGGATTGAGTAAATTAATGTCTCCAACTTTGTCAATGAGTCTCAATTTTAAAAATGAGGCACGGTCTGGACTCAGGTGTGTTTTGTAATCATAGTTCTCATTAACTTTATTCAGTTACATAATGCAGACAGCGACGCAGGTGTGCTCTGTGTGCATGCAGCTCCCTTGTGAGGGTAGCTGCTGTTTCCTCTTCTAAAGTTACTGAACGTGCCACCCTACCTCACAAGACACTCCACTAATTTCAGTGGAACACAGTACATGTTTTCCGGAAACAAAAGTGGGAGAGAACAGGACAAAGGGCTGCATTCAGAGCCCAGAGAAGAGAAGAGATGGTTATCCCCAACCTCTGCCCTCCACCTCCCGGGTTCAAGTGATTATCCTGGCTCAGCCTCCCGATTAGCTGGGACTACAGGCGCCCACCTCCAAGCCCGGCTAAAATTTGTATTTTTGGTAGAGATGGGGTTTCACCATGTTGGCCAGGCTGGTCTCGAACTCCTGACCTCAAGTGATCCACCCACCTCGGCCTCCCAGAGTGCTGGGATTGCAGGCGTGAGCCCCACACCCAGCCCAAATGAGATTTTTTTTTGATGAGCTAACCCAATAAAGAAGTTAAACTAAGGATAGCTCATCTGAGAAAGTCATTACGAAGCTTTAGTTTCTGTTTGTTTTCTCTTTATCTTGTTTCCTCTCTCTCTCACCCACCCCTAATTAATTTTCACTCAACTTAATATTCCCAAATTTTAAAACTTTTCTAGGAAGGGGCCAGGGGCAGTGGCTGATGCTTATAATTCCAGCAATTTGGGAGGCCAAAGCGGGCAGACCACTTGAGTCCTGGTGTTCGAGACCAGCCTAGGCAACATGGTGAAACCTTGGCTCTACAAAAAATACAAAACTTAGCCAGGCATGGTGCTGCATACCTGTAATCCCAGCTAATTGCGGGGCTGAGGGAGGGGGATCGCTTGAACCTGGAAGGTCCAGACTGCAGTGAGCCAATATCATGCCACTGCACTCCAGCTTGGGTGACAAAATGAGACACTGTCTCAAAAAAAAAGAAAAAAAAAAAATTTTCTAGGAAGGGCATGAACTTTAACAAGATACATGTCCGGGCACGGTGGCTCATGCCTATAATCCCAGCATTTTGGGAGGCCAAGGAAGGCAGGTCATTTGAGGTCAGGAGTTTGAGACCAGCCTAGCCAACATGGTGAAACCCTGTCTCTACTAAAAACACAAAAATTATCCAGGCATGGTGGTACATGCCTGTAATCCCAGCTATTCAGGAGGCTGAGGCAGGAGAATAGCTTGAAACCAGGAGGCAGAGGTTGCAGTGAGCTGAGATCGTGCCTCTGCACTCCTGCCTGGGCAACAGAGCGAGACTCCCGTCTCAAAAAGAAACAACAACAAAAAATATATATATATACAACCTAATTACAGGCCTCAGGGTACAGATACCAGAAACAGTAAAGTAGTGGGTTACAAGTAGCATCAGGTCCATTTGCAGGAGGAGTTGAACACCAATCCCAATAGTTCTGGAAGCTCTCTCCTCAACTATCTTCTGTTTTCCATGCTATCTGACCTCCATAGCTGGGGATTTCAAGGAGAACCCTTTACATAAGTGCAACTGAGTGGTTCGGCCTGGCAGCAGACTCTGTCAGGACTCAGGGATTTATGCAGTGATATTGACAAGTCTACAGAAACCCAGATTATAAATTTAACATTTAGAACAATAATAAATTGAAACAAGTGCAATGAAATATATTCTTCCATGGGAAATTTTTTAATTAAAATAGACTTACATTATAGAAGGGACACACAAACCATCTCAAGTTGGACGATGAATTATATCATATAGTGGATCTCTCTTTCAAAGATCTTACTTTGGACCTATGCATCCAAATGTGCAATGAGTTCTCAGCACCTCACTGACCACCCCTATGACTCGGGGCATGTCACTTACACCCACAAGGCTTAAGTCACTACCATTTTTTTTTAAGAATATTATCTGGCACCCGTAAGAATAAGATAAGATGATATTTTCAAACATATCCAGACCAAAGACAACTTCTCCCATCTTCACTGGTCTGGGTCACCATTGGCTCTTCACTAGATAAATATAACTATCCCAGACAAGGTGCTTTATTTGTGCTCTGCCCCCACAACACCAATTCATTCTTCATGTAGGAGCCAGTGTGATCTTTTCAAAATAATGTCCCAAAAATAGCAAAAGAAAGAAACAAACAGCCACCATATCTTCCTCTCCCACTTTAAGCCTGTCAGTGCTTCCCTCTACACTTAAAATCCCAAATGCCTTACCATAGCCAGACAAGTCCACTGACCACCTTCCTATTCCTCCCAGCCACAAAGTACAGGTCAGCCTCCAGGCCGCTGGACTTGCTATTCTTTCTGTCCCCATATCTTGAAAAGACTGGTTTATTTTTATCCTTTGGATCTGTGCTTAAATGTCCTTATTTCATCATTCTAAGATGCTACAACTAGAATGTAAGCTCCATGGGGGCAGGAACATCGTCTGTTCTGCTCCCCCATATCCCTACCTCTAGCACCTGGCATAGTGTCTGGCACATAGCAGGCAATCTCCACATTTGTTGAACAAATAACCAGAAAGAAAAGAGAATAGGCAAATGTAGAGAGAGAATAAGTCAGTTTGTGGTTGCCTATGGGCTGGGGGTGATAGCAGGGAATGGAGAATGACTGCTTAATGCATATGAAGTTTCTTTGGGGGATGATGAAAATGTTACAGAATTCTATAGCGGTAATGATTGCACAATTCTGTGAATATACTCAAAATCACTGAATTGCACACTTTAAATGGATGCATTATACAATATTATTATATGATAAAATATATCAATAAGTGTTATATAAAAAAAAAGAGGCCGGGCACAGTGGCTCACGCCTTTAATCCCCGCACTTTGGGAAGCCGAGGCGGATGGATCACCTGAGGTCAGGAGTTCAAGACCAGCCTGGCCAACATGGTGAAACCCCGTCTCAACTAAAAATACAAAAAAATTAGCGGGGCATGGTGGTGGGTGCCTGTAATCCCAGCTACTTCGGGAGGCTGAGGCAGGAGAATCACTGGAACCCGGGAGGTGGAGATTGCAGTGAGCCGAGATCACGCCATTGCACTCCAGCCTGGGCGGCAAGAGCAAAACTCTGTCTCAAAAAAAAAAAAAAGAAAGAAAGAAAAGAAAAAACATAGAAGGAAAGAAAAAGGATAGGAGAGAGAAATTGTGGTTAACCTTCAGGTTAATAATTGTTGTCTACAAAAAAACTGACAAAAACTATGAATACTCTCACACCTCTGAAACCCATACATGGATCTCCTTGGTTTCCATCAGCCACCCTTGGTTGGTTTTGATTTTTTTTTTTTAAGCCTTAGAAGACAACCTAGTATGAATAGTTATACTTGAAGGAAAAATAAGACAATTACTATTTGAAGAAATCAAATGTTTCACATGGATTAACGAGAACAAAGATTTTGCAAATTTCTTCCTTCAGAAACAATGTCCCAAATCGTGAAAACTAAGAACATAAATTAAAGGCCAAGTGATTGTTTTTCATTTAAAGCATCGAAGGATAATCACCTTTGCAAGACCCGCACGATGGGCTCCTTTAGACTCCATGTATGCAAGGTATTTGTTGAACTCCCGGAACTCCTCCATGGAGGGTCTGAAGGTCATTATCTTACAGCTGGGGTTCAGAGGACTTTCCACCTCGGCCACCTCCATGATGGTTAGGGCAGTGTCTGGAGAGAAGACAGTAGGGTCAACAGAACTGAATTATTATATGCTTTAGGTCATTTTTAACAAATAGTATGTCAGCTCCCCCAGCAGGAACCCTTCTCTTTCAGTCACTTCCCATTCCCTTCTACCAGTCTCAGGGAGACTCCCTCATCTCTGCCTGAACCCCTGAACAAACAAGGGCCTCTAGTCATTCCTCTTGCCAAGTTCCCTATGCCAGGTAGAGAACCACTGATCTGACTATACTGTTAGCCTCCTCAAAACCCTTCCAAGTAAAAATAAATTTTCTAGGCCGGGTGCGGTGGCTCACGCCTGTAATCTCAGCACTTTGGGGGGCCAAGACGGGCAGATCACAAGGTCAGGAGTTCGAGACCAGACTAGCCAACATGGTGAAACCCCACCTCTACTAAAAATACAAAACTTAGCCGGGTGTGGTGGTACATGCCTGTAATCCCAGTTACTCAGGAGGCTGAGGCAGCAAAATTGCTTGAACCTGGGAGGCTGAAGTTGCAGTGAGCCAAGATCTCGCCACTGCACTCCAGCCTGGGTGACAGGGTGAGACTCTGGTCTGAGCGACAGAGTAAGACTCCGTCTCAAAAAATAAATAAATAAAAAATAAATAAAAATTTTTTTTTTGAGACAGTCTCGCTATATTGCCTAGGCAGGAGTGCAGCGGCGCAATCTCGGCTCACTGCAACCTCCACCTCCCAGGTTCAAGCGATTTTCCTGCCTCAGCCTCCCCAGTAGCTGGGATTACAGGCACCCGCCACCATGCCGGGCTACCTTTTTTGTATTTTTAGTAGAGATGGAGTTTCACCATGTTAGCCAGGCTGATCTAGAACTCCTGACCTCAGCCAATCCGCCAGCCTCTGCCTCCCAAAGTGCTGGGATTTACAGATGTGAGCTACCGAGCCCAGACGTAAAAATAAATTTTCCTTTTCTCTTTTTCTTTTTGAGACGGAGTTTTACTCCTGTTGCCCAGGCTGGAGTGAAATGGCGCAATCTCGGCACACCACAGCCTCGACCTCCCGGGTTCCAGTGATTCTCCTGCCTCAGCCTTCCGGGTAGCTCGGATTACAGGCATGGTCTACCACACCCAGGTAATTTTGTATTTTTAGTAAAAATGGGGTTTCTCCATGTTGGTCAGGCCGGTCTCGAACTCCCGACCTCAGGTGATCCACCCGCCTTGGCCTCCCAAAGTGCTGGGATTACAGGCATGAGCCACTGTGTCTGGCCGTAAAAATGAATTTTCTAACCTTGCAAGTTTACAAAAGATGTTGCTTCTATATACCAGTTCTGAAACAGACTCTCACTCACATACGTACCTGTACAAAGGCCTAGTCTAGGCTGAGTAGAGAATGTTAAAAATCGTTAGTTTACTCAGGTGTGCTTACAGATTGTCATATCATGCCTTCCTACAGTAATTAACAAGCCATCCATTCAGCAAAATCGCCAAGCACCAGGCAAAACACGGAAAAGAATGACGATGGAGACAGAAAGGGATGAGGTCTGTCTTCACCTTCCAAACTGTCTAGAGGCTGAACAAACTTCAATATAAAAATGTACACAAGGGCTGGGAGTGATAGTTCACACCTGTAATCCCAACACTTTGGAGGCGGGCATATCACTTGAGGCCAGGAGTTCAAGACCACCCCGGGCAACACGGTAAAACGCCATCTCTACTAAAAATATAAAAAATTAGCCGGGCGTGGTGGCACACGCCTGTAGTCCCAGCTACTAGGGAGACTGAGGCAGGAAAATCACTTGAACCTGGGAGGTAGAAGTTGCAGTAAGCCGAGATCATGCCACTGCACTCCAGCCTGGGTGATGGAGTGACACAGGAAGAAGTAACTAACTCCACCTGGGTTAATGAGCAATCATTTTCCCAGAAAGGGGGAGAGTTAAGTCTTATAAGAAGGTATGGGAGTTGGCCAGACAAGAGAAAGGGCACTCTAGGCAGCAGAAATATCTGGAAGTACCGCTGGAACGGACAGGAGTTTAATAATGTGTCTGGAGCATAGAAAGGAAAGACTATAGGAGATCAAAGTAGGAAAGTAGGCAGGTTTTACTATGAAAACACAGGCTTAATCTCGCTGTCAATAAACAGGATGATTCCTTCAGCAAACATTTATTGAGCACCTATCATGAGACAGGCACACAGAATGCAAAGGTAAGTAAGAAGCACTAAAGTGGCTGCCTCAGGAAGGAGTCCCACCCCAACCTTCTTCTAAATCCATTAGGACCTGGCATCTGACAGCACAAACAACAAATCCTCCTGGAAAAAAGTTTTCCTCTTTTTTTTTTTTTTTTTTTTTTTTTTTTGCTGAATTTAATCTGCCTGACAGAAAAATTAGAAATGAGGGATGGGGCAGATAAAAGGGTGAAACGTCATGAGATAGTAACAGGTTAAAACAGAGCAGGGCTGGCCAGGGCTAGGGCTCATGCCTATAATCCCCGCACTCTGGGAGGCCGAGGCGGGCGGATCAGTTGAGGTCAGGAGATGGAGACCATCCTGGCTAACACGGTGAAACCCCATCTCTACTAAAAAATACAAAAAAAAAAAAATTAGCCAGGTGTGGTGGCAGGCACCTGTAGTCCAAGTTACTCAGGAGGCTGAGGCAGGAGAATGGCATGAATCCAGGAGGCGGAGCTTGCAGTGAGTGAGCCCAGATCACGCCACTGCACTCCATCTCAAAAACAAAAACAAAAAAACAAAAAAAACAGAGCAGGGCTACAGATAGTGATGTAGTCATTATTTGTTTAAAGAAAGTTTGGCCAGGCGCGGTGGCTCACGCCTGTAATCCCAGCACTTCAGGAGGCCAAGGCGAGCGGATCACACCACCACACCCGGCCAATTTTTGTATTTTTAGGGATGGGTTTCGCCATGTTGGCCAGGCTGATCTCAAACTCCTGACCTCAGGCGATCCCACCCGCCTCGGCCTCCCAAAGTGCTGGGATTACAGGCGTGAGCCACCGCACCCAGCCTAGAAAGTTTAAATGAGCATCTATCTCACAATGCACACATGAGGAAGTAGGAGATACATAAAATTTAAACCTCACCACCCTTTAGGAACTTACAATCCAAAGGAGAAAATAATCTGCACAAAAATATATTAACACATGGTAGAAAATATTCTGAATTCTCCCTGCCTCAGGGAGGGGGCCTGCAACAGGGAAAAACCTTCCAGGCTACATTCCTACCTGCCTCTGTTCACGTGTAGACAGGTACATACCCCCAAATTCATGGGCTTCAGGATAGCAGCCTCACTCTATATAGTATACACACAGTCCTTTAGAAGCATCTGGATCTGGTCCAGGCACGGTGGCTCACACCTGTAATCCCAGCACTTTGAGAGGTCGAGGCAGGCAGATCACTCGAGTCCAGGAGTTGGAGACCAGCCTGGGCAACATGGCGAAACCCTGTCTCTAAAAAAAAATATAAAAATTTGCTGGGCGTGGCCGGGCACAGTGGCTCACGCCTGTAATCCCAACACTTTGGGAGGCTGAGGTGGGTGGATCACCTGAGGTCAGGAGTTCGAGACAGCCTGACCAACATGGAGAAACCCCGTCTCTACTAAAAATACAAAAATTAGCCAGGCGTGGTGGCACATGTCTATAAGCCAAGCTATTCGGGAGGCTGAGGCGGGAGAATTGCTTGAACCCAGGAGGCGGAGGTTGCAGTGAGCTGAGATCACGCCATTGCACTCCAGCCTGGGCAACAAGAGCAAAACGCCATCTCAAAAAAAAAAAAAAAAAAATTAGCCAGGCGTGATGGTGAGCGCCTATAGTCCCAGCTACTCGGAGGCTGAGACGGGAGGACTGCTTTACCACCCCGGGGGGCAGAGGGTGCAGTGAGCCAAGACTGTGCCACTGCACTCCCACTCCAGCCTGGGTGAAAGAGTGGGACCCTGTTTCAAAAAAAAAAAAAAACAAAAATCTGGATCTGGCCCTCACCTAACTACTATGGCCTCGTCCATCATCACTGTCTGCACTGTACTTTACACTCCAACAATACTCACTGACTTGTGCTTCTGTAAACAAGCAAAGCTTTCTGTGTTTCTGCACGGTATTCCTTCCCCTCACAGCAGCCTCTGCCTGCTTCCTCACCTGACAAACTCCTGCACACCCCTGAGATTCCTAATCCTCTGGAACAGGCCTGCCTGACCCATCACCGTGTTCCCAACTCCCCCTCTGCGTTCATTATAGCAGTTGCCTGTCCCAACTGCTGGCACTTCCAACCACCCACTGAGCCATCAGCTCCTCCAGGGAAATGCCGGCTCGCCACCTCTTTAAGCCCTAGCATACAGTCTGGCACCCCAGCCTGGCTCACAGTATCTGCTGCAATAATTATTTGCCAGCTGAATGAAGGAGTAAGTGCCAAATTGTTAACATATTTACATAATGATACCAAATTCAGGAAAAGGAAAGCAGTAGTCCCAAACACAGAAAAGTTACTTAGAAAACAGATTCACTTGCATGACTGGTAAAGAATAATGCAACAGAAAAATCTGGGCAGTGAGAACAGGGTAGAAGCCCACAGATCACCTTTGTAGAAACATTTGGTACACAGAAGGCAGTGTTCATCTTCGACAGGCTAAAGAACAAGGGTGGCCCGAGCATTTCCCTAGGCAGAGGAAAAAGCCAATAGGAAAAAGGAAATCACTGAGTCATTCAACAAATAGTTATTGTATGCCTAACTGCTGGGCAGTCATTCACCAGGGAACAAAGTCCTGACACTAATGGAATGAAACAGACAATAAAAAGTACATGCTATGAAGAAGAACCAAGGGTAAGGGGATAGACTGCAAAGGGGAGGGGTGGCTATTTTATACAGGGTAGGCAAGGGAAGGTACTTCGGAGGAACAAAGGGCTGAAGGAGGGAATTAATCATACAGATATCTGGAAGAAGAACATTTTAGGCTGAAGGAACAACAAGGAAAGAGACTATCGGACTCTTCAAGGAACAGCAAAGAGATGCGTGTGGCTGGAACTCAGTAAGCAAGGAGGAGAATGGTGAGAAATGAAACTGGGGAGAAAAGGAGTTTGGCATTTACTCTGCATGAGATGGGAACTGATCCTGGGGTTCCTCCCCCTCTTAGTTATCCAGTTCTTGGTACTCAAACATCCATTCCCCTTTAAGGAGATAATGGCTGTCTCTAAAGAAACTTTTCTGGACCATCTGAAGCAGAGAAATGAGCTGGCTCACATATTGTAAATCACATTCTGGCTCTTGTGTCAAAAAGGACAAGGCTGGAAGCAGGGAGGTCGACAAGGAGGCAATTTACACTAACCCAGGCAAGTTAAGACGGCAGCTTGGACCATGATGGGCAGAGGGAAATGCTCAGATTGTAGATTGCAAATACATTCTGAACAAAATTTCTTGACAGAAGTAAGAGAAATACGAATCAAGATTTCTGGTCTAAGCAACAGAAGAATGGCTCTGGGCCTGGGCGTGGTGGCTCACGCCTGTAATCCCAGCACCTTGGGAGGCCTAGGCAGGCAGATGACCTGAGGTCAGGAATTTGAGACCAGCCTGGCCAACATGGCAAAACCCTGTCTCTACTAAAAATACAAAAATTAGCCAGGTGTGGTGGTGCGTGCCTGTGATCCGAGCTACTAGGGAGGCTGAGGCACAAGACTCACTTGAACCCCGGGGGCGGAGGTTGCAGTGAGCCAAGACGGTGCCACTGCACTCTAGCCTGGGCAACAGATAAAGACTCCGTCTCAAAAAACAAACAAATGAAAAATGGCTCTGACAAGAAATTGAGGCACAGAAATTGTTAAGACATGCAGCAAATTAGTGGCTACTAGAATTAAACCTAGACCTTGACCTAGTTTGCTAACTGGTCTAGGAAATATACTCTGCCAGTTTCTAGCATCACTACTCCCTTGATTACACAAAACTATTTCTACCTACAAATCAGATACATAGATTAAAGACCTAGATAGCTTAGGTTTTAGACCTTTTTCAATCTTGGAAGTTAATATAGGATAATCATAAAATTTTAAATATGTTAAATAATCTAAAAAGTTAACTTTCACTACACCACCCAGATCTTTGCCAATATGATGGGCAAAAAAGTATGGTTAAGTTTCATTTATTTGATTCTTAGTGACAGTGATCATTTTTGAACACACATAGCCATTTGCATTTCTTTTTCTGGGAGGTGCCTACTTACATTCATTACATTTAAAAGGTATTTATATTAATAAATGTTCTGTTCCTTGAGTTCTTCCTAATCTATATTTATCATTACTAAACTTAATCATGCTACAATTAAATCCCCAGTCCCTCTTGTTTCTCTTTTACCTTTATTTTTCTGAACCAAGAAGAAACAGAAGTTTAAAATGTTCTTCCAGTAATGTTTCCAAGTCACAGGAAAATAGGTATATCTTAAAACAAGCACCACTATGATTTTTAGCTGAAGGTGATAATCATTTTTTTAAATGCTACCCTTCTTTTGACTGAGTCCACAAAGTGAATGACAATACTATCTCTGAAGGCAACTGTTATCTTGCTTCCACAGAGCTGGTCTTCAATGTTTCTGAGACCACCTACAGCAAAAACGATATTTATAGCAAGTACCCTAAGAATTTTTTTAATAAGCTAAAGACCTTTCCATTGAATAAAGTCCAGCACTAACTCATATAACAACCCATGTTTGTTTCTGAAAATTTTTACATTATGATAAAGGACAAACATCTACTCTCCTTGTTCTAATGAGAACGTGTCTTTATTTGGTAATAAAAAAGAAACCAAGTCTGATGCTTTCCGGCCAAATGTAATACTCTATCCAACATTGCCTTCCTTCCCTGTCTACACCTGTGTTTCTGACTTGTATTCTCTTAAACAACTTCTGTGGGAGGAGTAAAAACTGACAGCTCTCATTGTGTATTAGTTTCTCCAACAAAGCCTGCCACAGAACTGATGTGCACTGCTGCCTCTGAAGAGAACAGTTCAGTATCTACTTTAAAACACAGCCCTCTAGGAACCTAAGCACTCACAGTTAGCAGACTATGTCTCTGGCTAGAAAAAGAAGGATTCTGGGCCCTACCTGAGGTGATGGAGTCTGGCCTTTCAATCCCAACACTCAGCACACTGGGTGTGGCCTCACAGGAGCCAAGCAAGCTTCTGCTCTGCACACTGCTTTGGCTGGGCATTGTTAGGGATTGACTTGTGTCCCCCCAAAAGACACGCTGAAACCTAACCCCCAACACCTGTGAATGTGGCCTTATTTGGAAATAAAGTTTTTGCAAATGTAATCAAGTTAACATGAGGTCATATTTGATTAGGGTCGGCCCTGATCCACTATGACTGGTGTCCTTTTAGGAAGAGAAGAAGCCAGGCGCAGTGGCTCATGCCTGTAATCCCAGCACTTTGGGAGGCCAAGGTGGGCAGATCACCAGGTCAGGAGTTCAAGACCAGCCTGGCCAATACGGCAAAACCCTGTCTCTACTAAAAATACAAAAAAATTAGCCAGGCATGGTGGCGGGTGCCTGTAATCCCAGCTACTGGGGAGGCTGAGGCAGAAGAATCGCTTGAACCCGGGAGGCAGAGTTTGCAGTGAGCCAAGATCGCACCACTGCACTCCAGCCTGTGTGACAGAGTGAGACTCCATCTCAAAAAAAAAAAAAGAGGAAGAGGAGAAGAGACAGACACAGGAAAGAGTGCCATGTGAAGATGGAGGCAGGGACTAGAGTCATGCAGCTGCAAGCCAAGGAATGCCAAGGACTCCTGGCAAACACAAGAAACTACAACAAAGGCTGTAAGCAGATTCCTGCCTAAATCCTTCAGAGAAAACACGGTCCTGCCAACACCTTGATTTTGGCCTTTAGCCTCCAGAACTGTGACAGGATAGACGTCTCTTGTTTTAAACCATCCCAGTTTGTGATAATTAGTTACATTAGCCCTAGGTAACTAATACAGGCATGAAGGGCCAGACTGGAGGGAAAGGAGAAGAGGACCACGTTCTCCAATCTTAGCTTTATCAACAGCAAAGCTCCTAATACTCTGACTTTTCATCTAACTTCATCCTTCTCAAATGGTTCTAAACTGGGGAGGAAAAGGGAAGTCGCAGGCCACCTCCACAACTCTCCATTAATCGTTAGCACATCTACCCAGTTATTGAACCACAAGAGGGCTTGAAAGGGCCCCCCAGGCCTGGGCCCCAGCTTAGAAAGCAACACAGCAAAGAAACTCCCTGAGCCTCCTGACCATTTTTGCCTAAGCCAGGACTCATTTCTCTCTCACAAGTCCAAGCAGCTTTTATTTCATCCGTTTCATCCCATTCCGATCACCACTCCATCTTGTTCCACCTGCCTGCTGAGGCCAGGGGTAGGAATGGAAGAGCAGACTCAAGGAGATAGTTCTGGAACAGAGTGCCTTGGATCCTAGACCAAAAGGATTTTTTTTTCCTCTTTTCTTTTGCTATAAAGAATACAGTGGGCCGAGTGTGGTGGCTCACACCTGTAATCTCACCACTTTGGGAGGCCAAGGTGGGTGGACCACTGGAGGTCAGGAGTTCACAACGAGCCTGGCCAACATGGTGAAACCCTGTCTCTACTAATAATACAAAAAAAATTAGCCAGGCATGGTGGCATGTACCCGTAGTCCCAGCTACTTGGGAGGCTGAGGCAGGACATAACAGACCTAACTGGATTTTTATTTTCTCCTCAGGACCAGGAACAATAACTGGATTTTAATCCCTCCCACATGCCTCCTCCACTTAGTAGCTGTGTGACCTCAGGAAAGTTACTTAAATGAGGCCTCTGCTTCCCCATCAGTAAAATGGGGTAACATTACCTAACCAACTGCATTGTGATGGGGATCCAGTAAGCCACTAAATGTAAGAATTTAGCATATTGCCAGGCTATAGTAACATCTGCATGCTGGCTTTGAAAGAAAGAAAAAAAAAACATTCAAATTAAATATCTTCCATGAGCTTCTTCCTCACTGCCTACAGATGCTCAAATTTCTCCCATATAACTTTCAAAGGCTTCCTGTATGTCATGTCCCCTCCTAGACTCACCCAAGCTACAGCCTTCTCTCCCCAGCCTCTCACAGACAAACCCCAACAGAGAACGGGGTTTCTTTGTCAGTTCACCTCCTGACTCAAATCTTCATCTGCAATCTGATGTCTGCCTCCACCAATGGATTGAAATCACTCCAGAAAAAGTTGCCAGTAACTTTTTAATTGCTACAATCAATATGTTGTTTTTAGTCCTCTTACCAACCCTTCTGCAGCCTCTGAAACCAGAAAAGCCTCTCCAGGCACAGCTTTTGTGGGTGGTGGGCAACTAGCCCCTCCTCACTCTCTGATGGTCACTGCACTCTCTGGAACTCCTTTCCATGCCCCTATTCCTCAGCGAACCCCTCCACTATTGGTATGCTGCAAGTCTCTTTCTGCAGTTATCTTCCCTTTCCACCAAACACAGACACTATGGGAGATTTCATCCATGCTGGCCTCAACTGTCCTTCCCAATACACCTCGGAAAAATGCTACATGGGCCTCTCTCTCATGAATCTCAGTCCAGTCTGCTAGGCACAGTCATTTGAAGATGAGTATAAAGCTGTATAGAGACAATAATGAATCTAAAACTTAACAAGGATAAAAACGAATCTGTCCTCCAAAATCTGCTTCTCTATCCCAGTCTTGGTCCTTATTCATTCAATCCATCCACAGTTTAGCTTGCCTCTTTGTGGCCAGCACTGACCACAGCTAATCCTCAAAGAGCTTACAAGTGCAGGAAAGAACAAGTACACAGGCGGTTATTATACCACAGGTCAGGTGCTGCAATAAAGGGAAGCAGAGAGGACCACAAAACCCTTTAGAACAAGAACAGTGGGAGCTACCTTTTACCAGGGTAAAGGTGGAGAAAGAAGTGAAAAGTGAAAGCATCTCCTACACACCAAGCCCATCCTCTACTGCACGGCCAACATCAGAATCCCAAGAGCCTTCCCAAGCCTACCCTCTCTTACTCTCCACTTCTAAGTGGTGACCTTTGTAGTCAATTCAACATCCTGAGCATCTTTCACATCCATTCTCTAGTCTCCATACCAACTATTACTATCCCGAGTGACTTCTGTCGTTCTTTTCTTCAACCACCCCAAGAGTCTTTGCTGATTTTCCCACCTTTAGTTCACCACCGTCAATTCTCTTCCATACATCTATATAAACATAAAGCAAACTTTCTAGACACAAAACTGATGATGCTATCCCTCTTTTAAACCCTTCAATAGCTCAATATCGTTCCAGTATGGAGCCATGAATCTAGCTCCTGCCTTTCCCCTCCCTCCTCAAAGACCCCTTTTGCCCACTTGAAACCTTTGCTTCACTTTAAACCACTCGATGTTCCCAAAGGAGTGAAGCCATTTCCCTCCTTTGCTGTGCTATATATAGACATATGTGTCACGTGTACGCCGTTACGAATACCTTCTGTGAGCAAGACATCTGTTAAGTGCATTAATGTTCATTCTCTTAATTAAATCTCATAAGAACTCCATTGAGAGAGGGACCATGAATATCCCTATTTCACTAATGACAGAGAATAAAATGCTTGCTCAAGGTCCCAAGTTAGTAGGAGCAGAAGATGGGAAATGAGCCTAATCTGAGATTCTACTCATAACTGCTTTGCTATTTGCTTCTCCTATCCTCAGTGGTGCCTATCTGGCAAAACTCATCTTTCAACTTTATCTTACACGTTGACTCCCTTATGAAGCTTTTTGGGCAACACTCCCCACCAACTGACAACGTCCTTTTTAAATGCTCTCGGCACTCCACACACGTCATCAATCTTCATTATTCACAGATTCCGTATCTACAAATTTACCTACTCACTAAAATTTATAACCAGGCCAGGCATGGTGGCTCACACCTGTAATCCCAGCACTTGGGAGACCGAGGTGGACAGATCACCTGAGGTCAGGAGTTCGAGACCAGCCGGGCCAACATGGTGAAACCCTGTCTCTACTAAAAGCACAAAAATTAGCCGGGCATGGTGGCAGGCACCCGTAATCCCAGCTACTGAGGAGGCTGAGGCAGGAGAATAGCCTGAACCCAGGAGGCTGAGACTGCAGGTGAGCCGAGATAATGCCACTGCACTCCAGCCAGCCTGGGCACAAGAGTGAGGTTCTGTCTCAAAAAAAAAAAAAAAAATTATTTATAACCCCAAAATCAGTATTTGTATCACCATTTGTATGGTCATTCACAGACACGCATAGCGCAATGAAAAATTTGAATTGCCCAATGCACACATTCCCAGCTGAGGCCAAACAAAGGCTTTCTTGTTTCAGCTCTCATAATGCAAACAAGTGTCCATTCTATGGTCTATTTAGTGCCATGATTTTTGCACTTTTACACTGTCTGTTGGTGATTTAGCTGCTTAAAATGGCTCCCAAGCATAATGCTGAAGTGCTGTCTTGTGTTTCTAAGTACAAGAATACCATGGTTTATGGCTATAGCTATATGGCTTATGACAAAAATTCATGTTACATAAGGTTGGTTCAGTCATGAGTTACAGTGCTGTTGGCAACAAATTTAATGTTAATAAATCAACAATTATATTTTAAATACAGTGTCTTTAAAAAAAAAACACAAAAAACAAGATTATGTATTGATCAGTTGATGAAAATGTTCTGACCAGAGGGTGACAGGAACCTAAACTTGTACTTCCACTAGGAGCAACATTTCAGTATTTACTAGTTCATTGTTCATGATGACTTTATAGAACATAACTACTGCAAATAATGAGAATCAACTATACCTTGGCCCTTGTAATAAGACCATTCAGAAAAATCCCCTGCCCCAAAGAAGCTTCCCAGCCTACAGGGGTAAATTCAGGCAGCCACTCCTACAGACTACAATTGACTAGCCTGGCACAATCACTTCCCCGGGACTCAGAACTAGAGAGCAGAGACAATGCCATGAGGGGCTACAGCAGCTACTGTCTGCTATATGCATAAACAGAAAATGAGAGAAGGAAAGAGATCAGCAGAGAAAAGTAGAATCAAGAGAATGCAAGGCCCCAAGAAAGATGAAGGGACCAAAAAGCCAAGACTGAATCATCATAGGCATAATGAAATCATGAGCTCAATGCCTGAAGAATCTGCACCTTCAAGAGACTGCATTCTGGAGAGCTGAAATCTACATTATATGAGACATTCCAAATATGATTAAAGTCGCTTTTTTTTTTTTTTTTTTTTTTTTTTGAGAGGGAGTTTCACTCTTGTTGCCCAGGCTGGAGTACAATGGCGGAATCTCGGCTCACTGCAACCTCTACCTCCCTGGTTCAAGCAATTCTCCTGCCTCGGCCTTCCCAAGTAGCTGGGATTACAGGTGGACAGTATCACACCCGGCTAATTTTCGTATTTTTTGTAGAGACAAGGTTTTGCCATGTTTCCAGGCTGGTCCTGGACTCTTGAGCTCGAAGAGATCTGCCTGCCTTGGCTTCCCAAAGTGCTGGGATTACAGGTGTGAGCCACAGCACCTGGCCAATTTCTCTTTCGTTTTTTTGTGGGTTTGTTTTTAATAACAGTATGAGAATTAGGATACTTGAGAAGCAATATGAGCCAGAATCCTTGCAGATGTTTACAAATTCCCGATCTCTTAACTTTTTACTGTTATAATTCCCACACCTCGTTTGAGATTAAAAATAAATTACCTCATCTTTAATGGTGCTTTCCAAAGGATTCAACTTAAATTTGGTAGAAACAATAACACCGCTGTATTCACAGCTAATCTATTTACATAATTTTTAATTATATCTCATACTTACACAGCTGGCATAAACTGGATGGGAAATACTGTTGACCTGCTGAGTATTCAACTGGTATTTGGATATATTAACAATAGGCATAGCCTACTTAGCCCTGTGTGTGAGGTCAGTGGTGTTCTTTAGAGAGAATGTATGGTATCCCTTATCTGGTTAAGATAAGGGTGAGTCAGAGCTACTATAGTAGGCCAGTAAGATTAAGTAGCTGTAGGTGGCTGGCTAGTTTGCTTAAATAGCTCAATTAGTAATTGCATTCAGTGCTACAAAATGAATTTTGAGCCACTCAGGTTAATTTCATAAAGATTACACCAATGAACCAATTATTAGAAAGGATTATTATCAAAACGCAAATAGGAGTGAATAAACCTCCATGTGATGCACATCTGGTATTTGTAAAACAGCAGGTTTCCCACTTGCCATTGTCATCAGTTTATATTTGATAATAGCATCAGTCATGATTCAATTACCCATAGACACTGCTCTGGTTAACTTAAGCAGAAAGGGATTTGATATTGACTGGTGTTAGAGCACTGTTGAAGGTTGCAAGAGCAGACTCTCAGCTCAATCCCCAGGGATGTCTCCCAGAACACTGCTGCAGCAGGAGCTGTCAAGGGAACTGCCACTGCTACTACAAACAGAAGATCAGGGTCCAAGTTCATAGCACCTTGACTGAGATCTGGGGAGCAGGAAGTTGCTGTGGAACCTGTTTGTTTCACGAACACACCAAATTAGTTATGATCTAGGGGTCAGGAATCGTGCCAGAACTATTTCTTCAGACCCAAGCTACTTCTGCTAGATCTACTCCAGCAAGAATGCCTTACAGGTTTCCACTCTCTCCTTACCCTGCTCAGTTCTGAATCTAAGTCTTTTCATATTAAAAGACTTTAATCAGCCAGGCACGGTGGCTCACGCCTGTAATCCCAGCACTCTGGGAGGCCGAGGTGGGCAGATCACGAGGTCAAGAGATCGAGACCACGGTGAAACCCCATCTCTACTAAAAATACAAAGAATTTGCCAGGCATGGTGGCGGGCACCTGTAGTCCCAGCTACTCGGGAGGCTGAGGCAGGAGAATGGCTTGAACCCGGAAGGTGGAGCTTGCAGTGAGCCAAGATCACGCCACTGCACTCCAGCCTGGGCGACAGAGCGAGACTCCATCTCAAAAAAAAAAAAAAGACTTTAATCAGGCCTGGTGAGGTAGCTCAGGCCTGTAATCCCAGCACTTTGGAAGGTCAAGGTGGGTGGATCACCTGAGGTCAGGAGTTAAAGACCAGCTTGGCCAACATGGTGAAATCCTGTCTCTACTAAAAATACAAAAAATTAGCCAGGCCACTTGCACTCCAGTCTGGGCGAACATGAGACTCCTTCTCATAATTAAAAAAAAAAAAAAAAGGCACCAAATCTCCACCTAGATAGACGAATCTCACAAATGTAACACTGTGACACAGAGTCTTGCTCTGTTACCCAGGCTGGAGTGTAGTGGCATGATCCCAGCTCACTGCAACCTCCGCTTCCTGGGTTCAAGAGATTCTCCTGCCTCAGCCTCCCAAGTAGCTGGGATTACAGGCATGTGCCACCACGCCCCGCTAATTTTTGTATTTTTAGTAGAGGCGGGGTTTCACCATGTTGGTCAGGCTGGTCTCAAACTCCTGACCTTAGGTGATCCTCCCAGCTTAGCCTCCCAAAGTGCTGGGATTACAGGCGTGAGCTACCGCACCGGGCCTTGGAAAAATCTGATAAACTTTTGTATTTAGCTGTGGAAGCAGAGAGCTGTCACTTGAGTGAATAAGTTATTTAGCTACAAAGGCCTGAAACCCAGGAATGGTGGGGTGGCTCATGCCCATAATCCCAGGACTTTGGGAGGCCCAAGCGGGAGGATCACCTAAGGTCAGGAGTTCAAGACCAGCCTGGCCAACATGGTGAAACCCTGTCTCTACTAAAAATACAAAAATTAGCCAGGGGTGGTGGCAGGTGCCTGTAATCCTAGCTACTCAGAAGGTTGAGGCAGGAGAATTGCTTGAACCCAGGAGGCAGAGGTTGCAGTAAGACGAGATCATGCCACTGCACTCCAGCCTTGGTGACAGAGCAAGACTCTGTCTCAAAAAAAAAAAAAAAGAAAAAATTAGGCAAGCATGGTGGCATGCCTGTAGTCCCAGCCACTCAGGAGGCTGAGGCAGGACGATTCCCTGAGTCCAAGAGTTCAAGGCTGCAGTGAGCTATGATTTTGCCACTGCACTCCAGGCTGGGAAAGAGTGAGATCCTGTCTTTATGGGGAGAAAAAAAAAAAAAAAGGCCTGAAAACCTGTATGTTTTGAAGAAAAATGATGGAATGATGGGACTAGTTATCCTGACTATCAAACTGAAGAATTTCAAGTTTTTATGGCTTGCAGTTGGAAACCATTTCAGTTTCCAATTACAAACCATTTTAAATCTAGAGGATGGCTTGTTAAGAATGTTACATTTGATTAGCCAAACATGGTGGAAGCAGGTGGAGGTTGCGGTGAACCAAGATCGCGCCACTGCACTCCAGACTGGGCGACAGAGCAAGACTAAGTCTCAAAAAAAAAATTTTAACTTCAAGGACCTGGGGGCAATAAGGAGAACAGATATAACAACTTTCTTGTCTTAGACAGGTAAAGGGAACAATCTCAAAAATGTAAAACACAGGCATTCACTACTGAAAGAGCTACACTCACTACAGAAAAGATAAAATGAGGCAGATCACATTGTCATTCTAAAAGTCCTCCCACAGCCCCGGAGATGTGCCCAGCTGAAGCTGAAGGAAGACTCTTTGCATGACTTAACAGCTGGGGCAGCTAACATTTAAGTACTTAACATGAACATCAAGAGGTTAACAAACTCACTCAAAAGCAGCTTTGAAAAGATAAAACCTAGCAGTTACTGAGGTTTTGCTGAGAACGTAAGTGGCAGAAAGGAGTAGAGAGCTTTGGGTGCTTAAGGTCTGCTTCCACCCTGCTGTAGATGAAAACACCAAAAGTATAATATTAATAAAAAGAATTCTTCCCAGATAGCTGCCTAAATTGACCAAAATCCAAAGGAAATCAACAACAGCAATACAGATTAGACAACTGACTACAGAGTAAGTGAAAATCTGTTGTTTCCTTACTTGGGGGTAGGGGATGAAAATACAGAAGGGTGAGGAATCCTGGAAAAGTTGACAATACAAGACAATAAAAACTTAAGGGTCAAACTCAATATACAAACCTAAGTGCTATAGGAATTCCTGGGGAAAAGATAAGACTACAAATGGGCACAGTAGGAGAAGCCTTTAAAAGGTGGGATTGAGGCCCAGCACGCGGGCTCACGCCTGTAATCCCAGCACTTTGGGAGGCCGAGGCGGGTGGATCATGAGGTCAGGAGTTTGAGACCCACTGGCCAAGATGGTGAAACCCTGTCTCTACTAAAAATAACACAAAAATTACCCGGGCGTGGTGGTATGTGCCTATAATCCCAGCCACTCGGAGGCTGAGACAAGAATCGCTTGAACCCAGGAGGTGGAGGTTGCAGTGAGCTGAGATAGCGCCATTGCACTCCAGCCTGGTCAAAAAGAGCAAAACTCCAACTTAAAAAAAAAAAAAAAAAAAAAAAGTGGGTTTGAGACAGGCCTTGAAGATAAATGGGACTTGAGCCAAAGAAAGATGTGTTGAGGCTGGGCACAGTGGCTCACGCCTGTAATCCCAGCACTTTGGGAGGTCAAGAGATCAAGACCATCCTGGCCAACATGGTGGAAACTCTGTCTCTACTAAAAATACAAAAAATTAGCTGGTCGTGATGGCATTGGCCCGTATTCCCAGCTTCTCGGGAGGCTGAGGCAGGAATCACTTGAACCCGGGAGGCAGAGGTTGCAGTAAGCCGAGATCGTGCCACTGCACTCCAGCCTGGCAACAGCGCGAGACTCCATCTCAAAAAAGGAAAGAAAGATGTGTTGAGCGGGGCATGGTGGCATACACCTGTAAAGCCTGTAGTTCCAGCTACCCAAAAGGCTGAGGCAGGAGAATACCCAGAGCCCAGGAGTTCAAGGCTTCAGTGAGCTACGATCGCACCACTACATTCTAGACCAGGAGACACAGTGAGGCCTCCATCTCTAAAAATAAAAAAGAGAAAGGTGTGTTATCCTTCTATGGGATATACGGAACGCACAAAAATAATTTTTAATTGTTCATGTATCAAAAGTAACAATGGTTCTCAACCAGGGGTGATTTTGTATCCTTGAGACATTGGCAATGCCTGGAGACATTTTTGTCACAAGAGGAAGAGTTCAAGTTGCATCTAATGGGTAGATGCTGTTAAACATAAAAAAGTCCCCACAACAAGGAATTACCAAGCACCAAAACATCAGCAGTGCAACTGTTTAAAAACCATTTGTCGCTGGGCGCAGTGGCTCATGCTGTAATCCCAACACTTTGGGAGGCCGAGGCAGGCGGATCACCTGAGGTCAGGAGTTCGAGACCAGCCTGACCAACATGGAGAAACCCCGTCTCTACTAAAAATGCAAAATTAGCCAGGCGTGGTGGCCAATGTCTGTAATCCCAGCTACTCCGGAGGCTGAGGCAGAAGAATTGCTTGAACCTGCGTGGTGGAGGTTGCAGTGAGCCGAGATTGTGCCACTGCGCTCCAGCCTGGGCAATAAGAACGAAACTCCATCTCAAAAAAAAACCATTTGCTAGGGCCTCAAGAAATTCTAGCGTAAGTTCAACAATAGACATGTACAATAATGTTCATTACAGCATTTTCATAAGAACTAAAAACTGAAAACTCAAAAATCAATCTACAAGAAAATAAGGAAATGAATCACAATATATTCACCCGATGGAACTACACAGCAGTGAAAATTAACAAATCATAGCTACTCCCAGGAATATGGATGAATCACCAAGCAGGATGGCTCACGTCTGTAATCCCAGCACTTTGGGAGGCCGAGGCAGGCTGATCACTTGAGGTGAGGAGTTCAAGACCAGCCTGGCCAACATGGTGAAACCCCATCTCTACTAAAAATACAAAAATTCGCTGGGTATAGTGGCATATGCCTGTAATCCCAGCTACTCGGGAGGCTGAGACAGAAGACTTGCTGGAGTCCAGGAGGCAGAGGTTGCAGTGAGACAAGATTGTGCCACTGCACTTGCACTCTGACCTGGGCAACAGAGAGAGACTCCATCTCAAAAAAAGAAAATAAATATGGATGAATCTCAGAAAGCCTTAAACTAACCAAAGCGTAAGTCCATTTTCACAAATCTGAAATCAAATTTAATCTACTCTTTAAGGATAAATGCATAAAAGACAAATCCATTTTTTTAAAGCAAGGGCATATGGAACACAAAAATCAGGACATGGTTGCCAAGGAGAGAAGATGGATGAGATAGAAGAGAAACATACAGTGATATCTGGGTGAATTCATAGAACTATACCATGTCTTTTGCATGCCCCAAGTATCATATAAAACCTTTTTTAAGATGAAACAATCAATATAGGTAATATATTTCTATAAATATCTGCAAGAAAATATTTTAATGCTATGTTAAAATTTTTTTTTTAAACACTCTGTCACCCATGCTGGAGTGCGGTAGCACAGTCTCAGCTTACTGCAATCTCCACCTCCCAGGTTCAAGTGATTCTCCTGCTTCAGCCTCCCAAGTAGCTGGGATTACGGGTGTGTGCCACCACACCTGGCTAATTTTTGTATTTTTAGTAGAGACAGGGTCTCGCCATTTTGCCCAGCCTGGTCTCAAACTTCTGGGCTCAAGTGATTCGCACACCTCGGCCTCCCAAAGTGCTGGGATTACAGGCATGAGCCACCACGCCCAGCGTAAAACTGTTCTTTAAGAAATCCCTCTGTATGTCAAGCAATTACTCTTGAGTTTTTAAATTTGACAGTTCCATATGTTTGTATATTACCTAAAGGAAGACAAACCTGCATGCCTGGTGAAGGACTGTGAACCCAACAGAGGACTGTAGACTGTTTTTTCATTGTATTTTGTTACATTAATTTCAATGTCTAGGGTGGCCAGGCACGGTGGCTCACACCTGTAATCCCAGCACTTTGGGAGGCTGAGGCAGGTGGATCACTTGAGGTCAGGAGTTCGAAACCAGCCTGACCAGTATGGTGAAACCCCGTCTCTACTAAAAGTACAAAAATTAACCAGGTATAGTGGCATGCGCCTGTAGTCCCAGCTACTCAAGAGGCTGAGAAAGGAGAATTGCTTGAACTCGGGAGGCGGAGTTTGCAGTGAGACTCCATCTCAAAAATAAATAAACAAATAAATAATAAAAATAAATAAAATAAATGCCTAGGGTTTGGTTATGCATTTGTATCCAAGCCCTTAAAATGGAAATAACTTGCCTAGGTCTCTTCCCCCAATCTTACTGTATTATACAACCAGTAACACATCTACAATACCTATACTTTTTTTTTTTTTTTTGAGACAGAGTCTCACTCTGTCGCCCAGGCTAGGGTGCCATGGTGCGATCTTGACTCACTGCAACCTCCGTCTCCTGGGTTCAAGCAATTCTCCTGCCTCAGCGACCTGAGCAGCTGGGATTATAAGCGTGCGCTAACACACCCAGCTAATTTTTGTATTTTTAGTCGAAACAAGATTTCACCATGTTGATCAGGCTGGTCTCGAACTCCTGGCCTAAGTGATCTGCCCGTCTCAGCCTCCCAAAGTGCTGGGATTACAGGCATGAGCCACCACGCCTGGCCTATGAATACCTATACAAATTAAACTGACAGATTAAATGGACAATCAAGTGTAGCTCATTTGGTAAAATACCTTTAACTTTTAAATAATCATAAACTATAACATCAACAATGACACTGGCATTAAATAAATAATTTGTCTAAAGTATCTGCTTTCGTTTTTTAAAAAATGGTAATTTATGGTAGCATTTGCACATTGTGGCTGGGCACAGCCTGTAACTCCAGCACAATGGAAGGCTGAGGCAGGAGGATCGCTTAAGCTCAGGAGTTCGAGATAAGGCTGGGCAATATAGGGAGACCCTGTCTCTCCAAATAAAATTAAAAAATTAGCCAGGTGTAGTAGTGTGCACCTGTAATCCCAGTTACTCAGGAGGCTGAGGCAGGAGGATCACTTGAGTCTGGGAGGTCGAGGCTGCAGTGAGCCATGATCTCACCACTCCACTCTAGCCTGAGTGACAGAGTGAGACCTTGTCAAAAAAACAAAAAAGAAAAAGAAAAGCCAGGCACTGTGGCTCACACCTGTAATCCTAGCACTTGGGGAGGCCGAGGTGGGTGGATCACCTGCGGTCAAGAGTTCGGGACCAGCCTGGCCAACATGGTGAAACCCCATCTCTACTAAAAATACAAAAATTGGCCAGGCATGGGGGTGGCACGCACCTGTAATCCCAGCTACTCAGGAGGCTGAGGCAGGAGAACTGCTTGAATCCGGGGGGCAGAGGCTGCAGTGAGCCAAGATGGCGCCACTTCACTCCAGCATGGGTGAAAGAACGAAACTCCATCTCAAAAAAAAAAAAAAAAAAGTAAAAGAAAAAAAATCAAAGAAAATAATCTGTGCCAGGCGCAGTGGCTCACACCTGTAATCCCAGCACTTTGGGAGGCCGAGGTGGACAGATCACTTGAGGTCAGGAGTTCAAGACCAGCCTGACCAACATGGATAAACCCTGTCTCTACTAAAAATACAAAATTAACCAGGCGTGGTGGTGCATGCCTGTAATCCCACCTACTTGGGAGGATGAGGCAGGAGAATCGCTTGAACGCAGGAGGCGGAGGTTGCGGTGAGCCAAGATCGTGCCATTGCACTCCAGCCTGGGCAACAAGAGCAAGACGCCGTCTCAAAAAAAAAAAGGACCAGTCTGGCCAACATGGTGAAACCCCGTCTCTACTAAAATACAAAAATTAGCCAGGCATGGTGGCAGGCACCTATAATCCCAGCTACTCAGGAGGCTGAGGCAGCAGAATTGCTTGAACCCAGGAGGCGGAGCTTGCAGTGAGCCGAGATCGCGCCACTGCACTCCAGCCTGGGCAACAGAGTGAGACTCTGTCTCAAAAAAAAAAGAAAAACAGACTGTTCTCCTACGAATATTAATTTAGAAACCTAACTCATTTACTTTCTAAATCCTTATTTTTATGTAACTGGATTGATAAAGGGAGAAGGCAGCCAAACAAGGCCATTCCAACAGTTTCCAAAATTTGCATTTCACAGGAGTGTTAAGTTCACACTGAAAGCCTGCTGGGCTTGCACTGTCTCCCTCAGGGGGGCTGGAATGGGGAGAGGCTTCCCAACACCTGCAAGAGCTACTTGAGTCTCCCAGGTAGGTCACAACCCCTTGGGCCTGCTTTGGCTTCCTGGCAACTACCATGCAGGTCACCCATTGAGGCCCTCCAGCACTCAGCCTGGGCAGCGAGCCCCTCACCAAATACTGGACTGTACTGCCCCTGCACCCAGCTGTGGCCTGGACCAGCGCTTTCCAGCAATTCTACATTGTGACTTTTATGAGATTATCCAGCCTATTTAGTCCTATCAGAAGGACTCATGGGAGGCCATGGAGACTACTCATCCTTAGTTTCAAACATAAAAACTAAGCCTTAAATTTGAAATACTGGCCGGGTGCAGTGGCTCACACCTGTAATCCCAGCACTTTGTGAGGCCAAGGCAGGTGGATAACCTGAGGTCAGGAGTTCGAGACCGGCCTGACCAACATGGAGAAACCCCGTCTCTACTAAAAACACAAAATTAGCAGGGCATGGTGGCGCATGCCTGTAATCCAAGCTGGTCGGGAGGCTGAGGCAGGAGAATCACTTGAACCCAGGAGGTGGAGATTACAATGGGCTGAGATCGTAACATTGCACTCCAGCCTGGGCGACAGAGCAAGACTCTGTCTCAAAAAATAAATAAATTAAAAAAATTGAAATACTTAGAAAACATATTTCAAGACAATTTAATACGCAAACTTTCCAATTATTCCTAAAGATTCACAATCAGGCCAGGTGCAGTGGCTCACACCTGTAATCCTAGCACTTTGGGGGGAGGCCAAGGCAAGAGGATCACTTGAGCTCAGGAGTTTGAGACCAGCCTGGGCAACTTGGAGAGACCTCATCTCTTAAAAAAAAAAAAAAAAAAAAAAAAAAAAAGATTCACAGTCGGGCGCAGTGGCTCACGCCTGTAATCCCAGCACTTTGGGAGGCCAAGGCGGGTGGATCACGAGGTCAGGAGTTTGAGACCAGCTTGGCCAATATGGTGAAACCCCGTCTCTACTGAAAATACAAAAATTAGCTGGGAGTGGTGGCATGCACCTGTAGTCCCAGCTACTCTGGAGGCTGAGGCAGAAGAATCACTTGAACCGGGGAGGCAGAGGTTGCAGTGAGCCAAGATTGCGCCACTGCATTCCAGCCTGAGCGACAGAGCGAGATTCCATCTCAAAAGGAAAAAAAAAAAAAAAAAAAAGGATCAAAATCGCAAAAACCATATACGATACCGGCTATATTGAAAAAAAAAAAAAAAGACGTTGAAAAACATCAAACACAATAATCTGACCATCCTTGCTTTTTTCATTATTAATGAATGCAAGAAATACTATTTTAGAGAATTATGGCAATTTGCACATTTTTTGTTAACTACCTGTCAAAAAAAAAAACAAACTTGAGGGAAATGAATGTGATGTATTATCATGCCATATGCAATCTGTGACACTGAAACTTGGAAAAGTATTTGTTGATCATGTATTCCCTCAATCCTGATACCAATACACAGCTTCCTTGACATGAAATACACAGATATTGACATGTATTTTCAATATCTACAAAATGAAATAGGAAACCATAAATCCAAACTGATAAGTTGACAGCTTGACAAGTTTAATTTCCCCAAAGTCTCAAATATTTAACCAACTTATAATAAAATTAAATACAATCATGATATAAGCACAAAGTCAAGTCATAGTCTGTTACCCAACATTTTTCCTTGATTTACAACACACGGGGTTCTTTTTTTTTTTTTGGTGTTTTTTGTTTGTTTGTTTTGTTTTTCCTTTTTGAGATGGAGTTTCACTCTCGTTGCCCAGGCTAGAGTGCAATGGCACAATCTCAGCTCACTGCAACCTCCACCACCCAGGATCAAGCGATTCTCCTGCCTCAGCCTCCCAAGTACCTGGGGTTACAGGCATGCCCCACCATGCCCGGCTAATTTTTGTATTACTAGCAGAGAGGGTTTCCTCATGTAGGCCAGGCTGGTCTCAAACTCCTGACCTCAGGTGATCCACCCGCCTCAACCTCCCAAAGTGCTGTGATTATAGGCATGAGCCACCGGGCATGGCGTAACACATGGTTTTAATAAATACATGACCAAACCCTCATTAATGTTCACAAAAATAAATTCTATCTAGACTACATTTTGTCTAATTCATAATTTTTCTTTGTTGTTAAACAGCAAAACAAATGTGTCCATTGACCCTTTCTCCATGTGCTTGCTCTTGGAGCAGGAGGCATTGTCCATCTACACAAACTCCTTCAGTAGCATGATATTGAGATCTATCCTCATTGACAACTCTTTGAGTACTGACGTCTTATTAAAAAGAACCTTCTTATAAAAAAAAGTCTTGCATTTGCTTGGTTCTTTACTGTGCTTTAACATATGTTACTTCATTTTCATTCTTAAAAGTTCTCTGTGATGTTAGTTAGCAGGCTGTGATTATTCCCATTTGAGAAATGATGAAACCAAGACTTAGAAATGGAAATAAATTTTCTAAGGTCAAACAGCAAATAGGTGCAATGAACTGACTCCAAGTTTTGTATCCCGGACCCAGATCCCAAATATAACTGACCTCTTTGCTAGGCTCTCCAGCTGCCAAAAAAGAAAAGAGAAGAGAAGAAAAAAAGGAAAAAGATCACACCAAAGCCCACTAAATAAGGAACAAATCTTCTCTCCACTAGATAAACAATTCTGATCAATTTTTAAGAAATGTATGACATGTTATTTAAGATGTTCCAGATTGCATGGAAAAAAAAAACAGCAAGCTTAGAAATCCTTTCTTAAGAAGCCTAAAATGAGTAACAAAACTTAAAAACGACCCAAGAAAACTGCAAACCAGCTTCACTTAAGAGTATTGATGAAAATTTCCTTTTTTAAAATGAACAAACTCCAGGCCAGGTGTAGTGGCTCACGCTTGTAATCCCAGCACTTTGGGAGGCTGAGGTGGGTGGATCATTTGAGGTCAGGAGTTCGAGACCAGCCTGGCCAACATGGTGAAACCCCGCCTCTACTAAAAATACAAAAATTACCCGGGCATGGTGATGGGCACCTGTAGTCCCAGTTACTCGGGAGGCTGAGGCAGGAGAATCACTTGAACCCGGGAGGTGGAGGTTGCAGTGAGCAGAGATTGCATCACTGCACTCCAGCCTGGGCAACAGAGTGAAACTCCCTCTTTAAAAAAAAAAGAAAGAAAAACAAAAAGTGTCAAGATCATGAAAATCAAGACCATGAAGATCAAGGAAAAAAAAATCAAGATCATGAAAATCCTTCTCAAATCCATATTTGAGATTGAAGGATGCTTAAAAGACCTACAACAAGAATACATATTGCACAATTCTGGACTGGATACTTTTGCTATGAAGAACATTAATTACTATAACAAATAGTGAAATATGAAGAATCTAAAAATTAGATGATAGTAATGTATCAGTGTTAATTTCCTGATTTTGATGGATATACTGCAGTTATGGAGAAAAATGTAGGAAATACACATTGAGTTACTGAGGAGTGAGGGAGCATGAAGACAACCATTTGTGTAAAAAAATGTAAACACACACATAAATTTATATAGAATATCTCTAAAATTCCCTAAAAGGGAAGCCCAGCAGGTTAAAAAAAAAAAAAAAATCCTGTTCAGCACTACCCATCAGCTGGGGCCTGCCTATCTGTCACCAAAAACTATGTGATCATTTATGTGCTTTCCCAGGGACCGAGATTTTCTAGAAAGAGCCCTAATGAGAAGACACAAGCATTTCAGATCCAGATTCTAGTTCTTCTTGCCAGTTTAATTAGGGAACCACACTGAAGACATTAGTCTTCCAATGCCTGACACTCTCGGTCGACTGAAAAAGTTCATATTCCCTAAAAGGGAATTTTAGACAGAAGGGAACTAGCTGTCTAAAGGCTAAAAGTGAGAACCATGTACACATTTTACCCTTTAATACCTTCTGAATTTTATATCTTGTTACATACCTTGTATTGCCTATTTGAAAATACTAAAAGAAATATTATGTGTGTATATATAATACAAACTTAGAAAAATAAATAAAATTATCAAAAAAAAAAGGAAAATGATTTTACCTATCTCAGGGCCAGATTCTTCCTGCTAATGAAAGCTGCCTGAATATTATAGACTGAGAGGTATCACTTTATGTGCCCAAATTTTAGGGAAGGATTCCTTTTTGAAAGTTAAATAGATGGCCAGATGGCCAAGCACAGAAGATCACGCCTGTAATCCCAGCACTTTGGAAGGCTGAAGCGGACATCACCTGAGGTCAGGACTTCAAGACCAGCCTGGACAACATGGCAAAACCCCATCTCTACTAAAAACGGCAAAACCCCATCTGTACTAAAAACACAAAAATTAGCCAGGCATGGTGGCAGGTGCCTGTAGTCCCAGCTACTCGGGAGACTGAGGCAGAAGAATCGCTTGAACCTGGGAGGCAGAGGTTGCAGTGAGCCGAGATCATGCCATTGCACTGCATCCTAGGTGACAGATCAAGACACCGTCTCAAAAAAAAAGGGGGCCGTGCATGGTGGCTCACGCCTGTAATCCCAACACTTTGGGAGGCTGAGGCAGGCGGATCACAAGGTCAGGAGTTCGAGACCATCCTGCCGAACGTGGTGAAACCCTGTCTCCACTAAAAACACAAAAAAATTAGCCGGGCGTGAGGTGAGGGGTGCCTGTAGTCCCAGCTACTCGGGAGGCTGAGGCAGGAGAATGGCGTGAACCCAGGAGGCGGAGCTTGCAGTGAGCCGAGATCGTGCCACTGCACTCCAGCCTGGGCGACACAGCGAGACTCCATCTCAAAAAAGAATAAAAAAAAAGCAAAAAAGAAAGTTAAATAGATAAAAAACAAAATGAGATAAACTACCTGCAAAAAAAACACTTCAGTTCACCCACTCAAAGGGATGCCTGTGACCATTCAAAGTATCTGATGGACTCTCAGAACAGAACAGAATCAACAATATACTAATGATCAGACAAAGCCTGTCCTGAGGACTGGAATTTAAACAAACATCTGGTACAAAAAACAAATGCAAAGATGGAGGTAAAAAGGGAGCCAAATGAAGGAATTTATCGCTTCTTTAACCTTATTCAACAAGAGAAAACGTACTGGCAGAGAAGAATGTTCTGATAAGCAGAGGTGAATGCTCAAGGGTCAGGGAAGCCCAGCAGGTTAAAAAAAAAAAAAATCCTGTTCAGCACTACCCATCAGCTGGGGCCTGCCTACCTGTCACCAAAAACTATGTGATCATTTATGTGCTTTCCCAGGGACCGAGACTTTCTAGAAAGAGCCCTAATGAGCAGACACAAGCATTTCAGATCCAGATTCTAGTTCTTCTTGCCAGTTTAATTAGGGAACCACACTGAAGACATTAGTCTTCCAATGCCTGACACTCTCGGTCGACTGAAAAAGTTCATATTTCTAAATGTACAATGCTAAAAATGGAAGCAGGACTATGAACTCCACTAAAATGTCCCACACCGAGACCCCCACTAAAGGGGGCCAACTGTCCTAAGTCTGACATTTCTAATTTCAAAAATTTTCCCATTCCTTCCCAGTAAACAGCAAATCAATACTTGAAATTATAGCTTTTTGTACGATTATCATACATAAGTTGAGCATCTCAAACCAAAAATCTGAAATACTCCAAAATCTGAAAGTTTCGAGGGCAAACATGACACTCAAAGTAAATGCTCATTTCAGATTTCAAATTCTCAGATTACAGATGCTCAGTTGTAACTATAGCATCTGTAATGTATAGTAAAATGCAATATTCCCAAATCTGAAAAAAATATAAAATTCATGTATTTCAGATAAGGAATACTCAACCTATACAATATATTTTCATATATTTTAAAATATTTACTTTGCCAAGCACAGTGGCTATTGCCTGTAATCCCAGCACTTTGGGAGGCTGAGGTGGGCGGATCACCTGAGGTCAGGAGTTAGTGACCAGCCTGGCCAACATGGTGAAACCCCATCTCTACTAAAAGCACAAAAATTAGCCTGGTGCGGTGGCACACACCTGTAGTCCCAGCTACTCAGGAGACTGAGGCAGGGGAATAGCTTGAACCCAGGAGGTGAAGGTTGCAGTGAGCCGAGATCACACCACTGCACTCCAGCCTGGGTGACAGAGAAAGACTCCATCCCCCTGCAAAAAAAAGAAAAAGAAAATAGAGTACAGCATAGTTGATAAAGTTTTGTGAAACTTTTGTTTCAATTTTATATATTTATGTGTGTTGGGTCACGATGGGTAAGATGTATTTCCCAATGCGTGTCCTGGTTTTACAGTTCCTTCATTTTTGCATATATGTAAAAGTCATTAATTTGCACAATAAATGTTCGTTGAGCACCTATACTATAGTGCTAGTGAGGGAACAGTGTGCTATATAGAATAGAAGGAAATAAAAATACTTGGTCTCTGCCCTTGTAGAATCTTTACAGTGTAGAAACAATCAAATAATCACAAAAATATACAATTATAAACCACTAAGTGTTAGGGAAAAATACAGGGAATTAAGACAGCTCATCATTAGGGAAGCTGATTTAATCAGAGAAGAGAAATGAGTAACAGGTCAGGTTTCTCTGAAGAAGTACTTTCAAGTAGAGATCAGAAAGATGTATGAAAAGGGGGAAAATGAGAGGAGAAATCAGTCAGGCAAAAAACAGCACATTCAGGAAGGTTGTATACAGTTTGAAGAAAAGAAAAGCCAATAGGTAGAGAGAACATGAAAAACCATCTAGATAAGACATGGGTGGAGCTTGGGGTAGAAAGAGATATGGCAGGAATTTTAAATATCCTGAGGCCTATGAGAACAATCCAATAAGGCAATAGGCCTTAAAGATCATGCTGGAAAGAGATTGGAGGGAGGATGGGAGTGAATGGTAGGATAATGCATTGGAGGTGGAGACAAGCGGATTGATCCCCACAATATTATTCCTGAAGCAGAAGTTACAAGGTGTTAAGTGATACTTTGGATGTGAGGGCTGAGGAACCATGAAGTGTTGGATAACTCATAATGAAATGAGTGAGCAATGAAATGAGATGAGATGCAGGAGAAATTCCAGAGAAGCAGAGCTGAGAGGAAAGATCAGAGTTACATTTGTTATACTTAACAAGTAGAGATGCCAAATTAATACCTGGAACTGGATGGAGATATAAAAAAAGAAGTCATTAGCACAAAGGCTTTGATGACTCATCATTGTGCTCCTTAAATATCCACCCATAGTAATATACAATATAAACCCAGAAGAATCCAGAATAAATTTGAGGCTTTATGCAGTAGCAGTTCATAAATACCATAGTAGCTGAAATACCATGTGTATCTGAACAGTATACAGTGCAACAGTTAACTAAACATTCACACTCTTAAAATAATCCACTTCCATGAAATCATAGGGAATCCAGTCTATTGTGTTCACTGCTGTCCACATCTGACACAGTGTATGGCACATAGTACAAGTTAATCTACTGAAGAAATGTATCCACTACTATGCAAAATATACCACCCATCAAAAATAAAACAAACAGTACAAATAATGAGCAACTGTGCAAGGGAAATCTTTGTACTATGAAACATATAAATGAACCAATTAGGACATTTTTCAAGGAAAAAGGGAAAAGAGTTATTTAGCACTTAAGTGCTCATACCCTAATAGTCTATATTCTGTTCTATGCTACATATATCTAATGCTATATTCTGTTCTCTAATAATCAGCTGAATTTCAACATCGGAAATTCCAACTGGGCAGCCTATTGTAAGTACTCCTACCATTCTCTAGAAATCTCTGAGTAATACAAGCAACAACTAAAATGTAATAAAAGCTTGATGCTGAAACTATAACAAAATCTCATCTAAGTTATTAAAACAAAACAAAAACTGTTAAAAGTGTATTCTGGCTGGGAGCGGTGGCTCATTCCTGTAATCCCAGCACTTTGGGAGGCCGAGGCGGATGGATCACCTGAGGTTGGGAGTTCGAGACCAGCCTAACCAACACGGAGAAACCCTCCGTCTCTACTAAAAACACAAAATTAGCTGGGCGTGGTAGCGCAGGCCTGTAAGCCCAGCTACTCAGGAAGCTGAGGCAGGAGAATTGCTTGAAACTGGGAGGCGGAGGTTGTGGTGAGCCAAGATCGCTACATTGCACTCCAGCCTGGGCAACAAGAGCGAAACTCTATCTCAAAAAAAGAAAAAGTGCATTCTCCAATGTGAAAAGGGCAATAACTGATTATTTTTCTTTTTCCTCTATCTTCTCCTGTTTCCCAGCTTTTCTAACAAACATGAATTTTTATTAACTTATTTTCCCTCTTCACAATGGTAACACTGATTCATAGGAGAAAATTTAGAAAATGCACATAAACACAAAGGAAACAAATTACCCACAATTCCATCACCCAGAAGTTACTAACTACTGTCAATATTTTTGTGGGAACCTTTCTCTGGGCTTGCATGAGGGTAGGGAGGGAAGAGAGATACACAAGTAATGGCATGATTGCTTAAGACTATGAAGGAGACTACAGAATGCTGCTATGGCCAGTGTGCAGGATTGAGAGAACACTAACTTGAAGAAGTTGACAACTGAGCTGAGCTTCCTGAAGAATGAGATGGAATCAATCAAAGAAGTGCAACTGGGGTAGCAGTCCAGGCACAGGGAACAACAGCATGGGCAGAGTACCAAGCCCATTCAGGGAACTAGGAAGAAAGATGAGTTTGGTAGGAAGGAGACTGGCTGGGCAGTCACACACAGAGCTGAGAGTTAGGACTTTTTCCCTAGAGAAAGCAGCCTTGAAGCAGGAGCAGGGGGGATAGGCTTCCTTAAAGGAATTATTCTGACTGTTAGTATGGGAAAAGGATTAGGCCCAGAAAGTGTGGATTTAGAAGATCGTAACCACGCCCCCTCTACCCCCCATCCATCCCCCCCCACCAGCGGAAGGGTAAGGAGGATGAGGAAGTAGGGAATCTTTAGAGGGTCGGGGAGTAAAAAAGACAATGACCTGGCCGGGTGTGGTGGCTCATGCCTGTAATCCCCCAGTAATTTGGGAGGGTGAGGGGGTGGATCACCTGAGGTCAAGAATTCGAGCCCAGCCTGGCCAACATGGTGAAACCTCATCTCTACTAAAAATACAAAAATTAGCTGGGCGTGATGGCAGGTGCCTGTAATTTCAGCTACTTGGGAGGCTAAGGCAGGAGAATCGCTTGAACCCAGGAGGTGGAGGTTGCAGTGAGCCAAAATCACACCACTGCACTCCAGCCTGGGCAACAAGGGCGAGACTCCATCTTAAAAAAAAAAAAAGACAATGACCTAATATATTATATTATATATTATATAATATAAAGACAATGACCTAATATATATTGTATTTATATTATAAAATTATATTTTAGGCTCCACAAAATGGTCTACATTTGTAGCGATAAAAAAGATACTGTGACTTTAATTATGATACACCTCCTAAGAAATTCATAACAGAAATAGAGCTTGCAGGCCAAGCACAGTGGCTCACACCTGTAATCCCAGAACTGTGGGAGGCCAAGTCAGAAGGATCACTTGAGCCCAGAATTTTGAGACTAGCCTGAGCAACACACTGAGACCCCATCTCTACAAACAGAAATTTTTTTAACTGAAAAAGAAAAGAAGGAACAATGAGAACACATGGACACAGGGAGGGGAACATCACACACCAGGGCCTGTTGTGGGGTGGGGGGCTGGGGGAGGGATAGTGTTAGGAGAAATACCTTATGTAAACAACGAGTTGATCAGTGCAGCAAACCAACATGGCACATGTATACCTATGTAACAAACCTGCACGTTGCGCACATGTACCCTAGAACTTAAAGTATAATAAAAACAGAAAAATGGGCAGGCATGATGGCTCACACCTGTAATCCCAGCACTTTGGGAGGCCGAGGCAGGCGGATCACGAGGTCAGGAGATCGAGACCATCCTGGCCAACACGGTGAAACCCCGTCTCTACTAAAAATACGAAAAAAATTAGTTGGGCGTGCCTGTAATCCCAGCTACTCGGGAGGCTGAGGAGGAGAATCACTCCAGGGAGTCGGAGGTTGCAGTGAGCCGAGATCATGCCACTGCACTCCAGCCTGGGCGACAGAGGGAGACTCCATCTCAAAAAGAAAAAGAAAAAAGAGACAGAGGTTGGGAGAGAAGCATTAAATACTAATATTTAACAAAAGGGAACACACATTTTTCAGTAGATATTGAGCTTAATCAAAGTACAGAATGTACCTATCTTATCACTAAATATAGAGCAAATAAGTGAATATCAAGGGAATAACCATGAGCAGTATAAAGACTGTGCTAACAGGAAGGGATGATCAGGCCAGGTGCAGTGGCTCACGCCTGTCATCCTAGCACTTTGGGAGGCTGGGGCAAGCGGACTGCTTGAGCCCGGGAGTTTCAGACCAGCCGGGGTACCATGGCAAGACCACAAAAATCAGCCAGGCATGATGGCATGTACCTGTAGTCCCACCTACTTGAGAGGCTGGGGCTGGTGGACTGCCAGAGCACAGCAGACAGAGAGGTTACAGTGAGCTGAGACTGTCACTGCTGCACTCCAGCCTGGGCATCAGAGTTACACCCTGTCTCCAAAAAAAAAAAGAACAGGATGATCTTAATACTGACATCCAGAGGCCGGGCACAGTGGTTCACACCTGTAATCCCAGCACTTTGGGAGTCCAAGGTGGGCGGATCACCTGAGGTCAGGAGTTCGAGACCAGCCTGAACAACATGGTGAAACCCTGTCTCTACAAAAATACAAAAATTAGCCAAGCATGATGGTGGGTGCCTGTAATCCCAGCTACTGGGTTGGCTGAGGCAGGAGAATCGCCTGAACCTGGGAGATAGAGGTTGCAGTGAGCCGAGATCGCGCCATTGGCACAGAGTGAGACTCCATGGACAACAGAGCGAGATTCCGTCTCAAAAAAAAAAAAAAAAAGACATCCAGGAAAGGAAAACACAGCATTAACCATAGAATAAAGCCCCACTTTAGAGAACTGGAGAACTGAAGTTGGCAGTGGAATAGGGAAAGATCAACAGGCCCCTTCAAGGCTTGAAAGAGTATCACCAAGCCAGGCACGGTGGCTCACGCCTGTAATCCCAGCACTTTGGGAGGCTGAGGTGGGCAGATCACGAGGTCAGGAGATCGAGACCATCCTGGCTAACACAGTGAAACCCCATCTCTACTAAAAATAAAAAAAAAATTAGCCAGGCATGGTGGTGGGTGCCTGTAGTCCCAGCTATTCAGGAGGCTGAGGCAGGAGAATGGTGTGAACCCAGGAGGCGGAGCTTGCAGTGAGCAGAGATCGTGCCACTGCACTCCAGCCTGGGCAACAGAGTGAGACTTCGTCTCAAAAAATAAATAAATAAATAAATAAATAAATAAATAAATAAATAAAAAAGAGTATCACCCAAGACTAACTATCCCTCCTTACGCATGCAGTCATTCAACAGATGTTTAACCTAGCAATTACATTATATATATATATATATATACCCAAGAGTAGAGAAAACACGCGTCCACACAAAAACTAGTTCACAAATATTCATAGCATTACTCAGCCAAAAGCAGAGATAACACAAATGTCTACCAACTGATGAATAAACAAAATGTGATGTATCCATAATAGAATATTAGCCATTAAAAGGAATGAAGTACTGATACAGGCTGCAACATGGATGAACCTTAAAAAACATTATGCCAAGTGAAAGAAGTCACTCACAGAAGACCAGATAGTGTATTATTCCATGTATATAAAATGTCCAGAATAGCCAAATCTATTGAGACAGACAGCAGATTAGTGGTTGCCTAGGGACAGAAGGGGATAGAATTGGAGGGAACTAGGCAATGACAGCTAATAGGAACAGAGCTTCTTTTGGGGATTAAAAAAATTCAAAAATTCATTGTGGTGATGGTTGCACAAGACTATTCATTTACTAAAAGCTTTTATTTATTTATTTATTTATTTATTTATTTATATTTTTACTTTTTTTTTTTTTTGAGATGGAGTCTCAGTCTGTCACCCACGCTGGAGTGCAGTGGTGCCATCTCGGCTCACGGCAACCTCCACTTCCAGGATTCAAGTGATTCTCTTGCCTCAGCTGGGATTACAGGCGCCTGCCACCATGCCTGGCTAATTTTTGAATTTTTGGTACAGACGAGGTTTCGCCATTTTGGCCAGGCTGGTCTTGAACTCCTGACCTCAGGTGATACACCCGCCTCGGCCTCCCAAAGTGTTGGGATTACAGGCAGGAGCCACGGCGCCGGGTCTGATTTTCAACTTTAGAAAAGCAACTGACTAAAGTCTGTTAATAAAAAGAAATAAGTCTTCGGTTTAAATTGTACTGTATTACCAAGTTTGCGGGATACTGTAAAGCTTATGTGAAAACTTTTCATAACACTGAAATTGGGAGAAAAAGCACCTAAAAAACCCGAACAACCGTGTAATCCGTTCCAAAACAAACTATGGGCGGGTTGCGCGGAGGCCAGCAAGGTAAGAAAGCAAGCGATAATCGCAAAGCAGAGCCGACTGCTTCCTAATAAAAAATGGACCTTTAAAAATTAAAACCACTAGTTTTCAACCACAACACTTCGAAATGAGAATATTAGTCACCGTTGCCATAGAAACAGTAAAGCCAAGCTGCCCGGAATTTAGACATTTTTTTAAATACCGCAAACTGAAATGGGTGAAAATAGGGCAGAGTTTAGTGTGAACCTAAGTGGCCGGAACCTACTAGTAACTTTCACCAGGATAAAAGTGACTCTGCTTTTCTAACCTACATTTCCGAACAGTGCTTTATAAATCACCTCTCGGGGTTAGTTTATCAAGCGCAAAAAAAAGTTTACCTTGTCTCTTCCGGAAGAAGGAACCTGACAAAACCCCTCCCGGTAGTATTGCCCACAATCAGAGCCAGCCAGCGCAGGCTTGCACCGCGCAGCAAAGGGGGAGCCCAGCATCAAGTCCACGCGGAAAGCATCTGAATCCCGGCTGCTGGCTTTACTGGCGGAGCACAGAGGAAAACCCCAAGCTCCTGCCTACAGCCCCGGCCTGTCTGGCTCCCTCCTCCACGTCCCCACTCCACGCCACGTTCTGTGCCTGGCAGTCCACGCGCCCTAATCCAACTCGCATTTATTTAAGCACCCGCCGTCTACACCGCATCATGGTTCCTCCAGGCACTGCAGGAAGAAATGGCCCCATGCCGGGGGAAAGAAACACCAAAAGGACAGCCGCGAGGGCTGAAGACGACCCCGAATGACGGGATGACTGCCTGCAACGGGTGGTCAGGAGAGGAGCTCCCACCCTCACCCCGCGGGTCGTGACACTCCCAGGGAAGGGAGGGCCCCGAGGGGTGCACCAGGCCCGGCCTTCCTGGAGTCCGCCACAGCCGACTGGCGGCGTTAAGAGGTCCGCATCCCAGGACCGCCCGAGCGCTCCTCTGCCCCAAGGAGGCGACCCCGACTCCGGATCCCGGGAAAACGGCGAGCGCGGGTACCGAACCTCGGTAAGGGCCGGAGCGGGCTGTCACCGGCCCCCGCATCCCTCCCCTGCGGCCGCGGCCGGCCGCTCCCTCCCCAGCTTGACAGTCGCTGCAGTCACGGACGGAGCGTCTCTGCCCCAGCGTCGCCGCTCGCCCGGACGCCCGCACCCCCGTGCCCCACGCGGAGGGGGGCAGTGCCGGGAAGACCTCTCCGGACCCTCCCCCCGCCCTGGCCCCCAGACTCCGGAAAAGCGGTTACCTGGCGCGCGGGTTGGGGCGAGAGCACGACTCGGTGGAGGAGGAAGAGAAGACAGTGGCCTCCGGCCCAGGGAGATTTGGGAAATTTGGGAGACTTGTTCCGCACTAGGTGACAGCTGTTCGCTGCGCACGCGCACAGGACCCCGGCCGCCCGATCACTGCGCCGCGCCTCACCCTCCCGTCGAGGGGGTGGGTGGGAGGCAGCGGCGAAGGCGCGCGCACCGCCGGCTCTCCCTGCGCGAGGGCGCGCGCGCCGTCACGTGACCGCTGGGGCCCGCACTTGGTGAGTCACGTGGGCTTACAAACAGCTTAAAGGTGCCCGGCACGCTCTTGCTTTGGGCTCAACTTCCGCGCTGTGGTTAACTTAGGCTTGCTGGCGCGCATCTTCTTGTCCTTTGGACACAGGCATATCCCATTCTTTCCGGAGGGGAAAGATACTCGCGTAGAAGGAGAAAACAGGTGCACAGAACCTTGCCCGGAAGCGCTGGCTGGGGTCCCGCAGGGCTGGACCTGATGTAGTCCACGCGCCACACGTCCTCCTGGGCGCCGACGCGCACCTATGGCGGCCTCCGACGCGCGGACGTCAGCGTGGCGTTACCGGGGTGGAGCCTCGGAATGTACTGGAGAGCCTGGCGAGAAAGTCGGGGCTCGCAGCTCTCCGGCGATGACAGCGCTGTGTTCCCGTTCTCCCTTCACCCGGTGGCCGGGACCACTGAGCCTCCTTCCCACAATGGGAGATCCCGAATAGGCGAAGAGTATCTTCGTGTCCCAACCCTTTAACAACTACCGCGCAGGAGCGTGTCAGCCTCTGGAAGCAAAACTGTCCGGTGTTGAGTCACCTACACCCAGCACGTCCCGCCCCGACCCGCCCAAGTGTGCTCTTAAGATAGGGAGGCACAAAGGTGACCCCAATAGGAATCCTGGGCTGGCGGTCCCTCAGAAACTAGAGTTGATAACAGTTTGGCCAGAACTGAAGTGACTAGAAATGCAGGTGCCTCCAGCGTCTGAGACTAGATAAGTTAACTTCCTACAACTTGTTGCTTTTCCTCTGTAACTCCGCCTTCCGAGGTGTCAGAAGGAACCAACCAGACCTTAAGCCCCTGTACTGCCAAAGACAGATGGTTGAGCATCAGATGTTTTGCAAAGCTGAATGATTTTTTTTTTAAACTTCCTACAGAGCTCCCAGCTGGGTCCCTTGTGGCGTTTTCTCTAACGTCTTAGCTAAGAAAGATTGGGCATATCTTCACACCAGTGAGCAAAGTTGGGCTAATATGCTGAATTTTCTGTTACATTATACTGATAACAGAATTTTAAAAATATATCGACACCGCTTACCACGCGCTTGAACTCGTTTCTCACTGGGGTGAACATTGTGAGGACAGATGGAATGTGATTAATTGAGCTAAGGCTAACGGGATTATTGGGTCACCATATTTCTTTAGTTGTTAAAAACAAAGTTCCGCTACACACACAGACACACTCTTTTTTGAGACGGAGTCTTGCTGTGTCGCCCAGTTTGGAGTGCAATGGCGCTATCTCGGCTTACTGCAACCTCCGCCTCACGGGTTCGAGAGATTCTCCTGCCTCAGCCTCCCGAGTAGCTGGGATTACAGTCGCCCGCCACCACGCCCAGCTAATTTTTGTATTTTCAGTAGAGACAGGGTTTCGCCATGTTGGCCAGGCTGGTCACAAACTCCTGACCTCAGGTGATCCGCCCGCCTCGGCCTCCCAAAGTGCTGGGATTACAGGCGTGAGCCACTTCACCCGGCCACACACAATTCTGAACTTGGCTAACGTATACTCAACTGGGAATTTTCCAAATGTGTGCATGTAACGTCAGGATCCCAACCATCCTTACAAGTAAATTGGATATGCTAAAATAATAAATATGCAACCTAACACTTACTTAGAACAGTAATGTGAGCTACACACTGTCTTCAGAGCTTCACATGTATTAATAAATACTTATAATAATTCAATGAATAGGTACTATTAATACCTCATTGTTACAGATGTGGAAACTGAAGCATAGCGGTTAAGAAATATGTCCACAATCAAGCAGCTAGGGTCTTTTGGAAGCCATATGCTATATTAGAAATCTTGTGCACCAGAATAAAAAATCTGGAAACCTGAAATCCATTTTCTTCAGAATTTGCAGATGCACAAATAACATTTCTTTACCATTGTGAATTAGAGTATGACTTTTTTTTAACCTGAAGAACTGAAGTGGATATACGAACCTTGCTAACTTCACTGAGCACTTTTTAATTTTAAGGAAGATAATGTAAAATGTCAAAACACTTCAAAAGCTGTAAAGCACTATGTGAATCCATTAAGTGCTTCACAGTCTTGGAAAGTGAAGAGAGCCTACTAGAAAATCAACTGGACTCATGGCACTGAGGGCAGTCTTGTGTCCCTAATGTATCAAAATACCTCCATATTATGAATTATCGTGAAAACATTTTAGCCATATAGTAAATTTTTTATTTAGATTCAATTGTTTAAATCCCAATTGCAATATATTAATGGAAGGCTGTATGAACAATACATAGATTCCCCTTGAAGTTTATATGTAATGTGAACTAACGAACAGATCATCAGATCACCTCAGAGACAATACTTGTTTTTATTTTATTTTATTTATTTGTTTGTTTTTTGAGACAGAGTCTTACTCTGTTGCCCAGGCTGGAGTGCAGTGGCGCCATATCGGCTCACTGCAGCCTTGACCTCCCGGGTTCAAGCAATTCTCGTGCCTTGTGCCTCATTCTCCTGAGCAGCTGGCATTACAGGCATGTGCCATAATGCCCAGCTAATTTTTGCATTTTTTTATAATTGAGACAGAGTCTCACTCTGTTGCCCAGGCTGGAGTGCAGTGGCGCGATCTCAGCTCACTGCAACCTCCGCCTCCTGGGTTCACGGCATTCTGCTGCCTCAGCCTCCCAAGTAGCTGGGACTACAGGCGCGTGCTACCACACCTAGCTAATTTTTTGTATTTTAAGTGGAGACGGGGTTTCACCGTGTTAGCCAGGATAGTCTTGATCTCCTGACCTTGTGATCCACTCACCTTGGCCTCCCAAAGTGCTGGGATTACAAGCGTGAGCCACCATGCCCGGCCTAATTTTTGTATTTTTTGTAGACAGGGTTTCGCCACATTGGCCAGGCGGGTCTCAAACTCCTGAGCTCAAGTGATCTGCTGGCCTCCGCCTCCAAAAGTGCTGAGATTACAGACGTGAGCCACCATGCCTGGCCAATACTTGTAAGTTTCTTAAAATATATATAATGCAGCAAATTTATATGCTGCTTTTTTTTTTTTTTTTTTTTTTTACTTTGAGACAGGATCTTCACACTGTTGCCCAGACTGGAGTGCAGTGGCACTATCACGGCTCAATACAGCCTCCACTTCTAGGATCATGCAGTCCTCCCACCTCAGCCTCCCATGTAGCTGGGACTACAAGCGCACACCACCACACCTGGCTAATTTGTTTATTTCTTTGTAGAGTCAGGGTCTCACTATGTTGCCCAGGCTAGTGTCAAACTCCTGGGCTCAAATGATCCTCCCGCCTCAGCCTCCCAAAGTGGTGAGAATACAGGAGTGAGCCACTGCCCTGGCTGCAAATTGATATACTTCTAAATAATAGTCTAATTTTGAATCTGTTGAAGTACACTACACTTTTTACAAATATAAATAATTGAGCTGGGCACAGTGGCTCATGCCTCTAATCTCAGCACATTGGGAGGCCAAGGCGGGCATATCACCTAAGGTCAGGAGTTCAAGACCAGCCTAGATAACATGGTTAAACCCTGTCTCTACTAAAAATACAAAAATTAGCTGGGCATGGTGGCAGGTGCCTGTAATCCCAGCTACTCGGGAGGCTGAGGCATGAGAATCACTTGAATCCAGGAGGCAGAGGTTGCAGTGAGCTAAGATAGCACCACTGCACTCTAGCCTCGATGACAAGAGCAAAACTCCATCTCAGAAAAAAAAAAGAAAAAGAAAAGAAAACAAAACAAATATACAGAATTGAATGAGGCTGGGCTCGGTAGCTCACGCCTATAATCCCAACACTTTGGGAGGCCGAGGCGGGCGGATCACCTGAGGTCAGGAGATCGAGACCATCCTGGCTAGCACGGTGAAACCCTGTCTCTACTAAAAATACAAAAAATTAGCCAGGCACAGTGGCAGGTGCCTGTAGTCCCAGCTAGTCCAGAGGCTGAGGCAGGAGAATGGCATGAACCCGGGAGGCGGAGCTTGCAGTGAGTCGAGGTCGTGCCACTGCACTCCAGCCTGGGTGACAGAGCAAGACTCCATCTCAAAAAAAAAAAAAAAAAAAAAAAAGAATTCAATGATAGTAATACTTAGTGTTTTTATTTACCTTTACCTTTATCAAATATGTATGTTACTTATACAGGAATAATGAGAGATGATTAGTCCATGAGGGCTCTGCCCTTATTAATGAATTAATGCCGTAACTGCAGGAATGGGTTCATCCTCTTCTCTCTTGTTCTTTGTCCTTCTGCCATGGGATAATGCAGCACAAAGTCCCTCACCTAATACAGCCCCTCAGTCCTGGACTTTCTAGCTTCTAGAACTGCGAGCCGATAAACTTCTGTTCATTATAAATTACCCAGTCTGCCAGGTGAGATGACTCATGCCTGTAATCCCAGCACTCTGGGAGGCTGAGGCAGGAGGATCACTTGAACCCAGGAGTTCAACACCAGCCTAGGCAACATAGCGAGACCCCATCTCAATTAAAAATAATAATAAAAATAAATTACCCAGTCTGTGGTATCCTATTATAGCACCACAAAATAGACCAAGACATGATAGATAAAAGATAGAAGTCAGTGTTTATAGATTTAATAATCATGGAACAAGTCCATTATTTCAGGTAAATGCCTGGTGTGCTTACTCTTAGGCCTGAGTTGGAAGACTTTCAGAAATAAGGGTGGAAGAAAAGTTTTAGATCCATGAAATCCTTATCATTGGAAAGACAGTCCAAACTGACTAAGAAGAGGTAGAAGTTCTGCTCTAGGTGAGCTTATCATGGCCATTCCTGATAAGGATTAGGATTTGTGCCAGAGTCAACCAAACCATCCATTGGGGTAGAAGGAGAGGAACTTCTTGAGATACTGATTAGTATTGTAGTTACATCAGAGCTTAGATCAAAAGCAGCTGCTATTTCTGACTCCTCAGTGGTCCCCTGGAACTAGGGTGAGGCATGGGTTTCAGTCCAAGCACACTTCTTCCATTAATGATCATAGAGTGCCTGGAATATCACAGGACATCTTTCATCACTGAGGGATAAAATGCTCCTCCACCTCAGGCATGAACTTAAAAGATATCTTCATTGAGGAACACAGATATTTTATTGCTATTTTTATAAAGTCTCTGATTATAATAGGAAATAGAGCACTTGGCATATATAAATAAAATTCATATATTAGTTGGAAAGAGACCACAATATAACTTTTTGGAAGTTGCTTTAACAATCCCTGGTTTTAGGCTGAGCGCGGTGGCTTACGTCTGTAATTCCAGGGAAGGCGAGGTGGACGGATCTCCTGAGGTCAGGAGTTTGAGATCAGCCTAACCAACATGGTGAAACTCCGTCTCTACTAAAAATACAAAATTAGCCAGGCATGGTGGTGCATGCCTGTAAACCCAGCTACTCAGGAGGCTGAGGCAGGAGAATCGCTTGAACCCAGGAGGCGGAGATTGCAGTAAGCCGAGATCATGCCATTGCATTCCAGCTTGGGCAACAAGAGCGAAACTCCACCGGAAAAAAAAAAAAAATCCCTGGTTTTGAGAACGTTACCAATTTTTTGTTTTACCTGTTCCTCCTTAATTTTTTTTTTTTTTTTTTTTTTTTTTTTTGAGACGGAGTTTCGCTCTGTCGCCCAGGCTGGAGTGCAGTGGCGCGATCTCGACTCACTGCAAGCTCCGCCTCCCGGGTTCACGCCATTCTCCTGCCTCAGCCTCCCGTGTAGCTGGGACTACAGGCGCGCGCCACCATGCCCGGCTAATTTTTTGTATTTTTAGTAGAGACGGGGTTTCACCGTGTTAGCCAGGATGGTCTCGATCTCCTGACCTCGTGATCCGCCCGTCTCGGCCTCCCAAAGTGCTGGGATTACAGGCGTGAGCCACCGCGCCCGGCCATCCTCCTTAATTTTTAACTCAGGAATGTGACTTGCTTAATCTCTCCAGCAGTAGCTCCTTTGGTATCACAAACAAGAACCTAATTGTCATGGGCTTTCTTCTGCAGAACAAAATGTTGCCTTGTAAGATATTTTCACATTCTGTAGTTTACCTCAAATTTATCAAATTCACTGATTTTAATATTTCCCTTTCTCCCTACCTAATTGCTCTGATTTTTCTTTTCTACTCAAATTCTTCCAGAAGGTATTCTGTCTGATCAATGAGCTCAATTTTCAGCCTGCAGCTTTATAATACATTTTCTAGGGGCCTTGAGCTGACTATTGTGAACAACTATCCTGTTCCATCTTCCTTAAGTGTTCTGATTATGCATAATTGAGATCTCATCATTCAGCTAAAGTTGTAAGTGGCTTCTCTCTTCTTGAACTAATGTTAATATAGTTTGGGTCCTTGTCATATCCATTCCCTGTTGTGATAAATTGTAAAATGTAGCCACAAGATCTTCCCATGATCCTTTGCAATGTGACTTTGCCCTTCCTTCCATCAAGAGATCAGCTATATCCCCACCTGCTGAATCTAGGCTGATTATTATTATTATTATTAATTTTAAGACAGGATCTGGGTGTGTTACCCAGGCTGGAGCGCAGTGGTGCAATCTTGGCTCACTGCAACCTCCACCTCCCAGGCTCAAGCCATCCTCCCACCTCAGCCTCCCTAGTAGATGGTACTACAGGTGTGCACCACCATGCCTGGCTAATTTTTGTATTTTTTGTAGAGACGGGGTTTTGCCATGTTGCACAAGGTGGTCTCTAACTCATGAGCTCAAGCAATCCGCCAGCCTCAGCCTCCCAAAGTGCTGGGATTACAGGCGTGAGACACCATGCCCGGCCTAGGCTGATCTTTTGACTTGCTTTGATCAACAGAATGTGACAGAAGTGATGTGATATGACTTCCAAAGCTAGACATTAGATACATTGCAGCTTCTGCTTTCACTCTCTTATGATACGGTCCTGAGACTGTCATGTAAGGAAGTTCTTCTAGCTTACCAGAGAATGAGAGGTTTCATGAAAAAATAACCAAGGTACCCACCCAGTGGACTGCCAGCACCAGCTGCCAGATGGGTAAGTGAGGCCATCTTGACCTTCCAGCCCAACCACCTCCTACTGAATGCAGCCACAAGAGCAAGCCCAGGCAAAACCAGCAGTTAACTGTCAGCTAACCCAGAGAATAGTAAAAAATGATAAACCACTGCTGCTCTAAACCACTACGTTTTGAGGTTATTTATTATGCAGTAATAGCAGCTAGAACTGCCTTCTCTGTCTTTCACTTTCTGACCTTGTTGAGCCCCTGGCTCTTCATTGACTAATCCAGATAATACAATTTCTTTTCTATTACTTTTCTCCTCAGTGTCAAACTTAAGAGAATTATTCATAACTTTAGCATCATCGTTTTTATAATCAAGAGATTCTTTCCTCTCCTTTTGGAAACCTATGATGTGCTTTCAGTTGTTCCTGAACTTGGTGTTTTGGCTATTTCAACTTCCTATAAGACAGAAGCTATGCTTCACTTTCGCTTCAAGTGCTTTTGCCTCGTGAAGAGCTTTTTTTTTTTTTTTGAGACAGAGTCTCAATCTGTCACCCAGGCTGAAGTGCAATGACACGATCTCGGCTCACAGCAACTTCCACCTCCCAGGTTCAAGCGATTCTCCTGCCGTAGCCCCCTGAGTAGCTGGGGCTACAGGTGCGTGCCACCATGCCCAGATAATTTTTGTATTTTTAGTAAAGATGGGGTTCCACCATATTGGTCAGGCTGGTCTCGAACTCCTGACTTCGTGATCCGCCCACCTCAGCCTCCCAAAGTGCTGGGATTACAGATATGAGCCACCGTGCCTGGCCATGAAGAGCTGTCTTACCTCTAAGAAATTTTCTAAATTCTTGTTCATTATTTTAATATGAACTTAAACTTGTCTACAAATTGCCTTACATTTTCTTCTTGGCCTACACCACAGCAAGTACATTTTCCTCTGGCTTTAGGTTACTCTTTTTTTTTTTTTTTTTTTTTTTTTTTGAGAAGGAGTTTCACTGTTGTTGCCCAGGCTGGAGTACAATGGCACAATCTTGGCTCACTGCAACCTCCGCCCCCCTGGTTCAAGTGATTCTTGTGCCTCGGCCTCCCAAGTAGCTGCGATTACAGGCATGCACCACCACACCCGGCTAATTTTGTATTTTCAGTACAGACAGGGTTTCACCATGTTGGTCAGGCTGGCCTCGAACTCCTGACCTAAGGTGATCCTCCCACCTCAGCCTCCCAAAGTGCTGGGATTACAGGCATGAGCCACTGCGCCCAGCCAGGTTACCTTTTTTTAATTTTATTTTTTTATTTTTTTGAGACAGGCTCTCACTCTGTTGTCCAGGCTGAAATGCAGTGGTGCAATCATAGCTCATTGCAGCCTTGAATTACTGGGCTCAAGCAATCCTCCCGTCACAGCCTCCCAAGTAGCTGGGACCACAGGCATGCACCACCATGTCTGGTTAATTTTTTTTAATTTATTTTTTGTAGAGATGGGGTCTCACCATATTGCCCACACTTAGATGACTTTATTAGTGTTACCTGATTTTATCCAGCCCCATCATGAGAAAGATACATGTAGTCCTATTTTGTTGGCTGTTCTCTTCAAATTAGTTATTAGCTCATGAAACTTCTATTGATATCCTGACACCTTTTTAAGGATTCCTGGCCAGGCTTGGTAGCTCACGCCTGCAATCCCAGCACTTTGGGAGGCTGAGGTGAGTGAATCACCTGAGGTCGGGGGTTCGAAACCAGCCTGGCAAATATGGCGAAACCCCATTTCTACTAAAAATACAAAATTAGCCGGGCGTGGTGGTGCATGCCTGTAATCCCAGCTACTTGGGATGCTGAGGCAGGAGAATTACTTGAACCTAGGAGGCAGAGGTTGCAGGAAGGCGAGATCGCGCCATTGCACTCCAGCCTGGGCAACAAGAGCAAAACTCCATTTCAAAAATAAAAATAATAATAATAAGCTTGCAAGTGTGCTCTTTGTGAAATTCCACCATGGCATACAGTGGCCAGGGCCAGAAAGTGCAGAAGGTTATGGTGCAGCCCATCAACCTCATCTTCAGATACTTACAAAATAGATCGCAGATTCAGGTGTGGCTCTATGAGCAAGTGAATATGCAGATAGAAGGCTGTATCATTGGTTTTGATGAGTATATGAACCTTGTATTAGATGATGCAGAAGAGATTCATTCGAAAACAAAGTCAAGAAAACAACTGGGTCGGATCATGCTAAAAGGAGATAATATTACTCTGCTACAAAGTGTCTCCAACTAGAAATGATCAATGAAGTGAGAAATTGTTGAGAAGGATACAGTTTGTTTTTAGACGTCCTTTGTCCAATATGAACATTTATTCATATTGTTTTGATTACACTTATGTTTTTACAAGATGGCAATAAATGCTGTGGGATTGTTTGTATTAAAACTAATAATACTAATAATAATAATAAATCTTTTTTTTTTTTTTTCTGAGACGGAGTTTCACTCTTGTTGCCCAGGCTGGAGTGCAATGGCGTAATCTCAGCTCCCCGCAACCTCCACCTCCCAGGTTCAAGCGATTCTCCTGCCTCAGCCTCCCTAGTAGCTGAGATTACAGGCATGTGCCACCACTCCTGGCTAATTTTGTATTTTTAGTAGAGACAGGGTTTCTCCATGTTGGTCAGGCTGGTCTTGAACTCCCGACCTCAGGTGATCCACCTGCCTCAGCCTCCCAAAGTGCTGGGATTACAGGCGTGAGCCACCACGCCCAGCCAATTCCTGTTGTTTTTTTTTAATTGTTGTTGTTTTTTGTTTGTTTGTTTGTTTTTTTTTTGAGACCAAGTCTTGCTCTGTTACTCAGGCTGGAGTGCAGTGGTGCGATCTCTGCTCACTGCAACCTCTGCCTCCCGGATTAAGGTGATTCCCCTGCCTCAGCCTCCCTCATAGGCGCATGCCACCACACTCAGCTAATTTTTGTGGTTTTAGTGGAGGCAGGGTTTCACCATATTGCCCAGGCTGCTCTCGAACTCCTGGGCTCAAGTGAGCCACCGGCCTTGGCCTCCCAAAGTGCTGGGATTACAGGTGTGAGCCACAGCGCCCAGCCTCTGTTCTTTCCTAGAAAGAAATCCTCCACAGACTAAAGGGCAAATGCCAGTAAGGCAGTGATAGGGACGGCATTCCAGGGCACTCCCTCTAAATTCTAGATCAGAGCGGGCTGCTCAAGCAGCAAAGGCCCTGCTCTAAGTTGTGCAGGCAAAGATTTTCTGGAGCAGTGGTTCTCAAAATTTGTTCCAGAAACTGGCAAGGTTAAAACTATTTTTATAATAATACTATGACATTATCTGACTTTTCCGTTCCCATTCACTCAGGAGCATACAGTGGATTGTTTCCAGAAAACTCCATTGCCCTGAAAGCTAAGATAATGTGTATTTCTATATTCTTTTTTTTTTTTTTTTTTTTGAATCGCCCTGTCATCCAGGTTGGAGTGCAGTGGCGCGATCTCGGCTCACTGCAATCTCTGCCTCCTGAGTTCACACTATTCTCCTGCCTCAGCCTCCGGAGTAGTTGGGACTACAGGCGCCCACCACCACGCCCAGCTAATTTTTATGTATTTTTAGTAGAGACGGGGTTTCACCGTATTAGCCAGGATGGTCTCGATCTCCTGACCTCGCGATCCGCCCCTCTCGGCCTCCCAAAGTGCTGGGATTACAGGCTGGAGCCACAGTGCCCGGCCATCTATATTCTTGTGTCTTAAATTGTTCTCAGGTTCTTTGGTTGGTTGGTTGGTTGGTTGGTTTGGTTTTTTGGAGACAGAGTCTTGCTCTATCACCCGGGCTGAAGTGCAGTGGAGTGATCTTGGCTCATGGCAGCCCCAACTCCCTGGGCTCAAGCAATCCTCCCACCTCAGACTCCTGAATAGCTGGAACCAGAAGTGTGCACCACCACACCTGACTAATTTTTTTCTTTTTCTTTTTTTTTTTTTTTTTTTTTTTTTTGAGACGGAGTCTAGCTCTGTGGCCCAGGCTGGAGTTCAGTGGCAATCTCGGCTCACTGCAAGCTCCGCCTCCCGGATTCACGCCATTCTCCTGCCTCAGCCTCCCGAGTAGCTGGGACTACAGGTGCCCGCCACCACGCCCGGCTAATTTTTTGTATTTTTAGTAGAGACGGTTTCACCGTGTTAGCCAGGATGGTCTCGATCTCCTGACCTCGTGATCCACCCACCTCCGCCTCCCAAAGTGCTGGGATTACAGGCGTGAGCCACCGCGCCTGGCCTGTTTTTTTCTTAGAGACGAGGTTTTGCCATGTTGCCCAGGCTAGTCTGGAATTCCTGGGCTCAAGCGATCCTCCCACCTTGGTGTCCCAAAGTGCTGGGATTTCGGGCGTGAGGCACCACACTTGGCCTAAACTTTTCTGTTTTAAAATACAAAATGGGCCGGGCGCGGTGGCTCACGCCTGTAATCCCAGCACTTTGGGAAGCTGAGGCGGGCGGATCACCTGAGGTCAGGAGATCCAGACCATCCTGGCTAACACGGTGAAACCCTGTCTCTACTAAAAATACAAAAATTAGCCGGGCGTTGTGGCGAGCGCCTGTAGTCCCAGCTACTCGGGAGGCTGAGGCAGGAGAATGGCGTGAACCCGGGAGGCAGAGCTTGCAGTGAGCCGAGATTGCTCCACTGCACTCCAGCCTGGGCGACAGAGCAAGACTCGGTCTCCAAAAAAAAAAAAAAAAAAAAAAACATATATATATATATAATGGCTGGCTGGGCACAGTGGCTCACACCTGTAATCCCAGCACTCTGGGAGACCGAGGTGGGCAGATCACTTGAGGTCAGGAGTGTGAGACCAGCCTGGTTAACATAGTGAAACCCCGTCTCTACTAAAATACAAAAAGTATGCTGGGCGCGGTGGCTCATGCCTGTAATCCCAGCACTTTGGGAGGCTGAGGCAGGCGGATCACCTGAGGTTGGGGGTTCAAGACCAGCCTGACCAACATGGTGAAACCCCGTCTGTACTAAAAACACATTAGCCAGGTATGGTGGCACATGCCTGTAATCCCAGCTACTCAGGAGGCTGAGGCGGGAGAATCACTTGAACCCGTGAGGCAGAGGTTGCAGTGAGCTGAGATCACACCATTGCACTCCAGCCTGGGCAACAATAGCGAAACTCCACCTCAAAAAATAAAATAAAATACAAAAAGGAGCCAGGCATGGTGGCATGCACTAGTCCCAGCTACTGGGGAGGCTGAGGCAGGAGAATCTCTTGAACCCGTGAGGCAAAGGTTGCAGTGAGCCAAGATCACGCCACTGCACCCCAGCCAGGGCAACAGAGTGAGACTCCGTCTCAAAAAAATAAAATAAAATATAATGTAATGTAACATAATACAATAAATATAGTATGGCATTTTTTTTTTTTTTTTTTTTGGAGACAGGACCACATTCTCTTGCGCAGAGGTGCCATCACACCTCCTCTGTGATCCTGAGCTACAGCAATCCTCCAGCCTCAGCCTCCCAAGTAGCTGGGACTACAGGCACACAACAGCACACCAGCGAATTTTTTATTTTTTGTAGAGACAGGGTCTCACTATGTTGCCCAGGCTGGTCATGAACCACTGTGCTCAAGCGATCTTCCTGCCTTGGCCTCCCAAAGTGCTGGGATTATAGGTGCGAGCCACCATCCCTGGCCTAAATTTTTCTCAGTTTTAAAATATAACAAATACTGATGGAAATACCCATGAAGACAATTTTCAACATTAAGAAGGTTTGAGACCAGAAAGTTTGAGAACTGTAGATTGGAGGGAACATTATCATAACAAAGATCAAATTTTCCTTGACTCTCAATCCTGAGATGCTCCTTTGACTTTAAGGCCTCTCCTTCCTTGGGATGTTTGACCCAGAAAATGGGGTCAAAAACTGCTGCTGCAAACATCTCCAGTGCCACCACCCAAGGTCTGGGGAGACCTATTGGGTCAAAGGTGAAAGGGCAGGGAAGGAGAGGGACCAGGAGGTGGAGGAGGAGGAATAGGAGGAGGAAGAGGGCTGGCCGTGCACCTCCATCCCATATATCTGCTGGAGGCATGTTTCTGCAGGGTATTAGCCCCACCTAGCTCTCTCAGTGCCCCAGGTATCCCCTGCTCTCCCCACCCCCCACCTTGCCCTGGTGCCTTCTGCAGTCCTTCTCCCTCTCAGCATCCCAAGGACTCTTCTGCTTCCCCACAACCCTGGAGCACACCACTCCTGGAGTCTGTGTGCCCAAACCTCCAACAAGGACAATAAAGACAACCTTACCTGGCAGAAATTAAGCTGTTGGCTGAGGGTGGCAGCTCATGCCTGTAATCCTAGTACATTGGGAGGCCAAGAAGGAGGATTGCTTGAGGCCAGGAATTCAAGACCAATCTGACCAACATAGTAGACCCTGTCTCTATTATAAATATTTTTAAAAATTAAGCTGTTACTAGTTTTTTCTTTTTCTTTTTTTTGAGATGAAGTCTCACTTTGTCGCCACACTGGAGGGCAGTGGTGCGATCTCAGCTCACTGCAACCTCCGCCTCCCAGGTTCAAGCAATTCTCCTGCCTCAGCCTCTTGAGTAGCTGGGATTACAGGCGCACGCCACCATGCCCAGCTAATTCTTGTAGTTTTTAGTAGAGATGCGGTTTCACCATGTTAGCCAGGATGGTCTCAATCTCTTAACCTCGTGATCTGCCCGTCTCAGCCTCCCAAAGTGCTGGGATTACAGGCATGAGCCACTGTGCCCGGCAGCTGTTACTAGTTTTTTAAGGAGATCACATGTGAATTAGATCCTGAGTTCTCCTATGTTTGGAAATAATTTTTTTCCAAACGCTGTTGCTATTGAGGCTCCAGAAGTCAGTCTGCCTCCCCACCCACCCCACCCCTTAGAGGTAACAAAGTGTTGTTATCTGGATGAAGCTGATTTTTTACATAGAACTGGAGAGGGGCCGGATATGGTGTCTCACACCTGTAATCCCAATAATTTGGGAGGCCAAGGTGGGAGGATTGTTTGAGCCCAGGAGTTTGAGAACAGCCTGGGTAGCATAGCGAGACCTTATTTCAAAAAAAAAAAAAAATTGGAGAGGATTTCACATTAGTGAGTCACTTAGCTGTCAGGTGTCCCCCACCCCAACAAGTCAAGTGAATTTGACTAGCTGCAGATTCCATATAGAAAGCAGAAAATCTGGGACAGGCATGGTGACTCACGCCTGTTATCCCAGCACTTTGGGAGGCCAAGGCAGGTGGATCGCTTGAGACCAGGAGTTCCAAACCAGCCTAGCCACATGACGAAACCCTGTCTCTACTAAAATACAGAAAAATAGCCAGGCTTGGTTGTACACACCTATAATCCCAGCTACTAGGGAGGCTGAGGCAGAAGAATCACTTGAATCCAGGAGGCAGAGGTTGCAGTGAGCCAAGATCCCACCACTGCACTCCAGCCTGGGTGACAGAGTGAGACTCCCTCTCAAAAAAAAAAAAAAGGAAGCAGAAAATATTGTGTTATTCTTTGTTCTAGCTTCTCCTTACTTAATAACAGTTAACAACAACATAAGATAACTGTGAGACTAAAGATGCACACTCTTGATAATCCTTGTTGCTCATTAACTCAGTAAATGAAAATGTGCCTCATACCTCCCGTGTGCCCTGAATTGTGCGGGGTGCTGGTTATAGTTATGTGCAAGGTAGATGTAATTTTGCTTGAACGAAGTGCCTCAGTGATGTCGTTGAAGGGGTAAAGCCCCCACCACTGACAAAACCATTTCAGTCGACCTAATTTCATTAGCTCTACTTAAGACAAGAGGATTGATTGATTACCTAGCAGCTGTATTGTTTAGTCTGTTTCATCCCTTATTATTTTCATATTAGTAATCCTTTGTCAGCAGCATTTTTTTCTACAAGGATGTCTCTTAAAAGCCACACTTATGTTTGCTGATTGATTTTTTCCTTTTTAGACCTAGACCTAGGATTTTTGTTTTATTTTTTAAACTGAGCCTCGCCCTGTCACCCAGGCTGGAGTGCAATGGCACAATCTTGGCTCACTGCAACTTCCACCTCCCGGGTTCAAGCGATTTTCCTGCCTCAGCCTCCTGGTGAGACCCCATGGGTCTCCCCAGACCTTGGCTACTGACACTGAAGATGTTTGCGGCAGCAGTTTTTGACCCCATTTTCTGCGTCAAACTCCCCAAGGAAGGAGAGGGAGCCTCAAGGAGGGCCTTAGAGTCAAAGGCCCCGGGGTTCAAGCGATTCTTAGATCGCCCCACTGCCCTCCAGCCTACTCAATTGAGTGAGACTCCTTCTAAAAAAAAAAAAATTCCCCACCCCACCAAAATAAAGGAGCCTGAGGAATCTGTGAACAATACCAAAGGGCTGATATTCATGACATCAGAGTTCCAGAAGGAAAGGAGAAAAAGTGCAGTACAAAAAAAAAAAAAAAGTTGAAGAAACAATGGCTAAAAATTTTCTAAATTTTGGCAAAAGACAATAACTGATACTCACGAAGGCCAGCAGAACCTTAACAGAAAAAACCCAGAGAGTCTCTCTGAACTAACTCTGTTTCAGGGGGCTGCTTGATAATAAAATAAATAAATGAATAAAAAAGACAGATCCAAATGAATCCAAATTGAGATAGATTGCAATCAAACTTTGAAAATATAGACAAAGAAAATCTTGAAAATAGCCAGGGAAAGATAATGTATTGCCCACTGCATTCCAGCACTCTGGGGGGCCAAGGCGGGCGGATGACGAGGTCAGGAGTTCGAGACCAGCCTGACTAACTTGGTGAAACCCCATCTCTACTAAAAAGACCAGCCTGACTAACATGGTGAAACCTCATCTCTACTAAAAATACAAAAATTAGCCAGGCATGGTGGCACACACCTCTAGTCCCAGCTACTAGGGAGGCTGAGGCAGGAAAATCGCTTGAACCCGGGAGGTGGAGGTTGCAGTGAGCCGAGATCACTCCACTGCACTTCAGCCTGGGTGACAGAGCAAGACTCCGTCTCCAAAAAAAAATTAATAAATAAATAAAAACATTTTATTATTGTTTTTGAGCCATTAGAAAAAAAAAAGAAAAAACTGTATTTGTGTGTGTGTGTGTGTGTAACAACATTTTAAAATGCTTAACAGGCCAGGCATGATGGCTCACGTGGATAATCCCAGCACTTTGGGAGACCAAGGCAGGTGAATCCCTTGAGACCAGGAGTTCAAAATCAGCCTGGGAAACATAGTTAGACCCTGTCTCTATTATTTTTAAAAAGTAAAAAAAAAAAGTGCTGAATAAAAAGTGTCACCAAAAGACAAAAAAAAAAAAAAAAAAGAGCTGCCACCTCAAAATTCAATGAAAATATTCTTCAGGAATAAAGATGAAATAAAGACATGCTTAGATACAAGGAAACTAAGAGAATGTGTTGCAAACAAAACTCCTCTGAATAAATTGCCATAAGTTCAGATATAAGAGAAATTACATCAGAAGGAAGCTAGGAACATAAGAAATGAATGAAGAACAATAAAAAGGCTAAATACCCGAGTAAATAGCATGTACCCGGGTAAATAGAATATTCTTTTCCTCTTGAGTTTTTGTTTTTGTTTTTTGTTTTTTGAGATAGAGTCTCGCTCTGTTGCCCAGGCTGGAGTGCAGTGTCGCAATCTCTGCCCACTGCAACCTCCGCCTCCCTAGTTCAAGCGATTCTGCTGCCTCAGCCTCCTGAGTAGCTGGGACTACACGCACGCACCACCACCTTGGCTAATTTTTGTATTTTTAGTAGAGATGGGTTTTCACCATGTTGGCCAGGATGCTCCCATTCTCCTGACCTCATGATCTACTCGCCTCAGCCTCCCAAAATGCTGGGATTACAGGTGTGAGCCACTGTGCCTGGCCTGAGTTTTTAAAAATATATTTCATAGTTGAAAACAAAAATTAAGGTAGACGGATCATGAGGTCAGGAGTTTGAGACCAGCCTGGCCAACATAGTGAAACCCTATCTCTACTAAAAATACAAAAATTAGCCAGGCATGGTGGCATGCGTCTGTAGTCCCAGCTACTCAGGAGACTGAGGCAGAATCACTTGAACCTGGGAGGCAGAGTTTGTGGTGAGCCGAGATCCTCCCACTGCAATCCAACTTGGACAACAGAGTGAGACTCCGTCTCAAAAAAAAAGAAAATAATTATACTACTGGCTGGATACAGTGGCTCATGCCTGTAATCCCAGCACTTTGGGAGGCTGAGGTGGGCGAATCACTTGGGGTCAGGAGTTCGAGACCAGCCAGGCCAACATAGTGAATCCCCATCTCTACTAAAAATAGAAAAATTTGCTGGATGTGGTGGCGCGCGCCTGTAATCCCAGCTACTCCGGAGGCTGAGGCAGGAGAATCGCTTGAACCCAGGAGATGGAGGTTGCAGTGAGCCAAGATCGTGCCACTGCACTAGATCCTGGGCAACAGAGCAAGACTTCATCTCAAGGATAAATAAATAAAAATTAGGCCGGGTGAAAGGCCAGGCGCAGTGGCTCACGCCTGTAATCCCAGCACTTTGGGAGGCCGAGGTGGGCGGATCACAAGGTCAGGAGATCAAGACCATCCTGGCTAACACGGTGAAACCCCATCTCTACTAAAAATACAAAAAATTAGCCAGGTGGGGTGACGGGCGCCTGTAGTCTCAGCTGCTAGGGAGGCTGAGGCAGGAGAATGGCGTGAACCCGGGAGGCGGAGCTTGCAGTGAGACGAGATTGCATCACTGCACTCCAGCCTGGGCAACAGAGCAAGACTCTGTCTCAAAAAAACAAAACAAAACAAAACAAAAAATTAGGCTGGGTGTGGTGTCGCACACCTGTAATTCCAGCACTTTGGGAGGCCAAGGCAGGCAGATCACCTGAGGTCAAGAGATCGAGGCCATCCTGGCCAAAATGGTGAAATCCCGTCTCTACTAAAAATACAAAAATTAGCTGAGTGTGGTGGCGCGCGCCTGTAGTCCCAGCTGCTTGGGAGACTGAGGCAGGAGAATCACTTGAACCCACGAGGCAGAAGTTTCAGTGAGCCAAGATCACACCACTGCACTCCAGCCTGGCAACAGAGTGAGACTCCGTCTCAAAAATAAATAAATAAAAATAAATAATAAAAATTAATTATGAGATAGCTTTTACTTTGCTATTTATTCATTTTTATTTATTTTAGAGATGGGGGTCATGCTATGTTGCCCAGGGCAGTCTCGAACTCCTAGCAATCCTTCCTCCTTGGTCTCCCAAAGTGCTGGGATTACAATTGTGAGCCACATTCCTTCCAGCTTACTGGGCTATTTAAAGGTTTCTAATACTACCATATCCTGCTGATCAAAAGCTCTAACTTGCAAAAAAAAAAAAAAAAATCTACCCTGCATATCAATATACTCATATCTATCTATCTAGCTATCTAAAACTGTGAGTAAAACCAAATGGGTAACCACATTTAATGCTACTTTACTGGATAATGTTATTTGATGCTGAGAAGTTTTAAACCTGGTGTCCAGGAGTGAAGCCTTAGTGTAAACACATGATTGTGTCCAGTGATTTGTCATTTTACAAATCCCACACTAGATGGCAGATTTTAAACAGGATTTTCTGGGTCACAAATTAATTAGGAAAAAAATGGCTAGGCACGGTGGCTCACACCTGTGATCCCAGCACTTTGGGAGGTGCAGGGGGACAGGTCACCTGAGGACAGGAGTTCAAGACCAGCCTGGCCAACATGGTGAAACCCCATATCTACTAAAAATACAAAAATTAGCTGGGCATGGATGTGGGCGCCTGTAATCCCAGCTACTCGGGAAGCTGAGGCACAAGAATCGCTTGAACCCAGGAGGCAGAGGTTGCAGTGAGCAGAGATTTCACCACTGCACTCCAATTTAGGTGACAGAGTGAGACTCTGTCTCAAAATAATAATAATTAGGAATATCTACATATAGATCTGCAAAGGAAAAAATCCGGATGTGGAGGCTCATGCCCGTAATCCCAGCACTTTGGGAGGCTCAGGTGGGAGGCTGAGGTGGGAGAATAAATTGAGCCCAGGATTTCGAGACCAGCCAGGGCAAACATGGGGAAACCCCATCTCTACAAAAAATATAGAAATTAGCTGGGCGGCCAGGCGTGATAGCTCATGCCTGTAATCCCAGCACTTTGGTGGATCACCTGAGGTCAGGAGTTCAAGACCAGCCTGGCCATCACGGTGAAACCCTGTCTCTCAAAAAAAAAAAATGAAAAGAAAAGAAAAGAAAAATTAGTTGGGCGTGGTGGCATGCCCCTGTAATCCTAGCTACCCAAGAGGCTGAAGCAGGAGAATTGCTTGAACCAAGATCATGCCACTGCACTCCAGCCTTGGTGACAGAGCGAGACTCTGTCTTGAAATAAGTAAATGAATAAATTAGCTGGGCGTGGTGGTGCCCACCTGTGGTCCCAGCTACTCCAGGGTGCTGAGGCAGGAGGATCACCTGAGCCTTGGGAGGTCGAGACTCCAGTGACCTCTGATCTTGCCATTGCCCTCCAGCTTGGGGGACAGAGTGAGGACCTGTCGCCCAAGCTGGAGTACAGTGGCATGGTTTCTGCTAACTGCAACCTTCGCCTCCCAGGTTCAAGCGATTCTCCTGCCTCAGCCTCCCGAGTAGCTGGGATTACAGCATGTGCCACCATGCCCTTCTAATTTTGTATTTTTAGTAGAGACGGGGTTTCTCCATGTTGGTCAGGCCAGTCTCAAACTCCTGACCTCAGCTGATCCATCTGCCTCGGCCTCCCAAAGTGCTGGGATTACAGGTGTGAGCCACCAGGCCCGGCCAGCATCTGTTTTTTAGTTTAGTTTAGTTTAGTTTAGTTTAGTTTAGTTTAGTTTAGTTTTTGAGAGGGAGTTTTGGTCTTGTTGCCCAGGCTGGAGTGCAATGGTGTGATCTCCCTCACTGCAACCTCTGCCTCCCGGGTTCAAGTGATTCTCATGCCCCAGCCTCCTGAGTAGCTAGAATTACAGGCACCTGCCACCATGCCCAGCAAATTGTTGGTATTTTTAGTAGAGATGGGGTTTTGCCACGTTAGCCAGGCTCCGAACTCCTGAACTCAGGTGATCCACCTGCTTCGGCCTCCCAAAGTGCTGGGATTACAAGTGTGAGCCACCTTGCCCAGCCCAGCATCTGTCATTTTTTGACTTTTTAATAATAGTCATTCTGACTGGTGTGAGTTTGTATCTCATTGTGGTTTGCATTTCTTTAACGATTAGTGATGTTGAACATTTTTTCATGTTGTCCAAGTGTATGTCTTCTTTTGAAAATTATCTGTTCATGTCCTTTGCTCACTTTTTTTTTTTTTTTTTTTTTTGAGATGAAGTCTCACTCTTGTCCCCCAGGCTGGAATGCAATGGTGTGATCCCGGCTCACTGCAACCTCTGCCTCTCGGGTTCAAGCGATTCTCCTGCCTCAGGCTCCCAAGTAACTGGGATTACAGGTGCCTGCCACCATGCCCAGCTAATTTTTGTATTTTTTTTAGTAGAGATGGGGTTTCACCAGGTTAGACAGGCTGGTCTTAAATTCCTGACCTCAGGTGATCCATCTGCCTCGGCCTCCCAAAGTGCTGAGATTACAGGCATGAGCCACTGCACCTGACCGTCCTTTGCTCACTTTTTTAATGGGGTTGTTTGTTTTTTGGCTTGTTAATTTGTTTAAGTTCCTTATGGATTCTCGATATTAGACCTTTGTTGGATGCATAGTTTGCAAATATTTTTTCCCAGTCTGTAGGTTGTCTTTTTATTCTGTTGATAGTTTCTTTTACTGTGCAGAAGCTCTTTACTTTAATTAGGTCCCGTTTGTCAATTTTCTGTTTCAATTTAATTATATTTATTTGTTTGTTTTTTGAAAATAGAGACAAGATCTTGCTATGCTGCCCAGGCTAGTCCAGTGGGACTGAAAAACTTTTTTTTTTTTTTTTTTTTTTTTGAGACAGAATCTCGCTGTGTCGCCCAGTCTGGAATGTAGTGGTGTGATCTTGGCTCACTGCAACCTCCCCCTCCCAGGTTCAAGCGATACTTGTGCCTCCGCCTCCCAAGTATCTGGGACTACATGTGTGTGCCCCCATGCCCGGCTAATTTTGTATTTTTTTGTAGAGACGGGGTTTGGCCATGGTGGCCCGGCGGGTCTTGAACTCCTGGTCTCAAGTGATCCCCCAGACTAGGCCTCCAAAAGTTCTGGGATTACAGGCGTGAGCCACTGCTCCTGGTGGATACTGATTTCTGTATACTGATTTTGTATCCTAAAACTTTGCTGAAGTTCTTTTTCAGATCTAGGAGCTTTGGGACAGAGCCTTTGGGGTTTTTTAGGTATAGAATCACATTGTCTACAACAGAGATAGTCTGACTTCCTAATTGAGGTTCCCAAACCTCAATTCTTGACTTCTGTGCACCCATAGGCTCAACACCACATGGACGCTGCCAACTCTTAGAGCTTCCACCCTCTGAAGGAACAGCCTGAGCTGTACCTTGGCCCCTTTTAGTCATGGCTGGAGTGTCTGGGATGCAGGGCAACAAGTCCCTAGACTGCACACAGCACAGGAACTCTGGGCCCAGCCCACAGAACCACTTTTTCCTCCTAGGCCTCTGGACCTGTGATGGGAGGGGCTGCCATGAATACCTCTGACATTCCCTGAAGACATTTTCCCCATTGTCTTGGGGATTAACATTCAGCTCCTCATTACTTATGCAAATTTCTGCATCTGGATTGAGTTTCTCCTCAGAAAATGAGATTTTCTTTTCTGTTGCATTGTCAGGTTGCAATTTTCCAGTCTTTTATGCTCTGCTTCCTTTATAAACCTGAATGCCTTTAACAGCACCCAAGTCACCACGCGAATGCTTTCATGCTAGGAAATTTCTTCCACCAGATACCCTAAGTCATCTCTGTCAAATTCAAAGTTCCACAAATCTCTAGGGCAGGGGTAAAATGCTGCCAGTCTCCTTGCTAAAACATAACAAGAGTCACCTTTGCTCCAGTTCCCAGCAAGTTCCGCGTTTCCATCTGAGACCACCTCAGCCTGGACTTTATTGTCCATAATACTATCAGCATTTTGGTCAAAGCCATTCAACAAGTCTCTAGGGAGTGCCAAACTTTCCCACATTTTCCTGTCTTCTTCTGAGCCCTCCAAACTGTTCCAATCTCTGCCTGTTACCCAGTTCCAAAGTAGCTTCCACATTTTTGGGTATCTACAGCAGTGCCCTGCTCTACTAGTACCAATTTAATGTATGAGTCCATTTTCACGCTGCTGATAAAGACATACCTGACACTGGGAAGAAAAAGAGGTTTAATGAACTTACAGTTCCACATGGGTGAGGAGGCCTCACAGTCTTGGCAGAAGGCAAGGAGGAGCAAGGCACGTCTCACATGGATGGCAGCATGCAAAAAAGAGAGGGCTTGTGCAGGGAAACTCTGGTTTTTAAAACCGTCAGACCTAATGAGACTCATTCACTATCAGGAGAACAGTGCAGGAAAGCCCTGACCCATAATTCAATCACCTCCCACCAGGTTCCTCCCATGATATGTGGGAATTATGGGAGTTACAATTCAAGATGAGATTTGGGTGGGGACACAGCCAAAGCATATCACTGCTGTCAAGCAAAGCTGAGAGATTTAATTGGTAAAGAAACAACAAGCCCTTTTTAGATTCAGGCAGTTTAATACTGATAGCAATACTAAGATTGGCAAAGATGCCAGCGCCCTGTGTCCATTTTCCTACCAGACAACACCAAAACAAAAGAGGTCAGGTGATAATGCAACATGGGTGATGGGAGCTCTGTTTCTGCAGAGCCAATTTCACACTAAGCAGTTTGATGGGATGCTGGGGGGTGGGGGCGGGGACAGGTGTAGCCTCTTTGCCTAATTGTCCCCTAGCACTGCCCAGTCATTGCATAGGCTGCTGGAACCATGAAGATTTGAACTTTGGAGCATCTCTTTGACCACCCATGAGAAACTCTTACAATAGCTGCAATGCAGTAATACCCAAACCCTATCAACTTGAGTGTGGTTGGAGTTGATGTGTTAGACAGACATATAGATCCCTCTGAAAAGTTGCACAGCCACAGACTTAGCACAGACTGGGGACTACCTTCCATTGTGAAGTCTCTTATTGGTGCAAGAAACAAAACATTTGTGTAAGAACATTCAGTAGTTGATCCTGTAGAGAAAACAATGGAACAGGAATCTACCAACATTTCATTTACAAACATATTTTAAGTAGGTGAGAGGCTTATATACAAGTCACATCCTCAGGACACAGAAAAAATCCTATTTTGACTCAGGAAGCCATAATCACTGTGAAAGGAGTCAGCCTCGGCAATTACTTTGCAGGACTGATGGCAAGTATGTTATCTCCAAATGCTAATAAAGGGCAAGAAACAGAGGAATGCAGGCCAGGCATGGTGACACACTCCTGTAATCCCAGCACCTTGGGAGGCCGAGGCAGGAGGATCACCTGAGATCAGGAGTTCGAGACCAGCCTGGCCAACATGGAGAAACCCTGTCTCTACTAAAAATACAAAATTAACTGGGCGTGGTGGCGCATGCCTGTAATCCCAGCTACTCGGGAGGCTGAGGCAGGAGAATCACTTGAACCCGGGAGGCAGAGGTTGTGGTGGGCTGAGACCACGCCATTGCACTCCAGCCTGGGCAACAAGAGCGAAACTCCATCTAAAAAAAAAAAAAAAAAAAAAAAACCAAACATGGGTTTACATAACTTTCCACTCCTTTTTCATCCTGATCACTTATCCAGGTAGCAGCCTAGAAAAGATCAATCTCTTTCTGGGGACAGCTGCATTTAATCACTAAATTAAGGTGCCTTGTTAAGTTGTGTGTGTCAGAGGCATTTGAACCAGACCAACTCCATCTTGAATAGGGGCTGGTAAAATAAGGCTGAGACCCACTGGGCTGCATTCTCAGACGGTTAACGCATTCTAAGTCACAGGATGACATAGGAGGTCAGCACAAGATATAGCTCATAAAGACCTTGCTGATAAAACAGGCTGCAGTAAAGACGCCGGCTAAAACCCACCAAAACCAAGATGTGAGCGTGACCTCTGGTTGTCCTCACTGCTACACTCTCAGCAGCGCCATGACAGTTTACAAAAGCTATGGCAACATCAGGAAGTTAACCTATATGGTCTAAAAAGGGGAGGCATGAATAATACACCCCTTGTTTAGCATACCATCAAAAAACAACCATAAAAATAGACAACCAGCAGCCCTTGGGGCTGCTCTGTCTATGGAATAGCCATTCTTTTATTCCTTTACTTTCTTAACAAACTTGCTTTCTCTTTACACTACGGACTCTCCCTGAACTCTTTCTTGCGCGAGATCCAACAACCCTCTCTTGGGGTCTGGATCGGGACCCCTTTCCTGTAACATGTATACCAGGAGAAAGGAAGTAGAGTCAAGGTATCAGTTCACTGTTGCAAACTGCATCTAATACCAAAAGCCAAACGCAAGAAGTTAGCAGCAGTAAGATGGCCCTGAGACAGGGTCCAGAGTCTGATCTCTCAGTACTGGGTGAAAGGGTCACACTTGCTGAGATGTGCCCTCCCACAGTGTGCAGCTTTAGCAGGAATCACTACTTAGAAATGCAAACAGTCTCTGTAACAGAAACAAAGAGCCAATGAGCAGATCAATTTCAGATGGTCCCATCAGAAATAAGCCCCTTTCTGTAGGCAATTGTGACCCAGCTGGTCCAGCCAGCATCCATGATGTTTTCACAGCTTTGTCTTTCGAGTCAAATCTGCAACTGTCCCAGAGCCTGAGTTTTGTTTTTTAAGCAGAGCAACTTTGTCAAATTTGGTTTGTCTTAGCTAGCTAATAGGCAAGCCAGCCCAGAAAACTTGTCAGTTACAAACTTTCTCTGAAAACAAAACAAAACTGGATGAGGTCTCTATCTTCTTTTATGTCCTTGGGAGCTTGACCTTGTAACCACGTGGTGGTACTTTCTTTTTTTTATTTTTTGAGACGGAGTCTTGCCCTGTCACCCAGGCTGGAGTGCAATGGCATGATCTCGGCTGACTGCAACCTCCACCTCCTGGTTTCAAGCTATTCTCCTGCCTCAGCCTCCCCAGTAGCTGGGACTACAGGCGTGTGCCACCACGTCCAGCTAATTTTTGTATTTTTAGTAGAAACAGGGTTTCGCCATGCTGGCCAGGCTGGTCTCGAACTCCTGACCTCAAATGATCTGCCCATCTCGGCCTCCCAAAGTGCTGCAGTTATAGGCGTGAGCCATCACACCCAGCCACCACGTGGTGGTACTTTCTTTTGGTCTCTGCCATTTTACAATAGAGGGCTGGGTTCAATCCCGGTTTAGGAAGTGAGTACTTTCTGGTTGATACCTGTGTGACCTTCACCATTTGTTGATTCTCTTCCCCTGCATGAACAATGTCTGGCTTCCCTCCTTAACCTTCTTAAATTTTCCTTTCTGGCTGGGTGCGGTGGCTCATGCCCGTAATCCCAGCACTTTGGGAGGCTGGTTTCCAACTCCTGACCTCAGGTGATCCACCCACCTCGGCCTCCCAAAGTGCTGGGATTATATACAGGTGTGTGAGCCACAACTTCCGGCCTCATTCTTTTTTTTTTTTTTTTTTTTTTTTTTTTTTTTTTTTTGAGACAGAGTCTTGCTCTGTCACCCAGGCTGGAGTGCAGTGGCATGATCTCAGCTCACTGCAACCTCCGCTTCCCGGGTTCCAGCGATTCTCCTGCCTCAGCCTCCCGAGTAGCTGGGACTACAGGCGCCCACCACCACGCCCGGCTAATTTTTGTATTTTTAGTAAAGATGGGGTTTCACTGTGTTAGCCAGGATGGTCTCAATCTCCTGACCTCGTGATCCGCCCACCTTGGCCTCCCAAGTGCTGGGATTACAGATGTGAGCCACCACACCCAGCCCCAGCCTCATTCTTTGATCTATTTGATTTTAGGTGGTTTGGTTTATGGGGACCCTGGGTAAGGAACATACTCCAAACTGTTGGTATTATCCTCCTGATAGTGATGATAATAGTCTCCCTGGTGCACTGTATTCTCCCAAAGGTTTTAAATGTTTACATGCAGCCATCTCTAGAATGTCAAATGGTCTCTGTTCAACTGGAATGACAAGAGCTGAAAGAAATGTGCAACCATGAGGACACAGTAACCTATAAATGACACACTGAGGCCAGAAACCCAAAATGGTGGTAACGGAAAATGGCGCTAAGGCCCTAAGTTCTGGTCACACTGTCAGCTAAGTGAGAACCTGACCAGAAAGGGATAATTTTTTTAAACAAAATTATGGAAGGCCATTGTTTTGAACTGAGCTCATGCGCTAGGCCCCAACAGACCAAACCAAACAAAAATGGAGTTGCTTGGCCGGGCGCAGTGGCTCATGCCTGTAATCCCAGCACTTTGGGAGGCCGAGGTGGGCGGATCACCTGAGGTCAGGAGTTCGAGACCAGCCTCAACATGGAGAAACCCCGTCTCTACTAAAAATACAAAAAAAAATTAGCTGGGTGTGGTAGGTAGTGCATGCCTGTAATCCCAGCTACTCAGGAGGCTGAGGCAGGAGAATTGCTTGAACCTGGGAGGTGGAGGTTGCGGTGAGCTGAGATCGTGCCATTGCACTCCAGCCTGGGCAACAAGAGTGAAACTCAGTCTCAAAAAAAAAAAAAAAAAAGCAAAAAAAAAATGTAGTTGCTTCTGTTAAATGTGACATAATCAAATGAAGACTTTAAGGAAACTCATAGATCCTAGAACAGACCACGTTTTGTTTTTCTCCTGTAAACATGACGTTCCCAGTATAAGAAGGTACCCTCTACTGAGTCCTTGTTCCCACCTTGCAAAGCCCACAGTGTTCTGTTTCCCAGTGAGTTTCAATATCAAATAAGTACATTTATGACGGTGATAGTGACATCAATGACTCAAGTTTTGGTCAATCTCTAAAAATTGAGAAAATGACCAAAAGAGGGTGATTGTTAAAGCGAACTAAGGATGGCCTGAGAAGGACTCTGTACTTCTGTATTTGAGTCCTTTTGGTCAAGCTGCAACCTAACTAAATAGGTACACAAGATTGAAAACTAAATTAGGAGTATTTGCCTGTAACAAGAGCTGAGTCTTGGCCCATCCCAGCAGCCATACTTCAACCACTCATACACTGCGGAGTGTTCAAACTGTTCAAATAAGGCAAACGCGGAGCTGTAACGAATCCACTTAAGGACCTCACCTCTGATTTCTATAGTCACTTCTCTTTTTTGTCTGTAAATTTGTTCTGACCATGAGGCATCCCTGGAGTCTCTCTGAATATCTGCTGTGATTCTGGGGGCTACCTGATTCATGAATCATTCATTGCTCAATTAAATTATTATTATTATTACTTTTTTTTTTTTTTGAGACAGAGTCTCGCTCTGTCGCCCAGGCTGGAGTGCAGTGGCACGATCTCGGCTCACTGCAAGCTCCGCCTCCCGGGTTCACGCCATTCTCCTGCCTCAGCCTCCCGAGTAGCTGGAACTAGGGGTGCCCGCCACCACGCCCAGCTAATTTTTTGTATTTTTAGTAGAGATGGGGTTTCACCATGTTAGCCAGGATGGTGTCGATTTCCTGACCTTGTGATCCTCCTGCCTTGGCCTCCGAAAGTGCTGGAATTACAGGCGTGAGCCACCACGCCCAGCCGCTCAATTAAATTATTTTAAATTTAATTCAGTTGAAGTTTTTCTATTAACAAGCCCATACTATAAAGTATCAAGTTTCAGCTTAGAATCAGGTCCAGGAAATTAGGATCAGGATTCCGAAAAGCCCTGTTGCTTTTTCTTCGCAGAAGCAAAGCCAAAATGCTGCAAGGCCTCATGGCCATATTCCAGGTGCAACTGACAAGCCTTTTTTTTTTTCTTTTTTTTAAGACTGAGTCTCGCTTTGTTGCCCAGGCTGCAGTGCAGTGGCACAATCTCGGCCCACTGCAGCCTCCATTTCCTGGGTTCAAGCGATTCTCCTGCCTCAGCCTGCAGAGTAGTTCGGACTACAGGCGTGCACCACCGCATCCAGCTAATTTTTGTATATTTAGTAGAGATTAATTTTCGCCATGTTGGCCAGGCTGGTCTTGAACTCCTGACCTCAGGTGATCCGCCCGCCTCTCCCTCCCAAAGTGCTGGGATTATAGGCATAAGCCACCATGCCCGGCCTAAGGAAGGCTTTATTAAGCCTTTTTTATCTCGTCAGTATTTAGGCCCAAAGTGACCCACTCAGAAATATGCACATCTGGCTGGAAATCATTAGCTTTTATGGGTCAGACATCTGATTTTACAAGAGCTCATTAGCAACTAAAATCAGTTTTTTAAAACTCTAAAAGTATATTTCCATATGGAGAGTACCTCCTTTTTAATGTTATTTCCTTTTTTCCAGAGGCTCCAATAGGCAAGACATACAGCAAAAATAATCAGTTATGGAGATTTGTTTTTTTTGTTTTTGAGACAGGGTCTCTGTCATCCAAGCTGGAGTGCAGTGGCGTGATCTTGGCTCACTGCAACCTCCGCCCCACTCCCCTGGGCTCAAGCAGTCCTCCCACCAAAGCCTCCTAAGTAACTGGGACAACAGGAGCGTGCCAACACACCTGGCTAGTTTTTTGTATTTTTAGTAGGGATAGGGTTTCACCATTTGCCCAGGCTGGTCTTGAACTCCTGTACTCAAGCATTCCACCTGCCTCAGCCTCCCAAAGTACTGGGATTGCAGGCATAAGCCACAACGTCTGGCCCTGTTTCTTCCATTTATTTCTTTTCTTCTTCTTTTTTTTTTTTTTTTTTTTTTTGGAGACGGAGCTTTGCTCTGTCGCCCAGGCTGGAGTGCAGTGGCGTGATCTCGGCTCACTGCAACCTCTGCTTCCCGGGTTCAAGCAATTCTCTGCCTCAGCCTCCCGAGTAGCTGGGATTACAGACACCCACCACCTCACCCGGCTAATTTTTTGTATTTTTAGTAGAGGTGGGGTTTCACCATCTTGGCCAGGCTGATCTTGAACTCCTGACCTCGTGATCCATCCACCTCGACCTCCCAAAGTACTGGGATTACAGGCGTGAACCACCGCGCCCAGCCTTCTTCCTTTTTTTCATACAATTTTTTTCTGGCCACACATTAATGAGAATACTTTTTGTTTGTTTTGTTTTGTTTTTTGAGATGGAGTCTCGCTCTGTCACCTAGGCTGGAGTGTGGTGGTACAATCTTGGCTCACTGCAACCTCTGCTTCCCGGGTTCAGGCGATTCTCCTGCCTCAGCCTCCTGAGTAGCTGGGATTATAGGCATGCGCCACCATCCCTGGCTAATTTTTGTAATTTTTAGTAGAGATGGGGTTTCCCCATGTTGGTCAGGCTGGTCTCGAACTCCTGACCTCGTGATCCGCCCGCCTCTGCCTCCCAAAGTGCTGGTATTACAGGCATGAGCCACTGAGCCCGGCCAAGAATACTTCGTTTTTTGTTTGTTTGTTTTTTCAGAGTAGGAGTCTTGCTTGCCCGGGCTGGAGTGCAGTGGCGTGATCTCAGTTCACTGAAACCTCTGCCTCCTGAGTTTAAGCAATTCTCCTGCCTCAGCCTCCTGAGTAGTGGGGATTTCAGGCGCGTTCCACTGTGCCCAGCTAATTTTTGTACTTTTAGTAAAGACAGAGTTTCACCATGTTGGCCAGGCTGGTCTCAAACTCCTGACCTTGTGATCCACCCGCCTTGGCCTCCCAAAGTGCTGGGATTACAGGCGTGAGCCACCACATCCGGCCAAGAATACTTGGTTTTTAATACTCAGAGAATTTAAATACGAACCCACCCACCAATGGCAAGAAGCAATTATTTATGTATCCCACTAACACTTTTTCTTTGCAGCTGTCCCTGATTGGGATGGTTCCCATAGCATTCATAAAATTACAAGTGTATAACACTTTTTTTTTTTTTTTTTTTTTTTTTTTTGCAGCTTCATGGTTGGTTTTGGCCAAACTTTTTATTTAGTATTCTGTAGTGGTTTAACACACACTTAAACGGTCTTATTGGGGGAGGGGAAAGGGGAGGTTCTTGCAGATTCCCAAGGAAATGTCAGAAAGGCAAAATGGCCAGCATTATCCATTTGCTTTTTGGGGTTTACTGGGTGAATAGCACTTTCCTTACATAGGCATGTGATTTCAGGTTTTTCATACTGAGAACATTGAGATTTCAGTTGGAAGACACCCTGAAATCTTATGAGTAGCATACCCCAACCACCCTCTAATAGCTAGCTTGTTTGTATAGGTAGAATGATTCATCTCTCCATTTTAGATGGCTAGATGTTTTGTGGAAGATCTTAGAATTGCCTGCCTCATTTACTGGGAAAAATCAGATAGGAAGTGGCCTTTAGGGATACTTTTACTTGGAAAGTTACAACACTAGTACAAGTTTTTTTTTTATTTTAGTAGAGACTGAGTTTCACCGTGTTAGCCAGGATGGTCTCAATCTCCTGACCTCGTGATCTGCCCGCCTCGGCCTCCCAAAGTGCTGGGACTACAGGCATGAGCCACCGCGCCGGCCTTTCCTTTTATTTATTTATTTAATGATACAAAGTTTCGCTCTTGTTGCCCAGGCTAGAGTGCAATGGTGCAATTTCGGCTCACTACAACCTCTACCTCGCAGGTTCAAGGGATTCTCCTGCCTCAGCCTCCCAAGTAGCTGGGATTACAGGAGCCCACCACCACACCTGGCTAATTTTTGTATTTTTAGTAGAGACGGGGTTTCTCCATGTTGGCCAGTCTGGTCTCGAACTCCTGACCTCAGGTGATCCACCCACCTCGGCCTTCCAAAGTTCTGGGATTACAGGCACAAGCCACTGTGCCCGGCCGTGTATTACCATCTTATATGTGTAAAGGACAGGCGTGAGCCACTGCCCTGGCTGCAAATTGATATACTTCTAAATAATAGTCTAATTTTGAATATATTGAAGTACAGTACGCTTTTTACAAATATAAAGAATCGGGCCAGATGCAGTGGCTCATGCCTATAATCCCAGCACTTTGGGAGGTTGAGGCAGGAGGACCACATGAGGTCAGGAGTTTGAGACCAGCCTGGCCAACATGGCGAAATCCTATCTCTACTAAAAATACAAAATTAGCCAGGCGTGGTGGCGTATGCCTGTAATCCCAGCTACTCAGGAGGCTGAAGGAGGAGAATTGCTTGAACCTGGGAGGCAAAGCTTGCAGTGAGCCCAGATTGAGCCACTGCACTCCAGCCTAGGAGACAGAGCAAGACTCCGTCTCAAGAAAACCCCCAAAAACCCAAAAATGGATAAAAAGATTAAGGCAATTCTTTTAGTAGTGCAAACATGATTGTCAGTGATGAATGGCACCTTGGGAGGTAACCTTGGAGGAGGAGGAGGTATTGATGGGACCACCTGCCCGAGAGTTGAGGAAAGCAGTGTGGAGGGTGACCATGGTAGCCAAAGAGAAGCGGAGGAAGGCGAAGGTGTTTCCAAGGCAGGAGAGCACTGTGGTCTTGAAGCATTCATTCCCTGGTAAAAGTGGTTGAGGAGACAGCTTTGAGCTGGTGATAGCCAGATGTGTCATCACTGACTTAGCTGGCCAGAAGGACAGGGAAAGAGAACTTGCTGACAGTGGGACTGACTGAGCGAGCAGTGTCAGGGGGACACAAACTATTAGAGATTCTTGATCACATTGAGTCAGTCGAGAAAACCTTCAAAACATTTACACTTCAGACAAATAGAGAATCTCGGAAGTCTCTCTGAACCTATTCTGGTTTGAGGGGCTGACCAGTTTTAAAAAGAGAATCTGGCCGGTTGTGGTGGCTCACGCCTGTAATCCCAGCACTTTGGGAGGCTGAGGCAGGCGGATTGCCTGAGGAGTTTGAGACCAGTCTGGCCGCGACGGCGAAACCCCATCTCCATTAAATATATAAAAAAATTAGCTAGGTGTGGTGGTGTGCACCTGTAATCCCAGCTACTTGGGAGGCTGAAGCAGGGGAATTGCTTGAACCAGGGAGGTGGAGGTTGCAGTGAGCCGAGATCGCGCCACTGCACTCCAGCCTGGGCAACAGATCGAGACTCTGTCTCAAAAAAAAAAAAATAAAGAAAGAAAAGAAAAGAAAGAAACCCCATCTCTACTAAAAATATTTTTTAAAGTAGCTAGGTGTGGTGGCAGTTGCCTGTAATCCCAGCTACTTGGGAGGCTGAAGCAGGGGAATTGCTTGAACCACGGAGGTGGAGGTTGCAGTGAGCCGAGATCGCACCACTGCACTCCAGCCTGGGCAACAGATCCAGACTCTGTCTCAAAAAAAAAAAAAAAAGAAAAGAAAAGAAAAGAAAAGAAAGAAACCCAATCTCTACTAAAAATATTTTTAAAAGTAGCCAGATGTGGTGGCAGGTGCCTGTAATCCCAGCTACTTGGGAGGCTGAGGCAGGAGAATTGCTTGATCCGGGGAGACAGAGGTTGCAGTGAGCCAAGATCGTGCCATTGCACTCCAGCCTGGGCAACAAGAGCAAAACTCCATCTCAAAAAATAAAAATAAAAATAAAAAAGAGAGAATCTGTGACATACGACAGAGAAGATGGAAAATTATTCAGCAAAAGAAACATTATACAAGGCAATTACCACTATCCAGAAAAATATCATAAAGGTTATAAGCAAGTCTCTGATACTCGAGTGGAAACAGAGAAAGACACACACACACACACTAGATGCACTCCAGCAAGAGCCCAATGTGTTCACCCTCAGTTGCTGCAAGTTAAAGTCGTCCCTCCTGCACCATCTCCAAACACACTGCGCTCTACCCCTGCAACATGCTACCTGGTGGAACATTGTCACAGTGGCCTCGGCCTCGATCTCCCTCAAGGATAAGGGGATCACATTAGATTTTTTAAAACAAAAAGGCAGAGAGAGATTTGACTCCAGAAGAGGAAGTAGGAGATGTGATGATGAAAGCAAGAGATTGAAACAATGTGAGGAAGGTGTCATGACCCAAGGAATGAGGAGAGCCTCTAGAAACTGGAAAAGGCAAGGAAACCGATCCTCCCCCAGAGCCTCTGGAGGGAGTGCAGTCCTGCCAACACCTTGATTTCAGCCCAGTGAAACTCATTTTGGACTTCTTTCAGAACTGCAAGACAATAAATTTATGTCATTTTAAGTCACTAAATTTGTAATAGTGGCAATAAGAAAGTAATACACCCAGAGGCCGGACACTGTGGCTCACACCTATAATCCCAGCACTTTGGGAGGCCGAGGTGGGCAGATCACGAGGTCAAGAGATCGAGATCATCCTGTACAACATGGTGAAACCCCATCTCTACTAAAAATACAAAAATTAGCTGGGCGTTGTGGTGCGTGCCTGTAGTACCAGCTGCTCGGGAGGCTGAGGCAGGAGAATGGCTTGAACCTGGGAGACAGAGGTTGCAGTGAGCCGAGATCGTGCCACTGCACTCCAGCCTGGGCGACAGAACAAGTATCCGTCTCAAAAATAATAATAATAATAACAATAATAATAATATGTCCAGTTTACTTCTTTCTTGGATATACCATTTCCATTAAATAATGGATGCTCGCTGAGCATTACCTTCTTTGTTGATGTTTTCATTTTTGATCCATCCAAGAATGGACATGTCAGAATATAACAATACCTGCTGATGCTTTCTTTGTTAGTGTCTAAGTGTCCAAAAGCACTCACTAACAAGCCAACAATTGCTGCTTAAATGGAGTATACCAGGCAGCGGTGTCAGGCAAATGCTGTGCCCAAAACCCTAAATGGCACTTACTGCCTATTGCCACAGGCTCCAATCAGTGTAACTGTCAGTCACCATCACTTGTAGCTGAAAAGGCTCATTAGAACTGTTCCAAATGAGAGGTCAGTCTGAATAGCCTGCTGGATAGTTTCCTTAAGCACTCCTCTTTCTTCTAGCTACTTCATCAGTATAGTAGTATTATCCCCTCTCCTCCCTTCCTTCTGGCATCCTGTACTGTTTTACTATTATGAAGGTAAGCTCTTAATCATGTATTCATCCCACGATCACTGTTTTAATTATGGCATTTCCCCACTGGGAACATTCCTTACAATCAAAAGAAGTGTTATACATACTTAACACTTCTGTTCTTACAATATATTCAGCAGTATCAGTTACAACCATTTGGGTATGTGAACTGTTCACTAAATAAAACATCATACAGTAAGTTTCAAGGGCCACAATGGTATGGCCTCTTCTACCACAGACAAATAGATTAATTTTGGCAGGCGTTGGAAATCTGGTAGGTCATGGTAGCTTCATCAGAAACATGCAGTCCTTTCCTTCGTTAGAGGCATCAGTTCTTAGACTGCTGGAGGGCTTCAGTGTAGTAAATCTATATACATAGTCCCCAATTTTTTTTTTTTTTTTTTTTGAGATGGAGTCTCGCTCTGTTGCCCAGGCTCTCTTCAGGGAGTGCAAGGCAGTGCAGAGGACACCAGCAGTGGGGTTGACTGGAGCAGAGTGGACGTTTCTTTCCTTAAAGGAACAGAGGTCAGGGTAAGAGAGAGGAAGAGATCGGGGGTGTGACAGGAGCAGTTCCACACCAATAAGCACAGTTTTGGACTTACTTTCAGATTTAAGTTGCCTTCTGCTCAGCATCTACAAACTTTTTTTCTTCTTTTCTTTTGAGACAGAGTTTTGCTCTTGTCACGCAGGCTGGAGTGCAGTGGCGTGACCTCGTCTCACTGCAACCTCCGCCTCCCAGGTTCAAGGAATTCTCATACCTCAGCCTCCCGAGTAGCTGGGATTACAGTCGCCCACCACCACGCCTGGCTAACTTTTTGTATTTTTAGTAGAGACGGGGTTTCTCCATGTTGGGCAGGCTGGTCTCGAAATCCTGATCTCAGGAGATCCACTCACCTCGGCCTCCCAAAGTGTATGGCGCCCAGCCAAGCATCTACAAACTTTTACAACTAAGACACCATTCAGGCAGCTGCTTCAATCCTACCACTGTAAATCTCTTGCTGTTTGAGTTTTGTTGTTTTTGTTTTTGTTTTGTTTTTATGAGACAGTGTATTGCTCTGTCGTGTATCGCTCTGTTGCCCAGGCTAGAGTGCAGTCGTGCGATTTCGACTCACTGCAACCTCAACCTCCTGGGCTCACGCAATCCTCCCACCTCAGCCTTCCAAGTAGCTGAGACCACAGATGTGTGCCACTACACCCAGCTAATTTTTTAAAAAATCTTTTGTAGGCCGGATGCGGTGGCTCATACCTGTAATTCCAGCATTTTGGGAGGCGGAGGCAGGCGGATCACCTGAGGTTGAGAGTTCGAGACCAGCCTGACCAACATGGAGAAACCCCATCTCTACTAAAAATACAAAATTAGCTGGGCATGGTGGTGCATGTCTGTAATCGCAGCTACTCGGGAGCCTGAGGCAGGAGAATCACTTGAACCTGGGAGGCAGAGGTTGCAGTGAGCCGAGATCGCGCCATTGCACTCCAGCCTGGGCAACAAGAGCAAAACTCCATCTCAAAAAAAAAAAAATATATAGACATAGGGTTTTGCCATGTTGCTCAGGCTTGCGTCAAACTCCTGAGCTCAACAGATCTGCCCGCCTCAGCCTCCCAAAGTGCTAGGATTACAGGCTTGAGCCACCAAGCCCAGCCTCCAAATCTCTAAATATTCACTGATGGGTAGCATGTACTATCAGACCCAGGGAAATCTTTTCCATTTCATCTAACCCAGCCCACACTGTCTAGTAACAACTAGGACACTGGGAGGAAACTGAATCCTCCCAATTCACTGCTTAGGCAAGAACATGCACTACAAGATCCCAGGGAGTCTTATCACAGCCCTTAACCTGGCCCACATCCCTCTTTCTTCCAAAAAGGCTTCGTGACCTTACCAGGCTCAGGTTGGATGCCAAATTTGTCAAGGCTAACAGAGTTGTCCTAGGCTATTGGGGAACCAGCACGGAACAGTTCCTCTACAACTACAAAAACAAATTTTAATTTTTAATTGGATTTAAACATTGCTTTTAGGCCAGGCATGGAGGTTCATGCCTATAATTCCAGATCTTTGGGAGGTCAAGGCAAGAGGATTGCTTGCACCCAGGAGCTCAACACCAACCTGGGCAGCATAGTGAGACCCAATCTCTACAAAAATTAAAAAATGGGCCAGGCGCGGTGGCTCAAGCCTGTAATCCCAGCACTTTGGGAGGCCAAGGTGGGCAGATAATGAGGTCAGGAGTTTGAGACCAGCATGGCCAATATGATGAAACCCAGTCTCTACTAAAAATACAAAAAATTAGCCGGGCGTGGCGGCAGGCACCTGTAATCCCAGCTACTCAGGAGGCTGAGGCAGGAGAATTGCTTGAACCCGGGAGGCGGAGGTTGCAGTGAGCCGAGACCACGCCACTGCACTACAGCCTGGGCAAAAGAGCGAGACTCCGTCTCAGGAAAAAAAAAAAAAAAAAGAGGGCCGGGCATGGTGGCTCATGCCTGTAATCCCAGCACTTTGGGAGGCCGAGACGGGTAGGTCGCTTAAGGCCAGGAGTTTGAGACCAGCCTGCCCAACATGGCAAAACCCTGTCTCTACTAAAAATACAAAAATTAGTCAGGTGTCGTGGCACATGCCTGTGGTCCCAGCTACTTGGGAGGCAAAGGCACAAGAATCGCTTGAACCTGAGAGGTGAAGGTTGCAGTGAGCCCAGATTGCGCCACTGCCCTCTGTCCTGGGTGGGAGAGAGAGAGAGAGAGACTCTGTCTCAAAAAAAAAAAAAAAAAAAAAAGTTAATTTAAAATTAAAAAAAAAAAAAAAAAAAAGCCAGGCATAGTGGCATGCACTGGTAATCCCAGCTACTGGGAAGACTGGGGTGGGAGAATCACCTGAGCCTGGGATGTTGAGGCTGCAGTGAGGTGTGATTGCACCACTGCCCTCTAGCCTGGGCAACAGAGACCTTGATTCTAAAAAAATAAAAATAAAGAAATTAACATTGCTTTAAGTGTGACAGAACCACCAACTATGTACAAAGTGTCCTGGATTATGTTCAGAGCAGCACTCACCTGCAGCTGCTTCTTCAGTCCTCTTCCAGGGCAGCCCATAGTGCTTCATCAAACATCCTTTAGCCTCTTCCACATGAATGCAGAACACTCCAACTATTCAACAACTTTCAGGTCACAGACCATCATGTCAGCCATCTGTGGAGTGAGGGGATTGTATTTGTCCTTGATTAAGCTTCTCAGTAGTACAGGGTTACACTTCTGAGATCAATTGTGGTTCCAAGAAACAATGAGTCGGTGAATTATCTCAGGTACCCACTTTTCACATTTTCAAATGAGGATAGAAGACCACTAGAAGATAAACTATAAGGCCAGGGGTGGTGACTCACGCCTTTAATCCCAGCACTTTGGGAGGCCGAGGTGGGCAGATCACTTGAGGTAGGGAGTTTGAGACCAGTCTGACCAACATGGAGAAACCTGGTCTGTACTAAAAATAGAAAATAATCCGGGAGTGGTAGCACATGCCTGTAATCCCAGCTACTTGGGAGTCTGAGGCAGAAGAATCACTTGAACCCAGGAGGCAGAGGTTGCAGAGAGCCGAGGTTGCAGTGAGCCGAGATCGCACCATTGCACTCCAGCCTGGGCAATAAGAGCAAAACTCCATCTCAAAAAAAAAAGAAGATAAACTATAAATATTAATACATCTAGCTGGGCACGGTGGCTCACACCTGTAATCCCAACACTTTGGGAGGCTGAGGCGGGCAGATCGCCTGAGGTCAGGAGTTCGAGACCATCCTGGCCAGCATGGTGAAACCCCGTCTCTACTAAAAATACAAAAATTAGCTGGGCGTGGTGGCAAACGGCTGTAATCCCAGCTACTTGGGAGGCTGAGGCAGGAGAATCGCTTCAACCCAGGAGGCGGAGGTTGCAGTGAGCCGAGGTCGCGTGCCATTGCACTCCAGCCTAGGCAACAGAGTGAATTCCGTCTCAAAAAAAAAAAAAAAAAAAATTAATACATCCGATTGTGGATAGCTGTGGGGGTCATTCTGTTATAATCTTTTTGCCCTGCAGGACTGAAAAGTGCAAGATTATATGGCTCAACAATAACCGTGACTGCACAGTTTTCAAAAAATCACTGGTATATCTGTCAGGGCAAACTGTTGGTAATGAAAAATAAGAAAAAGGGGCCAGGTGCAGTGGCTCATGCCTGTAATCCCAGCACTTTGGGAGGCTGAGGTGGGCAGATCACCTGAGATCAGGAGTTCGAGACCAGACTGGCCAACATGCTGAAACTCCATCTCTACTAAAAATACAAAATTAGCCGGCCGTGGTGGCAGGCACCTGTAATCCCAGCTACTCGGGAGGCTGGGGCAGGAAATTGCTTGAACCCGGGAGGCGGAGGTTGCAGTGAGCCAAGATCGTGCCATTGCACTCCAGCCTAGGCGACAAGAGCTAAACTCCATCTCAAAAAAAAAAAAACAAAAGAAAAAAATAATCACTCGTACATATTCAGACAATTTGTTTGTTGTATAGGATATCAAGACATATATTACCAACAGCTTCATTATTCACAATTGTCTGCATTGCTGAAATATTTTTGAATCCACTTTAAATATTCCAAATTTGATTTTGACTCAGCATTTCCAGTCGGCTTTAAAGACCAAAGTATTTTTATCAGCTTGAGGGGTGCTGGCAGGAAAGGGAGTGAAAGAGTGTTTAGGCCCTCATAGGTGGTTGAGGAGGTGGTTCAAATTGACTAGATGGTGGTAGTGGGTAAGATCGCCAGGAAATACTGGAACCCAGGGTCCCCAGGTTTTCAGGTTTTTGGGTATACGACGTGGAAATACTGTAACCCAGGGCCCTGGGTTTTCAGGTTTTTGGGTATACAACATGAAAAAATACCCACTTGAGACCCTTGAGTGTTGTTTCAAAAAGTTCCAGGAAGAAGCTGAGCCTCAGCAAAACAAAAACCAGCTGGATCCAGAGATGCCTGAGATGGATACAAAATGTGGCTAAGTCTTATTACCATACTAAAAACCCTCGCCCAGGTGTTATAGAACCTAACTGGGGTCCACTCACCTGCCTGACACAGTGAGGTTGTGCAGCAGTAGAAAGGAAGGCATGTATTTATTTTTTGTTATTTTTGGAGACAGAGTCTTGCTCTGTTGCCCAGGCTGGAGTGCAGTGGTGTGATCTCGGCTCACTTCAACCTCCGCCTCCTGGGTTCAAGTGATTTTCCTGCCTCAGCCTCCGGAGTAGCTGGGACTAGAGTTGCCAGCCACCACACCCAGCTAATTTTTGTATTTTTAGTAGAGATGGGGTTTTGCCATGTTGGCCAGGCTGGTCATGAACTCCTGGCCTCAAGTGATCCGACCACTTTGGCCTCCCAAAGTGCTGGGATTACAGGTATGAGCCACTGCACCTGAACTTGTTATTTTTCAAATGTTTTGTTTTGAGACAGGGTCTCATTCTGTTTCCCAGGCTGGAGTGCAGTGGCACGATGATGGCTCATGTAGCCTCAACCTCTTGGGCTCAAGCAATCCCCCTGCCTCAGCCTCCCAAGTAGCTGGGACTACAGAAGTGCACCATCATGCCCAGCTAATTTTTTAATTTTTTGTAGAGACAGGGTTTCGGCATTTTGCCCCTGATCTCGAACTCCTGGGATGGAGCAATCCTCCCGCCTTGCCCTCCCAAAGTGCTGGGATGAGAGGTGTGAGCCATCATGCACAGCTGAAGGCATCTATTTGCAAAGATGCAAAGCAAGGAGGATCAGGCAGCTCATGCCCAAATTCTGACCTCCCTGATGCCTTGCAGTTTTCTTTTTCTGTTCTTTTTTTTTTTTAAGGCTGGGGTAAATTTCAGGAAAGCCAAAGTTACAGGCAAAATTGTAAATCAATAGATGGAGGTTACACTTTGGTTCTGGCCTAAAAAGGCAGGATATCTTGAAATAAGGGCTTATAGTCATAGGTAGATTCAAAGATTTTTCTCATTTGCAATGGGTTAAGAGAAGCTTCGTTTAAATTTTGGGGACAGCAGAAGAGAATATTAGCTCAGGATTGTAGATGTGATCCCTCCAAGCCCCTGAGAAAGAAATTTTCAACAAAGAACAGTGGTCAGACTTCAGTCTTCAGTTCCCCCTTCTCTGAGGTCTAGGTGCCAGCAGATCCATTCAGTAGGGGTCCAGGTTTCTGAAAAACAATTGAAAGACCTATGTTAAAATGTTATCTTCCATTTCTACACAAAACCAAATACCCCATGATTTTAACTTCCTTGGCTATCATTTTAAGCTACTATTAACTTTTTATTAAGTTACTTATTTACTCTCAGGGCTAGCTATGTGCTGGTAATTTCTCTTGAAAGAACTCAAGACTTTTTTTTATTTCTATGCTTAGATACTCAGCAAGCCTTTAAGAGGGGGTCCCTGCCCTGTCTCATAGGGAGGAGCTTCTTTTTCGCCATTTTCTTTCTCTCTCTATTTTTTTTCAATATCGGCTGGGTCTCCCTATGTTGCCTAGGCTGGTCTTGGGCTCCTGGCCTCTAGCGACCCTCCCTCATCAGCCTCCCAAAGTGCTGGGATTACAGGTGTGAGCCACTGCGTCCCGTCCCTCTTTTCCTCCCCTCCCCTTCCCTCTCCTTTCCTTTCCCTTCTTTCTTTCTCTCTCTCTCTCTTTCTTTTTTTTTTTCTTTTCTGAGGTGCAGTTTCGCTCTTGTTGCCAAGGCTGGAGTGCAATGGCGCAGTCTCGGCTCACAGCAACTTCCGCCTCCCGGGTTGAAGCGATTCTCCTGCCTCAGCCTCCCGAGTAGCTGTGATTACAGGCATGCGCCACTATGCCCGGCTACTTTTGTATTTTTAGTGGAGACAGGGTTTCTCCCCATGTTGGTCAGTTTGGTCTCGAACTCCCGACCTCAGGTGATCCGCCTGCCTCAGCCTTCCAAAGTGCTGGGATTACAGGCATGAGCCACTGCGCCCGGCCTTATTTGCTATTTTCTATGCATGCGAGGTATGTAGAAACATGATAGAAAACTGCACCAGCACGGCTTTTGCTCCACCTCTACATACGACTAATAAAAGCACTGTTTTCACCTTTGTTCAGGGAGGCACCGCTTTAAGAATTACCCCCAGTGTTTCCTTACTTGTTGCAAGTAATAACATCCCCTTGTCAAATCCTTGGTTGTGGTCACGGTACTGTCACCCACCAAGTAAGCAAACTCACCCACTGGGTGGGGAATAGTCCTGCAAGAAAAAGTCTTGGCAGGAGGGACAAAGGTCAGCCAGAGGGTCACTCCACCATCCTCACAGTCTCAACAAGAATAGGGAACACAAGAGAAAACTGCCCTACTGGCCCTTGCTTTCCCTATCTGCGGCCTCCGGAATCCGGTGTGGAAGAAGTGTTCAGAAACTGTGCTGAGGCCCTTCCCTATTCCCCCACGCCATCCACCTTACCCCAGTGGCAACTTTCTGGCCGGACAGGTCAGGAGCCCAGCTAAAAAGGTGAGTGGGCCATCAGCCTATACAGGCAACGAGAGTGTCAACCGCCAGATTACTACTGCCAGTTACGAAAAAACGGTCCTCTGGAAGCGACGTTCTCTGTGCGCCACGTAACACGCTGCAGGAAAGGTACACTGGGGGGTATCACGTGACCGTCAACCGCTGGGGCGAGCAGGCGCCTAGAACCCAGCGATCGTCCATGGCCAGGGAGCTTCCAGTCACGTTCCTCTCTCTAATACCATCCTCCGCGCCTCACCTAAGCAAGCGCCACCTTCTCGCAGCTTCCTGCCCCCTAAAGCCTCGGAAGTCCTGGCCCTCCCAAGGTGGGGAAACGGAGGAACGGACGTGAAGGGAGCTGTGGGACGCGCGACCGTGGAGCTGGACTGCACCGAGTCCCAGCGCGCATCCGGGCTCCGGGAGTCCCACCGAGCCGTGACGTCAGAGGCGGGGCCGAGCACTGGGCGACCTCTGAGCTCGGGGCTTCGCGGGTCCGGCGGCCTCTTGTTTCGCCTTCTTGCTCTTGGGCCATCTTCCCTAAGTGGGAAGACCTAGGTTTTGCCAATCGGTTACCCGAGACCTTGGAGCAACGGCCGCGTTTGTTTGCAAAACTCTCCTCATTGTGTGGCACCCGCCCTGCGCAGGTGGAGCCTTTAAATGGGAACACCTGGACGAGGCTCTGATGGGAAACGGGGGCTGGAAGTTTGTCAGGAGCACGGAGACAGGTCGCCCTTCGGCCTGAATTTGGCGTAACTAGGACTGTGGGTACCTCCTGGCCCCAGACTGTTTACCAAAGCAAGCTTGCTGCAAGCTGTTGTAGATAAGCTTTAACCTCCGCTGGTCCTAGGTGCTCTGAAGACCTTCGGCTTTTTATTTTATTTTATTTTTTGAGATAGAATTTCGCTGTCGCCCAGGCTGGAGTGCAGTGGCGCCATCTCGGCTTACTGCAACCGCAGCCTCCTGGGTTCAAGTGATTCTCGTGCCTCAGCCTCCTGAGTAGCTGGGATTATAGGCATGTGCCACCACGCCCAGCTAATTTTTGCATTTTTTGGTAGAGACGGGGTTTCCCTATGTCCAGGTTGGTCCCGAACTCCTGGCCTCAAGTGATCCGCCCGCCTCGGCCTCTCAAAGTGTTGGGATTACAGACGTGAGCCACCGCACCCAACCTGGAAACACTTCCTGGAAACACTTTTTTTTTTGAGAAGGAGTCTTGCTCAATCGCCCAGGCTGGAGTGCAGCGGCGCTCCAGCGGGGCGATCTTGGCTCATTGCAACCTCTGCCTCCCAGGTTCAAGCATTTCCCCTGTCTCAGCCTCCCGAGTAGCTGGGACTACAGGCGCCTGCCACCACGCTCGGCTAATTTTTGTATTTTTAGTAGAGACGGTGCGTCACCTTGTTGGTCAGGCTGGTCTCGAACTCCTGACCTCAGGTGATCTACCTACCTCGGCCTCCCAACGTGCTGGGATTACAGCCGTGAGCCAGCGCGCCCGGCCTTCAAAACACTTCTTTATAAACAATTTGCAGTGTTGCAGCCTGGTCATCCGGGGCTTTGACCTAACATTTTTTATACTAAAATGTTAGGTAACTCCATATGCTCATTAATGGATTTGGTCTGAGACTAATTGCATAGTTTTTATTTAAAATTATGTTACACTTTGATTCGTGTGTGTCCTGTTTTAATACTGCAATACTCTTGATTTCAGCTTCTTTAATAATTAAATATCTCAGTGGTGTGTGATCCCAGGGAAGTATTCTTGGCACAGTTTTGACATGTTTACTTGGTTGGAAGGACATTGTGGGAATATAATGAAGCCGAAAACATGGGAATATTGCGAGTCAAAAATATGGTTTTCCCTGTATTTCAATATCCACAAAACTGAAACATGCCCTACATGTGTCCTTGAGTATATTACTAATAAGGTATACAATATAAGGCTTCCATCTCAGAAGTTAAAGTGGTGTAGAATTGCCAACATTTATACAGAATTTAGTATTTGTCCAGCACTGTTCTAAGTGCTCCACAGGTTTTAGCACCTATTACCCTCAGTGAAGTTATTACCCAGTGAATAGTCCCATATTACAGATAAACTAACTGCCTCACTATGAGATTGAGTGATTTGCTCAATCACTATGAGATTGAGTAATTTGCTCAAAGTCACACAGAGCCAGTATCAGCTTCTCTCTCTATTTTTTTTTTTTTTTAAATAGGCGGGGTGGCTATGTTGCCCAAGCTGGTCTCCAAGTCCTAGGCTCAGATCCTTTGGCCTCAGCCTCCCTGGAGTAGCTGGGGACTAGGGCACACGCCACCACACTGGGCAGGATCTGCTTTTTAAAGTAGTCTTCTGTACTCTTAGTGCAAAGGAGAACTGGACTGGAAGTCTGGAGGCCTATACTTCAGACCTAGCTCTACTATTTACCCAGTTGTTTGACTTATTTTTTTATTTTTTTTATTTTTTTTGAGACGGAGTTTCGCTCTTATTGTCCAGGCTGGAGTGCAATGACGCAACCTCGGCTCACTGCAACCTCTGCCTCCTGGGTTCAAGCAATTCTCCTGCCTCAGCCTCCCAAGTAGCTGGGATTACAGGCATGCACCACCACACCCTGCTACTTTTTGGTATTTTTAGTAGAGATGGGGTTTCATCGTGTTGGCCAGTCTGGTCTCAAACTCCTGACCTCACGTGATCCACCCGCCTCGGCCTCCCAAAGTGCTGGGATTACAGGCGTGAGCCACCGAGCCTAGCCTCAGTTGACTCTTGAATGACATGGGTTTGAATTGCATGGGTCGACTTATACACTGCTTTTTTTCAACCAAATGCAGATTGAACATACAGTATTCACGGGATGTGAAACCCTGTATGGGGAGGGCCCAATTTTCCTATACTCTTATTCCTCAGGGCCAGCTGCAGGACTTGGGTATGCTTGGATTTTGCTATACTTGGGGGTCCTGTAATGGTTATAAGACCAATAACCAATCGTCTGTGTATACTGAGAGACAACTGTACTATAGAGCTGTGTCTCAAGTTTCTTCACCTGAAAAATAAGGATTCTACATCAGTGCTGTTGACTTCCCTGAAGAGTTATGAATATCAATACATTGATTTTTAAAAGTAGAAGCATTTGGTTGGGCGCGGTGGTTCACGCCTGTAATCCTAGCACTTTGGGAGGCTGGGGTGGGTGGATTACCTGAGGTTGGAAGTTCAAGACCAGCCTGACCAACATGGTGAAACCCTGTCTTTACTAAAAATACGAAAAATTAGCCAGGTGCAGTGGCGCACGCCTGTAATCCTAGCTACTTGGGAGGCCAAGGAAGGAGAATCGCTTGAACCCGGGAGGCAGAGGTTGCATTAAACCAAGATCACGCCATTGCACTCCAGCCTGGGCTACAGAGTAAGACTTCATCTCAAAAAACAAAAAACAAAACAAAAACAACAACAAAAAAGTAGAAGCATTTTTAAAGCAGTAAAACACTGTATGAAACAGATGTTATATTGCAATTATTTCACAGTCTTGGCTATTGAAGTAAGCCAATTAGGCAATTTACTAAATTATGACCCAGATGACTATATTTATGTCCCTGAAGTAGAATTACCTTTAAATTTCAATTGTAATTAACATTTTTTTGCCAGATGAAATAATTCATTCAGTTCTGATAATAAACCACATTTGCACAATAGCTGTATCCTTTTAAAGACAATTATGTAGATGATTACCTTTGAAATCACCTCAGAGACACTAATTACTAGTAAAAAATGAGTTTCTCAATTGCTCATAATAGTAACAATATAGCAAATTATAGAGTCAAATTTTGATGTTTTAAACTCCAGTGGACTCTGGAAAATATAGACATAGAATGACAGTAATCACTGATTTTTTTTTTTTTTTTTTTTTTTTGAGACAGAGTCGTGCTCTGTCACCAGGCTGGAGTGCAGTGGCACGATCTCGGCTCACTGCAACCTCTGTCTCTCTGGTTCAAGCGATTTTCCTGCCTCAGCCTCCCAAGTAGCTGAGATACAGGCACACGCTACCATGCCCGGCTAAATTTTGTATTTTTAATAGAGACGGGGGTTTCACCATGTTGGCCCGGGATGGTCTTGATCTCTTGACCTCGTGATTCACCCGCCTCAGCCTCCCAAAGTGCTGAGATTGCAGGCGTGAACCACTGTGCCCAGCCTTATCATTGATTTTGAAAAATGATTCTATATTGACAATAATTTTGCCTTTTTATGAGCCAATAAATTCTTATTGTTTATGACTGTTTACATTTAGTTACATTACTTGCATCAGACAAGTGCTAGTAGTTATACTGAACTATGCTATGGCCACAGACTCTCCTCCTGCTTACCTTGGATTTCTAAATACCAACCCCAGCTGACATGGAATAGGGCTTTGTATCTGGCGGATGCTCATTAACCGTTGTTAGCCAACTCTGAAAGTTGTCTTCTTAGCATGCAAATACTTGTAAAAATTTTACAGAAGGGTGACAAATTCTAACAGTCTACCTTCAGTTGATTTTCTTATTTTTTTTTTTTCAGACAGAGTCTTGCTCTGTCGCCCAGGCTGGAGTGCAGTGGCTCACTGCAACCTCCGCCTCCCGGGTTCAAGCGATTCTCCTGCCTCAGCCTCCCAAGTAGCTGGTGCCTGCCACCATGCCCAGATAATTTTTTGTATTTTTAGTAGAGATGGGATGTCACCAAGTTGGCCAGGCTGGTCTTGAACCCCTGACCTCAAGTGATCCACCTGCTTTGGCCTCCCAAAGTGCTGGAATTACAGGTTTGAGCCACTGTACCCAGCCCAGTTGAAATATTTTAATCTCCCTTGATTCTCTGGAGAAGAAATGACCTGTATATTTTCTCTTTCGCTTTATTTTTGGAGGCTGGCTGTTGGGTTTCTGAACACGCTCTGTACTTCTTGTGGTCTCCTAATGAATTTTAAGTAGTTATTACCATGATAGTTTACATTAATTTGGGCTGACTCACTATCTGTGTGTGCCTGTTTGCTTCATATTTCATCGTCAGCAAAAAACTGGTGCAAATGCATGGTGGGGGCACATGATATAAAACATCAGTCTCTAACTTGTATTATGGCTTTAATTTTCTCTGTGTCTTCACTTTATGATCAAAAGCAGAGTGGATTTTCTGCTTGCTTTTTATTGGAATGTTGGGAGTGATTAAGGAACTAAGACATATTTTGAAAAAATCAGCCTTTGATGTGATGTGATACTTACATGAATTAATATTGTGCATTTATATAATTAAAGGACCTATGCATTTAACTTATGCCTTCAAGAATCACTGTTGCAATTCAACACATCATCATATATAATATATAATACATAATATTATTATAATATATAATATTATATATAATATATAATATTATATATAATATTATAATATATAATATTATTATAATATATAATATTATAATATATAATAATATATAATATTATATAATTATATATATTATATAATATATAATATTATATATATTATTATATAATAATATTATTATAATATACTCTCTCTATATATATAGTGTGTATGTGTGTGTGAGACAGGGTCTGGACAGGTCTGCCCAGGCTGGAGTGCAGTGTCACCATCTCAGCTCACTGCAGCCTCAACCTCCCAGGTTCAAGCAATCTTCCCACCTCAGCTTCCCAAGTATCTGGGACTACAGGCATGCACCACCAGGCCTGGCTAATTTTTGTATTTTTAGTAGAGACAGGATTTTTGCCATGTTACCAGGCTTGTCTCAAACTCCTGAGCTCAAGCGATCCGCCTGCCTCGGCTTCCCAAAGTGCTGGGATTACAGGCATGAGCCACCGTTCCTGCCCTGAAATGTGTACACTTTTTAATTTAAGAATGAAAGAAGACCGGGCGCTGTGACTCATGCCTGTAATCCCAGCACTTTGGGAGGCCGAGGCAAGTGGATCACCTGAGGTCAGGAGTTTGAGACCAGCCTGGCCAACATGGTGAAACCCTGTCTCTACTAAAAATACAAAAAGTAGCCAGGTGTGGTGGCAGGCGCCTGTAATCCCAGCTCCTCAGGAGGCTGAGACAGGAGAATTGCTTGAACCCAGGAGTCAGAGGTTGTAGTGAGCCGAGATTATGCCACTGCACTCCAGCCTGGGTGGCACAGCAAGACTGTGTCCCCCCCAAAAAAAAAAAAAAAAGAGCCAGTCAGGCACAGTGGCTCACGCCTGTAATCTCAGCACTTTGGGAGGCTGAGGTGGGCAGATCACCTGAGGTCAGGAGTTCGAGACCATCCTGGCCAACAAGGTGAAACCTCATCTCTACTAAAAATAGAAAAATTAGCCGGGCATTGTGGTGTGCGCCTATAATCCCAGCCAGTCTGGAGGCTGAGGCAGCAGAATTGCTTGAACCTGGGAGGTGGAGGTTGTAGTAAGCCGAGATTGTGCCACTGCACTCCAGGCTGGGCCACATAATTAGACTCCGTCTCAAAAAAAAAAAAAAAAAAAAGAATGAAAGAGCCTTGCTGGGTGGTGGCTCACACCTGTAATCCCAACATTTTGAGAGGCCAAGGCAGGCAGATCACGAGGTCAGGAGATCAAGACCATCCTGGCTAACACGGTGAAACCCCATTTCTACTAAAAATACAAAAAAATTAGCCAGACGTGGGGGTACACGCCTGTAACCCAGCTACTCAGGAGGCTGAGGCAGAAGACTCACTTGAACCCGGGAGGCGGAAGTTGCAGTGAGCCAAGATCACACCATTGCACTCCAGCCTGGAGACACAGCGAGACTTTGTCCCAAAAAAAAAAAAAAAAAAAGTAAAAGAAAAAAGAAAAAAAAGAGAAAGAGCCTTTGTTTTTAAATTTAAGCGTAATTTTAAAAAAATTTTTTTTGAAATATATTCTCACTCTGTAACCCAGGCCCCAGATTAGAATGCAATGGAGTGATCATAGCTCACTACATCTTAAATTTCTGGGTTCAAGTGATCCTCCCTTCTCAGCTTCTTGAATAGCTAGGACTACAGGCATGTATTGCCTCAGCCTACTAATTTTTAATTTTTTTTTTTTTTTTTTTTGAGATGGAGTCTCACTCTGTCGCCCAGGCTGGAGTGCAGTGGTGGGATCTCGGCTGACTACAACCTCCAACTCCCAGGTTCAAGCGATTCTCCTGCCTCAGCCTCCCAAGTAGCTGGGATTACAGGCACCTGCCAACACATCCAACTAATTTTTGAGTTTTTAGTAGAGACGGGTTTTCACCATACTGGTCAGGCTGGTCTTGAACTCTTGGCCTCAGGTGATCTGCCCGCTTCAGCCTCCCAAAGTGCTGGGATTACAGGTGTGAGCCACTGCACTTGGCCAAACTTTTAAATTTTTTTGTAGAGACAGGTTTTCACTGTGTTGTCCAGGCCGATCTTAAACTCCTGGCCTCAGGCAATCCTGCCACCTTGGCCTCTCAAAGTGCTGGGATTATAGGTGTGAGGCACCATGCCTGATGTTTTAAGTGTAATTTAATAATAGTATCTTTAAGCATTATTTTATTAGATCTTGTTGCAGCTCTTTTACTACTGTAGTTCAATGAGCTCCAAGTTCTTGTCCCACGGTTGAGAAGAATGAGGTACATGGACACCAGAGAGTAACTAAGGCAGAGTAGAATTTGTTGAGCAAAAGAAAAGCTCTCAACAGCAAGATGGGACCCAAAGGTGGGTTGCTAGTGATGAGGCCGAGTCTAGAGGTTTCTATAGGCTTGAAATGGGGAAGTGTGTGCTGACTGGTCTGTGGGTATGCTTGAAAAACACCATTCAGAAATAGGCACAAAAGTGTAGAGGACCAATTGGGGAAGGGAGGTAATGATTCAATACATCATCTCATATATATATATTATATATAATTATATATAATATATAATATTATATATAATTATATATAATATATAATATTATATATAATTATATATAATATATAATATATATAATTATATATAATATATAATATTATATATTATAAATATATATTATAAAAAAATAGCTGAAGGATAAAGACCAATCAGGAAAGAGCATGCCAAACAGGAATGGGATCTCTAAATCTGGTTTGTGGATTTAGCCAGAACTTGTAGCTTGGTTTTCAGGCTTCAGACTATCCTTAGCTCGAAGGTTGAGTTTCACCAGGGACCCATCCCTGTCTGCCTAAAAATTTACCTGCCTCCTATCACTATCAATCTCCTGTATGATGACTCTACAAGTAAGTGGATAAGGCAAAAGCCTTTCTAAACAGGTGATGGGTATTCATCTTTCTGCCACAAGATATCACTATGTTTAGTCTCTGGACCTACCTACTTACTCTTTTTTTATTTTGTTTTGTTTTTTTGAATACAGAGTCTTGCTTTCTCACCGAGGCTGGAGTGCAGTGGTATGATCTCGGCTCACTGCAACCTCTGCCTCCTGGGTTCAAGCGATTCTTCTGCCTCAGCCTCCCGAGTTGCTGGGAATACAGGTGTGTGCCACCACGCCTGGCTAATTTTTAGTAGAGACGGGGTTTCACCATGTTGGCCAGGTTGGTCTTGAACTCCTGACCTCAGGTGATCCCTCCCAATGTGCTGGGATTCCAGGCATGAGCCACTGTGCCCGGCCGCTACCTATTCTTTATTCCTTCCAGGTACTACTCAGTGTTAATCAGTTTCACTGTACACTGGTTATCAACTTGAGTCCAGTGATATACAACACCCATGCACACAATTTATACTTAATGGAACCCCATGATTGTTACTGGAGTATTTAGCATTACATATTACCCCTTTTATAATAGCTATACAAAAATTACCCATGAGTGAATGAGCTGAAGCAGGTTTATTGCTTATGGATAGGCAGCAAGGAGCAACAGAAGCCTAGGATTTATTGTGAGCTGGTCCCCCAAGGGTCAAGAAAGCTGCCCAGGGCAGACAGGGTCTCAACTGTGTGTACTCCACTTGAACCACAGCCGAGAAATCCCAGAAAGCAGCCCTCTCTGGGTTATATCCTCAGGGGCCACAAGACTTGCTGGGCTAAAATGTTGGAGGACATGTCGCTTCTAGGGGAAAAAGAAACAAAGTCCAGGCTGTTCCAGCCAGTTCCTCCCCTATCTCAGGATACTGCATTCCAAGCATATTCTATAGTTATTCTTTTTTTTTTTTTTTGAGGTGGAGTTTCGCTCTTGTTGCCCAGGCTGGAGTACAATGGCACGATCTTGGCTCACGGCAACCTCTGCCTCCCAGATTCAAACAATTCTTCTGCCTCAGCCTCCCAAGTAGCTGGGATTACAGGCATGTACCACCACGCCCGGTTAATTTTGTATTTTTTTTTTAGTTGAGACAGGGTTTCTCCATGTTGGTCAGGCTGTTCTCAAACTCCCAACCTCAGGTGATAACGCCCGCCTCAGCCTCCCAAAGTGCTGGGATTACAAGGTGTGAGCCACCGCGCCTGGCTCTTCAGTTATTCTTGAAAACCACGGCCAGGCGCAATGGTTCGTGCCTGTAATCCCAGCACTTTGGGAGGCTGAGTTGGATCACTTTAGGTCAGGAGTTGGAGATCAGCCTGGCTAACATGGTGAAACCCTGTCCCTACTAAAAATACAAAAACTAGCCATGTATGTTGGTATGCATCTGTAGTCCCAGCTACTCGGGAGGCTGAGGCAGGAAAATCACTTGAACCCAGGAGGCAGAGTTTGCAGTGAGCCGACATTGTGCTACTGCATTCCAGCCTGGGCAACAGAGTGAGACTCTGTCTGAAAAAAAAATAGTAATAATAATTAAACCACAAGCATGAAAAGAAGAACTGGGTTGGGGTCTGAGGCCACCCAGAGAATTGTTCTCCACCCCAGCTCAAAACTTGGTCTTATTGTTGTTTCATCATGATGGATGTCTTCGTTGCTCCTCACAAACCCACTCACTTTTGGAATACCCACTTCTCTCTCTGGAATGTCCACTTCACAGAGATACCATGGCTATTCTTCCCTTTCTGTCAGTTCTGGCTTGCCATTCATTCCCACCCAACTGCAACATACCAGCTAGTAGCTGTTTTTCTCAAACCACACTCATGGACTACATCTCAAAAATAACTCCATTCTCTGAAGTATAGAACAAAGAAGGTCCAAATGGCCTCACTCCCAAGGCTGAAAGTTGTTCTGTAAGCTCAGCTAGGACTCTCAGGCAGGGGCCTCAGTTCTCCATATGGGCTTGCGAAGGGAAAATAAAACTTGGGGCCCCAAAAATCACTAAGCTAAAGAGAAGACTGAAGCTAGGAACTGCTTAGGGCAAACCTGCCTCCCACTGTATTCAAAGTCATTCCTCAGCTCGCTGAGATACACATCTGACTGCTTCCTTTGAAAAGGCTAATCAAACTCAAAAGAATGCAACCGTTTGCCTCTTATCTACCTATGACCTGGAAACCCACTCCCCTCTTTGAGTTGTTCTGCCTTTGCCTCGAGTCTGCCTTTGCGTCAAATTGTCACGCCTTTCTGGAAAAAACCAATGTTCATCTTACATATATTGATTGATGTCTCCCTAAAATGTATAAAAGTAAGTTGTACTGGGACCACCTTGGGCACATGTAGTCAGGACCTCCTGAGGCTGTGTTATGGGTGTGCATCCTTACCTTTGGCAAAATAAACTTCCTAAACTGACTGAGGCCTAACTCAGATATTCAGGGTTTACAGGCTTCTTGGGCTTCCTCATGGTGGCAGCTGAAGTCTAAGCAGGAGCCTTCAAAGAGTTCAGAATTGCATAATGCCAGGGCAGTTCAAAGAAAAACATTGTTTGGTAAAAGTGCTTAACCTATACACCAAAGGAAAATTTATAGCTGATGTTGTTTTTTTGTTGTTTGTCTGGTTTGAGACAAAATCTCGCTGTGTCACCCAGGCTAGAGTGCAGTGGTGGCATCTCAGCTCACTCCAACCTCCATCTCCTGGGTTCAAGCGATTCTCCTGCCTCAGCCACTCAGGTAGCTGGGATTACAGGCGTGCACCACCACACACGGCTAATTTTTATATTTTTAGTAGAGATGGGGTTTCATCATGTTGGCCAGACTAGTCTCGAACTCCTGACCTCAAGCAATCTGCCTCCCTCGGCCTCCCAAAGGGCTGGGATTACAGGTGTGAGCCACCGCGCTGGCCTGTACCTAGTTTTGAATCATGCGTTTCTACAAAGCAGCCTGAGGAAAGCATGCCAAACAAACCTCCACCCTGAAAAGGAGAAGATGGCCCTAGGATGGGTTAATAATCAAGGGCCATGAGGAAAGGATAACCTAAGGTGGAGTCCTAAAGGCCTAAAAAGGTGGGATCAGTTTAATGTATACAGTCTTTTTTTTTTTTTTTTTTTTTTGAGACAGAGTCTGGCCATCACCTAGGCTGGAGTGCAGTGGCTCGATCTCGGCTCATTGCAACCTCCGCTTCCCAGGTTCAAGCGATTCTCATGCCTCAGCCTCTTGAGTAGCTAGGACTACAGGCGCCCGCCACCACGCCCGGCTAATTTTTATATGTATTTTTAGTAGGGACGGAGTTTCACCATGTTAGCCAGGCTGGTCTTGAACTCCTGACATAGTGATCCGCCCACCTTGGCCTCCCAACGTGCTGGGATTACAGGCGTGAGCCACTGCGCCCGGCGGATGATCCATTTTTACAGATGGGAGGCATGTACTATCTTAAGCGTGAGAGACAGGCTACTAGAAAGGCCAAGACCATGGATTTCAACAAGTGGGGAAAAGTCCCAAAGGCGCAGATGGTTATAAAGGCCCTCCTGGGATAAGATACTTTGGCTGTAGACGCTGTAGAAAGTACTGGCCCCAGGAAGGAAAAATGGAAAAGCTGGCTGCAGGGTCTGGGGATATCCTAAGAGAACTTTCTGCGGCTGTAGGCTTTGGGAAAAGGGCCCTGAGGGCTGAGGGACAGGGCTGGGTCTGTCATCTAGTGACATCCGCACCCACCGAAGCTCCGCTGGGCTGCACCGCCAACTCTGGTCCTCTAGAGAGCTGCGAGGATGGGGATCAAACACTCAGTGGGGCCGGGCAGGCTGTCTGTGTCCGCAGCCCGCTCAACACGACGCCGGCATATCGCAGCGAACAGGAGAGGAGACGTCGCAGTCCCAGTAGTCTGTCTCCGCGTTTCTTGGCTGCCTGGTCCCGGCCCTGGTGCAGGGGGAAGACGATTACTTGGGATCTTGGGTCGGGACTCGGAGGGGCAAGGTAGAAAGGCAAAGGGGGCCGGTACTAACGGTGCGATTTGAGACTGTTCTACCTGAGTGACAGCGGACGCTCGCGCACGCGCGGAAAGACTTGGATGCCGCCCTCCCTGCGGCGCCCGAGGACCTCACGTGACCCCGAGGTCCTCACGTGACCCCCCACCAGCCAGCGAAGCGGGGTGGTCAGCGCCTCCGCAACGCATGTGGGTCAGCTGGCTGACGGGACCAGGATCTTCCCGGCGGCTCAGTGCAGTCGCTGAGCTAACGCCACAGTCTGGAAGTTGCCTGTTTCGTCAGAGCTGGGGAGATACTTGGGCAGGAAAGAGGAACTGAGGCCCAAGCGGCCGCGGGACTCCTTTAGGGCGGGACCTGCTGGTGTCCACCCGCCCCACTTAGTAATAGGTTTCCACGCCGGCCTGGGACCTTCTGGAGCGGTGACCTCAGAGGCGCGGCCATGGAGGTACCAGTGCAGGTGTCACCAGCCTCTGGGCGGTCCCTAAGGATTTTTTTTTTTTTTTGAGATGGAGTTTCGCTCTGTCGCCCAGGCTGGAGTGCAGTGGCGCGATCTCGTCTCACTGCAACACCCTCCTCCTGGGTTCAAGCGATGCTCCTACCCCAGCCTCCCGAGTAGCTGGGACCACACGAGCGCGCCACCACGCCCGACCAATTCAAGGGGAGCACTTCAACAATGACCATGTTGTAAGCTTCCGGGAGCGCAGATTCCGTGTGTTGGCGGCACCGGTGTGGAGTGTGTTCTACTCCCGCAGGTGTGAGCCTTCAGATGGGGAACGTGCGCTGGAAATTTCTGAGGAATGCTTGAACCAGGCCGGCTTTGGGCTGAAATTGAAAAAATTAGAAGTGCAGGTGTATCCTGGTTCTTTTCAGTGTATCGAAGTCGGGCTGTTGCAACCTTCGTTTTTGCACTTTAACGTTAGCTCTTCAGGGTATTAAATTTAGGGCTTTTGTGCTGTCAGAGGCAGATGGCCAAACGTACCGAACATTCTGCAAAGGTGAAATGAATTTTCTTAACTGCCCTGAAGTGTCTCAACTGCCAGGCCCTTGCGGGCCTTTGTTCCGTAACGTTCTCAGCTAAGAAAGATTACACGATCAATGGATTTGGGCAGGGTAATTGCTAAGTTTCTTCTTTCAAGTTATACTTTGATGTAAAGACTCCATTTCAATGCTACAAAACTCTTAATTTCAGCTTATTTGAAACATTCTACGAGCTCTACTCCCAGATGTTTTCTTGGTTTTGAGGGACACAGTGAGGATGAAGGGAACATGATATTCATGGTGGTAAAGGCAAAAATGTTGTTTACTCCACACACAAGACGAATTTTCCCTATACTAGAAGACAATTGAGTATTTTCCTAATAAGGTGTACAATATCGAGCTTCCAAGTCTACTTAGGAGACAAGGTGATGAGAGATTATGATAAGAGCAACAAGTCATAAACATAATGGTGACTGAATTATCTATAATCACCAAAGACTCAATGACTCATATCCCATGCTATCTCAAAGACATTTCACCCAGTTTTTCCCTCCATTGGTTCAAAATAAGATCACTGTCTTCTCCCTGACATGCTTTTTTTTTTTTTTTTTTTTTTTTTTTTTTGAGACTGTCGCTCTGTCGCCCAGGCTGGAGTGCAGTGGCTGCAAGCTCCACCGCTCCACCTCCCGGGTTCACGCCATTCTCCTGCCTCAGCCTCCCGAGTAGCTGGGACTACAGGCGCCCACCACTACGCCTGGCTAATTTTTTTGTATTTTTAGTAGAGACGGGGTTTCACCGTGTTAGCCAGGATGGTCTTGATCTCCTGACCTCGTGATCTGCCCACCTCGGCCTCCCAAAGTACTGGGATTACAGGCGTGAGCCACCGGGCCTGGCCTTTTTTCTTTTTTTTAAATTTAGATGGGGTCTCACTCTGTTACCCAGGCTGGAGTGCAGTGACCTGATCTTGGCTCACTGCAGCCTCCACCTCTCACCTCACCCTCCTGAGTAGATGGGACTACAGGCACAGGCCATCACGCCTTGGTATAGCATGATTTTTAAATTTGACTTCTAGGACACCCATTTTCTTGGTTTTCCCCTACTTCTGTTTCTGCTCCTGATTCTCAGTGGTTTTTGCTAATTCTCTCTTCTCACCACCTTTTAATTTGGAGTGTCCCCAAGTGTAATTCATGGTCCTCTTCTGTATCTAACCCTCACTTTCTTGGTGATCTTACCATGTCTCATGGGTTTAAATTTTATCTGCCATTCATCTCTGGTTATACATTTCTCAAATGCCATACTTTTACATCCAACTGCCCTCTTTTTTTTCTTTTCTTTTCTTTTTTTTTTTTTGAGACGGAGTCTCGCTCTGTCGCCCAGGCTGGAGTGCAGTGGCATGATCTCGGCTCACTGCAACCTCCACGTCCTGGGTTCATGCCATTCTCCTGCCTCAGCCTCCTGAGTTGCTGGGACTACAGGCACCTGCCACCATGCCTGGCTAATTTTTTGTATTTTTAGTAGAGACGGGGTTTCACCGTGTTAGCCAGGATGGTCTCGATCTCCTGACCTCGTGATCCGCCCGCCTCGGCCTCCCAAAGTGCTGGGATTATAGGCGTGAGCCACCACGCCTGGCCCCAACTGCCTTCTTGACATCTCTACACAGATGTCCAATAAACATCTGAAAATTGATGTGTCAATACTGAACTCATGATCTTCCTCTCTACACCTACTCCACCATGGCCTTTCCCATTATAAATGGCAGCAATTCCATCCTTTTAGTTGTTTATGCCAAAGCCTGCTTTCTTCCATTCCTCCAGTCATCAGGACGTCATGTTGACTCTACCTTCAAAACATGTCCCAAATCTGACCTTTTCTCAACCACCTCCACAGTGAACACCTTAGTTAGCTGTATTGTCATTGCAGGAGCCCCCTAACAGCTGTCTCTGCCTCTATCCTACTCCCCTCCCTGCCCCAGCCTCCCAGTGTCAATGCAGCAGCCGGAGTGACTGTTTTAAAAGCTAAGTCAGATCACATCACTCTTCTGCGGAAAACACTATCATGGCTTCTGGTTTCATTCAGAGTAAAAGCCAAAATCCTTAGAATAGCCTTCAAGGCCTGAAATGACCTGAATTCTGTTAGTCATGGTTCTAGCAGGAAACAGCTGGCATGTTCAAATTAGGATAGTTTAAGGAGAATTTTTAAAAGGGGTTATTTTAAAAGGTGTGAGTAGAGGAAAAGGAATGATTGTTCAACAACCTTGGGTCTAGTAACAGCGGGGCCTTTATAGCATCCCTACGCTGGAAGGGGCAAGGAACTGAGTGGTACCAGATCCCCAAAACAGAGAGGACTGAGGCGATAGCCACCTGTCAGGAGTTGAACCCTTCAGTGGGATGCAGCCAGCCAGTGAGCATCTTGCTTAGAGAGAGCAAGAGCGATGAATACCCAGATCCGACTCTCCTCACTCGCTCTCTTTTGTAGGTGCCCTGTTAGGAGATCCAACAGAAAGCCAGATGGCAAGGGTGTAGTCCCTAGAGGGCACCCTCCTGGGCTCACAGCAGGATGGAAGAAGGTAAAGGGTGGTCTGGAGGGCCACATATGGGATACCGAGCACCCTCTCTAAGCTCAGCCTGACCCTCCCCTTCCATTCATTCCCTCAAACCACACTGGCCTTGTTATCCTACAAGATCCCCATGCTTCTCTCTTAGGGCCTGTTTTAGCTACCCCCTCTGCCTGGAATATTCTTTCCCACATATTTTTTGGGCTAATGTCCTCATTTCCTTTGGCCTTTGCTCAGCTATCATTATCCTCTCAAATAGGACATCTTGGCCGCGCATGGCTGCTCATGCCTGTAATCCTAGCACTTTGGGAGGCCGAGGCAGGTGGATCACCTGAGATCAGGAGTTTGAGACCAGCCTAGCCAACATGGTGAAAACCCATCTCTACTAAAAATACAAAAATTAGCCAGGCGTGGTGGCACATGCCTGTAATCCCAGCTACCCAGGAGGCTACTCCTAGCTACTCAGGAGACAGGCAGGAGAATCGCTGGAACCCAGGAGGTGGAGGCTGCAGTGAGCCAAGATCGTACCACTGCACTCCAGTCTGGGTGACAGAGCGAGACTCCATCTCAAAAAAAAAAAAAAACAAACCCAAAAAGGACATCTTGATCACCCATTCAGCACTGCCACCCACCACCCAGCACTCCTGACCCTGCTACACTGTTGTACTTTTTCTTTCATCCATAGCACTTAACTTCCTGCATATTCTATCCTTCACTTATTTATTTTGCACTGTTTATTTCCTCCATCCCTCCACTAAGATTGAGCTCCGCAAGTGGAAGAATCTTTGTCAGCTTAGTTGATTGATGTATTCTAAGTGCCTAGATCAAATAATGCTTGTTGAATGAATTAACGGTCCTTTAGTACTTACTGAGTTCTAAGTTCTTTAAATGGATAGCGTTACATACAAAGAGAAAGGAACTACCATTATTCTATTTTTCAGATGAGGAGACTCTACTTTTTCACATTTTTCTTTTTTTAAAATTTTTTCAATATAAGTTTTACTTTTTTTTTTTTTTTTTTTTTGAGGCAGGGTCTCACTCTGGTTGCCCAGGCTGATATGTAGAGGCACAATCTCGGCTCACTGCAGCCTTAACCTTCCAGGCTCAGGTGATTCTCCCACCTCAGCCACCTGAGGATCTAGGATTACATGACCAGCTAATTTTTTGTATTTTTAGTAGAGGCAGGGTTTTGCCATGTTGCCCAGGCTGGTCTCAAACTCCTGGGCTCAAGTGATCCTCCTGCCTTGACCTCCCAGAGTGCTGGGATCACAGGCATGAGCCACCACACGTGGCCAGAATTTTTCCTTCTTAGCAGTGTCTTCAAACACTTGGTCTATTCCGTTCTTTTTTTTTTTTTTTTTTTTTTTGAGTTGGAGTCTTGCTCTGTCACCCAGGCTGGAGTGCAATGATGCGATCTTGGCTCACTGCAACCTCCGCCTCCCGGGTTCAAGCAATTCTCCTGCCTCAGCCTCTCAAGTAGCTGGGACTACAGGCACACACCACCAGCCTGGCTAATTTTTGTAGTTTTAGTAGAGATGGGGTTCTACCATATTGGTCAGGCTGGTCTTGAACTCCTGACCTCAGGTGATCCACCCGCCTCAGCCGAAGTGCTGGGATTACAGGCTTGAGCCACCACACCCAGCCGATATTCTGTTCTTTATTAAAAGTAAGGTTCTGGCTGGGTGGGATCATAATCCCAGCTACTTAGGAGGCTGAGGCAGGAGAATCTCTTGAACCAAGGAGGCGGAGGTTGCAGTGAGCCGAGATTGCACCATTGCACTCCAGCCTGGGCAATAAGAATGAAACTCTATCTCAAAAAAAGAAAAAAAGAAAGAAAATAAAAAGCTTGCCCAATCCCTGATCTACATGACTCAAAATATAAAATGCAATTGTGTTCCGAGTCTACAAATTTTCATATATTTTCCTCAACAAATGTAAACTACATATAGTTTATATAACACAAATAATCTTAATTATTAACATTACTGTATAAAATTTAAAAACTAAAATTATTTGGGAAAGCACAGTCACAGATCCTTCCTGTGACTTGTGTTTTTCCCAGGCAACTAAAATAAAATTGTTCTTTTAAAAAATTAAAATTACTTTCACAATTTTGTTTTTGAGATGGAGTTTTCCTCTTGTTGCTCAGACTGGAGTGCAATGGCACGATCTCAGCTCACTGCAACCTCCACCTCCTGGGTTCAAGCGATTCTCCTGCCTCAGCCTCCCAAGTAGCTGGGATTACAGGCATGCACCACCACGCCCAGCTAATTTTGTATTTTTAGCAGAGACAGGGTTTCACCATATTGGTCAGGCTGGTCTCAATCTCCTGACCTCAGGTGATCCACCCGCCTCAGCCTCCCAAAGTGCTTGGGATTACAGGAGTGAGCCACTGTGCCCGGCCCACAATATTTTTTAAAAGTTATTTTTCTTTTAACATTTTCTGAACTACCAAATGGCAAAATATATTATGGTTAATGAACATGGGCTAGTCACAGTGGCTCACACTTGGAATCTCAGTGCTCTGAGAGGCTGAGGGAGGATCACTTGAGCCCAGGAGTTGGAGGCTGCAGTGAGCTGTGATCACACCACTGCACTCCAGCCTGGACGACACAGCAAGACTGTCTCAAAAAAAATAAATAAATAATAAAAAGAATATAAAGATTTAGAGTTAAAATGACAAATAAAAATGAACAATATTATTTAATTTCTGGAAAATGTAAATAAATATTTTTTTTTGTTTTTTGAGACGGAGTCTCTCTCTGTCTCCCAGGCTGGAGTGCAATGGCGTGATCTTGGCTCACTGCAACCTCTGCCTCCTGTGTTCAAGTAATTCTCCTGCCTCAGCCTCCTGAGTAGCTGGGATTACACACGTGCACCACCACGCCCAGCTAATTTTGTATTTTTAGTAGAGACGGGGTCTCACCATGTTGGTCAGGCTTGTCTTGAACTCCTGACCTCAGATGATCCACCCTTTGGCCTCCTAAAGTGCTGGGATTGCAGGTGGGAGCCACCATGCCTGGCCTGTTAAATATTTTTGTAAAAATAAAACTAACATGATTTCAGCATTCAACATCCATTCCATAGCCAGCATTAACAGCACCATATATATTTTTTTTTTTTTTTTTTTTTTTGAGACAGAGTCTCGCTCTGTCACCCAGGCTGGAGTGCAGGGGCGCGATCTCCCTCTCACTGCAAGCTCTGCCTCCCGGGTTCACGCCATTCTCCTGCCTCAGCCTCCCAAGTAGCTGGGACTACAGGCACCAGCCACCACGCCCGGCGTGAGCCACCGCGCCCGGCCAACAGCAAACAGCACCATATTTCAGGTATTAGATCTTTTTTTTTTTTTTTTTTTTGAGATGGAGTCTTGTCTCTGTCACCCAGGCTGGAGTGCAATGGCATGATCTTGGCTCACTGCAACCTCTGCCTCCCCCATTCAAGCGATTCTCCTGCCTCAGCCTCCTGAGTAGCTGGGACTACAGGCCCATACCACCATGCCCGGCTAATTTTTGTGTTTTAGTAGAGACAGGGTTTCACCATGTTGGCCAGGCTGGTCTTAAACTCCTGACCTCAGGTGATTTGCCCTCTTTGGCCTCCCAAAGTGCTGGGATTACAGGCATGAGCCACCACGCCTGGCCTCATGTATTAGATTTTGACAGGTGTATATACAACTTTAAGGATAGTATAAATTGCTTAATATTCCTAAAGTTTCTCAACCAAAGGTGTTGTAAATACTGTGCTAAGTGAATTCATGAGTGATCCTGGAACTACTCATTGAAATATGAAGAGAAGCACAAAAAATCCCTTGCAATCACACTATCTGAAAGGAAGGATTTGATAAAATAATTTTTTTTTCTTCTTTTTTTTTTGAGATGGAGTCTCACTCTGTCACCCAGGCTGGAGTGCAGTGGCATGATCTCAGCTCACTGCAACCTCTGCCTGCTGGGTTCAAGCAGTTCTCCTGCCTCAGCCTCCCAAGTAGCTGGGACTGTAGGCACCTGCCACCACGCCCAGCTAATTTTTTGTATTTTTAGTAGACATGGGGTTTCACCATGCTGGCCAGGCTGGTCTCGAACTCCTGACCTCGTGATCCACCCACCTTGGCCTCCCAAAGTGCTGGGATTACAGGCATGAGCCACCGCGCCCGGCCGACAAAATAATTTTTACAGTCTCCTGCTTAAGTACTTCTGCCACTCAAACCCTCTCCAGTCTTTGAAGTAGTATCTGTCTCTGACATTGGCCATGCACAGCTGAGGAGCATTTATAGCATTTGGACACAGTTGTGGGTTTTTTTGAGGACATAAAGCAAGAGATATGCTGAAGTGTTTATCTTCCTAAGGCTTTAGCAGTTTAGTATGTGTTAAATGAGATTTATAGGAGGCCATTGTTTTAGACTGACCTCCTGCACTAGGCCCCAGCAGACCAGACCAAATCAAAATGGAGTCACTCATGCTAAAGTTTATATGACCTTTCAAGAAAGCAGGAGAGATAGGCCGAACGTGGTGGCTCACGCGTGTAATCCCAGCACTTCGGGAGGCCAAGGCGGGCGGATCATGAGGTCAAGATTGAGACCATCTTGGCCAACATGGTAAAACCCGGTCTCTACTAAAAGTACAAAAATTAGCTGGGTGTGGTGGTGCGTGCCTGTAGTCCCAGCTACTCAGGAGGCTGAGGCAGGAGAATCGCTTGAACCTGGGAGGTGGAGGTTGCAGTGAGCCAAGATTGCACCACTGCACTCTAGCCTGTCAACAAAGCAAGACTCCCTCTCAAAAAAAAAGAAAGAAGAAAAGAAAAAGAAAGAAAGAACTCAGGAGAGATATGACAGCAAAATCCCTAAACAGGCCAGTTTTAGCCAGCATGATAAGGCAGTCCTCTCTACTTTAACTCTTACAAGAAAAGTAACCTGGGCGAGGCGCGGTGGCTCACTCCTGTAATCCTAGCACTTTGGGAGGCCAAGGCAGGTGGATCACCTGAGGTCAGGAGTTTGAGACCAGCCTGGCCAACAGGGCAAAACCCCGTCTCTACTAAAAATACAAAAAAATTATCTGGGCATGGTGGCCAGCACCTGTAATCCTAGCTACCTGGGAGGCTGAGGTAGAATCGCTAGAACCCTGGGGGCGGAGGTTGCAGTGAGCCAAGATCACGCTACTGTACTCCAGCCTGGCCTGGGTGACAGAGCGAGACTCCATTTCAGAAAAAAAAAAGTAACCTGAAGTAACTTGATGTTAACCATTCTGCTTTTTGTGTTATTCTATTTCCTTGTTCCTGTTCATACTACCGTTTACAAACTGTTCTGCCATGCCCAACAGAGCACCTTTGCTAAATCTTTAGATGAGATGTTGCCTAAATAAATCTCTAACAAAAGCCAATTCGATCTTCAATTATGTTTTTTATGTGTTAAAATTTTGTTTTTTAAACTTATGTTTGTGATATGTAGGGGCCAGTAAAGTGCAAGTCCCTCTTACCAAGTCTGGGTGTAAATATTGCCTTATCGGGTATCTCTGAAAAGCCCCAAGTACAGGCTGCATCTTTCCACTGGGCCATGTAGCATAAATATAACCACAGTAAAGCATGACCACTGGAAAAAATGAATGTCCAGATAAACCTGTGCAATCCCCCTGTGTTGCTATTAACTTAAAACCTCCTTTGTATTGATTCACAAGCCTCTGAATTTCCTCTGAGGATGCCAGGAACAATTTGATGACCAGAATCATCAACTTAATTGCTTCAATATATGCCTAATTACTTGATGCATTATTGTTAAAAGTCTGTAACCTTTCGGGGGACCCACCATAGAAAGGATGCATTTGAACACCCAGCTACTGACCAAAACATCTGTGTTACAGTGGACGCTATCTCATTCAAGTTAAGTTAACTAAAGGCTGCTCCACAGATGTCTGTTAATGAATTTAACTCTTTTACTGCCCCACATCTAACTTTTGAGTAATTGGAAATACATAAAAATAGGGTAATTTCACTCTATTTAAAGGAAACCTAAATTAAAGCCTAGGAAGTAAAAAATGTGTTTGCATTTGCAGAAAGGATCTTAGTCTAGCAGAAGGCATTGAGTAAATCCTAAAATTTAAATGTGTCTTAATCTCTTTGTGCTGCTATAACAGAATCCCACACACTGGATAATTCATAAACAGAAATTTATTCACAGTTCTGGAGGCTGAGAAGTCCAATATCAAGGCACTGGCAGGTTTGGCAATTCTGATTCCAAGATGATGCCTTGAAGGTTGCATCCTTCAAAAGGGAGAAACACTTTGTTCCACATGGTGGGGATAGAAGGGCAAAAGAGATAGCGCAAGCTCCCTCCACCAAGCTCTTTATAATGGCATTAATCTGTGAAAAGAAATTAAATTTTGGGACCCCAAACTCATTTAGCCAAAAAGAAAAGTCAAGCTGTGAACTGGGTCACGCAAAACTGCCTCGCGCTTTTGGTTCCTAAACAAGATGGCTACAAGATGAAAAGCTACATGCCTCCCCCATATTTTGCCCACAAGGAAATTCCTGGTGAGTTCTTAGAAGTTCACCATGGCAGCCGGGAGCGGTGGCTCACGCCTGTAATCCTAGAACTTTGGGAGGCCGAGGCGGGTGGATCACAAGGTCAGGAGATCGAGACCATCCTGGCTAACACGGTGAAACCCCATCTCTACTAAAAATATAAAACATTAGCCGGGCATGGCGGCGGGCGCCTGTAGTCCCAGCTACTCGGGAGGCTGAGGCAGGAGAATGGCGTGAACTCGGGAGGCGGAGCTTGCAGTGAGCCGAGATCACGCCACTGCACTCCAGCCTGGGCGACAGAGCGAGACTCCGTCTCAAAAAAAAAAAAAAAAAAAAAAAAAAAAAGAAGTTCACCATGGCAATGCAATTTTTTTTTTTTTTTTTTTTGAGACTGGAGTGCAGTGGTGCGATCTCGGCTCACTGCAACCTCCACCTCCCGAGTTCAAGCAATTCTGTGCCTCAACCTCCCGAGTAGCTGGGACTACAGGTGCCCGCCACCACACCTGACTAATTTTTTTTTTTTTTTTTTTTGTATTTTTAGTAGAGACTGGGTTTCACCACCTTGGGCAGGTTGGTCTCAAACTCCCAACCTCAGGTGATCCACCCGCCTCAGCCTCCCAAAGTGCTGGGATTACAGGCGTGTGCCACTGTGCCCAGCCGACAATGCAAATTGATAGCTTAGCTTTACAGGTGCGGTCACCCCAGCCCACCAGACAAAAATGTGTACCTGATTGTTCCCCTACCCCATTTTGTCCGTATTATCTTAGGTAAAATGCAGATTCCCCATATTTTTTCCCTGCCTCTTTTGTTTATGTAAAAACTGTGTGCTTCTCAATATCCTGCCCTTTCCCCTTTAAATTTGGAACCCTCAAAATCATCTTCGGAGAAAGCATAGACCTGTCTCCTGTGCGCTTTCTTAACTTTGACAAATACATCTCCTAAAATGATTGAGACTTGTCTCATCATTTTTCTCGACTGACATCTGGTAATCAGGAAGGGATCCTAGATGAAAGTGGCCCAGCCTGCAGCAGTTCGCCTCTTGGTGCTTGGTGTTGGCTTGGACACCTTACAGCCCAAACCGACAAGACAATTTGCCAAAGTCCAGGACCTCTTTCCTCCGAGAATCTCTGATCTTCCAGCATTTTTCAGCTGGGGGTCTGAGGTTTATTTGCTGTTTTTTTTAAAAAAAACAAAACTCCCTTTTTGTGGGAGTTTTTCCATTCGCTTCCACCAAGGAAGGCGAATTCATCTGCTTCTGCATCAGTGGAGAGCGATCTCCGGCTTGGCCCCGTCACTAGGTAAGAAACTGGTTTGGGATTCTGTCTTGCAAATTCTTTTAAATGACTAAAATTAGCATGAACAACCAGCTGGTGTTAACTTCTGCTTACACTTAGGGCGCTCAGAAATAGTTGTGCTTAACTGTTTTGTTTCTGTCTTGGTCAAATCAGAAGGGGAACCCTAAATTACTGGGAACAAGGCCTCTGAAGTGGGAGGAAAACAGCCAACAAGAGGGAAAATATAAGAGAAAAGAAAAGATTTTAAATTTTAACTACTAAAGGGGCTCTATTTACATAACAAGGCCACCTTTTTGCCAGCCAGACCAAACTGAAAGAGCAATGCCTGTATTTCTGAAATAACAGCATTTTGTCTTAGCTGAAATATGGTAATAAGATTTTAAAAAGGCTGGGCACAGTGGCTCACACCTGTAATCCCAGCAGGTGGGGAGGCTGAGGCAAGTGGATCACGAGGTCTGGAGTTCAAGACCAGCCTAACATGGTGAAACCCTGTCACTACGAAAAATAAAAAAATTAGCCGGGCGTGGTGGTGCGTGCCTGTAATCCCAGCTACTCAGGAGGCTGAGGCAGGAGAATTACTTGAACACGGAAGGCAGAGGTTGCAGTAAGCCAAGATCACACCATTGCACTCCAGCCTGGGCGACAGAGAGAGACTCCGTCTCAAAAAAAAAAAGATAAAAAAATTTTTTTAAAAATGAGCTTAATGGTTAAAAGTCAGCTTAATTAAAAAGTTAACATCCAAGATGTGTGTGTGTATGTGTGCATGTGTGCATGTTCGTATTTGAAAGGCCTTTGTGTTTTTGTTTTTTGTTTGTTTTTCTCTCCTGAGACCTTGTCTTTTTTTTGCTTCTCAGTTGACTGAGTTCTGTTTTCACCTGATTTTTTGACTAAAACAGTTATTGTAACAGAAGCTCCTCTTAATTTTTTTTGTTTTTTGTTTTTTTTGAGATGGAGTTTCACTCTTGTCACCCAGGCTGGAGTACGATGGCATGATCTCGGCTCACTGCAACCTCCGCCTCCCAGGTTTAATCGATTCTCCTGCCTCAGCCTCCTGAATAGCTGGGATTACAGGCACCCACCACCATGCCCTGCTAATTTTTGTACTTTTAGTAGAGACGGGATTTCACCATGTTGACCAGGCTGGTCTCGAACTTCTGACCCAAGGTGATCCACCCACCTCGGCCTCCCAAAGTTATGGGATTACAGGCCTGAACCACCACGCTCAGCCTACTCTTGGATTTCTAAGGAACAATGAGACAGAGTCTCACCATGTTGGCCAGGCTGGTCTCGAACTCCTGACCTCATGTGATTGACCCACTCAGCCTCTCAAAGTGCTGGGATTACAGCATGGGCCATCACGCCTGGCCTAAAGTTAAATGATTTTATCTGGAAAAATCTTTCATAAATCTTTGTATTTTGCTATGGAAGCAGAGAGTTGTCACTTGAGTGAATAAATTATTTAGTTACAAAGGCCTAAAAACCAGGATGGTTGGGGTGGGTCATGCCCATAATCCCAGGATTTTGGGAGGCCCAGGTGGGAGGATCGCTTGAGGCCAGGAGTTCAAGACCAGCCTGGGCAACATAGCAAGACTCTGTCTCTGTAAAATCTTTTTAAAAATTGGCCAGACATGGTGACTACCGCCTGTAATCCCAGCAATTTGGGAGGCCGAGGCAGATGGATTACCTGAGGTCAAGAGTTCGAGACCAGCCTGGCTAACATGGTGAAACCCCGTTTCTACTAAAAATACAAAAATTAGCTGGGTGTGGTGGTGCACGCCTGTAGTCCCAGCTACTCAGGAGGCTGAGGCAGGAGAATTGCTTGAACCCAGGAGGCGGAGGTTGCAGTGAGCCAGATCGCACCACTGCATTCCAGCCTGGGTGACAAAGCAAGACTCTGTTTCAAAAATAAATAAATAAAAATAAAAAATAAATAAAAATAGCTAGGCATCGTGGCATGCTTGTAGTCCCAGCCACTCAAGAGGCTGAGGCAGGATTCCCTGAGCCCAACAGCTCAAGGCTGCAGTGAACTATGATTGTGTCACTGCACTCCAGTCTGGGAGACAGAGTGAAATCCTGTCTCTAACAAAAAAAAGAAAGGCCTGAAAACCATTTTTTTTTATTTTGAGACAGATTCTCATTCTGTCACCTAGACCGGTGTGCACTGGTGCGATTTCGGCTCACTGAAACCTCCATCTCCCGGGTTCAAGTGATTCTCATTCCTCAGCCTCCTGAGTAGCTGCAATTACAAATGTGTGTCACCACACCCAGCTAATTTTTGTATTTTTAGTAGAGACGCGGTTTCACCATGTTGCCCAGGCTGGTCTTGAACTCCTGACCTCAAGTGATTCACCTGCTTTGGCGTCCCAAAGTGCTAGGATTACAGGCATGAGACACTGTGCCCAGCCAATAATTAAAAATTTAAAAAAGAACACACACACACACACACAATAAAAAGAGCCTGGAATGTTACAAGTGTATTATAGTTTATTGAAGTAAAAATTACATTTATGACATCATGAACAATTGTCTTATGACACAGTGACAAGGCTTGAAATTTAAAAAAGGAAAAAAGGGAACAATTGTCTGTTTGCCAGTCAACTAAAATACATACTGCTGGCCGGGCATGGTGGCCCATGCCTGTAAGCCCAGCACTGTCAAACCAATGATCTCTTTTTTTGATAAATGATTTATTAATGAATCACATTCTCTAAAATATTCCAAATCAGAAAATGTTGGGTTAAATACTTGTCAAGTTTCACAAGGTGATTAAATATACAATTGTGGGGTCCCACTCAGAACACTGGAGTTAGTATAAAGATTATTTTAAGCTGAAGACATTTGAGATGGAACAGATGCAGAAAGAAGCTTCCTTGGGACTTCCCTTATTTGATTAAAAGTAGAAACTTCTGAGAAATGAGGACGGACATAAATTTCCTGTTTGGGGTGGCTTCTACTCCCAGGGGAGAGACCCAGAATAAACCTACCATAAATCCCCTCTCTGGCAGTTTTATGAACCTGAAAAAGACCACTCACACCTATATAAGAAAGTTTGGTTTGTGATAATGTTTGCATGTCTCCCATTTGTTCTTCTAAAAACACATTTGTCTTTTTTAGAGAAACCTATTTGTCCTTCCTATAGAAGTCCTTTTTGGCTAGGCGCGTTGGCTCAAGCATGTAATCCCAGCACTTTGGAAGGCTGAGGCAGGCAGATCACCTGAGGTCAGGAGTTCAAGACCAGCCTGGCCAATGTGGTGAAACCCTGTCTCTACTAAAAATACAAAAATTAACTGGGCATGGTGGCAGGCACCTGTAATCCCAAGCTTCTTGGGAGACTGAAACAGGAGAATCGCTTGAACCTGGGAGGCAGAGGTTGCGGTGAGCTGAGACTGCGCCACTGCACTCCAGCCTGAGCAACATAGTGAGACCCTGTCTCAAAAAAAAGAAAAAAGTCCAGGCCGGGCACGGTGGTTCATGCCTGTAATCCCAGCACTTTGGGAGGCTGAGGCGGGAGGATCACGAGGGCAAGAGATTGAGACCATCCTGGCCAACATGGTTAAACCCTGTCTCTACTAAAAATACAAAAATTAGCTGACCGTGGTGGTGTGCACCTGTAATCCCAGCTACTCAGGAGGCTGAGGCAGGAGAATTGCTTGAACCTGGGAGGCAGAGGTTGCAGTGAGACAAGATGGCACCACTGTACTCCATCCTGGTGACAGAGTGAGGCTCCGTATCAAAAACAAAAAAAAATTAGCAGGGTGTGGTGGTTCACGCCTGTAGTCCCAGCTACTTGGGGGGCTGAGGTGAGAGGATCACTTGAGCCTGGTCAAGGTTGAGGTTGCAGTGAGCTGTGTTTGTACCACTGCACTCCAACCTGGACAACAAAGTGAGACCCTGTCTCCAAAAACAAAAATGTAGGTAAATACCATCATTTGTGACAAGATGGATGAATCTGGAAAACATTATGCTAAGTGAAATAAGCCAGGTATAGAAAGACAAATACTACATGATCTCACTTATATGTGGAATCCAAACATGTCAAATTCATAGCAGCAGATAGTAGAATGATGGCTACCAGAGGCTGGGGAGAGTGGAGACGAGGAGAATGGGGAATTGTTAATCAAAGGGTGCAAAATTTCAGATAGAAGGCTTTGAGATTTACTGCACAATAGAGTGACTATAATCAATAATGATGTAGTTTTATCTAGCCATCTAAAATGGAGAGATGAATCGTTCTGCCTATACAAACAAGTCAGTTATTAGAGGGTGGTTGAGGTATGCTACTCAGAAGATTTCAGGGTGTCTTCCAGCTGAAATCTCAATGTTCTCAGTATGAAAAACCTGAAATCAGATGCCTATGTAAGGGAAGTGCTATTCACCCAGTAAACCCAAAAAAGCAAATGGAGAATGCTGGCTATTTTGCCTTTCTGACATTTGTTTGGGAATCTGCAGGAACCTCTCCTTTCCCCTCCCCCAATAAGACCATTTAAGTGTGTGTTAAACAACTACAGCATACTAAATAAAAAGTTTGGCCAAAACCAACAACAACAACAAAATAATAATAACGATGTAGTTTCTCTTTTTTTTTTTTTTCTGAGATGGAGTCTCACTCTGTCACCCAGGCTGGAGTGCAGTGGCGTGATCTCGGCTCACTGCAACCTCCCGCCTCCCAGCTTCAAGCGATTCTCCTGCCTCGGCCCCCCCAAGTAGCTGGGATTACAGGCGCCCGCCACCACGCCCGGCTAATTTTTGTATTTTTAGTAGAGAAGGGGTTTCACTATGTTGGCCAGGCTGGTCTAGAACTCCTGACCTCAGATGATCCACCCGCCTTGGCCTCCCAAAGCGCGGGATTGTAGGCATAAGCCATCATGCCCAGCCATAGTTTCTCTTTCAAAATAACTAGAAGAGTAAATTTCAAATATCTCACTATTAAAAATGATGGATCAGCCAGGTGCAGTTGCTCACGCCTGTAGTCCCAGCACTTTAGGAGACTGAGATGGGTGGATAGCTTGAGCCCAGGAGTTCCAGACCAGACTGGGCAACATGGTGAAACTCCATCCCTACAAAAAAAATTAAAAATTAGCCAGGCATGGCGGCACACACCTGTAGTCCCAGCTATGCGGGAGGCTGAGTTGGGAGGATCACTTGAGCCCTGGCAGTTGAGGCTGCACTGAGCTGAGATCACACCACTGCACTCCAGCCTGGGTGACAGAACAAGACCCTGTTTAAAAAAAAAAAAAAAAAAAAGATAAAAAATAATTTTAAAAAGAGAGAGGGGTCCCACTCTGTTGCCCAGGCTGGTCTCAAGTGGTCCTCCTGCCCTAGCCTCCCAAAGTACTAGGATTACAGGCGTGAGCCACCATGCTGGGCTGTGAGACTCCTGTTTTTACAGAAAATTAAAAATTAGCCAGCATGGTGGCATGTACCTGTAGTCCCAGCTATTTGGGAGGTTGAGGTGGGAGGATTGCCCGGGCCCAGGAGGTCAAGGCTGCGGGGAGCTGAGATTGCACAAGTGCACTCCACCCTGGGCAACAAAGCAAGACCCTTCCCAAAACATAAAATAAAAATAAAAATGAAAAATCAACTGGAGTCAGGCAAGGTGGCACATGCTTGTAATCCCAGCACTTTAGGTGGCTGAGGCAGGACGATCCTTTGAGTTTGGGAATTTGAGACCAGCCTGGGCAGCACAGTGAGACCCTGTCTCTACAAAAATAAATTTTAAAAGCTGGCCACGATGGTGCAGGCCTATGGTATCAGCTACTAGGGAGGCTGAGGCGGGAGGACTGCTTGAGCCCAGGAGATCTAGACTGTGGTGAGCCATGCTTGTGCCACTGCAAAGTCAGACCTGGGCAACAAAGTGAGATTCTATCTCAAATAAATAAAATAATTGCTGGCCAGGTGCAGTGGCTCACGCCTGTAATCCCAGCACTTTGGGAGGCCGAGGCAGGTGAATCACCTGAGGTCAGGAGTTCGAGACCAGCCTGGCCAACATGGTGAAACCCCATCTCTACTAAAAATACAAACTTAGCCAGGCCTGGTGGCGCATGCCTGTAATCCCAGCTACCTGGGAGGCTGAGGCAGGAGAATCGCTTGAACCCGAGAGGCGGAGGTTGCAGTCAGCCAAGATCCTGCCACTGCACTCCAGCTTGGGCAATAGAGTGACACTCCGTCTCAAAAATAATAATAATAAGTAAAATAAAATAATAATAATTGCTATTATGTCTGTTGATCCAAAGTCCTGTTTTGGCAGTATTATATGTATTGTGATTAAAACAAAGTGAAAACCATAATTATTTTCTAAGTTGTGTTTCTTTGGGTAGTCAAATGGTCTTGAAATCTGGTGCGTAACAATAAAATCAATAAAAACAGTTCTTGGGATAGAAAATCTCAGGGTTAGTATGTCAGGACATATTTTCAGAAATGAACACTAGATGTCAGCTTTTAGGCAAGCTTTTCTGAGTCACTGACCCATTTTTACCTCCCGACAAAACCCAAGCCAAGTCTTTTCTGAATGTAGAAACTTTCCTCCTCAGGGAACTCCACTTCCGCAGGGCTCTCCCACTGACACCCCTGATAGGGTAACATTTGAGCTATTAAAATTAGCAGGAACTAAACTAGAAAGTGAAGCACCTATGGAGGTTTCTGGGGAGACATTAAATAAAAAACAGAGAAACAAACAAAAAATATAACCTGCAATTCTCTCCCTCTATTGTACTTTACTATCATTTAAAAGAATAAACACAGGCTGGGTGCATTGGCTCATCCTTGTAATCCCAGCAATTTGGGAGGCTGAGGCTAGAGGATCACTTGAAGCCAGGAATTCAAGACCAGGCTGGGCAACATGGCGAGACTCCATCTCTACAAAACGTAGAAGAATTAGGCAGGTGTGGTGTTGTGTGCCTGTAATCCCAGCTACTCGGGAGGCTAAAGCAAGAGAATTGCTTGATCCCAGGAGGCAGAGGTTGCAGTGAGCCAAGATCATGCCACTGCACTCCAGGCTGGGTGACAGAGCAAGAACCTGTCTCAAAATAATAATAATAATAATAATAATAATAAATATATGGCTGTAATCTCAGCACTTTGGGATGCCAAGGCAGGCGGATCATGAGGTCAAGAGATTGAGACCATCCTGGCCAACATGGTGAAACCTCGTCTCTACTAAAAATACAAAAATTAGCTGGGTGTCGTGGCGCGCGCCTATAATCCCAGCTACTCAGAAGGCTGAGGCAGCAGAATCGCTTGTACCTGGGAGGTGGAGGTTGCAGTGAGCCAAGATAGCACCACTGCACTCCAGCCTGGCAACAGAGCAAGACTCTGTCACAAAATAATAATAATAATAATAATAATAGTAATAATAATAATAATAATAATAATAATAGGCCATGGCTGGGCGTGGTGGCTCAAGCCTATAATCCCAGCACTTTGGGAGGCTGAGGCGGGTGGATCACCTGAGGTCAGGAGTTCAAGACCAGCCTGACCGATATGGTGAAACCCTGTCTTTACTAAAAATACAAAAAATTAGCTGAGTGTGGTGGCGGGTGCCTGTAGTCCCAGCTACTCAGGAGGCTGAGACAGAAGAACTACTTGAACCTGGGAGGAGGAGGTTGCAGTGAGCGAAGATCACATGACACTGCACTCCAGCCTGGGCAACAGAGTGAGACTCTGTCTCAAAAGAAAAAAAGAAAAAAAAAAGGCTAGATGCAGTGGCTCACACCTATAACCCCAACACTTTGGGAAGGCAAAGGCGGGCGGATCACCTGAGGTCAGGAGTTCGAGACCAGCCTGACCAACATGGCTAAACCCCATCTCTACTAAAAATACAAAATTATCTGAGCATGGTGGCGCATGCCTATAATCCTAGCTACTTGGGAGGCTAAGGCAGGAGAATCGCTTGAACCCAGGAGATGGAGGTTGCAGTGAACTGAGATCATGCCATTGCACTCCAGACTGGGCAACAAGAGCAAAACTCCGTCTCAATAAATAAATAAATATTAAACATAAAAATAATTTCATCTTTGTAATGAAGAGGGTGGAGCATGGGGAGAAGGAAATCTTCCTGAACCAATTACAAAGACCTCATGTCGTGCGTGCATGGTTTAACAGCAAGTTTTTTCAGCATTTGCTTTCTTTTCCCTTTTTTTGTAAGCAAACAAACAAACAAACAAACTCTACTCTCTGCCTATTTATGCCTTCAGTAACTATTTATGAAGTATTTACGGCGTACAACTTAGTACATGTCTCAGTCTGTGGCAAATGATGGAAGCCTAGAAAACACATATGGACAAGGTCAATCCTCTACCCTTGAGACCACTGCAGTCTCATGGGGGAAATAAGACAGTTACATAAAATGTCATAGTGTAAAGTACAGTTTCTAGCATGCACATTTTTTGGTGGCACAGCACAAATTAAGTATTTTTTCTCATTTTTTATTTTGTTTTTTTGAGGCAGATTTTTGCTGTGTCACCCAGGCTTGAGTGCAGTGGCGCCATCTCAGCTCACTGCAACCTCCACCTCCCGGATTCAAGTGATTCTCATGCCTCAGCCACCCGAGTAGCTGGGATTACAGGCACCGCCACCATGCCCGGCTAATGCTTTTTGTATTTTTATTAGAGATGGGGTTTCACCATGTTGGCCAGGCTGGTCTCGAACTCCTGACCTCAGGTGATCCACCCGCCTCGGCCTCCCAAAGTGTTGGGGTTACAGGCATGAACCACCATGCCTGGACAGAAATTAAGTCTTACTAAGAGGCATTTTAGGCCGGGCGCAGTGGCTCACGCTTGCAATCCCAGCACTTTGGGAGGTCAAGATGGGTGGATCACCTCAGGTCAGGAATTCGAGACCAGCCTGACCATTATGGCGAAACCCTTTCTCTACTAAAAATACAAAAATTAGCCACGCGTGGTGGCAGGCACCTATAATCCGAGCTACTCAGGAGGCTGAGGCTGGAGAATTGCTTGAACCTGGGAGGCGGAGGTTGCAGTGAGCCGAGATCGCGCCACTGCACTCCAGCCTGGGCAACAGAGCGAGACTCCCTCTCAGAAAAAAAAAAAAAAAAAAAAAAAAAGAGGCATTTTACTATTTTATATTGGGTAAGCATGGAAAAGGAGGCAAACTAATTTATTTGAGTGTGTAGAGAAGAAAAAGCAAGTTTTCCTTAACCATGGTAAGGTTCATGGCTGAGACTCCTATAACAAAATACAGATTAACAAGAGAAAAGCATACAAATTTGTGTAATATAAGTTTTACATGATGGGGAGTCTTCCTAAGGAAATGACCCAAAGAAAAGTCTGTGTACTTTTATGCATAGGTTTGAGAAAGTGGATAGTTGTGCAGAAGTATGATTGAACAAAGCGGGTATGATCTCACGGTAATAAATTGGGGGCATGAGATTAGCAAGACCTGTTTGTTCAGATTATTCTTGGTGTCCCTGTGTGACATTCCTTCCACCCTGATATAGGGCAGGACACCTGCCACATGAGGGTTTTCAAGAGAGATAAGAGGATGACCTTCCTAGGCTTTATGGCCTGCTTCAGAGACGGGTGAGGGAGATGTGACAGTGGCCTTCCAGTATATGCTGTTTTCTCAACTTCCAAGGTGCTATGTTTGGGGGTTGGGTTTCCTATGCCATATCAGTGCTTACAGTATGACAAGCAGCATGATGAGTGCTTTACAAAGCCTGCACTACATGTCAGGTAGTTTTTACTCATTTGTAAAATGAGCAATCTTCATTTTAGAAAGACTGACCAAAGGCCCAGTCATACAGATAGACGGTAGAATCCGGAATTGAAACTAGCTTCCTAAGCTACAATGGAGTGAAGCAAAAAAAGGAACTAAAACTAGGTCTAGGCTGGTAGGCTGGGTGCAGTGGCTCACGCCTGTAATCCCAACAATTTGGGAGGCCGAGGCAGGTGGATCACGAGGTCAGGAGATCGAGACCATCCTGGCTAACACGGTGAAACCCCGTCTCTACTAAAAATACAAAAAATTAGCCGGGCTTGGTGGCGGGCGCCTGTAGTCCTAGCTACTTGGGAGGCTGAGGCAGGAGAATCACTTGAACCCGGGAGGCGGAGCTTGCAGTGAGCCGAGATCGCGCCACTGCACTCCAGCCTGGGCAACAGAGCGAGACTCCGTCTCAAAAAAAAAAAAAAAAAGATTTTGAAGCATATGTTTCAACAGAGCAGATGGAGAAAGTTACGTCAAACGTCTTGAGAGGAGGACATGGAATGCCAAACACAAGGATCTAAAAACGGTAGTGGTGCTTTAATCCCACTGCCTTGGGACAGTGACGGAAATCAGGGACAAGAAGAAATACATTTCTTGAATTGGGCAGCTGAAAACCTAAAAAAATCGCTATCAAGTCCATTTATTTGTGTGTGTACATTTATTTATTTGTATTATTATTATTATTTGAGATGGAGTTTCGCTCTTGTTGCCCAGGCTGGAGTGCAGTGGCTCATCTCGACTCACTGTAAGCTCCGTCTCCCGGGTTCAAGCGATTCTCCTGCCTCAGCCTCCTGAATAGCTGGGATTACAGGCACGCACCACCACGCCCAACTAATTTTGTATTTTTAGTAGAGATGGGGTTTCTCCATGTTGGTCAGGCTGGTCTCGAACTCCCAATCTCAGGCGATCCGCCCACCTTGGCCTCCGAAAGTGCTCGGTTTACAGGCATGAGCCACTGCGCCCTGCCTGCATTATTATTTTTTAATGAGACGGGGGTCTCACTATGTTGCCCAGGCTGGTCAGTAACTCCTGAGCTCAAGCAATCCTCCTGCCTCGGCCTCCCAAAGTGCCATTTATATTTTATATACTCTAAAGGACCATGGGGCAGATACAGCACAGGCGGAAAGTCAGCTTTGAGTTAAGCCTGTTGGAGATGTAACAATACCAGGCAGAAACCCAGAAAGATGGGGCGTAGGGCTGGGTGCAGTGGCTCCCGCCTGTAAGCCCAGCACTTTGGAAGGCCAAGGCAGGCGGATCACTTGAGACCAGGAGTTGAGACCAGCCTGGGCAACATGGCGAAACCCCGTCTCTACCAAAAATATAAAATTAGCAGGGCGCTCACCTGGAGTCCCAGCTACTCAGGAGGCTGAAGTGGGAGGATCGCTTGAGCCCGGGAGGCGGAGCTTACGGTGGGCCGAGATCGCGCCGCTGCACTCCAGCCTGGGTGATAGAATGAGCCCCTGTCTCAAAGAAAAAAAGAAGGAAAAAAAAAAAAAAGAAATGGAAGCAGTGTAGGACCGAAGACGTCTGGGACGGAAGCTCACCCCCAGGAAGGCCTAGGGAGAGAGGCACCGGCGACGTGTCTGCACCACGCGTCACCGGCACGCGCGGTCCACACTCCAGCGCCGGGTCTCGCGAGAGCCCCAAGCGCGGAACCGAATCTGCAGGCGCGCCACTCTTTGCCTGCGGCACCCTTCCTCCAGTTCTCAGGGTGATGGTCGCGATAGTTGCACCAGCACATGAGGGCGAAAACCTCTTGTGCTGCCTCCCCGTGACTGCCAGTTCCCGGACCACGTTCTCCCCAAGAGCCCAAGAAGGGCAGACAGCCAGGCGCGCTTGGCTGGTCTCGGGAGGAGGAAGTGGCGGAAGTGGGATTTGGGAAACAATCCTGGAGTCGGTGTGCTACGCATGCGCCGAGGGAAGCGGCCAGGCGGGTGGAGGCGGTGACCGCGCGGAGGCACCGGCGGCCCAGAGGCTTATAGTCTCGCGCGCACAGCAGCGCGCTACGCGGCCATCACAGCACAGCCGATCCAGAGTCCAGTCACGTGACCCGCTCGTGGCAGTCCGTGTGGGGCACTGTAGTAGCATTTAGTGAGTCAGGCGAACCTAGCGGGCTGCCGCCCCAGATCAGTTTCTCCGTCAGATTCCATTTCTCCAGCGGCACCTGAACCGGCGCGGTCCTCTGCGTCTTCTTGCTCCCTGGGGATGGGGCCCGGAGCCCCCTTCTTCATAGAAGGGAAAGAGATTTGAGCAGGTGGAAGGAACAGGTGCCCAGGACGCTGTCCCGACGCCCACACGATGCGCTGAGACCTGAGCTTACCCTCGCGTGTCCCATCGTGCGGTGGTTCTGTCGCGGCCCTATGGGGAGGGACTCTGTCAGACGGGGACGTCACGAGGCGGCCTTGCCGGGCAGGGTATTGGGGGTACCGGCTCCATAGTTTAACTCCGCCTAGTAGTGACCGCGTCTTTTTGCGGTTTTCCTCAGTCCTGTGGCCGGAGACCTCTGCAGTCTCCCTCCCGCAATGGAGACGTCCTAGGAGGTCTTCTGTTTCCATGTTTAGGGAAATGGGAAACCTACATAGTTTAGTAACAAATTGAAAGAGTAGTCCAAAGTCTTCCAACAAAGAAGACTGCAAGCCACCATGGCTTCCCTGGCAAATTGAACGATATATAAGAGGAAAACATAATTCCAGTCTTTAATAGTTCCAGAATAAAAGGGGGAAGGAAGATGAAAGCGGGTAACACTTTTAAACTTTTTAATGGCCTAGCATAACCCTGATAGGAAAACCTGACGAGAACAGCGAATGGAAGGAAAAGTGTATGCAAGTTTTGCTCATGAGTCTAGACGGGAAACTCTGTAAGCAAAATATTAGCAAAATCTAGTATTATGTGAAAGGAATAATACCATAGCCAAGTTATGTGGTTTTTTGTTTTGTTCTGTTTTGTGGGGGTTTTTTTTTGAGACGTTTTGTTCTTTTTTTTTTTTTTTTTTGAAACCTCCACCTCCTGGATTCAAGTGATTCTCCTGCCTCAGCCTCCCGAGTAGCTGGGATTACAGGCGTGCGTCACCACGCCCGGCTAATTTTTTTTGTATTTTTAGTAGAGACGGTGGGGGGGTTTCACCGTATTGGCCAGGCTGGTCTGAAACTCCTGACCTCAAGTGATCCACCCGCCTGCCAAAGTGGTGGGATTACAGGCGTGAGCCACCTCGTCCAGCCAAATTAGGTTGTTTTAACATGAGAAGACAAATTACTGTAATTGAAGATACTAACTAATTAATGGAGAAAATATCATCTTAATAAATGTAGAATAATTTATTAAATTTAACACTTATTCATGATAAACACTCATGGAAAACCAGGAATAGAAGAGAAATTAATCTTATAGAGGGTATCTGCAAAACACCATACACCAAACATCCTACTTAATGGTAAAGCGTTGAAAGCGTTTAAGAACTTGGGGCCTTTAACTCTACAGAGTTTCCCAGAGTTGTGACTTTGATGATTCCATATACATAGACCATTTCAACATGTTTCTCTGTCCTATTTCCTGCTAATTGGTATGTTGGATTATTTTATTCCTTGGAACATAGTAATCATAATTATTTTGTAATCTGTATTATGATAATTCCAGTGTCTGAATTTTTTTCAAGGTTTTTTTTTTTTTTTTTTTTTTTGAGACAGAATCTCACTCTGTCACCCAGGCTAGAGTGCAGTGGTTTGATCTCAGCTCACTGCAACCTCCCTCTCCAAGGTTCAAGCGATTTTCGTGCCTCAGCCTCCTGAGTAACTGGGACTATAGGTGTGTGCCACCATTCCTGGCTAATTTTTTGTTGTTGTTGTTGAGACGGAGTTTTGCTCTGTTGCCCAGGCTGGAGTGCTGGAGTGCAATGGCATGATCTCGGCTAACTGCAACCTCTGCCTCCTGGGTTCAAGTGATTCTCCTGCCTCTGCCTCTCAAGTAGCTGGGATTACAGGCGCCTGCCACCACACCTGGCTAATTTTTGTATATTTAGTAGAGGTCAGGTTTCACCATGTTGGCCAGGCTGGTCTCAAACTCCTGACCTCAGGTGATCCACCTGCCTCGGCCTCCCAAAGTGCTGGGATTACAGGCATGAGCCACCACGCCCAGCCTTTTTCAAGTTTCTTTCTGATGTTTATGTTGTGTATACATCCATGGCGTCTTTTCATTTTGCCCAAGCTGGACTCAATCTCCTGGGACTCAAGAGATCCTCTTTAGCTTCTCTAGTAGCTGGGACTACAGGTGCATGCCAGTGCACCCACAGTGTCTTGTTTCCTTGTGTGTTTACTTTTTGTTCTTGAAAAAGTATTTGTGAGAAAAAGTACTTGTGGCTTCATTTGGAGAAGATCTTTGTTTGCTTCTGCTAGGTTCCTTGAAGCCCTTTCAGTCTGAGACTAGCTTTCATGGGTTGAAGTTCTTTGGATCAAAGCAAATGCAGGTTACAAACCTGGGCGAAAGCTGCCCAGTGACCACATCTACTTAAAGATGGGATTTTATTTATTTATTTATTTATTTATTTATTTATTTATTTATTTATTTATTGAGACAAAGTCTCACTCTGTTGCCCAATCTGGAGTGCAATGGTGCAATCTCAGCTCACTGCAACCTCCCAGGTTCAAGCGATTCTGCTGCCTCAGCCTCCCGAATAGCTGGGACTACAGGCATGCACCACCATGCTCAGCTAATTTTTGTATTTTTAGTAGAGATGGGGTTTCACTAGTTGGCCAGGCTGGTCTTGAACTCCTGACCTCATGATCCGCCCACCTCGGCCTCCTAAAGTGCTGGGATTACAGGCATGAGCCACCGCACCCGGCCAAAGATGGGATTTTAAAAATTTTGCTTTGCCTCCTCCCCACTCCCATTATAGTCAATGCAAAAGCAACCTTTCCCAATGTTCTGAGATGCTGGTCCACCTTCACTCTTAGGGCATAGCCTATGGTGTCCCAACTTAATATGGGAAGGGTCACCTAGTAGCATTTTTACCATGGAAAGCCCTAGACGTTGGATGCTGTTTCCATGCCCTGTGAGGCTACTAAAAACAGAACTAGATGTTGCCTGACTAGCAAATATCCTCAGGGCAAGAATAGCTTTTGTGCTTCTCTGTTCCATTTGCTTCTCTGGGTTCTCACCTTCTCTTAGCTTTTATCCTAATAATTTCTTACTATCTTATCAGCAACTCGATGTTTTGGGAAATGTGCCTTATATTTTATTCAGTCTCTTTATTTTATTTTATTCTTTTGTTTTGTTTTGTTTTGAGATGGAATCTCACTCTCTCACACAGTCTGGAGTGCAGTGGCGCAATCTCAGCTCACTGCAACCTCTGCCTCCCAGGTTCAAGTGATTATGCTGCCTCTGTGTCCCGAGTAGCTGGGATTATAGGTGCCCACCACCACGCCTGGCTAAGTTTTGTATCTTCAGTAGACATGAGGTTTCACCGTGTTGGCTAGGCTAGTCCTAAATTCCTGACCTCAGGTGATCCGCCAGCCTTGGCCTCCCAAAGTGCTCGGATTACAGGCACGAGCCATTGTGCCCGGCCTGTTCAGCACCTTTAGTTATTATCAATGGGCACATTGGTTGAATAAACCAGCCCATCATAACTGGAAATAGATGTTTGACATTTCATTCATTTTCTTCAGTCTGTTTATTTTATATCTGAAGATACATTACTGAAGGCTAAGTTCCTGTATCTTTTTTTTTTTTTTTTTTTTGAGATGGAGTCTTGCTCTGTGGCCCAGGCTGGAGGACAGTGGCGCAATCTCAGCTCACTGCAACCTCCGCCTCTCTGGTTCAAGCGATTTTCCTGCCTCAGCCTCCTAAATAGCTGGAATTACAGGCGCATGCCGCCATGCCCAGCTTATTTTTGAATTTTTAATAGAGTCAGGGTTTCACCATGTTGGTAATTGAATTTTGATAGGGAGATAGCCAAAGTCAGACTGATTTTCCTTATCCTTTTTAGTTGACAAGTTCTTTTTATATGGATAGGCCGTTTTTTTCAGGGTCAGACTTGGAGAAGATTTACTGTAATTAGTCTCTTAGCTGTTGGGTCCCTCTCCCACTAGCTAAGTAGGCAAAGAACAACCCCCAACTTCCAGGGAGAATGCAGGAAATCAGCTAATTTTTTTTGTTCTAGTTTTGTATCTTTTAGTGTTCACATGTGCATATACACATAGATATGATTGACTATGCAATATGGGTAATTATGGACATTCATTATTTACCAGGTCCCCACTATGTGCCTTAAACTGTGCTGTGCGCTTGATTTATACCTTTGAACGTAAGTTCTTGGACTTATGAAGCAATTAAAGAGCTAGATTTTCGAGAATAATGAAGCCAATTAAAGAACAGTGAAGAATAATGAAGTCAATAATTAGTGAATAATAATGAAGAATAATGAAGTCAATTAAAGAGCTAGATTTTCGAGAATAATGAAGCAACCTATCTTTTTCTTTTTAAGAAAGGGTATGGTTCTGTTGCTCCGTCTGGAGTGCAGTGGTGCCAGTCATGGCTCACTGCACCCTTGACCTCCTGGGCTCAAGTGACCCACCCGGGCCTCCTAAAGTGATAGGCATGAGCCACCACACATGGCCAAGCAACTGTTATTTAATTAGAATTGTCATAAGTGCAGCTGTGACAAAGTACAGGGTGTTATAAAAGTGTAAAACAGAAAGACATAACCTAATTTGGAAGATTTGGGTAGGTTTCAATGAATAAGTTACAAATTAGTGAGAGAACTGAAGGAGGAACTGGCTAGGTGAAAAGTTGTGAAGTGAGCCTTGTGGGCAGAGGGAATGTAATGTGCAAAGGTCCTGAGATTGAACAGAGCTCGAAAACTTACAGGAATTGGAAAAAGGTTGGTGCTGTTGCAGCATTCTGAGCAAAGAGGAGAGTTGCCAAGATGAGTCTGGCCACATCATATAGGACTTTGTGGGCAATGTTAAAGAATTGTGACATTGGCCGGGCACAGTGGCTGATGCCTGTAATCCCAGCACTTTGGGAGGGCCAGGTGGGTGGTTCACCTGAGGTCAGGAGTCCGAGACTAGCCTGACCAATATGGTGAAACCCTGTCTCTACTAAAAGTACAAAAAAATTAGCCAGGCATGGTGGCTCACGCCTGTAGTCCCAGCTACTCAGGAGGCTGAGACAGGAAAGTTGCTTGAACCCAGGAGGCAGAGGTTACAGTGAGCTGAGATCGCACCACTGCACTCCAGCCTGGGCGACAGAGCGAGACTCCCTCTCAAAAAAAAAAAAAGGAAAAAGAAAAAGAATTGCGACATCATCCTGATAATAGAACAATTAGAAATTTTTTTTAAGGTAGTAAGTTTTTTAATACACTTAAAAATACAAGAGCACAGGCCAAGTGTGGTAGCTTGTGCCTATAATCCCAGCACTTTGTGAGGCCGAGGCAGGTGGATCACGAGGTCAGGAGTTCGAGACCAGCCTGACCAGCATGGTGAAACAACGTCTCTACTAAAAATACAAAAAAAATTAGCCAGGCATGGTGGCGCGCGCCTGTAATCCCAGCTACTCGGGAGGTTGAGGCAGGAGAATTGCTTGAATCCGGGAGGCAGAGGTTGCAGTGAGCTGAGATCACACTACTGCACTCCAGCCTGGGTGACAGAGTGAGACTCCATCTCAAAAAAAAAAAATAAAATACAAGAGCACAAATCCACATTTATTTATTGACTTTTCATTAGTTTAAATCCTTGAGGGGTCCAGCATCACTCAGATCTGTGTCCAATAGCCTTAGCAGGAAGATTGCTTCAGAATTTGCCACGAATCAGGCCACTGTTTCCGTGGGCCCAAGTTACCTTTACCCAGATTACTCTGGTTTTTTTGGTTTGCTGCCAGATGTCACTGTGTTGTTCTTTGCTTTGTGTACATAAGCGCATCTCTTGCCCAAATAGACTTCTGTTTCATCATGGGCATAAACATCTTCAATTTTAAGAAGAGCAGTCTACTCCCTTTGGTTCCGGAGACCCTGCTTATAGCTGGCAAAAATGGCCTTGGACCACAGCTCTCCAGACATAGTTCCTTTTAGAAGTCCTGTTCCTATTCCCAGCAGGCCTCCACAGGAACCAAGATGGTGGGAACAGAATTATTAGAAATTTTTTAAGCCAGGGGGAGATGTGCTCAAATTATGTTTTTTTGTTTGTTTTGTTTTGTTTGAGATGGAGTTTCGCTCTTGTTGCCCAGACTGGAGTACATTGGTGCGGTCTTGGCTCACTGCAACCTCCTCCTCCTGGGTTCAAGCGATTCTCCTGCTTCAGCCTCCCAAGTAGCTGGGATTACAGTCATGTGCCACCATGCCAGGCTAATTTTGTATTTTTAGTAGAAGCGGGGTTTCTCCACGTTGATCAGGCTGGTCTCGAACTCCTGACCTCAAGTGATCCACCCGCCTCGGCTTCCCAAAGTGCTGGGATTACAGGTGTGAGCCACTATGCCCGGCCAAATGTTGGGTTTTATAATGCAGTATTACTTAGCTGAAAATGGAGAATGGGCATGGGCACAAGTGGAAATGAAGACTCCAGTGAGATGACAGAGAGTCTAGCAAAAGATGAAGGCATTTTGAATAATAGTGATGATAGTGAAGTCTAAAGAAGTGTATAGATTCACAAAGCATTTAAAAGGTAGCATCAGGCTGGGTGTGGTGGCTCATGACTGTAATCCTAACAGCTGGGGAGGCTGAGGTGGGAAGATTGCCTGAGTCCATGAGTTTGAGACTAGGCTGCGCAACATAGGGAGACCCTGTCTCTACAAAAAATAAAATAAAAAATATTAGCCAGGCGTGGTGGTGTGTGCCTGCAGTCCCAGCTACCCAGAAGGCTGAGGTGGGAGGATCACTTCAGCATGGGAGGTTGAGGCTGCAGTGAGCCATGATTGTGCCACTGCACTCCAGCCTGGGTGATGGAAGGAGACCCTATTTCAAAATAAAATAAAGTAGGCCAGGCGCAGTGGCTCACCCCTGTAATCCCAGCACTTTGGGAGGCCGAGGCGGGTGGATCATGAGGCGGGTGGATCACGAGGTCAGGAGTTCGAGATCAGCCTGGTCAAGATGGTGAAACCCCATCTCTACTAAAAATATAAAAATTAGCTGGGCATGGTGGCGCATGCCTGTAGTCCCAGCTACTTGGGAGGCTAAGGCAGGAGAATCGCTTGAACCCGGGAGGCAGAGATTGCAGTGAGCCAAGATCGTGTCATTGCACTCCAGCCCGGGCGACAAGAGCGAAACTCCGTCTTAAAAATAAAATAAAGTAAATGAAAAGGTAGGATCCTGGGAGTGTGGGGATAAATTTGATATGATGAGATGATCAAGAGAGCTGCCATATTTTTCTGAAGGAATTTAGATTCCTCTCACTCCTCCCAGGAAAACAAAAGACTTATATTCTCTTTCTGGAATAAGACTATACTATTCAGGAAGCAGAAAGTAAACATTGAAAGTTTGGTCAACATGAAACATAACCTAGGCAAACATAGTTGGATGAGAGAGGGAAATGCCTACAAAAGGAGCTAAGTAAAAGCTGTACAGGTCTAGGGGCTTTTTGGTGGAATCAAAGGAATTAGAGGAGTTTCTGTTGAGGACCTACTTTTTGGACTCAACTCATGGCTGTGCTCCCCTGTGTCCCCTCACCCTTCATGGGCCTCATGGGTCACCCTGGTTTCTGAGACCTAGCTTCCCATGGTCTGACCCTCACCACTGTCACCTGCATCCCCTTTGTGAGCTTTGGGATTGAGGTCTATCTAGTTTCAGCCTCTGAGGCCAAACCACAGTGCCTCTTCTACCCTAATTAGATAAAACTGTGTTTCCTGTTAATAGCTGTCAGTTACTGAACACCCACTCCATGCCGTCCACTTTACTCTGCATGGAAGCTATCCCATATCACATTTAATCCTTCTAACAACTTTGAGGAAGATTCATTATCATTCTGCATTTTAAGATGAGGAAATGTGGAAAAATGAAGGTCAAGGAGTTTAAATGTCTGGCCCAAGTTAATAATTCCTATAATTGGCAGATCTGAGACTCCAACGCTGATCTACCCAACTGCACAGCCCAGACTTTACAGGCTACCGTGTCTAGTTTAGCCTCTCTGCTTCACCTCAATCTTAGCTCTGCCTAAGATTTGCGAGCCTGTCTGGAAACATTACTTGGATTTCTGATCATTTCCTTTGCCCGGCAGTGTTGAGAATTGGGGCCTATAAGAGGTGATTATGTCATGAGGGCTGTACTCTCATGAATGGATTGATGCCATTATCTCTGGAGTGGGTTAGTTATCATGGAGGTGGGTTTCTGATAAAAAAAAATGAGTTGGGGCTGGGCGCAGTGGCTCATGCCTATAATCCCAGTACTTTGGGAGGCTGAGGCGGGTGGATCACCTGAGGTCATGAGATCGAGACCAGCCTGACCAATATGGTGAAACCTCTGTCTCTACTGAAGATACAAAAGAGCCAGGCATGGTGGCATGTGCCTGTAGTCCCAGCTACTAGGGAGGCTGAGACAGGAGAATTGCTTGAACTCGGGAAGAAGAGGTTGCAGTGAGCCGAGATTGTGCCTCTGCACTCCAGCCTGGGCAACAGAGAGACACTCCATCTCAAAAAAAAAAAAGAAAGAGTTGAGACCGCTTCCTCTTCCCATCTCTTGCCCATCCAACAAGGCCCTCACGAAATTCTGGCACCTTGATATTAAACTTTCCAGCCTCCAGAACTGTGATAAATAAATTTCTTTTTAAAATAAATTACCAGTCGGTGGCATTCTGTTATAACAACACAAAACAGAGTAAGAGAGCTTGCCATTCTTGTATTACATCCTGATTCCTTCCAACTTTGCCATGATGGCACACAGGAAGAGCCAGAGCCCAGTCTCTGAGAAAACAATTTCTGTCAATGTAACTTTAATTGGAACATTTAGGGCAAGAGGATTAATTATTGGGCAACTTTACTGCTTAGTCTACTTTTTTTTCTGACACAGAGTCTCGCTCTGTCACTCAGGCTGGAGTGCAGTGGCGTGATATTGGCTCACTGCAAACTCCACCTCCCACCACCTAAGTCTGGCCCTGCTTAGTCTGCTTGATTATTTGTTATTTTTCTCTTAAGTCTTTTCCTGTATGCTTGGTTTTCTTCAAGACCGTTTTGATTAAAGCCACTTTTTGTTTCACTGCTGTTTTTCTCTGAATGTGAACACAGAAATATGTGTTAGGTTTATGTATGCAGCTGTTTATTCCTGCATTATCTTGTATTGGTAAAAATCTGAAATAAACTACATGTCCATATTGAGTCTGGTTAAATAAAAGATGATAACATATGGCCCAGAGTGGTGGCTCACGCCTGTAATCCTAGCACTTTGGGAGGCCAAGGTGGGCAGATCACTTGAGCTCAGGAGTTCAAGACCAACCTGGCCAACATGGTGAAACCCCATCTCTACTCAAAATACAAAAATTAGCCAGGCGTAATGGTGCATGCCTGTAATCCCAGCTACTCTGGAGGCTGAGGCAGAACTTGGGAGGCAGAGGTGAGCCAAGATCGCACCACTGCACTCCAGCCTGGACGACAGAGTGAGACTCCGTCTCAAAAACAAAAATTATCCAGGTGTGGTGGTGTGTGCCTGTAGTCCCAGCTACTCCAGAGACTGAGGTAGGAGGGTTGCTTGAGCCCTGGAGGCAGAGGTTGTGGTGAGCCAGAATTGCATTGCTGTACTCCAGCCTGGGCAACAAAGCAAAGCCCTGTTTCAAAAAAAAAAAAAAAAACAGAGAGAGAGGTTATTGGACTTTAGATTGACTGGAGCTTCGAGATTTTTGTTATTTTTTTAGTTTCCTTTTCTTTACCACTTAAAAAAAATACCATTGAGAGCAAGCTTATTTTAAAATTAGATTTTTTTGTTTGTTTGTTTTTGTTTTTGTTTTGAGATGGAGTTTTGCTCTTGTCACCCAGGCTGGAGTGCAGTGGTGCAATCTCAGCTCACTATAACCTCAGTCTCCCGGGTTCGAGAGATTCTCCTGCCTCAGCCTCCCAAGTAGCTGGAATTATAGGCGCCTGCCACCACGCCTGGCTAAAATTTTTTTTTTTTTGAGACAAAGTCGCGCTCTGTTGTCAGGCTGGAGTGCAGTGGTGCGATCTCCGCTCACTGCAACCGCTGCCTCCCTGGTTCAAGTGATTCTCCTGCCTCAGCCTCCCGTGTAGATGGGATTACAGGCATCTGCCACCACGCCCAGCTAATTTTGTATTTTTAGTAGAGAGGGGGTTTCTCCATGTTGGTCAGGCTGGTCTCGAACTCGACCTCAGATGATCCGCCCACCTCGGCCTCCCAAAGTGCTGGGATTACAGGCGTGAGCCACTGCACCCAGCTGCCACTACTTTCAATGTCAAAAACCACAATTACTTTTGCACCGACTACACCTAGTATCTACTGTTTCTAACTTACATATCTAAAACTCTTGGTTCAGGTCTCAATGGTACAATTTATTCAATGACAATATGCAAAGGGTTTTGTGTTTCTGTAGTGCACTGGTTCTCAAAGGACATTGTCAAAATCTCTAAGATTAACCCAAGTTTGTGGGCTGTTTCTGGGATTTCCAAAATTTAACAGGCACTGGGGTACAGAAGAAAAAGCATGAAGGTTGAAGCTGATAGACATGGATCAAAGCCTAATTCATCTCTCAGCTAGTTTCAAAACAGAAGCCAAGTTAAACTGTCTAGGCTTTATTTTCTCATCTTTAAAATGGGGAGAGAAATATTAACTCAGAGGGTTGTGGGGAGACCTGAATTAGAGTATGCCCATGGAGCAACTGGTGAATGGAAGGTGCTCAAGTCCACAGGTGTGTTCTCACTCCCTCTAGTAACAAAACAGTGCAGTCGGCCTGCCACACTTGCAGTTTACATCCTAGATCCAACCAACTGCAGATCAAAAATGTTCAGAAAAAAACAAATAATAAAAAGCAATAATACAACAATAAAAATTATACAAATAAAAAACACAGTATAACAACCATTTAAATAGCACTTACATTGTATTAAGGTATTATAAATAACCTAGAGATTTAGAATATTTGGAAGGATGTACATAGGTTACATACAAATTTGACACCATAGTATATGCACCAGAATATATTAGGGACTTGAACATGCGCGGATACGCGCAGATTTTGGTATCCGTGGGGACAGAGTGGGGTGTCCGGGAACCCTGGAGGCTTGTGTTAAAATGCTCTTTGCGGCTCGCTATATTGTAAGGCGGTGCCAGCTGCCGCGGCAGCCGATTACCCGAGTCTCGCTCCTGCATGGCCAGTGAGCCCCTGGCTGGGGTGGGAGCCTCAATGTCTCAGGCTGTGCAGACAAAAGGAACTCAACCATTAAGCAAAACATGGGAACTCAGTTTATATGAGTTACAATGAACACCTCAGTGACTCTCTTACAGAAGGCAATAACAGATGGCTTAGAAATTGTGGTTTCACCTCGAAGTCTGCACAGTGATTTAATGTGCCCAATTTGTTTGGATATGTTGAAGAACACCATGACTACAAAGGAGTCTTTACATCGTTTCTGTGCAGACTGCAACATCATAGCCCTTAGAAGTGGCAACAAAGAATGTCTTACCTGTTGGAAAAAACTAGTTTCCAAAAGATCACCAAGGCCAGACCCAAAGTTTGATGCACTCATCAGCAAAATTTATCCAAGTCGTGATGAATATGAAGCTCATCAAGAGAGAGTATTAGTCAGGATCAGCAAGCACAATAATCAGCAAGCACTCAGTCACAGCATTGAAGAAGGACTGAAGATAACTGCAGCGAGGCAAGAAACAATAGATTGAAAATGGTAGTGGAGCAGAAGATAACGGTGACAGTTCACACGGTAGTAATGCCTCCACACATAGCAATCATGAAGCAGGCCCTAGTAACAAATGAACCAAAACAACTGATGATTCTGGGCTTGAGCTTGATAATAACAATGCAGCAATGGAAATTGATCCAGTAATGGATGGCGCTAGTGAAATCGAATTATATTCAGGCCTCATCCCACACTTATGGAAAAAGATGACAGTGCACAGACAAGATACATAAAGACTTCTGGTAACACCACTGTTGATTACTTATCCAAGTATCTGGCTGTGAGGTTAGCTTTAGAAGAACTTCGAAGCAAAGGTGAATCAAACCAGATGAGCCTTGATACAGCCAGTGAGAAGCAGTATACCACTTATATAGCAACAGCCAGTGGCCAGTTCACTGTATTAAATTGCTCTTTTTCTTTGGAATTGGTCAGTGAGAAATACTAGAAAGTGAACAAACCCATGGAACTTTACTATGCACATACAAGGGAGCACAAATGAGCTTTTAAAAACCAATTCTGAGACTGAACTTTTTTATAGTGCATTTCTTTAATATTAAAGATGTACCAGCCGGGCGCGGTGGCTCACGCCTGTAATCCCAGCACTTTGGGAGGCCGAGGCGGGCGGATCACAAGGTCAAGAGATCGAGACCACCGTGAAACCCCGTCTCTACTAAAAATACAAAAAATTAGCCGGGCACATTGGCAGGCACCTGTAGTCCCAGCTACTCGGGAGGCTGAGGCAGGAGAATGGCGTGAACACGGGAGGCGGAGCTTGCAGTGAGCTGAGATCGCGCTACTGCACTCCAGCCTGGGTGACAGAGCGAGACTCCGTCTCAAAATAAATAAATAAATAAATAAATAAAAATAAAGATGACTGGCATTACTTTTATGGACAGATCTTGGATATGTTGTTCAGTTTTCTTTCTGAGCCAGACTCGTTTACGCTATTCAAATCTTTTCCCCTTAACTTAAGATTTCCTTTTTGGAAGGGACTGCAATTATTCAGTACTGTTTTCTTTTCTTTAAAAAAAATACCTGAAGTTTCTTGTGGGTTTTTTCCCCCCACAAAGTGTGGTTCCACTTGGAGCACCCTTTGACCCAGGAATTTTTCATAGTTTCTGTATTCTTAAAGATTCAGTTGGCTGTCCTTTTCCCGCTCCCCTCAAAAGATTTTTAGTCATACACAATGTTAAATATTATGTATTCCGACTTTTTTTCCCCTGGAGTCTTGTATATTCATAGTTTTCTATATAAACTGTGGTACCATCATGAAGACCCAAGGCTCAAATTTACTGTCCTTAAAAACAGTTCTCATAGGATTATTCTTTTCATGGTATTTCTTTCATAATATCTCATTTTAAAAAGAAGTTCTTTATGAACTTAGTGTCCATTGTCATGCAGTGTTATTTTTTTTTTCCATTTTTCCCGCATAATTTTGGAATTTCTGGTCCTGGAAAGAATCAAACAAAATCTTAAGTTCCATGAGAACTTGGTTCATGAACAGATTTTGCTGAAGAAAGAAAAATTAAATTGGTAGTAAAATACAGTCTTCAAGTATTAAAAAAAAATGCTCTTTGCTGAGGGAAAACACTAGATTAGTTTGTTAGGGCGCATCTAATTTTTTAATGTGACCATTAGATGGCAGCATTCAGGTGGGATTTCCTGTATCAGACCAAAGGCTTCTCCCCTCTCCCCACTTCCACCCAAAACACAAAAACAAGCTATCCTTCTGAGTGCCTCAGTTGGAACAGCAATTGAGGGATACTGTTTGGGAACGCGATTGCCAAGGGCGAAACTAAAAGAATTCTACTAGGTAGAAGAGGGGAATAATAATAAGAGTTGATAGTATTTACATGCACTAGGCATTCACTGTTCTAAGCACTTTTATATATGTTAAAATAAAGGGTAGGTAAATAAATTAACAAAACTCCAGTCCACAAACCCCCGTCTCATATAGAGGGGAGCTATAAAACTTTTTTTTGTTGTTACAGACAGGTCTCACTCTCACCCATGCTGCAGTGCAGTGACATGTGCTTGTAGCTCATTGCAGCCTCCAACTTTTGGGCTCAAGCAATCCTCTTGCCTCAGGCTCCTGAGTAGCTGGGACTACAGGTGCCTGCCACCATGCCGGCTATTTTTTATTTTATAATAAAATAATAAAATACCTAATGTATATTTTATATTGTTAAATATAATATTTATATTATATATAAATACAATGTAATATTAATATAACATTAATATAATTAAAATATAATATTTATATAATTATAATATAATAATAAGGCTGGGCGCAGTGGCTCATGCCTGTAATCTCAGCACTTTGGGAGGCCGAGGCCAACATGGTGAAACCCCATCTCTACTAAAAATAGAAAAAGTAGCCGGGTGCGGTGGCAGGCGCCTGTAATCCCACCTACTCCGGAGGCTGAGGCAGGAGAATCACTTGAACCCTGGAGGTGGAGGTTGCAGTGAGCCGAGACTGCGCCACAGCACTCCAGCCTGGGCGACAGAGCAAGACTCCATTTCAATAATAATAATAAAAATAAAATAAAATAAAAATAGCCATCATGGTGCCAAGCACCTATAGTCCCAGCTACTCAGGAGGCTGGGCAACCACCTTTGAGAAAAGGCTATCTAGTCACAACTGCTTTTTTTTTCTTTCTTTCTTTCTTTTTTTAATAGAGACAGGGTTTTGCCATGTTGCCCAGACTGGTCTTAAACTCCTGGGCTCAACCTATCTGCCTGCTATGGCCTCCCCAAAGTGTTGGGATTACAGGCTTGAGCCACTGGGCCTGGCTTACAAATATTATTATTTTTTTTGAGATGGAGTTTTGCTCTTGTTGCCCAGGCTGGACTGCAATGGCATGATCTAGGCTCACTGCAACCTCTGCCTCCCAGGTTCAAGCGATTTTCCTGCCCCAGCCTCCCGAGTAGCTGGGACGACAGGTGCGTGCCACGACGCCCAGCTGATTTTTGTATTTTTAGTAGAGACAGGGTTTCACCATGTTGGCCAGGCTGGTATCGAACTCCTGACCTCAGGTGATCTGCCTGTGTCAGCCTCCCAAAATGCTAGGATTACAGGCGTGAGCCACTGCACCCGGCATGAAAGAGTGACCTTTGGAAACTGACTGAGTCTGTTCCTCTTCTTGGGAGCTGCTGCTTTTCTTTTTTTTGAGACAGAGCCTTGCTCTGTCACCCAGGCTGGAGTGCAGTGGCGCGATCTCGGCTCACTGCAAGCTCCACCTCCCAGGTTCACGCCATTTTTCTGTCTCAGGCTCCCGAGTAGCTGGGACTACAGGCGCCCGCCACCACACCCGGCTAATTTTTTGTATTTTAGTAGAGACGGGGTTTCACTGTGTTAGCCAGGATGGTCTCGATCTCCTGACCTCGTGATCTGCCCGCCTCAGCCTCCCAAAGTGCTGGGATTACAGGCGTCAGCCACCGCACCCAGCCAGAGGAAGACTCTTAACAAATCTTGTCCATTGGAAAGGCACTGACTCAAATCTGCAGAACAAATCTTACTAAACAAGCATTGTTTACTATACTTTCTCTGGTCATCTCCCCACTACTTGCCTCCCCATTCCCAGAAACCCAAAACTCCTTTTCTTCTGTTTAGTCTGAGATGTTATATCAGTCCCAGTTCTAACCAGCCCTTGGGGTTACTCATATGGGTGTTTCCACGTATACATGCAAGATGCACAAGTTAGTGAACTTCTGTTTGCTTTACTCATGCTAATCTGTCTTTTGCCAGACTAGTTTACAGGGACTCAGCTGGAGACCCTAAGATGAGTAAAGGAAAATTACTTCTTTTCTCCCATGCATATGTTTCATCTTGACTCTACTTGGCTTTTTTTCCTCTTCATTTTTTGTGAAGGCTGTATGTGTCTGGGCTTCAATATTTTCAAATGTATGGATGAGTTGTTCGTCTTCTTGCAGTATCTTTTTTTTTTTTTTGAGATGGAGTCTTGCTGTGTCGCCCAGGCTGGAATGCAATGGCACGATCTTGGCTCACTGCAACCTCTGCCTCCCGGTTTCGAGCAATTCTCCCATCTCAGCCTCCTGAGTAGCTGAGATTAAGGACACCCGCCATCATGCCCAGCTAATTTTTTGTATTTTTGTAGAGACAGGGGTTTCACCATATTGGCCAGGCTGGTCTCGAACTCCTGACCTCAGGTGATCTACCCACCTCGGCCTCCTAAAGTGGTGGGATTACAGGTGTCAGCCACTGTGCCTGGCCATTGCAGTGTCTTTATATCCAATGCACTCACTTTCTAAAATGCATAGAGGATGTTCTATGTGCTATTCCAGAGGTCATTTTTGCAGAGATAATGGCATTTGAGATAAAACACCCATGGTTTATTTGCTCTTTTCACAAGCTGGTCACTGAGTGAACTTTGGAATTGACTCTGATACCTGTTGGTGTAAAGCTCTGTCCAGGCAGTGCTGGATTACACCACCATGGCCAGCAAAGCCAGGAAACTCCATGTGGAAGGGAAAGGCCTCAGTGAGGTGACCCACTTAAGTGTTTTGCCCAATGCCACAAGGGGGGCAAAGTCTGACCATTCTGAAAACTTGTTCCTGTTCCCTTGAGCCACTGTGGGATTTCCTCCCATCTTTAATCACTGGCCATCATAAGCAGTGATTGGAATCGGGTGCATTCCTTCCTTGTCATTCACTCTGTAGCCTTGCACAAATGGGCTGACCTGGGGTTAATTGTTACCTCAGAGGTCACAGGGATCTCCTGCGCACACATTCCATGCAGTCTTTTCCTGTTTCCCTTCCCTCTGACCTCACCGGGTTGTCTGGTCACAGTGTCCCCACCCCATTTATGACATTTTCTCCTCTTTGGTCTCCAGGACTCTATGCTGCCCTGCCTCCTCTCTCTCAAGACTTCTTTGCTTCCTTAAGGAGCTTTGCTCTCGCTCAAGTATAGGTGACCCTCAAGGTTTGGTTGGATCTGTGTGGTTGAATCCTTTCCCAAACAGCCTGCTTGAACACTGTATGCTAACTCACTTCCCCTCACCCAACCCCTGGAGATAGCTCTGGAGCTCAGATCCCTCAACCTGACCTCTGACCTCCACCACACAGGAGCAACTGGCCTGCTCTGTCCTTCCCCTTCGATGCTCCCACCAACCCCCAAGCTCACCTTTCTGGAGCTAGTCAGCTTCCTACACCCTGGACCCACTCTTCACGGACAGCCCTGTTTCCATTATGGTGGCCAAAACCCTCCCATTTGTTAGACTCACATCTCAGGAATGACCTTTGATCATTCACCTGTAAGTAGCAGTAAGGGTCTTCATTGCATTTTACTAATATCAAGTAACTGTTTTTTGTTTTGTTTTGTTTTAGACGGAGTCTCACTCTGTTGCCCAGGCTGGAGGGCAGTGGCACTATCTTGGCTCACTGCAACCTCCGCCTCCCAGGTTCAAGCATTCTCCTGTCTCAGCCTCCTGAGTAGCTGGGACTACAGACGCTTGCCACCACGCCTGGCTAATTTTTGTATTTTTAGTAGAGACGAGGTTTCACCATCTTGGCCAAGCTGGTCTTGAACTCCTGACCTCAGGTGATCTGCCTGCCTTGGCCTCCCAAAGTGCTGGGATTACAGGCGTGAGCCACCGTGCCAGGCCAAGTAACTGGTTTTTGTTTGTTTGTTTGTTTGTTTACAAATAGGACTTTTTGTCACTATTAAAAGTCTGAATTTTAAACAGATACTTGAATTGGTGGTTCATATCTATCAGCTCATTCAACTTTAGCACCTGTCTTGTCCCCAGGAGCTTTTCCAGAACTACTGCCTTGACCATGAAGCTCAATGAATTTTCCCAATTCAAACTTGGGCCGCTTTTCTTTTGAGATGGAGTCTTGCCCTGTCGCCCAGGCTGGAGTGCACTGGTGCTATCTCAGCTCACTGCAATGTCCGCCTCCCGGGTTCAAGCGATTCTCCTGCTTCAGCCTCCTGCGTAGCTGGGATTACAGGCGTGCCATCACACCTAGCTAATTTTTCTATTTTTAGTAGAGATGGGGTTTCACCATGTTGGTCAGGCTGGTCTCAAAATCCTGACCTGGTAATCCGCCCGTCTCAGCCTCCCAAAGTGCTGGGATTACAGGTGTGAGCCACTGCGCCCCGCATGCATTTTCACTTTTCTAATCAGGACATCAGGCAGAGGATAAATAGACTGGTAAGCCTTTTCTTTGTCTTTTCCAATGCTATCTGGAATCAATTTATTGACCACCTTTTCAAGTCACTTTTCTGCACCTCTCAGGTCATGTTTTCAGTCATCTCCTTGGCATACTTGTTGGTATGTGTGTAAGAGGTTTTCTGTATCTGACTGGTTTTTTTTTTTTTTTTGAGACGGAGTCTTGCTCTCTTGCCCAGGTTGGAGTGCAGTGGTGCAACCTTGGCTCACTGCAACCTCTGCCTCCTGCGTTCAAGCAATTCTCCTGCCTCAGCCTCCCAAGTAGGTGGGATAACTGGTATGTGCCAGCACACCCAGCTAATTTTTTTTTTTTTTTTTTTTTAGTAGAGACAGGGTTTCACCATGTTAGCCAGGCTGGTCTCGAACTCCTGACCTCAGGTGATCCGCCTGTCTCAGCCTCACAAAGTGCTGGGATTACAGGTGTGAGCCACAGCGCCTGGCCGACTGTTGTTTTTTACCAACACAGAATAGGCAAAGCAAGCAGTAGTAGTCTTGGTAAGCAAGACATTGGCAGTCTTGACATTAACATGAGCTGCAATCATTGCCCTTTTTTCACCATGGAACACATTTTGTCACTGCTAAGATCCATGCCATGCAAGTTAGGCGTTTTTGCTCTGAACATCCTCGATAATAAGCTTGACTTTTCTAAATGCAACTTCATCATTCAGCAAGGTTCACTTCAAACAAATGACCCTTGAGCAAACAGAGACAAATTTTCATTTCTGGAGTCCTGCTGACTAGTATTTCCCAATATTTCTTACACTGAACATAGCAGGTGCTTCCACATCATACCAGTCTTTCTTAGAAGATGGATCGAATACCTTCTTCTTGGCTCCCTTTTTGCTGCCTTTCATAAGGAGCTTGTTCTTGCCAACCACCAAGTCGCTGCTCGAAGAGCCAGAAAGGTGGAAATGCAACTCATATGAGAATTTAGGCATAGAGGGCAGGGTGTGCCATCTATGTGACCTCTCATGTAATATCTTCATTGTTAAATTTTTATTTGTCTTTTTTAAGCCTTGCCTAACTAAGCAACACCTTAAGAAATTTGGCTACCAACTCACAGCTGTTCCTTTCAATATTTTTGTTTTAAAAAATTTTTCGGGAGTGTATTCCTCCACCGTGATCCCCTCCCCCCACTAATATTAGGCTTAATTATATATATTTTAAAACTTAATTTTGGCCGGGTATGGTGGCTCATGCCTGTAATCCCAGCATGTTAGGAGGCCGAGGCAGGCGGATCACCTGAGGTCATGAGTTCGAGACCAGCCTGGCCAACATGTTGAAACCCCGTCTCTACTAAAAGTACAAAATATAGCTGGGTGTGGTGGCACGTGCCTGTAATCCCAGCTACTAGGGGGTGCTGACACAGAATTGCTCGAACCCGGGAGGTGGAGGTTGCAGTGAGCCAAGAACACACCACTGCATTCCAGCCTGGGCGACAGAGTGAGACTCCATCTCAAAAAAGAAAACCCAACTTAATTTTATCTATTTTTTTTTCTTTTTTTTGAGACGGAGTCTCTTCTCTGTCACCCAGGCTGGAGGGCAGTGGTGCGATCTCGGCTCACTGCAACCTCCGCCTCCCAGGTTCAAGCAATTCTCCTGTCTCAGCCTCCCGAGTAGCTGGGATTATAGGTGTGTGCCACCACACCCGGCTATTTTTTGTATTTTTAGTAGAGATGAGGTTTCGAACTCCTGAGCTCAGGTAATTTGCCTGCCTTGGCCTCCCAAAGTGCTAGGATTACAGGCATGAGCCACCATGCCTAGCCTATTTTTTTTTTTTGAAGAGACAGAGTCTCACTGTTGCCCAGGCTAGAGTGCAGTGGTACAATCATAGCTCACTGCACCCTTGAACTCCTGAGCTCAAGTGATCCTCCACCTCAGCCTCCCAAGTAGTTGAGACGACAGGTGCATGTCACCAAGTCTTGCTAATTTTTTCTTTTTTTGAGACAGAGTCTCACTCTGTCGCCCAGGCTGGCGTTCAGTGGCACTATCTCAGCTCACTGCAAGCTCCGCCTCCTGGGTTCACACCATTCTCCTGCCTCAGCCTCCTGAGTAGGTGGGACTACAGGTGCCCGCCACCATGCCCGGCTTTTCGTATTTTTAATAGAGACAGGGTTTCACTGTGTTAGCAAGGATGGTCTCCATCTCCTGACCTCGTGACCCACCCACCTCGGCCTCCCAAAGTGCCGGGATTACAGGCGTGAGCCACCGCGCCTGGCCCTTTTCTTTCTTTCTTTCTTTTTTTTTTTTTTTGAGACGGAGTTCCACTGTTGATGCCCAGGCTGGAGTACAGTGGCGCGATCTCGGCTCACTGCAATCTCCACCTCCTAGGTTCAAGCAATTCTCTTGCCTCAGCCTCCCGAGCAGCTCGGATTACAGGCACCCACCACCATGCCTAGCTATTTTTTGTATTTTTTAGTAGAGACAGGGTTTAGCCACGTTGGCCAGGCTGGCCTTGACTTCCTGACCTCAGGCAATCCGCCCAATCGGCCCACCTTGGCCTCCCAAAGTGATGGGATTACAGGCATGAGCCACCGCACCAAGCCAACTTTTTCTTTTTTGTAGAGATGGGGTCTTGCTATATTGCCCAGGCTGGTCTCCAACTCCTGGTATCCAGCAGCTGTCCTGCCTCAAACTCTCAAAGTGCTGGGATTACAGGCATGAGCCACTATGCCTGATCAATCTCTCCTTTTTAAAATGATTGAATTATTAGCATTTAAATGTATAGCCATATTAACTTATTCTGACTTAAGAGTCCCAACTTTCTTCTTGACCTATCTGTAAATACAGAAGCTAGAAAACTACAACCCCAGGCCAGGCGTGGTGGCTCATGCTTGTAATCTGAGCACTTTGGGAGGCTGAGGTGGGCAGATCACCTGAGGTCGGTAGTTCAAGACCAGCCTGACCAACATGGAGAAACCCCGTCTCTACTAAAAATACAAAATTAGCTGGGCATGGTGGCACATGCCTGTAATCCCAGCTACTCTGGAGGCTAAGGCAGGAGAATCACTTGAACCCAGGAGGCGGAGGTTGCAGTGAGCTGAGATTGGGCCATTGCACTCCAGCCTGGGCAACAAGAGCAAAACTCCGTCTCAAAAAAACAAAAAAAAAAAGGCCGGGCGCAGTAGCTCGCACCTGTAATCCCAGCACTTTGGGAGGCCAAGGCGGGCGGATCACGAGGTCAGGAGATCGAGACCATCCTGGCTAACACGGTGAAACCCCGTCTCTACTAAAAATACAAAAAAAATTAGCTGGGCGTGGTGGTGGGAACCTGTAATCACAGCACTTTGGGAGGCCGAGGCGGGCGGATCACGAGGTCAGGAGATCGAGACCATCCTGGCTAACACGGTGAAACCCCGTCTCTACTAAAAATACAAAAAAAATTAGCTGGGCGTGGTGGTGGGAACCTGTAATCACAGCACTTTGGGAGGCCGAGGCGGGCGGATCACGAGGTCAGGAGATCGAGACCATCCTGGCTAACACGGTGAAACCCCGTCTCTACTAAAAATACAAAAAAAATTAGACGGGCGTGGTCGCGGGCATCTGTAATCCCAGCTACTTGGGAGGTTGAGGCAGGAGAATGGAGTGAACCCGGGAGGCGGAGCTTGCAGTGAGCAGAAATCGCCCCACTGCACTCCAGCCTGGGCGACAGAGCAAGACTCCGTCTCAAAAAAAAAAAAAAGGCCCGGCGCGGTGGCTCACGCCTGTAATCCCAGCACTTTGGAAGGCTGAGGCGGGCGGATTACGAGGTCAGGAGATCGAGACCGCGGTGAAACCCCGTCTCTACTAAAAATACAAAAAAAAAAATTAGCCGGGCGCAGTGCAGGCGCCTGTATTCCCAGCTACTCGGGAGGCTGAGGCAGGAGAATGGCGTGAACCCGGGAGGCGGAGCTTGCAGTGAGCCAAGATCGCGCCACTGCACTCCAGCCTGGGCGACAGAGCGAGACTCCGTCTCAAAATAAATAAATAAATAAATAAAAATAAAAATAAAAAAGAAAAGCAGAACCTCCCTGGCAGATAGGTGTGTAAGTGGGTCTTTTTGAAAACCTGTGTAAAAGGATGCCTAGGTGCTGACTTGTTTCTTCCTAATGGTCCAACCTCTAGCATTCGTGCTCAGCCTAGGGTCTGAGTGGCTGCTCCTGACCTGGATCTTGCAGGAGGAGTTTGCGGAGGTTACACAACTTGCTCAATACCTAGGGGACTGGCATCAAATCAGCCCATCCATGATATTTAATATAAAGATATGTATCAGAGATTAGGGGGTGGCTAAAGTACCCCCCAATTCTCTTATTCTGTACCAGACATTACTCTGGATTTATAATACTCACATCTTTTGAATGATATAGTTTTTGCCATTTGATATCTTGTGAGCATTTATTACAAGATTTCAGCCCAGTAAACGACCAAAGAGGTCTTGATCTTATTGCATCATGTTGATTTACCCAAGTTAGGAACATTGTGATAAAAGCAAATAAAAATAGCAGTCTCTTTAAATATTTGGGTTTGCAAAGACTAACACTCTGGTAGTATAAGAAGAAGAAGGGAAGGAAATGATGACTTATTCAAAACTCACAATGACTGTATTTTACAAATGAGAAACAGAGGCAGAATAAAGTTAAGTAAACTGCTACAATGTACATTTTCAGTAAGTGGCAGAGCCGGGACTCATCCATAGGGATCTTGGTCAGGACTGAGATCCAGCTCCCATTCCCACAGCAAATCACGATTTACTTGGGGTAGCCCCCTGACTTGGCCAGGGCATGAATGTCTTCTGTGCGATTTTTTTTTCCATTAAAAAACACATTGGGCCAGGTGCAGTGGCTCACACCTGTCATCCCAGCACTTTGGGAGGTCAACGGGGGCTGACTGCTTGAGGCCAGGAGTTCGAGACCAGCCTGGGGAACATGGTGAAACTCCATCTCTACAAAAAATATAAAAATTAGCTGGGCATGGTGGTGAGCACCTGTAGTCCTAGCTTCCCAGTGGGGAGGGCAGGTGCTGCTGAGGCGGGAGGATTGCTTGATTCCGGGAAGGCAAGGTTGTGGTGAACCAAGATCGCACCACGGCACTCCAGCTTGGGCAATGGAGCAAGACCCAGTCTCAAAACAAAACAAAACTAAAAAAATCCATTGCATTAAAAAAAAGTTTTATTAAAAACAACAACAACACACTTCAAAGCTGGGAGTGGTGGCATGTGCCTGTATTTCCAGCTACTTGGAAGGCTGAAATGGGAATATCTTTTGAGCCTAGGAGTCAGAGGCTACAATAAGCTATGATCATGTCACTGTACTCCAGCCTGGGTGACAGAGGGAGATCCTGTCTTTAAAACCACACAAAAAAATTGGTTGGGCGTGGTGGCTCACGCCTGTAATCCCAGCACTTTGGGAGGCCGAGAAAGGCGGATCACCTGAGGTCAGGAGTTTGAGACCAGCCTGGCCAACACAGTGAAACCCCGGGTCTACTAAAATAGAAAAATTAGCCAGGTTATGGTGGCATGGGCCTGTAGTCCCAGCCACTCAGGAGGCTGAGGCAGGAGAATCGCTTGAAACCGGGAGGCGGAGGTTGCAGTGAGCCGAGATCGCGCCACTGCACTCCAGTCTGGGCAACAGTATTGTTTTTGAGACACAGTCTTGCTCTATCACCCAGGCTGGAGTGCAATGGTGCGATCTCAGCTCACTGCAACCTTCGCCTCCAGGTTCAAGTGATTCTTCTGCCTCAGCCTCCTGAGTAGTTTGGATTACAGATGCCCACCACCATGCCCGGCTAGTTTTTGTATTTTTAGTAGAGACGGGGGTTTCACCATGTTGGTCAGGCTGGTCTCGAACTCCAAGCCTCAGGTAATCTGCCCGCCTTGGCCTCCCAAAGTGCTGGGATCACAGACATGAGCCACCAGGCCTGGGGGTAAAAAATTTAAATATAAATAAAGTTTCAAGGAAAAGAGCTAGAACCAAAAAAAGAGTATTTTCTATTGGATCTATAGAAAGAGCAGTACCTATTATTTATGCGTGAAACTTACAATTTGAATGAGACAGTTCAGAGCCATGGGGTTGTGTTGAGTCACCGGCCAGCTGTACATTAAAATCCTGATACACACACACACAAACACACAAAGTAATAGCCAGGTGTGGAAGCAAATGCTCTATGCACATTGCCCGTGTGTCCTTAACAGTAAATTAGTGGCCTCTGGGCTTTGAATCAGTCTTTGGCTTTCTGTCCTTTCACAATCCTGTGCTGGTCAATGAGATACTTGAAGGCAGGTCCTCCTCTAGTGCATTTTCTCTACCACCTGTGACCACAGTTATCTTTTCGAATCTGCCTTTCCTCTTTAATTGTAATAAACGAAGAAGTATCTACTTCATAAATTTGCTCTTCGATAAATCCAAGGACTCTAGCTGGACACTCACAGGGCCAGTTAAGAGCTGAGTGGATTTTCTCTTTAAAGGAAGTCATACTGAGTTGTTAATGAGGCTTGGCATGGCAGTAATTGCTTTCAAAGGAGAAACTAGTTAACACAAATGTATCTTTAATTAGCTTATAGTGGGAAGTGATATTTTTGGACAGGGCCCCTGTATCCCTCCATTCCCTCCTTCCCCACTTCACACTTAGCCAGCCAGGAAAGAATATTAAGGTACCAACCTTGCATCTAAATCCTTTATAATTCTGCTTCTCTTGGGAAAGAAAGTATCACCTGGGAGCTAGTCCTGCTTGGCTGTTTTATTAGGAATCCAGAATCTGCATATGTCATATCTCATCTTTAGTAAAAGAATCTGAGAGGTCACAGCATGGCATTAAACCTAGTGCAATAACATTGACATTCATATAGAAACTTCACTTCTGGCTGGGTGCGGTGGCTCACGCCTGTAATCCCAACACTCTGGGAGGCTGAAGCAGGCAGATCACTTGAGGTCAGGAGTTTGAGACCAGCCTGGCCAACATGCTGAAACCCTGTCTCTACTAAAAATACAAAAATAAGGCCGGATGCAGTGGCTCACACCTGTAATCCCAGCACTTAAAGGAGGCCGAGGCTGGCGGATCACCTGAGGTTGGGAGTTCGAGACCAGCCTGACTAACATGGAGAAACCCCGTCTCTACTAAAAATACAAAATTAGCTGGGCGTGGTGGCACATGCCTGTAATCCCAGCCACTTTAGGAGGCCCAGGTGGGCAGACTGCTTGAGCCCAGGAGTTCAAGACCAGCCTCCGTCTTGCTCCATCACTAGGCTAAAGTGCAGTAGTGTGATTGTGGCTCAAGCAATCCTCCCACCTCAGCCTCTCCAGTTTCAGGGACCACAGGCACATGCCACCACACCTGACTAGTTTTCGCCTTTTTCATCCATGTCTCTGCAAGGACATGAACTCATTCTTTTTTATGGCTGCATAATATTCCATGGTGTACATATTATTAAGTCAAGAACTTTCACCTTTTCACTTAAAGGAAGTGCTTTACAGCTTCTCTGTGGCATATCCAAATTGCCAGCATCACTATTCTGAAATTTTGGGCCATTATTAAGTAAAACACAACACTGCAATATCCTGATGGTCAATCTGAGAATGGGACAACTGAGAAAGCTACGAAGTGACTGAGGGTGCACAGCATAAACAGCATGGATACACTGGACGAAGGGATGAATCACATCCCAGGCGCGATGGGGCAGGACAGTGTGAGATTTTGTCATGCTCCTTGGAACAGCATGTAGCTTAAAACTTATGAACTGTTGGCTGGGCACGGTGGCTCATGCCTGTAATCCCAGCACTTTGGGAGGCTGAGTCGGGTGGATCACCTGAGGTCAGGAGTTCGAGACCAGCCTGACCAACATGGAGAAGCCCTGTTTCTACTAAAAATACAAAATTAGCCGGGCATGGTGGTGCATGCCTGTAATCCCAGCTACTCAGAAGGCTGAGGCAGGAGAATCGCTTGACTCCGGGAGGCGGAGGTTGTGGTGAGCTGAGATCGCGCCACTGTACTACAGCCTGGGCAACAAGAGTGAAACTGTGTCAAAAAACAAAAAAACAAAAAAAAACCCAACAACTTATGAACTGTTTATTTCTGGAATTTTCCATTTATGGTTTCAGAAGGTGGTTAACTGCAGGTAACTGAAACCATGAAAAGCGAAACCACAAATAAGGGGGTCTACGGTACTCTTCCTCAGGGGCAGTCTGTGTATTGCAGCACCTTCAGTTGTTACTATGAAAGCCCTGCTGGTGCTGTAGTTAAGTTTTGGAAACAGGGTGTGTTCTATAATGTTCCAATTAAATACTGGTGTTTTCACAGCCCTCTGTCTTGGGCTATGAACTTCACAATTGTTTTTCCAGTGATATAGTTCCTTTCTCTTCTGTCCTGTGTTCTCTGGCTGCAGAGTCGCTGGTTGATTTCCTCTCAGCCCTGACCCGTTTATTCTGTTTTCTTTTATTTTTCCTTCATTATGTAAGACAAGAAGGCTGGAGGAGGCTAGAGTACGAGGCATTCCATTCCTCAGCTGGGATAAAGCTCTGGCACAGTCCCTTCCTTCGGAGAGTAAGCTTTTGCTATGAAGCAAGCTCTGGACATCCCCCTCAAACCTGTCCACACTCAGCCTTCCTTAATTTATCAAAAATATTACCATTTACGTGTTCCTACCTAATGTGTCAAAAAAATTTATTGATTTTCAATTTGTTCATTTTTTTTTTTTTAGAGATGGAGTCTTGTTCTGTTGCCCAGGCTCGAGTGCAGTGGTGCGATCTCAGCTCACTGCAACCTCCACCTAGTAGCTTCGAGAGATTCTCGTGCCTCAGCCTCCTGAGTAGCTGGGACTACAGGCACATGCCACCATTCCCAACTAATTTTTGTATTTTTAGTAGAGATGGGGTTTAGCCATATTGGCCAGGCTGGTCTTGAACTCCTGACCTCAAGTGATCCACCCACCTTGGCCTCCCAAAGTGCTGGGATTACATGCGTGAGCCTAGCCTTTATTTTTATTTATTTATTTTTAAGACAGGGTCTTGCTCTGTCACCCAAGCTGGAGTGCATTGTCAAAATCATAGCTCAATGAAGCCTCAAAATCCTGGGCTGAAGTGCTCCTCCTGCCTCAGTCTCCTATGTCCAGCCCAGAGTGGTTTTAGATATGTAGGGTTTACCATTATCTTATGTTCTAGTAACCTAAGATGCCTGGGTATTTTTGTGTCCTTAGTAAATGGCCACAGGTATCTTTGAGGGAGTTCAGAAGGAAGATTTATAGTATATTCTCATAGCCTGGTAAGATCTTTTTTCAAGAGTCCTTTTTCAACCTCCCCTTCATCTGGGTCTGTGAACTCTCTGAAGTCAGGGAATTGGTTGAAAAGCTGGGTCTCTCAATTTTGGAGACTTATATCAAGTTTTTGTTCACCAGATCAAGTTACATCTTTAGTAGTCTGCCCATCAATTTGTGAACACCAAAGATCCCCGTGGATCACCTGACGGGTTACCCCTCTGATCCACTGCCCATTATGACAACGTTGCTCATCTCCATTGACCAGTGCTGCCACTTGGCTTCTACCACTCCAGGATTCCATCATTAACATTAGAATCAAGGAGCCCATCTCAACAGTTCCATTGTGTACCACCATCTTATATCTGTAGAGGACCGCAGCCACAGGACTTTTCAAAAACACTGGTGCTGCTCTTACCAATGGACTTCCCAATACTCTGGTGAAGGGATTGTCCTCTGGTTTCTTCTGAGGGATACACTGAAAGTGCGGAAGAGTGTGTTACTCATGACAAATCTACTTCAACATTCCTTTCTCACCAAGACTTAGATCCTTCTCTATTATTCCAAGGACGTTCTAGGATTTCTTTTTTTTTGAGACAGGTTTTTTTTTTTTGGAGACATGTCACCCAGGCTGGAGTGCAGTGGCACAATCATGACGCATTGCAGCCTCAACCTCCCAGACTCAAGCAATCCTCCTGCCTCAGCCCCCAGAATAGCTGGGACCACAGAGGCATGCAACCACACCCAGCTAATTATTATATTTTTTGTAGAGACAGGAGTCTCACCATGTTGCTCAGGCTGGTCTAGAACTCCTGGGTTCAAGTGATCTACCCTCCCCAGCCTCCCAAAGTGCTGGGATTACAGGTGCAAGCCACTGTGCCCGGACAGAAGTCCTAGTATCTTAACCTAATTTAATGAAGGCACTGTTAAGTATGATTTCATCAATCAACTCAGCAAACTAAAAAGCCACTCCTGGCTGATTGAGCTAACACACTGAATCCAGAATCTCTCGTACTACAAATAAATCAATAATTTCAATTTTATATTCCTTTTTGTCTGGTTTAGAATCCACTCCCATAGAAACCCTCTGGTGATAATATATATTAGCAACATTTTGCAATTCTTTCCTTGTGTAAGCTTCTCCTCTGATGTCAAATGTTCTACTCATCTTCTTGGGGTATGGTTAAGATCTGATTCTGGTTGTGGATCTGAAAGCAAAGAAGCATTGACATTCCATTGCAAGGTTAGTGCCTTTAGCGAAGTCATTACAGGATCTTCATGCAAGGTATTGCCAGTTTATGAAAGAGGGCAGGAGGAATGGGTTTACCTATCAAAGGAGACTCAGTGGGATTTGGGGTTTCAAGATAATAAAATTCATTCCAAGCTACAAACATGTTCCCATTCCAAGTTCGAAGATTTCTTTCTTTCTTTCTTTGTCTTTTTTTTGTTTTGTTTTTTCCTTTTTGCGGAGAATGGGGTCTCGCTATACTGCCCAGGCAGGTCTGGAACTCCTGGGCTCAAGCTATCCTCCCTCCTCTGCCTCTCTGAGAGCTGGGATTACAGGCGTGAGCCACTGTGCCCAGCCCTTTCTTTTCTTTTTTTGAAACGGAGTCTTGCTCTGTTGCCCAGGCTGGAGTGCAGTGTCTCAATCTTGGCTGACTGCAACCTCCACCTCCTGGGTTCAAGTAATTCTCCTGCCTCAGCCTCCTGAGTAGCTGGGATTACAGGCGCCTGCCACCATGCCCGGCTAATGTTTGTATTTTCAGTAGAGATGGGGTTTCACCATGCTGCCCAGGCTGGTCTTGAACTCCTGACCTCAAGAGGTCCACCCACCTCGGCCTCCCTAAGTGTTGGGATTACATGCGTGAGCCACTGCACCTGGCGATTTCTTTCTCATTTAAGAGATGGAGTCTTCTGTTGCCCAAGATGGAATGCAGTGGTGTGATTATAACTAGGACCACAGGTATGTGTCACAATACCGGCTTTTTTTTTTTTGAGATGGATTCCCACTCTGTCACCCAGACTGGAGTGCAGTGGCGCAATCTGGGCTCACTGCAACCTCCACCTCCCAAGTTCAAGCGATTCTCCTGCCTCAGCCTCCTGAGTAGCTGGGATTACAGGCGCTCGCCACCATGCCTGGCTAATTTTTGTATTTTTAGTAGAGATGAGGTTTCACCATGTTGGCCAGGCTGGTCTCAAACTCCTGACCTCAGGTGATCCACCCACCTTGGCCTCCCAAAGTGCTGTGATTACAGGCATGAGCCACCGTGCCCAGCCCTGGCTAATTTTTAAATTTTTTGTAGAGACAGCCAGGCTATGCTGCCCAGGCTGGTCTCAAACTCCTGGTCTCAAGCAATGCTCCTTCCTCAGCCTCCTGAGGTGCTGAGATTATAGGCCTGAGCCACCATGCCAAGCCTTTTTTTTTTTTTTTTTTTAATTTTTAAATTTTTAAATAGCTGGGACTCCTGGAGCAGTACCCCCAAGACCTCATGGATACGAAGGGTTTCCAATTAATTCCAAAATTTCACTTATGGTCCAATTTCATCATAGTGCCTAAGAAGTTCATCTGAATTTATGCCATATTATCCATAGCCAGAATTCAGAGCAATTCTGGAATCAGACAATTTGACACCTGTAAACTGTTCAAGTCTAGGGTCTACATCAACACCCCCCAACTTTTTTGAGATGGGGTCTCGCTGGGCTCCCCAGGCTGGTCTAGAACTCCTGGGTCCCGGCTAGGACTACAGGCATGTGCCATCATGCTCAGCCCCATGAACAACTTCTATATGTATAGCTCTGCGTAAAAAGACCATTGTCAACTGCACATATATAAGTTTATTTATTTATTTATTTATTTTTGAGACAGAGTCTCACTCTGTCACTCAGGCTGGAGTGCAGTGGTGAACTCGGCTCACTGCAACCTCCACCTCCCAGGTTCCAGCGATTCTCTGCCTCAGCCTCCCAAGTAGCTGAGACTACAGATGTGTGCCACCGCGCCTGGATAATTTTTTTATTTTTTGGTAGAGATGGGGTTTCACCACGTTGGCCAGGTTGGTCTCGAACTCTTGACCTCAGGTGATCCACCCACCTTGGCCTCCCAAAGTGCTAGGATTACAGGTGTGAGCCACCGTGCCTGGCCCCTTTATTCATTTCAAGGGCTATGGTTCCCGAAATGTCACCAAGTTTGTTACATTACTGTCCACTTTCTTCATCCTCTTCTCTTTTTCTTTTCTTCTCTTTGCTTTTTTCTTCTTATTTTTAAGTCTTCTTTCTTTTAGACTTTACATAAGAATATTCTGATGAATGCCAGTTGTGGTGGCTCATGCCTGTAATCCCAGCACTTTGGGAGGCCGAGGCAGGCCGACCACAAGGTTAGGAGTTCGAGACCAGCCTGGCCAACATGGTGAAACTCCATCTCTACTAAAAATACAAACAGTAGCTGGGCATGGTGGCGGGTGCCTATAATCCCAGCTACTCGGGAGGCTGAGGCAAGAGAATTGTTTGAACCCGGGAGGCGGATGTTACAGTGAGCTGAGACTGCGCCATTGCACTCCAGCCTGGGCAGCAGAGTGAGACTCTGTCTCAAAAAAAAAAGAAAAGTATTCTGATGAGACTTCTGAATAAGAGGTGGAAGCTGGCTCAGGACAAAATATTTGTGCTAGAGCAGAACGGGCAGGGGAGGAACAAAAGTGGAGGCAGGCCAGGTGCGGTGGCTCACGCCTGTAATCCCAGCACTTTGGGAGGCTGAGACGGGCGGATCACCTGAAGTCAGGAGTTTGAGACCAGCCTGACCAACATGGAGAAACCCCGTCTCTACTAAAAATATGAAAAAATTAGCTGGGCGTGGTGACGCATGCCTGTAATCCCAGCTACTCGGGAGGCTGAGGCAGAAGAATCGCTTGAACCTGGGAGGCGGAGATCGGGACATTGCACTCCAGCCTGGGCAACAAGAGCAAAACTCAAAAAAAAAAGAAAAGGGGGAGGCAAAGGAAAAAACTCCCTGAAAGCTCATACAATGGCAGGGAGTGAATGTGTCTCTCAGGAATCTCTTGCCTTTTTCACCCAAACATTAAGCCCTCCTCAATCTGCTTTTGGCTTCCATTATAGCCTTTGTTTGGGTTTATTCAGGAAAACTAACTGTTTTGAAAAAGCACTATAACTGTGCTTCCTCTGGTCTCACACCACACTACAACAATCAACACAGAAGATTTCCATGATCTGGCTGGGCGTGGTGGCTCATGCCTGTAATCCCAACACTTTTGGAGGCCAGGGTGGGCGGATCACTTGAGGTCAGGAGTTTGAGACCAGCCTGGCCAACATGGGGAAACTCCATCTCTACTAAAAAAAAAAAACACAAAAATTAGTGCGTGTGGTGGCATATGCCTGTAGTCCCTGCTACTCTGGAGGCTGAGGCAGGAGAATTGCTTGAAACTGTGAGGTCGAGGTCACAGTGAGCTGAGATCGCACCACTACACTCCAGCCTGGGCAACAGACCAAGGCTCTGTCTCAATGGAAAAACAGAAAGAAGAAGATGACTTCCATGATCCCGAAATATATGGGGATTTCTCCCCACCAACAAGCAAGCAGTCGGTTCTGAGGCAGACACCAGCTGGGTGCACTCCACTTCAATTCTGACACTCTATCTAGGGATACCGCCAGATCCCAAGGGTTGAGGGCTCAGTCCCCAAGACATCAGTTGCAATTCTAGGCCTCCAGAACTTCTGACGGATCAGCTTGAAGCTGGGGTTTCCATGATCCCTTCTTTGGGTTTGATTAATTTGATAGAATAGCTCACAGAACTCAGGGAAACACTTATGTCTACTGATTTTTTATAAAGGATATTACAAGTAACACAGATGAAGAGATGCGCAGGGCGAGGTAGGTATGGGAGAAGGGGTGAGGACCTTCCATGGCCTCTCCCCATGTGCCACTTTGTGTGTATTCAGCTATCCAGAAGCTCTCTGAAACCTCTCCTCTTGGGTTTTTGTGTGTGTGTTATTTTTGTTTTTTTTTTGAGACCGAGTCTTCCTCTGTTGCCCAGGCTGGAGTGCAGTGGCATGATCTTGGCTCACTGCAACCTCCACCTCCCGGATTCAAGTGATTCTCCTGACTCAGCCTCTTGAGTAGCTGGGACTACAGGTGCCCGCCACCACGCCCGGCTAATTTTTTGTATTTTTAGTAGAGATGGGGTTTCACGGTGTTAGCCAGGATGGTCTCGATCTCCTGACCTTGTGATCCGCCCACCTTGGCCTCCCAAAGTGTTGGGATTACAGGCGTGAGCCACCGCGCCCGGCCAATTTTTGTATTTTTAGTAGAGATGGGATTTCACCCTGTTGGCCAGGCTGGTCTCAATCTCCTGACGTCAAGTGATCCGCCAGCCTTGGCCTCCCAAAGTGCTGGGATTACAGGCATGAGCCACCACGTCCGGCTCTTGGGTTTTTATAGAGGCTTTATTAGGAAGGCATGATTGATTAAGCATTGATCATTGACCCTCTGCCCTACTGAGAAGTTGAGGGTGGGGCTGAAAGTCTCAACTCCCATTATGTCTTTGTCTTTCCAGTGACCAGCCCTATTCTGAAGCTGTTAGTCACATTAGCATACAAAAAGGCAGGAGTCTGGAGATTCCCAAGACTTTAGGAGTTGCAGGCCAGGAAATGGGATGAATACCAGATATGTATTTCACAACATCACACAGACAAATAAACAAAAAACACTCAATGCATTTCAAGCAGAGGAGAATTAAATGTCAGGAATGGGTGCATACAAAACCACTGGAAGAACTGGAAGAGCAAAAACCAGGGAATACCAACGCTATCTTCAGGTCAACCACTGAAGCTCTAGTCTAGTACACAGAAATTCCTGCTGGGGAACTGCAGGACATTCCCATTGGTGGATACAGCTTCCCAGCTACCTCAAGATGGGGTGCTGGTAAGGAAGCATGTCATGTCTGCAGTGGTCCATGCATCTGTCTGCTGCAGTCAGAAAATAAGAAAACAGTTTTTACCTTTGTTCCATTTCCCAATTCTCTCTCTCTCTCTTTTTTTTTTTTTAGGCAGAGTCTTGCTCTATCACCCAGGTTGGAGTGCAGTGGTGCGCTCTCCGCTCACTGCAACCTCTGTTTCCCAGGTTCAAGTGATTCTCATGCCTTAGCCTCCTGAGTAGCTAGGACTACAAGCACGCCCACCAAACTTGGCTAAATTTTTTTTCATATTTGTAGTAGAGATTGAGTTTCGCCATCTTGGCCAAGCTGGTCTTGAACTCCTGTCCTCAAGTGACCTGCCCGCCTCGGCCTCCCAAAGTGCTGGGATTACAGGAGTGAGCCACCGCACCCGGCCCCAATTCTCATATACATATATGTGTGTATATATACATGTTTTTTTTTGGCAGAAGGCAAATAACATCCATCACCACGGAGCCAAAGGGATCTGGGAATTATTGTTCCCTGGCTTCCAGTCCCTCTGATACATAGAAACAACATAGACAGGAATAGGAATAAATGCAGATTACCTCCTCCCTCCAATCCTTCCCCACAACCCCCACCATCTGGCACTGAGGAGATCTCCCAACTTTTATGAAGGTTGTAATTTCAATTCCAAATGGCCGAAAAACTTTTCGGAGACATTCAGCCCAGCCGTCCTAGCTCACCACCCGCCTCCGTCTGCCATACAGACATTTTACCTACTGTTCTTTGTGGTGTATTTTCCTGCCCTCTTTTCCATCTCTACTTTCCTGCCTCTCTGGATAGTCTGTGCCTCCTGGGTACGGAGCCCAGAATCTGTTAAGGGTGATTGGAGGAGGAAACTTAGCAGATAAGCAAGAAAGAGAACAGGTTTTATTTTCCCCTAGTCTAAGTACAAGTAATGTTCTGATTACTTCTGTCCTCTCTTCCCCATATTAGAACAACTGGAATTTTAAAAGTTCATTCTCTTGCTAAAACTGTCATGAGACAGCTGGAGATGGTACATTTACAAAAAATCCAGTTCTAGATGGCTAACTTTCAAAGTAAGACGACAGTGAACAATGTCTATCTTAATATCCTTTGTACTTTTGCTGGGCGCAGTGGCTCACGCCTGTAATGACGGATCACGAGGTCAGGAGATCGAGACCATCCTGCCTAAAACGGTGAAACCCCGTCTCTACTAAAAATAAAAATAAAAAATGGCCGGCCGTGGTGGCACGTGCCTGTAGTCCCAGCTACTCAGGAGCCTGAGGCAGGACAATCGCTTGAACCCGGGAGGTGGAGGTTGCAGTGAGCCAAGATCGCGCCACTGCACTCCAGCCAGGGCGACAGAGCGAGATTCCGTCTCAAAAACAACAACAAAATATCCTTTGTAGTTTTACACACACACGTATATGTATATACAGTACATATATTTAAAAAAACATATACACACACACACACAGTTCTTTTTTTTTTTTTTTTCCTGAGTCTCGTTCTGTGGCCCACGCTGGAGTGCAGTGGTGCGATCACATCTCACTGCAGCCTGAAACTCCCTGACTCAAGCAATCCTCCCACCTCAGCCTCCAGAGTAGCTGGGACTTCAGAAGCACGCAACCACGCCCCACTAATTTTTGTATTTTTTGTAGAGACAGGGTTTCACAATGCTGCCCAAGCTGGTCTCGAACTCCTGGGCTCAAGCTATCCTACCGCGTCGGTTTCCGAAAGTGTTGCGATTACAGGCGTGAGCCATAGCGTTACATGTGGTGGGGGGGAAGAGAGAGAAAGAGAGAGAGTGAGAAGAAGGAGGAGGAGGAGGAGGAGGAGAAAGAAGGAAGAAAGAAAAGAAAAGAAATATAGAGAGGGTGTTCAAATCTACTGTTCAAGTGCTTTCCATGTACATATAATCTCTTTTTAAAATCCCATCCAGCTCTGTTGAGATGAGAAAACTGAAGCTCTGAGAGGTTGAGTAACTTTATCACGCTCCCGCAAAGATAAAAGAACCGCCATCTGCCCATATTAATTTCCCTGAGATGAAATGTGACAGAGAAAGATACCTCAAAATTAAGGAAATGGAGAGCTTCGAGAATCATCTTCCATCTCCGCCGAGTCCCCCAGGAACTTGGCCCGGAGTCTTTGGGCTGTCCCACCTGATCTTGCCCCAGTGCGGCTCCACACCCTGGCGGGCGGCGTACGGAGCGTCCCGGCCCCCGGCACCAGCCAGCGTCGGAGTGGGTAGGACTGGAGATGGCAGCCTCCGGTCCAGGGGAAGCGGGACTCCACGGAAGGGCTGGGAAGAGGGTAGGAAGAGGGGGCGGGGGCGGGAACTGTTCCGCCCCCTCCCCCTCTGTCTACTTTCATTGGCCAAGGGCTTCCTGGCCCCAACCCACCTCCCGCCTCCAGGGCGCCGCTTAAAGTGTGCGGAGCAGGTGCCTTGGGTGGAGCCACAACTTTGCGCGAGTGTCTTGGTTGAGCGCAGCGCCCATTCATTGCCCGCGAGCGTCCATCCATCTGTCCGGCCGACTGTCCAGCGAAAGGGGCTCCAGGCCGGGCGCAGCCGCCACCCGGGGGACCGAGGCCAGGAGAGGGGCCAAGAGCGCGGCTGACCCTTGCGGGCCGGGGCAGGGGACGGTGGCCGCGGCCATGCAGTCCTGTGCCAGGGCGTGGGGGCTGCGCCTGGGCCGCGGGGTCGGGGGCGGCCGCCGCCTGGCTGGGGGATCGGGGCCGTGCTGGGCGCCGCGGAGCCGGGACAGCAGCAGTGGCGGCGGGGACAGCGCCGCGGCTGGGGCCTCGCGCCTCCTGGAGCGCCTTCTGCCCAGACACGACGACTTCGCTCGGAGGCACATCGGCCCTGGGGACAAAGACCAGAGAGAGATGCTGCAGACCTTGGGGCTGGCGGTAAGGACCTCCACCCGGCCCTCCGCGGCCTCCCCTCCGCCCTGCCCGGGCTCTGCCTGCGCGGCCTCCCGGCTCCTACCCTGAGCTCTGCTGCGCTCCGCGTGGTCCCCGCACCCTGGGTCCCGGGCCGTGGCGTGGAAGCAAATTCGTGCCTTTGGTCCTCGTGCCTTCTTACTTCTTAACAGCTTACTTTCTCCTGCACCCAGTCTTCGTGCCTCAAAAGTGTACATTTTTAAACCACCCCCAGCCCAAGTGGCCCTGTGGATGGACCTAAACTTTGCAAGAGGAGGAAGACCCCCTGATTAAGAGTGGGCTTACCGGTTAGCTCCGGTTGCAACTGAAATCCAACCCCGAGTGGCGGAATCTCCACCCCACTTCACGATTTTCTTTCCTCCAAATCATTCTGGCTTGCTCAGAGTTTTCCTTTTCTTTTAAAAAGAACCCTAATTAGGCGATTTCAATGAGGTTCCCACAAGGCTTTGTAGTCGCAAAACACAGAGGTGACTCTTTTAACTCAGAGGCACTTTCCTCTGCCTTGCGTTTTAATTTTAGAGCATTGATGAATTGATCGAGAAGACGGTCCCTGCCAACATCCGTTTGAAAAGACCCTTGAAAATGGAAGACCCTGTTTGTAAGTGGCCGGGAGGGCTCCCTTGGACTTAGATTATTCTGGCCTATTTGTCTTTTGTGGTTCCCTGAAAATCGAGCTCTGGGGTAAGGATTGCTCAGGACTGGGAATGTGTGGATTAAAATAAAACAGTGGCGGGTACCTCCGGAGCCGCGGGAAGGTGGGATATTTGGTTCTCGGAGCAGACAGTTTTGTGTTAGGAGAGAGTCGGTGTTGTGCGGTTCTTGGTCTTTATCCTAGGGCCCCCGCGAGCTTCCCCTGCGTTTTGTAGCAGATTCCCCACTTCCCAGGCACCCTCTCACCGGCCAGGGTGCTCTCATACTTTGGGTTGAGAGGTGTCATTACCTGCGCAGACCCGGATAGACTCAAAGGATCTAGGAATTGCCTAAGGTCGTGCAACTGGGGAAGTGACCAGACATCTCGCCTCCCTCCCCCAGGCTTCTTTAGATCGCAGTATCTTCCAATTGTTTTCTTACCTCACGTCCAAATTTTATTATTTACCAACTGAAAGACAGCAGTACTTTTCGAGTCCGAATGGTTTTTCTTTTCTTTTCTTTTTTTTTTCGTTTTTTTTTTTTTTTTTTTTTGAGACAGAATCTCTGTCGCCCAGGCTGGAGTGCTGTGGCTTGATCTCGGCTCACTGCAACCTCCGCCTCCCTGGTTCAAGCAATTCTCCTGCCTCAGCCTCTTGACTAGCTGGGATTACAGGGGCGCACCACCACACCAGGCTCATTTTTATATTTTTATTAGAGACAGGGTTTCTTCATGTTGGCCAGGCTGGTGTCGAACTCCTGACCTCAGGCAATCCGTCTGCCTCGGCCTCCCAAAATGCTGGGATTACAGGCACGAGTCACTGTGCCCTACCCCGAATGGTTTTTCTAGAAAAACACACAAATAAGATTTACATTTGTTTAAGAAAGGTCAGTTTAGTCATAGACTTTCTTAGAATTTTATTTTAGGTTTAAAATATTTTTAATGGTCCAAGATTGCTTTTCAGGGGTATTTTTATGTGGGTATTTGACTTCCATGGGGTGGGGGGACAATCCATAAGTCAAGGGCACAGGCTGAGCTCTTAAAAAAAATCTCATCTGGTTATCTCACTTTCAATCATGGAGATACTTATCTCTTTTTCTTCTAGAGTCAAATGAAGAGAGAGCAGCTGTTTTATTTTGTTGCTATGATAGAAAGGATCTAGTGTGCAGATGGCAAGCTTTATTTTGTTTGAAGGTGGACATTTGAGGTATGGAGCCTATCTGCTTCAGGTTGGCTGCTCAGGCTATGCTGAGGGCTGCTGCCTTTGTTGGTTTCAAATCTGATGGTCGTTGAAAACCTGCATGTTTTGCTGAATTGAACTAATTGAGATTTAGGGATGGTCGGAGGGAAGCCTTATCTATTTCCATTTTAGAAAATCAGAATCCTGGCTGGGCACGGTGGCAAATGCCTATAATCTCAGCATTTTGGGAGGTCTAGGCAGGTGGATCGCTTGAGGCCAGCAGTTTGAGACCAGTTTGGGCAATATTGCGAGACCCCATCTCTACAAAAAATACAAAAATTAGCCGGGTGTGGTGGTGTGCGCCTGTAATCCCAGCTACTCCGGAGGCTAATGTGGCAGAAACACTTGAGCTGGGCAGTGGAGGTTGCAGCGAGCCAAGATGGCTCCACTGCACTTCCACCTGAGTAACAGAGTGAGACCCTGTCTAAAAAAAAAAGAGAAAGGAAGAAAAGAAAAAATCAGAATCCTAATTCATTTGATGTGTGAAGAGTGAAGAGTTGTGTATCTTTAAAGCAGGGTATTTTAGGTGAATATTTGAACAAGTGAATCCCTTCCTGAGACTTTCAAAGTCAGGGAATGTTTAGGTTAGCTATTTTTATAATATATATACTCTAAAATAAAGTGTTCTTTTCAGAGCATTAGAGCCTGGGAAACATGGCAAAGTTGTGTATCCTTTTTTAGTTTAGTTCTTGGTTCCAGCTGAATAATTTGAACATTAAGGGATTCTGATTCTTCACTGTGGAAGTGGGCTCCTGAAAAGTAATTTGCAACTTGAATATAAACTTAATTTTTTTATTTTTTATTTTTATTTTTGAAATGGATTCTTGTTCTGTTGCCCAGGCTGGAGTGCAGTGGCATGATCTCTACTCACTACAACCTCTGCCTCCCCGGTTCAAGCCATTCTCCTGCCTCAGCCTCCTGAGTAGCTGGGATTACAGACGTGCACCACCATGCCCGGCTAATTTTTTGTATTTTTAGTAGAGATGGGGTTTCTCCATGTTGGCCAGGCTGGTCTTGAACTCCTGACCTCAGGTGATCCACCCACCTTGGCCTCCCAAAATGCTGGGATTACAGGCATGAGCCACCATGCCCATGCCATATAAATTTTAAACCTAGCAGCTTCTGTGACATTTTGAGCTTGTTCCATCTAGTTTGGGATGATTCACGCAGAAAATATTGCACAATCAGAAGTCCCCCCATTCCCTGAAATGGACCAGTTCTCCAACAAAGCTTGTTTCTTGGAATAGTGAGCTGGGGGTGTTGGGAGAGTGGAGGAGGATGCATCTGCAAAGGATGAATTTTGACTCTGAGGTGTGCACGTGTCATGGTGAATGAATATTCTCCAGGTGGGGAGAGCAAATTGGTGCATGTAAGCTCTGGTAGTAGCATTTCCATTTAATAGTGGAGCACCATTACTCAAACTTGGCTTCATGTGAATGCCTGTGTTCTAGTGTAGTCAGAAAGGAATTCTGGATTAAATATTTATTTGCCATGTACAGAGAAAACTGTAGTGAGAGCTAGTTATAGGAGTGTTAAATGTCTTCATTGCAGAGTAAAGATTGTGATCAGTTTGGAAATACTTGGGTTACTTATTACACATAACTCAGTAATCTCAGACATTTATGTAGTGCTTACCATGTACTGGACACTCTTTAACGTGCTTTCATGTATTAATGTATATTACAACCCTATGAGGAAAATACCATTAATACTTCTGTTTTAAAAATGAAGAAACCGTGATATTCAGATGATGCATGACTTGCCCAAGGTCATAGCTGGTAAGTGATGGAGGCAGAATTCAAACCCAGGCAGCCCAGCTCCACTGTCCACACTCCATCCACTACTTTGCTCTCTCTTCATTTTGTCCTTTGCAAGGTCGTGGGTGTACAAAGTGGAAAACTTCTGTCCTGACTCACCTGGAATATCCAGTTTACAGATGTGCACAAACCCAGTTGCACTAGAATCACCCTGCCATATGCCAACTGCCCCAGTGGAAACGCAGCAGCTTCCTGGCAGCACAGACGTGGGAACACTCAAGCCTGCTGCTAGGGCAAGGGAAGGGGTCACGGAAGTGCAATACTGAAGAATGAGCAGTGATGCTCTGCTAGATAAATCTGGGGGAGGCTGCTGGAGGTAGTGGGATTAACATGTATAGGACAGAATGGCCGGACAGAACCAGGGGAGGACGGGTGGTTCATCAGTCACTAAGGATGCTCCCCCTCTTCTTGGACAATTCAGAAAGTGCCTTGACAAAATACTTTGATCATGAACTGGCTGCTAAGTAAGTCATTATTCAGAGAAACAAGCAAAGCTATTCAGTTCAAAATCCTGTCCTGCTCAAGTGAATCCTGCATTCCCCATCCACACGCACTCAACAACAACAAAAGGACTAGAAGGATATGTGTCACTGGCAACACTGATTTCTCTGAATGGTGCCCTTATTAGTGGTTTTAGCTTTCCTTTAATTACTTTGCAGTTTTGGAATTTTCTGCAGTGTAGGTATTCATTTTATAATTAATTCAAAGTTAAAAATTACTTTATGACCAAAGCCAGTTACTTTTAGCTATGGTATGCCTCGCTGTGTAGTCTTTTCAGTGAATTCATCTCAAGGCAACTAGACTGAACTAGACTGAACTAATCATAGATAAACTGCAGGGATTAAAGTTTACACAAAATTGCACATTGCTTGTGGAAGAGAGAGGAGAAACTAAACCCTCCAATGTTCACATTATTCAACTAGAACTGAGGAGATGAGTTGTCAGAATGATGGACTTGTGCCAGCTGAATGTTCCAGAGTGATTTCTACTAAATGGTTAATGGAGGGCAGTGAGCGGAGGGAGGGAGCATTGTGTAATGCAGCTGCAGGTGTTGGCTTTGTCACCCTAGTTGGGTTGCGCACTCTCCTGAACTGACCCCAGGGGCAACTAGGCCGTGGCAGCTGTTCCCCAGGCCGAGGCCACGACTTGTCTTTAGCCAGATGATGCCCATTGCCAGGTCCTGCCTGTAGGCCCCGCAGTCTGTGACAAGGCTTTCCTTTGGCCATTCCCGACTCATTCAATTCCCAGCTTATAGGAATTATTATTTCTTCTTTAGGATGATTCCAATAAATTTCCATTAAATGACTGTAACAGTAAAGATTAGCTAAATGAGAGAAACAAAGGCTGTAATGAGCTTGCTGTAGCAAGGGAGTCAGACTTGCATATTGGCAGAGGAGAGGAAAGCTTTATTGTGGAAAAAAGGGAAGCCTTTAGGTGTGTTCTGATTGGAGGTTGTTTACAAGGGAAGCTGTCTGAGGATTTACTAGAAGTCGGGCAACTGATGTGATTGGTTATGGGTACATGTTTGGCTTAGCCTGGTTGGTCCTATGTTGGAAGTGGGACAAAAATTAGGGAAGCTATCAGTTATTAATCGAGTTCTGGCCATTTGGGGCCAATTGTTAGGGAAGTTGTTGTTCGGTTTCCTGGATTGTCACTAGAGATAGCAATCTGGCTTTCTCTGTAAGTCTAACTTGTAGCAGGCTGGCTTCCTTGATTGTTTATTCTAAGTAAGCGGGTTAGTTTCCTGGACAGGTGTGGGTGAAAGTTCTATTTTTAAATATGGTCTGGTAATTGTCTATTTGTATATGTAGTCCCTCACAGCAGAATCTGTTTTGTCCATATATATATATATATATACTTTTTTTTTATGGTGAAAAGATATATATATATTTAGAATTAGGCAGCTGGACTCAGTTTAGATGATCCCAATTTTGTTGGCAACATCCAAAGCATCATAATCAGGAGCCAGTCGAACATATACCTTCTTCTCTCCATCAGGCCGAATCAGGGTGTTGCCCTTGGCCACATCATTGTCATAGAGCTTCTTCACAGCCTGTTTAATCTGGTGCTTGTTGACTTTAACATCCACAATGAACACAAGTGTGTTGTTGTCTTCCATCTTCTTCATGGCGACTCAGTGGTCAGCGTAAACTTGATGATAGCATAGTGGTCAAGCTTGTTTCTCCTGGGGGCGCTCTTCCGAGGATATTTGGGCTGTCTCTGGAGTCGCAGGGTCTTGGACCGCCGGAAGGTGGGTGATGTGCGGATCTTCTTTTTTTTTGTGGCTGTGGACACCTTTCAACACTGCCTTCTTGGCCTTTAAAGCATTCTCTTTGGCTTCGGCTTTAGGAGGGGCAGGAGCTTCCTTCTTCGCTTTCGGCGCCATCTTGTGAAAAAGCTCTGTTTTTGTCATTAATTCTCAATAGGCAGATTGGACTGTCACCTTGTTGCCTAATTGTTAAATGTTTACTGACTACTATTGAAAGACACTCTGAGGATATACTTTTTTTTTTTTTCTGAGACAGAGTCTCGCTCTGTTGCCCAGGCTAGAGTGCAGTGGCACGGTCTTGGCTCACCACAACCTCTGCCTCCTGGGTTCAAGCGATTCTCCTGCCTGAGCCTCCCGAGTAGCTGAGACTACAGGCACGCACCACCATGCCCAGCTAGTTTTTATATTTTTAGTAGAGACGGGGTTTCACTATGTTGGTCAGGCTGGTCTCAAACTCCTGACCTCGTGATCTGCCTGCCTTGGCCTCCCAAAGTGCTGGGATTATAGGCGGGAGCCACCGTGCCCAGTGAGGATATACATTTGAATAAACATAGTCACTATCTCCAAGGGGCTTACATCTTACCTTCTTAATATAAATAGATCAGACAGACAGTTAAAAAGTTCTAGGTGCCATGAAAGCTGTGGGTAAAATGTCATGAGCGTTCAGAAATGATGTGAAATGGGATGGAAAGACAGAGTTAAGAGTTGGAATATATCTTCTCAATGTAAAGAAGCAAAGATGAAGCTGGGAGCAGTGACTCACGCCCATAATCCCAGCACTTTGGGAGGGCGAGGCGGGTGGATCATCTGAGGTCCGGAGTTCAAGACCAGCCTGACCAACATGGTGAATCCCCGTCTCTACTAAAAATACAGAAATTACCTGGGCGTGGTGGCGCATGCCTGTAATCCCAGCTACTTGGGACGCTGAGGCCGAGGCAGAAGAATCGCTTGAACCCGGAAGGTGGAGGTTGCAGTGAGCTAAGTCGCGCCATTGCACTCCAGCCTGGGCGACAGTGAGACTCTGTCTCAAAAAAAAAAACAACAAACAAACAAACAAAAACTCAAGCAAAGGCAGTACCTTCACTGAGAAAAAGGAAATGGAGAAATGCAATGTGCAAGACATAATTCGGCAAGCACTTGAATGTTGTTGCGGGATCATCCCTGATGGAATCTTAAATAATTATGCTATCAATTATTTGGGGGATATTCAGATAAATGTCGAAGTATATCATGGTAAAAGTGGAGGGGTGAAAATATTTGTTTTAAAAGTGATGAGATTACAGGCTGACACCTGTAATCTCAGCACTTTGGGAGGTTAAGGTGGGTGGATTGCTTGAGCCGAGTAGTTCAAGACCAGCCTGGGCAACATCCTGTCTCTTTGAAAAAAAAAAAGTAAAAAAAAATTTTTAATGTGTTGAGTCCTAAAATAAATTATGATCAGTTTTTCCTTTCTTATTAAAATTAGAATCCCAAACTAGAAATCTCAGTCTTGGCTGGGCACAGTGGCTCATGCCTGTAATCCTAGCACTTTGGGAGGCTGAGGCGGATGGATCACTTGAGGCCAGGAGTTCAGCATCAGCCTGGGCAACGTGGCAAAACCCTGTCTCTACTAAAAATACAAAAATTAGCTGGCTGTGGTGGTGCATGCCTGTTGTCCCAGCTGCTCAGGAGTCTGAGGCAGGAGAATAGCTTGAACCTGGGAGGTGGAGGTTGCAGGGAAGAGAAGGTTGCAGTGAGCTGTGATTGCGCCACTGCACACCAGCCTGGGCGACAGAATGACTTCATCTCAAAAAACAAGACAAAACAAAATTAAAAAACCCTCAATCTTGATAAAGTATCTTTTTTTTTTTTTTGAGAGAAGTCTCGCTCTTATCCCCCAGGTTTGAGTGCAATGGCTCGATCTCAGCTCACTGCAACCTCTGCCTCCGGGGTTCAAATGATTCTCCTGCCTCTGCCTCCCAGGTAGCTGGTATTAAGTCACCTGCCACCACGCCTGTCTAATTTTTGTATATTTTAGTAGAGACGGGGTTTCACCATGTTGGCCAGGCTGGTTTCGAACTCCTGACCTCAAGTGATCCGCCTGCCTCGGCCTTCCAAAGTGCTGGGATTTTCCAAAGTGCTGGCATTACAGGCGTGAGCCATTGTGCCCGGACTTTTTTAAAAAAAAAAACAAACAAAACCAGTTCTGCTCTGTCACCCAGGCTGGAGAGCAATGGCACGATCTCGGCTCACTGCAACCTCCGCCTCCTGGGTTCAAGCAATTCTTCTGCCTCAGCCTCCCGAGTAGCTGGGATTACAGGCACCCACCACCACAGCCAGCTAATTTTTGTATTTTTAGTTGAGATGGGCTTTCACCGTATTGGTCAGGCTGGTCTTGAACTCCTGACCTCAAGTGATCTGCCCGCCTCAGCCTCCCAAAGTGCTGGGATTACAGTCATGAGCCACTGTGCCTGGACTATTTTGGGTTTTTTAATTTTATTTTTGAGATGGGGTCTCACTCTGTTGCCCAGGCTGGAGTGCAGTGGTGTGATTACAGCTTACTGCAGCCTCGACCTCCTGGGTTCAAGTGATCTCGCACTTCAGCCTCCTGAGCAGCTGGGACTACAGGCGCATGCCACCATGCCCGGCTAATTTTTGTATTTTTTCTAGAGACAATCTTACTGTGTTGCCCATGCTGGTCTCGAATTCCTGGGCTCAGGAAGAAATCCTTCCGACTCTGCCTCCCAAAATACTAGGATCATAGGCGTGAGCCACCTTGCCCGACCAACTTTATTTTTTAGAGCAGTTTTAGGTTCATGGCAAAACTGAGTGAAAGCTACAAAGATTTCCCATTAAACCCACTGCCTCCACACAAGCGTAGAGTCTCCCATTATCAGCATTGCCTACCAGAGCATTTGCTACAATTGAACCTACATTAATGCATCATTATCACCCAAAGTGTTTTTTTTTTTTTTGAGACGGAGTCTCACTATGTCACCCAGGCTGGAGTACAGTGGCACGATCTCAGATCACTGCAACCTCCGCCTCCTGGGTTCAAGCGATTCTCCTGCCTCAGCTTCCTGAGTAGGCGAGACTACAGGCATGAACTATCACGCCTGGCTAATTTTTGTATCTTTAGTAGAGACGGGGGTTTCACCATGTTAGCCAGGCTGGTCTTGAACTCCTGACCTCAGATGATCTACCCACCTTGGCCTCCCATAATGCTGGGATTATAGGTGAGCCACTGCGCCTGGCCTCACCCAAAGTGAAGATTGTTTACGTTAGGATTCAGTCTTGGTGTTGCACATTCTAGGGGTTTAGACAACTGTAGTATAACATCTGTTCATTATTATCATTTTTATTTTAAAACATTTTATTTTTATTTTATTTTATTTATTTTATTTGAGACAGTATCTTGCTATGTCACCCAGGCTCGACTACAGTGGAATGATCACAGCTCTGTGCAACCTCGACCTCTCCGGCTCAGGCAGTCCTGTCACCTCAGCCTTCCAAGTAGCTTAGACCACAAGGAGAACCACAGCACCTGGCTAATTTTTTAAATTTTTTTGTAGACATGGGGGTCTCAATATGTTGCCCAGGCTGGTCTCAAGCTTCTGGGCTTAAATGATTCTCTCATTTTGGTCTGCCAACATGCTGGGGTTGTAAGTGTGAGCCACCACACCCAGATCCTATTATTATTATTATTTAGAGACAGGGTCTTGCACTGTCACCCAGACTAGAGTGCAGCGGTATGACTATAACTTACTCTAACCTCAAAACATATTCAGTGCTATCAAACTGAAATCAATTATACTGTATTATAAATATAGTGCTATTCTTGAGGGCTATTATGGTACATAGGACCATTTGCCCATACATAAAGTGCCCTAGACTGCTTAGCTTTTGGTTTTTGGATTGGTGTTTGCTATCACCTTTGTTATCAGTGGGTTATTAAGGTACTATTGCCAAATCTCCTTCTACAGCTTCCTCCATCTGCTTCCATTCTGCACTTATTGAGAGTCAGATGTAGAAGATAAGATACTGCTTCAGGCACTTGGTGTACAAAAGTCAGGAGGTAAAAGATGATAAAGATATCCCCAGCTATAGGTTATAACTTATAAGGAAATAGATATTGAATAGTTTGATGGGTCTGCAAATAGGATGGAGACTTCGTCTGAAGTTATGGCATGAGCAGAGGCATGGAAGTGTGGAAATACGTGGTTATTTGAGGGACGGTGAATAGACCATGTGGTTAGAATGTTAGATTGCAGAGGGACATGAAAAACAAGGTATGGGGCCACAATATGGAGGGCTCAGAGCCAAAAGGGATTTATTTTCCCCCCTCTAAGTAATGGGTAGACAGGAAAAGTTACTATAGAGGGAAGTGGAAGGATTGATCCTGTGTTTTGCAGAGTGCCTCTGAGATCAGAGGAGAGGGAGGGGGAGAAGCGGGAGAGGGAAGGGGAGCCTCCAAACTAATGCAGGTCTAACTTTGGTGGAAGGGGAGAGAAGCAGAATGAAGACTGGGTAGGAAGAGTCTTACAGTACAGAACAGATCTAAGAGAGTTTCCATCAGGCCCACATGGAGTCCTGGAGCTACAGCTGCCCATGGGAGGAGTCTTATATCTCCAGAGAATGAATGAGTCTGCATTAGTTTTCCGGCAGAGCTTAGTCACTGGCTTCGGGCAGCCCAGGAGAAGCATGGCGGGTTTTTTTTTTGTTTTTTGTTTGTTTGTTTGTTTGTTTGTTTGAGACACGGTCTGGTTATGTCACCTAGGCTCAAGTGCGGTGGTGCGATCTCAGTTCACTGCAACCTCTGCCTCCCAGGCTCAAGCGATCCTCCCTCCTCAGCCTCCCTAGTAGCTGGGACTGCTGGCGTGAGCTACCATGCCCGGCTACATTTTGTATTTTTTGTAGAGATGGAGTTTCGCCATGTTGCCCAGGCTGGTCTTGAACTCCGAGCTCAAGCAACCCGCCTGCCTTGGCCTCTCAAAGTGCTGGAATTAGAGGCATGAGACTCATGGTTTTGGGTTTGTTTGTTTTTTTCTTTTTGAGACAGAGTCTTACTCTGTTGCCCAGGCTGGAGTACAGTGGTGCAATCCTGGCTTACCGCAGCCTCCACCTCCCAGATTCAAGATTCTCCCGCCTCTGCCGGGCGCGGTGGCTCACACCTGTAATCCCAGCACTTTGGGAGGCTGAGGCGGGTGGATCACAAGATCAGGAGATCGAGACCATCCTGGCTAACACGGTGAAACCCCGTCTCTACTAAAAATACAAAAAAATTAGCTGGGCCTGGTGGCGGGCGCCTGTAGTCCCAGCTACTCGGGAGGCTGAGGCAGGAGAATGGCGTGAACCCGGGAGGCACAGCTTGCAGTGAGCTGAGATCGTGCCACTGGACTCCAGCCTGAGCGACAGAGTGAGACTCCGTCTCAAAAAAAAAAAAAAAAAAAAAAAAAAGATTCTCCTGCCTCAGCCTCCCAAGTAGCTGGGATTACACGCCTAGCTCATTTTTGTATTTTTAGTAGAGATGGAGTTTTGCTGTGTTGGCCAGGCTGGTCTCGAGCTCCTGACCTCAGGTGATCCACCCTCCTTGGCCTTCCAAGTGCTGGGATTACAGTTGTGAGCCACTGTGCCTGGCCAGAAGCATGGTTTTTGTACAGACGTGGTGGTTGATCCAGAGAGGCAGGAGATGAGGCTGTCAGTCAGTTTCTAGATGGGGTAGTGATGTTGATGTCATTGATTAACAGAGGGGGAACAGGGAGAAGTGGAAGAAGAGATTGGGTCTTGCTTGAGCAGAATTGGGTTTGAGGTATTCGTGGAACATGCATTTGGAAAAGTTGAAGCAAAAGTTGCAAAGTAGAGTCTAGAGATCCAGAGAGAGAAGAGATGGAGTTGCAGATTTAGTGAGTTTTCCGACAAATTCATGAGAATTAGTGAAATTTCCCAGGGATGGAGTGTGGGGAAGAAAGAAAAGCCAGGATATAAGGAAATAAAACATGCAGAAGGAGAGAGGCAGGGCAGTCTGAGATGAAGTCATCAGAGGCAGAAGGATATATTTTCAGGCAGGGAGTTACGGACCCCTGTGTCGTATTCTCGACCTTTCTTAGGCAGAAGAGGGAAGAAAGTCTGCATAAAGACATAAGGATCCTCCGAGGTGGGAGGAGTTGAGGGGCTGCATTTCTGACGATCTCTCTGCATGAGAGACAGGAAGGCTGAGACTGAGTACTAGGGAAAAGTGAATTTCAGAAGAGCTATTGTGTGCATCTGGGTGGCGAGGACCCTTGATCGGTCTGCAGGGAGGGTCTGCTGAGAGCATCTGGGTGGCGAGGACCCTCGATCGGCCTGCAGGGAGGGTCTGCTGAGATTGAATAGCGGGAATTTGTAAGGCCTGTTTGAGTGTCCTCCACCCCACCATCAGTCAGTGACTTGGAAGCAGGAACAGAGAAATGTGGTGACTGAGTTCAGCCGAGGGGAGGACTTCAAGGTCCACTAGTCAGCTCAGTGAGGTTGAGAGAGAGGTGGGGCAGCCCCACCCACATTCTGCCTGCAAGCTCAGTGACCCGCCTCAGGAGGCTGGGAGTGAGGGCCCGGGCTGAACCGGGGCGCGTGCTAGAGAATAGGGACGTGAGTCGCTGTGGGCGAATCTGTGTTGTGACTTCTATTCTTCATGTCCTCTTCCCCACTCCATCAAATAGCACTGTGCCTTGCTTAAACAAGTCTCAGTTATACGATGTACGGATAACTTTGATCTCATTTTGACTCAAGTTTGCTTTACTTTTTGTAAGTCCAGAGTATTCATACAAAAATGCAAACTGAGAATTTTAGTAAGAATTCTCAATGCCTGTATCATCAACATACTAACTGACTGAACAATGAAGAAATAAAATTTTGGGAAGTCTGAAATTATTGTAGACACTGCATTATTTTATACAACTTTCTTAATAGCTGCAGGTTTCCACTGATAAATGTTTCTCTGAGGCTCACACATTTTGGGATGTAGTTGAACCAAATGTGAGAACAATTTATGCATTGATTCATCATCATGAGTCTGTGATGGGTGAGTTCCTGGGCTAGCCATACGTGAAAGTTTAGGTGAATTTTCATTGCAACACATTGATTCACCTGTATTTTCTGAGCATTTACTATAAGAGATTACAATTTACTTGGTGTGATTCTCGGTTGGACTGCAAATTTCTCCATATGACTTTTTTTTGAGGCAGGGTCTCACTGTCACTCAGGTTGGACTGCAGTGGCATGATCATGGCTCACTGCAGCCTCAACCTCCTGGGCCAAACAGATCCTCCCACTACTGCAGCTTCCTGAGTATCTGGACTACAGGCATGTGCTACCACATGGACTAATTTATTTCATTTTGTAGAGACGGGGGTCTTGCTGTGTTGCCTAGGCTGGTCTCAAACTCCTGGGTTCAAAACATCCTCCTCCCTTAGCCTCCCAAATTGCTGGGATTACAGGCATGAGCCACTGTGCCCAGCCCATATGCCTTTGATCTATAAAAAATTATCTTTTTCTCAAGCATGATACACTGTTTGAGTTGGACTCTTAGGACACAGTCTTCCCTTCTTGTTCTTGCTCTGTAGGCCATGACAATGTACCTTTGGGGCAGCAAAGAGGGAAAACAAATCCTCTGGGACCTGCACTGATTCTCATTTCAAACTCAGCATTTGGCCTGAATACATAGGTCAGCTGGTATTCCAGATAAATACTATGAATTGCAATGTTTCTCTGTACATTTCTTAACATTTGTAGATTAAATGAAAAGGGGCCTCCCACAGGAAGGAGTATGATCCAAGTTCAAGGAGTAAAATAACAAGACATATCATCCCTTGTCCCACTCCCCACAGTGAATGTTGTTTTGGTTTTGCTACAGCTGGTAGGGTCTTGAAGCTATGCATCTCTCGGGTGATCAGGAAGAGCTGCAGAGACTGCTCACTCATACGGAGACAAGGGACCAAGGAGTCATCAGAAACATAGATGGGACACGCCTCAGCTCCTTTTGAGTGGAGGTGTCCTGAGGAGAGCGGTAACCCCTGAGGGTCAGGAAGGACTGAATGAGGCGTGGTATTAATTGGCTGAGCAAGAAGACAGGGAAGAGCCTGGCAGGCTTAGAGCAAGGAGACTCAGAGCCCCAGGTTGGGCCTGCGTGCCGCTGCCCTGACCATATCCTTACACGTGGCACAGCTCTGCTGGTCTGCAAGGGTTTTAGGTTCAGTTTCCTCTGTACGCTGTGCAGAGCGTAGCGTATGGATTGGCTTGGCTTTCTCGAACGATTCAACACATTCCGTGATTCAGCTGACTTGGCTAGTGAAACCCTCCTCTGCCCAGGGAGGAAACTTGACAAGTAACAGGGAGTTGGCTCTATGGACTGCGTAAGTGGGCTTGATCCAGGTGGCTATGGGGGAGAGAAAGGAGTGCTATAAATGACTGGGTGATGTTGGGGAAAGGATCAGCATGCAGATGGAATCTGCTTCCAAATTCTGACTTCCCTTCAGAAAGATGAGAAAGTCCTGCCATGCTGTCATTCATGGTCTGTTTATCTTGATTGACACCCCAGCCCCACCCCATGGTTCCCTCTCAGCTTCACAGCTGAGGATTAGGATGTTGGCAAGAACAATCTGCCCAGGCAGTCTCTGTCCTCACATTCTGGCCCCAGCTTTCCCCTTACCCTCTAGCAGAGAAAGGCCTTTCTCAAACTGGTGACATTGGGCAAATTCAAATATGAGTGTGTTGGTTTTCAGTCCTGATGATTTCCTTGGAGACCTTTTCCTAGTGTCTTGCCAAGCACATGGAGGGCGAAGAGTGAGGGAGGCTCTGACGCGGTTAGTGGCTGCTGTGTGTGAGGCGCTGCTGGCTGGGCTCCCCAGAACATGGTCTGTGGATGGCCTACTGATGCCTGGGACTGATGGGATGTACACCCATGTACCCATGTATTTTACAAGGAGGATTTCATTCTACATGCAACATTTTAATTTTATTTATTTATTTTTTTTCTGAGACAGAGTCTCGCTTTGTCACCCAGGCTGGGGTGCAGTGGCACGATCTCGGCTCACTGCAAGCTCCGCCTCCTGGGTTCACACCATTCTCCTGCCTCAGCCTCCCAACATTTTAATTACAAATACACAATATAGGCACATTGTTCAAAACTCAAAAGCACAAAAATATATACAGGGAGACCAGGTGGGGTGGCTCATGCCTGTAATCCCAGCACTTTGGGAGGCTGAGACTGGAAGATTGCTTGAGTTCAGGAGTTTGAAACCAGCCTGGGAAACATAGTGAGACCTTGTCTCTCTTAAAAAAAAAAAATATATATATATACATATATATATATATAGTGAAAAGCAAGCCTCCCTCCCACATCTATTATCTTGTATTTATTATCAATTTCTTGTGAATCATCACAAAGATGTTCTGCTAATATATAAACAGATGCACATATAATTATTTTTAAAATATAAATGATAACAATATTGTGGGTATATATATATATGGTGTAAAACTTTAGGTATAGCATTTTTAGATTGTCAAAGAAGCAAAAAGCAAAACCTGAATACATTTTCCCTTATAATTGAGGCCAAAAGAAATTGTAGGGTTATGTTTGGGGTAATGGGTTAAGGATGGGAAACAATGTGTGCATGTGTGTGTGTGTGTGTTTAGTTGTAGCAGGTATCTTGACTCATACAGATTGCCTGTCCATTTTAATGACATTTTTCCAGTTCTTGTGGAAATTCACATAAACAGGATATTAAAACCTAGTCCTAGTAATGTATTGAAAATTTAACAGCTACTTGGGGGCCGAGGCAGGCAGATCACCTGAGGTCAGGAGTTCAAGACCAGCCTGTCCAATATGGTGAAACCCTGTCTCCACCAAAAATACAAAAATTAGCCGGGCATGGTGGCAGGTGCCTCTAATCCCAGCTACTCGGGAGGCTGAGGCAGGAGAATCGCTTGAACCCAGGAGGCGGAGGTTGCAGTGAGCCGAGATCGCACCATTGCACTCCAACCTGGGCAACAGAAGACTCCATCTCAAAAAAAAAAAAAATGAATATTTAACAGCAAAATCATCTTATTGCTATTGGAAAGTATTTATTTGATGCAGTGGTTAGTGCAAAACTGTTGCTATTTTAGGCGCAGTGGCAAAGGAGTTGCTATAGAAGGGCTCTTATGTGGAATGATGTAAAGAGGAAGCATTCATTCTAAATTCTGAGAAGCAGAATTTAGCAAGCAGAAGCAGCGCAAGTTCTTACCTGCAGATTCTTAGGAAGTGATGCCTAGAGGCCACTGAACTCTGTTCTTGGTACATTAGGACCAGGAGATTATGCAATGCTCTGAGGCAGAATAAACAAGGTCAGAAGCAGGCATTTATTCTGCAAGAAAAGAATTTACTGTGTAGGTTCCTGAAGGATTGCCTGAATTCCTTCATGGCTGAGAGTGCAAAATAATGCACAGCTGCTGGCTGCCCTGCATAGCTGTAGGCAAGGATCCGGAAGATGCCATCTTGTCTCCAAGTGTTTCTTTTTCTTTAGGCAGGGTCTCACTCTGTCACCCAGGTGGGAGTGCATTGGTGCAATCACTGCTCACTGCAGCCTCCACCTCCCAGGCTCAAGCAATCCTCCTGTCTCATTCTTTGACTTTTTTTTTGTAGAGACGAGGTCTCACTATGTTGGTCAGGCTCGAACTCCTGGGCTCAAACAATCCTTCTGCCTCGGCCTCCCAAAGTGCTGGGATTAACAGGCGTGAGCCACTGCCCCCAGCCTTCAAGCGTTTCTTAATGGATTCCCCCTTTTCTCATTTGGTCTCTTTCCCCCCTGGTTAGTTTCATTGTAGTTCATGTTCAGGAATTAGGCTTGTGCACAGGAGCAAGCTGGTTTTGTCCAGTTGAAAGGAAAAGGGTGAGGAATGTGCTCTGCTGTGAGCTTTGCTCTGGGGGGAAAATCTAGTTTTCTTTTTCCCTTTTCCCATTTGCTTTCCAAGGTTTGGATGGCACAATCACCTTCTCAGAATGCTTCTTTTACTACTCAGGAGGAAAAGGCTGCCACTTTGGGATTGAAGGACCCCATACTGTTTCCTCTAGAAAGGTAGCTCTTTTCCACGGGAGAAGAGGTGTACAGTGGTAGGAATTGTGTCCTTAGTTAGGATTTGGGGTTTTATTTAGACATCATCATGTCCCTTAACTTGGACTTAGACACTGGATTCTGTGAAGTTCAGTTTCAGGTTGGTTCAGCAGGTAGATCTCTGATCATGGACTTTTCTGTCTTCTCTCCTTTTCTCTGCATCTATTGCTATCTTGACACCAAAGTTACTCAAACTCTGGGCTTCTAGGTACACTGGGTTTGTTCTCCTGCAGATCTGGCCAAAGTGATATTTCATGAGTGGGTCTGAGAAATGGCAACCAGTGAACAAACATTTGAAACAATTCAGACACTCACTAGGCTGTATGTTTGGGGAATTCTTTTTATTATATGTGGGTGTGGAAGCCTGAGGTCTTAGATTTTATCACAGTAAGAAGCAGCTTACCCCTCTGTTCATCAAGTCACAGACTGTCTTGGCTTCTAGCTGGGAAGTTTTTGTTGGGAAGTTTTGTAGTGTTGGGCAATGGATGAGTGAATGGAAAGAAGCGTGACTAGGGACCTACTCTTAATGGCTCGAAAATGTCCATTAACTTGTTGTATAGGGGACAGCTCATTCTATTAACTCACTTTGTTCTCAACAGAAGGTAAAATTGGGCATAACTACCAAGCTATCATGAGAACCAATCCAGGAAAACTCATTAGTCCCAAGCTGGATAGGGGCAGAGTCCACAGGTGCTTGAGAAGTTTGGGTGGTCCTATAGAGACTAGAGTATATATTTATCACCTTAGAAACTTCTTTGTCTCATGTTTGACAGTTTTTATGCTTCTGGGTCTTACAGATAATTAATATTTTGTTCTTTATTTAAGCTAGTTTGCCTTTTTTTTTTTTTTTTTTTGAGATGGAGTCTCGTTCTGTTGCCCAGGCTGGAGTGCAGTGGCGTGATCTCGGCTCACTGCAAGCTCTGCCTCCTGGGTTCACGCCATTCTCCTGCCTCAGCCTCCCGAGTAGGTGGGACTACAGGTGCCCGCCAACACACCTGGCTAATTTTTTTGTATTTTTAGTAGAGATGGGGTTTCACCGTGTTAGCCAGGATGGTCTCGATCTCCTGATCTTGTGATCCACCCGCCTCAGCCTCCCAAAGTGCTGGGATTACAGGCATGAGCCACCACGCCCGGCCCACTAGTTTGCCTTTTAAAAATTTCAGGTATTTAATTAAAGTGTGTAAGACATCAGTGGCTGCTCTGCAGGATGCTGATTTGTATCTGGAGACCCAGAACTGATGAATTGGGCCAGTGGGTTCCTGGCTGGTCTAATGTGGCATCTTCTCTTCCTTACTGTTTGAGGACATGGGGCAGGGCATGACCAGTGCCTGAGTGGCAGGTGGTGACTGAAGGGAGGGAGATGGGAACTGGGCTGTAGTCAGGGCTCTCTCGCAAGGGGCTTGACCTTTACCTATTACCTCCTGGACACCTGTGCGGAGAGGTATGAGAGAATGGGTTTTCTTGTGAAAGGAAAATTCAAATCTCTCTTTACTTGAGAGTCTAGGGACTTCAGACATCACCATCCCCCATAGCAGCTCTGATGATTTTCACATTTGAATGAAACACTTGAAATTTTTAAAAGGCCAATTAGTATAAATGAAGAACAAAATAATTAATTATAAAGACCCACAGTCTTGAAACACAGTGGCAGGCACCATCTTAGTTCTTGTGTTTCTTCTTCTGTCAAGTGAAAAAATAAACTACCATTTTTATCTTCCGCAATACTCCCATTCAATTGAGCTGCTTCTTTTTATTTTTTATCTTTTTATTTCAATCCTGCTCCTTCTGTAGTCAATTGCGCTTCTTGACTGGTCTCCTGGAGCTAATTGTCAGGACTGGGGTGGTGCCCCACCCCCTTCCTGGGATCCTAGCCTTCTCCTTCCTTTGGGTGAGATCCTATCTACTCCTTCTCAGGAGGTGGCCTCTGCTGCAGACCCATAAAACTTTAACCCTACCTTTCCTATCAGTGAGAATTAACATAACAGCTAGGGCTACTATCACAGGAGTGGAAAATAAACCATAGTAAAGAGACCTTCCAAAAGTCTGCAAGCAAAATCTAAACACATTTGAGCACCTCTCTATGGGGCGAGAGCATAGATTTTTGCTGAAGGCAGGCAGAGGGGTGGCATTTTGTGTTCTCAGAGGGAAGCGATCTGGAGTTTGATTTAGTTCAGGATTCTTCTCAGCTTCTAGCCCCGAGCTCCAGGGCTTCTATCACCTCCATGACTTTCCTGAATCTGAGTCCTTGAAGTGCATTTTTCAGAAAACTTGGGTCCTACTCTTCCCCTTCCTTTGGGTGAGATCCTATCTACTCCTTCTCAGGAGGTGGCCTCTGCTGCAGACCCATAAAACGTTAACCCCACCTTTCCTATCAGTGGGAATGAACATAACAGCTAGGGCTACTATCATAGGAGTGGAAAATAAAACCATAGTAAAGAGACCTTCCAAAAGTCTACAAGCAAAATCAAAACAACACATTTGAGCACCTCTATATGCAGCGGGAGCTAGATTTTTGCTACAGTACCTAGTGAGGGACTGTAATTTTGGCTCTTGGCACAATAGCCAAATTCCTATCCCTCTAATCCTATTGTGTCTCCTGGGGCTGGGTATGAGGAAGGAGAGTCCTGCACTGGAAGAATTACCTTAGCGGTTTCACTTACTATGAGGACTGTTGGTTTCAGTAACCCTTTTGGCTCCCATCAATGTCCATTTAGCTATTTCTAATTATTTCAACTACTATAATATTATTTTTCTCCAGGCATGCAGCCAAATAAAGTCAGCCATTGAGTTGGTTCTCTCAGCCGTGCTGCTTGTGGAACAACGTGACTGCAAGGCCATATTGCTTCCCTTTCCCATGCCAGGCCGTGTGAGTGAGAGAGCAATCAGTGCAAATCTTTGGGCTGGATAACTGGCGGTGCTGGTTTGACCTCCGGCCGGGTCACTGAGGGATTGTTGGGGAGGCTGCTGCACCCCTCTGCACAGACTTCCAACATATCCCAGAACCATAGCACCAGCTCTCTTAAGCCAGAGGATAATGTTAGTTAGTAAAGAGAATGATGCTATTGGGGTCGATTACTTCCACTAGTAGAATCTTAATGATGTGTGGGAAACCATGTCTCTGGCAAAGTGCTGGAGTTCACCTGAGCCTTTTTTTTTTTTCTGGAGACAGTGTCTCGCTCTGTTGCCCCGGTTGGAGTGCAGTGGCGTGATCTCAGCTCACTGCAATCTCCGCCTCCCTGGTTCAAGCGATTCTCCTGTGTCAGCCTCCCAAGTAGCTGGGATTACAGGCACATGCCACCAGGCCCAGCTAATTTTTGTGTTTTTAGTAGAGACAGGGTTTCACCATGTTGGCCAGGCTGGTCTTGAACTCCTTGACCTCAAGTGATCCTCCTGCCTCAGCCTCCCAAAGTGCTGGGATTACAGGTGTAAGCCACCGTGCCCCACCAACCTGAGCCTTTTTTAACTGGCCAGCTGGGCCCAAGAGTATTATCGTGTCTCCTAAAAATGACTGATACAGTTTTTTTAATTAGTTTCCTATGGCTGCCATGTAATATAGTACCACAAACTAGGTGGCTTAAAACAACAGGAACCTGTTCACTCCCAGTTCCGTAGTCAGAAATCAAGATGTTGGCAGGGTTGGCTCATTTCTGGAAGCTCTGAAGGAGAATCAGTTCCCTGCCTCTCTCCCAGGTTCCTTGGCCTGTGGATACATTGCTCCAGTCTCTGCTGCCATCATCACATGGCATTCTTCTTGCATGTGTGTCTGTGTGTCCCAATTTTGCTCTTCTTATAAGGACACCAATCATTGGATTACGGCTGACCCTAATCCAGCATGATCTCATTTTAACTTGGTTACATCAGTGGAGACCCTATTTTCAAGTAAGGTTATATTCAGAGGTACCATGGGGTTAGGATTTCAAAGCATCATTTTTGGGAACACAATTCAACTTGTAACACTCCTCTTATCCATCTCCCTCCTGGACTATAGTGCTGGCCTCTTACTGTATCTCCCTGGGCCGGGGTCTCCCCTCAGTGACCTTTCCACACCATCAGTAGAATTATCTTACTGTATTGTAAAAAGAATCATACTATCCAGCTTTATTTCCAAAGGCTAAACTCAGTTTGACAGACAGAGCCCTTCACAGACTGTTGTCATTGGAGAGCTGGACCAACGCAGAACAGGGACCTGTCCCCCCTGCACAGGATCATAATTGAAGCCGGACTCGCCTACAAGGCACTGCTAATTAATCTTTCCTCCTACTGGGCGTCTGAATCATTCTGCCCCTAAGAAGATTATTTGGGAGGTGATTGGACTTTTTGCATGATTGTTCCTAGGGATGTTGTCCTTGCCTATCTTCTCAGATGTGGGTTTATTGCATTTTTACTTATTTCCTAAACTTTCAATGGAAGAAGGCAAGATCATCTTCCATAAGGTAGTTAGATTATATTACTCATGAAACTAATAACTTCAAGACTCTCTTTCCTTACTCTACTGTGGCAAAGTACCATATCTCTCTCTTTTTTTATTTTTTTTTTTATTGATCATTCTTGGGTGTTTCTCTCAGAGGGGGATTTGGCAGGGTCATAGGACAATAGTGGAGGGAAGGTCAGCAGATAAACAAGTGAACAAAGGTCTCTGGTTTTCCTAGGCAGAGGACCCTGCGGCCTTCCGCAGTGTTTGTGTCCCTGGGTACTTGAGATTACGGAGTGGTGATGACTCTTAACGAGCATGCTGCCTTCAAGCATCTGTTTAACAAAGCACATCTTGCACCGCCCTTAATCCATTTAACCCTGAGTGGACACAGCACATGTTTCAGAGAGCACAGGGTTGGGGGTAAGGTCATAGATCAACAGGATCCCAAGGCAGAAGAATTTTTCTTAGTACAGAACAAAATGAAAAGTCTCCCATGTCTACTTCTTTCTACACAGACACAGCAACCATCCGATTTCTCAATCTTTTCCCCACCTTTCCCCCTTTTCTATTCCACAAAACCGCCATTGTCATCATGGCCCGTTCTCAATGAGCTGTTGGGCACACCTCCCAGACGGGGTGGTGGCGGGACAGAGGGGCTCCTCACTTCCCCGTAGGGGCGGCGGGGCAGAGGCGCCCCTCACCTCCCAGACAGGGCGGCTGGCCGGGCAGGGGCTGACCCCCCACCTCCCTCCCGGACGGGGTGGCTGCCGGGCGGAGACGTTCCTCACCTCCCAGACGGGGTCGCGGCCAGGCAGAGGTGCTCCTCACATCCCAGACCGGGCGGCGGGGCAGAGGCGCTCCCCACATCTCAGACGATGGGCGGCCGGGCAGAGACGCTCCTCACTTCCTAGATGGGATGGCGGCCCGGAAGAGGCGCTCCTCACTTCCTAGGTGGGATGGCGGCCGGGCAGAGACGCTCCTCACTTTCCAGACTGGGCAGCCAGGCAGAGGGGCTCCTCACATCCCAGACCATGGGCGGCCAGGCAGAGAGGCTCCTCACTTCCCAGACGGGGTGGCGGCCGGGCAGAGGCTGCCATCTCGGCACTTTGGGAGGCCAAGGCAGGCGGCTGGGAGGTGGAGGTTGTAGCGAGCCGAGATCACGCCACTGCACTCCAGCCTGGGCACCATTGAGCACTGAGTGAACGAGACTCTGTCTGCAATCCCGGCACCTCGGGAGGCCGAGGCTGGCGGATCACTCGCGGTTAGGAGCTGGAGACCAGCCCGGCCAACACAGGGAAACCCCGTCTCCACCAAAAAAATACGAAAACCAGTCAGGCGTGGCGGCGCGTGCCTGCAATCGCAGGCACTCGTCAGGCTGAGGCAGGAGAATCAGGCAGGGAGGTTGCAGTGAGCCAAGATGGCAGCAGCACAGTCCAGCTTCGGCCCGTGGAAAGAGGGAGAGGGAGACCGTGGGGAGAGGGGGAGGGGGAGGGGGACCATATCTCTTGTGAATTTATTTCCTGGGAAAGCATGTGGAGTGCGGAGTGTGTGTGTGTGTGTGTGTGTGTGTGTGTGTCTGTGTGTGTGTGGTGGAGGGTGAAAGTATTTTACTTGAGGATAAAGATTGATGCAAATAATATTCAGATAGAGTTCAATAGGGTTAAAACAATGTTAAGTGTCTTCCTTGCCAGTTTGCTGTCTTAGGTTTTGCTTTACCTACGTTTTTCTCTGATAGAGGAAAAATAAAATAATCAATTCCCAGGGTTAAGTGACTGAGTCCCCAAGAAGATCTTAAAGAAGACAGCCATTTGCCTAAGTAGTTAAATCCCAGTTAAATTTTAGTAGCATGATCTATCTCTATGCAGAGAGGTAAAGAAAGAACCAAATGATGTCATTTCTATCTAAAAAGTACCCTTCAGTGGCAGGGCGCGGTGGCTCACGCCTGTAATCCCAGCACTTTGGGAGGCTGAGGTGGGCGGATCACGAAGTCAGAAGTTCGAGACCAGCCTAGCCAATATGGTGAAACCCCATCTCTACTAAAAATACAAAAATTAGCCAGGTGTGGTGATGTGCGACTGTAGTCCCAGCTACTCAGGAGGCTGAGGCAGAAGAATCGCTTGAACCTGGGAGGTGGAGGTTGCAGTGAGCCAAGATCGAGCCACTGCACTCCAGCCTGGGTGACAGAGCAAGACTCCCTCTCAAAAAAACAAAAAAGGACCCTTCAGTATAAGAGCTGTCCATGTAGCAGCTCTCAACTTAGTCCAGTGAGTTAAAGTGTGAGATTGGATTAGTAATCCTTTAATTTAAAGTCGTGTGACCTCAGCCAAGTGACCGTCTTCAATCCTCAGTACCCTAGGCTGTGCGAAAAGCATATGGTACAATTCCTGGTGGAATAATGTTCAATAAATGTCAAATGCTATTATTATTTTGTGATTATATGAATGACCCGAGAAAGGGTCCCACCTGCATCCAAGTACATTTATACTTCTTAATAACCAAAGTGCCTTCATGAGAATGCTGGTAGAAACTGCATAAGGGTGTGTTTTTTTGCTTTTGTTTTTGTTTGAGATGGGGGTCTCACTCTGTCACTCAGGTTTGAGTGCAGCGGCGCCATCTTAGCTCACTACAATCTCTGCCTCCCAGGCTCATGTGATCCTTCCACCTCAGCCTCCCAAGAATCTGGGACCACAGGTGTGAACCACCATGCCTGGCTAATTTTTTGCCTTTTTTGGTAGAGACGGGGTTTCACCGCCTTGCCCAGGCTTGTCTTGAACTCCTGACCTCAGGTGATCCGCCCACCTCAGCCTCTCAAAGTGCTGGGATTGCAGGTGTGAGCCACTGTTCACAGCCCTGCATGAGGGTCTTTGATTACAACTGATATTTTCTATTGTTGAGTGATGGCCTTTTTATAAGTTGCCCTTTCAGTGACACAAAGGAGGAATGTGCAACTGAGTAGAACAATTTTAGAGAAAATGTAGATTATGTGTTAATTAGACTGAAGCTGTGCCTACTTCCAGAGAGTATGAGGCAGTTTAGAAGGTAAAACACAGTATTTTACTGGGAGTAAGACAGAATTTTTATTTAGCGTATATACAGCAGAAATAGAAAGGGAACAGAAAAAGCCTGGAATGAGGCAAGTGTTAAAATGGGCAGTTCTAGCAAACAGAACCGAATAAGGAACAGTCAAAACAGTGATGGGGGGGCCAACCTTGAGGAGAAATTGAGTGTTGTTTGGGGACTTTTTTTTTTTTTGAGATGTCGCATACAGTACTTAGTGTTGGTTGGATGGATGACTCTTACATTTTCCATATAGTTATTCTGTCATAAATACTCAAACAAAATGAGGGATTTAAACTGTAATTAGAGCTCTTTTCTGAGACATCTGTCTGTAACATTTCTCTTTTTCCCACAATTAGGTGAAAATGAAATCCTTGCAACTCTGCATGCCATTTCAAGCAAAAACCAGATCTGGAGATCGTATATTGGCATGGGCTATTATAACTGCTCAGTGCCACAGACGATTTTGCGGAACTTACTGGAGAACTCAGGATGGTAATGTATTTCTCAGTTCAGGAACAGGATGACTGTGATTTGCATAATTCTCTCCATCCTCCATCTGTCCCCTTGCAGTCTCAGAGCCTCCACACTGACACCCACCTCCTAGTGCTGTCTCCAATGTCCGGGAACCTACCGGGTTTCTCTGGATCGAGAAATGTTCTTGCTCAAATGTTGAGGAAATAGAAGTTTCTTCCCACTTCCAGTCCCATAAAATCTACTAGGATGCTAAATTGTGGATCTGGTCATCTCTTCCTCTTCTGCAGCTTAATTTCTGTGCTGTATTTGAGTAAGATGTGAAACCTGCAGGTGGGCAGATTCAGGCCTTTACTCCTCCTTGGAGACCCTGGGACATAGGCTACTTCTGAGCTATCTCATTGAGTCATTGGTGGAGTCTGGGAGAGAATCTTGGTCCACTGTCTTCTCTCAGGATTCCCCGCCTACCACCCTGCCCAGACGGAGTCTTGCTGTGTATCCCAGTCTGGAGTGCAGTGGTGTGATCTTGGCTCACTGCAACCTCTGCCTCCCAGGTTGAAGCAATTCTTCTGCCTCAGCCTCCCAAGTAGCTGGGATTACAGGCACCCACAACCACCCCCGGCTAATTTTTGTATTTTTAGTAGAGATGGGGTTTCACCGTGTTGGCCAGGCTGGTCTCGAACTCCTGACCTCAGGTGATCCGCCCGCTTCAGCCTCCCAAAGTGCTGGGATTACAGGCATGAGCCACTGCGCCTGGCCCTTCTGTCAGGATTTTTAAGGGGGACAGATAATTGTGTTCCCTTCCCCTCCCACCCCCAAAATTTTTGATTCACAACTGACTGACAAAAAGACATGGTGTTGGAGATCATAATATCAGCTTTATTGCTAGCACTTTCTAGAGAAAGAGAACATGTGCATTCTGTAGACAGGCTCTTCTAGAAAAGATATGAGAGAGGCCTGAGCTATGCATGCTCAGTTACTTATTCCAGTCTTACCTCAACAGTTAGATAAGTCACTCCTACTTCTTCTTTTTTTTTTTTTTTTTTTTTTTTTTTTTTGCCTGAGACAGAGTCTCACTCTGTTGCCCAGGCTGGAGTGCAGTGGGATGATCTTGGCTCACTGCAACCTCTGCCCTTCGAGTTCAAGTGATTCTCCTGCCTCAGCCTCCCGAGTAGCTGGGATTACAGGTGCCTGCCAGTGTGCCTGGGTAATTTTTTGCATTTTTAGTAGAGACGGGGTTTCACCATCTTGGCCAGGCTGGTCTTGAACTCCTGACCTCATGATCCACCCGCCTTGGCCTCCCAGAGGGCTGGGATTACAGGCGTGAGCCACCGCGCCCAGCCAAGTCACTCCTACTTCTAGGGGTGTGTGTGTGTGTTCATCTGTGTCTGTCTCCTGTCCACTCTGGTCCTCACTGATTGTGTGGTGTGTGTGTGTGTCTGTCCATCCATGTCTGTGTCTCCTGCCCACTCTGGTCCTCACTGATAGAACAACACTGAAAGCATTTCTCCTGCATTTGAGAAAATACTTCTAGTCCACTTCCATGCTATTTTGTTGTTTTCCATTGCTGTTTGCTGTATGATGTAAAGAACCAAAAAGGCCAGGCATGGTGGCTCACACCTGTAATCCCAGCACTTTGGGAGGTTGAGGCGGGTGGATCATCTGAGACTGGGAGTTTGAGACCAGCCTGACCAACATGGAAAAACCCTGTCTCTACTAAAAATACAAAATTAGCTGGGCGTGGTGGTGCATGCCTGTAATCGCAGCTAGTTGGGAGGCTGAGGCAGGAGAATTGCTTGAACCTGGGAGGTGGAGGTTGTGGTGAGCCAAGATCGCAGCATTGCACTCCAGCCTGGGCAGTTAAGGACATCTGCCTCTGCTGTTCACTGGGATATAATGTCTAACTGTGGAGGAGGAAAGGTGGGGACTCCTAGGCTCTTTTTTCCCATCTTTTTGGATTGGTGCCATTTTATACACCAGAAACACTGAGTTGAAATTTTATTTCAAATGATGAATTAGTCTTAAAAGGAAGACATCTTATTTGAAAATATAGGTGTCCACTTTTCATTTCCAGCATGGAAACAAATCAGACATAGATGGAGTATGGTGATAATTCCTAGGTGATTTTTTAAAAGTTAGTTTGTGGAAGAGGTAACTTTAATTTCTAGCAGGATCATCATGACATGAGGACAGAGTAAGTGGTTGCCTCTGCAATTCAAAGTATTCCTAGCAAGGGGCACAGATTGGCTTTTAGATTAACATATGTAAAAACCAACTTTACTTAAGGGAATGCAGGCTTCACTAAGTGGGAAATCATAAGTTGTACCAACAGGAGCTTTTGAAATACCCAAGTACATGCTCCCAATCAATGAGTGTTAACAATTTGATAAACACTTTGCATCTTTGTCTGCTTTTCCATCATTGCAAATGTAATCCTGGTGGGTGCATGTGCTTTGTCGTAGATGCAATTATTTTTATCATATCATTATAGGAGCCAGATCTCTCAGCACAATCATTCCAGTATTGCTGTCCCTGTACATAACTCTTAGTTTCAATATGCTCCACTTTATTAATAAGGGGACAGGAAAATCAAAGAACTAGTTTCTCTGTAGCGTCTGTGAATGCGTTTGCATTGATGAAGGCTTCTTTTTCATTGTGGTATTGGTAAAAATTTGAATGGTAAATTCCAAGGTTAATTTCAAAAGAAAATGGCCTGTTTCTCTTCCCCCTTAAGAAAAGCCTCAAAAGTACATGAACGGGCTGCAGCATTCCAGCCATCTGAATACTGGCCAGCAGCCTTTGCTCTTGGTGGCCATAAAGAATATTCACCATATTGCTTTCTGGCTGTGGGCGGATGTTAATTTACCGTAGGAGCAGCCAGTGTTTTGAGAAGGAGATGATGTTGTCCTGTACTTTTCATTTACTTTTCAGGTGCATTTTAAATACTATTTCTTTCTATTCTCTGAAAGCTGATCTGAACCAGAGAGTGATATTACACCCCACCAGCGCTGATAGGGAGGGCTGTGCACATGTGGGTGGTAGATTTCACATTATCATCCTTCTGAATGGTTTCCATAGAGATGGAACCAACAAATTCCGGAGACGTGAGGGGAAAATAAATGGATGACATAGCCTCGAAAGAAAACAAACATTTGGGCTCTTGAAAGAAAATTTACATCAGGTCTAGAATTTATTTTATGGGTTTCACTATTCCAAATTTTCAACTACTGATAACATCAGAACATTTACATATTCCTTGTAGCTATTTCTGTTTGGTATATTTTTGTCAGCAGGATTAAAATGAGAGAATCTCAGGAGTGTTTGTCCTGCAAACCCCCATAACCCCCTTTCCCAATTCCAAAAGAAAGTCACAGCCAAAATGATAGAGAACACTAATTATTTTGGGTTAAATATTAATGCCATGTTGAATATATCAAGCATCCTATTTGAGCTGAACTAAATGCCTTCTTGGATGTGCAGATACCTTTTTATATGTTAAAATATATTTAGGAACAAACCAGTTGAATTAGTCATTTGGAACATAGACATTATAGATGACAGGCATGTTTTCTTAATCACTATGTTTTACCTAATTGAGTCAAACTCTTGTAAACATGATGGCAGGCCTTTTGATAGTATTTTTCTCCTGAAATGAGGGTTATTTGTCATCTCTCAGATCCAAGGCTCACTGTCCTTTAATAGATCATTGTTAAGAGCATTAACACCTGTTTAATTTCAGTAGTGCCAAAAACCTCTAGACTAATACAAGAAGTTTACATGTAAAAGGAGTGAGATTACATATTTGGCATATTTGCAAGACAACAATTTTAAAGGTCTCTACCTTTAGCAATGCTAAATAACATTAACCTCACCTTGGACTTATGAAAGGATTGAGAGAGAAATATTACATAAGGGACAGAAAAGATGTAACTAATTTGAATAAATAGTTTTTAAGTGGAAATATGTAATAATATCTAAACAGAATTCTGCAGAAGTGCTTTTAGGAAAGGTCTATCAGCATATGCTTTAAAAACTTTTTTAAAGATGAAAACGAAAAAAACTCCAACTTTTCAAGAGCCAATGGGTCATTGAAAATACTGATCCTAAGCCAGGCATGGTGGCTTGTGCCTGTGGTCCCAGCTCCTTGGGAGGCTGAGGCAGGAAGATCATGTGAGTCCAGAAGTTTGAGGCTGTAGTGCCCAATCATCGCACAGGTGAACAGCCACTGCACTCCAGCCTGGGTAGCATAGCACAAGCCTGTATACAAACAACAGAAAAGAAAATCCTGATTAGGCCAGGTGCGGTGGCTCACGCCTGTATCCCAGCACTTTGGGAGGCCGAGGTGGGCAGATCACTTGAGGTCAGGTGTTCAAGACCAGCCTGGCCAACATGGCAAAACCCTATCTCTACAAAAAATACAAAAAAAATTAGCCAGGCCTAGTGATAGGCACCTGTAATCTCAGATATTTGGGAGGCTGAAGCAGGAGAATCACTTGAACCCAGGAAGAGGAGACTGCAGTGAGTGGAGATTGCACCACTGCACTCCAGCCTGGGTGACAGTTAGACTCCGTTTCAATAAAAAAGAAAATACTGGTTATATACTAGGTCTTTTTTTTTTTTTTTAAGACAAGGTCTCCGTCTGTCACCTGGACTAGCGTACAGTGGTGCTCTAATAGCTCACTGTAAACTGGAACTCCTTGGCTCACGTAATCCTCCTGCCTCAGCCTCCTGAGTAGGTGGGACTTACAGGCCCCTCGCCAGGCTAATTTTTTTTTTTTTTTAAATTTTTAGTAGAGACAAGGTTTCTCTGTGTTGCCCAGGCTGATCTTGAACTACTTGCCCCAAGAGATTTTCCTCCCAAAGTGCTGACAGGTGTGAGCCACCACACCTGGCCTGTATACTGAGTCTTAAAACATACACAGACACATATAGACAGAAAGCTAGGGATTTTAAAAGTTTTTGAATGTCTTATGAATTCAAAATAACTTACAGATGCTAATTTACAGTTGCTATTATTCACTTGAATAACCTTTGGACAGTACATTAGTCTGATTTGAGCATTAAGAAAAATCTCTCATATAGGTGATGTTATTTCCATTGAGAGGCAAGAGATATTGGCTAGAGCGACGTTTAGTTATTTATCCCAGTTCACAAGTACACTCATGCCCTGCGTAGTGATATTTTGGTCAGTGACAGATTGTGTATATGACAGTGGTCTCATAAAATTGTAATTCTGTATTTTTACTGTACCTTTTCTGTATTTAGAAACACAAATACTTAACCATTGTTGTACAATTGCCTATAGTATTCAGTACAGTAACATGCTCTACATGTTGGTAGCCTGGGAGTGATAGGCTATATCACGTAGCCTAGGTGTGTAGTAGGCTATACCTTCTAAGTACACGTAAGTACACTCTATGAGGTTCACACAACAATGACTAAATCACCTAACGATGTATTTCTCAGAGCATATTTCTGTTAAGCCATGCATGACTGTAGAAAATTAATAAGATTAAGGCTTGGCACAGTGGCTCACTCCTGTTATCCCAGCAATTTGTGAAGCTGAGGTGGAAGGATCACTTGAGCCCAGGAATTTGAGACCAGCCTGGACAACATAGTGAAACCCTGTCCCTACAAAAAAAAAAAAAAAAGATTGAAACCCAGGGCTTCAGCTGGGCGTGGTGGCTCACGCCTGTATTCCCAACATTTTGGGAGGCTGAGGTGGGTGGGTCTTTGAGCCCAGGAGTTTGAGACCAGCCTGGCCAACATGGTGAAACTCCATCCCTACAAAAAAATATAAAAATTAGCTGGGCGTGGTGGTGCATGCCTGTAGTCCCAGCCACTCGGGAGGTTGAGGTGGGAGGATTGCTTGAGCCCAGGAGGTGGAGGTTGCAGCGAGCCAAGATCAGGCCACTGCACTCCAGTCTGTGTGACAGAGCAAGACTCTGTCTCAAAAAACAAAACAAAAACCAAAAGCCAGTGCTTCTTAATACTTAGTAGTTTTGAAGATGCAAGGATATCTGTGAATCACTGTAGTGTTTAAGAGAATGCAGACAGATATGCTCTTTCTGGAGAGGAACATGGTACTATGCTCTGGGAGCCTTAGAACTAATTATCAGGGTGGGCGTGATAATTACACATGACTCACGCCTGTAATCCCAGCACTTTGGGAGGCCAGGGTGGGCAGATCACCTGAGGTCAGGAGTTCGAGACCAGCCTGGCCAACATGGTGAAACCCTATCTCAACTAAAAATACAAAATTTAGCTGGGTGTGGTGTCACGCACCTGTAATCCCAGCTACTCAGGAGGCTGAGGCAGGAGAATGGCTTGAACCCAAGAGGTGGAGGTTGCACTGGGCCGAGATCGTGCCACTGCACTCCAGCCTGGGTGACAGAGCAAGACTCTATCTAAAAAAAAATAAAAACCCCAAAAAACTAGTTATCATATATAATTTGGAATTCTACTTCTAAGAATGTATCCTTAGACAAAGATAAAGATCTTAACTATTATGCTATTTCTAATATTTGAAATCAAAAGTATTCAACTGGAAGGAACTCGTTAAATAAATCAAGATTTACCTGAAGAAATTATAACTTAAATAATTTATTTCATAAGTTATTTAATACCATAGAGCAGTTAAAATCATGTTTTTGAATAGTATTTAAAGATGTTATGTTAGACATTGTTCATGGAATAATGTTAACTGAAAAAAGTTAAGATACAAAAACTTCTTTTATTTTTAGTAGAGACAGAGTCTCGCTATGTTGCCCAGGCTGGTCTCGAACTCCTGGTGCAAGTGATCCTCCCACCTTGGCCTCCCAAAGTGTTGGTATTACAGATGTGAGCCTCCACGCCTGGCCAGTACTACTTTTAGTATAAATAGATTATGATGTAGAAAAGAGATTGGAAAAAATGCACCTGAATGTTAACTGTAGTTATGTTAAAGTTTGGAAATTAAGTGATTTTATTTTCTCAATAGTTATCTGGATTTTCCAACTTGTTACAAAGAACATGTATAACATAATCATAAAAAAGGTGGTAAATGTGTTCCTGACCCATAAGAGATGGTTAATGAATGGTAGCTGGTTTCTTTAACATTTGGAACATACAATAAAAAGAAAATTTAGTGTTAATCATCTTACCTCCCAGAGAAAACCAGCTTACATTTTGGTTCATCTACTTGTTTTTACAAACTTATAAAAACGAGAACGTTTTGTATTTTATGTATTTATTTTTTGAGACAGAGTCTCACTCCCGTCACCCAGGCGGGAGTGCAGAGGCGTGATCATGGCTCATTGCAGCCTCAAACTATCCTCCAGCCTCATGGTTATTTTTTGTTTTTTGAGATGGAGTCTCGCTCTGTCACCCAGGCTGGAGTGCAGTGGCATGATCTTGGCTCACTGCAACCTCCGCCTTCTGGTTTCAAGCGATTCTTCTGCCTCAGCCTCCCAAGTAGCTGGGACTACAAGCACGTGCCACCACACCCAGCTAATTTTTGTATTCTTAGTAGAGACGGGGTTTCACCATATTGGCCAGGCTCGTCTCGAACTCCTGACCTCGTGATCCGCCTCCTCAGCCTCCCAACGTGCTGGGATTACTTACAGGCATGAGCCACTGCGCCTGGCCTGATTTTTTTGTAGAGGTGAGGTCTCATATGTTGCCCAGGCTAGTCTCGAATTCCAGGGCTCGAGTGATTGCCCACCTCAGCCTCCCAGAGTGCAAGGGTTACAGGTGTGAGCCACCATGCCCAGCCTCCATCTACTTTTCTTTCATTACTTTTCTTTCTTTCTTTTTTGAAAGCTTTGAAACCAACATCTTCTTATCTTTGACAGGGAGTGTGGTGGGGAGGTTGCCTTTCCAAGCAGTACAATATCGAGACTTTGAAATAATTTCCTGAGACTTGTATTGGGGTGTTGGTGTGCGGCTATGTGTATGTGTGTGAGTGTGTGTGAGAGAGAGAGAGAGAAAGAGTGTGTGTGTGAGAGAGTGTGTGTTTGTGTGTGTGTGTGAGAGAGTGAGTGTGTGTGTGTGTATACAACAGAATGGATTTTTGCTTGAAGAGACTGGCTTAGCAACTGTAAATTAGTTTGCCAGATTCTAAGTGGGTGGTGAACTGGAATGAATGAGGCACACAATACATGGTGTAGGCAAATAGAAAGGGAAATCTGAACAGAAATGGGGTCATACAAAAGGCATAGACAACAGGCAGGCAGTTGTGATCTTGAATCAGACAAGATCTACACACATGGCTTGACACCGTGAAGACAGATGTGGCACTACTCCAGCCAAGTGCTTAGATTGCTTGGGTAATAAAAAACTTTCATTTTACTTGGAATCATTATTTGTCATGTAGAAACACATACACATGCAGGAATACACACATACAATCTAGTCCATCTGATAAATAGGAAAGACTTAGTATATCCATAAAGACAGGCACAAGATATACGACAGGAAGACAGAGAATAATGTTCCAAAGAATTCATCACAGCACAGAAAACAACAGAAAAAACAAGCAGTGTCTGCTAAAAAGGAAATGATAATTAGACAGTGTGAATATAATACTATGCATTCATTGAAAATGATGCTGTAAAACATATTTGCTGATGTGGGAGATGTTCATGATGTACTAATTTTTTTTTTTTTTTTGAGACGGAGTCTTGCTCTGTTGCCCAGGCTGGAGTACAGTGGCGTGATCTCAGCTCACTGCAACCTCCGCCCCGCGGGTTCAAGCGATTCTCCTGCCTCAGCCTCCTGAGTAGCTGGGACTACAGGCACGTGCCACCACGCCTGGCTAATTGTTTGTATTTTTAGTAGAGACGGGTTTCACCATGTTAGCCAGGATGGTCTCGATCTCCTGACCTCGTGATCCGCCCGCCTTGACCTCCCAAGTAAAATAGGTGAGGTGTGGTAGCTCTCGCCTGTAAGGATGAAGGAACTAAATTGGCTAACTGACATATCCAAAGCCACATTCTTGGCTAATAATTGAAGGAGATAAAGTTAGAATCCATGTTTACGTTGCCTTCTAAACATTTCCATCCTGGAATTTCAATAGCCATAGAGTTAACTGCCATGGACTCTTAGTAACTGGATAATGAGAATTCTTAAGTAGACCTCTATTAATTTCTTAGCATGTAGAACTTCTCCTGGTTAACATAAAACAAATATCCAAATAAATAAATAAAATGTTTGAGTATTACATGTTAGATTCTTGGATGCTTTCCTATTGTAAAATGTGAATGAGGTCTTTTATCTAGGGGAAAGATAATAGCAAATGAAATTTCTGTTTATGATATTATAGGTAGCCTCAAGTGCAGTGGCTCATGCCTATAATGCCAGCATGTTGGCAGGCCGAGGCAGGTGGATTGCTTGAGCTCAGGAGTTCAAGACCAGCTTGGGTAACATGACAAAACCCTGGCTGTACAAAGAATACAAAAATTAGCTGAGCGTGATGGCATGTGCTTGTTGTCCCAGCCACTTTGGAGACTTAGGCCAGAGGATCTCTTGAGCCTTGTACATTGAGGCTCAGTGAGTCGTGATCATGCTATTGCACTCCAGCCTGGGTGACAGAGCGAGACCCTGTCTCAAAAACCAACAAACAAAAAACAAAAAAACAACACCAGAGAGATAGAAAAATAAGTACTGCTTATCCCCAAACAAAGGGTAATATTGTTACTATGATTTAATTCTAAGCTTTACAAAGGCCAAAAAGAAGCTTACTGGTGTGTTATGTAATTCTCCTCAAGATAGGCAAATTATTTTCAGGTACTGAATTCTGAAATGATAGCATTTTGTGTGCTTCTCTAAACAGCAGTCAGTTTGGACAAGACCTTTTGTTTCCCTTGCAGGATCACCCAGTATACTCCATACCAGCCTGAGGTGTCTCAGGGGAGGCTGGAGAGTTTACTCAACTACCAGACCATGGTGTGTGACATCACAGGCCTGGACATGGCCAATGCATCCCTGCTGGATGAGGGGACTGCAGCCGCAGAGGCACTGCAGCTGTGCTACAGGTGAGAGGCCTCTCAAAGTGCTGGAATTCCAGTTGTGGGCCACCTCGCCTGGCCTTGTTTTCTTTCTATAGTATATTGTGAATATTACTTTAGTCAGCTTTCTAGAGTATGACTTTTCAGAGAAACTGAAAAACTCAACAGGTTCAAAAACCTAGAGGTTGGATATTTCCTCTCAGGGTCCTTCTTGGTGTCTCCACCCGGATTTTGGTTGGGGTTGGGGAAGATCAGACGGGAGGGCTGAGGTTGGCAGGCGAGGGGTAAAGACATCTGCATATTTGGTGAGGGGACTATTTTTGGGAGGAAGGACAGGGAGCCGGTGCCAGGTCCCCCACTGGGAAGTGCTGGCTTGGGGAAGCAGCCAAGCGCAGGCCTGGGGGCTGCGAGGGTGGGCCAGCAGGGTTGTTCAGGGGACAGGGTGAGGTCTCTCAAGGCAGGGCAGTGAGGCTAGGGTGGAAATGTGACCTTAAACAGCTGACTCGGCACCTAGCTTTGGGAGGGCAGAGGGCGGGAGCAGGGGAGGGGGAAGCTCAATTAGGAGTGGACTTTGGATAGATGTGGCTGGGGGTGGGGGTGAGGGTGTTTCAAGGGCAGGTGTGGGTCAGACGTGAGGATCTCCCCCATAACACACACACATGACTGAGTGCCCGGGAGCCTCTCCGTTGTTCCAAACCTTGGCAGCATAGCTGAGTGTAAAGGCATGAGGGTCTCTGTTTGGTGGGGTTGTAAGAGGGTAGTGACAAAGGTCCTGGCACTGTGGTCAAGGGTGGATTCTCAGGCCCATAGAGTAGGACTTCTATTATCTCCATGGCACTTACATGGAAGTGCCATAATTTATTTAATCTCTCGTCTATTACACATATAGTTTATTTCCGTCTCTTACTGTTATTAATAGTACTTCATGTGCATCCTTATAATAAATCTTTGTCAAAACTTCTGATTATTTCCTGAAGAGCCATTTCTGGAAGTGGACTTACTGAATCAGGATGGTTCTCCATTTCTTCTGCTTCCCTTATTTGCCTTGCCAGTACTTAGGAGTGTACCTTCCTGGTGGAATTCTCATGTAGATGGCCATCTGGTTGGGAAAGACGCACACATGCTGGCCGTGTCTTAGGTTTTGTGCTCCTAGCCCTGAATGCCCATGTAAGCCTCTTTTTTGGCTTATGCAGAGTTGGGGTGGGGAGTGAGCTCCATACTTGGTCAGCAAGTTTAGAGGCCTCTGGTGCATTCCAGCCATAGGCCTTTCTGATTCCTGAGCAGCCGTTGGGGGTGGGTTCAGGTTCTCCCTTCTGTCAGGGACACACAGCCACAAAAGAGTGCCATCCACCCACCTCTCTGGTTATTATTCTCAGCTTTTTGCTAATTTTCATCTTCCCTCTTTTTTTAAAAAATTGCTTTTTATCTTATTTCATTTATTTATTTATTATTTATTAATTTATTTATTTATTTGAGACGGAGTCTCGCTCTTTCGCCCGGGCTGGAGTACAGTGGCGTGATCTCTGCTCACTGCAAGCTCCGCCTCCCGGGTTCACGCCATTCTCCTGCCTCAGCCTTCCAAGTAGCTGGGACTACAGGTGCCTGCCACCACGCCCGGCTAATTTTTTTTTTTTGTATTTTTAGTAGAGATGGGGTTTCACCCTGTTAGCCAGGAGGGTCTCGATCTCCTGACCTCATGATCCGCCCGCCTCGGCCTCCCAAATTGCTGGGATTATAGGCGTGAGCCACTGAGCCCGGCCGAGTTAATTTATTTGTTTTAATTATTTTGTTTTTTTTGAGACAGAGTCTCACTCTGTCACTCAGGCTGGAGTGCACTGGCGCTATCTCGGCTCACTGCAAGCTCCGCCTCCTGGGTTCACGTCATTCTCCTGCCTCAGCCTCCCACGTAGCTGGGACTACAGGTGCCCGCCACCACGCCCGGCTAAGGGTTTTTTTTTTTTGTATTTTTAGTAGAGATGGGGTTTCACCCTGTTAGCCAGGAGGGTCTCGATCTCCTGACCTCGTGATCTGCCCGCCTCGGCCTCCCAAAGTGCTGGGATTACAGGCGTGAACCACCCCGCCCGGCCCTCAATTGTTTTTTTGAGGCAGGGTTTGACTTTGTCACCCAGGCTGGGGTGCACGATCTCAGCTCACTGCAGCCTTGACTTCCCCAGTTCAAGTAATCCTCTTGCCTCATCCCCCCAAGCAGCTGGGACTATAGGCCCATGCCACCATGCCCAGCTAATTTTTGTATTTTTTGTAGAGATAGGGTTTTGCCATGTTGCCCAGGCTGGTCTTGAACCCCTGAGCTCGAGCAATCCACCCACCTCAGCCTCCCAAAGTATAAGGATTACAGGCGTGAGCCACCATGACCGGCCAATTTTATTTTTTTAATACAAAAATTGGCTGGGCATGGTGGCACATGCCCGTAGTCCCAACTATGTAGGGGCGGGGTGCTGAGGTGGAAGGAGCACTTGAACCTTGGAGGTCGAGGTTGCAGTGAGCTGTGATGGCGCTACTGCACTCCAGCCTGAGCGATAGACCGAGACCCTGTTCTCCCCCCACCAAAAATAAAATAAAAATAAATAAATAAACTATTTTATTTATTAATTTATGTATGTATGTATTTATTTATTTAAGACAGAGTCTCGCTCTGTGGCCTAGGCTGGAGTGCAGTGAGGCGATCTTGGCTCACTGCAACCTCTGCCTCCCGGGTTCAAGCAATTCTCCTGCCTCATCCTCCCGAGTAGTGGGATTACAGGCGTGCACCACCATGCCTGGCTACGTTTTGTAGTTTTAGTAGAGCTGGGGTTTTGCTATGTTGGTCAGGCTGGTCTTGAACTCCTGACCTCAGGTGATCCACGCACCTCGGCCTCCCGTAGTGCTGGGATTACAGGTGTGAGCCACCGCACCTGTCCAGTTTACACTTGTATCTAATCACTGTCCTTTGCTTTATTTTCTTTTTCCTCATGGTATATTTGAAACATTTTGAACCATTTTTTAAAAATTGTTATTGAGTAAACATAGAAATTGAACCATCTTAAGACTGACTTTCTAAATGGGGTTAGAATGGGAATTGGATCTATGAGGAATGCTAATCAGTAAATGCCATTAGTTACTGATGACTCAATTTTTTTTTAAATTTTTTTTTTGAGACAGAGTTTTGCTCGTCTTACGCAGGATGGAGTGCAGCAGCGGTGCAATCTTGGCTCACTGCAACCTCGGCCTCCCTGGTTCAAGTGATTCTCTGGCCTCAGCCTCCCAAGTAGCCGGGATTACAGGCATGCACCGGCTAATTTTGTATTTTTAGTAGAGACGAGGTTTTATCACGTTGGCCAGGCTGGTCTCGAACTCCTGACCTCAGGTAATCTGCCCGCCTCGGCCTCCCAAAGTGCTGGGATTACAGGCGTGAGCCACCGCACCCGGCCTACTCAGTATTTTTTATACTGTGCTTAGACTTACCCTCGGTACTATGTTTGCTTTGCGTTCTTAGAAGATAGTCCTATTTATTTAATGTTCACGTTGGAATGTGCTTTTTCTTTTCAACAGACACAACAAGAGGAGGAAATTTCTCGTTGATCCCCGTTGCCACCCACAGACAATAGCTGTTGTCCAGACTCGAGCCAAGTAATTAATTTGATTCGTGTTTTAAACTCAGTATAATGTCATGTTCATCTCTGCTGTTTCTTTCTCTTTCTCACTTCCAAACTGATTGGAGGTGAATCTGAAACAGGGTTTTTTGCTGTTTAAATTGGGGTTGCTGAGTTTTGCCTTACCTCTCACTTTCTTCTGGGCATCTCTCTGGTAAGTAAACTGTGTCAGAATTGAGTGGGGAAATACACAATTGCCATTGCTTTATAGTAAGTTGTGTTTTGTTTTCTTCTTCTTCTTTTTTTTTTTTTTTTTTTTGAGACGGAGTCTCGCTCTGTCGTCCAGGCTGGAGTGCAGTTGAGGGAACCTAGGCTCACTGCAAGCTCCGCCTCCCAAGTTCACGCCATTGTCCTGCCTCAGCCTCCCGAGTTGCTGGGACTACAGGTGCCCGCCACCACGCCTGGCTAATTTTTTTTCTATTTTTAGTAGAGACGGAGTTTCACCGTGTTAGCCAGGATGGTCTTGATCTCCTGACCTCGTGACCCGCCCACCTCCGCCTCCCAAAGTCCTGGGATTACAGGCTTGAGCCACTGCGCCCGGCCCGTTTTGTTTTCTTTTTGTAGAAAGAATAAAAATATTGTTTTGATCAGGTTTTGGAACGTTTGAAAAACAGAGAAAAATGGGACTCACATACAACTGTTAAGATTTTGTGTGTATTCCTTGCAAACGTAGTTTACAGAGGGTGTGCAGAGTCCCTAGGTGAGATGCTATGTAGTTTAAAGTGTAGTACTTTTCTTTCGTGCTGTAATCAGGTAAAACAATCCTCGCAACAACCACTATTGGTAGATATTTGCTTTCCCTTTGTAAAAGTTGAGCATTCTTCCCCCTACCCATACCACCATCCCTTCAGAGGGGGGGTTTCTGACATATAATTGGCATTATTAGTTCAGGAATCTAAGGAAGTTCTTCCTCCTTGTCTTACTTATGGTTTTCCATTCACTTAAGAGTGATGCCAGTGAAAGAGGTGATGGCTCTGTTGTTAACAAATATTGGCTCATTAGCCCTAGGAAGCAATGCTCTTGGGCCTCTCTGAGGAGTAGATTGTGACAGGAAAGGGCAAAGGGGAGTCAGAGGATAGAAGAGAGGAACAGAAGCAGAGCTGTTGGATGCGCTTGAGTTGCTGTGATGTAGTTACCACTGAAGTGCCTGTGGGACGGGATGTGGGCAGGGGTGGGAGGCCACTGTGGGAGGGCACAGAAAATGAATGCTGTCTTACTGGAAAAGAAACGTTAATTAATTTTCCCTTATAAACCGAAAGCACGATTGTTCTTTGTTGTCTGTCTTTCCAGATATACTGGAGTCCTCACTGAGCTGAAGTTACCCTGTGAAATGGACTTCAGTGGAAAAGATGTCAGTGGAGTGTTGTTCCAGTACCCAGACACGGAGGGGAAGGTGGAAGACTTTACGGAACTCGTGGAGAGAGCTCATCAGAGTGGGGTAGGTATACCTTTCTTGTGGGGGGTCCGTGGAGGCGTATCCCAACTTGTATCTGTCTACCTATCTCTCTCTCTGTCTTTTCATGTGCCTTAATTTCTTTACCATTATCACATGGAATGGTAAAACTCTCCTTCCTGACTCCTTGCTGCTACTTTTTTCTGTTCCCGGATTCCTGGCACATGGTGGGCACTCAGTATGTATTTACTGAATGAATGAATGAGCAATGGAGTTCACAGGATGTGAACACACTCTGCCCGTCTTCCTGTAGTTAAGATAATTTCCTACTCTCCCACTACTCTCAGGGAAAGGTAGCAACCTTGTTCCTTTTCTCTCACTTCCTTTCTAGAGCCTGGCCTGCTGTGCTACTGACCTTTTAGCTTTGTGCATCTTGAGGCCACCTGGAGAATTTGGGGTAGACATCGCCCTGGGCAGCTCCCAGAGATTTGGAGTGCCACTGGGCTATGGGGGACCCCATGCAGCATTTTTTGCTGTCCGAGAAAGCTTGGTGAGAATGATGCCTGGAAGAATGGTGGGGGTAACAAGGTAAAGGGGCTCATGTTTCTCTACTTTTATTGTGATTATGATTTCCCTGATTTCTTCTGATCACAAATGTTGATTTCTATCTGAATTCAACTGGGCCATGTTGAGTCAGTTAAGGAAATGTACAACATAGATTCAGAAGAACAATTCTGTTTGGGATATGAGCTAGTACTTCTCAAATACTATAAATTTGTAAATTTTTGAAAAATTTTGTGTATAATTTACAATGTATCGAAGTCATGTAACGCATTTGCTTAGATTGATGGACGCCTTGAAAGACTAAATATTTTAGGCATGTTTTGTGTCTCGACAGTTTTCGTTCTCAAAAGCATTATGCCACGTGGCTCTGTAAAGACAAATGCACTGAGACTGCAAAGTACACACTGAGTTTGCTCCGCGTTCCTTCCTAGAGGCTTCCGCCACGTGGCCATTTGAGTAATTTCCAAATTTCCAAATGTACTTTCCTGACTGCTTCTCATTGGTGAAACTTCTCAGATTAAAAACGTAGATGTTCAGAAGTAGTCTTTGTTCCTTAAAAAAAAAAGAAAAGAAAAGAAAAAAAGGGCTGGGTGCGGTGGCTCACACCTGTAATCCCAGCATTCTGGGAGGCCGAGTCAGGCAGATCACAAGGTCAGGAGTCCCAGACGAGCCTGGCCAATATGGTGAAACCCTGTCTTTACTAAAAATACAAAAATTAGGTGGGCGTGGTGGTGGGCGCCTGTAGTCCCAGCTACTTGGGAGGCAGAGGCAGGAGAATCACTTGAACCACGGAGGTGGAGGTTGCAGTGAGCCGAGATCGCGCTGCCTCACTCCAGTTTGGGTGCAGAGCGAGACTCCATCTCAAAAAAAAAAAAGAAAAAAAAGGAAAAAAAAGGAGCGGGGGACCTAGATGCATTCCAGGATTATTACTGGGGAAATTTAGAAAAAAAAATTATGTTTTTGACCTTTGATAAAAGCTGGACTTTAACATAAGTGAGTAAGCTGAATTAGTCAATGATGTGATGATAATGTGAAGTGTGTTTTTTTAAAATTTTATTTATTTATTTATTTATTTATTTTGAGACCAAGTCTCACTCCATCACCCAGGCTGGAGTGCAGTGGTGTAAACGTGGCCACTGTGTCCAACTAATTTTTTAAATTTTTTGTAAAAACAGGGTTTCACCATATTGCTCAGGCTGGTCTTAGGGCTCAAGTGATCTGCCCACCCCAGCCTCCCAAAATGCTCGGATTACCAGGTGTAAGCCACCATGCCTGGCCTCTGTATACTTTAAATCATCTTATTAACACCTAATGTTATGCAATGGTTGTTACACTGTATTGTTTTTAAAAATTTGTGTGATTTGTTTTTTTTTTTTTATTTTTTGAGACGGAGTCTCTCTCTGTCACCCAGGCTGGAGTGCAGTGGTACGATCTTGGCTCACTGCAACCTCTGCCTCCCAGGTTCAAGTGATTCTTGAGCCTCAGCCTCCCAAGTAACTGAGATTACAGGTGCCTGTCACCATGTCTGGCTAATTTTTGTATTTTTAGTAGAGATGGGGTTTCACCATGTTGGCCAGGCTGGTCTCAAACTCTGGACCTCAGGTGATCCGCCCACCTTGGCCCCCCAAAGTGCTGGGATTATAGACATGAGCCACCATGCGCGGCTCATAAAATTTGTGTGATTTTTAATTGTTGTATTATTTTTTATTTTTTTGAATGTTTTCAGTCCGTGATTGGTGGAATCTGTGGTGTAGAATCCACAGAGAGCCAAGTCTTTTCAATTTTGTCGTATATTTCCACTTTTCCTGTGTCTCCTAAGAAGTTCAGAGTGAAACTTAATCCTCCCAGTCACCATTATTGTATTTGTCTGGGAAATTCCTGCAAAATTTTCTTTCAAAATTCCTAGACTTATTGTATATATCTTGGTGTCTCAGAGTACAGTCTAAAAATCAGTAATCCTGCTGGGCACAGTGGCTCATGCCTGTAATCCCAGCACTTTGGGAGGCCAAGGCAGGCGGATCACCTGAGGCCAGGAGTTCAAGACCAGCCTGGCCAACATGGTGAAACCCCATCTCTACTAAAAATACAAAAATTAGCTGGGCGTGGTGTCAGGAGGCTGATGCAGTAGAATCGTTTGAAACCAGAAGGCAGAGGTTGCAGTGAGCCGAGATCACGCCATTGCACTCCAGCCTGGGCGAAAGAGCGAAACTCCGTCTCAAAAAAAAAAAAAAAAATCAGTAATCATGTTTAGATGAGGAACGTTTAGAAATTGTTTCTTTATAAATTTGCACCCAAGTGCATTTGCTGAATTCACTTCAAGCTGGGAAGGAAAGAAGTAATTCTATTTATAGCATCTCCCAGTGCTGTGATTATCTGTGCTAACTGGATGCCTTATTCTTGGTGTAGAGATGCCACTGGGAAAGAAGTGTATCGTCTTGCTCTTCAAACCAGGGAGCAACACATTCGGAGAGACAAGGCTACCAGCAACATCTGTACAGCTCAGGTAAATCACACGTCTGACCTGACTACTGAATGCCTTACGATACACAGAAATGAGCTACTCATTCATTCATTCATTTGTTCATTTATTCACCACCTCCTGAGCAGTGAGCACACCAGAAATGGCAAGATCTTATTGGTGTAGAAGGCTCATTGTCTTATGAGAACCAAAATACAGTATTGGCTGGGTACGGTGGCTCATGCCTGTAATCCCAGCACCTTGTGAGGCCAAGGCAGGCAGATTGCTGGAGCCCAGGAGTTGGAAACCTGCCTGGGCGACATGGCGAAACACCATCTCTATGAAAAATAAAATAAAATAAATTAGCCGTCAGTGGTGGTATGCTCCTGTAGTCCCAGGTGCTAGGGAGGCTCAGGTGGGAGGATCACCAGAATCTGGGAGGTTGAGGCTGCAGTGAGCCATGATTATGCCACTGCACTCCAGCCTGAGTGACAGAGGGAGACTCTGTCCCCAACTCCTGCCCCCACAAAAAAAGTTAAAGAAAAAGACACTGTGTTTTACTGGTGTTCTTTATATGTACACCATTTGCCTATGCTTTCTCTTCACCATACATGTTTTAATACTAAAAAAAATAAAAAGCATTATTTGTTTCATTTTACCCATAATCACATCTTCAGATCCTGAACAGGCAAAGCGTAAGAAAGGACAAAAAAGGCCAGTCTTCACTTTTATATACAGACTTAAAATATATGTAAATAGAAAGATGGATATCAGGGTCTCTAGTATTCTTGGCGTTGGGCCAGGTTTGTTATGGGTGGCAGTTGAGACACCCTCTCTTAGGACTGAGAAGGAGCCTCTCCAGGAATGGGTTGAGGAAGGCAAAGCAAGGGCATTTGTGATGACTGTGCTTGAGGGGATGGTGGTAGTCATGAGGCACTCTTACTGGGAGATTATGACTGGCATTCTTTTTTTTGTTTTTTCGAGACAGAGTTTTACTCTGTCGCCCAGGCTGGAGTGCAGTGGCGCAATCTCAGCTCACTGCAACCTCTGCTGCCCGGTTTCAAGCAATTCTCCTGCCTCAGCCTCCTGAGTAACTGGGATTACAGGCGCCTGCCACAGCGCCAGGCTAGTTTTTGCATTTTTAGTAGAGACGGGGTTTCACCATCTTGGCCAGGTTGGTCTTGAACTCCTGACCTCATGATCCACCCACCTCGGCCTCCCAAAGTGTTGGGATTACAAGCATGAGCCACTGCACCTGGCCATGTCTGGCATTCTTTAAAAGGATGGGATAAAACAGGAAGAGCTTCCTGGGTTCTGACCAGGGTTCTGGGTTCTGCTCCTTGAAGTTGCTCCAGGGCTTAGGTCGAAGTGTTTGTGAAACCCAGCCAAACCCTAGGATCAGTTGGAGGCCCACTCCTGAGCACAGGATCCATTCTAAGTGCATCTCTTTTTTTTTTTCTTCTTCTTTTTTTTTCTTCTTTGAGATAGAGTCCTGTTCCTGCGTCACCCAGGTTGGAATGGGGTGGCGCAATCTTGGCTCACTGCAACCTCTGCCTCCTGGGTTCAAGTGATTCTTGTGCCTCAGCCTCCTAAAGAGCTGGAATTACAGGCCACCACACCCAGATAATTTTTGTATTTTTAGTAGAGGCAGGTTTCATCATGTTGGCCAGGCTGGTCTCAAACGCCTGACCTCAAGTGATGGTCCTGCCTGGGCCTCCCAAAATTTTGGGATTGTAGGTGTGAGCCATGGCACCTGGCTTCTTTTTTTTTTTTTTTCTTGAGACAGATTCTTGCTCTGTTGTCCATTCTGGAGTGCAGTGGCATGGCCATAGCTCACTGCAGCCTCAACCTTCAACCTCCAGGGCTCAAATTATTCTCCGGTCTCAGCCTCCTAAGTAGCTGGGACTATGGGTACATTCCACCACGCCCAGCTAATTTTCAAAAAAATGTTTTGTAGAGGCGAGGTCTCACTTTGTTGCTCAGGTTGGTCTCAAATTCCTGAGCTCAAGTGATCCTATCTTGGCCTCCCATAGTGATAGGATTATAGGCATGAGCCACCGTGCCTGGCCACTGTAATTGCATCTCTTCCATGAAGTGTCAGAGAGAGATGTCACAGGTGCTTCAATGGGAGGTAGAGTGCTCTTTCGTCTCAGGGCTTTGGCGTCTAGAACCACCTCTGAAAAGCTTCTCCAGGAAGGCAGTGGGCAATAAGATCTTCTTATAGTTGGTTCTGCAGCCACGGGTCTTTGGAGCCATTTCCTCAGTTGGTCCTTTTGTATTATGTTTTGCCTCAGGAAGGTGCCACCTCTTTTCAAATATGAGCTCTTCCAGTATGATAGGAAGGAAAGGTGGTTGGCACAGGCTTTTCCTCTGTTGAACAGCAAGCTGATCTTTATTTATTTATTTGTTTTTTTGGTTGTTTTTTTTTTTTTTGAGATGGAGTCTTGCTCTGTCACCCAGGCTGGCATGCAGCGGCCCAATCTCAGCTCACTGCAACCTCTGCCTTCCAGTTTCCAGCGATTCTCTTGCCTCAGCCTCCTGAGTAGCTGGGATTACAGGCGCCTGCCACCATGCCCAACTAATTTTTCTATTTTTAGTAGAGACAGGGTTTCACCATGTTGGTCAGGCTGGTCTCGAACTCCTGATCTCATGATCTGCCCACCTCGGCCTCCCAAAGTGCTGGGATTACAGGCATAAGCCGCCATGCCTGGCCACATGGTGATCTTTATATGGTGGCCTCACTTTCTGTAGCTTACCCTCCATTTGTTGAATTCTCTGCTTACGTTTTCCCTTTCGGTGCAGCTGACTGCTCCTGTCTTGCTGTTTCTCCTCAGGTTCCTCCAGGTTTCCGTCTGATCATAAGTCCATTTAGGGCCTCAGTTTTCTGCCTCTAGGTTCATTTTCCAGGTGAATTTGGGCTGTCTGCAGTGAACCAGTTATGTTCCTGTTTCTTTCTTTTTTTTTTTTTTGAGACGGAGTCTTTCTCTTGTTGCCCAGGCTGGAGTGCAATGGCGTGATGTCGGCTCACTGCAACCTCCGTCTTCCGGGTTCAAGCGATACTCCTGCCTCAGCCTCCTGAGTAGCTGGGATTACAGGCACCCACGACCATGCCTGGCTAATATTTTTTGTATTTTTAGTAGAGATGGGGTTTCACCATGCTGGCCAGGCTGGTCTCGAACTCCTGACCTCAGGTGATCCGCCCGCCTTGGCCTCCCAAAGTGCTGGGATTACAGGCATGAGCCATTGTGCCCGGCCTTATGTTCCTGTTGCTTAATTTCTTCCAGTTCATGTATAGCTGATAATTTATTATTTAACTTGGGTTGAAAGGTCTGTATCTTTTCCAGCAATTGTTAAAATGTTTGCCCTGGAGATGGCCATACTCCAGCTTGTCTGATTTTCATCCTCTTATTCTGATGATCTTCTAACTCTTCACTGTCTATTTCACTGCATATGTGCCTTTTCATAGTTGATTGCATACAAGAATTACTCATAACTCCAGTTTCACTCTTTGTGAGCATGCAAGTCTCCCTGTTTTGTTAGGAGATGACTGGTGTCTTTTGAGTTGTTCCTTTTGTGCTGTAGGTCTTTGACCCCCGCCTTCTGTTGTAGCAGCTGTTCCACATTCTTCTCACTCTTGCTCTTCTCTCTTGTCACTGGGGTGGGTGGGGGAGTCCACTCTTAGTTTCGCATCGTGGATGGGGCATGACTCTTTTTTAATCTCTGAAAGTGTGTTAATGATTCTTTTTTAAATAAATTTTTCTATAGGGAGTCTCTCTGAGCCTATTCTGGCTCAGCAGGCCCCATTCTAAAACAAAACTGAAAAAACAGGGTGCGGTGGCTCACACCTGTAATCTCAACACTTTAGGAGGCCAAGGCAGGAGGATTACTTGAGTTCAGCAGTTTAAATCCATCCCAGGCAACATAGTGAGACTCCTGTCTATATAAAAAAAGTACAAAAATTAGCCAGGTGTTGTGGTACACACCAGTATCCCAGCTACTCAGTAGACTGAGGTGGTAGGAGTGCTTGAGCTGGGGAGGTCCAGGCTGCAGTGAGCTGCAATCACACCACTGCACTCCAACCTGGGTGACAGAATCAGACCCCACCTCTACAAAACAAAAAGGAAAAGAAACAATTTTTTCTATAAATTTGTGGCATTACTACAGATGTCTGAATTTTCATTATGTTCTGTTCTTTATATTCTCTTATTTCTTTTTTTTTTGGAGACGAGTCTCGCTCCATCGCCCAGGCTGGAGTGCAGTAGCGCCATCTCGCTCACTGAAGCTCTGCCTCCCGGGTTCACGCCATTCTCCTGCCTCAGCCTCCTGTGTAGCTGGGACTACAGGTGTCTGCTACCATGCCTGGCTAATTTATTGTATTTTTAGTAGATACAGGGTTTCACCATGTTAGCCAGGATGGTCTCGATCTCCTGACCTCATGATCCACCTGCCTCAGCCTCCCAAAGTGCTGGGATTACAGGCGTTAGCCACCATGCCCGGCCATATATTCTCTTATTTCTTAGCTTCTACCACAATGAGCAGCTCTTTCATTGGCTTTTCTTATTTTTAATATAAAAATCTTTTTAAAATAGAGATGGGAGTCTTACTTTGTTGCCCAGGCTAGTATTGATCTCCAGGCCTCAAGCGATCCTCCTGCCTCAGCCTCCCAAAGTGTTGGGATCACTGGTGTGAGCCACTGCATCCAGCCTTGTTGGCTTTTCTAAAGTCAGGTGTAGTAAAGAATAATTTACACTTTATTAGCTTTTTTTATTGAGATGTAACTCACCGTAAGTTTCACCAATTGCAAGTATACAGCTCAATGGTTTTTACTCTATTTACAAGGTTGTGCAACTATCACCAGTATTTAATTTCAGAATATTTTTATTACCCCAAAAAGAAATTCTATTCCTATGAAGTAGTCACTCCTCATCCCTCTCCCCTTCCTATAGCCCCTGGCAACTACTATTCTACTTTCTGTCTCCCTGGATTTGCCTGTTCTGAATATTTCATATAAATGGGATCATACAATGTGTGGCCTTTTGTACCTGGCTTCTTTGCATAAGGTTTTCAAGGTTCATCCATATTGTAGCATGAATGTGTACTTAATTCTTTTCTATGGCTGGGTAATATCCCATTGTTTGGACATGCTACATTTTGTTTATCCATTCATCAATTGGTAAACATTTGGGGTGTTTCAAATAAGCCTGCTGTGAACACTTCTGTGTAAATTTTTGTATGGATGTAATGTTTTCAGTTCTTTTGGTTATATTCCTAGCAGTGAAATTGCTGGGTCATATAACTCTACATTTAACATTTTGAGGAACTTCCAGACATTTTTCAAAGTGGCTGCATTATTTTACTTTCCTACCAGCAGCATATGAATATTCTAATTTCTCCGTATTTTCACCAATGCTTGTTACTTCCTATCCTTTGGTTATAGCCATCCTATTGGATGTCAAGTGATAATCTCACTGTGGTTTTGTTTTGTATTTCCCTAATAACTAATGATTTTGAGCATTCATTAGCTTTTGAGGCTTTTAAGTACCTTAATTGTATTATTGTTATTTTATTTATTTATTTTAGAGATGGGGTCTTGTTATGTTCTTCTTGCTGGTCTTTAACTCCTGGGCTAAAGCAATCCTCCCACCTTAGCCTCCCAAAGTCTTGGGATTACAGGCGTGAGCCACTGATTCAAGCCCTTTGTATTTTTAAGTTTGTTCAATTTGTGAAAGAAATTGTCATTTTCTTGGTCTCTATTTTAATTTTTTTGGTTCTTCTTTTGATATTCTAGTGCCCTTTGAAGTTTTTAAAAAGTGGTTTTATACTTCTCATCAATTTGTTGTTCAGCCGTGTGATATAGCCTCCTGATTATGGAAGGAATCATCTGTAGATTAAAAAGGGACATGAACCAACCTCTACAATATTGTGGTGGAGGCTGCCAGGGCATTCTGTGAATGTCAGGCCTGGGTTTCTGTTTCCAGCAACACAGCCATGAGCATTTGGGCACAGTGTGTCACAGATTCTTTACCTCAGCCTCGCCTTTTCCACAGCTGTAAAGTGCTGTGGAGTTTCTGTGTTTATTTCTGATTGTTGTAAGGAGTCCATAAGAGTGTTTACACTTTGTCTAGGACTTTTAGTACAAGAATGCCTACTTCCATGTTTTCTGATGTCTCTTTCTCCTCATTTACTTCCTTGTTTGCTGACTTCACCTTTGGAAACTGTTTCTTATTTTGCATTGGCTCCATAGAGACTTCCTCTAGTAGTCTAGCAGAAAAAAAGATGTACCTAACAAAATGGACCCAGTATTGAACATCAACTGTATTTTGCAGAGACAGGGTTTTGTATTGTCAACCGGGCTGGAGTCCAGTGGCGCAATCATAGGTCACTGTAACCTCGAAATCCTGGGTTCAAGTGATCCATCTCGGCTTCTGGAGTCACTGGGACTACAGTTGCACACCACCCCGCTCCCAGCTGAAGTGCGCATTGCCGTTTTTGCCAGTCCTTTGCCACAGATTCTCCATTCAACTCTTGGTTGGCAGAAGTTCAGCCTCTAGTGTTTTATTTAAGTTCTTAGGAGAATTTTATTCCTGAAGTTCTTGAATGTTTGAAAATTGCTTGTTTCTTTTTATTCTTGAAGAATTGCCTGGTTGAGTGTAAAATTCTCAGATCTCACTTTTTCTCCCTGAGGTCTTTATTGCTTCACTGTCTTCCAACATTAAACATTGCTTCTCAATGTCTGATGGTAGTGTGATCTTTGCCCTTAAGGGTGACATGATTTTGTTGCATGGAAGAAGCCCTTCGTAATGGTCAAATGTGAAGGTTTAGTATAGTAACAACTCCAGGGTGTCTTGGATGATGGTTCCTTTCAGGTAGTCAGGCAGGTTATATATTAATTGTCCCCAACTATCAAAGAATGTAGGAAATCTGATCATTTTGTTTTGTCGCTGTCTTCAGTTTTGACATCCCAAGTCAAGTAATTACACCCTCCCACTAATTGTCCTCCATCACGTGATTCTTTAAATGTTCTTATCTTTTAGGCCCTCTTGGCGAATATGGCTGCCATGTTTGCAATCTACCATGGTTCCCATGGGCTGGAGCATATTGCTAGGAGGGTACATAATGCCACTTTGATTTTGTCAGAAGGTGAGTTGGTAATCTGTCTAAAACATTTGGGCATAATAAAATTGATAAATTTGAGTAAAATTGAAAATATTGCATGTCCAATACTATATGCAAAATTAAAAGTCAAGTGAGAAACGAGGAAAAATACTTTCAACATCCATGATTATTTTGTTGTTTTGCTTTCTTTCTTTCTCTTTCTTTTTCTTTCTTTCTTTCTTTCTTTCTTTCTTTTATTTCCTTTTTCTTGCTTTCTTTCTTTTTTTCTTGCTTGCTTGCTTTCTTGCTTGCTTGCTTTCTTGCTTTCTTGTTTGCTTGCTTGCTTGCTTGCTTGCTTCCTTGCTTAATGGAGTCTTGCTCTGTCTCCCAGGCTGGAGTGCAGTGGCACGATCTCAGCTCACTGTAACCTCCACTTCCCGGATTCATGTGATTGTCCTGCCTCAGCCTCTCAGGTAACTGGGATTAAGGTACACGCCACCATGTCTGGCTAATTTTTGTATTTTTGGTAGAGACAGGGCTTTGCCATGTTTTCCAGGCTGGTCTCGAATTCCTGACCTCAAGAAATCCGTCCACTTTGGCCTCTCAAAGTGCTGGGATTACAGGCGTGAGCCACCATGCCTGGCTTAGACTGAGTGTTAATATTTTTTTCTCTTTTACTCCTGGCAAGCTGTGATATTTTTAATATGTAGAACTCTTACTTTCCTACCGGCCCCAAACATAAGAAGGATGAACACCCTAATAGAAAAATAGGCAAAAGACATTAAATGTAATTTTAAAAGAAATAAGTATACAAATAAATGGCCAGTAGACATAGAATTTTAGCCTCATTATTAATGAAAGAGATACAAAATAAAGCAATAAACTAGTATTTATCCCATTACATTGGCAATCAGAAGAATGCTGCTATGTAGTGAGCTAGACATGGTTACTCGTGTATGTAATGTCAGCTACTCTGGAGGCTGAGCCAGGAGGATTGCTTGAGGCCAGGAGTTCAAGACCAGCGTGGGCAAGAGCGAGACCACATCTCTATAAAAAAATAGAAATAGGCCAGGCACAGTGGCTCATGCCTGTAATCCTAGCACTTTGGGAGGCTGAGGCGGGTGGATCACTTGAGGTCAGGAGTTCAAGACCAGCCTGGCCAACATGGTGAAACCCTGTCTCTACTAAAAATACAAAAATCAGCTGGGAGTGGTGGCATACTCCTGTAGTCCCAGCTACTCGGGAGGCTGAGGCAGGAGAATTGCTTGAATTTAGGAGGCGGAGGTTGCAGTGTGCCAAGATTGCTCCACTGTACTCCATCCTGGGCAACAGAGTGAGACTCCATCTCTCAAAAAAAAAAAAAAAAAGTGATTAAATCATGGTTCATCCATATGTTTGACTATTGTACAGCCATTAAATATGGTTTAAAATAGTGATCTATAGGAAAGCATAGATGAGACCAGGTGTGGTGGTTCACACCTATAATCCCATCGTTTTGGGAGGCTGAGGTGGGAGAATTGCTTGAGTCCCAGAGTTCAAGGCCAGCCTGGGCAACATGGCAAGATCACTGTCTTCAAAAAATTTAAAAAATTATTAGCCAGGTGTGATGGCATGAGTCCTTGATCCCAGTTACTTGGGAGGCTGAGGCAAGGGGATTGCATGAGCTTGAGCCCAGGAGTTTGAGGATGCAATCAGCTATGATCATGCCACTGCATTCCAGCCTGGACAACAGAGTGAGACTGTATCTCTCAAAAAAAAAAAGGTATAATTTTATATATATATATATATATCTGATACTACCTGCTCCCCCATTTCTTGAGAAATAATACACCAAAATACACGCAGTAATGCAATTGTATGTTGATTTTCCTTACTCTTTTATATGTATTTCATAATTTTCTACAGCATGATAATAAACATGTTTAGTTTTTTAAAAAGCAATCACCAAAGCACTCCCCAGGACCAACAAGAGTCTAGTAGAATTTATCTCTTTATTATTCTGTGACATGTCAATGGCTGAGGAGCAGGTTTCTATATGAGAGTTTGGGGGATCTCCTATCTTGTGTAGGTCTCAAGCGAGCAGGGCATCAACTCCAGCATGACCTGTTCTTTGATACCTTGAAGATTCAGTGTGGCTGCTCAGTGAAGGAGGTCTTGGGCAGGGCCGCTCAGCGGCAGATCAATTTTCGGCTTTTTGAGGATGGCACAGTAAGTCAAATTTTCAGTATTTTTACCAGTTTTTCAAATTTTCACATTGTTTCTCATTAAAAGGTTTTCTCTTTGTTTTTAAAAAATAAAAAGGAAAACTTTAGGCACAGTCCTATTTTTTCATAAACAAGTGTTATTTACATTATGCAACACTGTGGTCTTTTCAGTAAAGGATCATTCACCCTTTGCTTTCTTTTAGACTTAGTGTTTTCATATGTGGGACTGAAATGCACATATTTTGTTCATAATACTCCTCTCTTCACAGTATGACTGACTTTAAGATAAAGGCTCTGATAACTGATATACAGGTTAAGGGAAGAAAATCTCCTCAATATCTGATAAGTGGGTTAAGGGAAGAAAAAGATAAGCATGTCTAGCTTCAAAAGGAGTGTCCTGCAGCCATGGAATGTTAGAGTTCAGAGGTGGCTGGCAAAACTCGAAGCCTTGTGAAACCTGGGACTGGTCTAGCCACCTTCCTCTAAGCCTTAGCGTGGAGATAATTGTACCCTGATATTTTGGAATGATGGGATTTTGTTTAGCACTGTCTCCCCTTTGACCTCTCTTGGGATTCCTCCAGTGATGTGGAGTTTAGAGTTGATGTTTTCCATTTTGTTTGTGTTTCTGTAGCTTGGTATTTCTCTTGATGAAACAGTCAATGAAAAAGATCTGGACGATTTGTTGTGGATCTTTGGTTGTGAGTCATCTGCAGTAAGTAAAATAAAAACATGCGTTCCTCATCATAACTATTGGAGGTGGTAGCAAAAGTAGCTTATCCCCTGAGTGTGAGGGAGAAGGGGCCCAAGTGTGACACTGGTAGCTTGTTGTTAAAATTATTCCACTGACTATCCCTTGCTAGTCACTGCTGACAGCTGGAGGTCACTGCTGTAGGGCTCCAGCCAGTATTATGCACCCAGGCTAGTTGGAAAGATTGTTAATGGTGTTTCATTGAAAGTGCCTCTAGGCTGGGGATGGTGGCTCATGCCTGTAATCCCAGCACTTTGGGAGGTCAGGGGGGCGGGGGGGCAGATCACCTGAGGTCAGGAGTTCAAGACCAGCCTGACCAACATGGAGAAACCCCGTCTCCACTAAAAATACAAAATTAGCCAGGCATGGTGGCACATACCTGTAATCCCAGTTACTCAGGAGGCTGAGGTGGGAGAATTGCTTCAACCCAGGAGGCGGCGGTTGCAGTGAGCTGAGATTGCGCCATTGCACTCTAGCCTGGGCAGCAAGAGCAAAACTCCATCTCAAAAAAAGAAAAAAGAAAGAAACTGCCTCTACTACAAAGATGCAAGACATTTGTATCTTGGTTATGTCATTCATTGGAAAATTATGATATTCATTTAATACATATTTATTGAGGACCCAATATGTGTCAGGTGCTATGCTAGGCCCTGAAGACACAGTGGTGAATTAGACATGCTTCTTGTCCTCCTGGTGCTTACAGTTTATTAGGGATTCAGATAAACAAGCTTAAGATTAGAATCCAGGTGACTGATGTGTGAAGATGTTCTGGGAGCTCACAGGATGAGCTCCTTACCAAGAAGATAAGCAGGAGTTATCTAGACCAAGATGGCACAAGAGGGAAAGGAAGATGGGTCCGAGTGTTCTAGACACTGGAGAAAGCAGTCACAAAGGCTGGGAGAGGGAGTACATGAAAGCTATAAGCAGTTCAGTGTAATGAGTTGCTTTCTAAAATAATGAAGTAGTGGGGGAAAGCAAGAGAAAAGTTACCATTCCATGGGATGAGAGTGAAAGAGAGCCGACAGTAGCTACCTAGACCTGTGGCAAGGTGTTAATCACAACAGCCTACACTGCCTGGTGTGTATTAATCACTAAGTAAATATTTGTTAAATGGATAGATGAAAGGAAGTAGAAATACCTTCCAGAGTGCTGAGTGGTGCTGTCTTGCTTATCTGTGCCCTCTTTGAGAGAGGACTTCAAAGGGTTATACCAGATAACATTCATAAATGATCAAAGAAGCATCACAGTGTTCTCTTTTAAACCTCAATTAAACAGGACTGAGTTAGCTCCTTCTCTGTAGAACTCTGCACTAAATTTAATCACAGATATTTGGTTCATGCATTTGAGAAATGTTTCTGGAGCATCACTAAGGGGTCAAGAGGGCCATTATTTTAGTTCATTTGCATTGGAGTACCTGAGGCTAAATAATTTATAAATAAAATAGCTTTATTTGGCTCATGTTTCTGCAGGCTGTGCTGTGCAAGAAGCGTTTGCTTCTGGTGAGGGTTTCAGGAAACTTCCTCTCATGAAGGAAGGGGAAGAGGAGCAGGCATCACATGGCAAAAGAAAAAGGAAGAGAGAGAGAGGAGGGAGGTGCCAGGCTCTTTTTAACAATCACTTCTCATCAGTTCTCATGGGAACTAGTAGAGTGAGAACTCACTCATTACTGTGAAGACAGCGCCAAGCCCATCTTCAACACTGGGGATCACATTTCACCCTGAGATCTGGAGGGGACAAGTATTAAATCTGTATTAGTCATATTATTAGCCTGGCAAGGAATGAGGATCAAGCCATGTATTGATTATATATTCTGGATATTAAATCCTTATCAGATATATGACTTACATATATTTTCTTCCATTCTGTGGGTAGTCAGTCTCTTAACTTTCTTGATAATGTTCTTTGATGCACACACATTTCAAATTTTATAGAAATTTAATTTATCTAATTTTTATATATGTTTATTGTTTATTCCTTTGGTGTCACATTTAAGAAACCATTGCCAGATCCAAGGTTATGCAGATTAGCCCCTATATTTTCTTTTTTTTTTTTAAGATGGAGTCTTGCTCTGTCGCCCAGGGTGGCGTGCAGTGGCATGATCTCAGCTCACTGCAAACTCCACCTCCCAGGTTCACGCCATTCTCCTGCCTCAGCCTCCCGAGTAGCTGCGACTACAGGCACCCGCCAACACGACCGGCTAATTTTGTATTTTTTAGTAGAGACGGGGTTTCACCATGTGAGCCAGGATGGCCTCGATCTCCTGACCTTGTGATCCACCCACCTCGGCCTCCCAAAGTGCTGGGATTACAGGTGTGAGCCACCGCGCCTGGCCTATTTTCTTCTAAGTTTTAGTAGTTTTAGCTTTTAAATTTACATCTTTGGCCAGGCTCAGTGGCCCATGACTGTAATCCCAGCACTTTGGGAAGCCAAGGCAGGCAGATTGCTTGAGCCCAGGAGTTTGTGACCAGCCTGGGCGGCATGGTGAAACATCGTCTCTAGAAAAATACAAAAATCAGCCAGGTGTGGTGGCATGCACCTGTAGCCCCAGCTACTCAGGAGACTGAGGTAGGAGGATTGAGCCCAGTAGGGCCAAGGCTACAGTGAGTTGAGATCGTGCCACTGCACTCTAGCCTGGGTGCTAGAGAAAGACCCTGCCTCCAAAAATATTAAATAAATAAATAAATAAATAAATAAGTAAAATTATATATTTGATCCATTTTGAGTGCTTTGTGGCCCAGCCACCCAGAAGCCTGGATGTCCACATGTGGCTCCAGGCACAGTTCTGGCCCTATCATCTCTGTGTTTCTCCTTCAGGAACTGGTTGCTGAAAGCATGGGAGAGGAGTGCAGAGGTATTCCAGGGTCTGTGTTCAAGAGGACCAGCCCGTTCCTCACCCATCAAGTGTTCAACAGGTTTGTGTGTCTTGTGTGACTTCTGCGTTTTGTGCTTTGGTAATCAGCTAGGGAGTTAGGCAGAGTGCTGCTGCTGATTTCGCCTGCTGTGGCCTGGTTATTCTGGCTCAGCCGTGGCTCCCAAGTATTTCATCCTCATAACGATCCCGTTCCTGACTTGGGAAAAGCACACTTTGTTTCCTGGTGGCTCTGCTCCCTTGGCAGTCAGGAAGCAGGGATGAATAATTGCCAGGCTGAAGTTCACTCCCAAGAGCCCTATATCCTCTTCTTCCCAACCTTCAACTCATACCCACAGTCAGCTTCTTGTCCAAGACATCCTCTGAGGTTTGTGGGGGTCTGTGCCCTTCTCTCTGAGTGTAGTTGACATATTGTCCGTGGCCAAAATTGATCTGCATTTTGAAAGTAGATTTCGGTGTGTCTTATATGTCAGGAGGATGTGCATGGACTCATATCTACTTTTGGGGCCCCTAATTCTGTGTTTTGTGTTCACAGCTACCACTCTGAAACAAACATTGTCCGGTACATGAAGAAACTGGAAAATAAAGACATTTCCCTTGTTCACAGCATGATTCCACTGGTAGTTATTTGTGGCCTTTTTTCTCATTTCCAAGCTACCCCAATCCCACGTCTCTTGGTCCTACCTAATATGCTCCAAGAGCAACAAAGGGGTGGCCATGCTGGGAGAATGGAGGGTTGATTGATGGACTATAGAAAATCACTAATGTGATACATTTTGGATGTTCTTCTTAAAGGGATCCTGCACCATGAAACTGAACAGTTCGTCTGAACTCGCAGTAAGTAGCTCACTTCTGTAAGTGGATACTCAGCAAGGGGCAGTGTTCTAGCTTCCACCTAAGCCCAGAACTAGTGAAATCTACTGGGACTGTGATTCTGTGATTGAAGAACTATTTTAATAATTCTTTACCTTGCTATTCACCAATCTTGGGAGTAACCCTGTATTTCTCACGACTTCATCATTTAAATGTATGGGTAAACTTATTATTTTTTAATAAAATTAATTAAATGTATATGGTATTTATGCCTTTCTATCCTATCCCTCCCCCACCCCCACCCCCTTTTAAACCTGTCATATTAAAAGCTTTTTTAAAAAAAATTGTTTATAGTTCTAAATCTCAGGTAGAATTACGAACCTTAAGCCGTCTTTCTAGAAATCATTCCTGTATCAGAAAGATAGGGATTCAAGTCAACAGAAGATTTGTGCAACTCGCTGTTGTGGTTGGCAAGTATCTCTACTAGGCCAGGATCCATTTTAGCGAAGCTTTTTTTTTCTTTCTTTCATTTCTTACGTTTATTCTGAAGTGACATATCATATCAGACGAAAGAAATCATTTTATATCATGATAAGAATATTTCCCTCTCTATTTTTTTAAAAAATAGAGTCAAGGTCTTGCTGTGTTTGCCAGTCTGATCTCAGACTCCTGGCCTCAAGCAGTCCTCCCACCTCAGCCTCCCAGAGTTCTGGAATTATAGGTGTGAACCACTGTACCTGGCCTTCCCATTTACTTTTGTGTTTGTTTCTTGTTCCACTTAGTGAAGAAAGAGAACAATCTATTGCTATATAAGAGTTTATGCCAACCATACCTGAAGCAACTCATTGTGTTTCATGGAAAGAAATCTGTTTTGGGGGCTTTTCTTCCCTGAAAAGTTAGCAAAACATTGTATTTTTGTGTAAGTTCCCTTTTTGGACAACTATGTCCCACTTTTAAATGAAGACAGTAACGGTACTTACCTTATAAGGTTGTGGTGGAACTTAAATAAATTAACATATGTATAGCGCTTAGAACAGTGCCTGGCACATAGCTTTTCTCATCATCGTCATTATTATTAAAGTTATTATTGCTATTGCTATTATAATATGTATATATGCATTTTTGTTTTCTTTCTTTTCAGCCTATCACATGGAAAGAATTTGCAAACATCCACCCCTTTGTGCCTCTGGATCAAGCTCAAGGATATCAGCAGCTTTTCCGAGAGCTTGAGAAGGATTTGTGTGAACTCACAGGTTATGACCAGGTCTGTTTCCAGCCAAACAGGTAAGGGCATTTCTTTTCTTATTGTTTCAGCAATCTATTCTTGTATAGCATACACCACAAAACTTAAAGGCTTAGAACAACAACTTTTTTGTGTTATTCTGTGACTTGCTAGACAGTTCCACTCCACTGGGGAGAGCATGGCTAGAAGGTGCATCGTGTTCTCCCTCACATAGCTGGTGAGGAGCTGTGGGCTGGGAGTGCATTTGAGGATGTTCACTAGGGCCATAGTTTTTCTCCATATGGGGCTTTCCTTGTAGTTCCTTGAGCTTCCTTGTTCCTTACAGCACAATGTCGGGGTTCAGAATGCGTGTTCCCAGATGAAGCATGGAGAAGCTGCAAATCTCTAATGGCCGAACCTCCTAAGTTACACTGCATCCCTTCCAGATTAGTCTATCTATTAAAGCAAGTCACGAGGCGAGCCCAGATTGAATCGGGGAGGGGACAACACCTGGGTGTGAATTTTGGTAGATGTCGTTCATTGCGGACTGTCTTTGGAAGCTAGCTTACTACACCTGTCAGTGACACAGCATAAGAAGAAGGATCAAGCACACATGCTGAATTCCAACAAGTGTCTCAGTTTAGCAGGGCCAGGAGAACCTGGATCCTGCTTTGGTAATGTCACTAACTTTGAAAGGTCCCTTCTCCTCTTCCAGCCTCAATTTCTTTGTAAAGGAAAGACTTTGAAGAAGAACAGTGATTTTCAAAAGCAACAGCCTCCAGCAAAATCTCCTGAGCACTTGTTAAAAATACAAACTCCGGGCCCCGCTCCAGACGCACTGATCATAACCTCCAGGGGGTGAGACTAAGACTCTTTATTTTTATTTTTATTTATTTATTTGTTTTTTTAGATGGAGTTTTGCTCTTGTTGCCCAGGCTGGAGTGCAATGGCGTGATCTCGGCTCACCGCAACCTCTGCCTCCTGCATTCAAGAGATTCTCCTGCCTCAGCCTCCCGAGTAGCTGGGATTACAGGCATGTGCTACCACACCTGGCTAATTTTGTATTTTTAGTAGAGATGGGGTTTCTCCATGTTGGTCAGGCTGGTCTCTAACTCCTGACCTCAGGTGATCCGCCTGGCTCGGCCTCCCAAAGTGTTGGGATTACAGGTGTGAGCCACCACGCCTGGCCTAGAATCTTTATTTTTAAGACAAGACCAAGTGATTCTAATACACAGTCAATTTGGAATCCCCTGGATTTGTGGTCTCTCTGCCTTCATGATGATAGATGACAGATGGACCGATGGACAGATGATAGATAGATAGATAGATAGATACATACATACATACATACATACATACATACATACATAGATGAATGATAGATGGGCAGGAATCATGTTATCGGTATGTGAGTTTACATTTTAGAATATCTTTAGAAAATGAGTTATGGTATCTGCCCCTAGGTTCTTCACCTCCTGCTGCTCAAAGTATAGTTCTCTACCAGCAGCCTCAGAGTTGACCCCTCTGGGAGCTGGTTAGTAATGCAAAATTTCTGTTTCAAGATGCCCTACCTTCTGTTTTGTAACATAGACTACACAGCAAAGCCATTTACTTTGTAAAAACAATACACCCTATAAAATACAAACCCTTTGGGAAGAGGGTATGTGGCAATGAAAGGATACAGTGCTCTCAATTGCGTCTTAAAGTCTCACTTCATAAATAGGTAGGAGCTGATAGCATGAAAGTCAAGCTTTAGTATACCTTCTTTAGAACTTCATTACTTATTTTTGTTTTGTTTTAAGAGACAAACCTCAGTGAATTCTGAACCTTGAGTCTATGATAGTTATTAAATGTTGAAAATTAAGAAATTTCGCCCTCTAGTGACGGAATATAATCACATTTTCACTGTCATATTGGAGAGTGATTTTTCAAGACTATTTTAATTCTGGTTATTAGCTCTTGCAGTAAATTGTGATCCCAGCCAGGATCCCAGAAGACTGACCTAAGAATCAGGAAATTTGTCTTCTTAAAGCAGTGGTTTACAGCCTTGGCTAGGAATTAGATCCCATGGTGACTTTATAACATCCCTGATGCCCACATCACAATCCCAGATTGAATCATAATCTCAATGGAGAATGACTGGGGTGAGGGAAGGGACCCAGGCGTGAGTATTTCTTTAAAGTTCCCTACATGATTCCAACTGCAGCCAAGGTTGAGAACCAGTGTCTTAGACATTTCTCCGCTGTTTTTCCCTACATACCTGGTGTTCTTTCTTTGTCCTAATTTTTCTCATTCATATGATGGACAGTGAGACTCCACACCCTATCCCAATCTTGCAGAGGGTAAGAGATCTTCATCATGATGTCGTTCCTGGCAATGATGTCTTCTCCAGTTCCTGAGATTCCCAGCTATACCATCCATTTCCAAGAGCTGATTTGAGCATGGCAGGGGCTTTGCACAATGTTTAGGCTTAGATAAAGGAATGAAGGATGTTTCTGGTCATGAGCAGAAGCTGCTGTGACAGATGAGAAAATGCCTTATTCTTTGTTGAGAAAGTACAAGGGCCATGCTTCTGGTGAGTAAAGCAATTTGATGTCTTAATTCGCAGAAAAAAGGAAGGGATACACCACATATTCCATATATAAGTGATTTTTTTAACCTTGTTTCAATCCTATTTTGGCTTATTTGTGCTAATCTCTGCACAAGTGGGTGACACATTTCTTGTCTTATAATTATTCTGTGTCTACAACAGGGCTTACATATTGGCTAATTTGTCATGATTTACTGCTGGCTAGAGTCCAGTGAAATCTAGGGGACCTATATGCACGTCACATTTTTTGTAAGAAGAAACACAGGTTTCTTGACAACTCTGCACAGAGGGAGAATTTCGAATACCATGTCAGCCACTGATGTTATACTCAAAATAGCAGGTGCAGTCACAGGTGTCATCAAGGAACCATTTCCTGGTAATTTCATTTATACCTGACTAATTAGAGTCAGTCAATGTGTCTGTAGAGTTCTGTAGTCACAAAAAGTTTTGAATCTGAATGTTTCCTTTCCCTTTCATTATTGTATGATATTTCAGATATAACCATAGCATAATTTTTAGGAAGTAGCCTTAGTAGTATTTCACAACTCTAAAGTATTTTTTATTGTGGTAAAATATACATAACACAAAATTTACTGCTTTACGTATTTTTAAGTGTACAGTTCAGAGGCATTAAGTATATTCACACTGTTGTACAGCCATCACCATTATCCGTCTGAGAGCTTTTTGATTTTCTCAAATTCAAGCTCAGGACCTGTTAAACAGTAACTCTTCGGTTCCTCTTTCCCTTTTTCCCTGGCCCCTGGCGGCCTCCATTCTACTTTCTGGCTCCATGAATTTGACTACTTTAGGAACCTCGTATAAGTGGATCATACAATATTTGTCCTTTTGTGTCTGGCTTATTTCACTTAGCATAATGTCTTCAAGGTTCATCAATGTTGTGGCATGTGTCAGAATTTACTTCCTTTTTTCTTTTTTTCAGACAGGGTCTCATTCTTTTGCTCAGGCTGGAGTGCAGTAGCAGGATCTTGGCTCACTGCAACCTTGGCCTCCCAGGCTCAAGTGATCTTCCTGCTTCAGCCTCCCGCTTAGCTGGGACTACTGGCACGCATCACTATGCCTGGCGATTTTTAAAAGTTTTTGTAGAGACAGGAGTCTCACTACATTGCCCAGGCTGGTCTGGAACTCCTGACCTGAAGTGATCCTCCTGCCTTGGCCTCCCAAAGTCCTGGGATTACAAGCATGATCTCCTGCGCCTGGCCTACTTCCTTTTAAGGTGGAATATTTCATTGCATATATATAGCACATTTTGTTTATCCCTTCATCAATTGAGGGACACTTGAGTTGTTCCATCCTTTCGGCTATAGTGAATAATGCCACTTTACATTGATGTACAAGTATCTAGTTGAGTCCCTGCTTTCAGTTTTTATTTTGGTATATATTCAGAAGTGGAGTTTTTGGATATAGGGTAATTTTATGTTTAATTTTTTGAGGAATCGCCGTACTGTCTTCTGCAGGGGTTGCACCATTTAACATTCCCACCAGCAGTGCACAAGGGTTCTGATTTCTCCACGTCCCCCACCAACATTTGTTATTTTCTGTTTCCTCAAGTAATAGCAATTCTGGTAGGTGTGAAGTGGTATCTCACTGTGGTTTTGATGGACATTTCCCCAATGATTAGCAATGTTGAGCATCTTTTCATATGCTTACCATGCATTTGTACATCTTCTTTGGAGAAACGTGTATTCAAGTCCTTTGCCCATTTTTTAATTGGGTTTCTTGGGAGATTTGTTGTTGAGTTATAGCAGTTCTTTTTTTTTTTTTTTGAGACGAGGTCTCGCTCTGTCGCCCAGACTGGAGTGCAGTGGCGCGATATCGGCTCACTGCAACGATCGCCTCCCGGGTTCACGCCATTCTCCTGCCTCACCCTCCCGAGTAGCTGGGACTACAGGCGCATGCCACCACACCCGGCTAATTTTTTGTATTTTTAGTAGAGACAGGGTTTCACCGTGTTAGCCAGGATGGTCTCGATCTCCTGACCTCGTGATCCACCCGCCTCGGCCTCTCAAAGTGCTGGGATTACAGGCGTGAGCCACCGCGCCCGGCCCAGCAGTTCTTTATATCTTTTTTTTTTGAGATGGAGCCCTGCTCTGTTGTCCAGCCTGGAGCGCAGTGGCGCCATCTCGGCTCACTGCAGCCTCCACCTCCCAGGTTCAAGTAATTCTCATGCCTCAGCCTCCCGAGTAGCTGGGATTACAGGTGCCTGCCCCCGTGGCCGGCAAATTTTTTTGTATTTTTAGTAGAGACAGGGTTTCGCCGTGTTGGCCAAGCTGGTCTCAAACTCCTGACCTCAGGTGATCTGCCCACCTCGGCCTCCCAAAGTGCTGGGGTTACAGGCGTGAGACACCATGCCCGGCTTTTTTTTTTTTTTTTTTTTTTTGAGACGAAGTCTTGCTCTGTCGCCCAAGTTGGAGTGCAGTGGAGCAATCTTGGCTCACTGCAACCTCCGCCTCTCAGGTTGAAGCAATTATCCTGCCTTGGCCTCCCAAGTAGCTGGGATTACAGGTGCCCGCTACCACACCTGACTAGTTTTTGTATTTTTAGTGGAGATCGGGTTTCACTATGTTGGCCAGGCTGGTCTCAAACTCCTGATCTCAGGTGATCCTCCTGCCTCAGCCTCCCAAGGTGCTGGGGTTACAGGCGGGAACACCACGCCCAGCCTATATGTTCTAATTCCTTATCAGATATATGATTTGCAAACATTACCTATCATTCCATGAATTTCCTTTTCACTGTTTACAGTGTTTTTTGATGCACAAAGGCAACTCTAAATATACAATAAATATAAAGGATTTGCACCTTATCTAGCATAATGTCTGTGGCCTTCTCTGGTAAATATTAGCTTTTGGTCAACCTGGATAGTCTAACCTTTATCCACTCTTAGTCCATTTTTATTTACATTAACTTTTTCATTCCTACTATTCATGATCTACCATGGTGCAATTTAGATTTATATTCTGTATTATCTGCCTTGACCTGACCCATGAGAGCGACATAGACCCTGACTGGAGAGGAGGCCTTTGCACTGGAAATGCTATGTTATTGACCCAGATACCAGTTGGCCCTGAATGCTGGTAACTGTCTGTCAGAGACGCCACTATGCCTCTGGTATGCTTGTGTCTTATTTGGGGTTTCCCAAAATCAGACCCTGAAACAGGAACTTCAGTACAAGAAGTTTATGTGGTTGCTGATCCCGGAAAGCACAGTGGAGAAGTACAGAGGTGAGACAGGGAAGTGAGGAAAGCTGGAAAAGGTTGTATTAGTGACCAGGTTATCACCATCACTGTATGGGATCCTAGAGATCAGTCCCATTGGGGGCACTGAGGGAGACTGGATGGAACATGCCTCCGATTTGTCCCAGTGAAGAGCTGAGGAAGCCAGAGTATTTACCAACTGCTCCTTCGTTGCCCGGGAAGGACTGAGAAGCTGGAGTTAGCAACACTTGTTCTTCATTTGTTGAAGGCTTCACCCCGGGGGCCTTAACCCCTCAATACTTGAGGCTTGATAGTTATGGGCTGTCTTTCAACCAAGAACGTGCCTGGCAGAGAACACCCTCAGGTGGAGAGGCAGAGATGCTTGAGTTCATATACGGTCATTTTATGTCGGAGCTGTCCACAGAAGCTGGAAGTAAGCTTCAGGATGAAACAAAGACCTGTGAGCAGCACAATGATCCTGTCTGCTACAGGTTGCCTATAGTAGGCATGGCCTTTGGCAAATGGATAATAAGTATTATATAACTAGATTAAGGAAGAAGAGATGCCAGTGCCTTTCAGGGGAAGATGGCAGCCTGAGTGGGTCCTGAATGGAGAAGGGGACTGATAGGCAGGTAGGATCAGGAAGTGTTATGGAGCAGATGGGCTTGCTGCCTGATGTGCACAGAAGCCAATAACTATGGCACCAGCTTTTGAGAAAAGAAGGGCTTTATTTATTGCAAAACCAGCCCGCAAGGAGACAAGAGTCAGCTGAAATTTCTCTCCTCTATTTGGGATCTGGGGCAAGTTTTAAGGGATCAGAAGGCAGGGGAAGGGATTTGGGAATGCTGGCTTGGCAAGGTCTAATTAGAGGGCTTCAGATTTGACAGCTTACGGTAAGGTATGCTGAGCCCTACATCTTCCGGATCAGTAGACCCCTCACTTCTGAAGAAGTTCTGGCATGCAGGGTCTGGTTCTCTTCCAGCCTTGTTGGTTCCGAGGGGCGGAATCCCTGGTTCTGGGTGTCGTTAGAAGTCAAAGCTTTTTCTATTGCACATTCCCAGACTACATGACTTGCAACTGTGGACTCTGTTATAAGGTAACTCAACATTTTGTTATCAACAGAACAGGCCCAGTGTGGGCTGGTCCTGCAATTATAGAAGCAGAGAGCCTGCAAGAGTCAAGGAGCCCTAGGGTGAGGGTAAGAGTTCTTTGGGGCCTGAAGAGAACTTGGCTTATGGAGATCCACAAACCCTGAGACGAAAGGCAGTTGTCTGAAGGAATGTTCCTGGGTCGAAGGTCTCTCTGGCCTTCAGGGTGCTTCAGGGGAAATGAAGAGTGGGGCCAGGTCTTCCGTAGTTCTGAGACTGTGTGGATTCTAGCCTTTGTAGATGAGGAGATTCTCCCAGTGATGCTCCCACTGCCCCCAACAGAGGACTGACAGCTTGCAGACTGGTTCTGCTGCTGAAGATGTTGCAGCAACCTGAACTCAGCCCTAAGGGTGAATGGAGCCGTAGCCAGCAAAGGGAAAATTTTAGTTGCACACTTCACTGGACCCAGCAACAGAGAGGAAGCACAGGGAGAGTGCTCAGAACAGGTTGCCCGGGCAGCCAGCGTTATAGGCACTGGCGTGAGGCAAAGTCAGCTAGTTATAGCAATACAACTTCGATCTCAGAGCTGGCTGACATTCAGTATTAAGTAAAAAGGACATTCTGCAACTAAAACCATGAGTTTCAATTTTAAACAATCAGGACTGGGCACGGTGGCTCACAGTCCCAGCACTTTGGGAGGCTGAGATAGGAGGATCACGTAAGGCCAGGAGTTTGAGAACAGCCTGGGTGACATAGTAAGACCCCATCTACAAAAAAAATAATAAAATTATCAAATAAATAATCAGGATGGGATACTCTTGAAAACAAAATTAGTGACTTGGAAAGGTACTTGGAGGAAATATTCCAAAACAAAAACCCAAAATATACAGATTAAGGCTGTGAGGGAAAAGTTAAGGAACTCAGAAGACAGATTCAGAAGATTCAGCATTTGGGGATGAGAACATGGAAGAGTTAATTAATATTCATCTGAGGAAGTGAAAAAAAATTGTATAACCAAAATGATGGTAAAAAATGAAATGATTAAAGATAAAAGCTAGAATGAATGACCTAGAAGATAAAATAGTCACAAGGATTAATAAATACAAAAACTGATTATTTGAAAGATCCAGTGAAATCAGTTAACTCTTTTCTTGCCTAAGGAAAAAATATATATATACAAATAAGAAATGAGAAAGAACATACCCAGATATAGATAAGATCCAAAGAATTATAAAGGAATAGTATATGCTACCCTGTGTCAACAAATTTAAAAACATAGAGAAATAAATGATTTCTTAACAAACATTTAGGAACATAAGGGCATGTTGAAAACAGATTAACAGAGGCTGATCACATGGAGTGAAACTAGAAATAACAGAAAGATGAGCAAAATTCACAAATATGTGGAAATTAAATAACACCCTTATAAATAACCAGTGGAACAAAGAGGAATCACAAGGAGAACTGGAAAGTACTTTGAAGCCAGGTGCAGTAGCTCATGCTTGTAATTGCAGTACTTTGGGAGGCTGAGGCAGGAGGATCACTTGATCCCAGGAGTTCAAGACTAGCCTGGGCAACATAGCAAGACCTCATCTCTCCAAAAAAATTAGCCTAGCATGGTGGCAAGCACCTGTGGTCCCAGCTACTTTGGGGGCTGAGGTGGGAGGATCACTTGAGTCCAGGAGGTTGAGGCTGCAGTGAGCCATGATCACGCCACTGCACTCCAGCCTAGACAACAGAGTGAGACTCTGTTTCTAAGAGAAGAAAAAAAGAGAGGAAGTACTTTCCAACTAATTAAAATGAAGATACCGCATATCAAACATCACGGGCTGTAGCTAAAACAGTGCTAACAGGAAAGTTTATAGCTGTAAATAACTACATTAAAAAAGAAGAAAGAGCTGGGTGCCATGATTCATGCTTGTAATCCCAACACTTTGGGAGTCTGAGGTGGGAGGATCACTTGAGCTCAGGAGTTCAAGACCAGCCTCGGCAACATAGTGGGACCCTCTTTGTACAAATTAAAAAATTAGCCAGGTGTGGTGGCATGCATCTGTGGTCCCAGCTGCTTGGGAGGCTGAAGTGGGAGGATCACTTACACCCAGAGGTCTAGGCTGCAGTGAGCCATGTTCACACCATTGCACCCCAGCCTGTGACAGAGCAAGATCCTGTCTCGAAAAAAAAAGAAGCCTGGACCAGATAGTGAGACTTAGTCTCTACAAAAAATTAAAAAAGTAGCTGGGCACAGTGGCGTGTTTCTGTAGTCCCAGCTACTCGAGAGGCCGAGGCCAGAGGATTGCTTGAGCCCAGGAGGTTGAGGCTGCAGTGAACTGTGATGGTGCCGCTGCACTCCAGCCTGGTTGACCCTGTTTTAAAAAAGAAAAAAGAAGAAAGATCTTAAACCAACTTAATCTTCCACCCTAAAACAACAGAGAAAGAAGTACATTAAGCTCAAAGCAAGCAGAAGGAAGGAAAGAATCAGGATTCGAGCAAAAAAAAATCAATAACGTAGAGATGGGGAGCAGGAGAGGAGGGGAATTATAAGAAAATAAAATATAGTGAAATAAAATTTAGTACAACAGATGTTAGCTGCGTAAAACTGCGTGTGTGTGTGTGCACAGGGGCATAGGTGGAAAGATGTATGAAAGGATGGGACTCAAACAGTTGTCTCTAGGTGGTAGAATATCAGGTGATTTTACTTTTTGTCCTTATGTTTTTAGATTATTTAAAATTTTTAAAGCCTTGATCATATGTTATTTAGTCAATTCAAAAAAGATATTTTTATGGTGGAGAACATGCGTATTGTGAAACAACTAAATGCATAGTAAGTTGGTTATAGGCTCATTTGCACCTGGTTCTCCTGATCTCAGAGGGTTCCTCCATCAGCTGATGGATATGGGATAAGGTTGGCTTTGAAGCTTGCCCTGGGGCTGGAGGCAAAACATAACCACCTCCATCTGCCCTAGCGGCACCTCTATCCTAATAAATACAGTGAGGTAGTCTCCCAGGGCACCCAGTTCAAACTCTGCAGAATAGGATAATATTTAACATCAAGTGGACTCAGAATACAACTCTCTGGTTCTCAAATGACCAAGTAGCAGAATGAAATGTAACTTTCAGGCCTGCATCTGGATTTCTCTGCGTGTGGCGCTGCTGGCTCTGCCTCATCCTTGCTGCTGTGCCTTTCCGCGCTGTCTTCTCATCCAGGGCATTTCTGTGTTATGCGCACAGAAGGCTTTTGTTCTTTCTGCAGTCATTCCCTGCCCACATATATGCTGCAGCAGGGACCTTTCTCTTTGGTGAATTTTCTTTCTAAGAGAGAATTCATCAGCTCAAGGGAAAGGTTAGGATCTAGAAAATGTGAGGTTTTTAAGGCTCTGTTATGTGGCTTCCTACCAAGTCATGTTGTAGGTTTCTCTAGCAACAGAAAAGTGAATGAGATTTAATTCAGGAATAGACAGTCAATATGGATCATAAAAAGGTTTTATAAGTGCTATAGATTGAATGTTTGCATTCCTTCAAAATTCACCTGTTGAAATCCTAACTCCAGGCCAGACGCGGTGGTTCACGCCTGTAATCCCAGCACTTTGGGAGGCCGAGGCAGGCGGATCACCTGAGATCAGGAGTTTGAGACCAGCCTGGCCAACGTAGTGAAACTCCATCTCTGCTGCAAATACAAAAATTAGCCAGGTGTGGTGGCAGGGGCCTGTAATCCCAGCTACTCGGGAGGCTGAGGCAGGACAATTGCTTGAACCTGGGAGGCAGAGGTTGCAGTGAGCCAAGATCGCACCACTGCACCCCAGCCTGGGCGACAAGAGTGAAACCCCATCTCAAAAAAAATAAGAAGAAGAAAAAAATAAATTATAACTCCAAGGTGACGGCATTAGGAGGTGGGAGCTTTGGCAGGTAATTAGGTCATGAGGGTTGTACAATCCTGAATGGGATTAGTGCCATTATTTTAAGAAAGACCCCAGAGAGCTCTTTACCCCTTCCACCATGTGAGGACACAGCAAGACCACAGCTATCTATGAACCAGGAAGTGCGCCCTCACTAGACACTAAGTCTGCTGGCTTCTAGGATCTTGGACATCTCAGCCTCTAGAACAATGGGAAATAGCTTTCTGTTGTTTATAAGCCACCCAGTTTTTGGCATTTTGTTATAGCACCTGGATGGATTAAGACAATAACCATAAATTTTGTCAAGATAACTTTGCTTGATGTAGCCAAGCCTTCACTGGTCTGCCTAGTTCCTTAGGACATTTTGATCCCAAGGGTGTTTGAAGGGCCTGAAAGAAAAAATGTCAAGAAGCTTATCCCTATTTTCTCCTATTTATTTGTTCTACCCATAAACCCCGGGGAGGGTTTCCAGCTTGGTGTAGAAAACAGCCAAATAATATTTAATTACCTTTTCATTTCCCACTGAGCCCAGCGGGGCTTGCTTCAGCTTTTTCTCCATAACACTTTGCCACTCTTCAAATCATTCAGCAGCTCATAAGTACATTCTAGGAATTGCTAGTTTAGAATTATGATGTGATGTTTAAGGCAGACAGAAAGAGTAATTAACACCTCCCATGGATATGTAAAGTGAAAGACAAGTTGGAATTATTATTAGCTCACTTGGCTTAAAAAATTGAGGAAGTTGTTTTTGTCCTTAAAAACTGCAAACTGTGATTGTTAATGTAGACGGAGGTGGCCATTGCTTTTCCCAGAATCTCCTTCATGGGAAGATTCTTAAATTGTGGTGTGAACAGGGCTCTCAATGGCTGTCAGAATTAATTGTGCATGAGAATCACCTGGAGGGCTTGTGCAATTACTGAGCCTCACCCTACAGAGTTTCTGATTCAGTAAGTCTGGAGTAGGGCCCCAGAATTTGCATTTTTAACAAATCCCCAGGTGATGCTGAGGCAGCTCGTTTGGCCACCAGCCTGTGAAAACCACTAGGTTTACCAGAGGTTCTTGGACCTGGCTGCATGTTAGAATTACCTGGGGAGACTTTTGAAGAACACAGATGCCCTACCTACTGCACAAACCAGTTACATCAGAATCTTCGCTGGGGATGGAGCCCATATGGGAGAGTTTTGGGGTTTGTTTTTTTTTTTTTTGCTTCTTTTGAGATGGAGTCTCACTCTGTCGCCCAGGCTGGAGTGCAGTGGCATGATCTCAGCTCACTGCAATCTCTGACTCCCGAATTCAAGCGATTTTCCTGCCTCAGCCTCCCAAGTAGTTAACCGATGCTACAGGTGCCCGCCACCACACCTGGCTAAGAAGTGGGAGAGTTTTTAAGCAAAAAACTCTCTAATTCTAATGTGCATCACTGGGTTGGAGAGCAATTTGGCCTGGAGGAACACCAAAGAGAAAGGTTTAGCAAGATGGATGTGGCTATCATATGCATATCACAAATAATTTAGTGCAGGGAGGGTCAAAAGCCCACTATTTGCCGTCTCCCTCCCCTCCCTTCCTGAGCTCATGGTTGACATCACTGATCATTTCTGGTAAGTTTTCCACCGAGCCTAGTGCAGCTTCAGAAACAGAGTACTCTGGGGGCCAAATATGAGAGACCTGTAAGCCCTCTCTGATTTCCCAAAGAAACAGTCAGAATGCCAGGAAAAAAGCAGGGTGAGGGATGAGGAGAGCCGTCTTTCGGGAAATGTAAAGCAGTGAGAAGGAACTCCTCTTTCCCAATTTCCTTAACTCTCAAGAGTATATTTTGATTTTTGAAGTTTGTTAGACTTTAGGGCAGTGGTTCTAACATTGGACTGCACCCCAGAATTTCTGATTCAGTATTCGTGGAGTGGAGCCTATGAATTTGCATTTCTTTTCTTTTTTTTTCTTTTCTTTGTTTTTTTTTTTGAGACGGAGTCTTGCTGTGTCGCCCAGGCTGGAGTGCAGTGGCATAATCTCAGCTCACTGCAACCTCCACCTCCCAGGTTCAAGCCATCCTTCTGTCTCGGCCTCCCAAGTAGCTGGAATTACAGGCACCCGCCACCACGCCCAGCTAATTTTTGATTTTTAGTAGAGATGGGGTTTCACTGTGTTGGCCAGGCTGGTCTTGAACTCCTGACCTCAGGTGATCTGCCTCCCGAAGTTCTGGCCTGAATTTGCATTTCTAACAAGTTCCCAGGTGATGTTGATGCTTTCTATTGTCTGGGAACTAGACTGAGCGTGAGAACCACTGCTCTGAGGCGCTCTTCTGATACCAGCTGATTTATCTACGTTTTTTGACTAGATAGCAAAGGTTAATTATGGAACTAAACTTATGTCAAATTGATACAGATTGGTAAGAACATTACAGAGTGTTGTGTTGAGGGGTTTTGATTTTAAATCCATAGAGATAGAGACCTGGCTAACGTTAGGGTACTTGAGACATGCAGTACATGGAGTTTCACTGGTTAAAATCATACCGTTTGCAAGGTATTTGTACTGTTAAATTGTTAGTCACCTGTTTTTTCCACCTGGTAGATAGGAATCTGCACCCATTTTTCCCTTATTTTCTTGAGAGTGGTCCTCTGAAGGTGCCATGAACTGAAGTGGGTCATTTCGACAGTGGTTGTTAGGATCACTTTACTGCCATCATTTTTACCGTATCGGTTTCTTAGCTGATGTTTCACTTGCATCGTTTTTGTTTCTCAACGTAAAGGAGAGTTTGGATGAGGGGAGTCTGACATCAAAGATGTCCAACACCAAACCCTTACGTATCACAAGCAACTGTGAAGTATTTCCTTCTGGGGGGTGACACTGGGTAGGATGGATGGGGGTCGCTTTTTTCTTCTTCTTTTGCTTTATAACCCTTCTGCACTGATGATGGATTTTTTTTTAAAAAATCACATAAATGTATTCTTTTATTTATTTATTTTTTAAGATAGAGTCTTGCTCTGTTGCCCAGGCTGGAGTACAGTGGCACGATCTCAGCTCACTGCAACGTCTGCCTGCCGGGCTCAAGCGATTCTTGTGTCTCAGCTTCCCAAGTAGCTGGGATTACAGGTGTGTGCCACCACACCTGGCTAATTTTTGTATTTTTATTAGAGACAGGGTTTCTCCATGTTGGCCAGGCTGATCTTGAACTCCTGACCTCAGGTGATCCACCTGCCTCCACCTGCCTCAGCCTCCCAAAGTGCTGGGATTACAGCGATTCTTGTGTCTCAGCCTCCCTAGTAGCTGGGATTACAGGCGTGAGCCACCATGCCTGGCCCACATAAATGTATTCTATCATAAAAATTTTAAGTTCACCTGTGAAATAGATAGCATTATGTCCACGTGACAGATGGGATCCAGAGGAATAATTTGCTTGGAGCCAGACAGCTTTGAAAAGGGCAGCAAATAAAAAACAACTTTGATATTAGAGGTGAGAGAAACTCCCGGGTGGCTGCAGGAAATACCTGTTTGTGAGATCTGCCTGGGAATGAGTGACTTTAACATGATCTTGTTGTAGGAAACATTTAACAGTATGTGCCACCTAAGGGCTCCTGTTTGCAAACAACAGAAAATGGCTTGCATTAACTTCAGCAGAAAAATAATTTACAGGGAAGTTATTGGGCAGTTCACAGAGTTGATGGAAAAGCTGGAGAATTAGACTTCAGCAGTGAGTAAGACCCAAGAAAGGCTGGCAGCAGAGAAGAAAATGGAGTCTCACCATGCGAAGAGTCACCATCTTCACTGTGGGAAATATGGAACTGTCCCATTCCTTTGGTCTGTCCATCCAGATTCATAATGTCCTGGCTGGAGTATTGCACAGGATGTTTCACACCTCCATGTCTTATTAGTGTTTAGTGACTGGGAATGTCTAATCCTTTTTGCTTTCATAGGGGAGTGTAGGACCGTGTCTCTCCCATAGACTCACACAAAAGAGGGAATTCCCCCAGATAATAAAGCCACTGAAAGGCTCTGCATTCCCACACACACCTCTAAACTCAGCACCAATGAAAACCCAGTTGATTTTCAACATCCTAATGTAACCCTCCTTCGTACTTTTAAGCACATTGACAGCATGTCCACATGTCATTTTCCCAGCATCATTTTCTGAATTGCATTTGTACTTACTGCTCGTTGGCTATGGTAGTTTGCAGATACTTTCTCCCGTTCTGTAGCTTGTCCTTGTAACCCTAATGGGAGCAAAAAGTTTTTAATTATGATGGAGTTCAATTTATCAATTTTTTTCTTTTATGAATTGTGCTTTGGGTTTCAAATCTACCCTAGATCCCAACAATTTTTATTCTGTTTTTTGTTTTTCCCAGAAATTTCATAGTTTTATGTTTTACATTTAAGTCCATGATCCATTTACAGGTGATTTTTATATAAGCTGTGAGACTTAGATTGTGCCTATGGATGTCTAAGTGTTTCAGTTCCATTTATTGAAAAGGCGATCTTTCCTCCATTGAATTACTTTTGCAACTTTGTCAAAAATAGTTGGGTATATTTGTTTGGATCTATTTCTGGATTCTATATTCTATTCCATTGATCTATGTGTGATCTCTGTGTACATAGGCTTGATTATTGTAGCTATATATGATAGTCCCCACTTATTTGCAGTTTCAGTTACCCATGGTCAACTGGCTCAAAAATATTAAATGGAAAATTTGAGAAATAAGCAATTCATCCTAAGTTTTAAATTGTACACCATTCTAAATAGTGTGATGAAACCCTGCAGCATCTTGTTCCATCCCACCTGGGATGTAAATCAGCCCTTTGTCCAGCATATCCACTGTGTATATGCTACCCACCCATCAGTCACTTAGTAGCTGCCTTGGTTACCAGATCAACTGCTATGTTATCACAGCGCTTTCAAGGAACAGTGAAATCGTACAGTGGCACGATCTCACTGCAATGTCTCATTGCAAGGAACCCTTATTTTATTTAGTAGTGTACCCAAAGCACAAGAGTAGTGATACTGGTATGGTGGTGTAATTGTTCTATTTATTCTTAGTTATTGTTGTTAATCTGTAACTGTGCCTAATTTATAAGTTAGATTTTATCATAGGTATGTATGTATAGGAAAAATCGTAGTACACCTGGGTTTGGGTGCCATCCATGGTTTCAGGCACCCACTGGGTGTCCCGGAAGATATTTCCTGCAGATAAGAGGGGGCTACTGTTAATAAGCCTTGCCATCAGATGAACTGATTTGTGCCAGTTTCTTTCTTTTTTTTTTAAAAAAAGTAGCTATTCCAGTTACTTTGCCTTTACATATGCATTTTAGAATAATCTTGCTTGTGTCTATAAGAAAATCATTATTTTGGGGGAGGATGATGTATATTTTAGCTTCTAAATGTTACATTTTGTACAAAGGGCTGTATGCTGGATGCTATAGATATTATAGGTAGTTGAAGGGAACAAATTCACCTCATATTTAAACTTATAATTTATCACTCATAAAATAAATATTTTTCATGAAAAGGTATCATTTTAAATGTAATAAAATATTTTTTTTAAAAACATACCCCGAGAAACTTTTTTTTTTTTTTTTTTTGAGACAGAGTTTTGCTCTTGTTGCGCAGGCTGGAGTGCAGTGGTGCGATCTCAGCTCACTGGAACCTCCACCTGCTGGGTTCAAGTGATTCTCTTGTCTCACCCTCCTGAGTAGCTAGGATTACAGGCACCTGCCACAACGCCCAGCTAATTTTTGTATTTTTAGTAGAGACGAAGTTTCGCCATGTTGGCCAGGTTGGTCTCGAACTCCTGACCTCAGGTGATCTGCCCGTCTCAGCCTCCCAAAGTGCTGGGATTACAGGCATGAGCCACCATGCCTGGTCAAGAAACTTCTTAAGAAGTTCAAATATAAGAAGTAAAATAGGTCCACTGCTTATAAATAACTTCAATGGGAACTTCACTGAAATCACACACTAAAGGTGGCCATCCGTGCACAAACTATGATGGTGTGTTAAAAACTATAAAATGATTTTCAGAATATTTAGGGAAAATTAAAACAAAAATAGATATGGTCAATCTAGATATTTAGTAATTCAAAAATATATAAATCTTAATTTCTTGGTACTATAATTTTTAAAACTTTAGAATCCACAGCGTGGTCTTTTCTTATGGCACATTTTTAACATCTTTTGACTTGTATAAAAATACAACATTCTATTTGAGAACACAAATACTGTTTTCTCCATATAATTACAATGTGATTCAGTGGGAGTTTTGGTGACTGCTGGTGTTCACCATAAATTATTACTTTAGTGCATTCTGCAGTCTTGCAAAATGGGTTTCATGTTACTTTTTGCATATATAAAAAGCATGCAGCTACAGTGACCCATGTCCAAATATTCCAAAGCAGTCACCATCTGAGAAATTGCTTATGGTGTCTATAAAGTTAGCCACGATGTTTTTTAATCCCCCCGGCCATGAGCCTGAGTCTCACTCTGTGGCCCAGGCTGGAGTGCAGTGGCGCGATCTTACATCACTGCAGCCTCCACCTCCTTGCTTTAAGCGATTCTCCTGCCTCAGCCTCCCAAGTAGCTGGGATTACAGATGCACACCACCACACCTGGCTAATTTTTGTATTTTTAGTAGAGACAGGGTTTTGCCATGTTCGCCAGGCTGGTCTCGATCTTCTAACTGCAGGTAATCCGCTCGCCTCGGCCTCCCAACGTGCTGTGATTACAGGCATGCAGGCATGAGGCACTGTGCCTGGTCTGCAACATCCATTTCTTTTTGTTTGTTTGTTTTTGTGATGGAGTCTCACTCTGTTGCCCAGGCTAGAGTGCAGTGGTGCGATCTCAGCTCGCTGCAACCTCCGCCTCCCGGGTTCAAGCAATTCTCCCGCCTCAGCTCCCTGAGTACCTGGGACTAAAGGTGCCCACCACCACACCCAGCTAATTTTTGTACTTTTAGTAGAGATGGGGTTTCACCATATTATCCAGGCTGGTCTCGAACTCCTGACCTTGTGATCCACCCACCTCGGCCTCCCAAAGTGCTGGGATTACAGGAGTGAGCCACCACGCCCGGCACAACATCCATTTCTAATTCTCAGTATGTTTGGCTAGGGTTCTTAGTAAAGGGAAAGATAAATTAATTTTTAAAATCTTTAAAATTTGTTTTTTCTTTGAACTCCCGTTCCAACCTTGGCAAAGGAACTTTTAGCTCTTCTGAACTATCACCCTCACCCTATCTCTGCCATGTCATCTACAAATTCTTTTTTTTTTTAAGTTTACATTGAGTATTGCTCCTGAACTTGCACACCTGTGATGATACACTGATACTGAAAGGGCCTGGGTTATAGTCATCACAATACTGTTGAATTCCATCAACTCCAGCTGTTTTCACCTTGTGGGCTCTTATACCTGTTATTCAGTTGTTCTACTTTTTCTGGTCTATTGAATTTCTTGTGGATTCTTTGTAGAATGAATCTGAGTTTTGGAAGAAGTTGTCTGCTCAATTTCCCCATTCTGCATTAAGCAGCAGCTCCTTAATCAGCCTGAGTAAATGCCATACACTGGAGGGTCTTGTTTTTCTTTTCTTCTTTTTTTTCTTGAGGTGGAGTCTCACTCTGTGGCCCAGGCTGCAGTGCAGTGGTGTGATCTCGGATCACTGCAACCTCCACCTCCCAGGTTCAAGTGATTCTCCCACTTCAGCCTCCCAAGTAGTCTGGATTACAGGCATGCACCACCACGCCCGGCTAATTTTTTGTATGTTTAGTAGAAATGGGGTTTCACCATGTTGGCCAGGCTGGTCTCGAACTCCTGATCTCAGGTGATCCGCCCACCTTGGCCTCCCAAAGTGTTAGGATTACAGGTGTGAGCCACCACGCCCGGCATGGAGGGCCTTGTTTTTCTAGGACAGTTTAAGCTGTGCTCACATAAACTTGGTGTTTCTGAGGCTCCCCGTTCACTGGCCAGCCCTGCAGCTCCAGACCATTCACTACTTCATTTTAAACAGATGTCAGAAAAGCACTGACCTAGCCTGTCCTCCATATATAATAGTTTGTTGATGGTTGCTTAGTCTGGGTTATGTAGATAAGCAATTATTTTTCATAAGACTTTTCTACCAACAGGTGGCACTAACAATTTGTTTTACTAATGCCCCAGTAGTAATCCTTGTGTCACATTTGAATATATCATTTGCACTTTTTGGGTTGAAACATAGCTGATTTTTATAGATGTTTAAGGCCAGAGAGAGAGAGAGAGAGAGAAATCCAGCATTTCTGATCAAGTCTTTAGCATATAGTCTTTCTCCTACACTACTGGCTCATAGCCAGTAATCTGCTTCTTCCTTCATTCCTAGTCTACACCTTGATTGGCCTTTCAAGAAAGTCAGATGAATAGAATTCATGAGAAAAACATAGGGGTAAATATAAAATGTTTTTCTTGAGGTTCCTTACTGTAGGGGAAAGGATGACATTCATATTGATTGCCTGTGCTGGAGGAATTCAATTTTTAAAATATTTACTAAATACTTATTGCAGAACTACTACATGCAGAGTACTGTTCTATATATTCCCTGTTGAAGAATATACAGAACTCTGAGAATTAGACCCTACTGTCAGAGCTTATGCTCTAATTGAGATAAGACAGGCATACAAAGTAAATGTGAAATCGGTAATAATTTTCTATGTCCAGTACATGTATAGGATATTAATGTCAGATAAGATTGTAGAGTAAAATGCTATGATAATTTGGAGGAGGTAGAGGATTATTTCTTTAATCAATCTATCAAATATTTTTTATGTCAGTGTTCTTGGAATAGAGAATACAATTGTGAACAAGGTTGACAAAATTCTTGCCTTCAGGGAAGGCCTCTCTGAGGAAGTGACAGAGCTGGATTGGTGGCTTTAGGGAAGGCTTTGCAGAGAGTTGTAGCCAGTTGAAGAATGGGCAGGATTTGGCTGAGAAGCATTTGACCTTGATGATCTCACTACACATCACATCTGCCCTGTGTGATGGGTACTGTTACTATCCCCATTTTACACATCTCTCAGGCACATAGGCACAGGGAGATGAAGTTACTTGTGATGTGAGTGGTTTCCTGAAGCACGGCATATTCATTTTCTTGTCCTCAAAATGAAAAAACCTCAAATAGGCTAGGACTTGTTTTTCAGAAGCCAGGAAAACAGAAGAGCAGTCTTTGCCTTTCTTCTTGGAAGAGAGCGGAGATAGCTGCAGCTGACTCAGTGCGGGTGACGAGGAACGGGGTGACTCAGGTCTTGTAAGACAGGCTTTCTTTCTTCTTTTCTTTCTTTTTTTTTTTATTTTTTATTTTAGCTAAACCCCCCAGTTCTATCAATCAGACAAGACTTCTGCTAGAAAGAAAATCAGCATTTGCTCCCACAACTCTCCGTCCTTGGAGAGCACAGTGTGCTCAGAAGAGCAGCACTGCTTGCAAAGGGAGCCCGTAGCTCTGGGAGGCAGGCTGACTCCACACCCAAGTCTTCATCTGTCACTGTTGGCCATTTGGCATGTAGCACTCAGACCTCAGTTTCTTTGTGTGCAAAATGGGGGTGATGGCATGGAGAACATACACATTTTTTAAAATTCTTACCGATTTTCTGTGGGTAACATTAAAAAAAGTTATTTTATTTTTAAATTTTCATTTGTTTAAAGTTTAAATTTTTGTATCTTTTTTTAGTATTTAATTTTTGCCTTCAGCTTCGCAGACATACACATTTTGAATGGGACTGATACATCTATTACTCATTTCCCTTCCCTTCCTGCACAGGGTACTGGGAACATGAAATAACAGTCTACGATTGAGTCAGCATTGCTCACCGGAATGTTAGTCATGGCATATGCCCTGAAAGTGGTGCCTTCCAGGACCGTTGAGATGAGGATGGCCAGCCCCTAACAGCCATCTGCATCCGGGGCCTGGGAGAGCCGAACCTGAGACTGCCAGGAATGGTGTCACATTAAAAGTGCCTCATTCTTTTGGGGCTGATCAGGCCCTTGACTCGATATTTGGTAATACTAAGAAATTATAGAGTGATGATTTGTTTTCACCTCATAGGTGTGTCTTCCTTAAACCTTGTTAAGATGTTGACACATTACCCATTTAAAGGGGGAAAGAAAAGGGAAAAAAAAAGGAAAAAACTGAAGTTCATTGTTCTAGGTGTGACAATTGTGTTTGTAGTTATTTATTTATTTTTTGAGACGGGATCTCACTCTGTCACCCAGGTTGGAGTGCAGTGGCACCATCTCGGCTTACTGCAGTCTCCGCCTCACAGACTCCAGTGATCCTTCCATGTCAGCCTGCCCAGTAGCTGGTACTACAGATGCATGCTATCACACCAGGCTAATTTTTTGTACTTTTAGTGGAGACACTGTTCCGCCATGCTGCCCAGGCTGATCTTGAACTTCTGAGCTCGAATGCTCTGCCCACATCGGCCCCCCAAAGTGCTAGGATTACAGGCATGAGCCATTGCACCCGGCCTGTAGTTATATTTTTAAAAACAATACTTATCTTTGAAGGCTGCATATTGACATTTGAACTGATGATAGGATGTTTGAAGTTTGCTTCAAAATATATAGTTCAGCATGAAAGTGGTTAGTGAGAAATATAATAGGAAACAAGATTGACCGTAAACCAAATTGTTACAGCTGGCTGACACACACGTCGTAGTTCCTTTTGTTCTTCACTGTATTTTGGTATAGTTTTGAAATTTTTCATAATAACAAAAGGCTATTTTCAATGCGTGGTCCTGAGCAAGGATATAGAAAGCTCCATCTTTGGGTAGGAGTGGTTGAGCTGTAGTGCACAAACTGGATGCTGTTGCTTTGATTGTTTTGATTGTTCAAGACCTTTTGACTCCAGCAGAGCTCCTTGATGAGCTTCTCTCAGCGTCTGGACAGTGACCATGTGTCACGTGCTGGTGAACCCCTGGCCAGGGCCCAATAAATATTGAATGAGTAAATGAAAGCCAGAAGACCTAACCGTGATCCCTTTCTTCTTGTCTTTGCAAGCGGAGCCCAGGGAGAATATGCTGGACTGGCCACTATCCGAGCCTACTTAAACCAGAAAGGAGAGGGGCACAGAACGGTGAGTATGGCAGGAGGTGGCGCTTGCTCACCATGGGGCACAGAGGTCCTGGCTCTCAGGGTCCCTTCTGTGGGACACTCCCTCCAAGCCTTCTTGGAAGCAGATGAGGGAACATATAGTCAAGAAACAAATTTCTGTGAACTAGCCATTATGATCCTTGCTTCCAAGACATCCCACTTGACCATTTTGAGGAAAAACATTCAGAGATAAAAGACTTGCTCAAACCCAGAATGCAAACGTCAGCCAGTTGGCTGTGGAACTGCTCTCTAGGGAGCAGAGGGAGGAAGAGGGCAGGAATGTTGCCATTGCAAGCATCCTCTCCTTGGCTCAGCCCCGGCCCTGGGCCTGGATGAAGGGCAGAGACCATGCTTTAATTCTTCAGTAACCCCTGTTGTGCTGAAGCCCGGTTCTGGTCATAGTATGCTCAAACAATATTTGTTGAATAAATAAATTCTCCATTAGATGATTCTCAACTTCAAGCACCAAAAAAGGCATAAAGCAGAGTTCACGGTCCTGCTTCAATGTTTGCTTTGGATATGAGAACCTGGTCTCCAGGATCCCAATCGCCTCTTGGGGACCACTGTGGGGACCAGCAGGTACTAATGGACACCACTCGCTCCCCCCAGGGGCAGTGCCTGTAGCAGTGGCCTAACTCAGGCCTCAGCTTGTGCCAGAGGAGGCCTGTGTTCCTGGTTCCTTCATTTTGATGGCCAGTGCTATGCTAGAGTTTGTACTGAGCTGTGGGGCGGAAGTCCTTAATAGGAGCATCGCCTAGGAGCCGAGAGCAGGGCAAAAGCATCTGCTGATACTAGAGAGTTGCAGACAAAGGGGATAGGGTGGTGCTGGCTGGCTAAGTAAGTAGGGTGGAGTGGTAGTGGCCCGATCTTAGTCCATTTCTGGTTTTATTACCACTGGAAGGTTACTTATGGCTAGTTGCCTGGAATTTGCAATAAAGAATGCTGAAAGTGTTTCACTTCCCTTTCATAACAGGGGAAACGAAGGAACATTTTTTTCCCTCCTTCCCTTGCATAGTTCATCCTGATTCCACAGGTGTGTCTTTCCAGGCTTTCATCTTGGTTGGGGAATAGAATTTTTTTTTTTTTTTTGAGATGGAGTCTCGCCCTGTTCCCCAGGCTGGAGTGCAATGGCCCAATCTCGGCTCATTGCAACCTCTGCCTCCTGGGTTCAAGCGATTCTTGTGCCTCAGCCTCCTGAGTAGCTGGGATTACAGGCATGCGCCACCACGCCCGGCTAATTTTTGTATTTTTAGTAGAAACAGAGTTTCACCATGTTGATCAGGCTAGTCTCGAACTCCTGACCTCAGGTGATCCACCCGCCCCTGGACCTCTCAAAGTGCTGGGATTATAGGTGTGAGCCACTGCGCCTGGCCCTTTTTTTTTTCTCTTCATAGCTCACTGCAGCCTTGAACTCCTGGGCTCAAGGAAGCCTCCCAAAGTGCTAGGGAGACCAGGATTACAGGCATGACCCTCTGCACCTGGCCCTAGAATTCATGTCTAAAGATCTTTGAAAAACAGGCCATTCGTGAATTGAATAAATGATTAAACCCTGGTCAAGGACTGCTTGCCAGTCCAGAGAGAAGTGAAGTGGTCAACCAGACAGACACAGACCCTGAAATTCCCCCACAGTTTGTTCATTCGTGGTTCTGAATTCTCAGCTTTCTAAGGAATGATTAGTTTAGAACTATAATTGCTCTTGGGACCTGAGAGTCTCGGCACTTTCACAGAATCAGAAAGGAAACTTTGGAGCTCCAGGTGTCCAGCCAGTAAAACAATGCCAGATTCTCTCCTGTCTGTTTTTCCCTCATGGCTTCCATGTTCTGAGGTCGTCTCTGGAGTTCCTCTTCATTAGTATCTTTCACCACGAGGTGCCCAGGAGCCTGGGGATGCTGGAAAGGGGCAGCCTGTCCTGTGTGACATCTCCACCCGACTCCTCCACTGCTTGGCGGAGAGGCCGCAGAAAGCAGTGTTTGCAGAAAGCAGGTGACTAGCTAATGGCAAAGGGCCAGCTAAAATCCAGATTCTTTCCACGCAGTAATGCTTCCCACCCCTCGCCATTTCCCAAATTTCCCAATCTGACACCAGGAAGTAGCTGTGAATGTCCAGCAGCTGGGGACCAAACTGGAAAGGCCAAGGAGAAAGAATGAAAGGCCTTTGGGTTTGGCCTGGGCGGGGTTCTTCCGTGACTTGTGGATTCTTTCTGGTTCCTGTTCCCTCTCTTTGTGTTTTCCTGTCCTCCTTCCCTTCTCCACCCACTGTGTGTGATGTTTCTCTTGGCCCCATTGCCCATCCTGCCATCACTGAAGTGTCATGAGAGGCCATTTCACTCTGCAGGAGGGAGAGGGGCTGGGTGCTGTGCTTCAGGGAGAGGGGGAAAGGGAGAGGCAGGGAAGCCCTCCAGCCACTGAGCTGGTAGAAATACAAAGCTCATTAGCCTGGAAATGTTGGCATCCTTCTGGATCAGAAATTTTAATTAGCTCGGGCATGGTGGCTCATGCCTGTAATCCCAGCACATTGGGAGGCTAAGGCAGGCAGATCACCTAAGGTCAGGAGTTCAAGACCAGCCTGGCCAACATAGCAAAACCCTGTCTCTACTAAAAACACAAAAATTAGCCAGGCATGGTGGTGCACGCCTGTGATCCCAGCTACTGAGGGAGGCTGAGGCAGGAGAATCACTTGAATCCAGGAGGCAGAGGTTGCAGTGAGCTGAGATCGCACCACTGCACTCCAGCCTGGGCAACAGAGCAAGACTCCCTCTCAAAAAAAAATTTTTTTTAATTAAAGCCAACTTTCTTAGTTAGAGAAGAAAATGATTTAGTATTCACTAATCAGGGAAGATTTTTTCACATCACTGATGTCTGAGGCAGCTGCTCCCACACAATAGATTCTAATGGAATCCAGCAAAATATATCATTCTTTTTTGAAAGGGAGTGTGGGGAAGTCATGTGCAGGGAGTGTGGGGAAATCATGTGCTACAGAAGTGCCTGGGCTCCTGATGGGTCTTTTCTTTCAAGCTGCTTTTTGAAGTTATTTTCACATTTTCTCTTAGGTTAAATTTCAGAGGTTCCTAAAATGGAATGCCTAACTTCTTGATTTATGAGTTTACTTTGGGAGAATACAAATTTATTTAACAAACACTTATATGGCAATTACCATGTACCAGGCATGGCCTTTAACACTTTATAATTAATATTTCAATTTGTCAGTCAAATCCTGACTTACTCAGCAGACCTCCAGATCTTACGAAAAAATAAAAACTCTAAAGAAAAACAATTAGGTTTGCTGTTCAGAGTCTGAGTTTCCTATACAAAGGGAAAACATTGACCAAAGGAAACAAATTATGTTATATGTAAATCAACAAAGAAAGCTCAAAACCTGTATGGGAATATTTTTTTCTTCCCAACTGCCTGAGACAAAGTAGTGGCCTTTGGTTGTTAGATTTTACCAGTGGTAAGACATTAGTTTCCCTTGCACAGGAGATCTCCTTAACCCTTCACTCATTCAACAAGTCTAAAGATGACCTCATGCTATTCTATGCCACGCGGCACCCTGGGGAGTTGAGAAAACATAGCACCCCCTAAATGGGCATCAATGCACCAAATGCTGGATTTGCTTTGGATAAACCAAAACTTCAAATCTGGGTCGTGTTACTTCCATATCCCTCACAACAATACAATTTTTTTCCCCCAAGAGAGACTCTCACTCTGTCACCCAGGCTGGAGTGCAATGGCATGATCTTGGCTTATGGCAACCTCCGCCTCCCGGGTTCAAGTGATTCTCATGCCTCAGCCTCCCAAGTAGCTGGGACTGTAGGCGTGCACCACCATGCCTGGCTATTTTTTGTATTTTTATTAGAGACAGGGTTTCACCATGTTGGCCAGGCTGGTCTTGAACTCCTGGCCTCAAGTGAACCGCCTGCCTCAGCCTCCCAAAGTGCTGGGATTACAGACATGAGCAACCTCGCCCGGCCAACACTACAATTTTAAACTGAGGAAAAACTTAACATTATAAAGAATAATTAAAGTCCTCTAAATCCTCATAGAAAACCAGAAATGTCTGACAGCAACATATAAATGAGTGCTTCACAAAGCCACTGTGACTTCTCTTTCCATCGCTCCTTGTACCAGGATGTGTATTAGTTTCCTATGGCTGCTATGATAAATTTCTACAGGCTTAGTGGCTTAAAACAACACACATTAATTTTCTTATAGTTGCAGAGGCCAGGTGTCAGAAATTGGTTTCACTGGGCTAAAGTCAAAGTGTTGGTAGAGCTGATTCCTTCTGGGGGAGACAGGGGAGAATCTGTTTCCTTACCTTTCCTGGCATCTGCAGGCCTCCTGCGTTCCTTGGCTCGAGCTTCCTGCTTCAGTCAGCACATCTCCCGCTCCCTCTGTGGTCCCATCTCCCTCTGCTTCCCTCTGATGAGGACACTTAAGAATATATTTAGGGCCCAGCCCAAAATCCAGAAGAATTTTTCCATCTCAAGATCTTTCTTTACCTTAATCCCATCTGCAAGTCCCCCTTGCCATATAAGGAAACACCCACAGGTTCCGAGGATTAGGACAGGGATGTCTTTGGGAGCCCGTTATTCAGTGTACCACAGGGTGGTTGACGTTTTTATATGTTTGTGTTTCAACAGAACTCACCTGGTATGAATTCTTCATTTTGGCTTTCTATGAATATTTTATATTTATTTTTAACATTCCCCTTTCTCCTTCTTATCAATATTCTGCCCTGAAGGGATCCTTTCATCCAACGATCCTTTTGTAGACTAGCAATACCTGTGAGAGAGGACAGTGCCTCCAGCTTGGGTCCTCAGAAATTAAAGAAAAAAATTAACTACAAAAGGGAAGCATTCAAACAAGAAAACGGATTTGAGGACAACGTGACATAACCAGTATGAGACCAACAGCCGTTCTAAAGGGACACAAACCTTCTGACAGTAGAAGAGTGCAAAGTAGTTCATGTTTGCCTTTGGCTAATGTTTTCTTTTTGTACACGTTTATTTTTCTTAAGTAGACTCCTTTGCTGTTTTTGAGGAAAGAGCTGTAAGCTAAGATTTAACTTCATAGCCTATTTTCAATAATGCCCATCCATCTCTCTGTGGGATAAAAAATAGGAGGATGATTTTCAGGGTAATCATGGCTTCTCCTTGATGCTTTTTGTTGGGGAAAACCTTCTGACTTACTTTCCCACTGGGACACATCGTCAGTTCTACAAGAGCCTGTGTCCACATGGTTGTTTGGAGGAAATGAAGGATGATTTGAGTCTGAGAATTTTAGCATTGCACCTACTGTCCAGCTTCCATAAAAATTCAGTGCAGCTGTAAGCTCTAACTTAGGCTCAGCTCTTGAGGCACTTTGCCTTGATTTCCTTAACCTGAAGCTACATCCCCTTGTCCATGTTTCTGCTGCATCTCTGGACTCTAGACAGTCATTCACAGGCCACCATTGTTAGTGAGTGAGTTGTGTGAACCCGGGGTAGGGGTTGGTCATTTTTATTTTTAGCTATTTTTTTTTTTTGAGACGGAGTCTTGCTCTGTTGCCCAGGCTGGAGTGCAATGGCGCGATCTCGGCTCGCTGCAACCTCCACCTCCCGGATTCAAGCGAATCTTCTGTCTCAGCCTCCTGAGTAGCTGGGACTACAGGCGTGCGTCACCACACCTGGCTAATTTTTGTATTTTTAATAGAGACAGCATTTCGCCATGTTGGCCAGGCTGGTCTTGAACTCCTGACCTCCACCTCCCGAAGTGTTGGGATTACAGGCGTGAGCCACCATGCCCGGCCAGGTTGATCTTTTTTTTTTTTTTTTTTTTTTTTTAAATACGGAGTTTCACTCTTGTCGCCCAGGCTGGAGTGCAATAGCGCAATCTCGGCTCACCGCAACCTACACCTCCTGGTTTAAACCAATTCTCCTGCCTCAGCCTCTCGAGTAACTGGGATTACAGACGCCTACCACCACACCCAGCTATTTTTTGTATTTTTACTAGAGACGGGGTTTCACCATGTTGGCCAGGCTGGTCTCTAACTCCTGACCTCAGGTGATCCACCCGCCTCGGCCTCCCAAAGTGCTGGGATTACACGCGTGAGCCACTGCACCTGGCCGGGTTGATCATTATTAATGCTTAGTTTATGGTTCTTATAGAAACTAATAATTTATTACAGAGTAAACATCCGATAAATATTGATATAATTGGTGTATTGGTACTGGGAGGCCTTGGAATTAACGTCTGTCATTATCATCTGTCCTGGATAAGCCAAGCAGAGCACTGAAGCTGTGATGTGGGCCCTGAGTCCTTGAGTTTAACTTCCAGTCTCATGTTCTTCTAAGGTGCTTTCTGTGTATCCTAACTGAGACAAGGTTAGAATAAGTCCAGGCCTATTTTTATTGTACTGGGATAAAGGAAGATTGTATTGATTTCCTGAGCATCTTCAGGGAACAATATTTAGGGATTCATATGGAAACTTTTTTTGGACATTGCTTTGCAATGACAAATAATTAAATTGTAGCAGATTTTAAAGCACTAGTGTTCAGCCTAAATAAAAACAGGTGGTGTCTAATTTGTGCTACAAGCATGTTGTAGTACTTTTCTGTCATTATTCATAGTCTGATGATGATTTTGCTCTTTCTTTGCTTCCTTTCTATTCTGTAGGTTTGCCTCATTCCGAAATCAGCACATGGGACCAACCCAGCAAGTGCCCACATGGCAGGCATGAAGATTCAGCCTGTGGAGGTGGATAAATATGGGAATATCGATGCAGTTCACCTCAAGGCCATGGTACTTGTCTTCTCCTTAGCAGATGGGAGAGGCCGGGATGGGGAGTGCTGGTGGGGATCAGGGACTTGATGGATTATGTAAATGTCTTCTCTTGCATTCTAATGAAAAGTCTGCAGTTCTTCCTTTGACCAGAGTCTACTCTACCCCTCCCATCACCAACAGGGAGAAATCCCCGTTTTCTAATTCCAGCTTGTGTAAAAAACTGAATGAATTATTCATGGTGGTAGTAAGAGTACTCCTTGCAGAACCTGCCTGCCTCTTTCTGCCCAATCTTCCCTCTCCTTCTCGCCTTCCCCACTTAATAATCAAAATGGCAGTCACACTTACACATCTTCGTGTCAGGAATTGTAACACAAATGTCAGCTTTGCAAATATCCATGACTGTGCCAGCCCCATCATGCTGAATTCCTGGCATCATGCAGCTTGGTTTCCACCAACCCCCACTCTCAACCTCCCAACCTCCAGGAAGAAGTTGCTTAGCAACCGTATCTGCTTCCCACCAGCGGACTGGCAGCTGCATCTTAAGCGGGAAGGAAACCAGTGGAATAGCAATGTGATTTTGATGGTGGTGTTATTAGGCATGGAGACTGTGAACTCTGTGCAGTTGCCTTCTAAAGGAAGCTGAAAATCCACAATGCTGCACCTCTCTTCGATCCACCTCTACCCTTCCATTGCTCCACAAAGCTTTTTTCCAACAAGTGTTCCAGGCCAGTAGTTGAAATTATTAAGTCCCTCCATTATAGTAATATAGGACATGACTTCCCTGGCCACCCCCATGTTCTCAAACATGCCTGCTCTGATATGCTGGCCAGGAAAACAAACAGGGATGTGACTTTTATATATGCTTGCCTTCTGTAAAAGGAAAGAATAAAGAAGACTTTTATTTACAGAAACACTTCTTGTGGGAATTCTTTTTTTTTTTTTTTTTCCAATTCCTGTTCTTTATCTTTTTGTTTGTTTGTTTTGAGACGGAGTCTCACCCTGTCGCCCAGGCTGGAGTGCAGTGGCACGATCTCGGCTCACTGCAACCTCCGCCTCCCGGGTTCAAGCAATTCTCCTGCCTCAGCCTCCTGATTAGCTGGGACTACAGGCGTGTGCCACCATGCCCAGCTACTTTTTGTATTTTTAGTAGAGACAGGGTTTCCCCGTATTGGCCAGGATAGTCTCGATCTCCTGACCTCATGATCCGCCCGCCTCAGCCTCCCAAAGTGCTGAGATTACAGGCGTGAGCTACCACGCCTGGCCTCTGTTCTTTATCTTTTTAAATGACAATAGTTGTACATAGTCATGGGGTATATAGTGATGTTTCTATACATCAAATGTATAGAGATCAGATCAGGGTAATCAGCATATCCATCATCTCAAGCATGTATCATTTCTTTGTGTTGAGGGAACGTTCAATATCCTCCTTCTAACTATTCAAAATTATATATTGTTAAATATAGTCATCCTGCAGTGGTATAGAACTCTACAACTTACTCCTCCTATCTAGCTGTAATTTGGGAATTTTAACTTCAACAGAAGGCAAGGGAAAGGAATGGATATGAGAAGATGAGCAGAGAGATTAACTATGAGAATGGACGCACCTAGAACCACAAACGTCTGAAATCGTTATTGAGATGACTTGAACCAAGGGAAAACCACCTTAGAGAGTTGGGCCCAAAATATCCAAAAATCTTGTGAATAGTCCTTTTGGTCTGGACCATAGAGACCTAGCCTGAAAGGATCTTATTATTTCTTTTTTTCTTTTTTCTTTTTTTTTTTTGACGTGGAGTCTCTCTCTGTTGTCCAAGCTGGAGTGCAGTGGTGTGATCTTGGCTCACTACAACCTCCACCTCACCGGTTCAAGCAATTGTCCCTGCCTCAGCCTCCTAAGTAGCTGGGATTACAGGCACCTGCCACCATGCTCGGCTAATCTTTGTATTTTTAGTAGAGACGGGGTTTCACCATGTTGGCCAGGCTGGTCTCGAATTCTTGACCTTAGGTGATCTGCCCGCCTCGGCCTCCCAGAGTGCCGGGATTACGGGCATGAGCCACCACACCCAGCCAGGATCTTATTATTTCTTTGGAATGATTTGTGAAGGGAGTAATGGCTGTGGTTTTTTTTTATTGCTGTCATTGTACTTTGAGACAGTTCCAGGAAAGTAAAGACTGAGACTTCATCTTTCTTCATCCTTTAAAATGAAAGGCGAGGATTTGGCCAAGAAAGAAACATATCCTCCCTCCATGTCCTTCTCTACCCCTTTTCTTTCACAGGTGGATAAGCACAAGGAGAACCTAGCAGCTATCATGATTACATACCCATCCACCAATGGGGTGTTTGAAGAGAACATCAGTGACGTGTGTGACCTCATCCATCAACATGGAGGACAGGTCTACCTAGACGGGGCAAATATGAATGCTCAGGTGGGAACTGAAGAGGCCCGCCCTTAGTTCCCACTGAGAAAATGGATATGTGGAAAAAAAAAAAAATTCTGACTTCTTGAGAGGCTTCCTGCCTGAGGGAACTCAGACCCACGACCTGACCACTGGTGGTTGTTGATCTCTCATGGCCTTGGAAAGCCACTTATCCTGGCATCAGCTTTATCAGCTGTGAAATGGGGGCTCAAAGGGCCCAATCCTGATTACTTGGGGGACAGAGGATCTATGTACTGTGAACCTCTGAAGAAATGCTGTTGGGAGCCCCTGCAGGAGAGGAGTGACACAATCTTTTTGAGACTCTTATTGGTGTTTGCTTTTTTCCTTTTTCTTTCTTTCTTTCTTTTTTTAGATGGAGTCTCACTCTGTCGCCAAGGCTGGAGTGCAGTGGTGCGATGTCTGCTCACTGCAACCTCCACCTCCTGGGTTCAAGCAGTTCTGCTGCCTCAGCCTCCCGAGTAGCTGGGACTACAGGTGCATGCTGCCACACCCAGCTAATTTTTTTAAATTTTTTTATTTTTATTTTTGTATTTTAGTAGAGATGGGGTTTCACTGTGTTGCCCAGGCTGGTCTTGAACTCCTGAGCTCAGGCAATCCACCTGCCTCAGCTTCCCAAAGTGCTAGGATTACAGGTGTGATCCACCACGCCCGACCTCTTTTTTTTTTCCTACCATTTTAGAGCCTTTCTTTGGTTCTCATTCATTTCACAAGTGTAATCCAGAGATTGTCTATTGGTTCTGTAGCATAAATGAATTCTGTACCTTTGGTCACCATCAAAATTAGTCCTAACACCCAAGTGGTGGGAAGGCTAGTGGGATGGCATGCCTGGTATCTGGGTCATCTCGGGAAGACTGCGAGCCTTGCCTTCCCTCTCTCAGTTCAGCCTCCTCCCTGGTGCCCCCGCAGCCCCTTCCATCACTGTGCCCAACGGGGCCGTTCGGTAACGTGCATCATACTAAAGCCGACCACGCAGGGGAAGGTAGCGCTGCTCAGGGAAGAGTTGCCTATTTCAACAACATGGAGGTTCTGCCCTTTCTTGTGTTAGAGACACTTCTCTCCCTTTGTGGTGTGTGGATAATTAGGAAGAGACTGTGTATTCAAATCCATATTTTTAAATCTAAATTGGACTAAATGGTCAGTTGCTATTTCCATAGCAACCACAAGCACTCTGCCTATCGGATGCCAGTTTGTGACTACGGAACTGGGCCAGTATAGAGGACATTTCTGTGAACACCATGGATGTGGCTCTGCCTGCTTTTCCTCTGAGGGGAGAAGGCAGCACCGGCCAGCCATGGCCTTCACACTGGAGGGTGCTTCCAAGCTCTTGACTTTTGCTTTTGGCCCTTGCCTTTGTGGTAGGTGGGAATCTGTCGCCCTGGAGACTTCGGGTCTGATGTCTCGCACCTAAATCTTCACAAGACCTTCTGCATTCCCCACGGAGGAGGTGGTCCTGGCATGGGGCCCATCGGAGTGTAAGTTCTGGGCTGCTGGTTTCAGGATGGCTTTGGAGACAGAATGAAGGAGTGGCCCTAAATAGACTACTCATCCCATCAAAGTCTTCATGTGTTGAGGATACCCTCATCGGTGTAGTGCACTTGTAGGGGCTGGGGGAGGAGCAGCAAAATGGGTGCTTTTAGGGGATTTCCAAAGAAAAGCGTAATTAGATTTTACTAACCATAGCATCTGGCCTCACTGAGCTTCCAGTTGCACATAGACAGCAGGTTTATTAACAGAATAATGAATAGGGAACTTCACCTGAGCATACGTATTGTAACTGGAATATTGGCACTAGAAAGTGCCTTTCGGACTTTTGGATTTCCTAGCATTTTTTTTTTCTTTTTTAAAATCAGCTAATGGTTCCATTGAAAGTGAATTAGATGTAAGGTGTTGAGATAAGTAACACATAAGTAAGGAAGAAACAAACCTGGTTACTAGAAATAATTGGATGAAGCCAGAGTAGGACTGAAGGAATATTTCTTAGCTGTGGATAACTTTTTACACTGAAATCAAATCATCTTGGGAAAATGATGATGAGAGCAGCTGTTTTCCTGAGCTGCTTCAGTCTCCCAAAAATATGCTAAAGAAGTCAGTTTTCAGAGTTGCTGGAAGCTTGGCCTTCTTACTTTTTTCTTCTTTCTTGTTTTTTTTTTCTTGGACTACGGTTAAAGTGAGATTCATTTTGATGATGATTATTTCTAGTAAATGTGTGAGCTCCAGTGCTTCAGCTGTCAGGGAGGTGGGGAGAATGATGTTCATGTCAGCCCATGGGGCATCTTCTCATCAGCCCCTCCTATGTCCATCTTGGGAAAGTGTATAGGGGTGAGGGAATGGGGCTGGGAGTGGGAGGGAGGGACATGGAACTCCACTGTTTTATGGCTGCCTGCCTCTATCAAGCCCTCCACCACATTTCTTGGGTGAGCCCTGGGACACTGATGGCTGGTGGACCTCCACCAGAGGAGGAAGGAAGGAAGGATCGCTTCCTGAACATCTGCCTCCCAGCAGGTGGAGAGTCCCTTCCACTGTCAGAGCTCCTCTGCTAAGAACAAGGCTTTCTGGGAGGGCCCAGAACCTTCCCATTAGATTAAACTGAATCGTTTACATTTTCTGAATTTGCACTTAAAAAAAATACAGGAAGAAACATCTCGCCCCGTTTTTGCCCAATCATCCCGTCATTTCACTAAAGCGGAATGAGGATGCCTGTCCTGTGGGAACCGTCAGTGCGGCCCCATGGGGCTCCAGTTCCATCTTGCCCATTTCCTGGGCTTATATCAAGGTGAGGCCTGGGAGTATGTGCAGGTGTGCAGGTGGGTGGGGGCGTCAGGCATGCATGGGGACCGGATACTGCAGACTTCTTGGCTTAAAAACAAATAAATTCATGATCTGAGATGTGGTTCAAAGAATATTGCTGATGGCCTGGGTGGAAGAAACCTTCCTGAAGAGATGAGCTAAAAATCATTTCATCTCTCCTTCATTACACTACTTCTTTTGGGTTCTCAGAGTGGGTTTAACATCAGAGAAACTGAAACATCAGATATATTTTTCCAGACACAGCTAAGTTCCATGAGTCATATGGATGTTCTGGCCGCATCCTTTGGTTTCCTGCAGGATTTATATAGCCCCTTCCGAGTGAAAAGCAGTGCATGTACTAATTATTCCACTTTGCTGAGATCCTGCTATATATCTCACTTTGCTATATATTTCTTGGGGGGGGCCAGAGGAGAAGATGAAAAATAGCAGAAATTTGCTTCTCTGGTTTTTCCCCAGAGCTCTTTGGCCTTTAGGGTTTGTGGTGCTGTGCTCTCTGCGTAATTAGTCAGAGTACAGGCTTCCTTCCTTTGTCTTATTCCAAATAACACCAGGGCCAGAGTTGATTTTCTACAGTTCTTGTTCACACTGCCCTGCCCACCTCCTGGACTGACAAGACTGTGAATAAGAACACTTGTTTGGCTGCTCATTAGAGCAGTCTCCCCAAAGCAGTGCCCCTCTTTAAAGGAAGGCGGGCTCCCACTGAAACAAAACCCCCAAAACGCAGCTATGCCAATCATTCCAGAGGACTCTGTGGAGCTGACTGTTTATTTCTGGAACAGCATGGCATTTATGATTCTTCACGAAAAGTTTCTTGGAAGCCGGAACAATTCTGTACCTCAGACACTAACACTTGCTTTTAAAAATGATACTCAAGTTGTTTTGCAAACAACACAAGCAATCAGAATAAAGGTCTGCTTCTTTGTAAGCAGAATCAAATTCCACTTCCCTTTTGATCTCTGGGTTCTGTAAATCTGGGTTATTTGTATGAACATATTTGGGTTGGAGATGACTTCCCACATATAGGAAATAAATGCCCCAAGGTTGGTTTGGCTACATGCCTGGAACAACAGCTGGTGCCTCAGTTTAAAAACTAAATAAATAAAGTAGGGTTTAAGCTGCCCCCTCTGGCCTTGGGCCTTCTCTTATTTCAGGCTGTTATTACTTATCCCCTGGACTCTAGCTTTAGCTGCTTCTCTCCCTGCTGCAATTCCACAGGCGCACCTACAGGACTGCTAGACTCACCCTAGGCCCCCACGTATCTCTCGTGGCTTCCTGTTGCTTTACCTGGTTCTCACTAGCCTGCACGAAATCCTTAGGGGATTCTTTCAGAATGCACATGCCTAGGCCCCATTCCAAGGAGAACCAAACTGAGCACATGTAGGGTTGGACTTAAGCCGTCTGCATTTTTAAAAAATCCCCCCATGAGACATAGGTTGAGAGCCAGTGGTTGGCTGGACAAAGTCGAAGTCCTTCCTAGAGAAGTTTTGGGCTTAAAAATGGAGTCACAACTCACCTTGCCCTACATCCACTCCCAGATGACAGTCATGTGCCCTCCCCTTCCACGCCTTCATTTCTGCCATTCTTCTCACCTGGTATACCTTCTCCTTTCTCTTTCCCTATCCGAATTCTACTTATTTCTAAGTTTCTAGCCAAGTTCTGGCTCTTAATCTAGGAACCCTTCTTTGACCAGCCTGGAGCAATGTGGCCCCTTTTTACTTTGGACCCCCTTAATGATACCAAAGTACTACTGTTGTTTTATTTGGTGCTCTCTCATTCTCTTTACATTAGTTATGTATTTAATATATATGCCAACTCCATCACATGTGAGGTACTCTGGGAAGAAAGTAGGCCATAAGAATTGGTGCAGTCTTGATTTGAAGCTCTTTGCAGTGATGATGTGTATCCCTTATGATCACAGGGACTCTTAACTACCAGGACAAGATTGAGCAGTTTTTAAACATAAGCAGCCTCTACTAGGGACAATGGGAAAATAAACCAGACAAAATTGCTTCCGTGGAGATATTGGCCCAGATCCCATCGGATTCCTGGCAATTATCAAGACCTCTCAAATTCATAGTAAACAAACAAAAAAATCACAAAACACATGTAATTTAAGAACAATTCTTTTCTCTCTTTAGATAACACAGTAGTCAGTAGTCAGCTTGCCCTGTTGTAGGCTTTGCTACTACAATAAAGAACGTAAAACTACTATTAAAAGAAGAAAACAAAAATGTATTACAGGCTTACAGGGATCTGACAGATATCCTTGTTGGAATTTTCCACTCATCTTTACTCCAGAGTCATGGTGGGCTGCCTTCCTTTGTGGGTGGAGTTTATCTGGGGGTGTCTTTTGGTTGGTTTCTTCACATTCGTGTTTGCCTGTTCAATGGCTAATGGCTCTTTTTCCCTTTGTTGCAGATGATGGGAGGCAAGGGTCTTAAACAAGCCACGGAAACTGCGATATTAAATGCCAACTACATGGCCAAGCGATTAGAAACACACTACAGAATTCTTTTCAGGGGTGCAAGAGGCAAGTATCAACTTTAATCTATCATTACTTTGGTTTTTTTCTTGGCCAAACTAAGTTTGACCTAGATGCGCTTTTCTGACATGGGCAAGAGACTTCTATTTCTTAGCACATATCAGAAAATAGTGTAGAGTTCTTGGAAATAACTCGGGTTTATTTTATTTTATCTTGTTATTTTTGAGATAGAGTCTTGCTCTGTCACCCAGGCTGGAGTCCAGTGGCAGGATCTTGTCTCACTGCAATTTCTGCCTCCCGGGTTCAAGCGATTCTTTTGCCTCAGCCTCCCGAGTAGCTGGGACTACACGTGTGCACCACCATGCCCGGCTAATTTTTATATTTTTAGTAGAGACAGGGTTTCACCATATTGGCCAGGCTGGTCTCGAACTCCTGACCTCAGGTGATCCACCTGTCTCAGCCTCCCAAAGTGCTGGGATTACAGGCATGAGCCACCACGCCCAGCCATAACACCACTTTAGTTAACTGTTTAGGGGCATTACTATATGCAGGTTTCTCCTAGGCTCCTAGTCTACACAGCAGCCCAGGTCAATAAAGATTCCACAACACTGAAATGTGTACATAAATACCATAAGCTAATTATTTACAAAGTGCTATGATATGCCTTGAAAGAGTAGAGTAACTCAGACTGGGTAGAGGCAGGATAGAATGGTTGACAGCGCCTTCTTGCTGGAGCCATTTGAGATGGGCCTGGAAGCCAGCGTAGCCGATGAGAGCCTGAGTAAGCAGAGACACAGGAGCAAACCAGAGAAAAGAAAGCTCTCTGGTCTGGAGTGAAGGATGGGATAGGGGAGAGGGAGCAAATGACAATGAGGCTGGAAATGTAGCGTGGGGCCTTGAAGGCCTTGGAAGGCTCTGGACTTCACCCTTGAGCTGGACAATAGCCATTAAAGGTTTTTGAGCAGGGGAGGGTAGGGATTCATGAAGAGACCGTTACAATCATTAAGACGGCGGCAAGGGGGAAACATGCCTTAGAGGTAGCAAGGGGCTGGGGTGGTGGCTCACACCTGCAATCCTGTAATCACACCTGTGATTGAAGGTTAGCTAGCCTCTAGGGCTTACAGTAGAGGGAATAATAGGCAGGGGAACAAAGTCACCCTGGAAGTGATGGGAGGGAACTAAAAACCAGGCATCCTTTTACACATTGGGCTGTGGGCTCAGGACCTAATAGCTGAGTCTTGGAAGTGGTGAGGCCCCAGGAAAGAATATTGAAGGTGAGAAGCCAGAACAAAACGCCTCAAGTAGATGGCTACATTAAGAGGGAGGGAGAAGTTGGGTGCCTGGTGAGGGGCACTCCACACCTGAGGCAGCTTTAGAACCCTGGCAGTGCTTGGCACAGTGCCTCTCCCTCAACACCCCTGCCTGGCCCTCCTGCTGCCGTGTGGCTCCACCTCCTCCCTGCAGCCTCCACTCCCTCCTCTTGCCCACCCCCGACCCCACCCCGGAGCAGCTGCTCTCCCACTTGGTATTGTCTGGCTCTGTCCATCTGACTCCAGGGTCCAGGAGAGAGTGGAGGCTGCGCCTGCTTTGTTTCTCTGGCAGTCAACAGACAAATGCACGTGATGACGCATAATAAGGAGAGACACTGTAAAGAGCGGGTGGCTGATTTAATCTTACTTAAGTTTATTTAGATTTTTTCTGCTTTTACTGAGGTATGATTGACATCTGATTTTAAATTATGAGTCTTAAAAGGAACCTTTGTCTATAACAATTAGGAAGCCTTTGGTAGCCTTTGAAAGTAGTTTGGGCACAATGGTGAGGCAGACGCTGGGTGTTTAAAATGGGCTGAGATGTGGATGGAGGTCGGGAAGGAGAGGGGAAAAGGATTCCATGTTTGCAGGTAGTGAAGGAGGAGGGGGCTGCTTCAGTAGGATGTAGTTATATTTTCTTTTTAACTATGAAAACAACATGATTTTAAGCTGTGAGAAGGGAGAGCAAAGATACCTTTGAGAGAAAAACAGATGGGGGAACAAAGTCACCCTGGAAGGGAAAGGCTGGAACTGAGAACCAGGTACAAGTCCTTGCTATGGGCCCAGAGTAAGAGCAGGACAGAGACCAGGACCTGGAGCTTAGATCAGAGAGACAGACGTCAGGAACCAGCCCACCCGCCTGCACCTGGGCAACAGCAACAAAGCGCTTATGGGATCTTGGTTTCTCTGGTCCAGGTGGAATGTAGCTCTATAGCTGTGATCTTTAATTTAATGGCTGGTCTTACCTTATAAATCAGTATCCAAAGGGGTGGTTCCACAGTTTGAAAAAGAATAGGACCAAATAACCAGAAGTGCTGGTTAAAATGCTCCCCAGAGAGCAGAAAACACAGTTGTGGGCAACATGTCTCTAAGCAGCACAATAAAATGCTTCTGTGAAGTGGGTACTAAAGAAGTGACAAGAGCTTCTGATTAATTCAAATCTAGCTTAGCTCCTGCTCTGTGAAATGTATCCTGCTTGTGTATTGGCTTTAAGGAATAGCTTCAATATTTATTTCATCAGATTACATAAATAATGTATATATGCTCAACACGGACATTTTGGAAAATAATAAAGCATGACAAAGAAAATGTAAATGGTCCATGGTTCCATCAATCAGTTATAGCCATTACTAATATTTTCTGTATTTCTTCTCCTCTTTGTTTGTACAATTGATCATACTACAGATAGTTTTATTAGTTTGTTGTCCAGGCTGAAGTGCAGTGGTGCCATGGCAGCTCATTGCAATCTTCAGCTCCTGGGCTCAAGTCATCCTCCTAACTCATCCTCCCAAGTAGCTGGGAACACAGGCATACACCCGCCACACCTGGCTAATTTATTTATATATATATTTTTTGTAGAGACGGGGTCTTGCTCTGTTGCCCAGGTTGGTCTTGAACTCCTCTGCTCTAGTGATCCTCCCACCTCGGCCTCCCAAAATGCTGGGGTTATGGGTGTGAGCCACTGCACCTGGCCTACAAATACAGTTTTTAGCCTATTTTTTAAATGTATATTATGAGCATTTTCCCCTGTCACTAAATATTCTTTGAAAGTGGCACTGTCAATTCCATTGTGTAGATGTGCCATGATTTAACCAATTGTATAGTTTTTCTTCCCTTTGTTTGCATTTATTACAATGTGGCCGTGAGTATCCTTTGCTTGAAATTTTAAAGAATTTTGCCTGATAATTTCCTTAGGAGAGAGTCATAGAAAAAATTATTATCTCAGAGGATATAAATGCACTGAAGCTTTTGACATGTATGGCTTCAATTTTTTTCCCAGAGACTTTGTGCCAATTTATCTCACAGTGATAACATATGAGAGTGGCCATCACACAGGGGCCTAGTGAGGACTGAGAACTAGACAGAAGAACAAGTAAACAATATATCATGGCCAATTTGATAGGTGAAAATGACCTTATTGTTTTAGTATATGTAGCCAATGCGCTCAATGTTTCCCTAGTTCTTAGTGCCAGCCTTGTCCATCCAGGGTAACTGTGTTCCCCCATCTGTTCTGTCTACTTCCTTCTCCTTCACAGCTGACTCTCTGATTTCACAGCTTAAAATCATGTTGTTTCCATATCTTAAAAAGACATATAACTGCATCCTATTGGTTTTTTCCCTAATTGCTTATTTGTTCATATTTTAAACTTCCTCACGTTTAATTTTATTTAGTAGCAGCCGGGTGTGTTGGTTCACACCTGTAATCCAAGCACTTTGGAAGGCTGAGGCGGGTTGTCTAAAAGTATGACACTTACATTTAATATATAGTACCTAATAATAATGATAAAGACTATGCTGCTGGTTTATGTATTCACTACATAATGCTTCTTATCATTATTATTATTATTATTATTATTTTTGAGACAGAGTCTCGCTTGGTCACCCAGGTGGGAGTGCAGTGGTGTGATGTTGGCTCACTGCAACCTCCGCCTCCCAGGTTCAAGCGATTCTCCTGCCTCAGCTTCCCCAGTAGCTGGGACTACAGGTGTTCATCACCACGCTTGGCTGATTTTTGTATTTTTAGTAGAGACAGGGTTTCATCCTGTTGCCCGGGCTGGTCTCAAACTCCTGACCTCAGGTGATCCTCCCACCTTGGCCTCCCCAAATGCTGGGATTACAGGCGTGAGCCACTGCGTCTGGCCCCCATCATTATTTTAGAGTGTATTCCTTCTACTGTAAAAAAAAAATGTTAACTGTAAAACAGCTTCAGGGCGGTCCTTCAGGAGGTATTCCAGAAGAAGGCATTGTCATCACAGGAGATAGCAGCTCCGTGTGTGTTACTGTCCCTGAACACCTTCCAGAGGACAAGATGTCGGAGGTGGGGCTAGGTGCTGTGGCTCATGCCTGCAATCCCAGCAGTTTGGGAGGCCAAGCCGGGAGGGTTGCTTGAGCCCAGGAGTCTGAGACCAGCCTGGGAAATATCATGAGACCTGTCTCTTCCAAAAAAAAAAAAAAAGAAAAAATTAACCACCATGGTGGTGCACACCTGTAGTCCCAGCTACTTGGAAGGTTGAGGCAGGAGGATTGCTTGAGCCTGGGAAGTTGAGGCTGCAGTGAGTTGTAATGGTGCCACTGCACTCCAGCCTGGGTGACAGAGTGAGACACTGTCTCAAAAAAAAAAGATGAGGAGGTGGAAGACAATGATATTGAGCATCCTGAATCTGTAGGCCTAGACAAAGGTGTGTGTTTGTGTCTTAGTTTTTAACAAAAAAGTTTAAAAAGTAAAAAGAAATTAAATATAGAAGAAAGCATATAGAATAAGGACATTGAAAAAGAAAATATTTTTGTACAGCTGTACAATGTATTTGTGTTTAAAGTGTTATTACAAAAGAGTCAGAAAGGTTTAAAAAATTTAGTTTATAAAGTAAAAAAGTTACAGTACGCTGGGCATGGTGGCTCACGCCTATAATCCCAGCACTTTGGAAGGCTGAGGCGGGCAGATCACTTGAACTCAGGAGTTCGAGACCAGCCAGGCCAACATGGTGAAACCCCGTCTCTACTAAAAATACAAAAATTAGCCAGGCATGGTGGTGGACATCTGTAATCCCAGCTACTCGGGAGGCTGAGGCATAATAATCGCTTGAACCCAGGAATAGGAGGCTGCAGTGAGCCGAGATTGCGCCACTGCACTCCAGCCTGGGCAACAGATTGAGACTCTGTCTCAAAAATAAAAAAAGTTACAGTAAGCTAAGGTTAATTTATTATTGAAGAAAAAAGTTTTTTTAAATAAATTAATATAGCCTAAGTGTACAGCGTTCACAAAGTCTATGGTAGTATACAGGAATGTCCTAGACCTTCCCGTTCACTCACCACTCACTCACTGACTCATCCAGAGCAACTTCAGCCCTGCAAGCTCCATTCATGGTAAGTGCCCTACACAGATGTACCATTTTTTATGTTTTATGTCGTATTTTTGCTCTGTCTTTTCTATGTTGAGATATGTTAAGATACACAGATTCGGACCATTGTGTTACAATTGCCTACAGTATTCAGTACAGTAGGAGCAAGAGGCTGTACCATGTAGCCTAGGTATATATAGTAGACTTTACCAACTAGTTTATGTAAGTACACCATGCTGTTTGCACAATGACAAAGTCATCTCACAATGCACTTCTCAGAACGTATTCCCTTCATTAAGTGATGCATGACTGTATTCTGCTAGAATGAGGAAAGAAAGGAATTACCTCAGGTAAGATGATACTTTTTTTTTTTTCTTTTTTTTGAGACAGAGTTTCGCTCTTGTTACCCAGACTGGATTGCAATGGCGCAATCTCAGCTCACCTCAACCTCTGCCTCCCGGGTTCAAGCGATTCTCCCACCTCAGCCTCCTGAGTAGCTGGGATTACAGGCATGCACCACCATGCCTGGCTAACTTTGTATTTTTAGTAGAGACAGTGTTTCTCCTTGTTGGTCAGGCTGGTCTCAAACTACCGACCTCAGGTGATCCACCCACCTTGGCCTCCCAAAGTGCTGGGATTACAGGTGTGAGCCATTGCCCCGGCAAGTTGATACATTTTAAAGGAAGAATTGCAAAAATCCACAGCTGTCTACTTTTATAGGAGGCAAAGGTTTGATCTGAATGGAGTTCCCATTAGTAGGAGGAGATGACTTTGTTAGTATCCCAACGTTTTCTTTATGTTTTAATTTCTTATATGCCTATCCATTTTTTTTTTTTTTTTTTTTGAGACAGAGTCTTGCTCTGTCACCCAGGCTAGAGTCCAGTGGTGCAATCTCGGCTCACTGCAACCCCCGCCTCCCCGGCTCAAGCAATTCTCCTGCCTCAGCCTCCCACTATGATTACAGGTGCCCGCCACTGCACTCGGCTGATTTTTGTATTTTCAGTATAGACGAGGTTTCGCCATGTTGGCTAGGCTTATCTTGAAATCTTGACCTCAGGTCTTCTGCCTTTTTTTTTGTTTTTCCATCAGACAAACAGCGACTTTGCCTGCAAATACCTGTCCCTGCGGAGGTTTCCAGGTGGCCCTTGCTGTATGGGTGGGCAGGGGCCTCAGGGGCTGGGCCCTCACATCCTTGGCTCACAAGTGACCCTGCTCAGTCCCGCTTACCTGACCTCATTCTCGGGGAAACCTCATTCTCGCTTGAACTACAGGGAAACAGCCGGGAGGTTTGATTCTGTTAGTCATGTTCTGTGGATTTCAGCTAAAAGGCTTGACCAAGCATTGATTGCCCAGCAGAGCTTTCCAGAGTAGTTACCCAGTGAGTTCATTTATTCCTCAGCAGCCGCCTTGAGGATGGGGGATAAGTAAGGTCTGGTCCCTTCTCTCAAGGAGGGTTTTGAGCAGCCCTATTTTTTCACAGCACACTCCCATATTGTTCTTACCCTCAGAAGACAATCAACATATGGGGGCGGTGGTTCCCACTTAGATAGCCACCCAACGTTTACCTTGCTTTTCCTTCATCCCCCCCCCTCCTGTCCTCCTTGCCCCTTTCACGTGGTACCTTCTCAGCTGTAGTCACTGTTAGGTCCAGCAGAAACACCTACTCTGTTAACACGAAAAGTTGGTGCTGAGTGGTTTATTCAGTTTCCACTTGATATCGCCCCAACATTGCCCTATAGCAGGTTTGTGTGTCCTAAAAGCTGCAAAGAACATCTTAGGATCTGGCTTCTGACAGCCACCAAGTTGAAATTTCATCCCTTTCAGGGCTCACATAGAGATGGAGAGAGATGCTGGAATTCCACCGCAGTTTCTATTTGAACGCAATAGAGTATGGATTTAGAAAATAACATCTGAACCTCATTTAGAAAATGGAGCTCTTCCTAAACCTCTTGGCTATGGTGGGGACCTCTTCAGATGGCACTGTAGTATTAGCAGTGCTGTGTTGGGCTTGGCTTGACGGTGCCTTTCAGCTATTACTGAACCTCTGCTTGGAAGACTCTCCTCTTGCGCTGCCAGCAAGAGTGCCTCCTCCCCCACTGTGTCTCTCCCCTCCTCCCCTCCCTGCTGTCTGGTGTCATTCCGAGCAGTGAGCTTCCATTAGCCTTCGTCCTCCAATCATTGTCACAATCAGGGCATTTTGTTTTGTTTAAGAGACGGTCTTGCTTTATTACCCAGGCTGGAGTACAGTCACATTATCATAGCTCATTGCAGCCTCAACCTCCTGGGATCAAGCGATTCTCCCACCTCAGCCTCCCAAGTAGCTGGAACTACAGATGTCTGCCACACACCTGGCTAATTTTTAAATATTTTGTAGGATAGGGTCTTGCTTTGTTGCCCAGGCTGGTCTCCAACTCCCAAGCTCAAGCAATCCTCAGCTGAGCATTTAAGAGTCCTGGTATTAATAGTTGATAAAAACTTAGTCTAATGATTTTCCCCTTGAACATTCCACTTACTATTCTGTTTCAGCATTTTTTCCCTATGTTTACCTACCCATGAATAGGATTTTCTACCTCTTTTTTTTTTTTTTTTTTTTTTTTGAGAAAAGGTCTCACTCCGTCACCCAGGCTGGAATGCAGTGATGTGATCTCGGCTCACTGCAGCCTTGACCTCCTGGGCTCAAATGATTCTCCCACCTCAGCCTTACACGTAGCTGGTACTACAGGCAGGCACAACTGCACCTAGCTAATTTTTTGTTTTTTTGTAGAAACAAGCTCTCACTATGCTGCCCAGGCTGGTCTCAAACTCCTGGGCTCAAGCGATCTTCCTGCCTCGGTCTCCTGAAATGCTGGGATTACAAGTGTGAGCTACCATGCCCGGCTGAATTTTCTGCTTTTGAATCATACTCCTTACAGTTTATTCCCCATCATTGTTAGAAAGCATGTTTTGCCTGGGCGCAGTGGCTCACGGCCTGTAATCCCAGCACTTTGGGAGGCTGAGGTGGGGGGATCACTTGAGCCCAGGAGTTTGAGACCAGCCTAGCCATAGTGAGACCCCATCTCTACAAAAAATACAAAAATTAGCTGGGCATGTGGTGCACACCTGTAGTCCCAGCTACTCTCAGGAGGCTGAACTGAGAGGATTGCTTGGGCCCAGGAGGTCAAGGCTGCAGTGAGCTGTTATGGCACTACTGCACTCCAGCCTGAGTGACGGAGCGCTCAACTGTGTCTCAATTTCTTTTTTCCTTGAGACAGAGTCTTGCTCTGTCACCAGGCTGGAGTGCAGTGGCATGATCTTCGCTCACTGCAACCTCCGACTCCCGGGTTCAAGCAATTCTCCTGTCTAAGCCTCCCAAGTAGCTGGGACTACAGGCATGCGCCACCACGCCCAGCTAATTTTTGTATTTTTAGTAGAGATGGGGTTTCACCACGTTGGCCAGGATGGTCTTGATCTCTGGACCTCGTGATCCGCCCGCCTCGGCCTCGCAAAGTGCTGGGATTACAGGCTTGAGCCACCGCGCCTGGCCCCTATTTCAATGTTTTTGAAGTTTTTTTTTTTTTTCTTCAAGCGTGGTTTAAAAATATGCAGTTTCAGTATATTCAGAGTCTTACGCTCTTTATAGTTTTATTTTCAAACAAAACCACTTCTTTTTTTTTTTTGAGATGAAGTCTCGCTTTGTCTCCCAGGCTGCAGTGCAGTGGTGCCATCTCGGCTCACTGCAACCACCACCTTCCAGGTTCAAGCAATTCTCTCACTCAGTCTCCCGAGTAGCTGGAACTACAGGCACCCGCCCCTACACCTGGCTAATTTTTGTAATTTTTTTTTCGTAGAGACAGGGTTTCACCATGTCGGCCAGGCTGGTTTTGAACTCCTGACCTCAAGTGATTTGCCTGCCTCAGCCTCCCAACGTGCTGGGATTACAGGTGTGAGCCAATGAGCCCAGCTCCACCTCTTTCATGTTTATTCATTCTATAAGAAGCAGAGCAGTTCGTAGACTGTCTTCAGGGGCTATTAATTACTGGAGCTATTCTTCACAGGCTTGAGAAGTTATGCTTGCTCTGAGTCTCTATAAGTGGATTCATTTTTGCTGAGAGTGAGGAAAGTGGGTTAAGAAGAAGGAGTACATCATTATCTCATGAGTAGATACTTTCCTGGAAGGAAATTCATCAGTTGGTGGACCGTGGAATTTGGGAAGCCCCGGAGGAATATTGGTCTATTTATTAAAACGCTGACTTAATGGTTTATTCCTGATGATGGTTGTGTGGTCAGTAGCTCATTCTGGGGAGCTACTGGCAGCCTGGACCTAGAGAAGAAGCCTGTTTATGAACTACAGGTCGAATATCCCTAATCTGAAAATCTAAAACTTTTTCTAAAAATTTATATTTATTTTTTTGAGACAGGGTCTTGCCCCTATTACCCAGGCTGGAGTGCAGTTGTGTGATCGCGGCTCACTGCAGCCTCGACTTCCCAGGCTCAGGTGATTCTATTTTTAGTAGGGCTAGGGTTTGGCCATGTTGCCCTGGCTGGTCTGGAACTCCTGATCTAAAACGATCTGCCCACCTCAGCCTCCCAAAGTGCTGGGATTACCAGCATGAGTCACTGTGCCTGGCCTGAAAATCCAAAACTTTTGGGTGCCCACATGAGGCTCAAATAAAGATCTGTAATTTCAAATAAGGGATATGTCATTGGTAGAACAAAGTGAACTGGGTCGCACAGACTTTGGCCTCATTAACTCCTTGTTACTTACGGTATACTGTTTGACGTCGCGTATTTCTAATTCTTTGTTTGCAGCCTGAAACCAAAACATCAAAAGGTCCTTCAAAGAAACATAAAATTCTGTATGTGTCTTATGGATATATGTTTAATATATCCATACCTATATATACGCAAAAGTAATTATTTGATGTTGAGGGTAAAGTTGCTGAAAAGTGTCAATGGCTCTAGAAATATTTTGTATAAAAGGATCAGGACTATACAACACATTTAACTGTTGCAAGTAGATTTTATGTCCGCAGAATAGAAATAATCTCATCCCCAGACACCTCCGGTCATATGTTCAGTAATGCCCCCCACCTGCCATTAGCCATAATCAGGTTCACAGGTGTGTAGTGAGCTGAAGATAAGACACATCGGCACAGTGTGCTAAACATTTTTATTTGTAATAAGACTAAATGAAACCTTTATTGCCAATAATAAACTTACCCGGTGCCCATGGCTTCTTGGTCCTCGCTGATACACATAAAAAGCTGATGCACTTATTTATTAAATTACTTATTCATTTGTTTGGGTAAAACAATAAGCTGATGCTAATCTTGGGCTGAAACAACTTTCCTGAACAGGTTATGTGGGTCATGAATTTATTTTGGACACGAGACCCTTCAAAAAGTCTGCAAATATTGAGGCTGTGGATGTGGCCAAGAGACTCCAGGATTATGGTAAGTGGCTTTTGACATTCATGCCGCCGCCCATGCTGGCTGTGGACCACTTCCTAAAGCACAAATGGAAAATGCAGGCACCACAGTAAACTGATCTGGGGGATAAATGGGGAGCTCAGGGTTCTTGGCAACCTCCAAAATAATAGAGAAAAAAGTTTGCTTATGACTGCACTGGTCCTGCCCTTCAGAAGATATTAAAATATGCATCTTGAATCCATTAACAGCCAAGAAAAGTGTTTAAGATTAAAATTAAAACCCCTTTGAGTTGCAGTGAGTGTAGTGGTAAAGGAGACAGAGCAAGTAACCCATCGAAGTGGTAGAGACAAATGGCATTGGAGTTTTATAGCCACCTCTGTCATGGCGTAGCTGTTTCAGCTGCTTCTAGAGATGAAGAAATAAGTGTAGTAGTTTTCACAAAGAAAATGCAACTTTCTTTGAAGCATTTTGAAAGACACGGACACTTTACCTGTGCATTAGTGGGTGTTCATTCAGCTCAGCTCACTACATTTTCCTAGTGAACAATGTTATTAATATTAAAATATTAAGACCATATTACTTTTTTGGGGGTTGGGGAGACAGAGTCTCACTTTGTCGCCCAGGCTGGAGTGCAGTGATGTGATCTCAGCTCACTGCAACCTCCACCTCCTGGGTTCAAGTGATTCTCATGCCTCAGCCTCCCACGTAGCTGGGACTACAGGTGCACACCACCATACCCAGCTATTTTTTTATATTTTTAGTAGAGATGGGGTTTCACCATGTTGGCCAGGCTGGTCTCAGTCTCCTGAGCTCAGGCAATCCACCCACCTCGGCCTCCGAAAGTGCTGGGATTACAGGTGTGAGCCAGCACGCCCAGCCAATATTACTATTATAATAATATGAAAATGATAATAATATCAAGGATCTTTCAATTCTCAGAAAGGCTAAGTTGGGGAGAACATTGCCATTCAATGGATATGGAGTCCTCTCTGAGTTTTAATGACTTGTTTTTGGAAAAAAAGAAAAAAATCTTTTAAATTTAATAGTTTCACTACTGCATCATAATGGGAATCCCATGTGTGTGACTCACTCCTCTCTTGAATGAATGATCTTATTATGCAGTTACACTGATAATAGATGGGAAAGCCAGAGAAAGGCTTCATTAATGAAATTACCAATCCCATCCTCAAGATCTCTGCTTGGCAACTCTTGTAACCTGACAGTAGAACTCCTTTCCCCTGACAGCCTCCCGGCTAGCGATTGGGTAATGGCCGACTCAGGAAAACACACTCACTTTGTGGATGCCTTGCCTACTTCACACATCTAACTGCAACAGCATTTGCAAGGAGAGAGAGGAGGGGCTCACAGGGAGGTGGTAACTGAAGTCACCACCCAGTGTTTCTGAATCATGTTGTCTCCTGACCTCAATGTTGTTTTGAAGATTGATAGAACCGTTTCCACACTTGTCCAAAAGCCCAGAATTGTCCAGGTGCCTGGCACATAGTAGGCACTCAACACATAGTGTTAATAAATGAGAGACCAAATGAATAGCTAAGTCGAAAAACAATGAACATGACAACACAGTTTCCAGGTCTTAAAGCATAACCGCTGAATGTGAATTTTTAAGGAAGAGAGCTGATAATCTGTATATTTAACACGCAGCTTCTGTGTGAGTCTTTTCAGGCAATTTTGGGGCATACTGCCTTACCCAGCAGTTCCAGGCTAATTATCAGACCAATTATCAGAATCACCTGGCATGTTTTATGACTCATAGATTTTTGGACCCTACCTTGGACTTCCTGAATCAGGGCCCAGATGCAGGAATTTCTTTTGCAAGAACTTCTCAGGTGGTTCAAAATATGGGGACCACTACAGCAGGATATGTTGGACTGAATTTGCTCACACATGGAATTAAGGGCAGACGTGATAGGTAATCAGCTTGTTCTCTTAAAAAAAAAAAAAATCCCTGTCTGGTTTGAGTGACAAAGGTGTATGCATTTACCAAAACTCATTAAATGGTACAGTTAGGATTTGTGCATTTCACTGTAAGTTTTATCACAAAAATATGTGAACAGATACTGAATTCTAGTCATGATATATATGCTGAAGGGTTTAAGAGTGAAGTGTACTAATGACTGCAGTGTACTTTGAAATGCGTCAGAAAGTAAGACGGATGGCTGGATGAGTAGATGTGATAAAGCAAACAACAGCATTGTAGAATCTAGGTGGTGGGTATATGGGTGCTCACCTACAGTCCTTTCAACTCATCTGGATGTTAGTGTTTTTTTTTTAATAGAGACAAGGTCTTACTCTGTCACCCAGGCTGGAGTGCAGTGTTGTGATCTTGACTTACTGCAGGCTCACCTCCTGGATTCAAGTGATCCTCCCACCTCAGCTTTCTAAGTAGCTGGGATTACAGGCACATACCACCACACCCAGCTAATTTTTGTATTTTTTGTAGAGACGGGGTTTTGCCATGTTGCCCAGGCAGGTCTCAAACTCCTGGGCTTAAGCAATCCGCTGGCCTTGGCCTCCCAAAGTGCTGGGATTATAGGTGTGTGAGCCACAGCACTTGGCCTGAACATTTTTAAATAAAATGTTGGTAGAGAATGTTTGAAATCATGCAGATGTTACTTTAAAGTACTCCATGTAATAATGATGCTCACCAGAATTTGAGAACCACTGCACATTGGGGCAAGATTAGTTCAGAGGTGTATCAACCTGGGAGTTGTTCTTCAGCTTTTAAAAGTTTCATAGGCCTGGTGTGGTGGCTCATGCCTGTTATCTCTGCATATTGGGAGGCAGAGACAGGCAGATCGCTTGAGCTCGGTAGCCCGGACAACATGGTGAAACTCTGTCTATGCAACAACAACAAAATTAGCTGGGCATGGTGGCGTGCACCTGTAGTCTCAGCTACTTGGAAGGCTTAGGTGGGAGGATCACTTGAGCCCAGGAGGTTGAGGCTGCAGTGAGCCGTGAGTGTGCCAGTGCACTCTAACCTGAGCGATACAGCAAGACCCTGTCTCCAAAAAAAAAAAAAAAAATGCTTTACAGAAAAATTATAAGAAATGAAAATGTTGTTTTTGATTTTTGTCCTGGAAATCTGTCTCTTGACTACATACCTTGTTGCACTACCTTACATGTGAAAACCTTTGGAAACAGAAACACACTGAGCCTGTGTTCAATGTAAAGGCAAAGGCTTTCCACATACTGGCCAAACTTCAGTTTCCTTATCATACAAAATGGGGACAATAAGATTTGCTCCAGAGTCTTTAACACTTGTTATCTCATTATTTAACTTTTGATAAGCTATAATATTTTTATTTCTCTTAATTGCACATAATACATGATAATTACTGAAAGACTCTAAAATACAATCGAAGTGAAAGAAAAATCCCAGTCTCATTTTCCGGCCATATTTAGAGTTAACATTTTATGTTTTCTTCAAGGCATCTTCCCTCATAAAATACACATATAAGTACTTTGTCCTTTTATTTATATATAGAAATGGGATATCATTATGTGGCTTGCTTTTTTCACTTAATATTTTTGAATGTTTAGCCAGTTTAACACATTTATGTACTTTTGAATGGTTGTCTATTTACCATATAGGTGCTCTGTAAAATTTGCTTATCTGATCCCCCATTGTTGGATATTAGGTTGTTTCCTAAATTTTTCTTCTATGAACAGCACTGAGATGAGTCCCCACATACATACATTTGCAAATGTATCTGATGATTTTCTTAGGATAAAATATAAGAAGGGATACGAACTTTTCTTCCAAACTGGGTAGGCCACTGACCTTCAGTGAGGCAAGTTCTCCTGTCTCCCTTTGCAGGATTTCACGCCCCTACCATGTCCTGGCCTGTGGCAGGGACCCTCATGGTGGAGCCCACTGAGTCGGAGGACAAGGCAGAGCTGGACAGATTCTGTGATGCCATGATCAGCATTCGGCAGGAAATTGCTGACATTGAGGAGGGCCGCATCGACCCCAGGGTCAATCCGCTGAAGGTGCGTAGGCCCTGGAACATTGCTTGAAATGTTCCTTAAACTAGAAAATGATGTCTGGACAGTGTACCAGCAACTCCCGAACTCTCAACTGAGGATGATACTCTTCCCTAGAATAAGGTAATTCTTCTGAGAAGATGCAGTTGTTACTTTGAAGTTTCCATCGTCTTGAACAGCATAGCAGTTACTCAAGGATGATGTGGTTGTGGAAGCTGTCCACAGCTGTCTAGTTGGAGAATTTGTAACATTCTGCATCTCTGTTTGATGTACTGTAGTGAGATTATGGCATAAATAAAATTTACATATTCACATCACAAACTCTGTACAAGCACACATTCTTATATTAGAGCAGTTATCTCTGAGAAAACTGGATTGACATTTGGACTGGATGTTACAATGTTTATGCCCCATGTTGGGGAAAAGTTGGTTGGGCATTACTCTGCCGCTTCCAAAACATGTTAATTTTACATCTGGTCAGAGTCCTAAGTTTCTTGTTAGTCCAGATATTAAGCTGGAAGATCAGGAGTGGAGAATACCATGAAGGCTGTGGTTGTGTCTTCATGGCTGTAAGCCAGAGAACAAGTCTGATATGACTGCAGCAGCTGGGGCAGGTTTCCAAACTGCCTACCTGTAGGAGAGGGCAGGGACCAGTGACTTGCAGAAGGCAGGCACCTCTCTAGAGGTGAGTTCACAGAGTCATGGAGGCATACAAGATGATTATGCTTACCACCGTTTATTACTCTTTTCTCTCTGAAGACACCTGCTTCTTTCAGGATTTAGGCTATTTTTTTAAATGGCAATAAACATTTCAAAGAGCATAATAGTGAGTTATAATACAAGTGGATAATACCACTCATATGATGATATCAGATTTTAAAATGAGCCAAATTATGCTATATGCAGTTTATTAACATATGCAGTAATAGTATAAAAGCATGATGAGAATGGTAAACACCGAATTCAGAAGAGTGGTTAGCACTGGGATGGGGATATACAGGCAGCACCAAACGTGTAGGTAATTTTTTCTAAAAGATGAAGCAAATATGACAGAATGCTCATTAGACTTTACTGGGTGGTGGATGTGATGATTATTACCATAACGTTCTGATATTTAAAATATTTCACAATTATAAATCACATTGTACCCCCCTAAATTGAAAGAAAACAACAGCTTTCTCTGCCTGGGCTCCTGTCAGAAGATTGACGGTTGAGGTGCAGGGTAGGAGGAGAAGAGAGTGTATTGCTCTGACCCCTCCTCTGTCCGTGTCTCTGTCTCAGATGTCTCCACACTCCCTGACCTGCGTTACATCTTCCCACTGGGACCGGCCTTATTCCAGAGAGGTGGCAGCATTCCCACTCGTAAGTTCTCTGAATCTGAATGTGCCAGCTGGGAAGGCATGGGCCAGCTCCTATCCTGACGGGTGTACGCTCTTAGCCTCATGATTACAGAAACCATATGTGGGGCACCTTGTGAAATAAGGGTCTTGAAGAGGAATGAGGAGCAAAGAAATTGGCTTTCAGAGGCGAGGTCACACAGTATCAACCACAGATCTGGGAACCCATAGGGAACAGAGTGGGGGAAAACTGAATACGAGTCCTGCCCAGTGGACCAATGTGTTTCCCTCCACTGTGGGACAGGGAGATGGCGCCCAGTGCAACCTTCCTTTCCTTTCTGATTCTTATATGGAGGAGAAGGTTCTGTGTAGTCTGTTTGAGTGAGGTAGGGAGAAGGCTAAAAATGTGCCAAATTATGCTATGTGCTGTTTATGGATCTATGCAGTAATAGTATAAAAACATAATGAGAATGGTAAATCCTGTATTCATTGGAGAGGAGAGGAAACAAAATGATGCTTTTTTTTTCTTTCTTTTTTTTTTTTTTTTTTTGAGACGGAGTCTCGCTCTGTTGCCCAGGCTGGAGTGCAGTGGCATGATCCTGGGTTCACGCCATTCTCCTACCTCAGCCTCCCGCTGGGACTACAGGCGCCTGCCACCATGCCCGGGTAATTTTTTGTATTTTTAGTAGAGACGGGGTTTCACTGTGTTAGCCAGGAAGGTCTTGATCTCCTGAACTCGTGATCCGCCCACCCCGGCCTCCCAAAGTGCTGGGATTACAGGCGTGAGCCATCACGCCCAGCTGATGCTTTTTTTTTAATCGTTCAAATTTTTATTTTAATACACAGTATGAGAAATTAACTTTTTTTTTTTTTTGAGATAGAGTTTTACTCTTGTTGTCCAGGCTGGAGTGCAATGGCACCATCTCGGCTCACCACAACCTCTGCCTCCCAGGTTAAAGCGATTCTCCTACCTTAGCCTCCCAAGTAACTGGGATTACAGGCATGTGCCACCATGCCTGGCTAATTTTGCATTTTTAGTAGAGATGGGGTTTCTCCATGTCGATCAGGCTGGTCTCGAACCTCTGACCTCAGCTGATCTGCCTGCCTTGGCCTCCCAAAGTTCTGGGATTAAAGGCACGAGCCACTGCGCCCAGCCGAGAAATTAACTTTTAAATCAACTGAATTGTATGGAAAATGACATAGCAAATAAATTAGACCTATGTTAAAAGAGAAGGTCAGCTAAATATCCAAACTTAAGGATATAATGGGCAGATAAACATAGATTCCAAAGTCTTCTTTAAGCAGTTGAAGTCTTTCAAACACAACTTTGCTATAAACTGGTCCAGATATCAACAGCACATAGGGATGCTTAACAGGGGTGGTGATCAGGGACACGCCTCCTGGGAAATGCCTCTTTTTTTTAAATGGTAATGTAGGGTTGGATTTTAGGTTCTCAGAATATTTGCTGGGCTGATGGTGTCTTAGGTTGTGGGACTAGCATTGCCACCTCCTTTGCCCTAAGAGAAACCTCCCAGAACATCTCACAGCATTTCCATCTTTTGTCCTTTGCAGCCCTTCGTGAAACCAGAGAACAAATTCTGGCCAACGATTGCCCGGATTGATGACATATATGGAGATCAGCACCTGGTTTGTACCTGCCCACCCATGGAAGTTTATGAGTCTCCATTTTCTGAACAAAAGAGGGCGTCTTCTTAGTCCTCTGTCCCTAAGTTTAAAGGACTGATTTGATGCCTCTCCCCAGAGCATTTGATAAGCAAGAAAGATTTCATCTCCCACCCCAGCCTCAAGTAGGAGTTTTATATACTGTGTATATCTCTGTAATCTCTGTCAAGGTAAATGTAAATACAGTAGCTGGAGGGAGTCGAAGCTGATGGTTGGAAGACGGATTTGCTTTGGTATTCTGCTTCCACATGTGCCAGTTGCCTGGATTGGGAGCCATTTTGTGTTTTGCGTAGAAAGTTTTAGGAACTTTAACTTTTAATGTGGCAAGTTTGCAGATGTCATAGAGGCTATCCTGGAGACTTAATAGACATTTTTTTGTTCCAAAAGAGTCCATGTGGACTGTGCCATCTGTGGGAAATCCCAGGGCAAATGTTTACATTTTGTATACCCTGAAGAACTCTTTTTCCTCTAATATGCCTAATCTGTAATCACATTTCTGAGTGTTCTCCTCTTTTTCTGTGTGAGGTTTTTTTTTTTTTAATCTGCATTTATTAGTATTCTAATAAAAGCATCTTGATCGGAAGAATGCCTTTCTCTTGGTGTACTTTATAGTTTTACCACCGTTACAACCTAGATTCAGTGGGAGCTGAAGGGCAATGAGAACACCCAACCCAATAGCCATTGTTACATCATCAGTTTTGCCTTCGACTGGCTGAAGAAACAGTTGTCTTGGTCAACAGTGAAAACCACTTTGACCCTTTTTGTTGGAACTGAGTTAGAGTGCATGTAACTGTACTCCAGCTATGGAAGGTCAATCAAATAGCAATTTATCTTTTCTCATTTAAGTCCAGAGGTAATAAGCCAAGCACTGGTGCTCCTTCAGTTTTCCCGCTCTGCCCTCCTTTGCATAAAATTTTCATCCGCATGGTCTCAAGAAGGCTGTTGCATTTCCAGGCGTCTGACATACCCATTCTAGTTAGGATTAAAAGGGAAGAGCAAAGGCCAGGCGCGGTGGCTCATGCCTGTAATCCCAGCACTTTGGGAGGCTGAGGCGGGAGGATCACCTGAGGTCAGGAGTTGGAGACCAGCCTGGCCAACATGGTGAAACCCCATCTCTACTAAAAATACAAAAAATTAGCCGGGCATGGTGGTGCATACCTGTAGTCCCAGCTACTTGGGAGGCTGAGGTGGGAGAATTGCTTGAACCTGGGAGGCAGAGGTTGCAGTGAGCTGAGATTGCACCACTGCACTCCAGCCTGGGCAACAGAGTGAGACCTTGTCTCAAAAAAAAAAAAAAAAGAAGAGCAAAAGGCAGCTTCCACCCAAATCTGCTTCTTTTGAAATGTTTTCGAATATGTTCCACTCAGTAACTGCTGCAGCTGGCCAAAATTGGTTCAAATCTCACTCCCAGCTACAAGAAAGTGTGGGGAAGTCTGTTACCTGGGCATGTGACTGCCCCAAACAAAATCAGGAGTATGTTAATTTTTAAAAAGGTGGGGAGAATGGGTTTTAGGTTGGCAACTAGCATGCCTGCCACAAATGACTTTGCCTTAGAAGTAGCAAATGCTCTAATCATGACTACTTGGTTTCTTGCATGGCTGCTTCCTCCAACATTACTTAGTATCCCTAGGCTTTAATGCTAGTGATCTGGGTGCTCTATTGAATTATCTGCAAGTATTCCACTTATTTTTATATTTAAAAAGTTTATACAACAATTTACTTTAGCCTAACAAAGCAGTACAGAAGTGATGGGATTCACGGTTCCTTTTTTACACAATAATTAAATGATATCTATTAAATAGTGCATCTCAGGTATCAGGCAATTTTTTTTTTTTTTTTTTTTTTTTTTGAGACAGAGTCTCATTCTTGTCACCCAGGCTGGAGTGCATTGGTGCAATCTCGGCTCACTGCAACCTCTACCTCCCAGGTTCAAGTGATTCTCCTGCCTCAGTCTCCTGAGTAGCTGGGATTACAGGTGCCCACCACGAGGCCCAGCTAATTTGTGTACTTTTAGTAGATACGGGGTTTTGCCATGTTGGCCAGGCTGGTCTCGAACTCCTAACCTCAGGCCTCCAACTCCTGACCTCAGCCTCTCAAAGTGCTGGGATTACAGGCGTGAGTCACCATGCCCAGCTTGGTATTCTTTTAAGTGTTTGAAATACTACCTCATTTGACCCTCACAATGTTCCACTCTTACACATGTGGGGAAGGGTATGAAGAGATGCCTAAAGTCCCACTACCAGCCAGTAAGAGGGAGGGGCAGAATTTGGACCCAGCCTTACTGGCTCCAGTACCTATCAGCCAAAACAGGATACCCTGCTGCCATGGCAACTGCAGACCTGGGGACTCTGCCCTTCCTGAGTTGGAAACCCTGCTTAGTGCAAGCTAGCCATCAGGCCCTGGGACGGCCCCTTCCTAGGAAGGACAAGTGTATGACAGTAAATAATGGAAGCAAACAGCAATTCTTTTCTACTTACTTTACACAGTGTTTGTAGTTGAGTGCCAAGGTTGTTTCCATGGCTATTATCCATTACTTGCCCCCAGAACATAGCAGAGCCAAACATAGGCGATTAAGAGTCAAGTGAATCACTTGTCCTTCACTATTAATTGCTCATGTGTTACCTAACACTTGTGCCAGTCTTTCCCTGCCCCGGATCTTATCCTGAAAGGCACTGCCCCTTGAAGCCCTGTCCCCAGTCACCTTGCTTTACTAGTCATTCTCTGTATTTCATCCTAGCCATTTTCTGTATTTCATCATTTCAAAAATACCTTCTTCATATCCCCATGAAATAGGCTTTCTCTGTTATCTTCTATCTTGCCCCTTGGTTTGTTTCCTCCTGTACCCTGGGCACAACTGGTAATTTTTTTTTTTTTTTTTTTAACAGAGTCTTGCTCTTTTGCCCAGGCTGGAGTGCAGTGGCACGATCTCGGCTCACTGCAAGCTCCACCTGCCGGGTTCACACCATTCTCCTGCCTCAGCCTCCTGAGTTGCTGGGACTACAGGCGCCCACCACCACGCCTGGCTAATTTTTTGTATTTTTAGTAAAGGCGGGTTTCACCATGTTAGCCAGGATGGTCTCGATCTCCTGACCTCGTGATTCGCCCGCCTCGGCCTCCCAAAATGCTGGGATTACAGGCATGAGCCACCGCGCCCGGCCCACAATTAATTTTTTAATGTTCACTCAGTTTTTGTCTCTTTGTTTTGGTCTCTCTAGCAGAGACCGTATTTTACCCATTGTTGGATTCTCAGTGCTGAGCCGGGGCCTTCCAAGTAGTATGTGTTCAACAAATAAAAAGAAATATGGGTCGGGTGTGGTGATTCATGCCTGTAATCCCAGCACTTTGGGAGGCCGAGGCCCGTGGATTGCCTGAACTCAGGAGTTCAAGACCAACCTGGCCAACATGGTGAAACCTCGTCTCTACTAAAAATACAAAACACTAGCCGGACATGGTGGTGTGTGCCTGTAATCCCAGCTACTCAGGAGGCTGAGGCACAAGAATCGCTTGAACCCGGGAGGCAGAGTTTGCAGTGAGCCGAGATCACTCCACTGCACTCCAGCCTGGGTGACAGAGCAAGACTCTGTCTCAAAAAAAAAAAAAAAAAGAAAAAAGAAAAGAAATATGGTGGGCTGGGCACAGTGGCTCACCCCTATCATCTCAGTACTTTGAGAGGCTGAGGTGGGTGGATCACTTGAGGTCAGGAGTTCAAGACCAGCCTGGCCAACATAGAGAAACCCTGTCTCTACTAAAAATATAAAAATTAGCTGAGTGTGGCAGCACGTGCCTGTAATCCCAGCTACTCAGGAGGCTGAGGCAGGAGAATCACTTGAACCTGGGAGGCCGAGGCTGCAGTGAGCTGAGATCGGCCAATGCACTCCAGCCTGGCGACACAGCCAGACTCCATCTCAAAAAAAACAAAAAAACAAAAAACTGAATGATCTCAAAGAGGCGCATTGCCATGGAAACCCATATTTCCAATGTCTGCTGTGAGCAGTTCTGTTAAAGATATGTACAAAATGCCAGAGCTTGAAGATGGGGCCTCTGAAATGGCTTTGTGTAGAGTGTGTCCCCTAAAATTTTTCTGTTTATCATGGAAAAATATACATAATATATATTTGTGTATATATATACATAATATATGTATATATACATAATATATATCATATATACATAATATATACATATACATAATATATATCATGGAAAATATACATAATATACATAATATACAAAATATACATAATATACAAAATATACATAATATATATCATGGAAAAATATACATAATACAAAATGTAGCACTTTAACCATTCTCAGGAACAATGTATGAGTTAAGTACATTCACAATGTTGTGCATGTTTGAGCAGAGGTGGTTTTTTTTAGTCAAGTGAAGCAGCGGGAGTGGAGAGGAGCAGTTTTAAGACTGGGAGCCTGAGGCCATCATGCGCACCCATCCTATGAACTGGGTATCCCCTCTGCATCCTCACAGCCCTGGGCCCTAGCCACTTCCACCTGGGACCCACCACAGGCCACTGAGAGCAATCCTCACCTGGTAGCCTGGTGTGATAAAGAGCAAGAGCCCTGGCCCCATCTGAAAACCCATGAGACCTACGTGCTCCAGGAAACAGCCCAAACCCTGGCCAACGTCTGACCAACAGTTCTGTCGCGAGCCCTGCAAATCACTAAAAGGGCTCACGATTCAGCTTCTAAATTGTTTGTCTCAGATGGATTCATGCACCCCGCAGTGGCACCTAAATCCTTTTTCTAAATGAGGGGCACTAGTTTTGTCATTGGAAACCTGATGCCCCTTATCCAGATAAAGGGTTGCCTCTCAACTTGCATTGTTCACATTTCAGGGAACTTTCCATAACTCTAGGCCTTTAAGGGATAAGGCTGGTCTTAGTTAACCTTGCATCTTTTATGCAAGTCTTACCATTTTAAGAGAAAGCCCCCTTTTCCCTGGCTTTGGCCAGGGATCCTACAGTTAGTCCCAGACTGGCGCTTTGGCCTTGAGCTCTGATCTGCTTGGCTCCTTGCTCCTGCCAGCACTGAGTCAAAGAAGTCTCTCCCTGACCCTCCACTCTTCCCCAACCAACTAGGCAGCAAGATTGCTGAACTGAGTGGACCACATGGGAGCCCAGATCTGAGACAAGATATAGGGAAGGGAGTGAACATCCCAGGGATTAAAATGTCTGAGAGGTTGAAAATTGTGTTCAGAAGGCCAGGTGTGGTGGCTCACACCTGTAATCCCAGCACTTTGGGAGGCTGAGGTGGGCGGATCACCTGAGGCCAGGAGTTTCAGACCAGCCTGGCCAACATGGTGAAATCCTATCTCTACTAAAAATACAAAAATTAGCTGGGTGTGGTGATGGGCACCTGTAATCCCAGCTACTTGGGAGGCTGAGGCAGGAGAATTGCTTGAACCTGGGAGGCAGAGGTTGCAGTGAGCCGAGATCACACCACTATACTCCAGCCTGGATGAGAGAGTGAGACTCCAACTCAATAAATAAATAAGGAAAACTGTGTTCAGAGAGCAGCAGCCCCTGAGAGTAGGGCTGGTGGCAACATCCCTGGATCATTACAGTATCCCAGGATGGCAGGTTGAGGGGCTGGAAGACCACCTTTTATGGATGCGGGTCACTATCCCTCTATGTAAGATTAATGCAGAGCATGTTTGTATGTGTGAATATTATTTTCTTTTCCTTACTGTGGCCTTTTTCTTCCTTCTCTTCTGTTCATAACATGTCATTCTCATCCTCTGCTGCTCTGAGTGCTTCATCATACCCTCTCCCTGCTTCTCCTCTAGTCCTGGTTTGAGCCTGCCTCCCAGCTGTTGCTTTTCACCTTGCCAAGCTCTCACTCCCCAGCCTTCGGACACGTTCCTTTGGTCTGGAGCTTTTCCCACCACTCCCCACCTCCCATACATACAACTCCCTGGGGATGGAGATAAGTCTCTGACATCTCTGTTACAATTCTGCTGTCAAATCATCCATACCAACATTTGTTTGAATATGTTGTGAATTTGGGGCAGGGGGTGATCTCTGATGCCTAGAACTGGAAAGGGTTTTCCATAAAAGCAGTACTGCTAAGTTATGGTTTAATAGGCTTTTGTAGGGTAATCTAGTATCCTACCCTTTTCCTCCATATCAAGCTTGTCCAGCCCACAGCCCATGGTCTGCATGTGGCCCAGATGCTTTGAATGTGGCCCAAGATAAATTTGTAAACTTTCTTAAAACATTATAAGATTTTGACCGGGTGTAGTGGCTCAACACCTGTAATCCCAACACTTTCGGAGGCCAAGGCAGGCGGATCACCTGAAGTCAGAAGTTCGAGACAAGCCTGGCCAACATGGTGAGACCCTGTCTCTACTAAAAATACAAAAATTAGCCGGGTGTGGTGGCACGTGCCTATAATCCCAACTACCAGGGAGGCTGAGGGGGGAGGATCGCTTGAACCCAGGAGGTGGAGGCTGCAGTGAGCCAATATCACACCATTGCCCTCCAGCCTGGGTGACACAGCGAGACTGTATCTCAAAAAAAAAAAAAAAAATTATAAGGTTTTGCTTTTTTTTTTTTCTTTTAAGCTCATCAGCTATCATTAGTGTATGTTATGTGTGCCCAAGACAATTCTTCCAATGTGGCCCAGGGAAGCCAAAAGATTGGACACCCCTGCATATCATTGTTCCTATGGGAAGTATTTGTACAAATTCATACACACAAAAGATTATTTCATTTTCAACCTACATCAAGAAAAAGATAATGGCTTTCATTCTTTCACAAATTAACTTCTGAAACAAAGCTAGGGATTGCATGCAATTTCTTCTGAATTCAGCAGAATCTATGGAGGACTAAAAAAAACCTACAAATTCCTTTTTAAGTGGAACGGCATGAAAGGAAACAACTTGGTTGCAGTAAGAGGTCTAGGGTTTTCAGAACTGACACAAGTGAAATCTTAGTGTGCTTTTCATCTGTTTGTTCCATTGTTGCATTTAGTTTAACCTCACTAGTAAAATATTTGTACAGTTCTGGGTGTAACATTTTAAATTTCCTACAAAAGAGTTGTGAAGAACATTTGAAAAATCAAAACAAAAAACTCAGTGAGACTCAGAAGATTTAAGTGCATTAAATAACAACCAAAGTCATAAACTCCCAAAAACAGGGTGGAATCCAACAGCTCCAGGAGTGAGGTCAGTCATCCTAAAAAAGTGCAGACTTCCCCCACCGGTGCTGCCACTGGGAACTTGATCTAAAAGTGCTACTTGCAGCAGAAGTAGCAAGCAGCCGAAGTTGAACTAGATGCAGACTCTTTCTTTAAAAGTCTGGCATAAGGAATGGGGAGAAAAAAAAAAGATAACTTGTTTGTGTTCAAGACATTTCATCCAATATGAACTACAAAGGAATATCAATGTTATGCAAAATACAAAATCTAGATGTTTTTATTGGTTAAAAGAAGCTTACTTCATTGCATTCCAAGATACAATGAAGAAAATTCTATCCATGGACAAGGCAGTTGGGGTAGCCTATTAAATAAACTTGCAAATAGCAAAGGAGTGAGTATAGTCTCTGGTATCAGACATGTTGGAGGGTGGGAATGGAGGGTTAGCTAGCAACACTTTTTTTTTTTTTTTAAATAAAGACTCTATCAGCCAGGTTGGAGTACAGTGGCTCAATAAGGGCTCACTGCAACCTTGACCTTCCTGGCTCAAGCAATCCTCCTGCCTCACCCTCACAAGTAGCTGAGACTACAGGCACATGCCACCACGCCCAGCTATTTTTTTGAATTTTAGAAGAGATGAGGTCGTACTATGTTGCCCAGGCTGGTCTCAAATTCCTGAGCTCAAGCAGTCCTCCTGCCTTAGCCTCCCAAATTGCTGGGTTTACAAGTGTAAGCTACTGCATCAGTACAGCAACACTATTTCTGTATTTTGTCAAAAAGACAGCTGTTAGCTTGGGACAGTGTCTGCCATTCATAGAAGTGCCGTCAATCTCAAGCCTAATGCTACTAAGCATGAGGCTATTTCGGGAGAAGAGGCTGAAGGAAGGTGCTATAGTTAAGCAGGCTCAATATAGTCCTTAAGCAATTATTTCCCAGAAGTAAGTTGCATTTAAGAATAAAGCTTGGGGCTGGGTGCGGTGGCGCACGCCTGTAATCCCAGCACTTTGGGAGGCCGAGGTGGGAGGATCAAGAAGTCAGGAGATCGAGACCATCCTGGCTAACACGGTGAAACCTGTCTCTACTAAAAAAAAAAAAAAAAAAAAAATACAAAAAATTAGCTCGGCGTGGTGGCGGGCACCTGTAGTCCCAGCTACTCAGGAGGCTGAGGCAGGAGAGAACAGTGTGAACCTGGGAGGCAGAGGGTGCCATGAGCCGAGATTGTGCCACTGCACTCCAGCCTGGGCAACAGAGTGAGACTCCGTCTCAAAAAAAAAAAAAAAAAAGACTGAAGCTCGGTCAGGCACAGTGGCTCACACCTGTAATCCCAGCACTTTGGGAGGCCGAGGTGGGTGGGTCACTTGAGGTCAGGAGTGCGAGACCAGCATGGCCAACATGGTGAAACCCCATCTCTAGTAAAAATACCACACACACACAAAAAGTAGCTGGGCATGGTGGTGCATGCCTGTAGTCCCAGCTACTCAGGAGGCTGAGGCAGGAGACTCATCTGAACCCGGGAGGTGGAGATTGCAGTGAGCCAAGATTGCACTACTGCACTCCAGCCTGGGCGACAAGAGCGAGACTCAGTCCCCCACAAAAAAATAAATAAATAAATAAATAAATAAATAAATAAATAAATAAAAAGAAAAAAGCCCATGGTAATTATAGTATGAAAATAAGGGGAGTCTCTAAAAGAAATATGCATCACGCAACAATCATTGTCAGGTATTTTTAGATGAAATTTAGTCAGGTTGCATATTAGTTCTTTGTTTCTTTTGTAGCAAGGAGGTCTCCCTATGTTGCCTAGGCTGGTCTCAACTCCTGGCCTCAAGCAGGTCTTCCCACCTTGGCCTCCCAGAGTGCTGGGATTATAGGCGTGAGCCACCATGCCTGGCCAGGTCTCTTTGGAATACTGTCCAAACCTGATGTCAAGGGCAAAAGGACATAAGATAAAGTAAAAGTAAATTCTTGAGTAAATAAACGAAAAACAGTGAGGCAGAAAAAATAGTGAAAACTAACATATAGCTTTGAATTTAAATTCTAGACCCACTAATGACTAGCTGTGACTTAGGGAAAGTAACTAACTCTCTGAAACTGCTTCCTTCTCTGTAAAATGGTGATAATGACATTTACGTGAGTACTGTTGGTATTGTTCAGACATTATTTCACTTATGGAGGTGAATAATACCAACAGCACTCACTTCTCTTTTTGGATACAGACTGAACATGTATGGAAATATTCCCATCCCTACTTCAAAGACATGTACATGCTGGTGAAATATTCCTGCTTTCCTCACTTAAATTTCCTCAGTAAATATTCCTCTTTACCTATTTCCCATAGAAAAAATAGGTTCTAAAAGAAGAAAAGGAAGTCTGCAGGTGGTAGAAATAAAGAGGGAACCCACAGAACTTGAAACCACATGGCCCATTGAGGTTCCTAGACTGGATACGTTGTGCCTTAGGAATTAGGGGGTTTCAATAATGCTGGGGAAGTCTGGGCACGATGGCTCACGCCTGTAATCCCAGCACTTTGGGAGGATGAGGCGGGAGGATCATGAGGTCAGGAGTTCGAGACCAGCTTGGCCAACATGGTGAAACCCCATCCCTACTAAAAATACAAAAATTAGCCAGGTGTGGTGGCACATGCCTGTAGTCCCAGCTACTCGGGAGGCTGAGGCAGAAGAATTGCTTGATGTGGGAGGGAGAGGTTGCAGTGAGCCAAGACTGCATCACTGAACTCCAGCCTGGGCGACAGACCGAGACTCCATCTCAAAACAAAACAAAACAAAAAAGTGGGAAATAGATATTAGGAATTGAGGCTGCAGTCATATTGGATAGTAAAGAGCAGAAATGGGCACATTTAGAATTGGGAAAGCCCTGTTCCAATATAAGGACTGAAAAATCAGTATCTACTAGTCCAGAGTCATTGCAAGAAACAAGTTCCCCATCTCAGGTCATGGGTTGAAACAAAGTCATCCAACAAGAGTCTTGGCTGCATGTGAATACAGAGCCAATTCATACTATCTGCATGGTGAAGGAGTCCCATTTAACAAAACATAATATTTGGTTCAGTTTCAGAAAACCATATAAGGCCCCAGCAGAAATAATCTAAAAATTTCTCCAAAGGAAGCAGTTGCATCCATAACGAAGCCATGAACAAAACCCTCTCAGAAGAAAAGTCCTATAGAAGATAAGCTTGCAGATACAAATTTATTTATTTTTAAATGAAATTCAATGTTAAGGACCAACAAATGGCAAAATTCTCACTTAAAGAATCAGAAATGAGAGAAAGATTAAAAGAACTCTGAAAGAAGTATGTTTTAATGCTCAAAAGACTAAAATCAATAAATAAGAACAGGAGGTTATGAAACAAGAACAGATAAACTTGAAAACAAGCTTAAAATAGTTCTCCAAAAAAAATTATTTAGATCTTATTTAGACAGGTTAAACTGCGGACTAGACACAATTAATGAGAAAATTTAAGGAATTGGAAGAAAGAAAACTAACGAAGTGGGGAAATCACCTAGAACACAGCACGGAGGGAGGATTTAATAGGATTTAATAGATGTTAACTTGTGTAGGGTAGAAGAAAAACTTGTAAGACATCGAAAAGGAGATAGAATGGGAAAGGAGAAATATATTTAAAAGATAATAAAAATGTCCAGAACTAAAGATATGCACTTTCAATTTAAAGGGGCACAATGAGTCCAAAACAGAACAAATAGATATTAATACACATCTAGATACATTTTAGTGAAACTCAGAAGCTACTAGAAAACACATAGCCTTCAAAGAAAAGACAATCAAACTGACATTCAACTTTTTCAGCAACAATAGATGCCAAAACAGTGGTATATCTACAAGATGCTGAAGAAAGGTAATTAGCAACCTAGAATTCTAAACCCAGACAATTTAACTTTCTAAAACCAGTGTAAAAAAATGAAGACATTTTCAGACCTGCTAAGATTGAGAATATTTACTGTTCAAAGACTGTCACTGCGAGGCCGGGCATGGAGGCTCCTGCCTGTAATCCCAGCATTTTGGTAGGCCGAAGCAGATGGATCACCTGAGGTAAGGAGTTCGAGACCAGGCTGGCCAACACGATGAAACCGCATCTCTACTAAAAACACAAAACATTGGCCGGGCACAGTGGCTCACGCCTGTAATCTCAGCACTTTGGGAGGCCAAGGTGGGCGGACCACGAGGTCAGGAGATCGAGACCATCCTGGCTAACATGGTGAAACCCCCGTCTCTATTAAAAATACAAAAAAATTAGCCGGGCGTGGTGGCGGGCACCTGTGGTCCCAGCTACTCGGGAGGCTGAGGCAGAATGGCATGAACCTGGGAGGCGGAGCTTGCAGTGAGCTGAGATCGTGCCACTGCACTCCAGCCTGGGCGACAGAGGGAGACTCCATCTCAAAAAAAACAAAAACAAAAACAACAACAACAACAACAAAAAACACACACACACACACACAAAATTAGCCAGGCGTGGTGGCACACGTCTGTAATCCCAGCTACTTGGGAGTTTGAGGCAGGAGAATTGCTTGAACCCAGGAGGCGGAGGTTGAAGTGAGCTGAGATCGTGCCACATTGCACTCCCGCCTGGGCAACAGAGCAAGACTCTGTCTCAAAAAAAAAAAAAAAAAAAAAAGACTGTCACTGAAAGGTCTAATGGCACAAAAACATCTTGAAGTATTCAACAAGAAATAGTGAGCAAAGAAATAGATAAAATGTGTCAGTAAATCAGTAAGTCAGATATTTTAAAAATAACTTGGGATTTTAAAAATAAGCTATAACTAAAATTCTAAACACTGACATGGAAAATAGATCAGAAAAGATAATTTGGAGGGAAGTCCAAATTATCTTTTCTGATCTATTGTCCCTGTTTGCAGATGACATGATTGTATATTTAGAAAACCCCATAGTCTCAGCCCAAAATCTCCTTAGAGATTTTGAAGTTGCTGATAAGCAACTTCAGCAAAGTCTCAGGATACAAAATCAACGTGCAAAAATCACAAGCATTCTTATACACCAATAACAGACAAACAGACAGCCAAATCATGAGTGAAGTCCCATTCACAATTGCTTTAAAGAAAATAAAATACCTAGGAATCCATCTTACAAGGGATGTGAAGGACCTCTTCAAGGAGAACTACAAACCACTGCTCAACAAAATAAAAGAGGACACAAACAAATGGAAGAACATTCCATGCTCATGGATAGGAAGAATCAATATTGTGCAAATGACCATACTGTCCAAGGTAATTTATAGATCCAATGCCATCCCCACCAAGCTACCAATGACTTTCTTCACAGAATTGGAAAAAACTACTTTGAAGTTCATATGGAACCAAAAAAGAGCCTACATGGCCAAGACAATCCTAAGCCAAAAGAACAAGGCTGGAGGCATCACGCTACCTGACTTCAAACTATACTACAAGGCTACAGTAACCAAAACAGCATGGTACTGGTACCAAAAGAGAGATATAGACCAATGGAACAGAACAGAGCCCTCAGAAATAACACCACACATCTACAACCATCTGATCTTTGACAAACCTGACAAAAACAAGAAATGGGGAAAGGATTCTCTATTTAATAAGTGGTGCTGGGAAAACTGGCTAGCCATATGTAGAAAGCTGAAACTGGATCCCTTCCTTACACCTTATACAAAAATTAATTCAAGATGGATTAAAGACTTAAATGTTGGACCTAAAACCATAAAAACCCTAGAAGAAAACCCAGGCAATACCATTCAGGACATAGGCATGGGCAAGGACTTCATGACTAAAACACCAAACGCAATGACAACAAAAGCCAAAATTGACAAATGGGATCTCATTAAACTAAAGAGCTTCTTCACAGCAAAAGAGACCATCAGAGTGAACAGGCAACTTACAGAATGGGAGAAAATTTTTGCAATCTACTCATCTGACAAACGGCTAATATCCAGAATCTACAAAGAACTCAAACAAACTTACAAGAAAAAAACAAACAACCCCATCAAAAAGTGGGCAAAGGATGTGAACAGACACTTCTCAAAAGAAGACATTTATGCAGCCAATAGACACATGAAAAAATGTTCATCATCACTGGCCATCAGGGAAATGCAAATCAAAACCACAATGAGATACCATCTCATACTGGGTAGAATGGTGAACATTAAAAAGTCAGGAAACAACAGGTGCTGCAGAGGCTGTGGAGAAATAGGAATGCTTTTACACTGTTGATGGGACTGTAAACTAGTGCAACCATTGTGGAAGACAGTGTGGTGATTCCTCAAGGATCTAGAACTAGAAATACCATTTGACCCAGCCATCCCGTTACTGGGTATATACCCAAAGGATTATAAATCATGCTGCTATAAAGACACATGCACATGTATGTTTATTGCGGCACTATTCACAATAGCAAAGACTTGGAACTCACCCAAATGTCCAACAATGATAGACTGGATTAAGAAAATGTGGCACATATGCACCATGGAATACTATGCAGCCATAAAAAAGGATGAGTTAATGTCCTTTGTAGGGACATGGATGAAGCTGGAAACCATCATTCTCAGCAAACTATCACAAGGACAAAAAACCAAACACCGCATGTTCTCAATCATAGGTGGGAATTGAACAATGAGAACACTTGGACACAGGAAGGGGAACGTCACACACCGGGGCCTGTCATGGGGTCGGGGGGAGGGGAGAGGGATAGCATTAGGAGATATATCTAATGTAAATGATGAGTTAATGGGTGCAGCACACCAACATGGCACATGTATACATATGTAACAAACCTGCATGTTGTGCACATGTACCCTAGAACTTAAAGTATAATAAAAAATAAAAATAAATTTAAAAAAAGATAATTTGGAGGGAAGTAAAACTAGTGTGAGCTACTTGTCTTAAACATAAAGAGACAAAGCTTACCCATTAAAAGACAAGACTATGCTAAAGGATAAAGGTGAATGAAAAAAGAAGTTTAGAATACAAGCAATATATCATTTGTATGTTTTCATTATAACACTTGAAATACCTACATTTTGTTTATTGAGACCTGTACATAGGTGCATTAAGTATAAAAAAACACTGAAAAGGTATCAAGAATTTTGCAGTAATGTCTTGGGTACGGAGGGGAATGGGAAGTGTGACTGAAAGTATGTCAGCTTCATTTGTATTATTTTATTCTTTCTTTTTTTTTTTTTTTTTTTTTTGAGATGGAGTTTTGCTCTTGTCGCCCAAGCTGGAGTGCAGTGACATGCCCTTGGCTCACTGCAACCTCCTCCTCCTGAGTTCAAGTGATTCTCCTGCCTTGGTCTCTTGGATGCCTGCCACGATGCCCGGCTAATTTTTGTACTGTTAGTAGAGACAGGGTTTCACCATGTTAGTCAGGCTGGTCTCGAACTCCTGAACTCAGGTGATCCACCCACTTCGGCCTCCCAAAGTGCTGGGATTACAGGTGTGAGCCACCGCGCCTGGTCTTATTCTTTTATTTAAGAAATAAGTACTTAACAACGACCAATACTGAATAATCTGCATGCTACAGTATTTGTCGTTTCCATATTTTAAAAACAAAAACCTCAATAAGCATAGAGCATAGCATAGATGTTACTTTCCTTCTGCTGGAAGTGTTTAGCTATAATAACAAAAGAAATAGCTTCTTTGTCACGTTGTTGGGAAGTCTGTCATATACTAAAGACACATAGGTGTTTAATAAATATTATTTTTCTTAGGCCAGGTGCAGTGGCTCACACCTGTAATCCCAGCACTTTGGGAGGCCAAGGCGGGTGGATCACGAGGTCAGGAGATGAAGACCATTCTGACCAACACGGTGAAACCCTGGCTCTACTAAAAAATACAAAAAAACAGCTGGATATGGTGGTGTGCACCTGTAGTCCCAGCTACTTGGGAGGCTGAGGCAGGATAATCACTTGAACCCCGGAGGCGAAGGTTGCAATGAGCCAAGATCGCACCACTGCACTCCAACCTCGGCGACAGAGTGAGGCTCCGTCTCAAAAATAAATAAATAAATAAATGAATAAAATGAAATATCAGTTTTCTCTGAAATAGAGTTCATTTGTGGTACAGTGTTATGGTTTCTTAGATTAAAAATCTGTCTTTGAAAGGCTGCTTTGGGCACTTCAAATTCCACACAAGATGGAGCCAAGTATATTCCAGTCTATTCCTCTTGCTAATTATAAATAAAATCTAGGCACTCTCGGATATGTGGAATATCCTGGGAGTAAGCTTCCTGGGGTCTTTCCTATACTTACTTTTTGCCTTCTTTTGCTTTCTTTTGGCTTGGGTGCAATGGTCTACAACCAGAAAACATCAATGGATACAGACAAAGAAAAAAAGCCAAATGAATGGGAAAAGGGGTAACGCCGCAGGAGAAAAAAACCTGCCTACTCCACATGAACACCATGGGAGAAAACCACACCCATTCTTCCTGGTCACTGGGTCTGGCCAAGACTGTGGAGTGGACCCTTGTAGACTATGCCTGCCCTGCACTGAGTGATTGGCTGCAAAAAGGCAGCACCCCATCCACCCCAAGTAGAGATTGAAGTAGGACTGAAGAGGAAAGGGAGCCACAGAAATTGATTCTTTAAATCTTTGCAGGAAGTCCTGGGCAGACCCTCTAGTAGACCATGCATCACACCGACCATAATTCAACACAGCAAAATGAACTGTGAATGGCTATAGTTCAGGTTTCAGATTGGCTTCTAGGTAACACCCAAGCGAGGCCGACTAGAAAAGCACTGCAAAGGCTCTGAAAACTAAATTTACATTGAAATGCAGCCCATAAAAGCGGGCCAGAACATGCACTCTGAACCTAAACTGCTTGATTTCCTTATAAAATAGATTTAAATAGAAATCAGAGTCTCATAGTACTCACAATGTCCAGTACACAATGCAAAATTACTGATCTTATCAAGAAACAGGACAGTTTCAACTTGAAAGAACATTACAAAGACCCAAATGGAAATTTCAGAATAGAAAAATATACCATCACAAATAAAACACTTACTGGATGGGCTCAACAGAAGAAATGTAGATGATAGATAAAAGAATCAGTGAACTCAATCACTAGAAATTACCCAATCTGAACAACAGAATATAAACCAAATAAAAATGAACAGACTCTCAGAGGCTTTTGGGACAGTAATTAAATATTTAATATTCATGTCACTAGAGTTCCAGCAGAAGAGGAGAAGGAGTGGAGGGTTGAAACCATATTTAAAGAAGTAATGGCTAGAAACTCCCTAAATTTGACAGAAGATAAACATCTAGATTCAAGAAGCTGGTTGAACTCAAAACAGGATAAACCTGAAGAAACTCATTCTCAAACACATCATAATCAAATTTCTGAAAACTAAAGACAAAAATTCTTGAAAGAAGCCAGAGAAGAGCAATGCATTATCCATAGGGGAAAAACAATATGAGTAACAGCAGATTTCTTGTCAGAAATCATGGAAGACAGAAAGAAGTGGCAAGATATTTTCAAGTGCTAAACAAAATGCCAACCCAGGAAAGTGAAAATATCCCTTAGGAATGAAGGTGAAATGATGACATTCTTGTAAGAAGGAAAACTAAGACAAGTTGTCACTAGCAGACCTGATCTAAAAGAATTACTAGAGTAAGTTCTTCAGGCAGAAAGGAAATAATAGAAAAAAACTTAGAAAATTAAGTTTGGAAAGAGCAATGGCAAGGGGAACCATCTGGGTATTAAACGATTCTTGTCCTTCACAGTTTAAAAAATTATGTTTGGGCCAGGCGCAGTGGCTTACGCCTATAATCCCAGCACTTTGGGAGGCCAAGCTGGGTGGATCACCTGAGGGCAGGAGTTCGAGACCAGCCTGGGCAACATGATGAAACCCTATCTCTACTAAAAATACAAAAAAACTTAGCTGTGTGCGGTGGTGGTGGGCACCTGTAATCCCAGCTACTTGGGAAGCTGCGGCAGGAGAATCGCTTGAACCCGGGAGGCGGAGTTTGTGGTGAGCCGAGATTGTGCCATTGCATTCCAGCCTAGGCGACAAGAGCAAAACTCAGTCTCAAAAAAATAACATAAATTATGTTTGACACCAAAGGCATGATGCATATAAAATAAGAAACTGATGAATCAGACTTCATCAAAATTAAAAGCTTTTTTCTGAAACACCCTGCTAAGAGGATGAAAATGCAACTAACATTACAACAAAAAATGCAACTAACAGACTGGAAACAATATCTGTAAATCAAATATCTAACAAAAATATATGCTGGGGAAAAGATAGTCTCTTCAATAAATGGTACTGGGAAAACTGGATACCCATATGCAGAAGAATGAAACTAGACCCCTACCTCTCACCATATACAAAAATAAAATAAAAATGGATGAAAGACCTAAATCTAAGACCTCAAACTATAAAACTACTACAAGGAAACATTGGGGAACTCTCTAGGACGTTGGTCTGGGCAAAAATTTGTCGAGCAATACTCCACACAAGCACAAACGACCAAAGACCAAAGCAAAAATGGACAGATGGGATCACATCAAGTTAAAAAGCTTCTGCACAGCAAAGGGAACAATCAACAAAGTGAAGAGACAATCCACAGAATAGGAGAAAATATTTGCAAACTACCCATCTGACAAGGGATTAATTATCATAATATATAAGGAGCTCAAACAACTTTATAGAAAAAAAATCTAATAATCCAATTAAAAATGGGTAAAAAATTTGAATAGACATTTCTTAAAAGAAGATATACAAATGGCAAATAGGTATATGAAAAGGTGCTCAGCATCACTGATCATCAGAGAACTGCAAATCAAAACTACTATGAGATATTATCTTACCCCAGTTAAAATGACTTTTATCCAAAAGACAGGCAATACAAATGCTGGTGAGGATGTGGAGAAAAAAGAACCTTTGTATATTGTTGGTGGGAATGTAAATTAGTACAAAAATTATGGAGAACAGTTTTGAGGTCCCTCAAAAAACTAAAAATATAACTACCATATGATCCAGCCATCCCACTGCTGGGTATATACCTGAGAGAAAATCAGTATATCAGAGATATGTGCACTCCTATGTTTGTTGCAGCACTGTTTACAATAGCTAAGATTTGGAAGCAACCTAAGTGTCCATCAACAGCTGAATAGAAAAGAAAATGTGGTACATATACACAATGGAGTACTATTCTGCCATAAAAAAGAATGATATCCAGTCATTTGAAACAACACAGATGAAACTGGAGATCATTATGTTAAATGAAATAAACCAGGCACAGAAAGACAAACATCCCTTGTTGTCACTTATTTGTGGGATCTAAAAATCAAAATAATTGAACCCATGGACAAAGAGAGTACAAGGATGATTACCAGAGTCTGGGAAGGGTAGTGGGGTCTGGTAGTGGGGAGGTGGAGATAGTTAATGGGTACAAAAAATTAGTTAGAAAGAATAAGGCCTTCTATTTGATAGAACAACATGGCAACTCTATAGTCAATAATAATTGTATATTTTAAAATAACTTAAATAGTATAATTGGATTGTTTATAATTTGAAGAACAAATGCCTTGAGGGGATGGGTAACCCATTCCCTGTGATGTGCTTATTTCACATTGCATGCCTGTATCAAAACATCTCATGTACCCCATAAATATATACACCTACTATGTACCCACAAAAATTGAAAATTAAAAAAAAAATTAAATCTAACAAAAGACCAGTATTCAGAATATATAAGAAATTTAAAACCCAACAGTAAAAATCAATCCAAAAAAACGCAGGCAAAAGATTTGAAGACACACTTCATGGATACGTAGGATGGCAACTAAACACATGAAGTGATGACTAAGTCATCAGCCATCAGGAGAATACAAAATAAAGCCATGATGAGATACTACTATACATCTATTAGAATGTCTAAAATAAAAATACTGACCATACTTACTGTGGGCAAAAATACATGGCACTGGAATTCACACATTACTGATGGGAATGTAAAATGGTACAGCCACGCTGGGAAATGATTTATTATAAAGCTAATAATATACTTATCATGCCACCTAGAATTATGTCCACACAAAAGTCTGCACAGCAATATTTATCAGCTTTATTTATAACAGACAAAAACTAGAAACATCCCAAAAATCCTTCAAGGCATGAGCAGATGAATAAACTGGAATACTACTCAACAATAAGAAAGAAAGAAACTATTTGATATATGCAATAACTTAGATGGATGTCAAGGTTATCATGCTGTGGGGGAAAAAATCCAGTCTCAAAAAGTCACACACTATGAAATTCCACTTATATTTCATTCTTGAGATGATAAAATTATAGTGATGGTGAACAGAACAATGGTTGTCATGAGTTAGGGTTGGGGAAAGTTGTGACTCTAAAGGATAATAGGAGAGAATTAATTTTTTGATGATGAAACAGTCCATCTTCTATTATGGTGGTGGTTTATACCACTACCACCCTATGTATATATGTAAAAAATGAATGTATATATGTGATAAAATTCTATAAAACTATACGTACATACACCCAAAAATGAGTTCATATAAAAACTGGTGAAATTCAAGTAAGCTCTTACTTACTATTATTGTACCAGTGTCAATCTCCTGGTCTGGACAACCTACTATGATTACGTAAGATGCTATCCCTGAGGGAAACTGGGTGAAAAATACATAGAAATTCTCTGTACTATTTTTGCAGCTTCTTGTGAGTCTATAATTACTTCAAAATTTAAAAAGAAAGGCCGGGTGCGGTGGCTCATGCCTGTAATCCCAGCGCTTTGGGAGGCCAAGGCAGGTGGATCACCTGAGGTCAGGAGTTCGAGACGAGCCTGGTCAACATGGTGGAACCCTGTCTCTACTAAAAATATAAAACTTTAGCTCAGTGTGGTGCCACATGCCTGTAATCCCAGCTACTCGGGAGGCTGAGGCAGGAGAATCGCTTGAACCCGGGAGGTGGAGGTTGCAGTGAGCTGAGACCGCGCTATTGCACTCCAGCCTGAGCAACAGAGCAAGACTCTGTCTCAAAAAAAAAAAAAAAAAAAAATTTTTTTAACATGAATTGGGATTGTTCTTTATAGAAATGGAGCATTCTATAATAACTTATGGATTTGGTAAGATCACATTTGTGACACTTTGTTAAGTATCTGTGACCCAAATAGAGACATTTTATGTTGGGGGCGGGGGGTAATTTAGTATTGGGTGGATATAAGCCCAAAAGCTCATCTAAGATTTACTGATTTCTTAAGTAGACATCAACTAGCTAAATTCAAACGATAAAGTATTTGAACAATCTAGTTCACAATCTTCCACACAAATAGATAAAGGGTAAATTTATGTTGGAAGTGAGGGGCACCTCAAAAATTTCTCTTGGCATCTAGAAACTGGCAAAGATCTATTTAGAAGCTCCTTAGAGTCAAAGAATTTCCAGGCAAAATGCCCATGGGATTACTGTACTTTCTACAGTTACCATTTTCATCTATTAACTGGAGACTTCACTAGAGACTTACTTTAAATGCCTGTATTTTCTCCTAAAGAAAATCAATGAGTTAAAAAATTCTTGGCTGTGGTTAAGGAAACAGTATTTCAGAAATAAAAGTGAATTCACGGTTATGTCATAAAAGATCTCAATTGAGTAAAGAGGGTGATGTTATCCAATCTGGGGCACTTTAAGGAGGAAAAGCAAACGGTATTATTCATAATAATTTTGGAGCAACAAGTGCAAATTGGATCTTTCCTGGGCAAACTGGCACTCAGGGCCACCCTATCTGTATTAGTGATCTTTTACTGCATAATAATTACCCCATGGCTTAATGGATTAAGACATCAACATTCATCATCTTTCTGTGTCTGGAATCCAGGAATGATTTAGTTGGGTACCTGTGGCTGAGGGTCTCTCACAGGGTTGCAATAAAGGGCTGAAGTCATCTCAAGGACCCTCTGGAGGCAAATCCACTTCCAAGCTCACTTCTGTGGTTTTTGGTAGGCTTCAGGACTGTTGGTGGGAGACCTCTGTTCTTTGCCACATGTGCCTTTCCATTTGGCAGCTCACAGCATGGCAGCTGGCTTCCCCCAGATTGAGAGAGAGGGTGGTCCAAGTAGGAAGCCACAGTATTTTTGTGACCTAACCTCGGAAGTGACATCTGATCACTTCTGCTGTATTTTGTTGTTTACAATACAATGTAAGTCCAGCCCACACTCAACGGGAGGAGATTACACCAGGGCATGAAGAGCAAAAGGTAGGAAATCACTGGGGTCCATCTTAGAGGGTGCCTACTATATTACCAACCAATTTATAAATCGCTTAAGTCAACTGAGTTGGGTATTAAAGAATTAGCTCTAAAACACTGAAAATTTTAGATTCAATATTAAAAGGCCAACTAAATTCAATTCCAGGCCAGGCATGGTGGCACACGTCTGTAATCTTAGCACTTCTGGAGGCTGAGGCAGGTGGATTGCTTGAGCTCAGGAGTTTGAGACAAGCCTGGGCAACATGGTGAAACCTCATCTCTATAAAAAATACAAAAACTGGCCAAACTACAGGTTTCACATGCCTGTAGTCCCAGCTACTTGGGAGGTTGAGGCAGGAGGATAGCTTGAGCCCAGTAGGTAGAGACTGCAGTGAGCCATGATCACGTCACTGTGACAGAGACCGTCTCAAGATAAAATATAGAATGAATTCAATTCCATACCTGCTGTTAGGCTGAGGAAGTTAGGAATGTTTTTATCAGTCAGGATAGGCTAGGTCATGCTCTGCGAACAACTCAAAAACTTTAGGGTCTTGCCTTTACATCTCTCTCATGTTGCATGTTCACCACAAGTTAGCTGGGTGCTCTGTACCATTCTTATTCTGAGATCTAAGCTGACAGAAAAGTCCCATCTGGAGGGTTACTAGTCTCCATGGAAGAAGAAAGAAAACTCCGAAGGGCAAGGAAATGACCTGCCTACAAGTGGTATACAGCATATCTGCTCACGACTAACTGGCCAACTCGTCACATGGCCCTATCCAAACACAAGGAAGCTTGGAAGAACAATCCTAGCACGTGCACTTCTGAGCCAAAGATACCTGGTGAACAGTACAAATGGCTACCACAGTCCACTCCCCTGTCACCAAGTATGCAACCCATTCTTGTCTCTCACAGGAGTTATACACCCTCTAGAGTGGTTTATAATTTTAAAAAACTGACAAAACCAAGTATTAGAGAGGATGTGGGGCAACCATAAATCTCACGCACTGCTGGCAGGAAGGTAAAATGGTATAAACCACTTTGAAATGTCATTTTTGTTAACAATTAGTGACACTGATGGGTTGTATGGTAAGTACATAATTTTGTAAGAGTTTTCCAAAGACTGACAATGGCTCACAGCAGCTTTGTAACAGCAAAACCCTGTAAACAATCCAAATATCCATCAGATGAATAAACCGTGGCATATCCATAAATATTACTCAGCAATACATTCAAATTTTGGCAGTATCTAATTGTTTCATCTGTTGCATCTTGTCTTCACAATCATGTTTACTTCCAAGAATTTTAATCTCAAATTACTCTTCACATGGCAGCCTGCTTTATTCTGTCAACACAATGCAATTTCATACCCGCGAATCTAGTCATGAAAGAGTAAGAAAGATCATCTTCATCTTTTTCAACAGCAGTCACTTGGTCTGCCTGCATGGTCCCTCTAAGAAGCTTCCGATTTTCTTATATCCAGTGAAGGTATATCATCTTTTTTCTGTGTAGGATTAGATTAAGCCAGGTTACTAAATATCACTTCCTTCAGGAACTGTGACAGTCTACTTGTAGGGACCAGACAGAGTGGGCAAGCAAGGGTAACTCTTTCCAGTGTAAGCTCAAGGTGAACGGGCCACCAAGCTCAATTCTTGCAATCAGGGCTGTCCTGAAGAATAGGGAAAGGTTTGGTTCTTAATAGGCAAATAGCAGATATTGGGCATCAGAGCAGATCTCTACTCAGCTCTTCCAAACAGGATCTATACTGAAATCCAAAGCTTTAAGTATATAGGTAGGGCCCCTTTCTGTTAGCTGTTATAACAGGGTTATGAGAGAGTTATGGATGTTTAGATTGCCAGCTTCTGAAACTTTGCCAGCTTCCAAAAGTTTACCAATATACTCAAACACTAGCATGCACATATTTGTCGAGTGAACCATATTACTTAGAAGTGAGTAAAACCAGAAAGTTTAAATCCTATCCAAATTAAAGTGATTGATTACTTCATAGTAATCACTGTAACCTACCAAATGTAATAAATTCCCGTGAAAAAAGCTTCTTTCAAACTTAGGACTAAGAGACAACCAGGTATTATGTACCTCCTGAAGGACAACCACATCACCTATGACAAAGTCTTACCCATCCCCTGCCCCCAAAAGTCAAGTCTGAATCTGGTCATGCTTTAATTGTAAACTACCAATTAACTGAAAATAAAGAGAAACATGTTAAACTACACCACAGGGTTCCATTATCTATGTTCTGTCAGAAATGCTTCAGAACAAACAATCCAATTTCAACACACTAATTGCAAAGGGGAAGAGGGGGAAGAAAGATTGAGGGGATGTGAGGGGATGTATACAGATTAAAATATTCTTTTTTTTTTGTTGTTGAGACGGAGTCTCGCTCTGTCGCCCAGGCTGGAGTGCAGTGGCGGGATCTCGGCTCACTGCAAGCTCCGCCTCCCGGGTTCCCGCCATTCTCCTGCCTCAGCCTCCCGAGTAGCTGGGACTACAGGCGCCCGCCACTACGCCCGGCTAATTTTTTGTATTTTTAGTAGAGACGGGGTTTCACCGTGTTAGCCGGGATGGTCTCGATCTCCTGACCTCGTGATCCGCCCGCCTCGGCCTCCCAAAGTGCTGGGATTACAGGCGTGAGCCACCGCGCCCGGCCCAGATTAAAATATTCTTAAGAGATAGCAATTAATCACAATGTGAGGTCTTTATTTGGATCCTGATTCAGACAAACCAACTGAAAACAAAACAGCAATTTATGACATTTGAGACTATGGAAATTGGAACATTTACTAGATATTTGATGATGTAAAGAAACTGTTTAGTATTGTGGTTATGTGTCCTAAAAGTCCCCATTTTCTAGATACCAACTGAAATATTATGTAAAAGAACCTTGATGACTCAAAGGTTCAATAATAATTGCTAAGCTTTGGGCCGTTCTTCCCATCTGTGAATATGCTAAGCCACCATCAGCCTTCTTTCCTAGTCTCTCATGTTATAGCTAGAGTTCAGACAATACAAAGCGGAACCGTCGGAATCAGCTATTTTGCTAATCAAAGTGGTAGAAATAAACCAGTTCAAGTAGCTGAAACTGGAAGACATTTCCCACTCTTCATGCAGAAATGCGGCCAATACGAGGGGATATAGTATGAATGATGCAATTTAATGATTCATTTTCAATTTAAGAAGATCCTATTTAAATGCAATGCTTCAAAATAAAAATGATTCCAACGTTTAGCTCTAAGAGACATAGTTCCAGGTATTTCCCACAACCTGATTTGGAATTTAGTTACATTCAGGAAAAGCACTGAAACTAGCTGGCCATATATCCAAGAGTGAGGGCCTGCCTATATAGCAAACATCACCAGCTCTGGACACAAGACTGCCTAAGTTTATGGCACAGATCCACCTTTTGATTGTTGTATGACCTCTGGTCAAGTTATTTAACCTTTTTGTGCCACTGATATTCACCCATAAGACAGGGATAGCATTTGTTGTTGGTAGAATTCAATGAATACAAATAATACATACAAATGACTAGTACAAAGTAAGTATTCAACGAATGATATTTATATGGCTGTGAACTTAGGGATGCAAGGACTGACTGGATCACATTAAAACTTTTCTCTGATGAAAACAATGTAGTTTTTTGGGGGTGTGTGGTGGTCAACAGGGTCTTGCTCTGTCACCCAGGCTAAAGTGCAGTGCTGTGACCATGGCTCACTACAGCCTCAATTTCCTGGGCTCAAGCAATCCTCCCACATCAGCCTCCCAAGTAGCTGGGACTACAGGCACACACCGCCACACCCTGCTGATTTTATTTTTTGAGAGACAGGGTCTTGTAATGCTGCCCAGGCTGGTCTTGAATTCCTGTGCTCAAGTAATCCTCCCACCTTGGCGTCCCACAGGGATTACAGGTATAAGCCGCCGTGCCTGGCCTAGCAGTATAGTTTAGAGAATAGAACGTTTTAAAACATTCTTATGTCTGTGAAATAAGTAGCACTGATTAGACTAAAACTGAACACAGGACAGAAACTACAGAAAATGGTCACTAGATTACCATTTTAAATTTTTTTCCTATTAGAATAAACTTAAAAACAAAAAACAAAAAACAAACTGAGGGCCGAGTGCGGTGGCTCATGCCTATAATCCCAGCACCTTGGGAGGCCGAGGCAGGCGTATCACGAGGTCAGGAGATCAAGACCAACCTGGCTAACACGGTGAAACCCCGTCTTTACTAAAAATAGAAAAACAAAATTAGCTGGGCGTGGTGGCAGGCGCCTGTAGTCCCAGCTACTTGGGAGGCTGAGGTGGGAGAATGGCGCGAACCCAGGTGACAGGGCTTGCAGTGAGCCGAGATTGTGCCACTGCACTCCAGCCTAGGCAACAGAGCAAGACTCCATCTCAAAAAACCAACCAAACAAACAAAAACTGAGGAAGAAATTTGTTCTGAGTGCTTAAGATTTCATTCTGGTTCTCATTACCAGTACAAAGTAAAAAAAATGTTTCAATAGAGATGCACAATGAAAAACTCCAGAAATATAGGATCCTTTAAAACTGATAACATAAGCCAGACAAGTGTAAAAAAGTAAAGCAAAATGAGCTGTTTTTCTGATCATAAAATATTTATTAAGGTATACTTTAGGGAATATAGTGAATATAAAATTTAGGATCACAATATGAAGCAATTTCAAATCCTCTCAAAGGTCAGCACAGCCCTCAAAACTCTGCAGATGTAAAACCACTGGTGAGACACTAAAAGCAGTTCGACTAGTAGAGAAGTGGATTTTCATGAACATTTACAACTAGAGCATATGAATACCTCTTTTAAGTGCAAAACCACACCACATTACACTAATGCAGCAACAATGCATTCATTATTGTTCTCATTAGTCATTAGTAGTCAACTTGCATAAAACACCAGAAAAAAGCACAATGGAGTTCACAAAGTGGGCTAAAAAAAATGAACCTGTCCTTGCAAAACACACATTGTAATGGAAGAAGAGACGTTAAAAAAGTATATGCACACTTTAGAAGCTGTGTTCATTCCAAGGATCTCAAGTGTCATTTCCTTTTCTGTAAAATCAAATTACAAGAACCAGGCACAACTAATATTTGGGAGGCAGTGTGTAGCTAAAATTTCATTTAACTAGTTATTCAATGATTTTTAAAATCCCCATAAATCTTTTCTGTCCTGAGGTAGTTGCAAAATAAATCATAACTTGGATATCAACTAGAGCTGAGGCTTTGACTTTTTACTCATTAAAACTAGTTGTTACAGGAACTACCTTTAGATATTTAAAAGACAGTTGAGAAATGGGCCTCTTACTACACACACAAGATGATGGCTATGTGGGAAAGAGGATTAGCTGCTTCAGAACGTGAGAGATACAGTCCACCATTTCTTCCACCCTCCCCACCCATTTTAGATTCTTTATTGTCCAAAAAGCCACCATGAACAACACAGTGAAAGCAGGCAGATCATCGTCCTTTGCTGTAGCCAGGGAAGAAAAGGTCAAGTAGAGTCTGCAGAATCTCATTGGGAATCATGATGTAATTCTGGCCAAGATCATGCCGGCAAGCAGGGCAGGAGAAAACCTGTGCCTTAAAGGAGCGCTGTAGGCAATCCTATGGTAAAAACAAAAACATCCAATTTAATCTGAGCATAAAGCATGTAAGTACTCAGCAACTTATGCTTTTAAATAGGAACCAGAAACTGGTAATGAGAGAAATGTACAGAATGAACAAACATAAAGGCTTGAATCTGCACTATGGAAAAGACTACAGTCATGGCTTTAGTTTCATCTCTGGCAGATATTGGGAGCCTTCAGGTAAATTATTTATGTAATTTGTGCATCAGTTTCCTCATCTACTAAAATGGTGGAGTTAGAGATTACATATGGTTGCCACTAGCCTAATCTTCTGGGTTAGATTTCAACCCTGTCCTTTCTAAACAGAGCCCTAGAGGGGGAAAAAAAATCTGGATTCCCTTGCTTAGAAATGAATTTTATATTTTACCAAACCACTTAACACATATGGTGAGTCTTCAAAAAATATACTTAGCAGCCAGGTATGGTGGCTCATGCCTGTTATCCCAGTACTCTGGGAGGCTGAGGCAGGTGGATCACCTTAGGTCAGGCATTCAAGACTAACCTGGCCAACATGGTGAAACCCTGTCTCTACTAAAAAATACAAAAATTAGCTGGGCAGGGTGGTGCATGCTTGTACTCCCAGCTACTCCACAGGCTGAGACAGGAGACTTGCTTGAAATGGGGAGGCAGAGGTTACAGTGAGCCCAGATCGCACCACTACACTCTACCCTGAACGACAGAGTGAGATTCCGTCAAAAAATATATATATATATACACACACACACACGCATATATATATATTTAGCAGCACTAAATACATTAAACATACAGTTAACTCAAGATCAGGCACAAACTCGTATGTAGATTTGTTTCCATTTTATAAAAGAAACTGAAGTTCTGAAGTTAGGGCACATAATCACCACTGGGTAGAGCAAGATTCAAACCTTGGCTTGACTAAAACACAAACTTTCCTTTCACACCACACTGAAAACACAATATTCAATTCATCTGGGCATGATGCTAGGTATAAACTGTTTTATATGATTTATTAATGAAAACACTCCAGTTTGCGCTATAATATATAAAACATATAAGCTATTACAGACAAGAGCAATGACCTCTTACCTTCTTTCCCATTTCAGCCCCTCCTCAAAATTCCAAACATGATAGAATATCTCAAATGACACATATTTGAATTATTATCACTATCTAATTAAAACATGCATTTACCACCAAGACGTAACTAAATGCTTCTTAACTAGAAGGTTCCGCAACTATCCCGCTTCACGGAAAATGCTTCTTAGCATGCTAAAAACAGGTATAGAAATTAGTGTGCCTTCATACCTAACAGGGAAAGTGAGGAAGGAATTCTACTTACTTTACAGACATTGTGGAAGCACTCAGTTGTCACAGGCTGGTAAACTAGCTCCTGACAGCAAACGCACATAAAAGATTGTTCCAATTTTTTCAGAAAATTCTAGAACAGTATCCAAGGATAAGGAAAGAAAAGTTAGCAGTTCATAATATGCTAATAAAATTCATCTACTGTGTATTTCAAAACAGCTAGTAGAGAATAATTCAAATGTTCCCAGCATAAAAGATGTTTATAGTGATGAACATTCCAATTACCCTGATTTATTATATGTTATATGAACATATCAAAATTTCACATGTATCCCAAAATATATCCATCTATTATTTAGCAATAAAAATGTTTCAGTCACATTTAATGTCTTCTATTTAGAGGCCGGGCGCGGTGGCTCACGCCTGTAATCCCAGCACTTTGGGAGGCCGAGGCAGGCGGATCACAAGGTCAGGAGATCGACACCATCCTGGCTAACACAGTGAAACCCCATCGCTACTAAAAATACAAAAAATTATCTGGGCGTGGCGGCGTGTGCCTGTAGTCCCAGCTGCTGGGGAGGCTGAGGCAGGAGAATGGAGTGAACCAAGAAGGCGGAGCTTGCAGTGAGCTGAGATCACGCCACTGCACTCCAGCCTGGGTGACAGAGCGAGACTCGGTCTTAAAAAAAAAAAAAAAAAAAAAAAAAAAAGTCTTCTATTTAAAAAAATCAAGTACTCTTGATTTTTAACTACCTGAGAAGAGCAAAGTTATATAAAGAAATCCCATTCCATACACATTAGTTTTAAATCAGAGTATTGGGTAGGAAAAGTTGCAAAGTCAATATATGATGTTAAAAAGTCAATGTCCCCCTAAATGTCACATTCCAGGGACAAACTATTTTTCACTTAAAAAATAAAAAAATCATGGGCAACGTGTCTCAAGGTCATTACATACTGACTGCCTTTTTTCAAAAAGCTGTTTTGCACAGTATTCCAAAGTATGAACATGTATTATCTATTCAATCTTCTGCTGTTATAAAACTTGAATATTTGTCTTTAGGAGCTTAAAAAAAAACACTAGGAAACAATACTCTGTAGTATCTAATACCATAAACAAAACATTTATTTTCCTAGGATTATTCTGTCATATTTTACCTCAATCCTAAAATCCCATACCTTCCTGATGCTAATGTTTATTTACAGTAGGAGGAAATTATAAAAAGTAGAGCCACCTAATGTAAACATGATCAAATGGATACCCTGTATTCTTCAAAAGCCATTACTGGCTCCATTTCATCTTGGCTGGTTTTTTTTTTTAAGCTAGAAGGAAAACTAGTTTTTTTCCTAGTCATAAAGATAATCCTTCAGTTATTTTAGGTAGTAAGGGAGTATATTTCATATTTATTTTTTATATTAATAGAAAAAGTTAAGGCCAAGCATGGTGGTTCACACATGTAATCCCAGTACTCTGGGAGGCTGAGGCGGGTGGATCATTTGAGGTCAGGAGTGCTAGACCAACCTGGCCAACATGGCCAAAACCGTCTCTAGAAAAAAATACAAGAAATTAGCCGGGCGTGGTGGCGGGTGCCTGCAATCCCAGCTACTTGGGAGGCTGAGGCAGGAGAATCACTTGAACCCAGGAGGTGGAGGTTGCAGTGAGCTGAGATCATGCTACTGTACTTCAGCCTGGGAGACAGACCACAACTCCGTCTCAAAAACAAACAAACAAACAAAAAAACCTTACAAGTTTCAAATTTAAAAATTGAATGTCACATTTCAAAAGATGTCTCATATTAACTGATTTATGAACATGGATCATTAAAGTCAAATATATTACAGACAAAGTATTATAAACACATTTTTAAAATATGGCAATTATGTGGAGATGCTGGAAACTTTATAACAGGTACTCTCTCCCTAACAAACACCTTTGTTAATGACCAATATTTAACCTGGTACTTCCACAGTTCCTATAATACGGGTATATCTAATACAGGTATTTTGAGTTACAGGTAGCTACAATGTGCTAGGCACTCATCTACAGTGGTAATAAAAAGGCAGTCTGTGCTCTCCTGGAACTTACGTTCCTACAGCAGAGTAAACAAACAAAAACTGTTTCAGATAGTAATAACTGATGAAACAGAGCAAACTGACTCATGCCTATAAACCCAGCTACTTAGGAGGCTGAAGCGGGAGGATTGCCTGAGCCCAGGTGTTTGAGATCAGTCTGGGCAACATAGTAACCCCATCTGTTTGGACTTTTTAAACTAAATTTTAAAGAGTTGCCATTTTAGAAAGGGTAGTTTGGGAAGATCTCTCTGAGGAATCTATTTATACAGACTTAAAGGATATGAAAGAGTGAGACACATGAAAAGAGAATTCCAGTCAGAGTAACAGTATGTATGTAAAGGCCCAGGGGTATCAAGACGTCGAGCATGTTTAAATAAAACAGTGACCACTGCAGTCAAGCAATCTGGGCACAAGAGTACCAGTTTAAGAGGAGACTACAGATGTAGGTAGGGCTGCTGATCACAGGGCCTTTGGAAGGAGTTTGGACATAAATATATATACACATATGTATTTATTTAAAGTCACTGTTGGCTAACACCTGTTTTTTTCTGGCTTAATAAATGTGTTCCTGGCTTATCTGAAGAGAATGGGCATGAAACTTGTCCAGGGCAATAGTACATAACATCCAAAGTAATCACTAGCAGCAAGGTCACAATAATATGACCTAGGAAGGTCAGAATCTGTCCCAGTGGGACACTACCCATAGGGAAGACAACTTTCACACCACTCAGGTGGCTTTTTCCTCCATCTGTAATTGCTTCTCTCCCACCTACAGTGGAAACTCACCTCAGTTATCACTAACAAGCCCTATCTTTCCCAATCAGAGAATAATTAGGCTGATTAACAACTGCTTCCTGTATCTTAATTTCCTATAAGTGAAAATGAGTGTGACCTAACAAAGTCAGACTCTGCTTACGCCTGGGTGTCTTGGCTAAAATACAAGTAAACACTTCTCAAAGTGTAATCACTTTCCCCTGTCCTCTAAACATGTAAGCTTCATTTTGCCAAAGATAACTCAATGTATCACATTTATAGACAAAGGAAGTAACGATTCCAATATAAATCCAAATATTTGATAAATTTCAGCATTTCTAAAAGTTTAAAAATCATATTTAAAAAATTCTTCCTTAATAATAATGACTATTTCTCACAAAGGAAACTCTGTAGAGTTTTTGTGTTGCTGCTTTCAGCCTAGATAGAAAAGACATACAGACATGGGGGCACATCAACACTTTGGAGAGAAAGAAAACAGAAAAGTAATTGTATTATAAATGACAAGGGGTCAATATTTAATAGAAGATTCAAATTTATAAGTAAAATTAAAGACACAATAAGTGAGGAAAGAATGAAGAGATAGTTCATATTTGAAGACTCCAACTTTAGGGATTTGATAAGAAGGGCTTGTTTGCAAAACACAGCTTAACACAAAGCCCACACATTAATTAACTGTGATTCCTTTTTACTTTAAAATTATGTGATTAATTTAAAGATTAAGAAAAAATGAAAATTTAGAAACATAAAATACTTAATAGATAATCTGGTTAATTTTACCACTTAGTTTAACATGTAGGTTTTGAAAATTGTGCTGAACTGCTTAAGACTTATGCGGTTAGGTAACTTTGAACTGTAACAAAAACTTTCGTGGTGATTTTTAGATTAAAATGACGATGTTTCACAAACTGAAAATTCTTCTGAGGAACAGTACCTCAAAGTAAAGTAACTTTGGGCATAGAGAAGTCAAAATCCAGCATCTAAGAGGTTTAAAGTAAATTTAGGCGCATGTATATGTGTTGCCTCAGATTATTTCTGAAAGGTAGTGGCACTGGATTAGAAAACCGGGTAGAAGGATGAAGTTTTGACTGATGTGTGAAAAACAGACTTCATGAGACAATTATTTATCATTTGTTAATATCAGAATGTTATTATTTAAAAAAATCTTCACATACTGGTCCTTCCACAAGATGTGAAAGCACTTCATCCCACAGCTTCTGGTTTTGACAATCTTCTCTGATGAGATGTTGCTGTTGAGGAGTTAGTTGAAAAGCCTCAATTGCTTCTGCTGAATCTGATGCTTTGTACACTTTGGAGGCACTTGGACAGTCATCTAGATTTATTTTAAAAATGTATCAGCAGACTTACAAGTGGTTCTAAGCAGAACTATGAAACAAAAGAGTTAACTGGCACAAGTAATGTTTAGCAGAAAGATAACCAACATAAAACAGCATCTAATTTCCCCTAAAATTTAGGATACTGTTATTTCCTGCTATTTGGCTCTGACACTATTAAACAAAAGATCCATCTTCTACCATGCCCCCCCAGCCAAATCCTTTGCTTTCATTTAAGTCTCAATTTATTTTCTTAATATTTCTCTTTATTAAAAAGTATGTTGGCTGGATGCAGTGGCTTCTGCCTGTAATCCCAGCACTTTAGGAGGCTGAGGCAGGAGGATCCCTTCAGCCCAGGAGTTCAAGACCAGCTTGGGCAACATGGAGAAACCCCATCTTTACAAAAGATACAAAAATTAGCCAGGTGTGGTGGTGTACAGCCGTGGGCTACTTCAGAGGTTGAGGTAGGTGGATCGCTTGAGCCCAGGAGGTCAAGGCTACAGTGAGCCAAGATCTTTCCACTGCACTCCAGCCTGGGTGACAAGAGTGAGACCCCGTCTCAACAACAACAACAACAAAAGTATGTTATTATTATTTATATTTTGCAATCATTACCTACCATCTGAAATTGGCCTTTTTGTGGTTCCACTGGGCTGCTTCTTTGACTGTCCTTTAGGCTTCTTCCCTTCTTTATCTGAAGGGTAACCTGCTGGATACTGATGGGGGGGGAGGAGGGAGAGTACAATGCAGATTTAAGCTTCACAGAGAAGGGGGGTTTAGATCCTGGTGAGAAATTAAAAGGGAGGGGAAGACTACACGTTCCCCAAACTGAAAAACTTTACATAAAAGAAACAGACATTTAAAGGAAAAGAATTCAAAGCACAGACAACTATTAAAATCCCAATTTATGTAGCTGTGACTGCTAAGAGATTCCATTTTATAATACACTGATCTTAAGTTTCAGATCTAAGAAAGGTAAGTCTTCAGGAGTTGTGATTAGATTTCCTTAAAGTTTAAGGAAAGTAGAATACAGAAATGAAGGTAAATGAGAACCAATCATAGAGCACAACAGATAGAAAGCAGATGGATTGGATCACAGTAAATTGTGGAGTTGATCTAAAAAAATATCAAGAACATTAAGGGTCAAACTTCTCATCTCCTAAAGTTAGCGGCAGGAGCTTTTACAAGACCTAAAGCAACTAAATTACTAAATCCTCCACCAGCTAAGAGTTAGATTTGAAGTAATACATTCTATCTATCATCCTTATGTTTCAATGGCTACCTTCTTTGAGGGGGTGGGTGGGGTGGGAGAAGCATGCTTTGTAATAACAGTCATGCTTAAAGCACTGTATGTTTCAGGCCTCAATGACTATTACTCATCATAGCAGATGGGCTCACATGCTTCTGCTCACAGTTTCAAATATAACCTATCTAGAACAATGCTCTCAACAGGGACATCTGAAAAATCTTCTGAAAGTGAATTTGACAAAGTTATTTTTATATTAAAAAGAATTATTTTAGTAGTTGTTTTAGCAGTTGATGGCCTTATTTTCAACAATCAATTCTATGAGTTTAAAAAGACAACAAAAACAGAAACAGACTTGCATTAGAAGACACACACTCACCTGCCTGGGTGGTCAGACACTTGCCCATAGTTCAGCCCCTACACATGCAGTGTGGGCAGAGCCAGGGGAAATGATAAAGCTGGCAGTTTTTACGGGAAGCACAACAATGGGGAATGATGGGAGATGAACTCAAACCATGCTCTGAAGTCAGTGTCAGGGACAAATTCTAGGGTATACAGGCAGTGAAGGGATTAATGCAGCCATACCATCCACTATGCACACAAAATCAACGAAGTCTTTATGGGTTAACAGCTGAGCATGGGCAAAGGGGAAAAAAGACAAAGCACTAAAGGTGGTGGCAGGGCAGGGAAGCAGCTTTGCGGGGGAAGAGAGAAAAGGGGTGAGGAAAAGTGAGAAAGGGAGAAGGCAGACCACTCTTATAAAGCCACCTCCCCACCCTTCCCCTACCAGAGAGACACCCCCTGTGCCCTCTAGGATAAATGTCCTTTTCCAGGGCCTCCTATACCTAAATTTTATGAATCCCTTTCCCTCACACTTCAAGTCATTTCCAAATTGATTTGGAAATATTTTACTTTTAATTAACAGGTCCAACTTTTCCCAAGCACAACCCTTGGTCCCAGGGCAGTCTGACATCTAGGATACTACCTTTTCTCTTCTTTTCCTCTGTCTATTTGCATGATCTTATTCCTCACCCCTTATAGTCCACCAGTCAATTGCTGTGGGTTATATCCAGTGTTAAGGCATGTAGATAGAAGAGGTGTATATTTTTATGAACACACAGGCAGCCTAGACAAATGTAATCTAACCTGTAAACGTAGACATAATCTCCTTGACCGTTCTATTCCTTCAGAGGTCCAAGGAGCAGGTTCAACATCATCTCTTCTTAAAAGATAGCGCCAAACCAAGAATCCATGGCTTGATGAAATCTCTGGCCAGTATTTCACCACCTAAATCACAATATTTCAGTGCCAGTTTGAGATTTAAAATTTAGACTTATTCATCACATTAGTGGTATCAAAATAATCTTTGCCAGAACTAAATGCAACTTCTGAATATTCTGCTTTGCTGTAAGGACAGTAAGTCAAGAATATTCACTAAAACAGTTTTGACCTTAATTCCTATTACAGTACTTCCCATGAGGACAGACTGCTATAAATTTAATAGAGTAACAAGATTATGCTAATTAACAGAATTTTGTATCGTAAAGATGGCAGCAAATGCCTCTTTTTAAACAAAGAATGAAAATCTATTACTATGATGTGCTGCTTTGAAAATCTATTACAACTAAAATCATTCAAAAAGATATATAAAAATCAAGTTATACAACAGCCAGTTACTTAAATGGCTTTATTATAGAGAACATACACTTACATTTTAAAAAAAAAAACCTTAACCCAACTCTGCCCCTAGGAACTCGAAATAAGCCTTAAAAGTAAAGTGCTGAAGTTAAGAGTTTGCTTTATGCATCTGTTCAATTTCCAGAAAAAGTAGCAATATAAGATGGCTACTGTTTCCTCGAGCCCACCCACAGTAGTTCCTTGCAACAACCCTGCCTTGAAAGCCCAGGAAGAATGACAAACAAGATGTCATGCCAGATAGAGCACCTTATAAATGCCATCATATCTGTTGCCTTCTTCAGGAGCATATTTGCTGATCTTCCTCCCTTTAAAACTGCGTATCACTCTGACTGGCTTACCAGCTCTCCAATTCCGAGACTCTGCTCCAATTTTATCATCCAATGGAGCATCACAGTTTAGGGCCAATGCCCTAAAAAACAACAAAGAAGTCTTTATACCATGTAATTTTTCTTCAAGTACACAATCGAGTCATTAGCTCAATTAAAAGGTGAATTATACCTTACCTGATGGTTAAGATTCTATGATTCTTTCCATATTATTCCAGATAATAGGATTATGCTTTCCCCCACCAGCAGAGAAGACAAATCAGTTTTCTGATGTCACCCCCAAGCCAGGGGATTGGTTCTCAGATAGCCTGTAGGGTTCTTCTGAAAGTAATAACATCTGTGCCACGTATAATAGAAAACAACTAGAAATACATGGAATTTTTCTTTAAATAACGTTTGTTGGGGGAAGGGAGAACGTTGGAAAACTAAAGCAAATGATTTTTTCAATAGTGATCTTTGGTAAGGGTGTAAGGTGAATTGCTGGAATAATGTAGAAAGAAATCCAGAAATATAAATTTGTCAGCAAGGTACAAATGACCTTCCCAGGTCTACTTTCCACATTCCAGACAATAGAGAATCCTTAAAGTTTAAAAGATATTAAGAATAAGTGGTGTATGAGAATGTTCTTTAAAGGTCTCCATAAAAAGATAAATTTCAATAAGCCTGAAGCATCCAAATGCCTGTGCTAATGACAATGAAGACTTCTGGCTGCTTGAGATCACTACATTTTACTGATAATGCATTAATGCATGGTCAAAGAAGAACACTGAATTGGAAGTAGTACCTGACTTAGCTGGAACTTATTTAGTATATGCATTCACCTAATAGTAGTAAATCAATGAGCTTATTAGATGTTAGAAGACCTTACTCTTGGGAGAACCTAGTTGTACCAAAATCTGTATTTAAGTTATTTTTACTATTTTAAAATAACAATTTTAGAATCAGTTTAAAATTAGCATTTTCCTCTAGGACACCTACGTCTTAAGTGAAAAGAAAACACTGAGAACACTTAAGGTTTAAAAAACAAACAAAAAACAGAACTATACCCAATCTGGTGAAAGCAGATATGACATAAAATACTTCTTCAGGGTTTAATTCTTTTTATGCAGGCTCAAGTTAAAAAAAATAGACGTCAAGAAAATGACTAACCTATTGAAAAGAAATGTCTTGACCATAATTATATTTTTAGTGAGTAAATAAACTTGAAAGTATTTTGTTTTAAAAAATAACTTATATAGCTGTGGTCAAAGAGTTGAAGCTTCCCAAGTTACCTTTTTTTTTTAATCTAAAAGGAAGATGCATTAAAATTCTGAGAGGTAGAAAAAAACACAGCCATCAACTCTAGGGCTACTATTACGTCTTACAGAATACCTATTGAGATATTACACCTATTTTATCTTAAAGAGCTAGGGTAAGTTTCATTCATGTCACTGAATGGAATGCTTTAATGCTCACAGATACCTTCAGTCATAATTACTGCCACCACTAACTGGCACTGTCAACTCACTTCTGGCTTCAGATAATTAGGCTATTCAAGTATATGAAAAGAGTCCAAGAGGATGAAACTAGGCAATACAGCAACAAAGCTCCTCCATTAATCTATCTGCCACTCAGCCAGTCAGGTGCCTCTGACTGCCCTGATAAAAGATGGCCAGGTTACTTTGCTGCCCTCTTCAGTTTCTTAAAGTTTGAAGAGCTGGGAAGAAATAGGAATAAACTCAGAAGCAAGAAGGTGTCGAACTACCTCTTAGCAAAGAAGCAAAAATGAATTCAACCATACACTACTGGGCAAAGAGTATACTATGGGTCAGAGCAAAGTGCCTTTCACCTCAGTTTTCATGTTTGTAAGACATACAGGTACCTTTGCCCAAGCACTTTTACAATCACAAGGCGTATTCACAACTTAACGTATAAACTGACCAGATGTTAAAGTCTCTCTGATAATTCAATCCTAAATTGTTTTCAGTTGATATTTCATTTTCACTATCTCCTCTTTATAGAAAACATGTTTACTGCTTGTCAATTATTTTCTAATGAGATTGTAGCGGTACTTATCAGATTGTCCAAAAGTGTGAAAGGAATCTTAACATGTACATTACAATGGTGGGTAGTTATGAAGGAAGTTCCTTTCAAGCAAAATTATCGATTATTAAAGGGAAAAATAATTTTCAGATTTGACAACTTGAAAGAGTCCTTTTGCAAATTTGAGATACATTTTCATTGACAAAAACACATCAAAATATTTATTTTAAGACACTCTTCTTGAAGGACTGCTTTCTTGCTAGAAAAGAATAGCTAAGCTCCTGTCTCAAGAATGTTTTCACCAGCAAATCTGACCTGTCTCCTCTGCTGGTTCAGTAAAAATAATCCTACTATCAGAAACAATATAGAACACATAAAAACAGAGATTCTATGTAAATTGATACGCATGAAAGTCTTGAAATCATACTGGTATATTCTTTACATCACACAGTAATCAGAAATTAAGGGGACACTACTTAAAACTGAGTGATTTAGACTCAAAGTGAAAAACACTCACTTTTACTCAATCGACAAAATACCCTTAGTAACAGGATATAAAAACTGTTAACTTTATGAAATGTTCACAAAAATTTCAGCAGGACAAACTATAATGTGATTTTTGCTATCTGGTGGTCTGGGTTACTTATTAATATTGGTATTAGCATGCATTTATAAAATAAAACATTTTGAAATTAATAAATTTTCTGTACCCACGGGAGCTGAGATGTCATTAGTATTTCTATAGAATAAAGATCAGCACACGGTGGCTCTTTTGTAATGTCTTAAGGGGATTTAGTTAGAAAAGATCACTTTTGTAACTAAATGAACATTCCCTTTAACAACTCTTAGAAGATATCTGATTAGCAGACATTCTAAAAGTACATTCAGTACAGATCTGATTAAGTTACCTTATGTTTCATTTATGTACATAAATGTGGCTCCCAAACATAACTTTATTTCAAATTACTGAGTTTACTCTAAAAAGGAGTTTGTCACTTTTAGCTTTGACCAATGGAGTAGTAGACAAGCCACCTTATTCTCAATTTCACTTAAATTACACAGGCTCCTTTCCTTCAAAGTTGTTAACATTTTCAAATGCATATCACATGTATTCAGTAAGACTAGAAATTATGGCATTTAAAAAATAACAGTATAAAGATATGTTAGGATGCTGAAAAACAATTACATAATCAGGCACTGGAATTTTAATTTCAGATCTTTAACTCCCAGTTTGAAATTCTCCTCTGCAACGTAAGTTACAATTTACAGTCCTATAATGAAACTTTTATTCAATGTTCAAATTCTAAACAGTGTCTATAGTAGTACCTGTTCATGTTTGTTAATGTTTGATCAGCTGAAGGTGCACCAATTCTTTTGTTACCAGCAAGATTTTTACCACCGCTTCCAGTGTATGTGAACTCATCACCTCGGTCCTGTCAGAGAAGATTTTCTTTATTAAGAAAGCTAAACCCAAGTATAATTTCATCAATTCTTATTTCAGAGTCAAAACATTTCATTAGGATGTTATGAGTTGACATTTTCTCTTGAGGCATCTCCCAAAATAATGCAAAATTTAAATGCAATCTTGTGTGTAGTATACTTTCAAGTCATATAACTTGACCTAACACTTTCACTTTAAATTATACTTTTCAACATCTCCAAATATGGTTAGTCTCATGCTATATATGTAGTAAAATAATCAACAGAATGTTACAAACAAGGTAAGGTCTTATGGATTTAAATATTATATTTTATTCAATTCAATGTTAAAACTTATCAATACTAGCTTGTAGGTTCTTTATAGATAATACCACTTCAACAAACACTCCATAACCAAATTTCCAACTGACATCTACACCATACCTAAGTGTGCTGCCTCAAATTTCAAATTCTGGCATTGACAATAAATAAGTACTACAAAAGCAAATTTACCTAAAAACTTCACCTTAACTTTTTTTTTTTAAACAGAGTCTTGCTCTGTCACCCAGGCTGGAGTGCGGTGGCACGATCTCGGCTCGCTGTAGCCTCTGCCTCCCAGGTTCAATCGATTCTCCTGCCTCAGCCTCCCAAGCAGCTGGGATTACAGGAATGTGCCACTACGCCTGTCTAGCTTTTGTATTTTTAGTAGAGATGGGGTTTTGTCATGTTGGCCATGTTGGTCTCCAACTCCCGGTCTCAAGTGATCCACCCGCCTTGGCCTCCCAAAGTGCTGGGATTACAGGCATGACCCACTGCGCCCTGGCTTTCATATTAAAATTCTAACAGCATAGTTAAGTTCCCTTTATTTCACATTCTGTGGGTTCACCCATATCACACATTCAGGTAAAATAATAGCCTCCCATTAAGAAGAAATTTGGAAAAAATTTGAAAAATCTAAAAGTAGTATAAAGTATCTACTAAATGTAAAAAAAAAAAAAAAAAAAAAAGCCAAAAGCTCTCCAATTACTTCTATAGCAGCTACAAATTTATATGGATATTATTGTCTCTATCTGATTCAGTACTTGAAACAAATTAAGAAAAGTAACTATCAGTGCACAATTAATCCTACTAACACTAGCAAAATAGTGATTCTTTAATGCAAGATCATTTTAATTAGTTTAGACAACTTAGACAATGATGTTTTGTGTCTACTAAATTCGTATTATAGAAGTCAATTATTTATACTTTGTTTTTCCCTTGGATTAAAAGCCACAAATAAACATCTCATGGTCTTAAAGTGTTATTGGTCCAAAACCCTTAAATTTACTTTCACCTTTTGTTAATCCAATATTAAGGTCTACATATTTTTTAAACAAGGTATTACGAAACTTAATCTTTAGTATGTATTCTATGAGAAGGAATTCTAATAAATACGTACATCTAGAACAGTTTAGAATACTTCTTAAACTGATCAAAACCAGTCTTCCACCCGGTATCTGGACAGACTCCACAATATTCATATTCATAACTCTGTCAACTTTTCAAGTTATTATGGGAGTGCCATAAAGAAAAAGTAATGGAAAGTAAGAGAGCATAATAAGACAAATGTAAGCTAAATAGTATTTAAAACATTTCTGATTATTCTTCAAGCAGCAAATCAAGGAAACATGGCTAAAATTCTGTACCATTAACTCATTTGTACTTTAATCATTACATCAACAAAAACATTATATTATCACGAGGGAAAAAACTGTCAAGACTGTAAGAGCTCAAACCATATTATTTCAGGCTATTTTTCCTATGGAAAGGCCAGGCGCAATGATTCATGCCTGTAATCCCAGCACTGTGGGAGGCCAAAGCAGTTGGCCTGCTTGAGCCCAGGAGTTCAAGACCAGCCTGGGTGACATAGCGAGACCTTGTCTCTATTAAAAAATAAAAATAAAATATTTTTCCTATGGAAAAATAATCAGCCTAAATTTGTTGCATCTTCTAGTCAATGATCCATTAAATTGTGCCTGGCAGGCAGTAGCCTAAACAAGTTCTGCTGCCTGGGAAGAGCTCACATAAAGCAGCTCTATCTGCACAAGGGACACAGCACTGCCCCAAAGTAACTCAGTTCTTCAGTTATTCCCAACCTCTATTCTTCTCCCAAGCTGCTAAAGCAACTGCCTAAGACAACAAGCTGGATGCTCACATTCTTGCCATCATCAAGATCAGGTGGAAGACCTTTATCCCAAACTTCTCAGCCTCCTCCCTATAGACTATCAGATAAATAATTCCAAAGCACAATGAAGACAAACATTCTCCAAACTCCTTTAATGACTTAATTCAAGGTTGTCTAGACCATAGCCTCAAATGTTACCAACTTCTCTCATAACACCCTTTACATCCCTGCAAAACTGTACCACTGCTAGTGTAACACACATCTACTACTGGTGGGTTAGGTGGTGTTAGGAGAAGCATTTTACGTATAATTAATTCATTTAAACCTCACAGCAAGCCTTTAAGTGCTATAAATCTTATTTTACAGATGTGGCAGAGGTTCAGTAAATCGCCTAAAATCACACAACTAGGAAAAGAGATGGCTCCACAGCCAGGACACAAAACCAAACAGACTCTGGCTTCCGAGTCTTCTCCTGAACACTGAGCAAACTACTTCTCAAGACAACTGAGAGGTCATCTTTGTGGGTCCTCACTTCTCAGAAGAGGTCACCAAAATACAAGGCACTAAAACTGGCATTTGATTAATTCTTAAGTTACTAGGCTAAAATATTAACTCAGTTATCAGCAGGTACGCAAGAGTATTACATCCATTCACCCAGACAGAACAAAGATCACTGGCTTCATGAAATTTATACCAAATTCAAGAATTCAGGAAACTTTTTTTCTTAAATGTGAAAAGCTTATTCAGGTTTCCTTTTCCTAATCCTATAGATATACTTGCCTACAATAGAAAGATCAAAAAGTTGAAAATGCTTATAAAATATATAAACATTTCCAGACACATTTTAGCTGTCAATCAAGGCCTATATGTCATCTTAGTCCTAAAATTTTTCTTCACATTATGTAACAGACTTAACTAAGACAATTAGCAGTTCATCAGTACTTATCTCCACAAATGTTTTAACGTTTGACCAGTAAGTATATTCAAAAACATGGAAACAAGAAAATAAACTTCATATATTTAAGATAATATTCTTTTCTTCTTTTTAAAGACAGAGTCTCACTTTGTCATCCAGGCTGGAGTACAGTGATGTGATCTTGGCTCACCGCAACCTCTGCTTCCTGGGTTCAAGTGATTCTCCTGCCTCAGCCTCCCAAGTAGCTGGGATTACAGGCATGCATCACCACGCCTGGGTAATTTTTGTACTTTTAGTAGAGACGGAGTTTCATCATGTTGGCCAGGCTGGTTTCGAAGTCCTGACCTCAAGTGATCAGCCCACCTCGGACTCCGAAAGTGCTGAGATTACAGGCATGAGCCACTGTGACTGGCCTTATTTAATATTCTGCTACAGAGAATATAACTAACATTTGAGTCCGTGCTATGTGCAAAGGGCCACATAAATTATCTCAGTTAATGTAATCATCTTCTCCACATAAAATACTATTTCTTCTTTTTACAGATGGGGAAACTGAGTTACCAGAGTTAAATAATTTGGCCCAAGTCTCAAATACAACAAATGTCAGAGACCAGATCAAATACAATTGCTCAGACACTAAAAACAAATGTTAAAGAGACTACATTTCTAGTTGGTTTATTTATAAAGCCTTCAAAAAATTCCAAGAGCTGACTGTAATAAACTATATAACATCTTTTGTATTTCTGACAAATATACAAAGATATAGCTTCAAAATATGGATGCTAAAGAAGAATGCAAAGGATGAACCTAAATATTTCCATTTCCATTTACTTTGCCATGTTAATGTAAATGCACTGCCAAATCCGCCTTTCAGAAAGCCAGCACGCTTTTCTATTTGTCTGAAAACATACTATATTTTGTGTTCTCTCTCCATAACTACTCATATTGATTCATCTTTGTAACAATCCATGAAAGCAAGTAAATACCTGAAGACCACATATCTGATGAATGGTAAAAAAAAAAAAAAAAAACAAAAACCCAATTAGAAAATGGCCAAAAAACCTGAAGTGCTATACTACTAAAGAGGCTATACAGATGGCAAATAAGCAAACGAATCACGTCCAACAATAAGATATCAACACACACCTATCAGAATGGCTAAAACAAAAAACAGCAACAACAGCGAATGCTGGTGAGATGCAGAGAAACTGGATCACTCATATACTGCCGATAGGAACATAAAATGGTAGTCACTGGAGAAAACAGTTTGGCAGTTTCTTTAAACAACTAAACATGCAACTGCCACATATGACCCAGGAATTGCACTTCTGGGGCATTTATTCCAAAGAAATAAAGACTTACGTTTACAAAAAACCTGTTCACAAATATTTACTGTAGCTTTATCTGTAATAGCTAAAAACTCAAAAGAACCCAGCTGTTCTTCCATGAGTAAATGATTAAATGAACTGTGGTACATCCACACCATGGACTAGTACTCATCAATAAAAAGAAATGAACTATTGATACATGCCACAATCTCCAGAGAATCATGCTGAGTGGAAAAAGCCAATCCTAAAGGTTAATATATAATATGCTACATACTTCCATTTATAAAAATTCTTGAAGTGAGAAAATTACAGGAAGAAATGAGGCTGGGAGCAGTGGCTCACGCCTGTAATCCCAGCACTTTGGGAGGCTGAGGTAGGCGGGTCACTTGAGGTCAGGAGTTTGAGACCAGCCTGGCCAACATGGTGAAACCCCACCTATACTAAAAATACAAAAATTAGTCAATGGCGATGCATGCCTGTAGTCCCAGCTACTCGGAAAGCTGCACCAGGAGAATCACTTGAACCTGGGAGGCAGAGGTTGCAGTGAGCCGAAATCGCATCACTGCCCTGTAGCCTGGAAGACAGAGTGAGACTCTATCTCAAAAAAAACAAAACAAAACAAAAAAAAAACACTCAGCACGGTAGCTCATGCCTGTAATCCCAGCACTTTGGGAAGCCGAGGTGGGCAGATCACCTGAGGCCAGGAGTTCCAGACTAGCCTGGCCAATATGGAGAAACCCCATCTCTAGTAAAAACACAAAAATTAACCGGCCGCCTGTAATCCCAGCTATTCAGGAGGCTGCTTGCAGTGAACTGAGATGGCGCCATTGCACTCCAAGCTGGGCGACAAGGGCAAGATTCCATCTCAAAAAAAAAAAAAAAAAAAAAAAAGAAAAGAAAAAGAGAAAAGATTAGTGGTTGTCAGAGGTTAAGAAGCAGTGGGGGGGCTACGTCTGATAGGTGTAGCTATAAAAGGGCAACACAATAATGGAAACTGTGGTAATATAAATGTTCAGCCTGACTGTATAGTGTCAATATCCTGGTTCTGATATTGTACTATATAGTTTTGCAAGATGTCACCACTGGGAGAAACTGGGTAGAGGGCACAGGATCCCCTTCCCGCATTTTTTTTTTTTTTTTTTTTTTTTTTTTTTTTTTTTTTTTTTTTTTTTTTTTTTTTAAGGAGACAGGGTCTTGCTCTCTGTTCACCCAGGCTGGAGTGCTGCGCTGGCATGATCATGGCTCACTACAGCCTCGACCTCCTGAGCTCAAGCAATCCTCCTGCCTCATCCTCCTGGGTAGCCGGGACTACAGGCACATGCCACCACACCCAGCTAATTTCTCTGTTTTTTTGGTAGGGACAGGGCTTTGCCACGTTGCCCAGGCTGGTCTTGAACTCCTGAGCTCAAGAGATTCACCCACTTCAGCCTCTCAAAGTGCTGGGATTACAGGCATGAGCCACTGGATTCGGCCCTCTGTATTGTTTCTAATGCTACACGTGAATCTACAACTATCTCAAAATAGTAAGTTTAATTTTAAAAAATAAACTCTATAGATTTAACACTGGAACCAGTTTTTATTTTTTAAAAGAGAAAACTTAAAGAAGAATGACCAAAAAAAGCTCTATAGAGGATGGGCACCGTGGCTCACGCCTATAATCCCAGCAGTTTGGGAAGCCAAGGTGCGCAGATCATCTGAGGTCAGGAGTTTGAGACCAACCTGGCCAACATGGCGAAACCCCAGCTCTACTAAAAATACAAAAATTGACCAGGTGTGGTGGCTCACGCCTGTAATCCCAACACTTTGGGAGGCCAAGGCGGGAGGATCACCTGAGGTCAGGAGTTCGAGACCAGCCTGGCCATCGTGGTGAAACCCCATTTCTACTAAAAATACAAGAATTAGCCAGGCACAGTGGTGCATACTTGTAATCCCAGCTACTCAGGAGGTGGAGGCAGGAGAATCGCTTGAATCTGGGAGGAGGAGATTGCAGTAAGCCGAGACTGAGCCACTGAACTCCAGTCTAGGTGACAAGAGTAAAACTCCGCCTCAAAAAATAAATACATAAAAATACAAAAATTAGCCAGGTGTGATGGCAGGCGCCTGAAATCTCACATACTTGGGAGGCTGAGGCAGGAAAATCACTTGAACCCAAAGGCAGAGGTTGCAGGGAGCTGAGATCACACCACTGCACTCCAGCCCAGGTGATATAGCGAGACTCCATCTCAAAAAAAAAAAAAAAAAAAAAAAAAGGAAAAAAAAATAAAAGCTCTATAGAGAATGTGTTTTCCTTATAATAATCACTTAACAAACACATATAAGTCAAACCAGTACATGTAAAGAATAAACACTGTCAAATGATTTACTTTCTAACTTGTATAAAACTGATTACTTCAACAAAAACTGTGCTAAAAAGACACAACAGTATTTGATGTATCCTAGGCAAAGCTATTCTATTTTACAAATGGTCAAGGCAGGTACTAATGAGTAAGGTTGTATAATGACTTACGACTTCATCCGCAAATCCACCAGCCAGTACAAGAGAATAAGCCCCATCATTACTTCGACCATGAATTCCACCAACATGGGGTCTGTGAACACCTGCTTCGCTCACCTATAAAACAATTAAAGAGAGTCTCAAAATACCTCTGAACAGTTAAGATACATTTACAAAATGCTTTCATATATATTCTTGGTACCTAAAGACCCAAGAAGTGAGTCTCACAGAGTTCTATCTTTTGCTCTCTCATTTTAAATCTCCTGGTACCTAAAGATCCAAGAAGTGAGTCTCACAGAGTTCTATCTTTTGCTCTCTCATTTTAAATCTCCTCAAACATATCCTTTAGGTTCTGAGAATTCTAAAACTGATTGCGTAGAATTCTGAGTTGCACAATAACTAGTAAATAATCATCTTATGTCTATTGGAACTTCCAGCTCAACTCAGCTAAAAGAGGACTACCAGCAGTCTATACCGTTTCTCTCTTATTTCTAGTCTTGGATAGTGGCCCTGTTGCCTACCTAGTTTGTGAAGTCAAAAATGCAGGAGTTATTTTAGCCCCATTCTTCTCCCTTATTCCTCAAACCCTTTTGGTTACAAGGATTGCTGATTTTACCTCCTAAATTTCTCAAATCCATCTTCTTGTACTTCCACTGTTCAATCGTAGTTTGAGTCATGAATGCTCACAACAGATCCTTTTTTTACTGCCTCTAGTTTTGCTCCTTCAAACCCATCCTATCTATCACAAACTGGATGATTCTTTTAAAAATAATTCTGCTTTTGACTTTCAACTTCTTAAAATATATTAAGTGGTCACACAGTATCAAACCCAAGTCAACATGATTTATTACCCTCTCTAAATATGGCTCCTATCTATTTTTCCTAGCCTTATGTGCAGCTTCTCCTTCAAGGAACATATATGCCTGAGCCAAAACTACTCAATATTACCCAAACATGCTATCCATTTCTACTTCAATGGATGACGGCTTTTCCCCTCATATCTTCATTCCTGCCTCACTGAAACAAGTGTCACTTCTTTGTGAACTTCAAACTCCCTGAAAAAGGTATTGCAGTTCATCTGTTGGTCATACAATTGGTTTTGGGTTTTGTTTTTTTTTTTTTTTTTTTTTTTTTGGGTAGAGACAGGGGTCTCACCATGTTGCCCAGGCTGGTCTTGAACTCCTGGGCTCAAGCAATCCTCCAGCCTCAGCCCCCAATAGTGTTGGGATTATGGTGTGAGCCACCACGCCTGGCCAATACAATTGTTCTTAGCAGAGTAAAGGAAACTGAATTCAAGCTTGCACAATAATTTGGGGCGGGGGGCGGGGGTGGAAAGGCACTTTAGAAGCTTTTAGAAGCCAACAAGAAGGTGACAGCAACAGAACCTGGAAAGGTTTTGGCTTTTGAAACACCTCAGCAGAAGGTACCATTTGATCTCCCCACCTCATCAACCCTGGCCAAAATAATCTGTTTTTCCTAAATCTTCCCCACTTTCTAAATAGCAAATCCATCTCACTAGATGCTCAGGAAAACAACCTCATAGTCATCTTAGACTATATAAGGAGGCTTTCAGAGTTTAGAAAATAAATACGTGACAGACAGGTATACGAAAAAAGATGCAAAAAAATAAGGCAATTAGAAATACACAAAGTGTATTTTTACTATATTTATAGTAGTATATTCAATTTATATACAGTATTTTATTGTATTTATAGATCCAAAGTCATAATAACCTAAACTCTGAATACTGGTTCAACCAAAATTATAATACAACTATTGCAAAGATAAGAGAACACAGAGAGTATTAAACTAAATGTTTCATCTTCCACAGAAAGAAGTTAATATGGCTGGGCACGGTGGCTCACGCCTGTAATCCCAGCACTTTGGGAGGCCAAGGCGGGTGGATCACCTGAGGTCGGGAGTTTGAGACCAGCCTGACCAACATGGAGTAACCCCATCTCTACTAAAAATACAAAATTAGCTGGGCATGGTGACGTATACCTGTAATACCAGCTACTTGGGAGGCTGAGGCAGGAGAATTGCTTGAAACCAGGAGGCGGAGGTTGCGGTGAGCCGAGATTGTGCCACTGCACTCCAGCCTGGGCAACAACAGCAAAACTCCGTCTCAAAAAAAAAAAAAAAAAAAAAAAAAGAAAGAAGTGAATACAACTAAAAGATAAATTAAAAACAGTATAAATACATTATTTATTAATAGAAATAAGAAGGTAGGGCAAGGCACAGTGGCTCATACCTGTAATCCCAGTACTTTGGGAAACTAAGGCAGGAGAAATTGACCCCAGGGATTCAAGATCAGTCTGGGCAATATGGTGAAACCCAGACTCTACAAAAAAAAAAAAAAACACAAAAATCAGCTGGGTGTGGTGGTGTGTGCCTGTAGTTTCAGCTACTCTGGTGGCTCAGAGTAAAGGACAGCTTGAGCCCAGGAGGGGACTGTGATTATGGCACTGCATCCAGGAGGAGGGGGGAGGAGGGAGGAGGGAAGAGACAGGAGGGAGGAGGGAGGAGGGAGGAGGAGGAGGAGGAGAAGCTGCTGCCACACCTGCCACCACCGCCGCCACTAAGCCTATAATCCCAGTGCTTTGGGAGGCCAAGGCTGGAGTACTGCTTTAGGCCAGGAGTCTGAGACTAGCCTGGGTAACATAGCATGACCCTGTCTCTACCAAAAAACAAAACAAAACAAAAACACAGCCAGGCATGGTGGTATACATCTTTACATCTTTAGTCCTAGCTAGGTGGAATGATCACTTGAGCCCAGAAGTCTGAAGTTACAGTGAGCTGTCATTGCTACTGCACTCCAGCCTGGGTGATAGAGCAAGACCCTGTCTCTTAAAAAAAAAAAAAAAGAAAGAAAGAAATAAGAAGGTAAATGCATAGGAGACAACTAAAATTTTAAAGTGGCTGCCTCTGAGAAACAGAAAATGATGATGAAGCCGGGTGCAGTGGCTCACGCCTGTAATCCCAGCACTTTGGGAGGCTGAGACAGGCAGATCACCCGAGGTTGGGAGTTCGAGACCAGCCTGACCAACATGGAGAAACCCTGTCTCTACTAAAAATACAAAATTAGTCAGGCGTGGTGGTGCATGCCTGTAATCCCAGCTACTTGGGAGGCTGAGGCAGGAGAATTGCTTGAACCCGGGAGGTAGAGGTTGTGGTGAGCCAAGATCGTGCCATTGCACTCCAGCCTGGGCAACAAGAGTGAAACTCTGTCTCCAAACAAACAAACAAAAAAGATAAAAGTAGGGCGCGTTTTTAAAATATAAATTATTTACTAGTATTTAATATATACATAGCTTTTCAAGCCATTTTTATGTATTACAGTTGGCCCACAGGTTCCACATCTGCCAAGTCGAGAGAGTAAAAAATATTTGGGAAAAATAAACAGACGGCTGTGTCTGTACTGAATCTGTCCAGACTTTTTCTTGTCATGATTCTGCAAACAATACAGTGTTAACAACTATTTACATAGCATTTACACTTTATTAGGTATTATAGGTAATCTAGAGGTGATTTAACATATAAAGGAGGATGTGCATAGGTTATATGAAAATACTGCACCATTGTATAAAGGATTTTTTTTTTTTTTTTTTTTTTTGAGACAGAGTCTCGCTCTGTCACCCAGGCTGGAGTGCAGTGGCACAATCTCGGCTCACTGCAACCTCTGCCTCCTGGGTTCAAGCAATTCCCCTGCCTCAGCCTCCTGAGTAGCTGGTATTATAGGCGCTTGCCACCACACCTGTCTGATTTTTGTATTTTTAGTAGAGATGGGTCTCACCATGTTGGCGAGGCTGGTTTTGAATTCCTGGCCTCAAGCGATCTGGCTGCTGCGGCCTTCCAAAGTGCTGAGATTACAGGTGTGAGCCACCACACCAGCCTGAGCTTGTGTGCAATTTGAGCATCCACAGACTTTGGTGTCTATAGGGGATCTTGGAACCAATCCCCGACAGATACCAAGGGATAAGTGTATGTTATCTAAATGTTATATTGTATTAAAGGTCTAAGTACCAGGGCCATTCAATATAAAAATTAAAGCCAGGCCGGGCGCAGTGGCTCATGCCTGTAATGGGAGGCCAAGGCAGGTGGATCACGAGGTTAGGAGATCGAGACCATCCTGGCTAACACGGTGAAACCTCGTCTCTACTACAAATACAAGAAATTAGCCAGGCGTGGTGGCAGGCGCCTGTAGTCCCAGCTACTTTGGAGGCTGAGGCAGGAGAATGGCGTGAACCCACGAGGCAGAGCTTGCAGTGAGCTGAGATCGCACCACTGCACTCCAGCCTAGGCAACAGAGCAAGACTCCATCTCAAAAAAAAAAAAAAAAGGCCCCTCTTATTTAATATTCAGAATCCTGGGTGTCTGTAATTGGAAATGGGAAATTATTTTATTCTTGGATTAGCTGGCACTTCCTCTGCCCAATGTCTTAGCATTTGTTCAGGAGGATAAATCCCAAAAACAACACCTGAAACAAGCTTAGAGTTCCACGACATTCAATGAGAATTTGCCACATGATTCAAGTTTAATATTTCAAATGCTAAATTTTTGGCAGGAAAGGCTGTTTAGAAAGCTTAACAATAATGGTTACTACCACAACTATAACAGAACAGTAAAAACAAAGTGATGAAAATGCATAGCTAATGCCCAATTCTGTGATGTATGTTCCTTTGTTAACCTCCAGGAAGAGTACACCCATCCTAAAAAATATATTTCATTCTAACAAGTGAATGTCATGTGTTAGGTTCACTTACAATCAACAGACATTAACATTGCTATAATCTGATAGCCAATTCTCCCCTTTCAACTAAGCCCAAGTTAAAACATACCTGAACTCTAAATCTCCAAGTTGATCCAACAGGAATACCAGGAATGGGTCCATAATGATTAGAAGGGACAATAGTACATTCTCTCGTACGACCAACACAAGCCATTCCCTACAAGACGCAAAACAAACGTTGAGAAATCAGTTATGTTAAATTTTAATGAAAGCCCTTAATTCTGAGATGTGACTAGGAACCCAACTGTTTATGTAATTTAAGTACCATTGATATTAACAAATAATGATACTGTTTAATCTTTTATACCATTACTACTATTGGTATTAAAACATTATATATTATAACTTGCTATTAGGAAGAAAAGGGGAATTTCTTCTTTACCCTGCCCCAGTCTCTTCGGCTTTCAGTACTAGCTGACGGCATCTTTGCTTTCTTTTTACTCATCTTGAGTCTTTCACCAGCCTTTACAACTTCACTGGAATCAGTTTTACAAGAAGGACAATACCTTTAAAAGAAAAAAAAGAACGAAGGCATTTTCACAATACCATATTAAAGCTAGTAACAGAATATTAGCCTTCCTAGGTAAGAGCAAGTTTTAAGATGTATTATTTGGTATACATTACAGAGCTTTAACTGGCATTAAAATACTAAACTTTTCAAAATATTTACATGGTTAGGCTGGCTTTAAAAATATCCTTGTCATTCCTTTAGATAACTTATAAATCCTCAAATTCAGTTCAAAACTCAAAGCTATGAGATTCAAAATGATACCATGAACTCTAAACTTATCACTAACCCTGAGAATAGAAATTTGAAGTTCCTGTCATTAAAACAAAAGTAGCTAGATCTTCCTAGAACATTCAACTGTGTAACAGATACAACTCCCCATCTAAATTGGTTATTAGAATTCCCAGAGAAAAATGGTAGTTTATATAACAAGTATACAGGACTTCAAGGATGTTTGTTTATATTAACCTTATCGCTAGCTTCATTTTAATTGCTTATGCTTGTTTGTCCTTTAGCCTATTTGTAATTGATTACCCTACTGTAACTTGTATTTCGTAAACTGCCTTGAATCTTTTCTAAAAAGCAAGGTATACGTCTACAGAATGAGAGGAGGCTATTCTTATGTCACCAAGCAAAGGAAACTCTGGGAATACTCTAACAAAGATCTAATGGCTACTGCCCAATTAATCTTAAATTTCTTTGCCCATACTTTCTATTTCACAATTATCTATTCTACGTAGCTTTTAGAGCAAAGAAGACTATGCCCACAAGTCAATCCAATTATGAGATACTTTGTTGAGCACTATAGGAGAGAAAAATTTAAATAATTCAGTCCCTGATCTTGAGCAAATTATGTTTGAGAAGGCACTAAATACTATGAAGTAAAGTCCTTTCTAGTTGGGAAATCAGGAAGGCTTCCAAAAATAAACTGTCCTAAAGAAAAGCTGTATTTTATCTGATGGGCTCATCTTTATAACTAACTGTATTAAAGATTCTGTGATTTAAAGCAAGTATTATCTCTCTGATGAGAAAATTAGTGCACAGGTTAAATATCCAGACAACATGATTTGGAGAAGCAGAAAAGATTTAAGGTTAAGGAGTTTCAGGTGAAGCGAAAGACCTTGATACGAATGTAGAGATATATTCCAGAGTAATACAAAACACTCTTCTAATTATACCATCCTAAAGTCATCTCTGGGATTGATTCACTCCTTCAACAGGTTTGTTCAGAACCTCCTATGTGCAAGGCACTATTTTCGTGCTGGGGATAAATGTTTGTGATAAAAATGTTTGTACATAGTAGTGAAGGAAAGCCAGAACATATACGGAAAGAATTTCAGAAAGTGTTAAGTGGAAATACATCAGGGTTATATGTGACAAGAGTGACTAGAAGTGGTATGCTTCTTACAGTAGATAACCTAAGAAAAGCATTCCTGGCAAAGAAACAGTTAAGTGCAAAGGTCCTGAGGCATAAAAAGAAATGGTATGCTTTGAGGAAGACAAAGGTGGGTAGAGACCAAGGTTAGTAAGTAAACAGGTTAGTGATAAGCAACCGAAGTTAGAGAGTAGATATGGACCAGGTCATAAATGGTAAGGGCTTAGATTTTTTTTATTCTAAGTGAAATAGGAAGACATCAGAGGGTTTCAAACAGATGAATGATCTAATTCAGGCCTTTTTAAGCTCATTCTGCTGCTATGGGAGAACGGATAGTACATGGAAGCAAAGAGTCTAGTTAGACATCCGTTACAGAAGTTCAAGGAAGAGATGGTAGTTTGGGCTGGGAGGTGAGAATGGAGAAATATTAAGAACTGTCAAAATCTATTGAGGTAGAGTATGTGAAAGAACAAAAGAAGAATTGGGATGAAGTTTAGCTTTTTGGCATGAACAAGTAGATAAAATGATTAGTACTATTTAATGAAGACTGGGGGAGGAGCAGGATTTTAGGGAGTTTGTGGAAATCAAGAACTCCATCTGGACTAATTTTGTGGTCCCAGTCAACTAACCAACTGCATACAGGAATATAAAGCCCAGGGGAAATTAGATATGAAGACATAAATTCAGAACTATTAGCTTGGTATTTAACATCTCATAATTGGACGAGATCATCTAGGGAACAAGCATAGTTCCCTAGCATAGAAAAGAAGTGGATGGTGCTTTGGCAGGGTTGGGGGTGGGAGTGGATGGGGTGCTCTGAAATCTGGTAGGTGACGGGAACCCAACAAGAGACTAAGAAGGAAAGGCCAGTGAAGTAGGTAGAAAATCGGGATTACCTGATCTCAAATCTATAAAACAGAGTAACCAGCTAAGCAGTTGAGTAAGGAATGAGAACTGACCCTTAGGTTTAGACATAAAAAGTGTCTGTGAACCTGACATAAGCAGATACAGTGGAAGGAAAGCTAGACTGGAGTGCTGAAGTATGAATAGGAGAGGAAATGGAAACAATTAGTAGAGATAGCTCTTGAGAATCTTTGCATGAAAGAAGCAGAGAACGGGGTAGGCAGCCAGTGGGAGAAATGGGATCAAGGAAGGTTTGTGTGTATTTTGAAAATTCAAGAGATTCTAGAATGCTAATGAGAATGATCTAGTAATGGCAACGTGGGAGAGGAATTAACTGAAGAAGTGAAGTTTCTGGAAAGACTATGGAACTGTGAGAGCAGGTGAAAGAGCGTATTTTAGAGAAGCAGGAATATGTCATCCATTGAACAAGAAAGAAGGAAAATATGAGACGTCAGAGGAAATAGTTATTAGCGATGGTAAAATTCAGAGTGTGATCATATGAGGTAGTAGTAGGAGGTAAAAGGAAGAAGATATATCCTTTCCCCCTTTCTCTCACCTCTACAGCCTGTCATAATACAGCAATTGCCTTCCCAACAGGTTAGGGAGAGATCAAAGGAACAATCTATTTTTCACAGATACCAATTACCCACTTGTGACATCAGTTATTTCTGACTCAGTCGTCCGTCTTACTTAAAAACGCTCACCAGTAGCAATATGGCACATAGTTTAAAAAGAAAAAACCTCCTTAACATGGTATTAAAAGGTTCAACTTTGGAAACATTTTTCCCAGTCTCTTTTCTAATAACTTCTTTTTGTAGTTATCACCACGCCATAGGAGAAAAATAGATTTTGGCAAGTATAATTGGAGCCTTCTTCAATGTATCAACGTCACAGGATTAAATACAGTAATCCATATAAACCACTTTGTTAGTGTTTAGTAAATATTAAGTACTATTATAGAACATAACAAGGATATCTAACATGGTTAGGGGTAGAGGACCATCCATAAAGGATTACCAGAGGAAGCCACATTTAACTGAAAAGCTGAAGGATTAGTATCGTCTTGAAGTTAACCAAAGAGGGTAATGTTTCCAGGATAAAAATATGTCAAGTGTGACAACCTGAAAAAGAACATGGCTTACTTAAGGAGTTGAAAGATATTTAATCTGGCTACAGTGTAGAGTATTTGGGGAAATGAAAGAGGAAAGTGGTAAGAGATACTGCTGGAGAAGCAACTAAATATCACACAGGGTCCTCCTGTAAGGCAACATAAACCATCTGAAGCAACAAAGCAACATGATCAGATTTGCATTTTTGAATGAACACAGAGTCTATTATCAGAGAAGAAACGGAAGGGATTAAAAAATGGAGCAAGAGATGGTTCAGAGGTTGTTACAGTAATTGAATAGAGCTATGAATGCTAAGTAACCACTGGCCATAACATTTTAAGCACTTTTATATTATGTATCTTTAGAAATCTACTTTTGGTGGTTCAAATACATATTTCATGTTTACACAGCAAGAACAACAACAACAAAAACCTGATAATCATACCAGTATTCCTCTTCTGGGACTTTATCCAAAGGTGGATTCAGACAGTAAATATGATAAGCCACATTACATTCATCACACAGAAGCTGCATGTTGGGTTCATGTTTCCCACCACATACACGACAGGAGCAAGAATGACATTTCTTTTCTGGGTCTCCACCACACAGGTCACATTCAGGGTCATTTCGCCCTATTAAGAACAAAATTATAGCAAGTCTAGTCTTAAAACATTTTTTATATCTATGAATCTCATAAAGAAAAGCCCATGGAAACAGCATTTTTTTTGAAATGGAGTTTTGCTCTTGTTACCCAGGCTGGAGTGCAATGGCGTGATCTTGGCTCACTGCAGCCTCTGCCTCCCGGGTTCAAGCGATTCTCCCGCCTCAGCTTCTCGAGTAGCTGGGATTACAGGCATGTGCCACCACGCCTGGCTAATTTTTTTATTTTTTAGTAGAGATGGGGTTTCTCCATGTTGGTCAGGCTGGTCTCAAACTTCCAACCTCAGGTGATCTGCCCGCCTCAACCTCCCAAAGTGCTGGGATTACAGATGTGAGCCACCACACCCAGTCTTTTTTTTTGAGATGGAGTCTCACTCTGTCACCCAGGCTGGAGTGCAATGGTGCCAATCTTAGCTCACTGCAGCCCCTGCCTCCTGGGTTCAAGTAATTCTCCTGCCTCAGCCTCCGGAATAGCTGGGATTACAGGCGCCTGCCACCACACCCAGCTAATTTTTGTATTTTTAGTAGAGACAGGGTTTCACCAGGTTGGCCAGACTGGTCTCAAACTCCTGACCCCTCAGGTGATTCACCAACCTTGGCCTCCCAAACTGCTGTCACCCAGCCAGCATACAGCTTTTCTAATGAAAAGAAAGGAACCAAAAAGAATAATCAAGTGTGAGGTTTTAAGAATAAATGCCTGAGGCCGGGCGTGGTGGCTCATGCCTGTAATACCAGCACTTTAGGAGGCTGGGTTGGGCGGATCACGAGCTCAGGAGTTCGAGACCAACCTGGCCAACACAGTGAAACCCCGTCCCTGCTAAAAATACAAAAGTTAGCCAGGCATGGTGGTGGGTGCCTGTAATCCAAGCTACTCGAGAGGCTAAGGCAGGAGAATCACCTGAACCCGGGAGGCAGAGGTTGCAGTGAGCCGAGATTGCGCCACTGCACTCCAGCCTGGGCAACAAGAGCAAAACTGTCTCAAAACAAAAAACAAAAAACAAACAAAAAAAGCCCCATCATGAATTAAAAGACCTAGAATCTAATCCTGTCTCTGTTACCAAATATTTGATATCAAGTAAGAAAAATCCGTTAAATGAAGAGGTACAGCTGCATTCTAACCTTCAAATGTTTATATAAGCCTCATTTATTACCTCCCAGAAATTCAAGGCTCAATCAGCACTATAATTCTAAGGCTTTACTCGTGTAAAAATAAATCTCATTATTAAAAACTAAACTTGGGTGGCTAACAAAATTACAGAAACAGGCTTTTTCTTTGGACAGAATCTATAACAGAAGAAACAGCAAGAAACGCATCAACAGATAAAAAGACAATATGGTATATACATATACAATAAAATATTATTCTGCCATAAAAAATAATAGAATCCTTTCATTTACAACATGGATGAAACTGGAGAACATTATGTTAAGTGAAAGAAGCCAAGTACAGAAGGACAAATGTGACATGTTCTCTTCCATATGTGGGAGCCAAAAAAAATTGATCTTGTGCAGGTGGAGAATAGAATGATGATGGTTATCAGAGTCTGGGAAGGGAAGTGGGACAGGGGATAAAGAAGGGTTGGCTATAGGGTGCAAAGATACAGTTAGACAGAAGGAATAAAATCTAGTATTCAGAAGCACGATGGGGGACTACAGTTAACATTTACTGTATGTTTCAAAATCGCTAAAAGAATAGATTTAGAATGTTCCCAACACACACAAAAAATGATAGAATGTTTGAGGTGATGAATATCCCAGTTTCCCAGATTTGATCATTTACACACTGTATGCCTGTATCAAAATATCACATATACTCCTTAAATATCTACAACTATTATATATCCATAAATATTTTTAAAATAAAATAATAGCAATAAAATACCAAGATAATATATTTCTTCAAAAATAACACTTAATCATTTAGGAAAAATTCATTAAAACAAAATGAATCTTAGATCAAAACTGTTGTCTTGAAAATAAATTTGTATGGTCTACAGTTTTATACTTCCTTCCAAGTTATTCACTGACCAGTAAAAATAAAGTTCAATCATGTACAACACATGTAGTCTAAGACCAAAAACAAAAATCCATACTTAAAAACTTTCCATCTGCAAATGAAAGGGGATGGGCTCCAGGTCTCTCAATCTTGAAGATTTCATCTACAGATATTATCTTGCAGTCATTTAATGTTCCTTCAGAACCCCTGTTTAAAAAAGGAAGAAAGGTTAACTTCTGCCAGCAAAATCTAAGGTATATACAAATAATAATTAAAAGCCAGTTTGGAATCTCACTGAAATCTGTCTATTTATAAATTGAGATTAGAGCTATTCCAATCATTCTGAACTATTGTTTTCAATAGTAGGAAAAGTCCATAGTGATTAGTTAACATTCATAGTGTAATATGAGAAAAAAAATACAGACTTCATTAGATAATCTGGTAAGAAGTAGCTAACTTGTAAATTTAAAGACTAGATAAAATGGCACTCTGTCAATTAAAATGAAAGATTTAAATAACTTCCTGTTAAATCTGTGCAATATTAAACCTTTCTATCAAGAAATAAGGTATGTTTTCTGTTTGTTTTGTCCTTTGGTAGAATTTTAACATTTCTTTTATGTAAGCAATATATTTTTATATACTTTTGTGAAAATGTAATTATATGGGATAATTCTGTAACAATTTATTTAAAAAATCTACAAAAAATAAATTTCCAATAAATATAATTTCTAGGCAAAAATAAGATGCCCTTTTCATAAAGTCTTTCAAATACTACACCATACTTGTCAGACTCAATTCATATTTGTTTGTATATACTTCTTCAAAGTTTCCTACTACGGGTGTGGATTTGTACATTTCTCCATTTATTTATTTGTTTGTTTGTATTATTTATTGAGATGGAGTCTCGCTCTGTCACCAGGCTGGAGTGCAGTGGTGCAATCTTGGCTCACTGTAGTCTCCACCTCCTGTATTCAGGCAATTCTCCTGCCTCAGCCTTCCAAGTAGCTGGGATTACAGGCCTGCGCCACCATACCCGGCTAATTTTTGTATTTTTAGTAGAGACAGGGTTTCACCATGTTGGCTGGGCTCGTCTCGAACTCCTGACCTCAGGTGACCTGCCCGCCTCGGCCTCCCAAAGTGCTAGGATTACAGGCATGAGTTACCACACCCAGCCCATTTCTCCTTTTAATCTGTTGGCTTTTGCTTTATTAGCTACAGATTTAAGAAGCCTAAATCTTACTGAATATCTTATCTCTAGTAATGCATTCTGAATCAAAAGTTTACTTTCTTTTGGTTAGCACTTGCTTGAAGACTTTTTCCATCCTTCCACCTTTTCTTTAAAAACTTTCAATGTCAAATATACACAAATGCAAAAAACTGCATAAATGCATAGCTTAACCAATTATCAACATGCACATCCGTTGTGACCACCAATGACAGAAGACATAGGAATATCAACTACCTCAGAAACCCTCACCTTGTCCCCTCACAATGACAACTTCATGTCCTCCGAAGTTATATTTACCTTAATTTTTTTCATGTCACTTGTCTACCTCCCTAAAACAGTTTTGCCTGTGTTTGAAAAGTCTCTAATCTATAAATTCACATGCCATCTCTTTCCTCCTTGAAATCTGTTAACAAGTCCAACCATTTGTCCTATAGTGTTTCTCACAGTGTTGATTTTTGATATTTGCATTCCCAAAGTATGGGTTAAACAGTTTTTTCTGTCATTCGCATTTCTTGTACATTGGTAGCTGATCTGGAGCGTAGGTCAAAAAACTTTAAAAATAAAGTTTTATTAGAACTTAGTTATGCCATCTGATTTTTGTATTATCTATGGCTGGTTTCATGCTGTTAACAGGGGAGTTAAGTAGTTGTGACAGACCATCTGGCCCCCATGTTAAACTATTTACTATCCGGCTCTTTACAGAAGAAAAATATTGCCAACTCCTGGGCTAAAGACTCAGTCTCAATCAGATTTAGGTTCATTTTCTTGGTAAGATAATTTCATAGGTCTATTTCCATCAGGAAGTACCTATTTATTTATCTCTTTTCCTCTCCTGACGGCAGCTACTAATGCTCAATGCCTACATTAATTCTTTGGGGATTAGAAAATGTTGATATTCCCATTCTATCATTCCTTTCTCATCTCATTTACTTGGCACAATTTTACAGAGAAATGACCTCACTAAACTAGTTGGTGACCCAGTAGTATAGCTCATATAACAAAGATAAAATGCTGACTTAGCAGTTTTAAAAATAAATCATTCTCTAACAACTTCCATACTGACTGTGTTACTATGGACTCATGGATTTAAATATATTTGGTATGTCTCAACCCACTTTATTTTTCTTATCAATGTTCAAATTGTCTCATCTTTGACCAGTGGGAGCTTCCAGTTGACTCCCAAATCCTTCTGACGAGAACTTAGCAGACTTTGTGGGACTCCTTATTTGCATGACAAGATATTCCAGGTTCATCTTGCCCATTTTCTGCCCCCAGCCAGGAGTTTCTTTCAGTGGGAAAGGTATTTCGAGACCATAGTTAGGTACTAGGAAAGCTTACTGCAACTAGGTTGATTACTGTTTGTACCCTATACATTTTAAACATACACATTAATATACACACTCAAACACAAAACATCTCATGAGTTCATGCTAGTATTTTATATTCAAATTCAGGGCTAAAGGATATTTACTTTTTAAAAAAATTATGTGTCTTTTTTCCTTTTTCCCCCAACCAGAAAAATCCCAGTTCTTAAGGACACCAAAATTAGAATATTACAAATACTCCTTTGCTTTATCCCACATTACACGCAAGACATTGTTGCCAGCTGTCAATTACTGAAAACACTTTAAATTTTTTGCATATTTCCCTTCTACGTTTTAGTTATAATATAGCTAACTGTGTCAGGTCATAGAGCCAGTACATACTATACTTTCTCCTTTATGTTCAGTTAGTTCTGTTTCTAAATGTAAAAATATTTTAAATGTTTAGCGCAACTCTTTATTTCAAATTATCTTCAGTCATCTTGATTGTCTGAACCTAGTTCTCCTGAAGATTCCTTAGGAAGGGTTCATGAGAACAATATTCCCCCAGTTTTGGAAGTTAATGACAATTTGTCTATAGCTGTTATACTAAAGGCTAGTTTGGCTTGACTTAAAATCCTTGGCTCTCCTTTACTTGACTAATGCTTTTCTGGAATGTTTTCCTTGTAAGCATGTTATACTGTTCCTTATTTTCTCACTCTCTTCTAACTTCATACAGAATTTAACATCGATCCTTTCGCTTATTTTCATAAGATAAATTTCCTAAACCCTTTAAAGGGTCTAACTTCACTTTTTGCTAGCAGCTAGAGTACACATTTCTTGGAGAAAGAGTCAAAATTCTGGAGACTAAAATCTAATCTGATAGAAGGCCAATCAGTGGTGGTCTGGGACCAATGCTACAGATGGTAGCGGTAACTGTAATGGGACCCAAGGGAACTTTTGGGAGTGATGAAAACATTGTGTTTTGATTAGTGGTGACATGCGTATATCCATTTGTCAATGTTCACTGTATTTAAGATACACTTAAGGGTAAGTACATATTACTGTATGTAAGTTATACCTCAAAAACAATTTTAAAAAGACAGCATGGAAGCTTACTTACTGAAATCTTTTGGCTATATTCTCCTCCCCTATTTCTAACCGGACTCCTTTTTCCTTTGTCTCTATTCTCCTGGTCCTACTTAGTTTGGAACCTATTCCCACCAGTTTCTTCTCAATATAGAGCTTTAGTCCTGGAATGGAGCTTTAACCGACCAATTTAAAGAGTTTAAAGAGTACTCTAGCCCCTTCAGATCTTACTGCAAACTGCTTGTACTTACTCATATGGGGGTGGGTCAGGAATCTGGGAGTAGCTTAGCTGGGTAGTTCTGGCTTAAGATCTTTCATGAGATTGCAGTTAAGCCATTGGTCAGGGGTGCAGTCTCATTTAAAGGCTCTACTCAGGGAAAATAAAAAAGCTGCCTGGATAGCCTCATCACATGCAACTGGCTTCCCTCAGAGGGAGTGATCCAAGAGGGCGCACCCAAAATGGAAGCTGGTATCTTTTTAAAACCTCATCTTGAAGTGGTACAGCATCACTTACACCATATTCTATTGGTCACAAAGAGCCACCCTAGTGAAGTATGGCTGAAAACCACATGAGGGTGAGTATTAGTAAGCAGGAATCACTGGGGGTTACCTTAAAAGATGGCTACCATAGCTGCTATTTTCAAATTAGTTTGCTGAGCTAATTCATTATTTGGAATTCTTGGGCCCAACACATATTTCTCCTGCACAGCCACTGATACTACACAGGTCTTGAAGCTTTCCACTGTTTATCCCACCAGCTATTTGGGGGTTATGATACCATACCACCCTGTTTCATTGTAGATGCTGTCCATGAGTTTGTGAATTAGATAATTTAGTAATATTTTGCTCTATATTACCAGGACATTTAAGGGGATTTGAAAAGTCTTTGCTGTTGTCATCTTCTTACAATCCCAACCATCCACCTCTTTTCAACTTCTGTGATTTTATATTTAAGGAGTCTTTCTTAAGAGTAGCATGTGGATTTTTTTATTTTAATCTAGTTTGTTGATCATTGTCTTGAAATGCTTGACTCACAGTTAATATAAAGGCTGATACAGTTGTGTTTGTTTCTGCCATTTTACTGTATGTTTTCTACTTTATCTGCTTCTTTTAGTCACAATTGCCTTATTTTGGATTAGACTAATATTTATTTTTTCACTTTCAGTGTGTTAATTTGTTAAAAATCCTTTATTTTTAGTAGTTGCATTAGAGATTGGACTGTGCAAACCTGATATAATCTACTTTAAATTTTACTTTCACTACTTCCCCAATGATGCCAGAATCTCACGACTTCATTTACCAACCCCATCTTCTGCATTATTGTTGTCACGCATTTTTTTTCTATGTATATTTTAAAGTTCACTATTTAAAAAAAATTATTTATACTTACTCATACATTTACCCTTTCCCTGCTCTTAATTCTGTCCCATATTTCGATGTTCCATCGGGAATCTCATTCCTCCCACTTAAATAACTCCCTTTATTATTTCTCTTAGTGCCTGTCTGTTGATGGTGAATTCTTTCAGGTTTTATTTGATAATATTTTTATTTTGGCTTTATTTTTGACAGGTATCTTCATGAAAAAGATATTTTAAGTTGGGAAATTTTTTTTTTTTTTTTTGAGATGGAGTCTTGCTCTGTCACCTAGGCACGATCTCAGCTCACTGCAACCTCCACCTCCCAGGATCAAGCAGTTCTCCTGCTTCAGTCTCACAAATAGCTGGGGTTACAGGTGTGCACTACCACGTATGGCTAAATTTTTTCCTTTTAGTAGAGACATGGTTTTGCCATGTTGGCCAGGCTGGTCTTGAATTCCTGACCTCAAGTGATCTGCCCGCCTTGGCCTTCCAAAATGCTGCGATTATATAGGCGTGAGCCACCACGCCCAGCTGGGAATGTTTTTAAATTAGTATTTTCACATGCCATTCCACTGTCTCCTAGCTTAAATTGCTTCTAATGAAAACTTGGTCATCTTCACTGTGTTATCTTTAGTTTTTAGCATTCTTGTTTGTGATATACCACTGTGCATTTTCTTTATATTTATCCTGCTTAGAATTTACAGAACTTCTTTGACCTGAACTTGTATCTTTAATCAGTTTTGGAAATTTTGGGCTACTATATTTTCAAATACTGTTTTCACTCTACTCTCTTCTTTAGGAATTCCAAATATAAATATATATATACACATATATACATATATATACACACATATATACGTGTGTATATATACGTGTATATATATACACGTATATATGCACATATATGTGTGTATATGTATGTATATACGTGTATATATATACATACACACACACACACACACACCTTTCATCAAGTCCTATGTGTCTAACACTCTTGTACATGTTTCAGTATGGGTAGTTTTTATTGACTTATCTTCTGGTTTCCTAATCCTATCTTCTGCTGTGTCTTATTTGTTATTTTTTTATGTTTTTTAATTTTTTTTTTGAGACAGAGTCTCGCTCTGTCGCCAGGCTGAAGTGCAGTGGCGCAATCTTGGCTCACTGCAACCTCTGTCTCCCAGGTTCAGGTGATTCTCCTGCCTCAGCCTCCCGAGTAGCTGGGACTACAGGCACCTGCCACCACGCCCAGCTAATTTTTGTATTTTCAGTAGAGACGGGGTTTCACTATGTTGGCCAGGATAGTCTTGATCTCCTGACCTCATGATCCACCTGCCTCGGCCTCCCAAAGTGCTGGGATTATAGGCGTGTGCCATGGTGCCTGGCCCTTATTTGTTATTAAATCAATTTAACAAGGTCTTAGGAAACTATAATTCTCAGTTCTAGAATCTCCATATAATTATTTTGTGAATTCCAATTCTCAGCTGAAATTCACCATGTTTTCAGCATATTAATCACAGTTACTTGAAAGTTTCTCTGATAACTTGAATTATCAAGATCACCTATGGGTCTATTCCCATAATTGGTATTCCTTCTGTTTTCTGATTATGTGGCACCGTCTTTTGGCAGAATGGCATTTTTGCCTCCGTCATGGAGCCAAAAGCTTCAGATATTATCTTATATAAAGGAAAGTTCAACCTTCCTACTGCTGGAGAGATAATGTGGTGGTTTAACATTTAATCAGCATCTATGCTGAGTCAAGGCTGGTTTACAGTCTTTAAGTAAGATTTAGTCTACCTGTATGCCTTAGCCATCCACTTTTCAAACTAAAAGACCTACATATTCTGTGGAGCCATTACACCAGTTACCCTAAAATCCAGTGTATGCCTTCTAAGACTGCTGAAAATGCCACTTTTTACTACATTTCCAGCCTCTTGTCCAGCAGAAGTCCAGTATTCAACCAAAGCCCAAAGGTGAAAGCAGGCCATATGCTTGAGGCATCCCAAATATCTGCCAAAAACTCTGCTGACTTTTTCCATCCTACTCCTAGCTGCTCTGAACTAGATTTTACACTGCATCCAGAATTAGCAGATTCCCTAGGGGCAAAACACAACTACAAAGCTACCTGCCTTATGAGATTCTTACCTCTCCAGAGACATACCCGCAGTTGGTTCTCTTTGATTCTCTGGTGCATTCAAAGAGATGACTATTTGATCGGGCTATTTAGTTGTTTTAGCTAAAAGCACTAATCTACTGCCAGCTGTCCCACCCTACCTGCAAACAGGTGCTTTCCATGTACTACTTTAAGTGATTCAATAAATGTCACAAATTCAAGGCCAAAGCCACTTTTTCACTTATGTACCATTTTTGTTAAAGGCTTATCAAGACACTCTTTATGCACAAAACTAAATGCCATTGATCATAATAAAAACATGCATATAATCAATTCATTCCCCAAGAAATATCCTATTTCACTGAATCTAATAGGCCGATACTTGTAAAAACAATTTATGTACTAATAAAAAAGAAACTAGACTGAAATCAGGCAGTCTAAGAATTCCCAAATAAAGCTGGGACACTAAATGGTAATCAGCAACTATAAGACACATTATGTAATTTCAAGTAAGAAAAAAAGACTGTGATGAGGTGTCTAAGGAACACCTTCAAATAAAGCTTAGACACCAACCCATTCTCACAGTTAAAATGAGAAATAAACCACACCTTGCAGATAGAAAAAATTCTTGTTTCAATACTGCCACTGGGTATAAGGAAAAAAAAGCATCCTCCAAGAATTAAATGATAAGCTAGGATTCAGTCCGGTTCAGAGGCCTGAATTCATGCTACCTATGTGGTCTAAAAAGGCTCAAGCAGAGTATTTAAGTTAAAGTTAAATGGCACTCCCAAGTGACTAGTAAACAAGCAAATTCAAATCTTTGAAAGAATTCAACTTCTGTCAGCCCAACAGCAAATTTAAGATACATTTTTATTTCAGAGATGTTAAAATACCAAAAAAAAAAAAAAAAAAAAAACTATTCTCTCGGAATCTATGAAATACCGTACTGAAAATCTATTGTAACTAGTGCCTAGAACAAGGCCTGGCACACAACAGCAAACAAAACAAACAAAACATTAACATTCCAGTGGTATGACAGGCAGAACAATGGGCCCCAAAGAGGTTCATGTCCTAATTCCAGGAACCTATAAATACGTTACCTCATATGGCAAAAAAGACTTTGCATATAAAAAACCTTGAAATGGGAAGATTATCCACGCAGATCCAATATAATCACAGGGGAAGGGGAGGCAGAGGAGAGAATATGAAGGGGATGTAGCCACAAAAAGAACTGTCAAAGAGAAGCAACATCGTTGGCTTTGAAGGTGGAGAAAGCAGGTAACAAGCTAAGGCATGTGGGAGGCGTCTGAAACATGGTAAAGGCAAGAAAATGGGTTCTCCCTTAGAGTCTACAAAACTGAATCATATCCCTGCTAACAATGATTTTTGCCTAGTGAAATTCAAATCCATTTAAGATTTCTAACCTCCAAACTGTACTATGCTTTATTGTTTAAGCTACTATGTTTGTGGTAATTTGTTGTAGCAGCAATAGGAAACTAAATACAAATGGGGTGATAATAAATAAAATAAAGAATTCAGAAAAAGTCAGAGTAAGGGAGAATTTAAGTAGCTTATGTCTGGTATGTATGTGATTTTAAAAAGGGTGATTAAGAAAGGTAACTCTGAAGATACTTTTGAGCAGAGAACTGAAATAAGAGACAGAGTAAGTCAAATGAGTATCTGTGTAGGAGGGAACATCAAGTACAAAGGCCCCAAGGCAGGAGCATGTTTGCGTGATCAAGCAACACAAGGAGGCCAGCATGGCCGAAGCACAGTGACCAGTGACTTACAACTTGATATGCATATTAAGTATATATTCTGTAAGAAGCCATGTTCAATAAGAAGTATATCACTATAGAAATTTCTTAAGTATGAAAAAAATTTAGTAAATACATAAAACTCTGTAAAAATGACACTGAACCTAAAATGCATCTGTAGCTTTTTTTTTTTTTTTTTTTTTCCTTTTTTTTTTGAGATAGAGTCTCACTCTGTCACCCAGGCTGGAGTACAGTGGCGTGATCTCTGCTCACTACAACCTCAGCCTCCTGAGTTAAAGTGATTCTCCTGCCTCAGCCTCCCAAGGACTTGGAATTACAGGCGTGCACCAGCATGCCCAGCTAACATTTTTATATTTTTAGTAGAGATGGCGTTTCACCACGTTGCCCAGGTTGGTCTAGAACTCCTGACTTCAGGTGATCCGTCCGCCTCAGCCTCCCAAAGTGCTGGGATTACAGGCGTGAGCCACCACACCTGGCCATAATTTTTATATTTTTAGTAGAGATGAGGTTTCACCCTGCTGGCCAGGCTGGTCTCGAACTCCTGACCTCAACTGATCCGCCCACCTTGGCCTCCCAAAGTGCTAGGATTACAGGCACAAGCCACCATGCTCGGCCTTTATCTGTAGTTTTAATAAGGTAAATTAATTTTCTTCCTATAGGATTCAAATACTACTTTACTTACAAATATCTAAATCAGCATAACTTCACATGGTAGTAAATATTATATTACAGTAGTAAGTGAACAAATTATTTTAAAAAATGTTTTTGAATCCCAAACTTGTTTTCAATTTTTTTCAAAGCTAAAATAAATAGAAAATGACAACATGAAAATAGAATTTGATAACTAGAATTAGACAGTTCAAGCATATGTACTTTTTGGTACTCACAAATTAAAAACAGAAACAAGCATGAACTTTAACTCCAAGTTCCCTTATCAAATCTCCAAGGCAGATTAAAAATCATGTCCTCTATTTGCTTCTTCCTTTGCACCTTCAATACAATAGAGAGGATCAAAGCTGAAGGTTAGTTCTTTGTAAAAGTCTAATAAAACCGATAAACCTCTGATGAGAATGGTCAAAAAGTCACAAACTAAATTCAGAAATAAAAAACATCGTAACAGATTAACACATTAAAAAGATGTAGGTACCAAAAAAATTTATGACAACAGATTTTAAAATTTAGATGCAATAGATAAATTCCTAGAAAATTAAATTTTAGTTCAAGAAATAGAAAACATGAATAGTCCTCTGATCATTACAGAAACCGAACTGACCATAAAAGAACTTTCCCACAAAGAAAACTCAGCCCCAGATGACTTTATTGAGAAGTTCTACCAAACATTCAAGACAAGGACACAAAACTCTACCGTAAGAAAGAAAAAGAAGATTCCAAATTATTTTGTGAAACTAGCATAAATCCGTGAAGGACACTGAGATAGGAAAATTAACATGTAAATTTCACGCATTAATACAAATGTAAAAATCCTACACAAAACACTGTCAAACCAAATCTAGGAGAGCATATCTACAAAATTCCTATATCAAACATTGTAGTTATTGATGAAATTTTATATGTTTTCTCTTGGAAAGCAGGGGAAAAAGATGCCTGTTATCACTACTTATTTTCAACAATGTAATTCAGGGCCCAACTGGTGAATAAGGACAAGAAGAAGAAATCAAAAGTAAAGAAAAAGACAAAACAAAAATGTAATAATTCACAGATGATTATAATTCCAAACATTTTGAAACAATCTACATGTAAATTAAAATTAGTAAATCTAGTAAAGCTACTGAGTCCAAGATCAAAGGATACTTGTATTCCTATATACCAGAAAGAGAAAAGATGACTGCAAAATTCAAATGGAAGTACACAGAGCTAAGAACATATAAAACCTACTTGAAGAACAAGGCAGGATCATGTGCTCTGTTGTATTATGAAAGTGTGGAACTGATACAAAGATACACAAAAAACAGACCCATGGTACAGAATAGAGAAGTCAAAAGGATTCACCAAATATAAGATTCTTGATATGACAGAGGTGATACTGAAGATCAATGGGAGGGAAATGGGCTTTTCAATAAACAGTGCTAGGAAAAATGTTTATTCATATGTATTGAGTTAAATTAGACCCTTACCTCACTCACACTGTACACAAAAATCTACTCCAAGTCAATTAAAGACCTAAAGAAAGGCAAAACCACAAAGCTTTTAGAAGGTAATACAAGAGTATCTTTAAGAAAGACATAGAAAGTACAAGCATAAAGGAAAAAAAAACTTTCTTGAACTTTGATAACCTCAACTGCATTAAAATTAAGAAAACTACTATTCAAACATCGTAAGGAGAAAAAGACAAGCCACAGAATTAGAAAAAGTATTTTTGCCACATATAACTGAAATAGTCTAGTCTCCGTAATTAGAACTCCTAAAAATGAATCAGACACATTATTTAATTAACAACAAAAAAAGTCACCAAATTGGAACCAGGTCCTCACAAAAGATATATCCAACTTGTCAATAAAAATACGAAAAGATTCTCAACCCCACTAGGAGTCAGAGAATTGCAAATCAAAGCCAAAATGAAATACTATTACATACCCACCTGATTAGTGGAAACTGAAGTCTGAAAAAACTAAGCATGGATGAGAAAACTAACAACAGGAACTCTCATACTGTTGCAGAACTGTAACCTGGTACAGACACTTGGTTCTATCTACTCAAGTTGAAGATGCACAGGTTCTACAACCTAGTAATTTTAATCCTAGGCATGATACATCCTACAGAAACTAATGCACACAAGTGCCAGGATACAGGTATAGGTACAAGAACCTGATGGCAGCACTGTTTCTAACAGCCCCAAAATGCCTATCAACAGCAGAATGCATTTGTTCTTTCAACCTGTTATTTATCCATTCTTACCAGTGAGGATGAAAGATTTCTAATCATTAAAAAAAAAAATTTTTTTTCTCCAGACACGGTGGCTCATACCTATAATCCTACCACTTTGGGAGACTGAGGCAGGCAGATAGCCTGAGCTCAGGGGTTCGAAACCAGCCTGGACAACAAGGTGAAACCCTGTCTCTACTAAAATACAAAAAATGAGATGGGCATGGTGGCATGCGCCTGTAGTTCCAGCTACTCCGGTGGCTGCGGCAGGAGAACTGCTTGAATCCAGGAGGCGGAGGTTGCAGTGAGCCGGGATTGTGCCACTGCTATGCAGCCTGGGCAACAGAGCGAGACCCCATCTCCCAAAAAAAAAAAAAAATTCTATCCATAAGCCACACTGGTTCCTTTTTAGCTATTGTGTTCCTAACGTTTCTAGTAAAAACTTTAATGACAAAGAATAATACTTTACATTTTATTGTACTGTTGGGATAGCTATCACATAACCATTCTCTTTATCAAGCCGGTATTTGCCTATCCATAATTTCCACTCAAGTCTTTTTTTTTTTATTGAGACGAAGTTTCACTCTTGTTGCCCAGGCTGGAGTGCAATGGCATGACCTCAGCTCACGGCAATCTGCGCCTCCCAGGTTCAAGTGATTCTCCTGCCTCAGCCTTTCGAGTAGCTGGGATTACAGGCATGCAACACCGCACCCAGCTAATTTTGTATTTTTTAGTGGAGACAGGGTTTCACTAGTTGGTCAGACTGGTCTCGATCTCCTGACCTCAGGTGATCCACCCACCCTGGCCTCCCAAAGTGCTGGGATTACAGGCGTGAGCCACGGCACCTGGCCCACTCAGTCTCAGTTCCACTTCTAAAGCCAGTGTGTTCCCACTCTTAACTATACCTCAGGATCACTTGGGAAAACTTTTTTTTTAGACAGAGTCTCGCTCTGTAGCCCAGGCTGGAGTACAATGGCATGATCTCGGCTTACTGCAACCTCTGCCTCGTGGGTTCAAGTGATTCCTCTGCCTCAGCCACCCATGTAGCTGGGACTACAGGCACGTGCCACTACACCCAGCTAATTTTTGTATTTTTAGTAGAGATGGGGTTTCACCATATTGGCCAGGCTGGTCTCGAACTCCTGACCTCATGATCCGCCCACCTTGGTCTCCCAAAGTGCTGGGATTACAGGCATGAGCCACTGCACCCAGCCAGGAAATCTTTTTTTAATAGCAAGCTTTTTTAGCTCAATGCTATGTGTGCTGTTATCCTACTGTGTACACATGCTTTCTACTTCCAACACTCAAGTAGGTTAAAAGGCTCCTAACATAGCCAGTTTATTTAGGGGCTTTCTCCTTCTTCATGATTTGCATCCATATCAGGGTTTCAAGTTGTTTAGAAGTCTGTGACTGAGCTATACCCTTAGTCTAGCAATAGAATCACACTTTTGTTTGTAAGAAGTTCTGAAATCTGTTCTCTAAAATGTTAAGTTTTCAACACCTCGCATCATTTTTTTTTTTTTTTTAAATCTCAGGAGTCAGCAAACTTTTCCCACGAAGAGCCAGAAAGTAAGTAGTTTTGGCTTTGCAGGCTAGATGGTCTCAGTTGCAATTATTCAACAATACTGTGGAGCACAAAAATAGCCACAGATAATACATAAATTAATGGCCACTGTTGTGTTCCAATGATACTTTATTTACAAAAATAGGCAGCTAGTGGGCTATAAGCTTGCCTATCCTCGCTTTAGATTTTTAATCATTGTTCCAAGATTTGTCACCTTGTATCACTAATCCAGTTAATCAGAACTTGACACAAATATTCGTTTAGCTGTTTCTCTTATTTTTTTTTTTTTAAAAACAAAAATTGTCAGGGTTATTCTAAAACCCTCGGCACTCAATAAAACAAATCTAACAATTTATTCTAAAGAAAAGAAATGCACAAAAATGCATATACAAGGATGTTTATGTAATTACTGATAATAAAGAACTGGAAATGATTAACAGATTTTATTTATTAAAAAGGAAATTAGTGACTATTCAGCAAATTATTCAGAAGCAGCAGACACAGAAAAAGAGTGATAATGTTTTCCAAAGTGTAAAAAAGTAACTCAAATAACGCCTAGTACTTTATCACTTTGGGAAACATCTGAAAGTATTTCTTAAAAAATTAATGATAGAAAGCTGGGCGCAGTGGCTCATACCTGTAATCCCAACACTTTGGGAGGCAGAGGCGGGTACATCACTTGAGGGCAGGAGTCGAGACCAGCCTGGCCAACATGGTGAAACCCCATCTCTACTAAAAATATAAAAGTTAGGTGGGCGTGGTGTCATACGCCTGTAGTCCCAGCTACTTGGGAGGCTGAGGCAGGAGAACTGCATGAACCCAAGAGGCAGAGGTTACAGTGAGCCAAGATCATGCCGCTGCACTCCAGCCTGGGTGACAGAACAAGGGGCGGGGGGGAGGAGAGAAGGAGGAGGGGGAGAGGAGGAGGGGGGGGAGAGAGAGAGGGAGGGAGGGAGAGAGACAGAAAGAAAAAAAGAAAAGAAAGAAATGATAGAAATATCTGAAGGATTTGATTCAGGTGACATTTTGCATTCTGAATTCTCTTCATTAAGTTTAAATTCTGTAAGGTGAAAAATCACTATGAAGGAAAATTTCAGCTAGTCTTAGAAGTCCAGCAGACAGCTGGTTAAGTAGTCATCCACTGCTATTACATCAACACAGATCCTCATAGCAATTATAGTTATTAAAATGCTTTTATATATTGTTTTGTTCAATCTATAAGAATCCTATGAGGAAGTAAGAATTTCTGTAATAAAACACTCAGTTATTTCCAACATTCTTCCAAACAGTATCTCCAACCTTAAAGTTGAAGATCTAAGCCATTCTTAACTTTTAAAAATTCTTAAGAATTTATAAAAATATTCTCCTTCAGTATGGAAATTTCCATCTTTTATAGACTCCATCTTTTTTTACTAAGGTACACGTGCTTAATACCTAAAAATACATTCCTTGATCAATTCAGTTAATTAAATGGCACCAGTGAAGACAATCTTACCCCAGGAAAATTTTCACACGAAGTTCTTTTTTGGTCCTTGAGATTGTCTTCAATGTGGTAATTTCTGCATCAAACCAGAATCCTCTTTGTCCAGGACTTTCTACATTATAATTAACCATTACCACATCACCAACATTTAGTTCATTCCATTTCAAAATGGTTCTAGCTCGTGGTCTAAGATCCTTGACATTCATTTCTAGAGTACCGCTTTCTGGGTATCTGAGGAGAGAGAAAACCATATGGCTTATGATTACCAAAGACAACTAAAGTTTTATGCAATGTACAGAAAAACCTAATTTGCTGAGTTAATCATCTAAGAGAAAGAGTAAAATAGGTTGAAGTGTCCTTAAATAGCAGGTGTTATTACTTCATGTTGGTTTCTCACCTGTACTGCGATACCTACAGGGTAGTTTCTATATCAGCATGAACTGTCTCCCCATTCCCACTAGGCCTTGGAGATGTGGATCTCTTCATGGCTTGCAGGTTGTCAGGCAAGTAAGTGTTCAGCCCGCATTCAAGAACCACAATCATCTACTTTGAGGGAGCTATATACAATTTTTCTAGAATAAACTATATGTTATGTATCTATTCAGTCACGTATTACTGTTATAATCTAGATATTCGCAATGGGAGACTGAATATTTGTAATGGCACTTAAATGATATACACTCATGATTTGACTTCCCAGAGCAAAACTATTCTTGTTAAAGTCTTATTAAGACGTTCATTGCTAGCTGGGAAAGTAGGGGACTGGGGAGGGTGATAAAAACATAAGCTCTTGCTCTACATTTTTTTAACCCAAGTTTTGTTTTGGTTTCTGAGACAAGGTCTCACTCTGCCACCTAGGCTGCAGTACAGTGACACGATAATAGCTCACTGTAGCCTCAAACTCCTGGGCTCAAGAAATCCCCGAGCCTGAGCTGCCTGAGTAGCTGGTACTACAGACACGTGCCACCACACCCAGCTAATATGTTTTTCTTTTGTAGAAGCAGGGTCTTACTATGTTCATGACGCTGGTTTAGAACTCCTGGCCTCAAGCAACCCCCTGCCTTGGACTCCCAAAGTACTGGGACTACCGGCATGAGCCACCATGTCAGGCCTCAAGTTTTTTGTTTTGTTTTGTGAGATGGAGTCTTACTCTGTCAGCCAGGCTGGAGTGCAGTGGTGTGATCTCAGCTCACTGCCACTTCCACCTCCTGGGTTCAAGTGATTCTCCTGCCTCAGCCTCCTAAGTAGCTGGGATTACAGGCATGTGCCACCACTCCTGGTTAATTTTTGAATTTTTAGTAGAGACGGGGTTTTGCCATGTTGGCCAGGCTGGTCTCGAACTCCTGACCTCAGGTGATCCACCCGCCTCAGTCTCACAAAGTGCTGGGATTACAGGCATGAGCCACCGCACCCGGCCCCAAGTTTAAGTTTTAACAGGACTAGATGATGGCCTCTTTCTGATCTTTGTACAAGTTCATCAAGTTCTGCCATTTTGCAGTACTTATAAGAACATGAACCTGGCATATTCCGATAGTCTCCATTTTCCCTGAAAGAGAAAGGAAAGATTCCAGTTTCTTTCTTTCTTTTTTTAAAATTTAAGTTCTTGGATACCTGTGCAGAAAGTGCAGGTTTGTTACTTAGGTATACAGGTGCCACGGTGGTTTGCTGCACCCATCAACCTGTCATCTACATTAGGTATTTCTCCTAATGCTATCCTTCCCCTAGCCCCCTACCCTCCGACAGGCCCCTCTGTGTTATGTTCCCCTCCCTGCGTCCATGGGTTCTCATTGTTCAACTTCCACTTATGAGTGAGAACATGTGGTGTTTGGTTTTCTGTTCCTGTGTTAGTTTGCTGAGAATGATGGTTTCCAGCTTGATCTATGTCCCTGCAAAGGACAGGAACTCATCCTTTTTTATGGCTGCATAGTATTCCATGGTGTATATGTGCCACATTTTCTTTATCCAGTCTATCATCGACGGGCATTTGGGTTGGTTCCAAGTCTTTGCTGTTGTGAACAGTGCTGCAATAAACATACATGTGCATGTGTCTTTATAGTAGAATGATTTATAATCCTTTGGGTATACACCACCCAGTAATGGGACTGCTGGGTCAAATGGTATTTCTGGTTCTAGGTCCTTGAGGAATTGTCTTCCACAATGGTTGAACTAATTTACACTCCCACCAACAGTATAAAAGCGTTCCTATTTCTTCACATCCTCTCCACCATTAAAAGAACTAGAGAAGCAAGAGCAAACACATTCAAAAGCTAGCAGAAGACAAGAAATAACTAAGATGAGAGCAGAACTGAAGGAGATAGAGAGATGAAAAACCCTTCAAAAAAAAAAAAATCAACAATCCAGGAGCTGGTTTTTTGAAAAGATCAGCAAAATAGACTGCCAGCCAGACTAACATAGAAGAAAAGAGAGAAGAACCAAATAGACACAATAAAAAATGATAAAGGGGATATCACCACTGATCCCACAGAAATACAAACTACCATCAGAGAATACTACACAAATAAACTAGAAAATCTAGAAGAAATGTATAAATTCCTGGACACATACACCCTCCCAAGACGAAACCAGGAAGAAGTCGAATCCCTAAATAGACCAATAACAAGTTCCGAAATTGAGACCAATAACAAGTTCCAACCAAAAAAAGCCTAGGACTAGACGGATTCACAGCTGAATTCTACCAGAGGTACAAAGAGGAGGTGGGTACCATTTCTTCTGAAACTATTCCAAACAACAGGAAAAGAGGGACTCCTCCCTAACTCATTTTATGAGGCCAACATCATCCTGATACCAAAACCTGGCAGAGACACAACAAAAAAAGAAAATTTCAGGCCAATATCCCTATGAACATTGATGCAAAAATCCTCAATAAAATACGGGCAAACCGAATCCAGCAGCATATATCAAAAAGCTTATCCACCACGATCAAAATCGGCTTCATCCCTGGGATGCAAGGCTGGTTCAACATATGCAAATCAATAAACATAATCCATCACATAAACAGAACTAATGACAAAAACCACATGATTATCTTAACAGACGCAGAAAAGGCCTTCTACAAAATTCAACCCCTTCATGCTAAAAACTCTCAATAAACTAGGTTTTGATGGAATGTATCTCAAAATAATAAGAGCTATTTATGACAAACCCATAGCCAATATCATACTGAATGGGCAAAAACTGGAAGAATTCCCTTGGAAAACTGGCACAAGACAGGGATGGCCTCTCTCACCATTCCTGTTCAACAGAGTGTTGGAAGTTCTGGCCAGGGCAATCAGGCAGGAGAAAGAAATAAAGGGTATTCAATTAGGAAAAGAGGAGGTCAAATTGTCCCTGTTTGTAGATGACATGATTGTATATTTAGAAAACCCCATCATCTCAGCCCAAAATCTCCTTAAGGTGATAAGCAACTTCAGCAAAGTCTCAGGATATAAATCAATGTGCAAAAATCACAAGCATTCTTATACACCAATAACAGACAAACAGAGAGCCAAATCATGAGTGAACTCCCATTCACAATTGCTACAAAGAGAATAAAATACCTAGGAATACAACTCACAAGGGATGTGAAGGACCTCACCAAAAAGAACTACAAACCACTGCTCAACGAAAAAAAAGAGGACACAAACAAATGGAACAACATTCCATGCTCATGGATAGAAGAATCAGTATTGTGAAAATGCCCATACTGCCCAAAGTAATTTATAGATTCAATGCTGTCCCCATCAAACTGACAATGACTTTCTTCACAGAATCAGAAAAAACTACTTTAAATTTCATATGGAACTAAAAAAGAGCCCGTATAGCCAAGACTATCCTAAGCAAAAAGAACAAAGCTGGTGGCATCATGCTACCTGACTTCAAACTATACAAGGCTACAGTAACCAAAACAGACATGTAGACCAATGGAACTGAACAGAGGTCTCAGAAATAACGCCACACATCTTCAACTATCTGATCTTTGACAATCCTGACAAAAACAAGAAATGGGGAAAGGATTCCCTATTTAATAAATGGTGTTGGGAAAACTGGCTAGCCACATGTAGAAAACTGAAACTGGACCCTTTCCTTACACCTTATATAAAAATTAACTCAAGATGGATTAAAGACTTAAACGTAAGACCTAAAACCATAAAAACCCTAGAATAAAACCTAAGCAATACCATGCTGGACAAAGGCATGGGCAAAGACTCCATGTCCAAAACACCAAAAGCAACGGCAACAGAAGCCAAAATTGACAAATGGGATCTCATTAAACTAAAGAGCTGCTGCACAGCAAAAGAAACTATCATCAGAGTGAACAGGCAACCTACAGAACGAGAGAACATTTTTGCAATCTATCCATCTGACAAAGGGCTAATATCCAGAATCTACAAAGAACTTAAATTCACAAGAAAAAAACAAACCACCCCATCAAAAAGTGGGCAAAGGATATGAACAGACAGTTCTCAAAAGGAGACATTTATGCGGCCAACAAACATATGAAAAAAAGCTCATCATCACTGGTCATTAGAGAAACGCACATCAAAACCACACTGAGATACCATATCACGCCAGTTAGAATGGCGATCATTAAAAAGTCAGGAAAAAACAGATTCTAGTTTTTACATGTAGCCAGCTCTCTAGAAACATTCTAAAAAGAAAAAAGCCAAGAAATTTCATCAGAAAGTAAAACCATGTAAAAATTCTATCAGTAACTTGGCTGTACGTATATTTCCTAATAGTAAGTATTACAAACCTAACCTGACCTGAACCTAAAGCTTTATAAGGTTCTTCAATTTTACATATTTTTATTTATTGTTTTTAGAGACAGGGTTTCACTCTGTCACCCAGGCTGGAGTGCAGTGGTGTGATCATGCCCGCTGCAGCCTTGGCCTCCCAGGCTCAAGCAATCCTCTTACCTCAGCCTCCCAAGAAGCGGGGGCTACAGACGCATGCCACTATGCCTGGCTAGTTTTAAAACTTTTTGTGGAGACAGGGTCTCACCATGTTGCCCAGCTGGTCTCAGACTCCAGGGCTGAAGCAATTCTCCCATCTTGGCCTCCCAAAGTGCTTGGATTACAGGCATAAGCAATCATGCTGAGCCAGGTTCTTCACTTTTAGGCCTAACTTCCTGATATCATCAGACCAAAGAAATCAGTAACAGTCCACACTGGCTTCTATAAAATTAAGACCTGCTGCTCCTCAAGTATGCTCACTGCAGCACTATTCACAATAGCAAAGACTTGGAACCAACCCAAATGTCCATCAATGATAGACTGGATTAAGAAAATGTGGCATATATACACCATGGAATATTATGCAGCCATAAAAAAGGATAAGTGCATGTCCTTTGTAGGGACAGGGATGAAGCTGGAAACCATCATTCTCAGCAAACTATCGCAAGTACAAAAAACCAAACACCGCATGCTCTCACTCATAGGTGGGAATTGAACAATGACAACACTTGGACACAGGAAGGGGAACATCGCACACCCGGGCCTGTTGTGGGGTGGAGAGAGGGGGGAGGGATAGCATTAGGAGATATACCTAATGTAAATGACAAGTTAATGGGTGCAGCACACCAACATGGCACATGTATGCATATGTAACAAACGAGCTCGTTGTGCACATGCACCCTAGAACTTAAAAGTATAAACAAACAAACAAACAAACAAAAAAGCTGCTGCTCCTATGTATTGCTAGGTAGTAGAGGGACAAAGAAATGAGTAACATCTGGTTCTTACTCTTAAAAAGCTCAATCTATCAAAGGTAGGCCAGGCTACTACAGCAGTGGTTCTCAAAGTATGGTCCCAAGATCAGCAGCATCAACATCATCTGGAAATCCAAATTCTTGGGCTCCATCTCAGACCCTTAGTCAGAAACTCTGGAAATGAGGTCCAGCAATCTACATTTACAAATCCCCTCAGTGATTCCGATGCATGCTCAAGTTTAAAAACCCACTGTGCCATAGAAATACAGGAATTAGTATTTATGATATTAAATATCATATCCTAGAGTGAGGCAGCATTAAAAAGGTAGAAACTAAGGGAAGAAATCTTGAACCGTTACCCAACTAAGAGTGGCCTGCTCAAAACCAAAGTGGGCCTGAAGTTAGAAGGAGCTAGCTCTGGCTCTTCCAAATCAAACAAGGACTATGTAAGCTCAGGACTCTAATAGTGTACCTAACTCATTTCGATTAAATAGATATTAATCCTGTGTGGGATCTTACGTAGGTGATGGGGGCTGGGGGGCAGTTTTAACTCTAAGAAAAGCCACTCTGTGTTCACGTAGTTCTGACATAGGAAAGAGAAGGTACTTGATACTGAATCAAAGATAAGCTTTTGGAACTCATTCTATGCCTTAAGTCCATGAAGAAATCGACACACTCTTGCCACAACAGATCTAACACTTAGCCTAAATGTCCCTGCCAGCCTCAATCATCATCTTTCCTAATTCAAACCATTTTTAATGAATTTCCTTCAACTCATGTGACAAGGTTTTGGATCCTTGTATCAATCCTGGTGTCTTCACTCAAAAGATGTTCTATTTTCAGTCTGCCTAGGTTTAGATTCCCAATTTAGCTTCTCCCTCAACTTCCCACCAACCCCTCAACTTAGCTTCTGGCCACTGTGTATACTTGGGAAAGTTACCAAATCTTTTGGACTATATTCCTAACCCGTAAAACGTACCTAATGGTAACTGTATCTCATATGGTGGTTTTGAGGACTAAAATGAGAAGTCTTTTAAATCACTTAGAACAGTACATAATGGGGGTAAAGTAAATGTCAATTAGTATTTTTTTATTATGCAGAAATAATCTTAAAGAAGGAACCTGACAAGTACAAAATTATGTCTATAGTTCTACTCTTCTCCATTTCAATCCCTACTTTTTTTCTTTTTTTGAGACGGAGTCTTACTCTGTTGCCCAGGTTGGAGTACAATGGCATGATCTCAGCTCAGTGTAACCTCCGCCTCCTGGGTCCAAGCGATTCTCCTGCCTCAGCCTCCCAAGTAGCTGGGACTACAAGTACCTGCCACCACTCCTGGTTGGTTTTTTTGTATTTTTAGTAGAGACGGGGTTTCACCATGTTAGCCAGGATGGTCTCAATCTCCTGACCCCGTGATCTGCCCGCCTTGGCCAATCCCATTTTTTAATGGTCAAACCTAAATTTAAAGTCTGTAGCCCAACATCTGGTATTTATACACTCGTGTTGTTTCACAACGGTTTGGTCAGAAAAATAACAAACATTTTTCTCAATCTATAAAATGAGGTTAAACTAGATCTTTTAATGCTTTTCTAATTCCACAGTTGTAAATTCATTTCCTGCCTCAATATTCTTAAGTCCATGTAAGACAGAAACCTGTTCTATTTCAGATAATATTCCTTTCTCAGCTGTAAAGTGAAAATTACTTGGACAACACATTATCATCATTCTGTATGTTTTTAAATAACACTGTAAAAAGCATATTTCAGTGGCAAAAGAACCACCTCCATTAACCTAACTCTGTCAAAATTAAATACCCAGAATGGAAAGATTTTGAACTAAGTAGAGAACCTCAACAAAGTTTTAAAATTGTATATACAGTTATGTTTATATGGAGACAGGGCACCACAGCAAGGGAATTTAAGCTATTCCTGCACCAAAACTAAATTTGTACAAACTCAGGAGAGAATTATATAGTGGATTATATATATTCTATCTGTACTCATACACATACATAGTTAAGTCTGTAAAAGGTAAGTCATGAAAATGAAGCATACATTTTTAAATTCTAACCAAGGAGACAGTAAGTCAATTGCTAGGGGGAAGAAAAAACAAAAAAACAGAAAAGGAACATAAAACTACTCTTAAAGTCGGGAACCTATTATGCGCTCAAATGTTACCTAATATTTTCCTGGGCATCTTCAGCTACACATATTTTAAAATATACAGTGACAACTCTAAAGCTCCACTCTCGCCTAAACTTTTCAGATTCATATAACCATCTACACCCCAAACTGAAATGTCCCAGAAGCACCTCAAATGCAAAGCATCCAAAATGGAATCCCCCTACCCCATAATCTGCTGGTGCTCAGTATTCTCTGAGAAAAACCCTTCATGCTCTTAGAAGTGTAAGAGTTATCTCCAATTTATCTTATGTTGCCTTTATCCAGTTACTTAGTCCCATTTACGATAACCTGTTAATGACTGTTTAATGTAACTCTATATCCTTAGTTAAAATCTACCTTTCTCAGACTAGGCCCAACACACTTCCCCATCTTTAGGATCACACCTTTCAATCCATATCATATTTCTGCCAAAATGAAGATTCTAAGACACAGACCTACTTAAAATATTTTATGAAGTTTGATTACAATTTGTTGACAGGCTATGGGAAAACAAGTACTCTCATATATTGCTGACAAATACAAAGTGGTATTTTCCCCTCTTAGAGGGGCATCTGTTAATTACCAGAAACACTGTCTATACATTTGCTTTCTGACCCAGGAATTCCACCTCTAGGACTGTATCCTGGACATAAATAAAATCCTGATGAAAAGATACACAAGGCTATTTATAGCTGCACTATTTGTAACAGGTCTAAAAACAATCAAACGTCCATAACAGAAACCCTTAAGATAACATAATACAGGTACATAATAGAATATTGTGCTCCTATAAAAAAGAAATGAGAAACATACTAGGAAGTGATCTCCAGGATATATGAACTTAAAAAAAATAAGGTGCAAACGGTATGTGTAGTTTCTATTTTCTATCTAGTGTATATATGTATAAATACACATATATACACTAGATATGGGTATATGGCATATATACAAATGCATATATACACAATACACTTTTATTAAAACAGAAGCGTAAACCAAACTAACATTGTTACTTAAAAAACTAGGTGGGAGGCTGAGGCAGGAGAATCGCTTGAACCCAGGGAGGCAGAGACTGCAGTGAGCCCAGATCGTGCCACTGCACTCCAGCCTGGTGACAGACTGAGACTCTGTCTCAAAAACAACAACAACAACAACAACAACAAACAGGCCGGGCGCGGTGGCTCACGCCTGTAATCCCAGCACTTTGGGAGGCCGAGAAAGGCGGATCACGAGGTCAGGAGATCGAGACCATGCTGGCTAACATGGTGAAACCCCGTCTGAACTAAAAATTAGCCGGGAGTGGTGGCGGGCGCCTGTAGTCCCAGCTACTACTCGGGAGGCTGAGGCAGGAGAATGGTGTGAACCCCGGGGGGCGGAGCCTGCAGTGAGCCGAGATCGCGCCACTGCACTCCAACCTGGGCGACAGCGAGACTCCGTCTCAAAAACAAACAAACAAACAAAAAAAAAAAACAAAAAAAAACTAGGTAAGAAACAAGATAGAAGGAATCAGGATGGAAGCTCAATTTCTCTTAGTATATTTTGTTTTGGAGATTTAACTACAGAACTATGTAATGTGTCACATAATTATAAACACAATTAACAAAATGTGAGAAATCCCTAAAAACCAAAAGCATAATGAACGAAACTACACAACTGGTAGCCTAACACCACCAGGATAAACAATTACAAGTTATGTGAAAGCACACCAAGTTCACTAGACAGCCCAAATGATATATTTCCTAAAGACAAAAAAAACACGTAACTTTTCAGTAGTCCTATTGTTTGCAATATGAAAGTATTGTTAGTCTGAAACTACCGTGAGTAGGATAAAGCAAATCAGTGATATCACTAGGAACTGTGATTTTCAGGTTAAGAGAAAATAAACATAAAACCACAGAGGTTAAGTTGTAACCCTTTCCTCCTCTAAATTTAATTGGAACTATCAATATTCACCCATGGTATATTTAAGTATTATTTCCTAGTTCTTTTCCAACGAAAAGACCTAGAAACATGACCAAACACATATCAGTAAGCAGCACAGACTATGTGCTCTAAATACCATTTCCAATTCGAAATAACTGGGATTCCTAGACATGGCTGAACCCAGGGCTGGAACATTCTGTTATACCTGAACACAAAGAAACATTCAAAAACTATTATGTCACTTTAAACTTGAAGGATCTTCCAAAGGCTAAAGATGAGACAATATAAGCATCAAAGTAACAACTGGGATAGGTTAAAAATAGGTGTTAAAAGGCACTGGAAGTTCATAATAATACTTAAAAGTATCAATCTCACCGGTCAACCTTTGAAAGATTCTAGGGAATTACAATACAAGCTGGTAACAAATTTTGAGTGTATCAGGCTGACAACACCTGAATCTTACCACAGAAAAGTATTATGTGTCTCCTGATGGGATACCATGCCATAGGTAAACAAACACTGTCTCTCAAGTAGTCTTATCTAACAGAGTTTAAATCAAATTAAACTTTAATTATTAGCTTCTCAGGAAACTAACACATAACAGAAGAATGTGTCAAATATCACTACAGGAATGTGATCAGTAAAATCCAGACTGAGAAAATTGTACAAGACAAATGACACAGTTTATTTAAATAAATGGGGGGGGGGGAAGGGGAAGAAATCTGTAGATAGAGACTTACCAACTAAATGTAATGGGTGGGGTTTGTTTTTGATCCTTATTTGAACAACCTAAGTACATTTTTAAATAGATAATTAAGGAACTATGAACATTGATTGGTTATTTGATGTTAAGGAATCATTGGGAATTTTATGTGACATTTGTTGTTACACTTTGTATGTCAGTGTTTCCAAGTCTGTTCCCAGGTTCAATGATGTAGCAGAACTCACAGGACTCCTCTACACATTATAGCATGAAGCTATACCCATGGCTGAGTTAATACAGTCAAAAAACAAACAAAAAACAAACAACAATGAAAAGCAAAATCAGCAAAGGGAAAAGGCACATGAGGTGACCAGAGGAAACCAGACACAAGCTCTCTAAGAGTCATCTCCTAGTAGAGTCACACAGGGCATGCTTAATGCCTCCAACAACCAACTGTGACAACACATGGGAAATATTGTCTGCTAGGGCAGATTAGAGCATTCAAGATAATTAGGGGCTGATAACAGGTACTGCCTAGCACATACCAGAATTCCAGACTCCCAGAAGCAAGTGTTCAGCATAAACCATACTGTTTGCAAAAACAGTTTAGGCACAGAGAACTATTTTTAATCAGAAAATAATGGGAATGTTCCTGAAATCTAAGGTTTCCAAACAGCAGGCCAGGGCCAACCCATATAAGCTGACCATTTTAGGGATACCAGTCTCAGATCTGATGTTAACTCTTTTCTGCAAACTCTAAAAAGAATCCTTTTTAAGCCATTTTGTCCGTTGGATACTCTGGGAAACAGACGACAAGATGAAGGTAACACCTATGAAAGACAGGGAAAGAAAGGAGAACTAGGCAGTAAAAGCCCTTAGACCATGATGCTGGTCTATCATTTTGAAAGAAGGAAGGGGCAGGAAAAGCCTGAGTGCTGTTCAACTCTGACAACATCTTGGCCAGTCTAATGGTAAGCTCAGGTGTGAAATTAACATTGGGCAGAAATTGCCAAATCCAGAAGCACTGTCACACTTGGTCACTGGCTGAGGGAGGCCAAGAAAGAGCATAGCTTTGCTTCAAACACTGTGGCAGAGTTAGAAAGTGCTGTAGTTGAAGACGATCAGCTAACTGCACTACTTGCAGCTGGTCAGTAAAGGTCTTTCTTAAGACCTTTACTTCTTAGGATCCAGTTTCTAGGGCCACAAATGAGGCCATTTGCAATGGAAATCATATAAGGTTCAGGACTTGCTTCAAAATAATACAGTGGTGCTCAAAGGTGCTGGTAAAGGTAAAGACAAAATTGGCTATGAGTTGATGATGGTTAAAGCAAGGTGATGGGCTCATGATACTGCTTGTTCTGCGATGTTTAAAGATTTCCGTAATAAACACAAATGCTACGCAATTGAAAATCCAAACACTGGCTAAACACAAAAGGCTCTTCCTATTTTTTGAAGTTTTTCCTTATGTGTACAAACTTTAAAAGGTGACATTCAAGGCTTACAATGAAGACAAGTAGTCTGTCTACTGCCACAACCTACCACATTCTTAACTCCTGTTACTCAAGAGGCGAAAACTTTCCATTCTTATCTTATTTACCTCCACATTTTCAAACAGCATGCTTTGTATTTTTTGTTGTTAAACTGTTACTCTTAACATCCACCAAATACAGTTCACTTGCCTCCATCCTCCTCTTATAATTACTAACACACAGCACTGCATTAAGCGTTCACATATACTTATAACAACCCTTAGGACAGTCTGGCATTATTCTATCCCCATTTTACAGATGAAGCATAGAAGTTATTTATTTGGACGGTAATAAAAACAGAGACGTTTTTCAAACTGATCACCTGGCTCTAGAATCCATACACTTAACAGAGACAAACTTTTTCTTCTTCTTGAACATATTATAGAAACTATGTAGTTTGTAAAATCAATATTTTTTACATGTTAACTAAATAGTATTCACAGATAAGTAATGAAGTATGCTTTAATTACATTTCCTTCCTTCCACAACTGTGTTTTCCTTTGAGTATTTGGTTGCTCTTTTTGGTTGTTACTATGTACCTATCATTAATTTATCTACATTCCTACACAGTTGTAAAACTGTTCAGACATCTTAGGTACTCTGTCTTTTTGCAACTTTGAAACATTTCTTCTAGAGCCTCTGTCAAATTCCAATCTGGACACCTTGCTTTGTCCAGATTGTAGGCTTTGTAGGCTTTACGCCTGGTCCACAGCTTTCATGCTAGCATCTCCTTCCATTACCTCCTATATTGAATCCTATTTCCTGGAGAGCATGTCTTCTTTCCTGTTTTAAACACTAGGTAGGGTTAAAAGTGGTTAAAATGTTAATACAAATTAACCAATCCTCTTGTTTTTAGTTCTATTCCACATGCCTTCCTCCAAACTACCTAGTGAATTCAAGGCCTGAGCCTTCCCCAAGGTTCTCCAACACCAATTTGCTTGCTTTGTTTGTTGGCTTCTCGTACATAGGTTTCAGTTTTCTCTGGCCTGCTAAACTAGGCAATGTTAATTAGTGTTGTGCCTTCCAAAATTTTGTTGCTTTCTCTTGTGTTTTGATTTCTGTGCCTTTTTTTGTCCTCGGGGGTTTATGGATTTATTATTTTACTGTCTTCTAGGATGGTTTAGGAAGGAGTGGAAAGAAACATGTATCTTAACCTGCCATGTTTAACTGGAAATCTTTATTTACCTTTAGTTTCATTTCTTCTTACTCACTATATGCTTTCTACACTCCAGCTGTATTAATCTACTCTCAGGTAGCCCCATATTTTCTGCTTCTTTATCCTTGTATACTGCTGTTCTCCTTCAGGAACTAAAATATCTCCTCTACCTTTATACTCTCAAAGCTAGGTATGCATATTTCCATCATACTATAAAACAGCAATTTTTCACTGAGGAGCAAGTACCATGTTCAAAATATAGAGTGTTTGGGAGAGACCAGGCCCACAAATGTCTGGAAACATGTCCAACTTACTAAACAGAAAACTGTGCTTTTATATAAAAAGGTCTTAATCAAATATATAATAAAGTATGACCGCCTGACATCTATTTTGCTAATAGTAGAAACAACATAATTAGGTTAAAAGGTACGTGTGCTGGCTGGGCGCGGTGGCTCATGCCTGTAATCCCAGCACTTTGGGAGGCAGAAGCGGGCAGATCATGAGGTCAGGAGATCAAGACCATCCTGGCTAACATGGTGAAACCCCATCTCTACTAAAAATACAAAAAAATTAGCCGGGTGTGGTAGCAGGCACCTGTGGTCCCAGCTACTTGGGAGGCTGAGGCAAGAGAATGGCGTGAACCCGGGAGGCGGAGCTTGCAGTGAGCCGAGATTGTGCTACTGCACTCCAGCCTGGGTGACAGAGCAAGACTCTGTCTCAAAACAAAAAGTATGCCAAAAATAAAACTTATAAGTATTATTTGTTTGTTTATTTATTTTTTGAGACAGAGTCTCACTCTGTCACCCAGGCTGGAGTGCAGTGGCGCCATTTCAGCTCACTGTAATCCCCACTTCTTGGGTTCAAGTGATTCTCCTGCCTCAGTCTCCCAAGTAGCTGGGACTACAGGTGTGCACCACCACACCAAGCAAATTTTCCTATAGAGACGGGGTTTCACCACGTTGGCCAGGCTGGTCTCAAACGCCTGTCGTCCCCAAGTGATCCACCCGCCTTGGCCTCCCAAACTGCTGGGATTACAGGAATAAGCCACTGTGCCCAGATCTAAGTATTATTTAAGAGTATGTAGACCGGGGCTGAGGCAGACGAATCACTTCAGCCCAGGAGTTTGAGACCAGCCTGGGCAACATGGCGAAACCCTGCTTCTACTAAAAATTAAAAAAAATTAGGCCAGGCATGGTGGCTCACGCCTGTAAACCCAGCACTTTGGGAGGCTGAGGCAGGTGGATCACTTGAGGCCATGAGTTCGAGACCAGCCTGGCCAACATGCTAAAACCCTGTCTCTACTAAAAATTAGCCAAGTGTGGTTGCACACGCCTGTAATTCCATCTACCTGGGAGGCTGAGGTATGAGAATCGCTTGAACCTGGGAGGCGGAGGTTGCAGTGAGGCAAGATTGAGCCACTGCACTTCAGCCTGGTGACAGAGCAAGACTGTATAAAAAAAAAAAAATTATCCAGGTGAGGTGACGTATGCCTGTAGTCCTAGTTACTTAGGAGGCTAAGGCAGGAGGATCACCTGAGCCAGGGAAGTCAAGGCAGCAGTGAGCCGAGATCATGCCACTGCATTCCTGCCTGGGTGACGGGAGTGAGACTCTATCTCAAAAACAGGAAAAAAAAAAAAAAAAAAAGGGTGGCGGGGGGGGAAGAGTATTTACCAAAACAACCTGTCTTTATTAATTAGTAAATGAAAAGCAAAAAGTTTTATACCATTATCACCAGGTTATTTTCAATATTATTAGAAGAAAGAGCTAGGACCAGTGGCTAATGCCTGTAAGCCCAGCACTTTGGGAGGCCAAGGGGGAAGGACTGCTTGAGCCCAGGAGTTTGAGATCAGTCTAGGCAACATAGGGAGACCCTGTCTCTACAAAAAGAAAAATTTTTTAAATTAGCCAGTTATGGTGGCATGCACCTGTGATCCCAGCTACTTAGGAGGCTGAGGTAGGAGGATCACTTGAACCCAGGAGGTCAAGGTTGCAGTGAGCTGTGGTTGTGCCACTGCACTCCAACCTGTGTGACACAGTAAGACCCTGTCTCAAAAATAAATAAAGAGGCTAGGCGTGGTGGCTCACCTCTGTAATTCCAGAACTTTGGGAGGCCGAGGCAGGTGGATCACTTGAGGTCAGGAGTTCTAGACCAGCCTGGCCAACATGGTGAGATCCCATCTCTACTAAAAGTACAAAATTAGCCGAATGTGGTGGAATGCCCCTGTAATCCGTTACTCAGGAGGCTGAAGCAGGAGAATCGCTTGAACCTGGGAGGTGGAGGTTGCAGTGGGTCAACATGATACCACTGCACTCCAGCCTGGGAGACAGAGCAAGACTCCATCAATCAATCAATCAATACATAAATAACACAGGTCAAATAGTTATTGACAGATAAGGAAATTAAAAGCTGAAAAATTTAAGAGAAAACAAAAACCTTAATAATAAACTAAAGACCTGGAATTCAAACCAAAATCTTTTTTTTTTTTTTTTTTTTTAAATAAGAGATAGGGTTTTGCTATGTAGTCCAAGCTGGCCTCAAACTCCTGAGCTCAAATGATCCTCCCACCTTGGTCTCCCAAAGTGCTAGGATTACAGGTGTGAGCCACCATGACCGGCCTCAACCCAAATTCTAAATCTAGTGCCTAAACTATGTAGCCTGTGACAGAACCACTGCTCCGTATACTTAATGGCCAGCGTGGTACCTCTTTGAAAAGCAGATTCCTAGGCTGGACTTGGTGGCTCATGCCTGTAATCCCAGCACTTTGGGAGGCCGGGGCAGGTCAATCACCTAAGGTCAGGGTTCAAGACCAGCCTGGCCAACATGGTGAAACCCTGTCTCTACTAAAAATACAAAAATTAGGCAGGCGTGGTAGTGGGTGCCTGTAATCCCAGCTACTTGGGAGGCAGAGGCAGGAGACATCACTTGAACCCTGGAGGGGGAGGTTGCAGTGAGCTGAGATTATGCCATTGTACTCCAGCCTAAGCAACAAGAGCAAGACTCAGTCTAAACCAAAAAAAAAGCGGATTCTTAGGCCCTACCCAAGGCCCACACAATGAGGAAGCAGGGAGAGAGAGGGTCCCCTCAGGAATCTGTTTCTTAAACACCTTACATGGGTGAAAATGCAGTGTTTCTGACCATCTTTGAGAAGCATAAATGTAAAGGGACGATATATAAGTTTGAAGAGGTGAAATCAACTGGTATCTGTAAAGTTCTTTTTCTAAGTACTAAGTGATCTTGCAACACATGAGCAACGAGAAAATGAAATGCATATCTAACTTATTCCTTCCTCCTTTTGATTACCATCCACTCAGGAGCCTACAAGTCATAGACAGTTAGAGGAAATACTCTAAGTCTTTGGTAAAGACACCAATAACAACCAAGAAGCAATAGAGCAGACAGGTTATTTTACCAGGGTTCTGAAATTAAACAACTCATTCTAGTTCCCTCCTGTACTCAAGACTGACATGACACTTAATTCAAGAAAAATCTACTCTCTCTCCCATCAAAACCTAGAAATAATTACATTTGACACTATTAAAAACATTTTTGGAACTCTTAGAAAAAAGATCACTACATCAATATACTCAAGAAAATCAGTTTTGTTACTTTTTGGAAAAACTTTCATCTAAAAATACCACTTGATTTTATTCAGAATTGGCTCACTGACTTCTATTTGCAGTAGCCACAATTAAGGCTACTCAAAATCATGTACCACAGACTGAGAATAGCTCCAGAAATCTTAAAGAATGCTGGGAGCAAAGACAACATATTTTAAGACGTTTGCCAGATGAGTTTTTAATTATAGCCTAGCCTAAGTTACCCACAAAATTCTAAGTGATGCTGTAACATTTCATTTGATTTCAATCCCATGGTAAAGCCTTGACACTGTATTAAAAGTAACAGTTGAACCTATTTGGTTTAAGCAACCCTTTTAATACTAAAAAGTATGTGTTCTCCCCCACAGAGAAGTACATACAGGTGTTTATGGACAAGAAAAAGAACTTCTCTGGTTTATAGTATCTGTTCTGTGAAAGCATTCTGACTAGAGAGATAAACAGAAATTTTTAAGTTATTTAAACAAACTGACATGCTATAGATAGATGGTGTTTTACAATAGTTTTTTAAAAGCATGCTTCTCTTAAAATGAGAGGTAGTATGGTAGAGTAGTTGCAAGCATGCGCTTTTTGGAATCTGCCTGCTACTTACTAGCTCTCTAACACTGAGCAAGTTACTTCTTTAAACCTCAGTTATTCCCACTTTACACATAAGAAAACATCTACACTTCACTGAGTTTCTATGAAGATTACATGAGATAATCCAGGTAAAGTATCTGTATACTGCTTGGCACACTGTGTTATTTTAACAAGAGAATTATTGGATTAAGCTACTTTAATTTGGGCTTCACTATGAAAAGGCTCCTGGCGATCATTTGCCCACAGTTAAAGACTGCAACTTGCCTAGCCAAAGGTAGCTTCATTCTTAAGATCAGATACAGACATATTAACTTTCATAAGAATTTTCCTTCTTTACATAGACACTTCCTTGTTCAAACTACTAGGTGTTTTCTAGCTTACTTTTATTCTTATAGAAATCAGCTAAAAGTTATAACCCGAGACCTCTAAATTAGACCACTAAGTTAAATAAAGCAATAAAGGAAAAGCAAGTCACTAACAAGAATAGTTTCCTTACACTTACCTTTTTAACTGAACTGTAAGACTGACCGACAGTACATGTTAAATCCTTGGTTTTAAGAGGATAAAGAGAACAGGTGGTAGTGTGGTAACTATGGCCTAAAAATTAAAGCCTAGACCATATCATCATGAAGTTCGTGCCATGCCAGGCACAGTGGCTCAGGCCTGTACTTCCAGGACTTTAGGAGGCCGAGGTGAAAGGATTGCTTGAGCCTGGAGTTCGAGACCAGCCTGGGCAACAAAGTGAGACCCCATCTCTACCCCCCCAAAAAAAAAAAAAATCAAAAATTAACTGGTCACAGTGGTGTGCACCTGTGGTCCCAGCTACATGAGAGGCGGAGGCAGGAGGATCACTTCAGCCCAGAAAGTCGAGGCTGCAGTGAGCCATGTTTGTGCCACTGCATTTCAATCAGGGTGATGGAACAAGACCCTGTCTCAAAAACAAAACAAAACAAACAAAACAAAACAAAACAAAACAAAACCTTATGCCAATGTTTAGAGAACTTTTGAACTGATTGAAAATTTATGGATTGATTATTCTGTAATGACCAGAGACTGAGCTGCTTCATCCACTGGAAACATTTCAAGGAAAAGCATTTTACAATCAGGGAAGAATCTGACATCTATTTCAATCCCATCTCCCGTTCAGGAAGCTTGTCTTAGAAGGACTGACTGGAGGTGGTGGCTCACACCTGTAATCCCAGCACTTTGGGAGGCTGAGGCTGGTGATCACTTGAGGTCAGGAGTTTGAGACCAGCCTGGACAACATGGTGAAACCTTGTCTCTATTAAAAACACCAAAACTAGCCAGACGTGGTGCCAGGCACCTGTAATCTCAGCTACTCGACAGGCTAAGGCATGAGAATTGTTGAACCCAGGAGGCAGAGGTTGCAGTGAGCCAAGATCGTGCCACTGGACTCCAGCCTGGGCAACAGAGCAAGAAAAACCTTAGATCTCGGAACAGTCAACTATTACATAGTATTTCCCCCACTCAAGAATTTAACAGACAAATTTCCCCATAAATACATTATGGACATTAATTTCTATGAAAAATTAATATGGGTAAAGACTGTATAGTGGAGAAATGGTCCCTCATTTAAAGTCAACTACAGATCATTTAGCTTGAATGAAATATAATTTTAGAAAAGAATTAGTTCCAATAATTTATGTCTATAAGGAAATAAAATGGAAAAAAAAAACCGGCCACAAACCACCTAGACATACTAAAATAAGAATGAATGCTCAGATTCTTCAGGTATTGCATATCATCTTTGGTCTTTAAAATATATTTAGTTAAACTGTCATATATCAACTCCTTTCCCCTATACTGCTATTTGGCAGCAGTTGCCTGATAGTAATGGATAAGGCTGGGTCAAAAGGAATTTATCAATGATTTGTTCTCAAACTTGAGTATGCATCAGAGCCACTCAAAGGACTTATTAGAACACATACTGCTCAGCCAACTCCAGGACTGATTCATCATATGCCTGGAGTGAGCCCAGGAATTTGCATTTCTTTTGTTTTTAATTCTGCTTTTTTTTTTTTCTTTTTGGGAGGGGTAGAGACAGGTTTTCACCGTGTCACCCAAGCTGGAGTACAATGGCACAATCTTCACTCACTGCAACCTCCACCTCCTGGGCTCAAGCCATCCTCCCACTTCAGCCTCCCGAGTAGCTGGGACTACAGGTGCACACCACCATAGGTGGCTGAGTTTTTTTTGTAGAGACTGGGTTTTGCCATGTTGCCTAGGCTGGTCTCGAACTCCTGGGCTCAAGTGATCCACCTGCCTTGGCCTCCCAAAGTGCTAGGTTTACAGGTATGAGCCACTGCACAGGCCAAGAATTTGCATTTCTAACACGTGGTGCTGATGCTCCTGGCCAAGGACCATTATTTTGAGAATCAATGAACTAAGGCAGTGGTTCTCAACCATGGCTAGACATTAGAATCATAGGGAATTATTATCACAGGGAATCACAGGGAATGAAATAGAATCACAGGGAATGATTAGAATCATTACAACTTTTGAAGACATCAATGCCAGGGAGAGGGAAGGGGGCTCCCTCAGAAGGATTATACTAGAAATTCTATGCGGAGAGGTCTCATGCACCGATTATTTTGAAAACTTCCTAGACAATGTGTAGCCAGGGTTGAGGAACACTAGTCTAAGTAACTAAAATTAATCTAAATAAAATCCACTGAAAGCAGATGCTTTTTATATACAAAAGCAGGATAAAGATTTTCGCAGCCAAATGATGAGTACAGATAAAATTTGGCAGGATACCCTAAGTTGTTGACATACCTACGGTTTAGCTCAATAGAAGTTGCGTGTGTGCTTTTTGCTTTAAATCCCAGGCAAAGTCTAAAGCAAGTCTTCAGCTCATACTTGCAATTAAATATTTATATAAAATGTTGACCTCTGACAGCAACATAGAAAAGTTGGCTATTATCAATTATATGTACCATGTCTGTGCTGAATCACAATACTGCATATTGGTTAACTCTTGGGCTCTTGAGTCAGACAGTTTAATAGATGTGACCCTTGGCTAATTATATAATTAATCCTTGGTTTCCTCATATGAGATTTAATGTAGCTAACATTATAATCATGCTAAATATTACATAGCATCTGTGTAAGAAGTTATGCTCAGAGTCCGGCACATAAGACAACATTCTCTAAAATATCATAAGCTATGCCACAGATATTATTAAAAACACTAATGAAATGACTGCCCTTCAAGACCACTACTTCCCTCAGTCAACATCCTGACTCTTCAACAATAGCTTCAGGGTCTCTACTTGCAAGACTGCTGTCAGTTTTGTGAATTTAGATGTTTAGGGCCCTTAAAAATGTTAATCTTAACTTTTAATATCTTAACTACAGAAAGGATAATTGATGGGAATACAGAACATTGAGGAAGATATACAACTGAACAGTACACACTTACTAAAATGAAACAAGAAAATTTGATGTTTTCTCCCTTTTTTCTTTTACATTAACCACTTAATGATTTATAATTGCCTCTATTACCTTAACATTTTGCTTAAGTCCTCCTCCCTTTTCTGTTCAAAATACCACTAGAAACAAGAGTTTTCATTCAAGTATAGTCTCTCTCCAGTAACCAGGGTTTGGGTAAGGGGAGGTAGTTCTCACAGCCAAGTTGTATGTGCCCACTAAAGGAGTGGTTTTAAAAATGACTTAAGAATTCCTTGAAATCTAAATCTCTAGAGTTTAAATTTAATAATTCTGCTGTCAAAGTTCTCCCTGAGTACTGATTAGGTTGAGTTCTACTAAAACAAGGTTAAGGACAGATAAGTGACATAGAACAGCAATCCAGAAAAAAAACTTATAAATATCTATCTACTTTGTACATGATGTGAACCCAATGTTTGCTTTGCACTATCTGCATAAAGGTGTGAACCACAAAGTTGACAGCTTAACGTAGGCCTTAAGGCTGACAATCGAATATTCACAAGAAACCTTCAACAATTCAAGAAGGCTCACGCCTGTAATCCCAAAACTGAGGCTTGAGGTCAGGAGTTCAAGACCAACCTGGCCAACATGGCGAAACTCCATCTCTACTAAACACAAAAATTAGCCGGGCGTGGTGGTGCACATCTGTGTCTCAGGAGGCTGAGACAGGAGAATCGTTTGAACCCGGGAGACAGAAGTTGCAGTGAGTCAAGATCACACCACGGCACTCCAGCCCAAGCCATAGAGCAGGGCTGTCTCAAAGAAACAAACAAAAAACAATTCAGCCTATGTTCACCAAGAAATCTATAGAAAAGGACCATTTACAAGCAACTAGTAAAACTCAAATTTTAAAACATTTCAAATCTCTTAACATAACCTGTTTTTCATAAACTTAGTGTTTGTATCTGTAATTTTTGAAGGAATAGTGGAGATAAATTAGGAAACAAATTATTTCAGTTATATTTTAGAATTACATCTTCTACTATATCTTAAATTTTTTTGGTTTGGTGTTTGAAACTCCTCTACCTAAGAAGAAACATCATAAATCTATAATGGCTATCATTCCTCATAGACTAAAGATTGTTTTTAACTCTGCTCTGACTGGAGTAGAAGTTGAAAATGCAAGAGAATAGCTATTTATCTTGGCCTAATTCAGCAACGAATTCTGTTTTAATGAAGCTTCATTTCAAAGACTGATAATCTGGTCTAGTAATCTATTAGATACGTAGATTACTATAAAAAACAGCTTTTAAACAGCTCCATTTTAACTGACAAACATTGCATACCCCAGAATAATTCCAGAGGCAGGTTTCTTTCATCTCATGTACAATACATCTCCCTGCTTTTGCTAAATGACAGCTTGTTCAAACTACACTGCTACACTCAAGAGGTTTGCAGACACAATTGTGCACAGGTTTGCCAAATAATGCTTATCACTCTAGGAGAAAAATGAAAAAGTAGTTCTTTGAGAGAAATACCATAAAGCCATAAATGCAATGGGATGGTAACCTATAAGCACTTAAAGCCTATTTAGTTAAAGTACAAAAATGTGACTTTGAGAGACACTGGCTTAGAGGTAAAAATGACATGCTGTCATTACAGGTCATCTAATACAATTACTAACTTCATAGATTCTCTTTGCAGTGCATCATCTCCAATAAGTCTTCCCATCTATGGTTGAAAATGGCCAATGCTAGTTTACTGGCTACTTCTCAAGGCAGACCATTCTCCATCTTCAGAGATATTTGACTGGTAGGAAGTTTAGGTTATCCTGAAACTTCCCTTCTGTGTTATACAGAAATCTCTTCTAAGAGCTTTTACAATATGGGAACAATCATAATCCAGGTCTTTCAAGCTAAGTATTTAGTTTTTTTGGCTACTCTTCACTGTAGTTTTACATTTTGAGTCCTACTCTGAACATGCACCAGGTCCTGATGGTATTGTTTTTAAGGCATGAGAGCTGGAGGACAATATTCCTAGTAGGGAATAGCCAGTCCAGTACAACAGCAGCATCATCTGGTTTGTACTAGGTATCTTACTTCTAATGAAACTAGCCGGGTGCGGTGGCTCACACCTGTAATCTCGCACTCTGGGAGGCTAAGGTGGGTGTTTGAGATCAGGAATTCAAGACCACCTTGGCCAACGTGGTGAAACCCAGTCTCAACTAAAAATACAAACATTAGCCAGGTGTGGTGGTGCATGCCTATAATCCTAGCTTCTTGGGAGGCTGAGGCACGAGAATTACTTGAAACCAGGAAGTGGAGGTTGCAGTGACCTGAGATCGCACCACTGCACTCCAGCCTGGGCCACAGTGCAAGACTCTGTCTCAAAAATAAATAAATAAAATAAAGCAAAACAGATTTACAGCATAACTATATGACAACCACATTCTATCGACTCACTTGGAGCTTACTACTCAATAAAAAAATCTGGCCAGGTGCAGTGACTCATACCTGTAATCCCAGCACTTTGGGAGGTTGAGGTAGGTGGATCACCTGAGGTCCAGAGTTCAAGACCAGCCTGACCAACACGGTGAAACCCCGTATCTACTAAAGATACAAAAGTTAGCCAGGCGTGGTGGCAGGCACCTGTCATCCCAGGTACTCATGAGGCTGAGGCAGGAGAATCGCTTGAACCTGCAAGGCAGAGGTTGCAGCGAGCCGAGATCGTGCCACTGCACTCCAGACTGAGCAACAGAACGAGACTCTGTCTAAAAAATAATAATAATAAAATAAAAAATCTGCTTATTACTACTGTTAGGCTATACCAGCTTTCTTCAATGCATCCTCCATTCAAAGAAGAACTTGTTTGATGACTTACTGAAATCAACATGTACTTCATTATATTTTATAATTCATTTTTCTAATGATCACAAAGAATGAAACTTTAACATGCTTTGTATCACAACCATATCGGGCTCATAATGATTCTTTTATCCAGGAGCTTATTTATGTTATACATCTCATATTTTATATAGTCCTTTCCTCTTTTTAAAGAGGTGACATTTACCTGTTACTAAGCTTCTGTTATCTTTCATTTTTCAAAGAAAGTTCAGCTATCGTATCTTTAAGTTGCCAGCATTGAAACATTTAATTCCATCACGTAAAATTATTTAGGGCAGGTAATTTTAGTCTTTTCACACATGTTGGATTTAGATTCCCCTTTACTTAACATTCATTCTAACTGACAAAAAAAGTTGCCAAATATATGCTAAGGTACTGTGTTTTGTGCTCTAAGATACACCAAACTGAAGGGTAGGTCCTATCCATTGGATAGTCTTACTTCAAAAGCAACTTTAAGAGCCCCTAAAACTGTAAAATTTAATAAGCCTTAGTTCACTATTTAAAGTTCCTTATTCTATGTCTATGTTGTGCCATTCTGCATAATATTATTTGCCAAACAATAACTCTTATTGGCCAGAATCAGATTCAAGGTAGTAGTTTTCCTAATTGTTTCTCCCCTTTCCACAACAAATCTCAAGAACTTAAAACATTCTACTTATTTACCTGTTTTGACACAGCATTTATAAACCCAGAGACCACTTACTATTAATACACCAACTTCAACCCCTTTCTACCCCAGCCTCAGTTCAGTTCTGGCCAATCTCAGATCTAAATACTCAGATAATCGTTGGTACTATTACCATCTATCATGTCAAGTAAGCAGTGTTGGCCGCTTAGCCACAACCACAATAAGTACCAGAAAAGTAAAGATTAAAGGGATCTACTTTTGATTCATTTCCAGATATCCTGGAAATCTGAATACTGAAGTGTTGTTATACTGTTTTGTGGTATGAAAAATAATAAGCGTTCTAGGATTTCTAACTCGTACTTGTTAAGAATTTGGTAGCATAATATTTTCCATACATATTAATGTATTACTTGATTAGTGACTTAAGGTCATTTAGTGTGTTTAATATACTAAATCTGTCCCAACAGTAACTTTCGTACTACAATTTTTTAAATGGATAAAGACAATAGTTTACTGTCAGAATCTAAACCCTCAAGACAAGTTCTTAATACCACTTCCATCCTAACAGTTTAAAACCTATTTTGGGCCGGTCGTGGTGGCTCAGGCCTGTAATCCCAGCATTTTGGGAGGCCAAGGTGGGTGGATCACTTGAGGTCAGGAGTTCGAGACCACCGTGGCCAACATAGTGAAACCCTGTCTCTACTAAAAAATAGAAGAATTAGCCTGGTGTGGTACCAAGCACCTGTAGCCCCCAGCTACTCAGGAGGCTGAGGTAGCAGAATCGCTTCAACCTGAAAGGCAGAGGTTGCAGTGAGCCAAGATCGCACCACTGAACTCCAGCCTGGGTGACAGAGCAAGACTCTGTCTCTAAATAAATAAATAAATAAATCCTATTATCTTGGGGAAGTGGGACTGGGGAGTGACTGATAATCAGTATGAGATTTCTTTTTGGGGGGTTGTTCTAAAATTAGTTTGTGGTAGTACGTCAAAAACAACGAATTATACTCTTTAAACAGGTAAACTGTATGTGAACTATCTCAATAAAAAGCTGTTTAAAAAAAATTTTGCACTGGGCACAGTGGCTCACGCCTTTAATCCCAGCACTCAGGAAGGCTGAGGTGGGAGGATCACTTGAGCCCAGGAGTTCAACACCAGCCTGGACAATATAGTGAGACCACATCTCTACAAAAAAATTAGCCGGCCAGGTGTGGTGGCTTACGCCTGTAATCCCAGCACTTTGGAAGGCTGAGGCGGGCAGATCACCTGAGATCAGGAGTTTGCGACCAGCCTGGCCAACATGGTGAAACCCCATATCTAGTAAAAATACAAAAATTAGCCAGGCGTGGTGGTGCGCGCCTCTAATGCTAGCTACTCGGGAGGCTGAGGCAGGAGACTAGCTTGAACCTGGGGAGGTGGAGGTTGCATCACTGTACTCCCAGCCTGAGTGACAGAGTGAGAATCTGTCTCAAAACTAAAATTAAAAAAAAAAAAAACTAGCCAAACATGGTAATACATATGCCTATATTCTCAGCTACTTGGGAGGCTAAGGTGGGAAGATCGCTTGAGCCCAGGAGGCGGAGATTGCAGCGAGCCAGGATCACATTGCTGTACTCCAGTATGTGCAACAAAGTGGGACCCGGTCCCCACCCCCCAAAACATACACATATAGATGTCACTCTAATGCTATTACACTACATATTATAAAATACAGTTTCCAAAATACTGTTAAAATACATATCAAAATACCTAATAGAGGCCAGGCGCAGTGGCTCACCCCTGTAATCCCAGCACTTTGGGAGGCCAAGGGGGGCAGATCACTTGAGGTCAGGTGTTTGAGACCAGTCTGGCCAACATGATGAAACCCCATCTCTACTAAAAATACAAGAATTAATCAGGCGTGGTGATATGCACCTGTAATCCCAGCTACTTGGGAGGCTGAGGCAGGAGAATCACTTAAACCCAGGAGGCTGAGGTTGCAGTGAGGCGAGATTGTGCCATTCAGCACTCCAACTTGGGCGACAGAGAGAGACCATCTCAAAAAAAGCCCACCTAATAGAGAAAAAGACAAACAGAAACCCATACACCCTAAATTAAGCCAGTATTGTGATACTAAAAAATAAACCACTTAAGAACCAGAGATAATCGAGAGCTAAAAGGACCTTTAAATTAGAGTACAACCACCAAAACCAAAAAGTAACAAATGAACATAACCTCTAAAGGATTTCTTCAGAAAGACTATTTAAAATAATCTTGAAATAGAAGGCTTTGGTTTCTACAAATGAAAATATGAATAAAGTCCTCAATAGCTTGAGCACTTACTCATCATACTGGATATGGTAAATAACGTCTTCATCAGCAGCAACACAGTCTGAATTAGACGTAGAGGGTACACTGTCCAATTTATTTGTGTTCTCTTTGGATTTATGCTTTATATTTCCATTAGTCCTTTTACAAGAACTGCCATTCTTCAGTGGAGTTTTGCCACGTGACTGTCCATCAGAAGCTCTAGTAACACTATGTATGTGTGCTTCAAACCAAGCACCAAGGCCGACATCTCTGGCATCCACCAATTCATTTACCTAAAAAAAGTTTAAAATCAGTTAATGAAGCTTAATTTTGTCTACTGCTTCAAAAACCTTAATGTAACTCAAGTTATTTGTGGGTTATCATGGTAAACAATATTTGCAGCTACTCATGTTTAAAGTGGTTAATAAGATTAGATCAAAACTATTCTTTCTGATTTGTGCTATCTTAAATCTATTGACTAAGATGAAAACTAACTTTCTTCCTCATTTCCTTCAATGAAATAGGTGTTTTCTTTACGCCTTACTGACGTATACACTAGACTTTTGAAAATATTATTCTTTTGTACCTAAGAGTCATTCTTGCAAGTCATCCAGTAAGAATGACACTAATGAAAAGCCAGGACTTTAAGCTAATATGACTAATCTGTTCCATTAATTTCTTCATAATCCTAAAGATAACTTACACAGTCCAACCAGAAAACAGTAAAGTATTAAAAAGAAAACAAAACTTGAAAATGAGAGAATTATGCACAATAAAAAAAAGAGTCTAATGAACCCATCTATACAAAATGGTGAAGTTCGATCACTAGTTAGTAACTCACTAGGCAAATACATTTATCTACCACCTCAAAGAACAAAGATAAAATATAAAAATGAACAGGGCGTAAGACACAAAATGGAGGTAGTCAATTCCAGTGGCTGATCCACAACTAACCCATGCAATCTGACAAAAGGAAGGAGTATTAAAAAACAGGTGTATCAGAGAATTAAGAGTTATGAAATGAAAGGTTTAAAAAACAAATCCTCTCCTTTTAAACGCTGTTTAAAAGATCAGGCCAGGCATGGTGGCTCACACTGTAATCCCAGCTCTTTGGAAGGCCAAGGCAGGGGCAGATCACTTGAGGTCAAGACCAGCCTGGCCAACATAGTGAAACCCCGTCTCTACTAAAAATACAAAAATTAGCCAGGCGTGGTGGAGCATGCTTGTAATCCCAGCTATTCAGGAGGCTAAGGCAGGAGAATCACTTGAACCCGGGAGGTGGAGGTTGCAGTGAACGGAGATCGTGCCAGTGCACTCCAGTTTGGGCAATACAGCAAGACTCTGTCTCAAAAAGAAAAAAAAAAAAATGGCCAGAGCCCTTTTAGGACAACAACCAAGAGAAATTCCTTCAACTTTCTTTTTAAGCCCTTAAAAAGGAAAAAATGAAATCAACACAAGATCACTATTTCATCAAGTTATCTTTTCCTTGAAGGGAGAAGACACCACTCTTAAGGTGTCTAATAGATGGCATACCTCGTGGGAGAAGTAAGTTAAATATCAGTATGCCAGATATTATGCAAGGTTCTTTACTTAGATATGTCTAACCCTAAGAAGTTTAATTCCTATTTTACAAAATACGGAAACAAAGGCTCTGAGAAATTAACTTCCTCTAGGTTAAAGCTAATGAAATGTAAGGTTAGGATTTGAAGACATCTTGACTTTGAAGCTTATGTTCTTGCCATCATACCATGAACCTTGATATAAATGACAAGACAGGTATACAGGAACTTCAAAGGTAAGTGAGGAACTTAGAAATAAGTTACTGAAAATATAAAAAGGTTTCAAACCACAAAATGACAGAGGGTAGAAAGAATACAGACTAAACAAAAACTATCAACTGTCACTACCAGAAGAGGTACATTTGACCAAAGGCACTGTATGTAATGAACATGGTAGCAATGAAATAGCTTGAAAGACATAAAGTTTAATATTACACAAGAATGAACAGTTTAGGAAAAAATAAAAACCTAAGAGCCAACCATGCTGGGTAGGACAAACAATCAGAGATGGAGCATGTTATACATTACATAAATTAATTCATGTATTAAATAAACATAGGCTCATTTCTCCCATACTAATCACTGACAAATTTAAAGACATTTAGTCTCTTGTAGACAACACAGTAAAAATGAAAATAATCAATGTTAAGGTCCATCATACTTGGGAGAATAAACTGAGGTTACTACTCTGTCGCAGCAAATCAAAATGTAAGTTTCATATATTACTATAAAAATATTGCATAGCAGAGAATGCAGCATATAGTTGATACTAAAATGGTAACAGCAAAAACACATTAAGCTATATCATCAACCTTACTAAGGAACACGAGGCGGCACAAATGAAGTACTGAATTTGCCTATCAAATGTAAGATACTAGCAGGCAGATCTAATAGCTGGCTACCTTAACATCTAACAATAAACTAAAGTTAACAGACACCTAAATCAACCTCAAAATACTGCCATTGCTTGAACATCAACACATAGAACATATCAGCTCACAAAGGTAGGGCATTCTTTGAATATAGTAAACCTAGATTTACAACTGGACGTAAGAATTTTTTTTTTTAAGACAGGCTATCTGCTGCCCAGGCTGGATGCAGTGGTGTGATCACAGCTCTCCGCAGCCTCCTACTCCTGAACTCAAACTCCTGAGCAGCTAGGACTACAGGTATATGCCACCACACCTAGCTAATGTTACTTCTTGTAGAGACAGAGTTTGCTATGTTGCCCAGGCTGGTTTTGAACTCCTGGCCTCAAACAATCCTCTTTCCTTGGTCTCTCATAGTGCTGAGATTACATGCACAAGGCACCCTGCCTGGCCAAAAAAAAGGATTATCCTACTAAATATAGTAAGTACCCTACTAAGTATTGCTGTGAGTAAGCACTCACAGAAATGCACATAAACTGGGTGGGGACAGAAATGCTCTTAAATTCAAAACTTTCTGCACATTGGATAGACATACTAAGTCAAGCAAAATTTGAATAGGCCAAGATGCATGCAAGATGTTAAAGCTGTGTTATAAAGCCTGGATTTTAAAGGCAGTTCAGAGGAAAAATACTTAGGCCTGTATGATTAATATGAACACAGAAGATCCTGCCATGGTAACTAAGTAATCTAGTACAAATTAAGAACTGAAGTAATTAGCTAAAGGAGTAGCAAAATAGCAGACAAAAGAGGAAAACAGAATTTGCCTATGTGGGAGCATCTGAATTATACTCATGAGATTTTAATTTATTGATGTAACTAAGTGACAACATGGAGAAGCCAATGCCACTGAAAGAAGAATTACTCATTCCCCAAGAGAAGGGGAAATACAGGAAAGCACTAGGTTTGGTCAGGAGGCAGAGGGAACAGGGGAAAATTAGGGCCCAGAGCCTTTATTGTGTTTTCCATGGGAAAGGCAAGGCAGGGGAAACAAGATGGCTAGTTTGAATAATGTCAGTGGGCTTTGGATTGTAGGGGTGGCCTCTAGTTGTTTGGTACCTGGCTGTGGGTGATCAGGGCGGAATATTGGCTTGGTGTTTAAGAGTTAGATAAGGGAGGTAGTTAAGTGCATGGACTCGGGATTACATGTTTTTGTATATAAAAGGCAGGCTCACTGATCAGCTGTTTACTATCTCTAGGAATAAGCTAGCTCTAGGAAAAAGGGCAGTCTCTCCTCAGCCAGTAAGGCCCCCAAAGATGTCAAAACATCATAAAATATACAATTATTTTTAAAAGATTAATATGGGGAGGAGAGGAGTTGAACTAAAAAGCTAAAAAAAAGTTTAAGCCAACCACATAATTCTACACTTAAGAGCTGCATTCATTCACATCAAAGATATAGCCACATTAAGGGCCAGGCACAGGGGCTCACGCCTGTAATCCCAGCAGTTTAGGGGGCCAGGGTGGATGGATCACCTGAGGTCAGGAGTTCAAGACCAGCCCGGCAAACATGGCGAAACCCTGTCTCTACTAAAAGTACAAAATTAGCCGGGCATGGTGGCATGCACCTGTAATCCCAGCTACTTGGGAGGCTGAGGCAGGACAATCACTTGAACCCAGGAGGTGGAGGTTGTAATGGGCCAATATTGTGCCATTGCACTTCAGGGCAAAAAGAGTAAAACTCCATTTCAAAAAAAGAAAAGCCACATTTAGACAAAAAGTTTCCCCTGTCCAAATATCTAATATTTTTAAAACCTGAAGTATGGGAGGCAAGGGGCAATCATTAAAAAAAGAAAATACCAACAGCAAATATTTGATGGTTTTACTATATGCTAGGTACCATTTGTTTTGCAGAAAACACTCCAGCTCTGCAGGTAAACCTAGGTTCAAGTTCTTCATCTATCACCCACTAAGTGTAACCATGAACAAGTTACTTAATTTGTCCCAGCATCTTGCAGTGTATTTGAAATAAAGTGAGAAAATTCATGTAACGTGCCAACCCAGCAAGCATATAGTACACACAAATGAAACAACTGTCTCCTTACTAAGTATATACGTTCAATGTTAAGACTCATTAAAACTCAGAGTATAGCCCGGGTGCAGTGGCTCATGCCTGTAATTCCAGCACTTCGGGAGGCCGAGGCAGGTGGAGCACCTGAGGTCAGGAGTTCGAGACCAGTCTGGCCAACATGGCTAAAACCCCCATCTCTACTAAAAAACACAAAAACTAGCCAGGCGTGGATCCCGCCACTATACTCCAGCCTGCATGACAGTGCAAGACTCTGTCTAAAAGAAACAGAAACAAAAAAACCACAAAACCTCAGAGTACAGTCTTATTACCATACTGCTGGTAAACATTAGCTGTTTACCATTACATACTTTACCTCCTTTAATTATAATACAAAATAATTCCCATTTTCTAATGAGGTCCAGACATGAAATACATTTGCTCAAGAGATACACAGGTAAAAAATGTGGGAGTTAAGCTGAGAATACAGGTTCTCCAACTCTGAAAATTGTTCTCTCATTGTACCATCTTCCTTTTTTTTTTTTTCCTGAGACAGAGTCTTGCTCTGTTGCCCAGGCTGGAGTGCAGTGGTGCGATGTTGGCTCACTGCGACCTCTGCCTCCCAGGTACAAGCAATTCTCCTGCTTCAGCCTCCTGAGTAGCTGGGATTACAGGTATCCACCACCATAGTGTCTAACCTTTTATATTTTTAGCAGAGATGGGGTTTCACCATGTTGGCCAGGCTGGTCTCGAATTCCTGACCTCAAGTGATCCACTTGTCCTCCACCTCCCAAAGTGCTGGGATTACAGGCATGAGCCACCACACTCGGCCCCATCTTTCTTTAATCACAAATTTTAAAATGCAGGGCTGGGTGTGATGGCTCACACTGTAATCCCAGCACTTTGGGAGGAAGTGGCAGGAGGACTGTTTGAACCCAGGAGTTCAAGACCAGCCTGGACAACATAGTGAAACTCTGTCTCTACGAAAAATTGAAAATTAGCTGGGTATGGTGGCACAGACCTGTAGTCCCGGTTACTCAGGAAGCTGAGGCAGCAGGATCGCTTAAGCCCAGAAGGTTGGGGCTGCAGTAAGCTATGATCATGCCACTGCACTCCAGCCAAGTGACAGAATGAGATCGTTCAAAAAAAAAAAAAAAAAAAAAAAAAAAAAAAAAAAAAAGCAAAAGCAATATGGTTCCATTTACATAAAGTTCAGAAACCAGAAAATTAGGGATTAGGGTTGCATAAATAAGTTAAAGATTATTAATAGGTTGTTAAAGGTTAATATTAATAAGAAAGTTAGTAAAGAACAAAGAAATGATTACCATAGAAGTCTGGGTAGCAGTTACAACTAGGGAAGAGGGAGTTATAATCAGGAGGAGGCACCTGGTAAGTTCCTGGGAGTATTGTTATTCTATTTCATAACTTGGATGGTGTTTATAGACAGTGATCGTGCTCTTTGTATTGTCTAATACATTTCATAATCAAAAAGGTTAAACATCAAGAACTGTACTGTGGACAAAAGAAATAAGAAGTTATCAATGATAATTCTCCTCTTTCCAGTACTTTCTATTATACAATGAGCATAAGAAAACATGTAAGAAGTTTAACAGTGCCACATGCTCAGCTAAACTGTAAAGGCTTACCATCATCATTCTAAACAGTCATTATTTAGTCCAGGATGACAGCCACTTGAAAGTACGATCTTTCTGGCATCATAAAAAGCTTCCATACACAAAAACCAAAATTAAAACGAACTTAGGTTCGAATGTCCATCTTGCTTCAGAAAATTAGTTCCCAATCTAGACCCAGTGTGATTCAATTTATGTTAAATGCACATATAATGTGAATGGATGGACCCAGCCTCTGTACAATCTTTCATAGGCTCTCCATATGTAGTAGTGGTATCTAGTTTCTTGCAATAACATATGAAAATATCTGAAACTGGTTAAATATTGCTCAGTTATCAAACAGAGCAAAATAATGATATTGAGCAATAAATAACTTCAGATTAAAATTTCTTTTTTTTGAGATGGGGTCTTGCTCTGTCACCCAGGCAGGAGTGCAGTGGCGCGGTCTAAGCTCACTGAAACCTCCACCTCCTGGGTTCAAGTGATTCTCCCGTCTCAGCCTCCCAAGTAGCTGGGATTAGTCGTACGCCACCACAGCCAGCTAATTTTTTTATTTTCAGTAGAGACGGAGTTTCACCATGTTGGCCAGGATGGTTGCAAAAGCCTGACCTCAGGTGCTCTGCCTGCCTCGACCTCCCAAAGTGCTGGGATTACAGGTGTGAGCCACTGTGCCTGGCCTAAAATTTCATCTTAACATACTGTTTAAATGTTTACCTATGCCAGTTTTGAATAAAGTTAATTTGAAAATTCATCTTTTGTACCTGCTTATCATGATGTTCAAAGAATATTTCAGTCAGAAGGAAAAGTCCAAAAATGTTTGCTCATCCATAAAGCAATTTCAACTATAGAAAGCTCTACATGTATAAAAAAAAATATTTACCAAGTGGCATAACCAAGAATTCAAGACAAAAGCAATACAACGCCCAATTTTTAAGTGACTTATAATCAACTTAAAAGTTTTTATATATTAACTACTCAGACTTGCACTATGGGAAATACAAAAAACCCAATGCAAATATAAAACAAACTAATTCAAGCCAGGCACAGTGGCTCATGCCTATAATCCCAGCACTTTGGGAGGCCGAGGCAGGTGATCACCTGAGGTCAGGAGTTCAAGACCAGCCTAGCCAACATGGTGAAATCTTGTCTCTACTGAAAGTACAAAAATTAGCTGGGCATGGTGGCGGGTGCCTGTAATCCCAACTACTCAAGAGACTGAAGCAGTAGAATCGCTTGAACCCAGGAGGCAGAGGTTGCAGTGAGCTGAGATGGCTCACTGCACTCCAGCCTGGGCAACAAAGAGAGATTCCATCTCAAAAATAAAATAAAATAAAAATAAAGCAAATCATTTCAAAAGTAGCAGCTTCTAAATGGTTTTCAGTTTAGTCAACAAGTCAGTATGTGATAAAAATTCTGTGAAGGCAGAATACCGATTACAAACATATGCTAGATATCCACCTATTTATGGAATGAGCTATCCAGAAATATGTACTTCTATCTGAAAAATATAAAGGCACCAGTCAAAATTTCAAATACCTATGACAATTACTAAGGTTCATCCCCCAAAAAGTAAATAAATCTACAGTAGCTTCAACTAAGATTAAACAGCTCTAAATTTATTATTGTATGAACAGCAACCTTCTGAGAATTTTATTACTAGATTCCAATGTGCTCCTAAATGGGGAAAGGGAACCTTAATGTAAGATTTACTTGCCAATTTGTATAACCAAGCAGCAGCTGAACTGAAATTTGAAACCAGGTCTCCTGGCAAAGCTCAAGTCTTTAACATCTATACCACATAGTAATAGGAAATAGAAGAGATGTCAAATAGAGTTTAAATTCTGTAGTTCACAGCCAAAGCACTAACACTGAAAATAAAAAGCAAAGACCTCCTGAGAGAAGTAATTTCTCCTGATGCTCTTCCGAATTCGATTGGGGAGGGAAGAGGAAGGAATAGTGGAGTATTGAGAAGTTTGCTAAACAGAAATTTAAGTTGACCCAAACTGCTGAACTTTGATTAATCTCAGATGTGCAGATACATAAACTGGCCCTCCTTTGAAAGCAAATCCATCCTGTCAATGCCCAAACAATCAATTCAAAAGCAGCAGCTTCTAAACTCTGGCCAAAGATGAAAAGTAATAATGTAAACTTAATATACAGATAGTTACATAAATATTCATAGATGTATATATACACAGGTTAGTACAAATATGTATTATTTCCTTGCTGTCTGTTGAAGGCTCTAAAAGCAATGACACACCAACAGTAAGAAGCATACCTAGAGCCGAGATCTTGATTTTTTTTTTTTTAATTTATTTACTTTGAGACGAAGTCTCACTCACCCAGGCTTGGAGTGCAGTGGCGCGATCTCGGCTCCCCGTAACCTCTGCTTCCTGGGTTCAAGTGATACTCCTGCCTCAGCCTCCCGAGTAGCTGGGATTACAGGCATGTGCCACAACGCCCAGCTAATTTTTTTTTTTTTTAATTTTCGGCAGAGATGGGGTTTCACCATGTTCACCAGGCTGATCTCAAACTCCTGACCTGTAGTGATCCACCCTCCTCAGCCTCCCAAAGTGCTGGGATTACAGGCATGAGCCACTGCGCCCGGCCTCTATCCTTTGACAATTAAAGGAAACAGGGAACCTTGGAGAAATGGTTGATTCTAGGACTGAAGCAGGAAATATACAAGATGTACCTGAAGCATGTTGTAGTGCCAGAAAGTAAGATAATGCTTAAGAAAAACAAAACACCCACAATAATGGGGGTATGTCAAAGGGACATAGCCATCAAATAAACGAGTTTCTAAAGGCCAAAAGTGGAACAATTTGATCATGAGTTCATACTGATGTAAATGTCTGAATAAATACACCTCCCATGTTGAGTAATTTTAAATAATTTTTTGTAGATACTCTGCCCTCAAGGCAGTGAAGTACATTAACTTCCCACTCCTTAAGTGTGGACTGTACAGTGACTTTCTCTCCAACAGTACAGTATGGAAAGACAGGAAGGAGGTGTGGGAGTAGTTTAATAGTGGAGAAACTTGACAAACACTACCCCAGCCAGATGATTAAGGTTCACATCAGTGTTAATGTTATCATTGATGTAAAACCTAAGTTATACTTAGCAAATAGAATACTGATAGTATGTGCCCTATATACGTGATGAAAATACCTCTGCGGTCTTCCTCCCCAAAACAAACCCAGACAAATAAGGAAAACAAATGAATCCTAACAGGGGGAGATTTTACAAAATACCTGACCAGAGCTCCTCAAAATGGTCACGGTAATTGAAAAAAAAAAAAAAAAATCCTGAGAAATTGTCACAGTCAATGTCAAAGGAGATTTAAAAACTACACACAGTATAGTATCCTAGTGGGATTCTGGAACAAAAAGAGGACATGAGGTAAAAGCTAAGAAAATATGGGTCATTAATTTCAACAAATACACCACACTAACTTAAGATCTTAAGAGGGAAAACTAGGTGTGGGATATATGGGAACTCTCTCTACTATCTTCAATTTTGCTACAAATCTAAAACTGTTCTAAAATAAGTTTATTTTAAAAGTAATGATGGAGGTGGTAACACAAATAAAAAAGTAATAATGTAAAAAATGTATTAAGTATTGGTATTTAAAAGGTGGATGAAATCAGAGTAATATAGAAAAAAATGGCAAGTTGGCTTTCAGTGCTAAAAATTCTCTCTTAATTGTGACCACTATATAGCACTGTTTTAATTTACATAAGTCTTAACTTATTCCCAGATTCTACCTTTTGTTATTGCAAATTTTTTTCCTGTTCTAATTCACGCATTAATTCCTTGAGCTATCAGCAGCTCAATGTTAACTTTGAAGATAGCCACTTTAGTGACTGCTCATAACTTTCTAAAACATTTTCTCAGCTCTCCCAGGTATCCATAGGCTGCAACTTTGCCTTCTCTAATATTTACACTTTATTTTGTTCTCCTGCCTAATTGCATTATCTAGTACTTCCAGAAAGATGTCAAATAAGGAAGCATGAATTGGCTTCCTTGTCTAGCTCGTCTTTAAAGGGAATACCGGTATAGAATGTGTTTAAAATATTAACCTATTCTGTCTATTCCTCTTATCAAGAGTTCCTTTATTTATTTATTTATTTTTTTTGATACTGAGTCTCACTGTGTCGCCCAGGCTGGAGTGCAGTGGCGCAATCTTGGCTCACTGCAACCTCTGCCCTCCAAGTTCAAGCAATTCTCCTGCCTCAGCCTCCGGAGTAGCTGGGATTACAGGCACCTGCCATCGCATCCAGCTAATTTTTTGTATTTTTAGTGGAGACGGGGTTTCACCATCTTGGCCAGGCTGGTCTTGAACTCCTGACCTCATGATCCACCCGCCTCGGCCTCCCAAAGTGTTGGGATTACAGGTGTGAGCCACCACGCCCGGCCGAGACTTTTCTTTAAAAAAAAAAAAAAAATCACTAATGACTCAAATTTGTATTTAAATGCAGAAAACATTTTAAATTAATATGTTTTCTTTGGCTTATTAGTACAATGAATTATATTGAAACATTTTATAATAATGAACTGTCCCCACATCCTGACAAACCATATTTGCTTAAAGTAATATATTTTTAATAAGCAGCCATAATTTTTTAAAAGCAAGTTAAATCAGCAAATACAGCCATAATTCTATTTGCTGACTAGAACTTAGGTTTTATGTCAATGTTAGTGAAGCTGATGTGCTTTTTGTCATGTTTTAGTATCAGTATTAAACTCAATTTATAAAGCAATAGGAAGCTTTCCTTCTTTATGTTGTAGGTCAACTTAGGTAACATTATAATGATCTACTCCTCATAGGTTTAAAACAATTCAGCCATCCAAGCCTGGTACTTTCTTTGGAAACATGGTTCTAATCTCTTCTTAATCTTTCTATATACATATGTAGATCTGTTGGCATTTTTCCATATATCTAAAATTATCTCCATTTGAATAATCTTGAGTAATTTACTTCATCTACCAATTTTTTGGTCTTAAATGCTTTGAAAAACAGTATAGGTGCCCATTTATCGCAACTGATAAGAATTAGGAAGTTACAAAGATAGGAAAGGATAAAGCAAAACTGCCATTCGATTATTTCTACACAATTTATTAGATTTGAAAAGGTTGCTGGTTACAAAAGCCAAATAAATCAATTTCATTTCTCTATATCAGCAAACAGATTACTATTTTAGAAGATAACCATATATAATAATTGCATCAAAAACAAAGCTACCAGAAATAAAGCAAAATATTAAATATGTAAAGAAAGAACTAATCAAGATATCAAAGATCTAAGTTAGCCGGGCATGGTGGCTCACGCCTGTATCCCAGCACTTTGGGAGGCCGAGCAGGAAGATCACTTGACCCCAGCAGGTCAAGGCTACAGCGAGCCGTGTTCACGTCACTGCACTACAGCCTGGGTGACAGAGCCAGACCCTGTCTCAAAAAAAGAAAAGATCTAAGTTAATGGAGAAGTCAAGTCTTTTAATGTTCATGAATTAAAAGACTCAACATTGTAAAGATGTCGATTCTCCAAGCTGATCTATAGATGCAATCTCCATAGAATCCCATCAGATTTGTAGAGCTTTATATGCTATTTCTACAGTTTTTTGTATGCAAATATTAAAAGCCAAGAGACCCTGAAAGAGGAAAGAAATTGGGGAGATAGGAGAAAGGGAGATCAAAACAGTCTATAAGGCTACAGTACTCAGAACTGTAATCCCAGCACTTTGGGAGACCGAGGAGGGCAGATGAGGAGGTCAGGAGTTCGAGACCAGCCTGACCAAAATGGTAAAATCCCGTCTCTACTGGAAATATAAAAATTAGCCAGGCATGGTGGTACGCGCCTGTAATCCCACTACTTAGGAGGCAGAGGCAAGAGAATAGGAACACAGATAGACAAACAGACCAATGGAACCAAGTATAGTAGTTTGGCAGTACCCTGTGGGTGAACAACTAGCACTTCTATTCCTAGGTAGAAATTCTTGAACATATGCACCAGGTTAACAGAAGGTTCAAAACAGCACTGTTTAAAACAGATGAAACTGGAAACAGCCCAGATATCTATGAATTATGGATTAAATATACCGCGGTATGTTAATAAAATGGAATGACATAATAGTGAAAAGGAATAAAACACAGCTATATGCAGAGAATCTTTCAATGCTGAGAAAAAGTAGAATTCCATTATATAAAATTCAAATACAGACAAAACATACTGCCTAGAGAAATATACGTAAGTAGCAAAAATAAAAAACAAAAAGAGTATAAAAGAATAAGCAGTTTACCTCTTAGGGAGACACAGAGAGAAGTGTTCTGATAGGGACACACACGAGGCTTTAAACAGGTATTTAAGGCTGGGCGAGGTGGCTCACCCCGGTAATTCCAGCACTTTGGGAGGCTGAGGTGGGCGGACCACCTGAGGTCAGGAGTTCGAGACTAGCCTGGCCTACATGGTGAAACCCTGTTTCTACTAAAAATACAAAAATTAGCCGGGCGTGGTGGTGCACGTCTGTAATCCCAGCTAATCAGGAGACTAAGGCAGGAGATTTGCTTGAACCTGGGAGGCAGAGGTCATAGCGAGCCAAGATTGCGTGCGCCACTGCACTCCAGCCTGGGTGACAGAGCAAGCCTCCGTTATCAAAAACAAACAAACAAACAAAAAGTATTTTAAATCAATCTACTTCTTAACCTTGGTGCAATTACACAAGTATTTCCTTTATTGCTCTTTAAACTGTACATATACATCTTGTACATTTGTCTACGTATTTCATATCAATTTTTAAAAGACTACTTTTAAAAGTTATGATATTAACATCCCAATCTTTACTTTCAAATGGCAATCAATGTTTACTTATTCAAAACATCCTGAACAGAAAATAAATTTATTTGTATTCTCACAACAGTAAGTCTGAAGAAAACAACATACCTTATATATTCCAAAGCCAGGATCAATAAGACGGGCACGAGCTGATGTAGATGGCTGATTGGAAGGTCCTACCCTCGGAGCTTTCTTTACTTTAGGTGGACTATTAGAACAGGGTTTAGCCTCAATCTGTGTAGATGTGCCAGGAAGATGATCAGGGTCTGGGCGAACTAGCAGCTGAATTATATCATTCAGTCCAACATCATAATCAAATAAGGTATATCCATTTTCCAACTAGAAAATAAAGAAAGAATAGTGAAATGCTTCTCTAAAATGTATCTTACTACATTTTTAGTTGCTCAAATGTCCTAGCCAAACTTAAAATCCATAGCACTACAGTTTAGAGATTTTAAAACCATTCTTAATACTTAATGGCCTCTGATGTCAGTGTCTTCTCTGGACCCCAATACATTCTCTCTCTCTCTTTTTTTTTTTTTTTGAGACGGTGTCTCACTCTGTCGCCCAGGCTGGAGGGCAGTGGCACGATCTTGGCTCACTGCAAGCGCCTCCTCCCGGGTTCACACCATTCTCCTGCCTCAGCCTCCCTGAAGTAGCTGGGACTACAGGTGCCCGTCATCATGCCCGGCTAATTTTTTTTTGTATTTTTAGTAGAGACGGGGTTTCACCGTGTTTGCCAGGATGGTCTTGATCTCCTGACCTCGTGATCCACCCACCTCGACCTCCCAAAGTGCTGGGATTACAGCGTGAGCACCGCACCCGGCCATAAATTCTTAATAATTACTCCATATTCACTACAGAGAACACTGCTAGCCATTAAAACAAAAAAAATGGGCCGGGCGCGGTGGCTCACGCCTGTAATCTCAGTACTTTGGGAGGCCGAAAAGAGCAGATGACGAGGTCAGGAGTTTGAGACCAGGCTGACCAACATGGTGAAACCCCGTCTCTACTAGAAATACAAAGTATTAGCTGGGCGTGGTGGTACGCACCTGTAATCCCACTACTCAGGAGGCAGAGGCAAGAGAATCTCTTGAACTCCAGAGGTGGAGGTTGCAGTGAGCTGAAATTGCGCCACTGCACTCCAACCTGGGCAACAGAGGGAGACTGTCAAAAAAGAAAAAAAAAAAGGTGGCGGGGGAGGCTGGGCTCCGGGCCTCACATCTGTAATCCCAACATTTTGGGAAGTCAAGGTGGGAGGATCACTTGAGCCCAGGAGCTCCAGACCAGTATGGGTAACCCCATCTCTACAAAAAATAAAAATAAATAAATAAATAAAAAAACGTAGCCGGGTGTGATTGTACATGCCTGTGGTCCCAGCTACTCAGGAGGCTGAGGTGGGAGATCACTTTAGCCCAGGAGGTCATGGCTACAGTAAGCCATGATCATGCTATTGCACTCAAGTCTGGGCAACAGAGTGAGACCCTGTCTCAAAATAAACAAATAAATAAATAAATCCCAAAATGTTTCATTGTGGCTGTGACCTTATGACCTACACAGAAAAACTCTAAACTAGATTTAATTTCTCAAGTTTTATGTTTAATCAGTGCTTGAATCAACTTCAAGAAATGTGAATTTTCAAAGTTGTTTTATGACCTTATTTTTCATAAAGACATTAAGTCATCAGCTCAGTGTTTCACTTTTTTAAAAAACACATTAAGTCAAATATGTTATCTTTCTAAAGCATTATCAGTAGGTTTTTATTTTTTAAGTCAAGCAGAAAAAAAAACAAGAAGGGATAATTCTAATTCTTGCTCATGTTACTCCACTTGCCTGAAGTTCTCTAATTCTATCGATCTGCAATTATCAAGTTTTATCAAGAAGTCTTCCAGGAAGAATAGTGAATAAATTATTTGCAACCCACCCATATTTTGGTAAGGGTTATGGGTTGAAATCCTAATCCATGGTACTTGAGAATGTGACCTTATTTGGAAACAGTCTTTTAAAGAGGTAATCAGAAAATAAATTTAACAAAAGAAATGTAAAACCTACTGTTACGAGCTAAGTTGCGTCCCTGCCAAAATTTTTTTGTTAAAGTCCTAACCCCCAGTACCTCAGAATGTGACTTCATTTTGAGATAGGGTCTTTAGAGAGGTAATTAAGTTAAAACAAAGTCATTAGGGCCCTAATCCAATATGGCTAGTGTCCTCATAATAAGGGGACATTTGGAAAGATGCAGCCGGAAGACAATGTGAAGACACAGGAAAAAGGCAGCCATGTGACTGGAGTGATGTACCTAATATAAGCCAAGAAAGAAAATTTCCGGCAAAGTGTAAAGGGTTCTCCCCCTAGAGCTATCAGAGGACGGCCCTGCTGACACCTTGCTAGACCTCTAGAACTGTGAGACAGTAAATTTCTATTGTTTTAAGCCACCCAGGTTTTGGTACATTAGTACAACAGCCCTAGGAAATTAAGTCTCCATTTTGTTTCTTTATAAAGTTCAGTTGGCAATTTCACTATGATACAGTGAAACAAGAAAACTAAACTCCTTTCAGGCCACAACTATCACTTTCCCAGAAACATAATCAATTTTTAAATTGCTCATTTTCTACTCTTCATATGTATTACTTTTCAACATTCACAACTCTAACACAGTAACATCATATTTGAGAAGTCAACCAAATGGAAATAAAAGTATGTCCTGAATTTAAAACTTTTAATCTACTAGATCAGTAATTTGAACTCAGGTGGTCCAAGAACCCAACAAGCACAATCTCAAACACTACAGGTATTCACATTTGTCAAGTAGAACAAGGGATCAAGAATTTCACAAGTTTCCCAGTCAGGGAATTAAATTATGTACTACCTCACAAGTTACCATGCTTACTCTAAATAAGCCAAAGTAGTATTCCAAGTCAGTAAGCAAGTAAGCCCTGATAAGGATAGGGATGGGAATATTGCTTCCTTGATTTAAAAAAAAAAAAAAAAAAAGGAACATCCTCTAGTCTTGAACTCCCGTGGAGGGAAAAAAACCCCAAAAAACTCAAGGAGCAAACACTGCATTCACACCATCATTTTGACATTCTCCAACACCCCCACAAAAAAACCCAAAACAAAATACCTTACTAATTCTGGAGGAGCTGAAAAAGCGTAACATACAACTGACAAACATTATGACTATTTTTAAATGAAAGTGCTTAAAGATAATTAAAAAAAACTAACAGTATAAAACATGCAAATTAACTAGTAGCATATTTCCAAAAATGAAGATAGCAGTTAAAGTGATAAAACTGCTGGAAATTGAAAGAACATTTTTCCACTTAGGTTTGAGGGACCAGAGTCAGAGTGACGTTGAGGGTATTTCTACAGTCAGCTCCTGGTTAGTTTCTACTAAATGACGGTCAGGAGTAAATACAAACTGTTTCAACTGGTGCTTTTTAAAATTTGATTTGACAGGAAAAAATGTCGTAAGAGCACCATGTCTAAGCATATCACGGCATGAGACCCTATAAGTTACATCCACAGTAACATATAACCACCTTTCCTCATGCTTGCTATGACAGGCTTTTTAAACCCAGATTATCCACTCCTTCGCTAATTCATAGGTACTCCTCCAGTCTTCCTACAATAGTGACCATTTATCTACCGCAATAACAAGTTCCACACAACTTTATTCCACAAAGCTTCACATATTATGAAGAGCTGTGAAGTGTTGAGATGATTTACTTGAAAAGTACCGAAGTTCTTCCACATTTAATGAAAGTGAAGATTGAAAGTTATCTCTGACACTCAAATTAAGCTCTAAGTAGGGAAAAAAGGAAGCGGTCATTTAGAAATCACAAACATCTGTGAGTCAGAAGCATGTAACTTAGGTCCATCAATGTCTCAAAAGCAAATGTTTGAGAACTGCCATACTCGAAGATGGAGATGCAGTATTTACAATACTTAAGAAGCAAAAATGGTTAGGATTTTTTGTCAGACCACTCTTGAAATTTTACTGAGTTGAAAGAAGAAACTCCAGGTAACAAGAGGAACTGCAACAATGATGCAAGGGAATACTAGAAAGCAAATGCCAAGTGGAAGTGGCTGAGAGGGCAGTGGGAAGTCATTCCCAAGCAACTACTGACTAGGGATGCCAGTGAAGGGCAAAACAACTTTCACGTATCCATCACATATTATATATGTGTGTATTATATATGTTATATACATCATATATAATATATACATAGATATTCCTTTAAATAGGCAAGTACTTTTATATTCTGTGTGAAAACCAAGTGGGAGAGGCAACTTTTTTCTTCAACTATAGTTCATGCCCCACATTGTTATCTATTTTAAGACCACCTCTATAGTGGTAAGGAGTGAAAGAATGACGAGAGAGAATCCTTTAAAATAGGAAAAGCTCTGGATTCTCAAAAGATTTAGGCCGGGCGCGGTGGCTCACGCCTGTAATCCCAGCACTTTGGGAGGCCGAGGCGGGCGGATCACGAGGTCAGGAGATCGAGACCACGGTGAAACCCCGTCTCTACTAAAAATACAAAAAATCAGCCGGGCGCAGTGGCGGGCGCCTGTAGTCCCAGCTACTCGGGAGGCTGAGGCAGAATGGCGTGAACCCGGAAGGCGGAGCTTGCAGTGAGCGGAGATCGCGCCACAGCACTCCCGCCTGGGCGACAGAACGAGACTCCGTCTCAAAAAAAAAAAAAAAAAAAAAAAAAGATTTAGAGATCCACCAACATAATCTCTTCCTTAAAAAGACCCAATCCCCCGCGTGCCTCAAACTCAACTTCCCAGATAAGAATGTTCACAGCATGTTATCCTACTCTAACCAAAACTTATAGCCCTGAATTGCAGGTCTCCATTTTGACCCTCAAATGTGGAGTCAAGGCTGGGCACGGTAGCTTACGCCTGTAATCCCAGCACTTTGGGAAGCCGAGGTGGGCGCATCACCTGAGGTCCTGTCCTAGATAGAGACCATCGTGTCCAAAATGGTGAAACCTCGTCTCTACTAAAATACAAAAAATTTGCCGGGAGTGGTGGCGCACGCCTGTAGTCCCAGCTACTTGGGAGACTGCGGCAGGGGAATCGCTTGAACCCGGGAGGCAGAGGTTGTAGTAAGCCGAGATCGCGCCACTCCAGCCTGGCGACAGGGCAAGACTCCGGCTTAAAAAAAAAACAAAAACAACAACAAAAAAAGTGGAGTCAATTAACACTGCCTTCTCCAACTTCACCTACATACAGATCACCTGGAGATCTTGTTAAAATACAGATTCTGCTTCAGTAGGTCAGCTTCAGTAGGTCTGGCGTGAGGATTTCAGGTAAAGCTAATGCTGCTGGTCCTGAGAATCCAGGGACCATACTTTGAATAGTAAGAGACTAGTGGGAGACTATCTATCAACATTCATTTTCTAAACTCTGGTGTTATCAGAATCTCCCGTGGGGTCTTGTTAAATTCAACTACTTGCAGTTCTGGGGTGAGCTGAACATCTATAATAAATATCCACAAGCGATTCTGATACATACCAAAGATTAAAAGCTGGAGCCTAACATACGAATGGAGTATGGGGGGCGGGTACCACTTAAATAAAAATAAATGTATTGTCTACAATTTATGACATTTTTCACTACGTGGCAGTAAAGTATTTTGAAGTAGGGGTACCTTTTTCCAATGAGGACATGGTATTTTACAGGACGGGGACTCTCTGTGATGCCATTCCAGTAGTTACCTGCTACAGGCTGGCTACCTCATCTGTGGAGCTCCAGAGACCACGAAAGATAACACTCATTGCCATAGCTACTTGTCAGCGCATAAGAAAGTGAACACACAGCTGGTACCAATGACCTTCCTTTTCTGTTTCCAAGTTAATGGCTGGCACCAAAGGTCTATTCCTCTACCCTACTGGTTTATCACTGGGCTGAAGAAACCCAAGTAGTGAATTACCCACTAGGACCCTGGAAGAGGAAGTACAACGGTTATCCTCAGTTTTCCCTGGAATCTGGAATGAGCTTCCTAGTTTACTGAAAGTCTACTTTGTTGCCTTGAATTTAACCCAATCCCATATGTGATAATTATTTTAGCATATTTGATAATAAAGATTTTAGGAGTGTTGCCCAAGAACATCCTTCATTTCTATCTCTGGTGCTGAAATCACCAGTGTCCTAGGAATTCATGTACTATTTGTCCCCAGCTAGAAAATAAAATGCATCAAACGATTACATGCTTTTTCACTTGTGATCAAAAGGAAACGGTATCAGCCACTTGAGGCACAGCAAAGCAAATCTATGTAGTATTTAACAAGTGTACAATTATTTCAAAAGCAAAGCTTACAACTAAATACCTGTTTTTACAAGTCAAACACTAAGAAGTCAGTACAAAACTGGCTGCAAACACAAATCAAAGGTGCTATAACATTATTTTAAAGAGAGAAGGAAAGGGGAAAAAAAAGCTCTCTCCTTCCCAAAGTGTAATTTGTTACTATGAAATTTCTGGACAGTCTTCGAAGACTAAGCCTGTGAAGGGGAGGAAAATATTCCTTTTAAGTAGTTTGCAACTGTAGGCTACTTCTACCAAATCAAAGAGCTACACTTATTTAAAACCACAGGATTGGAGCCAAACTGTGGTCTATCAACTCAGGATGCCAACTTTTTAGTGTATTAACAACAACATGAAGACAAAGAAAAATACGATGGGTCTGAGTGGCTAGGGATATAGATTGTAAGAGACTTGTGGAATAGGAAAAAAACTTAGACTGGCCAGACCATAAAAATACCAGAGATGCCCACAGACAGCCTTCAAGTATGCACCGCTGGCTATGCTGCAGTGCTATGCTTAAAGCGTGAACGACATGAGTATTAGAAGGCGAGAAGTAAGAAAAGCAAACAGTCTTACACTCCTTTTCACTTCGGGAATAAAACTCTTGGCTTATATAGGGCATTCGTAAACCCGGCCCCCGGTTAAACCGACAGTTTCTTCATGCCCAGGTCTCTAACCTCCCTCGAGACATTCCAAACCTAGGAAAGGCGGCGAGGGAGAGGGACCAGAAGTTCTGGAAACCCTTCGAATCTTCAGTTTGCGCGAATCCTACCACAGTCAGGAAGCAGAGTTAGGGTTCTTATTCTTGAGAGCTCAATGCCCGAGTTTCCCCTGTTTGAGAGCCGAAGACGCGGAAGAGCCGCGGAAGCCAGGCGAACGCTCAGCCGGGTTAGCCAGCTCTCCGGGTCTCCCGCGCGGTGGCATGGCCGCCAGAGCCCTCTGCCCTCCCCGCCCTCTGGGGGCCCCAGGCCCCGCCGAGCGCGGGAAGCGAGGGACCTGGGCACCCAGTGCCTACGGCCGCTGTCCTACCAAATACAAACGGCGAGATATTTGCGCTCCGGACGCCCTCACTTCTGACCCCGCGCGGCGCACCTCCAGTTGGGGCTGGCAGGGACCCACTCCCCACCATTCGGCGGGACTGGGCCCCGCACCCCGCGCCTCGCGGGGGCTGCCCACCCGCAGCGGAGCCAGGTGAGCCCTGCGCGCGCGGCGCACAGAGCCCTCGGACCGGTGCGTCCAGAGGAGCCCAGCTGTTCCGGCCCCCAGCCTCGCTAGGGGCGCGGCGGGCGCGCCTCACCTGCTTGCCCCGGTAGAAGAGGCGCTGGCATTCGGGCCGCACGTCGAACAGCGCCCACACCCGCTCGCGCAGCTCCTCAATCGTGGCTTTGCGAGACACGTCCTCAATGGTGCACGTCTTGGAGCCATCAATGGTGCGAACCTGTATCCACATCTTGGCGCCTAGAGAGGAACCGGTCCCCTTTGTCTCCCCCTGAGCTCTGGGCGCCGCGCCCCGCCCGGCCCGCGCCGCTTTCCCTGCGGCTCGGGCCCTCAGCGGCAGGCGGGCGAGCGCGCCCACCGGACCGACCGGACGCCGGGCCCGACAGGCGGCGACGACTCTCAGCGCGCGCGCCCGACTAGCCGACTTGAGGAGAGACGACCGGAACCACTCTGAGGCGCTGCCGCAGACACCGCCTCAAAGATAGGAAGAGGCCATGTCTGCGCCGCGCAGAGTGTTTACTTATAGAGCTGGAGCTCCCACATGGAGGTCACGGCGCCAAGCCGGATCTCGCGAGATCCACGCCGGGCTCCGCCTTAAAGAGGAAGCGGCCCGGGAGAGGGTTACAGACCCGAGGGAACGAAAATGGGCAGGCGCGGAGAGGGCGGGTCGGAGGGGCGGGGCTACCAAAAGCCGTTACTTGCCCCACCGCCTGCACCTGGCCACTGGGCACGCCCTCTAGCCTTTGGGTTTCGGAAGATTGCGCGGCTACCACATCGGTTGCCGTTTTGAGGCCTCGTTTCAGAGCTGAGGGGGCGGGTGCCTCCTCAGGCTTAGCGGATATGGTTCTTTGGTCTCAAAAACACACCAAAAATAAGAAACCCTGGCGTGCACTTGTATAATCCTGGAAAGGGGGCGCGGGTGGGTGCGGCCTAAACTTCCGAGAAAGAACTGAAGGAAATGTGTGCGCTCCACCGCGCTCAACAGGAAAGCTCCCGCCACGCGGCCTGGCGGGTCGGGTCGCCCGGGAAAGGCCCCGGGGGCCCTCCTGCTTCGCGAACACGTTTCCCGCCTGGCCGCAATGCTACTTTCGCGCGGAAACCCACTTCCGAGGGTTTCCCGTCGCCTGGCGGAGGCGGCAGCTCCAGGCCTATCCTCAGGCCGCGGGTCCCGCTGGGATCGCCCTCTCTGGCTTGCAGCGCTCCCAGCCGGCCCTCCGGCCTTGGAGAAGTCGGGGCAGCTGCCCGAAAGGCCGCTCTCTAACTCCGGACATTTCCGTTCGTAGACTTTCCGCGTTAGGGGTGCCTTTGGCCTAAGGGATTGCGGGTTTGCGGGAAACAGTTTTAAATAATGCAGAGCTACGCGCCTCCGAAGAAAGAACTCCAAAGACCCTACTAGGATTAAACCCTCAGAAGTGGGCCCAACGCAGCACTACCTAACAGGGCTTCCCCCACCCCCCACCCCGCCTTCTTAATCCTTCCCTGCTACAGCTGGGGAGTCGGGGTGGGGGTGAGTGGGTTTATTTTATTTTATTTATTATGTATGTATGTATGTATGTATGTATGTATTTAGAGACGGAATCTCTCTCTGTCGCCCAGGCTGGAGTGCAGTGGCGCGATCTCGGCTCACTGCAAGCTCCGCCTCCCGGGTTCACGCCATTCTCCTGCCTCAGCCTCCCTGGGGTAGCTGGGACTACAGGCGCCCGCCACCGCGCCCGGCTAATAGTCTCGATCTCCTGACCTCGTGATCCACCCGCCTCGGCCTTCCAAAGTGCTGGGATTACAGGCGTGAGCCACCGCGCCCGGCCAAGTGGGTTTATTTTAAATGAAAATATGTCTTCTCAAGAAGGGAGAGAGGATATAAACGTAAACAAAACAAGACAACTTGGACTTCACATTTGCCAAAATCGGTAACTTAAATATTCACATAGGTGCTAATTATTCCCATAAAGGTACAGTACCATTTTTTTGTAATAAACTAATAAACAGCTAAAATAATTACAAGCACAGACAAATCCAGTAGTATATCATGAAAAAGAAGAGAAAGGCCGGGCGCAGTGGCTCAGGCCTGTAATCTCAGCGCTTTGGGAGGCCGAGGTGGGCGGATCACTTGAGGTCAGGAGTTCCAGACCAGCCTGGCCAACATGGTGAAACCCCATCTCTACTAAAAATATTAAAAAACTAGCTGAGCATGGTGGCAGTTGCCTGTAGTCCCAGCTACTCGGGAGGCTGAGGCAGGAGAATTGCTTGAACCCGGGAGGCGGAGGCTGCAGTGAGCTGAGATCACGCCACTGCACTACAGCCTGGGCGATAGAGTGAGACTCCATCTCAAAAAAAAAGAGAAAAAAAAGATGGCCCAACACAGAAGAGACAGAAAAAATTAACTGCACATACATATTTTGGGTTTCTGCCCCTGTGAAAATTTCAGTCACCTAGAACCTCTAAATATAATTCACTTGTCTACCCCTATTTTAATTAAAGCAAATATTGAGTATTTATTACATATGTAAATGAGATGATATTTAGGTTGGTGCAAAAGTCATTGGGGTTTTGCCATTTCTTTCGGTGGCAAAAACCACAATTACATTTGCACCAACCAAATCTACCTAAAGCACACTTACTACCTACCTCAATAAGGCGAAACTATTTATTATAAGGTTATGCTATTTACTATTATAACGTTATACTATGGCTTTGTGGAGTTACGTTAGGATTTTTTTTTTAGTTACCTCTCACAAAACAAATTACAATCTAGTTGAGATAAGATTTAACAAAAATAAAATATTAAAGAATAACTTAGTACTAAACACTGATGTTGGCGCAAACCATGATTACAGATGAGAGGAGAACTAGAATGATTAAGAAAAGGGGAACTAGAATGATCTGGAAGCTTAAAAATAACTGTACAACTTGACACGAGTTATGTGATACATTGTAGTAGGAGGCAGCATTTAAATGTTCAGTTCATGGATTGAGATAGACCGGAATTATAATCCCAGTTTTACTGCTTGCTTAAAAATGTGATCTTGTACAAATAACATCCTCAATTTCCTCAATGTAAAATGGTGCTTGAAATAACCTAATGATTGTAAAGTGGTTTGCATACTATCCCTTAGTAGTACACAATAAATTATTTTAGTACTGCTGTTATGGAGAAGATTTAGATAAACAGAGTATGCCCAAAGAGGAAAGAGTGCTTAAACAAAGACAAAAAAGTGTGCATTTTTTACAGGTCAGAAGAGACTGCAAATCAGAGAATGGTTGACTAAATAGAAAAGGGCAGTGTGTGAAAATTAACATTCAAAGCAGATGATTTTTGTGGGCCCCAGGGAAAAACTAAGATTTTTAAGGAGTAGATGGATGTAATTAAATATGCATTTGAAATAATAGCAAAAGGAATCTGGACAGATGCCTTAGGGAAAAAGTAAGGAAGAGGGACATGAGGGGAGAACTTATTGTCAGAAAGTTTACAGAGGAGGCAATTGTGTCAGTTTTGGTGAAATTAGTGGCGGTAAGTAGGAGAGGAGAGGATGTATTCCAGAGTATTCTAGAAAATTGAGCCTATAAAACTTGTAGGATTGTGGATATAAAGGATGAGGAAAATGGAATGTTGAGAACAGTTCCCAAGTTTCTAGCTTAGGAGATTTAAATTGATGGCTCGAGCAGATGGTGATGCTCTGAACTTGTAGAGGAGGCAAGTCGGGAAAATACAATGAGTTCCAAATGAGCTGTGTTGCATTTGAAATGCATCCAAAATATAGCATCTGTCTAGCTGGAGATGTCTAACTGACCACTGGAAATAGAAGTTTGACGTATTGAAGAGAAATAGGAAAGTTCTTAAAGAGGGACTTTTTAAGACCTCCTGTACACACTCTTATGAGATTTATCTTTCTTAATGTGATGGGGCTTTAATGGAGAACTGCAGGGGTGGGGAGGGGATAAGATGACTGTCTCAAAATTAGGTATCTACTGAGACTGTATAGGATTTGTGTATAGATCCCAAACAATCTATATTGTTAAGCACAGAGTTTAGAGATGTAAGACTCAAAAATGATGTATTTGTCCTGCAGACCAAATGAATTACATCTGGAAACATAAATTTACATATGCAGTAGGCGACTTAGGGTATAAACAAATAACTGCAAGTAATGATTGTATATGTAACAAAACACACCCTTCCTGTGTTTCTCCATGTAGTACTGTGTACTGTTTTCTCTCTTTGCCTGCAATACTGTTGTTGTGTGCTTAGGCATCTGCCCAGTTGTAAAAACAAAATAGTTCTCTGACAAAAACAGCAATATTAGACAGTTGGGTTTTTTTTTGTTTGTTTGTTTGGTTTTGAGATGGAATCTCACTCTGTTGTCCAGGCTGGAGTGCAGCGGTGCAATCTCGGCTCACTGCAACCTGTGCCTCCCAGGTTCAAGCGATTCTTGTGCATCAGTATCCCACGTAGCTGGATTATAAGCATGCACCACCACGCCTGGCAAATTTTTGTATTTTTAGTAGAGACAGGGTTTCAACATGTTGGCCAGGCTGGTCTGAAACTCCTGGCCCCCAAGGATCCACTTGGTTCAGCCTCTCAAAGTGTTGGGACTACAGGAGTGAGCCACAGTGCTCAGCCAAGACAGTTTTGGCATATCATACCTTACTACCAAGTGTGTAGCTGAAACCATTTGGATATGAACAGGGAAAATAAAGAGAAATTATTTACATGGATGAAAAGCAAATACTAAAGTTTGTACCATCAGTCATGATCCAATATTTGTTCAAGTCAAGAGGCAAAACAGAAAAAGGTTGATTGTAGAACAAATTCCAGAATCTTATACTTCAGAATGTCTTGTTTCTTAACTACTGTCTCAAAGCCAGTAACTTATTTTTAAAGAATGAATTACAACCTATCCTCTGAAGCTATGATTAATACCTTTTCATCTGCCCTTTTATGTTGGATGTCTTCCTTTTTCTCCTCCAGGGCCACTCTCTACCTGTTTGCAGTCCTAGAGTCCAAGAGTAGGAAGAATATAGAGGCAGTACCCTCAAGCTTCCAACTGAGGTTGACCAACGGGGAGGGAGCACAGACAAAAACCTGCATGATACGAAGAGAATGAGATCAGGATATTCCCGTGGCTTTCTCCCTGCAAGACCAAGTCAGGCTGTCTCTTGCCTTTGCATGATGTCACTTGTCCTCTTCAGGTGACCTGCTCCACGTGACTCGCTCTTCCATGTTCTGGTAACCTATCTTTCCCTCCCCTGTTGCTTTGGGTTCAGGGGTTGTTACATATTTGCAGTCGCTAGTCCTAGATGCATGCATATTCTTTCCATTCCCTATATCGTGTTCCATACTCTTATCATTGGTCCCATGGGGCGGGGAAACCATTAAATTCTCTTAACTGGAGGATTTGGATTATAATCTCTAATGCTATTTTAGAAAGGACTACATGTTACAAGAAATGCACTAGAATTTCCATTGGCTAAAAAGCACTTAATATGGTTGCTCATTACTTAAATTAGTCATATTAAATTAGTCAAAGTGTGCTCTTTCTTTTTAATAGAATCACATATTTTTACTATGAAAATCTACTTTAGAGCTCATTCTGGTCTAACCTTCTCTTTAGCAAATGGTGAAATGATTTGCACAAGGACATGTAACCAATGAAAGAGTGTTAAAGTTTAAACCTCTGGTCTCCTTCCTCCCTGGCCAGTGTTCTTTAGCTTTCAATTGACCCTCTTGTTTCTCTGGAGGCTTCCCCTTGAACTTTGTCCAAATAACTTTGAACTTTGTCCAAAGAATAAACTTCTTTTCTGCAGTGAGTGACCCTGGTTCTTTGGACAATCCGATAGCTCAGGTAGGAGTGGGGACCTGGGATTCTCACTAAAGACTTGCAATGTATCCCCATTTTCAATCTTATGCCTTCCTCTGCCTTCTGCAATTTGTCATTCCTATTGCCGAACATTTCTGAGGGTCTTTGAATCAATTAGCTCATTTCTTATACTGATGACAGTGTTTAACAAAATTTAGGAGGGCTGGGCGCCAGTGGCTTACACCTGTAATCCTGGCACTTTGGGAGGCCAAGGTGGGAGGACCACTTGAGGTCAGGAGTTCAAGACCAGCCTGGCTAACATGGTGAAACCCTATCTCCACTAAAAATACAAAAATTAGCCAGGCATGATGGTGCTTGCCTGTAATCCCAGATACTCATGCCTGTAATCCCAGCTGAGGCAGGAGAATCACTTGAACCCAGGAGACAGAGGTTGCAGTGAACTGAGATCCTGCCACTGCACTGCAGCCTGAGCAACAGAGCGAGACTCTGTTTAAAAAAAAAAAAAAAATTATTAGACTGATCCTCTACTAACCCCCAGCAGACCAGACCAAACCAGCATGGAGTCACCTGTGCTAAGTGCCACATAATAAAACTGAACTTTGAAAGGGGCTAGTTTTCAAATAAATAAATAAATAAACCAGGAAATTCATAGCAACACAGCCACCAATCAGAGGGGCCCCAGTTTACCTGAGCCTGCATGATAAGAGAGTTCACTCTAGGCCAGGTATGGTGGCTCACATCTGTAATCTCAGCACTTTGGGAGGCCAAGGCAAGCGGATCACCTGAGGTCAGGCGTTCGAGACCAGCCTGGCCAACATGGTGAAACTCTGTCTCTGCTAAAAATACAAAAATTAGCTGGGTGTGGTGGCACACGCTTGTTGTCCCAGCTACTTGGGAGGCTAAGGCAAGAGAATCGCTTGAAACTAGGATGTGGAGGTTGCAGTGAGCTGAAATCGTGCCACTGCACTCCAGCCTGGGCAACAGAGCCAGACTCTGTCTCAAAAAAAAAAAAAGTTCACTCTGTTTTAACCGTATGAGGAAAGTAACTTTGAAACGGTCAATCTGCTTTCTGCTTTCTTCAGCCCTTTGCCTATAAAGCCAACCCCCTCTGCTCAGCTTGGAAGAACACCCATTCTGTTTTATAGAATGAGATGTTACCCAATTCCAGAATCACAAAAGAAAGACAATTAGATCTTTAAATTTGTTGTAATTTTGTGTGTGACATCATTTAGGGTTCAACATCCTAATGATGGGGTTAACTTAAGGTTCAACTTCCAGTTAGGTTGTCACATGCAACTTACTTTGCAAAAAAAATTTAGAGATTTATAATAAAAGTACTTTACTATCTCTAACAGTTTCTGTGGAGCGGGAGTTCAGAAACGGCTCAGTTTAAAAGCCTGAATCTGGCTCAAGGTCTCTCATGCCAGTATCATCAGATGGGGCCAGAACTGGAAGAACAAGGACATGGTTAGTTAGGACCTAGCTAGGTCTCTCTCTCTGTCTCTCTCTCTCTCTCTCGCCCCCCGACCCCCGTCTCTCTCTCTGTCTCTCCTCTTTCCTGTCTCCTCTCTCTCTTCCTTTCCTTAAGAAGTCTCAGGATCTCTCCATGTGGTCTCTCTCTGTGGGCTAGTTTGGACACTCACAGAATTGCCACCTCAGGGGCAGTCAGACTGCTTACATGGTGGTTGAAGACATCAAAGACGGGTGAGAATTCTAGTGAGCAAAGTGGAAGTTGTATGACTTTGTGTGGCTTAGCTTTGAAAGTCATATAGTGTCATTTCTTTTTTTTTTTTTTTTTTTTGGTTGGTGTTGTTTGTCTGTTTTGAGACAGGGTCTCACTCTGATGCCCAGGCTGGAGTGCAGTGGCGTGATCTCAGCTCACTGCAACTCTGCCTCCTGGGTTCAAGCGATTCTCCTGCCTCAGCCTCCCGAGTAGCTGGGATTACAGGCACACCACCATGTCTGGCTAATTTTTGTATTTTTAGTAGAGACGGGGCTTCACCATGTTGGCCAGGCTGGTCTTGAACTCCTGACCTCAAGTGATCCGCCTGCCTTGGCCTCCCAAAGTGCTGGGATTACAGGCATGAGCCACCACGCCTGACCACAGTGTCATTTCTATCATATTCTTTTGATCAAAACATTCACAAAAGCACTCTCAGTTTCAAGGGGAGTAAATAGAGACCCCACATCTCAGTGGGAGGAGTGTCAAAGTCACTTTGTAAGAAGAGCACATGGGATGGAAGATATTATTGCAGCCAATTTTGGAAAATAGAATCTGTTGCACAACTCTTCTATCTAATTTTTCAATCCCTTTTTAGTACAACCACAGAGTTTTAAAATTATGAAATATGGGCCAGGCATGGTGGCTCATGTCTATAATCCCAGCACTTTGGGAGATAGAGGTGGGAGGATTGCTTGAGCCCAGGAGTTTGAGACCAGTCTGTGCAACCTACAGAGACCATGTGTCTACAAAAAATTTTTTTAAATTATTCAGATGTGGTAGTGCACATCTATAGTCCCAGCTACTTGGGAGATTGAAGCAGGAGGATCGTTTGAGCTCAGGAGCTTGTGGCTGCACTAAGCCATGATTGTGCCACTACATTCCAGCCTGGGTAACAGAGCAAGACCCCATCTCTGAAAAAAAATTATGAAATATATTAGCCATATTTTAAAAGGTAGAGAGAATAATATAGTAAACACTCTTGTATTCACCACCTTGCTTTAGAAATGTTTCGAATAGTTAAAACCCCTCTCTGCTTACATTCCCTTTTCTCTCTCTTTTCCAAAGAGATAAACATTGTCTTGAATTGGGGATTTATTATTGTCATGTGCATCTTTATACTTTTAATATGTGTATGTGTATTTCTAAACAATAATAAATTTGGGTGTCTTTTTAAACTTAACATGATTTTTTTATAACTTTAAAACTTGCTTTTTTAAAATCATTATTAGTTTTCTGGGATCTGTTCGTGTTGACGTGTAGCTCTAGTACAAACTTTTTCTTAAAGGGTCAGAGGGTAAATATGTCAGATCTTGAAGGCAGATGATCTGTATTGCAACTACTTCATTCTACAGTTCTACAAAAGCAGCTCCACTCAGTATATAAATGAATGAATAAAACTTTGTTCTGACAAAACTTTTTTTACAAAAATAGGTATCAGAGTATAGGATGTGGCCTGTGGGCCACAGTTTGCTGACCCTAGTTCCATGGCATTCATTTTTACTAATCTATCATATTCCATTGTTTAAGTATACCATAATGTAGTCATTCTCTCTTCTCTCTCTCTCTCTCTTTAAAGATGAAGTCTTGCTCTGTGGCCAGGGTGGAGTGCAGTGGCACGTTTCTAGCTCACTGCAACCTCAAACTCCTGGGCTCAAGTGATACTCCCACCTTAGCCTCCGAAGTAGCTAGGACTACAGGCACATGCCATCCTGCCTAATTTTTTTTTTTTTTTTTTTTTTGGTAGAGATGAAATCTGGCTATGTTGCCCAGGCTGGTCTGGAACTTTTGGGCTGAAGCCGTCCTCCCGCTCCAGCCTCCCAAAGTGCTGGGATTATAGGCATGAGCCACCATGCCCAGCCAATCATTCTCTTTTTGATGTATATTCAGGTTGTTTCTATTTTTTACTCTTACAAACAATGTTCTAAACATTCTTGTACATTCCACTGTGTGCAGAGTTTCTCTGGGGTAGAGATCAACAAGTAATCCATAGGCTTTTCATCTTCTAAGGATGTGTTAGTATCTTGTTTCTGTTCTTTTGAATTACATTAAATATTCCTTTACTATCATTTAAATGAGGTTTTTGAGCAAGAGTTGAGTTAATCTAGCATATTTCTCATATTCTTTAATTTTGTTATTTCCCTTAATTATTGAGTACACAGTAGATCATCTTTAGTCCAATAAACATTAGGTTGAAACTAATGACTATTGCTTTTGGGTTTTGTTTGGTTGGCTGTTTTGTTTTGTTTGAGATATGATTTCGCTATGTGGCCCAGGCTGGAGTGCAGTGGTGTGATTAGGACTTACTGCAGCCTCAACCTCCTGGATTCAAGTGATTCTCCTGCCTCAGCCTCTCAATTAACTGAGACTACAAGTGCACACATCACACCCAGCTAATTTTTTTGATTTTTATTAGAGATGAGTTCTCTCCATGTTGCCCAGGCTGGTCTCCATCTCCTGAGCTCAAGCAATCCTTCCGCCTCAGTCTCCCGAAGTGTTGGGATTACAAGCGTGAGCCACTGTGCCAGCTGACTATTGCTTTTGGCAAACTTAATGAGTCCATCTTGCTCCCAATTGCACTGTCATTATAAGCAGTACTTTCACTTTTTCTATTTTCTACTAAGTGGTATAAAGTAATATATACAAAATGCAACAAATTATCTAAGTAATTATCCAAATAAATCCCATTATAATATAATAAAATGATGATATTAGTAAAGCTAAACTGTTTGGCAGGCAGGCAAGGATTTCAGGGCTTCGACAAAAATGCATTTTTAAAAAGGTGGGCAGAATTTTCCTTGCTCTTGTTGATACGCAAATGCTTTCTCAAACTCCTGACCTCAAGTTTTTTTTGTTTTTTTTTTTTTTGTTTTTTTTTTTGAGATGGAGTCTTGCTATTTCACCTAGGCTGGAGTGCAGTGGCACAATCTTGCATCACTGCAGCCTCTGCCTCCCAGGTTCAAGCGATTCTCCTGCCTCAGCATCCCGAGTAGCTGGGACTACAGGTGTGTGCCACTGCTCCCTGGTAATTTTTGTATTTTTAGTGGAGATGGGGTTTCGCCGTGTTGGCCAGGGTGGTGTCAAACTCCTGACCTCAAGTGATTCACCTGCCTCGGCCTCCCAAAGTGCTGGGATTACATGTGTGAGCCACCAAACCCAGCCTCAAGTGCTTTCCTTTGTAAATTGCAATACAATTTATAACCCGTCAAACTTGTCTCCATGCACATCTCAGGATCTTCTGGCAGAGTATTTCTTACCCAAGATAATCTGTCAGTGTACTATGTGGGTCTAGCCTCGACTTATTCACACAGTGACTGGATAGGGTTCTAAGAGAGCCAGTGGAAGCCTCCAAGGCCTCTTGAGGTCCAAGACTGGAATTGGCACAGGATCACCTCAACAGATTTTATTGGCTAAAGCAAGTCACAAGGCCAGCCCAGATTCAAGGAGAGGGAAAATTGATTCTTCCTCTTGATAGGAGGAGCTGCAAAGTCTCATTGCAAAGGAGTGTGTATATTGGGAGGGGAATAATTATGGTCATCTTTTTTTTTTTTTTTTGAGACAGAGTCTTGCTCTGTTGCCCAGGCTGGAGTGCAATGGCGTGATCTTGGCTCACTGCAGCCTCCTCCTCCAGGGTTCAAGCGATTCTTCTGCCTCTGCCTCCTGAGTAGCTGGTATTACAGGCACGCACCACTACATTTGGTTAATTTTGCATTTTTTTTTTTTTCTGAGACAGTGTCTTGCTCTGTCGCCCAGGTTGGAGTGCAGTGGCGCGATCTCAGCTCACTGCAAGCTCCGCCTCCCAGGTTCATGCCAATCTCCTGCCTCAGCCTCCTGAGTAGCTGGAACTGCAGACAGGTGCCCATCACCACGCCTGGCTAATTCTTTGTATTTTTAGTAGAGACGAGGTTTCACTGTGTTAGCCAGGATGGTCTCGATCTCCTGACCTCATGATCTGCCCGCCTCGGCCTTCCAAAGTGCTGGGATTACAGGTGTGAGCCACTGTGCCCAGCCTGGTCATCTTTATAATTAATCTAAAACACCATCTCTTCCTAACCCTAATTATAATAGATTAATAGATTACTCATTGATAACCTTTTATAGCTTTGGTAACATCTTGTCCTCTATTTTTCATAATCTTTCAATCCCTCAGTCTACCACAAATTATTGTTGTGAGTATGTTTCATACATTGCTGGTTCAGGCTGAATTTTGCAAAAGAAATCTGAATTTTGAAAAAGAAATCTATTGAAAAAGAAATCGGCATATAAGTGAACCAATACAGTTCAAACCTGTGTTGTTCAAGGATCAACTGTATTGTGATTTTTTAAAAGCAATTTTTATGAATTGCTATTCATAGCAATTACTATTAATTTTAAACAATCAAAACAATAATCCTTAATGTCTTTCACTATGATATATTCTGAGGAGTCACTCAAGAAAATATATAATTTTCCCTTAGTTAGGCTTAGAAAAAATTACACTGAGTCACAAAGGTTAAGGTAGATCAAAGTTTACCAGCATTAACTGGTCATCGGTATCTTTTTGGCTGATAAGTATTGGTTCACTTATATGCAGATTTCTTTTTCAATATAACACAGATAAAAAATACAGTATTGGAGGGACTCGAAATCCACTTATATGGAGGACTGACTTCAAATATGCACAGGGCCTACAGTGGGATTTGAGCATGTGTAGATTTTGGTATACATGGGAGTCCTGGAACCAATACCCTGTAAACCCAGGGATGACTGTATTTAGTTTCTTAAAATGTGTCACAAATATGTACAATTTTAATAATATGGGTGAACAACAACCTAATTAAAAATAGGCTCAGTGGGAGAGGGGCAGAGAAAAAAATAGGCACAGGCCCTTCACAAAAGAGGACATCTAAATGGCCTCCACACCTATGAAAAGATCCTAAATATCACTATCAAGGAAATGTATGTCCCGCTAGCATGTGCTAATGATTAGAAGGCTGATAATATTGAGTATTAGCAAGAATATAGAGCATCTGGGACTTTCATATATTGCTGGTGGAGTGTGAGTTGATTAAACCAAGTTGGAAACCTGCTGGGTAGTTTCTATGTACCTAGTCTAGGAACAATTCTACTCGTAGCTATGTATGCAATAGAAATTAGTGCATATGTCCAATAAGGTACAAGAATGTTTGTAATAGATTTAGTTGTAATTGGCCCAAATTGAAAACCACCTAAATGTCTACAAATACGAGAATGGATGAGCAAATTATAGTATATTTACATAATGGAATACTACATAGCAACAAAAAAGAATGAACTACTGATACACACCACAACATGAATTGATCTCTAAATCATTACACTGAGTAAAAAAAGCATATTCTGTATGACTAACTTCATGTAAAGTTCAGAAATATGCAAACTTAATTCATAGTGTTAGAAGTAAAAACTTTGGGGAGTGGAGAAATTGGTCGTATTAACTGGGAAAGGTGCAAAGGAACCTTCTAGGTGATCATAATATTCTATATTATGACCTGGGTAGTGACCACAGGGTGGTTTATATATATAAATATTTATTGAACTATACACCTGTGATTTGTTCACTTTAATGTATGTATATTAAATGTTTACGCATGCCTATATTCACATAATTATATAGATGTTCTTGTTAGAAAAATGGGACTTTTTATTTTTATCTATTGGTGGTATAAATTAAAGCATAAATTCTATCCCTGGCCTCAAGATTGACCTGTATAGAGATATTAAAAAGGAAAAGATTTCTTCCTCCTCTTTCACAGTTTAATTAGGGTGAAAACCCAGCATAAGAATTTGATGTGGAGGCTAGGGGCGGTGGCTCACGCCTGTAATCCCAGCACTTCAGGAGGCCTAGGCAGGTGGATTACTGAGGTCAGGAGTTCGAGACCAGCCTGGCCAACATAGAGAAACCCATCTCTACTAAAAATACAAAAATTACCTGGGAGTGGTGGCACACACCTGTAGTCCCAGCTACTCGGGAGGCTGAGGTGGGAGAATGGCTTGAACCTGGGAGATGGAGGTTGCAGTGAGCCAAAATCATGCCTCTGCACTCCAGCCTGGGGACAGAGCGAGACTATGCCTCAAAAACAACAACAACAACAACAACAAAAAACGTTAATGTGGCCAAAGGTAAAGAAAAGCTACATTTATAATCTTCTATAGGTTCTGCAGCTAAGGGTATTGATGAGAGATTGTTTAGTTCTTCTGATTTTTGAAAGGTATGGTACTGTGCATGCATGCACATGCAGGCATGTATGTATGTGTACATGTATGTATGCTGTGTATATGCACACATATATGGGTATGTCTGAATGTGGGAACGTGTGCTATGCGTGCATGTGTGATGCATGTGCATGCATGCACATGTGTTTTCTACTAGATTTACACAGGAATAAGGAGGCATAACTTCACTCTAAACTAGCAAATATTTTGTGAAAGTGTGCATACTTTGAGTCTCCCAAAATCGAACAATTCTGCTGAAGCTTCTGTGTACTATCTTTCCAGACACAATGAAAATTTAGGGAAATATTTAGCTTCAGGTGAATTGCCCTAGGGTGTGGTGGGGCACAGGGCACAGGGTCTAGGAGAAGTACATCACTTCTGTGTTAGGGAATAGGATATTCCTAAAGTGGCAAAGTGTAGAATCTCACTGAAAAGGGTAAAGAAGAAGCTCTCTGTGCAGAGTGAACTTTGAAACAATGTGGGAGCATGTCTAGGAACTGTGGTGCTCACCCTAGGAGACCCATATGAAAGGCTAATTTCTTTTCCTTTGGACCCATAGCACCAGTTCTGTGCTTTTCTGTAATTTTTTTTTCTCAGCTGGGCTTTTTTTTTTTCTTTTTCCAAGACAGGGTCTTGCTACGTTGCCTAGGCTACTCTTGAACTCCTGGGCTCAAGCCAGGAATTTAGCCTCAGCCTCCCCAGTAGCTGGAATTATAGGCACATGCCACCACACCTAGTTCTATGCTTTTCTTACACTGTAATTCACTCTAGCTTTTTCCCAATTCTTCAGAAAACTGTTAGCCATTCTTCAGCCTCATGTTAGTCCTGTTACGAGTGCAGTGGGCAGAGAATTAAAGAGACAGGCTGTAAACAGCAGAGCAGCCTGACCTGCTTCACCTCTCTCCCAAAACCAATATAACTGGAACCACATGATTCAGAGAGGGAAGCTGGTGATTCTAAAATTTACAAGGCCCCCTAGGAGTGAAATAAGCTAAACTCCATTGCAAAGAGGTGATTAGGAGCTATGTGAACACAGACTGCTGCAGCATTGACAAATGCAGGACTGGATGGAGATGAACCCCTTGACGTGAGACAAGGGTAGGGAAAGTAGAGGACAGTGAGCTTGACTTACAATGTGGTTTAGGTTCTTCAATGAAGAGTCTAAAGGGGCATGTGAAAGAGAAGATAGAAAATAATGAGACCTACTGGAGTGTGTGTGTGTGTATTGAAAATATCTGATGTGTACAATTTTTAAAAGCCAAAACAAAGAGCCAGAATATGTTTTCATTTAGCTTTCTGAGACTGAGATTGGCGGGTATAAACTGAAACAAGATACAACTTTTTTTAAAAGAGGGGATTATACCTAACATATATTCCTTGAGGATTTCAATTATTCTGAAATTCATAGAGCAGTGGAAGAAAAATCATAGGTTAGGAAATGAATGTGGTTGAAATTGGCACATATAAATAACTTTATACAAAAATCAGCAAATATGCTAAATGAATTTTAATTATCAAAAGGTCAAAAGACAAAGAGAGTGAATGTAATTGAGGCAGTGAATGTGCCATTGTCAGATTTTGTATTCAAGAACTTCAGAAAAATGACTTTCACCACAACTATGAAAATATTGATAAACAATTTTTGTATGTCCCATTGTTTTTTTCATTGTTTTTTGTTTTGGACAGGGTCTTGCTGTGTCACCCAGGCTGGAGTGCAGTGGTGCAATCACAGCTAACTGCAGCCTTGACTGCTCAGGCTCAAGCGATTCTCCTACCTCAGCCTCCTGAGAAGCTGCAACTACAGGTGTGCACCACCATGTCCAGCTAATTTTTTTTTTATTTTTAGTAGAGATGAAGTCTTGCTATGTTGCCCAAGCTGGTCTTGAACTCTTGGGCGCAATCAATCCTCCTGCTTTGGCCTCCCAAAGTGCTGGTATTACAGGTGTGAGCCACTGCACTTGATGGTTCCATAGTTTTAGAAAGTTAGTAGACATAGAAAAGAGACTCCTGACTGTCTCCATCGAAGAAGAAAGTCTAGTTAGGCCAATACTAGACATAATAGCAGTACATAGAGGAAATAGAATTCCTCTGATTTTCTTGTATCTTTTCTGGATCAGTTCCAGTCCATAATGACTAGGATGATGGCTCTGAAGAGGGCTCAGTTCTGGAGCAGTCAACTCAACCATGGTGTCGTCATTAAAACATCCAGACCCATGGTCATTCTACTTTCTATTGTGTATAGAACCAGTTTATTATAGTCTTCAGTTAATTACTTTCTGTTGTATCACTTCTAAGAAGTTCGTTCGTTTTTTTCTCTCTCTCTTTCTTTCTCTCTTTCTTTTTTCTTTCTTTCTTTCTTTCTTTCTTTCTTTTTCTTTCCTTCTTTCATCTTTCCCTTCCTCCCTTCCTTCCCTTCTTCCCTTCCCTCCCTCCCTTCCTTTCTTTTGTTTTTGACATGGAGTCTCACTCTGTCACCTAGGCTGGAATGCAGTGGCATGATCTCAGCTCACTGGAGTCTCCACCTCCTGGGTTCAAGCAATCCTCCCGCCTCAGCCTCTTGAGTAGCTGGGACTACAGGCATGTGCCACCATGCCTGGATATTTTTTGTATTTTTAGCAGAGATGGGGTTTTGCCATGTTGGCCAGGCTGGTCTCAAACTCCTGACCTCAGGTGATCCACCCGTCTCAGCCTCCCAAAGTGCTGGGATTACAGGTGTGAGCCACCGTGCCCAGCCAGAAGTGTTTCTATTCTCATTGGCAGGCATTTATCTATGGCTTTAAAATATTGGTGATTTAAATGCTTCAGACAGTGTATTGGCTTGCTAGGGTTGCCACAACAAAATACCACAAACTGAAGGTGGTTAATGAGAGAATTTCAAGTTCACGAGTGTAGCATTATCTCATTGGCCTTTCTAGCTGCCTACTTCATGGACAAAAATTAAATCCCTCTTTGTGGATAGGAAATAAAGGAGAAAAATAGGGAAATTCAGGAGAGTCTTCAAGACTGAAGAAATCCTTTAAGAATGAAGCCAGGCAGTCCTGAAATGGAGTAGCTTAACAGCAGAAATTTATTTTCTTATAGTTCTGGAGGCTGAAAGTCCAAGATCAAGGCATCAGCAGGTTGGTTGTCTCCTGAGGCCTCTCTCCTTGGCTTGCAGATAGATGGCTGCTTGCTTTCTGTGTCCTCACATGGCCTTTTCTCTGTATGTGCATCCTCAGTGTCTCTCCCTCTTCTTCTAACAACACCAGTCAAATTGGATTAGGGCCACACCCCTATGTTCTCACTTAACCTTGTTACCTCATTAAAGACCCTCTCTCCAAATATAGTCACATTGAGGGTTAGGACTTCAACATAATGAATTTGGGTTTGAGGGCACGATTCAGTCCACAATTGATGTCTAACTCCATTTCAGGACTGCCTGGCTTCATTCTTAAAGGCTTTCTTCAGTCTTGAAGACTCCTGAACTTCCCTATTTTTCTCCTTTATTTCCTATCCACAAAGAGGGATCTAATTTTTGTCCATGAAATAGGCAGCTAGAAAGGCCAATGAGGTAATGCTACACTTGTGAACTTGAAATTCTCTGATTAACCACCTTCCTTTTAAGATTACAACTTACTCCCAATTATAAAGAGCAAAATACCTTAAATAAAGGATGAATTACTATTAGAAAAACCCCTGGAACAAATTTAGGGATTTAAAAATTACTTCAGCCAGATAGATATTCAGATGGCTAAAAACTGAATGAATTGTAGCCACATGTTGAATATTGAGCTTAGAAAATTCGGTCAACTTATCTAAAATAGAAATAAGATCATTGGCAAATAACAAAAAAACAACTGAATAGAAAGCTGACACTGTGGGAAAGAAAACTGATCTTTTTACTTTACAAATTAAAAAATCTAGATGTGATTATTTTCAAAGCTCCTTTTTTTAATGGTTCATATTAAATCCTAAATTGGTAAAAAATTTTGCTTTTTGGAAGGCCAAAGAGGGAGGATCACTTGAGCTCAGGAGTTCAAGACCAGTCCTGGCACCATAGTGAGATTGCCCTCTTCTTTACAAAATTTTTTTTTAAATTAGCTGGGCAAGGTGGCACATGCCTATAGTCCCACCTACTTGAGAGTCTGAGGTCATGATTGCTTGAGCCTGGGAGGTCAAGACTGTAGTGAGCAGTGGTCATGCCACTGCACCCCAGCCTGAGTGCCTGAGTGACAGAGTGAGACCTTGTCTCCAAAAAAAAAAAGCAAGAGAGATTTTGCTTTCTAAAGCTAGGTAGTTAAGATTAAATCTTTTCCTTGAAAAAACAAAGGACCCAATAATTCAAATGAATACATTCTAAAACTGTGCAGTGAGAAAACAAATATGTAGTGCACACAAAACTCAAAGACAAACACTGTGCTGAGATAAATTGTTTTGAAAGATGATTGTTGTTCTGACTTGGCTTTCCTGCTTTATAAATAAACACAGTATAGAGGCAAGAGAAGAACCTGTGGCTGTTCACTCTGCAGATCTGAAGTGCTTCTTGTGTGCTGGCAAGTTTTGGTGTGCTTGCTCTCAGATAATTCTTCCTCTTTTTAAAAAGTCCAAACCCGTCATCAGAGTTTCAAATATGATATTATGATCACTTAAAGTTATAGACATAGAAGGCATTCTTAATTTAATTTTCAACATTCAAGTCAGAAAAATTTACAATCTGTTCTTTTTCACCAGCAACTATAACCACAGAGTTTATCCACTGTAAATATCTTAATTTTATTTGAAAATCCAGGTAACATATCTTTATTGCTTTTGCTCTATAATGTGTTCTGAGGAAAATAAATCTTTATATACATGTATGCCTCACCCTAATATTCTCCAGAACAAAGAATATTTCTCCCCTTTTCCCCCTGCCCAACTCTTTCTCCCCTCCCCATCCTTTCTCAGACATTTTTCTATGTGTGTATAGCTTTCGCTCAACACTTAACAAAATACATTTCCTTCTCATTATATGTAAACCTATTTTAATATTTTTGATGGTTCTGCATAATATTCCATTATAACACATCTCAATTGATGGACATTTTAGGAAGCTTTTAGAGTTTTGCTACTATAATCAATGCCAACGTGAGCACACACATACACATCTATATTTCTGAACATAAATGATTATTTTCTTAGAATAAATTCCTAGATGTACATGTTTTTTTGTTTTGTTTTTTGAAACAGAGTCTCACTCTGTTGCCCAGTCTGGAATGCAGTGGTGTGATCTCAGCTCACTGCAACCTCTGCCTTCTAGGCTCAAGCGATTCTCCTGCCTCAGCCTCACAAGTAGCTGGGATTACAGACGCCTGCCACCATGCCCAGCTAATTTTTGTATTTTCAGTAGAGACAGGGTTTCACCATGTTGGCCAGGCTTGTCTTGAACTCCTGCGCTCAAATGATCCACCAGCCTCAGCCTCCCCAAGTGCCAGGATTACAGGTGTGAGCCACCATGCCTGGCCTAGATGTACATCTAATTATTGAATTAAATAACATGAATATTTTGACGCAAAGAATTGAAGCTCACTTAACCAAAGAGACAGAAGCTGGTAAACGGCCTGTTAATCAAAACAGCTGGTTAAATAGAGAAATATAATATAATATAATATATTTTATAAATATATATATATGAAACATTCTATTTTAACTTAAAAATACATTAAAAATATAAATATACGGTGGCTCATCTTTATAATCTCAACACTTTGGGAGGCTGAGGTGGGAGGCTAGCTTGAGCCCAGCAGTTCAAGACCAGCCTGAGCAACATAATGAAACTCAGTCTTTACTACATAAATAAATAAATAAATAAATAAATAGATAAAATTAGCCTGGCATGGTGGCATGCACCTGTAGACCCAGCTACCTAAGAGGCTAAGATGGGAGGATCTCTTGATTTTTGGGAGGTCGAGGCCGCAGTGAGCAATGGTTGAGCCACTCCCTGGGTGACAGAGCAAGACCCTCTTTTTCTCCCTGTCTCTCTCTCTCTGTACACACACACATACACACACACACACACACACACATGCACATTCACTCACTAAAATTAGATGAAATAAAAAAATAGTGTTTAATTTTTGTGGGGACATAGTAGGTGTATATATTTATGGGGTACCTGAGATATTTTGACACAGGCATACAATGCATAATAATCACATCAGGGTAAATGGGGTATCCATCACCTCAAGCATTAATCCTTTCTTTGTGTTACAAACAATCCAATTGTACACTTTAGTTTTTGTTGTTGTTGTTGCTTTGTTTTGTTTTGAGATGAAATCTCACTCTGTCACCCAGGCTGGAAGGCAATGGCACGATCTTGGCTCACTGCAAGCTCCGCCTCCTGGGTTCAGGCAGTTTTTGTGCCTCAGCCTCCTGAGTAGCTGGGATTACAGGTGTGCACCAGCATGCTTGGCTAATTTTTGAATTTTTAGTAGTGATAGGGTTTCACTATGTTGGCCAGGCTGGTCTCAAACTCCTTAACTCAAGTGATCTGCCTGCCCCAGCCTCCCAAACTGCTGGGATTATAGGTGTTTGCCACTGCACCTGGCCACTTTAGTTATTTTTAAATGATCAACAAATTATTGTTGACTGTAGTCATCCTGTTGTGCTATCACATACTTGATCTTATTCATTCTATTGAACTATGTTGTTATACCCATTAACTGTCCCCTCTTCTCCCCCCCACTACCCTTCCCAGCTTCTGGTAACCATCATTCTATTCTCTATCTCCATGTGTTCAATTGTCTTAGCTTTTAGCTCCCGCGAATAAGTGATAACATGCAAAGTTTGTCTTTCTGTGGTTGGTTTATTTCACTTAAAATAATGACCTCCAGCTCCATCCATGTTGTTGCAAATGGCAGGATCTTGTTCTTTTCCGTGGCTGAATTGAATAGTACTCCATTATGTATATGTACTACATTTCCTTTATCCATTCATATGTTGGTGGACACTTAGATTGCTTCCAAATCTTAGCTATTGTGAATAGTGCTTCAAGAAACATGACAATGCAGACATTTCTTCCATATACTAATCTTCTTTCTTTTGGGTATATACCTAGAAGTGGAATTGCTGGATCATATGGTAGCTCTATTTTAGTTTTATGAGGAATTTCCAAACTGTTCTTCAAAGTGGTTTTACTAATTCGCATCCCCACCAACAGTGTACAGGCGTTCCCTATTTTCCACATCCTTGCCAGCCTTTGTTATTTCCTGTCTTTTGGATAAAAGCTATTTTAACGGGTGAGATGATATCTCATTGTAGTTTTGAATTACATTTCTCTGAGGAACAATGACGTTGAGCACCTTTTCATATACTGGTTTCCCATTTATATGTCTTCTTTTGAGAAATGTCTATTCAGATCTTTTGCCCATTTTAATTGGATTATTAGATTTTTACCTACAGAGTTGTTTGAGCTCCTTTGATATTCTGGTTATTAATCCTTTGTCAGATGGATAGTTTGCAAATATTTTCTCCCATTCTGTGGGTTGTCTCTTCACTTTGCTGATTGTTTCCTTGCTGTGCAGAAACTTTTTAACTTGATGTGATCCTATTTGTCCATTTTTGCTTTGGTTGCCTATGGTTGTAGGGTATTACTCAAGAAATCTTTGCTCACTCCAATGTCCTGTAGGGTTTCTCCAATATTTTGTTTTAGTAGTTTTATAGTTTGAGGTCTTAGATTTATGTCTTTAATCCAGTTTTATTTGACTTTTTGTATCCAATGTGAGATAGGAGTCTAGTTTCATGCTTTTGCATACGGGTATCTAGTTTTCCTAGCACCATTTATTAAAGAGACTATCATTTCCCCTATGTATGTTCTTGGCACCTTCATCAAAAATGAGTTTACTGTAGATGTATGAATTTGTTTCTGGGTTCGCTATTCTGTTCCATTGGCCTATGTGGCTGTTTTTATGCCAGTACCATGCTGTTTTGGTTACTACAGCTTTGTAGTATAATTTGAAGTCAGGCAATGTAATCCTTTCAGTTTTGTTCTTTTTGCTCAGGATAGTCTTCCCTATTCTGGGTGTTTTGTGGTTCCATATAAAATTTAAGATTGTTTTTTCTATTTCTGTGAAGAATGTCATTGATATTTTCATGGGGAGTGTACTGAATCTGTAGATTGCTTTAGGTAGTATAGACATTTTAACAACATTGATTCTTCCAACCCATGAACATGGAATATCTTTCCATTTTTTTGTGTCCTCTTCAATTTCTTTAATCAATGTTTGATAGTTTTTATTGTAGAGAACTTTCACTTCTTTGGTTAATTCCTAGGTATTTAATTTTATTCGTAGCTATTGTAAATGATATTACTTTCTTGATTTCTTTCTTAGATTGTTCACTGTTGTCATATAGAAATGCTACTGATTTTTGTATGTTGATTTTGTATCCTGCAACTTTACTGAATTTATTTATCACTTCTAATAGGTTTTTGGTAGAGGCTTTAGGTTTTTCCAAATATAGTATCATATCATCTGCAAACAAGGATAATTTGACTTCTTCCTTTGCAATTTGAATGCCCTTTATTTATTTCTCTTGTTTGATTGCTCTAGGTAGGACTTCCAGTAGTATGTCAAATAATAGTGGTGAAAGTGGGCATCCTTGTCATGTTCTAGATCTTAGAGGAAAGGCTTTCAGTTTTTCCCCATTCAGTATAATACTCACTGTGAGTCTGTCATATATGGCTTTTATTATGTTGAGGTAGGTTCATTCTAGGCCCAGCTTTTTGAAAGTTTTTATCATGAAGGGATGTTGAATTTTATCAAGTGCTTTTTCAGCATTGATTTAAATGATCATATAGGTTTTCTCCTTCATTCTGTTGCTATGCTGTATCACATTGATTGATTTACATATGTTAAGCTATCTTTGCATTCCTGGGATTAAATTCCACTTGGTGGTGATGAATGTTTTTTATATTTATTTATTTATTTACATATTTTTTTGAGACAGGGTCTCACTCTTTTGTCCAGGCTGAAGTGCCATGGTGCAAACATAGCTCATTTCAGCCTTGACCTCCCAAGCATAAGCAGTCCTCCCACGTCAGCCTGCCAAGTAGCTGAGAACAGGAATGCACCACCATGCCTAGATGATTTTTTATTTTCTGTAAAGACAGGGTCTCTACAAAACTAGGCTGGTCTCAAACACCTAGACTAAAGCAATCCTCCCATCTTGGCCTCCCAAAGGTGGGATTACAGGCAGGAGCCACCACATCTGGCTTGAATATTCTTTTTAATGTGTTGTTGAATTTGGTTTCTTAGTATTTTGTTGAGGATTTTTGCATAAATGTTCATCAGGGATCTTGGCCTGTAGTTATCTTAATGAGAACAAAGACAAAACATACCAGAATCTCTGGGACACATTCAAAGCAGTGTGTAGAGGGAAATTTATAGCACTAAATGCCCACAAGAGAAAGCAGGAAAGATCCAAAATTGACACCCTAACATCACAATTAAAAGAGCTACAAAAGCAAGAGCAAACACATTCAAAAGCTAGCAGAAGGCAAGAAATAACTAAAATCAGAGCAGAACTGAAGGAAATAGAGACACAAGAAACCCTTCAAAAAATTAATGAATCCAGGAGCTGGTTTTTTGAAAGGATCAACAAAATTGATAGACCTCTAGCAAGACTAATAAAGAAAAAAAGAGAGAAGAATCAAATAGATGCAATAAAAAATGATAAAGGGGATATCACCACCAATCCCACAGAAATACAAACTACCATCAGAGAATACTATAAACATCTCTACGCAGATAAACTAGAAAATCTAGAAGAAATGGATAAATTCCTTGACACATACACTCTCCCAAGACTAAACCAGGAAGAAGTTGAATCTCTGAATAGACCAATAACAGGCTCTGAAATTGAGGCAATAATCAATACCTTACCAACCAAAAAAAGTCCAGGACCAGATGGATTCACAGCCGAATTCTACCAGAGGTACAAAGAGGAGCTGGTACCATTCCTTCTGAAACTATCCCAATCAATAGAAAAAGAGGGAATCCTCCCTAACTCATTTTATGAGGCCAGCATCATCCTGATACCAAAGCCGGGCAGAGACACAACCATAAAAGAGAATTTTAGACCAATATCCTTGATGAACATTGATGCAAAAATCCTCAATAAAATACTGGCAAACCGAATCCAGCAGCACATCAAAAAGCTTATCCACCATGATCAAGTGGGCTTCATCCCTGGGATGCAGGGCTGGTTCAATATACGCAAATCAATAAATGTAATCCAGCATATAAACAGAACCACAGACAAAAACCACATGATTATCTCAATAGATGCAGAAAAGGCCTTCAACAAAATTCAACAACTCTTCATGCTAAAAACTCTCAATAAATTAGGTATTGATGGGACGTATCTCAAAATAATAAGAGCTATCTATGACAAACCCACAGCCAATATCATACTGAATGGGCAAAAACTGGAAGCATTCCCTTAGAAAACTGGCACAAGACAGGGATGCCCTCTCTCACCACTCCTAATCAACATAGTGTTGGAAGTTCTAGCCAAGGCAATTAGGCAGGAGAAGGAAATAAAGGGCATTCAATTAGGAAAAGAGGAAGTCAAATTGTCCCTGTTTGCAGACGACATGATTGTATATCTAGAGAACCCCATCATCTCAGCCCAAAATCTCCTTAAGCTGATAAGCAACTTCAGCAAAGTCTCAGGATACAAAATCAATGTACAAAAATCACAAGCATTCTTATACACCAATAACAGACAGAGAGCCAAATCATGAGTGAACTCTCATTCACAATTGCTTCAAAGAATAAAATACCTAGGAATCCAACTTACAAGGGATGTGAAGGACCTCTTCAAGGAGAACTACAAACCACTGCTCAATGAAATGAAAGAGGATACAAACAAATGGAAGAACATTCCATGCTCATGGGTAGGAAGAATCAATAACGTGAAAATGGCCATACTGCCCAAGGTCATTTGTAGATTCAATGCCATCCCCATCAACCTACCAATGACTTTCTTCACAGAATTGGAAACAACTACTTTAAAGTTCATATGGAACCAAAAAAGAGCCCGCATCGCCAAGTCAATCCTAAGCCAAAAGAACAAAGCTGGAGGCATCACGCTACCTGACTTCAAACTATACAACAAGGCTACAGTAATCAAAACAGCATGGTACTGGTACCAACACACAGATATAGATCAATGGAACAGAACAGAGCCCTCAGAAATAATGCCGCATATCTACAACTATCTGATCTTTGACAAACCTGAGAAAAACAAGCAATGGGGAAAGGATTTCCTATTTAATAAATGGTGCTGGGAAAACTGGCTAGCCATATGTAGAAAGCTGAAACTGGATCCCTTCCTTACACCTTATACAAAAATTAATTCAAGATGGATTAAAGACTTAAACGTTAGACCTAAAACCATAAAAACCCTAGAAGACAACCTAGGCATTCCCATTCAGGACATAGGCATGGGCAAGGACTTTATGTCTAAAACACCAAAAGCAATGGCAACAAAAGCCAAAATTGACAAATGGGATCCAGTTAAACTAAAGAGCTTCTGCACAACAAAAGAAACTACCATCAGAGTGAACAGGCAACCTACAAAATGGGAGAAAATTTTCGCAACGTACTTATCTGACAAAGGGCTAATATCCAGAATCCACAATGAACTCAAACAAATTTACAAGAAAAAAAAAACAACCCTATCAAAAAGTGGGCAAAGGATATGAACAGACACTTCTCAAAAGAAGACATTTATGCAGCCAATAGACACATGAAAAAATGCTCATCATCACTGGCCATCAGAGAAATGCAAATCAAAACCACAATGAGATACCATCTCACAGCAGTTAGAATGGTGATCATTAAAAAGTCAGGAAACAACAGGTGCTGGAGAGGATGTGGAGAAATAGGAACACTTTTACACTGTTGGTGGGACTGTAAACTAGTTCAACCATTGTGGAAGTCAGTGTGGCGATTCCTCAGGGATCTAGAACTAGAAATACCATTTGACCCAGCCATCCCATTACTGGGTATATACCCAAAGGACTATAAATCATGCTGCTATAAAGACACATGCACACGTATGTTTATTGCGGCACTATTCACAATAGCAAAGACTTGGAACCAACCCAAATGTCCAACAATGATAGACTGGATTAAGAAAATGTGGCACATATACACCATGGAATACTATGCACCATAAAAAATGATGAGTTCATGTCCTTTGTAGGGACATGGATGAAACTGGAAATCATCATTCTCAGTAAACTATTGCAAGGACAAAAAAGCAAACACCGTATGTTCTCACTCATAGATGGGAATTAAACAGTGAGAACACATGGACACAGGAAGGGGAACATCACACACTGGGGACTGTTGTGGGGTGGGGGAGGGGGGAGGGATAGCATTAGGAGATATACCTAATGCTAAATGACGAGTTAATGGGTGCAGCGCACCAGCATGGCACATGTATACATACGTAACTAACCTGCACATTGTGCATATGTACCCTAAAACGTAAAGTATAATAATAATTTAAAAAAATGTGTCTTTGTCTAGTTATGGTATCAGGGTAATACTGGCCTCATAGAATGAGTTTGGAAGTAGTCCCTCCTCCTCTATTTTTTAAAAGTAGTTTGAGTAGGATTGGTACTTACCAAACATCTTTAAATGTTTGGTAAAATTCAGCAGTGAAGCTATTGGATCCTGGGCTGTACTTTGCTGGGAGAATTTTCATTACAGCTTTGATGTCATTTCTTGTTATGGGTCTGTTCAGATTTTGGATTTCTTCATGGTTCAATTTTGGTAGGTTGTACATGTCTAGATATTTATCCATTTCTTCTAGATTTTCCAGTGTATTGATATATTGTTGCTCATAGTAGCCACTAAGGATCCTTTCAATTTCTGTGGCATCAGTGGGAGAAAAGCATGTCTTCTTTTTCATCTGTGATTTTATTTATTTGAGTCTTCTCTCTTTTTTTTCAGTTAGTCTGGCTAAAGTTTTGTTGATTTTGTTCACTTTTTCAGAAAACTAACTTTTCAATTTATTGATTTTTATATTGTTTTCTTCATTTCAGTTTCATTCATTTCTGCTCTGATCCTTATTCTTTTCTTTCTTCTAGTAATTTTGGGTTTGGTTTGCTATTGCTTTTTTTTTTCTTTAAGATGCACCATTAGATTGTTTATTTGAAGTTTTTCTTCTTTTTTGATGTTGGCACTTCTTATAAAGTTTTCTATTTGTACTGTTTTGGCTGTTTCCCATAGGTTTGGTATATTTTGTTTTCATTATTATTTGTTTCAAGAAATGTTTAAATTTTCTTCTTAATTTCTTCATTGACCCACTGCTCATTCAGGAGCATATTGTTTCATTTGCGTATGTTTGTATAGTTTCCAAAATTCCTTGTTATTGATTTCTAGTTTTATTTTATTGTTGTTGGAGAGGATTCTTAATTTCTTTTTTTTTAATTTTTAAGACTTGTTTTGTGGCATAACATATGGCCTATCCTTGACAATATTCCATGTGCTGAACAGAAGAATGTATATTTTGCAGCCATTGGATGAAATGCTCTGGAAACATCTGTTAGGTCCATTTGGTCTACAGCACAGATTAAATCTGATGTTTCTTTGTTGATTTTCTTTCAGGATGATCTATCCAATGTTGTAAGTTAGGTGTTGAGGTCTCCAGCTATTATCATATTGGGGTCTATCTATCTCTCTCTCTTTTTTTTTTGAGATGGAGTTTTGCTCTTTTTGCCCAGGCTGGAGTGCAATGGTGTGATCTCGGCTCACCGCAAACTCCGCCTCCCAGGTTCAAGCGATTCTCCTGCCTCAGACTCCCAAGTAGCTGGGATTACAGGCATGCACCACCACGCCTGGCTAATTTTGTATTTTTTAGTACAGACAGGGTTCCTACATGTTGGCCAGGCTGGTCTCGAACTCTTGACCTCAGGTGATCTGCCCGCCTCGGCTTCCCAAAGTGCTGGGATTACAGGCATGAGCCACCACGCCCAGCCTGGGTCTATCTGTCTCTTTAGCTCTAATAATATTTGCTTTATATATCTGGGTGCTCCAGTATTGGGTGCATGTATATTTACAACTGTTATACCCTCTTGCTGAGTTGACCCCTTTACTATTATATAATGACCTTCTTTGTCTCTTTTTATAGTTTTTGTCTTGAAATTTAATTTGTCTGATATAAGTATAGCTACTTCTGCTTTTTTTTTTTGGTTTCCATTTGCATGTCACAGAATATTATAACATTGTAATTGTGTGTAAACTACTTATATCTTTCTTGAGTAGAAAGACTAAAAGATGAACCAGTCTATGTGTGTCTTTAGGCAACAGACTGTTGGGTCTTTTTTTTTTCTCTCTCTCTCTCTTTTCCTTTTTGAGACAGGGTCTCACTTTGTCACTCAGGCTGGAGTGCAGTGGTGTGAACATGGCTCACTGCAGCCATGACCTCCTGTGCTCAAGAGATCCTCTCACCTCAGCTTCCCGAGTAGCTGGGACTACAAGCACTTGCCACCATGCCCAGCTAAGTTTTAGTTTTTTTTTTTTTTTTTTTTTTTTTTTTTGCAAAAACAGGGTTTTGTCATGTTACACAGGCTGGTCTTGAATTCCTGAGCTTAAGCAATCCATCCACCTTGGCCTCCCAAAGTGCTGGAATTATAGGCATGAGCCTCTGAGCCCAGCCTCTATGTCTTTTTATTGGAGAGTTTAGTCCATTTACATTCAATGTTACTGATAAGTAAGGACTTACTCCAGCCATTTCTTTCTAGTTGTTTTATAGTCTTCTCTTTCTTCTTTTCTTCCTTTCTGTCTTCCTTTTAGTGAAGGTGATTTTCTCTGGTTGTATGCTTTAATTTCTTGCTGTTAATTTTTTTTGTGTATGTTATATGTTTCTTGATTTAAGGTTATCATGAGACTTACACATAATGAGACAGCCAGGTGGGAGGGACAACTTGGAGAAACTCCAACCAGCCTGTCCGCTGGGGTGGAGCCTCTGGAGGTTCATGCCATTTTCAGCGAGAAGGAGGCTGACCCCTCCTCTTCCTGTGTGGAACCTGAGATTCAAACAGCAGGTGGGAAGCACTCTAACAGGGACTCTGTTTTAGCAAGAGTCCCTGTTTCCTCCTTTTCTTCCTTTTCACCCAATAAAACCCTGCTTTACTCACCCCTCAGTCTGTGAGCCTAAATTTTTGTGGCTGTGGGACAGACAAGGACCCCATCCTTAGCTGAACTAAGGAAAAGTCCTGCAATAATTTGGCACCCAGTGTGGGGCTCAAGAAGTGGTGAGTGAAATGGGAACTCAAAACCTGTCCTGTTGCTTCTAAGCCTTTTCATCCTCAGACTTTTGAGGGTGGGGGAAACCATGCCTCCACCCCTTATCACTCCCAGGTCTTTTCATGGCCTTTTCCCTCCTTTTTCGGGACTGACTGGTGAGCAGCAGCTACCCTCCACCCGCCAACTCGCTGCCAGGCTTGAACATATGGCCCAAGGCACTGGGGGTAGCTGGCTGGCGTTTTCTGCCATGAACCATTGGAGCCTTCCCCTTCCCTGGCCAAGAGATTCAGCAACATCAGAAAATAATTAAACTTTTCTCCCTGGTGGAGAAACCACTTCCATAAGAATAAGAGGTTTTTCCCCAGGCAGTTTTAAACTATTTTTTTTCTTTCCCCTTCTCTATCCCATCCACAAGTTAACTTTTAAAGTTTATTTTTTTTCTTTTAGAATATATTTTGCTAGGCCAGTCCATCCAACTATCACTGTTTATATTTTCTGCGAAGTTTTGGTTATGAAATCAAGCCTCCATCTTGTTTTACATTCTGACTCTTATAACTTTGGTGGCAAGGCTTTGTTTAGCAATCCTGTCTTAGGGAATAAGTTTCTTTCTGGTTTGATATCTGCATGTTTTCCTAGTGCTGACTCTTAAAGGGCCCCACCCAGTGCCTGGGTTTTCTTCTGCCTGTGTGTGTGTGTACTGTGTGTGATGTCTGTAAAAAGAGCTCTAATTAATTTGGCCTAAAGAAAGACAAGCACTTAGATCTAATATTGTTTAAAGGGAAGTTAAAAGCTGTGGTACCTTTCAGTTCACATGAGTTTAATCTTTTTTTTTTCCTTCTTTCTTTCTTTTTTGATGGAGTCTTGCTCTGTCATCCAGGCTGGAGTGCAGTCGCATGATCTCAGCTCACTGCAAGCTCCACCTTCATGCCATTCTCCTGCCTCAGCCTCCCAAGCAGCTGGGACTACGGGTGCCCACCAACACGCTTGGCTAATTTTTTGTATTTTTAGTTGAGACAGGGTTTCACAGTGTTAGCCGGGATGGTCTGGATCTCGTGATCTTCCCACCTCAGCCTCCCAAAGTGCTGGAATTACAGGCGTGAGCCAGACTTTAATCTTTAAGAAAAAGTTCACATGACTTTAAGAAATAAAAATAGCACTAAAGACTATTGGTAAAATGCAGGTCAGATGCAAGGTTTGCTAAGTGTTTGAGATTACAAATTGCCTTTTGGGTTTTGAGAACTATTTGACTTGCTAGCTTCACAACTGGTAAGGCCTGGGGACATGTGGAACTAACCATGTCCTTAACTAAGAAGACTAACCTTGGCTGTAGTTAGCACACAATTAAGGCAACTTACCAAGTTTTACCTTAAAGTTAAAAATTGCTAGGAGTTAATTGGAGCTACTGGAAATAGATTTACATTTAAGGTGTGTAAGAACAGTAAAATGTGTTTTTTAGTAAACGGTTATAAGAAGGCATGGAAATATAAACTTTTGCCTAGGGTTAAAGGATTGTTTTGAGTTAAATTAGGAAAAAGTTGAAGGTTCAGAGAAGTGGTGGAAGAACTGTGGAAATCTTGCAGAAGAGGTTCTTTGTGTGAACATATTGTCTAAATTCCAAAAAGGGCATTATCTGGTTTTTCTGTAAATTGAGCATTGAAATAAAAGCATAACAAGGCTTTCCTAAGGCACTAATCTGCTCTATGGCAAAATTTATAAAGGGTTATAAAAGGTTTATGCTTCTTTAAAATTTCTGAGTCATCATTTTGGCAAAATAAATAACTTATGGTAGTCTGGAATTCTATTTCATAATACCAAGTGTTTTAAACCTCGAACATTTAACAGCCTTCCCAAAATAAAACTTCAGTTACAAAATTGTCTTCCCTGGCACCTGGCTTTTTGAATACATCAGAAGGCCCTTGAAGTGTCCAGAAAAGAGACATAAAAAGGATTATTCAACATGTCTAGGTACATGGGATTGCCAAAATGATGCTCAATCTTCTTTAGGTTATATCTTGCTGAATAATGCTAATATATGTTCCAAAATTGTATGGGATTTCTAAAATTCTAATGTCTGAGTATATGCTATTGATCATAATTAAGGTTTTTATGTTAAGTTATTGTAAGCCATGGAGACAACCAAACTTCTTAGTCAATTTTTTTTCTCACTGTAACTATGCTGGATATTTTCCTATTCACAGACAATTTTTGTCTTGTTTTAATCCTTTTTTTCTTTATATATATATGTTTTTTATTATACTTCAAGTTCTAGGGTACATGTGCACAATGTGCAGGTTAGTTACATATGTATACATGTGCCATGTTGGTGTGCTGCACCCATTAACTCGTCATTTACATTAGGTATATCTCCTAATGCTATCCCTCCCTCCTCCCCCGACCCCACAACAGGCCCTGGTGTGTGATGTTCCCCTTCCTGTGTCCAAATGTTCTCATTGTTCAATTCCCACCTATGAGTAAAAACATGTGGTGTGTGGTTTTTGTCCTTGCAATAGTTTCCTGAGAATGATGGTTTCCAGCTTCATCCATGTCCCTACAAAGGACATGAACTCATCATTTTTTATGGCTGCATAGTATTCCATGGTGCATATGTGCCACATTTTCTTAATCCAGTCTATCATTGTTGGACATTTGGGTTGGTTCCAAGTCTTTGCTATTGTGAATAGTGCCGCAGTAAACATACGTGTGCGTGTATCTTCATAGCAGCATGATTTATAATCCTTTGGGTATATACCCAGTAATGGGATGGCTGGGTCAAATGATATTTCTACTTCAAGATCCCTGAGGAATCACCACACTGACTTCCACAATGGTTGAACAAGTTTACACTCCCACCAAGAGTGTAAAAGCATTCCTATTTCTCCACAGCCTCTACAGCACCTGTTGTTTCCTGACTTTTTAGTGATCACCATTCTAACTGGTGTAAGATGATATCTCATTGTGGTTTTGATTTGCATTTCTCTGATGGCCAGTGATGATGAGCATTTTTTCATGTGTCTGTTGGCTGCATAAATGTCTTCTTTTGAGAAGTGTCTGTTCATATCCTTCACCCACTTGTTGATGGGGTTCTTTGTTTTTTTCTTGTAAGTTTGTTTGAGTTCTTTGTAGATTCTGGATATTAGCCCTTTGTCAGATGAGTAGGTTGCAAAAATTTTCTCCCATTCTGTAGGTTGCCTGTTCGCTCTGATGGTAGTTTCTTTTGCTGTGCAGAAGCTCTTTAGTTTAGTTAGATCCCGTTTCTCAATTTTGGCTTTCGTTGCCATTGCTTTTGGTGTTTTTAGACATGAAGTCCTTGCCCATGCTTGTGTCCTGAATGATATTGCCTAGGTTGTCTTCTAGGGTTTTTATGGTTTTAGGTCTAACATTTAAGCCTTTAATCCATCTTGAATTAATTTTTGTATAAGGTGTAAGGAAGGGATCCAGTTTCAGCTTTCTACATACGGCTAGCCAGCTTTCCCAGCACCATTTGTTAAATAGGGAATCCTTTCCCCATTTCTTGTTTTTGTCAGGTTTGTCAAAGATCAGATGGTTGTAGTAGTGTGGTATTATTTCTGAGGGCTTTGTTCTGTTCCACTGGTCTATATCTGTGTTTTGGTGCCAGTACCATGCTGTTTTGGTTACTGTAGCCTTTTAGTATATAGTTTGAAGTCAGGTAGCGTGATGCCTCCAGCTTTATTCTTTTGGCTTAAGATTGACTTGGCAATGCGGGCTCTTTTTTGGTTCCATATGAACTTTAAAGTAGTTTTTTCAAACTCTGTGAAGAAAGTCATTGGTAGCTTGATGGGGATAGCATTGAATCTATAAATGACCTTGGGCAGTATGGCCATTTTCACGATATTGATTCTTCCTATCCATGAGCATGGAATGTTCTTCCATTTGTTTGTATCCTCTTTTATTTCATTGAGCAGTGGTTTGTAGTTCTCCTTGAAGAGGTCCTTCACATCCCTTGTAAGTTGCATTCCTAGGTATTTTATTTTCTTAGAAGCAATTGTGAATGGGAGTTCAGTCATAATGTGGCTCTCTGTTTGTCTATTATTGATGTATAGGAATGCTTGTGATTTTTGCACAGTGATTTTGTATCCTGAGACTTTGCTGAAGTTGCTTATCAGCTTAAGGAGATTTTGGGCTGAGACAATGGGGTTTTCTAGATATACAATCATGTCATCTGCAAACAGGGACAATTTGACTTCCTCTTTTCCTAATTGAATGCCCTTTATTTCCTTCTCCTGCCTGATTGCCCTGGCCAGAACTTCCAACACTATGTTGAATAGGAGTGGCGAGAGAGGGCATCCTTGTCTTGTGCCAGTTTTCAAAGGGAATGCTTCCAGTTTTTGCCCATTCAGTATGATAATGACTGTGGGTTTGTCATAAATAGCTCTTATTATTTTGAGATACGTCCCATCAATACCTAATTTATTGAACATTTTTAGCATGAAGAGTTGCTGAATTTTGTTGAAGGCCTTTTCTGCATCTATTGAGATAATCATGTGTTTTTTGTCTTTGGTTCTGTTTCTATGATGGATTACGTTTATTGATTTTCATATGTTGAACCAGCCATGCATCCCAGGGATGAAGCCCACTTGATTGTGGTGGATAAGCTTTTTGATGTGCTGCTGGATTCAGTTTGCCAGTATTTTATTGAGGATTTTCGCATTGATGTTCATCAGGGATATTGGTCTAAAATTCTCTTTTTTGTGTGTGTGTCTCTGCCAGGCTTTGTTATCAGGATGATGCTGGCCCCATAAAATGAGTTAGGGAGGATTCCCTATTTTTCTACTGATTGAAATAGTTTCAGAAGGAATGGTACCGGCTCCTCCTTGTACCTCTGGTAGAATTTGGCTGTGAATCCGTCTGGTCCTGGACTTTTTTTGGTTGGTAGGCTATTAATTATTGCCTCAATTTCAGAGACTGTTGTTGGTCTATTCAGGGATTCAACTTCTTCCTGTTTTAGTCTTGGGAGGGTGTATGTGTCAAGGAATTTATCCGTTTCTTCTAGATTTTCCAGTTTATTTGCCTAGAGATGTTCATAGTATTCTCTGATGGTAGTTTGTATTTTGTGGGTTGAGTGGTGATATCCCCTTTATCATTTTTTATTGCATCTATTTGATTCTTCTCTCTTTTCTTCTTTATTAGTCTTGCTAGCAGTCTATCAATTTTGTTGATCTCTTCAAAAAACCAGCTCCTGGATTCATTGATTTTTTGAAGGATTTTTTGAAGGATTTTTTGTGTCTCTATTTCCTTCAGTTCTGCTCTGATCTTAGTTATTTCTTGCCTTCTGCTAGCTTTTGAATGTGTTTGCCCTTGATTCTGTAGTTCTTTTAATTGTGATGTTAGGGTGTCAATTTTAGATCTTTCCTGCTTTCTCTTGTGGGCATTTAGTACTATAAATTTCCCTCTACACACTGCTTTAAATGTGTCCCAGAGATTCTGGTATGTTGTGTCTTTGTTCTCATTGGTTTCAAAGAACATCTTTATTTCTGCCTTTATTTTGTTATGTACCCAATAGTCATTCAGGAGCAGGTTGTTCAGTGTCCATGTAGTTGAGCGGTTTTGAGTGAGTTTCTTAATCCTGAGTTCTAGTTTGATTGTACTATGGTCTGAGAGACAGTTTGTTATAATTTCTGTTCTTTTACATTTGCTGAGTTGTGCTTTACTTCCAACTATGTGATCAGTTTTGGAATAGGTGCTGTGTGGTGCTGAGAAGAATGTATATTCTGTTGATTTGGGGTGGAGAGTTCTGTAGATGTCTATTAGGTCCACTTGATGCAGGGCTGAGTTCAATTCCTGGATATCCTTGTTAACTTTCTGACTCGTTGATATGTCTAATGTTGACAGTGGGGTGTTAAAGTCTCCCATTATTATTGTGTGGGAGTCTAAGTCTCTTTGTAAGTTTCTAAGGAGTTGCTTTATGAATCTGGGTGCTCCTGTATTGGGTGCATATATATTTAGGATAGTTAGCTCTTCTTGTTGAATTGATCCCCTTACCATTATGTAATGGCCTTCTTTGTCTCTTTTGATCTTTGTTGGTTTAAAGTCTGTTTTATCAGAGACTAGGATTGCAACCCCTGCCTTTTTTTGTTTTCCATTTGCTTGGTAGATCTTCCTGCATCCCTTTATTTTGAGCCTATGTGTGTCTCTGCACGTGAGATGGGTTTCCTGAATACAGCACAGTGATGGGTCTTGACTTTATCCAATTTGCCAGTCTGTGTCTTTTAATTGGAGCATTTAGTCCATTTACATTTAAAGGTAATATTGTTATGTGTGAATTTGATCCTGTCATTATGATGTTAGCTGGTTATTTTTCTCATTAGGTGATGCAGTTTCTTCCTAGCATCAATGGTCTTTACAATTTGGCATGTTTTTGCAGTGGCTCATACCGGTTGTTCCTTTCCACGTTTAGTGCTTCATTCAGGAGCTCTTTTAGGGCAGGCCTCGTGGCGACATATTCTCTCAGCATTTGCTTGTCTGTAAAGGATTTTATTTGTCCTTCACTTACGAAGCTTAGTTTGGCTGGATATGAAATTCTGGGTTGAAAATTCTTTTCTTTAAGAATGTTGAATATTGGTCCCCACTGTCTTCTGGCTTGTAGAGTTTCTGCCGAGAGATCAGTTGTTAGTCTGATGGGCTTCCCTTTGTGGGTAACCCGACCTTTCTCTCAGGCCGCCCTTAACATTTTTTCCTTCATTTCAACTTTGGTGAATCTGACAATTCTGTGTCTTGGAGTTGCTCTTCTCGGGGAGTATCTTTGTGGCGTTCTCTGTATTTCCTGAATTTGAATGTTGGCCTGCCTTGGTAGATTGGGGAAGTTCTCCTGGATAATATCCTGCAGAGTGTTTTCCAACTTGGTTCCATTCTCCCCGTCACTTTCAGGTACACCAATCAGACGTAGATTTGGTGTTTTCACATAGTCCTATATTTCTTGGAGGCTTTGTTCGTTTCTTTTTATCCTTTTTTCTCTAAACTTCTTTTCTCACTTCATTTCATTCATTTCATCTTCCATCACTGATACCCTTTCTTCTAGTTGATCACATCGGGTACTGAGGCTTCTGCATTCCTCACATAGCTCTCGTGCCTTGGTTTTCAGCTCCATCAGGTCCTTTAAGGACTTCTCTGCATTAGTTATTCTACTTATCCATTCGTCTAATTTTTTTTCAAAGCTTTTAACTTCTTTGCCATTGGTTCGAATTTCCTCCTTTAGCTCAGAGTAGTTTGATCGTCTGAAGCCTTCTTCTCTCAACTCGTCAAAGTCATTCTCCATTCAGCTTTGTTCCATTGCTGGTGAGGAGCTGCATTCCTTTGGAGGAGGAGAGGCACTCTGATTTTTAGAGTTTCCAGTTTTTCTGCTCTTTTTTTCCCCCATCTTTGTGGTTTTATCTACCTTTGGTCTTTGATGATGGTGATGTACAGATGGGTTTTTGGTGTGGATGTCCTTTCTATTTGTTAGTTTTCCTTCTAACAGACAGGACCCTCAGCTGCAGGTCTGTTGGAGTTTGCTAGAGGTCCACTCCAGATGCTGTTTTCCTGGGTATCAGCAGCAGTGGCTGCAGAACAGTGGATATTGATGAACCACAGATGCTGCTGCCTGATCGTTCCTCTGGAAGTTCTGTCTCAGAGGAGTACCCAGCTGTGTGAGGTGCCAGTCCACCCCCTTCTGGGGGGTGCCTCCCAGTTAGGCTACTTGGGGGTCAGGGACCCACTTGAGAAGGCAGTCTGCCTGTTCTCAGATCTCAAGCTGCGTGCTGGGACAACTACTACTCTCTTCAAAGCTGTCAGACAGGGACATTTAAGTCTGCAGAGGTTACTGCTCTCTTTTTGTTTGTCTGTGCCCTGCCCCCAGAGGTGGAGCCTACAGATACAGGCAGGCCTCCTTGAGCTGTGGTGGGCTCCACCCAGTTCGAGCTTCCTGGCAACTTTGTTTACCTAATCAAACAACTAACTGGGCAGTGGTGGGTGCCCCTCCCCCAGCCTCGCTGCCGCCTTGCAGTTTGATCTTGGACTGCTGTGTTAGCAATGAGTGAGACTCCGTGGGTGTAGGACCCTCCGAGCCAGGTGCGGGATATAATCTCCTGGTGTGCTGTTTTTTAAGCCGGTCGGAAAAGCGCAGTATTAGGGTGGGAGTGACCCGATTTTCCAGGTGCCATCTGTCACCCCTTTCTTTGACTAGGAAAGGGAATTCCCTGACCCCTTGCACTTCCCGGGTGAGGTGATGCGTCGCCCTGCTTTGGCTCGCGCACAGTGCGCTGCACCCACTGTCCTGCACCTACTGTCTGGCACTCCCCAGTGAGATGAACCTGGTACCTCAGTTGGAAATGCAGAAATCACCCGTCTTCTGCATCACTCACACTGGGATCTGTAGACCGGAGCTGTTCCTATTTGGCCATCTTGGCTCCTCCCCTGATGCAGTTTCTTCCTAGCATTGATGGTCTTTATAATTTGGCACGTTTTTGCAGTGGCTCATACCAGTTGTTCCTTTCCATGTTTAGTGCTTCCTTTAGGAGCTCTTTTAGGGCAGGCCTGGTGGTGACAAAATCTCTCAGCATTTGCTTGTCTGTAGAGGATTTTATTTCTCCTTCATGTATGAAGTTTAGTTTGGCTGGATATGAAATTCTGGGTTGAAAATTCTTTTCTTTTAGAATGTTGAAAATTGCCCCCACTCTCTTCTGGCTTGTAGAGTTTCTGCCGAGAGATCAGTTGTTAGTCTGATGGGCTTCCCTTTTTGGGTAACCCAACCTTTCTCTCTGGCTGCCCTTAACATTTTTTCCTTCATTTCAACTTTGGTGAATCTGACAATTCTGTGTCTTGGAGTTGCTCTTCTCAAGGAGTATCCTTGTGGCGTTCTCTGTATTTCCTGAATTTGAATGTTGGCCTGCCTTGCTAGATTGGGGAAGTTCTCCTGGATAATATCCTGCAGAATGTTTACCAGCTTGGTTCCATTCTCCCCGTCACTTTCAGGTACAGCAATCAGACGTAGATTTGGTCTTTTCACATAGTCCCATATTTCTTGGAGGTTTTGTTCATTTCTTTTTATTCTTTTTTCTCTAAACTTCTCGCTTCATTTCATTCATTTGATCTTCCATCACTGATACCCTTTCTTCCAGTTGATCAAATCGGCTACTGAAGCTTGTGCATTCATCACGTATCCTTGTGCCGTGGTTTTCAGCTCCATCAGGTCTTTTAAGGACTTCTCTGCATTGGTTATTCTAGTTAGCCATTAGTCTAATCTTTTTTCAAGGTTTTTAACTTCTCTGTGATGGGTTCAAACTTCCTCCTTTAGCTCGGAGAAGTTTGATCATCTGAAGCCTTCTTCTCTCAACTCGTCAAAGTCATTCTCCGTCCAGCTTTGTTCCATTGCTGGTGAGGAGCTGCATTCCTTTGGAGGAGGAGAGGCGCTCTGATTTTTAGAATTTTGTTTTTCTGTTCTGTTTTTTCCCCTCTTTGTGGCTTTATCTACCTTTGGTCTTTGATGATGGTGACGTACAGATGGGATTTTGGTGTGGATATCCTTTCTGTTTATTAGTTTACCTTCTAACAGTCAGGACCCTCAGCTGCAGGTGTGTTGGAGTTTGCTGGAGGTCCACTCCAGACCCTGTTTGCCTGGTTATCAGCAGCAGAGGCTGCAGAACAGCGAATATTGCTGAACAGCAAATGTTGCTGTCTGATTGTTCCTCTGGAGGTTTCGTCTCAGAGGGGTACCCGGCCATGTGAGGTGTCAGTCTGCCCCTACTGGGAGGTGCCTCCCAGATAGGATACTCAGGGGTCAGGGACCCACCTGAGGAGGCAGTCTGTCCATTCTCAGATCTCAAGCTGCGTGCTGGGAGAACCACTACTCTCTTCAAAGCTGTCAGACAGGGAAGTTTAAGTCTGCAGAAGTTTCTGCTGCCTTTTGTTCAGCTGTGCCCTGCCCCCAGAGGTAGAGTCTACAGAGGCAGGCAGGTCTCCTTGAGCTGTGGTGGGCTCCACCCAGTTCAAGCTTCCCAGATGCTTTGTTTACCTACTCAAGCCTCAGCAATGGCCGACGCCCTTCCCCCAGCCTCGCTGCTGCCTTGCAGTTCGATCTCAGACTGCTGTGCTAGCAATGAGTGAGGCTCTGTGCGTGTGGGACCCTCCAAGCCATGTGCGGGATATAATCTCCTGGTGTGCCATTTGCTAAGACCATTGGAAAAGTGTAGTATTAGGGTGGGAGTCACCTGATTTTCCAGGCGCCGTCTGTCACAGCTTTGCTTGGCTATGAAAGGGAATTCCCTGACCCCTTGTGCTTCCTGGGTGAGGCGATGCTTTGCCCTGCTTCAGCTCATGCTCAGTGCGCTGCACTCACTGTCCTGCACCCACTGTCCAACGAGCCCCAGTGAGATGAACCCGGTACCTCAGTTGGAAATGCAGAAATCACCTGTCTTCTGCGTCACTCACGCTGGGAGCTGTAGACTGGAGCTGTTCCTATTCAGCCATCTTGGAGAAAAACCTTTTAATCCTTTCAAAGATGGTTTATAATAAGCTATAGAACTTTAACAGGTGCTCTCACATACAGGCTTCTGATAACTTTAGAGATTGTAACATTGGAATAAAGGAAAATGTACAGGACTCATAAAGAGCAGAAATATTCATGAATATCAGGGAAAACAAGATTTATCTAAATGGACTAACTCAGGAAGCTGAAGCAAACCTTTTTTTTTTTTTTTGAGACGGAGTCTAGCTCTGTCACTGAGGCTGGAGTGCAGTGGTGGGTCTCGGCTCACTGCAACCTTCACCTCCTGGTTTCAAGTGATTCGCCTCCCTCAGCCTCCTGAGTAGCTGAGAGTACAGACTTGTGCCACCATGCCTGGCTAAATTTTGTATTTTTAATAGAGATGAGGTTCTCCATGTTGGCCTGGCTGGTCTCAAATTCCTGACTTCAAGTGATCTGCCTGCCTGGGCCTCCCAAAAATGCTGGGATTACACGTGTGAGCCACTGCGCCCAGCCTTAAGCAAATTTTTTTTTTACTTTTGCTTGGAATATTACTGATCCTTGTTTTGTTTTTCAGAGTCAAGGAAACTTATTTTGAACTATTTATGGCCTTTAATAATTAAGTAAGGTATACACTCCTGTGATCAAAATTTGGAGCATGTTTGTTTCTCTCTGCCCGGTTCCTCTAGAATTTGGAGACTATCTGTGAGTATTCTTATGGCAATATAGTTGTTTGCATCAGTGCAATAAGAATTCATTTTTCTTTTGCAACAGAACACAATTGGAGAAAGTGGTTATTTTACCAAGGCTTTGACTGGAAGGATTTGCTTCTCTTTAAGGAGTCAATCTCAACTTGCAGAGCCAATAAAAGCTCATTGGGGAAACTGGCCTCATACCTTTGTCTATCCATTCCCTATACAGGGTTCCTGACCTGTGGTCAGTAAAGAATGTCACTTTCTAACAGGTTCAGGAGCTCCAAGTTTATTTTGGGACCTTAACAGGAAAGGATCACTGAATTCACAGATGTTTGAGGATACAAACCCTTGGTTGGGCTCAACTTTAAAAGGTATTATCTGAGATTACTTGTAGAAGAAACTTCCATCAAAGCCACTCCAAAAGGCCTATGTAGAAATAATTATTCTTGCCACACTTTATGCAAATAATCAGACCAAGTATAAGACTAAGGTCTGTTCTGAAAACCATTCAGTCCTATGATGATTTTTTAACAAAAATGAGGACTGGAGAGAGAGAAATCATGTTTCAAAACTTATCATACATTTATCATTAAATTCTAAACTCATTACTTGTTTTTAAACCCTGCTTGCCCCTGTGAACCAACCAGCAATCCCTGGCTGCAGCTCAAAAAGAACAAAAGGGATGGGTAATGTTAAAATCTGAATCAGTATTCTAGTTGAGCAATTATCCTGCAAATCCTGCAAGGTGATGGGAATAAATAGGATACCCAACACTCGGAGGTTTCCTTTTTGGGAAAGTAAGACCAAGGGAGCTAACCAAAGTGAAACACCATGCACCCAAATCTTAGCAAGCATAACTATAGCCACCAGTTATCTGGTTGTGTCACAAGACATTCTTTCCTGTCCGTTGTTGGAGGAGGACTTAGTTCCACAGTTTCATCTTAGCATAGTTCCACAGTTTCATCTTAGCATTTGGTTTATGACAAGGAGTCCATGCAACCCCCCGAGACATATTTTTGTCCCAAACTCAATTCCAAGCTTTGGGTCAAAGCCCTATGAAAGAAAACTGGATCTAATGGATCCAGAGCCAAATGACAACAGAGGTTAAAAGGCACAGCGCAGGTAAGCATGGCTGATTCCTGCCAATTAAGCCAAGCCCAAGCTTCCTGTTTCATGGATAAAGGCCACGTTAATATCCATGGCATAAATGAGATCTAGGGAACTCCAAGGCTACTGATAGTAGGGTGAATAGAGGCATACATGAGATTGGATAATTCCTATTCTCTAGGAACCCCCTGCTTCATGGGTGCAAGCTGCTTTGGCAATCATGGTGGGACCTGCCAAGGTCACCGGGATTCAGGGATGCAAGGATGGAAGAGGGAAAGAGGACGCTCTTCCTTCCCTCCCTCATGTACCTTGGGTATCTGCTAGGAGGAGAAGGAAACCAGGGATACCTGCTTCCCTCTTTCTAGATGGGTAGCCATTCATCTTCAGTCTGTACCTCTTTTGAATGCATCCTGAACCCTGAGACTCCTTTGAAAAAAAAAGCCTTCTTTTTTTCCTTTCTTCTCCTCTGTCCTCTTTTCACAGATAGGCAATTGTGCCTCCAGGACACTCACCTCAGATGTGTCCTCCAAACTGGAAAAAGTTAATTTCCCAAACCTTAAACTGGTTGGCTTAGGATTGGACTCAGGGGAAGAGAACCCAGAAGCCCAACATGCCAGCGAAAGGGTAAAGTTTCTCTGCCAGTCAGGCTTTTGGCCTCCCTCTCTCTGAAAGCTGGTAAAAGGCCACGGAATCCTTACCCCTCCCCTTATTTCATTTTATACATGTTTTCTAATAACCCAGTTTGTCTGTTCTTGCCTTCAGGCCATCAAACTCCAAGCAATCATGCAACCGGAGCCTCTGACGATGGCCCCTTCTGCTGGGAACCCTTAAATAGGCCTCTGAGGGAACTTTGATTGCTGTTTCCCAAAACAGTGCCCTCTGTCACAGGAAGCAGTTAAGATCAGTCTTTGTCCTTAATCTAACAGCAGTTAGATGTACTTCTTTAGAGAGGGTAATGAGACAGCCAGGTGGAGGGGTTCCCTGGAGAAACTCCAACTAACCTGTCCACTGGGTGGAGGCTTCAGACCTCATGCAAGTCTGAAATCCAATAGGGCAGTCATAAAACCTTAAAGTTCCAAAATGATCTCCTCTGACTCCATGTCTCACATCTAGGGCATGCTGATGCAAGAAGTGGGCTCTCACAGCCTTGGGTGGGTCCACTCCTGTAGCTTTGCAGGGCACAGCCCCCTTCCCAGCTGCTTCCACAAGCTGGTATTGAGTGTCGGTGGCTTTTCCAGGCACACAATGCAAGCTGTTGGTGGACCTACCATTCTGGGATCTGGAGGATGGTGGCCCTCTTCTGATAGCTCCACCAGGCAGTGCCCCACTGGGGACTCTGTGTGGGGGCTCTGACCCCACATTTCCCTTCTGTACTGCCCTGGCAGAGGTTGTCCACGAGGGCCCCACCCTTGCAGCAAACTTCTGCCTGGACATCCAGGTGTTTTCGTACATCCTCTGAAATCCAGGTGGAGGTTCCCAAACCTCAATTTTTGACTTCTGTGCAACTGCAGAGTCAACACCATGTTGAGGCTGCCAAGGCTTGGGGCTTGCACCCTCTGAAGCCATGGCCTGAGTGCTGTACCTTGGCCCCTTTTAGCTACAGCTAGAGCAGCTGGGACATAGGGCACCAAGTCTCTAGGCTGCACACAGCAGAGGCCCTGGGCCTAGCCCAGAAAACCATTTTTTTCTTCTAGGCTAGTGGGCCTCTGTTAAATTTATCCAATAGGGCTAGGTGCAGTGGCTCACACCTGTAATCCCAGCATTTTGGGAGGCTGAGGCAGTTGAATCACTTGAGCCCAGGAGTTCGAGACCCACCTGGGCAACATGGCAAAACCTCCTCTCTACAAAAAAAATACAAAAATTAGCTGAGAATGGTGGCGCCCACTTGTAGTCCCAGCTACTTGGGAGGCTGAGGTGGGAGGATCACTTGAGTCCAGGAGGCAGAGGATACAGTGAGCTGGGATCATGCCACTGGGGACCAGCCTATGACAGGGTGAGACCCTGTCTCAAAATAAAGAAAGAAAGAAATTTATCTGATAGGATTCTGAATTCCTTCTCTGTGTTATCTTGAATTTCACTGAATTTCTTTAACACAGCTATTTTGAATTCTCTCTCTGAAAGGTCACATATCTCTGTCTCTCCATAATTGGTCCCTGGTGACTTATTTAGTTCATTTGGTGAGGTCATGTTTTCCTACATGGTCTTGATTCTTGTGGATGTTTGTCAGTGTCTGGGCTTTAAGGAGTTAAGTATTCATTGTAGTCTTCACAGTCTGGGCTTGTTGTACCCACCCTTCTTGGGAAGACTTTCCAGGTGTTCAAAGGGACTTGGGTGTTGTGATTTAAGCTTTTGCCTATGGCAGCCATACCTGCATTAGGGGGCACCCCAAGCGCAGTATTGCTGTTGCTTTTGTAAGCTCATAGAAGTACCATATTGGTGGACTTGGATAAGATCCAGAAGAATTCTCTGGATTACCAGGCATAAGACTCTTGTTGTCTTCCCTTACTTTCTCCCACACAAACAGAGTCTCTTTCTGTGCTGAGCTGCCTAGAGCTAGGGGAGGGGTGACACAAGCACCATTGTGGCCCCCAGCATTCAGATTGTGCTGGGTTAGACCTGAAGCCAGCATAGCACTGGGTCTTGCTCAAGGCCTTTGGTAACCACTGCCTAGCTATACTGCCTATATTCACTCATGGCACTAGGGCTCTTCAATCAGCAGGTAGTAAAGCCAGCCAGGACTTTGTCTTCCCTTCAGGGCAGCAAGATCCTCCCCAGCCCCAGGCAGGTCCAGAAATTCCATCTGGGAGACAGGGCCCGGAGTTTGAAACCCAAGAAATCCACCTGGTGCTCTATCCCATTGTGGCTAAGCTGGCACTGAAACAACAAGACAAAGTCCTTCCCACTCTTCCCTCCCCTTTCTGCAGGCATAGGAGCCTCTCCTTGCATCCTTCATCACCCCAGGCCCATGGGGAGTAGTACCAGGGTGCTACTGATGTCCACTTAAGGCCCAAGGGCTCTTCAGTCAGCTTGTAGTGAATGCTGCCAAGCCTGGGACTCACCCTTTAGGGCAGCGGGCTCCCCTTTGGCTCAAGGTAAGTCCAGAAATGCCATCCAAAAACCAAGGCCTGGAATCAGGGACCCTAAGAGCCTGCTTGGTGCTCTACCCCATGGAGGCCAAGTTAGTACCTAAGCTACAAGACAAAGTCCTCTTTACTCTTCACTTCACCTTTCTCAGGCAGGAACCTCTCCCCATAGCCACCACAGCTAGGAATGTGCTGCATCACACCTGAAGCCAGCACATCTCTGAGTCTTACCCAAGGCCCATGGAGAGTACTGCCTGGATATTGCTGCTGATTATTCAGGAATCAAAGGCTCTTTGGTCAGCAAGTGATGAATCCTGCCAGAACTGGGCCCTTCCCTTCAAGTCACTGAGTTCCCTTCTGGCCCAGGGTGTGTCTAGAAATATCATCTGGTAGCTAGAGCCTGAAATAGGGGTATCAGGACTCTGCCCAGTGCCCTATCCTACTGTGTCTTAGCTGGTATCCAAGATGTACGACAAAGTCTTCTTTACCCGTCCCTCTTCTCTCCTCAAATGGAGGAAGGAACATCTCCTGAAGCTGCAAACTGTGCTGCCTGAGGTTGAGGGAGGGGTGGTGCAAGCACTCCCTTGGACACCCTGGCTGGTGTCTTACCAGGTTGCTTGTCCCCCAAATCCAGTGGTTCCGAGCCCAGCATAGCACCAAGACTTGCCCAGTAATTGTAATCCTTGTGGCCTAATTAACTTGAAACTGCCTTTCAAGTTTGTTTAGGATGCTGGAGTACTTTAGCCTGTGGTGGCAAGGCTTGCCATAACTTAGGTTCCAACTACTGGGATAGGTGATTCCCCTCTGGGTATGTCTGGTCTAAATGCTCCTCTGCAGATGTCAGCTAAGTTCTGCCAAGTGTTGCTTTCCACTGTGACAGGGCAGCACTGAGTTCCAGTGCAAAACTGTACTCCCCCTCCCTCAAGTGCACAGATTCTCTCCATGCCACATAGCTGCTGCCCTGGGATGAGGGAGTGGTGGCCCTGGAAATTCAAGACTGTCTTTCCTAACCTCCTCAGTGCCTCTTTCAGTGATACTAAGTTAAAACCAGGTATTGTGATCACTCATGTGATTTTGGCTCTTATGAAGATGCTTTTTTGTATGGATAGTTGTTTGATTTGGTGTTCCTGTGGGGAGGATGATTGGTGGAGGCTTCTATCCAGCTGTCTTGCTCTGCCTCCTCCTCGTGTAAATGAAATTTTAGTGCTAAGGAATTTATTATTGTTGACAATGGGTTCCCTGATTACAATGGTCTATGTAATCACTCCTGGATAAATGACATCTACAATAAATTGTCTAAGATTTTTACTTTTTCTGTTTTTAAGGCAGAGCAAGAACCGAAAAAATTTATAAAGCAATCTGAGTATAGAGTTATTCACAGTTGCTACCCCTCCCCCAATCTTTTACTCCTGATTTGACATCATTTCTATATGTGTAATTTGCCTTTAGAATCTGTCCAAAGTATTCAAATTTCTTTTCCCTGAAACAACTCTTTTTCTTTTATTTTACATAATATTATAAATCAATCAGCATAAAAGTTTTTAGAAGACACACAAAACTGACCCTTAGTTAGCAGATGATTCACAATTTCAAGAGCAGATGAAAGAGTAGCCTATTGCCATTAAGAACTTGATGGGCCATGGCCAGCAGTGGGTTTTATAGAGGGAAAAGAGTGTCAGTTTATCTGGTGACTCGGGTAACTTAGAGTTGCTTGAGAGTGTCTACTAAACTGCCTTCCAGGAGAGTTTTATTGATTTGCCCTCTTAGCAGCAGTGTATGAGGGTGCTCGTCTCCTTTTACCCTGGTTCTCAAACTAGTGTTCACAAGAATCACTTAGAGAGCTTTGTTAAAAATATGTAGATTCTTGACATGCCATACTAACAGATTCTGATTTGGGGCAAGTCCAAAATGTCTGCAAAAAAGCGCACCAGGCATTTCTTAAGTAGATGTTAGTAAAAATGTTTAACTCAAGGATGAGATACTATGATTCTTATTTGTCCACAGTCTTCTAATCATTTGGTTACAATAACAAAGTAACCCATCTAGCTAATTCCGTTTCTTTATCCAAACTATTATTCCCAATCTATTGTTTCTAGATAAATGACTCTCAGGAAAAGAATTCTCTTGGCCCATGTTTTCTGGTGATAGTGATTTTGACAATCTCATGTTTAGATTTCTTAAAACAATTGAAGCTAGAGGTTTGAAAAGTCTAAATGCATCTTAGCAGTAGAGGTATATCCTCTGAGGCACACCATGTAGGTTTTTCACAAAGTTGGATTAGAATTTGGAGGTAACTCAGCTAATTTAGATTCTTGACTATAATATTAAACAATTTCTGAATAGCAAGCTCCTCTTAGTTTTAACACAAAGTCACTTTGCCATTAAACTGAATTTAAATAAACCTAAAGCAGGTAGACTGAGGTTCTCCCTCCCTCCTTCCCTCCCTCCCTCCCTTACTCCCTCCCTCCCTTCCTTCCTTCTCTCTTTATCTTTCTCTTTCTCTTTATGATGGGGTCTCACTTTGTCACCCAGCCTGAAGTGCAGTGGCATGATCTTGGCTCACTGCAACCTCCACCTTCCAGGGTCAGGTGATCCTCCCACCTCAGCCTCCCAAGTAGCTGTTATCTTTCTCTTTCTCTTTATGATGGGGTCTCACTTTGTCACCCAGCCTGAAGTGCAGTGGCATGATCTTGGCTCACTGCAACCTCCACCTTCCAGGGTCAGGTGATCCTCCCACCTCAGCCTCCCAAGTAGCTGGGATTAGAGGCACATGCCACCACATCTGGCTAATTTTTCTGTTTTTTGTAGGACAGGGTTTCACCATGTTGCCCAGACTGGTCTCAAACTCCTGGGCTCAAGGGATCTGCTTGTCTCAGCCTCTGAAAGTGCTGGGATTACAAGCGTCAGCTACCACACCTGGCCCAGGAGTTTGTTTTCTAAAAGTCACATATCTAATGTCAATAATGCTAAAACCTGAATTTGTAATAAGTAGGAGGTAATGCCTGTTATCCCCTAAATAACAACAACAATAACAACAAACACCCATTTCTCTTTGGACAGTGGAAAACCAGAGCTAATTTACTAACTCCTTTAGAGGTTCAGCAGCTTCATCCATCTTGACTAAATTGTAGTGTAGCTATCCAGTGCTTTGCAGAGAAGAGTGGGAGATATTTATCAGGTTTTCTTGCTATTTTGTAAAGGTTGAGGGAATGGTACCCAGCTGCAAAGGAAGATGCTTTTCTTACTGAGGTGAAGGTTTTTTGAACTTTCCTTTCCAAACCAGGGCCCTAGGACACTGAGTCGGCCTGAAGAGCCAGGGCTGGCCTGCTAGAGTCAATGAATGTTAGCAAGAGAATGCCCAGGGGTCTGGGCAGAGTTGAAATCTGAAGAGAGTATCTGTGGCTCTAGAAGGCCAAAGTAGGAGTCACAGAAGGCCTGACTCCATCTGTGAATCAGGCAGGGAACTGTTAAATGCCCTAGCCTACTCAAAGAAGTGTGAGACAAAATACATGAACACGAGTCAGAAAATCCAGGGCTCCACTAAACAGGAAATTTGTTGAGAGAATCACCTGGGAAAACAAAGAGTTGTTATCAGAGGATCTCTTAGTGAAGTTTGACAGAAAAGAGAACTAATGTTTATTGATGCTATCTTATATATATCTCATTGAACATAATCATCATTTCTCCAGAAGTTAAAAAATGCTTGAAATAAAAGGCCAAAGAAAGTTAGTAAGTAATAAGTAAGTAAATGAATGAATGAATGAATAAATGAGTGAAAGGCAGTAAAGGTACTAGCTTTATAAGGCTCACTTTTGCATCTATGGTATTGTATGATGGTATGGAATATTCTAGACAAGAGAATTGGCTGATGCCAAATAGTGATATGTATCAGACACTATACAGCCCTTAGTTCGTGGATGTCCTGACAAAGACTCTATTTGGCCAAACTTGGGCTCTTTTTGACTAAGCCTCAACCTTGGCCTATAAGAGTTGCAGACACTCAGTATAAATGATTTCATTCATCTCCCTTCCCACCTCCCCCCACAGCCTCCTGCCACCCAAACACACAATAAGAGAACCGAACAAACCCTAGCATAGTTTGTAGCTCAAGGTCTTATCCTGGGATGACCTGCAGCCCTCTCCTTCCTTTTAAGTTTCTACTTGGGAAAGCTCAAGGCTGCCAAAAGAATTTATTTCAGTCAACACCTGAAGATAGGGGAACAATCTCCTAGTCTCTGTGGGAGGGTAGGAGCCTAACTTAGATAAGCACCAGTTAGCAAACCCACATGGCTTAATCACATTGACCAACCCACCAACCCACTTTTTGTAATTTCTCACTTCCCTGACTGCTCAAGCCCCAGCTCATTTCTCCTCCTTACTCCCTCATTCTCTGTTTAAAACACCAGTGACTTCTACATGGACTGAAGTTGAGCTCTGATTACACTGGACTGTCTTCCCTACTGCAGTAATTACTGAGTAGAATCTGACTTTAGTTTCTTTAACTAGTGTGTCCAGGTTGGTTTCTCTTTGACAGTTTTTATAAGTTTGTATGGCTCTAGTTGTGAGATGTCATTTTCCCCTCACTTGTGCTAGGTTATGTGCCTTTACAGATCCGTCTAACCCTATGGGTTCCATGGTTCTTGGCTGCTAATGGCAGGAACTTTAGACCCCTATCTGATCCATCTGGAACTAAGGGATGCCCAGAGAGAACACGGAAGTACTGAGGCATTATGCCCTGTGGGGCAAACTTGGCTAAAAAGAGACAGGAGTCAGAAAGGAGAAGCAGATAAATTGTCCACCTTCTTCTCCCTGACAGATGATTTCAAGACACAGGACTCATGTGGTCTTTCTTGAAAGATCCCATGACACTGAGCGATTAGTTGCGTGCCTTGTAAAGCTGTGGTCAGCTTAGTAATACACTCCTTTGTGTTTGCCCTTTCTCCTTCCCTGCCCTACTGTTTAATTAATTAACTAATTTATTTATTTATTTTTGAGATAGAGTCTCACTCTGTCGCCCAGGCTGGAGTGCAGTGGCACGATCTGTGCTCACTGCAACCCCTGTCTCCCAGGTTCAGGTGATTCTCCTGCCTTAGCCTCCCAAGTAGCTGGGAGGTGACTGCCACTGCGCCCAGCTAATTTCTGTATTTTTAGTAGAGACAGGGTTTCACCATGTTGACCAGGCTGGTCTTGAACCTCTGATCTTAGGTGATCCACCTGCCTCAGCCTCCCAAAGTGCTGGGATTACAGGCGTGAGCCACCATGCCTGGCCTATTTTTTATTTTTATTTTTTTTGAGACAGAGTCTTGCTCTGTTGCCCAGGCTGGAGTGCAGTGGTGGGATCTCAGCTCACTGCAACCTCTATCTCCTGGGATCAAGTGATTATCCTGCCTCAGCCTCCCGAGCAGCTGGGACTACAGGTATGCACCACCATGCCCAGCTAGTTTTTGTATTTTTAGTAGAGACAGGGTCTCATCATGTTGGGCAGGCTGGTCTAAAACTCCTGGCCTCAAGTGATCCACCCACCTCAGCCTCCCAAAGTGTGGGGATTACAGGTGTGAGCCATCACACCCAGCCTTTTTTTTTTTTTTTTTTTTTTTTTTTTAAAGACGGCATCTCTGTCTGTCACCTAGGCTGGAGCATAGTGGCATGAGCACAGCTCACTGCAGCCTCAAACTTATGGGCTCAGGCAATCCTCTCACCTCAGTCTCCTGAGTACCTAGGACCACAGGTGCATGCTACCATATCCAGCTAATTTTTTTTTTTTGAGACGGTGTCTCGCACTGTCACCCAGGCTGGAGTGCAGTAGTGTGATCTCTGCTCACTTCAACCTCTCCCTCTTGGGTTCAAGTGATTCTCCTGCCTCAGCCTTCCGAGTAGCTGGGATTACAGGCACTCACCACCATGCCCAGCTAATTTTTTGTATTTTTAGTAGAGACAGGGTTTCACTATGTTGGCCAGGCTGGTCTCGAAACTCCTGACATTGTGATCTGCCTGCCTCGGCCTCCCAAAGTGCTGGGATTACAGGCATGAGCCACTGCGCCTGGCCAATTTTTAAATTTTCTATATAGACAGGGTCTCACTCTGTTGCCAAGCTGGGCTCAAGTGATCCTCCTGCCTTGGCCTCCCAAAGTGCTGGTATTACAGGCATGAGCTGCCACGCTCAGCGCTATTCCTCTTTTTCCCTCACTCTTTCTTCCCTGCACCCTCTAATAAAATATTAGCATAAAAGCTTTCCCTCAGGCTTTGTTTTTTTTTTTTTTAGGGAACTAAGGCTAAGCAAATGAATTCTAGTGTTTGCCCAAAAAAGCAAACTCTCAGGATGGAATTTCAATTGCCTATTGACTAAAGGCAATGGAGACCCCATTGCTAGTGGCAAGTGGAGCCATAATAACCTCTTGCAGTGGGATCACAATTTATGCAGCTTTTGCTTGTGGTTTATTGGGAGGAGATACAAAGCAGAAGGAGAGGCATTGGGAGATCAGCATGTGGAAAATTGTAAGGCTGTATGGGTGGCTAATTTTGGTGTCAGTGCCAGTCTTATAAAAAGAGAATGGTAGGCTCAGGAAAGCTAATTGTGAACTTAAGGGATCCTCTAAAAACCAGAGGTCTCAATAGCAGTAGGGCCTCAGGGTAGAACAAATAGAAAATCAGATCCAGATTCTAATTATAAGGACAGTAGAGATGTAAAGGAAATTAAATTTGCAGCTTCAATGAATATACTATATTATAGTCTGGTCCCAGATGGTGAAGAGGGCACACAGACTTGGGATAAGGCTATCTGAATGAATAAACCTAAGAATCCTGAACTGAAAATTCACCTGAAGTTTCTGGGCCAATGCAATCCATCTGCTCCCCTTTGCTAAAGGATAACTGCTTCCCCCTGCCTAGAGACTATGCAAGAATCTCACCTAAAGCAGGTGCCTAACAAGATGATATTTGCTCGCCTCACAAGCTGCCTCCACCACACCCGACTGCTTCCAGGCCAATAACCAGGATTGTACTTCAGCATAGCCTGAGAGGGAAGGTACAGTCCTTGCTCAGGGAAGAAATAGCTTACTTATCAAACAAATGGCTGAATTTGACCATTATATACAAGCAGGAAACCCAGCAACATGTGTAGAAGTTGATTTTGAGGATATCACGTTGGGGGAAAAATATAAAGATGAATAGGAGAGAATTCACTGGTTATGGGATCTTCTCCCATGACTCGGGATTCAGTGTTCTGGGACCTAGGGCTGGTCTAAATATACTATTAGGTTGGCTCCTTGAAGCTTGGACATGATAATGCCCTAGAGTATGTGAGTAAAGTTGTCAGACATCTTGGCATTATATTGAGTAAACGGGACATATGAATCAAAGATGTAGGAACTTTAGAATGGATATATCTGAGAATCCATTACTAACTGTCTTCTCTGGAAGGAGCCAGAGAAAATTCATATTTCCAAAACAATGGGAGATATACTAATATTGGGTATATTCCTTTCTTTAGGAAGCTTGCTGGTACCTGTTCTCTGCAGTTCATGGAATCAGGCTGCCTAATATCAATGGGGATGATGGGATTCCAGAATGATAGAGACCAGTGGCAGGACTTAATTCTCAGAGGTGGGATGGACATAATTATTGTAATGGGCATCAGAGTCAGGGTGGTTATTAGAGTGTTTTGACCTACATGAATATGTGGCAATTTTAGGGGCAAGATAAATGGATAACTGACCAGGTTGTTGCCTGATTTGTATGACAAAAGAGAATTGAAAGCTGGAAAGTAGAAAGCTGACATCAGTACTGCTATGGAAAAATCACCCAGTCCCAAGAACTAAATTGATTTATAGACCTAGAGGCCATTGACTCAAGAGGAAATCCTCCCCTTGAAGAAGAACCTGGTAATGCCACCAAATATTTTTGTGATCCTTCCCTAAAAGGACCAGTGGCCATTTATCAGAATAACTGTGCCAGAGGGAAAGGGAATATCCAGGCTTTTAAAATCTGTGAGATATAAAGCCTAAGCTGGTACTTACATTAGGAGATCCTGAATGCCATTCTGGTCCTCTAGTTACAATAGGAGTTATGGTGGTCAGATGATAAATGGAGTCTTAGCCCCAATTCACTTCACAGTAGAATTAGTGAGTAGTTATTTTCCTAGTCCTTGAATATATAAATGGAAAGAGTATCAAGTGGAACAGATATCAGACCCCTCACATGAGTTCCCTGCACTGTGTAAATGAACAACTGTTATTTTCAGAAAAGCCAAGTAGAAGTGTCAGAAACTGACTATACCCTCACCCTCAGACAAGAATGTAAATTAAAACCATATCTTAACCCAGAAAATATTGCAGGAATTAGCACCACTATCAGACTTGAAGAATGTAGGCCTGTAGGAGAGGGGTAAGGTGGTCCTCATCCCATTCCCTTTCAATTCTTGCCACTTCTCTTAAAACCAGATGGATCATAGCAGATGATGGTGAGCCCCCATATGCCCAGTCTGGTGGTGGTTCCACTCATGTCAGGGGATAGGATATGATTATGATTATTATTATTATTATTGTTTTTTGAGATGGAGTTTTGCTCTTGTTGCCCGGGCTGGAGTGCAATGGTGCAATCTTGGCTTACTGCAACCTCCACCTCCTGGGTTCAAGTGATTCTCCTGCTTCAGCCTCCCCAGTAGCTGGGATTACAGGGCCCACCACCACGCCCGGCTAATTTTTGTATTTTTAGTAGAGATGGGGTTTCACCATGTTGGCCAGGCTGGTCTCGAACTGCTGACCTCAAGTGATCCACCCGCCTCAGCCTCCCAAAGTACTGGGATTACAAGCATGAGCTACTGCGCCCGGCAGATATGATCATCTTTACAGAAGCACATCAATTTATCCTCTAGGATTTATGCAGGATCAGTTTATTAATGCTTTTTTTTCTAATTTCCATTAGTAGGAGGAATCAAATCAATTTGGCTTTACAGGACAGGCAGGCACAGCATGAATTTAATGTCTCTTGGGGCAAATTTTGCCAACGGGAGAAAGGAGATGGGAAAAAGCTGGTAGATAAATTCCTTGCCCTTCAAAGATTCCAAGAGGCCTGGGTACGGTGGCTCATGTCTGTAATCCCAGCACTTTGGGAGGCCGAGGCGGGTGGATCACTTGAGGTCAGGAGTTCGAGACCAGCCTGGCTAACATGATGAAACCCTGTCTCCACTAAAAATACAAAAATTAGCCAGGCGTGGTGGCTCGCGCCTGTAATCCCAACTACTCGGGAGGCTGAGGCAGGAGAATTGCTTCAATCCGAGAGGCAGAGGCGGAGGTTGCAGTGAGCTGAGATCACACCACTGCACTCCAGCCTGGGCAACACAGTGAGACTCCATCTCAATAAAAAACATAGCAAAACAAACAAAACAAAACCAAAAAAACCCACAAAGATTCCAAGGGGCAGGGATTCCAACTAGCCTCTCTGGTGATATCCCACGTTACCAAGAAACTTGTTAGATCTCTTTCATAGGTGTGGCCAGCTCAGTAAACACACAATCAATCTTGTGTTACTATTTTCTCCTTTCCTGCCTCACCTGCCTTTTCCCCTCACTCTTACCTCCCTGGGACTGAATCGCTAACAAAGAATTAGCACAAAGTTTGCTTCATGTTCTGTTTTCTAAGAAATCTGAGCTAAGAAAATGGCCATCACTCTCGCCTTACCCAACCAGGTGGTTGACTTTAGAAAGGAAAACAACTATGTAGATAAGCAGAAGTGAGTTTTTGAAATACAGTTTCTCTCTGCTATTTCTATAAAAATTAATAGAGAGAATGAAGTAAAAATCAAAGATTGCTTTTAAAAGTTAACAGCAGGTGGCATTTAGAAATACTTGCACAACAGAAATATGAACTCTATTTTCCTCTGGAATAACTAGCCAGATGTCTTAGCTTATAAATTGACTTACTATTCCTTAATAAAATTAACATTAATTGGAGGTATAGAGGCTTTGAATAGCCATGTAGCATCTGATAACTTTTATTTACATTTATCATGTAATATGTATCAGCAAGCCAGTGTTCATGAGCAGTTCTTTTTAAGATAGCAAGTACTAAATATTTAAAATCTCTGTGCCAGAATCCAAATATGATTGGCATTCTGATTTGGAAAATATTTTAAGGAGACAGTTTCTACCATTAATGATAAAAGTTGGGTTGTAGCATTAGTTTAGCAGCCAACCTGTGAAATGCTGAGTTTAATCCTCAAACCTCTGAGGTGCTGGGCGTATTTGGAAGACCTGGAGCAAGTTCCTGCATTTTCAGTGAAAAAGGCAAGAATTAAAGGCCTCTTGGGGGAGACAAGCTCTGAGGTTCCCAGGCTTTCTGGTTTAACAAAGCTTTGGTGTACCTTCAGGGCACAGCTGAAGGTACAGCTTTTAATTTAACTCTATTTTTCTGAGCAGAACTAACTAAACATGTTGAGTAATTTTATTTCTTTGTTTAATTGTCATTTTCCATTTCACTGTATTCCATAATATGCTGTGTAACAGAGTCTAGAGATGTACATACCAGTGAGCGTGGTCTCTGCAGGGGGTTGGACCTAGGGAAGAGGGTTTGCAGGCCCTAGGAGCATTTTTGAGGCTACTTGGGCAGAGCATTCTGTGGTCCCAGGAATCCCAAGTGTGATCTGGAAGTGTGGGAGGTATTGGGTCCTGCTAGGCATATCCCTTGGCATGTAGACCTCACCCTACAGTGAAGGAGTTTGCAGAAAGAAATTCAGCAAGATGGGACCCTATAAAGTTCGGGACTCAGGGCAGGTCCTGGATCTTGAGGTGGTACCAGAGCTTGGCATAATCAGGGAACAAAAAGACTGTTGAGGCTGGATAAAAGTAAGCATAGGAAGCTTGGTAATAAGATAAATTGATGAGCCAAACCTTGAAGACCATGAGAAGGTGTTTGGATTTTTGTTTTGTTGGGATGGTTGTCTGCCAGTCAGACGGCACTTACAGCTGCAGACCCTTAAGTGGGAGCTGACTTGGGATCTTGTATGAGTTTATCTGCAAAGCTTTGAGACAAGACCTTCTGCAAAAAGAGCTTGAGATTTTAGCTAGTCTGTGGTCAAGTAGAGGTTAAAGTAGGCCATAATATAAGGACGTAGCCAAAATGATATCACAGCCCTGAGGAAGGAGCTTTTCTATTATATGACTTACTGATGCACACACTTGGGCCTAGAACTGGAAACAGTACCTGTTCCAGCTAACCCAAGAGCTGGGCAGGAGGTAGAAGGCTGCACACTTTGCTATGAGGCTGACAAATCTGGCTGAGTATCCTTTTGTGTTTCATGATGGCTTCGCCTTTACTTACAAACACCCTGAGATTTTTTACAGCAATACCCTTGGATGCCCTCATTTGCCTCTTACCTTTTTATAAACTGAATCCAGTTTGTCTGACATTTCAATCTCTGGTATTTGGGTTACATATTAGTTCTCTGTCTTGCCAGCTTTCAAATGTAGCCTTCTCTAATGGATTCTGACTTACTTGGCCTTTCTGACCTCCTGATGCCACATAGCAAATACTGTTCCATTTTTGTCCCCTTGGAAAGTAACTTTTACCCTAGCTAGAACAACCTCTGCCTCTCAGCAAGGCGAAATTGAATATTTTGTTTTGGGCCACTGAATTCAGAGAAATCTGCTTGATTGCCCTGGCAACAAGGCAATGGTCTGCTTTTTTTTTTTTTTAATCTTTTTTTTTTTTTTTACCTTTTTTTTTTGTCCCTGAACCTAGGGAATAAGATATTACAGGAGGAAAATTCAGACCCCTGAGGACAGGCTTCTGCTGGGTTCACCCAATCAGTTGAGGTTGGGATGGAGATACAGCTGGGGCTAGCAGCTGCTGTGGGAAGCCAAGTCTACCTCTATTCAACAATCCAGAGGGATTCAGAGGCAATTCAGCAAAAACTCTCTGAAATCAAACAGTCATAATGATTTATGAATATCCAGAGCTTTGGTTGGGAACGGGCAAGGGCATTGGTGGGTGCAAACTGATTATGTTTCCAACACATTGTACTTTAGGAGACATGGAGGGTGACGGTCCTGCTCCTGAAGCCCCACAGTCATTTTTGGAGGGGGTAAATGAAGGTCTACCCACAAGAACTGATAGGCATTGCTCATCTACCAGGAGGAAGGGTTAAGACCTCCACAGCTTTTTCAGCTATCCTGGGGGAAGTGAGAGGGACTAATACAAACTTTCACAGTTCAGCCACAGCCTAAAGAAAGGATTATGCAATGAGCTGGCTCAGGTCACCAGGTTTGAGCCTCCCAGTATTAACAAGCTTCTGTGCAAGGCTAGAGGTGAGACTGGCACACAACCATGCCTCTTCTTTTTCTTGGGTGGTAGCAGAGTAGTGTGTATGTACATGTCCATTTGTTTCTGCCTGTCTCCCTATCCTTAAGCAGGTCATCTATATTCCTACAAGATGTAATTCCTGTTCTTGATGCAGACTGCATTATTCATACTCTACTTCTAAAAGATGCTTGCTTAAAGAATATCTATTGCACAAAAAGTGTATATTATTTTAATTTTAGAGGTTTTTTTAAACTGGTGATAATATTCAAGAATGCCTTCCTTTAGCAAATGGCCTCTTCCTTATAGAGAAAACCTTTAGAAATGCTTTGCATGTGATGTTGCATTATACAGAAGCCCCTGGGCAATCTTTGGTAATAATGGCTAATGTTTAATAGTGGCAGCAGAACTTCTGCCATTTGGGAGGCAACAGAGTAGCTAAGAACTTGGCTCTGAGTCAGGTGGACCTGGATTCAAATGTCTGCGGTGCCATTTATAAGTTATGAAGACTTGGGCAAGTTCCTTAACATCTGCCTTGATTTTCTCATTTGTAAAATGGGAGTATTAATTCCTTTCTCAAAGGGCTTTACTGAGAATTAGAGAAGATAATATATGTGAAGTCCTTGGCACATAGCAAGTACTCAAATGCATGATATGGACATTTACTGGACTCTATCACTGTCCTCACACTGATTAATAATCTTTAAATATTTGCAGAACATAGGTGCAGTGGCTGTAAGCTGAGCTACTTGAGAGGCTGAGGTGGGAGGATAGCTTAAGCCCAGGAGTTCAAGTCCAGCCTGAGCAACACAGTGAGACCTTGATTTCTAAAAAAAAAAAAAAAGTGCAGGACATTTCTTACATGTGAAAATGTTTGTTACTGAAGTGTCATATGAAAAAGCCTGTTTTCAAATCATGATGTAGTTTCTTTTTTTCAGAAAAACTTGCAGTGTGGAAATATTCTCATGTACTAGAAATTGATTCCATTGTTTTGCTAAGGGCCTCCCAAAAAGGATAAATATGATTTGGTGGCCTAGCTTGCATATAAACAATGAGCTAGAGCTCACTTAGTAATGGCATCTTTTCAGGGTTAACTAGACTTTCAGCTTCACTGAGAAGACTGCATGAGTCATTTTCTCTCTGTTTCACGTGCTCTTTCACACAGTTATGCTAAAGCAGCTAAAATGCAGTTTAATAATTTGAATTTAGACAAACTTAACTCTCTGAACTTCAGTAAAGTGTATTTGTATCAGATATGCTTTAGTTTTCATGATCAAAAAGCCCAAAGAAGCTAAAATTAAACTTCCTTCCGACTTTTACTCATTCCTTTACATTTCTAAGCAAGTGAGACTCAAAATCATGGCTTTGATTCTATAGGAATCAGTGAATGTGCCAGCCAGAGGCCTCAGAATTCTTTAAAACCTGACCAGAAGGAAGGGAACGTATTTCTTGATCTCCAGAATGATCAAAAGGCAATATGAAAAGCTCTCAAGCAAAAAGGATACAAAATTATTCCTTGTCTTATGAATCTAACAGGTCCAAAAGATGTCAATACATCTTCCTCCCTCATTTGAGGGTTACACAAGCAGTCCCCATGTCAGAATGGCAGAATTCCAGCGGTTCGTTTGCAGAAGTAAGTTCTGTGGGACTCAGGATGCGTTCTCCATAGTAACCACATTATGTCTGCCTGGTGGTTAGCTAGGTTTAATCCATAATCCTCTGAAGTAGAGTTCCAGAATTACAGGACTTGACCACCTCATTTTTTTTTTTTTTTTTTTGAGATGGAGTCTTGCTCTGTCACCAAGGCTGGAGTGCAGTGGCACGATCTCGGCTCACTGCAACCTCCATCTCCTGGGTTCAAGCAATTCTTCTGCCTCAGCCTCCCCAGTAGCTGAGATTACAGGTGTGTACCACCATGCCTAGCTAATTTTTGTATTTTTAGAAGAGACGGGGTTTCACCATGTTGGCCAGGCTGGTCTTGAACTCCTGACCTTGTGATCCACCCGCCTCGGCCTCCCAAACTGCTGGGATTACAGGCTTGAGCCACTGCACCTGGCCCATGAAGAGTATTTTTATAGGAAGATGTGTGGGACCAGCTAAGGATGCCAGGCATGGGGGAATCTTCCTTTCCCCAACTTCCCTCATTTCTGAGCCTCTGTAGCCTAGGGCAGAAAATTCTCCCTAGAAGATGATTGGGAGGAAGGTAATGAGATGTGGAGCTGGAGGCCTTCAGAGTTTGGGAGTTGGAGGATGCCACCTCGTGAGAAGCTGTGAGTCTTTCTTGATCAGCTTGGGCAGCTCCTGGCTTACTTCCTTTCTTTTCATCTGCTGACCCTCAACATTGATCCTCTTGCTTCTCCCTTCACTGCCACAAACAACCTCTTCCTTGAGAGAAGCATTTTTCTCTTCTCATTTTAGATCAGAATAGAGTCCCCTCTACTTGCCTGGCTTGGAAGTAAATACATGGATTTAGTCCCATACTCTATGGAGTTAAAAAATTTCCCTGACCCTTTTCTTGTATTGCAAATTATTTCTACAGGTAAGGTTTAAGCCCTCATTAATGGCAAATATTTTTCAACTTAAGGAACTGGTGTAAAATTCATCCACATTTCAGGGGGAATCCTAGATTTAGGCTTTCATAAACATTTCTTCAAGAGTTGTGGCTGATGGAGGTATGGGGGTGAAGAACATCACAATGAAGTTTGTGTAGTGCAGAATAGTGTAAAATGACCATGTGAGTAGCACCCCCTTGTGTTGAAGAAGAGGTGTGAGTGTGGGAGGTTGCTGGAAGAAGGGGTGTATTACAGATATTCTTTTTATTCCTTTTCGCTAAATCCCTTCCTGCAGGGGCAGGAGCCCGGGATGCAGGGTTGGGCTGCTCAGAGACTGCTGAGTAAAGTAATTCAAGAGACAGTACCTCGGAGTAAAAACCACAACTAAGATGCCATCAAAAGGGACCATGGAGAGAGGTGAAATTCAAGTGGCAAAGGGATGGACAGTAGGGGAAGGTTGGCCCAAGCAAGAGATTTCCAGTGGAGTCTGAAGAGACTCCTTGAGCTGTCACCTGGAAGAGCACGCTAAGGATTTTCTTTTCTAAAACTCTGAAGTTCTAGAAGGGAAGGAAACTTTTTTTTTTCTTTTAGAGATGGGGTGTCACTCTGTCACCCAGGCTGGAATGCAGTGGTGCAATCATAACCCACTGAAGCCTCGAACTTGAACTGAGGCTCAAGCAATCCTCCCACCTCAGCCTCCCTGGTAGCTGGGACCACAGGCATGTGCCACCATACCCAGCTAATTTTTGTTTTTTATAGAGACAGGGTCTTGCTATGTTGCCCAGGCTGGTTTTCAGCTCCTGGGCTTAAGCGGTTGTTCTGCCTCAGCTTCCCAAAGCACTGGAATTATAGGCATGAGCCACTATGCTCAGGCAGAAGGAAACTTTTGAAGGAGCTGAGTAGACTTGCGTATCTTTCCTTAGATCACCATCAATCCTGCCTGGGCTAAGGTCAAAAGAGTGTCAGAACAGAATACTTTAAAGCATTCTGGAGGCAACACCTGAGCAGGTGAGGTGAGCAGAGGATTAAGAGCCAGGAGGCTGGCCGGGCGTGGTGGCTCACGCCTGTAATCCCAGCACTTTGGGAGGCCGAGGTGGATGGATCACGAGGTCAGGAGATCGAGACCATCCTGGCTAACAAGGTGAAACCCCGTCTCTACTAAAAATACAAAAAATTAGCCGGGCGTGGTGGCGGGCGCCTGTAGTCCTAGCTACTCGGGAGGCTGAGGTAAGATGGCGTGAACCCGGGAGGTGGAGGTTGCAGTGAGCCGAGACCGCCACTGCACTCCAGCCTGGGTGACAGAGCGAGACTCCATCTCAAAAAAAGAAAGAAAAAAAAAAAGAGCCACGAGGCTTAACAACCAGATCTATGGCAGAATTAGTCTTTGGCTTCCTTCATGCTCTTCAGTTTTTAGCGTCTTAAGATGCCTTCTTGGTTTGGATGAATTTGCCTTTCTGACTCCAGCTACCCTGATCTTTTGTTGAAGCTGTAATTTGTCATCATGCTTACCCCATTTCTAAGCATAAGCCAGGTCCCTCTTCTTGGCTCAGCCCTGCCTCCTTCCTGTCCCATGGAGTTTGGTCTGAGGAAGACTCAGTCAATTCCTGAGCTTTCTTTCTTCTTGTCATTTATTTATTGATCACTTGCTGTGTGTCGGATACTGCACTGAATGCTGGGGATTAGGGATTCAACATATAAATTTGGGGAGGGACGTAATTTATTCCATACAGATGTGAGGGAATTAGCTATATGGATATCCGAAGGAAGAACATTTATTTTAATCACATACAAAAATAATTAGAACCTCCATTGCCTTTCAGACAAGGCCCAGGTCGATTAGTTGGTTGGAGGGTCAGGTGTTATAAATATGCCATATAATGGATAAGGAGGGTGGTGGTCTATATTCAGAATCCTTGTTCAAACCCCATTTCTGCCACTTATTAGCAGTGTGTTTTTGGGAAAGTTACTTTACCTCATAGGGAAGGAAAAATATCTTTCCTTCTACCTATTTTAGGTTCATGGCTAAGGTCCCTGTAACAACATGCAGATTAATAAGAGAAAAGCCCGCAAATTTATTTAATGTAAGTTTTACATGACTTGGAGACTTCATACAGAAATAAAAATCTGAAGAAACCATTAAACCTGAGGGTTGTGTGTGGGTTTTTTTTAATGCTAGGTTTGATGAAGAATGGGTAGTTGTGGAGAAATATGACAGGAAAAAGGGTGTGATCTAATGGTAATAAACTGGGAGAAACTTAGCAAGTCCTTGGAATCTTAACAAGTCAGATTCTTCTCTGTGACCCTTTATCTTCAGAGATAAAGATGTTCCTCTTTCCCAGGCATAGGAAGACACTTCTCACATGAGGGTCTTATAACCTGCTTCAGGGAAAGGTCAGAAAATCCTTCCTAGGTTTTATGACCTGCTTGATGGGAGAAGGGAGGGAGATGAGGAAAGTGAGACTTGCCTTCCTGCTTCTGCTGTTTTCTCAAATTTCTTTTCTTTCCTTTTTTTTTTTTAAAGGGATAGGGTTTCACTCTCTTGCCCAGGTTGGAATGCAGTGGTGTGATCATAGCTCACTGCACCCTTGAAACCCTGGGCTCAAGCAACCTTCTTCCTGCCTCAGCCTCCTGAGTACCTGGGATTACAGGTGCCCAGATTGTTTTCTCAAATTTCTTCAGCTTAAAATGTTCACAATGCTGAGGTGCCATATTTTTGGGGTAGCATGTCCTGAGCCCCATCAATTTCTTTGAGTCTTGGTTTCTTAATCTGTAAAACAGGAATAATTAAAAACCTATCTTAAAGAGCTATAATAAGGATTAAATGAATTAAGGCATGAAAAACATTAGAATAGTTCCTTGTCCACAGTAAGTGGCATATAAATGCTAGCTTTTATTTTTATAAATATGTTTGCCTCCTTGACAAATGTACATATTGCAAATTGGCCAATCTTTGGTGACCCCAAACATGTGAGTTGCCTATCTTCTTCTATAAGATTCTGATGTGCTTATCAGGCTTTCTTACTTAGCGAGCAAGAAGGTCAGAGATCAAGGGGCAAACTAAGTCAGAAAAAATCTGTTAGGAAAAGATAAGAGGCATTTGATGGGAATACCTGGTTTAAATACCAAGTTTTAAGGGCCACAGGTAGGCTCAAAATTTGGGCTGCAGAGAGCCAAAGGTTTGGAGTCAGACAGAAGCAAGGACTTTAGAGGGAGAAAAAAGGTTCAGCGTGACAGCAGGCCAGGAATAAAAGAAGGTGTCCACAATGACTGCTGCGAAGGTGCACCCCTTTCTCAGCTCCTCAACCAACCCCATCAGGAGGCTACGTGAAAGGCTCTGGTGAGAGTCGAGGGTATGTAAATAGGCTGGTAAATAGTTATGCTGGGTCTTAAGCTTGCAATGGATATATGGATGTTTATTATGTTGTAATTTAATTTACTTCCCCCCCAATGTGAACATAAACTCCATGAAGACAGTTGTTTTTTTTTTTTTAAGAGACAGGGTCTTGCTCTGACCCTGTCTGGAGTGCAGTGGTGTGACTGTAACTAACTCACTGTAAGCTCAAACTCCTGGGTTTAAGCCATCCTTCTGCCTCAACCACCTAATTAACTAGGACTCGAGGCATGCGCCACAGCACCTGGCTAATTAAAAAAAATTTTTTTGGCCGGGTGCAGTGGCTCACACCTGCGGCCAAGGTGGGTGGATCACCTGACGTCAGGAGTTCCAGACCAGCCTGGCCAACATGGTGAAAGCCCCATCTCTGCTAAAAACACAAAAATTAGCCAGGTGTGGTAGCTCGTGCCTGTAATCCCAGCTACTCTAGAGGCTGAGGCAGGAGAATTACTTGAACCCAGGAGGAAGAGGTTGCAGTGAGCCGAGATTGTGCCACTGCACTCCAGGCTGGGCGACAGAGTGAGACAGGGTCTTGCTATGTTGCTGAGGCTAGTCTTGAACTCCTGGCCTCAAGTCATCCTCCTGCCTTGGCCTCCCAAAGTGCTGGGATTATAGGCATGAGCCACCACACTGCCTAAAACAGAATTTTGGTCTGTTTTGCTCCCTGCTGTATCCCTAGCACCTAAACTGTACCTGACACATGGTAAAAATGCAACAAATATTTGTTGGGTGAACAGATAAACTTTTTCATAAAACAAAAATAATATGCTATGAACATAGGCTCTTCCTCCTAGTCAGGGTGGTAGTGTTTCCCTAGCTTTCCCACTGGTTCCCAAGACTGCCCTTCTGATCCATAACTTTCTAGTGAGAACAGTTACCAGAGTTTTGACAACAGTGACCCTAAATCCAGAACCCAGTTAATGAGACTCTCAGGTTCCCCTCACAGGGTTGTTAAGGGAGATTGAAGTGGCATAGGGTTAATAATATGGTCTGGGTGAGCTGAGGGCACCAGAAAACTGAGAGAGTAGATATACATGAAGATGTGCAGGGAGAATCAGAAGACAAGAATTGGTGATTTCTATTACCTTAACCTTGGTGACTTTTCTCATTTCTGGCAGGGGTATGAGATTTAACAAGTAGAGAGGGTTTCTGTGGTAGATAAGTTCATGACCTGATTCATACTCACTTATTTGGAATTGTATCCTGTCCCTAATCCTGGCTAAGGTGTGAGTCTAGGTGGTCACACAACTCTCTGCACCTTTCTTAAAGGAAATGCTTCCAGTCTTTCGTCATTGAGTGTTTGCTGTGAGTTTGTCATATGTGCCTTTTATTATGTTGAAGTAGTTGCCTTTTGTTCCTAATTTGTTGAGTGTTTTTTATCATGAAAGTGTACTGAATTTTGTCAAATGCTTTTTTTTTGCTTCAATTGAGATGATCATGTTTTTTTTTTGCCTCCATTCTGTTAATGTGAGGCAAAACGATCAATTATATTGATCGTTTCTATGTTGAACCATCCTTGCATTTCAAGATTAAACCCCACTTGATCATGATACAAAATCTTTTCTACTGTCCTGCTAAATTCAGTTTGCTAACATTTTATTGAGGATTTTTGCATCAATATTTATAAGGGATATTGGTCTGCAGTTTTCTTTTCTTGTAGTGATTTCTTGCTTTGATATTAGGGCAATGCTAGCCTCATAGAATGAGTTGCAAAGTATTCCCTCCTGTTCAATTTTTTTGTGAAAAGTTTGAGATGGGTTGGTATTAATTCTGTAAATGTTTGGCAGAATTCACCAGTGAAGCCATCGATCTTGGGCTTTTCTTTGTTGGGAAATTGTTTTCATTACTGATTCAATCTCAAATTAGTTGTAGATCTATCCAGATTTTTTATTTATTAATGACCCAGTCTTGGTAGATTTTGTGTTTCTAGGAATTTGTCCATTTCATCCACTTTCTCCAATTTGCTTATGTAGTCTGTTATAATCATTTTTACTTTTGTAAAATCTACAGAAATGTCTCCATTTTCATTTCTAATTTCAATAACTTGAGTCTTCTGTGTTTTTTTTCCCCATCTAGCTAACGCCTTGTCAGTTTTGTTGATCTTTCAAAAAAATCAGTTTTGGTTTCATTAATTTTCGCTGTTCTTGTTTCTATTCTCTGCCATTTATCTCTGCTCTAGTCTCTATTATTTCCTTCCATTAGCTTCGTGTTGAATTTGTATTTCTTTTTTCTAGTTTCTTAAGTTGTGAAGTTGTATAAAAATTTGATATATTTTTCATTTTTTTGTTGTAGGCATTTATAGCTATAAATTCCAACTGAGGACTGCTTTTGTGGCATCCCATAAGTTTCGGTATATTGTGTTTTGGTTTTCATTTGTTGATAAGTATTTTCTAATATACTTTGTGATATCATTTTAGCTCATTGATTATTTAAGAGTATGTTGTTTAAATTCTACAAATTTAAGAATTTTATAGTTTTACTTCTGTTATTAATGTCTAAGTTTGTTCTGTTGTGGTCGGAGAAGATATTTTTTATGACCTCTATTTTTTTTGAAATGGAGTCTTGCTCTGTTGCCCAGGCTGAAGTGCAGTGGCGTGATCTCAGCTCACTGCAAGCTCTACCTCCTGGGTTCACACCATTCTCCTGCCTCATCCTACTGAATAGCTGGGACTACAGGCACCCGCCACCAGGCCCAGCTAATTTTTTGTGTTTTTAGTAGAGATGGGGTTTCACCGTGTTAGCCAAGATGGCCTTGATCTCCTGACCTCGTGATCCGCCCACCTTGGCCTCCCAAAGTGCTGGGATTACATGTGTGAGCCACTGCACCCAGCCTATGACCTCTATCTTTTAAAATCAATTGAGACTTAACTTGTGGCCCAATATATGATCCATCCTGGGAAATGTCCCATGTGCATTTGGGAAGAATGTATATGCTGCTGTTGTTGGGTAGAGTGTTCTGTATATGTCTGTTAGATCTAGTTGGTTTATTTTGTTAAGTCCTCTCCTTCCTTGCTTATCTTCTGTCTGGTTGTTCTTTTATTTACAGTGGGATATTTAAGTCTCCAACTATTATTGTAGAACTCTCTATTTCTCCCTTTCATGCTGTCAGTTTTTGCTTCATGTATTTTGGTGGTCTGTCGTTAGGTGAGTAAATGTGTATGATTTTATATTTTCTTTCTATATTGACTCTTTTATTAATGTATAATGTCCTTTCTCTCTTATGAGCTTTTTTGATTTACAGTCTATTTTGTCTGATATTCGTATAGCAACCCCTGCTCTCTTTTTGTTACTATTTGCATGGAATTTCTTTTTCCATCTTTTCACTTTCAATCTGTTTTTGAATCTAAATTGAGTCTCTTACAGATGGCATATAGTTAGGTTACATATGTTTTACTTTTATTGTTATTTTTAACTGATACCTGATAATTGTACATACTTATGGGCTACATTGTGATATTTTGATACATGTATACAACATGTAATGCTCAAACCAGGGTAATTAGCATATCTACAATCATAAACATTTATCATTTCTTTGTGTTGAAAACATTTGAAATCAATTCTTCTAGCTATTTAAAAATATACAATAGGCCAGGCGTGGTGGCTCACGCCTGTAATCCCAGCACTTTGGGAGGCGGAGGAGGGCGGATCATGAGGTCAGGAGATCGAGACCATCCTGGCTAACACAGTGAAACCCCATCTCTACTGAAAATACAAAAAAATTATCCAGGTGTGGTGGCGGGCGCCTATAGTCCCAGCTACTCGGGAGGCTGAGGCAGGAGAATGGCATGAACCTGGGAGGCGGAGCTTACAGTGAGCTGAGATCGTGCCACTGCACTCCAGCCTGGGTGACACAGTGGACTCCGTCTCAAAAAAAAAAAAAAAATATATATATATATATATATATACACACACACACACAATAAATCATATATATATATACAATAAATTGTTATGGTCATTGTATAATGCTATAGAACATTAGAATTTATTATTCTTTTCTAGCTGTACTTTTTTATCTGTTAACCAACCTTTGTCTATCCTTCCCTCCCACCTGTCCTTCTCTGCCTCCAGTAACCAATATTCTACTCTCTATTTCTGTAAGATCAACTTTTTTAGCTTCCACATATGAGTGATAACATGTCATATTTACATTTCTGGGCTTAGCTTATTTTATTTAACAGAATGCTATCCCATCCATACTCATTCATATTGCCATGAAAGAGAATTTGGTTCTTGTTTTCTGGCTAAATAGTGTCTCATTGTGTATATATACCATATTTTCATTATACATTCATCTGTTGGTAGACACCTATGTTGATACAATAACTTGGCTATTATGAATAGTGCTTCAGTAAACCTGGAAGTGCAGATGTCTCTTCAACATACTAATTTTGTTTCCTTTGGATATGTACCCAGTAGTGGAATTGCTGGATCATATGGTAGTTCTATTTTTAGTTTTTTGATGATAATTTATACTGTTTTCCATATAACTATACTAATCTACATTCCCACCAACAGTGTAAAAGAGTTCTCCTTACTCTGAATCCTCACCAGCATTTTAAAAAATTAATAGTCATTCAAATTGGGACGAGATGATATTTCATTGTGGTTTTATTTGTATTTACCTGATGATTAGTGATGTTGAGCACGTTTTTCACATACCTGTGGGCAATTCATATGTCTCCTTTTGATAAATGTCTATTTGGTTCATTTTACCAGTTAAAAATTGGTTTATTTGGTATTTTTGCTGCTGACTTGTTTTAGTTCCTTGTATTTTCTGGATATTAATCCCTTGTCAGATGACTAGTTTGTAAATATTTTCTCCAAGTTTTCTGTATGTTGTCTTCACTCTGTTGATTGTTTCTCTTGCTATGGTAGTTTGATATAATGCGATTTGTCTATTTTCTCTTCATTACCTGTACTTTTGAGGTCTTCAACATGAAATATTTGCTCAGACCAATGTCTTAAGTATTTCCCCTATATTTTATTCTAATAGTTTCATAGTTTCAGGTCATAAGTCTTTAATCCATTTTGAGTTGATTTTTGTACATGGTGGGAGATAGGGGTCTGGTTTTCTTTTTCTTTTTTCTTTTTCATTTTTTTGAGACAGGTTCTCACTATGTCACTCAGGCTGGAGTGCAGTGGTATGATCTCAGCTCACTGCAACCTCTGCCTCCCAGGCTCAGGCGATCTTCCCACCTCAGCCTCCTGAGTAGCTGGGATTACAGGCTTGCACCACCACACCTGACTAATTTTTTATGTTTTTTGTAGAGAAAGGGTTTCACCATGTTGCCCAGGCTGGTCATGAACTTCTGGGCTCAAGTGATCTGCTTGCCCTGGCCTCCCAAGGTGCTGGGACTACAGGTGCGAGCCATCAATGCCTGGCCTGGTTTTATTGTTCTCTTTATGGATATCCAGTTTTCCCAGCACGATTTATTGACAAGACTGTTCCTTTCTCTATCAGTGTTTTTGGTTTCTTTGTCAAAAATCAATAGGCAGGCTGGGCATGGTGGCTTACACCTGTAATCCCAGCACTTTGGGAGGCCAACACAAGAGGATTGCTAGAGGTCAGGAGTTGGAGACCAGCTTGGTCCACATAGCAAAACCTTATCTCTCTAAAAGAAAAGAAAAGCCAATAACAAATTAGCTAGCTATGGTGGCCTGTGCCTGTAATCCAGCTACTCAGGAGGTTGGGGTGGGAGGATCATTTGAGCCCAGGAGTTCAAGTCTGCATTGAGCTGTGATCCTGCCACTGCACTCCAGCCTGGGTAATAGAGTGAGACCTTGACTCGAAAAGAAAAGAAAAAGAAAAAGAAAAAAAATTAGTTGGCTTTAAATACATGGATTTATTTCTGGGTTTTCTATTCTGTTCCATTGGTCTATATGTCTGTTCTTATGTCAGTACCATCCTATTTTGGTTATTATAGCTTTATAGTATATTTTGAAGTCTGGTTGTGTGATGCCTCCAGGTTTGTTCATTTTTTCTTTTTCATACAAATGGGGTCTTGCTATATTGCCCAGGCTGGTCTCGAACTCCTGGACTCAAGCAATCCTCCTACCTCAGCTTCCCAAAGCACTGGGATTACAGGTTTGAGCCACTATGCCTGGTTCCAACTTTATTCTTTTTGCTCAGGATTGCTTTGGCTATTCAGGATCTTCTGTGGTTCCATGCATATTTTAGTTTTTTTTTTTCTATTTTTAAAAAGAAGGAGTGTCTCTTCACTTTTGGTGTCCTCTTCAATTTCTTTCATTGTGCTTTATAGTTCTTTTTATAAAGATTTTTACCTCCTCAGTTAATTTTCTTTAGGTATTTGTTGGTAGTGATTGTAATTGGGATTGCTTTTTTGATTTCTTTTTCTGATAGTTCTCTGTTGGTGTATAGAGACATTACTGATTTTTTAATGTTGATTCTGTATCTTGCAAATTTACTGAATTTGTTGATCAGTTCTAAGAGTTTTTTTGGTGGTGCTTTTAGGTTTCTTTACACATAAGTTCATGTTGTCTGCAAACAAGAACAATTTGACTTCTTCCTTTCCAATTTGGATGTGCTTTATTTCTTTATTTTGCCTAATTGCTCTGACTCAGACTTCCAGTATTATGTCTAGTAAAAGTGGTGAAAATAGGAACCCTTGTGTTGTTCCTGATCTTAGGGGAAAGGCTTTTAATTTTTCCCAATTAGATGTGATGTTAGCTTTGGGTTTGCCATATATGGCCTTTATTATCTTGAGGTATGTTTCTCCTATACCAAGTTTGTTGTGGGTTTTTATCATAAAGTGATGTTGAATTTTATCAAATGCTTTTTCAGCATCTATTGAAATGATTATATGGTTTTTGTTCTTGGTTCTGTTAATCAGATGTATCACGTTTATTGATTTCCATATGTTGAATTATCCTTGCATCCATTGGCTAAATCTCACTTGATCATAGTGAATTATCTTTTTAATGTGCTGCTAGATTTGGTTTGCTAGTATTTTGTTGAGGATTTTTACATCTATCTTCATCAGGGATATTGGCCTATAGTTTTCTTTTTTTAAAGTTATTGTCTAGTTATGGTATCAAGGCAATGCTGGCCTCATAGAATAAGTTTGGAAGAATTCTGTCCTCCTCAATTTTCTGGAAGACTTTGAGAAGAATTGTTAATTAGTTCTTCGTTAAATGTTTGGTAGAGTTCAGCAGTGAAGCCACTGGGTCCTGGGCTTTTCTTTGATAGGAAACTTTTTATTTCTGTGGTATGAGTTGTAATGTCTCCTTTTTTTGTTTCTGATTTTTATTATTTGGATCTTTTCTCTTTTCTTGATTAGTCTAACTTGTGGAACTTTACTGATTTTATCTTTTTTAAAAAACCAGCTTTTTGTTTCATTGATACTTTTTTTTGTCTCAGTTTTATTTGTGCTTTGATCTTATTTCTTTCCTTCTAATTTTAGGTTTAGTTTGTTCTCACTTTTCTAGTTTGTTGAAATGCACTGCTATGTTGCTTATTTGAAAGCTTTCTATTTTTTCATGTAGGCATTTATTGCTATAAATTTGCTTCTTAATACTGCTTTTTCTGCATCTCATAGGTCTTGGTATGTTGTTTCTATTTTCATTTGTTTCAAAAAATTTTTAAATTTCCTTCTTAATTTCTTTATTGACCCATTAATTATTCAGGAACATGCTGCTTAATTTCCATGTATTGGTACAATTTCAAAAGTTTCTCTTTTTATTAATTTCTATTTATACTCCATTATGATCAGAAAAGATACTTAATATGATTTAAATTCTTTTAAATATATTGAGACTTGTTTTATAGTCTAACATGTAATCTCTCCTGGAGAATGGTCTATATGCTGATGAAAATAATTTGTATTCTGCAGCTGTTGGTTTAAATGTTCTGTAAATGTCTGTTAGACATTGGTCTACAGTACAGCTTAAATTCAATGTTTCTTTGCTGATTTTCTAGATGATCTGTTCAATGCTGAAAGTGGGGTGTTGAAGTCTCCAATTATTATTGTGTTGGAGTCTATCTCTCCCCTTAGATCTTATAATACTGCTTTATATATCTAGGTGCTCCAGTATTCAGTGCAGGTACATTTAGAATTGTTATATACTCCTCTTGCTGGATCGATCCCATTATCATTATATAATGACCCTCTTTATTATATCAGCTCAGCCCTAACACAACTGCTCAACTTGATCCAGGGTATTGATTCTTCAGGGGGCAATATGCCACTTCAGCTCAGGCCTGGTTGTGTGTGATTGTCCTGGGCAGCCCAGGTGCTATTTCCCTGGAATGCAAGGTACCACTTCAGGTTAGGTACTGGGGTCACGACTACTCTGGGCAGCCAAGGCACCATTTCCTGGAATGCAGAGGACTGATTCAACTTAGGCACTGGGGAGGTATGACTGACATGCCTTGCCAAGGTATCATTTTCCTAGGAAGTAGAGTACTACTTTAGCTCCAGCCCAAAGGGGCAGTGGTAGGGGTAGGTAGAGTGGCTCCACGTCTGCTTGGTTCTGTGGAGAAGGGTATAACAGCAGCTTGCATCTTGGCTTGAGTGTGTCAGGCCACTGGGATGGGGTGGTTTAGTGGTGGCTTAGCCTCAGACATGAAAGGGAGCCTTGGCTACTCAACCCCAGAGCAAGACACACTCCAGCCATGGTACCAACACTAAGATGGTATAGTGCAGTAGCTGTGTGAGCCGCAGTGTCTGCTCCTTCTCTGGGAAGAACACAGCTATGTGGACTCCAGGAAGCTCCCTTAGCTGGGTTTAGTGTCTGTGAGGACTCCAGAGGACTCCAGTGGTGAGGTCTGTAGGTGTCCAAGGAGTTGATGGGAGCTGCTGGGAACTTCTTGCTTTATTTCCTCACTATAGGAAGAAGTTCCTCCTTGTTCCCAGCTGATTCCAGTTGGGGAATGAGATGGTTCAGTCCTGGCATTTTCTTGTATTCTTTATATGGCCATCCCAAGTTTCTGTTATTCCTCTGGTGTACTTCTGCTCTCTCTCTCCACTATTTTTGTAAAAATATATCTTATTTGTTGTTCTGGCTGTCTTTGTGAGGAGGACAAGCACTAGGGCTTCTGCTGAGCCGTCTTGCTTAGATCATGTATTTTTTTTTGTTATTATACTTTAAGTTCTAGGGAACATGTGCACAACGTGCAGGTTTATTATGTATACATGTGCCATGTTGGTGTGCTGCACTTGTTAACTCGTCATTTACATTGGGTATATCTCCTAATGCTATCCCTCCACCTTCAGCCCACCCTACGACAGGCCCCGGTGTGTGATGTTCCCCACCCTGTGTCCAAGTGTTCTCATTGTTCAATTCCCACCTATAAATGAGAATATGCAGTGTTTGGTTTTCTGTCCTTGCGATAGTTTGCTCAGAATGATGGTTTCCAGCTTCATCCATGTCCCTACAAAGGACATGAACTGATCCTTTTTTATGGCTGCATAGTATTCCATGGTGTATATGTGCCACATTTTCTTAATTAGGTCTATCATTGATGGACATTTGGGTTGGTTCCAAGTCTTTGCTATTGTGAATAGTGCTGCAATAAACATACATGTGCATGTGTCTTTATAGCAGCATGATTTATAATCCTTTGGGTATATGTCCAGTAATGGGATGGCTGGGTCAAATGGTATTTCTAGTTCTAGATCCTTGAGGAATCGCCACACTGTCTTCCACAATGGTTGAACTAGTTTACAGTCCCACCAACAGTGTAAAAGTGCTCCTATTTCTCCACAGCCTCTACAGCATCTGTTGTTTCCTGACTTTTTAATGTTCACCATTCTAACTGCTGTGAGATGGTATCTCATTGTGGTTTTGATTTGCATTTCTCTGATGGCCAGTGATGATGAGCATTTTTTCATGTGTCTATTGGCTGCATAAATGTCTTCTTTTGAGAAGTGTCTGTTCATATACTTTGCCCACTTTTTGATGGGGTTGTTTGATTTTTTCTTGTAAATTTGTTTAAGTTCTTTGTAGATTCTGGATATTAGCCCTTTGTCAGATGAGTAGGTTGCAAAAATTTTCTCCCATTCTGTAGGTTGCCTGTTCACTCTGATGGTAGTTTCTTTTGCTATGCAGAAGTTCTTTGGTATAATTAGATCCCATCTGTCAATTTTGGCTTTTGTTGCCATTGCTTTTGGGGTTTTGGTCATGAAGTCCTTGCCCATGCCTATGTCCTGAATGGTATTGCCTAGGTTTTCTTCTACAGTTTTTATGGTTTTAGGTCTAACATTTAAGTCTTTAATCCATCTTGAATTAATTTTTGTATAAGGTGTAAGGAAGGGATCCAGTTGCAGCTTTCTACATATGGCCAGCCAGTTTCCCCAGCACCATTTATTAAATAGGCAATCCTTTTCCCATTTCTTGTTTTTGTCAGGTTTGTCAAAGATCAGGTGGCTGTAGCTGTGTGGTGTTATTTCTGAGGTCTCTGTTCTGTTCCATTGGCCTATATCTCTGTTTTGGTACCAGTACCATGCTGTTTTGCTTACTATAGCCTTGTAGTATAGTTTGAAGTCTGGTAGCGTGATGCCTCCAGCTTTGTTCTTTGGCTTAGGATTGTGGCAATGCAGGCTCTTTTTTGGTTCCATATGAACTTTAAAGTAGTTTTTTCCAATTCTTTGAAGAAAGTCATTGGTAACTTGATAAGGATGGCATTGAATCTATAAATTACCTTTGGCAGTATGGCCATTTTCATGATATTAATTCTTCCTATCCATGAGCATGGAATGTTCTTCCATTTGTTTGTGTCCTCTTTTATTTCATTGAGCAGTGGTTTGTAGTTCTCCTTGAAGAGGTCCTTCACATCCCTTGTAAGTTGGATTCCTAGGTATTTTATTTTCTTTGAAGCAATTGTGAATGGGAGTTCGCTCATGATTTGGCTCTCTTGTTTGTCTGTTATTGATGTATAGGAATGCTTGTTATTTTTGCACATTGATTTTGTATCCTGAGACTTTGCTGAAGTTGCTTATCAGCTTAAGGAGATTTTGGGCTGAGACGATGGGGTTTTCTAAATATCATGTCATCTGCAAATAGGGACAATTTGACTTCCTCTTTTCCTAATTGAATACCCTTTATTTCTTTCTCCTGCCTGATTGCCCTGGCCAGAACTTCTAACACCATGTTGAATAGGAGTGGTGAGGGAGGGCATCCCTGTCTTGTGCCAGTTTTGTTTTCAAAGGGAATGCTTCCAGTTTTTGCCCACTCAGTATGATATTGGCTGTCAGTTTGTCATAAATAGCTCTTATTATTTTGAGATACGTCCCATCAATACCTAGTTTATTGAAAGTTTTTAGCATGAAGGGCTGTTGAATTTTGTCAAAGGCCTTTTCTGCATCTGTTGAGATAATCGTGTGGTTTTTGTCTTTGGTTCTGTTTATATGATGGATTAAATTTATGGATTTGCATATGTTGAACCAGCCTTGCAACCCAGGGATGAAGCCAACTGGATCATGGTGGATAAGCTTTCTGATGTGCTGCTGGATTCGATTTGCCAGTATTTTATTGAGGATTTTTGCATCGATGTTCATCAGCGATATTGGTCTAAAATTCTCTTTTTTTGTTATGTCTCTGCCCGGCTTTGGTATCAGGATGATGTTGGCCTCACAAAATGAATTAGGGAGGATTCCCTCTTTTTCTATTGATTGGAATAGTTTCAGAAGAAATGGTGCCAGCTCCTCTTTGTACCTCTGGTAGAATTCGGCTGTGAATCCATCTGGTCCTGGACTTTTTTTGGTTGGTAGGCTATTAATTATTGCCTCAATTTCACAACCTGTTATTGGTCTAATCAGGGATTCAACTTCATCCTGGTTTAGTCTTAGGAGGTTGTATGTGTCCAGGAATTTATCCATTTCTTCTACATTTTCTAGTTTATTTGCGTAGAGGTGTTTATAGTATTCTCTGATGGTAGTTTGTATTTCTGTGGGATCAGTGGTGATATCGCCTTTATCATTTTTTATTGCATCTATTTGATTCTTCTCTCTTTTCTTCTTTATTAGTCTTGCTAGCAGTCTATCAATTTTGTTGATCTCTCAAAAAACCAGCTCCTGGATTCATTGATTTTTTGAAGGGTTTTTTGTGTCTCTATTTCCTTCAGTTCTGCTCTGATCTTAGTTATTTCTTGCCTTCTGCTAGCTTTTGAATGTGTTTGCTCTTGCTTCTCTAGTTCTTTTAATTGTGATGTTTGGGTGTCAGTTTTAGATCTTTCCTGCTTTCTCTTGTGGGTATTTAGTGCTATAAATTTCCCTCTACACACTGCTTTGAATGTGTCCCAGAGATTCTGGTATGTTGTGTCTTTGTTCTCATTGGTTTCAAAGAACATCTTTATTTCTGCCTTCAGAAATAAATGACTACTGTACCCAGTAGTCATTCAGGAGCGGGTTGTTCAGTTTCCATGTAGTTGAGCAGTTTTGAGTGAGTTTCTTAATCCTGAGTTCTAGTTTGATTGCACTGTGGTCTGAGAGACAGTTTGTTTTAATTTCTGTTCTTTAAAATTTGCTGAGGAGTGCTTTACTTCCAACTATGTGGTCAGTTTTGGAATACATGTGATGTGGTGCTGAGAAGAATGTGTAGTCTGTAGATTTGGGATGGAGAGTTCTGTAGATGTCTATTAGGTCCACTTGGTGCAGAGCTGAGTTCAATTCCTGGATATCCTTGTTAACGTTCTGTCTCGTTGATCTGTCTAATGTTGACAGTGGGGTGTTAAAGTCTCCCATTATTGTTGTGTGGGAGTGTAAGTCTCTTTGTAGGTCTCTAAGGACTTGCTTTATGAATCTGGGTGCTCCCGTATTGGGTGCGTATATATTTAGGATAGTTAGCTCTTCTTGTTGAATTGATCCCTTTACCATTATGTAATGGCCTTCTTTGTGTCTTTTGATCTTTGTTGGTTTAAAGTCTGTTATATCAGAGACTAGGATTGCAACCCTTGCTTTTTTCTGTTTTCCATTTGCTTGGTAGATCTTCCACCATCCCTTTATTTTGAGCCTATGTGTGTCTCTGCACATGAGATGGGTCTCCTGAATACAGCACACTGATGGGTCTTGACTCCTTATCCCATTTGCCAGTCTGTGTCTTTTAATTGGAGCATTTAGCCCATTTACATTAAGGTTAATATTGTTATGTGTGAATTTGATCCTGTCATTATGATGTTAGCTGGTTATTTTGCTCATTAGTTGATGCAGTTTCTTCCTAGCATCAATGGTCTTTACAATTTGGCATGTTTTTGCAGTGGCTTTTACCAGTTGTTCCTTTCCATGTTCACTGCTTCCTTCAGGAGCTCTTGTAAGGCAGGCCTGGTGGTGACAAGATTTCTCAGCATTTGCTTGTCTGTAAAGTATTTTATTTCTCCTTCACTTATGAAGCTTAGTTTGGCTGGATATGAAATTCTGGGTTGAAAATTCTTTTCTTTAAGAATGTTGAATATTGGCCCCCACTCTCTTCTGGCTTGTAGAGTTTCTGCCAAGAGATCCGCTGTTAGTCTTATGGGCTTCCCTTTGGGGGTAACCTGACCTTTCTCTCTGGCCGCCCTTAACATTTTTTCCTTCATTTCAACTTTGGTGAATCTGACAATTATGTGTCTTGGAGTTGCTCTTCTTGAGGAGTATCTTTGTGGTGTTCTCTGTATTTTGTGAATTTGAATGTTGGCCTCCCTTGCTAGGTTGAGGAAGTTCTCCTGGATAATATCCTGAAGAGTATTTTCCATCTTGGTTCCATTCTCCCCATCACTTTCAGGTACAGCAATCAGACATAGATTTGGTCTTTTCACATAGTCCCATATTTCTCAGAGGCTTTGTTTGTTTCTTTTTACTCTTTTTTCTCTAAACTTATCTTCTCACTTCATTTCATTTATTTGATCTTCAATCACTGATGCCCTTTCTTCTACTTGATGAAATCAGCTTCTGAAGCTTGTGCATGCGTCAGGTAGTTCTTGTGCCATGGTTTTCAGCTCCATCAGGTCATTTAAGGACTTCTCTACACTGTTTATTCTAGTTAGCCATTCGTCCAATCTTTTTTCAAGGTTTTTAGCTTCTTTGCAATGGGTTCAAATATCCTCCTTTAGCTCAGAGAAGTTTGTTATTACCAATCTTCTGAAGCCTTCTTCTCTCAACTCATCAGAGTCAATCTCCGTCCAGCTTTGTTCCGTTCCTGGTGAGCGGCTGCATTCCTTTGGAGGGGAAGAGGGGCTGTGATGTTTAGAATTTTCAGCTTTTCTGCTCTGGTTTCTCCCCATCTTTGTGGTTTTATATACCTTTGGTCTTTGATGATGGTGACGTACAGATGGGGTTTTGGTGTGGATGTGCTTTCTGTTTGTTAGTTTTCCTTCTAACAGTCAGGACCCTCAGCTGCAGGTCTGTTGGAATTTGCTGCTGGTCCACTCCAGACCCTGTTTGCCTGGGTATCACCAGTGGAGGCTGCAGGACTGCAAATATTGCAGAACAGCAGATGTTGCTGTCTGATCCTTCCTCTGGAAGCTTCGTCTCAGAGGGGCACTGGACTGTATGAGGTGTCAGTCAGCCCCTACTGGGAGGTGTCTCCTAGTTAGGCTACTCGGGGGCCAGGGACCCACTTGAGGAGGCAGTCTGTCAGTTCTCAGATCTCAGACTTGGTGCTGGGAGAACCACTACTCTCTTCAAAGCTGTTAGACAGGGACGTTTAAGTCTGCAGAAGTTTCTTCTGCCTTTTGTTCAGCTATGTCCTGCCCCCAGAGGTGGAGTCTACTGAGGCAGGCAGGCCTCCTTGAGCTGCGGTGGGCTCCACCCAGTTGGAGCTTCCTGGCCTCTTTGTTTACCTACTCAGGCCTCAGCAATAGCGGACACCCCTCCCCCAGCCTCGCTGCTGCCTTGCAATTTGATCTCAGACTGCTGTGCTAGCAGTGATTGAGGCTCTGTGGGCGAGTGACCCTTACAGCCAGGTGTGGGATATAATCTCCTGCTGTGCCATTTGCTAAGACCGTTGGAAAAGTGCAGTATTAGGGTGGGAGTGTCCCGATTTTCCAGATACAGTCTGTCATGACTTCCCTTAGGTAGGAAAGGGAATTCCTGGACCCTTGGGCTTCCCGGGTGAGGCAGTGCCCCACCCTGCTTTGTGGGCTGCACTCACTGTCTGACAAGCCCCAGTGAGATGAACCTGGTACCTCAGTTGGAAATGCAGAAATCACCTGTCTTCGGCGTTGGTCACGCTAGGAGCTGCAGACTGGAGCTGTTCCTATTTGGCTGTCTTGGAACCTCTCTAGATCATGTATTTTTATGCATTCTGGCAATCTGTGTCTTTTGATTAGAGAGTTTACTCCATTTACATTTAAAGTAATTACTGATAAGGAGGAATTTAAATCTGTCATTTTGCTGCATGTTTTTTATATGCCATGCATCTTATTTACCTTTTGTTTCCTACATTATTGTCTTCTTTTGTGTTTAATTTTTATAGTGAAATATTTAAATTCCTTTGTCATTTTCTTTTGTGTACATTCTACAGATATTTTCTTTAAGGTTGCCATGGGGATTACATTTGGTATTTAAAGTTGTAACACTCTAGGCTGGGCGCAGTGGTTCACGCCTGTAATCCTAGCACTTTCGGAGGCCGAGGTGGGTGGATTGCAAGGTCAGGAGATTGAGACCATCCTGGCTAACATGGTGAAACCCCGTCTCTACTAAAAATACCAAAACAAAATTAGCCGGGCGTGGTGGTGGGCACCTGTAGTCCCAGCTACTCAGGATGCTGAGGCGAGAGAATGGCGTGAACCTGGGAGGCGGAGCTTGCAGTGAGCCGAGATCATGCCACTGTACTCCAGCTTGGGCAACAGAGCGAGACTCCATCTCAAAAAACAAACAAAAAAACAAAACAAAAAGTTATAACACTCTAATTTGAATTTATACCATCTTAACTTCAGTAACACACAAAATCTTTGCTCCTTTATAGCTCTGCCCTCACCTCTTTTGATTGTTATTTTCACAAGATTACATTATTATACATTGTGAGTCCAAAAATGTAAATGAATACTTTCTTTAAATGTATTCATTTACATTTTGTATTTAAATGAATTTATGTATTTAAATGAATTTATGTATTTAAATGAATATATGTATTTAAATGAATATATGTATTTAAATGAATATTTCTTTAAATGTAAATTTTCATTTGAACTTTGGTGAATCTGACAATTATGTGTCTTGGAGTTGCTCTTCTCAAGGAGTATTCTCTCAAATTTTGTAGAAAATAAAATATGGAGTTACAAAGCAAAGTTACAATAATGCTAACTTTTAGATTAATATGTTTTTAAATGTATTAATCTCTTAAATTGTATAGAAAACAAAAAGTGGAGTTACAAACCATTGTTCCAGTAACACTAGCTTTTATACTTGCCTCTGTATTTACCTTTATTAACATCTTTATTTCTTTGTGTGGCTATGAGTTACAGCCACAGGTCTAGTGGTAATGAGCTAACTCAGCTTTTGTTTATCTGGAAATGTCTTAATTTCTCCCTCACTTTTAAAGGACAATTTTGCCAAATATAGGATTCTTGGATAACAGTTTTGCTTTTTGTACTTTTAGCACTTTGAATATATTGATCCACTGCCTTCTGGCCTCACAGTTTTTGTTGAAAAATCTGCTGATTATCTCATTGAGTATTTCTTGTGTGTGATGAATTGCTTTTCTCTTTCTGATTTCAAGATTCTTTCTTTGTCTTTGTCTTTCAAAGTTTGATTATAATGTGTTTTTGTGTGAGTCTCTGTCAGTGCATTTTTCTTGGAGTTTGTTAAGCTTTTTAGATGTGTATATTTACATCTTTCCTCAAATTTGTAAAGTTTTCTAACATTACTTATTTAAATATACTCTCTGCTCATTTCTCTCTGTCTCTCTCTTTTCCTTCTGGAATTCTCACATTGTTTTGTTCATCCACTTGATGGTGTCCTGTAAGTCCCTTAGGCTCTATTTACTTTTCTTCAATGTTTTTTTCCTTCTGTTCTTTAGACTCAATAATTTTCATTTTCTTTTCTCAGATTCACTAGTTCTTTCTTTTGTCTGCTCAAATCTGCTTTTGAATCCCTCCAGTGAATTTTTCATTTCAGTTATTGTTCTTCTTAACTCCAGAATTTCTTTTTCTCCCCTTAGTTTTCTATATCTTTATTTATATTTCCATTTTGTTCATGCATAATTTTCTTTTCTCCACATCTCCCTTTAGTTCTATGAGCATCTTTAAGATAGTTTTAAGGTATTTGTCTACTATATCTGCCATGTGTTCTTTTTCAGAACAAGTGGTTTATTTTTATTCTTTGAATGTGCCATACTTTCCTGTTCTTTGTATGCCTTCTGATTTTTTTTTGAAAACTGGACATTCAAATCTAGTAACATGGTAACTCTGGTAATTAGATTCCCCCCATTTCCCAGAATTTAATGTTTTTTGTTATTGTTTTTATTATTATTATTTTTTATTCTTGTAGGCTATCTCTGTTCCAAGGATTAACCTGAAATATAAATTTAAGGTCTTCTCAGGTATTTTCTGAGTTTTTCCCTGGGCATGCATAATCACTTTCTAATTTTTTCCATATATGCAGTTGTTTTTGAATGTCTGGCTCCCAAAAGAGGAAAAAGAGAAAAATGAAGAGGAGAAAAAAGAGCACTGGCCCTTTAAGTCCCTTAGAAGTCACTTCAGCTAGTGGGGAGGGGCTTGCCACAGTGGGGATAGGTACAACAACAATGGCTGCCCACCTCTTTGTCTGCATCTCTGTGAGCAGAAGCAGCAATCAATGATCGATCAGAGCACAGATCTCTAGTATCTAGAAGACATGGTCCTTTTTGCCAACCCTGGCTCTCACAAGCTATGTACAGGTTGTTCCAGAAACATATGCACATTTGCCAGTTACAAGGCTGGGACTGGGGATGTGTAGATGGTACTGTGTTCAGAGTACTGAAATTAACTACAATTTATTGTTCAAGCCTTCCCCTGGAAGTTGCAAGCCTTCAGTACATTCTAGTGTTCCAAAATTGTTACATCACATTGATTCACCAGCTCAATTGTTATCTAAGTAGAGAGACAGATTTCTTGTGCCTCCCACTCTATCATCTTTATGAAATCCTCTCTCCACAGTTGTTTCAGTAGAGTGATGCTCATCCTTTTTCCTTACATTACAGTCCGCAGGCAAGAAAGTGAAATTCTGTGCCCAGATGCAAATCCTTAGCGGAATCAACCTGTGCCATCATTGTCCCCTTGATAGGTGGAGCCATCAAGCACATTGCCTGGCACTATCAGGAAACCTGCACAGTTCTGGGTCAGTGGTTGCTAATCACCTCTCTTTAGTCCACACAAGCCTTGAGAGTAGAGCATGTAATAAAAGTACGTTCTTTCAAATCTGAAACTTGGCATTTTGATGGATCAGAAAGCAGAGGAGCCTCTAGAAAATGCTGGCGAATTTCTTTGGGAGTGATGCTAGTATTTTTCTGGGGCATGTATGATACTAATGAACATAGGGCTTGGTATTCTATCATCATCCTTGCCAGCAGCATGGAAAGTGTTATCTGTGGGAAGTATAACTTTCAATTCTTGTATCTTAGTCATCTGGGCTGCTATAAACTGGGTATCTTAACAGAAATTTATCTCTTATTGTTCTGGAGGTGGATCAAGATATCTGCAGATTCAGTGTTTGGTGAAGGCCTATTTCCTGGGTTATGAATGGTGCCTTCTCACTGTGTCCTCCCATGGTGAAAAGGGCAAACAAGCTCCCTTCGGCTTGTTGATAAGCCACTTATGAGGGCTGATCACTTCCTGAAAGGCCCCATCTCCCAATACCATCACCCTGTGGTTAGGATTTCGACCTACAAATTTGGGGTGGGAAGACATAAACATCAAGGCCATGTCATCTTGTCTCGATTTTCTATCCTAATCCCTTCACTCACATGGACAATTAAAGTCCCAGAAAACTGAGAGCCTCAGGAAATTTTGTTTCAGTATCATTCCCATCTAGTAGTTCTCAGGTACTGAGCGAAACCTAAGGATGTGAATCTTTGGGTATCCACATATTCTACGAACTATTGAAAATAGCATCCTGAATTGGCCAAGTTAAATAGACTTAAGCTAGGCTACAAAATCCAAATAGGCCTAGATGAGTGGAGATGATCAAGTTTTGTGGGTAGACAGGGAAGAAGATGAAGAAAGCCAATGCATAGGAAGGGTAGAAGCTGGTGGAAAAAGGAAATCTCGAGGAAACTTTAGAGCCAGAATCCAAATGTTCATGGAAGCATTTTATTTGGTGCCCATGACCACTGATACAAAAAAGCCAAAGCAAAATGAATGTGCAACTCCAGCTTCAATAATATCAGGCCTTTTCAATTCTACATCCTTATTATCTTGCAAATTTATCCCCCCAAGCCCCGCCTCATGCAGTTGGTTCCTAAGTCTGAGAGATTCTACCTCTTAAATACTTAATCTATTTCTCTGATGACCAGAGTAATCTAAAACAAAAATTTGATAGTTACTTTTTTACTTAAGTGCTTCAATGCCTCCCATTTCCTACAGGCTTAAATATTGATATCTAATGTAGTATGTAAGACTACTTATGATTTTGCCCCCTGCTTATTTTTTCTTACTCACGTAACACCATTTCCCCTCCCTCACTCATGTAACACCATTTCCCCTTCCTCTCTAGCCACAGTGTTAGTTCCTAGAATATGCCATTCTTATACATTCCTTTGTGACTCAGTTCCTCTGCATGTTGTCTGGAATGTTCTATTCTTGTCTGTCTGGCAAACTTCTCCTAGTCCTCTAAGACTTTCTGTCTCTCTAAAGTCTTTACTGACCTACCAAGACAGAGTTGAACACCCCTTCCTCAGGACTTCTTTTATCTCTGGCACACAGCTCTATTTTAGGACTCATTGAATTATAATGATTTGAAAGTCTAAGTGTTTCTAGAGGGCACATACGATGTCTAATTCTATGCTTTCAGAACCTGGGACAGTTCTTGATACAGAGTAGGGTCTCAGATTGGCTTTGAATAAACACGATATTTTTGTTTAAAAGCAGAAGGAACTTGTGAACAAGTTCATGTTGTTGATAGTCTCTTGGATTCCATATTTGATGTCTGAAGTATATGATGTTAATTCCTTCCTTGATTTAACGTGTATTTATTGAAGATCAATCCTAAGCCAGAAATGGGAAAACAATGATCAGCAAAAATAAATATGTACTTTACTACTTTTACGGAGTTGAGAATTTATTGGGGAAACTTACTACTGTTGTAGAAATTATTAAATAAAATATAACATCTCTCAGGTTTGGCCCATGATAATAGTCTGAGATTGTCCCTAACACAAGCCTTCCTGAAATATGTCAAAGCCTTTGCCTGTTGGACTACTTTCATTTCTTGTATGCTGCAGGCTCACCTCTTGTTCTCCAGCATACAAAGCCATTTTGGTTGATAAACACAACAAATTAAAAATCGAACATGCAAAATAGTAAAACATCTTGTTTTAATCCAAGCAAAACTTTGTCTTCAGAAATCTGTGGAGGGTTGGGATACATGAGTAACTTTACAGTTTACCAGATGCTTTTGTATTTATAGTGGTATTTGGTTTTGCTTATAGGAAAACCAAAGGAATGTTGGGGGAGCATTCAAGAGTCAACAAAACAGAATCATCCTCTTAGGCTGGAGGGATTACCATTTTAGGCAGTGAGAGATTACTGAAATGTACCCATAAGGGTCCTAGTCTCTGCCCACAGCCAATAAGATGCAAACTTCTATCTCAGGCAGTGTGTCTAGAGGAGTGAAAGAGGCTCCCAGATCTTGGCATTTTGAAAATGGAAAAGGAAAACAAACAAAAAGTATATTCGTGTGAAAATCAGATATCAGAAAATTCAAACAAGCACCGTCCAGGTTCCTACTGTCTTGAGCTCTCCAGAGGGTTATATTCTGCTTCCTTCTCCTTTAGGGTTTCCTAAAAAGAAGGGCAGACTTGGAGTTAAGAGCAAAGATGTATAGTTAGGTCCATTCAAAGGCATAACAGCCAGCATCACAGGGGACAGACGTTCTTTTTAAAATGTTCCTTGAGACAGGGGTTTATCTTTCTTGAATTTGGCTATACCTGTTTTCCTCCAGCCCCTCAGCTGGAGGTGGTAACTAACTAGGAATTGCTGCCAGAGAGGCAATTTCTTCCTTTTAAGTGAAGTGCTGCTATGGCAAAGACATGCTGCTTCAAGGGTTAAACTTTAAAACACTCATTTTGATATATAAAGAAATTATAAACAAAGCACAAGGCAAAGTTGCAATTTCAGTTTGTGTTCAAAGTAGTAATAATTTCCTAAACTGACACTGTTGTTTTGCTTAGTCCAGACCTTTGAAAACAAACGAGTTTTACAAAAGCTATATTAGTAATGTAACAATTAGTGCACTACCACTATTTTCCCCTCTTTTTCTGAGTCTCAGAGAAGATGAAGTTTTCTTGATCATCTTTTTAAAATAAAAGTTGTAGGCCAGGTGAAGCTTTCAAGGTGACTTTGAGACTGAGGGAAGGAAGGAAATGGGGAAGGGAAAACAAACAAACAAACCAAAAAAACACTACAGATTACTTCATACCTCTTTCAAGCTTAAACAGAACTCTACTTTGGCTTTCTAATAAGCTAGTTTTCCAAAAGAGAGTTTGGGCTTTGGCCTAAGACCCCTCTGGAGCCACTGACTTGCCCATTAGATACAGTCTCAGGAAAGCTAATATAATGGCACATTTCGTCTACAAACTTAAGTGAAAAATAACCAGGTACAAAACTTTGGGTTCTCTATCTTAAAAGCAGCAAATATCTGTGTTCTTTTCTCAAAACTGGATTCTGTCAATTTCCTGAATTAACCACTTTACCATTGTGGTTTGCTTGCTTGTTTTTGTTGGGCAGAGTTGCAAATGTAATAAGGGAAGGGGGTCCTTGCACTGGTTTAGTACCAGGCAAGGTTACCAAGGGGGCTCATTCTGGTTCCAGAAAGTGGAGATGGTCATCCTCACTCTCCAGAACTGGGAGTGGCTCATTCCCACTCCCCGGAATCTGGAGTGGGTCTTCCCCACACCCCAAAACTGAGAGCAGATCAACCCCACCCTCCGCAGAAGAAAGACAGTCAGGGCCAAGCTCTTTTGCCCCCTGAGACTTTGGACTTGATTGTCCCCATCAGACCTTCAAAAGATCTGAATGTGGCCGACTTCTTCACGCCTCCAAGCTTCCTGCAGATGAGAGTGCCCATGGTGGACAGAGCAGCTGATGTCTTCTGTTTCACATAGGTGTTGGAGACCTGAACATCAAGCCAGCTCTTGGACAGATTCTGTCTCAGCCCTACCAAGGCGGTGAGGCCTAACTTCCTCTTGAGTTCCCCACAGCGTCTCTCTTTGGCTGCTAGTACGTGGCGTAGGGTTACAATTTCAGCCTCCAATTTAGTGAGTTTGGTTTTGAGCTCTCTTTGCTCGGGCTCTGTCAGATCCTCCAGTTCAGAAGTCGAGTGGGATTCATATGTGCCCACAGAGGTCTCTGTCCTGGCATGTGGCATGGACTGGGAAAGAAGATCTTCGTTAAGAGAGTCCAGGTCCAATTCTTGGTAGAAAGAGTCGAATTATTGGGCTGCAGAGAAATAATCTTGGCCAGCAGAGTCGAAATCTAGGCCTGCAGGCTCAGACTCTTGGCAGGTGGAGTCAGATTTCAGGCGGGAGGGATCCATGGCCCAGCTGGTACAATGGACACCTTGACAGTTGAGTTGACGACCTGGCCTGTGAAGTAGACACGCTAGCTCGTGGTGTTCACTTCCGGGTGGTGGGGGTGGGGAGCCGGGCTGGTCAGGGTTGCGGAGGTGGGACTTCCCGCCCAAACCGCGAGGCTGTAGAATCAGTGCTCAGCTGAGGCGCAACCCACACTGGCGGCATTTTGGCATTGCGAGGACCTCCTGAGGTAGGCAGTGCAGAGATTATTGTCGAAAAGAGAGGAATTTCTCCTGACATGGTAAATGACAAGCCCTGGCCTTCAAACCAAAGCGTCAGGCAACTGTTTTCCACCACACCAGCTCCAACACTTGAAAATCATTTAAACATCATTGTGCTAGTATGAATTTTCAGTTTTGCAGTTGCATTTTCTTTATTCCGCCCTACCTCCACTCACATTTCTGGAAGCATGTCTGCCTACATTCAAGGTTACCTGTTGTGGGAGGTAGTCTGCACAGTAAAGTAAAACTAGTTAAATAGGATCTATCAGAGTGTGGATCCACTCTCCCCTGCCAACCTGCCACCCCAACCTCCCCCCAACCGTAATTCTGCCGAGAGTAAACTTATGCAATGGAAAAATCAGGACGTTAATCCAGTGAGGTCTTGTGGTCGAGCTTCACTTAGCTCATTCTATGGCTGCCTATTCTCAGAGAATATTCTTGAGCAAGTCTTAGACTCTAGTGATTTTGTTGGATATTCTTGTAATTCTTGCGAGCATGATCTTGTGGAACATAATTTGATCCTCAGCAAATTTCAGCAGTTTGCCCTACTCATGCCTATGTGGCTACAATGAAGCATCCAGCTGTGCATTCAAACCAACTTCAGCCCTCCTTTGAGTTTATGTTCTATAACCCTTTCACATAATTTAGTAGTGTTTATTATTGCCTTGTCCTGAGTGGTGTGTTTCCCTAAGTTAAAAAGTGAGAATTGTTCTTGTAAACATGAAGGCTGATGGAGGATTTGGCTATGTGTTTAAAGGCCTGAAAAGGGCAGCAAGGACTCCCTAAAAACCAATTTGTTCCAGAGGGTAGACTTTTCCTCTATTGCCTGTAGAAACACTAGTGGTTTCAGGAACACTCCCAGACTCTGAATCAGAACTCCTCTTTCAAACCTGAGACTAAAGGGTAAAGAAATCCCTGAATTATGCTACATAATATAGAACACACATTGTCTCTTCAAAGTTGAGACTCCAAATCACCAAATCTGAACTTGCACTTGATTTTACTTCTCTGTATTATTTCAACCACCAACCTTGATGCCTATTTTCTTTATAAGCTTCCTCATCCTTCAGTGTATACTATGAAATCTTTTATTAAGCCTTGATTCCTTTTGACAGAGAATGGTTTTTTTTCTCATAGCAAAACTGAGCTTTTCAGACACTTAGTTGCCAGATCCCACATCAAGACATACCCTGTCATTCAAATAGGAAAATAAGAAGTCAAATTATTTCTTTTTCAGATGATATGATTCCATATCCAGAAAACCCGAAAGGCTCCACCAAAAGGCTCCTGGAACTGATAAATGACTTCAGTAAAGTTTCAGGATATAAATTCAGTATCATTTCTATATATCAATAATGTGGCCGGGCGCGGTGGCTCACACCTGTAATCCCAGCACTTTGGGAGGCTGAGGCGGGCGGATCACGAGGTCAGGAGATCGAGACCATCCCGGCTAAAACGGTGAAACCCCGTCTCTACTAAAAATACAAAAAATTAGCCGGGCGTAGTGGCGGGCGCCTGTAGTCCCAGCTACTTGGGAGGCTGAGGCAGGAGAATGGCGTGAACCCGGGAGACGGAGCTTGCAGTGAGCCGAGATCCCGCCACTGCACTCCAGCCTGGGCGACAGAGCGAGACTCCGTCTCAAAAAAAAAAAAAAAAAAAAAAAAAAAAAAAAAAAAAAATAGACAAAAGACATGAACAGACACTTTTCAGAAGAAGACATACAAGTGGCCAACAAACATATGAAAAAACATATGAGAAAATGTTCCACATCACTAATCATCAGAGAAATTCAAATCAAAACTGTAATGAGATAACATCTCACACCTGTCAGAATGGCTATTCTTAAAAAGTCAAAAAACAACAGATGTTAAGAAGGCTATGGAGAAAAGGAAATGCTTATACACTTATACACTTGTGGTGGGAATGTAAATTCAGCTACTGTGGAAAACAGTTTATAGATTTCTCAAGTAACTTAAAACAGAACTACCATTAATCCAGCAATCCCATTACTAGGTGTATATGCAAAAGAAAACAAATCATCCTATTGAAAAGACACATGCACTCATATGTTCATCACAGCACTGTTCACAATAGCAAAGACATGGAATCAACTTAGGTGCCCATCAATAGTGGATTGGATAAAGGAAATGTGGTATATATACAGCATGAAATACTACACAGGAATAAAAAAGAATGAAATCATGTCATTTCCAGGAACATGGATGCAGTTGGAGGCCATTATCCTAGGTGAATTAATGCAGGAACAGAAAACCAAATACCACATGTGCTCACTTATAAATGGGAGCTAAACATTGGATACTCATGGTCATAAAGATGACAACAATAGACACTGGGAACTACTAGAGGGGGAAGTGGGTGGGTGGGGGAAGGGTTGAAAAACTAACCACTGGGTATTCTGCTCAGTATCTGGGTGATTAAATCATTCATAACCCAAACTTTGGCATCACACAATATACCCAAGTAACAAGCCTGCACATGTACCTCTGAATCTAAAATAAAAGTAGAAAAAAAAAAAGACAATAGCCTCTGGAAAGGATGCTCCTTATTGGCAGTGTTCTGATCTCCTGAGTAAACCTGGCTAAAGAAGTAATACAATGGAACAATCCATTTTATTAGGCTTATGCATAAGCACATACGAAACAATATTTATGTTTTGAAAACATAGATCTATCAAATGAAATTTTATTTAATTTATAGTGATAGTAACCAATTGTTTGTATAAGCTATCCTTTTAAGGTGTAAAATACCAAACACTCACCCCATAATTGTAAAATTTCACATCTCTAGATGAGACAATGGAATCCTCTATATTACACAGAAAGGCTCATAAAACTTTTCATATAAAACTGAAAGCTTTTTGATGCTATTTATTTAAATACTAAAAATAGCCAAAGTATTTGATTCAGGAACTATAAAGAAAAAGCTTGAGATTATTTGTAATCCTACAGTGGTTTGATATCCTTTGTTTCCAAGGAGGACACCACTGACCCATTTTTGATAAAGAAAGAACTGAGTTATGTCTCTAGTAAGGGTGATGGATTACACTGATCTTTTGTAAAGTAAAGGTAAGTGGTATAATAAAATGATTTTTTCTCTTTATATGTAGAAGCCTGTATATATTATGTTCTATAAATAAATTCCTAAAGCTTGAATATGAAAACAAAGCCATATCCTCCAGCAGGTCTGGGTTATTTGGGAATAGAAGAAGTTAGATCGTAGTGAGTGATACTCAAGTTTGGAAATGATTAGGAACTTGTATCAGTGCCGGCAGTTTTAACCATTTGACTTATTTTGTTATAAATGATCAATATAGAGCTTTCTGATTACATTGATGATTCAGATTGCTTCTAAAGAACTGACAACTCACCTTGCAGTCTGGTCATTTGCACTGCTAGATTTAACCTAGTGAGTTCTCTAAGGCTTTATTTCTAATATTTAAACAGTTTTTTTTCTGGTGTTCAACTACTATAATTCTAGCTGAATGCAAGGAAAAATACTTAAATATCTAATTAAGCCTGAAAATAAGGCACATAGCTGAAACCCTACTCCAGTCAGAATGTTTTAAGAGTAAGAGAAAATTGGTAGTTGGGCTTTTCTTGTGGAAAGCCAGAATATTATATTTGATTTCAATTTGCAAGTTATTTTCACTACTATCTCACATCATAGCCCAGCTCCATCAATAATATATGTAGTCACCTCTCCATATTCTCCAGCATGAACAGGAATATTGACTGCAGTTTACAACAGCAAGCATTACTGCTATCAGTCTTCATATTTCAGTGGTTAAGTTGATCTTCATTTAGGATGAGGATGATATTTTCTTTCAGCAGCTCTCCTATTTGGACTAATTAGCTTAAAAATACTTAGGTGTACTATAGGTTAGGATTTTCCTGTCTGACATCAAAATATACTATCGGTGTATTAAATCAACATTAGAGCTTATTGCTGTTATTCACCCTCTTTGGTGGTATATAATGGTGGTAGGGGTACTGGGGGAATCAAATTAAGATTCAGAGTCCAGTTGTGTCTGAAGAACTGTATTCCCCTCCTCTGTCATGCCCATTTACATGGGTTAATACGTAAGGGAGGAAGGGGCTTTCAAGGAGGAAGTTTTTTTTTTTTTTTCCTCAGGTCTTAGAGGTAGAAGAGGAATCATAAGGAGAATGAGGGATGGAAAGAAGGGAAAGAAAAATGATCAAATGATGTAGGAACTTCCCTAGATTAAAAAATGAGGGTTCTTCTTGTTGAAACATAAAAGCTTTGTATATAAAGACCTATGTAGAGTAGCAAGGAATCTGTAAACACTGTATTTTTTTCCAGAGACTGGAGTGCTTGCGGAAACACTGGTGGATCTAGGTATGTTTCTCTAGTGATGATCTAGAAATTTGGGGGATGCCTTAAAATGGAGTAGGGGATGGAAAAAGGATAAGACTGCCACTTGCTTCTCACTCTCCTTCACCCACTTCAGCCCAACCAACACTCTCCTTGAATTACATGCAGTTACAGCAAAAGCATAGATTGTTGCTATGGTTTGAAAGTGTCCCCTAAAACCTATGTGTTGGAAAGTTAATCCTCAGTGCAACAGTGTTTAGAGATGGGATCTTTAAGAGATGGTTAGGTCATGAGAGCTCTGCCCTCATGAATGAATGAATGCAGTTATCACTGGAATAGGTTAATTATTCTGGGAGTGGGTTGCTGATAAATGGATGAGTTTGACTCTCTCTCTCTGTTCTCTCATGTTCTTTTGCTCTTTTACCTTCTTCCATGGGATGATGCAGCAAGAAGGCCCTCACCAGATGCTGGTGGCTTGATATTGGACTTTCCAGCCTCCAGAATCATGAGAAATAAATTTCTATTGTTTATAAATTATTCAGTCTGTGATGTTCTGTTATAGTAGCATAAAACTAAGGTAACTATGTTGCTAAAAAGTCTGTAGGGGATCCAGATTACTTGAAGGAGCCAGTGGTAGGTTTCTGTATGTATGACCCTTAACTAAGCAGGAAAATTTGGCAAGACATTTATTTGAAAGATGTACAAATTTTGAGTACCAGGAGATATATCTCCTGGATCGGGCATATATATTTTTTCTCTCCTGGGAAGGTAGGGTTCTCAGGGTGCAGGGTTAAGAGTGGCAGCAGGAGATACTTCTGTCAAGTGGCGGGACACAGAATGGACATCTACAGAAAGGACAGAGCAGAAGCACATGGAAGAGCTAGTCCTGAGCATAGAGGACTCCCAGAAGTAACTGGGGATATTCAGAGAAGGGAGTCTTGAAGTCCTGAAGCTTGGCACTGAGGGGTTGGAACTAACAAAATGTGGGGGCCAGAGTAATTAGATTCATTTGTATCTACAGGCTGTAGAAGCCTGAGGACAATCAGGTTATTTTACATTTTTATTTTATTTTATTATATTTTTGAGACAGGATCTTGCTCCATCACCAAGGCTGGAGTGCTGTGGTGCAGGCTCCTAAGCTCAAGTGATCCTCCCACCTCAGCCCTCAGCCTTCCAAGTAGCCAGGACTATAGGCAAGTGCCACCACATCTGGCTAATTAAAAATTTTTTTTAGTAGAGACGGAGTTTTACCATGTTGCCCAGGCTGGTTTTGAATTCCTGAGCTCAAGCAATCCTCCTGCCTTGGCCTCCAAAGTGCTGTGATTGTACATACACGAGTCTGGTGGCGATCAGGCTATTAATGGAAAAGTTACAATCTTTTTAAAGGTTATGGCCATTGAGGTGAATTTGCTGCAATGCAGTAAACTACAGCCTGTACTCTACTCCCTAGGAGCTTAGCTATTTTTGTCTTAAAACTGTCATGCCTTCTATAGCATAATAACTATTTTATTTCCTTGATTCTGAGGCACAATCAGTTGTAAGACATATCTTTGTTTTAATAAGAGGTTTCTAGGAGGAAAAATCTATATTGTACATTAATTTTAAGATACAATCCTGCCTTAGTCTGTTTGTGTTGCTATACGGGAATACGTGAGGCTGGGCAATTTATAAAGAAAAGAGATTTATTTGGCTCATAGTTCTGCAGGCTGTACAAGAAGCATGGTGTCAGCATCCATCTGCTTGGCTTCTGTTGAGGGCCTCATGTTGCCTCCATTCCTGATGGAAGGTGAGGGAGGAGCTAGCATCACATGGCAAGAGAAGTGCCAGGCTCTTTTCAACAACCAGTTCTCTCGGGAACTAAGGGGGAGAACTGACTCCCTCCTTTGAGAATGGCACCATACCATTCATGAAGGATCCATCCCCATGATCCAGACACCTCTCACCAGGCCCCACCTCCAACACTGGAGATCAGATTTCAACCTGAGACTTGACAGGGCCAAACAAACCATATCCAGGGCTAAGTGTGGTGGCTCACACCTGTAATCCCAGCCATTTGGGAAGGGTGAGAAGATTGCTTGAAGCCAGTAGTTCAAGCAATGACCAGCCTGAGCGAAACAGCAAGACCCCTCTCTACACAAAATTTTATTATTATTATTACTATTATTTTTATTTTTCCATAAGTTATTGGAGTACAGGTGGTATTTAGTTTCATGAGTAAGTTCTTTAGTGGTGATTTGTGAGATTTTGGTGCACATATCAACTGAGCAGTATACACTGCACCATATTTGTAGTCTTTTAATCCCTTGCCTTCCTCACACTCTTCCCCCCGAGTCCCCAAAGTCCACTGTGTCATTCTTATGCCTTTGCATCCTCATAGCTTAGCTCCCACATATCAGTGAGAACACGTGATGTTTGGTTTTTCATTTCTGAGTTACTTCACTTAGAATAATAGTCTCCAATCTCAGCCAGGTCACTGCATATGCTGTTAATTCACTCCTTTTTATGGCTGCGTAGTATTCCATCACACACACACATATATATATACACCACAGTTTCTTGATCCACTCATTGGCATTTGGGTTGGTTCCACAATTTTGCAATTGTTAATTGTGCTGCAATAAACATGCTTGTGCAAGTATCTTTTTCAAATAATGACTTCTTTTCCTCTGGGTGGATACCTAGTAATGGGATTGCTGGATCAAATAGTAGTTTTACTTTTAGTTCTTTAAAGAATCTCTACACTCTTTTCCATAGTGGCTGTACTAGTTTACATTCCCAACAGCAGTGTAGAAATGTTTCCTTTTCACTGTATCCATGCCAACATCTACTGTTTTTTGGTTTTTTGATTATGGCCATTCTTGCAGGAGTATTGCATGGTGGTTTTGATTTGCATTTCCCTGATCATTAGTGTGTGATGTTGAACATTTTTTCATTTGTTTGTTGGCCATTTGTCTATCTTCTTTTGAAAATTGTCTGTTCATGTCCTTGGCCCATTTTTTGATGTGATTGTTTGTTTTTTTCTTACTGATTTGTTAGAGTTCGTTGTAGACTCTGGATATTAGTCCTTTGTCAGATGTATAGATTGTTAAGATCTTCTCCTACTCTGTGGGTTGTCTGTTTACTCTGCTGACTGTTCCTTTTGCCATGCAAAAGCTCTTTAGTTTAATTAGGTCCCAGCTATTTATCTTTGTTTTTATTGCATTTACTTTTGGGTCATGAAATCCTTGCCTAAGCCAAAGTCTAGAAGGGGTTTTCCAATGTTATCTTCTAGAATTTTTATAGTTTCACATCTTAGGTTTAAGTCATTAATCCATCTTTAGTTGATTTTTGTATAAGGTGAGAGATGAGGATCCAGTTTCATTCTCCTACAGGTGGCTAGCCAATTATCCCAGCACTATTTGTTGAAAAGGTTATCCTTTCCCCACTTTATGTTTTTTGTTTGCTTTGTTGAAGATCAATTGACTGTAAGCATTTGGGTTTATTTTTGGGTTCTATATTCTGTTCCATTGATCTATGTGCCTATTTTTATACCAGTACCATGCTGTTTTGGTAACTATGGCCTTATAATATAGTTTGAAATAAAGTAGTGTGATACCTCCAGATTTGTTCTTTTTACTTTATCTTGCTTTGGCTATGTGGGTTATGGGCTCATTTTTGGTTCCATATGAATTTTAGAATTGTTTTTTCTAATTCTGTGAAGAATGATGGTGGTATTTTGATGGGGATTGCGTTGAATTTGTAGATTGCTTTTGGCAGTATGGTCATTTTCACAATACTGAGTCTACCCATCCATGAGCATGGGTTGTGTTAACATTTGTTTGTGTTGTGTTAACATTTGTTTGTGTTGTCTATGATTTATTTCAGCAGTGTTTTATAGTTGTCCTTGTAGAGGTCTTTCGACTCCTTTGTTAGGTATATTCTTAAGTATTTTTTTTGCAGCTATCGTAAAAGGGGTTGAGTTCTTGATTTGATTCTCCACTTGGTTGCTGTTGGTGTGCAGAAGAGCTACTGATTTTCGTACATTAATCTTGTATCTGGAAACTTTGCTGAATTCTTTTATCAGTTCTAGGAGCTTTCTGGAGGAGCCCTTAGGGTTTTCAAGGTAAATGATCTTATAGTCAGCAAACAGTGACAGTTTGACTTCCTCTTTACTGATTTGGATGCTCTTTATTTCTTTCTCTTGTCTTATTGCTCTGGCTAGGACTTTCAATACTATGTTGAAGAGGAGTGTTGAGAGTGGGCATCCTTGTCTTGTTCCAGTTCTCAGAGGGAATGCTTGCAACTTTTCCCCATTCAGTATTATGTTGGCTGTGGGTTTGTCATAGATAGCTTTTATTACATTAAGGTATGTCCCTTGTATGCTGATTTTGCTGAGAGTTTTAATCATAAAGTGATGCTGGATTTTGTCAAACTCTTTTTCTGCATCTACTGAGATGATCATGTGATTTTTGTTTTAAATTCTGTTTATGTGGTGTATCACATTTATTGACTTGCGTATGTTAAACCATCCCTTCATCCCTGGTATGGAACCCACTTGATCATAGTGGATTCTCTTTGTGATATGTTGTTGGATTTGGTTAGCTAGTATTTTGTTAAGGATTTTAGCATCTGTGTTCATCAAGGATATCAGTCTGTAGTTTTCTTTTTTGGTTATGTCCTTTCCTGGTTTTGGTATTAGGGTCATGTTGGCTTCATAGAATGAATTAAGGAGGGTTCCTTCCTGTTTCTCTATCTTGTGGAATAGTGTCAAAAGGATTGGCACCAATTCTTCTTTGAATGTCTAGTAGAATTCATCTGTGAATCCGTCTGGTCCTGGACTTTCTCTTGTTGGTAATTTTTTAATTAGCATTTCAATCTCGCTGCTTGTTAGTGGTCTGTTCAGGGTATCTAATTCTTTCTGATTTAAGCTAGGAGGGTTGTATTTTTCCAGGAATTTATCCATCTCTTCTAGGTTTTCTAGTTTATGTGTGTAAAGGTGTTTATAGTACCCTTGAATAATCTTTTGAATTTCAGTGGTGTCAGTTGTAGTATCTCCTGTTTCATTTCTTAGTGAGGTTATTTGGATTTTCTTTCTTCTTGGTTAATCTTGCTAATGGTCTACAATTTTATTTATCTTTTCAAATAACCAGCTTTTTGTTTCATTTATCTTTTGTATTGGTTTCTTCTTTGTTTGTTTTTTGAGAGGGAGTTTCACTCTATTGCCCAGGCTAGAGTGCAGTGGTGCGATCTTGGCTCACTGCAACCTCCACCTCCCAGGTTCAAGTGATTCTCCTGCCTCAGCCTCCTGAGTAGCTGGGATTACAGGCGTGTGCCACCACTCCTGGCTAATTTTTGTATTTTTAGTAGAGATGGGTTTTCCCCATGTTGGTCAGGCTGTTCTGGAACTCCTGACCTCAGGTGATCCACCTGCCTCGGCCTCCCAAAGTGCTGGGATTACAGGCTTGAGCCACTATGCCCAGCTTGTATTGTTTTTTTTTGTTGTTGTTTCAATTTCATTTAGCTCTGGTCCGATCTTGGTTATTTCTTTTATTCTGCTGGGTTAGGGTTTGGTTTGTTCTAGTTTCTCTAGTTCCTTGAGGTGTGACCTTAGATCGTCTGCTTGTGCTCTTTCAGACTTTTTGATGTAGGTGTTTAGGGCTGTGAACTTTCCTCTTAGCACTGCCTTTGCTGTATCCCAGAGGTTTCTTTTTTTTTTGAGATGGAGTCTCGCTGTGTCACCAGGCTGGAGTGCAATGGTGCGATCTCGGCTTACTGCAACCTCCGCCTCCCGGGTTCCAGTGATTCTCCTGCCTCAGCCTCCCAAGTAGCTGGGATTACAAGTGCCACCACACCCAGCTAATTTTTGTATTTTTAGCAGAGACGGGGTTTCACCATGTTGGCCGGGATGGTCTCGATCTCTTGTCCTCATGATCCGCCTGACTCGGCATCCCAAAGTGGTGGGATTTCAGGTGTGAGCCACTGCATCCGGGCCCAGAGGTTTTGATAGGTTGTGTTATTATTGTCATTCAGTTTGAAGAATTTTTAAATTTCCATCTTGATTTCGTTTTTGACTCAATGCTCATTCAGGAGCAGGTTATCTAATTTCCATGTATTTGCGTGGGTTTGAGGGCTCCTTTTGGAGTTGATTTCCAGTTTTATTCCACTGTGGTTTGAGAGAGTGCTTGACATAATTTCAATTTTCTAAAATTTATTGAGGCTCGTTTTATGGCCTATCATATTATGGTCTGTCTTGGAGAAAGTTCCATGTGCTGTTGAATAGAATGTATATTCTGTGGTTGTTGGATGAAATATTCTGTATGTATCTGTTAAGTCCATTTGTTCCAAGGTATTATTTAAATCCTTTGTTTCCTTGTTGACTTTCTGTCTTGATGGCCTGTCTAGTGTTGTCAGTGGAGTATTGAAGTCCCCCACTATTATTGTGTTGCTATCTCGTTTCTTAGGTCTGTTAGTAATTGTTTTATAAATTTGGGAGCTCCAGTGATAGGTGCATATGTTTAGGATGGTGATATTTTCCTGTTGGATGAGGCCTTTTACCATTATATAATGTACCTCTTTGTCTCTTTTAACCACTGTTGCCTTGAAGTTTATTTTGTCTGACATAAGAATAGCTACCCCTGCTGGCTTTTGGTGTCCATTTTCATGAAATGCCTTTTTTCCCCACCCCTTTACTTTAATTTTATGTGAGTCCTTTTGTGTTAGTTGAGTCTCCTGAAGGCAGCAGATAGTTGGTTGGTGAGTTCTTATCAATTCTGTGGTTCTGCATCTTCTAAGTGGAGCATTTAGGCCATTTACATTCAATGTTAGTATTGAAATGTGAGGTACTGTTGCATTCATCATGTGCTTTGTTGCCTGTGAACTTCGTTTTTTGTTTTGTTTTATTTTCTTTTGTTTTTGCTTTTTAACTTATATTTTTGTTTTATAGGTCCTGTGTGACTTATGCTTTAAAGAGGTTCTGTTTTGATGTGTTTCCAGGATTTGTTTCAAGATTTAGAGCTCCTTTTAGCAGTTCTTGTAGTGGTGGCTTGGTAATGGTGAATTCTCTCAGCATTTGTTTATCTGAAAATGACTGTATCTTTCCTTCATATATGATGCTTAGTTTCACTGCATACAAAATTCTTGGCTGATAACTGTTTTGTTTGGGGAGGCCAAAGATAGGGCCCCACTCCTTCTAGCTTGTAGGGTTTCTGCTGAGAAATCTACTGTTAATTTGATAGGTTTTCCTTTATAGGTTACCTGGTGCTTCTGTCTCACAGTTCTTAAAATTCTTTCCTTCATCTTAACTTTGGATAACCTGATGACAATGTGCCTAGGCAAAGATCTTTTTGCGATGAATTTTCAGGTGTTCTTTTTGCTTCTTGTATTTGGATATCTAGGTCTGTAGCAAGGCTGGGGAAGTTTTCTTCAATTATTCCCCCAAATATGTTTTCCAAGCTTTTAGAATTCTCTTCTTCCTCAGAAACACTAATTATTCTTAGGTTTGGTCATTTAACATAATCCCAGACTTCTTGGAGGCTTGGTTAATATTTTCTTATTCTTTTTTCTTTGCCTTTATTGGATTGGGTTAATTCGGAGACCTTGTCTTCAAGCTTTGAATTTCTTTCTTCTACTTGTTCAATTCTATTGCTGAGACTTTCCAGAGTATTTCACATTTCTACAAGTGTGTCAAAAGTTTCCTGAATTTTTTATTGTTTTTTTTCTTTAATCTGTTTCCTTGAATATTTCTCCTTTCACTTCTTGCATCATTTTTTGGATTTCCTTGCATTGGGCTTTGCCTTTCTCTGTTCCCTCCCTGATTAGCTTAATAACTAACCTCCTGAATTCTTTTTCAGGTAAATCAGGGATTTCTTCTTGGCTTGGATCCATTGCTGGTGAACTAGTGTGATTTTTGGGGAGGTGTTGAAGAGCCTTGTTTTGTCATATTACCGGGGTTAGTTTTCTGGTTCCTTCTCATTTGGGTAGCCTCTGTCAGAGGGAAGATCTAGGGCTGAAGGCTGTTGTTCAGATTCTTTTGTTGCATGAGGTGTTCCCTTGATGTATTACTCTCCCCCTTTTTCTATGGATGTGGCTTCCTGTGAGCCGAACTGCAGTAATTGTTGTCTCTCTTCTGGGTCTAGCTGCCCAGCGAGTCTACCTGCCCAGCGAGTCTACCTGGCTCTGGGCTGGTGGTGGGGGTTGTCTGCATAGAGTCCTGTGATGTGAACCATCTATGGGTCTCTCAGCCATGCTTACTAGTGCCTATTCCGGTGGAGGTGGTGGTGGGTGCAGTGGGCTCCGTGAGGGTTCTTAGCTTTGATGATTTAATGTTCTATTTTTGTGTTGGTTGGCCTCCTGCCAGGAGGTAGTGCTTTCCAGAAAGCATCAGCTATAGTAGTGTGGAGAGGGACCAGTGGTGGGCAGGGCCCTAGAACTCCCAAGATTATATGCCGTTTGTCTTCCGCTACCAGGGTAGATAGGGAAGGACCATTGGGTAGGGGTGGGGTTAGGCATGTCTGAGCTCAGACTCTCCTTGGGCAGGTCTTGCTGAGGCTGCTGTGGGGGATGAGGGTGAGATTCCCAGGTCACTGGAGTTATATACCTAGGAGGATTGTGGCTGCCTCTGCTGAGTCTTGCAGGTTGTCAGGGAAGTGGGGGAAAGCTGGCAGTCTTAGGCCTCACCCAGCTCCCATGCAAACTGAAGGGCCGGTCTCACTCCCACTGTGTCCTCCCCAACAGCCCCTAGTCTGTTTCCAGGTGGAGGGCAAGATGGGCTTGAAAACTGTCCCAATGCTATCCACCTTCCAGCTGAGAAAGAAAAGGGCTTTAGTTCTTCCCCTGTCTGTGAAGTCTGCACGCTGGATTCATGCCCTCCCCTGAGTTCTGGCCAGGAGGCTTCTCACCCCATTCAAATTGTTATAAAGTTAGGCTAGAGAATTCCTTCTCCCTGTGGAGTTTTACCCCCTGCTCCTCTGGCCACCCCCGCAATGGATCCCTGTGGTGCCAGGCAGGAACTAGCTGCTTGGGGACCCAGCGAGCCCCCAGGGCCTTTCTGCTGCTTCTTCTACCCCTGTATTTCACTTGGCTCTCTAACTTGACTCAGCTCCAGGAAAAGTCAGAAACTTCTCCTGCAAACAGACCTTCAACTTCTCCAGTGGGGGTGTGTGTTCAGGAAAGGAGGGTCTCCCTTTCCCACTTCTGCAGTTGGGGCACTCACATTATTTGGGCGTTTCTTGGGTCTTGCAGGGTCAGCCTGCTTTCTTCAGAGGGTCTCTGGGTCCTCTCGGGATTGCTGGTTCGTTCTTGCAGTCAATCTGGAGCTAAAATTCACAATGCAACCCTCTGCATGCTGCTCTGTCTGGAGCTGCAATCTAGTCCTGCCTCCCATCCACCATTATCCCAGGAGCTCTCCCTCAAAAACGTTTTTTTTAATTAGTTGGGTGTGGTAAAGCAGGACGATTGCTTGAGCCCAGGAGTTTGAAGCTGCAGCAATGATCATGCCACTGCACTCTAGCCTGGGTGACAGAGTGAGACCCTGACTCTAAAAAAAATTTTAAATAATAAAGATAAAATTAAAAACCAAACCATATACAAACCATAGCAAATCCCAATTTTAAAGACATTAAAATGTCACAAAACATCCATCTTAAAATTGAAGAAATACAGTAGTAATGCAGCAAGCTACAAACACTAGTGGTTTTGCTTGATTATTCTACTGGAATTTACAATGGACCTTCTAAAGAAATGGTACATTTCCAATGTTTTTGAAGCTCTCTGCATGTCCTTCTCATTCTTTTTTGTTTCCTCAAGTTAATCTCTACTCTAAATTTTGGGGCAATCATTTCTTTTTTTTCTTTACAAGATTTTACCACGTATATGTATATGTATCAGTAAACAATGTATTATTTGGTTTTGTCTGGTTTTGAATCTTAAAGAAATGGAATCATACCTCATGTATTCTTCTGTGATCTGCCCATTGTTTTTAATATCCATCCATGTTGATAGTTGCAATAGTTTATTCATTTTCACTACCATATAATATTTCATGGAATGCATATATCACAACATATTTATACATTCTATCATCAGTGTAAGTTGTTTAATGAGACACTGAGGGACTCAAAGGTTAGTTTCTCTGGTGTGCCATCCCAGGCTTTTGGCCTATCTGAAGTCTATTTCTGCACATGTACTTAATACTATTTTCTTCATATTTGTTCACAGTAGACTTCCCCTTCTTGAAATATATCCTGAAACATAGTCGAGTAATTACCTCTCTAGCCTCATTTCTTACCATTTCCTGTCATACACTTTATATTTCTGGCATAGCAAATTATTATAGTTCTGAAAACTGCAAGTTCACTGATATGATTTGGCTCTGTGTCCCCACCCAAATCTCATCTTGAATTGTACTCCCATAATTCCCCCATGTTGTGAGAGGGAGTTGGTGGGAGATAATTGAATCATGGGGGGCAGTTTCCCTCATGCTGTTCTCATAGTAGTGAATAAGTCTCATGAGATCTGATGGTTTTATCAGGGGCTTCTGCTTTTGCACCTTCCTCATTCTCTCTTTGCCTGCTGCCATCCATGTAAGATGGGACTTGCTGCTCCTTACCTTCTGCCATGGTTGTGAGGCTTCCCCAGCTACATGGAACTGTAAGTCCAATTAAACTCTTTCTTCTGTAAATTGCCCAGTCTCAGGTATGTTTTTATCAGCAGTGTGAAAACGGACTAATACATTCACCGTGCTCTTTTACCTTCAGGCCTTTGTCAGTTTTGCTGTCTTCCTGGAGTGCTCATCTCCTGCCTAATTCTTGCCCTCCTTTCAGGTGTCTCCTAGTTAAGGAAGCCTCCCTCCATGACATTCTAGTTTGGGGCTTTTCCTTAACAGAGGAGATGTCCTACTGTCATCTTAGGGGTTAGTCAGAGTTGCCTTTTGAAAGTGTCAAATATATTACAGAATAAAACCCCACAGTTGCACTTTGGTGCTGGGAAAGACTGTATGAAAGGTCTGTTTTATGTAGTTGTAGTTGTAATGAACAGGAAGCATGGAAATACCACTTAGAATTGTCAGTACCAACTTTTCAAATGTCTTTAGGTTAAGGCACAAATTACATACTTGTTGGTGAAAAAGAGCTGGATAAATTACATGTTATTTTCATTTGTGTTCGAGATTTTTACCTAAATTTCAGAATTTTTCTAAGAGCAACCAGACAAAACCCATCCTCTTTGCCTGGAGTTTGTTCTCTGGCATGGGAAACAAAGTCTCTCATTTGGTTCCCTCTCTGTGTTTATATCACTCTGGCTGCTTATCTGTTGGACATCTCACCAAAAAATACTTCAAGGGATGGGTGGATATGGGAAGTAAAAACCAAATTATTTGGTTACATACTTTTTAAAAAATAAGCTTTTCTTTTTAGAATAGTTTTAGATTTACATAAAAGTTGCAAAAACCCAACCTGAAGCCAAAGGGTGAGGGAACCTGTTTGATGTAATCTCTAAAGATTAGCCTTCTAGGGCATGGAATACGGTGGAAAAGAATGGAGAAAGTACAGTTTGGGTACAGTTTGAAGTTGCAGAAGCAAACTATACAGTTCAGTGATATTTAATTGTATAAATATGTAATTGTTTAATCATCTACTTTTGGGCATTTAGATTGATTCCAGATTTTCTTTTTGCTTATTATACACATTCTTTTATTTAAATCTTACATGTCTATTCCAATTTACATATGATACATTCATAGAAGTAGATTGTCTGGGCTCCGATTTTAAGATTTTTGATATATAACATCTCCAGAAGAATTTTTAGCAATTTACCTTCCACCTGCAGAATGTCAGAGAGCTTGTTTTTCTGTGTCCTCATTAATATTAGGTATTATCATTAGTCTTTGCCAGGTTAATAGAAAAATATCTTCCTGTTTTTATTTATATTTCTTTGGTTATAGTTAAATTTAAAAATAAAAAGATCTTTATTGGCCATCTGTGGCTTTGTTAAATTATCTCCTTGTTGTATAAAACACTTGCTTTCATTTGTGCCTGGTGCTCTTCAATCCACAGACCATCTGTTTTGCCCTCACCAGAGAATAAACGTTCAGCATTCTGCAGTGATCTTTACCATGGTTAGTTGACTAGAGTCTGGGGAAAGTTGTAGGGCTGTCTAACTCCTTAACAAGATTTTCAACCAGTGTTTTTAGTCCCACTTTTGCACCACTGCCCTTCTCCCTCTCATTTCTAGAGACACCTGTTGCTGCCAGTTCTTGAGATTTTTGGTGATTATGCAGTGTGATTTGCTTTGATTCTTTACTTTCTCCACTACCAGCTCAAATTTCTTGTATCTTCCATGTAGGTTGCTACTCTTCCATCTACTTTTTAGCTTCCTCATTTTTGTTGTGGTTGTCTCTTCTCCTAATCTCTTTGTCCTTACAGATTATGCCTTAAAAGCATATAATTCCCTCTACTTCATTTTAATGATCTTATTGGAGGATGTGGAGATACATTCTTGTGTTCAATCTTCCATCTTTAACAGGAAGACCTGAGTTGAAACTGTTTTACTGGGGCTTGTTAGGTTGGTAAATACTACAGATGTCTCATAGACCTGGAAAGATATAAAGAATTGCTATGTAGACCAGAGAGCCTCCAGGTTGCCTCAGATTAGTATGAGAAAGACCTCTTTATTGATGAAAATTCTTTCCACGACCTCTTGGAATATCTCTGCACTCATATTTATAAAGGTATTAAATGGTTGGGTTGCTTATGCAAAAATATTTGTGAATTTGTTCATTTGCATGCAATCGAATGACTCAGACAGGCACACATATAGCCACAATGTAGGTTAAGCCTCTCAGGAACATAGCAAAATATGGAATAACTGATGATGCATGAGCATTAGCAACCAGAATGGACAGTGGCTGAAGCAGGGTCCAAGAGGCCTTCTATGCTAGACCATCTCAGGAGGGACTAAGAGGTGGCAGGGTAAGGAAAGGAGGACACTTTGAGGACTTAGTAGAGCTGCTATGTGCCAACTAGTAAGGAAGTATTTTTATATTTTATAGTAGGTATGGCCATAATGGTGTGTATAAGTAATTATCAGTCTTTTCCCTTTTGCTTCAACTATGTTGCCCTTATATGAATTATTTTCCCTTTCTAGCAAGCTCTACATGTTGTCTGTCACTGTCTTATTTCCTCTGCTCAATGTCTTTCCCAACTTTCTACAGATGATGATTCCCATCTACAGACTCGAGCCTTCACCAATTCCTGAGGCAGTCCTGAAGATGGTGGCAGTCCAATCAGTAACACCAGCAACCTGATGCATGCTTTCCAAAAAGAGCTCAGGCTGCATAGGTAATCTCTGAGTTGCAGGTTTCCCTTCCATCCCTCAATCTTGGCTTTATGTGTAGAGTAGCCTTTGGCCTCAGTTTTCCTCCCCAGTATCTGTACCTCTGATATTTTTTGGTGCCTCCTATTTCCTTTGATTCCCCTCTTCCCCAGTCACTTCCTGTAGTATTGCTGCAAGTGGACAGACATAGCCTAGAGTCATGATATAGCTACCTATGTGGCTTTAGTTACACCTGTCATCTCAGCTCTGCTATCCATTCCTGGATTGCATTCCTTTAGCATTGATGCTTCCCCAATCTATGGCAAAGCTTTGCTGTGCCCTTTGGATGCTGTATTATACACTGTTTAGCTGCTTCTGCTTCCTTGGGACTATTGCATACTTTGTATTGGACAAATTATCTAAAAAAGTCAGTGTTCTATTAGCAAAGATAGAAGGCAGAGTGGCTGACAGGTTAGCTACCAAACAGCTTTTGGCATATCACCTACTGATATTGGAAGTTCCCAACTAGAAGGGCCCTGTAGAATATCTAATGACAGAGCTCACAGTGGGAAGTGTTACTCAGATACTCAGAGCTTCCAATTAGCTTTTTAGCCCCTCACTGTTAAATATGAGAAGGCAACCAAAGATTATCAGACATTTGAGGAAGGCTTTATATACAAAAGAAAGAAAACAAAACATACAAACATAAAAAATAATTTGGAAAAGATAAAGACAATGTAGGGAGAAGAATAACAATTTTAAATTATCATTAATATTCTTAGAGACATGAGGGAAGATATAATAATGAAAAAAGAGAACACTATAAAAGAATATTTACAGAATAAAAAGGAGGTCTTGGAAACTAAACATGTGATCACAAAAGCAATAAACTCAATGGAAGGATTAGGCAATAAAGTTGAAGACATCTCTGATGATAGAGCAAAAAGTAAAGGAAATGAAATATAAGAGTGAAAAGAAAAAAAATTAAGGCATTCTAGGAGGTCTAACACTTGAGGTTCCAAAAACAACTGGGAAAATAGAGCTGAGAAAACTGTCAGTGTAATAATTCAAGAAAATTCCCTGGAACTAAAAGAATCCATTTCAACCTAAGTTTGTAAGGTACATCACTGTGAAATTTCAGAACTCAGGAGACAAAGAGAAGATTCTATAAATTCCTAGAGAAAAAGAGAGGTTTTCTTTTTTAAAAAGGTCAAATACAACAGGCTAGGAATCAGAATGGCCTCAGATTTTTCAAAAGCAGTAGTAGAATCTAGGAGGCAATGGAGCAATGCCTTTAAAATTTAACCTAGAATTTTGTACCCAGCCAAATTATCAATCAAAAGTGAAGGCAGAATAAAGACATCTTAAGACATGCAAAATTTCATAGTTTACCTACCATGTAGACCTTTTCATACTCAGAAAGTTACTGGAGGATATGCTCCACCAAAACAAGGAAGAGGAAGACTTAGGGTACATGAAATGGGTGATACAGATGGGACCAAAGGAATTCCCAGGATTAATGATGTAGACTCTAGGATGAGGGTAATGCACTAAGGCATCGAAGGCAACTAGTTCAGATTGGAGCATTTCAGAAGACTCTGGAAAAGGCTTCTTTAAGAAGATGTAATTGATAGAATACATGATACATATGAATGTGTTAAACAGAGATTTAGGCTGCTCGCAAAGAGGTTAATTCAAATTCAAGCCAGAGAGAGAGCTGAAAGTGGATACAGACCTGCAGACTAGTTTAAGCAGGGCAGGAGATGTCAGCATAGGAGAGATACCCCCCAATAACAGGAAGGAGATTCCTTTGTTCCAAGAGCCAGATGGAATATTTGATCTTACTGGGCATTTATTGATATTGATATTTGGTTTCTCTATTCATCCTCATTTAAGAAAGAAGTTACCTCTAATGTCAAGGATATTACAATTACGGTTTTATCTTTTTTTTTTAGACAGAGTTTCGCTCTTGTTGCCCAGGAAGGAGTGCAATGGCACGATTTTGGCTCACTGCAACCTCCGCCTCCCAGGTTCAAGTGATTCTCCTGCCTCAGCTTCCCAAGTAGCTGGGATTACAGGCATGCGCCACCAGCCAGGCTAATTTTGTATTTTTAGTACAGATGGGGTTTTGCCATGTTGGCCAGGATGGTTTCGAACAGTTTTATTTTCAATTTCCATTAGCACCAAAAACATCAACCCCTTAGGCCTCAAATCTTAAAATTGTGTTATTTCTGTCCAGGCAGTTTCCCCCAAACAGACTTAGTTTCCCTGAAATACTGTGACATCAGTGACAGAAGTTATGTAACAGGTGAACATTCAGGAAACAATAATATCTGCCTTGGTGACTGTAGGTAGCTAATGGAATCTTTGCTGCAATTGCCAAGTTAGAGAAGCATTACTATAGTCTTGTTTTAGCATGCTACCAGATTTAAGTTGGTCTTTTTATGTCTCTGTTTATTTTAGGGTTGACTTGCTTGTTTTCTTATATCAGGGACTTCATAGTGATAACAACCATTTCTGTATCTCCACCTGCAATCACTTCATTTAATTCAGAACCTTCAACAACTATATGGAGATTTGTGGTCTTCTCCCTCCCCCTCTTGACTTCCCCTCCTGTGGTTTGCTCTTAGCTTTCCTACATAGGCAGAAGGGGTGTTAGGGCCCTTACTTTCTTGAAAAGAAAGAGAACAGATTCCAGGTTTTAAAAGACTATTGAGTAGGCGTAGTGGCTCACACCTGTACTCCCAGCACTTTGGAAGGCTGAGGGAGGATTGCTTGAACTTGGGAGGTCAAGATTGCAGTGAGCCAGGATTGCACCACTCCATTCCAGCCTGGACAACAGGCTTTTTCTTTCTTTTTTTTTTTTTTAAGAAAAAGAAAGAAATCCTGGCTGCAGCTGCTTTGCATTTACTGATTGACTATTTCATGCCCACTATTTATAGAGCAGTGCTTCTTAAAGTTTAAAGTACATACAACTCACCTGTGAGAATTTTGTTGAAATGCAGATGATTCCAATTCTGGGGTAGAATTTGAGAGTCTATTTCTAACAATCTCCCAGGCAATGCTGCTGCTGCTGGTATATGGACTACACTTTGAGTAGCAAGGATAAAGACCACAAATACTCAAAAGTATTAAGAAATTTGGGAGAAAAAGTATTTGGGCTTTGTTTATAAGTATCAAGCATGATTATGTGGAAAGGAACAATGGCTACCTGCTGTCTGTTCAGTATAGCTTAATGTGTTAAAAATCATATTTTATTTCAGATAATATATTAGCTGCTGTAGATCTTAGACCTGGAAATTACTGGCACTTCAGCTGGCGTAATTCTCCCTTAGATACTAGAGATCTGTTCTTCTGAGCTAGCAACGTGCAAGTATATTCTTTTAGAAGTAAAGAGTAGAGAAAGGACAGAGATAGCAGAGAGGATGTTAAGATGGAGATGGATCAACAATATTACCTGCCAAGAGCTCAAACTCAAATTTCACAAGGTTTTGGGTACATAAGAATCAGCTAGGGTACTTGAAAACAGTGCAGATCACTAGGCTGTGTGCTTAGAGATCCTAATTTGATAGGTCTGGTAGTGGGAGAGGGGAGGCAAGGATATGTATTTTAAAGAAGCACCCCAAGTGAATCTGAGGCAGTTGGTCCCTGGACCATGATTTGAGAAACATTGCATTAGAAAGACTGGTGGTAGTCTCTGTAGGAAAAGAAAAAACATATAATCACAGCCAGGAAAATATTTCCATCTATTTTGATTGGAGTCTTTTTGAGTTATAGGAGAGAAATAAAAGATATCACCCCTGGTCAGTGAGCAGACAGTTCTAGGTTATGTGTAACTATAAATTAGGCAGCTATAAACTCTGTATCAGCACTCTGAGGCAGAACTGATGTCCACAATTCATAGGAACATGGAGTTTTAGAGCTGATAGGAACCATAGAGGCTTTCCAACTCTTTTAGCTGTGACCCATAGTAAGGGATGTACTCTGATTTTTTTGTTCTGTTTAAATTAAAAAAAAATCTGGTCATGATCTATTATATTGATTTTAGCTAGTATGTTATAATTTACTACTTCAGAAACACCAGTCTAGTGCAGTCACTTCATTTAACAAATAAGAAACAAGCTTCGAGAGGTAAAATGACGTGTCCAAAAGTCACACAGCTGTGAATAGTAGATCTCAGAGCTAGAAGTCACATCTGAGGCTTTTAGTCCAATAGCCTGTCCACCATGGTCTACCATATATCTAAGTGTTTGTTTTGTTGATCTTAGCCTGTTTTTTCTCAGGACAAAGTGGTTTATTTGTATCTACTAGATTGCCTATCTAGCTGAAACATTTTGAAGAGTACAAATGTCTTTTCACTAAATGAACCACTAGATGGTAGTGTAAACTCTTCTGATGGTGGACTGTTCAATTGAGCCAAGGTGAATTCTGGTTTGTGTATTGCACATTTATCTTATAATGCTGTAGACTGCTATTCTCTATGTATAAGTTGAGCTTTATGCCCATCTTGAAGAAACTGTTTTACATTATTTTACAAGCAGGATACATTTTGTTATTTGGTATATCTTTTTTTCATTTGTGTGAAAGAGAGATTTAGAAAAACAAACTTAAGTCTTAGTGCAGTGGCTCACACCTGTAATCCCAGCACTTTAAGAGGCCGAGGCAGGAGGATCACTTGAGTCCAGGAGCTCAAGACCAACTTGGGCAAGAATAGGGAGATCCCTGTCTCTACAAAAAATTAAAAACAAACAGGCTGGGTGCAGTGGCTCACACTTGTAATCCCAGCACTTTGGGAGGCCAAGACAGGTGGGTCACCTGAGGTCAGGAGTTTGAGACTAGCCTGGCCAACATGATGAAACCCTGTCTCTACTAAAAATACAAAAATGAGCTGGGCATGGTGGCAAGTGCCTGTAATCCTAGCTACTTGGGAGGCTGAGGCAGGAGAATCTCTTTAACCCAGGAGGCGGAGGTTGCAGTGAGCCAAGATTGCACCACTGCACTCCAGCCTGGGTGACAGAGCAAGACTCTGTCTCAAAATAAAAAATAACTAAATAAATAAAAATAAAAACAAACAAACACATATGTTCCCAATATCCCCCAAAGAGCCCTCTTGTTTTGTGTTCAACAAATTTTTCTTTTCCAGATTCTGATTTTATACGACTTTAAATAATTAGTTTCTATTATTTCTATTATTCCAGGTTGAAAACTAAATTTCTTTTAGTATAGAAAATCTATGTGGGCCCTTTCAGATTTGAAATAAGCAAACAAAAACTCCAAACAACTTTATATTTATCATCTCCTAAGAAACACTCTACTTTATAAGATTTGTTTTCTTTAGTTATAGCAAGGTTGGCAGCATAAACTATGCATGTACTAGGAGCTTTTGAGGGAGGCGAATATGAACACAATGCTACTTGCAGGGGCTTCAGCGTCAGTCAGGTAGGCTGAAGAGTTGAACCCTTCTTCACAGCTTAAACCTGAAGAAAAAGAAGGAGTCAGATGGGTTGTCCTTGACACATACTCCTTTTATCCCTTTTTCCCTCCTCCTACTCAAGTTCTCCTTTTGTACAAGAAAGAAAAGTGGATTCAAGGACATAGGAAAGAGGAAAGGATAAAACATGTGATAGTTTGGCCAGGCGCAGTGGCTCATGCCTGTAATCCCAGCACTTTGGGAAGCCAAGGCAGGTGGATCCCTTGAGCTCAGGAGTTCAAGACCAGCCTCGGCAACATAGTGAAACCCTGTCTCTACAAAAAATACAAAAATTAGCCAGGCATGGTGGTGCATGTCTGTAGTCCCAGCTACTAGGGAGACTGAGGAGGGAGGATTGCTTGAGCCTGGGAGGTCAAGGCTGCAGTGAGTCATGAGTGTGCTACTGCTCTCCAGGCTAGGAACAGAGCAAGACTTTGTCTAAAAAAAAAAAAAAAAAAGATGGTTAAATTTATGTGTCAATTTGGCTGGGCCACAAAGCCCAGATATTTGGTCAAATATTATTCTAGATGTTTCTGTGAGGGTGTTTTTCAATAAGATTAACATTTAAATTGGTGGAGTTTGAGTTAAGCAAATTGCCCTCCATAATGGGGGTGGGCCTCATCCAATCAGTTGAAGGCTCTAATAGAACAAAGACTGATTGAGCAAGAAGGAACTCTGCCAGCAGACTGCCTTTGGTCTCTAATTGCAATTCTTACCTAAGTCTCCAGCCTGCTAGTCTATCTCATCCAATTTTGGACTCACTAAGCCTCCATAATCACATGAGCCAATTTCTTAAAATAACCCTCCCTTTCTCTCTATCACATCTTGTTGGTTCTGTTTCTCTGGAGACCCCTGACTAGTACACAAAGTAAAAGGTTAGGTAAGCTAGGGGACTTCAAAATGATTAACCTACCTTACAAATGAAAAATGGAATGAAAACAAATGGAAAAATAATTAGTACACTACTATTCTTCCCTCTGTCCCTCTCCCACAACTTCCACTTCTCTGAAGCCTTGACAAATGCAGGGACTAATTCTGTTTTCTGCACCGTTGTATCCATGTTGTTCACTATAATTTTTGCCATATCCTAGGCTCTTGTAAGTATTTTTTTGGCTGGATAAATGAATTGTTAGGAGTCTTAATTGTAGAACTGGGGGAAGGACTCATGCTAGTGTCACAGGAGCATGAAATTCAATGCAATTCTGATCAAAGTCTCAATTGTGTATTTAAGCCCTAAGAGCTAATTTTAAAATTCATATGTAAATGCAAAATATCAAGAATGGACAAGCCATTTTTGAAGAAATACAGGTTGGGAGGCTTGCTATACTGGAATCCTGGGTATTAGGATTTATAAAGCTACGTGTTCAAAGATAGACAAATAGATTAATGGAATAGAATAGAGAGTAAGAAATAGATCTTTGCATATATGGAAACTTAAAGCAAATCAGTGGAGAAAGAGTAGATGTTTGAATAAATGATGCCAAGGAAGTTGACTATCCATCCATGTGATAAAAATGAATTCTAGGTGCATTGATTTATTTTTTTAATTAAAAAACATTTTTTGAGACTGAGTCTTGTTCTGTTGCCCAGGCTAGAGTGAAGTGGCGCACTCTCAGCTCACTGTAACCTCTGCCTCCTGGGTTCAAGCGATTCTCCTGCCTCAGCCTCCCGAGTAGCTGGAATTACAGGCACCTGCCACCACGCCTGGCTAACTTTTGTATTTTTAGTAGAGATGGGGTTTCACCATGTTGGCCAGGCTGGTCTCAAACTCCTGACCTCAAGTGATCCACCTGCCTCAGCCTCCTGAAGTGATGGTATTACAGACGTGAGCCACTGCACCCCTTGTAGGTACATTAAGATTTAAATGTGAAAGACAAAATTATGAAATTGTTAGCAATGATATAGAAAAATGTCTTAATGACTTGAAGTAGGAGAGAATTTCTTAAATAAGAGAAAAAAGGACAAACCATAAAGGAAAAGATTCATAAATTCAACTCTATTAAGAATTTTTATTTACCAAAATACAGCAAAGAGAATGAAAACACAGGCACAAACTGGGAAAAGACATTTACAGTTGATGTAACTGACAAAAGGTCAGTACCCAGGATATACACATAACTTTTATATATCTTTTTCTAAGAGTCAATAGAAAATGGGCAAAACCTTGAATAGGCATTTCATAGTAGAGGAAAGCAGAATAGCCAATTAACCTATTAAAATATTCTACCTCATTAGTAATTAAGGAAATGCAAATTAAAACCATAACATAATACCATGTTACCCCACCCATGAGACTGGCAAAAATTAAATCTAACAATAAATAGTGTTGGTGAGAAGATGAAGCAAGAGGAACACATATACTTTGAGTGAGCATATAAACTGGTATAACCACTTTGAAAAAAATGTGGCATAAAAATGCTTATACCAACCATGATTCAGCAGTCCCACCCCCTAGAGAAACACTTGCACATTTGCACTGAGAGACATGTGAAGGAAGTGCAGGAATGTTCATAGCAGTGCAGTTTGTAATAGCAAGAAATGGAAACCAACTCAAATGTTTATTGACAGGTATAAGCCTCCCTGTTCATGAACAAGGAGGAAGGATGTTATGACTATCCCAACTGTTATATAGTTCATGAACAGTGTCTGCCATTTCATCTAACAGGAAAATTCAAAATAAATTGTTTCTTAAACTCAAGAAATGTTAACATGGTTTATTATGTTCCTTCTTTTTCCTTCCACTTTAAAAATAATTCACAAGCATTTAGGGATAAAGAGTACAGCGTCAACAACTGGCTATAAAAGAGGAATAATTTGCTGAATTGAATCTCTGCATTTTGGCAAGTCTAGAGTGGGAGTATACATGAAAAGATTTTTAAAGGCAATTTCAAGACTGACTTTGAGATCAGTTTGTCAGTCTCTAACTTGCATACGTACTCCATCTTCCTTTTGAAGCTGACTTACACCCTGGTAAAATGAGAACACAAAGGCCACGTGGAGGGTGTGGTCAGTTGTTTCTGCAATGGTAGCAGGCTAATGCCTGAGAGGACTACCTTTCTCTCATAGCTGAGCCTACTTCAGTAATTAATGAATAGAGCAGCAGTTGTAGGAATTGTTCATTTACCATCCATCAAATTATAACAGCTTTTCTAGTGAAGGCAGCAGTGTCAGGGTGAATATTTTCTCCATGTAGCTCACATATTTAAGAGTGCCCTTAAGAAAACCTAATTTTATCCACATCGTTAAAAGAATTGAATCTTACTCGTCTTTATTTATGCTCCAGATAGAAGCTATATTTCTATGTTTTTTAAAAGAAAGAAAGAAAACTCTAGGGGGAAACAGGGAGACGGGGAAGGGGAGGAGAGTCATGTTTCATATTCTAAAGAAAGAAAATATTGGAGACATTTTAGGTTGTTGTATTATGCAAAACAATAAACCCCAAGCAAACAGTCAAATACTGGAGGGGTCAGACACACTTGGCTTCTAAACCATTGTGCTTTGGGATGCCGAGCAGCAGATTCTTTTTTTCTTTTTTTAATTTTATTATTATTATACTTTAAGTTCTAGGGTACATGTGCACAGCGTGCAGGTTTGTTACATATGTATACATGTGCCATGTTGGTGTGCTGCACCCATCAACTCATCATTTAGCATTAGGTATATCTCCTAATGCTATCCCTCCCCCATCCCCTCACCCCACACCAGTCCCCAGTGTGTGATGTTCCCCTTCCTGTGTTCATGTGTTCTCATTGTTCAATTCCCACCTATGAGTGAGAACATGCGGTGTTTAGTTTTTTGTCCTTGTGATAGTTTGCTGAGAATGATGGTTTCCAGCTTCATCCATGTCCCTACAAAGGACATGAACTCATCATTTTTTATGGCTGCATATTCATGGTATACACGTATTCCGTGGTGTATATGTGCCACATTTTCTTAATCCAGTCTACCATTGTTGGACATTTGGGTTGGTTCCAAGTCTTTGCTATTGTGAATAGTGCCGCAATAAACATACATGTGCATGTGTCTTTATAGCAGCATGATTTATAATCCTTTGGGTATATACCCAGTAATGGGATGGCTGGGTCAAATGGTATTTCTAGTTCTAGATCCCTGAGGAATCGCCACACTGACTTCCACAATGGTTGAACTAGTTTACAGTCCCACCAACAGTGTAAAAGCGCTCCTATTTCTCCACAGCTTCTACAGCATCTGTTGTTTCCTGACTTTTTAATGTTCACCATTCTAACTGGTGTGAGATGGTATCTCATTGTGGTTTTGATTTGCATTTCTCTGATGGCCAGTGATGATGAGCATTTTTTCATGTGTCTATTGGCTGCATAAATGTCTTCTTTTGAGAAGTGTCTGTTCATATCCTTTGCCCACTTTTTGATGTGGTTGTTTGTTTTTTTCTTGTAAATTTGTTAAAGTTCATTGTAGATTCTGAATATTAGCCCTTTGTCAGATGAGTAGGTTGCAAAAATTTTCTCCCATTCTGTAGGTTGCCTGTTCACTCTGATGGTAGTTTCTTTTGCTGTGCAGAAGCTTTAGTTTAATTAGATCCCCTTTGTCAATTTTGGCTTTTGTTCCCATTGCTTTTGGTGTTTTAGACATGAAGTCCTTGCCCATGCCTACGTCCTGAATGGTATTGCCTAGGTTTTCTTCTACAGTTTTTATGGTTTTAGGTCTAACATGTAAGTCTTTAATCCATCTTGAATTAATTTTTGTATAAGGTGTAAGGAAGGGATCCAGTTTCAGCTTTCTACATATGGCTAGCCAGTTTTCCCAGCACCATTTATGAAATAGGGAATCCTTTCCTCATTTCTTGTTTTTGTCAGGTTTGTCAAAGATCAGATAGTTGTAGATATGCAGCATTATTTCTGAGGACTCTGTTGTGTTCCATTGGTCTATATCTCTCTTTTGGTACCAGTACCATGCTGTTTTGGTTACTGTAGCCTTGTAGTATAGTTTGAAGTCAGGTAGCATGATGCCTCCAGCTTTGTTCTTTTGGCTTAGGATTGTCTTGGCAATGTGGGATCTTTTTTGGTCCCATATGAACTTTAAAGAAGTTTTTTCCAATTCTGTGAAGAAAGTCATTGGTAGCTTGATGGAGATGGCATTGAATCAATAAATTACCTTGGGCAGTATGGCCATTTTCATGATATTGATTCTTCCTACCCATGAGCATGGAATGTTGTTCCATTTGTTTGTATCCTCTTTTATTTCATTGAGTAGTGGTTTGTAGTTCTCCTCGAAGAGGTCCTTCACATCCCTTATAAGTTGTATTCCAAGGTATTTTATTCTCTTTGAAGCAATTGTGAATGGGAGTTCACTCATGATTTGGCTCTGTGTTTGTCTGTTATTGGTGTATAAGAATGCTTGCGATTTTTGCACATTGATTTTGTATCCTGAGACTTTACTGAAGTTGCTTATCAGCTTAAGGAGATTTTGGGCTGAGACGATGGGGTTTTCTAAACATACAATCATGTCATCTACAAACAGGGACAATTTGACTTCCTCTTTTCCTAATTGAATGCTCTTTATTTCCTTCTCCTGCCTGATTGCCTTGGCCAGAATTTCCAACACTATGTTGAATAGGAGTGGTGAGAGAGGGCATCCCTGTCTTGTGCCAGTTTTCAAAGGGAATGCTTCCAGTTTTTGTCCATTCAGTATGATATTGGTTGTGGGTTTGTCATAGATAACGCTTATTATTTTGAGATACGTCCCATCAATACCTAATTTATTGAGAGTTTTTAGCATGAAGTGTTGTTGAATTTTGTCAAAGGCCTTTTCTGCATCTATTGAGATAATCGTGTGGTTTTTGTCTTTGGTTCTGTTTATATGCTGGATTATGTTTGTTGATTTTCATATGTTGAACCAGCCTTGCATCCCAGGGATGAAGCCCACTTGATCATGGTGGATAAGCTTTTTGATGTGCTGCTGGATTTGGTTTGCCAGTATATTACTGAGGATTTTTGCATCAATGTTCATCAAGGATATTGGTCTAAAATTCTCTTTTTTTGTTGTGTCTCTGCCAGGCTTTGGTATCAGAATGATGCTGGCTTCATAAAATGAGTTAGGGAGGATTCCCTCTTTTTCTATTGATTGGAATAGTTTCAGAAGGAATGGTACCAGCTCCTCCTTGTACTTCTGGTAGAATTCGGCTGTGAATCCATCTGGTCCTGGACTTTTTTTGGTTGGTAAACTATTAATTATTGCCTCAATTTCGGAGCCTGTTATTGGTCTATTCAGAGATTCAACTTCTTCCTGGTTTAGTGTTGGGAGGGTGTTTGTGTCGAGGAATTTATCCATTTCTTCTAGATTTTCTAGTTTATTTGCGTAGAGGTGTTTATAGTATTCTCTGATGGTAGTTTGTATTTCTGTGCGATCAGTGGTGATATCCCCTTTATCATTTTTTATTGTGTCTATTTGATTCTTCTCTCTTTTCTTCTTTATTAGTCTTGCTAGCAGTCTATCAATTTTGTTGATCCATTCAAAAAACCAGCTCCTGGATTCATGGATTTTTTGAAGGGTTTTTTGTGTCTCTATCTCCTTCAGTTCTGCTCTGATCTTAGTTATTTCTTGCCTTCTGCTAGCTTTTGAATGTGTTTGCTCTTGCTTCTCTGGTTCTTTTAATTGTGATGTTAGGGTGTCAATTTTGGATCTTTCCTGCTTTCTCTTGTGGGCATTTAGTGCTGTAAATTTCCCTCTACACACTGCTTTGAATGTGTCCCGGAGATTCTGGTATGTTGTGTCTTTGTTCTCATTGGTTTCAAAGAACATCTTTATTTCTGCCTTTATTTTTTTATGTACTCAGTAGTCATTCAGGAGCAGGTTGTTCAGTGTCCATGTAGTTGAGTGGTTTTGAGTGAGATTCTTAATCCTGAGTTCTAGTTTGATTGCACTGTGGTCTGAGAGACAGTTTGTTATAATTTCTGTTCTTTTACATTTGCTGAGGAGTGCTTTACTTCCAGCTATGTGGTCAATTTTGGAATAGGTGTGGTGTGGTGCTGAAAAGAATGTATATTCTGTTGATTTGGGGAGGAGAGTTCTGTAGATGTCTATTAGGTCCGCTTGGTGCAGAGCTGAGTTCAATTCCTGGATATCCTTGTTAACTTTCTGTCTCGTTGATCTGTCTAATGTTGACAGTGGGGTGTTAAAGTCTCCCATTATTATTGTGTGGGAGTCTAAGTCTCTTTGTAGGTCACTAAGGACTTGCTTTATGAATCTGGGTGCTCCCATATTGGGTGCATATATATTTAGGATAGTTAGCTCTTCTTGTTGAATTGATCCCTTTACCATTATGTAATGGCCTCCTTTGTCTCTTCTCATCTTTGTCGGTTTAAAATATGTTTTATCAGAGACTAGGATTGCAATCCCTGCCTTTTTTTGTTTTGCATTTGTTTGGTAGATCTTCCACCCTCCCTTTATTTTGAGCCTATGTGTGTCTCTGCATGTGAGATGGGTCTCCTGAATACAGCACACTGATGGGTCTTGACTCTTTATCCCATTTGCCAGTCTGTGTCTTTTAATTGGAGCATTTAGCCCATTTACATTTAAGGTTAATATTGTTATGTGTGAATCTTATCCTGTCATTATGATGTTAGCTGGTTATTTTGCTCGTTAGTTGATGCAGTTTCTTCCTAGCCTCGATGGTCTTTACAATTTGGTATGTTTTTGCAATGGCTGGTACCAGTTGTTCCTTTCCATGTTTAGTGCTTCCTTCAGGAGCTCTTTTAGGGCAGGCCTTGTGGTGACAAAATCTCTCAGTATTTGCTTGTCTGTAAAGGATTTTATTTCTCCTTCACTTATGAAGCTTAGTTTGGCTGGATATGAAATTCTGGGTTGAAAATTCTTTTCTTTAAGAATGTTGAATATTGGCCCCCACTCTCTTCTGGCTTGTAGAGTTTCTGCCGAGAGATCCGCTGTTAGTCTGATGGGCTTCCCTTTGTGGGTAACCCGACCTTTCTCTCAGGCCGCCCTTAACATTTTTTCCTTCATTTCAACTTTGGTGGATCCGACAATTATGTGTCTTGGAGTTGCTCTTCTCAAGGAGTATCTTGTTGGCATTCTCTGTATTTCCTGAATTTGAATGTTGGCCTGCCTTGCTAGATTGGGGAAGTTCTCCTGGATAATATCCTGCAGAGTGTTTTCCAACTTGGTTCCATTCTCCCTGTCACTTTCAGGTACACCAGTTAGACATCGATTTGGTCTTTCCACATAGTCCCATATTTCTTGGAGGCTTTGTTCGTTTCTTTTTATTATTTTTTCTATAAACTTCTCTTGTCACTTCATTTCATTCATTTCGTCTTCCATCACTGATACCCTTTCTTCCAGTTGATCGCATCGGCTACTGAGGCTTGTGCATTGGTCACGTAGTTCTTGTGCCATGGTTTTCAGCTCCATCAGGTCCTTTAAGGACTTCTCTGCATTGGTTATTCTAGTCAGCCATTCGTCTAATTTTTTTTCAAGGTTTTTAACTTCTTTGCCATTGGTTCGAACTTCCTCCTTTAGCTCGGAGTAGTTTGATCTTCTGAAGCCTTCTTCTCTCAACTCATCAAAGTCATTCTCCATCCAGCTTTGTTGCATTGCTGGTGAGGAGCTGCGTTCCTTTGGAGGAGGAGAGGCACTCTGATTTTTAGAGTTTCCAGTTTTTCTGCTCTGTTTTTTCCCCATCTTTGTGGTTTTATCTACCTTTGGTCTTTGATGATGGTGACATACAGATGGGTTTTTGGTGTGGATGTCCTTTCTGTTTGTTAGTTTTCCTTCTAACAGTCAGGACCTTCAGCTGCAGGTCTGTTGGATTTTGCTGGAGGTCCACTCCAGACCCTGTTTGCCTGGGTTTGAGCAGCGGTGGCTGCAGAACAGTGGATATTGGTGAACCTCAAATGCTGCTGCCTGATCGTTGGTTGCTCTGGAAGTTTTGTCTCAGAGGAGTACCCGGCCATGTGAGGTGTCAGTCTGCCCCTACTGGGGGATGCCTCCCAGTTAGGCTACTCGGGGGTCAGGGATCCACTTGAGGAGGCAGTCTGCCTGTTCTCAGATCTCAAGCTGCGTGCTAGGAGAACCACTACTCTCTTCAAAGCTGTCAGACAGGGACATTTAAGTCTGCAGAGGTTACTGCTGCCTTTTGTTTGTCTGTTCCCTGCTCCAGAGGTGGATCCTACAGAGGCAGGCAGGCCTCCTTGAGCTGTGGTGGGCTCCACCCAGTTCGAGCTTCCTGGCCACTTTGTTTACCTACTGAAGCCTGGGTAATGGCAGGCGCCCCTCCCCCAGCCTCATTACCACCTTGCAGTTTTATCTCAGCCTGCTGTGCTAGCAATGAGTGAGGCTCCATGGGCATAGGAACCTGTGAGCCAGGTGTGGGATATAATCTCCTGGTGTGCCGTTTGTTAAGCCCTTTGGAAAAGCGCAGTATTAGGGTGGGAGTGACCCGATTTTCCAGGTGATGTCTGTCACCCCTTTCTTTGACTAGGAAAGGGAATTCCCTGACCCCTTGTGCTTCGCAGGTGAGGTGATGCCTCACCCTGCTTCGGCTCACGCATGGTGCACTGCACCCACTGTCCTGCACCCACTTTCCGGCACTCCCCAGTGAGATGAACCCAGTACCTCAGTTGGAAATGCAGAAATCACCCGTCTTCTGCGTCGCTCACGCTGGGAGCTGTAGACTGGAGCTGTTCCTATTCGGCCATCTTGGCTTCACCTCCCAGCAGATTCTCAAGTTATTAAAATTTTTAAAATTATGATTTCATTGTTATTAAAATATTTAAAAGTATGATTTTGTTGTTTCAGAATGGTTAAAATATGAGTAGGAATGGGAGATTTGGCTGGTCTTTGTCCCTGGTTCTTGGAAAGGACCTCCAAATTCTTGGAAATTTCATGAGTGATGGATTGGATTAAGAAGCAACGGAATGTAATCCCAGCATTTTGGGAGGCCAAGGCAGGTGGATCACCTGAAGTCAGGAGTTGGAGACCAGCCTGGCCAACATGGTGAAACCCTGTTTCTACTAAAAATACAAAAATTAGCCAGTCGTGGTGGTGTGTACCTGTAATCCCTGCTACTCGGGAGGCTAAGGCAAGAGAATCGCTTGAACCTGGGAGGCAGAGGTTTCAGTGAGCTGAGATCGTGCCACTGCACTCCAGCCTGGGTAACAGAGTGAGACCCTGTCATAAGATAAATAAATACGTAAATAAAATAAATAAGAATGGCAATATCAGAGGGCTACAAATAGCAGGACGTATAATGGAAGAGCTTATTGCTAATATAATTGTTTGATCAATTAGCAAAATTGGGTAGAAGTTAGGGTGCTGTAAAATAATTTAAAAAATTTGGGGTTGCTTGCACACAGCTTCTAAAACCCTTAGAATATCTGTAGTCCTGAGAGTATCGGCCAGGCGCGGCGGCTCACACCTGTAATCCCAGCACCTTGGGAGGCGGAGGCGGGCGGATCACGAGGTCAAGAGATCGAGACCATCCTGGCCAACATGGTGAAATTCCGTCTCTACTAAAAATACAAAAATTAGCCAGGTGTGATGGTGGACGCCTGTAATCCCAGCTACTGAGGAGGCTAAGGCGGGAGAATCGCTTGGAGGCAGGAGAATCACTTGAACTCAGGAGGCAGAGGTTGCAGTGAGCTAAGATTGCGCCACTGCACTCCAGCGTGGTGACAGAGCGAGACTCCATCTCAAAAAATATAAAAATGAAAAGTGTCTTTTAGGCATACAGAGTGGTATAATGGATATTGGAGATTCAGAAAGAGGAAGGATAGGGGAAGCGAGGGATGAAAAATCACCATTTGGTACAATATATACTATTGGGGTGATGTGTACACTAAAAGCCCAGACTTCACCACTCTACAATTGATCTGTGCAGCCAAAACCAGTTGTACTCCTAAAGCCATTCAAATAAAAAATTAAAAAAATTAAGGAAATGAGACGTAATATAAACAAAAAACAAATAAAAACAGTTATTGTATGTTCAAAAAAGGAAGTTTCCCCACTACTTCTGGGGAAGGGAGAGGGACTGGAGATTGAGTTAGTCACCAATGGCCAATGATTTCCTCAGTCATGCCTATGTGATGAAATCTCCATAAAACCCCCTAAATGATGGGGTTCTAAGAGCTTCCAGTTTAGTGAACACATCGAAGTGCTGGGAGCGTGGCACTCCCAGAGAGGGTGTAGAAGCTCTGCACCCTTTTCCCCATACCTTGCCCTATGCCTTTGATTGTTTCTGAGCTGTATCCTTTATAAGAAACTGGTAAGAGCAACTAAAGTGTTTTCCTGAGTTCTTTGAGGCATTCTAGCAAATTATGGAACCTGAAGAGGGGGTTGTGTGAACCCCTGAACTCGTGACTTGTGTCTGGAAGTGGGGGTAGTTTTGTGGTACTGAACCCTTAAGCCTGTAGAGTCTGATACTACCTCTGGGTAGTTATTGTCAGAATTGAAGTGAATTGTGGGACACTCATTTGGTATCTGGAGAGTTGGAGAACTGGTTGGTGTGAGAACCCACCACCCCCCCCGCCCCCATATTTGGTGTCAGAAGCATTGTGAGTAAAAATAGTTCAGATGCAGTTTGTGCCCATGGGGTAGAGAGAAGCTGTTTGATCCATCTGAGACTTGTATTTGGAACCTTGGCCTCATTGGTCCCCCTTAACCAGAGCTGTCTGACAGTCTCCTTGTAAGATAAGGGCCCTCAAGGATAATAGGGAAGCAAGAAAAGTCATCTGTGATGTTAATGTGTCATATTGAAAAAAGAGGGGCCGAAAGGTGAACTAAGCATTTATCTGTTTTTTTTTTTTTTTTTTTTTTTTTTTTTTTTAAAGAGAGTCTCACTCTGTTGCCCAGGCTGCAGTGCAGTGGCATGATCTTGGAGCCTCCACCTCCCAGGTTCAAGTGATTCTCCTGTCTCAGCCTCCCGAGTAGCCAGACTTACAGGCATGAGCCACCATGCCTGGCTAATTTTTGTATTTTCAGTAGAGATGGGATTTTGCCATGTTGGCCAGACTGCTCTTGAACTCCTGACCTCAAGCGATCCACCTGCCTTGGCCTCCCAAAGTGCTGGGATTACAGGCATGAGCCACTGTGCCTGGCCACGAACTAAGCCTTTATCTGATTTCACTTGAGTATATTATAGAGTACTGCTTTGCTCAAAGGAAAATGTGAAAAGATAATTAATATTCAAACACACATATTTATTAGCCTAGCATGCTAAAAATATGTGAGCTGTGGGTCCTAGGTACCTCAGGACAGCTGATTACAGGAACACTCCTCACAGAAGGAAGGGACAGAAGAAAATGCACAGGGACTTTTAGGAAGATAAGTTGGACTGGAGGTCAGAGACTGACCCAGGGATCATCCATGAGTGTCAGTCACCTATCCTGGATACATGTGTAAATTTCGGATCTCTACCTGAGTTGGAGGCTGCTTTAAAGTTGTCTCAAATGGATTCCTCTCCAGGAGAGATGCCTGCTGAGAACTCAAAAGAACGTTCCTGATAATTTCTAAAAGATTCAATCCTTAAAACTTGTTTCCAAACAGACTTATAAGGAAGCTGATTTTTGAGGCAGAGGCCTTAAAAGTGTCATATACAAGTGGCATCATTTTAAGTCCAAAGTGAAACCCTTGATTTTAATAAGCTAGTTTATTAACTAAAGCTGTTTTCTTATGTTACAGTATTTCAGCACATTTCATTCAACATAAAAAGAATATTAAATATCCCTGGTTGTGGGAGAGTGTTTATTTTTCTCAAAATTATCTAGCATTTTGCTTACAGTGCTTTGAATATTTGACTTAAAATTATTATTGATGTTGAAGTGTAGGGTGCTGATTTAGGTCTTGATTCATATACATTTAAAGGAGGTTGGTAACCCCCTCATGGTAGAGTGAAGGGAGAAAAGGGCCAAGAGGACAAAGTACCACTGATAAAGAAGAGATTGTCAAATAGATGCATTCCTAGTCATGAATTATGCTTTTCCAAACATTTTTAAAGCAATGCCTTTGTGTCAACTCAACCCTTCTTCCCCATTTCTTGTCATAGAATGTAGCATGGCCATAGGTGAAAAAGCTTATCATTAAAGTATGAAACCATGAATTATAAGCATTTTGCCATGATGCCCTTTTATACTTATATTTTTAAAATTACTAACCAACATATAGGAGTTTAGGAATAGTGAAGATATAATTTGATTAAGTTGTAGGTAAACAGAAAGGATAATCTTAGGCTCAGAATTTCTAATATGATTACGTGAGTCTACTTTATAAACTGGTATAGCCTATGTTATTAGCCCATAAGTTACTTAAAGGACCAGTGGACCTAATTTTTGTCAGTTTTCAGTCACACTGGTGCCATTCAGGACTCCAGCTGTTTACAGGAAATATGTACTTAGCAGAGTAGTATTTTTCCTTGAAAAAAATTTGAATTCAGCCTAAATACAGAATGAATATGAATAGCTTGTGAAAAGGGTTAGAGAACAACAATATTCCTATAGTTTCTGTATTAATGCAGTAGAGACAGAGGTTCCTGACGCAGAAAGAAAACCACAAGTAAAAACTGTCAAATTAGAGCTTTAGAATATGACTTGAAAAAGTAGGGATGGGAAAACAGCATAAGAAAATATTTTTTCTTAATGAAGATGGACAGTGTTTACTTGTTTTAAAAATGTTTTGCCTATTTGCCAGCATTGTTTGAAGTAATGCACTGCTGCTACCTGGAAGATGTCTAACTTCATTTTCTACAACTCTTATGTGATTTTGCCATTGTCATCAAGATGCATTGATTTTATTTATGAGGTATATAACTTTAAATATCTAAATGCTGTATTAAGTGACTTGTTTCAAAGGAATAAATAAAGTGAAAACAAAAACAAAAACAAAAACAAAAAAGAACATTCCAACTATAGTTATATGTAGTGTAACAGTTCCTGCTCAGGGTGGATGGGATTCAGAAACTCTTAAAGGTAAAGAAGGAAAATAGCAGCAGTGATCTGAATGTTAAACTGGGGCTCTGTTCTACTTTATTCCAGGGGCCAGAGCTGGACCATTTTCACAGATGAAACTCAGCCAAGCTGTTTAATGCTTCCTTCGTATGTTTGGAAAAGTAATAAAAGGTACGATTGACCCACAGGCCACTAGAAAATTAGCTGCTCACTCTGGGGTCAGTCTGACCTTCAGGAAAACTTTTCTAATTGGAACTTGGCTATGTTTTTCCAACATAGACTTAAATCAGACCCTTCCAGAAAAGAATGGTTTGAGGAATTGTTGCTATACAGTCATCAGCTGGAGTGAGGATAGATTTATTTTGTTCACTTATTACTGTGTTCATTCAACAGATAATTTTTGAGTACCTACCATATTCTTACATTCTGCTGGAGCTAGGGCTAAAATGGTGAACATGACTGGTGTGATGCCTGTTCTCACAGAGAAGTAAACAATTATAATACCATCTAAGAAGAGTAAAGGAAGCATATTGCCAGGCAGTATACAGGAGAGGTATTCAACCAGAGTAGAGAGGTAGTGAAGATGATCAGGATACTCGTGTGTGTGTGTGTGTGTGTGTGTGTGTGTGTGTGTGTGTGTATACTTTTTAAAAAAAATTAGTGACTAATCTTTTTTTTTTACTGTCTCCATAGTTTTGCCTTTTCCAGAATGTCATATGGTTGGAATCATATGGTATATAGCCTTTTGAGATTGGCTGCTGCTTTTTTCTTGCTTTCTCTCTCTCTCTTTCTTTCTTTTCTTTTCTTTTCTTTTTTTTTTTTTTGAGATGGACTCTCGCTCTGTCACCCAGGCTGAAGTGCAATGGCATGATCTTGGCTCACTGCAACCTCTGCCTCTTGGGTTCAAGCGATTCTCCTGCCTCAGACTCTGTAGTAGCTGGGATTACAGGTGCCTGTTACCATGCCCAGGTAATTTTTTTGTATTTTTAGTAGAGACAGGGTTTCACCATGTTGGCCAGGCTGGTCTTGAACTCCTGACCTCAAGCGATCCACCCGCCTCGGCCTCCCAAAGTGCTGGGATTACAGACGTGAACCACCGCACCCAGCCCAGATTGGCTTTTTACTTAGTAATATGCATTTAAGTTGCTTCCACATCTTTTTGTGGCATGATAGCTGCTTTCCTTTTAGTTCTGAATAATATTCTATTGTCTGGATGTACCAAAGTGTATATACCTGTTCATCTACTGAAGGGCTTCTTGGTTGCTTTCAAGTTTTGGCAATTATGAATAAAGCTGCTGTAAACATTTGTGCAGGTTTTTGTGGGGACTTAAGTTTCAACTGGCTTTAATATTTTATGTCTAGTTTCCTAATCCATTTGGAGTTTATTCTTGTATGTCATGTGAGATATGAATCTAATTTTATCTTTTTCTAATGGTTACTTAGTTCTCCCAGGATAACTATTAAAAAGCCCATCTTTGCCTTAATGATTTGAGGTGTCAGCTTTATCAGATCTGAATTTCCAAATGCCCTCAAGTCTGTTCTGAGCTTTCTATCGTATTCAATTGGTTTATTTGTATATTCATGTGCCAGAACCACACTATTTTTGTTATAGAGACTTCATAGTGTGTTATAGCATCTGCTCTCTTATTATTATTTACTTGCTCTCTTTTGCTTTTTGTTTTTTGCATTCTTCTGGCTAATTTTTTATATTTGTTTTTCCATATAAGTTGTAGCTTTTTTTTTTTTTTTTTTTGAGAAGGAGTCTTGCTCTCTCACCCAGGCTGGAGTGCAGTGGCATGATCTCGGCTTACTGCAACCTCTGTCTCCCAGGTTCAAGAGATTCTCATGCCTCAGCCTTCTGAGTAGCTGGGACTACAGGTGTATGCCACCATGCCTGGCTAATTTTTTTTTTTTTTTTTTTTTTTTTTTGAGATGGAGTCTCACTCTGTCACTCAGGCTGGAGTGCAATGGCGCGATCTTGGCTTACTGCAAGCTCTGCCTCCTGGGTTCACGCCATTCTCCTGCCTCAGCCTCCCGAGTAGCTGGGACTACAGGCACCTGCCACCACGCCCAGCTAATTTTTTTTTTTTTGTATTTTTAATAGAGATGGGGTTTCACCAAGTTAGCCAGGATGGTCTCGATCTCTGAACCTTGTGATCCACCTGCCTTGGCCTCCCAAAGTGCTGGGATTACAGGCATGAGCCACCACGCCCAGCCCATGTCTGGCTAATTTTTGTATTTTTAGTAGAGACGAGGTCTTACTATGTTGGCCAGGCTGGTCCTGAACTCCTGACCTCAGGTGATCCGCCTGCCTTGGCCTCCCAAAATGCTGGGATTACATGTGTGAGCCACCACGCCTGGCTAAGTTGTAGTTTTAACTTGTCTGATACCATAAAAATGCTTACTGTTATTTTTATTGAGATTTTATTGAACTTTTAAATTAAACTAGGAAGAACTGACAATTTAATATTTAGTTTATTATCCAAGGACAGGCAATGTCTATTTGTTCAAGTCTACTTTGGTGCCTTTTGAAAGTATTTAAAAAATTCTCCACACATAGTTTTCACACATCTCACGCTAAGCTTATTAAATATTTAGTTTTCTTTGTTGTCGTCACAAGTAGTATTTGTCTAACTGGTTGTTTGTGTATATGAAGGCTGTTGATTTTTGTATGTTAATTTTATATTCTGCTACCTTATTATATTTTTAAATGTTTAAGTTAGTTTTCTTATACTTTAGGGTCATCCAGGGATACTGTCTTTCACTGGAATGTAGAAATATTTTTACTTCTTCTTTATCCATTCTTATGCTCCTAAGTAATTTCTCTTGTCTAACTGCATTGACCAGTATCCCTAATTAAGTATCGAATAGTAATCGAGATAGCAGGCATGCTGGTCTCTTTTCTGATCTTAATGGAAATGCTTCCTGTCTTTCCCAGTTAAATAAAACATCGGTTCTAGGATAGATAGATATGGATTTTAGGTATATATGATGTACTTCAGGTTTAGGTACCAGTGCCACTTGCTTTATAAAGGGAATTGGGATGTTTTGCTTGTTTTTTAATGCTCTGGAACAATTTATAGAGCACTGGGACTATCTGCTCTTTGAAGGCTTACCAAGCCTTCCCTGGAAAACCATGTGGGCTTGATAGTTTTTGTGTAAGGAGCAATTCTTACTTTCTCTATGTTTTTTCTATGGAAAGTGGTTTGTTTAAGCTAATTGTAATTTGGTAATCTGTATTTCTCTAGGAAATTATCCACTCCATCTAGTTTTTCAAATTTATTTCCATAGAGGTATACAACAAAATAGTATCTTATAATTTTTAAAATTTCTTCTTTCAGTAGTTATTTTCCCTTTGTCATTTCTTATTTTGCAGATTTGTGATTTCTTTTTTTTTTTCTGGATCACATTAGTTGGTGGCTTGTATATTTTCTTAGTTCTTTCAAAAACCCAAGATTTTAATTTATTAATTAGGTCTACTGTAATTTTCTATTCCCTTCCTCATTAATTTCTGCTTTTATCTGTATTAGTTACTTCCTTGTGCTTCTTTTTTTTTTTTTTTTTTTTTTTTGAGGCAGAGTCTCGCTCTGTTGCCTAGGCTGGAGTGTATGGCGTGACCTCAGCTCACTGCAACCTCCACCTCCCGGGTTCAAGTGATTCTCATGTCTCAGCCTCCCAAATGGGTGGGATTACAGGCGCCCACCACCACACCTGGCTAATTTTTGTACTTTTAGTAGGATGGAGTTTTGCCACGTTGGCCAGGCTGGTTTCAAACTCCTGACCTCAAGTGCTCTGCCTGCCTCAGCCTCCCAAAGTTTTGGGATTACAGGCGTGAGCCACTGTGCCCGGTCTCTTCCTTGTGCTTTATCTTGGCTTATTTTATTGTTCTGTTTTTGTTTTTTTTTTTAACCTGAAATTTTAATTCATTTATCTTCAATCATTTATCTTTACTGATTAAAAGTGTTTACTGTGCAAAGATTCTTTCCGTGATAAAATTCTAGTTAGATTCCTTTCAGCTGTTTTTTCAAGTAGGCACTATCTTTAGGTATGTCCTCAGCAAGAATCCTGCTAACTCAGCTTAGCTAGAATCCCCCACCCTCAATATTTGATTACCCTTAAATATATGATCAAATTCCTCATTCTCCGCCATCTCCCAGGTAATATCTGATTACCTTGGCCTGCTGTTAGCAAGATTCTTTTTAGGTCAGTTTAGCAAGGATTACTCTACTCTCTTAGTAATTTTCTATCTACTGACCTCCCTTACTCCCAACTCTGCTCTTTGACTATAAATTCCCCCTTTTCCTTATTCTTTTTGGAGCTGGGCCCAATCAGTCTCCTGTACTTCAAAACCTCACCGTAGTAGTCCCTGTAACTATTGCAATAGTCCTGAATAAACTCTGCTTTACTGTTTTAACAAATGTCATGGGTAATTTTTTTTTTCTTAACAGCTGCTATGGATTTTCCTCTGGTGGCTGTTATTATGTATCCCATAGATTCTGATATGTAGTTGTTTTCATTGTCATTGTTTGAATATTCTATAGTTTCAGCTGTATTTCTTCTTTCACCCAGAGTTGTTTAATAGTAGAAGATTTTAATATTTCCAGGTGGAAAGACCTTTCTGATTTTATTTTTGTAAGTATTTTCTAGTTTTATCATATTGTGATCAGGGAGTGTTGTTTGTAATATTTCTACATTATGAAAATTAGTAGTATTTTCTTTGTGATCTAATATATGACCAGTATTTGTGTTACACAGGTTCTTGAAAAGTTGCATTCTCTATTTTCAGGTATAGGGTTCAACATAACTCTAAAAGATATATGTTATTACGTATATTGTTTGGATTGGCTATCTCCTTACTTTTTGTGTCTACTTGTTTTGTGCTGAGAGTTAATATATTAAAATATTCTATTATTAACATGTTTCTAAGTCTCCTTGCAGCTCATGTAGATTTTGTTTCATAAAGTTGGTTTCTGTAGTATCTAATGCATAAATATTCTTGTTATATCTTTATCATGAATTACAGCATTTAGCATTAAAAATTATAGATTTGTTAATTTTCCTCTTGTTCATTTTTGTGGTATTCAGTGTTTTACAAGATTCTTAATCTAATGCTCTTCAAAGATGCATGCACTGCCCTCACAAATCTATTTCAAAAACTGATGAACAAATTCAGTAAAGTTGCAGGATAAAAAATCAACATACAAAAATCAGTAGCATTTTTATATGCCAAGAGTGAACAATGTAAGAAAAAAACAATGGAGCAATCCCATTTACAATAGCTGCAAATAAAACAAATACCTAGGAATTAATCAAAGAAGTAAGAGGTTTCTACAATGAAAACTATCAAATATTGATGAAAAAATTGAAAAGGACCTTAAAATTGGAAAGAGATTCCATGTTCATGGATATGAAGGACCAATATTGGTAAAATGTCCATACTATCCAAAGCAATCTACAGATTCAGTGCAATCTCTATCAAAATAACAATGACATTCTTCACAGAAATAGAAAAAACAATCCTAAAATTTATACAGAACCACAAAAGACCCAGAATAGCCAAAGCTATTCTACACGAAAAGAACAAAACTGGAGGAATCACATTACCTGATTTCAATTTATACTACAGAGCTATAGTAACCAAAACAGCATGGTACTGGCATAAAAACAGACACATAGACCAGCAGAACAGAATAGAGAAGCCAGAAATAAACCCATACATCTACAGTGAACTCATTTTCGATGAAGGTACCAATAACATATTTAATACATTGGGGAAAGGACAGTCTCTTCAATAAATGGTACTGAGAAAACTGGATACCTATATGCATAAAATGAAGTAGACCCTATCTCTCATTATATACAAAAATAAAAATGGATTAAGACTTAAGTCTAAGACCTCAAACTATGGAACTACTAAAAGAAAACATTGGAGAAACTCTCTGGGACATTGGAGTGGGCAAAGATTTCTTGAGTAATACCCCACAAGCACAGGCAACCAAAGCAAAAATGGACAAATAGGATCACATCAAGTTAAGAAGCTTCTGCACAGCAAAGGAAACAATCAACAAAGTGAAGAGACAATTCACAGAATGGGAGAAAATATTAGCAAACTATCCATCTAAAAAGGGATTAATAACTAGAATATCTAAGGAGCTCAAACAACTCTGTAGGTAAATAATCTAATAATCTGACAAAAAAATGGGAAAAATATCTGAATAGACATTTCTCAAAAGAAGATATACAAACGGCAAATAGGTATATGAAAAGGTGTACAACAGCATTGATCATCAGAGAAATGCAAATCAAAACTGCAATGAGATATCTTACCCCAGTTAAAATGGCTTTTATCCAAAAGTCAGGCAATAACAACTGCTGGTAAGGACATGGAGAAAAAGGGACCCTCATACACTGTTGGTGGAATATACAGTAGTACAACCACTACGAAAAACAGTTTGGAGGTTCCTGAAAAAGCTGAAAATAGAGCTACCATGTGATCCAGCAATCCCACTCCTAGTTACATGCTCAAAAGAAAGGAAATTGATACATTGAAGAGATATTTTCACTTCCATGTTTATTGCAGCCCTATTCACAATAGCCAAGATTTGGAAGCAACCTAAGTGTCCATGAACAGATGAATGGATAAATAAAATGTAGCATATATACACTATGGAATATTATTCAACCATAAAAAAGAATGAGATTCTGTCATTTGCAACAACATGGATGGAACTGGAGGTCATTACCTTAAGTGAAATAAGCCAGGCACACAAAGGCAAACCTTGCATGTTCTCACTTATTTGTGGGAGATAAAAATTAAAAACAACTGAACTCATGGAGAAAGAGAGTAGAATAGAATGATGGTTATCAGATGTTGGGAAGAGCAATGGGACAGGGAAAGTTGGGGAGGAGGTAGGGATGGTTAATAGGTACAAGAAAATAGAAAGAATGAATAATACCTAGTATTTGCTAGCACAACAGGGTGACTATAGTAAAAAGTAATTTGATTGTACATTCAAAAATAACTAAAAAGAGTATAATTGGTTTGTAACACAAAAGATAAATGCTTGAGGTGATAGAAACCCCATTTACCCTGATGTGATTATTATTATTGTTATTGCATGCTTGTGTCAAAATGTCTCATGTAATCCATAAATATACATACCTACTATGTACCCATAAAAATTAAAATATAATTTTTTAAAAAAACAAAGGCTTCTGTAAGGAGGACGGTTGCTTTAGGAAAGAGTTTAGTCTACTGTGGTCTTATTCACTAGAATTTAACTGACACAGTAGAAACCTTTGGCACACTATGAAGGAGCCTCTGTTTTTGAGCATGAGAATGGAAGCTGTGATGGCTCTGCCTGGCAGATTGTCAATATCTTCTCAGTTTTGGCAAGTTGCTTTGTTAGAATTTTAGATTGGCCAAGTCCTAGTATTGTCAAAAAAAACCCAACCAAACAAATAAGGGATGAAGAGTAATGGCTGAAGAGGTTTCCTAGTTGCGAGAGTTCTTTTTTTTTTTTTTTTGAGACTGAGTCTCGCTCTGTCTCCCAGGCTGGAGTGCAGTGGCGCAATCTCGGCTCACTGCAAGCTCGGCCTCCCGTGTTCACGCCATTCTCCCGCCTCAGCCTCCTGAGTAGCTGGGACTACAGGCGCCCGCCACCACGCCTGGGTAATTTTTTTTGTATTTTTAGTAGAGATGGAGTTTCATCGTGTTAGCCAGGATGGTCTCGATCTCCTGACCTCGTGATCCGCCTGCCTCGGCCTCCCAAAGTGCTGGGATTACAGGTGTGAGCCACTGCGTCTGGCCAAGAAAGTTCTTTTTTTTTTTTTTTTTTTTTTTTTAAATGATCATGTTCAGTAGCTTCTCTGGCTAGTTTGATATTTGGGTAAAGTAGCTGTTAACTATTGTGAGGATTGGGGCAGAGAGCAAAGGGGCAAAAGAAGATATAAGGCAACGAGAGAGAGGAGGAAGTTAAACTGGTTTGCTGCCTTTCCTGGCTTGCCTCTGCCCTGACTTCTAAGTCCAGGAACAAAAATTCTTGGAAGAAGTAGAGGTTAAAAATCTCTGGGAGGCTAGGATAGAGTTCAATATTGTGCTTTTCTCAGAGGCCGCATGGTGCATGACTAGGGGAACCATTCACATGAATCAGTGCAATGATGTGTGCATAAGTAGTCTGTATATCTCGTTAAAATGCTGATTTAGTATGACTGAGATGAGGTGTGAAATTTTCCATTCTTTTCTTTTCTTTCTTTTTCTTTTTCTTTCTTTCTTTTTTTTTTTTTTTTGAGACAGGGTGTTGTTCTGCCACCCAGGCCAGAGTGCGGTGGCACAATCACAGCTCACTGCAGCCTTGACCTCCCCAGGCTTGAGCGATCCTCCCATCTCAGCTGGCACTACCGGCATGGGCCACCACACCCACTAGTTTTTAAAATTTTTTGTAGAGATGGGGTTTCTCCATGTTGTCCAGGCTTGTCTTGAACTCCTGGGCTCAAGCGATTTGCCTGCCTCAGCCTCCCAGAGTGCTGGGATTATAGGTGTGAGCCACTGCACCTGGCTGAAATTCTCCATTTCTAACTTGCTCCCAGGTGAATGAGAATGTTGCATGTCTAAGAACCATATTTTAAATAGCAAGTTTCCAAGGAAATTATGCATATTAATCCTCAAAACAATCTTATAATGTAGTAGTCACTGCAGTATTTCTAATTTATACACAAGAAAGTTGAGATTAAATCACTAGCCTAGTTCACCCAACTAAGTAAGGAACAAAGCCAGGATTTAAACTCAGGTAGTCTGCATCTATCATCTACATTTACAAATATATGTATAAATTAATAAAATTTATTTTTTAGAGCAGTTTTAGGCTTATAGAAAAATTGAGTGGAAAGTAGAGAGAATTCCCACCTATACTGCTTCCTACCTCCCCACAGCTTCCTTTATAATTAGCATCTTGCATTGGTGTGTTACATTTGTTATAGTTGATGAATCAATATTGGTACATTGTTACTAACTAGAGTCCATAGTTATCAATAATGATATCAAACAAACTATTGTACTTGTTTATGTATCTACCATACTCGGCTTGTTATTATTTTAGTGTACTTGTTCTATTTGTTTTTTTGTTTGTTTGTTTGTTTCTCAGCTTAATAAAAGTTTATTTTCACAGTGCTGCAGAGGTAAGTCCCCAAACTTTACAATGCTCATTTGTTTCTCTCAAAAAGATCTCTTTTTTTAAAAAAAGGCTTTAGAATACCACACCATGTTTAAAATCCTGCAAGCTATTTTTGAAATCTAAATTAAATTCTGACAATGATAAAATGTTTGCCAGCCAATCAAAGTCCCAAACTAATTAACATTCAAAGTAAAAAAGAATCATCATTGGGATCTCATTATATTTTGATAGCTGTAAAGGCTGATTGACTTCTGTCATTCCTAGTGTTAGTGTCATAAGCAAATAATATCACTTACATTCTAGAAAAAGAAATAAGCATATTTGTCTTGTACATCTTATACACTGAGGTATAAAACCATGTTTTACCAACTTTTTTTATTAATGTACCAAATAATTTCTTCCACAATGGCAACTGTGGTAAAATCCCCCATAGCATTAGCCAACCTGCTGGCATGTTCTATGGTCTTCTAATTAATATAGTGCACAGACATTTATAAGCTACACAGCCACAGTAATTTACAAGTAACTAATAAATATTGAAATGCTGGGAATATAACAAAACTACATTCTAAATAGTTTACTTTCCCTTTTTCCTTATATTATTACTTTTATATTCATTCTTCCCACTCATTTTTTCACTAGACTCTATTAAATTTAAGATTTAAATATGGCTAAGCATAAGACAAAAGAGATGAGTGTCAACAATATAGCTGAATTTTATCAGTGTCCAAGGCACTTAAAGCTGTTCTCCAAAAGATAAGTTATTCAACCCAAGGCAAACAGAGAAAGTTGGATTTGAATCTTAGGTTCTTTATATTTTTAACTGTCAGGTCCACAGGAACATCCAAGGCTCAAGTTTTGAATGTCTACATGTCATGAAGTTAACTGGAAAAAAAAAAAAAAAAAGAAGTTAACTGGCACTAGTGGAATGTCGATTACTGAAGATGAACCCCTAGACACATTCAGCAAGACATTCAACTTGCAGAAGGCAGGGAATTTGGAGTGGTACACAATCAGATAACAAGGTTTCAAGCTCTAGTCGAAGACAAGATGATATTATACCTAAATAACAATTTCTAAGGAACTTGAATAACAATCTCTAAGGACTCTTGTCACTATATGAAGAACTTAAGTTAATGGCTCCATAATCTTAATTAAAAGGACAGCCATTTAATCAATTTTCTGCAGTGAATTATTAGACTAACTTCCTAGCATCTGGAGATTACAGTATGTTCCACCTTGAAGCTATCACAATCAAGACTATTACCTGACATGCATTCAACAAATATTCGATGACAAACAAAGTATAAGGTTAATTAATTATAAGGTTACAGAAAGTTAGGTCTCCTAACACCTAAGTGTTAAGTGGACTCAATGTTGAACCTTTTTGAGTGCCAACATGACACTCAAAGGAAATGCTCATGAACATTTCAGATTTCAGATTTGGGATGCCCAACTGGTAAGTATAACACAAATATTCCAAACTTTGAAAAAAATTATGAAATCTGAAATACTTCTTGTCCCAAGCATTTTTTGGAAAAGGGATACTCAACCTGTACCTTATAACTTCCTTATAACTTTTGGCTCTACCACTTCTATCCCTATATGGAAGCTGAAGTATGTTATTACTGCTGTTACATGACTATTTTTCTACATTGTGGTTCTATTTCTGCTAAATTATTCTTACAGTCTTTATCAATTTAAGTTTTTTAAAAAACTGCCTTTTTAGAACTCTGAAACAGTATTTAAAAATTAAATTAAAAAAATTTTAAGTTTTGTTCATCATATACAATACAATTCTGATATATGATGTTAGACAAATTATTAGCCAGGTAATTTCTGTTCACCTAGTATCAATGCTATAAAGAGCTTCAAGTGAACTTTCTTTAGTGAGATGAGTTTCAATGATCCTAAAGATGGTAAATGAACCATTATTTGTGTGTCTAAAGTGTGTACTCTTAAGAAATTATCCATAAATCAAAAACAAAAATTTAAGCAATTGTTAAATATAATGTTAACAGGAACATTGAGCAATAAATTGAAACTTTTAAATTTAACTCATATCTGCTTAGTTTTTTATTTAGTTAAGTATAAAGGCCCAGTTAATTAATCAATTCATTAGATTGGTCAAGGCATGACACTTGAACTACACAATAGGATTTAAAAAGCAGTTGGTTTTTTTAGTAGTTCTCTGGTAATCACACGCACATACACACATACACAAAAATTTGTAGAGTACTCTGAATATAGGATTTCCCCCATAATCTTGCATCTGCTGTATTTTGTAAACTATATAAACTGGACATGGCCAAATTAGAGATGTCTGATAAACTCTTATAAAGTATTTGGGAACTTCAACTGGATTCCCAAAGGATGAATTTTAAACTATAAAAAACAAATATTCATATAAAAGCACAACAGATTTAACAGACATCTTTGGAAAAAAAATCAAATTGTAACTCAATTTTCTACTTTTTCAAATACGACTAAGGAAAAAAGTTACAAGTAGTAATGTCTACCTTAAAAAAAAACACACATTAACTGGGTGATTGTGTGGGGGGTGGGGAAAGCTATACAGTATTATTGCACTCCATGAATGTGAAGAATTCCAAAATATGCCAGCACGGAAAAGCTATCTTGCATTGAGGTTTTCCAAGAGGTACAACGAGCATGCTAAGAAAGCATTTGGTCTGTACTAACAGCTTGCTCTCTTCAGTACAGGCCTTCATAATGTCAGTCAAGCTGCTCTTGGAATGATCCCTTAATGCAAAAGAGTTTTCAGTGCTGATAGGTGGTGCTATGATCGATGGTGTGGGATTGAATCCATATGCACATTGAGCTTCATTTCATTGTCAAGAATTTGAACAAGCTGTTGCATGGATGGAAGGTGACCGGATTCCAGCTTAGACCACACAGGTACATCATTTAAAGTTATCTCAAATGCACCTGTTGACATACACTGGTTCTCAATCATGTTGCTCAAGAAGAAAACCATCATACATGCATAGACCTTATTTTCTTGGCCCCACTGCCAGATGCTAGGAGCTTGCATGCCAAAGAAAGCAAAAGGATCCTTGCCAACAATTATTAAGCCTATTAATACTAGTTTGAAGACTGACAGGAAAGATGCTATGTGTCTATACATTGGTTGAGGGAGGTAATTCTCTCCTTCAATACGGATGTCTGGGTACCCCTGGCTAGTAACCCACATGTACTCCTCAAACACCCGCCTATAACCTCAGGAAACACAAATCTGGAACTTGAGCAGTGGCCCCGTGGCGTACTGCATCTTTAATCTCGCTGGGCACGCCACCCAGATTGGCCGAGGCCTCGCTCCGGACCATCACAGACACCGCCACTCTCTATGTTTTTTTCAGGGTAACTGTGAAACAGCCTCAGGCAGATTTTTCCAGGTATTCCAGAAAAAGACCTCATTATCATAGAAGGTGACAGTTCTATGTGTGTTATTGCCCCTGAAGAAATTCCAGTGGGACAAGATGTGGAGGTGGAAGACAGTAATATTGGCGATCCTGACTCTGTGTAGGCCTAGGCTAAGGTGTGTGTGTCTTAGTTTTTAACAAAAAAGTTTAAAAAGTAAAAAAAAGAATTAAAAAATTTAAAAAATAGAAAAAAGCTTATAGATAAGGATATAAATAAAATACTTTTATACAGTTGTACAATGTTTGTGTATGTAAAAAGTTATGTACATAATTGCATGTGCTATAGTTTTATATGCCTGGCAGTGCAGTAGGTTTGTTTACACCAGGATCATCACAAACATGAGGAATGTGTTGTGCTAGGATGTTATGATGATTATGTCATAAGTAGGTAATAGGAATTTTTCAGCTCCATTATAATCTTATGTGATACAGTGGTATATATGGTCCATCACTGACTGAAATGTCATTGTGTGGTGCATGACTGTAGTTGGGATCAGAGTATGTAGCCTTTCAGACTAGCTTCTTTCACTTAGTAAGTTAGGGATCCTCCATATTTTTTTGTGACTTAATAGCTCATTCCTTTTATTGCTGAATAGTATTTCACTGTCTGGATTGCCCATTCATCTATTGAAGGGCATTTTGGTTGCTTTTAATTTGGGGCCATTATGAATAAAGCTGCTATAAATGTCCATGTGTAGGTTTTTATGTGGATTTAATTTTTTAACTCAAGTATTTGACTAGAATTTAACTAAGTGTTTGAGTAATTATTTAGGAGCGAAACTGCTGGGTTATATGGTAAGACTATATTTAGTTTTGTAAGAAACTGCCAAATTGTCTTCCAAAGTGGCTGTATCATTTTGCTCCCACCCCCAATGAATGAGAATTCCTGTTGCGCAACATCCTTGCCAGCATTTGATATTATTAGTGTTTTGGATTTTGGCCATTTGAATAGGTGTGTAGTTGCATCTTATTTTAATCATGTTTTCTTTTTAACCATTATATTCTACCACCTCTCACTATAAGCAGCAGTTTGTTTTCCTGTTATTCTAGGCAAACCAAATTCCAGTCCCACTGCGGAATTTAGCATTGTACCAGACTTCAAATTGGTTAATAACAAACAAACAAAAAGACCCTATAAAAACCATTGCACTTTCAGTTCTCTCTAAAAATGTCAAAAGGTTTCACTCACAGGCTAGTACGTGAATTCCACACTGCATGGCATCAGGCCGACTGCCATTCTACTTTAGTTTTTAGTCAGGTTTATTGAGGGATAGTTTTAATACAGTAAAACTCATCATTTTAAAGTATATAGTTTGATGAGTTTTAGCAGTATACGGATGTATAACCACCACCACAATCAAGATATAGGACATTTCCATCACTGCAAAAGGTTGTCCTTTTGTAATCCATCCCTGCCCTAGGCAACCACTACTGTCTAATATAGTGTTTGGCTTTTTAGAATGCTATATAAATAGAATCATAGAGTGTGTACTCTTTTTAAATAATTTTGTTTCATACTAGTTTTTCTAGGGGTTCCATTTTCACCTCTCAGTAGATTTTACATATTTCTCATATGCCTCTGCATTTATCAGTTCATCTAGTTCTGAAGGGTTACTCAGTGTCATCTTGATCAGCCCACCATCTTCATAACAAGATTTACTGACAAGTCCTGGATTTTCTACAAGAGCTTCATTAATTTTGGTAACTTCTTCTGATAGAGGAGAATAAAGTTCAGTAGCAGCTTTCACACTTTCCAAAGCACTAAACTAGTCTCGTTTGTTCGATTTTGTCCCAATTTCAGGCATACTACAGTAAACATCTCCCAAAAAGCTTCCTGTGCAAAATTGCTGATTCCCACTGTTCCAATACCATTTTCTCTTATCCATTCATTTTTCTTTTTTTTTGGTGAATTTGTGCAACAAGGGCTGAACCTGGTCGTGGCAGCGTCGGTAGTGCCCACCCTCAGCCCTCAAGGCGGCCACGGGTTCCTAGGCCCTGTGCAAGGTGCAGGCCACGTCGCATGCTCGGCTGCTCAGCGTCAGGTGCCGATTTTTTCCTGCGTTTTCTTAGGGAAGTTTTATAGTTTTAGCTCTTATATTTAGGTCTGTGTCTTTTTAAATTAATTTTTGTGTATGACATGAAATAAAGACAGATGTTCATTTTTTCCTTCGCTTCCTTACCTTTTCTTCTTTCCTCTCCTTCCCTTCCCTCCCTCCATGCTTTTTTCCTCCTTCCCTCCCTCTCTCCCTCCGTCTTCTTTCTTACAGATGCCCTTACGGATTCTTACAGATGCCCTTACGGATTCTTACAGATGTCTTCTTTCTTACAGATTTTTTCCTGCGTTTTCTTAGGGAAGTTTTATAGTTTTAGCTCTTGTATTTAGGTCTGTGTCTTTTTAAATTAATTTTTGTGTGTGACATGAAATAAAGACAGATGTTCATTTTTTCCTTCGCTTCCTTACCTTTTCTTCTTTCCTCTCCTTCCCTTCCTTGTTTTCCTTCCCTTCCCTCCCTCCCTGCTTTTTACCTCCTTTCCTCCCTTTCTCCCCCCTTTCTTTCTTACAGATGTCCAATTATCCAAGCACCATTTGTTGAAAAAGCATCCTTTCTCCACTGATTTACATCTTTGTTGAAAGGCAATTGACCATATATGGTTGGAGCAATTTCTACACTCTTCTGTTCCACTGACTTATATGTCTATCTTTAAAGGTCACATTGTCTTCATTACTGTAGCTTTGTAGCTGGTCTCGAAATCAGGTAGTGTGAGACTTCAAGTGCTCTTTTAAACTTTTTTTAAGAGTCTCTTCTAGGTCCTTGAGATTTTCATTTAAATTTTATAATCAGCTTATCAATTTCTATTGAAAAAACTTGCTGTGGCATTGACAGGGATAGCACTAAATCTATAGATAAATTTGGAAGAATTAACATATTAATATTGATTATTTCTATGCATACATGTGGTATAGCTCTTCATTTAGTTACATCTTTAAGAACTTTTCTCAGTAATATTTTATGGTTTTTGTGGTATAGGCCTTGAAATATTTTGTTAAGTGTATTCCTATGTATTTTTTGTTTTGATTCTATTGTATATATTTTTTCACATTTTAGTTTATAATTATTTTTTGATAGTATATAAGAAATATATACTGCATACATTTTTGTATATTGGCCCTATGTCTTGTGACCTTACTAAATTTACTTGTAAGTTCTAATAACTTTTTTTCATTGCTTCTTTAGAATTTTCAATATATAAGATCATGTCATCTGCAGATAAAGATAGTTTTGCTTTTTTTTAATCTATTGGCTTTTATTTCTTCTTCTTGCCTGATTGTGCTGGTTAGTATCTCCAGTACAATATTAAAATAGACATAGTGAGAACAGACATCCTTGCTGATTGCTATAGAGGGAAAGCATTCAGCCTTTCAGAATTGAAGATGAGGTTAAATTTATGTTTTGTGTAGATGATTTTTATCATGTTGAGGAAGTTCCCTTTTATCTCTAGTTTGCTGATAGTTTTTAATCCCAAAGGGATGTTGAATTTTGCAAGTCCTTTTCTGTATTTATTAAGATATCATTTTGGTTTTGAATTTGTTGATATAATGAATTTGATTATGATTGATTTTCAAATGTGGAACCAACCCTGCATACCTGGAATAAATCACATTTAATAATGTATTATGTTTTATATATTACTGGTTTCAACTTATCAATATTTTGTTAAATATTTTTGAGTTGATATTCAGGAAGGATATTGGTTGTTCTGTTTTAGTTTCTTGAAACATATTTGGTTTTGCTATTGGGGATAATGCTGTCATCATAAAATGAGTTTTTGTTTCCCTCCTTTCTATTTTTCTGGAAAAGTTTGTGTAAAATTGGTATAATTTCTTCCTTAATTGCTGGCTAGAACTCACCTGTGAAGTCATTTAGGCCTGGAGTTCACTTTGTGGCAAAGTTTTAACTATGATTTCAATTTCTTTAATAAACATGGCTATTCAAATTATCTATTTCTTCTTCAGTGAGTGTGAGTAATGATTTCAAGGAATTTGTCCATTTCATGTAAGCTTTCAAATATATTAACAAAAATATTTTAAAAGTATTCTCTTATTGTCCTATGGGATTGATAGTGATGCCTCTTCTTTCATTCCTGATATTGATAATTTACATCTTTTTGTTGTTGTTGTTGACCAGTCTAGTGGCAGGTTTATCAGTTTTTCTGAGCTATCTAAAGAACCAGGGCTTATTTATTTGTTTTTTTGTTTGTTTGTTTGTTTTCTATTTCACTGATTTCTCCCATTTATTATATCTTTTCTTCTTGCTTTGGGTTTAATTTGCTTTTCTTTTGCTAGTTTTTAATGTGGAGGTTTATAGCACTGATTTGAGACTTTGCTAAAATAAGCATTTAATGTTGTAAACTTCCCTTTAAACATTACTCTAGCTGTGTCCCACTTATTTTGACATATTACATTTATTTTCATTTAAATAAAATATTTTCTAATTTTCGTTGTGATTTTTTTGGGGTATATAGTTATGGAAAAGTATTGTTTAATTTCCAAATACTTGGAGATTTTCCAAATATCTTTCTCTTATTGACTTCTAATTTAATTCTAATGTGGTCAGGTAAGTTTTTTGTTTTTTTTTTTAGAGAGAAACTTACTCTGTTGGCCAGGCTGGAGTGCAGTGGCATGATCTCGGCTCACTGCAACCCCTACCTCCCAAGATCAAGAGATTCTCATGCCTCAGCCTCCGGAGTAGCTAGGACTACAGTCGTGGGGACTACCATGCCCAGCTATTTTTTCTGTATTTTAGTAGAGTTGGAGTTTAGCCATGTTGGCCAGGTTGGTCTTGAACTCCTGGCCTCGAGCGATCCACCCGCTTCAGCCTCCCAAAGTGCTGGGATTGCAGGTGTGAGCCACTGCGCCCAGCCTGAGAACATACTTAATGTGATTTCAGTTGTTTTGTGTTTCTTGGTGAATGTTCTAGGTGCTTTGAAAATAATGTATATTCTGCTGTTGTTAGGTAGAGTGTTCTGTAAATGTCCACTAGGTCAATTTAGTTGATAGTGTTGTCAGTCTTCTCTATAATTAATGATTTTTTTTGGTATAATTATTCTGTCAAATACTGAAAGAACAGTCTTATAAAGTTTCTCAAACTGTTATTGGACCATTCCAGATTCTTTCCTAAACATGCCTTCCCTGGCTCAGTAGTATTTGGGCAGGACCTGTAGTAGAGCAGGCACCAGCCAAGTAATCAAATATTAGTATCCTTTGGCTGGCTCCCCAAATTTAGCCATATTTTTTTATTTTATGGGAAATGTTCACTTTTGGTTTCCAATAAATAAAGGGAAGGGGATTTTTTTCCTCTTTACAAACTTAGTGTTCCTCAAAAAGATGACTTTTTGGCCAGGTGCAGTGGCTCACACCTGTAATCCCAGCAATTTGGGAGGGCAAGGTAGGAGGATCACTTGAGGCCAGAAGCTCAAGACTAGGCTGGGCAACATAGTGAGACCTCATTTCTACAAGAAACAAGAAAAAAATTAACCAGGCGTGGTGGCACATGCCTGTAGTGACAGCAACTCAGGAGGTTGAGGCAGGAGGATCACTTAATAAGGTGGGAGGTTGAGGCTGCAGTGAGCCGTGATTACCTCTTTGCACTCCAGCCTGGGCAACAGAGCGAGACCCTGCTAAAAAAAAAAAAAGTAAGATGACTTCTATCACCTCTTAGTCCTCTTTTACAAGGAAGGGGAAGGATGTGTCAAGGGAGAGACTGCTGCCCCAAATAGCTGAATTTCAAATATTGGGTACTTTACTGTTTTTGTTTCTAGCAATGGGGTCTTGGTGATAGTTCCAGGGAAAAATAGGAAAAATTCTATTAAATAAGTTGTAGTTGCATGAAACTGAATTACTAAATCAGTTCATCCTGTTCTCCTTAAAATGCTTTACCATAATTACTTAAGATTGCTCACTGAATAGATACTGTTTAGGCCAAACTGGTAGTGTCCCAGCTAAGGCTCATTCCAAAATTCCAAACTGTTTGTTTAATGTCATGGAATAAAATAATTCTTTTAACAGAAGCAAAGGCCACTATTGCACAATATCATATTATCAGCACCAACAAGTAGAAACATAGTTAGCTCTCTTGGCTGTGTTTAACTTACAAAACACTCTGTTTGAGGACTCATACAGCTGCAATGTTCTGACCTAAGGGAGCATCTGGCCAGTTCCTCCTTTGTTTGTTTTCCTTGAGTGTGACTCTTTGACAAGTAGGCCTCTTTTGAGGGGAAAGAAAAAGGCTGGTTGGGTTTTAAATTATAAATGAATGTGGAGGAGGAGAAATAGGATTAACACTGGTTGACCTAATTTATGCTAGGCATTGTGCTAAGTGCTTACGGTCATGTCCTTATCCCATCTTCTCAAAATCCCTGTCTAAGTGATGTATTAGCCCCATTTTATAGGCAAAGAGACTGAGGTTCAGAGTGGAATGAAGTCCCATAGCTGGAAGAAATTGAAATTAGAACCAGGATCTCTCTAGTACCAAAGTTCATGCTCTTTTTTGTCTATCATGCTTCTATTAATATGGAGGCTCAACACAAAAGTAACCCACAATCCGTGGCTGCTTTATTGATTAGTTCTGTGGTTTCTGGAATGGTCCTACTCAAATGTGATTGGCAGTTGAGTCCATAAAAATGCCACATTTCTCTTTAGGTTTAGTGTGTTAAGGAAGCTTTGATCATGTCATGTACCTTAAGCAGAACCTGACTATTTTTGTCTTAGATAAATTTGACGTTGTATAATACTGACATCTCTTTGGACTCCAGCCTTTGCAAATATTAGGCTCAATGTCAGGAATGAATAGTGAGCAGCAGCTTAGGGCCTCAGCCTAGGCAAGAAGGGGGGACTAGGAAAGTCCAAAGATTGATAAAGAGAAAGCTTACAGGCAGGCAGGCAACTCCAGGTGTCAGAATTCAGGATAAAGCAAGTCTCTTTTTTATCTCAGTCTCAGATATTACAGACCCAAAAGGTCTTGCTGTGAGAGAGAAGATCATGCAAAGAAGTAACCTAAAGTCCAGGTGATCAGTGACCATGCATCATATCTAAATGGTGCTGTTCCATAGGCAATTGGAAGCACAGCTGGCTTGCAACTCAGGAAGAATATCTGGTCTGGAGAGTTATCAGTCAATAAAGGGGCAGCTAAAACCCTGGGAGCTGATGATCTTGGGCAGGGGAGTGTGGAGGGCAATGTGGAGTGAGGAATGAAGAGGGTCAGGGGTCTGAGAGTCCTTGATGTCTGTTAACTACTCCTTCCTCAACCTGCAGCAGGCTTCCAGCTGTTCTGAACACTTCCTATCCACTCTGTTAGTTAAGGAAAGGGAGGACCTTGAGATGGCTGAACACACAACAGCCAATACCGGTCAGATGAGATTGGCAGTGGTTTATTAGTCACATATACACACAGGGTGGGGAAAGAGCAACCCCACATGCCATGAGGGGCCACATAGAGCAGAGTGAACCAGCAGAGGCTTTGGGAGGCTAAACTGAGTTCAGAGGTTTGTCTATTCATGGAACTGGACATTCTAATTATTGAGTTGAGACTGTATTTGCAACTTAATATGACAGTAGGACTGTCTATTACTTAAGAATGAATGGAAAAGTATAAGAGGGAGGAGTTGAATAAAGGGATGGTGGAAGACAACTAATGTTTTGATTACCAACTGTGCTTCAAGATTTTTGAATGTACCAATTATATTTCCAACTGTATTTCCATTTAATAATCCCATTGTCAGTTGACCCTCAACCTGTCCTAACAAACTCATTATCTTCCTTCATACTAATTTCTGTTTCCCACCTCCTCATTTCTGTTTCTGACAGCGTCATTTTCTCAAGTGATACTCCTGCCTCAGCCTCCCAAAGTGCTGGGATAATAGATGTGAGCCAGCATGCCTGGCTGCTAAAATTTTTATGGAATTCTGTAGAATTCTTGTGTCTCTGTTGATGAAAAACATTGGTCTGTAGTTTTCTTGTATTGTTGTTTTTGATATCAGTGTATTTTGCCTCATAGAAAAATTAAATAAAACTTCCTCCTCTTCAGTTTTTCTGAAAGAGTTTGTATATATTTCATATTATTTCTCCTTAAATGTTTGGAAGAATTCACTAATGAAGGTTGAAGTTTTCTTATGAGATTTTGAGCTTTACATTTAATTTCCTTAATAGATAGAGGGCTATTAATGTTTCCTGTTTCTTCTTGAGTGAATCTTGGTAGTCTGTGCCTCTCAAGGAATTTGTCTGTTTTCATTACGGTTGTCAAATTTATTGATGTAGTGATGCCTATAATATTTCCATCTTATTATTTTTAATATCTTTAGAATCTCTACTGATGTTAACTCTCTTATTATGGATAATGGTAATTTGTGTCCTCTTTCTTTTTTTTTCCTGATCAGTCTAGACAAAGGTTTATCAATTTTATTGATTTTTTCAATATACAACTTTTGATTTCTCTATTTTTTTCTGACCTATTTAATATTAATAAATTATTATATAAATTTTTAGTTATCCAATTCCTGTGTCTTGGAACATCTGCACTTTTATGCAATGATCTTTTGAAGGATTTTTACTATTACATTTTTTATATTTATAATGTAATATTCTATGCATATTGCTGTGGTCCGAATGGTTGTGTCCCCCCAAGTGTTGAAATTCTAACCCCCAAGGTGATGGTATTAGGAGGCGAGACCTTTGGGAAGTTATTAGGTCATGAAGGTGGAGCCTTCATGAGTAGAATTTGTGCCTTATAAAAGAGACTCCAGAGAGTTAGGTAGCCATTCTGGCCATGTAAGGTTATGACCAAAAGATGCTGTCTAGGTTGAAAAGGCCCTTGCGAGACAATGAATCTGCCAGTGCCTTGATCTTGGATTTCCCAGCCTACAGAACTGTTAGAAATAAGTTTATGTTGTTTATAAGCTACCCAGTTAATTTTGTTATCATGGCCTGAATGAACTAAGACATATATGAAAGAATTTATGAAACCTATTTGTAGGTTGAGAAGTATAAATAAATATCTATTTCTTTCGTAGATTCGTTTTGTAGATTAATACCTGTCAGATTTCATCTTTCTGATTTCTGCTTCGTATTTTATCTCTCAGAAAATAAATTCTCTTAAAGTTGTGGAGTCATTTGATTGTGTTCTAATTGTACCTAAGAAAAAGTGTTCTTCTTATCAGTCGGGTTGGTTGGTTTTTCTAAGCTAACTTTCACTGAGTGCTTGCTATGTGCCAGGCAATTCTTATCAGTGGCCTGAGAAGCAGGTGTTACCTTCATGTCTTCTATGGGTTAAGTTTGCTTTAAGGCATATTCAACAGAAAACCCAACACTAGCTTAAGCAAACATGGGTTTATTTTTCTCTCAACATAAAGTTTGCAGTTAGTACTACAAGATTGATATGGCAGCTCTCCAATGTCACATGCGACCTGGTATCTTACATTAGTTTCCCCAGGAGGAGATCCTGAGTTAAGGATTATGATAATGTGATTTACTAAGGAAGTATTCCCAAGAAATACTGATAAGGCAGTCAGGTCAGGGCAGGGCAAGACAGGGCAGGGACAAGCAGGAATCTAAGAATGTGATCTCATGCTAAAGTGCAGAACAGGGCAGATTCAGCATGAGCCCCATGGGAGAATTTTTGAGTGAAATTTAAGACAGAGGTATTCCACCCAAGAACTGGGGAGCTGGGCTTTCAAAAGCCTTGTGAGGCTGGTGGGAGTAATGCAAACTCATAGACATTTTCATCTCTCCATGCGAGGGGGCAAAGCAGCATCAATACCACAAAGGCAATCCTTACAAGAGCTACAAATGCTGGATTTTGAAAGAACATGGAAGATAGTGGTGGTATGGGTGTGTGGCACATATGGAAATAGTATCAAATAATCCAATATAAAGAAATCCAAGGGAATTTGGACAGAGCACCAATATTGTCTACTACACCAGGATTCCTTCATCTTTCCCTCCTGCCTTTTTTTTTTTTTTGAGATAGACTCTTGCTTTGTCACCCAGGCTAGAGTACAGTGGCGTGATCTCAGCTAAATGCAGCCTCTGCCTCCCAGGTTGAAGCAATTCTCCTGCCTCAGCCTCCCGAGTAGCTGGGATTACAGGAGTGCGCCACCATACTCAGTAATTTTTGTATTTTTAGTATAGATGGGGTTTCATCATGTTGGCCAGGCTGGTCTTGAACTCCTGATCTCAAGTGATCTGCCCACCTTGGCATCCCAAAGTGCTAGGATTACAGGCGTGAGCCTGGCCGGGCCCCTCCTGCCACTTCTAATCTGTAGGCCTTTGTCCCCATGCTCATCACCTTGTGGTCAGAAGTTAGCTGCTCTGCATTCAGCATCCTATCTATGGCTCAGGCAGGAAGAGAAGGGGTAAAAGACTGAAAAAGGGCATGCCAGTCAAATATGTCTTTTTAAAAGAAGTTTTTCTTAAACCATTATCCTGCTTATATTTTATTGTCCAGAACTATGCCAAATGGTTACCCCATCTAGCTGCATGGGAATCTGGGAAAGAGTGTATTTTTAGTTGTGTGCACTGTTGTCTGGTAAAAAAAAAAAAATGAGGGTCTATTGGTAAAGCAGTAGGGATGGTGGTTGTGGATATTAGGTAGACAATTACAATATTTGGTACTCCCTATTTACAGAGGAGAAATAGATATTGAGAGAGGTTACTTACCTTACCAAAGTTGCACAGCCTATAAGCAGCAAACCAACCCTGCTCTTAATACATTGGACACTGATTCACGTGATCTCTTTGTGGGCGCATCCTCTGTGCTAGGGACTGTAATTAAACTTGGACAAGTATTTCATCTTTGTATTAGTCAGGGTTCTCCAGAGGGACAGAACCAGTAGGAGATAGATAGATATAGATATATATATATATATATAGCTATATAGATATATATATATATAGCTATATAGATATATATATATAGATATATATATATCTATATATATATACACACACACACAATGTATATATACACTCTATCTATCTATCTATCTATCTATCTATCTATCTATCTATCTATCTATCTGAGTTTATTAAGGATAATTGGCTCACACGATTAAAAGGTGAAGTCCCAAAATAGGCCATCTACAAGTTGGGGAAAAAGAGAAGCTGGTAGAGCGGTTTAGTCCAAGATAGAAAGCCTCAATTCCAGGGAGGCTGAAAGTGTGGCCTTCAGTCTGAGGCTGAAGGCCCAAGAGCCCCTGGGAGGCCACTAGTGCAAATCTCAGAGTCCAAAGCTGAAGAACCTAGAGTCTGATGTCCGAGGATAGGAGGAAAGGAAGCAAGTGCCCGGCAAGGGAAGAGAGTGAGAAGACTAAGTTAGTAAGTTTATCACCCTTCTTCCACCTGCTTTGTTCTAGTTGTGCTGGTGGCTGATTGAATGGTGCCTACCCACATTGAGGGTGGTTCTTCCTTTTTCAGTCCACTGACTCAAAAGTCAATCTTGGCAGGATGCGGTGGCTCAGCCTATAATCCCAGCACTTTGGGAGGCTGAGGTAGGCGAATCGCTTGAGCCCGGGAGTTTGAGAGCAGCCTGGACAACATAGTGAAACCCTGGCTCTACAAAAAAATGCAAATATTAGGTGGATGTGGTAGCACGTGCCTGTAGTCCCAGCTCCCCAGGAGGCTGAGGTGGGAGGATCACTTGAGCCTGGGAGGCTGAGGTTGCAGTGAGCTGAGATTGCTCCACTGCACTCCAGCCTAGGTGACAGAGTGAGACCCTGTCTCAAAAACAAACAAACAAACAAAAATGTCACTCTCCTTTGGCAACACCTTCACAGACACACCCAGAAATAATACTTTACCAGCCATGTAGGCATCCCTCAATTCAGTCAAGTTGACACCTAATATTAACCATCACAGTCATCTTGGCACTTCAGCAGGAAATAATTCATCGATCCTCCCTCTACCAACTCACAATCACTTTCATCTCTTGATTTATTTCCTCAGATTCCTAAGTCCCCATATATAATCCTGACCACTAAAGGGGTTAAAACAACTGAATTTACCCCTTTTACCTAAGACCTACATGAGGAACCTGCTTAACAAGACCTTGAGAATGGATATAAGAATAGATAGGGATGGGTGTTAGGGTATGGGGATAGACAATTCAGTTATATTTCTTTCCCTGATGACAAATCCACACTGATCTTTCTCACCTTTGTACAACTGTACTGCAGAGTTGGAGTTATAATACATATGGTACACGTTTTAGGGGGCTGGGAATGGTGGCTCACGCCTGTAATCCCAGAACTTTGGGAGGCCGAGGTAGGCAGATACCAAGGTCCGGAGTTCGAGACCCACCTGGCCAATATGGTGAAACCCTGTCTCTACTAAAAAAATACAAAAATTAGCTGGGCGTGCTGGCAGGCACCTGTAGTCTCAACTACCAGGGAGGCTGAGGCAGGAGAATTGCTTGAACCTAGGAGGCAGAGGTTGCCGTGAGCTGAGATCATGCCACTGCACTCCAGCTTGGGTGACAGAGTGAGACTCTGTTTAAAAAAAATAATAATAATACATATGGTACATGTTTTAATTTCCATGTGAACAAGGAGCATGGCTTAAGTTTCTTTTGTGCTGTCATGGTGCCTAGCAAAGTCACAGTACATATGGCACCTATTTGATGTATAACTGCTAGAAGATGAGATTTCAGGGCTGTATAGGCTTATACTTGAAGGGAGAAGGAGTTTTGGGACAAGCCTACTACTCCAACCACCCACTGGCATACCACAGCTGAAGATTTCTGTTTTTAAAATTATTTTTTTTAAACTTTTGTTATAGGTTAGAGGGTACAAGTGAAGGTTTGTTACATAGGTAAACTCATGTCATGGGAGTTTGTTGTACAGATTATTTCATCACCCAGGAATTAAGCCCAGTACCCAATAGTTAACTTTTCTGTTCATCTCCCTCCTCCCACCCTCCACCCTCAAGTAGACCCCAGTCTACTTGTATTTATAAATTCATAATGACCTCCAGCTCCATCCATATTCCCACAAAAGACATGATCTCATTCTTTTTCATGACTGCATAGTATTCTAGTGTGTATATGTACCACACTTTCTTTATCTAGTCTGTCACTGATGGACATTTAGGTTGATTCCGTGTCTTTGCTATTGTGAATAGTGCTGCAATGAACATTTGTGTGCATGTATATTTATGGTAGAAAGATTTGTATTCCTATTCCTCTGGGTATATACCCAGTAATGGGATTGCAGCTGAAGATTTCTATCCATCATGAAATTTTTCAGTGTGAGGCACAAGGATTGAAATTATTTTTTGGCTTATTTTGTTCTGCAGAAGTGGGGATTATGAATAAATTGTTTTAGTTTTAAATCAAGCTGCTGTTTTCAAATTAGGTTGGCAATTTTCTTTCCAAATTCCCCCTGAATCTCAACTCTTACTTATTTCTTCCCGATTCTAAGTCATTTTACTCGTTCAAATAAAATTTTCTTGACAGTATTTCAAGATAGTCAGTAAATACATAAAAACCTAAAGAAGACAAATAAAATGAGGAAAAAGTAAGTTTTGACACAATTATCCTTCCTGATACAATGAAATGAACAAATTCTTTCCAGTAATGTGTATTTGGACCATGAAAACACATACAGGTAAGTGACAAAAATGCCACCTCATATTTGAATATTTTAATCAAATTATACTGACTATAATGATGGTGGAAATTTTTTTTTTAAAAAAAGGAAACTTAAACACAGAAAATAAGTGAGCTGAGTTGAAAGTTATCTACCTAAGGAGTCAGAATGATCAGATCAAGGTTCTGGTGCAGGTACCTGTTAGATGTTTGATTCTGAGTAAAAGTCATTGAACACCTTCTTGCCACCCACCAGTATGGGCACTGACAGTACAAAGGTGAAAAAGACACAATCTCTTCTCTTGAAAATATTACTTAGTTTTGAATAACCAAAATTATCAGGTAATGACCTACTCCGGATACCAACATTGGTAGATTGGAATATGCTTACTTTCACTTAAGAATTTCAGAATATCGGGGTCTTGGTTCCAAGATGGCTGAATAGGAACAGCTCAAGTCTACAGCTCCCAGTGTGAGCGACATAGAAGACGGTGATTTCTGCACTTCCACCTGAGGTACTGGGTTCATATCACTGGGGCTAGTTGGACAGTAGGTGCAGGACAGTGGGTGCAGCCCATGGATTGTGAACTGAAGCAGGGTGAGGCATCGCCTCACCCAGGAAGCACAAGCGGCTGGGGAATTCCCTTTCCTAGCTAAGGGAAGCCATAACAGACGGCACCTGGAAAATCGGGTCACTCTCATCCTAATACTGCACTTTTCCAATGGTCTTAGCAAATGGCACACCAGGAGATTATATCCTGTGCCTTGCTCAGAGGGTCCCATGCCCACGGAGCCTTGCTCACTGCTAGCACAGCAGTCTGAGATCAAACTGCAAGATGGCAGTGAGGCTGGGGGAGGGGCGCCCGCCATTGCTGAGGCTTGAGTAGGTAAACAAAGTGGCCAAGTAGCTCTAACTGGGTGGAGCCCACCGCAGCTCAAGGAGGCCTGCCTGCCTCTGTAGACTCCACCTCTGGGGGAAGGGCATAGCTGAAGAAAAGGCAGCAGAAACTTCTGCAGACTTAAACATTCCTGTCTGACAGCTTTGAAGAGAGTAGTGGTTCTCACACCACCAAGTCTGAGATCTGAGAACTGACAGACTGCCTCCTCAAGTGGGTCCCTGACCCCTGAGTAGCCTAACTGGGAGGCACCTCCCAGTAGGGGCTGACTGACACCTCATACATCCAGGTGCCCCTCTGAGACAAAGCTTCCAGAGGAATGATTAGGCAGCAAAATTTGCCATTCTGCAACATTTGTGGTTCTGCAGCCTCCACTGGTGATAACCAGGCAAACAGGGTCTGGAGTGGACCTCCAGCAAACTCCAAGAGACCTGCAGCTGAGGGTCCTGACTGTTAGGAGGAAAACTAACAAACAGAAAGGACATCCACACCAAAACCCTATCTGTACGTCACCATCATCAAAGACCAAAGGTAGATAAAACCACAAAGATGGGGAGAAACCAGAGCAGAAAAGCTGAAAATTCTAAAAATCAGAGTGCCTCTTCTCTTCCAAAGGAACGCAGCTCCTTGCCAGGAATGGAACAAAGCTGGATAGAGAATGACTTTGACGAGTTGAGAGAAGAAGGCTTCAGAAGATCGGTAATAACAAACTTCTCTGAGCTAAAGGAGGATGTTCGAACCCATCGCAAAGAAGCTAAAAACCTTGAAAAAAGATTAGATGAATGGCTAACTAGAATAAACAGCATAGAGAACACCTTAAATGACCTGGTGGAGCTGAAAACCATGGCACGAGAACTATGTGACACATGCACAAGCTTCAGTAGCCGATTTGATCAACTGGAAGAAAGGGTATCAGTGATTGAAGACCAAATGAATGAAATGAAGCAAGAAGAGAAGTTTAGAGAAAAAAGAGTAAAAAGAAACAAATAAAGCCTCCAAGAAATATGGGACTATGTGAAAAGACCAAATCTACGTCTGATTCGTGTACCTGAAAGTGATGGGGAGAATGGAACCAAGTTGGAAAACACTCTGCAGGATATTATCCAGGAGAACATCCTCAACCTAGCAAGGGAGGCCAACATTCAAATTCACAAAATACAGAGAACACCACAAAGATACTCCTCAAGAAGAGCAACTCCAAGACACATAATTGTCAGATTCACCAAAGTTGAAATGAAGGAAAAAATGTTAAGGGCGGCCAGAGAGAAAGGTCAGGTTACCCCCAAAGGGAAGCCCATAAGACTAACAGCGGATCTCTCGGCAGAAACTCTACAAGCCAGAAAAGAGTGGGGGCCTATATTCAACATTCTTTTTTTTTTTTTTTTTGAGACGGAGTCTCGTTCTGTCGCCCAGGCGGAAGTGCTGTGGCGCGATCTCCGCTCACTGCAAGCTCCGCCTTCCGGGTTCACATCATTCTCCTGCCTCAGCCTCCCGAGTAGCTGGGACTACAGGCACCCGCCACTGCGCGTGGCTAATTTTTTTGTATTTTTAGTAGAGACGGGGTTTCACCGTGGTCTCGATCTCCTGACCTCGTGATCCGCCTGCCTCGGCCTCCCAAAGTGCTGGGATTACAGGCGTGAGCCACCGCGCCCGGCCTCAACATTCTTAAAGAAAAGAATTTTCAACCCAGAATTTCATATCCTGCCAAACTAAGCTTCATAAGTGAAGGAGAAATAAAATCCTTTACAGACAAGCAAATGCTGAGAGATTTTGTCACCACAAGCCTTGCCTTACAAGAGTTCCTGAGGAAGCACTAAACAGGGAAAGGAACAACTGGTACCAGCCATTGCAAAAACATGCCAAATTATAAAGACCATTGATGCTAGGAAGAAACTGCATCAACTAACGAGCAAAATAACCAGCTAACATCATAATGACAGGATAAGATTCACACATAACAATATTAACCTTAAATGTAAATGGGCTAAATGCTCCAATTAAAAGACACAGACTGGCAAATTGGATAAAGAGTCAAGACCCATCAGTGTGCTGTATTCAGGAGACCCATCTCACATGCAGAGACACACATAGGCTCAAAATAAAGGGATGGTGGAAGATCTACCAAGCAAATGGAAAACAAAAAAAAAGCGGGGGTTGCAATCCTAGTCTCTGGTAAACCATACTTTAAACCAACAAAGATCAGAAGAGACAAAGAAGGCCATTACATAATGGTAAAGGGATCAATTCAACAAGAAGAGCTAACTATCCTAAATATATATGCACCCAATATGGGAGCACCCAGATTCATAAAGCAAGTCCTAAGAGACCTACAAAGAGACTTAGACTCCCACACAGTAATAATGGGAGACTTTAACACCCCACTGTCAACATTAGACAGATCAACGAGACAGAAAGTTAACAAGGATATCCAGGAATTGAACTCAGCTCTGCACCAAGTGGACCTAATAGACATCTACAGAACTCCCCAAATCAACAGATTATGCATTCTTTTCAGCACCACATTGCACTTATTCCAAAATTGACCACATAGTTGGAAGTAAAGCACCCTTCAGCAAATGTAAAAGAAGAGAAATTATAACAAACTGTCTCTCAGACCACAGTGCAATCAAACTAGAACTCAGGATTAAGAAACTCACTCAAAACCACTCAACTACATGGACACTGAACACCCTGCTCCTAAATGACTACTGGGTACATAACAAAATGAAGGCAGAAATAAAGATGTTCTTTGAAACCAATGAGAACAAAGACACAACATACCAGAATCTCTGGGACACATTTAAAGCAGTGTGTATAGGGAAATTTATAGCATTAAATGCCCACAAGAGAAAGCAGGAAAGATCTAAAACTGACACCATAACATCACAATTAAAAGAACTAGAAAAGCAAGAGCTAACACATTCAAAAGCTAGCAGAAGGCAAGAAATAGCTAAGATCAGAGCAGAACTGAAGGAAATAAAGACGCAAAAAAACCTTCAAAAAAATCAATGAATCCAGGAGCTGGTGTTTTGAAAGGATCAACAAAATTGATAGACCTCTAGCAAGACTAATAAAGAAAAAGAGAAAAATCAAATAGACGCAATAAAAAATGATAAAGGAGATATCACCACTGATCCCACAGAAATACAAACTACCATCAGAAAATACTGTAAACACCTCTATGCAAATAAACTAGAAAATCTAGACGAAATGGATAAATTCCTGGACACATACACCCTCCCAAGACTAAACCAGGAAGAAGTTGAATCCCTGAACAGACCAATAACAGGCTCTGAAATTGAAGCAATAATTAATAGCCTACCAACCAAAAAAAAGTCCAGGACCAGACGGATTCATAGCTGAATTCTACCAGAGGTACAAAGAGGAGCTGGTAACATTCCTTCTGAAACTATTCCAATCAATAGAAAAAGAGGGAATCCTCCCTAACTCATTTTATGAGGCCAGCTTCATCCTGATAACAAAGCTGGGCAGAGACACAACAAAAAAAGAGAATTTTAGACGAATATCCTTGATGAATATCGATATAAAAATCCTCAATAAAATACTGGCAAACTGAATCCAGCAGCACATCAAAAAGCTTATCCTCCATGACCAAGTGGGCTTCATCCCTGGGATGCAAGGATGGTTCAACATGTGCAAATCCATAAATTTAATCCATCATATAAACAGAACCAAAGACAAAAACCACACGATTATCTCAATAGATGCAGAAAAGACCTTTGACAAAATTCAACATCCCTTCATACTAAAAACTCTCAATAAATTAGGTATTGATGGGACGTATCTCAAAATAATAAGAGCTATCTATGATAAACCCACAGCCAATATCATACTGAATGGGCAAAAACTGGAAGCATTCCCTTTGAAAACTGGCACAAGACAGGGATGCCCTCTCTCACCACTCCTATTCAACATAGTGTTGGAAGTTCTGGCCAGGGCAATCAGGCAGGAGAAAGAAATAAAGGGTATTCAATTAGGAAAAGAGGACGTCAAACTGTCCCTGTTTGTAGATGACATGATTGTATATTTAGAAAACCCCATCATCTCAGCCCAAAATCTCCTTAAGCTGATAAGCAACTTCAGCAAAGTCTCAGGATACAAAATCAATGTGCAAAAATCACAAGCATTCTTATACACCAACAACACACAAACAGAGAGCCAAATCATGAGTGAACTCCCATTCACAATTGCTTCAAAGAGAATAAAATACCTAGGAATCCAACTTACAAGGGATGTGAAGAACCTCTTCAAGGAGAACTACAAACCACTGCTCAATGAAATAAAAGAGGACACAAACAAATGGAAGAACATTCCATGTTCATGGATAGGAAGAATCAATATCATGAAAATGGCCATACTGCCCAAGGTAATTTACAGATTCAACGCCATCCCATCAAGCTACCAATGACTTTCTTCACAGAATTGGAAAAAACTACTTTAAAGTTCATATGGAACCAAAAAAGAGCCCGCATTGCCAAGACAGTCCTAAGCCAAAAGAACAAAGCTGGAGGCATCACGCTACCTGACTTCAAACTATACTACAGTAACCAAAACAGCATGGTACTGGTACCAAAACAGACATATAGACCAATGGAACAGAACAGAGCCCTCAGAAATAATACCACACATCTACATCCATCTGATCTTTGACAAACCTGACAAAAACAAGAAATGGGGAAAGATTGCCTATTTAATAAATGGTGCTGGGGAAACTGGCTAGCCATATGTAGAAAGCTGAAACTGGATCCCTTCCTTACGCCTTATACAAAAATTAATTCAAGATGGATTAAAGACTTAAATATCAGACCTAAAACCATAAAAACCCTAGAAGAAACCCTAGGCAATACCATTCAGGACATAGGCATGGGCAAGGTCTTCATGTCTAAAACACCAAAAGCAATGGCAACAAAAGCCAAAATAGACAAATGGGATCTAATGAAACCAAAGAGCTTCTGCACAGCAAAAGAAACTACCATCAGAGTGAACAGGCAACCTACAGAATGGGAGAAAATTTTTGCAATCTACCCATCTGACAAAGGGCTAATATCCAGAATCTACAAAGAATTTAAACAAATTTAGAAGAAAAACTCAAACAACCCCATCAAAAAGTGGGCAAAGTATATGAACAGACACTTTTCAAAAGAAGACATTTATGCAGCCAACAGACACATGAAAAAATGCTCATCATCTCTGGCCATTAGATAAATTCAAATCAAAACCACAATGAGATACCATCTCACACCGGGTAGAATGGTGAACATTAAAAAGTCAGGAAACAGGTGCTGGAGAGGATGTGGAGAAATAGGAACACTTTTACACTGTTGGTGGGACTGTAAGCTAGTTCAGCCATTGTGGAAGACAGTGTGGTGATTCTTCAAGGATCTAGAACTAGAAATACCATTTGACCCAGCCATCCCATTACTGGGTATATACCCAAAGGATTATAAATCATGCTGCTATAAAGACATATGCACACGTATGTTTATTGCGGCACTATTCACAATAGCAAAGACTTGGAACCAACCCAAATGTCCATCAGTGATAGAGTGGATTAAGAAAATGTGGCACATATACACCATGGAATACTATGCAGCCATAAAAAGGATGAGTTCATGTCCTTTGTAGGGACATGGATGGAGCTGGAAACCATCATTCTGAACAAACTATCGCACGGACTAAAAACCAAACACTGCATGTTCTCACTTATAGGTGGGAATTGAACAATGAAAACACTTGGACACAGAGTGGGGAACACCGCACACCAGGGCCTGTTGTGGGGTGGGGGAAGGGGGAGGGATAGCATTAGGAGATATACCCAATGTAAATGATGAGTTAATGGGTGCAGCATACCAACATGGCACATGTATACATATGTAACAAACCTGCATGTCGTGCACATGGACCCTAGAACTTAAAGTATAATAAAAAAAGAAATTTCAGAATATTGAGTCATCATATGATAAAATCATTATAGTCTCACATACATTTGGAAAATATACTTTATTCAATAATATAAACAATGTAGTAGATATATTTGATTATTTAATAATCATTTTAAGTTTATTGTACAGATGCACATGTCAATAATTAGTGTTTTTCAGATGGGATGATATACATTCTGCTTTTATTTTTATCTCTTTGGTAACAATTATTGACAGAACAATGAAACAAAGATAAATTGTTTTACAGTTGTAATACCCTTGTATGGTAATTCTCAGCCTCTTTTATCTTATATTCTACTAGCACTTACATCTAATAGGTCTCAATAAAGTAGAAATGTAAAAGTATGTATTTTCAGAAAAGGTCATATTTCATAAAGATTCTGTTACTATGTTAGTCATTTATCATAAGTGTTAAGTCTAAGAAAAGTTGTAATAGAAATTGCTAAGACTTTAAAATAAAAACTACTCCTTTAGTAGTTAAAAAATGTTATTATATGGTTGAGTATAAATTTTATTGCCCTAGTGACAGTAAAAAACAAAAACGTTTAGCAAAAAAATATTGCCATTAATAGCTTTATCTAAAATTCTACAACAGACAAAGCAGAATAAACGTTTTGGCATCCAGAGGTCAGGTGATACAGAAATGAAGTTCAGCAGGTGCAAAAGATATATCAAGGGCATGGTAGTTAAAAGAAATGAAAAGAGACAGATGTCAAATGAATATTCCACAGTAAGCAGTGTTATCAGGAAGCTGGAATACAAAAAGACTTGTGCACATGGGAAATAAGGATTAGAAGCAACTTTGCCCAATGTGACAGTGAGTATTAAAAGACATAGGTCCCTGGAAGCCAGGGTCAGAAGGGATGGTAGGCCATGGACATGAGGGACAGTCAGTTACTGAAATTTTAATGTTAATTCGGTGTCTCATCTAGGCTCTGGTAGGTTAGAAGATTTCTGGCCTTACCATGATAGTTGGATTATATGGTACTTGGATGCTCTAAAACATGTTGTGACTCAGTACTCTTTAAAAAAAAAAAAGTTTTAGCATGTTACATATTCCTAATAAGTGAAATTTTATGTCTGAACTAAAATTTACTTCACTTCCTCGTGTAAGAATGCCTTGCTTAAACTCAATATATAAAAATCAGAATTTTAAAAATTAAACAATTAGAAATGAAGTTATTCACTTTACAAATACTGGATTTATTTTTCTAAATTTTTTAGTTATCTTTACTTTTTCACACATTTATGTTACCTGGCTTGCCATGTGGGCCTTTGAAGTTCCATATCCCCTGACAGTAAGGGAGATCTGCTCTGAGTGTTGCCTAAGACATCTACAAACAAACCTGGTGTTTTATTCCAGTTGAAAAAATGATAATTCTGTGAAGCATCTGGTCTTCTTTTTACTAGCAGCTCTAGTGTTTGAGCCTATCGTTTGGAACTGTGGAAAATTATTTCTCTAAGTAGCTCTTTAAAATGGATCCCTGTCTACATAGAGACTTAAGCTATGGCTCTTTCCTCAGTGGCCTTAGCTCTAAATATGAAGTTCTTTCTGGACTGAAACTAGAGAAAAGTAAAGGTCAGACTGTATCTCTTTAGAATGTTGACCGTTTCTTTACCAATACCCTATTTAATATACTGATACTTGTATTGAAGATGCAGTTATACAGAGGGAAATAAAAGAATAACTGGAGGATTAGAAAAAATATTTTTATACATAATATGGAAAACATTCCACACATGCTAAGCACTCTTCATTTCCCTTAGATGTCACCTGTCTCTTTCTTTATCTCTCATTCCTTCTCCAGTGGTAGCATTTGGGTACTCAACCCAAGACTCACAGGTTTCCATCAACTAAGTTTCAGAGAGCTTAAACAAGATATTTTCAGTACACAAATTCTCAGAAGAGTCTACTTTAATCAGAGCAAGATGATTATCCTTTACACCTATAAACACTCCAGGATCAGTCTTGCATTCAAATGAAACACAGTTGGAGTGCATATTATGAAGGACAAAGAAGGCCTGGTCTGGCAGTGGTTTTTCACACTTATGGAGCTGAGGAAACAAGAGAGAAAGCAATCCATATGTGAATGGGAAGTTCAGAGTCAACTTTACCTGCCTGTATTGGAAACTAAAGGGGAATACTTATTTATGACTTGATATTTCTAGCAAGCTTGCTTAGTGAGTTGTGGAGGGAAGAGGGGGAGAAGTGAGTAGAGGGCCAGAGGGGTAGTGGGTGGATTTGATTTGATTCACTGATAGTCAACATAGAGAGGCAGTATGGATTAGGGTGATTGGATCTGGATGCAACAGTTCTGGATTTGTACCCTTCTTTTGACATGTACTATCTCTGAGATCTTGGGGATGTTGCTTTATCTCTCAAGCCTCATTTTTTTTAGTCTAACCAGTTTTCTAGATCAGTCAATCCTCAAAATATCTACAGACATGAGTAAATATAAATGATTATTATTTTGAGGCACTAAGTTTTGGGATGGTTTGTTACATAGCAACAGTTGACCAATACAACAACTCCATTGTAGAGTTACTGTGAGTATTAAATAAAATAATATTTGTAAAACATTTAGCCCAGTGCTTGCTATATAATAGAGCTCAGTCTAAGTAGCTCTATTATTGAGTAGTTATACATGCCAAACACTAGATTATATATGTTTAGGAATGTTTTGCTTAGGAAGATGCTGGTTACTATCCACTATTTATGTTAATAAGGCCTTACATGGCTGTGTTAGTTAGCTTTATATTTTTCTGTGTTTGTATAATTTATCTTCTATATTATGCTCTCTTCTGTTTTCTTCCATGCCTCTACCTTTGGCTTGTTTGTCAAAATAGTTATAATTACACATCATGACCAATGTAATAATGCCATTTGCTAACTAAAGAAGAATATGCAATTAATTCTATGTTCAGAATGTAGATGTTAGGTTATTTATAAATCTTGGCACATGGAAACGCTTATGACTCTCCCTTAAGCAGGCTCAGAATGGAAATTTTTTTTGTATTTGTTTAAGAAAATGATATTATACAAAGAAACGTTTCCTAGAGGAACATAGTAGTTCCTAAAGCCAAACAGAAAGGATTTGAGATCATTCTATGTAACAGTGCTTCTCAAACTTTAAGGCACATATGAATTTCCTGGAGATTTATTAAAATATGCTGATTCTGATTTATTTCTGGGGGGCTTAGAATCCTGCATTTCTAACAGGCTCCCAGGTGATGCTCTGCTGCTGGCAGAGAGCAGACTTTCAATAGCAAAGCCATACATGCCACTTTCCTCCCTTCCTTACTCTAGAAGCAAGTCATTTGTAGTAAGTGATTGTGCTTTATATACAATAGCACACAAAAAAATCCTTCTGCAAAATACCCCAACACCCAAATCTACACAAGTTGGTGGAGTCATTCATGACAGTTCTGTAATCATATATATAGATATAGATAAATTTTTTTTTTTTACCTCCACAGAGTGTTCCTTGTTGTTGGCATGCAACCAGAAGTCTTTTGTAGGACTCAGGGTTACCATTAACATCTTACCATCAACACCGTCACCTTACAATTAAGAAAGTATAAATGATAAAGTTAAGAACTGTAACTCATCTTTATTTAAATGAATTCAACACCCAGGAAAAAAGTCTAAGATGTTACATAAAATAATTACTTCATTCACTAACAGGTATCTTAGAAGTATTTGTACCCAAGTTCAAGAGGCACTGATAAGTAGAGGGTACTTATAAACCGGAGAGAAATTAGTTTTCTTATATGCTTTTTAATTGGAGAGTTGTGACCCTAATGGTTACTTCTCGGGGCATCAGCTTTCCTGTCTGCATGTAAAGCCACTCATAGTGTCACCCAATATTCATTCCTCTTTTGGGATAGTAATAGAACATTCCCCAGCTTGCCTTCTTATGGCTAAGTGTAGTAATACAACTGAGTTCTGACCAATGTGAGATAAGAGGAAGTGTTAGGTGCAACTTCTAGGTTGTACCCTTAAAGGGAAATAGAATGCATACATCTGTTTTTCTGTGTCCTGCTGACCAGGCATTGTCATGCTCCCAAGTACTCTTGAACCATGTAGATGTTGGCAGAACCACAAGATAGAAGGAGATGGGTTCCCTGGACAACTTGTTGAGCCATTGCAGCCCTGGCTAAGACAGAAAGTTTTATCTAGCATAAACCACTCTTGTTTTGGATCTGTATTAAGTGTAGCCAAAACTTTATCCTAACGATTAAGCTGTAAAATGGATGAGAATGCATCCTCTGAGAATCTAAGGTTTTACCATGAGCTTGGGTTGGAGATAACCTTCTGAGACTATCTTTTTTCCTATGGGGCAAAAAGGATTTTTTTGGATTTATCTTTACCCCATACTTAAGAATTCAAGCACTACAGCTACCCAGCCCTCCAAATTACCTGATTCATTTGAGGGGTGTTGAGACTCATAGTAACTCAGTAACACCTTATCTGAAAGAGAATGCATAAAATCCCTCTGGTGAGACACAATTTTGTTAAGTTTTCAGTTCCAACACACACATAACATCAGAAAATATCCTCCCCTTTTATTATATATCAATAAAAACAAATCTTTTGTGGTTTTGAGAAAGGTCTCAAAAATGCACGAATATGCTCTGATGAATTCTCCAATATAGTTGTTATTAAAATATTTAAAATATTTTTCATAGCAGTGGCATAAAGGTTGTACTTTGGTGATACTAATAGGGCTAGAAAGATCTGGTGGATAATTTAGAGATAGCAAATACATGTGGCCCCTCTTTCCATCTTTCACAACAGATACTGCATTTCAATGTCAGCATTCTTCTCTGATGAACGTGACAAAGCTTCTGAATCCATCTTGACATAGAAGTGGATTCAGGCACCCACTGCCAATGCATTAGAGTTAGCACACAGCATGACCTGTTTGCCATGTCTAAGTTAATCCATTGTTTAAAGTTTGGTAGATTTATTAAAATGTTTTACTTTTATTAGTCATTATTACATTATTATAGAAAAAGAAAATAATCTACCTTTCTTTTCATCTTTTTTCAAGTCTTCAACATATATCTCATAACTTTCATCCTCCAAAGCAAAAGTAATGGATTGATCATTGTATGTGCTTAGAGAAGCAAGATACTCTGTAATAGGTGAAATTCCTGTTGTTAAGAATTCAAAAATTTGTCAGGCACAATTCTTTTGGCAACCTTTTTAAAAAATGCTCCCTCAAAAAACATTTTTGCAATTTGAGTTGCATTTTGTATGTCACTGTTGGCTAGATTAAAGCCTTTGATACAAGTTTTACATAGCTAAAAGGCTGAGATGTGACCCTTGAATGGGATTAAAGGTGCTAGTGTCCTGCATGAAGGCCCTGGGAGGCCATGTGAGTGTGCTTATGGGAGGGTTTGGTGGGGAAAAAGAAAATGGAAAGCAACAGACATTGCTTGAGGAAACCTTCACTTCATGACACCACTTGGTCTGGGGACTGTGGTAAAGAAGGGACTGTATTTTGATAGACATGGATAAATAAATGTTCATCTATAAAGTATGGAGTTACCCAGAAGTTTCTGACAGTCCTGGAGAATGCGGATATAAGCCCTGTTCTCTCCTCTGGCTAAATAACAGGGACACTTAGTGCAGTGCTCCCAACTTTTAAAAAGTGTCAAAATACCCATAGAAAATGATAATATTTTTATAGCCTGCTGAGGTAAACTGGAGCAGATTTAGGGACTACTCAGATGGGGCCTGGAAAAAAATAGTATACAAAATATTAAGGAGAATGTTACATACTGAATTTGTACATGAACTTCTAAAGTAAATGATTTAGAAATACTTAATGAGAAAACTTCAGTGTTGCTTCTGGGAATTTAGGACATTTATAGCAGGAATAATGCTTGAAATGGCAAATGCAATTTCCAGGTAAAGTTGGTTTTTTTGTTTTGTTTTGTTTTTTGTTGGGTTTTTTTTTGTTTGTTTGTTTGTTTTTTTTCTGAGACAGCCGCTCTTGTTGCCCAGGCGAGAGTGCCCTGACATGATCTCGGCTCACTGCAACCTCTGTCAAGGTTCAAGCAATTCTTGTGCCTCAGCCTCACAAGTAGCTGGAATTACGGGTGCACATCACCACAACCAACAGATTTTTGTATTTTTAGTAGAGACAGGGTTTCGCCATGTTGGCCAGGCTGGTGTTGAACTCCTGACCTCAGGTGATCCATCAACCTCGGCCTCCCAAAGTGCTGGGATTACAGGTGTGAGCCACCACACCTGGCCAAGTTTTTTTTTTAATGATGATCTCTTCACTTCTTGAAGTCATCATCAACTTGGAACCTTATACAAGGAAGTGATAAAATTTAAAACCATCTTAACTACTACTTAAAATGTATAAAGTGTTAGAATTATATTTAAAAATATAATAGCTCTTTTCTTTCATGGTCAAAATATTGAAATTTGGGGGGAAAATGTGTTTTTTTCCCAAAAGATAACATATTTTCACCAAAACTAATGACCATGGGATTCCAATCCATTGCAAGTATTTCAAAATAATGATGGAGTGCTAACTAGAGAATGCATGTACATTATTAGAACAGCTACCTTGCACCTACTTTGGATACTATTAGATGGGTACATCAGCTGCAAATGGGCAGAAGTTTCTGGTACACATTAAAGACACAGACTTGGGACTGCTACCTGGAGTAGCACTTTCCGGGGTCCTGTGTCATACCTCCCTCCTCACTCCCACATCACCCCTGTAACCAGTCATACCTGTGATACTTGAATCATGAAGTGCTCTAGTATATTTCTGGACCCCTGATATACCAAAGGCAAAGCACTCCACAGTAGACTGCTGTTGACAGGCAGCGAGTACCAGATGTCTTTTGTGCTTTCTACCTGCAGACCGGATGGGATTAGGGATAGACCATCAATCCCCACTCTGCACAAATGCCCCTTTGAGGATTCCCAGTTAAGGCTGCTTGCTGAGAGTAGTGATTGACTCCAGGGCTTTGGCCACTTCATGGTCCAAAGGGATTGATACCTCTTGGCACACTTATTCCCCAGTAGAAGCACACTCATTAGAGATCAGGAGGAAGAAAACTAGTCACCCACAGTCTCAACACCCAAAAGGCAAGCACTATTAATGCTTAAACCTATTTCCTTTAAATTAAAAAAACACTTAAAAATATTGTAAACATATTTACACATAGTTATGTATCTTTTGTTTTCACTTAACATTATAACATAATCATTTCTCTCATGCTATTGAAAATTCTTTATATGCCCTTTTAAAAATAGCTAAAAACCAGTTCATCATTCTTAATATTTTCCAAAAGGAACCTTGGAGTGAGGAAAAATAATTGCATATTTAGATGTGGTAAGTGAAGGCAAACAGATACTTATCACTATTGCCAGAGAATGTACGGTTCCCCTTACCTGTTTTCAGTGAAGGCCTTTTGGTGGTTTCTCTCCTAAAGTAACAGGCCTCCTTTTTTATCATAAGGCCAGAGCGGAGCTTCATAAAGTACATGGGGCAAACTTCTTTGGCCTTCTGTTGGGATTCTAAACAATTGAAAAACTTGTGAGACTGTTTCATTCCATTCATCTTTATCCTTCTACAAATCCTGAGTGTAGCAGACCAAGAAAGCAAGTACAGGTTCACAGTATCTTATCAGAAATCCTTAACTCAGCTGTGTTTCAAAATTCGGAGTTTTTTAGATTTTAGGATTGTAATATAGAGCATATAGTGCACATATGTAGCACCCCAGAAGAGATGGGGGCAGCACCCCATAATCAAAATTAGTTAATTTTATATTGAAACATAGGAAAATTTACACAAAGTGAAATAAAGACCTTATGTTAGTTCACATCAGGAGTTAGTTGATGTGAACAAGAAATGAGTTTAGGTCATATTTTGCTGTCAAATAAGTTCTGAAAAACTTTAGGTCTTTAGAAAAAAATTTTGGTTTTCAGAATTCCATATGAGGGAGTGTGAACCTGTATCCAACATATATCAACCTTTGCCTAATTGAGGGGTATCTTTTACTCATATGAAATGTGCAATCTTTTCTCCTTGTCTAGAACACTTTTAATAATTTTGGAGGGATTGCTGAAGTCTACAAAGGTTACTGATATTAAAATAACTACCATTTGCTAAGTGTCTACAGTGGGCCAAACGCTGTGCTAATGATTTTACATATGTCTCCATTTAATTCTTCATAATAATCTTGCAAGATGGGCATTATTGTCCCCATTTTACAGATGATAATCTGAGGCTCTCAGGAGTCATGACACTTGCCCAAGATTACAGAGCTGGCGAGAAGTTGTGACTGAAGTGTGCCTAAAATCAAACCTATTCTTTCCACCACCATCCACTTACCGCCATCTAAGAAAATGCTACACTACAATTTGAGGGACTAACAAAATGCAAATTCAAATTAAATCAGTCAAAGTAAAAAAGTTAATTATTCAGTAATTATTTCATTTTGCTAAAGAAAAATCTAAGTCTCAAAAAGAAAATTAAATTTGCTACTTGGAAAATCATAAAAAGTCTTTCAGAATCAGGTAGAAAAGAAAATTGTAACACATGAGTCATAGGATCTCAATTTTTAACATTATGTAGTAAATGAATTATCAAGCAATTTATACAATGAAGTCAAATTTCAATTAGTCACAGTAATTCAGAAAATAAAATATTATTTGTGACTCTGGGATTCATTTTATGAGTTAAAAAAATTCTCCAGTGGATTTGCCTTCCTAAAATAATGCTTTTTAAAGATAAGTGGAAAAGCTTTTATTAGCTATTATTTTGAATTAATCCACATCTTGCTTCCAATTCAGATGAGTAGGTACCTTTAACTATCTTCAACTGATTTAATAAGGGGAGACCACTTAATTATATTCACACCCACTCTAGAACTCTCTACCATTGATTCTTAATGCAGAAATATCAACGGTGGTATCTTGTATTTATATTTTAGTGCTTTTACACTTACAAAGATAATTCATAAAGAAAACTAGTGCCAGAGCCAGCATTGTACTTATTCTCCTGACAAGTAATTTAATACAATACTTTACTGACTGTTGTATTAATTCATTTTCTGCTACTATCACAGAATACCATAGACTTGGTAATTTATAAAGCAAAGAAATTTGTTGGCCAGGTGCTGTGGCTCACACCTGTAATCCCAGCACTTTGGGAGGCTGAGGCAAGAAAATTGCTTGAGGCTAGACATTCAAGACCAGCCTGGGCAACACAGTAAGACCGTCTCTACAAAAAATTTAAAAAAAAAAAGTAGCTGGGCATGGTGGCCTGCTCCTGTAGTCTCAGCAACTTGGGAGGCTGAGACCAAAGGATTGCTTGAGCCTGGGAGTTTGAGGCTGTAGTGAGCTATAATCATGCCACTGCACTCCAGCCTGGGTGACAGAGTGCGACCCTGTCTCTAAAAAAAGAAAAAAAAGATAGAAATTTATTTCTTACACTTCTAGAGGCAGGCAAATCCAAGAATATTATGCTGGCATCTGGTGAGGATCATCTGATGGTGGAAGGCAGCAGTGAGTAAGTCAGAGAGGAAATCCGGAGAACTCACTTTTATAACAAACCCAGTCTCTTGATAACCAAACCACTCCCATGATAACAGCAGTAATCTGTTTATGATGGTGGAGTTCTCATGACCTAATTACATCTTAAAGATCCGACCTCTCCGGAGGTTGCAGTGAGCTGAGATAGTGCCACTGCACTCCAGTCTGGCGACAGAGCGAGACTCTGTCTCAAAAAAAAAAAAAAAAAAAAAAAGAAAAGAAAAGAAAAAAAGATCTGACCTCTCAACACTGTTACAATGGTGATTAAATTTTAGCATGAGTTTTGGTGGAAACATTCAAACCATAGCAACTATATCACATTGTCTTTTCAGAGCTAAAAGGCATAATATGATAACTGAAAGAACACTCACTCCTTATATTCTTTATATTTTAGTCAGCATCACATGGGAACGTGATAGGCATGCCTAATACTGAGTGTGGACTCTGGGGGGAACAGGATATCAGTCTTGGGTAGTTAAAAGTGAGGGTCACAATACTGAGGAAGTACTGAAGATGTGGAAGTCTTTAGGAGATAAGAAAGTTAAAGATGTACATGTGGGGGCTAGCATCTAGTAGGACAAGCACTGGTTATAGTTCAAGGATGGGGGTTACTACATTTGAAGTATTGAAAACACTTTGCATCAGGAGAATTTTGAAGAACATATGCTTTGGTGTTTTGGGAAGCTGAAAGTGTGAGGGTTGTGTTCTGGAGAGGAAAGTGCAAAGCTGGCCTGGACATGTGGACTTTGCAGGAGAGAGCACTCCACTGGGGTCAAAGAGCCAGCTCAAATGTATATAAGGGCTGTTACCACTTTCCATGTCTCTATCCTGCCTGCTCGCTGAGGGCAATGGCTTAGTATGAATTTTAAGAAAATTCCCATAGCTAATTTAATCATAACAGCAGCATGAATCCCTCAGGGATTTCTTGTGAGTAAATAGGAAGGGCCCTGGAAATCTTTCTATAATTCTGCCACTCAGAGAACTAGACTATGGCTGATAGGAAACCACAGAGGTGAATCACTCCGTCTTTCGTTTCTTCCCCAAGCACGGATTTTACCAAGGTGTCTTCTTAACTGCTTACTACCCTTGACCTGTCTGTGGCATTGGACTCTCAGGACCACTTCTTTCTTTGAACCCCTCTTTCCTTATGCCATGTCACCAGTTTCCCTAGGTTCTTCTTGTTTCTCTCTGACTACTGCACCTTGTCTCTTTGTTAGTTATCCCTCTACTGTCTGCTCATAAATGTTGGTTTTCCTCAGGGTTTTGACTTTTTTTCTTCTCTCACTCTTAAACTTTCTTCCTGGGCAATCATGCTTGCTCCAATGACTTCAATCACCTTTTTAGAGGCTGATGACTCCCCAAACTGTAACTCTATCTTTGGTCTTTTTCCTGAGCTTTCTATCTGTTTTTCTTTCTCCCCAAGTCATTTTGACCCAGCTACTTTGAAGCATAGCTGTCTCTTTCTGTGTATATCTTCTGAATTCTGGATATCTCTACCTGGGTGACCTGCAGCTACCTTAAACTAAAGTACACTGGTCTTAGTCTCTTTTCTGCTGCCATAACAAAATACCATGGACTGGGTGATTTATAAAGAAAAGAGTTTTATTTGGTGTCTGGTTCTGGAGGTTGAGAAGTCCAAGATTGAGGGGCTGTAGCTGATGAGGGCCTTCTTGCTGTGTCATCACATGGTGGAAGACATCACACATGGTGAGAGTGCACATGAGGCAAAGAAAGGATGGGGACTGAACTTCATCATTTTTATCAGAAACCCAATCCTGTAATAACTAACCCACTCCCATGACAATGGCATTAATCCATTAATGAGGGCAGAGCCTTTATTACCTAATCACCCCTTAAAGGTCCCACCTCTCTTTTTTTTTATTTTTATTTTTTTGAGATGGAGACTCGCTCTGTTGTCAGGCTGGAGTGCAGTGGTGCAATCTTGGCTCACTGCAACCTCTGCCTCCTGGGTTCCAGCAATTCTCCTGCCTCAGCTTCCTGAGTAGCTGGGACTACAGGCGTGCGCCACGGTGCCCAGCTAATTTTTGTATTTTTAGTAGAGACGGGGTTTCACCATGTTGGCAAAGATGGTCTTAATCTCTTGACCTCGTGATCCACCCACCTTGGCCTCCCAAAGTGCTGGGATTACAGGCATAAGCCACCGCACCCAGCCGGTTCCACCTCTTAATACTATCGCAATGGTAATTACATTTCAACATGAGTTTTGGAGGGGACATTCAAACCATGGCAGTCCTTATAATAAAAAATGTCTTTATCTTTTTCTGCCCCCAATATATTTCTCCTGAATTGCCTATCTTGAGAAATAGTACAACTATCTATCATTATCCACCCAATTCTTTTTTTTTTTTTTTTTTTTTTTTTTTTTTTTTTGGAGACAGAGTCTTGCTCTGTCACCCAGGCTGGAGTGCAGTGGCGTGATCTCGGCTCACTGCAAGCTCTGCCTCCCGAGTTCATGCCATTCTCCTGCCTCAGCCTCCCAAGTGGCTGGGACTACAGGCGCCCGCCACCATGCCCAGGCAATTTTTTGTATTTTTTAGTAGAGACGGGGTTTCACCGTGTTAACCAGGATGATCTCAATCTCTTGACCTCATGATCCGCCCGCCTCAGCCTCCCAAAGTTCTGGGATTACAGGCTTGAGCCACAACACCTGGCGTCTACCCAATTCTTAAATCAAAAAGCTGAGAATCATTTATTTTTCCTTCTTTCCATTCTTACAATTCATTCAATCTGTCATTAAGTCTTTTTGATTTCACCTTCTGAATATATCTGAAATCTAGTCCGTCCTCTCTATTCTGTTGTCTTAGGTCACACCTTCATCATTAGTCCCTTAGATTAATGCAGTAGACCTCTAACCAGTTTCTGTTTCTACTCTTGCCTCCTCACTTTATCATCACACTACTATCATCACACTTCACCAATGTGATCTCTGTAAAGTAAAAATATTTTATCATTCCTCAGTTCAACATTTTCAATGATTCCCTACTGTCTACAGGATAAAGTCAAATCTCCTTTACTGTAACAGATCTTCTATGGATAGACTCAAACTAAAGGGGTTGATCTCTACTCAGTTCTAGCCAACTATTGCCATGCAAGATATGGACCCAGTGTTTCTAGATCTTTGGATTTTTTTAGAGAAACTATACACATTTAGATTTTCATTAAAAATATCCTATTTTTTAAAAATTGACTCAATTAGAAAATATCAATAACACCGTTCAATCCTAATAAAATACTCCTGCTGGATGGATCTATCCCAAGGCTCCCATATTGTGACCTCTGGCTAGATCCATGAATGAAGACGGCTGGATTTTTAGGGAAGAGAAAGTGTTGATGGATGTGGGGGAAAGAAAGTAGGAGAAGAGGAAAGCCTGACCCTGGGAAGTAGGGAAGTAGCTTCCTGGAAACGGGGAAGGGAAGGGTTGTGAGAGGCTTTCCTCCAGGTCATGAAGTCCTGTACCCTGCTGGCATTAGAGGCAAAATGCCCTGTGGGTGACCACAATGTGGGACTGACTGTGGGGACACCTGCAGTGGTTGGCTACTAAGTTTTGTAGCATTGTGAACTGTGGCTTGTGTTGGATCCTGGTAGCTCAAGAGAAGAGAAGGAATTAAATGTGCTTTCTTGCCTTGTGTCTTGGCATCTTAGAGCAGCAGCTTATTTAGAAAAACAAGATATGACATATCTTGCATTTTGAGTTGAGAAGCAGTTTACACCTGTCACATACCCCAGAGATATCTGTCAAATTTTTCACCAGGATTGTTTAAATAATCACAGTTTTAGTGCAGTAACTCTATCCTGCTTGCCCCCATCTGTGGGTTTACTTTCCATGATTTCAGTTACCCACAGTGAAATACAATAAGATATTTTGAGAGAGAGAGCAGACATTCACATTATTTTCATTACAGTATGTTGTTCTAATTGCTCCACTTTTTTGTTGGTTATTGTTAATCTCTCATTGTGCCTAACTTATAAATTAAACATTATCATGGGTATGTATCTGTAGGAAAAAACATAGTATATATAGGGTTCATTACTATCCATTGTTTTAAGCATCTGTTGGGTGTCTTGGTACATATTTCCTGCAAATAAGAGGGGAGGACAATATTTAACTGAGCCAATATTATTGGAAAGAAAGATCTGTTAAGGGCCAATTAAAATAATGTGATGTATTTGTAAAGCCATACAAATGAGTTTGAGATTATTTTTATCACTGTCCTCTAAATGGTATAGGTAAGTAGTTAGGGCCACTGTTCCCTTAAAGGAGGGGTTACATTTTAACTTTTGTATCAATACCACCAACTCTGGCATAAACTCTAGCCCACTCCCTCATTCCAGTTTCTATAAAGAGCCCATACTTCCTGAGGTACAAAGAAAATGTACTTTTTATGAGAGGCAATTTAGGGATGCAAAGTCACTGAGTCACTGTTTCTACAGAGAGCATTTTGACTCAGCTACAAGTAAAAGGATTGGTTCTGCTGTGATTTCCTGGTTGTTCAGAAACCACAGTCAAATTAGTGCTTTCCCTGGTCACCAAAGAACAGTGTGGGTGGGCCACAGCCTCAGGGAAGACAGAATGAGACAGAAATGATATTAACTCTGCTTTCTTTTCTAGCCTTAAAGATGTACAGAGAAATGGAAAGGAGCATGAAGGACAAGGTTATGCCAGTCCCCACCATCATTCCTTATCCTCCATTTTCTTTCCTGTTCACCAAGGCTCCATTAACTTACTTTTGTGTTACTACTCCCATATGAAAAACAGATCCTAAAATTGCATGCTTTCTGGCCAAGTGCGGTGGTTCATGCCTGTGATCCCAGCACTTTGGGAGGCTGAGGCGGGTGGATCACTTGAGGCCAGGAGTTCAAGACCAGCCTGGCCAACCTGGTGAAACCCCATCTCTACTAAAAATACAAAAAATTAGCCAGGTATGGTGGTGTGTGCCTGTAATTCCAGCTACTTGGGAGGCTGAGACAGGAGAATCGCTTGAACCAGGAGGCAGAGGTTTTAGTGAGATGAGATGGTGCCACTGCACTTCAGCCTGGGAGACAAAGTGAGACTGTCTCAACAGAAAATAAATAAATAAATAAATTTGCATGCTTCTTTCCTAGGACAGATAATTTTAAGGATCAAAGAGTTATACAGCCCTTTAATCTCAGAGCTATAGCTGCCACCTGACTTTACTTACCTTCTGTCTTACTACAAACTCTGAGTTTGCAGCTAGATAGACTTGAGCATCATTTGTTGGTTCTGCTTTATTTCTATGGTTTGGCTTTGGTTGGTTTGGTCCCACCAAGTCTCCTGTTGAAATTTGATCCCCATTGTTGGAGGTGGGGCCTTGTGGGAGGTATTTGGATCATGGGGCAGACCACTCATGAACAGCTTGGTGCCATTCTCACAAGAGCGAATTCTCACTCTTAGTTTGCAAGATGGTTGTTGAAAAAAGGTTGGTCCCTCCTCTCCTCTTTCTCCTGCTTCTGTTCTCCCTCTGTTCTCCCCCTATGTGACCTCTGCACATACTGGTTTCCCTTCCCTTTCCATCATGAGTGGAAATAGCCTGAAGCCCTCACCAGAAGCAGATGCTAGCACCATGCTTCTTGTACAGCCTGCAGAACTGTAAACCAAATAAACCTCTTTTGTTTTTAACCCTTTCCCATTTGCCCAGAGAATAATTACTGGCAGTGCTTCTGCAGTGTTTAAGATAACTTTGCCACGAAAGATCTTGCTTTTATTATTATTTTTACATCTCTCTAGTATATCAACTTTGGAAACAAAAGACATCATTCTATTTATGTTTTTAGTAGTGGTATTTTCATTGATAAAATATAGTAATTCTTGATCGCTGAAAATGTCAAATCCTGGAAAATGTAGCATTCCTACATGTGATGTTAACATTCTTGAACACTTCTTGAACAGTTAGTTGCTTGCTGAAGTTTCATTTGGTGAATCTCATTTTTTCTGAAATAGACAATGCTGATGGTAGTTCTGTTTAGAAATAACTCCAAGAACAGTTTTTGTATTCTATTTTTGCATTGAAAATCAGATTTGCTTCAGCCTCAAAGAGATGTTTATGTAAAATTAAATAAGCGCTGGCAGCAAGCTGCACTTTTTTTTCTAAATGGAAAAAGGGTTAAATTACCCAGCTTCAGGTATATTTCTATGGTAACACAAATTGACTAAGATGATTATTCAAATATCTTCATCTGTTATTCTCTTCTTCATCAGTAGTCGCAAGTTAAGACCACATGCCTGATACCACCAAAGGTCTTAATGAATATTTGTTGAATAAAAGTGGACCTGCTTAAAAGTTTGCTAGTTTATCAGGGAAAAGGTTTTGGGGGTTTGGCAGCAGGAGGTGTGTGGAGCAAAAAGTGGTTGATATAAAAGGCTATAATTAAGTTTATCACTATTCACAGGTTCAGATTATCTCAGCTATTCCTGCCTGGTGATGTATCAAATATGCCAAAGTTGGCTATATATGGTTGGTTCAAAACCAGTCTGCTGTATTATACCCTTATGTGCCATCTCTTTTTATTTTAGTTCTTGTATTCTTAGTAGATTTTGATAAGATAGCATGTATAAACATTGGAGTATAAATATTTGATAACAGATAAAAATAGTGCGTAAAACATTCAGAGATAACTTAAGTCCTTACTTCCCAGCTTGAAACACAAGGCTTTGCTTGCTGTGTTCTTCCACTTTGCTGTGGAAATTTTGTTGGTTGAATACTTCATTTTAGGCTTCATTTTTCAGTATTCTGTTGGATTAAAATATAATATTAGTTCATTTGTCTCAACTTAAAAACAAACGGAAACAACTGTGGCTAGCTCACTACCAAATTGGTAACATAACCATATAGAGGAAATAATTATTTCAGTAAAGTTTGAACGTAGTATTCTAACTATGCATTCATGCTAGGATATGGTACTCTGCACTGCATAATGAGGCTTTGGTCAATGGATTGCACATATACAATGGTGGTCTCACAAGATTATAGTGGAGCTGATAAATTCTTATCACCTAGTGCTGTTGTAGCCATCATAACATCCTAGAACAATTCATTACTTGCGTGTTTGTGGTGATGGTGGTGTAAACAACCCACTGCACTGCCAGTTGTATAAAAGTATAGCACATACAATCATGCATAGTATATAATACTTGGTAACAAATGACTATGTTACTGGTTTATGTATTTGCTATACTATACTTTTTATCATTATTGTAGATTGTGTTCCTTCTACTTATTAAAAAACAAGTTAATTGTAAAGCAGCCTCAGGCAGTTCTGTCAAAAAGGTATTCCAGAGGAAGACATTGTTATAGGAAATGACAGCTCCATGCATGTTATTGCCCCTGAAGAACTTCCAGTAGGGCAAGATATGGAAGTGAAAGACAGTGATATTAATGATCCTGACCCTGTGTAGGCCTAGACTAGGGTGTGTGTGTTTGTGTCTTAGATTTTAAGGAAAAAGCGTAAAAAGTAAAAAATTAAAATTAAAAATGTTTAAAATAGAAAAAAGCTTATAGAATAAGGATATAAAGGAAGAAATTTTTGTACAGCTGTATGATGTTTGTATTTTAAGCTAAGTGTTATTACAAGAGTCAAAACATTAAAAAAACTAAAAGTTTATAAAGTAAAAAAGTTATAGTAAGCAAGGTTAATTTATTATGGAAAAAGGAAACAATTTTAAATAAATTTAGTGTAGTCTAAGTGTACAGTGATCATGAAGTCTATAGTCGTGGTCAGTAACGACCTACGCCTTCACATTCACTCACTACTTATTAACTCACCTAGACTCATTTTCCAGTCCTGCAAGCTCCATTCATGGTTAATTGCCCAATACAAGTGCACCATTTTTAAATCTTCATACCATATTTTTACTTTACTTTTTCTGTGTTTAGATATGTTTAGATACACAAATACCACTGTATTAGAATTGACATTTTATAATCTATTCTCTCTGAAGCCTACAACCTGAAGGCTTCCTCTGCAAATAAGAACTTTGGTTTCCACAATCCTTTATTTTAACCCAGACATTCCTTTTTATTGATCCCAGTTGACTGTAGTCTTTTATCCCTTACCCATCTCCCAGCTGAACCCCTCCACCCCACGCTTCAAGTTATCCCACCTTTCTGGACCAAATGAATGTATTTCTTAAATGTATTTGATTGAAGTCTCATGTCTCCCTAAAATGCATAAAACCAAAATGCACACCAACCACTTTGAGCACATGTTCTCAGGATCTCCTGAGGGCTTTGTCACAGGCCGTGGTCACTCATATTTGGCTCAGAATAAATCTCTTCAACTATTTTACAAAGTTGGACTCTTTTTGTAGATAGTGGAAATACTGGTACTGAAGTTCTGAGACTGTTTTGTTATACTTTAGTATAGAGCAAATAAGTAGATACATTATGTTACATGGTTTTGACTGTAGGGGAAAGGAGACACAAACATAAAAGAAGTCATGAGAAAACCTATGGAATGTTAAATATGAGTCAGCAATATCAGTGTGCCCATATCTTAGTTTCTTAGTACTTTCTCCACCGAAAGGAACAGCTGCTCCAGATCTGGAGCTGGTAAAGTAGTGGTGAACATGGAACATCCTGTTGTGCCAGAAAGCAGAGTCACTAAAAAACTAGTGAGGCTAGTTGAATAGGGAGGGGTCTAGTCATTACAGAAGGAATGATAGCATTGAAATAGGCCTCATTGTCTGGGATGCCACCCGGAGTTCTTGGTCCCACAACTGAGGAAATCAAGGAAGGTGGACACACCAAGGGTGAGGTTAGAGCAGAAGTTTAATAAATGAAAGAAGGAGAGAAAGCTCTCTGCTGCAGAGAGGGGCCCTGAAAAAGGGTTGCTATTCTATAGTGGAATACAAGGGTTTTTATAAATGAGCTAGTGGGGAGGGGGTACTTTATTTACATAAGGTGTGAAAAACTGGTTAGGACTAGGTGTGTCATTTGCAGAAGGCATGAATTTCTGACAACCCCCACGCTGTCCTTCCAGTGTGCATGTGGGCTCGTAGCCTAAGTTACTTCATGTTGTTTGACTTCCCTTACTGTGCACGTGTTGGGGATAGAATCCTCCATTGTGGACATGCCTAGCTCAGTGTAACTCCCCTTATCTGTGTAGCTGTAGGCATGTTCCAAGCATGCCCTCCTGAGCAAGCTTCCTTATTTGAATATAACCAAAAAAGGAAAGGAATGTGTTCACTGAGGCCAACTGAATGTATATGAAATTTGAAATTTGCTGATTACACAGAAGGCACTCTTTTGTGCTGGAGCTTGCTTCCTTTTCTATGTTTGCGGCTTGATCTCTCAGGCTGCTCTTTGTTAGAAGAGCAGTTCTGCCGAGGACTTTGCCCTATTTGCCTAGCTGGTTTCTTTGTTCTTTCTCTCTCAGAATCAGACAAATCACCATCTTGCAACCCCCAATTTAATACTTGATTCAAGCAAGGGACATCAATCGATGTGATACCTTGATGATCAAGCTGGGTCACTGTATCGTACTGAAAAAATATGGAGTTCTGTATCATAAATTGCAGAAAATTCCATATTCTCTTAGTATGGTTCTGCAATCTGGCTTCGACATCAGGGTATGACACTGTGCTGTGGTTTGTGGAGGGAGCAGGACTTCTTCTCCAGTCTTAAACTCTCTGACATTGCCTGCAATTCTATCAATAATTATTGCTTCTTCTTTTTAAGTATGGCCTCCTGTTTTGCCACACTACAAACAAACAAACAAACCAAATTATCCCAGCAGTGGTTACAATTTAAATCTCTTATGAGCTTCATATGAATAATCTCTTCTAGCAGTTAAAAGAAGAGCATTGAGTTCTTGGATTAGAGGACTCGTTAGAAGGTAAACTTTAGGCACCCTATTTTGTCCCTGGACAAACCTCTGGAGGCTGAAACTCCAGATGATCTTGTCTAGGTAGAACTGCTATAACATTATGTGCATGCCACCTATTTACATCCAGTCCCATGTGCAAAATCCTCAATGGTCAGCCAGTTGAAGACTACCTATTCTGTCCCTCAGTCTTGCCATGGGAGTAAATGTTGTGCTCACACAGCTTGAAGACCTCACATGAACTTTTATTTTCTTCCTCTGATTCTCCTACCTTTTTTGGTCAAGAATGCTTAGAAGCAGAGGATCTTACATATCATTTTACTGAGCCCCTAACTTTACAGATGAGTAGACTGAAACTCTGAAGATTAAGTGCCTCACCCAGGATTATGAAACAGAACCAGGAACAGAATCTAGCCTCCTGACTTCCATCTTGATGCCAGTACTTCCCTATCCTGTCTCCCTCCATTCTTTCTCCCTTTCCGCCTCAAAACAGGAAGAAAATAATCAGAACTGGGAATTTAACTCCAAACACTCAGCCTTTCTTATACACAAAGCAGTTGTCCAACTTCTTTGAAATAATAAGTTTCTGAATATGGTTGTTAATTTGTAATCACGCATTTGGAATAATAAGATAGGGAACCCAATTGTAGTTGTATTTTAAGTTGTATATAAAATAGTTTAAATAGTAACCTGCACACAGTAGATAATGAAGTAACACTTTACTAACATAAAAACTGCATTGCCTTGACGTTGTTTGTTTTCTCTTCTACCCAAAGATACTTATATCCTAGAAAAAACAATTCCTGGTCATTCAAAAAAGTTACTTTTTTTAATAATCTTAGAATATTTTAACAAAAAGTTATATTTTCAAATAAATATGGGAAATGTTCCAATCTACATTCTATCTCTAGGAGAGTCAGAGTCATGTTAGCATAGAAAAGGTGTTGATAGTCCTTTATTGAAGACTCATGGGTACCTTTGTTTAACTATTGTTTTCAGTAGTTATTTGATCTCATAACCTTTTTCTCCCGTCTTATCACCCTCATGGACTAGTTTGAGAGAACGCACTTGGAAGAACTTTGCTGTAAACCAGTATTGGCTTGTATAATTGAGCAAGATAGAGAAGCTGAAAATACCACATTTACAATGGAGTCATTGACACAGAGAAAGTCAACACCCTTTATAGAACCACATGATAAGTCAAAAGCATAGTCAGGAAATATTTTCAAATCCTATTCTGAAAAAGTATTTTCTTCAAATAACCTGCAAATTCTTTGCCTTGATCACTCTTTTCACCATTTTTTTCATACTAAAATTGACTCATTACTCCCCTATTTTTATATCAGAAATATTTCAGAACATATGGCAATAGGAACATCACTTGTTCTTTTTTGCTGCTATTCCCAATGATATACAGCAGATATCCCTGCACACTGGTTATGATACTCACCTAATTTATAAAGTGCTGGTCTCAGATGATGAGGTTTCCTGTAGTCAGCAATTGTAGTATTTAAGGCAGTTACATCCCAGTTCTACTTATATAGACACACACACACATGGATTAAGCAACATTGGATGACAGTATTGATGTATGAGGCAATGCAGATGGAGCTACTTAAATGCATTAGAACGTGTGGGAGCTTATCTTTTTCCTACCGTCAGATCCTAAACAGAGATTATTTTAGCTGTAGCACTTTCATTTTATTTATTTATTTATTTTTTGAGACAGAGTCTCCCTCTGCTGCCCAGGCTGGAGTGCAGTGGCACGATCTCAGCTCACTGCAGCCTCCACCTCCCAGATTAAAGCAATTCTTCTGTCTCAGCCTCCCAAGTAGCTGGGACTACAAGGTGTATGCCACCACACCTGGCCAATTTTTTTTGTATTTTTATAGAGATGGGGTTTCACCATGTTGGCCAGGCTGGTCCTGAACTCCTGACCGCAAGTGATCCTCCTGCCTCAGCCTCCCAAAGTGCTGGGATTACAGGCGTGAGCCACTGCACCCGGCCTAGTTGTAGCACTGTCAAAGAGTTACACTTAGTTAATCATTAACTTTTATAAAATCTTTGCAATATAGGCTCTAGGCAGTGTTTATTGCATAACATATAATATAGAAGGACACAGATTGTTTAATTTCCTTTCTCTTTTCTACAGAAAGTTGAAAACATTTAAAGTAATTTTTTTCTGATTATAAAAAAGATACATGTGCACTTAGAAAATATGTAAATGACAGGAAAGTGTATGCGTGGTAGATCCTGACATTCTTTTTTCTATGTAAAAAATTATACACATCTCTTTTATTTAAAAAATAGAATCATACTGCAAATATATTTTAAGCTTTTTTTTGCATTTTCCAATTAACACTATATCATAAATATTTTCACATATTAGAAACATTCTTTTACAAGTAACATTATAAATAGCATTCAATCATAGAAATATATCTTAACGAGTCTTTTATTGATTAACACTGGCTGTTTCCAGATTTTATTTTTGTTTTTGTTTTCTAATATTGCCAGTGTTGCAACTGACAGTTGTGTGTGTGTGTGTGTGTGTGTGTGTGTGTGTGTGTGTGTATGGGTGTGGGTGGGTGTGGGTGTATGTTGTGATTCTTTGAAAATATTTATAAGTTTATTGGTAGCATAAACTCCTAGTAGTGGAATTGCTGGATCAGAGGGTACATGTATCTTATAGCTTGACAGATATTAATGAATTGACTTCCAAAAACTTGTATTAATTAACAGTTTTGTGAACAATCCAGGGGAGTACCCTTTTCTCCATCTTTCTAGCAACAATGAGTGTCATTACCTTTGAAATGTTTGCCTTTCTAAAGAGTGTAAACTATCTGATAGTTTTGAATTTTATTCCTTTATTTCATGAGATTGAGCATCTTTTAAAAAATGTGTATTGTTAATTTCTATAAATTATTGATTTTAAGGACTCTACCTAAACTAAGAAATTAGACCCTTGTCTGTGATTTGTGTTACAACTTTTTCCCCTGTGTCATTTATGTTTAGATTTCACTAATGGCATTTTTTGGCCATACATAAGTTTTCAAATATTATGTGGTAAAATATAATCAGTGTTTTCTTTGAGAACTTCTGGTTTTGTGTTCTGCTTCAAAATACCTTTTCTCTTCCAAGATTATAAATAAATTTACTTATGATATTATCTAAAACTTTAATGTTTAATAGTTTATACATAAATCTTTGATTGACTCAGTGTTACTTTTGGTATAAAGAATAAGTCAGGGCTGGGTGTGTGTCTCATGCCTGTAATCCCAGTGCATTGGGAGGCCTAAGCAGGAGGACCACTTGAGGCCAGGAGTTCAAGACCAGCCTAGGCAACATAAAGAGATCCTGTCTCTACAGAAAAAATTTTTAAAAATTAGCTGGACTGGGTGGTGTGCACGTGCAGTCTTAGCTACTTGGGAGACTGAGGTGGGAGGATCACCTGAGCCCAGAAGTTTAAAGTTGTAGTAAGCTCTGATAGCACTATACTCCAGTCTGGACCACAGAGTGAGACTCTTGTCACCAAAAATGAAAAAAATAAAGATAGTGAAAAAAGAATACATTTGGGATTTTTTTTTCCTTCCAAATACATACCACAACTACATTTGAAATTCAGTTCAGACAAAGTGAAGTTTCACATGTTATGTTGGGACCAGTATGCAGAGGACTATGAATGCTACAATAAGGAGTTTGAATTTTATCCTGTGGACAACACGAATCTTTTGAAAGTTTCTAAAGCAAATGAGAAACATCATCTAGAGTGTGTTTTGTGAATATAATTTTATGTCTGTGTGAAGCACCATCTGAAGGAAGGAAAGAAGGAGACGGAGGCAAAAAGAATGAATAGTTAGGAGGCCAGTTAAAATATCCCAGGCAAAAAGCAGTGAGGACCTAGTGAGGGCAATGTTAATGGGACTAACGAGGAGGGGATGGAATGATGAGTGCTACAGGTACTTCATAGAGTCCTTGCAGGTTGGTGTGAGTAAGGGCCCCAGAGATTCCTGTTCTGTACCACTAAGTCATGCAGTTACCAAGTGGCTGAGTCAGGATTAAAACCCAAGTCTCACTCCCAGTTTAGGGGCACGTCTGCCACAATGCCTCCTCGGCTCTTTCTGGATGTGGGTGTACCTGCTCTGGACTGGGGATGAGGGGAAGCAGGGTGGTGAAGGGAAGTGGACATAATTCCAGTGGTTAATAATAGGAAACTCAGGTGGGGAGTTCAGTGACAGGGACAGGGAATTAGTTTGATGTAGGGCAGATGGAGTTTGAGGTACTTGAGGAACAGTTATATGGACATTTCAGCAGGGAGTTGGAACTAGGTGGCCAGAGGCCAAACTTAGCCATGTGGATTTGCTCTTCATTTGTGAAGGCATGATAGTTTATTGTGTGGGAGTGAATGAGATTGTCTTGGCTGAGTGTGGAGCAGGAAGAGAAAGCTGTAAGAAGATGAAACTCTGGAATATCTAACATGTAAGGGGAAAGAGGAGAAACGAAGTTAATAAGAAGACCAGACAGAGAAGCAGAAAAAAGAAGAGTTCATATTATGAAGGCTAAGAGAGAACACTGTCTCAAAAAGCAGGAACAGTTGGTAATGAGTACTATAGAGACCTGGTTGAAGATTAAGAGACATTGGAGGAGTCATTTAAGTATGGTGGGAATCTCAAAACAACTGCACTGGACTGCGCAGAGTGGAGAAGGAGGAAGTAAGACATTTCCAAGAAGTATAATACAGTAATGAAAGGGAACAAAGAAAGAAAGAATGGTATCTTTACACAGTAGTGTGGAGAAGGGAAGATGCTACTTACTAGCTAGGTGACCTTGGACAAGTTGCTTGATGTCTCTGAAGCCTCAGTTTCTTAATAATAATGAAAATTTTCATAATAACTGTTATATTACCCATAATAATTTCATAATTTAACTCATTAGGTTGTTGTGAGAATTAAATGAGAAGATATATTTTCAGCGCTTAGCACAGTAGCTGGTGCACAGTAGAGACTCAATATGTTTGTTATTATTATTGTCATTAATATTGAGGTTTATATTGGGATGTGATAGACTCTTGAGTATGCTTCAATGCAGAAAGAAAGTAGCCAATGAAAAGAGGAAAACTTACATAATATTTCCAGAGGAGATACAGAAGAGAGGGGGAAAGAACACAAGTGGAAGGATCAGCTTTGAAAAGGAGGAGGCACACTTCTTCCTGCAGTAGAGGAGGAACTAGTGAGAGAATGAGAGAAGATGTGAAGTTTTAAGGTCTAGGGATGTGAACTTAAGGGTCTTATAAAATGGCTTCAATCTTTGTAATGTAGGTTCTGAAAGAGACGGAGATTAAGAGAAATAAGCATTGGTTTGAAGTTTTAAGTATAAGTGGGAAAAATCTGAAACAGATCCTTAGAGAATATAAAAAAGAATTAACTTTGGAATGTGGTGTTATTGTTCAGTGAGCATAGAGTTTCAGTTTTGGAAGATGAAAAAAATGTTCTGGAGATGGAGAGTGGTTATGGTTGTACAACAATGTGAATGCCACTGAACCGTACACTTAAAAATGGTCAAAATGGTAAATTTTATATTATGTATGTTTTACCACAATTTTAAAAAATGGTTCAAAAAGGAATTTTTTAAATGGGAGTGGAGGAAGTAGAAAGATGGGAGTTTGTTCATAAACAGAAGAATTCCAGTGTTCCTTATCTTAGAGAGAAAGATGTTCTGATGATGATGGTGGTCAGAATGAGATTTTTTGGGTGAACTGCTGAGGAGTGTTAAAGAGTCAAAGCAGTCACTAAGGGTGACAACAGCAATGAAATCACCAAGGGTGACAGCAGCAGAGGCAATAGTGAACAGAAAAGGAGGTCAGGGTCCCTAGTGACCAGAAAGGAAAGAGATTAGTTTAAGTAGTTGGGCCCAGGGTTGGGGATGGGGTTAGAAAGGCTTTCTCTACTAGCCCTGGGAAATGTGCACACAAGAAAATGGAGTGGGTTTTAAGAATATGGCATCACCAGGGGAAAGTCACATTTTAGATAATCATAGGAAATAGTGCTTTTGAAGGAAAAGGAGGGAGAGAGTAAGGAGTATGCTTGTGTGTGGGTGGGGAACATCCCAGAGGAAATGACATACATTTAAATTAGGGAAACAACCTGAAAGATTTTAATCTGTCAAGAAATAATAATTAAATAAAATAATTTAAATAGAAATTTATTAGTTGGTCATTCACCTCTGAACAACAACAACAGTGAGAAATATATGAGGTATTTTCATTTTCAAAGATGCAAATTTGCGTAGTTTTCTCTTTGGCTGAAGAAATCTTCCAGAAACTTACATCCAACAAATATTGAGCACCCTTTGCATGCCAAGGACTATGTATTCCACCATCATTAACTCATGGGGTGCTGCATGAATGTTTTCATTTCACATTGTCATATTATCTACATCTGATCAGCTGGAAAATCATTTATTGAATCACTAACCTCTTATATGTCAGACAATGCTCTTTGATTAGCAATTTCCCACTTTTAAATGCTAATACCTTTAAGAATGTTAAGTTGGCTGTTGGACTTTCTTCTTTTATTGTGAATTTTACTTTCAAAATAAATTCATTTAATCAGACTGATTTGCTGTGATGAGTCTTGTTACAATGCTGAGTTTATGAGAAATTCTTACTAAAAATGCATACTCATTGTGGAAAATTTAGATAATACAGAAAAGAGAAAGTTTGACCTTTGATGTCCTAGAGAGTAAATTCTCTGAAAAGAGACACAACTGGGAATGATTGTAAGGAAATCCTAACCTCCTCGAGATCCTGAGGGCACAAATGATGCTGGATTTGCATTTGCTTGTACTACAGCATGGAGTGCTGCCTAAAAACATTAATAAATAAAATACTACTTCTAGTACTGGGCTAGGTGCTGGGGATACAGTACTGAACAAAGCAAACTGTCTTGCCCTCCTGGAGTTTACTTTCTATTGGGGAGATAGAAGTTATTCACATAGTTGTACAAATATGTTATTAATGAACAGTGATAAAAAAGAATTGGACTGGTAAAGAAGATAAAGTAGAATGGTACTAAGGTAGTGTAGTCAGAGAAGGTGACATTTAAACTGCACCCAAAGGGCGTGAGGAACATATGAAAGGGAAGAGACACAGGGAAGAGAAAACCTCAGGGGCAAAGGCCCTGAGATGGACAGAAGCCGCAGTGCTCAGTGAACAGAGAGTGCTAGTGTGGCTGGAGCAGAGCGGGCAATGGGGAGAGCATAATGTGAAGGGGCTGTAGAGAGAAGGGGACAGAAGCTTGGTTGGGCTGGGCCCTGGAGGCCAAAGGAAGAAGCTTGGATTTCATTCAGAGTGCATTGAGAAGCCAAAGAAGGGTTTTGAGTAACATGGGATGTGATTTGATTTTTATTTTTAAACTAGTGCTGTGACTATCATGTGAGAAACAGATGGAGGGCAATAAGAGGGAAGGGATGAGACCAGCCAGGAGTCTGCATTAATTCAGATGCTTAATAATGGTGGTTGTGGTGAAGATGATAATGATGATAGTAGTAGCTGCAATGTTTGGCGTCTTCTGTAAGACTGATGCTCTATGTATATTATCTCTAATGTCACTGTGTTTCTGGAGTTTGGATATGATTGTCTCCCTTTTAGAAGTGAAGAAATAGTGGCTCTTGCAAAACGTCACATAGGTAAGAAGTAGCAAAGCCAGAATCTGATATTAGGGCTATCTGGCTCTTTCTCTTAGTTCATGGAGAACATTGGTAGAATGGGGCATAATTGAATCCCAGGACCTTATATTTGATTCATCTCCTTGTCAAGCTTGGTTTCTCTTGAATGGGAAGAGGATCTATGAGGATATAGTGGGATGAATGAACATATTGCTGGGTACTGGAAGCAATACCAGTGGAATCAGTGGAAGAAGACAGGTCCTGGCTGATAAGGAGAGGAAATGGGGATTATGACTAAGTTTGCCAACACAATATGACTTCATTCTGGGAGATTTTGCAAAGGGGCAGAAGTGGAGGAGAAGCGGGGGATGGGAGCACAGGGGAGTGTGACACACCAATCCTCTACTCCCTTGGGTGTAGCAGTTTCACTTCTTTCTTAAGGGAGATTAGAATACATGATATGGAAAAAGGGAAGATAGAAGTTTGGGGAATAATGAGACAGCACCTTCCTCACCCAATCTGGATCACTTCCTGTCCCCTACCCTCCACCACTCTGAAAGTTTCCATCTGCCACTTTCCTGGACCCTGGGGAGAACACTTCTCCTAGGGAAAGGAAATACTCTATAAAGATACCTAGTAGATCAATCTATGACTCAAGCCAAAGCCCTCGTGAGAAGAGGGAGGGATAGTGTGAGATTTTAGGGAAGCTTTGTTTTATGTCTTTAAGGTAAACAGTACTTATCACTTGTAAAGTACTTCTGTGCTTTGCCATGGTTTTCCTGGATGTGGTCTTATCCAGTCATTTCTATACATTGGCACTACCTGCCCCATCAACTTTTCCAACCTTACTTACCCCTCCCTCCATACTCTCTACATTTAGACCAATTAGACTGTTTACCATTCCTCAATTCACCATGCACTTGCACACCTTCATGGCTTTGCTCAAACTATTCCTCTTGCTAGTGCTACCTCATCCCTTTGTCTGGGAAACTCTGTTTAACCATTGGAGGCCAATTCAAATGTTTTGATCTCCCTGACAACCCACAATCAAGCCGACTTTATTGTTTCCTCTCTCCCTTCCTTATCTATTATATATATAATAATAGATCCAACTCTGTTTGTTTTCCTACCTCCTCCACTGCTAGGTCCTTGGGAACAAGGGTTGTGCTTTAGTCATCTTTATTTCCCCAGAAATTATCCACAGCAGGCACTCAGTAAATGTTGTGTAATTTGGATCAGTGCTTACAGAAACCCTATAAACTAAGTAAGGCAGGCATCATCCACTAGACAGATGTGGGGACCCTACCCAAATCCCAAAGATCTGCAGAGCAGTGGAGGTAGATTCCCTGGTTGAGCTGTTATGAAGCTGGCACTACTTCACCATTTTGACTTACAGAAATGACAGTCTTAAATGCCTCAGTCTAATAGAACGCACGTCTTCTTGTTCTTGGGTCAGTGCTCTTTGTAAAGCATTTTTAAAAGCTGACTTTCCAGCTGGCCTGTGGCTCTGCAGTTTTAGTGTGACTGAACATTTCAAATTATTCAGTACAAGTTGTTTTATTCCCCTCCTGGGCCCCCTCCCATGCCTCACATACTTTGAGGGCCCCAGTGGATCAAGTCTGTAGTAATCTTTGAAGAAGCAAAGGTAGATTGGCATCCCCTTCCCAAGCTTAGACCTAGGATTTTCTCCTTTCCCTCAAGTCCCTACAGCTCTCCAGGTCTCAGTTTCCTTGTCTTCAAAACAAGGAGGGTATGTGAAAGCCAGCATTTTCCTCCTTGACTCTTTCCTGTGCTCCTGTACAGGTTCCTCATTTAGCTCATTTATTTCCTTCTCCCAGGGCCCCTTCTATACTGGCAGCTGCACTAGCCCCTTATTCACACAAAGGGTACCATCCTCAGAAAACACACAAATTCTGCCTCAGCCTTGTGATCTCCTCTTCTCCTTTCTACTAACCTTACAGCAGGACAAAATTACAGTGAAAAGAAAAGTCCACAGAGTCTGCAGCATTTTTTGGTTTTTTGTTTTTACTTGTTTTTTTCTTTAGTACCCAAATATCTGAAAGCTGATTTTTTTTTTTTTTGAGTCAGTGTTTTGCTCTGTCACCTAGGCTGGAGGGCAGTGGCATGATCATTGCCTCACTGAACTCCTAGGTTCAAGGGATCTTCCTGCCTCAGTCTTCAAGTAGCTAGGAATACAGGTGTGTGCCACCACACTCGGCTAAATTTTTATTTTTGTAGAGACAGGGTCTCGCTTTGTTGCCCAGGCTGGTCTCGAACTCCTGGCCTCAAGTGATCCTTCCACCTTGGCTTCCCAGAGCACTGGGATTACAGGTGTGAGCCACCATGCCTGGCTGTTGTTTAATGGATTCAGAAAGTTCTCACTGCTAGAAGAAAGCAATGTATGGAAAAAAAAAAACAACATGGAACATAGAGACCTTTGGTTTTAGTTTAACTCTAAAGTTGAGATCATTTTCTTCTTTTACTTTTTAAATGCATTTTACATAAAATTGGACAAGTAATGTAAAAATTCTGAATCTTGTAAAAATTCAAAGGAGTATGAAATACTTAGCAAAAGCATGTAGAGTTAAATAAAAATTCTCCTTTTTTTGTTTTTGTTTTTTATTTGAGACAGAGTCTTGGTCTGTAACCAGGACTGAAGTGCACAGCTGATTGCAACCTTGAACTCCTGGCCTCAAGTGATCCTCCTGCCTTGGTCACCCAAAGTGCTTGGATTAGAGGTATGAGCCACCATGCCTAGCTCTCCTGTATTTTTTACAATTAGCCCTTATATAGTGTTTACTATGTGCCAAGAACTGTACTAAGTGCTTCACATATTTAACTTATTCAATTATTACAGCAATCTTGTTAGGGTAGCATTATTATTATCCCTCTTTTATATATGAGGAAACTGAGGTACAGAGGGATCAAGTAAATGCCCAAGGCCTCATAGCTGAAACCCTAAGCGAACATTTTCAGAGTTCATGAGGTACTTCAGGAAAGGGGTGGAGGAATCCAAATCCGTTGCATTCCAGATCTTCCTCCCTAGCCCCTGCATCCAGAGCAGAAAACCCCTACCTAGAAAGTTTTCTAGGTAGAAGAGGTTTTACTGGTAAGAAAACAAAATTAAAAGTTTGAAAATATGTCATTAGGCCCATTCCACCTGAATTATTTGACCTTGTAAGGAGGGTGATAGACTGAGGCTCAGTTCATATACCATCAGTGGTAGTCAAGCTAGAGAAGATTTAGTAGCATTATAAGGAGAAAGCATTACACTTAATGGTTGGAAGAAGTTTTCAAAACTTTGTAAAGAGTAGAATCCTTTTCTGAAAAAAGAATATTGCATGGAAGCCTAATAGATAACAGAAGACAAAATCATTAACTTATTAATATAAATATGCTTCATAAGTTTACATTTATATTTACTCATTATAAAGTTATTTAATGAAATATGCTGTTTCCAGCATAATAATGGGTTAGTTACCATGAACAGCCCTCCTGATAAAAACAACCAAAATGCTGCAAGATGTATTTTTAAATATCTTTTCAAACAACATTGAGGGGGCATGAATGGGAGGCTAGCAAACTTGGCTTTTTTCTAAAGTTGTCTACTATATCCTAGAGACAAAGAGGAAGAATTACATAAAGAATCAGGACCAGGAGATAAAGCTTAGGATATGTCTAAGATGGAGAGTCTAACAGTAAACTGCTGCATAAACCTGGACTCTCAAAGGGCTACATTCACAATAGAAGGGTGATCAAGATAAATAAACTCGGCAGAAGGGAATACCCAGAAACCTTGTCTGTCTCAACTCCAGCCCTTGCTGGAAGGAAACACATATCTCTAAGAATTTACCTTCTCAGGACAAGTCAGCCCCTACATGGCTTTGTAGTCTGAAATCAAACTACTTGTGTGCTTCCAAAAGCCTGAAATAGAAAATTAAGTATAAAGTAGTTTTAGGTTGGCAGTGCCCCAAGGCAAATACAAGTCTTATCTTGAAGAACTCAGCTGCTACACAAACCACCAAACATTCCCACAGAAAAGTCTTCAGGACAAATGAGTAGTCTGCAGTCAAAATTTGCAAAGCAAACGAGAATACCAGACACCATGGTGAGAACCCACAAAAGGAACAGGTAGCAGAAAGCCACAAAGCCTTTGTGTATTAGAACAAGCAGAAATAACTGATTTTAATATTGTTAGATAGTATTCTAAAAGATTGAAAATATGAACAGTGAACATGTATATTTGAAAAAGATCCAAATAGAATATCTAGACATAAAAGATATATTACTGAAATTAAAACTCAATGGTTCAATTAAACAGAAGATTAAACACAAGTGAAAAGAGTCAGTGACCTAGAGAACATATCTGAAGTATTCCTTAGAATACAATCCAGAGATACTTGGAGGTGGAAAATATGAAAAGAGGGTAAAAGACTTGGAAGAAAAATGAGACTGTTTTATAACTATTTGGAATGGTAGAAGGAGATGCTAGAACAGAGATGGAACAACATTTAAAGAAATAATGGCTGACAACATTCCAGAATTGTTGAAAGATCCTAATCCTTAGATCCAAGAGTTTCAATGAATTTCAAGCAGATAGAAAGAAAGAAAGGGCTGGGGGTGGTGGCTCAAGCCTTATAGTCCCAGCACTTTTGGAAGCTGAGGTGGGATGATCTCTTGAGACCAGGAGTTTTAAGACTAGCCTGGGCAACATAGCGAGGCCCCATCTCTTAAAAAAAAATAATTAAAAAAATTAGCTGGGTGTGGTGGCACACACCTGTAGTCCCAGCTGGTGGGGAGGCTGAGGTGGGAGGATTGCTTGAGCCCAGGAGTTTGAGGCCGCAGTGAGTTAGGATTATGTCACTGCACTCTAGCCTGGGTTACAGAGCAAGAGCTTGTCTCTAAAAAGAGAGAGAGAGAAGAAAAATCCACATCTTCATATATTAGTTATGAAATTGCAGAATATTAAAGAAAAAAAGTGAGATCAGCCAGGGCATCATAATGAGCCTTCATCTCTACAAAACGTAAAAAAGAAAAATTAGCTGTGCATGGTGGTATGTGCCTATGGTCCCAGTTACTCAGGTGGATGAGGTAGGAGGGTCGCTTGAGCTAGGGAGGTCCAGGCTATAGTTAGCTGTGATCACATCACTGCACTCTAGCCCCTGGGTGACAGAGTGAGACCTTGTTTCAAAAGGAAAGAGAAAAGAGAAGATTGTAATGTCAGTCATTGAGGACAATAAAACTATTTGGAGGAGGAAAAAAATCACCCGTCCAATATGGATGGAAGTTTACAGTCTTAGAGTAGCCCTAGAACTTGTGAAATAAACATTTGATATTTGCAGAACCAAGATGCTTCTTGCAGTCAACTGAGCATTATTAAAAACTGCAGAGGTGGCCTAAAACTCCTTATTTTACAGATGAGGAAAGTGCCACTCAGAGCCGGCGGAGGGTCTTCCCCAAGGTCACACAGCTAGTAAATGGGTATGTGGTGGAGCCAGGACCAGAACTCAGGTCTCTCAACTCACAGAGCAATAGTTGTGACTGCTCTTCCCTCTATCCTGCTGCCATTTCTTTATTCAGCAACAACAAAGAAAAATAAAATGTGAAGAAAAGTAGAGTTTCAGTTTATCATGGAACTTTTTGGTGATTCCTTATGTTTCATGTATAGAATTTAATAATTGTTTGAATAATTGTTACACAGGGCAATATCCCATCACCAGGAACCAATGAAACTGCTCACATTTTTTGGATGGGGGTAAGAGGATGCAGTCTTGATTTGTTTCCTTCTAGCTTATAACACAGTGTGAGGGTAGTGTGAGAAAGTTTTAGAAAATGTGATTAAATCTCAGTCATGGAAATCAGTTCTGGCACAGCATTCTGTAGAAGGTGGTGAGGGTGACAAGAGGTGGGTGCAAATCTCAGCATATACAAAGGCTTTGCTGAGAAATACACAGGGGAAAGGCAGGTGCCAAGCCACAGCATGTATTATATATACCTGAGTCAGTAGATCAAATAAATTCACAAAACTGTAAAAAAAAAAAATCTATTCTGCCTGAGTTCACTGCTTTGGACCTGGCTTGGATTGTTTTCTGAAAAGTTCATACCTTAGATCCACAAAGGAAAACAGTTTGCAAGGGTAGGTAATGCCGATATATCAAAATGTATCACCCTGTTTGTTCATGAAAAGATACTATTGCATGTATGTGCATGTATGCATGAAAAATTATTTCTATTCATAATTCACCACAAATACATGCCAAAAAGTAGGAGAGCATTTGAAATTGGCAACAATACAATCAAACAGATTGCTTAACCAAGGGTGAGAACTTGCCTATTAAGTCACTTTTGATTCTGGGAATAGTACCCAGATTCTAAAGCCTAAAGTGGTTTGCATGACTTAATTACAAATGCTAACAAGAATAGTTCTTTGGGCAGTACTCTAAATCCTATCAGCTGATTTGCTGTTTGTTTTGAAAGAGAAGCATGAGATTTTCAGATGGCAAAGCTTTGGATTTTGATACCCATCTTCAAAACAGGATGCAATATATATCTTTAAATTAGTTCCTTTGTAGAAAAGCAGGCTAATTTGGGTATGGCACATTTCTCAAACACATAAAACATTAATAAGATATTAATTCCAGATTTTACAGTTATATAGTTAGAGCCAGTGAAAGTGTGCCTAAGTTCTATTCCCACTACATAGATATGCCACTAGATGCTACTGGAATTGGTTCTGGGAGCCTTCATCTGAAGGCAGCTTTAGGAAATAGCAAGGAATAACAAGAGGAGTTTCTGAAAGGATGAATTAAGTGCTTATATAAATAGGGAAAGAAGGACTTTAGTCTCTAAAATTTAGGACCAAGAGAAGGGGTTGGCCTAGGACTTCTGGGAACATTTTTCTCCTTGAAATAAGGGGCATGTGAGGAGTAAGCGCTTCTTGGCTTCTACTCCTTTGGCTCCTCTGAGTATCTGATGCTCAGAGCTGGGTTAACCATTTTTTCCCATGAAGAGAGATCATAGATGCTCTGAGGATGGTAGAGTAGAAGGGTGGGAAGACCCTGAGTCCTTGATGATATCCTTGATTTTTGACACCAACTCTGAAACTGCCCGACGAAACTTCTGATTAAGCGAGCAAAAAGTGTCCTTAAGTTTTAAGCCTTGTTCAGTTCTGTGTTCCCCAGTTGCAGCTAAAAGTATATCAAGTGATATAAATTATCTTTATTTTTCATGTAAGTATAATCTGCATTGACTTTTTCTAAATCCTTTAAAGAAATGGCAAACAACTAATGTATTCTGGACATTGCCTTAATAATATCTTTATGGTTGAATTGTTTAAAACATTTTAATGTTTAAATAATGTTATGTTTTAAAGAAAATTTTAGTATAACATGGATATGTAAATTCCTGTGCTAAAAATCAAGAAAATAATATTATATATGATAGAAAAACATGATATATCAAAAAATAGAAAAAATAAACTGAAAATCTTTTGTATCAGAACAAGATTTTAAAAACTTATAAGTAACTCTTTGAGGTACTCTTTTAAAAAAAAAAGTGCAGATTACCAGTAATAGTACTGTTATTACTATTCTATTTTTGCAAAACAGTAAAACATCAGTTACGTTCATTTACAAAAAATTTTTGTGTTTATAAATTTGTCTATAAAATGATTATGAATATCATATACATGTAAATCATGCCTTAAGTCATTGTGGGACAAATAGTGACAAAATGAAATGAATTGCCAAGACTTTGAAAATCAAACTTCATAAAATTCTAAAGTAAAGGAAGGAAAAATAAACACAAATTCTTGGTTGTTACCTCTGGGGGAAACCAAAGGAGATGCAATTAGGTAGTGACACAGAGGAGCCTTCAAAGGTATAAGGAATATTCTATTTTTTAAACTGGATGATAAATACACAGGTATTTGTTTTATTATTTTTCTCCAGAACTTACACTTACATATGCGTTCCACATATTAGTTTATGTGTATGATATATTTCTGAATTAAAAAGCTTGAAAGAAAGAAAATCAATCTTCAGTTAACATTCTACTCATAAAGTCAACTGTTCCCTATTCTCCAGGAACAAATGTAGCTACCAAGTAAAAAAAAAATCAGTTAATACAACATCAACACTTTCAAAATTAAAAAGAAATTGCTGCCTGAAAGCAGGAATGCATTATTTAAAATTCTGTGGTTATATTTTAAAAGAACAAGTTGGCTAGTATAAAGGGGATTCCATGTGCTAAATTGTGACAATTTGACTAAAACAAAAAATATGTGAAAGTTTTTCCTTGTGCCAAGACTAAAGTTACAGAAAGCATAACTTTTGCAGGCTTTTTTTCTCATGTTTGAGATATGCTTATTGAATAGCGACAGAAATAACTGATATTATAGAACAGGTTATGAAAAGTTTTGTAAAGCATGTAATATATTCCACAACACTTTCACTGCCACACCATTCAACTTAGCTGGCATAGTCAAAAGCCAAAATGAGAGTCCCTCTCAATGCTGGTATTTAGCTGGTATGCTGCAAGGCTGGTTCCTTTCTTATTTCTCTTTGCTAATGCCATGCCAGCTATTAAATATTTTGAATATCACCTGGGTAGAAAGCATGAGATTTTATTGTACAACCAAATGGCTGCCTGCTAACACACAACATTGTTAGATGAAATTAAATTTGATTATTACAAGCCATTTAAAACTGAAGAGTACAGAGGCTTTCTTCTCATAGATATGAAACTTCCTGGTCATTTATCTGAATAAAATAAGCCACAATCTGCACCCTGGATATTTCATTTCCATAAAGTTTTAACAGAACTGCCTTGTGCGGTGATCTAAAAATGCAACTCAAAGGTCTGGAAGCTTGACCACCATGGTATGACAAGCTTTTCACTTTGCCTCCTTTGTGGGCTACTCCAGCTATTCCCCAAATTGCTGACTTCATTATTTCTCTGTGGAATTCTTAGTTGGCTCAGCCTTACTTACCTGGTAGCTGGGCTTAGTGTGAAAGCTACTAAAATGAAAAGACTCTGTTAAACACCTCTCTTCTCCCCAAAGATAAGGCTAAATTATTTTCCCACTCTGGACAGATATGACTTCTTCTTGAGTGTACCCACTGATGCACAGAGAAATAAATATAATTGGTAGCCTTTCCTTTGCCAAGACACTTTTCATAAAATATGTACAGCGAACTGCCATTCTAGAGGTTACTAGTTGCTGCATGGTTCCACCTAGATAGTAAGGAGAACCAACGGGTCTAAACCCAGATGCTCTTTTACCAGCTTTTGCCATAAATGCCTAGAAAAAAATTGGATGCTGACAAAATAATAGACTTCTAAGTTTTATACTTTTATGAATTAAGAAATATAAAGACTTAAAAATATTTTTTTCTGTCACATCACAGTGCAAATGACCTTAATGCTTCTAAATGTTGAATCTGCTTTCATGGGCCTTATAGCACTGAGCAGAAATTCTTCCACTTGACATAATGGAAAGTAGTAATAATTGGACAGCCAGATGTAAGCATTACCTGTCAGGTCCTAGGCACGGTATCCTCCAAACATTTTTTGTAAAACAGCTTATACTCCTTTGAGTTAATAGCATCTAATTTTTTATATTAAATGACCACCACATACTGACAATTGTGATTAAGTTTCCACAAACCATATGGCTCTTGAATAAGTCAGTGAAGAAAAAATAATGCCACCATACGTGCAGGTAATATGGACCTTTTTTCTTATGGGGGAAAAAACAGGAAGCTGGAGATAGTCACCAAATTACATCAGAATGAATATTGGTACTTATTTCTGTGCCTGAAACTTGTTCAAAAGTTTAGAATGAAATATTACTAAAGGAAACTTAACAATTATGGGTCAGGTACAGTGGCTCACACCTGTAATCCCAGCACTTTGAGAGGCTGAGGCAGGAGGATTACTTAAGCCCAGGAGTTTGAGATCATCCTGGGCAACATAGTGAGACCTCATTTCTACAAAATGTAAAAAAATTAGCCAGGTGAGGCAGCACATGGCTGTGGTCTCAGCTACTTAGGAGGCTGAGGTGGGAGGATAGCCTGAGCCCCGGATGTCAAGGCTGCAGTGAGTTGTGATCGAGCTACTGCTCTCCAGCTTGGGTGACAGACTCTGTCTCAAAAATAAATAATAATAATAATAACAATAACAATAATTTACAAATATGAAGCAGTTATGCTGACTACTGATCAAGTATTGTTAAACAGGATTGCTAAAGAATGTGGACAAATAATATATATGTATAAGAGATAATGGAAAAATAAAATTTAGGGAGGAAAAACTTTGGAACTAATAAATTCAGATTTGAGGAAGTTCATGTTTGGGTCTAATAATTCTCCAAAGAAAAGAACAAGTGGAGAAAAGCATATAGTCCCCTAAAAAGAAATTACAAACAGCTTAAATAGCATTTCTTAAACAATTGCCAGTAATAAGCCAGCAGGCTAAGAAGTTAGAGTGGCTGAGATTTGAGCACAGCAGACACACAAAACTATGAAGTTCTGTTAAACTCTAAGGAAATATTGAATCTTTGCTAGGAACTATGTCGGAAATAATGAGCAAAACATTCTTACCATTGCAAAAGGTCTCAGATGCACTAATATGGCTAGGGAAAATTATGACAATCATTTAATTTATGGAATGTTCAAAGTGGAGGGGAATTAGATGTAAACTGGGTGCTGATTAAAAGTAAAGCGCTCAGCCAAGTTTGTGGGTGAACTTCTTAGTTCTGGAAATAGCAATGGGAATGGCAAAAAAAAGTTACAGAAGAGAACAATGGCTGGCAGGAACTCTTTCCCTAGGGCAAAAGGTGAATGTAGCCCTGAAGGAAATAGACAGAAGGTTTTAATGTCACTTCATCAATATTTTCATATTTGAAAATGATGGAAACTTTGAATAAGAAAATAGCTTCACAAAGAGGATTAGAGATGCACTAAATGAAGTAGTTTGGAATTGTTCTTTAGTTCTTTTTTCTTAATGGGACCTGACCCTGGACTTTAATCTCTGATCTGAAATTTACTGACTTTATGATTTTGGGTTAGTATTAAAATCTTTTCAAATCCCACTGTCTCAATTTCATAAATGGAGATAATATTTACCTCACAGAGGTGCTGTGAGGGATAATGTGGAAGATAAATGTCTCACTTTTAGTAAATGGTCAGTGATTAATAAATTACCTTTGATGACTGCTTCTAACTTGTTTTACCCATCACAACACCTGTCTTGAGTGGGATTTTGTTGCTTGTTTGTTTCACATTTTACACAAGAGAAAAAAATTCAGGCTCAGGAAAGTTAAGTAAGATCCAAAATTACACAGCTGGTCAATGATGGATGATGGACTGGAGGCCTGACTGCCTCTAAAAATTTGTGTCTTTACTATTATGCTATACTGCACTCTTCACTTAAAAAATACAAAACAAAAATAAATACCTTCGTAGGTATACTGTAATCTACCGATAATAACATGAGCAGCATGTGCCAGGAGTCCGCTATAGGGAGGAAGCGCCCCCAATTCCTCACTCCCCCTTACCACTCCCTGCATACTGAACTTTGCCTGAACTTTTTGAGGCCCACTAAGGTTGTGTCCCCTTAAAAGTTACTTTTGCTTGCAGACATCAGCACCAGAGAATCTACAGGAAACCGAAGAGATTAGACGTTCTACCATGATTTCCTGAAGTTCTTGAACCCAACCCAATCATTTTGTTGTTGATAGAATTAAGGTCCCTTTCTTTCTGCTGTTTCAGGAGTTTATATTTGGTCTTAATGTTTCTAAATGTTCCTGCTACAAACTGAGATACAAAGAAGGTGAATTCCAATGAACCTCTTGATTTCCACCATGTTTGCCAAAATTTCAACTTGAATGAAAGATACATTGATTTTGGCACAGTCTGACTGACATCTCCAGAAAAACCCTTATGGTATCAGATTTACTGACATATAAATTTTCTGATGTAGACATATATATATATATATATATATATATATATATATATATATATATGGAGAACATATATATATATGGAGAACATATATATATATGGAGAACATATATATATATGGAGAACATATATATATGGAGAACATATATATATATGGAGAACATATATATATATGGAGAACATATATATATATGGAGAACATATATATATATGGAGAACATATATATATATGGAGAACATATATATATATGGAGAACATATATATATATGGAGAACATATATATATGGGGATATATATATGGGGACATATGTATAGGGAGAAAAAATATATATATAGGGAGAATATATATGTGTATATATATATATGCATATATATATTATCTCAATGCTGACCCTTCTTCAGTATTTCCCTGTAATGATTTAATTCCCTGATGGAGCTTAACTTTTCACAATTGAATTTCATGCCTATTTCCCCGAAGTTAGTTGTAAGCTCTATTTCCTTAATCACTGGGAAACCCTGGCCAAGAGTGACATTTCCTGTTTCTCAATCTCTTCCATTGTTTTCAGTTCTGGCTATTTCAATCCCTAAGTGAAAGTTTGCCTCAGGATTCTTTTCTCTCTATAAATGGGAAAGGGAAAGAGGTGCTTTCTGGCTGTAGATACTGTAAGCTAAACAATGATGTGAAAGAGATAAACATCTAGGTTACTTAAGAAATCAATTATGAAGTAACCAATCAAAGATTGGTAGAAGGTCCAGGATCCTTTCAGAGAAGAATGGAGAAAATGTGAAATATGAGCTGAGGAAAGTGCGATGCTTGTGCTAGAAGTTCTTAACTGTTTCAGACAATACCGAGCTGTGTGATTCAGTTCAATCACCCTAAACTTTGGGAAATAGAGGATTCTGAAGTTTTCTGAACTCAGAGAGGTACATTTTCTGGGTGGAAATCAAAAGAGGAGCATTAAGTATTCAAAAGACAAATTTGAGAAGCAATAAGTAAGACTGTTGGAAACAGTATAGGACCCCAGTGTGGCACAGAAGGATGCTTCAGCGGGAGAAGCACAGTGCAGAGGAGGAAATACGGGTCTTTGCCCTAGACACTTCACTCTCAAGTCTCTGACTTGTATGCAGCCACAGGACATACTTTTGGATTTGTGCTATTTTCTTAATTAAAATAGTCTGGAGGCATATATTCATGTGTGGAAAGAAAAGGCAGAGAAAATTGTGAGGAGGCAGAAAGCAAGGAATAAAGAAAAGAAAACAATCTTCAAAGGAAAGTCTGTAAATGAAGAATAGTAGCAAAACTGATGAGCTTTTGAATTTCTCCACTTAGGGTATCAATTCCTTGTTTTTCCACAAAAGTTTATTTTTGAGGGGGTGGTACCTCTCAATTCTTGTATTTGAAACTGACAGTGAGAAATAACAGTGAGAAAATTATGACAGTGAAGGAGATCTGACATAACCAACCCCCATCATGCTTTTAACTTCCATATTGCCTTTGGTCATTCCTGGGCTTGGGCCAAGCTAACTTTGGGAGAAATTTAGGGTATGGTTTAAATGATAATAACCCTTCACCAAAAGTAAACCACCTTGGTAAAAATAATGAAAGACCACCAAGTTAGGAGTTTGAGAGGGTCCTGAATTCTGCTAAGATGTAGGCATAGTAAAATGATTACTAGCCATGATTCTGGAGGTCACAAGATTTGCAACTTCCCCAGTGACTACTGTAAATAACATCACTATTGTATAAGCTAAGATTGACCTTCAGAGATGTCTGTTCAGGCTTTTGCATTTCTGATGACCAGTGACTACTCTGTGGCTCCCACCCAGAAATAGACTCAGTGCATACACGAGGACCATTTTTCACATGCCTGTGATTTTATTCCCAACCAATCAGCAGCACCTATTCCCCTAAGCCCTTTGCCCATCAAACTAACCTTGAAAAACCCTAGCCTCCAAATTTTTGGGGAGATTTGAATAATAACTTTGAATCCTCTGTGGCATGGCTGGCTGGCCCTGTGTCAATTAAACTCTTCACTGCCATGCCATGGTTTCAGTGAATTGGTTTTGTCTGTGCAGATCAGAGATTAAAGTCCAGGGTCAGGTCCCATTAAGAAAAAAGAACTAAAGAACAATTCCAAACTACTTCATTTAGTGCATCTCTAATCCTCTTTGTGAAGCTATTTTTTATTCAAAGTTTCCATCATTTTTTTTGGAGATGACATTTAGCTCTTGTTACCCAGGCTGGAGTGTAATGGCATGATCTTGCCTCACTGCAACCTCCACCTCCTGGGTTCAAGCGATTCTCCTGCCTTAGCCTCCCGAGTAGCTGGGATTACAGGTGCCCACCACCACACCCAGCTAGTTTTGTTTGTTTGTTTTTGTATTTTTAGTAGAGACAGGGTTTCATCCTCTTGGCCAGGCTGGCTGCAAACTCCTGACCTCAGGCGATTCACCCACCTCGGCCTCCCAAAGTGTTGGGATTACAGGCTTGAACCACCACACTTAGTGATGTCCCCCTTTTACTGAAAACCACTTGTAAACAATTGCAAGCATGTTTGTCTTGAGTAAGCATTAGGAGTTAGAAGTAGAATTATCAACTTGCTTTATAAAGTTTCCAGCCTGGCAACAAAGCAAAGACCCTATCTCTACATAAACTAAAAAAATTACCCAGGCATAGTGGCGTGTGCCTGTAGTTCCAGCTGCTTGGGAAGCTGAGATGGGATGATTGCTTGAGCCCAGGAATTGGAGGCTGCAGTGAGCTAGGATCACGCCACTGTGCTCCAGCCTGCGCTACAGAGCAAGATCCCATCTCTTAAAAAACATAAAATAAAATAAAATAAAGTTTCATGGAGGGGGCAGAATTTACTATAAAAACTATTACAATCTCTTTCAGCAATTTATTAATTTTACAAATCACCCAAAGGAAAGCAAATGGAATTATAAGTTAGTAACAGCTATTGTCATTGACTTTTACTGCTATTAGCAATAATAACAAATTGGCCTTATCATTTATTTTTCAGGAAAAAAAAAAAAACACAGTTCTCCATGGTTCCCAAGGTTTAACTTTGCAAAATCTGACTAAAAATCTCCCAGAATATTCAGTCTTACCTTGTGATCTTGTTTTGATTTCTTCCCTGAAGAGCTGCAGCTCTGTGTTCGGAGGAGTCTGTAGACTCTTTTTATTAGCCAAAGTTTGGCAGAGACCCAAATTGCCTTAGAAGGGAGATCTGGGCGGGTGAGATTTTAGCAGGCTTGAAATCTCATGTAAAGAGCCAACAGAGTTACAATTCTGTCAACATCTAAGGCTCACTACTTTCTGCGTCCTCCCTCCATCTGAATATTTTAAACCAGCAATTATGATTCTTCTTCTGCCCCTAAACTTTATGTTTTGGCTCTCTTTGGAGTTGAACTCCTAAACTTCAACTTCAGCACTGTCCATTTTGAAATTCTGTTGCCATTTATATATTCACTTTTGGCCGTTGGCTTCTTAATTTACAAACTTCATTAAGAGATCAGTGTATTCTTCCAAATTCCTTTATAATAGAAATTTGCGACCCCCTTTGGCCTATCAGTAATAAGCAGCTCGTCTGCAAATAAAAGCTCTGAAATACTCTGTATTCCAACATATCTGACGGGCTTTCCTGCTCCCCACTGTTCATCTTTTCTTTCTATTCATCTCAAAAATCTCGCAGAAGATAATACTTTATCACAAAAGCAAATCCTGTACTATAGATCCCATGAGAAGTTGTTCTTCTTACCTCATGAGAAATTTTGCTCCTACTCACCCTCTCTCCATCTCGTTTGGCATCTGTAGCAGAAAATAAAGGGATGAAGTAATGCTCTTTTAAGACTTGGACTGATTCCACATCCTAAGATCACACATTGGAAGGAAGACTGCTGCTGTACTTAGAAGGATATTGTGATGGACTGTTACCCTAGCAAGCCTCTACATCCATTCAATCTACAAGATTAGAAGGGTGACCTTGAAACAAAGGGGCAGCAGAAAAAAGTTTACTGTAAAATGAAATAGGAATTTTTTAGTTTTTCTCATGGCATGTTGAAGGATAGAATGTTAGGGTTCTGGAATCCAGGGGAAAGAGAAAATGAGACAGCAACAGATGGCTGACCAGGCTTGGGAAAATGTGACTATGATGGAGTCCCCTTTGGAAAAAACAACTAAGGAACTCTGTTATCTTGTTTAAAGTTGTTTCATTTTCTGTGCAGTAATCCCCTTTAATCATCCCCAAACCTGAGCAATCATCTGCTACAAGCCATAGTGTTGCATTTGTGAGTAATGAAGAAAGATGGCTATGTCTGCCCTTTGGATAAAGCAGTGAAGCAAGCGGACAGGATGCCAACATGACAAGAATGAATCAGGAATTGAGCTGTGTGCAATAAATAGGAGGGAGGGGTGACAAGTAACAGCCAAGGGAATATTAGCATACTCTACTCTGGGAATTCTTGCAAATACTGAGGAAATTACAAAGGATGAATAATGTATCTTTATTATGTATATTGAACCCTCCTTCATTATTTCAAAAATTTCTCTTTTTATCTCTAATTATGCTTCATGCCTTAAAGTCTGCTTTGTCCATTTGTCTGCTTTCTCCATTAGCAGAGCTTTGCAAACATTCTTTTGGTTAGTATTCACATAGTGTATCTCTTTTCATCTTTTTTCTTTCAAACTTTCTGTGTCCTTACATTAAAGATGTGTCACATATAAGTAGTATACTGGTTTTTTTTCCCAGTTTGACAATAATTTGTCTTTGAACTGGAACATCTATTGTAATTATTGATATATTTGAATTTGCTTCTACTATCTTACTTTTTTTCTCTGCTATTTTGTCCCCCTGGCTTATGCTCTTTTTTGGATAAAACAATTATTTATTTATTTATTTATTTATTTTGAGATGGAGTCTCGCTCCGTCGCCCAGGCTGGAGTGCAGTGGCGTGATCTCAGCTCACTTCAAGCTCCGCCTCCCAGGTTCACACTATTCTCCTGCCTCAGCCTCCTGAGTAGCTGGGACTACAGGCGCCCGCCACCATGCCCGGCTAATTTTTTGTATTTTGTAGTAGAGACGGGGTTTCACTGTGTTAGCCAGGATGGTCTCGATCTCCTGACCTCGTGATCTGCCCCCCTTGGCCTCCCAAAGTGCTGGGATTACAGGCGTGAGCCACTGTGTCTGGCCTGGATGAAACAATTTCTAAAAATTATTCAATTTTCTCCCAGCAGTCATGAACTATAACTCTTGACTTTTTATGAAACAAGAACAAAACCAAAAAGGCTGCTAAAACCACAGCTCTGCTTTTAAGAGGCTGATTTTTTTTTTTTTTTTTTTTTTTTTTGCCTTTGCCCCCATGCAGCTGCGTAATTCGGCAAGTGTTTTGAAGAGGAAACTCATTATATGTAGGTTCAGTTCTCCAGCCCTCTCTTCTTGCTGGGGGCCTGGCCCTTCCAATTTCCAATTTTGTCTCTTCATTCCCACAACACCGATCAACAGTGATTTCTCTGTCTCCTGGCAGTGACCTCCTACCTTGGTAAAATACAGATTCCCTGCCTTGGCCAATGCTCTCGTAACTATTAAAAAGTAGCTAACTACTGTTAGCTAATCTCTCCATGGAATCTTAGCCCCTCATCCTTCGTGCTTCAGCAGCTCTCTCCTGATCTGCCTTTCTGGTTGTACTCAATGGTAATATTGGACTGCCACAAGTTACTCCATGCTATTCAAGTAGCTAGTTGAATGAAGATGAAAGCATGGCTCTAGAAGGCAGGACGACTAAGGGTTAGGTCATACAGACTTTATTCTAGTAATCGTATAATTTGTTATCTGAATCATAAATTTTTGAGAATGAAAAGAATGTTATTAATCATTTGACCAGAATAATAGGAAAACACTGAGATATGGTTACCCCAGGTTTTGTGACTTTTATAGTTCTTCATCCCTAACCCCACTACTTCCCAAATCCCAAATCTGCCTTATTAACTTCCTCCTTTCAGGGTAGATGCAAGGTATATGGGTGACTGTCTAAAATTTTGCTGACTCATAGACATATACTTGATCTGGTTGCACAATTTTATTCCCAAAGGAAGAAAGTTCAAATTGATGTTTTGCTACCAACAGACCTTAAAAAATGAAAATTTAAAGGGTATACTTCACATGGAGGAAGGTGAACCCAAATGGTAGGCCTGAATATAAGCAGAATTGAAGAATCAAAAGTATGATAGATATTGAGGTAATGCTAAGACATATTAACGGTAAATACTGACAATAATATCTTGTAAGGTTAAGAAAAACAAACTAGAACTAAATACATTACAAAAATAGCCTATATGTCTGGAGAGATGATGATAGGAATGAGAGTTCTCAAGTATATTGTATTGCTCAGGAAGAGGGTAAAAATATTGCTGAATTTTGAGCTCTGTATTCATTTTTAAATTTCTAGAAAAAATTCAGAATAATAGAAATTGGACATATAACTAACTTCCAAATGATTAGAGGAGAAAAACAGAATGAGAAAAAAATAGCAGTCTATCCAGCAGAAATCAAGAAAGAAGAGACAAAAAAGCATAGTAAAGGTAATACCAAGAGAAAAAACAAAGCATGATAGATTTAACACAAATATGTCAATAATCTCATTACATGGACTAAAGGTGCCAGTCGAAGAAGCTAAGATACTTAGACTTGAAAAGAAAAGATCCATGTAATGCTGTTTTAAAGAGACATATACTAAAGATACAAAGAAGTTACTGGTCAGGTGTGATGGTTAATACTGAGTGTCAACTTGATTGGATTGAAGGATGCAAAGTATTAATCCTGGGTGTGTCTGTGTGGGTGTTACCAAAAGGGATGAACATTTGAGTCAGTGGACTGGGGAAGGCAGATCCACCCTTAGTTATGGTAGGCACAATCTAATAAGCTTCCAGCGAATATAAAGCTGGCAGAAAAATGTAAAAAGAGAGACTAGCCTAACCTCCCAGCCTACATCTTTCTCCTGTCCTGGATGCTTCCTGCCCTCGAACATCAGACTCCAAGTTCTTCAGTTTTGAGACCCAGACTGGCTCTCCTGCTCCTCAAGCTTGCAGACAGCCTATTGTGGGAACTTGTGATTCTGTAAGTTAATACCTACTAAACTCCTTTATATATCTATTCTATTAGTTCTGTCTCTCTAGAGAACCCTGACCAATATATCGGGCATGATGGTTCCTTCCTGTAATCCCAGTGTTTTGGGTGCTGGGGTGGGCGGATTGCTTGAGCCCAGGAATTTGAGACCAGCCTGGACAATATAGTCTTTGTCTCTACAAAAGAAAATTAAAAATTAGCTAGGCATGGTGGCACATGCCTGTAGTCCCAGCTACTTGGGAGGCTGAGGCAGGAGGAGTGCTTGAGACCAGGAGTTTAAGGCTACAATGAGCTTTAAACATACCACTGCACTCTAGCCTAGGCATAGACCAAGAGTGAAACACTATCTCAAAAACAAAACAAAACAAAACAAAACAAAACAAAACAGAGGCTACTGAATAATGATAAAATTAAATTCATTGGGAAGAAATAAATCCCCACCCACAAACACCTGTTAACACAGTCTTAACTACATAAAATGAAAATAAAAGTAATTACAGAGAGAGATACAAATATCTATTATCCTAATGGGAAATTTGTTATGTCTTAGCAACGTTGTCAAGCAGGAAAAGCATTAGGAAGAATATAGAAATTTTGGTTGACACAATGAGCTGGGACACATGGATATATAAATAACACAATACAACAGGCAGAGAATACATACTCCCTTCAAGCACACATGGAACATTTGCAAAATTAAACATATTCTTATCTATCAAGTCAGTTGTAGAATTATTTCAATTGATGTCACCAAAAATGGCAGAATAAGGAACTTCAAGGTCTATCTCTCCGCAAAAACAACTAATAAGCTGGCGAAAACTGTCAAAATCAACTTTCACAGAACTCTGCATATAGTCGAAAGCTTATGACAGCCATGGAAAAGTTAATGAAGAAAGAAGAAGTTGATGCATTGCAGAAGAGAGTGCTGTGGCATTTTAAATTGCCTACTTGCTATCCCTCATCTGCCATCCCCCAGATCAATGGCAGTTATCAGGATGGTCGCCCATATTCCAGGTGCATGCTGCTAGTGCCAGAGGGACTAAATGGACCTTTTTCTCAAATAATTGTGATTGTGTGTTTCAGCCTGTCTGGGGGCTCCCTTAAGGACTAGTGTGACGAGTTGCCTTTGTTTCATCTGATTCAAAGTGTTTCCAGGGCTGGCATGGCTTCTCAGGTGGCATTTGCCAAAGGCATTAAAAGGTAAAAGTATTGGCTGCAGCAGCCTGGGGCAAGGGATAACAGTCAGAACAAGCAATAGACATATCAAAAAAGCCAGGGAAGAAAGAGGTTAGAAAAGGAGATACATGAGGGGAATAAGGACTTTGAAAAGTTCCCACATATACTGGGGAATCAAGAAGACAACACTCATTGCTAGGAAGGTAGACATGTTCAGAAAAGTCCTGAGAAGACCCCAGGCTTTCACCTCTGGCTGACTTTCAAGTTCCATGCAAGCAGGAAGTGAAGACCAAAGCAGAGTTGTAAATGGCTTTGCTATGCGTTGAAGGCATGTCCCAACACAGAGCCAATCTGAAAACACTAGGGGAATAATTTTTCTTTTTCTTTCTTCAGCTTCTATTTTTGGCTCTAGTTGTTTAAGGAAATCATTGTCATAACACTAGCTGACCACTAAGCTAATGGAACACCGACTTCAGTGACCACACATAACAAAGAATACAGACTGTAGAAAAATGTTTTAGAAAAGTCACTAAACAGACAGATAACAACAACCCACTACAAGCAACAACAACAAACCATGGGGATGTGGAGAACTGAATTTCCTGAGTTACTGTATTATAATGTGCAAAATGTCCACCTTTCAACACAAAATTATGAGACACTCAAACAATGAAGTATGGACTTTAAAAAGTGACAGTAATCATTCTTGAGAAAGACCAGATATATGACTTATTAGGCAAAGCCTTTAAATCAGCTGTCTTAAATATATTTAAAGAGCTAAAGGAAACCATGAAAATTATGTCTTTGCAAATAGAGAATATCAATAATAGAAATAATAGATATAAATTATAAAAAGGAACCAAATAGAAATTCTGAGGTTGAAAAGTAGAATAACTGAAATAAAAAATTCACTAGAGGGATTCAGTAGCAGATTTGAGCAGTCAGAAGCAAGAACCAGTGATAGGTTAATTGAAATGGTCCAGTCCGAGGAAAAGAAAGCAAAAAGAATGGGAAAAAAATGAGCAGAGTCTAAAAGGCCTGTAGGACATCATCAAGCATGCCAACAGGTGGACAATGAGAGTCCTATAGGGAAAGGAGAGAGAATGGAACAGAGAGAATATTTGGCAAAATGATGGTAAAAATGTCCCAAATTTGATTAGTAACCAAGATTTTAAACATTCGAAATACTCAATGAACTCCAAGCAGGATAACTCAAAAGATTCACACTGAGATACACTATAACCAAACGGTTAAAAGCCAAAGACAAAAAGCAAATCTGGAAAGCAGCAACTGAGATGTTTCTCACTATGTATAAGGGATACTCATGTGTAGGATTACCAGCTAGTTTCTCTTCAGAAGCCATGGAGGCCAGAAGACAGTGGGACAACATATTTAAAAGGCTGAGAGAAAAACATTGTCAACCAAAAATTCTATATCTGGAAAAACTATTCTTTAAAAATGAGAGAGTAAGTAAGACATTAAGAAATTAAGATGTTATCAGATAAAGAAAAACAGGGCAACATAGGGAGTTCATCACTAGTAGACCTGCCCTATAAGAACTGCTGCATAAATCCAGCAACATTCTAAGAAGGTTCTATGTCATAACTAAGTGAGGTTTATACCAAAAATGCAAGAGTGGTTCAACATATAACAACCAATCAATGTAATAAATCACACCCATAGAATGAAGGAAAAAACCCCACCCATATAATTATCTCAATAGATGCAGAAAAAGCTTTTGACAAAATCTGTCACCCTTTAATGATAAAAACCCTCAATGAACTAGAAAAAGAAGGGAACTTTCTCAATTGATAAAGGACATTTATGAAAAATTCACAGTGGCATTATTCTCAATGATGAAAGACTGAAAGCTTTCCTCCTAAGATGAGAAACTAGACAAGAGTGCCCATTTTCTTTTTTTGGTTTGTTTTTTGTTTGTTTGTTTGTTTTTAGCCCAACATTTTATTTTATTAAATTTTTTATATACTTTAAGTTCTGGGGTACATGTGCAGAACGTGCAGTTTTGTTTCATAGGTATACATGTGCCATGGTGGTTTGCTGCACCCATCAACTCATCATCTACTTTAGGTATTTCTCCTAATGCTATCCCTCCCCTAGTCCCTCACCCTCTGACAGGCCCCGGTATGTGATGTTCCCCTCCCTGTGTCCATGTGTTCTCATTGCTCAACTCCCACTTATGAGTGAGAACATGGGGTGTTTGATTTTCTGTGATTTTCTGTTCTTGTGTTAGTTTGCTGAGAATGATGGTTCCTAGCTTCATCCATGTCCCTGCAAAGGATATGAACTCATCCTTTTTTATGGCTGCATAGTATTCCACGGTGTATATGTGCCACATTTTCTTTATCCAGTCTATCATTGATGGACATTTGGGTTGGTTCCAAATCTTTGCTATTGTGAATAGTGCTGCAGTAAACATATGTGTGCATGTGCCTTTATAGCAGAATGATTTATAATCCTTTGGGTATATACCCAATAATGGGATTGCTGGGTCAAATAGTATTTTTAGTTCCAGATCCTTGAGGAATCACCACACTGTCTTCCACCATGGTTGAACTAATTTACACTCCCACCAACAGTGTAAAAGTGTTCCTATTTCTCCACATCCTCTCCAGCATCTGTTGTTTCCTGACATTTTAATGACCACCATTCTAACGGGCATGAGATGGTATCTCATTGTGGTTTTGATTTGCATTTCTCTAATGACCAGTGATGATGAGCATTTTTTCATATGTCTGTGGGCTGCATAGATATCTTCTTTTGAGAAGTATCTGTTCATATCCTTTGCCCGCTTTTTGATGGGGTTGTGCATTTTTTTCTTGTAAATTTAAGTTCTTTGTAGATTCTGGATATTAGCCCTTTGTCAGATGGATAGATTGCAAAAGTGTTCTCCCATTCTGTAGGTTGCCTGTTTACTCTGATGATAGTTTCTTTTGCTGTGCAGAAGCTCTTTAGTTTAATTAGATCCCATTTGTCAATTTTGGCTTTTGTTGCTATTACTTTTGGTGTTTTGGACATGAAGTCTTTGCCCATGCGTATGTCCTCAATGGTATTGCCTAGGTTTTCTTCTAGGATTTTTATGGTTTTAGGTCTTACATTTAAGTCTTTAATCCATCTTGAGTTAATTTTTGTATAAGGTATAAGGAAGGGGTCCAGTTTCAGTTTTCTGCATATGACTAGCCAGTTTTCCCAACACCATTTATTAAATAGGGGATCCTTTCCCCATTTCTTGTTTTTGTCAGGTTTGTCAAAGACCAGATGGTTGTAGATGTGTGGTGTTATTTCTGAGGCCTCTATTCTGTTCCATTGGTCTATATATCTGTTTTGGTACCAGTACCATGCTGTTTTGGTTACTGTAGCCTTGTAGTATAGTTTGAAGCCAGGTAGCGTGTTGCCTAAAGCTTTGTTCTTTTTACTTAGGATTGTTGTGGTTATGCAGGCTCTTTTTTGGTCCCATATGAAGAGTAAAGTAGTTTTTTCCAATTCTGTGAGGAAAGTCAATGGTAGCTTTATGGGGACAGCATTGAATCTATAAATTACTTTGGGCAGTATGGCCATTTTCACGATGTTGATTCTTCCTATCCATGAGCATAGAATGTTTTCCCATTCGTTTGTGTCCTCTCTTATTTCCTTGAGCAGTGTTTTGTAGTTCTCCTTGAAGAGGTTCTTCACATCCCTTGTAAACTGTATTCCTAGGTATTTTATTCTCTTTGTAGCAATTGTGACTGGGAGTTCACTCATTACTTGGCTCTCTGTTTGTCTGTTATTGGTGTATAGGAATGCTTGTGATTTTTGCACATTGATTTTGTATCCTGGGACTTTGCTGAAGTTGCTTATCAGCTTAAGGAGATTTTGGGCTGAGATGATGGGGTTTTCTAAATATACAATCATGTCATCTGCAAACAGAGACAGTTTGACTTCCTCTTTTCCTAATTGACTACGCTTTATTTCTTTCTCTTGCCTGATTGCCCTGGCCAGAACTTCCAATACTATGTTGAATAGGAGTGGTGAGACAGGGCATCCTTGTCTTGTGCCAGTTTTCAAAGGGAATGCTTCCAGTTTTTGCCCATTCAGTACGATATTGGCTGTGGGTTTGTCATAAATAGCTCTTATTATTTTGATATATGTTCCATCAATACCTAGTTTATTAAGAGTTTTTAGCACGAAGTGCTGTTGAATTTTGTCAAAGGCCTTTTCTACATCTATTGAGATAATCATGTGGTTTTTGTCATTGGTTCTGTTTATGTGATGGATTACATTTATTGATTTGCGTATGTTGAACCAGGCTTGCATCCCAGATATGAAGCCGACTTGATCATGGTGGATAAGCTTTTCGATGTGCTGCTGTATTCGGTTTACCAGTATTTTATTGAGGATTTTCGCATCAATGTTCATCAGGGATATTGGCCTGAAATTTTCTTTTTGTTGTTGTTGTGTCTCTGCCAGGTTTTGGTATCAGGATGATGCTGGCCTCAAAAAATGAGTTAGGGAGGATTCCCTCTTTTTCTATTGATTGGAATAGTTTCAGAAGGAATGGTACCAGCTTCTCTTTGTACCTCTTGTAGAATTCGGCTGTGAATCTGTCTGGTCCTGGACTTTTTTGGTTGGTAGGCTATTAATTACTGCCTCAATTTCAGAACTTGTTATTGGTCTATTCAGGGATTCGACTTCTTCCTGGTTTAGTCTTGGGAGGGTGTATGTGTCCAGGAATTTATCCATTTCTTCTAGATTTTCTAGTTTATTTGTGTAGAGGTATTTATAGTATTTTCTGATGTTAGTTTGTATTTCTGTGGGATCAGTAGTGATATCCCCTATATCTATTTTTATTGCATCTATTTTCTTCTTCTCTCTTTTCTTCTTTGTTAGTCTGGCTAGCAGTCTATCTATTTTGTTGATCTTCTAAAAAAAACCAGCTCCTGGATTCATTGATTTTTTTGAAGGGTTTTTCATGGCTCTATCTCCTTCAGTCCTGCTCTGATCTTAGTTATTTCTTGCCTTCTGCTAGCTTTTGAATTTGTTTCCTCTTGCTTCTCTAGTTCTTTTAATTTTGATGTCAGTTTGTTGATTTTAGATCTTTCCTGCTTTCTCTTGTGGGCATTTAGTGCTATAAATTTCCCTCTATACGCTGCTTTAAATGTGTCCCAGAGATTCTGGTACATTGTGTCTTTGTTCTCATTGGTTTCATAGAGCATCTTTATTTCTGCCTTCATTTCGTTATTTACCCAGTAGTCATTCAGGAGCAGGTTGTTCAATTTCCATGTAGTTGTGCGGTTTTGAGTGAGTTTCTTAATCCTGATTTCTAATTTGATTGCTCTGTGGTCTGATAGACTGTTATGATTTCCATTCTTCTGCATTTGCTGAAGAGGGTTTTACTTCCAATTATGTGGTCAATTTTAGAATAAGTGAGATGTGGTGCTGAGAAGAATGTATATTCTGTTAATTTGGGGTGGAGAGTTCTGTAGATGTCTATTAGGTCCACTTGGTCTAGAGCTGAGTTCAAGTCCTGAATATCCTTGTTAATTTTCTGTCTTGTTGATCTGTCTAATATTGACAGTTGGGTGTTAAAGTCTCCCACTATTACTGTGTGTGAGTCCAAGTCTCTTTGTAGGTCTCTAAGAACTTGCTTTATGAATCCAGGTGCTCCTGTATTGGATGCATCCTAAATATAGTTAGCTCTTCTTGTTGCACTGATCCCTTTACCATTATGTAATGCTTTTCTTTGTCTCTTTTGATCTTTGTTGGTTTAAAGTCTGTTTTATCAGAGACTAGGGTTGCAACCCCTGCTTTTTTTTGTTTTCCATTTGTTTGGTAAATGTTCCTCTATCCCTTTATTTTGAGCCTGTGTGTGTTTTGCACGTGAGATGGGTCTCCTGAATACAGCACACTGATGGGTCTTGACTCTTTATCCAATTTGCCAGTTTGTGTCTTTTAATTGGGGCATTTAGTCCATTTACATTTAAGGTTAATATTGTAATATGTGAATTTGATCCTGTCATTATGATGCTAGCGGGTTATTTTGCCCGTTAGTTGATGCAGTTTCTTCATACTGTCGATGGCCTTTACAATTTGGTATGTTTTTGCAGTGGCTGGTACCGATTGTTCCTTTCCATGTGTAGTGCTTCCTTCAGGAGCTGTTGTAAGGCAGGCCTAGAGGTGACAAAATCGCTCAGCATTTGCATGTCTGTAAAGGATTTTATTTCTGCTTTACTTATGAAGCTTAGTTTGGCAGGATGTGAAATTCTGGGTTGAAAATTCTTCTCTTTAAGAACGTTGAATATTGCCCCCCAGTCTCTTCTGGCTTGTCAGGTTTCTGGAGAGAGATCCACTGTTAGTCTGATGGGCTTCCCTTTGTGAGTAACCCGACCTTTCTCTCTGGCTGCCCTTAACATTTTTTCCTCATTTCAACCTTGGTGAATCTGACGATTATGTGTCTTGGGGTTGTTCTTCTCGAGGAGTATCTTTGAGGTGTTCTCTGTATTTCCTGAATTTGAATGTTGGCCTGTCTTGCTAGGTTGGGGAAGTTCTCCTGGATAATCTCCTGAAGAGTGTTTTCCAATGTGGTTCCATTCTCCCCATCACTTTCAGGTACACCAATCTAACGCAGGTTTGGTCTTTTCACATATTCTCATATTTCTTAGAGACTATGTTAGTCTTAGAGACTTCGTTGCTTTTCATTCTTTCTTCTCTGATCTTGTCTTCACACTTAATTTCATTAAGGTGATCTTCAACCTCTGATATCCTTTCTTCTGCCTGATCAATTCAGCTATTGATACTTGTGTATGCTTCACAAAGTTCTCATGGTGAGTTTTTCAGCTCCATCAGGTCATTTATGTTCTTCTCTAAACTAGTTATTCTAGTTAGCAATTCATCTAACCTGTTTTCAAGGTTCTTAGCTCCCTTGCATTGGATTAGAACATGCTCCTTTAGCTCAGAGGAGCTTGTTATTACCCACCTTCTGAAGCTTACTTCTGACAATTCATCACTCACTCTCCATCCAGTTTTGTTCCCCTGCTGGTGAGGAGTTGTGATCCTTTGGAGGAGAAGAGGCATTCTGGTTTTTAGAATTTGCAGCCTTTCTGCTTTGGTTTCTTCCCATCTTTTTGGATTTATCTACCTTTTGTCTTTAATGTTGGTGTCCTTCAGATGGGGTCTCTAAGTGGAGGTGCTCTTCATTTCTGTTTGTTAGTTTTCCTTCTAACAGGCCCCTCTGCTGCAGATCTGCTGGAGTTTGCTGTAGGTCCACTTCAGACCCTGTTTGCCTGGGTATCACCAGCGGAGGCTGCAGAACAGCAAAGATCGCTGCCTGTTCTTTCCTCTGGAAGCTTTGTCCCAGAGGGGCACCTGCCAGATGCCAGCCAGGGCTTTCCTGTATGAGGTGTCTTCTGAAGAATGCCCATTTTCAAAACTTTTGTTCAACATCGTACCAGAAATTTTATCCAGAACAATTAGGCAAAATAAATAAATAAATAAATAAAAGACAGACAAATTGGAAGAGGAAGAAATAAAATTATCTTTATTTGCAGATGACATAATTCTATATATAGAAAATCCCAAAGAACCCACAAAAAACTATTAGAGGTAATAAATGAATTTAGCAAAGCTACAGATACAGGAGCAGCACTTAAGAAACAATTGTATTTTTACACAATATCAATGTCTCAGAAAAGAAAATTAAGAAATCAATTTTATTTACAATTGTGTCAAAAATGAAATACTTAGGAATAAATTTAACTAAGGAGGTGAACTAATTGAATACTGAGAACTACAAAATGTTGTTGAAATAAATTTAAAAAGATTTAAATGAATGGAAAGACATCCTATGTTTATCACTAAGAAGGCTTAATATTATTAAATAGCAACATGCTTCACATTGATCTAAATATTCTACACATTCTCTAGGCCAAATTCCAGCTGGATTCTTTGTAGAAATTGAGAAGCTGATTCTAAAATTGATACAGAATTTTAGACCCAGAAAAGCCAAAACAATCTTGAAAAAGAATAAAGTTGGAGTACTCATGTTTTCCAATTTCAAACCTTACCATAAAGTAACAGTAATAAAGTATGATACTGACAGAGGATATACATATAAATAAGTGAAATAAATTTGAGAGTCCAGAAACAAACCTTCACATCTATAATCAATTGGTTCTTGACAAGGGAGTAAAAATCAATGAGGAAAGGAATTGTCTTGAGGAATAGTCTTTTTGACAGATAGTGTTGAGACAACTGAATATCAACATTCATAAGAATGAAGTTGGACCTCTGTTTCACACCATATACAAAATACATCAAAATGGATTAAAAATCTAAATGTAAGAGTTAAAGCTATAGAACTCTTAGAAGAAAATATAGGAGTAAATCTTCATGACTTTAGATTTGGTAATAGATTTTTTAGATATGACAACAAAAGCAGAAGTAAAAACAAAATAGGTAAATTGAATTTCATTACAATTATTTATTTATTTATTTGAGACAGAGTCTTGCTCTGTTGCGTAGGCTGGAGTGCAGTGGCATGATCATGGCCCACTGCAGCCTTGACCTCCTGGGCCCAAGCAATCCGCCCACCTAAGCCTCCCAAGTAGCTGGGATGATAGGTGCATGCCACTACACACAGATAATTTTTGTATGTTTTATAGAGACAGGGTTTTGCAATGTTTCCTAAGCTAATTGTCTCAAGTGATCTTCCTGCCTTGTACTCCTAAAGTGTTGGGATTATGGGCATGAGCCACCACCTCTAGGCTTCAATACAATTAAAATATTTGTGATTCAATGACACTATCAAGATAGTGAAAATACAGCGTACAGGATGGAAGGAAATATTTGCAAATCATATATCTAATAAGGATCTAATATGCAGAATATGTAAAGAACTCTTATAACTCAAAACCAAAAAGGTAACCGAATTTTAAAATGGGCAAAAGCTTTCAATGGGGATTTCTCCAAAGAAGATATACAAATGGCTAACAAGCACATGAAAACATGTTCAGTGTCATCAGTCATTGGGGAAATGCCAATCAAAACCACAGTGAAATGCTACTTTTCACCCACTAGGATGCATGTAATTTTTTTTTAAAAAAAAAGGAAAAATAACTATTGTTGAGTATGTGGAGAATATGAAACAGCTTTTACAAAAATGTCCACTTAAAAGTAATTTTTTAAAATTGAGGTAAAATTCACATGATATAAAATTAACCAATTTAAAATGTACAATTCAGTAGCATTTAGTACATTCACAATATTGTGTAACATTACCTGTGTCTAGTTCCAAACAGTTTCATCACCCCAAAAGGAAATCTTGTATGCATAAAGCATCCATTCCCCATTTTCCCTTACCTCTAGCCCCTGGCAACCATCAATTTGCTTTTTATTTCTGTGGACTGTCTTTTCTGGATATTTCATATAAATGGAATCATACATTATGTGATATTTTGTGTCTGGCTTCTTTCACTTAGCATAATGTTTTTATTCATGTTGTAGCAAGTATCAGTACCTTATTCCTTTTTATGTCTCAACAATATTCTGTTATGTCAATATACCACATTCTATTTATTTATTCATAAGTTGGTGAACATTTTAATTGATTCCACCATCTGGCTATTGTGAATGGCATTACTGTAAACATTTAGGTACAAGTTTTCATTTAAATACCTGATTTCAATTCTTCGAGTATATACTTTGGGATGGAATTGCTGGGCCATATGGTAATACCATGTGTAACTTTTTGAGGAACCGCCAAACTGTTTTATGTAGTGGCTGCACCATTTTACACTCCCAACAGAATATATGAGGGTTGCTGTTTCAAACAAACCATGTTCTCTGGTCACAAGGCAATTAAGCTAGTCCTTACAATAAAAAGATTATGATAAAACACCATTAATTTGAAAAATCCAGGTCAGGAAAGAAGTCTAGTATTTTAGGACCATTACACCAGGGTGATTATTTCATAAGAAGTCAGGTCACAATCGAGATGATAAAGATCTATGTTCTTCACATAGACCAGACCAGCTAGTAGGAAGAAAAGAGACATTCTTTCATTAATAAGTTGTGTTTGCCTTCTTGTGAAGAAACTTTCGTGGAAAGAGACTGAGCTGAAATCGAAGCACCACCATTTCCTTCCTCCCCCTTTGAAAGGGACCAGAGTTTCCTCGTGGAGGACACTGAGCGGAAGCCAGAGCAGATCCCCTAGTGACAGGCATACGAAGTCTCAGGTGACGACAGGTTGCAAGATTCTGGATGACTTAGGGCTGAAATCTACATTGTATTGTGGAGAGGTAAGGATGGTATGTCTTGAGGAAGGGAACAGGGACACCAGGAAGTGATACATAGTGAGAGTTCTGTGAGGGGAAGATGATGGGATTGAGAAGAAGGGGGAGAGAGAGAGGAGCTGAGGGATAGAAGGAAGACATTCTAGAATGCCTACCATCCCCACATGGTATGAAGAGTGAGTTACGTGCTCCACAGCCAATTCTGAAAAATTTTACTTAACACTTTTTTTTTTAGAACACGTATTTAACCCTTTAGAAAAATAATCAGTGGGTCCTCCATTAGAGGTTTGCTCATTAGCATCCAGTATATAAACATGAAAATCTCTGGAAAATGTAGTCTACCTGTGCTCCTCATGCCCCTTGTTCAGTGATCACTGGACAGATCCCAACGCGCTGTATTGTGGATTTATGGGTGAAGAGAAGTGCTGGGCAGCAGACAACTGCCCTTCCTGGGAGATCATCAAGCCAATGTTTGATTTTACTCTCAACCTGTTTGCTAGTTCATTCTTTCTTTGATAAGAGATGTAGCTAGAAAGGAAAGTGCTGCCTGTCAATTGAATGGTGCCAGGATTTAGAACTGTCTAGTCTGCTATACACCAATAAGCCTCGTTTTTGTTTGTTTTGTGGAAATCACAGAGGCCAAGTTCCCTCTCTGTTTCCATCCCTGGTGCCTAGAAAAGTAATCCATAAGCTGCACTAATTGAGAAATAGCAGGTACAGTACTCCCTGCTTATTTGCAGTTTCACTTTCTGCAGTTAACAGTGGTCTGAAAATATTACAGTATTTTGAGAATGAGAGAGAGACCACATTCATATAAATTTGATTACAGTATTTTGTTATAACTATTCTATTTTATTAGTTATTATTAATCTCTTACTGTGCCTAATTTATAAACTAAACTTTATCAAAGGTATGTATGTATGGGGGGAAACAGTATAATATAGAGGGTTTGGTACTATCCATGGTTTCAGGCATCCACTGGGGGTCTTGGAATGTAACCCCCATGGATAAGGGGGACTACTATACTTGGCATCAAATGCCCAATCTTTTCTACAGTGAGCTCTCAGGCAAGTCTGGGACAGAAAATATTCTCTCCATGCACTACTACACTTGATTTTGCTCAGTAGTTTTCAGATTTTTCTTAAAAGCACAAACTTACATCAAATAAAATCTCAACACAGAATTCATACATGTCAACATATAGATGCAGAGCTCCTGTAGTCAAAGGAGAAGTAAGGGGAATAAGATCACTATTGCTTAAACTATCCCAGTTGCGGGAGGCCTCGAGATTCTAGGATTCTGCAGAAGAGATTTGAAAACCACCAATCTATAGGAATGTCCTGCATTGGTTCATACCTGAGAAAATTCTAAGAGAAACAGCATGTTCTAAGAGAAACAGCATGTTCTAAGAGAAACAGCCTTCAGTCTTCCCCTCCCAGGAAGTTATGACAGGTGCATATCACAAGCCAGGAGAGAAGATATGTGGGAGCTACACCAAAGAAGTGTTCTTCCTTGGAGTATTGCTGGACTGAGCGTGGTGAGAAATGAGGTGGGAGAAGATAAGTCGAGGATTTGTAGTCTGACTTTGGATACAGCTTCTGTACCAGTCTATGGTCCTTTCTTCCAGATCATCTATTGTTAGGGTGGTTACTTTGGGCAACTTCATCCCCGCCATGGAACACCCCCTACTCCTTTCCACTAGTGTCGTTTTCTCATGCCACTCCCCTATGCAGAGGCATTTCCCACTTGGGCTGCCCCAACTCACGTTATTTTTCCTTTCACGCAAGGCCTTATTGTTTAACTGATTCAGCAGTAAGTTTTACCAACTGTAAGGGATGTTTTATAGAGTCTGCAAATTTCCTTATTTCTAAGGTAAATAGCCTTGAGCAATGTTTACAATCTCAGGAAGAGTGGTTCAGATCAGGAAGAGTGGTTTACAATCTCGGGAAGAGCTAAGCGGATGCTAAGCTACTTGGCACACTCAGTGGTTGCATTCTTTTCATCATCCCAGGAGTGTGCTTTTCAAGGCTCAAGATTTCCTTTACTACCTGAAAACAGGAGAGAGATTTTATTACTTTTCTATTGCTTCCATAATAAATAACCACAAACCTAGTGGCTCAAACTAATACAAATGTATAATCTTACAGGTCAGAGAAGTCCAACACCAGGCTCACCAGACAAAGATCACGGTACTGGCAGGGTTGCATTTCTTTCAAGGATGGTGCTACTTTCTGTAGCCAAGAGTCAAGAAGGAGCAGAGACTGGGCCCAGAGAACACAGCTCTAGGAAGGGGTTGTTAGGCAGCAGCTAAGGATTCAGTACAGGGAATCTGCCAACCACAAAATCCTGGTAAGGAGGAAGCTCAGGAAAGAAAAGCTCTAACCTCAGTGTATGCCCCAAGAATGATTGATCCTTCAGTAGGGGTCCCTGGATGAGAAGACAGACATATGCAACAGACCTGTGGTGTCACCACACCTGCAGCTGAGCCACACAGCCACAGATGTACCACCTACCCCGAGCCCTTATGTAACGTGAAATAGGAAGTGATATTTATCGTAATAATCTGAGGTTGTTGGCCATGAAGCATCACTTAGTGAAAGCTCACTAAATCCCACCACCTTGACTGAGAGAAAGTTTGCCCAGTGGAGCAGCCTAGAAAGTCAGCCTCTGTGGTCATAAAGCAGGGTTGTGGGAGGTGGAGAGTGGGCCTGGAGGGGTGCACAGAGGCATCCAGCCAAAAGGCCAGGGGTTTCCTTTTTTAGGCTACTGCCCTCAGCAGTCATGTCTCTCTGAGGGCCAGGAATCTAGACTGAATTGAAGCTGGCGACATAATCCCTGGGTCACTCATGTCTTTCTAGAGTGACACTGCCTCCTGGAGGAAATCCCTGATGGTGCCTCATTTTTATTTCTTTTTTTTTTTTACATCCTCCGTGTCCAGTACCTGCTCATAGGAGACACAGTAAAGATATAGGTGTTGACCAAGTGCACATGGAAAACACATTGTTGTTCTGCATCAGTGATTTTAATTAAAAAATACGCCTCTGAAAGAAAGAAAGCTCACTGGTTTGTAGTCCTTTAAACAAAGTAATGTGATATTTAGTTGAGGTTTAAGTTATTGCACCACGTCTCTAGTACAGTTCAGTGTCTTTCTATTTTTAGACAAAGGTAAACCTTATTTTTGTTTCCTTTCAGAAGGGGTATATCCACTGAGACCAGAGGCCAAACTCCCTTTGTACTTTTCTTTTTATTTTATTTTTTTTGAGATGGAGTCTTGCTTCATCACCCAGGCTGGAGTGCAATGGCGTGACTGGAATCACTGCAACCTCTGCCTCCCGGATTCAAGCAATTCTCCTGCCTCAGCCTCCCGAGTAGCTGGGACTACAGGCGCACGCCACCATGCCCAGCTAATTTTTCTATTTTTAGTAGAGACGGGGTTTTGCCATATTGCCCAGGCTGGTCTCAAACTCTTAACCTCAATGATCTGCCTGCCTCAGCCTTCCAAAGTGGCATGAGCCATTACACCCCACCGAACTCCGTTTTTCATGAGTTGGTTTTACTCTGAGTTTAATTTTCTTCTTGTTGCAATGGTATGTCTATGTGAGACTTTCATTGCAGACCTTTTGCCACAGCCAGGATGGTCACACACAAATAGGTGCCTTTCCTCATGAAAAGAGAGGATACAGCTCTGTAGATTAAATACAGTCATGTGGGTTCTACCACAGCCTTCTCTTGAACATTGGCAAATATTTCTCTCTGGAGCAAGAGTTTTCATATATTGCTTAAGATAATCTTTGTGTTTAAAAATTTTCTGCCATATTCACATGTTATTTCCTCTATATGGGTTTTTTTTCCTCACATATTTCAGAAGTTCAACCCATGTTTTTGCCACAAAGGAACATCTCTTTTGACATCTAGCCCTCCTGAACCTCCGTGTGTCGTTTCAGCCTGCTGGGTCAGGCAGTATTTCCCACATCCTTTCTGGGTTCATTGGTATGCTGGCACTGATGGATTTTCAGCTACTGATCCTTAAAGATCTTTTTACAGCCTTCAAAATTGCATATATGTTGTTTGCTGAATCTCATCTTTGTGTTCAAAATATTTCTTCAAGTTTGATTTTGTGTTGAATTTTCTGTCACAGCCACTAGTGCATAAACAGCTTTTCTCCCATATGAATCAGGATGTTGTGACTCAGGTGGTAGACCCTGAGGAAAATCTTGCCACACCCTTCATAGTCACAAATGAATGGTCTCTTCCTCGTGTGCTTGCATAGGTGCTCTTCAAGCATCTGGACCTTATTGTAATTGGTGCTACATACAGTCCTGGAAGGAGCAGATGAACTTCTTAGAGAGTGCAGGGGAAGGAGGGGACAAGGGAGTGGGACTGGTCTCTAGCGGGCCACGAGAAATGCCTAGGCAATGCTCAGGGGTGACAATGCCTCGGCACCCACCCAGATCAGGTATGCAGCCACATGGGTGCACCAGCATATGGACCCAACACACAAAGCCAGCTACTTCCAAGAGCTCATTCTGGTGCCACCAGGCCCTGGCCTGTAAACACTTATTTCTGACCCACTAGTTTCACAGAATCATCATATTATATAATTTTCCTATTGCTTTTCCACCCCATACAAGACCTTCTGGGGTTATCTCTTTAAAAAATTAATTTGAAAAGGCCCTTTTTCCCATTTTCAAAATATTTGTTGATCTAACTGTGGTATTGAAACTGCCTTTGCAAAAATTGTAACAGTGAGAAAATTATGATGTGAAAGAGATCTCACCTAACTGACTCCATCTTATTTCCAACCTCCAAACTGCCCTTGTTCATTCCTGGGCAAAGGCCAAACTAACTTTTGGGAGGACTTCAGTTTGTAGTTTAACTTTGAAACAAAGATGATAACAGCCCTTTCCAGAAATGAATGTCCTTCTTGCCTGGGGACCAGATTGCCTTTGTAAGACGAACAAATTGGCAACAAGATTAGAAATTTTGGTTTAGGAGTCACTCAGCCAGGGGCCACATGATTCCAAACCTCCCCAGTCGCTCCTAGGGATAACATCGCTATTGTAAAACCCAAGATTAGTGCTTGAAATGTTTTTCAGACCCTAAAATTCTGATGCACCAGCTAGCACCATCCAGGCCAGTAATCTGGCTAAACCAGTTCTGCAATCCTGTCCAAAAACCAAAGACAGCAAGAAGAACCCACTTTGACCCCCTGTGATTTCATCTCCAACCCAACTTCTCAGCACTCCTCATTCTCTGGCCCCCTACCGGCCAAATTGCCCTTAAAAAACTCCAATCTCTGAATTTTCTGTCTTCTGTTTAGCTGGCTGTGCATGAATTAAACTCTTTGTCTATTACAATTCCTCTGTCTTAATAAATTGAGTTTATCTGGGCAGCAGGCAAAATGAACCCACTGGGCAGTTACAGTGTGACTTGAGCAATATACCTACTCAAATGTATCTACTGTAAATACTTTGAGTCTCTAGCTCTTGGTTTATTTTCAGCTAATTCCACAGAAGCTGGGATTGTTGAAAGACCTATCTTTATTTAGTGAAAAACAATAGAAACCAAATACCCTGGATCGAGTCAGGATAGAAAAATCTAAAGCTTAGCCCTTATATCCTGTATCAGGTATCTACTAATTCTCTCCTCCTCCAATTTTGTCTTGGCTTACAGCTATTGTTAGGTAATCTGACCCTATGTAAGCGCTCAAAGATGAAGTTGTATAAGTGGCAAAATGCAGAGACTTACAGGTGTGCCCTCTTGAAAGACATTTTAGTAAATACATGTGTGGTTTCTGGCTCCTATTGTTATTGAGGCCAGGCATTCCTGCTCCCATTGGTACTGCCATGAAGTACAATGTTTGGTTTCCATTTCATCTATAAGCTATAAACTCCATGGTGAACCTCATTATACTCAAACTTGTATTTCCGTGCCTAAGGTGGGCCCTGGCACATAGGAAGGTTTATTTCCTTTTAGACTAGAAGAATTTATTTCAGTTTTGTTGTTTGTTTGTTTGTTTGGTTTCACCACCGATATGGTGGTTATAAATTCTCTTATTTTTCTTTCCCTGATACTCTTATTTCACCTTCAATAATGAAAGACATTTTTGCTGAATGCAGAATTCCAAGTGGACAAGCTTTTCCCTTGTACTTTATTTATTTATTTATTTTTTTAGTTTGATTATGCTTTTTAATATTTTTTCTAGGTTATTTAATTTATTGGTGTACATTTTTTCTTTTCTTTTTTTTCATTATTTATACTTTAAGTTTTAGGGTACATGTGCACAATGTGCAGGTTAGTTACATATGTATACATGTGCCATGCTGGTGCGCTGCACCCACTAACTCGTCATCTAGCATTAGGTATATCTCCCAATGCTATCCCTCCCCCCCACCACCCCACAACAGTCCCCAGAGTGTGATGTTCCCCTTCCTGTGTCCATGTGTTCTCATTGTTCAATTCCCACCTATGAGTGAGAATATGCGGTGTTTGGTTTTTTTGTTCTTGCGATAGTTTACTGAGAATGATGATTTCCAATTTCATCCATGTCCCTACAAAGGACATGAACTCTGTTTCACTGTCTTGTGACTCCCCTTCTATTGCTTCTTATGAGAAAGCAGCCATCATTTTAATTGTTTCCCTGTATTCAATGTGTCATTTTTCTTTGTCTTCAAATATTTTTCTTCCATAGTTTGATTATGATGTAAATAGGAGTGTTTTTTCTACTAATTCTGTCTAAGCTTCATAAATTTGTAACTATATGTTTTATGCCACGTTTAGGGAATTTGGGCCATGATTTTCCTCTCAATTCTCTCTCTCGTCTTCTTTCAGGTCTTCAGTTTTGAATTGTCTCACAGATCCATAGGCTCTGTTAATTAAAATTTATTTCTCTGCCTTCTTCAAATCAGATAATTTCTATTGACTTGTAAGTCCATTGTTTCTTTCCTCCATCATTCCATTTGGTTCTTAAGCTTACCCAGTTAATTTTATATTTCAGCTGTTTTGTTTTTCAGTTCTAGAATTTCTATTTGGGCTTTAAAAAAATAATCTCTTTTCTTCTGCTGAAATTTCCCACTTTTTATTAGCTGTGAGCATATTTTCCTTTTTACTACTGAGCATCATTTTAATATACAGTTTTAAATAATTGTTGGCCAACATCTGGGTCATCCTAGCTTGTTTTCTATTAATCTTTCTCCTATGAATTGGTCATGTTTTCCTGCTTCTTTGAATGTTGTATAATTTTTTTTTTGAGATGGAGTCTCGCTGTGTTGCCCAGGCTGGAGTGCAATAATGCAATCTCAGCTCACTGCAACCTCCGCCTCCCAGGTTCAAATGATTCTCCCGCCTCAGCCTCCTGAATAGCTGGGATTACAGGAACCCACCATCATGCCCAGCTAATTTTTGTATTTTTGTAGAGATGAGGTTTCACTGTGTTGGGCAGGTTGGTCTTGAAGTCCTGACCTCAGGTGATCTGCCTGCCTTAGCCCTCTAAAGTGCTGGGATTACAGGTGTGAGGCACTGCATCCGGCCTGAATGTTGCATAATTTTGGATTGCATCCTCAATATTGTGAATGATGTGTTGTAAAAATTCCGGAATCTGAATGTTCCTCTGAATAGTACTGATTTTAAGCATATATTTAACTTTTATAGAATGAAACTGTAACACTGTATTTCCACTGTGATGAGTGTAGCTGAAATTTTACTTCAATTCCTTTAACTTTAACTAATTTGCTTTGAGTCTTTCCCCAATAGTCATGTTCAAGGATCACTCAGAGATTTGGGAAAATTTTGTACCTAGAATATGAGACCCATTGTTTGGCTCTCTCCTTTCTGGGAGTTTCTTCTTCACTTTCCAGTGGATCTAGTTCCCCAAACACAAGTCCTTTTCTCTGATTCTTAAGCCAGTAAAACTAGGATTTTCTATAAGAGTTTTAGCCACCCCACATGGTGAAAACACACATACGCAAAATGGGAGTTGATGTCTGTTCTTTTCTGCCCAGCATTGACTTCCCTCAGTATCTATCTGTTTTTATTCTCTATTTGGTACCTTCAGTTGTTGGTTTTGGAGGAAGAAAAACATGGGTAAACTTGAAGAGAGACTGAGAGAGATTAAGCTATCTCAAGAACAGAGAGAAAAATAATGGGAAAAAAGTGTCAGAGCACCATTAACCGTGCAGACATAAGTGTAATTGGTGTACTATAAGGAGAGGAGACAGAAAATAGAGCAGAAAGTATTCAAAGAATTCATGGTCGAAGAGTCCCCAGATTTCATACAAATTATTACTCTACATATCTAAGAAACTCAATGAATTCTAAGTGAGATAGATGCAAAGAAATCCACACACAACACATTACTGTAAAAATGTTCAAAGCCAAAGCCAAAGCAAAAATATTGAAAGCGTAAGAGAAAAAGGACTGATCATGTATAGTGGAATGCCAATGATGCTTACAGCTGAATTCTCATCAGAACCAATGGATGCCAGAAGGCAAGAAGGTAACATTTTGAAGGTACTGAAAGACAAAAAGTTGTCAATCAACAAGTTTATGTCCAGCAAAACTATCTTTCAAAAAAAGGCAATTTCTCAAAGAAAATATGCAAATAGCCAACAATAAATGAAAAGAGTCAATATCATTATCTATCAGGAAATGCAAATCAAAACCACAGTGAGATATCACTTCATACATGATAGGATGGTTAAAATATAAAAGAGACATAATAACAAGTATTGAAAAAGATGTGGAGAGTTGGAACCTTCAGATCTTGCTGGTAGGGATGTGAAATGGTGCAGCCACTTTGGAAAATAATCTGGAAGTTCCTCAAAAGATTAAACGTAGAGTTCTTATATGACCCAGTTATTCACTCCTCAGTATACGCTCTACACAATGGAATATTATTCGACAGTATAAAGCAATGAAGTACTGGTACATACTGCAACATGAAGGAGCCTGTAATACATTATGTTAAGTGAAAGAAGCAAGGTACGAAAGACTACGTATCAGTGAGTTTTTTGTGTGAGTCCATTTATATGCAAGGTCCAGAATAGGCAAATCCAAAGAGATAGAAAGTAGATTAGTGGTTGCCAGGGTCTGGGGTGGGAAGAAGGGAGAGAAAGGGAGGAACTGCTAATGGGTATGGGGTTTCATCTGAGGTCATGAAAATATTCCAATATTCTGGCTGAAGTTACACAACTGTGAATATAGTATAAACACCATCGATCTGTTCACTTTTAAGTGGGTGAATTGTGTGTATGTGAATTATTAATTATTTCAATAAATCTGTTTTTTTTTTAACTAGTCGTTAAAAGCAACCACAACAGCCACCCACACAGCTGATTTCTTAAGTTAAATGCTGGTGTGATGTCTCCTCTTCATTCTCCTTGGCCTAGCCTAGGTCTTGTGAGAATGACCTCTCTGTATCATTTGTCATCACATTCAGTGGCAACAGCAGGAGCTAAATTTATTTTTTGGTTATCTTTTCATCCCTCAAATTGTCACACCTATTTTTCAAGTTCCCCAAAAATGGTAATTCTATGATAATCCTTAGTAACCATTAGCATAAAATTAAAACATTTACCTTAGGTTCTTCTACTATGCCTGCTAGAAATTTAGACTATTTATTACAGCTCTCTTTTCAAGCAAGAACAAAATCTGCCTTTTGGACCCATGTAAGGCACTATATTTTAATACCTTTGAATGCTACTATTATTTTGGGGAAACTGGAAAGGACATCGGACTGGATATCAAGAGACCTGCTTTCTAGGCCAATCTTTGTCCCTTGCTAGGACAGAGGAGAGCCATCATTCTTCATTTTATGTACATTTTTCAAAAGTAGGGAATTTTTGATAATTTGTAGTTATGACAGTTAATATTATGATGAAATATATTGAAGGAGATATGTAAAATCAAGTGTCCATTTACTCAATACTAGATTGTAACATCCGTGGCTGCACTCAAAGGGTGGCATATTTTTATGTGGGAGCTCTCCACTAGTCAATGGCACAGACCCACCACTGACCTGGCTCCATTGTCCAGTCCCACTCTTAGAGGAGAAAGGCTCTGGCCAAGACTGTTCCAGAAGGATAATACCTTTTTTTTGGTCTCTTTCCCAGATATAAGAAACCTGGTGACATTTCTGCCTCCAAATTTTTGTGTAATTTAAGAACAGTTTCCTCCTCTGAGCTTAGGTTCTCTGATCTAAAATATGAGAGGTGAGAGTCTTTAAAGCATCATCCACTACTAGTATCTTATAATTCTATTTCAGCATAAACATCTTTAATTCCCAATCTTTTCTCATGAAGACACCATCATGACCTCTTATTCTTATTTATATCTTTTGGACTCCAAATACTTCATTTTAGAGATCTAGTGCTCTGAAGGGTCAAAGGGGCACCTTGTGAAAAGCCATATTTGTCTCTTTACATTCACCATGACTTATACTAAATTATAATAAGTGTGAAATGTCTCCACGGACAGATACAAAATAATTTTGTATCTTCTGGCCAGGGTCCGGTGGCTCAATGCCTGTAATCCCAGCACTATGAGAGGGCAAGGCAGGCAGACTGCTTGAGCTCAGGAGTTTTAAGACAAGCCTGGGCAACATGGTGAAATGCTGTCTGTATCAAAAATACAAAAAACAAAAAACAAAAAATTAGCTGGGTGTGGTGACGTGCCTGTAGTCCCAGCTACTTGGAAGGCTGAGATGGGAGGATCACTTGAGTCTGGGAGGTGGAGGTTGCAGTGAGCCTAGGTTGTGCCACTGCACTCCAGCCTGGGTGACAGAGTAAGACCCTGTCTCAAATAATAATAATAATAATAATCTGTTCCATCTTCCAAGTGAATTATGAAGGTATCCACAATAAGACCAGCAGCCAGGGTTTCTCTCTTCCAAAGAGTGTGTACGAACATAATTTTTCTGAGTATAGACCTATGTTTGTGATTTGAATTAGGCTGTCACTAAGTAAGGGTTTAAAATTTGTTGTGCATCATGTTTCTCTTCTGAGAAGTGTCCTTTCTAGAAATCCCATTTAACACTCCCTGTCAGCAACTACTTCATTTTTCCTCCATATCTGACTTCCTCATGTAATCCATTTCTATTGTACCCTAGTTCCTGATAGAAGCTTGACTGAGTCAAACATCTCTGGAATGTGTCTGTGTTCATGCACCTAAGCCATAACCAAGCAAGTGCTGGGTGAAAGAGATGTAGGAAACCAAAATTTGTTGAACGCCTTTGTGCCAGGTACTTTTTACATACATTATATCATTACATATAAAACGTTACGTCATAATTTATGTAACATTCCTATGAGGGATTCTATCATCCCTATTTTACAGATAAGGAAAACTGAGGTTTGGTTAAGTTATTTGCCTAAGATAACACTGCTAATAGGTGGGGGAGCCTGGTTTAAACACAAGTCTGTTCAATTGTACTGCATCTTACTGATTGTACTCATGTGTTAACATTCCCACCAAAAGTGTAATAGTAAATCACTCTCAGTTATTAATTGGTGTTCAATTAGAAAGGCAGAATTTCTCTAGGCATTCAAACAGAGAGAATAAAATCCAAGGAGGGGCAAAAAGGGCCAGTGATGGTACCCAGAATTCAAAAGAGCTATGTTGCTGAGGTTGCCAGCATCCTTTTGTTAATGCTGCTGCTGCTGCTATTGAAACCACTGCTGCTGTTACCTTTCAAGAGGCTGAGAATTTGCACATTTACAGAAGCTGCAAGAACTTGGGAGCCCATAGTCCCCTTGATGTTACTGGACTCACTGCCAAGACGTCTGGATCCTGTGGCTGCCTGTGGCTACTGCCAGATCCAGAAACAGAAAATGGAGGATAAAATAGCTTCTCCCTTTTGCCTTCTGGTCTTTCTCTGAGACCTGCCTTTGGGAAAATCTAACTGGAAACTACCTAGTTAGGAAACTTGGGAATCTAGTTTGTAAATTTTTAGCACCTTACAATATAGAGAATATTGAAGGGCAGGAATTAAGCTAAAAGTCAGCTTTCCCAGGGAGTTGTTATTTGTTTTGTTATTTAGTTATTTGTTTTGTTATGTTTTGTGACAAAGTCTCACTCTGTCACCCAGGCTGGAGTGCAGTGGTGCAATCATGGCTCACTGCAGCCCCGACCTCCTGGCCTCAAGTTATCCTCTGGCTTCAGCCTCCCGAGTAGCTGGCACTACAGGTGTGTGCCACCAAGCATGACTAATTTTTAGAATTTTTTTTTTGTAGAGACAGAGTCCCACTATGTTTCTCAGCCTCGTCTTGAACTTCAGGGGATGATGAGCATCCCCTCTTTTCATATAAACTGTGTTGTGAGTCAGTGTCCCCGGGATGAGTGCTGCAAAGCTCAGAGGAATTCATACTAACCATTTTTCATTTTTAAATATCTACTGAAGATTCAACATTCAAAGGAAGAAAATGAATTGGTAACCTTGGGAAGGCCTGCACCTTCACTAGGAGAGGTAATTTTGGCAAAGTAAAATAGGGATCTGTCACCCAAAGATATGGAAATTGTTCCTGAGCAGAAAACACACAAACAAAACCAGCTACCCCTGCAGTCCCTGTTACCAGGTACTGTTCTCTACTTTCCTCCCTCCACCCTATAGAATATAGCCTATTCTATATTCCTCTGGGATAATGGCTTCCATTCTTCCTTCCTGGGAATTGCAGCCTAACTCTTGTCGCTAGTCTGGTGGCCTGGAGCTTGGTGACCCACCCTGGACAGTCCTTCTGAGCCTCAGACCTGGTATCTATATATTTATTGAATTATCTAGTTACTTTAGCTTGCAACTTTTGAGAGTAATTATTAAGAGCAGGTTTTGCTCAAATGTAAACAGAAGTTTTAATGAACTTTCAACTCTCTTCTTCAATCAGATAAATATTTCTTGGCATCCTCTGCACCCTGGACAGCTCCCCAAGTGACCTTCTGTTACTCACAATCTCTTCTAATTTCCATGAAAAGTGAATTAAAGCCATGACATTATCTTCCCATTTGGTCTATATCTTTCTTTACCTTCTTTCTTCCTCCCAAAGTCTGGCCCACTTCATAATAAATATCACTGTGGCTACCACTTATTGAGCACTTACTATGTTGAGCACCTACTATGTGCCTGGGGCTTTATACACAATGTTTTGTTTAATCCAGATCAGAACCCCAAAGAAGTTCTCATTACAAAGACAGAAGAATTAAGGCTCACATATCTAGTTAGTGATGAAGTTCATATTTGAGCCCAAGTCAGCCTGATTCCAAGACCTGCATTCTTTTCATAGAAGTATGGGATATGTATTACCTCCAATATGGGTACAGGAGATGCAAGAGAGGTCAGAGTCTACTTGGACTTCTTTCCAGGTCTTTGTTTCAAAAGAACACTTTAGACAAAACAGGATGTAAAAATATAAACAGAATGAGAAAAGCAGGAAATCCCCATCTTTATGATAGCTTTACTCTCAGCCTTTCAGGATGAACTTACTGATATGAATTGGCTGTGTCTCCACCCAAATTTCATCTTGAGTTGTAGTTCTCATAATCCCCACTTGTCATTAGAGGGACCCAGTGGGAGGTAATTGAATCGTGGGGGCAGGTTTTTCCCATGCTGTTTTTATGATAGTGAATAAGTCTCACAAGATCTGATGATTTTATAAAGGGCAGTTCCCCTGCACACGCTCTCTTGCCTGCTGCCATGCAAGATATGCCTTTGCTCCTCCTTCGCCTTCCACCGTGGTTGTGAGGCCACCCCAGCCATGTTGAACTGTGATTCCATTAAACCTCTTTTTCTTTTTCTTATTCCTCCCCCTTCCCCTTCCCCTTCCCCTTCACCTTCTCCCTCCCTCCCTTCCTTCCTTCCCTTTTTGTTTTTGTTTTGTTTTGTTTTGTTTTTTTGGGGATGGAGTCTCGCCCTGCCACCCAGGCTGGAGTACAGTGGCGCCATCTCGGCTCACTGCAACCTCCACCTCCCAGGTTCAAGCAATTTCCCTGCTTCAGCCTCCCAAGTAGCTGGGATTACAGGTGTAAGCCACCGTGCCTGGCTCCTAAACCTCTTTTCTTTATAAATCACCCAGTCTTGGGCAGTATGAAAATGGACTAATACACTTACATATAGCGATCCCCATATTTCTGGAGACTATGGAATTTAGCCTCTGCTTTGTTTTAGCTTGCTAATAGAAAATTAAAATGTTAAAGTTTCAAAAAAATTATTCTACAACTTCACTCAGAGGCATGACTTGGTTTGGTTTGGTTTAAAGGTGGTATCCTTTGCTGTTTAGGAGAAATAATATGTGAACTAAAAGAATCCTTTACAGTAAATATATAAAACTCATTATTTAAAGAAATATAGCACCTGCAAGTATGATAACAGCTGCCTTCATTTAGACATAGCTTTGTCTTTAGCCAGGAACCTTAATTAACTCAGGATTCTTAACACAATCCTGAGAAATACAGAGTTAGAAAGGAAGGTTGTGCACATTTACTGAGTATCTATAATGTTCCAAGCTCTGTCATTATAACCTGCTGTCTCTATTTTATTTAGTAAGTTTAAGAAAGGTTTTGAGAGGGTCATAGAAAAACATATCATTGGAGAATTATCTAGAGAACCAAAAGAGGACAAGTCTAAAAAGAGACCATGGTGAGCCTCAGTTTCAGGCCATCTTTTCTTCTCATTCTATGTATTCTCCCAGCTTCATTTTATTCATGCCAATATCTATACTTACCATTTATTAATGAATGATTCTCAAATCTACATAACAATTCAGACCTCTCCGCTAAATTCCTTTTTACATATCCAGCTGTTTTCTGAATATCTGCCTTGGATGACCCACAGGCTTCTCTGAAGTGTCATGCCCCAGATGAAAGTATTTTCCTGCCACTCAGCTCCTGTTCCTTGTTTCATGGTCCAGTGAATGGCACCACCATCCACTCTATTGCCCAAATCACCTATGCAGTTTCCTTGGCTTTTTATTTTCCCTCACTGTTCTCTATCCTACCCCATCCCCCAATCTAATAAATGGCCAAATCCTGTCAACTCTATCGTCCAAATATCTCTGGAATCTACATGCTTCTTTCCATCAGCCACTCAGCTAAGCTTTCAGGCGTTAGAGTAGCTGATTAAAAATAGCCAAAATGAAAGTAACAGTCAAACCTTGACTCCCCTTTGTTTCATTTCCCCCAGTGGAACAGTGTGTTGGTGGAGTCAACTCACTGTTTAGGGATCTCCAACCAAAAGGCACCTGCAGTTTTATGGACCCTGGAGCCAGAAGTGAGGAAGAATGGGAGGGCTGCAAGTAGAAAATATCGAGTACTGAGTCAGAGTGGGTAAAGTGTCTTCAAGCTTCCCTGAAAAGAAGAAGACTTCCAAATGGAGGTGCCTGGGCCATGAATGCAGATATGTATAAGAGCATAGCTGGCCAGGAGGCCTGAATCTTTGACTGCAACTCTCCTCAGACACTGCAATGCATTGGCTCTGTACCAAGTCTGGTGTGGGAAGGGCAGCTTTTCCTATGAGGCCTTCCAGGCAAAGCCTTTGCAATTGCCTGTGGCTGGGCCTGAAATATCACACATACGGTTTTGGCCAGGAGTTAAACTCCTCACTCCTGAACCCCAGTTCTGCTACCTGAGCCCAGGCCACCATCCTCTCTTACCTCCAGAATTACAGCAGCCTCCTTAATGGTCTCCTTGGAGCCGGTCTTTGCCATCTTCCAATCTGTTTTCCATAAAGCAGCCAGAGGGATTGTTATAAAACACAAATCTGACCTAATCATGCCTGTATCAGTCAGGGTCCCAAAAGGAAATAGACTTTAATTCAGATGGTTCAAATGAAAAGCTTTGATGAAAGGGCTACTTACAGAGGTGTGGGCAGAATGAAAGAGACTAGAAACAGGGGAAGCCATATTTATCTGTAGGTCTGAAGAGACAAGAAATAGTTACTCAGTGAAAGCTGGAGCCACAAAAGGGCTGCCTGGCAGGACCTGTGTTCAAGGAGGGATACATTTACTATCGGGTGTAGCACTGAAGCAAGGGGACCCAGGGAAAAGGCACCGCATTGGCTGAACCCATCTGGAAGCCAGTAGGCAAGGGAGAGTGGGTGACAGACCCTATGGGGATCTGATTTCCAGGGCAGAGAATGGATCTGGAGGTATGGGAAACAAAAGAACCAGTGCAACTCTTCTACTTAACACCCAGCCATGTCTTCACATTGCATGTAGGGTAAAGTCCAAGCTCCTAAATTTGGCTTCCAAAGCCTTCCTGATCTGGGCTGAGCCTTTCTTCGCAGTTTGTATTACACACTTCATCCTGAGCTCTTGCTCTGTACTTTCGCCATACTCAACTTACTTTCGTTCTCTCCTATCCAGGCCTTTGTAAGGGTTATTCTCTATCCCAGAAATATTTTCTCCAACCAACCTCTCTTTAATCTGTATACATCTTTCTCACTTTTCAGATCTCAATTTAATTGTCACTGTCTGCAGAAATTCTATTGTCACATGGCCCTGACTAAGCATAGTGTTTTCTCATGGATTTCCATATCCTTCTTCCACATCAAAGCCTCCAATAAATTTCCAGTCACTCCCACTGTACTGTAAGCCTTGCAGAGCACAGATTGTATCTATCATGTTCACTGTTGTATCACCAGAGTGTGCCTGGTACTAGGAACTACTTAAGTATATATTAAATGAATGAGAGCTTATTATATTTCATGTACTTGCCATTCATTTTTTTTCATCGATTTCCTTCTATTTCTATGTTATGTTGAGGTTTTATTAGGGGAGATGGATGAATTTTATCAACACCTTTTCAGCAAGTGTTGATATGATTATGTAGTTTATCTTCCTTAATTTGCTGTTGTAATGAGTGATAAGTGATTGATTTTAGATCATACATTTGCATTCCTAAAATATACACAACTTGGTAATATTCATTTTATTAGAGGCTAGATTTTGTTTACTAATAATTTATTTAGAATTTTTGTATCTAGATTCATTTGTAAGAGTTTTACATTTTTATATTCTCCATCTGGCTTTGGAATTAGGATTATGCTGACTTCATAAAATAAATGAAGGAGCTTAAATAGGATTAGAACTATCTGTTATTTAAGAGTTAGAGAGAGCACTGTTACGAAACATCCGGTCCTGGCACCTTGTTTTAATGGTAGATCAAAATTCACCTGAGAGGAGCCAAGATGGCCGAATAGGAACAGCTCCGGTCTCCAGCTCCCAGCGTGAGCAACGCAGAAGACGGGTGATTTCTGCATTTCCATCTGAGGTAGCGGGTTCATCTCACTAGGGAGTGCCAGACAGTGGGCGCAGGTCAGTGGGTGCGCGCACCGTGCGCCAGCGGAAGCAGGGCGAGGCATTGCCTCACTCGGAAGCGCAGAGGATCAGGGAGTTCCCTTTCCTAGTCAGAGAAAGGGGTGACAGACGGCACCTGGAAGATCAGGTCACTCGCACCCGAATACTGACGGGCTTAAAAAACAGCGCACCAGGAGATTGTGTCCCACACCTGGCTCGGAGGGTCCTACGCCCACGGAGTCTCGCTGATTGCTAGCACAGCAGTCTGAGATCAAACTGCAAGGCGGCAACGAGGCTGGGGGAGGGGCGCCCGCCATTGCCCAGGCTTGCTTAGGTAAACAAAGCAGCCAGGAAGCTCGAACTGGGTGGAGCCCACCACAGCTCAAGGAGGCCTGCCTGCCTCTGTAGGCTCCACCTCTGGGGGCAGGGCACAGACAAACAAAAAGACAGCAGTAACCTCTGCAGACTTAAGTGTCCCTGTCTGACAGCTTTGAAGAGAGCAGTGGTTCTCCCAGCACGCAGCTGGAGATCTGAGAACCGGCAGACTGCCTCCTCAAGTGGGTCCCTGACCCCTGACCCCCGAGCAGCCTAACTGGGAGGCACCCCGTAGCAGGGGCAGACTGACACCTCACACGGCAGGGTATTCCAACAGACCTGCAGCTGAGGGTCCTGTCTGTTAGAAGGAAAACTAACAAACAGAAAGGACATCCACACCAAAAACCCATCTGCACATCACCATCATTAAAGACCAAAAGTAGATAAAACCACAAAGATGGGGAAAAAACAGAGCAGAAAAACTGGAAACTGTAAAAAGCAGAGCGCCTCTCCTCCTCCAAAGGAACACAGTTCCTCACCAGCAACGGAACAAACCTGGATGGAGAATGACTTTGACGAGCTGAGAGAAGAAGGCTTCAGATGATCAAATTACTCTGAGCTATGGGACGACATTCAAACCAAAGGCAAAGAAGTTGAAAACTTTGAAAAAAATTTAGAAGAATGTATAACTAGAATAATCAATACAGAGAAGTGCTTAAAGGAGCTGATGGAGCTGAAAACCAAAGCTCGAGAACTACGTGAAGAATGCAGAAGCCTCAGGAGCCGATGCGATCAACTGGAAGAAAGGGTATCAGTGATGGAAGATGAAATGAATGAAATGAAGTGAGAAGGGAAGTTTAGAGAAAAAAGAATCAAAAGAAACGAGCAAAGCCTCCAAGAAATATGGGACTATGTGAAAAGACCAAATCTACGTCTGATTGTTGTACCTGAAAGTGACGGGGAGAATGGAACCAAGTTGGAAAACACTCTGCAGGATATTGTCCAGGAGAACTTGCCCAATCTAGCAAAGCAGGCCAACATTCAGATTCAGGAAATACAGAGAACGCCACAAAGATACTCCTCGAGAAGAGCAACTCCAAGACACATAATTGTCAGATTCACCAAAGTTGAAATGAAGGAAAAAATGTTAAGGGCAGCCAGAGAGAAAGGTCGGGTTACCCTCAAAGGGAAGCCCATCAGACTAACAGCGGATCTCTCGGCAGAAACTCTACAAGCCAGAAGAGAGTGGGGGCCAATATTCAACGTTCTTAAAGAAAAGAATTTTCAACCCAGAATTTCATATCCAGCCAAACTAAGCTTTATAAGTGAAGGAGAAATAAAATACTTTACAGACAAGCAAATGCTGAGAAATTTTGTCACCACCAGGCCTGCCCTAAAAGAGCTCCTGAAGGAAGTGCTAAACATAGAAAGGAACAACCAGTACCAGCCGCTGCAAAATCATGCCAAATTGTAAAGACCATCAAGACTAGGAAGAAACTGCATCAACTAACGAGCAAAATAACCAGCTAACATCATAATGACAGGACCAAATTCACACATAACAATATTAACTTTAAATGTAAATCGACTAAATGCTCCAATTAAAAGACACAGACTGGCAAATTGGATAAAGAGTCAAGACCCATCAGTGTGCTGTATTCAGGAAACCCATCTCATATGCAGAGACACATATAGGCTCAAAATAAAGGGATGGAGGAAAATCTACCAAGCAAATGGAAAACAAAAAAAGGCAGAGGTTGCAATCCTAGTCTCTGATAAAACAGACTTTAAACCAACAAAGATCAAAAGAGACAAAGAAGGCCATTACATAATGGTAAAGGGATCAATTCAACAAGAAGAGCTAACTATCCTAAATATATATGCACCCAATACAGGAGCACCCAGATTCATAAACCAAGTCCTGAGTGACCTACAAAGAGACTTAGACTCCCACACATTAATAATGGGAGACTTTAACACCCCACTGTCAATATTAGACAGATCAACGAGACAGAAAGTCAACAAGGATACACAGGAATTGAACTCAGCTCTGCACCAAGCAGACCTAATAGACATCTACAGAACTCTCCACCCCAAATCAACAGAATATACATTTTTTTCAGCACCACACCACACCTATTCCAAAATTGACCACATACTTGGAAGTAAAGCACTCCTCAGCAAATTTAAAAGAACAAAAATTATAACAAACTATCTCTCAGACCACAGTGCAATCAAACTAGAACTCAGGATTAAGAATCTCACTCAAAACCGCTCAACTACATGGGAACTGAGCAACCTGCTCCTGAATGACTACTGGGTACATAACGAAATGAAGGCAGAAATAAAGATGTTCTTTGAAACCAACGAGAACAAAGACACAACATACCAGAATCTCTGGGACACATTCAAAGCAGTGTGTAGAGGGAAATTTATAGCACTAAATGCCCACAAGAGAAAGCAGGAAAGATCCAAAATTGACACCCTAACATCACAATTAAAAGAACTAGAAAAGCAAGAGCAAACACATTCAAAAGCTAGCAGAAGGCAAGAAATAACTAAAATCAGAGCAGAACTGAAGGAGATAGAGACACAAAAAACCCTTCAAAAAATCCATGAATCCAGGAGCTGGTTTTTTGAAAGGATCAACAAAATTGATAGACCGCTACCAAGACTAATAAAGAAAAAAAGAGAGAAGAATCAAATAGATGCAATAAAAAATGATAAAGGGGATATCACCACCGATCCCACAGAAATACAAACTACCATCAGAGAATACTACAAACACCTCTACGCAAATAAACTAGAAAATCTAGAAGAAATGGATAAATTCCTCGACACGTACACTCTCCCAAGACTAAACCAGGAAGAAGTTGAATCTCTGAATAGACCAATAACAGGAGCTGAAATTGTGGCAATTATCAATAGCTTACCAACCAAAAAGAGTCCAGGACCAGATGGATTCACAGCTGAATTCTACCAGAGTTACAAGGAGGAACTGGTACCATTCCTTCTGAAACTATTCCAATAAATAGAAAAAGAGGGAATCCTCCCTAACTCATTTTATGAGGCCAGCATCATCCTGATACCAAAGCCGGACAGAGACACAACCAAAAAAGAGAATTTTAGACCAATATCCTTGATGAACATTGATGCAAAAATCCTCAATAAAATACTGGCAAACCGAATCCAGCAGCACATCAAAAAGCTTATCCACCATGATCAAGTGGGCTTCATCCCTGGGATGCAAGGCTGGTTCAATATATGCAAATCAATAAATGTAATCCAGCATATAAACAGAACCAAAGACAAAAACCACATGATTATCTCAATAGATGCAGAAAAGGCCTTTGACAAAATTCAACAACCCTTCATGCTAAAAACTCTCAATAAATTAGGTATTGATGGGATGTATTTCAAAATAATAAGAGCTATCTATGACAAACCCACAGCCAATATCATACTGAATGGGCAAAAACTGGAAGCATTCCCTTTGAAAACTGGCACAAGACAGGGATGCCCTCTCTCGCCACTCCTATTCAAAATAGTGTTGGAAGTTCTGGCCAGGGCAATGAGGCAGGAGAAGGAAATAAAGGGTATCCAATTAAGAAAAGAGGAAGTCAAATTGTCCCTGTTTGTAGATGACATGATTGTATATCTAGAAAACCCCATTGTCTTAGCCCAAAATCTCCTTAAGCTGATAAGCAACTTCAGCAAAGTCTCAGGATACAAAATCAATGTACAAAAATCACAAGCATTCTTATACACCAGCAACAGACAAACAGAGAGCCAAATCATGAGTGAACTCCCATTCACAATTGCTTCAAAGAAAATAAAATACCTAGGAATCAAACTTACAAGTGATGTGAAGGACCTCTTCAAGGAGAACTACAAACCACTGCTCAATGAAATAAAAGAGGATACAAACAAATGGAAGAACATTCCATGCTCATGGGTAGGAAGAATCAATATCGTGAAAATGGCCATACTGCCCAAAGTAATTTACAGATTCAATGCCATCCCCATCAAGCTACCAATGCCTTTCTTCACAGAATTGGAAAAAACTACTTTAAAGTTCATATGGAAACAAAAAAGAGCCTGCATCGCCAAGTCAATCCTAAGCCAAAAGAACAAAGCTGGAGGCATCACGCTACCTGACTTCAAACTATACTACAAGGCTACAGTAACCAAAACAGCATGGTACTGGTACCAAAACAGAGGTATGGATCAAAGGAACAGAACAGAGCCCTCAGAAATAATGCCGCATATCTACAACTATCTGATCTTTGACAAACCTGAGAAAAACGAGCAATGGGGAAAGGATTCCCTATTTAATAAATGGTGCTGGGAAAACTGGCTAGCCATATGTAGAAAGCTGAAACTGGATCCCTTCCTTACACCTTATACAAAAATCAATTCAAGATGGATTAAAGACTTAAATGTTCGACCTAAAACCATAAAAACCCTAGAAGAAAACCTAGGCATTACCATTCAGGACATAGGCATGGGCAAGGACTTCATGTCTAAAACACCAAAAGCAATGGCAACAAAAGCCAAAATTGACAAATGGGATCTAATTCAACTAAAGAGCTTCTGCACAGCAAAAGAAACTACCATCAGAGTAAACAGGCAACCCACAAAATGGGAGACAATTTTCACAACCTACTCATCTGACAAAGGGCTAATATCCAGAATCTACAATGAACTCCAACAAATTTACAAGAAAAAAACAAACAACCCCATCAAAAAGTGGGCGAAGGACATGAACAGACACTTCTCAAAAGAAGACATTTATGCAGCCAAAAAACACATGAAAAAATGCTCACCATCACTGGCCATCAGAGAAATGCAAATCAAAACCACAATGAGATACCATCTCACACCAGTTAGAATGGCAATCATTAAAAAGTCAGGAAACAACAGGTGCTGGAGAGGATGTGGAGAAATAGGTACACTTTTACACTGTTGGTGGGACTGTAAACTAGTTCAACCACTGTGGAAGTCAGTGTGGCAATTCCTCAGGGATCTAGAACTAGAAATACCATTTGACCCAGCCATTCCCATTACTGGGTATATACCCAAAGGACTATAAATCATGCTGCTATAAAGACACGTGCACACGTACGTTTATTGCGGCATTATTCACAATAGCAAAGAGTTGGAATCAACCCAAATGTCCAACAATGATAGACTGGATTAAGAAAATGTGGCACATATACACCATGGAATACTATGCAGCCATAAAAAATGATGAGTTCATGTCCTTTGTAGGGACATGGATGAAATTGGAAATCAACATTCTCAGTAAACTATGGCAAGAACAAAAAACCAAACACCGCATATTCTCACTCATAGGTGGGAATTGAACAATGAGAACACATGGACACAGGAAGGGGAATATCACACTCTGGGGACTGTTGTGGGTTGGGGGGAGGGGGGAGGGTTAGCATTGGGAGATATACCTAATGCTAGATGAGGAGTTAGTGGGTGCAGCGCACCAACATGGCACATGTATACATATGTAACTAACCTGCACATTGTGCACATGTACCCTAAAACTTAAAGTATAATAATAAAAAATAAAAAATTAAAAAATTAAAGAAAAATTCACCTGTGTTAGTTTCCTATTTCTACTGTAGCAAATTACCACAAATTTAGGGGCTTAAGACAACACAAATTTATTCTCTTATAGTTATAGAGGTCATAAGTACAAAATCAGCTTCACTGGGCTAAAGTCAAGGTGTCAGCAGGACTGCACTCCCTCTGAAGGCTCTGGAGGAGAATCCGTTTCCTTGCCTTTTCCAGCTTTTAGGGGCCATTTGCATTACATGTCTCATTGCACTTTCCTTCATTTTCAAAGGTAGCAGTATAACGTCTTCAAATCTCTCTCTGCTTCCATGATGGCATCACCCTCTACTGTGGTCAAATCTCCCTCTTTCTCCTTCTTACAAGCACACTTGTGATTATATTTAGGGCCCACCCAGCTAATACAGGATAATCTCTTCATCTAAAAAAAATTACTAATTTAATCACACCTGCAAAATCCCTTTGCCATATAAGGTAATATTCATAGGATCCAGGGATCAAGACTTCGATATATTTGGGGGCCATTATTCAGCCTACCACACTCCCTCTTATAAAGACCCTTGCAATTACATCATTGGGGCCACCTGGAATTAATGCAAGGTACTTTCTCTATGTCTAGATCCTTAACATAATCACAACTGTAAAGTTCCTTTTGCCATATAAAATAACATACTTTATTCACATATTCAGGGGTTAGAACACAGACATCTTTGGACAGCTATGGTTTATCACCTTTCAAATCTATTCTATGGAAATTGGCCTTTTAATGTTTTCTATTTCTTAGGTCAATTTTAGACATTTGTATTTTGCTAGGAAATCAGCAATTTCCTCCTGGTTCTCAAATTTGTTTTGACAGATGTGCATATAATATTCATATACATATATATATATATATATATATTTTTTTTTTTTTTTTTCTGTGACAGGGTCTCACTCTACTACCCAGGCTAGAGTACAGTGGCACAATTATAGCTCACTGCATCTTCAACCTCCTGGGCTCAAGCAATTATCCTGCCTCAGGCTCCTGAGTAGCTAGGTCTACAGGTATGAGCCACCATGCCTGGCTAGTTTTTTAGTTTTTTTGTGGGAGACAGGGTCTCACCATGGTGCACAGGCTATTTGAACTCCTGGCCCCAAGCCATCCTCCTGCCTTGGCCTCCCAAAGTGCTGGGATTACAGGCATGAGCCATCATACCTGGCTCTTACAATTTTTTAAAAAATCTCTTTCTTTGATAGTTATCATTTTTCATTCCTAATCATGTATATTTTTTCTTGTGGGCATATTTTATTTTTGCCATAATCAGGCTCATGAAGCTTGTTGTTTTTATTGGTCCTCTCAAAGGAATAGTTTTTCAGTTGATGCATTCTTCTTCCATGTAAAAAAATTTCTATTTCATCAATTTTAGCTTTTATTTTCTTAGTTTGGGTTTTTGATTGCTTTTTCTAATTTTTAAGATCGTATTTATTTATATTATCTATTTCTTTTATCCAAATAGAAATTTATTTTTCTTTCATGTGTACTTTCATTTTTCTTTCTTTCTATACTCCTATAGGCAGTATAGGAGTGTTATGGTTACTCCACCATCATTAGGACTTACAGGTTTCTTTTTGAAAAGTGTTTTTGATTTTTAAATTTTTAAAAAATTGATATTTAATAGTTGTACATGCAATATTTTGATACCTGCATATAATGTGTAATGAGAAAATCAGGGTAATCAGGATGGCCATCACTTCAAACATGTATCTTTTCTTTCTGTTGGGAGCATTACAAATCTTCTCTTCCAGCTACTTTGAAATATACAATAAGTTATTGTTAACTATAATTTCCCTACTATACATCAAATACTAGAACCTATTCCTTCTATGTTTTTGTATCCTTTAACCAACTTCTCTTCATCCCTACCTCCCTCGCCTTTCTTTTACATCCTCTGGTAAGCACCATTTTAATCTCTATCTCCATGAGATCCACTTTTTCAGCTCCCACATATGAATGAGAACATGCGATATTTGTCTTTCTGTGCCTGGCTTACCAAAGGCCTCCAGTTCCGTCCTTTCTCACTGTCTTCCTTTGTGGTTAAGTGATTTTCTCTGGTAGTATGTTTTAATTCATTGCTTTTTATTTTCAGTATATCTATCATAAGTTTTTGTTTGGTGGTTAATATGAAGATTACAAAAAATTCTATAGTTATAACAAGTTACTTAAAACTGATTCCAACTTAGCTTTGATCACAAAAAAACAAAAAGAAACAAACTAACAAAATAAAACCTTATACATATTAATTCCCCTCTCCTCACACATTTTGAATTTTTGATACTGCAATTTACATTTTTATATTGCTAATCTCTTAATAAATTGTTGTAGTTATTGTTTTTAGTAGTTTTATCTTTTAGTCTTCTTAGTAAAGATTTAATTGATTTACACACCACAATTACAATATTAGTGTAACAATCACATTGGTATCCTTTTCTTTTGGCCTAAAGAACTCTCGTTAGCATTTCTTGTAGGACAGGTCTGGTAGCAACAAATTCCCTCAGCTTTTGTTTGTCTAGGAAAGCCTTTATCTCTCCTTCGTTTCTGAAGAATAGCTTTACTGGAAACAGTATTCTTGCTTTGCAGTTTACTTCTTTCAGCACTCTGAATATATCATCTCACCTCTCCTGGCCTGTACAGTTTCTACTGAGAAGTCTGCTGCCAGGCATTTCAGATCTACCTTATCTGTTATTTGCTTCTTTTTTCTCATTGCTTTCATAATCGCTTCTTTGTCTTTGATCTTTGAGAGTTTGATTGTAATACCTAAGGGTATTCTTATATGGGTTGAAAGTGATTGGTGACCCTTGACCTTCCTGTACCTGGATATTTATATCTTTCTCCAGGTTTGGAAGGTTTATGTTATTATTTCTTTGAAAAAGCTTTCTACCTTCTTGTCTTTCTCATTTCCCTCTTTAACTAAGTAACATGAATGATTGCTCTTTTATTGTTGTCCTGTCATTCCTGTAAGCTTTCTTTATACTTTTCATTCTTTTTTCTCCTCTGACTGTATATTTTCAAATATTCTGTTTTCAAGCTCACTGATTGTTCAGCTTGATCAGTTCTGCTGATCTATTGCATTTTTCCTTTCATTCATTGTATTTTTCAGCTCCAGGATTTCTGGGTTTTTTTTTTTTTAATTATTTTAATCTCTGTTAAATTTCTCTGATACATTTCTGAATTGATTATGTGTATTTTGTAGAAGTCAATCAAGCTTCTTAAAACAGCTATTTTGTATTATTTGTCTAAGAAAGTGCATATCTCTATCCCTTTAGGGTCAGCCTCTGGCACCTTAGTTTTTCCATATGAAGAGTCATATTTCCGTGTGTGTTTTTAATGCTGTGAACATGAAATGATGTCTGCGTATTGATAGGTTAAGTATTTATTTAATATTTTAGTCTTTGTAGTCTAGCTTTCTTTGTGCTTATCCTTGTAGGGATTCTATACAGTCTGACTATTGTTTTCTCTGAGCCTCTGACCTCTGCAGCCATCTCAGCAGTAGAAGATGCTCTAAGTACAGGCTTGCTGCAAGTCTCATGAGGACTATGAGATTGGCACAGCTTTCCAGCCCAGAAGGATCAGGGGAAGACTCAAGGAGGGTACTTGGGCTGTGTGGGAATGCTGGACAGGGACCTGAATCCAGAAGACTGTCCTGGTGGCCAAGATGGATGGCTATCCCCAGTTGGGGACCCATCCCACCTGTGCATGCCTCTCAGCAGGTTTCTGCACATGTGGGATGGGTCCCCACCTGCAGCAAGGGAGGCTGGAGTTGAAATTGGTCCCTCTCAGGATCTGTTATGGGAAGGAAGCTGATGGGCCTATTTTGTTGGCTCAGACAGATATATGTCACCCAGCAGTACCCTGCACAAGCAGGGTAGTTCTTCGACTGCAGCAGGAAAGACCAAAGCTGAGGCTGGACCTCCAAGGGACCTGCTGTGAGACAGACACTGGCATGCTTATCCCAGTGGTTTATATGGGTACGCATCTTCTAGTAGGTCTCTGGATAGATGGGATAGTTCTGTGCAGCAGGGGGAGTCAGAGCGGTTACTAGGGCCCCTCAGGATCTGCTGTGGGACAAGCTGAAGAGCCCTTCTCATTGGCTTAAACAGGTATACATCTCCAAGCAGGTATCAGCATAGATGGGATAGTTCCCCAACTGCAGCAGGATGGAGTGTTGCTGAGATGGGGCCCCCTTGACATCTGCTGTGGGGCAGAACCTGGAGAGCCCTGTCTCATTGGCTCAGAGAGACACATTCTCCCAGCAAGTTTCTGTAAAGATGGAATAGTTCCTTGGTTGCAGTGTGAGAGGCCAGAGCTGAGACTGGGCCTCCTTGGTATCTGTTGTGGAACAGAGGTTTACAAGCTCTAGCCTGTCTGAGAGGCTCAGACTACTGGGCTGCAAGTTATGGGCAAGTCTCCCTCTGGATCCTTATGTAAGCAGCTCTGAGCTGGGACCTCACCTGAGGGGGCTGGAGCAGAACCAGAGAGCAACGTTCAGATTGACTGCCAACACGACTGTCAGTGGGTAGATGAGCCTTTCTATTAGTGTGCACAATTCCTTCTTGACTCCTCGGCAGATGGCTTTGGTTGCAGGATCAAGGCCAAGTGGGGTTGTATCCAAACCCCTTGGGAGACTGGGTCATTTTCTGGCTTGAACCCAGGAACAAGCTTGGTGGATCAGCCACCTATGTGTAGGTCTTCCCTCTGCAAATGATCCTCTGATGTCTTGGACTTCACTAGGGTTTCACAAACTCCTACCTCAATCCTGAGGCTCCTGCAGAGTGACTTTTTACCATGGATGGATGCAGAATTCTTATAGGGAGATATGAGCGGGTTACCTTCTATTCTGCCCTCTTGTCACTTCATTTTTATATGATATATTTCTGATTTTATTGGATGAGGATCAGAGTTTGTGGTTTTAAAAATCTTTACTGTTTTATATTTTAATGTTTTTTGCAGCAAATACAATTTTTGTACAAATCATGGTCATATAAAATATATATTGTCAATTCTAAGGATATATGCATTTATTATATCAAGTTTTGTTTGTGTTATTGTGAAAATAAGTAATTCAAAGTCAAAGCTGTTGGAACTCTAAATTATTGTGAGCCTTAAAAAATGTGAATTATGAGGCTTGAGTCACATCACAGGCTGCTGTAACCTAGGCAGCTAGAACCTTTTTTCCTCTAGTTATGGGTGAAAGCTTTTCCCTTACCTGCATTGTTTTGTAAAATGTTGTAAATGGCTGAAGGATGCCAGGGAAGACCCTCTTTCCTCTACACTATCGACTTTCATTAAAAATTAACCTCCCTCTTTCCTTTCTCACACAAAGAATTCATGGTTATCACATTGCCTTAAGATGGAATGTTAAATACACTCTTTTAAATTTGAAAGGAAATGAAAACCAGCTGTAAAGAAAAGAAAACAAGCCACACAGAAAAGAAAACAAACTGTAACTAATTAATTTGTTGTTAGAATGCTTTCATTTCCCATAATCTGTTTTCCACCCACTACTATCAAATCCTAGAGTTTTTAAAATCATATTTTAAGATCCAAGTATTGAAATATTTAGTACTCTAAGACCCAAAGATTCTTATATTTTTCCTTGCAATATGTAGTTTTTGTTTTAAAAATCCTTATTTAGAATTAAAATTATAATTTCTTGGTCACTCTGCCACTATTCACTTATATTTTTCTACATATAGAGCCAGATGTATTGCTTATTACTTCTCCTCTCCCCTCATTTTGAAATCTCTGTCCTAACATTTGTAGTTTAGCAGTGTTTTTCTCACATGAAGTATGTGATTAATGTTCTCTGAATTCCTGAGTTTCTGCAAATATATATTTTTATCCTGACAGGGCTAGACAGTGAATTTTTGGGTTTCAGCTCACTTTTGGAGGTAGCCTATAGAAATAACGTAATTCATTTTTAGATTTTAGTATGTATTCAGGAAGTTTGATGCCTATCTGATTCTTTTTCCTTTGTAAGTGTGGCAGACACACTTGGTTACCCACTCAACATCTACTGGCTTCCTAACATCAGCACTGATTTTCTCAGGTATTATCCTATTCTCCATGGTATTTATCCCATTTCTTGTTCTGGAATTGTAGATTTTGATTTGTTTAAGTCAATCATGAAAAGGTCATTTACTTCTAATTAGCTTAGGAGTGAGCATGTGACTCTGCTCTAGTCAATGATACATCAAGGAAAGTCTAGTAAGAAATATTTTTTAGAAAAGTTTTCTAGCATTTGAGATCACTACTCTATCAATTAGGAAAGTTTTCAATTCAAAATAACATAAAACAAAAATGACCTTTAAAAATTGGGGGATAGTTTTCTCAGATAGCAAAAAGCCCAGAGGCAGGCAGTTGCTGATGTTGCATTTCTGATATCAGGGCATATACATCTCTAGTTTCTTTGACCTTTCCCTCATAGTTGCAAGATGGCTGCTGCAGTTCTAGCTCCAGTCATCACTTCAAAGCAAGAAGAAGGAAAAATAGGTAGGATAATGTCTGTACCACATGCTACTGTCCTTTCATATCAAGAAAGCTTATGGTTTCCCAGAAACCATTTAGCAAAATATATTAGATTGGTCAGGGTTCTTCAGAGAAACAGAATATATATATGGAATATAATGTAAATATATATATTTACATATATGTGTGTGTACATATATATGATGAATAAATATAAATAAGGAATGGTTCACAGTATTATGAAAGCTGGCAAGTCCAATCTGCAGAATGGGTTGGCAGACTGGGGACTCAAGGATAGCTGATGTCCCACTTTAAAGGTCATCAGTCAGGAAGAGCTGATATTTCTGATGAAGTCCAAAGGCCATCTGCTGGAAAATTCTCTCTTACTCAGGGAAGAGTCAGACTTTTTGTTCTATTTAGGCCTGATAGAATAAGGCCCAGCCACATTATGGCAAGCAATTTGCTTTACAGATTAAAATGTTAATCTCATCCATAAACACCCTTGAAGATACACTCAGAATAATGTTTAAACAAACATCTGGGGACCCCATGGTCCAGTCAAGTTGACACATAAAACTAACCATCACACAAACTTCTTTCTGCTTACATCTTATAGTCCAAAATTATATCACATGGTCACCCTTGACCAAAAAGAAGTCTTAGAAAGTGTGTTTAGCTGGGCACAAAATCAAGGTTCTTTTAGTGAAGAAGAAGAGGATGGTGGATCTTGGATAGGTAATCAACAACTACTGCCACTAAGCTACTGCCACTAAGATGGTGGATCTTGGATAGGTAATCAACAGCTACTGCCACTAAGACAAGAGGAGAGACAATTCGTTTGCTGCTTTTGGACATTGTGATGCTGTAATTTTTGCCATGAAAGAAGGTAGTCTGAGGATAAAGCAGAATTATTAGTTTGAAAAAAACCTGGTCTGTCTTTACTGGTGCAGTTAGGCCACTGAATTAACTAACTCTAGAGTGGTTTTACCCCTGGGCTTTGTGTGTGTACGTGTGCACGTGTGTGTATATGAGATATGTATATATACAGTTTCCTTATTTTTAAAGTCACTTTGATGTTTCTGATACTCACCACCAGAAAGCATCTTTATTAATATAATAGCATAGATTCTTTCTGTCTGGAAGTTTTAAAATTTATCCTAAAAGTTTAGAAATTTTATCAGGCTTTTTATTTTTCCAGCATTCCTATACATAACTTGAATACTTCAAACTGCAGATTTAAAATTTTCTTAATTTCAGGAAAATTTTCTTCTAATAGTTTAGTATTATTACCTTGTCTCTATCTGTTTTTATTTCTCGTTCTAGAACTTCAGTTATCCATGGGTTAGGTTTATTTAGCCTGTAGTCTCTTGGGTTTTTTTCCCTTACAGTTCCTATCCCTGTATATTTTTTACTCTGTGTATTATGTCTCCCACTTGATCTTGCAAATACTGCCTTTTATGACACCCCAAATATCACAATTCAGCCTCTCTACCAAGCTGAATTATCCAATAATTGCTTTATGTCAAAAAACAATGAGAGGTAAGACCTACTAGTGATATATGACGCAGGATTTCAGTTTTCAACTTTCTTGCCTCCTAGTTATCCACAGACATTACAAATTTTAATATTTTTCTTTAAAGATAGATTGAACTTTAAGCAATTTTTGTTTCTGTGGGATTAGAGGAGAATAAGAATTCTAAGAATTCAGTAACATAAGACTGTGACTTTGCGATAGACGTTTTAGTGAGCTAATGTGATTCAAGTGGCCTTACAATATGTTCAACAAATATTTTGGCATTACAAAAAGAACTTTTTCAAGTTTATTTTTTAGTTTTCTTGACAAAGTGGTTAACCAAAAGGATCTTCTGTGGGTGGACAAGGATTGAGAAAACTAAATAATTAGATCCATTGAACCTATTGTGGCAGAAATGCAGTGGTTCTATATGGACCTAAACAACTGCAATGTGCACTGTGCTGCTTAAAGCACAGAGGATACAAAGAAAAATGATGCACAGTTCCTGAGTTCAAGGCCATACAATCAGAAGGAGTGTGGGGTCTCATGCACTTGACTTAGGAAAGGAAGAGCATTGAGCTCTGACATGTTCCCTCCTGATGCACCTTTAAAGGACGTATCCCTAGGTCCCAGAGAATGCAAATTTGAGGAGGTGCTCATAATATAATTTTATCTGGGAATTGGGTATAATCATTTCTTGTGTCCTGGTATCATGTCAAAATACCACTTGAAGTATTTTCTTTTCTTGATAATGGATTCTTCTCATAACCCCTCTGACAGGAAGATTAGCCTCTGAGGCTGAGGTTTATTGCCCTAGAGAAGGAAAGGCAGATACTGTCTAGGCAGAAAGAAATTGCTCAGCTCTGAGTTTAAAACCAGGCTTTTGAAAGTCCATGGTGAGAAAAGGGTTAGTTTTTACGGAAATCCCAAAACAGAACCTGGAACGTTGAACATAGATTAAATCTTAGACTGGGGACATCCTACCACACATAAAGGAGGTGACTTGGGTGGGAAGGGAGGTTCATAAATAATGGCTTGTTAGCCCCCCAGTATATTTTGATTTTGCTATATTTATATCTCTTTAAGTGCTCTTGTTATTAGGTCAAATTGTTGTTTATTTCTTCTAGCAGCTCTGGTCAGTTTTCTCCTATGGCTCATCTCCACCCTCTGGCTCCAGCAGCTTCTAGGCTCTGAACAGTTCTATAGTATGGACTGCAGTTGGGGCACTGGAACACAAGGATGTTCACAAGAATGTTCAGCAAGTTTTTTTTTCTTTCAGCCACTTTTATTTCCTTTTAGAGACAGGATCTTACTATCTTGCCCAGGGTAGTCTCCACCTTCTGGGCCCAAGCAATCTTCCCATCTCAGCTCTCCAAGTAGCTGGTAATACAGACATGTGCCACTGCACCTGTCTCAGGCACTTTTAAACAATTACGTTCTCACTTGATATGTAATTTTTGCTGCAGTAGACACTTAGCTTTTATGAATTTAACTTTTTCAATGATAACTCTTTGCAAGTGATCACACCTTCCCATCATGTGTATTCGAGATCATACCTTCCCATCATGTGTGTTTGAGTATTTTTTATTTATTGTTTCACTTATTTACATATATTTTCTTTAATTTTTTGGAGTCAGGCTCTCACTCTGTTGCCCAAGCTGGAGTGCAGTGGTGCAATCATGGCTCACTGCAGGCTCAACTTCCTGGGCTTGAAGCAATCCTCCTGCCTCAGCCTCCCAAATAGCTGAGACCACAGATACATGCCATGATGCCTGGCTCATTTTTCAATTTTTCTTTTTTTTTTTTGAGACAGAGTCTTGCTCTGTCGCCCAGGCTGGAGTGCAGTGGTGCGATCTCGGCTCCCTGCAAGCTCCGCCTCCCGGGTTCACGCCATTCTCCTGCCTCAGCCTCCCAAGTAGCTGGGACTACAGGCGCCCGCCACCAAGCCCGGCTAATTTTTTGTATTTTTTAGTAGAGACGGGGTTTCACCGTGTTAGCCAGGATGGTCTTGATCTCCTGACCTTGTGATCTGCTTGCCTCGGCCTCCCAAAGTGCTGGGATTACAGGCGTGAGCCACCGCGCCTGGCCTCAATTTTTCTTTTGTGGAGACAAGGTCTCGCTATGTTGCCCAAATTATTTAGGTCCATACAAAACCACTGCATTTCCGTGACAATAGGTTCAATGGATCAAATTCCTTAGTTTTCTCAATCCTTGTCCACTTACAGAAGATCCTTTTGGTTAACCCGTTTGCCAAGGAAACTAAAAAATAAATTTGAAAAGGTTCTTTTTGTAATGCCAAAATATTTGTTGAACAGATTGTGAGGCCACTTGAATCACTTTAGCTCACTCCTGGGCTCAAGTGATCCTGAATGAGAGTTATTTTAAAGCTGGAGTTACTTTGACAAAGAGCATGCCTCTCTGACCGCTCAGCTGTGTCTCGTCTTGCCTTTGCTGAATTTCACTCACTGTAGCATATTACATTTGTGAAAGATGGAAACGAGTTTTCACATGTGAAAAATGGCTATCAGAGGACGGGAAAACTTTAGTAGAAGTTGAAAGGGAGTTAACACCTGTGGCTTGAGAATATGCACAGAAAACAGGAGACTCTCAGTGGGATCTATGATTTGAGGGAAGGTCAGGTACCTGCCTAAACATTTCTATGTTCACAAATATGGACATTCATGACCATCTTTGAACATGTTCATGTTGTGTGTTAAAGTTTTATTGTTTTGAACCATGATTTCTTATTAGTTAATTACCCTCAAACTCAGAACAAAACTGATTAAGTTGCTCACTAACAGCATGTGATCACTTTCCAAATGTGTCTTTTTCACTTAGTTTGCAAAAAAAAAAAAAAAAAGTGTTAAAATTCTGCCTTCCAAGTCAGTTTTGATCTGGTAGCTCACATTCTTATTCTTCACAAAGAAAAATACCTTTTGTGCATGTGATTTATTGCCTCACTGAATCCTACCCCGGCAATACTTGAAATAATATTCTTTTCATATCACTCCAAGACTAATAGAGAAAGGTCCAAGTGGCAGGATACTTCCAGATATCAATTTCAGTCAAGTCCTTACCAATATAAGAAGGTCACACAACAATGAAAAATACCTTTTACTTTCTGCATCTCCTTATAGGTAGAATACACCAGCTTTAGTAGTCTGAGTTTGGAGCTGTTTTGTTTTAAATCAGAGCAGATGGTTAATTTTCTGTGTGTTTCAGGGCAGAAATTGTCATATGATAGGATGACGGCTTCCACCTATGTTTTTATAAGGTAATCTCAGCCTAATGAGAGTACAGCAGATGGGGATGGAAGCTTATACTGTGAGTTGATAAAGGGAAAACAAACCTGATCAGGGAGTGGAAAGGTTAGCTTTCCCAGCACTGAATCAAGGTTTTCATGAATGATAAAGATTATTCCCAAGTTGCTCATAGCACCCTCAGCGTGGGGTGGCTAGGAGACACCTGAAGAGGCAACCACTAATTATTCTGGTCTTGAGAAAGGCAGTGAAAGCCTCCATGGCCATGCCTGTGGTCAGTGGAAAGAATGCCACAATGGGGCATTCTCTGGGCCCACCCAGAGCAGGAGATTATACGTAGTGCAGGACCAGGCCTGAGAGCAGAGACATTTAGCAAGAGAAGCAAAAGGAGCAAAAATTACCAATATAGACAAAGAGCTGGACCCTCTTCATTGCCTGGTTAAATAACTTACCCACATTCTCACAGTTAATAAGTATAGGAAGAGCCTTGAATATTAGGTTGAGCCAAACGGCATTTCCAGTACTTGACCATACTGATGCTATACAAATGGCAATTTAATATGGCTCAACCTAATAATTCCGAACAGTAATTCAAAGCTTGTGCTGTTACAAAGAAGTTGGAAGAGTTTAGTATTTTCAAACTTTAGTAACTTAAGAATCAATTTTATGACTTTTGCTATTTCTGTGTACTGCTTTTACTATTATTATTTTCAAGATTGACTCTTAAAAAATTAGTCTCATCATAATGATCTAGGTCATCATAGCAAACACTTACACAACACTTATGATATACCAACACTTTACACATATTAATACATTGTGACTGAAATCACAGTTTTGATATGTTAGCTATATTTTCTACTATATGTTAATATAAAAACATACATATTACTTTTAAAATGTTTATCTCTACACCCCTTAAAGTCACCTCTTATACTAGATAGGGATATATATTGCACTTTGGGAAACTTTGGATTAGGGAATTCCTAAGGCTCCTTCCATCTTTAACATTTCTAACTGGTTGACCATTACCACACGGAGAAGCTGTGCCATGTAAAACTGTGCCATTAAGTGTGTGGGCTTCCTGGATTCATTCTGGCTCTGTCATTTGTTACCTAAGTCAACTTGGGCATGCCATTTAAAACTTTTTCTGTGGGGGGTAGTGGCATGCACCTGTAGTTCTAGCTACTTGGGAGGCTAAGGTAGGAGGAGTGCCAGCATGGTCAACATAGAGAGACCTGTCTCTTAAAAACAAAACAAAACAAAACAAAAAACCGCACACACAAAACCTCTGGCATACATTGGCTCCTTCCACCTCACTGGGTTGCGGTAAGTTAATGAGATAATAAATGTCAAGTGTAGGTGCTAGCTTATTTCATGCACTCAATAACTCTTCTTTATTATTGAATCACAGCTAAGGCAGGGTAATTAAGGCTGTGCTTTAGGGAAGTGAGACTTTAAGGATGCCAAAAATTAACAAATTTAAAAGCTAGTGGGGAAAAAGGGTTAATGCTCACTTTTTCACATGCTTTTCTGTCTTGGGAAAGCTGCCTTGTCATTTCCACTCCACCATTGTCTAGATTTCTCTGGAACCTGAGCCAGCCCTCTTGACATCAGGAGAAAATGCACAATGTCAAAGACTCAACTTTAAGGATAGTGACTTCAGTTCAGGTACCTTTTTGGGCATTATGGAACCATTTCCTCCCCACTATATGTAATATAGCACCACTGATTTGCAGATATGTTTCTTTCTGTTTTCCATTATTTCTAGTTAGGGCTAGTTCTCTTATCTCCTAAGATTGGACTTGGAAGGCTAAGTGAGTTTTAAAAAGGCAGTTTTTTTCTGTTTTTTTTTTTTTTTTTTTTTTTTTTTTTTTGTGGGAGTCATTCTACAATTCAGGAAAATTGCCCCATGGTGAATCAAGGTGTTCTAATAAAAGTTATCATCTATCTGAAGGCTTAAGTATTTAATAGTTGGCGCTAATAGCATTATCTGAAGTAGGCACTGTTATTAACCCTGTTTCACAGATGAGAAAAGTGAGATATAGGAAGTGAATCAAATAACCCAAAGCTACAGGGCTGATAAGTAGCAAAGGTGGGATCTGAAGCCAGACAGCCTGACTTAGAACATGTGCTCTTAGCCATATTTAACACAAAGTCTCAGCAAAATGTAACCTTCCTACTTATCCTTGCTCACAACCAGCTACTAATCAATTTAACCCCAGTTTCAGAGAAATAATATTGCATAATCATCAAAAGCAGACTCTGGAGCCTACCTCTACCATGTATAAAGTATCTGACCTTGGGCAAGTTACTTAAGTTCTCTGTGCCTTAATTTTCCTATATACAAAATGTGGATAATAATAGTACCTACTTCATAGGATTGTTGTGAATAATAAGCAGGTTTGTATATATAAGATGTCTAGGACTCATAGTAAGCACTATTCTCTATTAATAGAGAATTGGATAAATGAATTATGATACATCCATAATGTGGAATATAATGGAGTCATAAAAACTTGATTAACACAGAAATATGTTGAGTGAGGAATGCAGCTTACACAATTGAATAAGATGTTGAATAAAGCTGTGTTTGTGTATGTGTGTGCTGAGTACACATAAAGTTAACTTTGTTTTTTTGTTTATTTTATTAAAAATTACTTCTGTATTTTGAAAAAATTACAGTCAGTAATTTTCACTTAAAAGATCTTATTAGGAAATGTGGAGATTACACACACACGCGCGTGTGCACACACACACACACAGTTGAGGCCCTCAGATGTGTGCTGAGCCCTGAACTGGCGCCCTTCCTGGAATTTGATTATTCAAATGCCATTTTACCTAGTGGGCTGGAATTTAAGCTCTCCTCACTTAGCTTTAGTTCAGTGACACCTATGTTGAAGGTTTTAAATTATTTTAGATTGAAAATGCCACTGGTTCTCTATTTGGCTTGGGGTCTTTCATTGAGAGCTTTAGAAAACTTAATTTCTAGTCCACTCACAGATATCCTCCATGGTCAGAGGGAATTAACATTGGCAATTTGAAAAAGATACAATATGTATATTTCTAGAAAAAATTTAGAGGTGGCATTCTATGTTAGCTCTTTCTTTCAGAATATGAGTCCAAGGGCTATGAGATCCTTTGATTTGAAACATCCACAGAAGCACAGGAAGAAGGAATTATTCATCTATTCAACAAGCATTTCTTTGAACACTGTATGTACCAGGTTCTGTGTTAGGAAATGGAAATATGAAGATAATAAGACACAGTTCCTACCTTAAAAATGCTAATAGTTCAATGACGACTGGAGCAGGCAGGCAAACAAATCACTGGGTTAGAGTGTGAAAGGTACTGTATGGCTTATAAGAATGGGGATGATGGCTGGGTGCAGTGGCTCATGTCTGTAATCCCAGCACTTTGGGAGGCTGAGGCGGGTGGATCACCTGAGGTCAGGAGTTTGAGAACAGCCTGGCCAACATGGTAAAACCCTGTATCTACTAAAAATACAAAAAAATTACCGGGCATGGTGGCAGGCACCTGTAATCTCAGCTATTTGAGAGGTTAAGGCAGGAGAATTGCTTGAACGCGGGAGGTGGAGGTTGCAGTGAGCCAAGATCATGCCGTTGCACTCCAGCCTGGGTGACAGAGTGAGACTCTGTCTAAAGAAAAAATAAAAAATAAAAAAGAATAGGGATGACACAAAAAATGAGGTCAATTCCCAATAGATAATTGGATTTAGGAAAAAAGCCTCCCAGAAGAAGCAAGTTGTTTCTTCATAGATGGATAGATATTTGCCAAGCTGGCAAGGGGAAGAAGGGCCCTGCGGGTAGATGGAGCATCATGAGTGAAAGCAGAGAGGAATGAGAGACTCAGGAAATTTTGGGAAGCAAAATATTCTTTGGAATGTCTGGAGTTAGGGTGGAAGGATTATGGTAAAGAAAAAGATTAGGCGTTAGGACTCAAATTAGTAAATTACTTCTTCCAGCCAACCTAAGAAGTCTGGAATTTGTCATAGAGGTTATAGAGAATTCTTGAAGGGTTTTCATTAGGAAAGTAACATGATGCGATTTTCATTGTACAAAGATCACTCTGGTAGAGAGTGGATTGAGAAGAAAAGGCTGGAAGAAAGGCAAGTTGTCAGGAAATGTTTGCAGCCATTCATAGTGAAATGATGAATGAAGGCAGAAACAACAACAGGGATTGAGAGGACAGGGTGTTTGGAAGACATATTTTTGCTCAGTTATTCCTGTCTGAGAATTGGTCCTCTCTTCCTCAGGGCTGGGAAGTCCACAGCCATCTTTGTGCTATGTGTTCCTGACCTGTAGTTACAGCTGATTGGATCAGGGGGTACATTTGCCTGAGATGGATCAGTCAGGTTCTATTTCTCAGTCAGTTAGTCCCCGTGTGTGACTGAAACTGAGGATTATATAAACTGTGGGACAGCCATCTTCTATAAAACGTAAAAAGAAGTAGAGAACTGCATGGCCTCAGAAAAAGGAAAGAGAATGTAAATGACATAGAGAGAGAAACAGAGATGAAAGAACCTGTGAACTGAGAAGAGGTCGAGGGGAGAGAAAAAGACAGACAGGAAGACAGAGAGACAGATACAGAAACAAAGACAGAAATAGAATGGGAGCACTCCTTTAATTTCCAAATATTCTCCCAGGGCTTTGTTTCTTCTTATAAGTTAATGGGAAAGAGATGGTCAAGAGAATCAAAGGTCACTAGGCATGCATGGAGGTAAGCCACCATGAGGAAGAGTCAGCAGCAGCAACAAATGATAGATTTAGAGCTTTAAGAACTACAGATATGGGCATTTTCAAATACATAATGTAAGAAAGTTATGTATAAATATTTAAAGAAATAAAGCATACTTCACAAAAGATGAGTATGTAGACTATAATAAATGACTATTTTTAATACAAACAATGAAAACTTCTAGAAATGAAAGTATAATTGTAGAAATTTCTTAAATTAATGGACAAGTTAACAGTGGTTTAGGTGATTAGAGAACTGATTAACTGGAAGCAGAACAGGATAAAATGCCTAGAATTCAGGAAAGGGCAAGTGGAGGAAAAGAGAGGAGAGGAGAAGAGAAGAGATAAAAATATGAAAAAGAAGTTTATAATTTAGAAGATAGTATGAGAAGAGCTAATATATGTATAATTGGAGCCCTAGAAGAAAGGACTAAAGAAAATGAAGGAGGGACAAATTTAATGAGATAATGGCTGAGAACTTTTAGAATTGATGAAATACATGAGTCCACATGCTGAGGAAGCATATTGTATACCATTTAGGGTTTTTTTTTTTAAAAAGCAACTCATGATTAGATACATCAGAATAAAGCGATTCATGACTAGACACTGCATAATACCAAAGATAAAGATATATTTAAAGCATTGATAATGAAAAGAGAGATTACATAGAAATAAATGAAATAAGGCAGATTATGTATTTTTTCCAGTTTTTTATGATGATAAAATATACATAACATTTATCACCTTACCCTTTGTTTTTTTTTTTTTTTTGAGACAGAGTCTCACTCTGTTGCCCAGGCTGGGAGTGCAGTGGCATGATCTCGGCTCACTGCAACCTCCACCTCCCAGGTTCAAGTAATTCTCCTGCCTCAGCCTCCCAAGTAGCTGGGATTACAGGCAGGTGCCACCATGCCTGGCTTATTTTTTTGTATTTTTAGTACAGATGGGGTTTCACCATGTTGGCCAGGCTGGTCTGGAACTTCTGACCTCAGGTGATTTGCCCGCCTCAGTCTCCCAAAGTGCTGGGATTACAGGCATCAGCTACCGCACCAGGCCTCATCTTACCATTTTTAAGTATACAGTTCAGTGGTATTAAATACATTCATAATTTTGTGCAGTGATCACCACCATCCATCTCCATAACTCTTTTCATCTTGTAAAATAAAAACTCTATACCCATTAAACAAACAATAACTCCCTATTTTCTCTTGCCCCCAGCTCCTGGAAACCACTATTCTGCTTTGTTTCTATGATTTTGACTGCTCTTAAGTACCTCATATAAGTGGAATCATTCAGTGTTTGTCTTTTTTTGTGACTGGCTTGTTTCACTTAGTATAATGTCCTTAAAGTTCATCCATGTTGTTGCATATTGCAGAATTTCCTTCTTTTTTAAGGCTGAAATAATATTCTGTTGTATGGATATGCCACATTTTACTTATCCAGTCATTTGTCGATGGATATTGGATTGCTTCTGTGTTTTAGCTATTGTAAATAATGCTTCTATGAACACAAGTGTACAAATAAATCTTCGAGATACAACTTTCAATTCATTTGGGTGTAAACCCAAAAGTGAAATTGATGGTTCATATGGTAATTCTATTTTTTATTCTATTTTTAACTTTGAAAAACTGCATGCTGTTTTCCACAGTGGTTGTATAATTTTACATTTCCACCAACAGTGTACAAGTGTTCCAATTTCTGCACACCTTTGCTAACCTTTACTTTTGTTTAGTTTTGTTTTAGATAGTAACCATCCTAATGAGTGTAAAGTGGTATTTCATTGGAGTTTTGATGTGCATTTTTCTAATGATTAGTTATGTTTAGCACCTTTTCATTTATATTTCTTTTGGGAAAATGTCTATTGAACTCCTTTGCCCATTTTTGAATTGTGTTTTTTATTCATTTGTTTGTTTTTGAGTTTTAGGAGTTTGCCATGTATTCTGGATATTAATCTCTTATCAGATATATAATTTGCAGGTTATTTTCTCTCATGCTGTTGCCTTTTTTTTTTTTTTTTTTTTACTTACTGTTTAACTTGTTTCTATACAACCTGTTAAAAGGTGTGATGGCAAAAAAATATTCCAGCCACAATAGCAATTAAAAAACACACCGAATACCCCTAAAAATAAATGTGTGAGATGTATACAAAATATAAAAGAAGATTTGAGTAAATATATAAAAATATGTGTTCTTGAAGCTCTTTTTAAAAACTTCAATTCCTCTCTGAGTAATTGAGTAATTCATAGTTTACCCCACTTCCAGATGAAATTCTAGAAGAATTTAACACAATCAGAATTTAGAAATGGACAAAATTTTCCTGGTTATATTTCACCTGGGAAATTAACAAGTAAGATTACTATAAAATATTTGGAAAAAATAAGATGAGAAACAGACACTTTCTCAGCTGGGTATAAATGGATTGTAACCTAAGGAAGTAAAAAGACTGTATGAACAAGAATCAATGAACAAATTAATGAGAAAAAAAAAGGCCAAATACGGTGCCTCATGCCTGTAATCTCAGCACTTTGGGAGGCCAAGGCGGGAGGATTGCTTGAGACCAGGAATTTGAGACCAGTCTGGGCAACAGAGCGAGAAACTGTCTCTACAAAAAAAATTAAAAAATAAAAAAAAGGAAGGAAGGAAGGAAGGAAGGAAGCTAGCTGTGCATGGAAGTATGAGCCTGTCGTCTTAGCTACTCAGGAGGCTGAGGCAGGAGGATCACTTGAGCCCAAGAATTTTAGGCTGTAGCAAGCCATGATTGTACCACTGCACTCCAGCCTGAGGGACAGAGTGAGACCCTGTCTCTAAGGAAAGGGCGGGGGGCAGGAGGGTGGGATACGTGCTGAATAAATTGCTCTGAAACCATTTCAAATAATGCAAGAATTTCATGTGTAAGAAAAGAAACTCACAAGCCAATTAGAGGTGGATTATGCAGCAGATGGTGATAGTAGTTTTTCAAGCACAAATTTTTATGAAGACCAATCTATTTTTTTGTTGTTATTGCCTGTGTTTTTGCTGTCATAGCCAAGAAATCATTGCCAAGTCCAATGTTGTGAAATTTTTCCCTATGTTTTCTTCTAAGGGTTTTATTGTTTTAAGTTTTACATTTAGGTCTTTAATCCATTTTGAGTTAATTTTTGTATATAATTAGGTAAGGTTTCAACTTTATTCTTTGATATGTGGATATCTAGTTTTTCCACCACCATTTGTTGAAAAGGCTGTTCTTTCCCCCATTGAATGGTCTTGGCTTCCTTTTCAAAAATTATTTGACCATACATGCGAGGGTTTATTTTTGGGCTCCCAATCCTATTTATTTGATTTGTATGTCTGACTTTATGCCTTTATGGCACTGCCTTTATGCCAGTACCATACTGTTTCAATGACTGTCACTTTGTAGTAAATTTTGAAATTAGGAAGTGTGAGTCTTCTAGCTTTCTTCTTTCTTGAGATTGTTTTTGGTTATTCAGGATCCCTTGAAATTTCATATGAATTTTAGGATGGGTTTTTCTGCAAAATAAAAAATAAAAATCATTGAGATTTTGCTAGGGGTTGCACTGAATCTGAAGATCTCTTTCTGTAGTATTGACATTTTAACAATATTTTCTTCTAATGCACAAACATGAAATTTGTTTCAATTTCTTTATGTCTTAATTTCTTTCAGCAATGTTTTGTCGGTTTTATTGTTCAAGTCTTTTACTTATTTAGTTAATTCCTAAGTATTTTATTCATTTTGATGCTATTACAAACAGAATTTTAATAATTTCTTTTTCATATTGTTCATTTTTAGTGTATAGAAATAAAACTAATTTTTGTGTGTCGATTTTGTATCCTGCTACTTCGTTGAATTTATTTATTAGTTCCAACAGTTTTTTGTAGAATCTTTAGGGTTTTCTACATATAAAATTATATCATCTACAAACAGAGAGAATTTTACTTCTTTCTTTCCGATTTGGATACCTTTTATCTCTTCTACTTTCCTTATTTCTCTGGCTAGAACTTCTAGTACTATGTTGAATAGAAGCAGACAAAGCAGACATCTTTCCTTGTTCCTGATCTTGGAAGAAAAGCTTTCAGTCTTTCACCATTGAGTGGAAAGCTGCCATGAAAATTTTATAAATGCCCTTTATCATGTTGAGGAACTTCCCTTCTATTCCTAGTTTGTTGAGTGTTTTTATCATAAAAGGGTATAGAATTTTATCATATGCTTTTTCTGTATCAATTGAGATGATCACGTGGTTGTTTCTATTCACTGTGTAATGTGGTATATTTTGTTAATCCGTTTTCATATGTTGAATCATCCTTGCATTACAGGAATAAATACCACTTGGTAATGGTGTATATGGTATTTAGTCCTGTTAATATGGTGCTGAATCAGTTTTGTTAATATTTTGTCAAGGATTTTTCCATTAATAGTCATAATGTTAAAAGGGTTAACATTGACATTAAATAGTCAAAATATTAAAAGGGTTTTTTAAATCCTTGACAAAATATCAGCAAAATGAATTTTATGACATAATGTTCTTTTCTTGTAGTGTCTTTGACTGGCTTTGGTATCAGAGTAATGCTGGCCTTATAGAATGAGTTAGGAAGGGTTCCCTCCACAATTTTTGGGGGATAGTTTGAGAAGGATTGGTATTCTTCTCTAAATGTTTGGTGGAATTCATCAGCAAAGTCATCAGGTTCAGGGCTTTTCCTTGTCAGAAGATTTTTCATTACTAATTAAATCTTTTTACTAGTCATAGGTCTATTCAGATTATTTATTTCTCCTTGATTTAGTCTTGGTAGGCTTTCTGTTTCAAGGAATTTGTCCATTTCATCTAGGTTATCCAATTTGTCAATACCCAATTGTTCATAGTACTCTCTTATAATCCTTCCTATTTCTGTAGAATTAGCAGTAATATCCCCACTTTTGTTTCTGATTTTAGTAATTTGAGTGTTCTCTCTTTTTTTCTTAATACAACTAACTAAACATTTGTCAATTTTCTTAATCTCGTCACAGAACTAACTCTTGGTTTTGTTGATTTTTCTCTTTATTTCTATTCTTTATTTTGTTACCTCTGCTCTAATATTTATTATTTCCTTCTTTCTGCTACCTTTGAGTTTAGTTTGTTCTTCTTCTTCTTTTCTTTCTTTTCTTTTCTTTTTTTTTTTTTTTCAACAAGATCTCACTCTGTCACCCAGGCTGGAGTGCAGTGGTGCAATCATAGCTCACTGCAGCCTTGACCTCCCAGGCTCAAGCAATTCCCCAACCTCAGCCCCCTGAGTACTGAGACCACAGGCATGTGCCGCCATGCCTAGATAATGTTTGTATTTTCTGTAGAGATTGGATTTCACTATGTTGCTCAGGCTGGTCTTGAACTCCTGGGCTCAAGTGATCTGCTTGCCTTAGCCTCCCAAAATGCTGGGACTACAGGCATGAGCCACCACACCCAGCCTGTTCTTCTTATTCTAAACTTGTAAAGTTAGGATGTTGATTTGACATTTTTCTTGTTTTTTAATGTAAACAGGTATAGCTATAAATTTCCACCCACAGACTACTTTTGCTTTGTCCCATAAGATTTAGCATGTTGTGTTTTCATTTTTATTTGTCTATAAGTATTTTCTAATTTCCCCTGTGATTTTTACTTTGGTTGTTTAAGAGTTTGTTGTTTAATTTCCACAAATTTATACATTCTCCATTTCACTTCGGTTATTGATTTCTAACTTTATGTCATTTGGTCAGAGAAGATACTTTGTATGATATCCATCTTTTAAAAATCTATTGAGACTTAATTTGTGGCCTAACATATGATGTATCCTGCAAAATGTCCCATGTGCACTTGAGAAAAGTTTGTATACTGTAGTTGTTGGAGAGAGGATTGTGTATATACCTGTTAGTCTGGTTGGTTTATTGCATTGTTTAAGTCTTCTGTTTCCTTGCTTATTTTCTGTCTGGTTGTTCTCACCATTATTGCGAGTTGGGTATTGAAGTCTCCAACTATTGTTATAGAACTATCTCTTTTTCCCTTTCATTCTGTAAGCTTTTGCTTTATGTGTTTTGATGGTCTGTCCTTAGATGGGTAAATGTTTATAATTGAATATCTTCTTGCTGTGTTGGGTCTTTTATTAATATATAATGTCCTTCTTTGTCCACTATAGCCCTGTAAGTTTATTTCGCCTGGGAGCAGTGGCTCATGCCTGTGCTCCTAGCATTTTGGGAGGCCGAAGCAGGTGGAACACTTGAGCCCAGGAGTTCTAGACTAGCCTGGACAACATGGTGAAATGCCATCTTTACAAAAAAATACAAAAGTTAGCGGGGCATGGTGACGCTTACCTGTAGTCTCAGCTACTTGGGAGGCTGAGGTAGGAGGATTGCTTGAGCCTAGGAGGTCAAGGCTACAGTGAGCCAAGATTGTGCCACTGCACTCCAACCTGGGTGACAGGGTGAGACCCTGTTAAAAAAAAAAGTCTATTTTGTCTGATATTATTATACCCACTCCTACTGTGTTTTGGTTACTATTGGCATGGAATATTTTTTCCATGCTTCCACTTTTAATCTGTTTATATCTTTGGATCTAAAGTAAGTCTTTTGTAAACAGTAAATAGTCAGACCATGTATGTATCCATTCTGCTAATCCCTGTCTTTTGATGGTAGAGTTTAATCCATTTGCATTTAAAGTATATACTGATAAGGAGAAACTTAATTTTTTTCATTTTGCTATTTGTTTTTTATGGCTTATAGCTTATTTGCCTCTCATTTCCTGCATTTATTGACTGTCTTCTTTCATGTTTAGTTGATTTTTTGCAGTGAAATTTTAAAATTTCTTTCCATTTCCTTTTGTGTACATTCTTTAGCTATTTCCTTTATGGTTTAATGGGGATTGCACTTAACATCCTAAAGTTATAATACTCTAATTTGAATTTATACCAGTTTAACTTCAATAACATACAAAACTCTGTTTCTTTACAATTCTGTCCCCACCTCTTTCCGTTGTTAATGTCATAAAATTACATCTTTTTATATTTCATGCCCCAAAACATAAAGTAATAATTTATTTACATACATTAGTCTCTTAAATTATCTAGAAGATTGGCCAGACATGGTGGCTTATGCCTGTAATCCCAGCACTTTGGGAGCCCAAGGTGGTTGGATCACCTGAGGTCGTGAGTTTGAGACCAGCCTGGCCAACAAGGTGAAACCCTGTCTCTACTAAAAATACAAAAATTAGCTGGGCATGGTGACGGGCACCTGTAATCTCAACTACTGGGGAGGCAGAGGCATGAGAATCTCTTGAACCCAGGAGACAGAGGTTGCAGTGAGCCGAGATTGCACCACTGCACTCCAGCCTGGGCAACAGCGCAAGATGCGATCTCAAAAAAAAAAAAAAAAGTAGAAAATAAAATGTGGGGTGATAACCTACAGTTCATATTTGGCAGTTTACTTTAAAAGTAAACAGGGCTTCTTAAATTAACCTATCTTGGGGCAGTCTTGTGATTCATGGCAACATCCTGTTCATGAGTAAAGAATCTTATCTGAGTTTCTCAAATTATTGACGTATAATGATTAATTTATAACCTACTGACATCAAAAAGGCTGCTGATTTGTTTCTGAATCATAATGTTTTGGTGATTTGTTTCTGAATCATGAAGTTTCACTGATTGTCTTGTGCATAGAATTTTAACCTGTATGTTGCCCTGTATGTCATACTTTGCAGCCAATCTTTGTGTTGTACCCTCCAATGAAAAAGGACAACTTCACTATGAGGAGCCCCTCTCCCTTCTCCTAAACTTACTTATAAAAGCCTTCCAACTTGTAACAGATTCTGGAACACTCCCAACTTTCTGATGTGTCTTCCCAGGTTGATCCTCACATTTGGCTTCCAATAAACCTTTATCAAATTATTTCTGCCTCAACAGCCTTAATTTCTGTCAATAGGAGTTACAAGCCAAAGTTAACAATAATACTAGCTTTTAGACTAATAGTTTTTAACGTATGAATCTCAAACCATGCAAAAAACAAAAAATGGAGTTACAAACCATTGTTACAATAATACTAGCTTCTATAATTGTCCATGTATTTACCTTCATTGAGATTTTTATTTCTTCATATAGCTTTGAGTTACTGTCTAGTGTTCTTACATTTCACCTTGCAAGACGTAAGCATTTCTTGCACGGCAGGTTTAGTAGTGAACTCACTCAGCTTTTGTTTATCTGGGAATATTTTAATTGCTTCCTCGCTTTTGAAGGAGAGTTTTGCAAGATAAAAGATTCTTGATTGACAGGTTTCTTTTTCTTTTCGCACTTTGAATTTATTAACCCACTGGCTTCTGTTTTCCAAAGTTTCTGATGAGAAATCTGATGATATTCTAATTGAGGATCTCTTGTAAGTGACAAATTGCTTCTCTCTTGCCACTTTCAAGATTCTGTTTTTGTCTTTGGTTTTCAAAAGTTTGATTATAATGTGTTTTTGGGTGAGTCTCTTTAAATTCTTCTTATTTGGAGTTTGTTGAGTTCTTGTATGTTTATGTTCAAGTCTGTCATCACATTTGTGAAGCTTTCAGCCATTATTTCTTAAAATATTCTCTCTACCCGCCTCTCTCTCTAATCTTCAGAGACTCCCAAAATGTATATGATGGTGTCCTACAGCTTATCTAGGTTTTATTTATTTTTCTTCGGCCTTTTTTCTATTCCTCAGACTCAGTGATTTCCATTGTTCTATCTTCACCTTTCACTATTTTTATCTTCTGGATGCTCAAGTATGTCTTTTAGTCCTTGTAGTGAATTTTTTATCTTGGTTTTATTTTTCCACTCCTTGCTTTCTTTTTGGTTTATTTTTAGGTTTTTCTGTATCATCATTGATTTTTCCATTTTGTTCATGTATCATATATTTTTTCTGGTCTTTCTTCACATCTTTCTTTAGAATATTGAGCATCTTTAAGACATCTGTTTAAAAGTCTTCATCTAGTATATCTGACATCATATCTTTTTCAGGGATGGTTTCTGTTGATTTATTTTTTTCTTTGAATAGACCATACTTTCCTGGTTTTTGTTTTTTTTTTTTGTATGTCTTGTGATTTTTTTTTGGTTGACATTGAAAACTGGACATTTGAATCTAAAAATGTGGTAAATCTGGAAATCAAGTTCTTCTCCTTTTCCAGAGTTTGCTAGATTTAGTCATTGTTTTTGTTTACTCTTTTTTATTGTTGTATGTCTGATATATATAAACTTAAGGTCCTTTCAGGTCTTTTCTGAGCCTGAGCCTTTCCCTGGGTATGCATGGTCACTTTCTAATTTCCCCCTCTATGAAGTTGTTTCTGAAAGTCCTAGTCTTTAACGTCTGGTTCCCAAAAGGGAATCAAAAATATTAAGGGGGAAAAATGGCCCTGGTCCTTTGAATCCCCTGGAAGTCATCTCAGATGGATGGGAGGGGCTTGCAAAAAGGGTAGAGGTGAAACAATAGCTGTTCACTTCTTTGTCTGTACCACTGTGATCAGAAGCAGTGATTGGCAATCCAAATACAGATCCCCAATATTTGGAGGACAGGATCCTTTTTGTTCATTCTGGCTGCTTCAAGCTGCTACAGGAACTCCCAAAAATGACCCCAGAAGCAAGACCTAAGATTTAAAAGAAAACAGAGCTATTGGAGACTGTGAAGGGAGATACTTTGAGGGACAAAGCTGACCAAAGGAGGATGGTAGAATAAAAACATGGAAGGAATATGGATGACATTATTAAACCAATGAATTATGTATACATGGAGAAACCCTATATTGGAACTTCTTGTGTAAAACAACTTTTCCCATTCTGAGAGAGAGAGAGAGAGCATGTGTGCATGATTCAAGAAAGAATAAAGTGTATCAAATTCTGTGGGGTGGTCAAGTAGGATAAGAATGGAAAAGAGTCCTTTAGTTTTGACTATAGGAAGTTCATTGATGATCATAGTAAGAGCAGGTCAGTCTTTCATGAGACTCGGCTGCACTCTCTTACCCTTGGAATTTAGGAAGAGACACACCTCAGGAGTTGTTACTAAAAGGATATCTGTGTAAGTTGGTCTGAGTAAATTTCCTTTGCTCACAACCAAATGAATTTTGAATATGAAGTGTTATTTTTTGGAAATGTTAAAACAGGTTGAATTGAGAAGACTTAGTGAATGATTGCCACGGATGATAGAGAAAGATAGAGATTGTGACTGGCTTCTTTCACTTAGCATTGTTTCAAGGTTTGTTCATGTTGTAGCATATATCAGTACTCTATTCCTTTTAATAGCTGAATAACATTCCATTGTATGGATAGGCTACATTTCATTTATCCATTTATCAGTTGGTGGACATTTGAGTTGTGGTTAATTTTATGCATCACCTTGACCAGGCTAAGTGTTGCCCAGATAGCTGGCAAAACATTATTTTTGTGTGTGCCTGTCAGAATATTCCCAGAAGAGATTAGCAGTTGAATCGGTTGAGTAAACAAGATCACCCTCTTCAATGTAGGCAGACATCATCCACTCATTGAGGGCCCACATAGAACAAAAAGGCAGATGAAGGGCAAATTTGTTTTGTTTCTGTTTGAAATGGGACACCTTTCTCCTCCTGCCAACATTAGCAATCCTGGTTCTTGGACTGTTAGACAGACTGAATTACACCATCAGCTTCCCTGGTTCTCCAGCTTGCAGATATAAAATCGTGGGATGTATTGATCTCCATAAATCCAATTTCTATAATAAATTATTCTTATTATTGTTTAATTATATTTTATTTTATATATATATATCTCCTATTGTTTCTGTCTCTCTGGAAAACCCTAACTTCTATAGATTTTGGCATCAAGAGTGGTTCTAGAGGAATAGAATTTTACAGATGAATTTTCTGAATTGGCTCTATGATTTCTGGAATTGGGTCCCTAATTTGATTAGATTTAAAGACATTAGTGACTCTATTTCCAGTAGTAAAGAAAGTTCATGACATAACCTGCTTATAGAGATACACAAAATATCTACATTGGATATACCTAATCAACAACTTATAGAATGTAATGGGCTAAGTAACTTTATATGTTATATACTTTTAGACTTTTTTTTTTTTAAATTAGGGAACATAATGACATTTGTTTATTGCTCCTAATGTTGCTGGATAAAGTAGTGAAAGAAAAGGATGAGCTCAGATATTTGAATTCCTAGTTTAAGCACTGAACAAATGACCTAAGAATCTATAGATATACCCTCAAAGACAGCCTCATCTCCTATAGCCACAGGGCTGAAATTGCTGAAAAATCAAATGCAGAACCTTATCCTATGATTGGCTGAATTACAATGCAAGTTGAACTCCCATCCTCACAGGGTATCTACTATTAAAGTAAGGGCATTGATTGGGAAAGAATAGCATCCTATAAGTTGGGATGGGGACATACTGGAAGATCTTGATGAAGCTGGGTGCGAGGCTCCTGTATTGGTTCGAACCCCAAGAGCGTGCCAGCAGACAACACGAGGTGGCATGGAGCAACACGCTGTTTTAATGAGCTCCTGGGTGCAGGCGGGCAGAGGCCTAAAATGGCGTCAGCACCAAATGAGGATGGGGCAGGGGTTTTATAGTCTCCTGTAAACAGGAAGTGCCCCAGTCCAATGTGACTGCTACATAGTACCCAGACCACCTCTCTCTCAGTCTTCAGGGAGTACGTGTCTTCCGGCCAGCTCTCTTCCTGCTTCTGCTATCCCGCTCACGCACACTGCTGGTGCAAGTGGCCTTGCGCCTTGGCACTGAGCCTGAGGAGGAAGGAGTTATTCATTTCCTTAAGCTTTCAGGTCCCAGGGAGAATTTTTCACTGGGAACTTAGACTCCTAAATTGTGATGAGTCTTTTTTGCCAATGAAAGAGGCCTCCTCACCCCCAGAAGACGTGGCCTCTCCAACTCCAGTAGTATCTGCCTTTCCACCAATTTTTCCACCTCCATCTAAGGGCATTAACCCAGCATTTCCTGAGAAAATAGTAATGGCCTGTCCTGAGGCAGTTGCCATGCAAGACAACACTGTTTCTCCTCAGAATCCACCCCATCATCCCTCTTTGCTTCTAGAACTGTAATTAGACTCAAGTCTCAGCAGGCCCCTAAGGGTGAAGTAGAAAGTGTGACCCATGAGGAGTTGTACTACACTCCAAAAAAAAAAAAAAGGTATTAATACTTGAGTTTTCTAATTTATACAAGCAGAAATCTTGGCAACATATGCAGGAGTGGATATTAACAGTGTGGGGTAATGGTGAAAGGAACGTAAACTTGGATCATGCAGAATTTATTGATATGAACTCATTAAGTAGAGATTTTTCATGTAATGTTGCAGTTTGGGGAGTCAGAAAGGGCTCTAATTGTTTGGTTACGTGGTTGGCTAAACCATGGGCAAATTGGAAATGCCTGACCCCCACTTGTTTTAATGTAGAGGAAGGATTCAATGGCTTAGGGTGTCTTAGTCTGTTTTCTGTTGCTATAACAGAATGCCACAGACTAGGTAATTTATAAAGAAACTAAGTTTATTTAGCTCAAAGTTCTGGAGGCAGGAAGTTCAACAGCATGGCTCTAGCATCTGTTGGGGGTTTTCTTGCTGTATCATAACATGGTGGAGGGCATCACATGGCAAAAGGGCAAGAACGTGCCAGGTCAGGTCTTTCTTTCTCTTGTATAAAGCCACCAGTCTTGTCATGGAAGTTCCACTCTAAAGATCTTAACTAATCCTAATTAATGACCTTAACTAATCCTACAGGCCCCACCTCCAAAAGTCATCAATATATGAATTTGGGGATTGAGTTTCCAACACATGAAATTTGAGGGATGCATTCAAACCACAGCATGGGAATATTGAAATGTTAGAGTAGATTTGTATTTAAGACCTACTCACTCACACTGGGAGGATACAGAAGACCTATCTTTCACCATGAATGTGAGAAATACATTTGCGAGGGTAGCCCCAGCATCTGTGAAGGGCTTTGTGATAGCTCTCCTTTGTAGGCCAGACTTCAGAGTGGTAACCGTAGCCATTCAATAAGAAAACCTAAATGAATTAGGAGTGATTGGATTCCAGGATGACAGGGGCCAAATTGTGGCACTCAGCTGCCAAAAGCAAGGCGGGTGTAATTACCACAATGGACAGCAGAGTCAAAGCAACAATCGTAATAGTCTGACTCATGCAGGCCTATAACATTGGTTACTTGATCATGGTGTTCCTAGAAGTGAAATAGGATGCCTACTAAATTCTCACTTTATCTATACAAGCAAAAAACTATGTCAAGTGAACAAACATCTAACCCCAATCATAAAAACATGGCCCTTTGATCGATTTCCAGACTTAAGTCAGTTTATAGGCTCAGAACCCCTCGAATGAAGTAGAGGCTGGATTCCCTTTAGGAAGAACCCAAGTAAATTACCAAAAATGTATACTGCTAATCTTTATCCCAGCTTTCCCCAAAGGTACCTACTGCCTTTCACCAGGGTAACTGTGCGTTGGGGAAAAGAAAATAATCAGAGCTTTTGAGAACTACTTAGACACTGGCTCTGAACTGACTGATTCCAGGTGATCCAAAACATCATTGTGGCCTTCCATTCAGTCCAGAAGGTTGTAATGTTATGCACAGATGTGTAAATATGCATATCTTTTCATTCACAGTTTCTGGCTCATAACTCCCATAGTCCTTGTTACAGTCTTCTGTTATAATGTTAGGGTGTTTTAGGCCTCAGAAGCAAAAGTTTCTCTCTGACCTTCTCTGGCCCTATTTCTGACTCTCATTCTCCCTCAAGGCCATCCCTAGAAACTAGAGTCTTTCTTCCCCAGATTGAATCATAGAAACCAGAACTCTGTTTCCTGAAAGCCAGCCATAAGCCCCCACCTTTCTGTCCATAAAGAAATTATCTGAACTACCTTGTTTGATAGTAAGTCATAAGGCCTGCATTCTAGAGAGGGTCCTGTCCCATACCCTGGAGGAAGAAATGCTACACATAGAGGCCAAGAATCTAAATATAGAGGTCTTTCTGGGTTTTCCCACTCAGACTGTTACTATTAGATCATATCCTTTTTGTCCAATCACATTTCTACATGGTTTTTCATGCTTCAATCATGTCTATCCAATGAAGTCTCCATAAAAGGACAAAGAAGACTGAGTTTGGGGAGCTTCCAGATAGCTGAACACCTGGAGGTTCCTGGAGGGTGGCACACCAAACGAGTGCATGGAAGCTGTATGCCCCTTCCCCAACACCTTGCCTCTGAGCAGCTTACTGAACTCAAGTGTTTCCTTGAGGAAATTTCTAGGGGTCCTGTGGTTTCAGTGCTTCAGAACTCAAGTATTTCCTTGAGTTCTGTGAGCTCCTCTAGCAAAATAATCAAACCCCAAAAAGAGGTTGTGGGAACTCCAACTTGAAGCCAGTTGATCAGAAGTTCCAGAGGCCTGGGCTTATAACTGGTGTCTGAAGGAAGAACAGTCTTAGAGACTGAGCCCTCAACTTGTGGTTTCTGAGGTTATCTCTAGGTAGAAAGCATCAAAATTAATTGAATTGGAGGACACCTAGTTGGTACAGAATTGCTTGCTTGCTTTTTGGTGGGGAGAAATCCCCACACATTTAGTCACGGATCTTCTGTGGTGATTGTTGCTGCGATGTGAGAGCAGAGGAAAAAACAGTTTGTGGGTTTTTTATTTTTTATTTCCTAACAGAGGTCTTTGGAGGTAAGGTGATTAATGGAATTTTAGCTCAGGTTCATTTCACAGTGGGTTCAGTGGGTCCCTGAGACCATCCAGGTTATTTCCCCAGTTCTAGATGCATAATTGGAATAGACATATTTAGCAGCTGGAAGAATCCTCATATTGGTTCCATGACCTACAGAGTGAGAGCTATTTTGGTGGAAAGGCCAATTGGAGGCCATGAGAGCTCTACTTAGGAAAATAGTAAACCAAAAGCAATATTTCATCCTGGATAAATTGCAGAGATTAGTGTGAAGCCTTGAAGCATGGACAGATAGTAATTCCAACCACATCCCCATTCACCTCTCCTATTTGGCCTGTGCAGAAGACAGAGAGATCTTGAAGAATGTCAATGGATATCGTAATCTCAGCCAGGTGATGACTCCAATTGCAGCTGCTGTACCAGATGTGGTTTCATTGCTTCAGCAAATTAACGCATCTCCTGCTTCTTCATATATAGTTATTGATCTTGCAGACAGCTTTTTCTTCATACCTGTCCATAAGGCCTACTAGAGCAATTTGCCCTCAGCTGGCAAGGCCAGCGATGTGCCTTCAGTGTGCTATCTCAGGGGAATATCAACTCTCCAGCTCTATGTCATAATTTAGTTCTCAGGGAACTTGATCACCTTTCCCTTCTACGAGGGTTAATACTGGTGCATTCCATTGATGACATTATGCTGATTGGCCCCAGTTAGCAAATATAGCAACTACTCTAGACTAGTAAGACATGTGTATGCCAAAGAGTGGGAAATAAATCCAACTAGAACTCAGGGGCCTTCTTTAGTGAAATTTCTAGGGGTCCTGTGGTATGGGACATGTTTAGATAGCCCTTTTAAGGTGAAGAAAATGTTGTTGCATATGGTCCTTCGTACAGCCAAGAAAAAGGCACAATGCCTCGTGGATCTATCTGGATCTTGGAGGCAATATATTCCTCTTTTGGGTGTGTTACCCAGCCTCTTTTTCAAGTGACCAAAAAGCTACTAGTTTGATTAGGGCCCAGAACAAGAGAAGGCTCCACAACAGGTCCAGGCTGCTGTACAGGCTGCTCTGCCACTTGGGACATATGATCCAGCAGATCTAATGGTGCTTGAAGTGTTGGTGGCAGATAGGGATGCTGTTTGGAGTCTTTGCCAGGCACCTATAAGTGAATGACAGCACAAGCCTTTAGGATTTTTGAGACAGGGCCCTGCCATCACCACAGATAATGAGAGAGGCAGCTCTTTGCCTGCTGCTGGGCCTTAGTAAAAATCAACACTTGACCACAGACTACCAAGTTACCATGTGACTATAGTGGTTCATCATAACTGGGTATTATCTGATTCACCGAGACATAAAGTTGGGCATGGCATGCACAGCAACACTTCATTATCAAGTGGAAGTGGTATATACATGACTGGACCTGAGTAGGCCCTGAAAGCACAAGTAAATTACATGAAGAAGTGGGCATGGGGGTATAGATAGAACAATACTGACCATGAACTGAAAACTATTGAAGATGGGTAATAGGTTCATTATATTTTTCTGTCTGCTTTTGTATATGTTTGACACTTTTCATAAGAGGTTAAGAAAGATAAAATTATCTTTGCTATTCTTTTTTTCTTATAAAAGTATTTTAAAAATAAATCAATATATTTCAGTGTTGTAACATAATAGCCCAATGCTATATCTACGTAGCAAAAGTGAAGATTTCTGGTATTTTTATATCAACACTATGAATGACAGTACCCTTGCATTCAGCTTTGCAAGAAATTATCCTCAGGTCCACAACGATTCTTCGACAGCTGTAACACCTTTCAAATAGTAAAGATATGCGTGTATTGAAAGACTAGACAATGAAAGCCTAATAACTGAGCTGTGCATGTTTGCTATTCTTGACCCTTTGTATCCTTATATACATTTTAGAATTAGTTATTACATTCTCATTGTCCACCCCCACAAAAAATATTATTGATTTTTAAAATCAGGATTGTATTTATTGTACGGGTCAATTTTGGGAAAAAGTAATGACCTTAGAATATTTAAATCCACTTGCCCTTCTACCATTTATGACAATTGCTGACACATATAAATTTTTTATATATTAAATTCTCTGTTTACATTTACACAGTGTGTATGCCCTAAAACTTTACTGGGGCTGTTTTATACAGTCGAAATTCATTTAGATTAATTTATTTACCTTCTAAGTTGTTTTTTATTCTTTTTCATGTGTCTGCATCCATCTGTATTCATTTTTTTCTGTCTGAAGAATTCTATTATTTTCTTTGGCAGTGACAAATTCTCACAGTTTTTATTTGTCTGAAAATGTTTATTTGGCCTTCCTTTTGGAAGGCTGTGTTCTCTGAACATAGAATTTTTAGAGCTTGGCTATGTGACTTGCTTTGGCCAATGGGATGTTAGCAGATTTGAAACTGGGCTTGCCCTTTTGCATTTCTGCCATTGCCGTGAGGGAAAAAGAAATGTCCTGTATAGCCTACTGCAGAGGTTCCCAAATCCCAGTACCCAGTCCATGGCCTGTTAGGATAAGGCCGCACAGCAGTAGGTGAGCAGTGGGTTAGTGAGCGTTACCGCCTGAGCTCTGCCTCCCATCAGAGCAGTGGCAGCATTAGATTCTCATAAGAGTGTGAACCCTATTGTGAACTGCGCATGCGAGGGATCTAGGTTGCATGCTTCTTATGAGAAGCTAATGCCTGATGATTCTTATGAGGTGGAACAGTTTTATCCCCAAATCATCTCCCACTCCCCAACCGGTCTGTGGAAAAATTGTCTTCCATGAAACTGGTCCCTGATGCCAAAAAGGAGACCGCTGGCCTATTGGAGACCGCTGGCCTATTGGACCAACCTGCAGCTTGGAATCAAGCCCAGCAAGGCCCAGCTAAGTATAAAGCATAGAAGATGGTTCATGTCTGTTGAATGAATAAATGAATGAGTGAAAAAATTAATTAGAGAGATTAGAAAAGTCAAAAGAAGATTCTGGACCTGTATCTGTTTTCCTTCTCTCTGTCCATGAGTGAGCATTTGGGAATAGTGGGAAAACAATATGATGAATTATAAACTTTATTTTTTTCTATGGATTAGTATGGCTTTAACATGACCAAATTCTTGAGCTGAATATGAAAAGACTTGTCTTCTTTACCTGCCAAAGGGATTAAAGTTCATATTTGTTCCTGAATCACATATTGATTTAATAATTGCCAAGTATAGCCACAAGTTGTGAAAGCAGAAAATGCCTTGCCTTCCATAGAGCACACAATTTGTACATAATTTAGGCAGGGTGGAGAAGTGAGTGGAGGAAGCTATGGAATGAAGGATTTCCCCTGCCCTAGATATGACCATAATACAAAAGGTTTAAATTCACTTGTTAAAAGGATTAAAGTTTCATATTTGTTCCTGAAACATATACCAATGGATTAACTGCCAAGGACAGTAGACAACTTAGAAAGGAGGAAACACTCCATTCACAGTCCAGCAAAGAGCCCCAGCTTGAAATCCCTGTTCCCTGAAGTCATGGCAGCTATGCCTGGCTTGCACAAGACAGGCCTAAAGTGTCACTGTCCCTTCTCCCCTTCCCACACCCTCTTCCAAGTCTCCCAGGCAGCACTGAAATAATAATTGAGATACTTGCACTTGGCAGGATAACTGACCAATTGGAAGAATTTCTTCCAGGTCTTATGAACATTCTTAATGGAGGAAAGAGAACTATGACAGCAATGGAGTAGTCAAATTGAAAGGGCCATGGGGCAACAGTAGGCAAAGTGGACTTTTTAAGGCATCAGAGTCAAGTAAGCCCTCGGTTTACCTCATCATGCTTCTAAGAAGCTGAGTTGAGGGTTTGCCAAGTCCTAGCTGTGGCCACAGCCCAGTGTGTGAGAGAAGGGAATCCTTTGACCTGGCACTTCCATTCGGTACTTTGATTGGTTTGCCTCTTATTGTTTTAAGTGGAAAATAAATGTGGAGAAAATTTTAGGGTCATTTCAAACTGCTACCATCATCACACGTATTCCTTTACTCATTCATTTATTTTTTATTTCATTTTTCTTACAAAGTACAGGGCATTGTGCTAACACAGGGGAGTTATAAATGACTAATATATAGCACCAAGAAACCAAAATCCAGTTCACATTCAAAATAAGCAGACTGGGTTGTCAGACTTAAGGAAAAGCAGGTTCTCTGTGACTTACAAATGGCAGATAATTGGGCAAGTTACTAACCTCTCTGTCCTTCAGTTAACCCATCTAGAAAATGGGCATAACAATAATCACCTACCACGTAAAGGTGTTCTAGAAATCAAATGAGTTTAAATTAATGCTTGCAGAGCATTTAAATGATGCCTGACAGGTCTTATCCACCCAAAAGATGTTAGTTATTACCCACTCTCTGAATCATCCAAGCCAGTTTCTTAAAGCCCAGTGCCTCAATGGGTTTCACTGTTTGGTTTATTATGTGTCAATTTGTATTACTAATAAGATCAATGGGCATTAACATTTCAGTTGCTTTTGTTGAAAACATTTTGGGGGTACTTGAGCCTCCTTTGTGACTCATTCTCATTATGTTTTTCTTATATACTATTATTTATGTAATAGTTCTCTTTAAACTCATCTTTTTCTTACTTAAAGAGATTAGCCCATTTTCTTTTTTTTTAATTTTTTTATTATACTTTAACTTTTAGGGTACATGTGCACATTGTGCAGGTTAGTTACATATGTAAACATGTGCCATGCTGGTGCACTGCACCCACTAACTCGTCATCTAGCATTAGGTATATCTCCCAATGCTATCCCTCTCCCCTCCCCCCACCCCACAACAGTCCCCAGAGTGTGATATTCCCCTTCCTGTGTCCATGTGATCTCATCGTTCAATTCCCACCTATGAGTGAGAATATGCGGTGTTTGGTTTTTTGTTCTTGTGATAGTTTACTGAGAATGATGTTTTCCAGTTTCATCCATGTCCCTACAAAGGACATGAACTCATCATTTTTTATGGCTGCATAGTATTCCATGGTGTATATGTGCCACATTTTCTTAATCCAGTCTATCATTGTTGGACATTTGGGTTGGTTCCAAGTCTTTGCTATTGTGAATAATGCCGCAATAAACATATGTGTGCATGTGTCTTTATAGCAGCATGATTTATAGTCCTTTGGGTATATACCCAGTAATGGGATGGCTGGGTCAAATGGTATTTCTAGTTCTAGATCCCTGAGGAATCGCCACACTGACTTCCACAATGGTTGAACTAGTTTACAGTCCCACCAACAGTGTAAAAGTGTTCCTATTTCTCCACATCCTTTCCAGCACCTGTTGTTTCCTGACTTTTTAATGATTGCCATTCTAACTGGTGTGAGATGGTATCTCATTGTGGTTTTGATTTGCATTTCTCTGATGGCCAGTGTGGTGAGCATTTTTTCATGTGTTTTTTGGCTACATAATTAGTCTTCTTTTGAGAAGTGTCTGTTCATGTCCTTCGCCCACTTTTTGATGGGGTTGTTTGTTTTTTTCTTGTAAATTTGTTGGAGTCCATTGTAAATTCTGGATATTAGCCCTTTGTCAGATGAGTAGGTTGTGAAAATTGTCTCCCATTTTGTAGGTTGCCTGTTCACTCTGATGGTAGTTTCTTTTGCTGTGCAGAAGCTCTTTAGTTGAATTAGATCCCATTTGTCAATTTTGGCTTTTGTTGCCATTGTTTTTGGTGTTTTAGACATGAAGTCTTTGCCCATGCCTATGTCCTGAATGGTAATGCCTAGGTTTTCTTCTAGGGTTTTTATGGTTTTAGGTCGAACATTTAAGTCTTTAATCCATCTTGAATTGATTTTTGTATAAGGTGTAAGGAAGGGATCCAGTTTCAGCTTTCTACATATGGCTAGCCAGTTTTCCCAGCACCATTTATTAAATAGGGAATCCTTTCCCCATTGCTTGTTTTTCTCAGGTTTGTCAAAGATCAGATAGTTGTAGATATGCGGCGTTATTTCTGAGGGCTCTGTTCTGTTCCATGGATCTATATCTCTGTTTTGGTACCAGTACCATGCTGTTTTGGTTACTGTAGCCTTGTAGTATAGTTTGAAGTCAGGTAGTGTGATGCCTCCAGCTTTGTTCTTTTGGCTTAGGATTGACTTGGCGATGCGGGATCTTTTTTGTTTCCAAATGAACTTTAAAGTAGTTTTTTCCAATTCTGTGAAGAAAGGCATTGGTAGCTTGATGGGGATGGCATTGAATCTGTAAATTACCTTGGGCAGTATGGCCATTTTCACAATATTGATTCTTCCTAGCCATGAGCATGGAATGTTCTTCCATTTGTTTGTATCCTCTTTCATTTCATTGAGCAGTGGTTTGTAGTTCTCCTTAAAGAAGTCCTTCACATCCCTTGTAAGTTGGATTCCTAGGTATTTTATTCTCTTTGAAGCAATTGTGAATGGGAGTTCACTCATGATTTGGCTCTCTGTTTATCTGTTGCTGGTGTATAAGAATGCTTGTGATTTTTGTACATTGATTTTGTATCCTGAGACTTTGCTGAAGTTGCTTATCAGCTTAAGGAGATTTTGGGCTGAGACAATGGGGTTTTCTAGATATACAATCATGTCGTCTGCAAACAGGGACAATTTGACTTCCTCTTTTCCTAACTGAATACCCTTTATTTCCTTCTCCTGCCTCATTGCCCTGGCCAGAACTTCCAACACTATGTTGAATAGGAGTGGTGAGAGAGGGCATCCCTGTCTTGTGCCAGTTTTCAAAGGGAATGCTTCCAGTTTTTGCCCATTCAGTATGATATTGGCTGTGGGTTTGTCATAGATAGCTCTTATTATTTTGAAATACGTCCCATCAATACCTAATTTATTGAGAGTTTTTAGCATGAAGGGTGGTTGAATTTTGTCAAAGGCTTTTTTTGCATCTATTGAGATAATCATGTGGTTTTTGTCTTTGGCTCTGTTTATATGCTGGATTACATTTATTGATTTGTGTATATTGAACCAGCCTTGCATCCCAGGGATGAAGCCCACTTGATCACGGTGGATAAGCTTTTTGATGTGCTGCTGGATTCGTTTTGCCAGTATTTTATTGTGGATTTTTGCATCAATGTTCATCAAGGATATTGGTCTAAAATTCTCTTTTTTTGTTGTGTCTCTGCCTGGCTTTGGTATCAGAATGATGCTGGCCTCATAAAATGAGTTAGGGAGGAATCCCTCTTTTTCTATTTATTGGAATAGTTTCAGAAGGAATGGTACCAGTTCCTCCTGGTACCTCTGGTAGAATTCAGCTGTGAATCCATCTGGTCCTGGACTCTTTTTGGTTGGTAAGCTATTGATAATTGCCACAATTTCAGCTCCTGTTATTGGTCTATTCAGAGATTCAACTTCTTCCTGGTTTAGTCTTGGGAGAGTATATGTGTTGAGGAATTTATCCATTTCTTCTAGATTTTCTAGTTTATTTGCATAGAGGTGTTTGTAGTATTCTCTGATGGTAGTTTGTATTTCTGTGGGATCGGTGGTGATATCGCCTCTATCATTTTTTATTGCGTCTATTTGATTCTTCTCTCTTTTTTTCTTTATTAGTCTTGCTAGCAGTCTATCAATTTTGTTGATCCTTTCAAGAAACCAGCTCCTGGATTCATGGATTTTTTGAAGGGTTTTTTGTGTCTCTATTTCCTTCAGTTCTGCTCTGATTTTAGTTATTTCTTGCCTTCTGCTAGCTTTTGAATGTGTTTGCTCTTGCTTTTCTAGTTCTTTTAATTGTGATGTTAGGGTGTCAATTTTGGATCTTTCCTGCTTTCTCTTGTGGGCATTTAGTGCTATAAATTTCCCTCTACACACTGCTTTGAATGCGTCCCAGAGATTCTGGTATGTTGTGTCTTTGTTCTCGTTGGTTTCAAAGAACATCTTTATTCTGCCTTCATTTCGTTATGTACCCAGTAGTCATTCAGGAGCAGGTTGTTCAGTCTCCATGTAGTTGAGCGGTTTTGAGTGAGATTCTTAATCCTGAGTTCTAGTTTGATTGCACTGTGGTCTGAGAGATAGTTTGTTATAATTTTTGTTCTTTTACATTTGCTGAGGAGTGCTTTACTTCCAAGTATGCGGTCAATTTTGGAATAGGTGTGGTGTGGTGCTGAGAAAAATGTATATTCTGTTGATTTGGGGTGGAGAGTTCTGTAGATGTCTATTACGTCCGCTTGGTGCTGAGCTGAGTTCAATTCCTGTGTATCCTTGTTGACTTTCTGTCTCGTTGATCTGTCTAATGTTGACAGTGGGGTGGGAGTCTAAGTCTCTTTGTAGGTCACTCAGGACTTGGTTTATGAATCTGGGTGCTCCTGTATTGGGTGCATATATATTTAGGATAGTTAGCTCTTCTTGTTGAATTGATCCCTTTACCATTATGTAATGGCCTTCTTTGTCTCTTTTGATCTTTGTTGGTTTAAAGTCTGTTTTATCAGAGACTAGTATTGCAACCCCTGCCTTTTTTTGTTTTCCATTTGCTTGGTAGATCTTCCTCCATCCTTTTATTTTGAGCCTATGTGTGTCTCTGCACGTGAGATGGGTTTCCTGAATACAGCACACTGATGGGTCTTGACTCGTTATCCAATTTGCCAGTCTGTGTCTTTTAATTGGAGCATTTAGTCCATTTACATTTAAAGGTAATATTGTTATGTGTGAATTTGATCCTGTCATTATGATGTTAGCTGGTTATTTTGCTCGTTAGTTGATGCAGTTTCTTCCTAGTCTTGATGGTCTTTACATTTTGGCATGATTTTGCAGCGGCTGGTACCGGTTGTTCCTTTCCATGTTTAGCGCTTCCTTCAGGAGCTCTTTTAGGGCAGGCCTGGTGGTGACAAAATCTCTCAGCATTTGCTTGTCTGTAAAGTATTTTATTTCGCCTTCGCTTATGAAGCTTAGTTTGGCTGGATATGAAATTCTGGTTGAAAATTCTTGTCTTTAAGAATGTTGAATATTGGCCCCCACTCTCTTCTGGCTTGTAGAGTTTCTGCCGAGAGATCTGCTGTTAGTCTGATGGGCTTCCCTTTGAGGGTAACCCGACCTTTCTCTCTGGCTGCCCTTAACATTTTTTCCTTCATTTCAACTTTGGTGAATCTGACAATTATGTGTCTTGGAGTTGCTCTTCTCGAGGAGTATCTTTGTGGCGTTCTCTGTATTTCCTGAATCTGAACATTGGCCTGCCTTGCTAGACTGGGGAAGTTCTCCTAGATAATATCCTGCAGAGTGTTTTCCAACTTGGTTCCATTCTCCCCATCACTTTCAGGTACACCAATCAGACGTAGATTTGGTCTTTTCACATAGTCCCATATTTCTTGGAGGCTTTGCTCATTTCTTTTTATTCTTTTTTCTCTAAACTTCCCTTCTCGCTTCATTTCATTCATTTCATCTTCCATCGCTGATACCCTTTCTTCCAGTTGATCGCATTGGCTCCTGAGGCTTCTGCATTCTTCACGTAGTTCTCGAGCTTTGGTTTTCAGCTCCATCAGCTCCTTTAAGCACTTCTCTGTATTGGTTATTCTAGTTATACATTCTTCTAAATTTTTTTCAAAGTTTTCAACTTCTTTGCCTTTGGTTTGACTGTCCTCCCGTAGCTCAGAGTAATTTGATCGTCTGAAGCCTTCTTCTCTCAGCTCGTCAAAGTCATTCTCCATCCAGCTTTGTTCCCTTGCTGGTGAGGAACTGCCTTCTTTTGGAGGAGGAGAGGCGCTCTGCTTTTTACAGTTTCCAGTTTTTCTGTTCTGTATTTTCCCCATCTTTGTGGTTTTATCTACTTTTGGTCTTTGATGATGGTGATGTACAGATGGGTTTTTGGTGTGGATGTCCTTTCTGTTTGTTAGTTTTCCTTCTAACAGACAGGACCCTTAGCTGCAGGTCTGTTGGAATACCCTGCCGTGTGAGGTGTCAGTGTGCCCCTGCTGGGGGGTGCCTCCCAGTTAGGCTGCTCAGGGGTCAGGGGTCAGGGACCCAGTTGAGGAGGCAGTCTGCCCCTTCTCAGATCTCCAGCTGCGTGCTGGGAGAACCACTGCTCTCTTCAAAGCTGTCAGACAGGGACATTTAAGTCTGCAGAGGTTACTGCTGTCTTTTTGTTTGTCTGTGCCCTGCCCCCAGAGGTGGAGCCTACAGAGGCAGGCAGGCCTCCTTGAGCTGTGGTGGGCTCCGCCCAGTTGGAGCTTCCTGGCTGCTTTGTTTACCTAATCAAGCCTGGGCAATGGCGGGCGCCCCTCCCCCAGCCTCGCTGCCGCCTTGCAGTTTGATCTCAGACTGCTGTGCTAGCAATCAGCGAGACTCCGTGGGCGTAGGACCCTCCGAGCCAGGTGCAGGATATAATCTCGTGGTTCGCGGTTTTTTAAGCCCGTAGGAAAAGCGCAGTATTCGGGTGGGAGTGACCCGATTTTCCAGGTGCCGTCCGTCACCCCTTTCTTTGACTCGGAAAGGGAACTCCCTGACCCCTTGCGCTTCCCAAGTGAGGCAATGCCTCGCCCTGCTTCATCTGGCGCACGGTGCGCGCACCCACTGACCTGCGCCCACTGTCTGGCACTCCCTAGTGAGATGAACCCGCTACCTCAGATGGAAATGCAGAAATCACCGTCTTCTGCGTCGCTCACGCTGGGAGCTGTAGACCGGAGCTGTTCCTATTCGGCCATCTTGGCTCCTCCGATTAGCCCTTTTTCTAAACAATATTCATTAATTCATGAGCTTGATGTCCTAGAAGTATTTTTTTTTCTTTTACTGAAATACATGAAAATAAACTAATCAACATAAGCATTAAAGTAAAAGAATCCATCCATGGAATCACCTGACATCATCTTGTACTACAGCCTCTCAGAGTTTGTAGGTTCTTTAACGGTTTTATGTGATTGAAATAATTTTCTGATATGTGAATCCCTCAGACCAAGAACCTTGGCAAATGGCTGCCAGCTTTCTCTACTTAGGAGGAGGAGAGGGAGAGGAGAGATTTGATTCAGGTAAGGGACACATACTTGCTCTCTGAGAAGGCTTTTTGATTTTGAAGACCTCTTTCTATAAGTTCTTCTTGACACTCCCTTAGCCAAACACCAACTCAAACTATCTAAGTCCCAATTCCAAACTCTGGGAGACAATCAGCTGGCCTAGGTTTGGTCAACCATGGCTCGAGGAGCAAGGTCATAGTTTGGTTGCTGGGGAAAAGGTGGGCCTCTGAGGCCCTCTGAGGAAGGTTCCTGGGTAAGTCATTGGCTTGTACACTGGGCAGACCATTCAAAAGTTATACCCTTTAATCACTATTCCCTTCATTCCTGCAAATATACCCACACGTTCTCTCAGCTCATAAGTCTTAGCTCATTGTATAATATGGTTGCAAATCCTCCCATCACCTTGAGGGTTAATTTTGGGGCACACTCAGGTTTGGCAAAGAATTCTTTATCAAAATACTTTAGGTGTGGTTCGATAGCTCCAGGACAACAGAAAAGACACTGCATTTTCTATAGAAGCAATAAATTTTGGGGGGAGTGGTTAACTCCAGGCCGTTAATGTCATATTTCTCTGGTGATTCATTGTTATAGTCCATTAAAGTGCAAGATTTGTTATTGCTGCCTACTGAACAATTTTCTATTCTTCATTCTAGCAGTTTTAGACCAATAGACTGGTATGGACCCAAGACAATGCTCTCACTGGGCTAGGACAAAAATGAGAAAAATGAGGACAATGCAATATACATGTATGAGTGAAAGGTGGCCAACTATTCCCTTTTGGTAAATACTGATGTTTATTATGATATTATTCCATTCCTACTTGATTGTTAAAAGAGATGTTTGCAACCCTATGTCAGTCCTCCAAACCCAACTACAGTAACAACAAATTATAGTTCTGTGAAATCCAGAAACATGGCGACAAAAATTAACCTTAATTAACAAAATTATATCTCAGTTATTCAAGGGGCCATTAGCAATTTTTGTTTACCATATTAATGAGAACATTTGGCTGGGCATGGTGGCTCATGCCTGTGATCCCAGCACCTTGGGAGGTGGAGGTGGGCAGATCACTTGAGCCAAGGAGTTCGAGACCAGCCTGGGCAATACAGCGAAACCCTGCCTCTACAAAAAAACCTAAAAATTAGCCCGGCGTGGTGGTGCATGCCTGTCGTCCCGGATACTCTGGAGTCTGAGGTAGGAGGATCACCTGAGCTCAAGGAGGTCAAGGCTGCAGTGAGCCATGATTGTGCCACTGCACTACAGCATGGGAGATAGAGCAAGACCCCGTCACACGTGCATGCACACACACACACACGCACACACACACACAGAGGACCTTCATGATGTTCAGGGAGAATGCCAATAGGCCTCAAGATTTCTTCCTTTTTTGTAGCAGAGAGTACATACTATAGCTAAGGATAAGATTCCTTCAGGATAAGGAGGGCTCTGCCCTTGAAAGAGCTGTAAGAAAAGGAAGATCAAAGCAATTAATACATGGGCCTCTTCAAAGCAGCAAGTTTCTCAGGCAAAAAAAAAAGAAAAAAATTCTAGTTTTCATCCCTGACCTCAAAGTATCCTGGTTCTCTGCCTCATTACCCCAGATTTCCTGTATTTTAACCAGTACTCTCTGATTAAGCAATTACCAGTTCCACATCTTTCATAGCATCTGCATCTGACACCATTAGCCAGGCCCTATTGACTATTCTTGACCACATCCTGCCTTACCAGTTTCTCCTCCCCGCTAGAAATCCCAGTTTCCTTTGTGAGCCAGTCTTAACATTTGCAGTCTCTGATTGCCACACTCTCGTCTACCTACCATTTCTCAGATTTGAATGTCTTGACACTCCTGATCTATTTATTATTTAATTCATATACTGAATATTTTATCTGGACCAGGCATTTTTCTGGGTTCTGAGGACACAGATGAATGGTCTTGGTCCTTGAAGAGTGGCTGGTCTACTGCGGAAAGAGAAACAACAGTAGATGATTTTAACAGTCATATTCAAACTAGGGTCTGGGATTCCAGTGCCCACGTTGGTATTTCTGGTGAAACCAAGCAATACCTCTTTACTTGTCTCAGACCAAAGAGAAAAGAACAGAAGTGAACTGTTATGGTCCCAAGGCTTTAAGGAAAGGCTGACAATGTTTTGCAATATTTGAAATGGGTAAGTTGAGTCTTTGCTCTCCGCTCACAGCACAAAAGTAGTTCCTAGGTTCCTATACCCCTGCCCTAAGGTGGGGTGTTCTTATCTCTCAACTCTGTCTTTTAAGGGATTTGTGCCAGAGTACTGATGTAGGTGAGCTTTAAAAACAGATACAGTCCCCAAACCAGGAACCTTTTAAGAAACTGAGAGTTCACAGTTGGAGCACTTATCTCTTGCCACAATAGTGCTGTATAACAAACCATTCCCAAACTCAGTGGCTCAAAACAACCATTTATTTCAAGTCTGTGGATTCTGCTGATCTTGTCAGTGGTTCTGTCATAGCTGGGACTCACCTGTTGGTGGTTGACTGACCTTTGGTTGATGAAGACAGCCTCGGCTGGGAAGAATGGCTTTGCTACGTTGTCCTGTGGTGCAGGCAGAGGAGCAAGGGAGAGTAAACTGGGCAAGGGCTTTGAGGCCTTTGGCTTAGGGAAAGAGCACAGACACTTCTGCCACTTAGACAAGTCATAGGCCAGCCGTGATTCAAGAAATAGGGAAGTAGACTTCACTTTCTGATGAGAGTGGTTTCAAAGTCTTATCACAATGGGCATCAGTATAAGAAAGTAGAATAGAGAGGCCATTTTGTAATCAATCTACCAAACTAGACTCCCAGCTTTTTGAAAAACAGCGCCCTTTTCCTACCTCAATGCTGTGACAGAGAAAGAATGACTAAAGCCACACTACATCAGTGATGAGATGGTAGTCCAGGATACTAAAAAGTATACATCTAGTAACTCCAGGGAACAGAACAAAGCATTGTTGATGATTGGTTGAGTACACTTATGAAATGTCTTTAGGGACACCCTGAGAAAACTAGCAGTACTCAGAAAGACAATAAACGTGGTAGTCAAATCGACTCACTTTAACCAGAGGCCACTCTGGCAGAATGTTTTACCTAGCTTCTTTTTTCTTTTTGATATTTCCCTCTGTCTTCTTCCCTAACTTCCTACCATTCCCCTTTCTTTTACACAAATACTTTCAGGAGACTATTTCTTGCTTTGCCTTCTAAAAACTCAAAGTCTGAAAACAAAACAAATTGTTTAAAGAAAACAGCAATATTAATAGAGAGAATGCTTTCCCCCTAGAGACTAGAATAGGATTCCCCAGGGAAGGTCAGAGAAAAAGAAAAGGAGGTAGATGAGAGTTGAAAGGCAAGTGGTCCTCTGCCCAATTTCTGGGTGGCGTGCCTGACCAGCAAACAGAGCATACCCAAAACAGGGTTCCAGAGATAGAAGCAACAGAAAAATTCTTGAGACCTCAAGTGTGTCAGGGAAACAGCAGTGATTGCTGACCTCTTGAAGGGAGTCTCACAGACAAGCCTGAGGAATAGTATGATGGACTTGTTAAACATGCAGACTCTGGAGCCAGACTCCATGGGTTCCTGTACTAGCTCTGCCATTCACCAGCCTTTGTGACCTTGTACAAATCAGGCAACTTATGTGTCATTTGACTTCATTTGTTAAGAGAGTGCCACCTTGAATGTTGCTGTTTAAATTAAATTAATGAATGAATGTATGCAAAGTGTTTAGTTAATTCCTGGCACATGGTAACCACTATGAAAAGATAATCTGTCATTATTACTATATTATCTCAGCACCAATGTTTTTAGTCCAGTAGCCAGTTCAGCCTCTGGATGATTCCAGGGCTATCAGGGAGGCAGAGACAGATCCTAATGTACCACTGCATTCTCCAGGTCTTCACACTTTATAAGCCTCAGGGATTTAGATACAGCTCTGGTAAAAGGAGAGGAGAATCCAGATTTGCCGAAATCTTGTTTCTGCCACTCTGATGAAATAAAATCTTCAAATAAGAATGAGGTTGGATAAGAGAAAAATAAAACATTTTATTTCTTACATATCCACCTTTATGTATTAGGATGACTCCTATTTCGAGGTATGTTCTTTCAAAACCTAGTTTACGGAGAGTTTTTAGTATGAATGGATGCTGAATTTTATTGAAAGCCTTTTCTGCATTGATGGAGATAATCCTGGAGGTTTTCGTCTTTAGTTCTGTTTATGTGATGAATCACATTTATTGATTTAGATATGTTGAACCAACCTTACATCCCTGGGATAAAGCCTACTTGATTATGGTGGATAAGCTTTTTGATATGCTGCTGGATTCAGTGTGTTAGTATTTTGTTGAGGATTTTTGCATGGATCTTCATCAAGGATATTGGCCTGAAGTTTTCTTTTTTTGTTGTATCTCTGCCAGATTTTGGTATCAGGATGATGCTGACCTCATAGAATGAGTTATGGAGGAGCCCCCCTCCACCTCAAATTTTGAATGGTTTCATTAGGAATGATAAAAATTCTTTTTTGTACATCTGGTAGAATTCAGCTGTGAACCTGTCTGGTCCTGGTCCTGGGCTTTTTTTGTTGTTGTTGTTAGTAGGCTGTTTATTACTGCTTTAATTTCAGAACTCTTTATTGGTCTGTTCATGGATTCAGTTTCTTCCTGGTTCAGTGTTGGGAGGGGGTATGTGTCCAGGAATTTATCCATTTCTTCTAGATTTTCTAGTTTATGTGCATAGAGTTAGTCATAATATTCTCTGATGGCTGTTTGTATTTCTGTGGGGTCAGTGGTATATCCCCCTTGTTGTTTCTGATTGTGTTTATTTGAATCTTCTCTTTTCTTCTTTACTAGTCTAGCTAATGGTCTATCTATTTTATTAATTTTTTCAAAAAACCAGCTTCTGGACTTGTTTGTCTTTTGAATGGTTTTTTTGTTTCTCTAGCTCCCTCAGTTCAGCTCTGATTTGGGTTATTTCTTGTCTTCTGCTAGCATTGTGATTTGTTCGCTTTTGGTTTTCTAGTTCTTTTAGTTGTGATGTTAGGTTGTTAAACTTAAGATTTTTCTAATTGTAGTAAATGTGTTCAAATACACATAACATGAAGATAACTATTATAGTCTTCTTAAGCTTATAGTTTGGTGATATTAAGTATATTCACATTGTTGTGCAACCACCACCTCTATCTAGCCCCAAAACACCACCCCAAAAGGAAACTTCATACTCATTAAACAGTTATTTTTCATTCCCCTATCCCCTGACAACCACCAATCTGCCTTCTGTCTCTATAGATTTTACCTATTCTGGATATTTCATATAAATGGAATCATACAACATGTGACCCTTTGTATCTGGTTTCTTTCATTTACTATGATGTTTTCAAAGTTCAGCCATGTTGTAGCAAGTATTACTACTTCATTTCTTTACATGACCAAATAATATTTATAGTTACATGTATATCACAATTTGTTTATCCTTTCATCCTTTGATGAACATTTGGGTTGCTTTTACCTTTTGGCTACTGTGAATAGTGCTGCTTTGAACATGTATGTGCATTGATTTGTTTAAGTACATTTATTTAGGAGAATTGCTAGAGAATGCGGTGATTCTATGTTTAAGTTTTTGAGGCACTGCCAAACCATGTTTGTTTGTTTGTTTGTTTGTTTGTTTGTTTCGATGGAGTCTCACTCTGTCACCCAGGCTGGAGTGCAGTGGCGCGATCTCTGCTCACTGCCACCTCCGCCTCCCAGGTTCAAGTGATTCTCCTGCCTCAGCCTCCCGAGTAGCTGAGATTTAAGGCACGTACCACCATGCCCAGCTAATTTTTGTATTTTTAGTAGAGGTGGGGTTTTGCCATGTTGGCCAGGCTGATCTCGAACTCCTGATTACAGGTGTGAGCCACTGCACCCAGCCTGCCAAACTTTTTTCACAGCAGGAATAGGTTTTGATGGAATCCAAAGCCATATCATATTGTCCTTCTTAACATTTTATGAGTCTAGGCACCTTCTCTACCAATTTCCCTCTAGCCAACAGTTCCCAGAATTCCTCCATTCTCCTCTGGTCCCCAGAGCCTGAGCTACAGCTCATGGCTGTTATTTCCCAGCAGGCAGCTGGGGCTTCCCTTTGCTTTCTGGAAGAACCCTTGGAACATGATGCCTCTGTCCACCCTGCTCTCTTGGAACTGATTCTTGACTCTGCTCCCTATATATCACTGCAAACCTAAATCTGCCAAAATTGTCTTCAGACTTAACTTAGTTTTAGAAGTGTTTTATTGTTAAAAATAACACATACACAGAAAAAGGCATAAAACAAATGTGCCACTTAATGAATCATTAGAGGGCAAACATTCTTTTAACCAGCACCCATGAAAGGAGATAGAACCTTACCAGCCATCCCAGAAGTTCTCTATGAGGCCCCTCCCAAATACAGGCCCCTGCACCTCACTAAGAGTAATCACGGTCCTAACCTTTTGGGGAATTGCTTCCTTATTTTTATTTATAGCTTTATCACCCAAATGTGCATCTCTGTCCTCTATACTTTCAACACATCAGTAGTTGGATCTAAAGGATAATCAGAATGAAGTTTGATTTTTTAGAATGAAGAGTGCTTCAAAGTTGATGTTGGGCTGTTCGCCAAGAGGCACATACTGTCTGGTTTGCATTATCAGCAGCCCTGGAGCTCAATGTTTATATCCTTAATTCATTAGATATTGCAAAATGGTATTCCAATTCTATCATTTCTTCTTTATTTACTTTTTTGCATATTATATCAAAAGACACGTCTTCTCATCTGGTATTTAGCTATCCAATAGTACAGTTTGTATTGTAAACTCAGGATAAATGTTTGAGCCTTGCAGTTTACTTACTACTACTTTTCAAAATAAATAGTTGGTTCCTTAGCATCTTCCACAGGTCAACAATTAGGGTTGTTGTTTTTTTTTCCATCATTATATGATCTTAGCCAAAAGGCCAAGAAGTGATGGCATCATTATGAACTCAAAGTTATAAACATATTTAATATGTTTCAATCCACAACAATTATTACCGTTATTGATGCTCAGTTTGTAAGTTTTAGTTTTGACCTGTTGACCAAGTGAAGCTTGCGTAGTTACTGGGTTATATTGTAGGAGTCACCTAACTAAGTCTGAAGTGAGAAGCTTTTAAACCAGATTTTGTGCTTTAAGAATCTGTTGACAAAGCATAGGCTTCTAGCTTGGCAAAAGCATCCTGGACCACTGAAGCTCTTTCTAAGGCGGGAGTAGCTAGGGAGGGTGATTCCCTGATCCAATAGGTCTCCGCTGCCAGCTCTGCCTCCCTGCAGCCTGTGTGGTGTATTAGCTGAGCAGCACCTGCAACCCAATCCAGAAGTGAAAGCAAGATCATGTGAGCAGGAATGTGTGGGTCTTGTGTCTTGGGAGGCCTTTTCCTCTCTGCTTTTCCACCCTTCCACAGACCCTTGCATCCTCAAAGGAGATGTCTCAGCTTACCAAACCCCCTTCTCCTGATTAAAGGAAAAATAAGGAGAGAAATATTTCGATTCATAAAGATGGAAACCAAAGCGAGGTCTCCCTGAGACCTTGAACTGTGACACAGCTATTCAAAATAAGGTATCTGGTAGTTAAAAATATAAGGTAAAATTTTATGTACTGACTTAGAAATACAGGTATGTCAAAAATCTTAGTGAACTTTTAAGATTTATCTCAGAGTTATAAATGCTAAAAACTTAAAAGTTTACTTATATTTCTTTTATACTTAGCTTTGTAAACTTTGAATGTGTGACTTTTAAATTTTTTGTTTCAGTAGTGGTTGCTAATTTCAACCAGAGGGACTGAAACAGGAATTATAATTATTATTTTTTAATTTGCAAAACTATATAAGTTGGCATGAAGTTAAAATGATCAAATTTTCACATGATGGTTTGGAGGATTATCTCTGGGACATAAGATTATGAGGACATTTTTACTTGGCTGGACTTTTAAAATATTTTAAAAATCAACGCATATTTTATTTTTGATAAAAACAGTTTTATATTTTGAAATAAAAAGATTTAAAAGGAGAAATAATCAAATTTTGGATATAAAATGGTGAATTATATGTAATTTACCTACTTAAAAGTGTCTGAGTATTTGGAATTTCCAGTAGGAATAATAAATTGTCTTAACATTTTCAGTCAAGAGTGCTATGTGCTATTGGATGTGATTAGAAGTCAAGGGAGGGATATTATAAAACCAGAGAAAGTATAGTAATCATAGCCTTTAGGAGTTTACAACCTAATTTAAAAAAATAATATAGTGGAAAAGCCATGGGTTTTAGAAATATGGGGGCCTAGGTTTAAATCACTGTTTACCCGCTTACTAGGTCTTTGACCTTAGGCAAGTCTGTCTTTCAAGTCTTTGTTTCCTCAACTATACAATAGAGCTTATATCTTCTTTATAGAACTATTAGAATTAAGTAAAACAGTACAAATAAAGCTTCAAGCATAGTGCCTAATAAATTCTCAAAGCTTTCATATATCTGAAGATGTTTATTTCATCTTTAAAAAAACTTTTTTACAGAACATGAAATCTACCATCATTAAATGCATTTACAGTGTTGTGCAATTATCATCACTACCCATTTCCAGAGCTTTCAGTCATCACAAAGAACTTTTTCATTATCCCATTAAATAATAACTCCCCATTTTCCCCTTCTCCCAGCCCCTGAAACCTCTGTTATACCCTCTGTCTCTGCAAATTTAACTATTCCAGGTACCTCATTGATATGGTTTGGAGATTTGTCCCACCCAAATCTCATATGGAAATGTGATCCCCGATGTTGGAGATGGGATCTGGTGCGAGATGTTTGGGTCATGGGGGTAGTAGATCTTTCAGGAATGGCTTGGTGCCCTCCACATGTTAATGAGTGAGTTCTTGTTCTATTTGTTCACATGAGAGATGGTTGTTTCAAGAGCCTGGCACCTCCTCCCATGCTCTTTTGCTCCCTCTGTTGCTGTCTGATGCACTGGTTCCCCCTTCACCTTCTGCCATGATTGTAAGCTGTCTGAGGCCCTCACTAGAAGCTGAGAAGATGCCAGTGCCATGCTTCCTTTACAGCCTGCAGAACAGTGAGCCAACCAAACCTCTTTTCTTTATAAATTACCCAGTCTCCGGTATTCTTTTATAGAAATGCACATGGACTAACACACTCATATAAGTGGAATCATAAAATATTTGTCCTTTTGTGTTTGGCTTATTTCACTTAGCATAATGTTTTCAAGTTTCATTCATCTTATAGTATACATCCAGAAAGTCATTCCTATTTAAGGCTGAATGACATTCCATTGTATATCTACACCATATTTTGTTTATCCATTCATCTGTTGATGAACATTTGGGTTGTTTCTACCTTTCGGCTATTGTGAATAATGTGCTATTAACATGGGTGTGAAAGTATCTGAGTCCCTATGTTCAATATTTCACATGTGTATCTAGAAGTAAAATTGCTGGATCATGTGGTATTTCTATGTTGAACTTTTTTTTTTTGAGACCGAGTCTTGCTCTGTCACCAGGCTGGAGTGCAGTGGCACGATCTCGGTTCACTGCAACCTCTGCCTCCCAGGTTCAAGCGATTCCCCTGCCTCAGCCTCCTGAGTAGCTGGAACTACAGGCATGCTCCACCACGCCTGGCTGATTTTTTTGTATTTTAGTAGAGACGGGGTTTCACCATGTTGGCCAGGATGGTCTCAAACTCTTGACCTTGTGATCTGCCTGCCTTGGCCTCCCAAAGTGTTGGATTTACAGGTGTGAGCCACTGCGCCCAGCCTCTATGTTGAACTTTTTGAGGAACTGACATTGCTGTTTTCCACAGTGACTGCACCACTTTACATTCCCACTAGCAATACACCAGGATTCCCATTTCTCCACATCCTTGCCAACACTTGATTTTTCATTTCTCTGGTAATAGCCATCCTAACCAGTATGAAGTGGTTTGGATTTGCTAATCATACCCCTAATGATTAGTGATGTTGAGCATCTTTCCATATACTCATTGGCCATTTGTGTATTTTCTTTGGAGAAATGTTTATTCGAGTCATTACCCATTTTTTAATTCAGTTGTTTGTTTTTGTTAAACCTTATTTTTATATTTTGGGTATTAATCTCTTAGATATGATTTGGAAATACTTTATTTTCTTTGGGTTGTCTTTTCACTCTATTGCTGGTATCCTTTGTCACATTCCATGAATGAATAAATGAATGAATGACAACAAGATAAAGCCCAGATAGAAACTCAGATATGACTAACAAAGTCAGTACTCTCAAATACTAGCATCTGCTGCCCTAGAGCATGTAGCATGGTGTGTTTGGACCACCTGTCACCATGAACTGTTTCCTGTTCCATCCACCATCCTAGTCCTCTTGGGCTTTCCACCACGTGTGGTGTGGAAGAGTTATAGATATAAGGACATATGATCCCCTCAGGCTCTTCTTGAACCAGAATCCCCAGGTCAGTTTAGATTGGAGATGCCTCTCCTGGTTATCCAAGCTGGCTGTACAAATGTTGTAATTTGCTATGTGTGCTATTCAGTGAAGTTTGGCAAGCACTGCTTTAAGCAATCAGGCAGACAATTTAGCTTCTCTGGCTTCTTACTGTTAAGGAAGCCAAGAAGGGTAAATAAAAGGGGCGTTAAAAACAAAAAAGATGTTTTTAAAGTCTTAGAGAAATCGATATTCTTAGGCTTGAATGGATTGAATATTTAGTTACATCCATAACGGCAACAACAAAAAAGGATCCTGTGCCATTAACACAAGGACCATGTGTAGGTTAAAACAGTAACATTTCCTGTAAATCTAAAACTTTAAAAATAAAGTCTTTTAAAAAGCAACAACCACAATTACAACTACTAATAAGAAGCCTCAAGTTTTTGACCTCACGAGTACTACAGCTAAATTTGTTAGCTGATGAATATATGTTAAAGTTGACAAAGAGAAAAATTGTGAATGTGCATTAACATAATATACTAGTAAGAATCCAGAAAGTTCAGCCCTTAAGATCCATATCTATAGCATTCTTCTTCAGCTATTTTTTGACAAAGAATCTTGGGCCTTAGGAGGCACATCCCAGGTATACTTCTAATAGAAGGAAATCATGAATCGTTCCAGGTAGCTTAGCACTTACTAAATCAGAAGTTCCCAAATAAATGATTCTCCTATACATGGTAAGCTATCCTGAACCTGACCAATATTTATCCAGTTCTTAGAAATAAGAAAACTCATAGACTTTCTGTAAAGCATGACATATGCTGGGGTTGGACTCATTGGTAAATCAGTGACAAAATAAATCCTCATGTACAGGGAAAAATGAAAGTGACTGTGAGTAGGGGCAGCCTGAATGCAAAATGCCTTTGCATATCAAGGTAGGATGGGCAAACTACCATAGTGGGCAAGAGTAGGGCAGGTCTCACAGTGAGGATGAAGTTGCCCAAGGCTGGCTCCACAATAGCAGATCTGGAGGAAAAACATGACCATAGACTGGCGCAGAAGCTGTGCCCAAAGTCAGATTACAGACCCTTGACTGTATCTTCTCCTGCCTCATTTCTCATCATGCTCAGTCCAGCCACGCTCCAAGGAGGAGCGCTTCTTTGGTATAGCCCCACATCTATCATCCCTCCCAGCTGGTCTTAGAACATGCACTTTCTTGGACATGAACTAGCACACAGATGTGTGGTTTTCACATTCTCTTTTGCAGAACCCTTGAGTACTGAGGCAGAGGCACAGGTCTGGAGAGGGCTGAGCAGTGTCCGTGAAAGTGGCTCAACTTTCATATGTTCATATACAGACATTTTATGTATGATTTTATTTTGAGAACAGGTTTCTGCCCATGAGAAAAGTTTGAATGACATCTAGCTAAATTAAGCCTGTCAGATGCATGGAGAGTATTATTTCTGTGCTGCAGAGAGTAACCTGAGCTGTCAGATGTAATTATAGAAGAGATGGGACATCTGGCTCCAAGTTCCTGCTACTTCTGAATTAGTAACTGAGGTAGTTACCAGCAGGAGCTGAAGTTGAAAGGATGCAAGGTGTAGCCAGGAGGTGGGGAGAGTCAGGGCCTCGAGGCGAAGTGGGACATGAGAGGTCATGGCCAGCCTAACAGCCACATGAGCCAGTCTTGTTTAGTCCACTTTCTACCCACCCACTCCCACCACCTCTCCGGATCATTTGAAGCAAATCCCAGACATTGTCTCAAATTATCTGTCAATAATTTATTATGTTTCCATAAAAGATAAGGACTCTCTTTTTTGAAAGAGAAAAACTCCATTATCACACCTTAAAAATTACACTAATTCTTTATTTTAAATTTTTAAAAATTTTTTTAGAGATAGGGTCTTGCCCTGTCACCCAGGCTGGAGTGTGGTGGTGTGATCATAGCTCAGTGTCAAATCCTGGGCTCAAGAGATCCTCCCACCTCATCCTCCAGAGTGGCTGGGACTACAGGTGCATACCACCATGCCTGGCTAATTGTTTTAATTTTTGTAGAGATAGGGTCTTGCTATGTTGCCCAGGCTGGTCTCAAACTCCTGGGCTTAAGCGATCCTTCTGCCTCAGCTTTGTGCAAAGTGTTGAGATTACAAGCATGAGCCACTGTGCCTGGCCTCATTAATTCTTTAATGTTATAAAATTTCCTTCCAGAGTTCAGATTTTCTTGTCTCTCTCACATATTTTTTAACCTTCTATTTGTTTACATCAGGATCCAAACAAAAGCCTCTTCTGCATTTGGTTGTCTTTTAAGCCTCTTTCGTTCTCTAAAGATTGACCTTCCTCGCCTTTTCTGTTTGTTATTTATTTGTTAAAGAAACCAGATCGGGATATTTTTTAAATATTATTATTTTAAACATGGCAAAAAAGCAGCTCTGCCAATTTGAATAATTGTCTTTGGCCAGAACAAAAAAAAAAAAGGAAAAAGAAAGTTGCTGGTGATTGTGAACATAGTGTGAAAACCAGACCAGTTCTATTAAACTCTTCCTATGTGCCAGATGCAAACAATCCACAGTAAACTGTGATTGGTCAGAATTGTTTTAATAGATGCTTAATCTAAATGGAAGAGTCTAGTACTAAATAGTCTACTACTACAGCTTTCCATTTTCTACACACAGAAAAGCCTTTATTTAGTCATCCACTTATTCACTAATTCCTTTGACCATTTGACAATATTTGGTCATGGAGTAGATTGTCTGTTTACAGAAGTGTTCCTCTGTAAAGTAAGTACGAAATACTTGGTCAGAAGCATCAAGACCTTTTTTTCATTGTAATGGATTTGAGGAGCTGAGGAAGCTGACAGTGTCACACGGACATCCAGGCATGGGATTTGGCTGATGGGGTAGACAGTGGGCCCTGCACTAAATCAGGGAACCAGGTGGAAGAGCTGAACTCAAGCAGATTTAGAGAAGAGATACATTGGCTTCAGAAAATGACAGTCACCAGCTCTGCTCCTGCCAGTGCTACTGAATCCAATGACTGCCCTGAGGGCCATGGTACTCCTTTCCCAGTGGAGAGAGCTTGCTCCCTGCAGATGGGCCAGCTCTTCCACCAACCCTCAGGAAGAATGACCTGTACCTGATGTAACCATCAAGCAGCCATCTGGTCAACCTAAGTTTGTGGCTGCTCCTAGGGAGGAGTCAACAGGAAATTCTTTGGGAAGTGGATGACGGAAGAGGAGTGATCTTGTGTGCACTCTCCTCTAATGCAGTGCCAGGAGCTGAGGAGGACCTCAAATCTCTTCCCTCTAACATCAGCAAGAGGTTCTGGCCAGGACCTTCTGTCCTACTACCTCCAGGCTCTAAACTTAGCCTTAATCTTCCTTTATTTGATAGAGTTTTAAAAACAGTCTCTGGGGCCCTGCCCATGCCCAAGGTCTCCTTCATTTCTTCCCCGAGGTAGACTCAGCATGCCCCTTACCCAAATTATGTTTCAGAAAAATTTGAAACCACCATATTACACAACAGTTGGAGAATTTGTAAGTAAAATATTATGTAAAATATAGAATAATCTGTTGTGAAATTTTAAAAGTCATTCTGTAGTATCTGGGATAAATTAATTGGGTTAAATGGAACAAGAACAACACACAAATGAATGCAAGCTGTGTTATAGTTATAAAAAAATGGCGTATGTAGAAAAGCAGAAAGGGAGCGTATTCTCTTTGGCTCGTGCTCTCTTGCCCTCTTGCTTGCATGCTCTAATGAAGCCAGCTGGCATGCTTGGAGAAATTCTATGGAAAGGTCCACATGGAAATAAACTTTTAAAATTATAGTAATCATGTAACATAGGATTTATCTGATTCCAGTGTTTGCAGGCACAAACTTATAAGAAACTTAGAAACAGCAAATGCATCTTTTCTAGCTGGTATATGAAAGAAACTTGATGTGTGGGGGTTCCCCACATTTTTCTACAAAAATATAGAAGAAAATGTATTATCGAGGCATTTAAGGCAATTAATTATAAAAGTTTTCTGGAAATCAAAGAAAAAAATGAATAGGGAAATAGCAACAATTTTCCTAGCATTATGAGGATTATAGATGAATTTTTTCTTTAAAAATTTGCTTTTATACCATCATAATTTTAAAACAGAAACAAAATAAAAACTAGTGTGTTGGATTAAAAAGGAATAAGCATGATCCTTAAATAATACTTGTTGTAGCTGAAGAAAATGATAATATAAATAGCAGAAAATTAAAAAGTCATTTCTAAGTAATTGGATGGGTGATTTTCAATTTATTTTTATAATTTCTTTTACTTTTTAGTTTTGTCAGTTTATTAGTTATCTGATATTATTAATAACCTTTGTGGAATGTTTTACTCATTTGGCAAAGCAGGAATGTGTATATAATAGTGTTAAACCCATCAACCAAACTATAAGGATCTGTTTCGAAAACTGGCCTCAAAATAATGTAATCTGCCACAGAGAGCTTTCTTTAGCAACTGTAATTCCAAATAATTTTTATGTACCATTTATTACTATATTAATTATAATTAATATAATTATATACAATTATATTAATTATATATAATTAATATTAATATATTAATATTAATTGGAAAACCACAGGAAGTAGCACATAGAAGCCTTCTCATGACCTTTCTGAGCACAGTTGGTGGAACTGCGATCTGATTGGGATTTTTCTCTGTAGGGTCACATCAGTCATGTTGGGCCCAGACTGGAAATATCAGCAGTACAGCCCACAGAGAAATGCTGGGAGGACTCAGAGTTGACATGGATGATTCAAGCACAGGGTGTAGAAATTTATAAAAAAACAGAGAGTTCAAAAGTTCCTGGGCACAACAGTAACATCTTGTAAAGCTTTGTCTAGAAGATGAATGCAAAAGAGAAATAGTTCCAAACCAGATACAAAAAGCCACACATTGTATTATTTGACTTATTAAAAAATGTCTAGAAGAGGGAAATCGGGACAAACAGAAAGTATGTTAGTGGTTACCAGTGTCTGAGGGGAGGTGAGAATGGGGAATGACTGCTCATGAGTATAGGTTTCTTTTGAGATGAGGAAAATTTTCAGGAATTAGACAGTGGTGATGGATGCACAACTGAACACTAAAAACCACTGAATTGTACTCTTTAAAAGGATAATTTTATGTTATATGAATTATACCCTAATACAACTGTTACTAAAAACAACAGAGGGAAAATGGTTATTCTGATACTAAGTTTGGATAATAAATCCCTTTTAAATTGAGGCAGCATCCAAAAAGGACTCTCTTGGTTTTAAAATTTTAGACATACTGCTGTCTTCCCAATGTCCAAGACCTTTTCCCCACCATGTCACAGTTAATCGATAATCTGACTTTTTTTTTCTTATTTTATTTTATGTATTTATTTATTTATTTTGAGACGAAATCTCTCTCTGTCACCCAGGCTGGAGTGCAGTGGCGAGATCTCAGCTCATTGCAAGCTCTGCCTCCCAGGTTCAAGCAATTTTCCTGCCTTGGCCTCCCTAATAGGGTTACAGGCCACTATGCCCACCTAATTTTTGTATTTTTAGTAGAGACAGTTTCACCTTGTTAGCCAGGCTGGTCTCGGACTCCTGACCTCAAGTGATCTGCCCACCTTGGCCTCCCAAAGTGCTGGGATTACAGGCATGAGCCACCATGCCCCACAATCTGTGACTTCTGAGCTAATTTGCACCTTCCTGTAGAGAACCAGCTTGTCTCAATTAGGTGGACACAGATTTCTATTTCTCTGGAGCTGAAATAATGAGATATAAAGAAGCTAGTTCAAATGTAAAGAATAATGTCTGACATAAAAATATGATTATAACTAATACCATATATCCATTTAAATATTCATTGACTCTAGAAAAATATGTCAACTTATTTAGATTTTATGCATGAGGACGTGAAGTTTCTATAGTTCTTTGGAGTTTTAGGTTCTTGTGGAATTGCCACTTCTTTGTTTTTTTAAGAGGAAGGTTGGCCCTCCCTGAGGATACATTTTTGGATACATTTCTGTCTTCCCAAGATAAGGCAGGTTCTTCTGGGCACTAGATTAATTATCTGATTTTCATCTTATTTCACAGTGGACCAATGACTAGTTATATTTTCTTATCTCTTAGAAAGTTTTTAAATCCATCTTCCTCTAGTGTTTCAGAGGAATGGTAACTACATCGTCTGAAAGGAAGTAGTTATTTCTTATGAGATAATAGTTTGGTGTGGTTTTTTTTTCCAAGTCCACTGTTTGGGTAAACTCAGCCATCTTTAATAGTTCTAACTCATGTTCCCAGTGCATTCACAGTGATTGACTTGTTACAGTGGTTCCCAAACTCTTCCTCTATTTCAAAGATAGCCTATACCTCCAGTCTCACAGAAGCCTTGATAGGTAGAAAAACTGATGGAGGATCCTATAGGTGACACTTTCCTGATCCTTGCATTTGTGACTGCCTTCTTTACCCCTATGAAGTCTTACACATGAAAATCTATTTAAATGGAGCAATGAGAGAGGTTTTATACAGATATAAAAAACACTAATTCTGAAGACTTCAAATGAAGAGATCTTGAAATATAAATTTCTTAGCTGAATGAAAAAAAATAATAAACAGAAAATTACACAGAATTATTCACAATGTTAACAGACCCCTAAAAATGGCCACAGCTCTAGAAATAGAAAAGATATACTGAGAAGAAGCCCAGAAAGATTTGGAACAGAATTCTAGCTTCCTGCTAATCTAGCTCTATGGCATTGAGCACATTATATAACTCCTCTGTGCCTCTGTTTCCTTTTCTTTGATTTGAGTATAATACTAGCTGTCTTCCAAGATTAGACTAATATCTGGCATATGATAGGACTCAACAAATTGCAGGTGGTAGTGGGAGCAGTCATTTTTTTCTGTTTAGGAGCTAATAGTAATAATATTGACAAACATTTTTGTATATAGTGTTAAATAATCCCATGTTTTAGGGAGCACAACAACCAGCTAACTAGCTTGGACACTACCATTGAAGATTCTGTAATGAGAAAGTCTTCAAAAGGTTTTTAACATTTTTCCAAAGTTCCGTAATAGAAGGAAAAGCTTTTTAAAGAGATAGCACATTATACTTATCTCTAGCCAGGCACTCATTGGCCTTTTATAATCTTATTTATAAAATAGAACAAAACAATTGAAGAACTTCAATCCCCACCTATAAGAACTACAAATAAGGCCGGACGCGGTGGCTCATGCCTGTAATCCCAGCACCTTGGAAAGGCAACGCGGGCAGATCACGAGGTCAGTAGTTCAAAACCAGCCTGACCAATATGGTGAAACCCTATCTCTACTAAAAATACAAAAATTAGCCGGGCATGGCGGTGCACACCTGTAGTCCCAGCTACTTGGGAGGCTGAGGCAGGAGAATCACTTGAACCCAGGAGGTGGAGGTTGCAGAGATCTGAGATTGCGCCACTGCCCTCCAGCCTGGGTGACAAAGCAAGACTCCATCTAAAAAAAAAAAAATTAGCAAGAGGTTTTATAGATATTGACCAGCCAATTCGTGAATTTGTCTAGAAATGTAAAAGTCCTAGAATAGCTAGTACAATACTGGTGAAGAAAAAACATATTGGAAGACTCACATTACCTAATATCAAGATTTACTGTAAAGCTTCAGTGATCAAGACAGGATGGTAGTGATGAAGGAATAGACACACAGATCAATGGGACAAGCTGAGTTCAGAAATAGTCAAATATATAGTTAAATGATTTTTGACAGAGTAAAGGCATTCAACAAAGAAAGAATAGTCTTCAATAAATGGTGCTGGACCAACTTGACGTTCATATGCTGAAAAATCAACACAGGCACGGATCTTATACCTTTCACAAATATTAACTTAAAATGGATCTAAGACCTAAATGCAAGACTACAAGACTTCTGGAGGAAAGTGTAGGAAAAAATTTTATGTGGCCTTTGGCTTGCTGATGAGTTTTTAGACACAACAACAAAAGCATAAACCATGAAAGAAAGTGGAAATATTTTAATATGCACACTGGTTTGGCTTTGTCCCTGCCCAAATCTCATCTTGAATTGTAGTTTCCATAATTCCCACATGTTGTGGGAGGGACCTGGTAGGAGGTAATTGAATTATGGAGGACAGGTATTTTCCATGCTGTTCTCATTATAGTGAATAAGTCTCACAAGATCTGATGGTTTTATAAAGGGGTGTTCCCCTACACAAGCTCTCTCTTCCCTGCCTTCATGTAAGATGTGACTTGCTCCTCCTTGTTTTCCCCCATGATTGTGAGGCCTTCGCAACATGTAGAACTGTGAGTCAATTAAATCTCTTTTCTAAAATTAATTACCTCATCTTGGATATGTCTTTATTAGCACCATGAGTACAGACTAATACCCACTTTATTAAAATTAAAAACTTCTGGCTGAGCACGGTGGCTCATGCCTGTAATCCCAACACTTCGGGAGGCCGAGGTGGGCGGATCACGAGGTCAGGAGATCAAGACCATCCTGGCTAACATGGGTGAAACCCCATCTCTACTAAAAATACAAAAAATTAGCTGGGTGCAGTGGCAGGCACCTGTAGTCCCAGCTACTCAGGAGGCTGAGGCAGGGGAATGGCGTGAACCCAGGAAGCAGAGCTTGCAGCGAGCCGAGATGGCACCACTGCACTCCAGCCTGGGTGACAGAGCGAGACTCTGTCTCAAAAAAAAAAAAAAAAAAAAAAAAAAAAGGAATGAAACAATGGCATTCATGGTAACCTGGATGGGATTAAAGACTATTATTATTATTATTATTATTATTATTATTATTATTATTATTATTTGAGATGGAGTTTTGCTCTTGTTGCCCAGGCTGGAGTGTAGTGATGTGATCTCAGCTCACTGCAATCTCTGTCTCCTGGGTTCAAGGGATTCTCCTGCCTCAGCCTCTCAAGTAACTGGGATTACAGGCACCTACCACCACACCCAGCTAGTTTTTTGTATTTTTAGTAGAGACAGGGTTTCACCATGTTGGCCAGGCTGGTCTTGAACTCCTGACCTCAGGTGATCCTCCTGCCTCAGCCTCCCAAGGTGCTGGGATTACAGGCGTGAGCCACCATGCCCCACCTGGAGACTATTATTCTAAGTGAAGTAACTCAGGAATGGAAAACCAAACATCATATGTTCTCACTGATATGTGGGAGCTAAGCTATAAGGATGCAAAGGCATAAGAATGACACTCTGGGAACTCAGAGGAAAGGGTGAGGGGTGGTGAGGGATAAAAGACTACACCTTGGGTATGGAGTACAGTGCTCAGGTGATGAGTGCACCAAAATCTCAGAAATAACCTCTAAAGAACTTATTCATGTATCCACATACCACCTGTTCCCCAAAAACCTATTGAAATAAAAAATTTTTTAAATTAGAAATTCATAATGGAGGAAAGGGAAAGTAAAGGAGGTGAAGCAGAGTAGAGGGATGGGCAAGAGTCAAGTCTTTTTCCAAGGAAAGAATTGGTACAGATGCAATTAGGTATATAGGTTGGGAGACAAGAAGTTTGTGATTGTATTTTTCCTGTTGAATAGTGTTACAGGATCTTTAGAGTGTCGCTTTTCTGGTCAGAAACCTGTGGCTGGTGGCACCTTTGCCTGAGTTTTGCTTGGGCCCGTGGGGCTCATTCTGCCCACTTTGCCTGACAGACTGCGCTCAGCTCACACTACTGGTCTGGATCCCACACCTGCCAAGGGAGATTGCATGGAGCAGTAAGGTGTGTGTGGGCAAGCATGGGGTCCAGCCACTGCACAGCCAGACATGCTACTGCTGCAGTGGGGCAGGCAGCTCCAGGTGCCAGCCCAGGTGCCAGCTCTCTGTGAGGCTGCAGCTGGACCAGGCATACTGCAAACAGCTTCCACAGCTAGCACTGGGAGCACAGTGGCACCCAGAAGCTTGGAGATGCCAGAAACCACAGGGCCCCAAAGAGGGAGTCACAGCCCTGGCTCAGGGAGCTCCCAAGTCTAAGCTCCCCAAAGAGCTTCAGCTCTTCTTTTCTTCTCTTCACCCACAATGTGGCAAGCAAGGGACATGTCTTAGCCCTGATTGTGTTATAGCTCTTTTAGCCTCATTCAGTGGGTCCCAAGTTCTTGTCCTGCACCCAGGAAGAATGAGGTACACAGACAAATGGAGGGCAAGCAAGATGAAGAGGAGCTTTATTGAGCAATAGTAGCTCAGAGGATGCCCTGGAGTGAGTAGTTCCTCTCTGCAGGTAGGTTGTCCTGTTGTCTCTGCAGCTCTCAGCAGAGAAGAGGCCCTGGAGTGGGTAGCTCCTCTCTGCAACCAGTCATCCTGACATCTGCTCAGTTCTGGCTGAGCCCGGAGCTGTGCACCTCAGAGGGGAGGAAGTGCACACACTAGTTGGTCCATGGACAGCCATGGGTGGGCCCAGAAAAGGCATCGCAAGTTCTCACGCCAGTTCATGGGACTGGCAGCCTGGCCCCCAGCCTTCAGGCCACCCCCTTCCTCCAAGGAACGTGTCTGGCTCCTGCTGCCATTCATGGCGTCCAGGCTGTAGGTGCCAAGGGGCGCCTGCAGACAAGCACTGAGCTGCCTTCAGCCCTCCATCAGCTTCTCTCCTATGCTTGTCAGTGCCCAAAGTCCAGAGGGGGCCAAGGTGGCAGGGGGCTGGCATGTCAGCACTTGCCCAAGCGTGTGCACACCCAGCTGGGCTGTGACAGTGGCCAGGCTTGGCCCTGACTTTGCTCTAAGATCAGAGTGGGTGCCAACAGCAGGGAGAAGCCAGTCAGTGGGAGCAGGCATTTCTGAGCCTGCGATGGTAGAGGGGGCCTTCCCAGGCCCCCAAAAGTGCAGGGATGCCTGGGTCCACAGCCTCTGCAGTTTGGGTGGCTGCAACTGTGACTGGGGGGTGGGGGGACGGGGCTTCTGCCTGCTCTGTGGAGCAGGAGGCCCAGGTCTGCAGCTGAAGTTTGGGCAGCTGCAGTGGCACCCAGGGAGCTCCCGCCCCAACTCGAAAGAGGTGGGGCTCCCGGTTGTCCCCAGCTCCCACTGGCTCCATGGAGTGTGCAGGCCTGGCCACGCCTCCCTACTGCAGCCAGCATGATGGTGGTGGCCACTCCAGATGGCCCGCTGCTGCCATCATTATGGGTAGTTGATAAAGGAGACAAGAGTAGAGATTTGAAGAGAATGGAAAATATTTAAAATAGCCACTGTAGAAAAGTGGGAAAATATGCTATATGGGGCTGTGTTGAGGGCCTGTTCTTAGTAACATTTAATCTAATAGAATATATATATTTTGAAAAAGCATTCCTGGTGCTCCTGATAGATCCCCTGCTTCTCCATCATGACCTGCTGCTCCTCTAATTTCTTCTAAAACCCACCAAACAAAATAAACACTGTTTGATTTAAAATTTTTAATAAGGTAACTCATTCCATTCTTGGTTCCAGTTAGACCACTGAGTGACTTTTGTGACAAAAACGGAGATTCTCACAAAATACCTGTTCCAAAAATGTTTGCTAGAGACTTCCCAGAACAAATCCCTTACATCAGTGAGGAGACAGGAGTGCACGGGCAGTGCGATTGACGTGTCCTTTCCCTCCCAGTGAGATCATGTCTCATTTGGGATTGAATGACTAACTTTGTATCTGTGATCACATTAACAAAAATGCACATAAAATGCCCCGGGATTTTTCCTTTGTTCAATTTTGAAATTAAAACACATGGCATGTCTGCAAAATGAGCATTTCACCATAAAGATTTCTTTGATTATAACAGAGTTCAAAAGAGAATAGAGAAAATATTTTAGGACATGCTACCTCTTCAGTTGGCTGTGTCATGTACTTTCCTGTGCCTCTGGAGTATCACATTTTAAACGTACATTGGTTTAAACTCTAAAAAGTAAAGTTCATATCCAAAAACCTTGACCAAGTTACTAGCTGTAACTTGCCCTACCAGTAAAAGCCATTGACAATGCTGAGGTCAAAAAGCCTAATAGCCAATCATGAAGGTTCTGAGATGCTTGATTTCTAATAAAGAAGAAAGTTGCTATCACGTAATTATGAAGACAATGCCTTAATTCTTTGTACCACTTAATGCACATATTGTCACATCAAAAGTACAAAAGATTGTTAATTTGGAAATATAAGCACCTATTTCGATTAATAATAGTAATAATGATAGCTATTACTTGTTGAATAACTATTACATGTTAGGACTTTGGTAATTGTCTTACAGAAATTATGCTTTAATTCTCAAACAACCCTATAAGGTAGGTGCTAATGTCACTATCACAATTTTTAAATAAGCAATTTAAGACTTAAATAAGCCCATATACTTTTCCAGACTCACAAGATGAATACAAGATATTGGTGGAATTCGAATTGAAACAATCTAATATCAGAGACCATACATTTCTCAGTGAATAGGGCAAAATAGACCTAAGGAAATAGTCAATTTGAACTATCCAGAGGTAAATGTCATATGACCTCTGATTAGTTCCACAAAGAAAACAACCACCCAAATCAGACTGTATGCAGGACACTCACAAGCAGTGAGACTTTTGCTGAGATGAGCTGGAAAGAGGATTGAGTAATATCAAATTATCACAGATTTGAGCTAGATCAAAGGACTCTTCACCCAAGTCTGAACCAGTGTCAACACTTTTTCTGGGACCATATTTGATATTCAGTGGCCCTAAATGATTTCCTAAACATGGGCGGGGTTAATCTTGCCATTGAAGAAATTCTGTATAGAGATCCTAGTAAACACTGTGGAAATAGACAAAGACAATCTGAATTAGAACAGGTAGAGGTTATTCATCCAGAGCTTGCGAGGAAGTCAGGTACCATCACTTTTGTTTGACAGAGACTCACAGAGGAGTGGGAAAGCTTTATAGGAGAAAAAAAAGGAAAAGCTTCAAGTGTGCCCTGATCAAAAGATGTTGGCCTGGGGAAGCTGGATGTGGGCTATGTAGAAGCTGGCATCCTCTATGATTGGTTTGGGGAGCATATTTTCTTGCTCTGGTTGGTTCTGGGTTAGAAGTGAGGGCAAACATTAGGAAAGCTGGGAGTCACTGACCAGGTTCTGACCAATTTGGGCCAATGGCTACAAAGGTTGTGGTTGGACTTCCTGGGCTGGTTGCTGCAGAGACTATGGTCAGAGTTGTTTTGTCATATATGGTCTGGCCAGTGTTTATTTGTATATTCAGCCTCTCAAGATAAACAACATAGTATGGTGGTAAATGCTATGTGGGTCAGCAACTTTACACAAATATGTTTCTTAAACCTATAGCCTCCAATACTTATAAATTGAGCTATGTGAGAATTGAACAAACGAAAGTAAATTACTCACACTTGCATGATAAATTGAATTTAAAAAATATTTAGTTGTTCTTTTTTTTTCAGTGAAGCTTGGTTTTCTTAGAAGTCTATTAGCCAGTATATTAGAGCTTGATTGATTTGATTGCAATTGCATCTCTCTGATCTTAATAAAACCTACTGTGACGCTAAAGAAAAAAATCAAGTCCCTGTCTTCCAGGAACTTGCAATGTAACAGATATAATATAAACACATAGGAAATTGCTAGTGATAGACAATTGTGAGGCAAGATTCGTTTATTTTAGCTAGATCGTGTTCCTCCATGCTCCTCAATCAGAAGAACTTTGCTTCTTACACCTCCTGTGAGAAAATCGATTGTCCCCTAGAGGACATGAACATTACCCAGGGTAGGGTTAAAGAGACCTGAGCAGGCAGAGGGATCAGCAAACACATCCAAGTCCTAAAACAGCTAGGGTCAGGATAAGAGTTGCCAGATAAAATATAAGATGCCCAACTATAATAAATCTTAATTGCAGTCAAGCAGTGAATAATTTTTAGTATAAATATGTCCCCAAAATGTAACCAGGTGTCCTGTATTTTTATTTGCTAAATCTAGCCACACTGATAAAGACAAATTGTGTATAAAAGGGCCAAACTTGGAAGCCCAAATTTACTCATGAAGTTTCAGGCTAAGGGGTGCTGAACAGTAAATCAGAGACCAAGAGAAAGGCTAAAGAAGTTGAATAGACCTGGAACAGAGCAGAAAGAGTGAGTAAGGGTACCGCTGTGCACATTGTACACTGCACAACTCAAGACTACCACATGTAAAAGTAGTGGCTCTGGAGGTCTAAGACAATTATACCAACAGTGATGGAATGCTCAAGTCTTTTTCACATTGACAGAGACCACAAAGTATAATATAGAGTAAAAGCAAGATTAAAACCCACTGCCTCCCCTCTCTCCTCACCCCTGCACCCCACAATCCACTGTAACTGGGGTTTTCAGTTGATCTGCTTTGTCTAAAAGCGTAAAAGAACCAGAAAGGTTAGGTTGGGGGCAATTATTTTATGAAATATCTTTTTAAAGCAAAAGGAAATGTAGGAGTCTATAATTCCATTCTTTCTCAATTTTGAAAAACAAAGAGAAACAATAGGAACTTGATAACAATGAGTGGTGACATCTCACATTTCTATGTTTTTTATAGGAAACCTGTATTACTTTTGTAAAGAGAGAAACATAAAATGTTACCTAGCACTTCATCTGCATGAAGCCCACAAAGGAAACAGGCTGCTAGATGAATATGTAGACTTCTAGGACTTGTGGGGGAGACAGCAAAGCAACTTTCCAGAAGTGAAAAGGCCAGAGGGGCTGTGTCCTATGTGGAAGAGATGGTTTGAGGGCTCATAGGCCTGTGTCTTCATGTCTTTTAACTTCCACTGAGTCTAGGCCCAGCTAAAGGGCAAGGAAAAGAGAAGGTTTTCTTACTCTAACCATGGGGAGTAATCCAAGTAGACTTGCCTGGTGACAAGAGAGGAAAATTTCTCTGCTAAAAGAAACCAGAATAAGCAATTTATTTTTAAAAATTTGTGTTCCTAAGTATCAAATTTAACCACAAGTTCTGCAGCCCGAAGGAGCTAGCAGCTGTTAGCAATCTAGCCTCTAATCAGATCAGCTGTGATCTGATTGGTGGCATCACAGATGAAAAAGATATGATTTTCTTCAAACACTGACACATCTAAGGTTTCTTTTTAAATTTGTATGAATTTAAGGAGTACAAATGCAGTTTTGTTACATGGATATATCGTGTAGTGGTGATTTCTTGATCATTGATGATTTCAGAAAAGAAACTTTTTTTTTTGCTTGGTGTTTATTTAAATTCTTGCTTTTTAAATATGATTAACCCATCTTACATGAATTCTTACTAACCTCATTTTTGTCATCTGTTCTCTTGGGGCTACCTATCACTCCCTTACTTCTAAACAAAGTTAATGTTTTTATTTATATGATTATCTGACTCATGTCTGATCTGACACAGAACTATATTCACCATGACATCAGTGATCATATTCTGCTCCCTTTGGAATTCCCCAAAACCTAGCACAGAAAAAGTATTAGAAAAATATGTGCTGAATAAATGAAGAATGAATGAATGCTTTTATTTTTGCCAAGAGGTAGTGTAGTCTTGGAACAGGAATCAAAATCCTTCCATTGTAATCATGATTCTGACAGTGGCTAGCTAGTTACGATACCTGTGGCAAATGCATCTGAATCTGTTTTTTCACGAGTAAAGGGATAAAATAAAAGCTACCTGACAGTACTGAGTAAAAAAATGCCATATGTTGACATTGGAGACTTTCTAATGAATCTCTGTGTACGAGGTCGCATTCACTGCCCCGACTTTGGGTCAGAACTCATAAATCCCCTCCCTGTGCATGCTGTGTGTTATGTGTCTTTCCATCACAAGTGTCTACGTTCATTAAAGAGGAATAAAATACTGCATTATTTGCATTAAGCAGATGGTACAGAACCACTACTCAGAACAGTGAGAGAAGGAGCAGGAAACAAGGAGTCAGGGAAGCTAGTATTCCAACCTTAGGGCTTGAGCCCCAGCCGAAAACTCCATCTGCAAACAGCCACTGAGCCACTGAAGCAGACAAAGCTGGAAGGCTATGAGCACCATTTCCATCTCCCCTTCTCCAGCCTCAACAGCGTGAGTAGATATTGGACTGCACAGCAGCAGCTCAGGCTTTCTGAGTCTACCAGGGGTGCCCATCTTGGGGGAGATTTTGAACACTTCAAGCAAGGATTATTTGCAAAGAATATAAAAACAGAAAGAATGCAAGGAATGGTAACATAAATATCTCAAGCCAAGAGAAGTTTGTTCATTTTAAGAAAAGAACTCAAATAATACAAGGTCAGGGAACAACATGTAGCCAGGCTGTAGCTGAAAGTTATATAATCTTTATCTTGAAAGTTAGAACAAGCTTTGTCCAGGAGGGCAGGGCCATATGATAAAGTCAGTGGTGCCTGGGCCCATGGCCCATACCTTCAGTAGGAATCCATATAGGGAATATGTAAAAGGGATTCCAGACAGAGAGGTATGGGTAGCCAGGCAGCCCAGCCAGACTTTGTTGTCAGAAGATCTGGCTTCTAGGCATAGCTCTGCCACTTAGCTGTGTAACCTTAGGCTCACATCTTCACCAATTCTCATTTTCCTTAATGTGTAATGGGGATGATAATGGGACCCACTTGGGAGACTTACGAGGAAGATTAAATCATATATATAGTGCTCATCATAATCCTAGTTCATAGTAAGCTCTTAATAATTACAGATTATTACAATTACTGTAACTGTAAAACCCATGCAAATTTATGAATATCAAGATTGTTCACCTGGGCTTGGAGGCCCATGCCTGCAATCCTAGCACTTTGGCAGGAGGATTGCTTGAGCCCAGGATTTCAAGACCAGCCTAGGGAACTTGGCAAGACCCCATCTCTACAAAACATTTTTAAAAATTAGCCAGGTGTGGTGGCTGTAGTCCCAGCTACTCAAGAGGCTGAGGTGGGAGGATCAATTAAGCCCAGGTGATTTGAGTCTGCCGTGAGCTGTATTTACACCACTGCACTCCAGCCTGGGTGCCAGAGCAAGACCGTGTCTCAAAAGAGGCCGAGCATGGTGGCTCACGCCTGTAATCCCAGCACTTTGGGAGGCCGAGGTGGGCAGATCACGAGGTCAGGAGATCGAGACCATCCTGGCTAACATGGTGAAATCCCGTCTCTACTAAAAGTACAAAAAAAATTAGCTGGGCATGGTGGCAGGCTCCTGTAGTCCCAGCTACTTGGGAGGCTGAGGAAGGAAAATGGCGTGAACCCGGGAGGCAAAGCTTGCAGTAAACCGAGATCACGCCACTGCACTCCAGCCTGGGTGACAGAGCGACACTCTGTCTCAAAAATAAATAAATAAAAACAAAAGAAAGTTTTTTTAAAAACAAAAATAAGAAATATTAATTTATTTCTGTCCCTCAGTATTTGCATTTTAACAATGGGTTTTTCAAAAAAGCAAAATCATCCATGTAAGAACTACTCGTTACTCTGAGATTATGTTCTTCCTGAGTTTTGGTGGTTGAAATATTCTTTCTTTAATGAAATGCTACTGGGTACTTAATGCTATCACTAGACAAAATAAAAAGCAATCAACTCTAAGTCAGTTGCCACAAATAGAAAATTTTACCAGTCTGTGGAATACAAATGTCTTGGAGCCACTGGAGTCATGGCAAGGTGGAAAAGAAATGTTGGGTCACATTTCATCTTGTATCATCCTCCAAATACCATTACAATTTGGAACATTCTCTTAGCCTTGAATTAGGAGTTGGGAAGAAAAAGGAATGAGAGGATATCAATTCCTCAACGTGTCTTTCCTTTGCATTAGAGGTCTATTTTCAAACAAGTTTTACATTAAGTTATTGTCTCTCAGCTACCCTTCTCTATACACTTATGCAATTCAGGCCTGGGACTCAAAACATCATTTTTAGCTTTGCCAGCTGCTCCAGTTAGGCTCTGTCACTAGAGGGTGTTACAGAGGGAGACAGCCAGGCTGGAGGAGAGAGAAAGGACAGGTTCCTTTCAGTTTGTTCCCTATAGGCTTGTCAGCTTGTGGTTTCTGTAAGATCACTCCAGGAGTGCTTCTTCACCCATGCCGTTCCATAGCAGCAGCTGATTCCAATTTGCAGTTTTTGCAACTTTCGCAAAAACAGCTTCATCATGCCCCCACCTCATAGACACAAGTGAGCTATAAATAGTGCCCTGTCCTCAAAGGTTTCAGTGGCAGGCCCACAGGGCTGCTTATCCCAGCTCACAGCCAGCACAAGTTGTGGGGCCCTTTCTCAAAGTTTCTAACTTCTAATAAATCCAAGCACTTCCCTCTGCTATCCCCAGCCCCAGGAGTGGTAGCTGCTTCCTGCAGTTGCTATCTCCATGTTACTTTCATTGTTGTTTTTTTGTTTGTTTGTTTGTTAATTTAATCCTTTCAGTTACCTAGTTACCAACCATTCCTTAAAGTCTCTATGTTCAAGTAACTGGTGTAGCTTCTGTTTCCTGCTTGCACTCTGATAGAGTATATATAAATCTATTTTCAAGAAAGCTTTAATTTTTTCAAATTTGTATACTAAAGGGTTTATTTTAAGGCTTAAACAATAATTGTAGGGAAGTCTTCTAGACTACTCCAAAATAACCAATTAAAAAAATACAGCAACTTCCAGGGAACACTCAATTTATTTTGAAAATAACATTTTCAAAGTTATTCTTTGGGTGTTGAAAAGCAAATAAGTCCTATCCAACCCAAAAGAAACCTACTAGTTATTTTCCTCCAGGAAGAGAGAGAGAGAGAGAAGTTAATTTTTATTTGTATAAATTTAGGGAGTACAAGTACAATTTTGTTACATGGATATATTGAGTGGTGGTAAAGCCTGAATTTTTAGTGTATTCACTGCTAGAATAATATACATTTTACTCACTAAGTAATTTCTTACCCTATGCTTTCTTCCCACGTTCGGAATCTCCAATGTCTATCATTCCACACTGTATGTCCATGTGTACACGTTATTTATCTATTACTTAAAATTTTCTTTCTGCTTATCAGGAAGTATATTTTAAGCTGAAACATATAGGCACCAGCCTGATAAAATTTGGAGGGATGTTCATGTACACTAAAGTGTGTTTAGTCCAGAGAATTTTCTCTGCCCCAGAATTTACACACTTCATTCTCTGCTATGTTCTTATCATCACAAAGCATTTCTCTATTATTCAGTAGGCAGAAAAGTTCACACCAATGATGATCAAAGGCAGGAAATGGAGGCATAAAGGGCTAGGGCTAAAAACCAACTTTTATGAAGTACTTGCTCTGTTCCAGGTGCTATCTCATGTATCTTTTCTAGCAACCCAACATTGTAGGGATTGATATTCCCATCTCACAGATGAGCACAGTGGGACTTACAGGGATTAAATAACTTGTTCTGGGGTGTGGAATAAGCGTCAGAGCAGAGCCAGGATTCAAAACCAGCCCTGATACCTTCAAATTTTCTTATCTTTTTGATTTTTTATTTATTTTATTTTTTTTTAGAAAACACTACCTTGCATCCATAGGACCCATGAGCATAAAGGAAGGACATATGACTGCTTGCCTGTCAATTCTGGGAATGAAGTGAAATGCTGTGAACAGTTACATATTTGCTGCCTGTATTAGTCAGGGTTCTCTAGAGGGACAGAACTAATGGAATATATATATATATATATATATATAAAGGGGAGTTTATTAAGTATTAACTCATGCAGTCACAAGGTCCAACAATAGGCCATCTGTAGGCTGAGGAGAAAGGAGAGCCAGTCCCAGTTCCAAATCTGAAGAACTTGGAGTCTGATGTTTGAGGGCAGGAAGCATCCAGCATGGGAGAAAGATATAGCCTTGGGGGAGCTAGGTCAGTTTCTCTTTCCATATTTTTCTGCCTGCTTATATTCTAGCCACGCTGGCAGCTGATTAGATGGTGCCCACCCAGATTAAGGGTGGGTCTGCCTTTCCCAGCCCACCGACACAAACGTTAATCTCCTTTGGCAAAACCCTCACAGACACACTCAGGATCAATACTTTGTATCCTTCAATCCATTCAAGTTGACACTCAGTATTAACTACAACAGGCCCACACCTTGTCAACTTGAACCCTTACACATCTCCTGAGATCATACATAATCTTCAAATAAAGACAATAATAAAGTCATAATTATGCCTAACATAATACAACTATCCTTCATACAACCAGAAACACCCCAATCCCCAAACCAAATACTATTACATAAAGTTAATACTTAAATGCTGATGTGAAGTCAATAAATCTATGTCACATGATGAAGGAGAAAGGAAATAAAATGAATTTTTTTTTAGTACAAATGTATACTTGCACAAACATGTTTTTAACAAAAGAAGGAGGAAATACTCATGACAATTACAGTCCTCGTTTCTGCAGCTGGTCACGTGGTCATAGCTGATATTGATGACTACCTTCTTCTACTACCCATTCTGTATTCCCTTTGCCTTCAGCAAGCACCTCAACAGGTTGTGTTTTTTTTTACCTGGTGGAGTGACTCAAACCTTCATTCCTGAAGGGTCTGGATCATTTGTAGTCCTGCCTGGGTTAGGCTGTTGTAATTTCCCATGCTGTGTGGAATACCATGACAGTGGATAAGGCATTCCGTGAGTTCACAGATGATAGTCTTGGCAGAAGCATTGCATGCAGAATAGGCAAACCCATATCTAGAGTAAGTGTCTATTCCAGTGATGACAAACCTCTGCCCTTTCCATGATGGAAGACCTTAATCACAGGGAATGGTAATACTAAGAGATGCCCTAATGATCTCCTGTATTTCATGCATACTCTTCCTTACCTCCATTGTGAAGTAGGAGACTGATTTCATCTTGATAGCCTGGGTCAATCATCCCAGCCAACACTATAACTCCCTTCTTAGCCTGTTGACTTAAAGGTAGGAGGAGTCCAAAGTGTCCAGGTGGCAATCTTAACTTCCAGTTTAATGGAATCATTGTTTTGTCTCCTGGTGGCAGAGTTTCTCCCTCTGGAACTAAGACCTCTAGGCCAGCAGAACGTAATGTTGTGGGAACAGAAAGCTAAAATGTTGCTAGTGACTCACTAAGGGTGATCGTGAGTGGTGTCACACTTCCACACCTTGATTCCTGGACCCGTGAATCCTGGCTATGGGAGAAACAGTACCATATATTGGGCATTGATTCAGAGGATACACAGCCTTTTGGAGAACTTTGCCCTAGCCCTGCAAAGTATTGTCACCTAGTTGGCCTTGTAATTGTGACTTCAAAAGGCTTTCCCACCATTCTATCAATCCAGCTGCTTCAGGATGATGGGGAACATGGTAGGATTAGTGACTTCCATGAGCATGAGACCACTGCTGCACTTCTTTAGCCAAAAAGTGAGTGCCTTGGTCAGAGGCAATGCTATGTGGAATACCATGATGGTGGATAAGGCATTCCATGAGTCCACGGATGGTAGTCTCAGCAGAAGCATTGCATGCAAGATAGGAAATCCTATATCCAGAGTAAGTGTCTATGTCAGTGAGGACAAACCTTTGTCCTTTCCATGATGTAAGAGGTCCAATATAATCAACCTGCCACCAGGTAGCTGGCTGATCACCCCAAGGAATGGTGCCATATCGAGGGCTCGGTGTTGGTCTCTGCTGCTGGCAAATTGGGCACTCAATAGTGGCCATAGCCAGGGCAGCCTTAGGGAGTGGAATGTTGCTGAGCCCATGCATAATCTCCTTCCCTGCCACCACGGCCACTTTTTTCATGGGCCCATTGGGCGATGGTGGAGTGGCTGGGGAAAGAGGCTGAGTGGTGTCCACAGAATGGGTCATCTTATCCTCTTGATTATTAAAATCCTCCTTTGCTGAGGTCACCTGTTGGTAAGCACTCAGATGGGATACAAATATCTTCACAGTTTTTGACCACTCAAAGAGGTCCATCCACATACCTCTTCCCCAGATGTCTTCGTCACCAATTTTCCAATCATGCTGCTTCCAAGTCCCTGACCATCCAGCCAAACCATTGGCTATGGTCCATGAATCAGTATATAATCACATACCTGGCCATTTCTTCTTCCATGCAAAGTGCAAAACCAGGTGCACTGCTGGAAATTCTGCCCACTGGGAAGATTTCCCTTCACTGCTGTCCTTCAGAGATGTCCTAGAAAGGGGCTGTAATGCTGCAGCTGTCCACTTTTGGGTGGTGCCTGCATATTGTGCAGAACCATGTGTGAACCAGGCCCTAGTCTTCTCTTCCTCTGTCAACTGATCATAGGCAACTCCCCCTGAGGCTATTGGCACAGGCTCAGGGAGAGAAGGTAGGGTGGCAGGAAAGGAGACCGTGGGCATTTGAGTCACTTCCTCATGTAACTTATTTGTGCCTTTAGGACATGCTCAAGCCTGATCATGTATTTACCACTTTCATTTGATGATGGAATGCTGCTGTGCATGACCCACTTTATGACTAGATGAGTCAGAAAGCACCCAGTTCATGAGGCAGTTTAGGATGCATGGTAACTTGATGACCCATAGTCTAACGTTCGGTTTCCACCAAAGCCCAGTAATAGGCCAAGAGCTGTCTCTCAAAAGGAGAGTAGTTATCTGCAGAAGATGGCAGGGCCTTGCTCCAAAATCCTAGAGGCCTCCACTGTGACTCACCTATGGGAGCCTGCCAAAGGCTCCAAACAACATCCCTATCTGCGAGTGACACCTCAAGTACCATCTGATCTGCTGGGTCATATGGCCCAAGTGGCAGAGCAGCTTGCACAGCAGACAGGACCTGTTGCAGAGCCTTCTCCTGGACCCCACTCAAAACTGGCAGCCTTTCAGGTCACTTGACAAATGGCCTGGAGTAACACACCCAAAGGAGGAATGTGTTGCCTCCAAAATCCAATGAGACCCACTAGGCTTTGTACCTCTTTCTTGGTTGTAGGAGGGGCCAAATGCAGCAACTTATCCTTCACCTTAGAAGGAATATCTCAACAGGCTCCACACCACTGGACCCCTAGAAATTTTGCCGAGGTAGAAGGTCCCTGAAAGTCAGATTTATTTCCCATCCTCTGGCACGCAAATGTCTCACCAATGATTCCAGTGTGTTTGCTACTTCTTACTCACTGGATCTAGTCAGCATGTCATCAATGTAATGGACCAGTGTGATATCTTGTGGAAGCAAAAAGCGATCAAGATGTCTCCAGGTAAGATTATGACACAAAGCCAGAGAGTTGATACACCCCTGAGGTAGGACAGTAAAGGTATATTGCTGACCTTGCCAGTGGAAGGCAAACTGGCCTTATGAACAGGAATGGAGAAAAAGGCATTTGCCACATCAATGGCTGCATACCAGGTACCAGGAGATGTGTTAATTTGCTTAAGCAATGAAACCACATCTGGTACAACAGCTGCAATTGGAGTCACCACTTGGTTAAGCTTAAGATAATCCACTGTCATTCTCCAAGATCTATCTGTCTTCTGTACAGGCCAAATGGGAGAGTTGACCAGGGATGTGGTGGGAATCACCACCTCTGCATCTTTCAAGTCCGTGATGGTGGCACTAATCTCCACAATCCCTCCAGGGATGTGATATTGTTTTTGATTTACTATTTTTCTAGGTAGAGGCAGGTCTAATGGCTTCCATTTGACCTTTTGCCCTATAATAGCTCTCACCCTACTAGTCAGGGAGCCAATGTGGGGGTTCTGCCAGCTGCTAAGTATGTCTATGCCAATTATGCATTCTGGCACTAGGGAAATGACCACAGGATGAGTCCAGGAGCCCACTGGACCCACTACAAGTCAGACCTGAGCTAAAACTTCATTAATTACCTGACCTCTATTAGCCCCTACTTTAACTGGAGGATCACAATGACGTTTTGGGTCCCCTGGAATCAACGTCAGCTCAGAGCCAGTGTCCAGTAGTCCATGAAATATCTGATTATTTCCCTTTCCCCAGTGCACAGTTACCCTGGAAAAAGGCCAGAGGTCTCCTTGGGGAAGGATGGGAGAAAGATTTACTGCATAAATTGTCAGTAATGTAGTGGGGTCCTTCCTCAAGGGGACATGGCCTCCCCTTCATTCAAGGGGTTATGGGTCTATAAACTGACTTAAGTCTGGAAATTGATTGAGGGGCCATGATTCTCTGTTTTTATAATTCAAATTCAAATAAGTCTTTTGTCCATTTGACCTCGAAGTTTTCTGCTTATATAAATTAAGTATGAATGCAGTAGGCTTCCTATCAATTTCACTTCCAGGAACACCGTGATTTATTAGCCAACGCCAGAGCTCTACACCAGTCAGACTATTCTGATTGCCCCTTTGTTTCTGCTGTCCATTATGGTAGCTACACCCAACTTGCCTTTGACGGTTGGGTGCTGCCACTTGGCCCCTGCCACCTTGGGATCCAATTATTCCCATTGTATTTAAATTTTGTAGTTGAGCGACTATGGTTCCCACTGTTAGATCTGACATACAGAGAAGAGCAATTACAGGGTTCTTTAAAGATGTAGGTGCTGCCCTCACAAATCTATTTCACAAGGCATTTGTCAGGGGTATATCTTCTGGACCCTCCCAGCTGGGATGAGTAGGTCTAAAGTGACTAATCCACTCTACCATCCCAATCTCCCTAAGCCTTTGGATCCCTTCCTCTACATTAAACCCAGGGAGATCAGGCTTTTCCAGCTTATTCACAGTGGGCCATCTTTTTATCCATATTTCAGCTAACCAAGCAAAGAAATTATTAGAACCTTTTTTAACTCCCTGAGCTGCAACATTAAATGCAGAGTCCCTACTTAGTGGGCCCAAATCAATAAATTCATCCTGATCCAACACTATGTTCTTTCCACCATTATTTCACACCCTTAATATCCATTCCTATGCCTGTTCTCCAGATTTCTGTTTATGTAAATTAGAAAACTCAAGCAGTTCTTTTTGAGTGTAGGGCACCTCCTCATGGGTCACAATCTCAACCTCACCTTTAGGGGCCCCCCAGGACTTTAGTCTAGTTATAGGTCTAGAAGCAAAACAGGGGCGTTAGTAGTGACTACTGAGGAGAATCAACATTATCTTGCCAGGCAACTGCCCATCAGGGGAGGCCATCACTGTTGCCTCAGGCAAGGCAGGGTTTATCTCCTCAGACAAAGGTGTAAAGGCTTATGGCAGCATAGGATGGGGAGGGGATGTTGCCACTACTGGGGATGGGGAAGCTGTTTCTTCTGGCAAAAAAGGTTCATCAGAGTTTACTAACTCAGTGTCCCCAGCTTCATCAGAGTCCTCCCAACATCCCCATTCCAAGTTGCAGGCTCCCATTCTTTTCCAATCAATGCCCTCATTTTAACAATAGACACATGGTGAGGCTGTGCATGCACCTTTCATTGCAGGTCAGCCACTTGCATGATAAGAGCTTGTCTCTGTTTTTCCACAATTTCAACTCTTTCTCTACAGGAGATAAGACTCTCACTCAGGGCAATCTTAGCAGATTTGAGTCTCAGTATCAGCTTCTGAAGCCAGAAGACAGAATCCCTGAGTTCATAATTTTCTTTCATCACTTTGTCCACTGAACTTGGGAGCAACCAACCAGCTTCATTATGTTCCTTGGTTCTCCACATATGGTCAAAGGTATTACTTATAGAGTCACTAAACTCCTTGCCTCTCATGAGTAATGAATCAGAAGTGCCAAATGCATTTATTTTGCATAACTCTCTACAGTTCACATCAAGGACTATCAGTGTTCTCTATACTATTAGAAGTAGAGTCCTTAGCATTTTGGGGTCTAATCATATTAAGCAGCCAACTCCAGAAAACCCCAAAACCATGAAAGAACTCCATTCCTAATATTCAATATTTTCCTGCCTGCTTATATTCTAGCCACGCTGGAAGCTGATTAGATTGTGCCCACCCAAATTAAAGGTGGGTCTGCCTTTCCCAGCCCACTGACTCAAATGTTAATCTCCTTTGGCAACACCCTCACAGACACACCCAGGATCAATACTTTGTAGTCTTCAATCCAATCAAGTTGACACTCAGTATTAACCCATCACTCTGCCTACATGAGTGAAAGTCCAATTGTTCTATTTATCACATTAGTTTCCTTTCTCCTCTTTTCCGCTCACAGCCTGCAATCAGGACATCAGGCTCCAGACCATAAAGTCCCTCTGAATACCTAAGAGCAATCAAATACCTGTATAGTGAGAGTGATCCATCTTTTTGTAGTTTTTTAGTACTTCTGTAATGCTGCTTAGCATATGAAGAAGGCCTCTGTAAGGGAAGCTGTGCTGAGAAAAAAATAAAGAAATATAGATTTGGACATAGATATTGACATAGATAAACATTTCTCTGACAAATTTTGGAGAGGAAGAGAAAAGTGCAAGGCTGATAAAAAGTGTCAGTGCTGAAAACCTTGTAAGCAGGAATGAAAAAGAGTTGTAAATAACAGAGCCTAAATGAGTAAGTCTTTGTCAGTTTCCCATCCCACAGCTGCTTAAGGGAAACTAGTCTTTCCTAATAAGAGAAGAAATACAATTTCTCCATCCATGGATTATTCCACATCCTGAGTTTGCCTGGGTCAAGGACTCTCAATAAACATGATCTTATGACTAACTTTACACTGATACAGAATGACAGTACAGGAAAGGAAGGCCAGTGCTATGGTGCAAGCAATAATTTCTTATCACAGTTTTCGGAAAAGATTATTTGTTGCCAATTTAATTTCCCTTAAGCAGAATCTCTGCATCAGGGGACCAGTCTGAGACAGGACTTTTGAAATAAGCAAAGTTTACCCTCAGCACTCCTTCCTGCCATTTCTCTGCTCCTTTCCCTTTTTCAGGTGGCCATGGCTCTGAGACCACCTCCTGGCTGAGAAGTTGCCACACTCTAACATTGCCTCCTGTGCCACACTCCATCTTCTGTTTCATTTTCTCCCACCTCAACTGCCTCATGCTATTGACACATACTCATTCAGAGCATAATGCATACAAGTCACCAAGAAAATCCCAAGGATATAGGAAAACAAGGGCTCATGTTCAAGTTATGAAAACTTACAATGCTCTGTGCTCCTTTTTGCCATTGCTCTGACAGGTGAATAAACAATATGATCTGCTAATCTATGTTATGATATGAATGACACCATACTCTACATGCTGAGGAATATCTCTGAAACCACCAATGCAAAATTATGTCAGTAAGAGAAATCTGACATAGTTGACATCATCTTGCTTCTAACCTCCAAGCTGTCCTTGGTCATACCTGGACGTAGGCTAAGCTAACTCTGGGAGGAGTTTAATTTATAGTTGAACCTTAAAGCAAGAATAATAATAGCCCTTCCCAAAACTAAACCCCCTTTGTAAAACTAACAAAAGGCCAAGGTTAGGATTATGAGAGTAACACAAAATTTTCTTCTTGGTCACTTTGCAAGCCAGGAACCTCTGGCTGGTGATGCACCACCTGGGCCTCACTCAGCCCCACTACCTGCTGCTGGAGATGGCCTTTACCTGCTGCAGGAGATGGCCTGCCTACTCAGCCCACCCAGGCCAAGTCTGGCTTATACACTGGTTCCCAAGTTATTGTCCTGCACCCAAGAAGAATGAGGATGCACTGACATTCAAGGAGTGAGCAAGACAGGGAGTTTTATTGAGTGATGAAACAGCTTTCAGCAGAGAGAGGATGTGGGGGTGGTAAGCCCCCTCAATATGGCTGCATCTGAGGCTCAGAATGGGGAAGGGGCAGGCCTAGGTAGTATTGGAAAAGGCAACATTGATTGGTTAAAAGGCATTATTCAGAAAGAATCAATCAGGAAAGTGCAGGCAAACAGGAGCAGAAGTTCTCCCTCTGGGTTGCGGGTTTCATCCAGGACCAGCAGTCTGGGTTTTCAGCCTTCAGGCTGTTTTTGGCTTGGAGGTGGGGTTTCACTGGGGACCCACCCCTATCTGCCTAGGCATTTGGCTGCCTCCTGCTGCCATCCAGAGGGTCCTGAATTCTGCTAAGATGTAAGCATAGTTAAACGATTACCAGCCGTTGTTCCAGAGGTCACAAGATTTGTAACTTCCCTGGTTACTCATGTGAATAACATCACTATTGTAGAAACTAAGATTGGCCTTTTGAGGTTTTGTTTCATACTTTTGTATTTCTGATAACTGGCTGACTGGCTGCCTCCAAGTGGGGGCCACAGACTGGTTGAAATATGGGTCATGGATCCAGGTCAGAACACACAACCCATGATTCAACCAGTCTGTGGCCCCTGCTCAGAGGCTGACTCAGTTCAGGAGGACTCTTTTCCACACCCAAATGATTGCATCCCCAACCAGTCAACATTGGTTGATTGCCCCATTCTCTACCTCCTGCCCCCAAGCAATCCTTGAAAAACCCCAACCTTCAAGGCTTCGAGGAGACAGATTTGAGTAATAGCTCCATCTTCCATGTGGCTGGCTTTGCATTAATCAAATTCTTTCTTTACTGCAATACCATGGTCTCAGTGAGCTGGTTTTGTCTGTGATGCAGGCAGGAAGAACTCATCAGGTGATTACATCTGCATTTTAAGAGAATCTTCAGAGATAGAAAATTTATCCCAAGAGGATGATTCCGCTAATGGTGGAAGTTTTGGTAGGCAACAGGCAGTGAGGGAGATGTGCTGGGACCAGAGGTATACTTCAAACTATACTCTGAAGATAATTATTTACATCAAGTCAGACTGTCAAGTGGTCTCCACAAAACATAGAAATTTTGGCAGGGCATGGTGGCTCATGCCTGTAATCCCAGCACTTTCGGAGGCCGAGGTGGGCAGATCATGAGGTCAAGAGATTGAGACCATCCTGGCCAACATGGTGAAACCCCATCTCTACTAAAATACAAAAATTATCTGGGCGTGGTGGCATACGCCTGTAGTCCCAGCTATTTGGGAGGCTGAGGCAGGGGAATCACTTGAACCTGGGATGCAGAGGTTGTAGTGAACTGAGATCGCACCACTGCACTCCAGCCTGGTGACAGAGCAAGCCTCTGTCTCAAAAAAACAAACAAACAGACAAAAAACATGGAAATTTTCTGATAAAAATGCATTGGCTAGATCAATAGAAAGAAAAATAGGTAAACAGAGGAAAAGATAGCTAATTGATAAATGGACAGATGACCTGAAAGTTTACTGATGATTACTTACATGATATCTTATTACCTATTTAATATAAAAAAAGTTGTTAACAGGCACTGGAGAACTGGCAAGACAAACAGACAACACTAAAGGCATCCTGGATATGGATATTGAAGAAAGAAGCTATCATCACTAGGGCTGGGAGAACAAGGAAACAAAAAAAAAAATCCAGATAAGCACAATCAGAAATGACAAAGATGACATTACAACTTATCCCACAGAAATACAAAATATCCTTAGAGATTTATGAACATCCCTATGCACACAAATTAGAAAATCTGAAGAAATTGATACATTCCTCGAAACATACAATCTCCCACAGTTGAACCAGGAAGGAAGTGAAACCTGAAGAGACCAATAACAAATTCTTTTTTTTTTTTTTTATTGAGATGGAGTCTCACTCTGTCACCCAGGGTGGAGTGCAGTGGCGTGATCTCAGCTCACTACAACCTCTGACTTCATGCCATTCTCCTGCCTCAGCCTCCTGAGTAGCTGGGACTACAGGCGCCCACCACCACACCCGGCTAATTTTTTTGTGTGTGTTTTTAGTAGAGACAGGGTTTCACCATGTTAGCCAGGATGGTCTTGATCTCCTGACCTCGTGATCCTCCCGCCTCAGCCTCCCAAAGTGCTGGGATTACAGGCGTGAGCCACCGTGCCCGGCCAACAAATTCTTAAATTGAATTAGTAATTTAAAAAACCTACCGGCTGGGCGCGGTGGCTCACGCCTGTAATCCCAGCACTTTGGGAGGCTGAGGCGGGTGGATCACAAGGTCAGGAGATCGAGACCATCCTGGCTAACATGGTGAAACCCCGTCTCTACTAAAAATACAAAAAAAACTAGCTGGGTGTGGTGGCGGGCACCTGTAGTCCCAGCCACTCGGGAGGCTGAGGCAGAAGAATGGCGTGAACCTGGGAGGCAGAGCTTGCAGTGAGCCGAGATCGCGCCACTGGACTCCAGCCTGGGCGACAGAGTGAGACTCCATCTCAAAACAAAACAAAACAACAACAACAACAAAAATCTACCAACCAAAAAAAGCCCTGGACCAGATGGAGTCACAGCTGAATTCTACCACACATACAAAGGAGAATTGGTACCAATCCTACTGAAACTATTCTAAAAAATCAAGAAGGGGCTTCTCCCTTGCTTGTGTTACAAAACAAGCATGATCCTGATACCAAAATCTGGCAGAGACACAGTGGAAAAAAAACTTCAGGCCAATATCTGTGATGAATGTAGACACAAAAGTCCTCAACAAAATACTGGCAAATGGAATCCAACAGCACATCAAAAAGTTAATTGACCACGATCAACTAGGCTTTCTTCCTGCAATGCAAGGTTGGTTAAACAAACAGAAATCAATAAATGTGACTCACCACATAAACAGAAAAAAAAATAAAAACCGTAGAAACCATATGATCATCTCAATAGATGGAGAAAAAGTTTTCATGCAATCTGTATTAGTCAGTTTTCACGTTGCTGATATAAACATACCCAAGACTGGGTAATTTATAAAGAAAAAGAGGTTTAATGGACTCACGGTTCCACCTGGCTGGGGAGGCCTCACAATTATGGCAGAAGGTGAAAGGCACGTCTTACATGGCAGCACACATGAAAGAATGAGAGCCAAGTAAAAGGGGTTTCCCCTTATAAAATCATCAGATCTCATGAGACTTATTCAGTACCACCAGAACAGTATAGGGAAACTGCCCCCATGATTCAATTATCTCGCACTGGGTCCCTCTCACAACATAAGGGATTATGGGAGCTACAATTCAAAATGAGATTTGTGTAGAAACACAGACAAACCATATCAAAATCCAACATCTTTTCATGATAAAAACCCTCAGTAGGCTAGGTATTGAAGGAATTTACCTCAAAATAATAAGAGCCATCTATAACAAACCCACATCATACTGAACAGGCAATAGCTGGAACCATTCCACTTGTGAACTGGTACAAGACAAGGATGCCCACTCCTATTCAACATAGTGCTAGAAGTCCTAGCCAGAGCAATCAACCAAGAGAAAGAAATAAAAGGCATCCAAATTGGAAAAGAAGTAAAACGATCTGTGTTTGCTGATTATTTGATTCTATACTTAGAAAACACTAAAGACTCTGCCAAAAGAGTACTAGAACTGATAAATGACTTCAGTAAAGTTTTAGGATATAAAATCAATGTACAAAAATCAGTAGTATTTCTGTACACCAATAAAATTCTAGCCGAGAGCCAAATCAAGAACACAATCCCGTTCACCATAACCACACAAAAATAATGAAATATCTAGGTATGCATCTAACCCAGGAGGTGAAAGAGCAATACAAGGAGAACTACAAAACACTGCTAAAAGAAATCAGAGACAGCACAGATAAATAGAAAAATATTCCATGCTCATGGATTAGAAGAATCAATATCATTAAAATGGCCATGCTGCCCAAAGCAATTTACAGATTCAATATTATTCCTATCAGAATAGAAAAAAAACCATTCTAAAATGTATATCAAACCAAAAGAGAGCCTGAATAGCAAAAGCAATCATAAGTAAAAGGAACAAAGTTGGAGGCATCACCTTACCCAACTTCAAACTATACCATAAGTTTACAGTAACCAAAACAGCATGATACTGGCACAAAAATAGACACATAGGCCAATGAAACAGAATAGAGAACCCAGAAATAAAGCTGCACACCTACAACCATGTGGTCTTCAACAAAGTCGACAAAAATAAGCAATGGGGAAAGAACTCCCTATTCAATAAATGGTGCTAAGATAATTGCCCAGCTATACACAGAAGAATAAAGCTGGACCCTTACCTTTTACCATGTATAAAAATTAACTCAATATCTAAGTGTAAGACTTCAAACTATAAAAACTCTAGAAGAAAACCTAGGAAATACCCTTCTCAACATCAGCTTTGGTAAATAATTTACGGCTAAGTCTCCAAAAGCAATTGTAACAAAACCAAAAATTGATTAAGCGGGACCTAATTAAACTAAAGAGCTTCTGCACAGCAAGAGAAATTATCTCAGACACTTTTCAAGAAAAGAGATACAGGTGGCCAACAAACATATAAAAAAAATGCTCCACATCGCTAACTATCAGAGAAATACAAATCAAAACAACAATGAGACACCATCTCACACTAGTCCAAATAGCTATTCTATTGTTTAAAGAAAAAACAAACACAACAACAACAAAAAAAAACAGATGCTGGTGAGGCTGAAGAGAAAAGGAAGTGTTTATATACTTTTTGTAGGAATGTAAATTAGTTTGGAGATTTCTCAAAAACTTAGAACTACCATTCCACCCAGCAATTCCATTACTGGGTATATTCTAGAGGAATATAGATCATTATACCGAAAGACACATGCACTCACATGTTCATCAACGTGCTATTCACCATAGCAAAGTCATGGAATCAACCTAGATGCCCATCAATTCTGGATTGAATAAACAAAATGTGGTACATGTACACCATAAAATACTACACAGCCACAAAAAAAGAATGAAATCATGTCCTTTGCAGCAACGTGGATGCAGCTGGAGGCCATTATCCTAAGTGAACTAATAAAGGATCAGGAAACCAAATACTGCATGTTCTCACAAGTGGGAGCTAAACATCGGGTACACATAGACATAAAGATGGAACAACAGACACTGGGAACTACTAGAAATGGGAGGGAAGGGAGGGGCATGGGCTGCAAAGCTAACTATTGGGTACTATGCTCACTACCCAAGTGACAGGATAATCCATACCCCAAATCTCAGTATCGCACAATATGCCCATATAACAAACCTGCGTATGTACTCTCTGAGTCCAAAATAAAAGTTGAAAAAAAGTAGAAAAAAAGAATTTGGATATTAAATTTTAGAAGCTTAAAAGAAGAGCCCTTTAGGGCACAGAAATCATATTAAAAGATTTGTACTTAAAAAAAGGCAAGCATTCTTTAATAATAACAAGTATTGGCATATAGTCCTACCACCTAGACAATCTCTGATGGTACACTAGTGATTAAAAATGATATATTCATGGTTTAAAATTGTTTAAAAATTCAAACTATGTAGGTTGGCATAAAATGAAAATTAATGCATCCTTATCAAAACTTTAGATTAAAAGAACTTAAGAAACATATCAACAAACAATAAAGTGTATGGATTTAGTTTCAAGCAAAGCAACTATTAAAATTATGACCAATGAGTCATGCCTGTAACCCCAGCACTTTGAGAGGCCAAGGCAGGAGGATCACTTGAGCTCAGGAGTTCAAGACCAGCCTGGGCAACATAGTGACCTCATCTCTACAAAATAAAACAAAACAAAGCCAGGCATGGTGATGTGCACCTGCAGTCCCAGCTACTCAGGACACTGAGGCTGCAATGAGCCATGCTCATACCACTGCACTATAGCCCAGGCAACAGAGCAAGACCCATTTCAAAAACAAAAAAAGCAAACAAAAAATATTTATGATATATCTGAAAAATTTTGAGCACTGCAATTGGAAATTGATAATATTCAGGAAATGGTACTCATTTTTAGATGTGACATATTTCAGTTGTGTTTTGTTTTGTTTGTTTGTTTGTTTGTTTAGACAGAGTCTCTTTCTGTTCCCCAGGCTGGAGTGCAGCATTGCAATCATAGCTCACTGTAAACTTGAACTCCTGACCTCAAGCGATCCTCCCACCTGGGTCTCCCGAAGTTCTAGGATTACAGGTATGAGCCACCCTGGCCTGGTCTATTTTAGTTATAAATTTTTAAAAGAATCCTTATATCTAAGAGCTATACTGTCCAGTTGTGTAGCCCCTAGCCACACGTGACTGTTTACATTTAGATTTAAGTCAATTAAAATAGGAAAAACTTAAAAAGTTTAGTTCCTCAGCCACATCAGTCACATTTCCAGTGCTTGATTAGCCATGTATGGCTCGTAGATAGTATTGGAAAGTACATATATAGGATATTTTCATCATTGCAGAGAATCCTGTTGGACAACATTATCTTAGAGATATATACTGAAGTATTCCACTAATGAAATTCTGTAACACCTGAAAATTGCTTTAAAATAATAACAGTAGAACTAGAAGTAGAGTGAGTGAGGACATAAACAAAACAAGATTGACTACAAGTTAATCATTATTGAAGCTGGGTGATCATGAAGAAAGGAATTATCTATTCTCCCTACTTATGTGTATGTTTAGAATTTTTCATAACAGAAGGTCACCACACCCTCTGCCTTTTAAGGAAAGTATCCACATCCTCTGCCTCAACCACTCTAGGCTCTGAGTATTTCTCCCTGTAGGCATTTTCTTTGGAATCCTTAGAAAAATAATTAAAATCATCTACATGTGCATATGACAGCTGTCTTTGTCTGTTTGTATTGTGATAACAACACAACAGACTTTATAAATTACCCTGAAGCTGGTAATTTATAAAGAAAAGAGGTTTATTTGGCTCATGGTTCTGCAGGCTATACAAGAACCATGGCACCAGCATCTGCTTCTGATGAGAGCCTCAGGCCCCCTTCATTTGTGGCAGAAGGCAGAGTGAAGCTGGTGTATGCAGAGGTCACATGGTGAAGAAGATGCAAGAGAGAGAGCTGGGAGGTGCCAGGCTATTTTTAACAACCAGCACTTGCAGGAACTAGCACAGTGTGAACTCACTCATTACAAAGAGGATGGCACCAAGACATTTATGAGGGATCTGCTCCCATGACCCAAACATCTCCCACTAGACCCCACTCCCAACACTGGGCTTCAACATTCAATATGAGATTTGGAGGGGGGCAAACAAATGAAACTATAGCAACAACATTTCATATACTTTGTAAATTTGCCTAGGAAGATAATACAATACATGCTATTCAGTTATTTGCATTTTTATCAAATATTCAGCACATGCAAATCTGCCTCCTTCTTTCTAAAGGCTACTCAGTGTTACATTGTATAGGTGTATCATAATTTACTTAAATAGCCACCTGTGGATGGATGCAGCGTAGTGAATGCATTTGGGAAGATCCTAGATTAGGTGAGAAAGACCTGTGAATTACCTACATGAGAGAGATGGATCAGATTAAAGTAATTCAGTGAAATAGAGAGAAGAGCTCAGATTGAAAAAAACATTAAAGAAGTAAAATCAAGAGAACTTGGTGATTTCTTATAAATGAAGAATGAGGGAGAAGAAGAGGGAGAGGACTCTTGGTTTTTTGGCTTGAACAAATAGTGATGCCAGTCTCTAAAGAGAGAAATGAAATCACCCTCACAGGAAGGGAAAGCTGATGAGCTTTGTTTTAGACATGTTGAGATTCAGGTGCCTATAAGTCCTCCCAGCGGAGATGTGGGGTAAACAGTTGGCTATATGCATCTAAGGTCAGAAGAGGGTGGAGAAATTGAAGTAGAGGTCATCAGCATATACAAGGTGATGGAAACCAGAGGAGTGAATGAAACTACCTCTAATTTTCTGGTTCTCACCTCCCTACTCAAAGTGTATGATAAGGCTCCTCCAACTCTCAATCTCCCAGGCCTATGCACATACACAGATGGAATGGTTCTACAGCCAACCCCATGATTCACTGTTTTATGACATCCAGTTCTCACATATGCATTATTCATGAACACAGAGAGAGTGACATGATAAGATCTGTGTTATGTGATGGAAAAGTGAAAGCTGGGAAGCTATGAATTATTTTTCTAGTCATCTATATGAATAACAATGAAGGCTTAATCTGGGCAGGGAAATGGGCACGAATATGAGGTAATAGATTTGGGAAATATTTGTGCTAATAACTATTAAAAGTTGTAAGGTACATAGGCCCACTAAGATCATCTTAAGTGGTACATTATAAAGATGAATGAGAAAATGAGAAATGTGAAACTATCTACATATTTTCAGCAGGTTTCAAAGAGATATGGATCATCATCAAGGTATCACACAACTCATACCACCTGATATTGTTTCAACTTATTCATGATTTTCTGCTTATTCATGACTTTGCTACCTGATGGCTTTGACTTTTATAGTGTTTTCTGCATTGCTGTCTGTTTCTGTGTTTCTCTACCATTTGTGTACTTCTCTGTATGTCTCACATTCAAATTCCGCAAGAGACAGTATAATTGGTTGAAGAAATCGTTAGCCAGCGTGGGGTAGCCTTGTGAAGAAGAAAGCTTTTACGCCTCCTCATGGGTTGCCTCTAAGTCACATTTTGTTTTTTCTTCAGTGGAGCTTTTATGTATTAATACAAATATGCAATCCCCTGAATTTCAAAAGAAAAGCTTTATTTTTATATTATGTATTTCATTTATATTTTTATTTTTGTATTTAGGTTGTTGCCAGGTGAGGCTGGTAGTGTCTAACTCCTAAAAAGCCTCACAAGCTGTGAAGAATTTCTCATAGTCTTTTCTTCAATCTTGTAGTCTAAGAAAACTAATTTGAAAAATATCAAGACCGGGTTTATCTCTCAAGGTAAACTCTAATTAAATAGGTCCGTAGAGTGACGTATGCACTAGAATGTCAATTTATCAATTTATGGTGAGAAATTTTAAATTATAAAGAACTAAATTATTAAGTCCATGTGACTTATACATTCTCTCTCAATGGGAAGACTCACATCTTTATTCCCTGCAAGAAGAAAAGGAAGGGTAAAGGACACAATGTGCATGCCAGCTGAGACTGTCCACTCCCATCTTCTTAAGAGCTTTTTTAGGAAGCCTCACCCAAAAACTTCTGCTTATGTTACAGCAACCAGAACCATGTTACAGGGCCATATTTATCTGCAAGGTGAACTGAGAAATATAGGTTTTGGCTGGACACACTACCACCCACAAATAAATTGTGATTCCCCTTAGAAATAGAAAAAATTGAATATTAAGTATATAACCATCAGTCTCTTCACAAAAATAAACCCAAAAAGTAGAAGACATGGGATATAGGAAATGTAGAATCCATTACAGGAGAAAAGTAGAGATTTTCCAGATTGACAGTGAAGAATGAGGGTTATACAGAAAGCCTAGAGAGAAACAGATACAGATTGAGTCAGGAATATTAAAGACTCTAGGAGCAAAATGGAACCAATTATTCGAGACATTTTTTCCTGCTGACAGTAGCTATGCTGCTCCATGAAAAATTGGGACTAATTAATAAAGGCACAGCACACTAGGCAAATGAAAATAAAGAATTATTACTACAGAAAAAAAATAACAGTTTTAGAAGTCATGTGTTGGGAATAACGCTCAAAATCCTAAGGAAATTGAACACTCAAAACAAAGGATTCTTAGCAAAGCAATTTTACTTTTGCACAGAGGGGTGCTTCTCCTTGGCCAGTCACCATGAGAGCACACCTGAACAAAGGGTCACGAGAGCTTTTATTCCTGGCGCAAGTCCTGCCGCAGTACCCTTTCCCCATTGGTCGGGGTTGGGCCGTACAGTCTAAACTATTCCCGGTTAACTAAACATTTGACACTTTTTTAGATTAGGTGGGCATGTAAGGGAGAGAGGGAAAAGGTGAAGTGGTGTCTGCAATGAGCTAGAGAGCTAGTCTTCTTTCCAAGTAAGGGAAAGAATGTGAGCTGGTACTGATAACGCCTGGTACTGTGGCATGTCTGGGCATGTAACAAAGGCAGAAAGGAAGAAAAAAGGAGAAAAAGGAAAAAGGGGTGGGGGGATACTATGAATTAAATAATAAAGGATTGATCAGGCTATTTGAAGAGAAACCTCATCATATCCCACAGATTTCCCCTTCTTCTTTTTATAACTTTTTCTCTTCAAATCTTTTTAGCATAATTTGGCTCTGTTGTTCTACTTGGTCTTCTAGAAGGAAAAGCTAATTTGAATAAGGGGGAGGAGGATCATAAGAGGTTTTAGTGAGAGCTGTTTCAGTAAGTCTTTATATTAGTCCTTGGGCACAGGGTATAATACAACATCCTACAAGAATAAGCAACCCTATTCCAATGGCCAGAGACATGAGGATTGAGGACATAAGTCCCTTCCATCTACCGAACAAATTTCCCATTAAATTTGTGAAGGGATCGTTTAGTCCAGAGTTTTTGGCTAGTTCATTTGATAAGGCAGTAAGACCTTGTAATGCTTTAGTTATGGTCCCACTAGGAGCAGTATTATTAGGGATATAAGCACAGCATTGGGTCCCGATCATGACACAAACTCCACCCTCCTTTGCTAATATCATGTCTAATGCTATCCTATTTCCCCAGGCCATTTGACTGGTGGGTCCTAGTTGTTCAGCCATCCCTTTAATAGCATCTCTAGTATAATTAATAAATCATTGTTGATTGTAATAAATGTAATTTATCCAATTCACATTTTTATTTACAGTTAACCACCAGAAGAGCATAGATTCAAATCCGGCAGTTATTTGATTTTGGTCCTTAAATTCATTTGGCAATCCTCTTGGGACCCCAATGGCATCTATATAAACATGAGAATTGAAGGACCCATGGTGGGGGCCTCTTTTGTTTGATGATATTTGGTTCCTGTCCTTTCTGGTTGATGAAATATCAGGGTGAAAGGGATGGCCAATTGAATTAGAGCACAAATTCTGCTCCAGTTACTTGGCAGAGTGTCCAGTATTGGTCTACCACAATACCACCACACATCCTCTCGAGGATGGCTAAGGGCAGACTGATGGGTAAGCTCTTGGAAGGACTTAAGCTTACTGCATCCTGTTAAGGCTTCCAGGAATGCCAAGTTTTCTCCCTGTCATGAGAGACATGAAGTAAAATTGGCATTGGGAGATGGATGCTGAATGGCCCTCGGGGGCAGACCCACAGGGTGTCGAACTTCAGGGAACAGCAGAGAAAGAGCTTGGCATGATTTATTGCCCCAGGCTGAGGGGTTTTGGAAGAGAGCTACCATACAGCTCATGCCCGGTCAGCTGGAAGACCATCTAAGCGGAACGGGGACAATCTGGGCTTCTGGTCTTACTGTGCACACAAGCGTAACATTCACTTTTGTTTGAAGTGCGGACGGAATATTTAATTGTTTCCAGCCAAGCATTTGCATCTTGATATCCTGTTTCTAGAGCTATAGTTTGCCTTAAGTTTTCTACCTCCACAACTGTTACCTTGGTTGGGTCATTTTGGAGATGTGAGGAGGACGTTGGACTCGCTATACCTGGGGAGAGCGTTGGGTTCCACATGTCTCCTGGACTCTGGGCCTGAATTCCTTTATTGTTGTTAACCAGTGGTTTAAATAACCTTAGGGAGAAGATTCCTATAGGGCCTTATCCTGAAACATCTGCTTCTAACCCATACCGTTCAAATACAGAGGGTTCTTGGGCTATTGTCCAGGGATGATTTATAATCAGCAACAAGGGGTAACAGTGCAACAGCTTACAATTTGGTGGGGTGTGGCCACGGACTAGTTGGAGTTTTTGTCTTAGTCCCCGTAACCTATTTGAAGCAGGCGGCCTGGCTGTCCACCCTTTGTACTTAGTGGTCCACCAAACATCTGCCCAGTCACTACAGGGACGTTTTGAAGTTCCATACTTATACTTGGTTGACTCTTTGCAGTATGGACATAGATACTTATCACCATGGGATACCTTCCTTTGAGCTTGCTCATCTCCGCACGGGATGACTGAACAGACGTCAAACAGAAGGGTTAAAGGTTGGCTAGCCTGAGTTACCATTGATGACAAGATGACCTTCTGTTGAAAAGAAAATAAGTAAGTGATTAGTAATCTCTTTTTAGAGTTAGTTTGGTGGGGGTGAGCCCAGGAGTGACAGTGCATGATTCTGAAGGTGGCAGCGTCTTTTTGACTTGGGTGTGATAAGTCCATCCTCTTTCCGCTGTCCGGACTGTAGTCTCAGTAATTAGGAGCACTAGGTAGGGTCCTTCCCAAGCTGGTTCGAGTTTCCCTTCCTTCCACCCTTTGATGAGGACATAGTCTCCAGGCTGATGTTGATGTGCTGGAAACTCCAGGGGTGGCGCCTGTGCTAGGAGACCTTTAGTCTTAAGGCAGGAGAAGATAGAGGATAGACAAAGTGTATAGATTTTGAGGAAATGATCTTTAGTTTCAAATGTAGGGATGTCAGCAGCAGAGTGTAAGTAGGGCAATCCGTAGAGCATTTCATAAGGGGAAAGGCCAATATCTCTCCAAGGGGCAGTCTGGATTCTTAACAAAGCAATAGGAAGACATTTAGTCCATGGCAATCGGGTTCTAAAACTAACTTAAGTGGTTTTTTAGAGTCTGATTCATCTGCTTTACCCTTCCTGAGGAGGATGGATGCCAGGGGGTATGATATTCCCAATTTATATCTAGTACCTGGGCTAACTTCTTAATGACATGTGCAGTGAAATGGGTTCCATTATCTGAATCAATATTTTCCACTAGTCCAAATCTGGGTACGATGTTTTCAATTAATGCTTAGACTACATTATTGGTGGTTGCACTTGAGAATGGGATAGCCTCTACCCAGTGGGTAAAGTGGTCTATTACTACTACTAAGTATTTTAAGCAACCAGCTGGGGGCATTTCGGTATAATCAATCTGAACACTTTGAAATGGTCTCAGCCCTGGATTCCTTCCTCCAAGGGGCAATTTCCTTAGAATCTGCTTATTAGTCTTTTTTACGTATTAAACAACTATCTATAACTTGTTTGGCCAGGGTGTAAATTCCTATATACCCATAAACCTGGAGAACTGCATCATACATTGCTTGGGGTCCCCATTGGGTCCCCTGATGTAATTGAGACGAGATCTCCCTCGTGAGAGGTATTGACAACATCTCCCTTTGATCTGATAATATCCATTTCCCTTCTGTGTTCTCTTTAGCTCCTATTCTTATTAACTTCTCTTTTTCAATGGAAGCGAAAATGGGGGTTGCAGTAGGAGAAGGAAGGCATGGAGTTAAATGAAAAACAGGCATTTCAGAAGAAACGGCAGCTTGCTTTGCTATCTGATCTGCGAGATTATTTCCCCGACTTGTGAAAGACAAGTCCCTCTGATGCCCTGGGACATGTACAATAGCTATCTCTTCTGGCAATTGGAGATTATAGAGGACACAAGCAATTAGTTCTCTATGAACTAAATCTTGGCCTCTACTATTGGTAAGACTCCTCTCCATCCAAATTTTTCCAAATGTGTGTGCCACCCCAAAGGCATACTTAGAGTCAGTATAGATAGTTCTTTCTTGGTTTTGTAAATGTTCTAAAGCTTGGCTGAGTGCAAACAGTTCACATGTCTGGGCAGACCAATTATTAGGCAGTCTTCCTGATTCTACTTCTTCAAGCGTTTCTCCATCAATCACTGAATACCCATGATGTCTTTTCCCTTCAATTACGCAGGAGGAGCCATCTATGAATAAGTGCCCCCCTCTCTTGAAGGGAGTTTCTCCTAAGTCTGGTCGAACTTTTGTATGGTAATCAATCAGATCTAAACATGCGTGCTCTCTTTTTAAGTTTGGATCCCCTATCAGAAAGGCTTCTGGATTAAGTGAATTTTCAGTAGTTAATATTAAATCATCTTTTTCCAGTAGGATAGCCTCATATTTTAAAATCCTTGAGTCAGTGATCCACCTTCCTGCTTTCTGACTTAAAATAGTTCTAACTTGGTGGGGTGTGCTTACTGTTAACTTTCCTCCAAAGGTTAAATTCCTACTTTCTTCAACTAATACTGCTGTAGCCGTGATGGATTGGATACATTGGGGCCACTCAAAAGTGACTGGGTCTAAGACCTTTAACAAGAAGGCCACGGGCTGTCAATTGCCTCCATGCCCTTAGGTAAGAACTCCTAGAGCTACCTCATTATTTACGTTAACAAAAACTCTAGGGAGTGTAGAGCTAGAATAGGGGCAGTTATGAGCATCTCTTTTAATTCCTCAATTTGCTGGATTTCCTCAGAAGTCCACAAGAGACAATCAGGTTTGCACTGGGCAAGTTTCTCATATAGAAGTTTACTTTTTAATGCAAATGTGTCAATCCATAAACAGCAATATCTAATTAGTCCTAAAAATTTCCTGAGTTCTTGTTTATTTTGAGGCAGGGGTAGAGAAACAATTCCCTCCACTCTTTCAAGGCCTATTCTTCATTTACCAGCACTGATTAGGTGACCTAAGTATTTAACTTCAGGTTCTACATACTGAAGTTTCCCTTTTGAGACCCACAACCCCTCACATTGCAAGTGATTGAGAATATGTGTAGAGAAGTCACTTACTTCCTTTATATCTTTACCAGATATAAGAAGATCATCTACGTACTGAAGCAGGCATATTTGCTTAGGGACTGTGACTTTCTCTAGTACTTGTTCTGGGATCTGACCAAAGAGGGAGGTTGGGGGAGTCTGTGAACCCCTGGGGCAAGACTGTCCATCAATATTGTTGTCTCAGCCCTGAGTGGGGGTCTTCCCACTCAAAAACAAATATATCTCAGCTATCCTTAGCCAAGGGCATGCCAGATTAAATCCGTCAATGTAAACAACTGATGATTGTATAGAATTTTGCTAAGAATGGTGTAAGGGTTAGGAACAATGGGGTGAGTGGTCTGGACTACTTGATTAATAGCTCTAAGGTCTTGCACTAATCAATAGGACCCATCTGATTTCTTGACAGGCATGATTGGGGTATTGTAAGGAGACATACAGGGTTCAAGAAGCCCATCTTTAATGAGACCCTTAATTACAGGCTTTAGCCCTACTCTGCCCTCTAAAGGAATGGGGTACTGCTTTCTCCTTACTATTTCCCCAGGATTTTTTAGTTTGATATGTATTGGAGAGATTTGGAGTTTCCCTCTATTTCCTTCCTTTGACCAGACATCAGGATGAATATATTTCTCATTTACAGCAGTGAGTAAATGTAGTGAAGTGAGGAATCCTTTAGGGCCCACTCGAAGGCCTGTACCTAGCCTTACCATTAAGTCCCTTCCTAATAGATTAGTTCCCACTTCAGGAATTAATAAAAATTGAATATGAGTAAATCAATCTTGATATCTGACTTCTGTGCTTTCTAAAAATTTTTGCCTTAAATCCTTCTCCTTTTACCCCGCTGACTAAAACTTCTTCCGAAGAGCAGGTAAGACCAGGTGGAGGGAAACAAACAGAGGAGTGTGAAGCTCCTGAATCAACTAAAAAGGTGATAAATTCATGTTTAGGTCCTACCTCCAAATTTATCAAGGGCTCCTGGTGGGACTCAAAATAAAAGAGGCAGAGCCCCTGACTCCCCTATTGTTCTTCGGAAGTCATGAGTGTAAAAATTTCTCTCTCTCTCTTTATTTCAGGACATTCCCTCTTGAAGTGGCCTGTTCTTCCACATCTGTAGCCTCTATCTTGTCCTTCTTCCGTCTCAGTCTTAGCATTCTCAGCCCTTGCTCCCCTATACCACTTAGGGGGCTTATTAAATGAGGACCTTGACCCTCCAGATGGAGGCTTCAGTCCTCTAAAGGAGGGTTTAGGCCCCTTATAATCTCTGGCCCCTTGAAAGCCCTGCTTAGAGATATATGGATTTGGAGCCATCTGTTGGAAGGCAGAAAACATGAGTTTTGTCTTTTGTTTTTGTTTTTGTTTTCCTCATCTCTTCTCACATATACTTTTTGAGCCTCCCTGAGCAGTTCACTCAGAGGCTGGTCCTCCCAACTTTCTATCTTTCGTAATTTTCTTGAAATGTTTGGCCAACTTTTAGTAACAAAGTGAGGTTTTAACATTCCTCGTCCAAGGGGGTTTTCCAAATCAAGGCCTGCATATTGTCTCATTTGCTCCCTCAATCTGTTTAAGAATCTAGCAGGTCCCTCATCTTTTTCCTGTTGAATATCAAATGCTTTAGAAAGATTTTGAGTTCGGGGTACTGATTCTCGAATTCCTTTTATTATCATCTTCCTTAGGTCCTTCACGTTTTCCCAGTGATTTGCATTGTTATTGTCCCACTGGGGGTCTCGGGTGGGAAATTTATGGTCTGCAGGAGGAACATTTTGACCAGAAGGGTGCTCACATTCCCAAACCACCATAGCAGCCCTCCGAATCGTACTTCGTTCTTCCCCTGAAAAGAGGACACCCAAAATGGACATCAACTCAGCCCAGTGTATATCTGAGGCCCTAGAAATTGATCAATTTGATCTGCTACTCCATAAGGGTCATCCAATAATGGCTTAAGCTCCTTTTTTAAATTCTGGACTTCTGAACTGGTCAAGGGAGAGTTTACAAAGCCAATAGCCACCCCCTGTCCTTGTGGTACCACCCTTAGAGGAAAGAAAGTTGGATCTGGCTCTTTAGGTGTGGAGGGAAATGGAAAGTTTCGAATATCTTTTTTACATTGCTCTATTTCACATTGAAGCCCCTTTAAAGAGGGATACTTAATAGTTTTGTTGAGGAGGGGGGCAGGCTCACAAGATGGTAATTCTGCAAAGTGAGGATTATAGGCAGGAGGAGCAATATGAGTATATGAGTATAGAAACCACAGGTCGGGGAGGGATCTGCAGCAGCAGCTGGGGGAATGGAACACGGGCAAGTGACACAGGTGAGGGAGTGGCCTGAAACAGCTGGGCAGTAACCCGAAACCGCAGCCAGAGGGACGGAATCGGGAACAACTGGAAGAGTGACACAAGCAGGGGAGGGACCTGAAATGGAAACGGGAGCTGGAGGGGCGGGACTGGGGGGCAACCAGAAGAATGATGCAAACAGGGGAGGGACCTGAAACGGAAATGGGAACCAGAGGGGCGGGATCGGGGCGGCCAGAAGAGTGACGCAAGCAGGGGAGGGACCTGAAACGGGAACCGGAGGGGCGGGATTGGGGGCAGCTGGAAGAGTGACACAAGCAGGGGAGGGACCTGAAACAGGAACTGGAGGAGTGGGATGGGGGCACTGAATGGAGGAAGGTGATCTAGAGGGTCCCACGTGTTAGTGGGTGTGGGTTGTCTAGACATGGGAACTCTTTCCCTGCCAGAGGGGTTGGCTTCTGGCTTTCTCCCTCCGGAGTCTAAAGGGTAAAGGAGGATAGGTCCCTGCCACCAATAGAGGGTGTAATCAATTTCTTCCTGGGAAACAGGGCTCTTATCATTAACATGCTCAATTAAGAGCTGACAAATCCGCTCCTCATTTGACCCAAATTTTGGCCAGAAAAGTGAGGGTTTCAGGATGGGTTCTCGAGCCCAAATAAAACAAAAATATTTTATCATCTGCTGTTTTCGTTTATACTTGGTCCTCTCATTATCTTTCCAATACTTTAGCATAAGCCCCAAGGGGCTATCAGAAGGAATTTCATTGCTCTCTTGACTCTTTAGTTTTCCTGTCTTACATGAAACATTCCCCATCTTAGGGGTTATGGGGGGCTCTAACCTCTCCTGTTAGAGGTGTCTACCCCCCTCTTTCTAGAGGCTCAATGAGGCTTTAAGAGGGGGTTCAACCTGTTGTGTTGGAGGTGTCTTACCTCCCCCTTTCTGGAGGCTTAGCCTCTCCCGTTAAGGGTTTCCTGCATATCCTATAGCTCACCCCTCTGGAGGCTCCTTGTACCCTTCTTTCTCTTTGTCTACTGTGACTCTTCCTGCCCCTAGTCGATAGATGGCAACACGAAACCGCAGAGAAGACTCACTCACTCCACACAACCATAATGCTTAGCCCCATTCACACACTGTCAAACTCCAAATTATCCTGACCACCAAGGAAATACTTTGTCACCTTTGTGAAGTCTCCTACCTTTTTCCATGCACAAGAATTACCTGGTCCTCTTATTGCCACGGTCTTGCAAGCCTCTCCTCCCTGCTTTGCTGAGAACCCAGATTTATTCATCACAATGGGTGGGCCCTGACCCCCCTCACCCTCTGGCCACCATAACAAGACAGTGGGACCCCTGGGTGAGGTGACCAAAGACCCCCTTCCCAAAGGAGAGTATTTGAGCCCCAGAATTTGGGCACCAGAATTGTTGAGAATAATGCCCAAAATCCTAAGGAAATTGAACACTCAAACAAAGGATTCTTAACCAAGCAATTTTACTTTTGCGCAGAGGGGTGCTTCTCCTTGGCCGGTCACCATGAGAGCACACCTGAACAAAGGGGCATGAGAGCCTTTATTCCTAATGCAAGTCCTGACCCTGTACCCTTTCCCCATTGGCCGGGGTCGGGCCCTACAATCTAAACTAGTCCCAATTGGCTAAACATTTGAACCTTTTTTAGATAAGGTGGGCATATAAGGGAGACAGGGGAAAGGAGTAGGGGTGTCTGCAGTGAGCTAGAGAGCTAGTCTTCTTTCCAAATAAGGAAAGGAATGTGAGCTGGTACTGATAACGCCCGGTACTGTGGTGTTTCTGGGTATGTAACAAAGGCAGAAAGGAAGAAAAAAGAAAAAGAAAAAATGGGTGGGGGGTACCATGAATTAAAGAATAAAGGATTGATCAGGCTATTTGAAAAGAAACCTCATCATATTCCCACACCTAAAAAGCTATAGAGGGCTGGTGGTGTCATTTACTAAAATGGAGGAGACAAGAGACTCTTCTGATTTGGAATCTAGAGAATTTAGTGGTTTGGGGTGAGTGGTGAGTTTAGGTTTGTACACATTGAGTTCACAGTGAATGTGCGGCTTTTGCAGAGATATTTGGTGGGCAGTTGAGTTATCAGGACAAGTAGTACAGTTGAAGGAGAGTACAGAGAATGATAAGAGGAACCAGAGTAAGAAGGACTCTTTAGGGATATTACTATGTAAAAAAATACAGAAAGGAAGCTGAGAAAGAGCAGTCTCAAAAGTAGAAGGAAAAATAGTAGGATGGGGTAATGGAAGTTGACAGAGGAAAGAATTCCAAGACAAAAAGACCACAGGGACACAAGTAAGGCAAGCACTGAAAAGTATCCATTGGATTGCACAATTGTGATATAATAAGTAGGTTTGAAATTAATCTTCTTCTCTCTGTCAGAGCCTGGAGGCTCAGACATTTAAAGGTGTTTTTGCCCAATGGCCCCTTCTGAATTTCTTCTGGGCTGCAAAGAAATCCCATCCGCATATCTCATTTATTAATTTCCTGTTCTAAAGAAATTTTAGAATATAAAGCCTTTGCAATTGAATACTTGTATCTTAAATTCTGGAAACTAACCTTCCAAACTGCTTTTTTGATTTTCCTCACTGAGGCTAAAAGTATAATAGAATTTATATTTTGTTCAGAATATACAATGAGATAATACTTGAATAATAGATTGGAGCCCATATTCCCTTAGCAATTCATAATAAGTATCATGTTTCAGGCTTTGAAAGTATTTTTTTTTTTTTTTATTTTTTGAGATGGAGTCTCGTTCTGTCACCCGAGCTGGAGTGCAGTGGCACAATCTTGGCTCACTGCAAACTCTGCCTCCCAGGTTCAAGCGATTCTCCTGCCTCAGCCACCTGAGTAGCTTGGATTACAGGCTTCTGCCAACATGCCCGGCTAAATTTTATATTTGTAGTGGAGACGGGGTTTCACTTTGTTGGCCAGGCTGGTCTCAAACTCCTGACCTCAGGTGATCCTCCCTCCTCAGCTTCCCAAAGTGCTGAGATTACAAGCGTGAGCCACCACACCCGGCCCGAAAGTCTTAAGCGAAGAAACCATATCATCTTTGTTTAACTCAATATTCCCCAGTTATTTAAGCCTATAAATTGTTTTTACAAATAATAATTAACAAGCCCGGATGTAACTGTTCCTTGGCACATCCTTTGAAAAATGTTTCTGTCCTATTGCTGCTATAACACCCCCTGCCAAAAAAAAAAAGGAAAGAAGAAATATGTCTCTGAAGGCATCACTGAAAAAGCAAGAGCAAAGAAGGGACAGAGGTAATCTTTAGGATGGTATCTTCACCTCTAGTGAGTGATATGAAGACATTGTGTTAACGCCAGGAAGGAGTAATGAGTGTCTGAACTCAAACAGTCTGAGTCTTAGTACAAAGGAGGGGACGAAATGGGATTGATTCGGTTGAGAGAAGAAGTGAAGCTGGGAGAGAAAGAAGATTGGAAGATGACAACAAAGGCTTCAGGTTTGGGCAACTATGCATATGACGGGAAGCTTGGAAGAGAAAGTCTTGAAGATGACTAATGTTTCTGAGAAGAAAAAAATAGAAATAATGCATGGCTTTGTGTAAGTTGAGGAGTCATATTATGTGGGTGGAATCGAGAGGAAATGCAGCATTTTTTGGAAAAGGAAACGTTGAGAATAATTTAACCATAACTAGGATTGCTGGGAAACCATTGTCCTGTTTGATGAGTGTATATTTCTTTTTTTTTTTTTTTTTTGAGATGGAGTCTTGCGCTGTCACCCAGGCTGGAGTGCAGTGGTGTGATCTCGGCTCACTGCAAACTCTGCCTCTGGGTTCACGCCATTCTCCTGCCTCAGCCTCTGGACAAGCTGGGACTACAGGTGCCTGCCACCATGCCCAGATAATTTTTTGTATTTTTAGTGGAGACAGGGTTTCACCGTGTTAGCCAGAATGGTTTCAGTCTCCTGACCTTGTGATCAGCCCGCCTCATCCTCCCAAAGTGCTGGGATTATAGGTGTGAGCCACCGCGCCCGGCCTGGTGAGTGTATATTTCTAAGGGTAGATTATGGTTCCAGGATGAGGGCCATTAGGGTGAAATTAACAGAATGTGGCTGTAGAAAGTGAGGCAAATAACAGAAAATTTGAGCCACTCTTCTTCTACTTGGAAACTCCTAGCAGCCATCATTGACATTCACATTATTGAGTAACTACTATATAGACTACACTGGATTAGATGACTCTTCTGAGATGGAAAGGAAATGACTACTTTTTTTTGTTTGTTTGTTTTGTTTTGTTTTGTTTTTTTGAGACAGAGTCTCGCTCTGTCACCAGGCTGGAGCGCAGTGGCACAATCTCAGTTCACTGCAAGCTCCGCCTCCTAGGTTCAAGCAGTTCTCTTGCCTCAGCCTCCCAAGTAGCTGGGACTACAGGTGCATGCCACCACGCCAAGTTAATTTTTTTTTTTTTTTTTTTTGTATTTTAGTACAGACGGGGTTTCACCATGTCGCCCAGGCTGGTCTCAAACTCCTGACCTCATGATCCGCCTGCCTTGGCCTCCCAAAGTGCTAGGATTACAGGTGTGAGCCACCAAGCCCGGCTGGAAATGACCACTTTCTAATGAAGCCCTGAGTGAGCTGGCAGGAAGCTTTGCCATTGGATGCAGAATAAGAGGGGAAGGATTTTAGGACTAAGATAAATTGAGAAAGTGTTTATTCAAGACAGTTTGAATGCAATACATGCAAAGCAGAAAATCATAATTGCTAAGAAAAACTAATAAAGCTAAAAATAAATCATATCTAGCATCAGTCCAAAGTACAGGTCAACATGGCAGTCAAATCATTAGCCAGAAGAATCAGAAAGCAGAAAGCAATAAGAGTAAAAAATAGATTGAGGAGGCCGGGCACAGTGGCTCACGCCTGGAATCCCAACTCTTTGGGGCTGAGGTGAGTGGGGGAATGGCTTGAGACCAGCCTGGGCGACAGAGTAAAAGATGCCTCTGAAAGAAAAGATGGAAGAGAGTAGTTCAGGACTATGTCTTTGAATTTGGGTGAGGTGAACACTCCTCTTTTACGCCATGCCAGTGTAATGGTTGAGGTGTTTGGTGGCTTGATGGAATTATTCAGGCTGATCAAGAGTAAGGAGAAGAAAAGTAAAAGAATGGAGGCAGGAAAGTGTATGTAAAGAGGTTGTGCCTAATAAGCCTGTTAGCTGAAAGGGAAGCAAAGAGAGCCTGGAGGAGGGAGGTAGAGAGGAAAGGAAAGTATAACCAGGAAGTCAATTAGATTAGAGTAGCATGGTAGACTGGAAAAAATAATGAATTTTCTTATTTCAGTCTGCTTCATTCTGAAATTTCTTTTAGGAACATTCTGAACTCTGAAACACAGGAACAGGAACAGAGGAAGAGAATAGCACTACAATCCAGGATTGGACCTTAGAAAAAAATGAGTGAATCCCTATACTGACACAACTCCATTCCAGGTGCAGTTCTCTGGGGCTGCACCACTTTGTACTGAAACAAGAAGCAGCTAGCCAAACCTAACAGCCATAATACTCACTTACAAAATGACAAGGTTTATAAATAACCATAGCTGCTCCTTGTATGATGACAGAAGCCCCAAGTTTTGGGGAATGCCACCAGGTGGTAAACCTCTGAAATGCAAAGTGGAGTGGCCAGGTATCCCACATAATGCCCCCAAATCTGAGTTCTTGAGTACATGGCATTTCTCCACTAACTCAGGGTTCTGGCACCTAATTGGAGTGGAAACGAAGTTCCCAGATTCAAACTGGGACTTGCATTTTGCCATGATTTCTGCTAGGCCCATTTGTGCAAGGAAGACCCTATTGTCACAGTTCCTAAATTTATTTTTTAACTAATGTCTTTAAATTATTGTTAAAAGATATTTTTTAAAGGCAGAATAATGACTCATACAAATATAAAATAAACGTTGTCAAAATTTTACTTACTTTCTTATTTTTTTTTTGAGACAAGATCTGACTCTGTTGCTGAGCCTGGAGTGCAGTGGCATAATCAAGGCTCACTGCAGCCGCGACCTCCTGTGCTCAAGCAATCCTCCTGCCTCAGCCTTCCAAGTAGCTAGGACTACAGGTAGGTGCTGCTGCACCCAGCCAAATTTTTTTTTTGTAGGGACAGGGTCTTGCTGTGTTGCCCAGGCTGGTCTTGAACTCCTAGCCTCAAGTGATCCTGGCCTCCCAAAGTGCTGGGATTAGAGGTATGAGCCACTGTGCCCAGCCTTATTTTACTCTTATCCAAGGGACCAGTAAGTCATGACAACCAGTTCAAAGGAGAATTCTAAGAGCCATACACACACACATATATACAGACACTTAAGAATACTGAAATGAATTAACAAATAAAGTAAAACTGGCTTATTCCACATGGGACAGGGGTAGGGAAAACAATTGTCACTCCACTAGACAGAACTCGTTTGCACAACAGGAACAAGAATAATTTGCATCGCTAGTCATTGTCTAAATTTACAGTTATAAAATGGCTCAAAGATAATAAAAAGGCACAAACCTCATAGAATCAGATAACCTGGAGGTTATGTGCTAAATGAGGCCTAATTTTCCACTGAAGACACTCAGACATTGGAGTCTTTCCCAAATTTTCCCTACATGACCCACCTTTATATGATATCCTACTTTTCCTGCCTTATATTTTTAAAGCTGTCTTTGTTCTCATTGCCCAGATTACATATTTCTGAAATTTGATGCTTTCTGGAAACAATCTATCCTGGTTAGTCAGATTCTCTATAGAACTGCAGTTCTGTTGATTTTTATTTACTAATTCTTCCCATGTTACCTACAATGCCATTTGTTTTCTGGTTGTGAAACAGGAAAGTTTCCCTTGTCCCCCTCGCAGGGCATGCAATGGGGGTGCGGCTTACTTCTTCAGCGCCCCATTGCTCAAACCTCTAGGGGAGCACACAGACTGGCAGGCTGTGGGGCTCTGACCCCATGGCAGTGTCTAGGGGTGAATGTTTACAGCTGAAGCCCCAGTGGGCGTGTGTTACAGGGCGCTCTCTTAGTTTGCTGTCTATAGGCGGATTGTGTTAACCTTCTCAATTACACCCCTTTCCTTATCACAAGGACAGAGGGATTTCTGTATCACTGGGGTTTTTGCCTTGGTGTACCGGAAGAATCAGATCACATGTGGGCTTGGAGAATGAGTGCAAGGTTTTATTGAGTGAAAGTAGCTCTCAGCAGATCGGGGAGTCAGAAGGGAGACGGTTTTTCCCTGGAGTCCTGCCGCTGGACCCTTTTCCAACCGCTCTGGCCAAACTTCGTCTTCTGCTGGTTGATGGCCTGCTGGTGCCTGTCAGCATGCTCTTCTGCGGCGTGCTCTCCATGACCAGCTATTTGTGTCTTCTTCTGTCCAGCCACTTGTGTGTGTGTGCCTGCTAGGGTCTCAAGTTTTTATAGGCACAGAATGGGGCATGGCAGGCCAGGGTGGTCTTGGGAAATGCAACATTTAGGCTCCAAGGCAGGAGTGCCTGTCCTTCGCTAGGTCCTTGGGGGTGGATCCCTAGCCAGGGACCACGCCCTACTCTACCCAGCACTTCCCTTCCCCGCTTCCGCTTCCGTGTCATTTAAAGGGACGATGCTCTTCGCTTCTCAGCACTCCCATATCAGTTGTAATATGACAGGTGACAATGTTACAAGGCTGTGTAGCAAAATGTTTTCTGGAAGCTAGCACTGTCAAGGAGGAAACTATAGGAGGAAAGGTAGTTGTGGTAATAGAACAAATCTACTAGAAATAACTAACCATGTGGTCTAGGAGGAAAGGAAGGGGCAAAGGTCTGGGTGGAGTGAATGGGGTTTAGAGACAGTATATTAATATAAGAGTTAGCTACTTAGGAGTAAATAAGGAGGTCTGGTTGAGAGAAGAATAATGCACAAGCATTGTGACAGGGACAGTACAGCCCACTATGTAAAGGTCAAGGACACAGAATGCTATGGAGAAGTTGCAGAGAGATGGCCTTAGTTACAGAATTATGTAATATTTCCCCTGTCCACAGGCCAAATAAAACACAGAAGGTATACCCTTTGGCACCCTAGGCTTCTAGGTAAATAATATTTTTTCATAATGCATTGGATACCTACAAAGCTTTAGGAATTCAGAATAAATAAGGCTGAAATATCAAATTATATCAAATTATAATACTGTTTCTCAGCATGCATTCAACTTTCAGTTACAGTAGCTGCTTTGGAATAGATTTCCTCTTTTTTCTTTCTTTGCTATTTCAGATTTTGAATGTTTGAGCAGCAATCAAACCTAGAAAGCAACTCTCATGAACATTGTAGGCAGAACAAAGGCCTGAGGAACCACCTTAATCCTAGCTCCAGTTTGTGGGGGATCACCTTAAAGGTTCTTGCAATTTCGGCCAGGCATGGTGGCTCACGCCTGTAATCCCAGCACTTTGGGAGGCTGAGGTGAGTGGATCACCTGAGGTCAGGAGTTCAAGGCCAGCCTGACCAATATGGTGAAACCCCATCTCTACTACAAATACAAAAATTAGCCAGACGTGGTGGTGCACACCTGTAATTCTAGTTACTCAGGAGGCTGAGGCAGGAGAATTCCTTGAATTTGGGAGGCAGAAGTTGCAGTGAGCCGAGATTGTGCCATTGCACTGCAGCCTGGGTGACAAGAGCAAAACTCTGTCTCAAAAAAAAGAAAAGAAAAGAAAACTAGAGCTTTTCTCCAAATTATTACATTAATATAACTTTAGAATAGAAAACTGGAAAATACAGAAAAGTAGGAAGAAGAAAAAACTCACCCGAAGTCCTACCAATGACAACGTCTATTAATCTGATTGCATTTATTTCCTATTTCTTTAAATAAGATTAAAAATGGTTCTGACCCTACAGTATATATTTTACATCCTGCTTTTTTCAATAACATAAGATATTATATTAAAATTTACTAAAACTGGGTATTTACATGAATGAAAATTAATCTTGACCCACAACACACACCATTCACAAAAATTAATTCAAGGTAGCTCATAGCCCTAATACAAAAGCTAAGACTATGAAGTTAATCTATAGAAGCTAAACACTAAAGCTACAACTATAAACAAGAAAAGAGAGGAGAATATCTTTGCAATCTAGGCAAAGCTTTTTTAGAACAAAAAATGCTCTAACCAGAAAAGACAAAAAAAGATAGATTAGGTTCATCAAAATTACTTTTACTTTTTGCTCATCAGAAGATGCTATTAAACTGAAAAAATGCAACAGATTGGGGAAAATATTTGCAATTTATATATCTGACAAAGGATTTGTATCCAGAACGTATAAAGAATCCCTATAAAATTCAATACTAAAAGGACAAACAATCCAAGTTCATTGCCTAAATTCACATCAAGTAGGTGGTCAAGTGGTTGCAGGTATCTCTCAAAAGAGAGCTGGAAGGATTAGTTTGAAGCAGAAGCATCCTTGACAGAGAGGATTAGCTACAATCAGGGAAGGAAACAGGAGTGAGGGAGAGTCTCAAGACATAGTAAGCAACTAAAAAATCCAATAAATATAACTAAGAGTTGAATATACTTTACTTTGGCTAAGTGGTCTGTATCAGTCAGCTTTTGCCGCATAACAAACAACCACAAAATCTCAGTGGCATACAATGTCCATCTATTTCTCACATGTCTGAAGTTGGATGAAACAACTCTACTTCAGGACTTGGTAGCTGGGGTGGTCCTACTTCTTTGGATCATACTTCTTCAGATACACACTTCTTGAATCAGCCAAGGTGGCTGTGCCCCAGATGCTTCATTCTAGGGCTCAGAATGAAGACAGAGCAGCTTCCCTGGAGACATTCTGCTCATGGTGATATAAGAGGCACAAGAGAGCAAGCTTCACTACACAAACATATTTCAAGTTTTTCTTTGACACAGAAAGTTACATTGCTTGAGTCCGAAGTCAGTGTGAGAACTACCCATCTTTAGAGTGGTAGTTCCCAGCTAGAGGAGATTCTGTCCCCCACGGGAGGATATTGGCAATGTCTAGAGGCATTTTTGGTTGTCACAATCGCAGGTGGTGAGTAATATACTGATATCCATTAGGCAGAAGCCATGGATGCAGTTAAACATCCTACAATGCCCAGTACAGCTCTCCACATTAAAGAATTATCCAGCCCCAATGTCAATAGTGCTGAGACTAAGAAACCCTGCTTTAGAGGGAGAAACTGAAAAGTTAGGTGGCAAATGGCATGGATACAGGAAAAGATGAAGAATTTAGGCCTTTAATTCAGTCTACTGCAGATCTTAAATATGGATTCTTCTGTTAGAATTCTTCATTGAAATCTTGTAAATAATTAGCACTTAAAGATGATGATAATATGGAACTTTTAACCTAATCTTAACAGAAGTAAAACTAAAAGTATATTAACCTGGCCCTCTCAAAGCCCATCAGAACTTTGATTTTCTGATATTTTTCTCCATGCCTGAGCTCCCACATATCATGCACAAAGAGGAAGACTGTAGGTCCTGGGCACATCCAAGTGCAACAGTTGTTTGCGCTTGTATAATTGCAGCAGCAAAAGCATGTGTCATTGGAGAATGTTCACATTATCACTTCTAAAGCAGTTCCAAAAAAAGAAAACGTCAGAAAATATTCTCAATAAGTCAATCCCCATAACATTGCCCAATCTCAAAATCAATCGCTGTTAAGTAATAAGAGAGCAGACAGTCATGAGTCTCCCTGTGGACTGGGTGTCAGGCTAGAAGTGGTCGTTGTTCGCTATTTTGAAGGTTAAGAACAGTTCAGGGCCGGGCATGGTTGCTCATACCTATGATCCTAGCACTTTGGGAGGCTGAGGCAGGTGGATCACTTGAGCTCAGGAGTTCGAGAGCAGCCTGGGCAGCATGGTGAAACCCCATCCCTACAAAAAAAACACAAAATTTAGCTGGGTGTGGTGGCACGGGCCTGTAATCCCAGTTACTCGGGAGGCTGAGGCAGGAGAACGGCTTCAGCCCAGGAGGTGGAAGTTGCAGTGAGCCGTGATTGTGCCACTGCACTCCAGCCTGGGCAACAGAGACTCTGTCTCCAAAACAACAACAGCAAAAAAAAACAGTTCAGGGAAACACCCATGTAGGGAAAGGGCGGTCAAGTCCTTGATATGTGGTTTTGGCCATAAATGGTATTTCTAGTGGCTAAGATTTTATATGAGCCTGGACAACATAACAAGACCCCCCCAACTCTACAAAAATAAAAATTAAAAAATTAGCGCACACATGTAGTCCTAGCTCTTGGGAGGCTGAGGTGGGAGGATCACTTGAGCCCAGCAGGCTGAGGCTGCATTATTATGCTATGATCACATCACTGCACTCCAACCTGGGTAACAGAGCAAGAACTTGTCTCAAAAAAAAAAAAAAAAAAAAAAAAAGGACCATTTTGATGCCTTGCCTTTGAAGATTACCTTAGCAATTTCATCTCCCTGAAAAACAAAAACAGATCAGAAACAAAAAGGAAAAGGAACAAAGCTATCTCATAATATTACAAACCATTGTTGTGAAGCCACAGCATGTTCTGCTGACACCCATGTCATTCAGTTAGCACCACTTCCTTATAGGAAAGAGAAAGTGAATGTAAGACATGTGGTGCAAGGTTAAGGCTATAGATTTAAAGCAGAAGTCAGGATATTAATGAGTGAAAAATTCAGAATATACTAATACATGTAAGGTGGGATTTGGCTGATATGGGCCTTTACTGACTGTATTTGCCTTTCAGGAGTATATTGTTAGCCTGCAAACAACAGAATCCTTTCTAGCTAGTCTAAGAAAAAAATAAGGTGGAGAGATTCATTAAACAATAACTGATAGCTCACAGATTCTCTGGGAGGATCAGAGGCCAGACTCTGAGGCCACATAGCCAAACCCAGTGCCCAGACCACACTTTGGGTAAGGCGGGGGTGCGGGTGCTTTTGGGGGAATGTCACTGTCATTGTCATTAAACATCTATAATGCTCAGGATAAAGTACCAGAAGATCACTCCCGCTGTCTGTGACTATCTCGTCACACTGCCCTTGAAGAAATCCTGGTCTCATGTGGATACATATGATTCATAGAAAATAGGTCACATGATTGCACTATAACTACACAGGAATCTGAGCATGTGTAAGTTTTCTGGCTTCTACATTGAGAAGGTAGTACACACAATGTAGAAAATACAAAAATGAAGGCGAATCTTTGATGTTGTGTGGCCACTGAAGGAGAATATCCACTATAGGAAGAAAGAAGGAAAGTAAATAGTAACCAGGGTTCCGTACCCTGAACTGGCAGACATGGTTAAGCCTTCAGCTTAGTAGGACTGCAACACAGGCTGCTGCAGATCTGGAAGATGAGATGCTGCAGGATTCTTGTTGACCTCACTAAACTTCTTGACTCTCCGTTTCCTTGTCAAGACAGCTGGGCACTCTTCAGGATCTGTGGATACTTCAGGGGTTCACAATCGCAGTCTAGTCTTTAAGAAGGTAATAGTTTCTTTGAAATTATTTATTTTGTTTCTGTAAAATGACTGTCCTAATGTTTGAAATTTATGTTTTTAGCTAAAAGCTTTGGTCTCCTGATAAAATTACGTCCCAAAAAGGGTAAATACTCTGTGGCTGTCATTTATACCCAAATGTAGATGACTTAAAGATCCTTTCCTGCAAGCTTGCCCCTTTCCTTTAAGTTGGATGTTCTGTTACTTGCAACTGAAAGCATTAAAACTGATTGAGTACCACTTTCAAGCCATCAGTAACTCAAAAATACATCATCTTAAAATAAGAACAAGTGGTTCTTATTTTAAGACTGGGGGCTGTGCCGTGCCATCCTGTTCAACTACCAGGAACAGGTTCCCCAACCTGCTGTAAGACCTCAGCTGTCATCCCTCTTTGGGAAGTTCTTTGACTATGAAGATCTGCCTCAACCAAAGTCACACTCCCTTCCCTGGATGCAGCCCACACAGAATGGCTGGTCAGCATGAGCACATAAAGGCTGGGCTACCTATCCCCTACTCAGGATAACCCTCAATGACCATGCCAGCATGAGAGCTTCTCATGTAGTCAGCTGGGGCTTTTGTTGTGATTACATCACAGCTCATCTTCCCCATCTGTCCAATCCTGCCTCCTTCCCTTCCACAATTGTGGATTCCAAGGGCACCCCCTAATATACTTCCTCATGCCAATCTTCACTGCAGTCTGCGTCCTGGTAAACTTTACCTATGGTAAGTGGTATTTATTAGTTAGGATTAAGTTCAGATGCAGGTGATCAACAACCAACACAATAATGGTTCAGGTAGCACAGACATTTATTCCCCCCAAATCAAAGTCCATATCAGAGATCTAGAGGTAGTATGGTGCATCATGGTTTGGTGCAGAGATCAAGTTCTCTCTATCTTCTTGCTCCTTTTGTAGACATTTGACTTCATGGTCCAAGATGGACCACGTTCAGTATCCACATTCTGAACAACAAGATGGAGGAAGAAACAAGAAGAAGCAAAGAGCGCACTTGTGCTGTTTCTAAAAGACTCTCCCATGAGTTGAAGGGCCAAGAGAAAAACTTGCGTTTCTGTTAAAACTTCAGCAGGCATTTATTATGTCTTCAATTGTTTTCGTTTTCTTTGCCTTATGATAATCAGGCCATACTTGGACCTGCTTTGACATCCTCATTGAACTTATGCTTACTAGAGTGGCTCCCCTCAGTTCCCACTCATTCTGCCTGAGCCAAATTCCTGTTTCCTATACCTGCCCACCATTTGCTTGGCCCCAGGGTTATGCCTAGCACTTAAATTCACCACAAACATCCCTTGATACCGTACATCAGAAACAAAATGTGACCTACAGCAAACCTAATGATTATAAATTGCTCTTTTCCGATCCTCCCATTTTATTGCTTCCCACTCCCCAAAAAAAGGACTTTAACCAAGTTGCCAATTCATCAGCAATTTATTTTTTTCCATAAAGTCACCAAGCTGCCAAAACATTCAGTTTGGCCATTTAAAATCATTTGAAATAATGGCTTTACATTTTTGGAATTTATTTGTTTATATATTTATATTTCATTGGTGCAAAAGTGCTTTCAAAGCAGGGATTGCTCTCACTGGTTGAGGACATATCTTGACTCCCTAACGTTTTCACTGGAAGTTGACAGAGATGATATTTAAAATGTATAACAAGTGAGAGCATAGGCACAGACCAGTCAGGATGGATGCCAATCACAGGTAAACCATGGGGCTATTCCAGTATACATTAGCAGCATCTTGGTCCTGGCAGTGACCATCTGTAAAATAAGAACAATAAAGTCCTACCTTCAGAGAATTTATTGTGAGCATTAGAGAAGATAATTCATGTGAAGGATCTGGCATAATATCTGACACATTGCAAAAAGTCCAAGCTACCTTTATTTTCTTAGTTAGCAGATATGCTTATTTTCTTGAGCTCTTTGGCAAAATTTTTGTAAACTTTATCGAGCAGAATGTCCAATGTTACTTTTCATAATTCCCTTTTGAGTTCAGTTCCTGGTCATCTGATAAACAAAGATAAGTTTTAGTTGCTCTGGATGTTTGGTAAGCTAAATTTAAGGTTTGGTTATGAAGACTATGCTAGCCTTCTTTGGATATAATTGTTGCCTCTTTCCCTAAGATATTTAAGTTTTTATTCTGATAGCATAGTGGTTAAAAACACAGGCTATGAAAGCTAAGTAGGTTTGTAGCCCATCTCTCCCAGTTCCTAGCTATGAAAACTTGGGCCAGTTGCTCCACCCTTCTAAGCCTCATTTCTCTCATTTGTCCAATAGGTATAATACAATGCTGCTACCTTGTAGATTCAACAATATACTTTAGAACATCTAAAACATCTTTCTACCTAGCAGAAAGAAAAACCACTCAGTCAGCATTAGCTATTCTTATTTTGTTGTTAACTATCTGTATCTCTTTTCTGAAGTAAAGGCAGTATCAGTCATAAACTTAAACTATGAAGAGGCCATTAAAGGAGTTTTCATTAATCTTTTCATTATACAGGGTTCTGATTTTTTAAAGGTCTTTAGTTTCTATACATAAAATACTTGTATTTATTTACAGCAGTTGTATAAACAAGGATTCAAAAATACTTATACTACACTCAGATGTGTAGAGAACATGTACAGTAATATCTTTTTCGGTGAATAATGAATCAGATTCCCTTCATGTGCTCCCACTTGTCAGGTATTGTGGGGAAGAGGAACCACTAACTGTTATGCCACTCCAATAAACTTAATCTACTGAAATAATTTAAATAACCCTTTAGATAAGCACTAAATCTCTTTTAGTAGTTTAGTCTCTCAAATTTTCACCACCTTCTTCCAGAGCCTCTCTTTTTTGTCATCTGGGTTCATAGAACAAGGGCAATAGCTGAGTGTTCAATGACAGCAGAGGTGACATGAAGTCCTCAAATCCTTGTGATGGCATCTGGGCCACTGCTTGTCTTTGCCATTGAGTGGCTATTCCCCAGTGCTCCCTGGTGAGTGCTCAAGGGTGACTGGCCCCATCCCTGTGCCTTCTCCTGGCCAGTGCTGCTGAAGTGCAGTGTGGTACCTCAGCTTCTTCAGAACCAGGTTATGCTCTTCCAGATGGCTCAGCCTTGACTTGGCTTTCAACTGATGCTGAAGACTCCTCTAAGACACTGCCTTTCCCTATCCAGCCCTGAGCTATGATGCCTACCTAAGCTGTGCCATTTTTACCATAGCAGACCCCATAGCAGGCCCACCTTCCTCATGCCCCTTCAGCAATATACAGGGATTTTCATCTTTGCCATCTAGAAACCAAGGACAACTCAGGAAAACTTAACTCAGGCCCAAACGCTATGCAATCACGCTGTGCCACAGAGATCTCTGCTGTGGCTGCTCCCAGTTGGTATAGAAGCTCCCTCTGGAGCCCCAAATGTGGAACAAGGCAATGCCCCTCAACATGAATGCTCTCATTCTGGTCAAAGCTCAGAGAGTGGACACTAGGCCACTTGATCCTCACCCTTCATCTCTCTTCAATCTGTTTCCCTTCTTCCCCACAATCCCGTGGAACCCAAAAGGGCAACATTCATGCTTTCCACTTCCTTTAAGTCACATCCTCCCTTGCAGACTCCAGCCTCATGGTGGAATCTTAATGGTAGACAAGATATGGGAGAAAAAAAATCGGCTTACTAATTAGATGATTTTTAAATGACTGCATTACTAATTGGCTTATAGGTATTTTTGGTTTAAATAAAACTGTATTGCATTACCATTAATAAATTGTTTATTTTATACAACAGGATAAAGTACTACTCTTGTATTGATAGAGAGTAAGTTGCAATTCCTACTTGTCCTTGTAAAAGTAAAAATAGGTCTTCCTTAGTTATTCTGCTAAAAGTAAAAAATGAGGGGTTTTCTGAATGCTAAGAAGGGTCAATTTAAAGGCGTTTTTTTTTCTCTCATGGTTAGAGCAGATATGGAGGCATTCATGGATTAAAAAGCCTTTCTATCTGACCTTTTCAAAAATACTAAATTCCATGGACATGCATTTATAACAACCGAAAAGTTCTTTTGTCAATGAACATATAATGGATTTCTCAAAACAAATATCTTCAAGTGGGTCATAGTTACTAAAAATAAACTAATTAAGTCTTCTGTTTTTAAAACCATGAAGAGTTTACAAGGATAATAGGAAAGACCAGCTTTCTTCCTGACCCTTTTGCCTAAAAATGCTGAAGAGAGAGTCTCCTGTCTTTCCTAACACCTGGTTTTGGCTGACTCTCGCCAATTCCCTTACTCCAAACTCACCTATTCCCAAACAGAGGTCCAAGAGACTTAAAGTTTCATAAAAACTAATTTTTAGATCTGATAGAAAAAAGAGGTTCCATAATGGCCGAATAGGAACAGCTCCAGTCTACAGCTCCCAGCGTGGGTGATACAGAAGATGGGTGATTTCTGCATTTCCAACTGAGGTACCAGGTTCATCTCACTGGGGCTTGTCGGACAGTGGATGCAGCCCACGGAGTGTGAGCCAAAGAAGGGCGGGGCATCGCCTCACCCAAGAAGTGCAAGGGGTTGGGGAATCCCTTTCCTAGCCAAGGGAAGCCATGACAGACGGTACCTGGAAAATCAGGACACTCCCACCCTAATACTGTGCTTTTCCAACGGTCTTAGCAAACGGCACACCAGGAGATTATATCCCGTGTGTGGCTCGGAGGGTCCCACGCCCAAAGAGGCTTGCTCACTGCTAGTGCAGCAGTCTGAGATCAAACTACAAGGAAGATGCAAGGCTGGGGGAGGGGCGTCTGCCATTGCTGTGGCTTGAGTAGGTAAACAAAGCAGCCAGGAAGCTCTAACTGGGTGGAGCCTACCACAGCTCAAGGAGGCCTGCCTGCCTCTGTAGACTCCACCTCTGGGGGCAGGGCATAGCTGAACAAAAGGCAGCAGAAACTTCTGCAGACTTAAACGTCCCTGTCTGAGAGCTTTGAAGAGAGTAGTGGTTCTCCCAGCACTGAGTTTGAGATCTGACAACTGACAGACTGCCTTCACAAGTGGGTCCCTGACCCCCGAGCAGCCTAACTGGGAGGCACTTCCCAGTAGGGGCCAACTAACACCTCATACAGCCAGGGGCCCCTCTGAGACGAAGCTCCCAGAGGAAGGATCAGGCAACAACATTTGCCGTTCTGCAATATTTGCTGTTCTGCAGCCTCCGCTGGTGATACCCAGGCAATCAGGGTCTGGAGTGGACCTCCAGCAAACTCCAAGACCTGCAGCTGAGAGTCCTGACTGTTAGAAGGAAAACTAACCAACAGAAAGGACATCCACACCAAAACCCCATCTGTACGTCACCATCATTAAAGACCAAAGGTAGATAAAACCACAAAGATGGGGAGAAAATAGAGCAGAAAAGCTGAAAATTATAAAAATCAGAGCGTCTCTTCTCCTCCAAAGGAATGCAGCTCCTAGCCAGCAGCAATGGAACAAAGCTGGATGGAGAATGACTTTGACAAGTTGAGAGAAGAAGGCTTCAGATGATCGGTAATAACAAACTTCTCTGAGCTAAAGGAGGATGTTTGAACCCATCACAAAGAAGCTAAAAACCTTGAAAAAAGATTAGACAAATGGCTAACTAGAATAAACAGCGTAGATTAGACCTGAAATGACGTGATGGAGCTGAAAACCATGGCACGAGAACTACGTGATGGATACACAAGCTTCAGTAGCTGATTCAATCAAGTGGAGGAAAGGGTATCAGTGATTGAAGATCAAATGAATGAAATGAAGTGAGGAATTTAGAGAAAAAAGAGTAAAAAGAAATGAACAAAGCCTCCAAGAAATGCAGGACTATGTGAAAAGACCAAATCTACGTCTGATTGGTGTACCTGAAAGTGATGGGGAGAATGGAACCACGTTGGAAAACACTCTTCAGGATATTATCCAAGAGAACTTCCCCAACCTAGCAAGGCAGGCCAACATTCAAATTCAGGAAATACAGAGAATGCCACAAAGATACTCCTCAAGAAGAGCAACTCCAAGACACATAATTGTCAGATTCACCAAAGTTGAAATGAAGGAAAAAATGTTAAGGGCAGCCAGAGAGAAAGGTCGGGTTACCCACAAAGGGAAGCCCATCAGACTAACAATGGCTCTCCCGGCGTAAACTCCACAAGCCAGGAGAGAGTGGGGGCCAGTATTCAACATTCTTAAAGAAAAGAATTTTCAACCCAGAATTTCATATCCAGCCAAAATAACATTCATAAGTGAAGGAGAAATAAAATCCTTTACAGACAAGTAAATGCTGAGAGATTTTGTCACCGCCAGGCCTGCCTTACAAGAGCTCCTGAAGGAAGCACTAAACATGGAAAGGAACAACCAGTACCAGGCACTGCAAAAACATGCCAAATTGTAAAGACCATTGATGCTAGGAAGAAACTGCATCAACTAATGAGCAGAATAACCAGCTAACATCATGACAGGATCAAATTCACACATATCAATATTAACCTTAAATGTAAATGGGCTAAATGCTCCAATTAAAAGACACAGACTGGCAAATTGGATAAAGAGTCAAGACCCATCAGTGTGCTGTATTCAGGAAACCCATCTCACATGCAGAGACACATATAGGCTCAAAATAAAGGGATGGAGGAAGATCTACCAAGCAAATGGAAAACAGAAAAAAGCAAGGGTTGCAATCCTAGTCTCTGATGAAACAGACTTTAAACCAACAAAGATCAAAAGAGACAAAGAAGGCCATTACATAATGGTAAAGGGATCAATTCAACAAGAAGAGCTAACTATCCTGAATATATATGCACCCAATACAGGAGCACCCAGATTCATAAAGCAAGTCCTTAGAGACCTACAAAGAGACTTAGACTCCCACACAATAATAATGGGAGACTTTAACACCCCACTGTCAACATTAGACAGATCAACGAGACAGAAAGTTAACAAGGGTATCCAGGAATTGAACTCAGCTCTGCACCAAGTGGACCTAATAGACATCTACAGAACTCGCCACCCCATATCAACAGAATATACATTCTTCTCAGTATCACATCACACTTATTCCAAAATTGACCACATAGTTGGAAGTAAAGCACTCCTCAGCAAATGCAAAACAACAGAAATTATAACAAACTGTCTCTCAGACCACAGTGCAATCAAGCTAGAACTCAAGATTAAGAAACTCACTCAAAACCACTCAACTACATGGAAACTGAACAACCTGCTCCTAAATGACTACTGGCTACATAACGAGATGAAGGCAGAAATAAAGATGTTCTTTAAACCAATGAGAACAAAGACACAACATACCAGAATCTCTAGGACACATTTAAAGCAGTGTGTAGAGGGAAATTTATAGCACTAAATGCCCACAAGAGAAAGCAAGAAAGATCTAAAATTGACATCCTCACATCACAATTAAAAGAACTAGAGAAACAAGAGCAAACACATTCAAAAGCTAGCAGAAGGCAAGAAATAACTAAGATCAGAGCAGAACTGAAGGAGATAGAGACACAAAAAACCCTTCAAAAAATCAATGAATCCAGGAGCTGGTTTTTTGAAAAGATAAACAAAATTGATAGACTGGTAGCAAGACTAATAAAGAAGAAAAGAGAGAAGAATCAAATAGACACAATAAAAAATGTTAAAGGGGATATCACCACTGATCCCACAGAAATACAAACTACCATCAGAAAATACTATAAACACCTCTACACAAATAAACCAGAAAATCTAGAGGAAATGGATAAATTCCTGGACACATACACCCTCCCAAGACTAAAGCAGGAAGAAGTTGAATCCCTGAATAGACCAATAACAGGTTCTGAAATTGAGGCAATAATTAATAGCCTACCAACCAAAAAAAGTCCAGGACCAGATGGATTCACAGCAGAATTCTACCAGAGGTACAAAGAAGAGCTGGTAACATTCTTTCTGAAACTATTCCAATCAATAGAAAAAGAGGGAATCCTCCCTAACTCATTTTATGAGGCCAGCATCATCCTGATACCAAAGCCTGGTAGGGACACAACAAAAAAAGAGAATTTTAGACCAATATCCCTGATGAACATCAATGCAAAAATCCTCAATAAAATACTGGCAAACCGAATACAGCAGCACATCAAAAAGCTTATCCACCATGATCAAGTCGGCTTCATCCCTGGGATGCAAGGCTCGTTCAACATACACAAATCAATAAACGTAATCCATCATATAAACAGAACCAAAGACAAAAACCACAAGATTATCTCAATAGATGCAGAAAAGACCTTTGACAAAATTCAACAGCCCTTCATGCTAAAAACTCTCAATAAACTAGATATTGATGGGACGTATCTCAAAATAATAAGAGCTAGTTATGACAAACCCACAGCCAATATCATACTGAATGGACAAAAACTGGAAGCATTCCCTTTGAAAACTGGCACAAGACAGGAATGCCCTCTCTCACCACTCCTATTCAACATAGTGTTGGAAGTTCTGGCCAGGGCAATCAGGCAGGAGAAAGAAATAAAGGGTATTCAATTAGGAAAAGAGGAAGTCAAATTGTCCCTGTTTGCAGATGACATGATTGTATATTTAGAAAACCCCATCATCTCAGCCCAAAATCTCCTTAAGCTGATAAGCAACTTCAGCAAAGTCTCAGGATATAAAATCAATGTGCAAAAATCACAAGCATTCCTCTACACCAATAACAGACAAACAGAGAGCCAAATCATGAGTGAACTCTCATTCACAATTGCTTCAAAGAGAATAAAATACCTAGGAATCCAACTTACAAGGGATGTGAAGGACCTCTTCAAGAACTAGAAAACACTGCTCAACGAAATAAAAGAGGACACAAACAAATGGAAGAACATTCCATGTTCATGGATAGGAAGAATCAATATCCTGAAAATGGCCATACTGCCAAAAGTAATTTATAGATTCAATGCCATCCCCATCAAACTACCAATGACTTTCTTCACAAAATTGGAAAAAACTACTTTCAATTTCATATGGAACCAAAAAACAGCCTGCATTTCGAAGACAATCCTAAGCCAAAAGAACAAAGCTGGAGGCATCACGCTACCTGACTTCAAACTATACTACAAGGCTACAGTAACCAAAACAGCATGGTACTGGTACCAAAACAGACATATAGACCAATGGAACAGAACAGAGCCCTCAGAAATAATACCACACATCTACAACCATCTGATCTTTGACAAACCTGACAAAAACAAGAAATGGGGATATGATTCCCTATTTAACAAATGGTGCTGGGAAAACTGGATAGCCATATGTAGAAAACTGAAATGGGACCCCTTCCTTACATCTTATACAAAAATTAATTCAAGATGGATTAAAGACTTAAATGTTAGACCTAAAACCATAAAAACCCTAGAAGAAAACCTAGGCAATACCATTCAGGACATAGGCATGGGCGAGGACTTCATGACTAAAACACCAAAAGCAATGGCAACAAAAGCCAAAATTGACAAATGGGATCTAATTCAACTGAAGAGCTTCTGCACAACAAAAGAAACTACCATCAGAGTGAACAGGCAACCTACAGAATGGGAGAAAGTTTTTGCAATCTACTCATCTGACAAACGGCTAATATCCAGAATCTACAAAGAACTTAAACAAATTTACAAGAAAAAATCAAACAACCCCATCAAAAAGTGGGCAAAGGATATGAACAGACACTTCTCAAAAGAAGACTTTTATGCAGCCAAGAGACACATGAAAAACAAACAACCCCATCAAAAAATGGGTAAAGGACATGAACAGACACTTCTCAAAAGAAGACATTTATGCAGCCAAAAAACACATGAAAAAATGCTCACCATCACTGGCCATCAGAGAAATGCAAATCAAAACCACAATGAGATACCATCTCACACCTGTTAGAATGGCAATCATTAAAAAGTCAGGAAACAACAGGTGCTGGAGAGGATGTGGAGAAATAGGAACACTTTTATACTGTTGGTGGGACTGTAAACTAGTTCAACCATTGTGGAAGTCAGTGTGGCAATTCCTCAGGGATCTAGAACTAGAAATACCATTTGACCCAGTCATCCCATTTCTGGGTATATACCCAAAGGACTATAAATCATGCTGCTATAAAGACACATGCACACTTATGTTTATTGCGGCACTATTCACAATAGCAAAGACTTGGAACCAACCCAAATGTGCAACAATGATAGACTGGATTAAGAAAATGTGGCACATATACACCATGGAATACTATGCAGCCATAAAAAACGATGAGTTCATGTCCTTTGTAGGGACATGGATGAAACTGGAAATCATCATTCTCAGTAAACTATCGCAAGAACAAAAAACCAAACACCGCATATTCTCACTCATAGGTGGGAATTGAACAATGAGAACACATGGACACAGGAAGGGGAACATCACACTCTGGGGACTGTTGCGGGGTGGGGGGAGGGGGGAGGGATAGCATTAGGAGATATACCTAATGCTAAATGATGAGTTAATGGGTGCAGCACACCAGCATGGCACATGTATACATATGTAACTAACCTGCACATTGTGCACATGTACCCTAAAACTTAAAGTATAATAATAATAAAATAAAATAAAATAAATAAAAAATAAATAAATAATAAATAAATAAATATTGTTACACATTATGGTAAGCATCATAAACTAGCCTTCAATGTTCTTTTAAATAAGTAATATTCCTGAAGGGTAAGACAAATACAGGGAAAATGAATAGAAAATAATGCTAAAGGAAAACCAGCAATTTAGGAAAAAAATTGGATACTGATTTATTTATCCTGTTTGCGTGCAATACTGAGAAAATTAATGGCTTAATTAGGAAAATGAGGAAAAAGACAAAGATGTAAATGTATAAAGGACATTTTGATGTGTTTCAAGCATTGTAGAAGCTTGTAATACTGATCCTTTATTGTACCTAATTTACCTAAAAAAATAAGACTTTTCTTTTCATTGGTATAAAGAAAAAAAGAAAAAATGCTCATCATCACTGGCCATCAGAAAAATGCAAATCAAAACCACAATGAGATACCATCTCAGTTAGAATGGCGATCATTAAAAAGTCAGGAAACAACAGGTGCTGGAGAGGATGTGGAGAAATAGGAACACTTTTACACTGTTGGTGGGACTGTAAACTAATTCGACCATTGTGGAAGACAGTGTGGCGATTCCATAAGGATCTAGAACTAGAAATACCATTTGACCCAGCCATCCCGTTACTGGATATATACCCAAAGGATTATAAATCATGCTGCTATAAAGACACATGCACACATATGTTTATTGTGGCACTAGTCACAATAGCAAAGACTTGGAACCAACCCAAATGCCCATCAATGATAGACTGGATTAAGAAAATGTGGCACATATACACCATGGAATACTATGCAGCCATAAAAAAGGATGAGTTCGTGTCCTTTGCAGGGACATGGATGAAGCTGGAAATCACCATTCTGAGCAAACTATTGCAAGGACAGAAAACCAAACACCACATGTTCCCACTCATAAGTGGGAATTGAACAGTGAGAACACTTGTTCACAGGGTGGGGAACATCACACACTGGGACCTGTCGTGGGGTGGGGGGAGGGGGGAGGGATAGCATTAGGAGATATATACCTAATGTAAATGACGAGTTAATGGGTGCAGCACACCAACATGGCACATGTATACATATGTAACAACCTGCACATTGTGCACATGTGCCCTAGAACTTTAAGTATAATTTAAAAAAGAAAAAAGAAAAAAGTTACAAAACCTTTTTCTCAAAAAAAAAAAAATTTAATCTAAATAGGGATTGAGTACCACAACTCAGTATCACACCTTCCTGAAGTTTATCCATTTTCTGTGACTTACAACCTCTTCTGCATCAGTGTTCATCCTTCCTTCCCTTCCAATAAGGGCTTGGTATATACTCATTGATCACCAAAAATTCAACCCTTTAACATTATATTATTTTATGGATATGTTAATTATTGTAATGAAAAACTTCAAATGTATAAAAAAAGATTATATAAGGAACTCCAAATTACCTATCTCCCTGCTTTAACAATTATCACATAATCATCTTATTTTGACTATACCTTCTCCCCCAGATTGTTTTGAAGTAAGTTGTCTTATCTGTAAGTATATGTTGCTTTTGCCAGTATAACCAACTCTGTTTTATGTTTGTTCCTTGGGTTCTTTGTGCAATTTTCATCATTTGATTTATCAGTTCCTATTCAGGAGTTGTGTCTTCTACTTTTGAACTTGCCGTGTGCATCTCATCATGATTACACCTTGCTGGAATTCAGTATATGTGAAGTATGATGTCTACGTACAAAAACCCAGAATGGAGCCAACAGGAAAAATAAAACTCTGACAACACGGTTGAGAGAAACAATACCACAGTCACCCACCTGTGTGTTGAAGAAAATCTTTAATCTTGTGTAGAATGAATGTTTAGGTAATTGGTTGGCTAATAGCTCCTCAGAACATTGAGGGGTATATAATTTTTGTATTATATACTACTTTAAAATAGGAAAACCCATTACCAACCACATCTTATATACTAGACCAAAATTTCTTAGTTAATGGATTTGCATTTTATCTGCTAGGAATTTGGAACTACCACTTAAGACTAAGACTATTGCGAAGTTTCTGTGACCACATCACCACTCTGTTTCTCAATCTTCTTGGAGGTAACAGATTCTTGTTCAACCTGCTGACTTACTCTTTCTTACCCTTAAAGCAATAGCACCACCCTGTGGCAAGATTTAAAATGTTTCCTCACACTGGCAAATACAACTTCCATCTTACAACTTTAAGATGCCAAGTGACTCTAGCGGACTGGTGAAGTTTTGGGCCTCTTCTCATATTAAAGTTTTTAAATGTATAAAATACAATACATGGAATTACAAAGGAAATCAATTATATGAAAATACTGTTGTGGTCAGGTGTCCATGGAATCTAGTTAGGAAGCCATAATACAAGACTGGGAACATGACATTTTGGTTCCTTCAGAAGCAACTCCTCTCTGTTCTCATAATTAAGGATCATTATTCTAGTTGAGTTTGCAGATAGGCTTTCAGGAATTACATAATGGTTTTGGCTCTATCTCTATAAGTATTTATATGGTTTATGAGAAAGGAAAGGTTGTTGGAGACAGTAGGGGAGTTTATAAAATAGAAAGCATCTACACAGTGAAAACATGTTGGGTTTTGTATCTAGGTCCTTTAAATTATTGAAGTTTAGATATTCTTGCCAAAAAGGAAGGATAGATTCCACAGAGTGCTCCTGAAAGGGTAGTCTCAAGGCATAAGGGCTTATCCTGAATGCTTTTATGAGGCTTACAAAGTAAAGCAAACTCGACAATTAATGTTATTCAGCCCTGCTGGGTAAATTTGCTCCAGATGCCTCAGAATTAAGTTCCCTCCAAGGGCTAATGAAGTAGCTCTAGGTGCCACTAGAGGGCACTGTGAGGACTCTGTTGCCAGTTAGGTGAGAGGAGCTATTGGACGGCGGCCCCCTGGAATGGGAACTCAAGGAAGAGGCAGGAAGGAGAGGACTCAAGGTGCAGGAAGGAAGATAGTTAACATTGCAGATCTTAGTTTATAAGTAAATAGTAGTAATAAAGCCTTACCAGATATTTCAGGCTCCCCCATCTACTGAGTACATGGTAGGACTGCACTTCTTAATCCTCCTGTAGTGGGTAGGACCATATGATTGGCCCTGGCCAATATCCAATAAGTTGTCAGCAGGGATGGTATGTATCTCTTTTCTCCTCCTTCTCCTCCCTCTTCTTCTCCTCCTTCTTCTTTTTTAAACTTTGTAGAGACAGGGTCTCACTATGTTTCCAAGGCTAATCTTGAACTCCTGGCCTCAAGCAATCCTCCCGCTTAGGCCTTCCGGAATACTGGGATTACAGACATGTATCTGTTCTGCACCAAGCATTGAATTGTTGGTGCCAGACCCTCCAGAGTTCTCTTTCCCCTTGACATAAGTACTAACAATATTCAAGATGGTAGCTACTCTGTCAGCCTGGGTCCCTGAGTAACTACAATGGGCAGAGTCCCCCTGCTGATCCACAGTGGACAAGTAACATGATTCAAAAATAAATCTCATCTAAAACCACAGGCATTTGGGGATTAATGCTTACTGCAGCAGAGCATACATAACTTTGATTATCACAGCTAGGTACTCAACCAAGTATTTGCATGTTCAATCCTCTCAATATATTTATTTTTTCCTTTTTTCAGATGAGAAAATTGAGGCTTAGAAACTGTAAGGACTTACCCAAGGTCATGGAGCAAGGTAAGTCCTTTGACCTTATATCATGCTTCTTAATTACTATGTTATACTACATACCAAGACCAGTTAGAATCTGTGTTACATGTTCCCAATAAAGAAAGGAGAAATTCATGGAGCCAGAAATGCAAGAGGAAGGATCACTGAACCTAGCTTCTAGCCTATGGATCTTGAGTTACCCTCAATATTTAGCAGATAAGAGTGCTGCCAATCTCTCCAATAACTTGAACTGGATTTGTCTTCTTTCTCCACAAACTCTCCCCTGGTTTTGCAAATCTTCCACCCAGATCCCTTGCCTCCAGTTCCTCCCTCCTCCAGTCATCTCACTTCTCACACTGCCTTCCACATCATCTTTTAAGTCATCATCTTAGCTCCCACCAGGACCACCTAGGGAGCTTTTCAAATACACATGCATAATTCATGCAGGGCCTGAGCAAGTATTTTTTTTCATATGTGGCTACAGTAGAAGACCCTAATATGAAAGACTGATTTTCATGTTTCTATACTATCAGGTCCCAGTTAACCTTTTCTCACTTATTGTCCACACAGTGCTCCACAGGTCATTTACAATAGAGATTATTATCCCTTGAATAAAACATTAAGAATATATTTATGTCCCCAGGCCTCTGCTCCAGTTGTTCCCTTTCCGTGAAATTTCTTCCTCATCCCCATCGGTAAAAATTCTACCATCGCTCAAATGTTTCCACCTTCATGTAGTACCCCCTTGCTGTCCCAAGTCACAATTCAGACTTGATTCCTTGGGCTCTTACAGTATTCGGCTTCTATCTGTACCAGAGTTTTGATAATTCTGTCTTTATTACATTTATTTATACATGTCTGTCTTCCCCACTAACCTGTCAACTCCTGAAGGGAGGGGCCCAGTGTTTTGTTTTTGGTTTTTGCCCAGTGTTTTTTTTGTGGGGGGGGGGGGGCGGGGGGCAGGGATTGGATTTATTTATAATAAGAAAGGCTGAATTGAGAGCTTACTTTTTTTTCCTAAAATTTAAAACAGTACTAGTAAAACCTTACCCTCCTCAGCTGACCTTATTTCAGGTATAAGAGTACAAAGCTTCTAGGTAAGCTGCTCTCATGATGTAAGAGCATGACTGATAGCACCAAGCCTGTTTAAATTCACTGAGAGCCAGGAGAGGTCACATAGCAGAGGCATCTAGTCTGAGCATGTTTTCAGACTCCAAGTATTTCCAGTGTTATTTTGTCTTGGGATTCCACAAACTACCTCCCACAATGCTTAATATCTAGCAAATACTCATTATACTTTCAAATGCAACTTACTTTGATGAATTTATGTATTTATTCATTTATTCCACAAATATGTATTGGAGTGCTGACACTGAGTGCTTACTTTGAGCGAGTCACCAGAGACACAGACAAAATGTCAGCCTTCATTAAGTCTACATTCTAGTGGAGGAGGCAAACAATAAACAGGATGAGTAGGTTATATACGTAGTATGTTAGAAGATAAGTGCCAAGGGGAAACACAAAGCAGAGATGGTAGATGAGCATCAGTTTGAGTGGTTTGTGTGCACATTAAAGTTTGAGGAGCTGTGCTCTAAATGGAGCCATCTTTACAGGGATTCTTTGCAGAATAATGAATGGAGATACATGCCAGATCCCAAAACAACTATTTTAGGAAGCAAAGAGATCCCGGGTCAGTTTCTTGAAAATTCAGAGCCAAATGCTGACATGACACCAGTATAAACTCACAATGGAATCACAGAACTTCCTAAGAATTTTTCCTCATATTTTTTAGACAAGTATGTATATACATGTGTGTGCTTAACTGATGTATGATTAGAAAAAAAGGAACTAACATTGTTGTTGTTGTTGTTGTTTAGTGCTTTGCTATGGTTTAGATGTGGTTTGTTCCCTCCAAAGCACATGTTGAAATTTGATTCCTAAAGTAATGGTGTTAAAAGGTGGTAGGGTCCATAAGAGGTGTTTAAGTCATAGGGGTTCCACTCTCATGAAGGGATTAATGCCATTCTCACAAGAGTGAGTTAGTTCTCATGGGAGGGAGCGTTATTATCACAAGAGTGGGTTATTATAAAGGTGAGTTCCGCTTTCTTGTTTCACTCTTGCTTCTTTTCTTGTCATGTGGTCTCTTGTTTTTCCACCATGTTAAGAAGCACCATGAGGCCCTCAACAGACACAGCTCTTCAATCTCAGACTTCCCAGCTTCCAGAAACATGAGCCAAAACACATCTCTTTTCTCCTCCTCCTCCTCTTCCTCCTCCTCCTTTTCCTCTTCCTCCTCCTCTTCTTCTTCCTCTCCTCCTCCTCTTCTTCTTCCTCCTCTTTCTTCCTCTTTCTTCTTATTATTCTTCCTTTTTATTAAGTTAAGGGGTACAGGTGCAGGTTTGTCATATAGGTAACCTCATGTCATGGGGGTTTGTTGTACAGATTATTTTGTCACCCAGGTATTAAGCCTAGTACCCACTAGTTATTTTTTCTGATCCTCTCCCTTCTCCCACACTCCACCCTCCAGTAGGCCCCAGCATATGTTGTTTCCCTCTATGTGTGCATGTGTTCTCAATATTTAGCTCCCACTTATAAGTGAGAATATGCGATATTTGGTTTTCTGTTCCTGTATTAGTTTGCTAAGGATAATGGCCTCCAGCTCCATCCATGATCCTGCAAAGGATATGATCTCATTCTTTTTTATGGCTGCCTAGTATTCCATGGTATATATATACATATATATATCACATTTTCTTTATCCAGTCTATTATTGATGGACATTTAGGTTGATTCCATGTATTCACTATTGTGAATAGTGGTGCAGTGAACATATACGTGCATGTGCCTTTATGATAGAATGATTTATATTCCTTTGGGTATATGCCCAGTTATGGGATTGCTGGGTTGAACAGTAGTTCTGTTTTTAGCAATTTGAGGAATCACCACACTGCTTTCCACAATGGTTGAACTAATTTACCCTCCCACCAACAGTGTATAAGCATTCCTTTTTCCCCTTTGCAGCACCCGGTATTTTTTGACTTTTTAATTATAGCCATTCTGACTGCAAACCTCTTTTCTTTATAGATTATCCAGTCTCAGGTATTCTGTTACAGCAACCAAAAACAGACTAAGACATGCCTGTTATATGAGGCATTGTGTTACTATAACAGGAATAAACCTTAGACCAAAAACAAGGATAAATCAGAAGGATTACATTTGCATTTAATCAAATTAAATTCATTTTGACTCCAAAGATATATATATTACATTTGTTAGAATTGGGGGCTCTCATTCTGTTGCCCAGGCTGGAGTGCAGCGGTGCAATCACAGCTCACTGCAACCTCAAATTCCTGGGCTCAAGTGATCCTTCTGCATCAACCTCCCATGTAGCTAGAATTACAGGCATGTGCCACCATGCCCATGCCCAGTTATTTTTTAAGAAACTTTTTTGTAGAGACAGAGTCTTAGTATGTTGTTCAGGCTGGTCTCAAACTCCTGGCTTCAAGTGATCCTCCCACCTCAGCCTCCCAAAGTGCTGGGATTACAGGTGTGAGCCACCACACCCAGCCTGTATTACTTTTTTAATCAGGAGAAAAAAAAATGTTTAAGTCTCTATGCCCCATATTGCTTAGTCATTATTGAGCCCCTTTCCCTGTATCAGACTCCACAGGGAACATGTATCAGCCCCACTTCACATCCTCTAAGCCTCAGCTCAGATTCCAGCTGTGACAAAAAGGTCTCTGAAGGCTTCCACCTCTTTGCACTGACAGTATCTCACCTCAGACTTAACCTTTGTTTTTCTCACTTCCTGCTTCAGGGCTTCTCTGAGTCCTTGTTATGTGTGCCCATAGGTGCCTACTCAGCAGTTACCATACACACAAACCAGAGAGGTTGTTGCCCCAACCAGTAGGGGGCAGGAGCAGATGAATGAATGCTTCTCTTGCTTGTTCCTGGCCCTTCAAGTGAACAATTTTTGAGCCCATAGCAGTAACCAACTAAATAATGCAACCTCGTGTTAACTTTCCCTTACTTTCTGTCTCATACTATTGTTCCATTGGATTAATTCCTAAGTAAATTACCTGCATTCAAGGCTTTACCTCAAACTGTGACTTCAAGGGAATATCCAACTGAGTAATACAAAAGTTCCCATGGGTCTTAGCAAGACAAAAATAAATAGAAAACCCTCTCCAGGCTTTGATCCACGTAAGCCACCACTGAGATGTTCGTTACCCAAGCCCACTAGTCCCCTGGAAGTATGTAGTTAACAAATCACTTCCTTTTGGGCACAGTAATATTTTCCAGGGCTGGGAGCCTTGGTATTACCATTCATTCTCACCTATATACCCCACACCTGTGGAAATCTAGACACCAGAACAGTAGCTCCCAATTCTCATGGAACATCTTTCATCTCTTCCATAAAGTTGGCAGAAATATACACTTTCTGTTTCTATATCTTTCCATGCAAGGACTCCCACCTTCTCCTCCTCCTTGCCACTCTCCCTACCTAATACAATCTCCTTGATGAATTGGAGCTTTCACAAAACACAAGAGAAATGTTTGTCTTTGAACAACTGCTTTTCTCCTACTAGGTAATCCCCAAGGAAAAGGTACATAATGGATCTTCTTGGAAATGGGAAAGAGAAAAAAAGAAAAAGAAAAAAACCCATACGAATTAATACCACAAAAAGGGTCCCTGAGCTGGGTGCATGTCTCTGTCTCCACAGAGATCATTTAGAACCTATTCTACAGTAGCTTGAAGCTTCAGAGCCAGCAAAAGTCCCACCTGGCTCCTAGCACAGCTTGCACCTGTGGCCTAAAACAGAGCCCGCTCTGGAAGATTAGTGATACCTGATCCCACTGCTGCTGGGGTGGGAGGTATCAGCTAGCCATAGTGCTTGCATCTGTTTATTAAAAGCTGTTCCAGGCCGGGCACGGTGGCTCACACCTGTAATCCCAGCACTTTGGGAGGCTGAGGCTGGTGGATCATGAGGTCAGGAGATCATAGACCATCCTAACATGGTGAAACCCCGTCTCTACTAAAAATACAAAAACAAAATTAGCCAGGCGTGATGGTGGGGGCCTGTAGTCCCAGCTATTTGGGAGGCTGAGATGCAAGCTGTGCTAGAAGGAGCCAGGTGGGACTTTTGCTCGCTCTGAAGCTTCAAATTACTGTAGAATAGGTCCTAAATGATCTCTGTGGAGACAGAGACATGCCCCAGCTCAGGAACCCTTACTAGACCATCATTTCACAGTCTGCATGTTTTACACAAGTACTGGAAAAAATACATTTCTGTCATAAAAAATTCAAACCATACAGAAGAATAGAGAGTAAAAGTGACAGTCCTTTCTCCTAATCTCAAAAACACTCTCCTTCTAGAAACAAAGCGCTCTCTTCCCTAGGAGGGACACATTTTCCTACACATGTGTTACACACACTACAGGCTTTGTTTTTTTATAAAATGGAATCAAACCAATGGTATGGCTTTTTCACTTTAGAGTATGAATTGGTGGATTGTCACCACTGTAATTACCTGGTTTCTAATCTCAACTGGACAAAGGTTGACAATTCTTTTCTTTTCTGTTCTTATATTTATCTTTGTTCATTTCCCTCACCTCTCACCCCACCACTCCCATGGCTTCTTCTAAACCTTTGACTCTTTCCTCAAACTCTTACCCTTTCACTTATAGACAATAGCCTCCCTAAGAAATAGCAACCATGGCCAGGTGTAGTGGCTCCTGACTATAAATCTCAGCACTTTGGGAGGCCAAGGCAGGAGGGTTGCTTGAACACAGGAGTTTAAGAGCAGCCTAGGCAACATGGCAAGACCCGATTCTACAAAAAATAAAAATAAATAAATAAATTAGCCAGACATGGTGGTGCACACCTGTGGTGACAGCTCCTCAGGACACTGAGGCAGGAGAATCACTTGAGCCCAGGAAGTCGAGGCTGCAAGTGAGCTGAGATCACACCACTGCACTCCAGCCTGGGTGACAGAGTGAGACCCTATCTCTAAATAAATAAATAATAAAGACATAGAGATCATTCTTTTTTTTTTTTTTTTTTTTTTAGATGAAGTCTCACTCTTGTCCCCCAGGCTGGAGTGAATGGCACGATCTCGGCTCACCGCAACCTCTGCCTCCCAGGTTCAAGCAATTCTCCTGCCTCAGCCTCCCGAGTAGGGGGGATTACAGGCGCCTGCCACCACGCCTGGCTAATTTTTGTATTTTTAATAGAGACGGGGTTTCACCACATTGGCCAGGCTGGTCTCGAACTCCTGACCTCAGGTGATCTGCCCACCTCAGCCTGATCATTAGTTTTAAAAAATTCCTTCAATTACTGCCTACCTACCACTTCAACTGCAAACTTACCTCACGTGCATCTCATCCAGGATCTCTTCCTTCTCAGTAAAAGCGTGTCCATTTTTTCCTTCATGATCTATCCTTTCCATTTGTACTTTGCATCCCGTTCCCACACCAGGGACAGCTTGAGAGCCAGAAAGGCTAAGTTCCGGTCTTCTTCTGCTGCTTTCTAATTGTATGACTTCAGACAAGTTAACTTCTTTGAGAGTAGGAAATGTTCTGACCCACAGTCAATGAATCACTTGTGATGATGCTAATCGAAAAGGTCTTTTATTATTCTCAAAGAGTTAAGTAGGTGTTAACCCTATCCAGTGCTAGAACTAATTTAATGAGTGGTGGGGAGTATATGAGTAGGAGCATATTCATTGGTCCAGCCATTATGACATCTCTATCACATTTTCTTTATTTTTAATGATACATCATTTTCTCCATTAAAAAAAAACAGGGGTAAAGATCGAGTAAATGCCACAAGCTTAGAATATTGCACTGAATTGTTATGTAAATCAAAGCAACATCTTTAAAACAAATCAGAGCTCTTAAGAAACTTTATATGAAAACAAAAAAAAAACCAATGAACATAAAGCCATATTTTTATACAAAGTATATATAGTGTGTACATATTGTGTATCCTCTTTTTTCCATATAAACATTTCAACATGTCTTAAAGTATCGTGGGTGTTTTTTCCAAGATGGCGGATTGGAGGCATCATTAGCATGCCTCTCCCAGTTGGAAAGACAAAATTGTGTGTAGAGATTCACACTGTGAACTTTATTTCAAGAAGCAACACAGGAACTTAACAGGAAAACTGATGGAAACCAGACCCTTTGAAAGAAGCGGCAGGCTGCAGCCTACACCATGAGCCAGGCGTAAACCTGAAAATCCCCAGAGTGTGAGCAGGGAGAAGCTGCCTCTGGGATATACATTTCCACCGGAGAACCTGGCAATCCAGGCCACAAGGGAAGGTTTTAACCCTACCCAGTGCTAGAGCTAATGCAGTGAACGGTGGGGAGCATATGAGAAGGAGTAGCATTGGGACATGCTGTGTGTGCACTCCCAGTCTCCAGTGGGGACAGAGGGAAGCCATTCTTGATCCTGCCTCACAGGGTACTTCACTTTAGAAGTCAGCCAGCTAATTCAGGCAGCAGTCACAGGACGAGAGAAGCTCCCAATGGAGATTAAGCAGGAGCTGCGTGCCCCTGCTTCTTGGGCAGACCAGGAGGAGTGTGGCCTGAAAGCCTCAATATCTGCCTCCATGGAGAAGGCTTATGGTCTGCGGCAGTTTTGAGTTCTGATCATAGGCCTTAAACCCAGTGAGCTGCTGCTAGTGGAACATTCCAGGTGCGAGACCTGCCTTGCCAAGTGCATGGAAACTAGGTGCGGCTTACTGCCACCTGCTGCTCCCCACTCCCCTTGTAGACTCTTCTATTCAGCAGAAGCAGCTGTACTCCCTCATGGAACAGTGCTCCAGCAGCCAGAGAACTGCTCTGATCCCCACTGGGGCCACTGCTTGCGTCTGCACACCAAGAACCAGCCTCTACCTGGCTTTGCCCCTCCACCAGAGCTAATCACCTAACACAAAGGACAGAAACTTTGGGGAGCCCTATGGCCCTGCTCATTGCCTGAGATACCAGAGTACTTCCCCTGGGTAACAGAAGGCAAGCACAAACGAAGGTCACATTTCAGGAAATACGTGAATGAAGGAAGAGAGGTAGCTTGGCACATGAGCACATTTTTTAGGAAGTGATGTGATGAAACGATCAAAGATGGAGGCCAGCTGATACAGCCACTACAGCATCTTCAGGCAGAAGAACACAGTGCTCAGGAAGGCGAAAACTTGTGCATGACCTCAGCTATCACAATTGCTTTCATTACCCTACTAACCAGGAGGTCCTAAGTCTGTCCGTGTGACCAGTTCATTACTACTACAGCTGGCATTTGAGAAAGCCAACACACCAAGGCTATTTATAACCAAAGAATCTCACAGAGTCTACATCACTCCCCAGCCACCTCTATCTGATCTGGTGCTGGTACCCACTGCTGGGAGACTTGAGGACAGGTCACATCATTGGATCCCTTGCAGACATTCCTTAGCACCGGCCTGGAGGATGGCAGCCCAACTGGACAGCTAGACACAGAGGAGCAGCAGCATTCACAGTAGTCTGGCCTTCAGGGACTCCTACTCCTGGGGAAAGGGGGGTATACCTTATCAAGGGAGTACCCCCATGGGACAAAAGAATCCAGGTGGCAAACCTTGAGTCCCAGGACTTTCTTCTTGTGGGAAGTTTATTTCAGCAGAGGTACAGATGCAGTGCTGAGCCCAGTGGGGGAAAGTCTATGACTCTACCCAACAGGCAGCCCTGGTGCTCATGAAGGGTCTTGGAGAAGGGGATTTCTTCTTCCCCTCACCCACCACTGCAGACACAGCTGGGGCTTCTCCCATAGGAGCTCAGCATGGGTGCAAACAGTAGACAGCCTTTTGGGAACACTTTAGGGTGACTGCATCCCCACAGAAGGAGTACCCTCCAGGTTCAGACTTGCATGAGGAATAGAGATCACCATCCCTCTCTACATGGAATATCAACATTCCTGCAAATGAAAAGAGGTGCCTGTCTGATCTGAATAGCCAGAACACTGGGTCAGGAGTTTGACTGGAAAGTGGATAGCTTTCCTGCTGGACTGGCAGGGAAGCTGAGGTGGCTCCCACTTTTCCTCCTGATAAGACCTCAGTGTGTTTCACTGAGAACTCCCCCAGCCATTTCTGTCAAGGCTGGGACCTCTGCCCACCATTGGGTATTGCGTTTACCCAACTGCTTTAGCCACAGCCAATGTTTAACCATGGACACCTGCTCTACTGGCCTGAAGCCTGAACTGTTCAACCCAGTAAATGAAATACTGGGGGAAAAATAAATAAATAAAAAGTGCACACCACTGGGGAGTGAGATAAGCTTCAAGAGGCCTCTGCCATTCCCACAGGAGACAGTGAATCTGCTCACACACCATGCATATTGCTACTACACCCAGCATCTGAGAAAGCCATCATAAAAAGACTCTCTATAACTAAGAAACTCATAAAGAATGTTTAACCCTGAAAGCATTCAGAGCTGAATTCGGTTATTTAAAAAAAAACAAAAGCAAAAAAACTGTAATCATTAAAGTCACATCCTCAAGGGAGAAAAAAAGAAATTAAAAAATAAACACAGTTGAATAAGAAATAAAAAATAATTAGAAGAAATAGTATACTCAAATGAGAAGGAACTAGAAAAATAAATCTGGCAATATGACAAAACAGGGTTCTGTAATATCCCCAGAAGATCACCCTAGCTATCCAGTAATGGATCCAAACCAAGATGAAATCTAGGCTGGGCACGATGGCTCACGCCTGTAATCCTAACACTTTGGGAGGCCAAGGCGAGCAGATTACCTGAGGTCAGTATTTCAAGACCAGCCTGAACAACATGGGGAAACCCCGTCTGTACTAAAAATACAAAAATTAGCTGGGCGTGGTGGTGGACACCTGTAATCCCAGCTACCTGGAAGGCTGAGGCAGAAGAATTGCTTGGGAGGCAGAGGTTGCAGTGAGCCAAAATCGTGCTACTGCACTCCAGCCTAGGCGACAGAGTGAGACTCCATCTCAAGAAAAAAAAAAAAAAAAAGAAAGAAATCTGAAATACCAGACAAAGATTTCAAAAGCTTGATTATTAAGTTACTCAAGAAGATACAAGAGAAAAGTGAAAACCAACTTAAAGAAATTTTTTAAACAATTCAGGATATGAATGAAAAATTTTCTGAACAGATATATATTTTAAAGAAAAACCAACCAGAACTTCTGGAAATGAAAGACACATTTAGGGGATTACAAAATGCAGAGGAAAGTTTTAACAATAGGCTAGACCAAGTAGAAGAAAGAATTTCAGAGGTCAAAGACAAGACTTTTGAATTAACCCAACAGACAAAAATAAAGAAAAAAAGAATTAAAAGAAATGAACAAAGTCTCCAAGAAATACGGGAATATGTACAATGGCCAAACCTAAGACTCCTTGGTATTCCTGAGGGAAAAGAAAAAGCCAAAAGTTTGGAAAACTTATCTGAGGGAATAGTTGAGGAAAACTTCCCTGGCCTTGCTAAAGATTTAGACCTCCAAATACAAGAAGCTCAAAGAATTCCTTGGAGATTCATTGCAAAAAGGACATCACCAATGCATACAGTCATCAGGCTGTCTAAAGTCAACATGAATGAAAAATTCTAAGAGCAGTGATACAAAAGCATCAGGTAACCTACAAAAGATAACCTTTCAGACTAACAGCAGACTTCTCAGCAGAAACCTTACTGGCCAGAAGGGATTGGGGTCCTATCTTTAGCCTTTTTAAACAGAATAGCTGTTAGTCAAGAATTTTCAATCCAGCAAAACTAAGTGTCATAAAAGAAAAAGAAGTTGTCTTTTTCAGACAAGCAAATGCTGAGGGAGTTTGTCACTACCAGACTAGCCCTACAAGAAATGCTAAGATGAGTTCTAAATCTTGAAACAAAAAGTTGATGTGCACCAGAATAGAACCTTTTCAAAGCATAAAAGTCACAGGGCCTATAAAATAATAACACAATGAACTATACCAGAAATACTAGAAACCAAAGTATCTAGGTAACAATCAACATGATGACTGGAACAGTACCTCACATGTCATTATTAACATTGAATTCAAATGTTCTAAATGCTCCACTTAAAAGATACAGATTGGCAGAATGGATTTTAAAAAATCACAAACCAAATATCTGCTGTCTTCAAGAGACTCACCTAATGCATAGGATTCATACAGATTCGAGGTAAAGGGGTGAAAAAAGATATTCCTTGCAAATGGAAACCAAAAGCAAGCAGGAGTAGCTATTAGTGTATAATGACTGCAGAAGGTTATTATACAATAATAATATAATCAATCCAACAAAAATGTGTTACAGTCCTAAATATATATGCACCTAACTCTTGAGCTCCCAGATTCATAAAACAATTACTATTAGACCTAAGAAAAGAGTGCAACAGCAATACAATAATAGCAGGGGACTTCAACACTCCACTGACAGCACTGGATAGATCATTGAGGCAGAAAATCAAAAATAAACACTGGAATTAAAGTTCAGTCTAAAACAAATGGGCCTAACAGATATTTATGGAACATTCTACACAGGAACTGCAGAATATACATTCTTTTCATCAGCACATGGAACATTCTCCAAGATAGGTCATATGATAGGCCACAAAACAATAAACTTTTAAAAATTGAAATTATATCAGGTATCTTCTCAGACCACAGTGGAATAAAACTAGAGATCAACTCCAAAAGGAACCCTCAAAACTATACAAATACATGGAAATTAAACAACCTTCTCCTGAATGATTTCTGGGTGAACAATTAAATCAAGATGGGAATTTTAAAATTCTTCAAATGAATGACAGTAGTGACATGAGTTATCAAAACCTCTGGGATAGAGCAGAAGCAGTGCTGAGAGGAAAGTTTATGGTGCCAAATGCCTACATCAAAAAGCCCGAAAGATCACAAATTGACAACCTCACATCACACCTCAAGGAGCTAGAGCAACAAGAAAAAAACAAACCCAAAGCTAGCAGAAGAAAATAAAAAAAATAAAGATCAAAGCAGAACTAAATGAAGTGGAAACAAAAAATACGAAAGATCAATGAAACAAAAAGTTATTATTTGAAAAGATAAACAAAATTGATAGATCACTAGTTAACCAAGAAGAGAGAAAACTCAAATAAGGTCAACTAGAAATGAAAATGGAGACATTACAACTGACACCACAGAAATCCAAATGATCATTCAAGAAGACCATGCACACCTCTATGCACACAAAGCAGAAAATCTAGAGGAAATGGTTAAATTCCTGGAATCATACAACTCTTCTATCTTGAATTAGGAAGAAATAAAAATCCCTAACAGAGCAATAACAAGCAGTAAGATTGAATCAGCAATAGAAAAAAAATGCCAACAACAACAAAAACTCCAGGGCCAGATGGATTCACAGCCAAATTCAAGCAGACATTCAAAGAAGAATTCGGGCTGGGTATGGTGGCTCATGCCTGTAATCCCAGCATTTTGGGAGGCCGAGGTAGATGGATCACCTGAGGTCAGGGGTTCAAGACCAGCCTGGCCAACAGGGTGAAGCCCTGTCTCCACTAAAAATACAAAAATTAGCCAGGTGCTGTGGTGCACCCCTGTAATCCCAGCTACTTGGGAGGCTGAGGCACTTGAGTGCCTGGGTTCAAGGCACTTGAACCCAGGAGGCGGAGGTTGCGGTGAGCTGAGATCATGCCATTGCACTCCAGCCTGGGTGACAGAGTGAAACTCTCTCTCAAAAAAGAAAAAAAAGAAGAAGGAGGAGGAGGAGAAGGAGGAGGAGGGGGAGGAGAAGAAGGAGGATGAGGAAGGGGAAGAAGAAGGAAAAAGAAGGAAGGAGAAAGAGGAAGGAGGAGGAAGGAGAAAGAGGAATGAGGAGGAAGGAAAAGAGGAAGAAGGAAGGAGAAGAAGAAGAAAGAAGAAGGAGGAAGGAAAAGAAGGAGGAAGGAGAAGATGAAGAAGTAAGGAGGAGGAGGAGGAAGGAGGAGGAAGAGGAGGAGGAGGAGGAGGAGGAGGAGAAGAGGAAGAAGAATTGGTACCAACCCTACTGAAACTATTCCAAATGATTATGGAAGAAGGAATCCTCCCTAATTCATTCTATGATGCCAATATCACCTGATACCAAAGCCAGGTAAGGACATAATGAAAAAAGAAAACTAAAGACCAATATGCCTGATAAACAGATGCAAACATTGTCAACACAATAAAATACTAGCAAACCAAATACAACAGCACATCAAAAAGAAAATTCACCATGTTCTAGTGGGTTTCATACCAAGGATGCAGGGATGATTCAACATATGCAAGTCAATAAATGTGATTCACCACATAAACAGAATTTAAAACAAGAATGATATTATTCTCTCAATAAATGCAGAGAAAGCATTTGATAAAACCCAGCATCCTTTATGATTAAAAACCCGCAACAAACTAGGCATAGAAGGAACATATCTCAAAACAGTAAAAGCCATTATGACAAACCCACAGCCAACAACATATGAATGGGGACAAGTTGAAAACATTCCCGCTAAGAATTAGAACAGGACAAGAATACCCACTTTCACCACTTCTATTCAACATGGTACTGAAAGTGGTAGTCAGACTAATCAGGCAAGAGAAAGAAACAAAGGGCACACCAGCTGGAAAAGAGGAAGTCAAACTATCTGTTTGCCGATTACATGATTGTATACCTAGAGAACCCTAAAGACTCCTCCAGAAGACTCCTAGATTTGATAAATTAATTCAGTGAAATCTCAGGTTACAAAAATCAGTGTACACAAATCAGTAGCACTGTTATACAGCAACAATGACCAAGTTGAGGATTAAATCAAGAACTCAATCCCTTTTACAATTAGCTGAAAATAATAAAATAAAATACTTAGGAGTGTACTTAACCTAGAAGGTGAAAGAGCTCTACAAGGAGAATGACAAAACACTACTGAAGGAAATCATAGATGACACAAACAAATTGAAATACATCCCATGCTCTGGATTGGAAGAATGAATACTGTGAAAATGACCATACCGCCCAAAGGAATCTACAGATTCAATACAATTCCTATGAAAATACCCACATCAGGCTGGCCTAGGTGGCTCATGCCTATAATCCCATTATTTTGGGAAGCCAAGGCGGGTGGATTACCTTGGGTCAGGAGTTCAGAATGAGCCTGGACAACATGGTGAAACCCCGTCTCTACTAAAAAATACAAAAACTAGCCGGCGTGGTGGCAGGCACCTGTAATCCCAGCTACTCAGGAGGCTGAGACAGAAGAATTCCTTGAACCCAGGAGGAAGAGGTCACAGTGAGCTGAGATCACGCCATTGCACTCCAGCCTGGGCGACAAGAGTGAAACTCCATCTCAAAAAATAGAAAAAAAAAAAAAAAGTAAGAAAGAAAATACTCACATCATTTTTCATAAAATTAGAAAAAAATCCTAAAATTCATATGGAATAAAAAAAAAAAAGCTTGAGTAACCAAAGCAACCCTAAGCAAAAAGAACAAATCTGGAGGCATCACATTACCTAATTTCAAATTATAATTATACTACGAGGCTATGGTAACCAAAACAGCATGGTACTGGTATAAAAGTGGATACATGGACCAATTGAACAGAATAGAGAACCCAGAAATAAAGCCAAATACTTACAACCAACTGATCTTTGACAAAATGTACAAAAATAAGAATTGAGGAAAGCACACCCTATTCAATAAATGGTGCTGGGATAACTGGCAAGCCACATGTAGAAGAATGACACTGGACCCCTGTTTCTTACCATACACAAAAATCAACTAAAGATGAATTAAAGACTTTAAGACCTGAAACCAAAGAAATTCTAAAAGAAAATCTAGGAAAAATTCTTCTGGACATTGGCCTAAGAAAAGAATTTATGACCAAGACCCCCAATGTGAATGCAACAAAGACAAAAACACGTAAATAGAACCAAATTAAACTTAAAAAGCTTCTGCACAGCAAAGGAAATAATTATCAGTGTAAGCAGACAACCCAGAATGGGATAAAATATTTGCAAACTATGCATCTGACAGAGGACTAATATCCAGAATCTACAAGGAACTCAAACAAATCAGCAAGAAAAAAACAAATAATCCCATCAAAAAAGTTGGCAAATGCCATGAATAGATACTTCTCAAAAGAAGATATACAGATGGCCAACAAAGATATGAAAAAATGCTCAACATCACTAATCATCAGGGAAATGCAAATAAAAACCATAATGAGATACCACCTTGCCAGAGCCAGAATGGCCATTATTGAAAAGTCAAAAAAAAAAAATAGATGTTGGCGTGGATGTGGTGAAAAGTAAACACTCATCAGCAGTGGCTGGTGAAAATGTAAATTATTACAACCTCTATTGAAAACAGAATGGAGATTTCTCAAAGAACTAAAAGTAGATCTACCATTTAACCCAGCAATGCCACTACTGGGTATCTACCCAAAGGAAAATAAGTCAGTCATTATATCAAAAGACATTTGTATGCATGTGTTTATCACAGTTCAATTCACAATTGCAAAGATATGGGACCAACCTACGTGCCCATAAACTGATGAGTGAGTAAAGAAAATGTTGTATATATACACTTGTGGAATACTACTCAGCCGTTAAAAAAACAAAATAATGTCTTATGAAGCAGCTTGGTTGGAGCTGGAGGCCATTATTCTAAGTGAAGTAACTCAGGAATGAAAAACCAAATACCGTATTCTCACTTGTAAGTGGAAGCTAAGTTATGAGTACATAAAGGCATACAGAGTGGTATAACAAACATTGGAGACTTAGCTGGTCTGAATCACGAGAATGTGGAGGGGTGGGGGTTGTCAGTGGAAAGGCATAAGGCTGAGCTGAGACCAGTTGCTGGTGAAACTGGGCCAATCTGGGGAGGGGAACATCCTTGCCAGGGAGTTTCTGAGGGTCTGTTTTGTTTACCTTTCGTGCGGTGGATTCTTTTTAACTCCGTCTACCTGGCGTTTTGTTAGAAATGTCAGATAGGAAAATAAAAACCATTTGAGTAAAAAAAAAACAAAGAAACATTGGAGACTCAGAAGAATGTAGGAGGTGGGGAATAAAAAAACTACATATTTGGTACAATGTAAACTATTGGGGTGACAGGTGCACTAAAATCTTGGACTTCACCACTGTACAATTCATCCATGTAACCAAAAACCACTTGTACTGGAAGAGTTATTGAAATAAAAAATACATATATTTTGAAAAAAGTATCATGGTTTATTCAACAATTATTCCACCCATCGTTGAGTTATTTTCAATTTTCAGTACTCTAACATATATCTACTGTAGAGAAACATACGTCTGATTTTTGTTTTCATTTATATCATCCACTTAGGATCTATTGCTCAAAACAAAATTGCTACATCAAACACTTTTGTAACCGCTGCTGTAGATTCTCAGCAAAGTCCTCAAAGACTACCAGCAATATATTTATTTTCCAACGATTCACCAATGCTGTGTTGTTGGTTTGATTTATCTTGGATAATTATGTAGAAATGTGGTTGTATCTTTATTTTGCTTTGCTTTAATCGCTACCAAATTGGAAATTTTTCATGTTGTGACTTAGATTATATATTTCTTTGTCAATAAATTATCTTCTCTGGTCATTTAGCCTATAGGATGTAAATTTTTTTTACCTTTGACCCTTTGACTTTTTAAGTAATTTCATGGTTACTGTGTAGTCACATTCTATAAATTATCCTAAAAGAGTTTTATTGGTATTTATTGGTCTTGCATATTTGTATCATTTCTTTAAAGGGTACATTCTTATAAGATTTGCCATATGGTTTTATATTTTGTTGCTTTCTAACTGATATGTATTTTGCTATACCTAATTGAGTTTCTTATATTTATTTAAGCATACTTATAAGATTTCCAATATTCAACATGTCATTGAAGATGAAGAACTTATTTTTCCCCAACAAAGTTGAATAGATACACAATTTATTTGCTTTATGGACTTTTGAAAATATTTTGTCTTCATCTATTTAGGTTTTTTATTTTGTTTTTTAACTTTTATTTTAGGTTCAGGGGTACATGTGCAGGTTTGTTATATATGTAATCTTGTGTCACAGGGGTTTGATGAACAGATTATTTCATCACGCAGGTACTAGAGTTATTTTTCTGCTCTTCTTCCTCCTCCCAACCTCTACCCTTCTGGTAGGCCCTCATGTGTGTCATTCCCCTCCTTTTGTCCATGCGTTCTCATCATTTCGTTCCAACTTATAAGTGAGAACCTGTGGTATTTGGTTTTCTGTTCCTGCATTAGTTTGCTAAGGGTCATGGCCTCTAGCTCTATCCATGTTCCTGCAAAGGAGATGATCTCATTCCTTTTCACAGTGTATATGTAACACATTTTCTTTACCCATTCTCCCATTGATGGGCATTTAGATTGATTCTATGTCTCTGCCATTGTGAATAGTGCTGCAATGAACATATGTGTGCATGTGTCTTTATGATAGAATGATTTTATATTCCTTTGGATATATACGCAGTAATGGGATTGCTGAGTCAAATGGTAATTCTATTTTTAGTTCTTTGAGGAATCAACACACTACCTTCAACAATGATTAAACTAATTTACACTCCCACCAACAGTGTGTTAGCATTCCCTTTTCTCTGCAACCTTGCCAGCATCTGTTATTTTTTGACTTTTAAATAGCCATTCTGACTGATGTAAGATGGTATCTCATTGTGGTTTGATTTGCATTTCCCTAATGATCAGTAAAATTGAGCTTTTTTTCATACATGTATTGGCTGCATGTATGTCTTCTTTTGAAAACTGTCTGTTCATATCCTTTGCCCACTTTTTAATGGGGTTGTTTTTCTTGTAAGTTTGTTTTTCTTTACAGATTCTGGATATTAGAACTTTGTCAGATGCATAGTTTGCAAGTATTTTCTCCCATTCTGCAGGTTGTCTACTCCGTTGGTAGTTTCTTTTGTTGTGCAAAAGCTCTTTAGTTTAATTAGGTCCCATTTGTCAATTTTTGCTTTTGTTGTGATTGCTTTTGGCATCTTCATCATGAAATCTTTGCCCGTTCCTGTGTCCACAGTGGTATTGCCTAGGTTGTCTCCCAGGGTTTTTATAGTTTGGGGTTTTATATTTAAGTCTTTGATTCATCTTGAGTTGATTTTTGTATATGGTATAAGGAAGGGGTCCAGTTTCAATCTTGTGCATATGGCTAGCCAGTTATCTCAGCACAATTTATTGAATACGGAGTCCTTTCCTAATTGCCTGTTTTTGTCAGCATTGTCGAAGATCAGATGGTTTTAGGTGTGCAACCTTATTTCTGGGCTTATTTGGGGGTTTGATTGTGGTATAAGGAGGGTTCAGTGGACTGTTTTCATTACTGGAAGGCTTTAGGGGGCCAAAGCTCAGCTCAGGACTCCTGACTGCATGCTCTAACTCTAGGGGACTGGTATCAGACCCTAGCTTTGTTCTCTGGCTCCTCAAGGTTGGGAACCTGTTGCACTGGAGGGACCAAAATGCTCCCAGACTGCTGGTCACAACACTGTGATGGATGGTGCCAGCCAAAGCACTTTGTAGAGCAGTGGCAGTCAGATCAGTCCTCTTTGCACGTGTCGGCAGCAGTGTCAGCAGCAGCACAACAGAGTACATCCTGGTCAGCTGCAGCAGGATGCTAGTGGGTGCTGGGGTACTGGCCTTCATGTGAGTGTTTACAGCAGCAGTGGTGGCAGTATGACTAAGGGGGGTGGGGCTCCTGCCAGTGACTGTGCATGTGTTCTCATTGGTGGTGGTGTTAGCACAGGGGCAGGGCACTGGCGGGTACAGGACTGTGTGCATGCTCTGTGCATGTTAACGCTAGTGGGCCCTGTGCTGCCAATACTCTCATGACAATGGCTGTGCAGTGGGGAGAGGGGGAAGCGGGGTGCACTCACTCTGGCAGCACTGGCATGGTAGGAGGCATGTGCATGTGTGTGCTGGTGGAGAAGGGAAGGCTAGGACCTCTAGTACACACATACACTGGCAAAGTGATGGGGGGAGAGGGAATGGTTGTGGGCAAGTACCTGCGGGCAAGGCAGATGGCGGAGGCTGCAGTGAGGGGAGGGCCCAAGTGGGCTGCTGTGTGTTTATGGGCAGCTTTGCTGGAGCACTCTGCTAGTCAGGACTGGTCTGCCAGTGCAGAAGCTACAATCCAGACCTCAAGAGGTACCTGGGGTCTGCCCTGCAAGCAGGCACAGCCAGGCTGGAGCCCCAGGAGAGGCCAGCAGAGCAAGAGCTGCCCAGGTCCAACTGACCTCATCTCATGGGTAAGACCACCATTCAGAGTTCAGGTCTAACAGTTCACCTAGGGCTAAAGTGTCCTATGGGAGTAAGTTGAGCTTAGGGGGATGGGTGTCCCTGGCGTCTCCAGACACTCCCTCACCAAATCCTCTGAGCAGCTCTCCAGCTGGAGTTCTGGCCCTACCACTTCCTTAAGCAGCTTTCCCTGCCAATTCCAGTATCCCTAATGGTAGAGGGGTCTCCTCTTGCTGGGATTCCAGAGGTCCATAGCATGAGAGAGTTGCTTCTTGCCTGTTGAACTCACAGGCAAGAAGTAGTGGTAGCCTCACACAGGGTTCCCAACTTCTTCTCCATTCAGCCCAGCCTCTGTGTCTTCCCTCCAACCCCTCTCAATGCCTTCCCTCTGAAGATCTGCTTCCTTGGTGGGAGATGTTCTTCCTGGCTGTGTCTAGTCAGCTATCTTGCTGCAGGAATCCTAGAGCTTATTTTTATGTACATGGTGTGAGATGTACCATCCCTTCATATTATTAAACGAATTGACCCATAAATATTTCTTAAATGTTAATTGTTTTTTGTCAGAAGTCAATCAGTTTTTTGTTTTTTCTGTTTTTTTTTTTGAGACAGAGTCTCACTGTATTGCCCAGGCTGGAATGCAGTGGCACGATCTTGGCTCACTGCAACCTCTGCCTCCCAGGTTCAAGTGATTCTCCTGCCTCAGCCTCCCAAGTAGCTGTGATTACAGGCACACACCTGTAATCACACTACACCTGGCTAATATTTGAATTTTTAGTTGAGACAGGGGTTTCACCATGTTGGCCAGGCTGGTCTCGAACTCCTGATCTCAGGTGATCCACCCGCCTTGGCCTCCCAAAGTGCTGGAATTACAGACATGAGCCGCTGTGCCCAGGCCAGGCCAATCGGTGTTTTTAAAACATCCTCAGATGAAATTCACTCATATACGAACATGTGAATAAAATGTATCCAAAGTAACTTGCAAGGAAGATTGGTAAAAACTGACTGGATAGTCTGAGTCCTCCTGTGTCTCACTTGCTACTTTGTCTCTGATTTACTTTTGTTCTCCCCAATGTTTGACTTGGCATTTATCAGTGAACTTCACGTTTTAAAAATATTTTAATATTACTACTTTAATTATTTTTTACTAGTAACCACAAAACACTAGATATCTCCAATTGCCAAAATATATATCTCTAATTGCCACTTGTGACACATCTCCCAGATTACATAGGAAACCTGTCACCTGATGGAATCCAGCTGACAGCAAGAGAGATATCTCAGACTTCCACCTCATCCAAATCCTTCATGCCAGGACTAGCAATTGTTTTGCTTTTGACTTGTCACATACTAAATTCTTATGATAGTTGGGATTTACTTTTGAAATCTATTTTATTACATTCTCCATGGATTTGATTTAATAACTACTGATTTGGATTGTTTCCATTTTGTAAAACAGTGTCTGATATTGGTACTCTAGCATAAAAATTAAACATAATTTAGCCAAGTGTGGTGGTGCATGCCTACAGTCTCAGCTACTCAGGAGGCTGAAGTGGGAGGATCATTTGAGCCCAGAGTTGGAAGCTACAGTGAGCTCTGATTGTGCCATTGCACTCCAGCCTGGGCAATAGAGTAAGACTGTCTTTAAAAATAAATAAGTAAAATAAACACATTAATATTTTTGGTGTCTGACCTTTTATTTTTCAAAGTAATTTCTTTATCAGTGTGTCATCAACTTCTATAAAATCCTAAAGAGCCTTTAATAAAAGGCTCTTTTTATTAAAGAATAGTGCTTTAACTGGTACATTAATATGAAAAGTGTTATTTCTATTGCATTTAGCCTTTAACATTAGAAGCAAATTATGACTCTTTTACTCATTTATTTTCTTCCTAAAATTTCAAAATAACCTTTTCTTTCCCCCAAATTCAGTTATCCAAGTATTTGTTTCATTGTACTTCATAAAATTATTTTACTTTGGGAGGCCAAGGCAGGTGGATCAGGAGGACAAGAGATCGAGACCACCCTGGCCAACATAATGAAACCCCACCTGTACCAAAAATACAAAAATTAGCTGGGCATGGTGGTGCTCACCTGTAGTTCCAGCTACTTGGGAGGCTGAGGCAAGAGAATAGCTTGAACCTGGGATGCGGAGGTTGCAGTGAGGCGAGATCACGCCACTGCACTCCAGCCTGGCGACAGAGTGGAACAACAACAAAAAAAATTATTGTATTCCCTAAGCCTGGGTCAATAGAAAATAGGAAATGCTATCGATTTTTGAGTATTTACCTTATCCTCTCTCTCTCTATCTATCTATATATTTTTTTTCTTTTTTTTGAGACGGAGTCTCGCTCTGTTGCCCAGGCTGGAGTGCAGTGGCGCGATCTTGGCTCACTGCAAGCTCCACCTCCCGGGTTCACACCATTCTCCTGCCTCAGCCTCCCAAGTAGCTGGGACTACAGGTGCCCACCACCCACGCCTGGCTAATTTTTTTTTTTTTTTTGTATTTTTAGTAGAGACAGGATTTCACCGTGTTAGCCAGGATGGTCTCCATCTCCTGACCTCATGATCTGCCCACTTCAGCCTCCCAAAGTGCTAGGATTACAAGCGTAAGCCACCATGCCTGGCCCTTATCCTCTATATTTTTATCTAACTGTTATCTCTAGTGCTTTTAGCTAAACATACATGTCACATTAAAAAGTGACAACAAGGCCAGGTGTGGTGGCTCACGCCTGTAATCCCAGCACTTTGGGAGGCCGAGATGGGCAGATCACGAGGTCAGGAGTTAGATACCAGCCTGGCCAACATGGTGCAACTCTGTCTCGGGCACCTGTAATCCCAGCTACTCGGGAGGCTGAGGCAGGAGAATCCTTGAACCTGGGAGGCGGAGGCTGCAGTGAGCCAAGATCATGCCATTGCACTTCAGCCTGGGCAACAAAAGTAAAACTCCATCTCAAAAAACAAAAAAAAATTTAAAAAAAAGTGACAGTGATTTTTATTTTCCTATGATTAGACTGTCTCCTTCTCTGTTCTATCTAAAGAACTTTTGACAGCACTTCTAGCACAGTCTTTCCTCGAATGGTAACAGGAGTGTGTCTCATTTTGTTACTGTTTTAAAAGACAATGACTATTAATCAGAGTTATGGAAATAACCACCAGAAAATGTAAAAACAGAAAAGTTTAAAAGCAGCTGATTTTGAGGAGAGGACTCAGGGTTGGAAGATATGGAACCAGGAACCTCTGCTTTTCATTACATTCTGTGCTGTACTATTTGATTTTTAACATGCTCACTGTTACTTTAATTTTCAAAATGTAAAAGTATTATAAAAGAATGGCCGGGCATGGTGGCTCACGCCTGTAATCCCAGCACTTTGGGAGGCCAAGGAGGGTGGATTGCTTGAGCCCAAGACTTCAAGACCAGCCTAGGCAACCCCATCTCTTAAAAAAAAAAAAAAAGAATGACTATACTACAGTGGTTCTAAGAATCAACTGAGAACCTGAGATGCTAGTTAAAAATTCAGATTCAAAAATTTTTTCAGTAGCTCAGGGTGGAAGCTAGAGATTTGCATTTTCAACAAATGTTCTAGGTGATCCTGTTTCAGGTGGTCAGGGGATCAGACTTCGAACAGCAGTGCTGCAGTGTTTTTCTATTATTTATGATGGTTTGTTTTTAAATACAGGACTTTTAAAAATTCATTTTTAAAGAAATTATTTTAAATGAATTTTACAATTCATTCTAAGACTCTTCATTTATAAAACACCCTTTATATTTCATTTTCATTGACTTTTAATTTGATTAAATGCTTTTTGGTATCTATTGCTATGTTCACATGATTCTTACTATTTTTCCTGCTAATGTAATAAATTACATTATTGCCTTTCTTTATATTTTACTGACCTTAGATTATAAATTATAAACCTTGATTAGAAAATATATTAGCACAAATTAGCATACTGGGATAATATTTCTATATTCTAAAATCATTTTTTGCTAAACTACTATCTTTCTAACCCTTGGCTCTATTAATTTCTAGTTTTTCTCTTTTGAAACTTAACTAAATCTGTAAGTTCCTGTCAGGATCCTAGCAAGAAACAGAAAGTATATTTAGAGAGCGTTACTGAAGAAAGTGTACTGAAGGGATTATTTACAGAGATATAGGCAGGGTTATGAGAACACAATAAGGGACAGAATCTGGCAACAATAATATACTTTTACCACCTATAGGCCTAAAGGAGCTATGGGAGAGAATGAGCCTGGAAAGAGCGTGTAGCCTGAAAGAGGGTCCTCTTATAAGAAAGGTAACTACAGACTGCAGCCAGAACCAGCACTGCAGCACGGTGGGAGAGAATGGGGTGGAGAGATAGGAATAAATACCCTAGCCCCCTTTCCAGTCCCTTGCTGATGCCTCTCTGGCTAATCCAACCAGAAGCCAGACATCAAAGAAGCCTGACTGCCACTGGTTTATGCCAGGATGGAGAACAACTAGCACATAATGATACTCATGGTCTCTCACACTTACGCATGTCTTGTGAGTGAAGACATTCTGAACTATCTTTTTGAGGATGTTTGAATAGTGAACAGCCTTGGAAGATGGAAATAATGTCTCCCTCTGGAGCAAAGGGTAGGCATGGTTACTGTCTAGAATGAAAAGACAATGTCCTCCTTTGGAGCAAAAGCAGTCAAGCTTTTGGAAAAGTCAGGCTTTCTCATTATAAAAGACTCCAGTACTCTGAGCTCTGCATTTCTCTCCTGTACACAACCCACAGTGCGTGCAGCTGTCATTCTCTTTGCATCATTCTGTATGAATTGGGGGTTGGGAACTGGAGGAAAAAAATGCTGGTACTCTGACTACTGTTCTTGCTGTGAGTAATAAATTATTATTTTTTTTATCTCTGATGCAGGAGTCTTGTATCTTTTACCAGCGCTGGTAAAAGATACAAGACTCCTGCGTCAGAGATAAAAAACATGACTGGAAGACCAGCTTGTTCACTTTGAAGTAGGGTAAAATCTGACCGTTCACAGTTCCTGATGAATCAACAAAAAAGAAAATCAAACAAAACATAACAAAACAACCGTATTTGTCACCACTGGAGGTGGCTATTACACTAACTCCTTACTCTGCAAATTGTAATTAAAGAGTAAGAATTAAGCACTCCTTCACAGTGGCCAATTAGCCTTAGAAAATGAGGGAGAGCTCCTCTTTAGAGAATAACAGCAGCTTATAAATATAGGAAAAAATACGGAATTAGAAAAACAATCACCTTTGTCCCCACTCCTGATGAAATAACTGATTCAGACAAGGACAATCTGAAGTTTGTCAAAGTATCAACGCCCTAAAATAAGCTATTGATCTCAAGGAGAAAAACAAAATAGAAAGATCAGGCAGTCACCACTTAAAGCTTAGCAACAATAATCAAAAGACAACCAAATATTATGTTCATCATGATGTAATGCATATGAATTACAAAGCATCACTTATAAAGTATTCTTGTTAAAAATGTTTAACTTGAATTTGGTTTAACCTTTATAGTTAAAATCTTTTTACAACAAATATTTTTCTGACACTTAAAAGTTGATGAAAGGGAAAAGTTAGGGTCCCCCTTTGCTTAGGACTCTCCCAGGACTAAAAGTCCTCCATCAAGAAACCCTGGTGCTGGGTACCCTTTATTTGCAAAGTAATTCGTTTGGCCAACATGGTGGCCAAGTTTAACCGATTACACTTCTAACCAATTACACTTGTCACAGTTCTAATATATCAGATTTTCACAAGCTCTTGAAAAGTATACATACAATAATACATTAGACATATCACGATACAATGGCTGCAAACAGATCAGTACACTAATGGCAGTATTATACTAACAGGACTTCTAATTCAATGGCTAAACAATTTCTTTTTCTTTTCTTTTCTTTTTTTTTTTTTTTTTTGGGAGATGGAGTCTCACTCTGTTGCCCAGGCTGGAGTGCAGTGGCGCAATCTCGGCTCACTGCAAGCTCTGTCTCCTGGGTTCATGCCATTCTCCTGCCTCAGCCTCCTGAGTAGCTGGGACTACAGGCACCTGCCACCACGCCCAGCTAATTTTTTGTATTTTTAGTAGAGACAGGGTTCCACTGTTTTAGCCAGGATTTTTTTTTTTTTTTTTTTTTTTTTTTGAGACGGAGTCTTGCTCTGTTGCCAGGCTGGAGTGCAGTAGCGCAATCTTGGCTCACTGCAACCTCCACCTCTTGGGTTCGAGCAATTCTCCTGCCTTAGCCTCCCAAGTAGCTGGGATTTCAGGTGCATGCCACCACACCCAGCTAATTTTTGTATTTTTAGTAGAGATGGGTTTTCACGATGTTGGCCAGGCTGGTCTAGAACTCCTGACCTCAGGAGATCCGCCCACCTTGGCCTCCCAAAGTGCTGGGATTACAAGCGAGAGCCACCACACCTGGCATTATTTCTCATGCCAGCTGAAGATGCAAATAAAAATGTTTTGGCATCTTAAGATCTTTCTACCAAGTACACTACCCAACTGGGCAGGTCCTTTATATAATTTTTATTTTTTCTGTTACACAAGAAACTGTCCAAAACAGTAGGTCTAATCAATCAGATACATTTTCACTTTTGTAACCCTACTAGTAATATTATAAAGATATTTTTCTGAGTGCTTTATTTTTACAATACAGTTTATTATGTCTGTAGTGTGAGATTTTTTTTCTGAGTGTCTTTTTTCCTTAAATTTGTAGCTAATAAAATGTCTAATAAATGTCAATCTGATTTCTACTTTGGTTCTTTCCTCATTCTCCACCATCCCTCCCCCTAAGCATTGCTTCTACTGGGCATTCTGTAGCCTTGGGAGGAGCCAAACATTCCTTTTTTTTTTTTTTTTTTTGAGATGGTGTCTCGCTCTGTCATGCAGTGGCGCAGTCTCGGCTCACTGCAGTCTCTACCTCCCGGGTTCAAGAGATTCTCCATCCTCAGCCTCCTGAGTAGCTGGGACTACAGGCGTGTGCCACCACACCCAGCTAATTTTTGTATTTTTAGTAGAGACGGGGTTTCACCATGTTGGTCAGGCTGGTCTTGAACTCCTGACCTCAGGTGATCCGCCTGCCTTGGCCTCCCAAAGTGCTGGGATTACAGGCATGAGCCACCACGCCCAGCTCAAACATTCTTATTTTAGGAGAACAAAATGAGCATCAAATGTCTGGATGGCAGATATCCTCCATCACTCTTATAACTTTCCTCTGAGTCAGTTATTAAATCTGTATTTAAAATTTTTTCCAATGCCTGTTTCTACCCTTTAAAAAATTTGTTATAAGAATTAAATCAATTAATACCTGCAAGTACTACGTAAGTATTCTCAACCAGCTGGAGAATAATCCAATTGAGTATTCATGTAGAGTTTTGCATTTTTATTCAACTTTGCATATTCCGAATTGCCACACAATTCTTACAGGTGATAATGGTGTTTTACTACTGTGTTTCTCATACACCTAGAGGTAAGAGGTAACCACAGGCTCAACATGGCTGTTCTTCCTGGCATGAGCTAAGGAGTTCTGGACTAGATTGTAAACTTTATGAAGATAGACATTCTGTTTTATTCAGCATTGCATCCCCAATGCTCCAGCTCAGTGCCTGACATATGGTAGGTACTCAATGAATATTTGCTGAATAAATCAATGAAGTGAAAGGCTTAGAGAGATAGCAGTTTTATATTTAAAAACTTGAAAATATCAGCAATTATAACATCATATTTACGTAACTATTTTAAGTTAAAACACAAGCTGCTTAAGGTTGTAGTCCCAGATGTCAGGAATATCTTTGTCCTCAGCTATTTTTTGCAGAAGATCTGGGTGGGGTGAAGAAGTTGAGATATTATTCTAAATCAATAAGTTCACAATGAAAAGAATTAAGGAATTTGTTTTTAGTTTTATCTAGCTTAATATTTAATCTTTCAAGATGCAGTGAGTATAGATTGCAAAAAGTTCCTAATTATATACAAATTTTACAAATTGTGTGGACTTTAGGTAGCTTAAAAGTATGTTCAATTTATTGTAGCCTAGAAAGTACTTTCTAAAAATTACAGTGTTCAATGATTTTTAGAATTTTATTTAATAATTATTCTTCACAATAAAGCTGGAAAAAAAGATCTAAGTTAACGTATTGAGTTATGGATATTTCCTATTTACGCTAAAGCCAGAATTAGAAACTTTAAAAGACATGTGATCATAACAAAAGGAGACATTATTAGAATGAATGAATAAATGAACAAACAATGAATATTTTTGCTAGACATTTTCCCAAATTTATATTTTCAATGGGGGAGTGGAGAGGTGCATATTTTGTGTCTTATATCTATCTCTTTTATTCTACAACAATTCTCCTTCCCTTTTTGGATGAGAAACTAAATCATTTTCAAAGAAGTGAAATGATGGAAACTATACATGGGTTAAAGATTTACTGTAAAGGAATAGAAATCAAGACAGTATGGTATTAGATAAAGGACAGACATAGATTAATAGATTACTGGAACAGAATAGAAGGTTCAGAATTGGTAGTTCAACTGATAGTCAACAAAGATGCCAAAGTAATTCAATGGAGGAAAAGTGGAAGAAGTGTAAAATGCATATGCAAAAAGAAACGAACCACAATCCATACCTCATACCATATACAAAAACCAGCTTGATATAGATCATAGATCTAAATGTAAAACCTAAAACAGACGGAAGACGGAGTCTCACTCTGTTGCCCAGGCTGGAGCACAGTGGCGTGATTTCAGCTCACTGCAACCTCTGCCTCCCGGGTTCAAGCAATTCTCCTGCTTCAGCCTCCCAAGTAGCTGGGATTACAGGCATGTGCCACCACGCCTGGTTAATTTTTTTGTATTTTTAGTGGAGACAGGGTTTTACCATGTTGGCCAGGCTGGTTTCAAACTCCTGACCTCAAGCGATCTGCCTGCCTCGGCCTCCCAAAGTGCTAGGATTACAGGTGTGAGCCACCACGCCCAGCAAAACTTCAAAATTTACAGAAGAAAGCATTGGAGAAAATATATGCGACCTGCAATTGAGTAACAATTTCTTAAATAGGCCATAAAAAGCACAAACCCTAAAAATTTTTAATTGATAACCTGAACTTCCTGAAAATTAAAATTTATTGATTTTCAAAAGACACAGTTATGGAAAAAAGGACAACAATATTTGAAAACATATATCTGATAAAAACTTGTGTTCAGAATATATAAAGAACCCTTAAAATGCAATACTAAGAGGACAAAAAGCTAGATTTTTTTAAATACACAAAAGATTTGAATAAACACTCCACCAAAGATATACAAATGGCAAATAAGCATATGAAAAGATGTGCAACACCATCATTCCTTAGGGAAAGGCAAACTAAAATCAGAATCAGATACTGCAAAATACTCACTGGAGTGACTAAAATTTAAAAGGCAATACCAAATATTGTCAAGAATGTGGAGCAACTGGCACTCCCATAACTGCTGTTAGGAATGAAAAATGGTGCAACCACTTTGGGAAGCATTTGGCAGTTTCTTATAAAACTACCTTTAACATATGACCAAGGCATTCCACTCCTAGGTATTTATCAAGAGAAATGAAAATATATTTTCACACAAAAACTTGTACTCACACGTTCATAGGAGCTTTATTCATATCTTAAAAGTGGGAACAACTCAAACGTCTATTGATTGATGAATACATAAACAAATTGTAGTATATTCATATGATGAAATAACACTATATTCATATGACATATGAATATAAAGGAACAAACATGCACTAACCTGGATGAATTTCAGTGCATTGTGCTAAATGAAAGCAGCCAGATACAAAAAGCCACATGCTGAATAATTCTATTTATATGAAATTCTAGAAAAAACAAAGTTATAGCAACAGAAATCAGATCAGTGGTTGCCTGGGGCCAGGGGCAGGAAAGGGACCCAAAGGAACTTTCAAGGTCATGAAAATGGTCTATATATGATTATGGTAATGATAACTTCACCATCAAAATCCATCTTATCAATTATACACTTGCAATTGGTGAATTTTATTGCATATAAATTATACCTCAACAAACCTGAATAAAAGAAAAATTCTTTTAAGGTGGTTCTGTGTACTGCCTATGCATCGTTAAATGACATATAAGTCAAGGTCCAATCAGAAAAACAGAAACCACATTATGTACTTCCGGAGAAGATTTAATTTAGGGGATTGGTTATACAGGTGTAAGAAGCTCAACGATCAAAGAGCACTAATACAAAATGTAACTGAAAGATGACAACTTGCAGTACCTGTTGCCACCACTAAAGCTGAGGGAACAAAGTGGAAGTGGCACTTTTGAACTCCGTGGAGGGGCTTGCCAGAGCTGTGGGTAAAACCATTGAGGAAGGCTTGACCCCAGGCTACTGCTGGTACCTCTGCAGACATGGGATATGACTGGGTTTTGCTGTTTTTGTTTCTAAGAGTCCTGCAAGAAGCAAGAAACTGCTGCCACCAGGAGGAAGGGCCACTATTGGAGCAATCCAGTCAAGAACAGGAAAAACAGGAAGGATTAATCCCTTTTCTGTCCCCTTTTTATCCTTCAATCACTAGTGGCTTCTGTTGATAGAACCTAACAGTGACCCAGCTATGAAAGGAGAAATTTTGTTTCCAGGGCCTAACCTCAGCATCAGAGAATAAATTATAGAAAGTATGGAAGTGGAGCTAAAAGACAACAGGTAAATGACATCTCTGGTTTAATCCTACCTTTAATCGTATAAAGATTAATCAGTGATTTTAGGTGACTTTAGCCTAATCCGTCCATTATTAAATTCTCAGTGTTTAATCTAATGGTTTTAACATCCATTGGTTACTGTTACCTAGATAATTTATTATTTTATTAGTGGCCACAACACAGAAATTTCCTGATTTTAATATCCTTTATGCATTTATTAGCTGGAATTCTATAAAGAAGAACATTCCCTCATCAACTATTTGGTTATTTTGAAATACAGTTTGTACAGGAAAGGCAGGAAAGATCTTGATTATTTCTCTTTATCATTTCAGAGTTGGGTTGGGTACAGTGGCTCATACCTGTAATCCTAGCACCTTGGGAGGTTGAGGTGGGAGAATGGCTTGAGCCCAGGAGTTCAAGACAGTGTGTTCAACGTAGTGAGACCTCATCTCTACTAAAAATAAAAAAAATTTAAAAATAAATTAGCTGGGTATAGTGGTATGTGCCTGTAGTTCCAGCTACTGGAGAAGCTGAGGCAGTAGGATCCCTTGAGCCCAGGAAGTCAAGGCTGCAGTGAACCATGCCACTGCACTCCAGCCTGGGTGACAGAGTGAGACCCCATCTCTAAAAAATAAAAATAAAAAATAAAAAAATCAGAGTCAATGACCTAGCAATCTCCAGAGATGATCAATGAGTTAGCAACCTTTTTTCATATTAGATACTCATCACTTTTGTTTATATATTTGATGTTTTTTAATCCATTGCAGGCATTATTCTTTTTTATATTCACATTGTCCCATCTTTGGTCAGTGGGAGCTTTCATGGTGTTTTTTGTTTTCTGGTTTTGTTTTTTGGTTCTGAATTATTCTTTTAAAAAATGTCAACTATGTCCAACTTAATACTATCCCTCTCATTTGACTCTAAATCTCTCAGATCCTGGAAGATATTTGCAACTTACAATGAACTTTGTCTACCTGGTAAGCTGCTAATAAACACCTGAATTGTCTGGTGTTGAGCCACTTTGTGGGAACATTCTTGAGATGGCCTCTCACCAGTGCAAACAAAGCCAATTTTAATTACAAACTTTAATATAGTTGTTCAACTCTAACCAAATCTCCAAGTCCAGTCTTGAATCTTGGGTATTATGTGTGTTCCTTAGGAGGGGAAAAATGACAATGCAAAAAGAATTATGTAGTCTAAAAAGGAAGCAACTTAAGATTTTGAATCAGTTTATGCTTTTCTAAAGTACAAGATCGTAAGTAATTTTCCTAAAGTGCATGCAGTTTAACTCCTACTGCTGAGATGATAACCATCACTATAGCACTTGAGAGCAACTAGAGAACAAAATATGGACCCTGGGACTCACTGAGGTCTCTTTTTCCTCCAGAAGAGTTAGTAGTCTTTTGATTTGCGTTAACATTGCTCTTTCTTTATATATAGGTACATAAATAGGTAAATAGCAGCACCTCCAACCAGATACCCAGGCCAGAACTTGGGGAGATTTCCTAGGCTTCTCCTGGTCCATTGAGTGCTATCAATTCTACTCCTTAAAACCTTTCCAATCCATGCCCTCTTTTCTTTTGCTGCACCACTAGTATGGTTTAGACTTCCAGCTTAACTGAAGTAGGTTATCGGCCTCATAAATGCCTCCAGTCTTCACACTTGAGTTTTTATTTTTACACTCCTATGAAAGTTATATTTGTGTGCTGGAGATGTGGCTAGGGTTTGTCTCACAGTGGAGGCAAGGAATTGCAAGTCAGAAATACGTTGCTACTTGGCTGCCTCTACTCTATTATTGTACACCTTGATGGCGAGGTTAAGTCCTCTTGTGGGGTTTGAGGGCCAGAATTTAATTTTCAGAGCTTTATTTAATGTCGGGAGGAGATTGGGTAATAAAATAAAATGCATACTGAGAATAAGACGGCCTTCTGACCTTTCAGGGTCTAGGGCTGTACAGTGTCTCAGGGTTGCTGCCAAACGGGCCATAAACTGGGCTGGATTTTTGATGAAAATATATGCTCTTTTTCATCAAATATAAATGTGGGAGAGGTCAGATAAAGAAAAAGGAGCATTAACCTTGAAAGCAGGTTAAAAGGAGCCTTTAGCTCCAGCCAGCTTTTTAAGAGGAAATTGCTGGGCAGGTGGGGGAGGGCTAGTTGCGGAACGAAACTGTAAGCTGGACCAGGTGTGAGGAGGGCAGGTGATAAAAGGATTATAGGGTGGGGGAGCGGAGGCTGAGGAAGAATTGGGACCTGGCTTGGCCTGGCTAGGAGCAGCCTGGGGAGGAGGAGAGAGGTCAGATGGGTCCGTAGAAAAGGAAGATTGGAAAGACTCAGCGAAGCTTGGGGTTGGGACTGAGGGAACAGGTGGGAGGGAAAGAAGGAAGATTTGGGATTAGTTGCATTGGGAAGAGAGACTAGGGAGGGACCGATGTGTAAAAGAATGCCTGGACGTTAGGCACCTCAGACCGTTTGCCCATTTTACAACAAGAATTATCTAGCTCTTGTAGGATGGAAAAATCGAAAGTGCCATTTTCTGGCTATTTGGAACCACTATCGAGCTTGTATTGGGGTCAAGCAGTGTTGCAGAAGAAAATAAGATGCTAGATTTTACGTCAGGTGAGAGTTGAAGAGGTTTTAAGTTCTTGAGAGCACAGGCTAAGGGAGAAGAAGGAGGAATGGAGGGTGGAAGGTTGCCTATAGTGAAGGAGGCAAGTCCAGAGAAAAGAGAGGGTAGAGACACAGAGAGAAGGGGTTGGGGGGTGCTTACCCCCAAGGAAAGTGAAGAGAAAAGAGAGGGTAGAGACACAGAGAGAAGGGGAGAAGGGGTAGGGGGTGCTTGCCCCCCAGGAAAGTGGAGAAGGGGTAGGGACATGGAAAGAAGGAGTGGGGGGTGCTTGCCCCCCAGGAAAGTGGAAAAGGGGTAGGGACATGGAGGGAAGGGGTGGGGGGGTGCTTGCCCCCCAGAAAAGCAGTGCTTGCCGCTAAAGGTGAAGGACCAAGGCAGGCATCCCTGCGTGGTCAGACACCTCTGAAACATGGGTGAATAATCAAGCAGGTGTCCCCATGTGATTAAACACCAAGGGAAGACTGTCTTCCCAAGTCCGTGACCGGCGTGGGAGTTTTGGGCTCATGGATAAAGCACGTCTCCTGTCTCCACCAGAAAAGGGAAGGAACTGAAATTAAGAGAAGGGAGAGATTGAAAGATGGCGCCAAGATTGAAAGGAGAAAGAGGTTGAGGGATAGTCAGAGAGGTTGGAGAAGACAGTAAAAAGAGGCCGCTTACCAGATTTAAAATTGGTGAGATGTTCCTTGGGCTGGTTGGTCTGAGGACCAGAGGTCATAAGTGGATCTTTCTCATGGAGCAAAGAGCAGGAGGACAGGGGATTGATCTCCCAAGGGAGGTTCCCCGATCCGAGTTATGGCACCAAATTTCACTTGCGTCTGTGTGAAGAGGCCACCAAACAGGCTTTGTGTGAGCAACAAGGCTGTTTATTTCACCTGGGCACAGGCGGGCTGAGTCCGAAAAGAGTTAGTGAAGGGAGATGGGGTGGGGCCGTTTTATAGGATTTGGGTAGGTACAGGAAAATTACAGTCAAAGGGGGTTTGTTCTCTGGCTGACAGGGGTGGGGGTCACAAGGTGCTCAGTGGGGGAGCTTTTGAGCCAGGATGAGCCAGGAGAAGGAATTTCACAAGGTAATGTCATCAGTTAAGGCAGGAACAGGCCATTTTCACTTCTTTTGTGTTGGAATGTCATCAGTTAAGGCAGGAACAGGCCATTTTCACTTCTTTTGTGATTCTTCAGTTACTTCAGACTATCTGGATGTATACGTACAGGTCACAGGGGATATGATGGCTTAGCTTGGGCTAGAGGCCTGACAGATATGATACCCTTCATGATCTGGCCTTTATTTAACTTTCTGTCTTCCTCCTTCCAGCTTCCTGTATCATCCCCAGACCCCCTCAAATCCCATGCTCACCGCCCCAGCATTACTGAAACACTGGCAGAACTCTCATCACAGTACACCTGAAGGCCTCTCTGTGTCTGAAAAAGCTGTACCCTTTACTTAGAACAACTTTCTCTCTTTTCAAATGGTTAATGAGGACTCATTCTTCAAAAGTCAACTCTGATACCTCCTCTGGGAAGCCTTACTTGATCAACCCCATACCCAGAGTAAATTAGCTGCCTCCATAACCCCATATGGCTCCATGGCAGGCTTATCATTACTACAGTGATCACTACGCTATGTGACATTTACTATCTCTGTTTACTATGAGATTCACATATCTTCATGAATTTAGTCTTTAATACCAGCAACTCAGCACCATGCTTGAGTGTACCCTCAAAGAATGCTTGCTGAGAGACTAATTGAATAATTGCATACTCTTTTTCTTTCTTTTTGTTTTGAGACGCAGTCTCGCTCTGTCACCAGGCTGGAGTGCAGTGGTACAATCTTGGCTCACTGCAACCTGCGCCTCCCGGGTTCAAGCAATTCTCCTGCCTCAGCCTCCCAAGTAGCTGGGACTATAGGCACGCGCCACCACGCCCAGCTAATTTTTGTATTTTTAGTAGAGATGGGGTTTCACCATGTTGGCCAGGATGGTCTCAATCTCCTGACCTTGTGATCCGCCCAACTCGGCCTCCCAAAGTGCTGGGATTACAGGCATGAGCCACTGCACCCGGCCAAATAATTGCATAATCTTAACCCAGAATTTTTCAAACATTTTTTTCTTTTTCTTTTTTCTTTTTTTTTTTTTTTTGAGATGGAGTCTCCCTCTGTCACCCAGGCTGGAGTGCAGTGGTGTGATCTTGGCTTACTGCAACCTCCGCCTCCTGGGTTCAAGCAATTTTCCTGCCTCAGCCTCCCTGAGTAGCTGGGACTACATGCGCACACCACCAAGTCCAGCTAAATTTTTTGTATTTTTAGTAGAGACGAGGTTTCACCATGTTGGCCAGGCTGGTCTCGAACTCCTGACCTCAGGTGATCTGCCCAACTTAGCCTCCCAATAGCCTCCCAAAGTGCTGGAATTACAGGCATGAGCCACTGCGCCCAGCTCATTTTTTTCAAAGAGGTTGTACCAATTTACCTATACTCTCAACAAAAATATAACTGAGTTTCCTGTTGTTCCACATCCTCAGCAACCCTTGGCTTTGTCAGACTTTTAAAGCATTGTGGTAGGTCTGTGGTGGTGTATCACTGTGGTTTTTTTCAATGTCTTTCATATGCTAGTGGATATAGTATTAAGTAATTAATTAATTATTATTAACATTTCCTGAAACGGCAAATGCAAAGTCCCTCCAGTTAGACTTTTTGAAGGAACAGTAAGAAAACCAATGAATGGGCCAGGTGTGGTGGCTCATGCCTGTAATCCTAGTACTTTAGGAGGCTGAGGCAGGTGGATCACTTGAGGTCAGAAGTTTGAGACCGGCCTGGCCAACATGATGAAACCCTGTGTCTACTAAAAATATAAAAATTAGCTGGGTGTGGTGGTGCATGCCTGTAATCCCAGCTACTCAGGAGGCTGAGGCAGGAGAATTGCTTGAACCCAGGAGGCAGAGGTTGCAGTGAGCTGAGATCGTGCCATTGCCCTCCAGCCTAGGTGACAGAGCGAGACTCCATCTAAAAAAAAAAAAAAAACAAAGAAAGAAAGAAAACCAATGAATGCACAACTGTAGTCATAATCTTAGAACCAGAATTGATCTTATCAGCGATTCTCAAATGTTGGTATTTATATAAAAACCCAATGTGCTGGTTGAAATTGTACATTCTTAGTCCTCAGTCCCCCCAGAATTCTGGGTTAATAGGAACTTGGGCCCTAACATCTATATTTTAAAATAGGTATCCCAAGCAATTCTAATGCAGTTGGTTTTCAGTCTACAGAATGAGAAATTCTATTTTAGAAAATAGCTCTGTTTCATATTACAGTGTCTTTTTTATGAGACAGAGTCTTGCTGTGTCGCCAGGCTGGAGTGCAGTGATGCAATCTCGGCTCACTGCAACCTCTGCCTCCCAGGTTCAAGCGATTCTCCTGCCTCAGCCTCCCGAGTAGCTGGGACTACAAGCATGTGCCACCACGCCCAGCTAATTTTGGTACTTTTAGTAGAGACGGGGTTTCACCGTGTTGGCCAGAATGGTTTTGATCTCTTGATCTCGTGATCTGCCTGCCTCAGCCTCCCAAAGTGCTGGGATTACAGGTGTGAGCCACCATGCTCGGCTACAATGTAATTTATGAGACTACCTACTTTGTCTATCATCTGGTTAATGTAAAAGCTACGACTTTCTAATTTTTGTGGGTATATGCGGCAGCACTTTACAAAAACAAAATTAAGGCTGCTTGGAAAAGTTTAAGACAGAATTTGCAGTAAGTGAAGCCTCTGATCATGCTGCAAAACCAAGAGTAGTTAATGGGGAAGCAATATGGTGAAAAGAGCATCAGTGTCACTTTCAGAAGAGGTAGAATTGAGACTCAGGTGTGTCATCCTAGGCAAATCCTGTAACTTCCCTTAGTTTCCACTTCTCACCTAAATTTAGTATTATATCTATCCTAGCAATCTCTCAATTCTGTATAAGGGTCAAAATGAGTGTGGCAAGTGCTAATACAAAAGTAAGACCTAATCATTGTTATAGGAATGAAACTTGTTTTTGATTGACACACCTGCCTGAATTAAAGAAACAAACTGGCCAGGCGCGGTTGCTTACACCTGTAATCCTAGTACTGTGGGAGGCCGAGGCGGGTGATCTCTCACGAGGTCAACAGATCGAGACCATCCTGACCAAACATAGTGAAACCCCGTCTCTACTAAAATACAAAAATTAGCTGGGCGTGGTGGCATGCGCCCATAGTCCCAGCTACTCAGGAGGCTGAAGCAGGAGAATTGCTTGAACCCAGGAGGCAGAGGTTGCAGTGAGTTGAGATCGCACCACTGCACTCCAGCCTGGCGACAGAGCGAGACTCCATCTCACAAAAAAAAAAAAAAAAAAAAGAAACAAATTTAGTTTCATCAACATTTGTTTCTTGGAATAACCTCAGCAGCTTCCCACTAATGGTTAGTTAGGATTCTAGTTAACCGCATCCCTTCATATTTCAGTTTAGACAAGATGCAAGGAAAATCTTGAGTAACTTGTCCTAGGATACAAAATTAATTTAGTGACAAGGCCAGGATGCAAGTCTGTCTTCTGATTATTAGTTCAGATCACTTTCTACCATACTTTACTCAGTTGTCTTTCCCATTCTTTATTATAACCAACAGGCCAGGTGATTCTGACACACACCAGATTTTGAGCTACCACTCTACTGCATTAGATGTGGTAGTGGGGAAGTAATTATTATTTTATTATCACACTTATTATTTTATAAAGCTTTATTGTAGTATTATTTATATGCCATACAATTCACCAATTTAAATTTAACAACTCAATGGTTTTTAGTATAATCACAGAATTGTGCAACCATCACAATTAATTTTAGAACATTTCATCACTCAGAAAGAAACACCCTATTTGATAGCAGTCATTCTCTATCCTCCCCTCCCCCCAACCTCTGGCAACCACTAATTTCTGTTATACAATTTGCCTGTTTGGTACCTTTCATACAAATGGAATCATACAATATGTGGTTGTGACTGGTTTCTTTCACTTGGCATGTTTTCAAGATAGACTTATTGTTTTAAAATTATCAAAGTAACAATATAGTTTAGAAATAAAAGAAAAAAATCACTCATAATCTGACCAGAAGCAGTGGCTCACACCTGTATTCCCAGTACTTCGGGAGGCCGAGGCGGGCAGATCACCTGAGCCCAGGAGTTCGAGACCAGCCTGGGCAACATGGCGAAACCCTGTCTCTATAAAAAACACAATTAGCCGGGCGTGGTGGCGCGCGCCTGTGGTCCCAGCTACTGGGGGAACTGAGGCGGGGAGGATCGCTTGAGCCCAGGAGGTTGAGGCTGCAGTGAGCAGGGATCGCGCCGCTATACTCCAGCCTAGGTGACACAGCCAGACCTTGTATCCAAAAAAAAAAAAAGTCATGATCCCATTCTAATCAATGCTTTTCTTCTCTCGCCTGCAAGTGCACGTTTATCTTATTGAAAAACAAATGGAGGATGCCATTGGCCTCCACACGGCTCTCACCTCTCTCCAAAACCTAGCTCGCAGCCTGCCAGAGCGCAGCTAGAGTTTCTGGGCAGAGGAGGGAGAAGCACCCCGCCCATCCCCGCCGGCGCCTCGCCTACGTCACTGCTTCGAGCCGCAGACCCCCTCCCTCCTTCCCGGTCGCGGTAGCTTTGACAGAGCGCAATGGCGGCAACCGCGTCTGCAGGGGTGCCGGCGACCGTGTCAGAAAAGCAAGAGTTTTACCAGCTTCTGAAGAACCTGATCAATCCAAGCTGTATGGTGCGGAGGCAAGCAGAGGAAATCTATGAAAATATCCCAGGTCTGTGTAAGACTACCTTCCTCTTAGATGCCGTCAGAAATAGAAGAGCAGGTTATGAGGTGAGACAAATGGCTGCCGCACTGCTACGACGGCTTTTGTCCTCTGGGTTTGAGGAGGTTTATCCAAATCTGCCTGCTGATGTTCAGAGAGATGTCAAGATTGAACTGATTCTGGCTGTTAAGTTAGAAACACATGCTAGCATGAGGAAAAAACTTTGTGATATTTTTGCAGTGCTGGCCAGGAATTTGATAGATGAGGATGGCACTAACCACTGGCCGGAAGGTCTGAAGTTTCTTATTGATTCAATCTACTCCAAAAATGTGGTTCTATGGGAAGTTGCACTTCACGTTTTCTGGCACTTTCCTGGGATTTTTGGGACCCAAGAGCGGCATGATTTGGATATCATCAAACGGTTGTTGGACCAGTGTATTCAAGATCAAGAACATCCAGCAATCAGGACATTATCCGCTAGAGCTGCAGCTGCATTTGTACTTGCTAATGAGAATAATATTGCTCTTTTCAAAGACTTTGCAGACTTGCTTCCTGGAATCTTACAGGCTGTGAATGACTCATGCTACCAGGATGATGATTCAGTGCTAGAATCCCTTGTTGAGATTGCAGATACCGTACCTAAGTACTTGGGTCCTTATTTAGAAGATACTCTACAGTTGAGTTTGAAGTTATGTGGAGACTCTAGGCTTAGTAATCTGCAGCGCCAGCTGGCCCTCGAAGTTATAGTGACCTTGTCTGAAACTGCCACTCCGATGTTGAAAAAACATACAAATATTATTGCACAGGCAGTTCCTCATATATTAGCAATGATGGTTGATCTACAAGATGATGAGGACTGGGTAAATGCTGATGAAATGGAAGAAGATGATTTTGACAGCAATGCAGTTGCTGCGGAGAGTGCACTAGACAGACTGGCTTGTGGGCTTGGTGGAAAAGTTGTTTTACCAATGACCAAGGAGCATATCATGCAGATGCTTCAGAGCCCTGACTGGAAGTATCGACATGCTGGATTAATGGCCTTATCTGCCATTGGAGAAGGATGCCATCAACAAATGGAATCAATTCTAGATGAAACAGTTAACTCCGTTTTGCTTTTTCTTCAGGATCCTCATCCAAGGGTGAGGGCTGCAGCCTGTACTACACTTGGACAGATGGCTACAGATTTTGCACCTAATTTCCAAAAGAAATTTCATGAAACAGTGATTGCAGCTCTGTTACGTACCATGGAAAATCAAGGTAATCAGCGTGTGCAATCACATGCAGCTTCTGCTCTTATTATTTTTATTGAAGACTGCCCTAAATCATTGCTAGTTCTATATGTGGATAGTATGGTGAAAAATCTACATTCCGTCTTGGTGATTAAACTTCAAGAGTTGATTCGGAATGGAACTAAGTTGGCTTTGGAACAACTTGTGACAACCATTGCATCAGTTGCAGATACAATAGAAGAAAAATTTGTCCCATATTATGATATATTCATGCCCTCACTAAAGCACATTGTTGAGCTTGCTGTTCAGAAGGAACTCAAGCTTCTGAGAGGAAAAACTATCGAGTGCATTAGCCATATTGGTCTTGCTGTTGGGAAGGAAAAATTTATGCAAGATGCATCAAATGTGATGCAGCTGTTGTTGAAGACACAATCAGACTTAAATAATATGGAAGATGATGACCCTCAGACCTCTTACATGGTTTCAGCATGGGCTAGAATGTGTAAAATTCTTGGAAAAGATTTTCAACAGTACCTTCCACTGGTTATCGAGCCTCTTATTAAGACTGCTTCAGCTAAACCTGATGTTGCTCTCTTAGACACACAGGATGTGGAAAATATGAGTGACGATGATGGCTGGCAATTTGTAAATCTTGGAGACCAGCAGAGTTTTGGAATTAAAACTTCAGGACTTGAAGCAAAAGCAACTGCTTGCCAAATGTTGGTTTACTATGCTAAGGAGTTAAGGGAAGGGTTTGTGGAATATACAGAACAAGTTGTGAAGCTGATGGTTCCTTTACTGAAATTTTATTTCCATGACAATGTTCGAGTGGCAGCAGCAGAGTCCATGCCTTTTCTCCTGGAATGTGCAAGAATTCGTGGCCCAGAGTATCTTGCACAGATGTGGCAATTCATATGTGACCCCTTAATCAAGGCTATTGGTACTGAACCAGATACAGATGTGCTCTCAGAAATAATGAATTCTTTTGCAAAGTCCATTGAAGTTATGGGAGATGGTTGCCTTAATGATGAACACTTGGAAGAACTGGGAGGAATACTGAAAGCAAAACTTGAAGGGCACTTTAAAAACCAAGAATTGAGACAGGTGAAAAGACAGGAAGAAAACTATGATCAACAGGTTGAGATGTCTCTGCAAGATGAGGATGAATGTGATGTTTATATTCTGACCAAAGTATCAGATATTTTGCACTCATTATTTAGTACTTATAAGGAAAAGATTTTACCATGGTTTGAACAACTACTTCCATTAATTGTAAATCTAATTTGTTCAAGTAGGCCATGGCCAGACAGACAGTGGGGATTGTGCATATTTGATGACATCATAGAGCACTGCAGTCCAACTTCATTTAAATATGTAGAATATTTTCGGTGGCCAATGCTACTAAATATGCGAGATAACAACCCTGAAGTCAGGCAAGCTGCTGCTTATGGCCTGGGTGTCATGGCACAGTTTGGTGGAGATGATTATCGTTCTTTATGTTCAGAAGCTGTTCCACTTCTGGTAAAAGTTATTAAGTGTGCAAATTCCAAAACCAAAAAAAATGTCATTGCTACAGAGAACTGTATCTCAGCAATAGGGAAGATTTTGAAGTTTAAGCCTAACTGTGTAAATGTAGATGAAGTTCTTCCACACTGGTTATCATGGCTTCCACTGCATGAAGATAAAGAGGAAGCTATTCAGACTTTGAGTTTTCTCTGTGACCTAATTGAAAGTAACCACCCAGTTGTAATTGGTCCAAATAATTCCAATCTTCCCAAAATAATCAGTATAATTGCAGAAGGAAAAATTAATGAGACTATTAACTATGAGGATCCTTGTGCCAAACGCCTAGCTAATGTCGTGCGTCAGGTACAGACTTCTGAAGATTTATGGTTGGAATGTGTATCACAACTTGATGATGAACAGCAGGAAGCCTTACAGGAGTTGCTAAATTTTGCTTGAAGCACTTTAATATAACTTGAATATTATCTATTATAAAAGTAACTACAAATAAGTGTTGTGAATAGATTTTATTATAAATCAGAGAACTGTTTTCTCCCTGCTAAGCAGTTTATAGTTCTTCTCCATGTTTCTCCAGAATTAATCAGTGTTAGTCCTCTGTTTATCTCGCATGTTTTATCTTCCAAACACAGACCTTGGTGATAACCTGTGCTTCAAACTGTCTTAAACAATGTTTGTCACCTTTCCCCTAGTTGATGTAAAGTATATAAATTGTTGCTATTTGTTTGAACTATTATTGATGCTAGCCAAGCAGTATACTTGATGTGAAGATGTCATGCTATCACAATATGCTAAGAGCTCACAAAAATAAGATAGAATTTCCAGGACAAACATCTTTGGAATTGTGAGTGAAGGATATAGTGGCAGGCTTGTCCCTCTTTAATTAATACTCTTGGTATTTGTGGTGATGGGAGGATGCTGTTACTAGGAGAGTTTTGAGATACTGCAGTGGATGTGGGATGTATATGAACTTCTTCATAATGTACTCCTGGGAACTGGGTAGGACATATCCATATTGTAGTTCCCAAGGTGTCTGGTTGAGAGTTAGAGAACTTTTAAATTTCTTTAGCCAGACAGGTCTCTATTTTTTTAAGTTATCCAGGACTCCAAGAACCATAGTTACTGAAAAGGGAGTCCTGATACATCTAATATTGGTAGCATGTAACAGTGTTTGACAAAGAGTAAGTAAGCAGTATTCTTGGGAGTCAGTGTTATGTGTTTCAGCAGAGTATTATTTTGTATATGTATGCCATTTTCTCCCTGCAAAGCAGCTCAACAAGAGAAAAAGCTCTAGTTATAGGGCTTAAATTGATTTCTATTTCAAATAATTTCCTAAGAGATTCTAGAGTAGAACTGAAGAGTATTCTATTGGAAAAGTGAAAGGAAAGAAATGTAATTTTCTTTGAACATGAAAAAGAAAACAACTTTGAGAGTAGTCATTTAGCAGTAGATGTGCATTATTATGAGAAAACAGTTCTATAAGTCCAGGGTTAATTATATTAATTGGAATGTCAGTCTTTAATGTCGAGCTTATTGTAGGGTAGAAAAGAGCTTTCTACTCAGCTAACGATTACTCATTGATCCAAAACTTAAATACATCTATAATTTCCTGGGGCTATTGTGAGTACTGTGTATGTATTTAGCAAATATTTAAGACCTAGTAAGTGCTCAATAAATTGTAGCTGTTATTGCTGTTGTTGTTTGTACCTCTATTGTGTCTGGAACTTCTTTTACTTTAGAATTTTCCCAATCCATTCCCTACTCATTCATATTGGCAGGCTATTTAGGCTATTGTTGACAAGAATATAAAGTTGAGATTTTAGATATGCAATTCTGTCCATTCCATGTAATTATTACTAATGGGGGAAAAAGGAAAATTAAGGACATTATGTATAGTATGATCACAATTTTTAGTATATTTAAGATAAATAAAGTATAGAAGAATGAATAGAAAAATCCCACCTCAAAGTATTAATAGAGGTTTTCTCTAGGTGGTAGGATTAAGTGGCAAATTTTCTCCTCACTTACCTATATTTTCTAATTTACCTACATACCTACAACCAACATATTTCTTGTTTTGTTTGTTTGTTTTGAGATGTAGTTTTGCTCTTGTTGCCCAAGCTGGAGTGCAATGGCACGATCTCGGCTCACTGCAACCTCCGCCTCCCAGGTTCAAGCAATTCTGCCTCAGCTTCCCGAGTAGCTGGGATTACAGGTGCGCACCACCACTCCCAGCTAATTTTTTGTATTCTTAGTAGAAACGGGGTTTCACCATGTTAGCCAGGCTGGTCTAGAACTCCTGACCTCAGGTGATCTGTCCACCTCAGCCTCCCAAAGTGCAGGGATTACAGGTGTCAGCCACCGTGCCCAGCCCATATTTCTTGTGTAATAGAGTTTCTTTTTTAAGATCAAGGACCCGATCCTACTTTCATTATAGTTAAGTTGCTATCATCTTGACCTCTTCATAACCTAGAGTTGAGGTTCCTTCTACTCACCCACACCTTTCTCTTTTATATAATCTTAATTAAGAAACCCTTTATCAACATTTCTAGCAATTCCCTACACTTTTATGTATGAGGAATTAGAAATTCTGCCAGATGACTTGGAATTAGGCACCTGGAGTTTTTGAAGTATGACAGACCTAGATTTTAACTTTGTTTAACAACTTTCTTAAACTAAGAGGCAGTTTCCTCATCTGAAAAATAAGGTTAATACCTAGCTGATAGGCTTGTTGTGAGATTAAAGGAGACAATGAATATAAAGTGCTTAGTGGCACAGGGTTCAATAATGTAAGCTAATATTGTCCAAGAGTCATGAAATAGAGCTGATGACTAAAGAGGAGTAGAGGATGTTTGCTTGGGTACGTTGGGCTTCAGATTCCTGGGCTTTGTCGAAAGAAAGGAGGAATGTCTAGTCAGACACACGTTTTGGTTGCCAGGTGCTGAAGTAAGACTGATCCCTGCATTTTTCTTTCTGTGAGCTGAGGTTCTGTGGACTCTTCAGAGTCCACAGACTCTTCTCTGAGGGGAGAGAACCCTGTAAATGCGTTATATATTACAAATGTCTGATGAGAGGAGACCTCGAATACTAGATAAAAGGTATGTGTGGAGGACAGTGTGAATACCCTAACAGAGCGTTCCCGCTTCACTATTTTACTTAAGAGTGATACTTAACTTACTGGACAAAAACAGCTTTGAGGTTAAAAAAAAATTTTATCACTGCTTTAAAGTTCACATTAATGAGAAGTAAACAATTGCAAGAGTCAGAGTATCCTAATCATTTAGTTATACACATTTTACTTTTAAAATGCATGATTTCTGTAATTTTGTTTTTGTGTTTAGGTAATTCTAGGTTTTAACGAGGGTTCTGTGTACCTAGAAAAAATAATATGTGCGTCTTTCAAATAGAACATGAGGAAATAGTAGTATTTGCTTTATGGAACCATGAATTCCTACCTCCCAACTAATTTTAAGTAACATGTAAACCAATGTGAATGATGAGTCCACTTTTTAGTCATTAAACAGTAATTGTAAAATGTAGTGAGATTATCAGCCCATGCAAACAACTGTTTAATGCTGTACAACTCAGACATGAACTATTTTGACTGTTTTCAGTCCCAAGAATTTGTTTAAATGAGGTTCCATTCTCTTTATTCTTAACAGATCTCAAGAATCGGGAGGGTGGAAATTTGTAACTGAAAACATGGAATTAGTTCCAAAATATGAATTGATGTTAAGAGCTGGGGTTCTAAAAATCACTTCCTTTTCTTCTGCATGTGAACGTATGGTCGAGTCCTTAAACTTTCTTTCTAAACTTCTCAAAATTCTGGTTATATATAGAAGACCCGCAGTCACAAGGGAGAAAGGGTGGGAACAGAATGTAAATTTTATAGTAGAGAAGATTTACATTTTGCGCTTTCTCACTATTCATTTGCCATTAACAAAGGTTATCTAGCAACTTTAATTTTAGTTTGGGGGGCTAACACGGGTCTTGCAAAAGAAGTTTCCTCTTGAAGCACTTGCTTTAAAAAAAGCCTTTTGGCCACCTTCCCAGGCGGTAGCGAATTAAGCTGCGCAGGCGCCTTGCTTCCCCCTCCATCAACATGTTCGATTGGCCTACGATTGATTACATCATTGGTCCGCGCAACCCTAGCAGGCTTCTGGGCCTGTAGCTGAGCCGAAGCTCTTCCTTTTGCGTAGCGGGGCGGGGCACGATGGTGGCGGGGGGGGAGGGGGGAATTGTTCTACTACGCATGCGCACCGGGGATGGCGACAGGGCCTCTTTCTTTGCTTCTCTCCACAGCTCTTCCCAGCCGGGGGGCTGAGTGCCCTCCCCCTTCTCTCCCTGCCCCTCCCCTTTCTCCCCCCTCACCGCCCAGCGGGGCTTCTAACTGACAGTTGTCGCCGGGCCCCGTCCGTGCACCGCCTCCTTCTGCCCGTGTCCCCCGCAGGTAGAGGGGGGCGGGAGGGGGTGTGAGGGAGAGGAGGAGCCGGAGCCGCCGCTGCGGCCCCCTCCGGGGAGGGGAGAGGAGAACCCCCTTCCTCCTCGCCCCCTCCCAGCCCCCCGCTGGCCCGGGAGGGGGTGGGGCGCCGAGGCCGCGGCGACCCGGCAGGGCCTGGCCGGTGAAGAGCAGGCGGGCGGGGTGCGGAGGGGTGAGGCCGGCGAGGGCCGTGCGCGCGCCGCCGCCGGGGGGGAGGGGAGAGGAGGGCACCTAGGCTCTCCTCTTCTCTCCCCCCTCCTCGCGCGCCATGTAACCCCGCCCCGCCGGCGGTGAGCTCAAGACCCCCGCGCGCACCGAGCCGAGCCGGCGGCTGAGGAGAGCCAGGCCCGATGTGGCGGGGGCTACGCGCCGCGGCCGAGCCGTGAGGAAGCGGCTCGCGCTCACGCGTCCCCCAGCACCTCGAGCGGCTGTTCCACACCGCCCAGCCTAGGCCTGCCGGGGCATGAGTGTGCCCGGGACGCCGGGAGCGATGGAGCCGGCTGGGGAGGAAGAGCGGCCGCCACCGGCGGCCGAAGGAGAGGACGACGAGGAGGAGGTGGCAGCGGCGGCCCAGACCTCAGGGCCGGCCCACGGAAGGAGTGCCTCCTCGCTGGAGGACGCGGACGATCAGGAGGAAGAGATGGAGGCGATGGTGATCGGAGGCGGTTGCTGCAAGGAGCAGGAGCTGACCTACGAGCTACAGCAGGGCTACCGCATCCTGGGCGAGTTCCTGCAGGAGAAGCACCGGGGCCTCACCGCCCCCTTTCTGCAGCCCTTGGGGGGCGTTGCCACCGCGGAGGAGGAGGTGGCGGAAGGGCCGCGCAGCGGGGGCCGGGGCGGTCGCGCCTTCCCGCAGCAGCCCGGACAGGGCATGTGTCTGCTGCAGATGGAAGAGAAGTTCGCCAGCGGCCAGTACGGGGGCATCACCGAGTTCGTGGCGGACTTCAGGTTGATGCTGGAGACGTGCTACCGCCTGCACGGAGTGGACCACTGGATCTCCAAACAGGGCCAGAAGCTGGAGATGATGCTGGAGCAGAAGTTAGCGCTTCTCTCTCGGTAAGCGAGCCCGGTCCCCGGTGGGACTGACAGACTGACACAAACACACACTCACACGTGCCCGAGGATGGGCTGGGCCAGGGGCCTGGGGGCGGCGCTGATAGGTGCTGAGTCGGTGCTGGAGAAGCCCGGGAGGAGGAGCGGCGCTGGGCGGGGACCGGAGGGGTGTGGTGGGTGTGGGCCGAACCCGGCTTGCGCGTAGACTGAGAAGGAAACCCGAGTCTGCAGCGCTGAAGAGCTGGGTATAGTTTGCAGATGTAAAATGGAATGGGTCCCGTAGGAAGAATTGCACGTGTAGGCAGAGGAACAGTTTTTGTGGGATGGAAGTTGGACCTGCAACTTTTAGACAGTTTTAGCATGACATTTAAAACAGCGTTTAGGATGAAATATCTCTAGAAAAATAATTTTGGCTTATGTAAAAAGGTGTCTTAAACCATTAAAAAATAATTTTATCATTTACTACCCATGTCGGTCATCGAAGATTTATGGAGTGTTACTAAATGGTTAATGGTTACTTTTGCATACTACTGATCTTTTCTCTCCGTTTCATCTGAGGACACCCAATTTTTGCAATAATAGGGAATGCATCAACACACATTTTTTAAAGTTTATACATTTATGTTTATTCTACCAGAAATCATAGGCAAGTCAGATGATACTGTGCTCTTGGTATCCGCCACCCATATATCCAATTATTTAACACAAGAGGAGGATACTAAAATGAATGTATTGTTTTATAATAATTGTATAGTCTGTGTCAGCCAAGTTAATTTCTAAAGTTTAAATTTTTCGGGAGTGGAAAAATTCAATGTTTTTGGTATTGGTAGTTGAAGTGGAATAGTAGTTTGACTGTTTACTATTAGAGTGAATTTAAGTTGAGCAAGTCACTTAACCTTTTTGGCCTCAGTTTCCTCATCTATCAAGCGGGGATAATAATAGTACTTCTCTCATAGAGTTGCTTTGAGGATTTAATGAGTTAATAAATGTGAAATCAACAGTGCTGCTCCCATAGTTAGCCAAGTATAAGTGTTAGCCATTTTAATGTAAGTAGTAGCAGTCGTTGAATAATATGAGTGTATACTTCATATCTGAAACGGCATTATACTTGTGCTCTTACAGAATAGCTCCTAGAAATTGTGTTAATTTTTTGGTTCTTGATTTGTCACTGTAATTTAAAAGTAACCTTTGTCATTGGCTTCCCATATGCCATTTTCAAGACTAACGGTGATTTTTTTCACCAAAAACAGTTAACATAGTGCCTGTCTTCGTTAAGTGAGCTCTCTTTAAGGAACCTCTTCTTGAATCCTTTCATAGAGTAGGATTATTTAGTAATAGAATAATTATTCACATATTTGCTTTGTAAATTACTTTTAATACTTTAGTAATTTTGTATTTCTGTAGTGTGTTTGTTACCCTTGTCTCCACAGTGCATTATTGCTGTGACTCACATAAAAAACAATCCATTCACGTTATTATTTTGAAGTTATGAAGTATCCTCCTGATTGATGTCACAAGATTTTAGACCTGGAAGAACCTTAGAGTTCATCTAATCTATCAGATGTGGGAATAATGATTTAGAATGAGGCAAGAGAATGACTGAATGAAAGTGCTAAGAGATAGCATATGGGTTTGAATTACTGGTGTTTTCAAAAGCTCTGTGTGTAATAAACATTTATTTATTTATTTTATTTTCTCTGAGTCTCCCTCTGTAGCCCAGGCTGGAGTCCAGTGGCGTGATCTCAGCTCACTGCAACCTCCGCCTCCCGGGTTCAAGCGATACTCGTGCCTCAGCGTCCCGAGTAGCTGGGGTTAGTTGTCACCGCGCCCGGCTAATCTTCGTATTTTTGGTAGAGATGGGGTTTCGCCATGTTGGCCAGGCTGGTCTCAAGCTCCTGACCTCAGGTGATCCGCCCGCCTCGGCCTCCCAAAGTGCTGGGATTACAGGCCCTAGCCACCGCGCCCGGCCTATAATAAACATTTCTTAGTCTTAAAAAAGAGCAGACTAAGAAACTACATAAAGGTAAATTTCTAAATGCTTAGAATCATCATTCTCAGTCGTTAATGCTCAGAATACTTATATTCCCATGTGATCTAATAGTATCCATATTTAGAAATTAAACTTACAACATTGTAGTTTATAAAAATAATGTATTTCTGACATTCTTAGGCCAGTAGAGGTAAAATTCTTGCTATTTTAGTAGCAAAAAGTAGTATGACCTCAAATAGTTAATTAAAGTTGGAGTCCCTCGCTTTTTTGTATTTGATGTATGCAAACACATCAGGTTTGCGAGACCACACTTGTGGATACTAGGACATCAGTTCTTCTAGCCTAAAATCTGAGTCATTACTAACTGCTTCCAATGGGCACAACTTTGAGAAAAGCATAGGTCACAACTGTTTGAAATGCAACTAAGGTATATAGATGTTTCAAAACAATATTCTATAGAGTGTTCATGGGAGTGTGATTTTCAGCATATAGATGACTCATAGCTTATTTGTAAATATCTCAAAGTGGTATATGGTATTTTAGAAATGAAACCAATGAATCACTTAGATATTATTTGAATTTTCCGTTGACTTCTGGAATATATTTGTAAGACACTAAAGGAACTTATTTTCAAAGTGTAAAGAGACTTTAAAGCCGTTCCCTATACTGCTGAGCTTTCTAGTGAGCAATAAATGAGGTATATTAGGTAAAGAGGATACCACATTCTCATTAGAGAGCAGCCCAATAGCATTAGTACCCTGGACACAGCATATAACTTGAATCTCAGTTTCCTTATCTGTATAATGAGGGTGTTAGGGTAGAATAATTGTGCAAGTATTTAAGTATCTTCTAGAATTAGGCATTCATGTCCCTGAGATCAAAAGATAAGTTCCCTGCCCTTAAGTGGTTTGTAGTTGAGTAGGGAAACAGTTACTTAAAAATAGAATAATTCTGTAATGGATATATGAACAAAGTACAAGAGGAATTTAAAGGAAGATGACATAAATCTGAAGCGGAAGGGGTGAATGTGGGGATGACAAGTGAGACGAGGTAAGGAAGAGAAAGAGACTAGTCTATCATAGAGGTGTTTATATTTGAATTGATTCTTGAAGGAGTTGAATATTACTACTGAACTTTTTAGGAAGGTTTAACTGGGGCATTCCGAATGCTGAACTACAGTGAGTGCAAGGCATGAAACAGCATAGTATTTCTGGAAACTACAAATACTTCTGTATGCTTCACTGTGGTTTCCAGAGTAGTCTCAGCATCTCAGGAAGTAGACAGGATGACCCACTGGGGTGAGAGAAGAAAATATTAGGACTTAAGTATGTTCTGTTATTATTTTACCTTTTGAAATATCTTTTTGTTTGCTTTTTGTGATGCTTAAAGCAGCAATGCATGTAATCTATAAATAATTTATAAATATTTATGATTTTTATATTATCTATATATATTTTCAAGAGAAGTAGGACTAAAATTCAGGTCTGCTCTTTCAGTTTCCAAAAGCTGATTAATTCTCAGAATGAATTCCAAATTGGGCTACTGGTGTGTATATTGCCTTTTTCAAAGGCGGTAACATATTTTGAAAGTCCCAACACAGATTTTTAAATTTTTAGTATCAAAAATACAGTTTTGACCACGCATTGCTATAGATACAATTTTCTCTGTTAGATAACATATCTATTCTCAAGAAAGTTATATTTTAGAAGGGATCTCATTCATCCATTTGAGGCAACTGTGAGAAATAGCAATTAACATTAGAAACAGGGAGAAGATCATCTAAGTGGAAAGGAATAGAAAATAATAGGAAATTATGAAAAGAACTTTAGAGAACGTCAAATATTAGTATGAATTTTTACCTCTTCCAAAACTGATTTTTAAATGATGATATTTTTGAAAACTTTAAGAATATTGCCATGTAGGCTGAAGATGGCTTTTTCTAGTTTTGAAAGGCTGTCATTAGAAAAGATGCATCACCAGTGACACTAATAAAGCTAAATTTAAATTTTTAATTTTGCCATTTATGATAATATCTTGGTGAAAATAAGCTTGTGTATAGCTTTGTTAAAATTATTCTTGATTTCCATATTGTTACTGTTAAAAAATGGTACATGTATGGGATAAAAAGGCTTTCTTAAAATATAGCTGAAGATTATTTGGTTTTGTGATTGCTTTTTAGTTGGCAGAATATTTTTTGGATTGGGGTAAGAGTACAGCATACTTTGCCAAGTGTGGCAGCTCACGCCTGTAATCCCGGCACTTAGGGAGGCCGAGGCGGGTGGTTCACTTGAGGCCCAGAGTTTGAGACTAGCTTGGCCAACATGATGAAACCCCATCTTTACTTAAACAAACAAACAAAAAAAATTAGCCAGGTGTAGTGGCACACACCTGTAATCCCAGCTACTTGGGAGGCTGAGGCATGAGAATCACTCAAACCTGGAAGATGGAGATTGCGGTGAGCCGAGATGGTGCTGCTGCACTCCAGCCTGGGTGATAAGAGTGGAAAAAAAAAAAAAAAAAGTACAGCATCCTCATGAAGGCTCAAAAATTTGAAAATAGATGTTTCCAAGTACAAGTAGTAATCAAATTAAAAATGAATTTTTATTTTAATCTTTTCCTAAGTTAAATTTGAATTCTTACTGGCTTGCTTATCCTCAGTCAAGATCAAAACCTATAAAGTAATTGGAAATTTTAACAAAATGTTTATTTCTCCTCAGTAAATCTCACCCATCCTACCTACCACTGGATTCTGTAATGCTTTTTTTTTTATATAAATCTTTACAAATTGGGGATCTTTGGTAATAGAATCTGGATTTGCCTCATGTTCAGAACCTATGGAATGTTACAGCTTGATATTCCATGTAGTTCTATTTATTATAGTAGCCATTCTTTAAAAAATAGTGTTATTTCAAGAAGGTTCAGAAAATGTTTTAAGTGCAGTAACAGAAGTATGAAAGAGTTCAATTAACAAGACATTTATTGAGCACCTGTTTTGTTCTAGGGTTTGGGGGGCAGTCCCCACCCCCAACAGGTTTAAAAGATGGTAGAAAGAAACACATATACAGGCATAGTAAAAGGTAAAGTATGTTTAAACCATGAGTCTCAAACGTGTTCCATTGTCAGAACACTTAGAAGTCATGGTACTATTTTCACAACATCCTGAAATATGTTTTTAATTATATCATGATTTTTTTGCTAGGACATCTAAAAGGTTTAAAACAAATAATGGGAGGGAACCCTTAATTGAAGAAATTCTATGTAGTGTCTTAGTTTTTTCCCCCTACAAATTGGGAAAACATAATCACTTTCAGATTTTAGGTGATAAATCTTGGTTCAGCTCATGAATGACCATGTTCCAAGGAGCATACTTTGAGGATGTATACTACCGTGATGAGCTATATTATAGTGTGCAGAGGAGGGATAACTATTGGGAGTGGATAGCTGGGATTAAAAATATTTTATTAGATTTTATTCAAGAGATTGTAGTTTTTGAGCTAGGTTTTGAAGAGTGGGTAGAATAATGATAGGTGAAGATGTGTAGTTCATTGAACAATTATTTGAACTATTATGTGCTAGATAATATGTAAAGCCCTGTAGATACAATGACAAACATTACCTTGTCCCTTCAAGGTGATAGGTAAACAGAAACACATAATTAAAAGTTAGGTATTTGGAGGCATAATTAAAAGTTAAAGTACGGAGGCAGGAGAGTACAGAGTAGTCTAGGGGAACAGTTTATACCCAGTGGTTAGAGTATAGGATGATGAGGATATGTAGTGGCAGCTAAGTCTAGAAAGATAGTCTGGGGCCAATCATAAAGTACCGTGAATGCTTGCTAGGGAATTTAGAATCTAGGCAGTGTAGATCCATCACAGGTTGCGACTAAGGGAGTAACGTGAAGATTTTACTAGTAGTATTTTGAGGTTTGAAGGCAGAAGTGAAAGGACAATGAGGGAAGAAAACCAATTAAAAGATTATTGAGTTAATTCCATCAAGAGATAATAAACAGTAGGAATAGAAAGGTGGATGGGGATACAAAAGAGGTAAATTCAACAGGTATCAGTGGTAAATGGCAAACTGTTGAATGTGGAGTATGAAGGAGCAGATGATGTCCAAAATGAATAGAAGCATTTGAGCCCAGCTGGTGGTGATGCTTAGGGGACCTGAGAGGAGGCATTCATTTGAAGATACCCAGCTGAGAATTATAAGAGTGCATGTGGAGTCCAGCATAGTGACAAGGGCTAGAGAAGTTTAATTAGAGGGTAACTTGCTGAAGGATGATAAAGAAATAGAGTAAATGAAATTGCCCAGGACAGAGTCTAGTAAAAATACAAGGGAGCCAATGGCAGAACTTTGTGTGAGGATTGAATGTCTTCAAACTGAAAAGAAAAAAGATTAGGGTTATGATTAAAATATGTATAATGTATATTAAAAGCTGAAATGCTTAATTTAGAAAAGGGAGTTAATGAAGCTGAAAAGAATTTATTCTGGAATAAGTAAAAAGGTATTATTTGAAATATGCTGAACTTACAGACTATTATTTAAAAAGATTGTTCTTCCATTTGAAAATATTAATTTGAGAATGATTTAGAATTAAGACAATAAAAATGTCCTAACAGATTCTAATGTATTTTGCCTTATAGTTTGTTTCTCCTTATATTTGTGCCCTTGTATTTATTTTTATTTCCCAGAAGAACACTAGAGCAGGGAAGAAAAATCATATCTTGGAGAGAAAATGTCATCCCTTTCATAGTTTTATTTTAGCTTTCAGATGATCTTTAGGCTGTCTCTGTAAGATGAGAGTTGCCCAGAACAAATAATAGCCATTTTCATTTTCCAGGAACTTGTATAATAATATGAATCTTAAAATTCATGTTAAGTTACCAGAAGTTTTTTCTTTTTAATTGGGAAAGGCTAATAAGCCCCAGTGGTAGTATCTGTCACCAAACCCTTTGTTATATCGTCTTCCACCTGAGACCTATGAATGTTCCAGAAATAAGCATGCATTACAGTCAGAATATTAAGTATGTACACTTTGAAAAAAGATTCAGGAAAACCAAGAAAATGTTAGTAGTTGTTATTGTTAACTAGAAAGATCCTAGGTAGTTTTCATTTTCTTCTTTTAACTTTTCTATATGTCCTAGATATTCTACAATAAGCATATTACTTTTATATTAAAAATGTATTTTATTGAAAGGAAGTTAATATTTACAATTCTGAATAAACCATACAAGTTAAAAATTGAACACAGACAACATACCCTCCCTTAAGGGATGGACACAGTGTTCAAAAGCATGCAAGAAGGTAGTATGTGGTTAATGTGGTAAGACAAGTTCAGTTCATTATTTTTAGCATATATTTACAATGCTTATTATTTGATAGGCACTATAGGGAGATTCAAAGATGGATATAGAAAGACACAAGTGGATAAACTAAATTGGTGTAGAGGTTATTCAGGCAATAAGAACACCATATCTAAAAGTGCAAAGGCAAAAAGAGCTACTGTGTGTAGCTAGGGAATGGCCAGTAGTTTAGTTTGGCTAGAGTGTAATTATATGTAGAAAAGTAGTGACAGGTGTGACGGTGAGGGCCAGATTATGTAGCCAGATCACAGAGGGCCTAATATGCTGTGCTAATATTCGGGAGTTGTATGAAGGATTTTAAGCTAGGGAATTACAAGGGATGCATAGATGAAATGAATTAGAGAAGGAGAAAACTAGACTCAATTTGATCTTTTCCCATCCTTTAATTTTCAGCTTTGCTTATTCTTGACTTCCGAGTTAAAAGTATTGCGTTTGACTATGTTTCTTTTAGGTCTGGTGATTATATATATATAAATGTATCAGGAAAAATTAGTTTTATATATAGCAGAAATCCTAGAGCAATGCTAGATATAAGAGAAATTTTGCCAAATTGAGATAATATGCTAGATTTACATCTCCAAATAATTTGTCAGACTTAGTTGTTTTGTTTCTTTGAATAATTTCAATCTTCTCTCTGTTCTCAGGGAAAAAAATATGTTAAATACATAATTTTATCAGTTTAAGTTAGTCTACTACCAAGTTGTTTTTAGCAACTTTGCCAATAACCAAAAAAAGAATTATGGCAAATATAATTAATAAATTATAAACATATTGACAATATCAATATGCTTAATTTGACAGCTTAGTTTTTATAGACACAAATTTATATTTGTAACAGTTTAATACTTATAAGAACATAATCCTTAAAAAATACAACGTTGCTAGTAGAAGGTATTTAAAAACTATTAAATATGATAGTATTTCAAGGTATTCCACAGACTACTGACAAGTATGAGAACCATTTATATTCTTAAGTTTATCTAAATCCTTCGTACAATTCTAGTACGCTAGTGATTTCTACTACTTATTAATTCCAGGCTAGGAAATTTGATTGATAGTAATATTTAAGTCAAAGCTCTTAATCATATCCAAGACTTATTTTAAAAGTTTCATGAGAAGAGTATATAAATTATAGGATAACTGAAATCTCTTAATTTTTTACTAACAATTTAAACCCTTTTTTATCTCATATGTACACATGTATTATTTACTTACACCCAAAAAAATTAAATGCAAAGTTTGAGTTTGCTATATAGCACTTAATCATCATGCTTGGTTGCTTATGAACAAAAGCTGTAAGGATTGAGAGAAAGGAGTCTTTTCTCCTGAGAGACAGACTGGAGAGAAAAGGATCATAAAAGATTTGAAGGAGTAGGGAGCATTTAGATACCTGTGGTGGTAGGATTGACAGTATTTGCAATATAGATTATTAAAATGTTATGTGTATACATATTATGGAAATCTAAAGGAAATAGTTGAATTGTAACTAATATATGTAGACTTTTTAGCAATCCAGTGATTAGTGTTTATATTCGTAATAGTTTATTAATTAAAATGTGTACATCCTGGGGCAATAATAGAACAGTACAAGAGAAAATCTCCCTCTTTCACCAGTCTCCAGGTCTCCTACTGTTAAGAGGCCAATCCTACTGTTAATAGTTTCTTTTATCCAATTGAGTGTCCAGTAGCCATCTCAAACTTTAACATGTTCAAAACAGAACTTTTCTTTTTTTTGTTTATTTTTACTAAGTTTAGTCTTAGAGATTTGACCATCCACCAAATTGCTCTAGCCAAAAAAATAGCATTTTTCATTGATTCTTCCTACTTCTAAAGTATATTTTAAATCTTGCCTATTTCTTTCTATTGTTACCACTTAAGTAAGTGTTCTTGACTGTCCTTTACAAAACGTACAGTATGTAACTTATAGTTTGAACTTATTTATTATGTATTGTGTGTGCTTACTTTTTGTGTATCTTCTTTGCTATCCATGTAAGCTCAGAGCAGACAGGAATGTTGTCTGTGTTGTTGCCAAACCTACCCCACTACCTATAAGTGCTTAGTTAATATTGAATGAAGGAATGAATGAATGGATGGATGGATCTGCCTGAAATTTGTTTTGGTGAAGAAGTGAGGTTGAAATCCAGCTTAATTTTTTTCTCAAATACCCAGCCAGTTGTCGCAACATCAACTTTCTCCATTATTTTGAATTACCATGTTTATGATATATTATTGGTGTATTTGGATCTATTTTTCTTTATCATATGTCTCTGGTGTACTTGGATCTAACTTTCTCTGGTGTGCTGTTGATCTAACTATTCATCTTCTGATATTAAACTTTATTACTGTGACTTTAGAATTTATTTTAATATATTTGGTAGAGTGAGTCCTCTGTCAAAAAAAAAACCCATTTTTTCATGTATTTATTTTTCCATTAGATATGTGGCTTTTAAATAAGTATAGCAGAAGCAACATTTGCATCACCCATGTTTTGTTCACTTCGCATAAGAAATATGCAAGAAAACAATAAAAATCACTAGTTTGTGGGGAATAAGAGTGGTATTCTTCTCATTCATGAAGTGAAAGATGAAAAGTTGATAGCATTACTTATTTTCTGTAGACACTGTAATAGCCACTTGCTACATTCTTCTCATTTTAATTATGTCCTTAGCTCTTGCCAAGTCCCTATATCTCTTTGTTAAGACCTGTTATTTCAGGTAGGCAGGCGCTAAGACTTGCTCTAGCTTTCCTGCCTTTCTTCCTTGTGCCATTGTCTGAATCTGAAAGTGTCCTAAATTTACAATCAGCTACTTTAAAGCCTCATCAATGCTTAGGAGATAAATAGAAGAGTTGGCCAGGGACAGGAAGCCAAGGTATTTACCTGCGTACTTTGCAGACTCATTACATTTTTAGCATCTTCTAGGGAACATTAGCATATTGAGACAGTATGAGAGTTAGTGACCTAGAGAGCTTCTGTTCTGCCTGCATTGAGAACTCCTGAGAAGTAGGAATAGCTGTAGCAGTAGTAGTATGTTCAGCAGAGCAGCCCTAACTTACTAAAAATGCTTATCACACTTGTCAAGGTTGATAAGGCACTTTTCAAATACTGTTTGTCTGTAAATAAAAACTTTGCATTTGCCTTTGTGCCTTTCCTAAATTCAGAAAAACAGAATAAATATATTCTAAGCAAAACGATTTTTTAAAAATTAGTTACATGGCTCGGGCATGGTAGCTCATGCCTATAATCCCAGCACTTTGGGAGGCAGAGGTGGGCAGATCACCTGAGGTCGGGAGTTTGAGACCAGCCTGGCCAATGTGGTGAGAGACCCTGTGAAATCCCAACTCTACTAAACATACAAAAATTAGCCAGGCATAGTGGCATATGCTTGTAATCTTAGCTACTTGGGAGACTGAGGCACAAGAATTGCTTGAACCCAGGAGGCAAAGGTTGCAGTGAGCTGAGATTGTGCCATTGCACTCCAGCCTGGGTGACAGAGTAAGACGTTGTCTCAAAAACAACAACAACAACAAAAAAAAAAACCAAGTTACATGGTCTTCAGTTGTTCTTTGGGGCGTTATGTCATTTACCTGTTGCTGTTGCAGAAATGAATAATGGCTTTGGAAGGTTTTGTTTGTATTCTTCTCCTCTGGAGAGGAATAAATACATTTATTTTTATATATGTATTTATTTACTGTTGTTGTTTAATGGCTTTACTTACCACTAAGGGCTCCTAAATCAGTATCTTGAACCCCCCGCCTTTAGTTTTAGTTTCATATTTTTGTCCATAGAACTTTTCCAGTTGGTTGTGTAATTGTTATCTCAAAATGTTAAAAACTGAGTATATTTCTAGCCCAAATCTCCTTCCCAGTTTTCCTGTTTTTCTTTTTGACTTTTCACATTTTTGTCAGTGGTGTTATCATTGTTTCAGCCTGAATGTATCAGTCATCTTTGATGTTTATACTTTTAATTCCATATGTACAAATTGTTAGCGTGTTCTTTGCTAAATCCCTGTGGCTCAGTAAATATTTTGATGAATATATTTGAATAATATGAATGAATATTTTTGTCTTTATTTAGTATTCTCTCTCCACTCTTTCCTATCTATCTAAAACTGTTCTTTCTGCAAAGTCCAATTCAAGTTCTTAACAAAGGGTGACCAGATAGGGTATAGAAAGGTTGACTAAAATAAGAACTGAAAAATACCCTTTGCATTTCCTAACTGGGAGATCTCTGGGAAGAGGGATTTCAGTGGAGTAGCTCCAAGCAGATGCCACATTATAGATTGAGATGTGAATGAAAGATGAATTGGATCAGCAGTTTAGATGTTCCTCAGGGAAACTTGGACTTGTTTATATGCTAAAGCAGCTAACAGACAGAGAAAGAGAGTTTGAAGGCTCAGAAGATAATTAATGAAATACAAATTCTGAAGACCTGTGTAGTGATTCATTTTTCATTAGAGGATTGGAGGCACATTTTTCACTGAAACATAAAGTAAGGATGGGCCTGGATTTAGATAATTTTGGTTTTTGAGAAGCAGGAAGTTAATGGAGCTCTTACTTAAAAACTGCCGTTTTCTCTGAAATAAGTTATGGGCAGTCACCTGCGAGAAAGTGATGGAATGAAGCTTTTGAATAGTGGTAGCATTTGGGCCGGCATGGTGGCTCACGCCTCTAATCCCAGCAATTTGGGATGCCAAGGCGGGTGGATCAACTGAGGTCAGGAGTTCGAGACCAGCCTGACCAACATGGAGAAACCCCGTCTCTATTGAAAATGCTGAAAATTAGCCGGGCGTGGTGGCATATGCCTGTAATCCCAGCTACTCAGGAGGCTGAGGCAGGAGAATTGCTTGAACCAGGGAGGCGGAGGTTGCAGTGAGCCGAGATGGTGCCATTGCACTCCAGCCTGGGCAACAAGAGCGAAACTCTGTCTCAAAAAAAAAAAAAAAGAAAAATGATAGCATTTGAAGTTGCTGTTATGGAGAATGAAAGAGGGAGTTGACCACCTTCAAAGAAGTCATATTAGGTACAGTTGAGCCCAGCTGAGGTTATAGTTAGACAACAGATTATAAGGGGATTATTTTTTCTACCCTGCTCAGTAGGAGAAGTATAGGAGTGAAGGGGCCTTTGGCTGAGATTTAAGAGAGAGGCTACATGCCTGAGACAGAAATATAATTGGTCCAGGGAGATAAGAGAAGAGGTTAGTCATGTATTATGGGTCTCAACTGGTTATCTATGTGAATAGCTAAAAGAAGTTGAATTATGTTACAGCAAATGAGAGTCAGACAAGGGACTGGAGGTCTGAAGGAAGACGAAAAAGAAATTCAGGGGGAATAAGGTAATGACTGGGAAAATAGAAGGTAAAAATCAAGTAGAAAGTAAGTTTAATGGTCTTTAATAAGTGCTTTTTTGTGGGTATGAAGACTACTTCTTTTCCTGAAAACCTTTTTGTGTGTGAGGTAGCTTATAGCTGCAGATAAGAGCAGTGGTCTCCAGACTTTCATGATCTGGCTTCTCAAGCAGCAAACATTTTGAATATATACCTTCGATTATGCATATTTATTTATAAATCATATATGGATACTTTACTATTATGTTTTATATATTATAAAACATAAGCTAAGCTAGATACTTAAAATGAGAGAGTAAATAAGCATATTTAAAAAATTTTTTAACATTATTGATGGTATAAAAAGTTTTTGGTGAGGGCATTGTGATACTTCATTAGTTTTGAGAATCTTGGTTTCGTACTTGGCTGTAGAGCTATTTGAAAGGCTTGTTTTAAGTTAGGTTTATTTTGATACTTGGTTTTAATGGCTGTTGTAGCACAGAGCTTGTAAAGATACATAAATGTAGACAGAAGCTTAGATGAATGATGCTTATCTATCAAATATGCAAATTTTTTTGTCAGAATTCCCCAGTAAAATTTTCTGTCTTTCCTAATTTAATTAGTTGTTCTTGGAAAGTATTTCTAAGGTGTGCTGTGCTGTTAATCTCCATTTGCCCCTGTAAATGCATTTTCTACCCTTGTGCACTGTGCTCTGTGCCCCAGAAGGCTGATTTATAAGGATCAAACTGGTATGCCTTGACCTCTGACTTCTGATTGGGTTCAGCCAATAGGAGGGACTGACAGGAGGACAGAGAGGACAGACATATTTATTCCTACAGCTTCCTTTTTGCTGGGTTGCAAGTTGTCAGAAACTGTGCTCCATCGTTATGGCCTTCTCCTACAGTCACCGCTCTCTGGGTTCCAGTAACTATTCACTCTCCTACCCATATTGGGCTTAGAGTGGTAAAATAGTTCTCTGCTGTGGCTAGCACTGGAGTGCTTCACTATCCCTTCCTATTTTCTCTCAACCTTGCCTGCACATTTGTAAATAGTCCCTTCATTAAATAAACATCACATCTTTTTACATATTATCTATTTCTTTCCAGGACCCTTAGGGCTAAAGTTGCATTTTAATATTTTTAAATGGATAGGTGAACTAAGTGATTGAAACTCTTCATTTAGTTGTTTTTTTTTTTTTTTTTTTTTTTTAATGGAGTCTCACTCTGTCACCCAGGCTGGAGTACAGTGGTGAGATCTCGGCTCACTGCAGCCTCCGTCTCCCAGGTTCCAGTGAGTCTCCTGCCTCAGCCTCCTGAGTAGCTGGGACTACAGACGCATGCCACCGTGCCCAGCTAATTTTTTATTATTAGTAGAGATGGGGTTTCACCATGTTGGCCAGGCTGGTCTCAAACTCCTGACCTCATTTGATCCACCCGCCTTGGCCTCCCAAAGTGCTGGGATTACAGGCATGAGCCACTGCGCCTGGCTTCATTTAGAATATTTTTAAACAGATTAGATAACCATGAGTTTTGAGTGTGCTGATAGAATTTTTATAGGTGACACATGTACATTGTTTTTGATAGCAAAAGAAAAATCACATAATGCAAAAGTGTTCAAACATCTATTTTTAGTAGGGGAGTAGGTGTCAGTTTGTATGTTAACTATAAGTAAAGCTTAATATCAATTCACTTTCTTGTTAAGACTTATTGTAATAATTTTAAACAGAATCAAGCCTCTGAATTCTGAAATTTGGAATGTATTAACACAGAAAAGACTTTACATGCTTTGTGTTAAAAAAAAAAAAAGGGGGAGAAAGAAAGTAAACGTAAAACTCAATAAGTAACCATAATTATTGGTTAGTGTTTGCTTATGGATGGCAGCATATTATTATTTTCAAACTACTGTCAGATTTCATGAAATGATTTCCCTAATAGACAGAAAAAAAGCTTGAATTTTTGCAACGGGAGAGCTATTTTAGTGTGTTTTTTTGCAATGGGAGAGCTATTTTAGTGTATTTATTTGGCCATTGATTATTTGACAACCCTATTTGAAAGGTAAATTTATTTTTTTATCTTATTTTATTCACTGATTAATGGAACTCAAGTAGATAGTAACATGTTTAATCGGGATTCTTTTACTATGGACAATATAGATGACTGGAATTTTTAAACCTTAATTATGTGTGTGAATTTAAAATGGAAAATAAATAACTTGGCTTGTGTTCTTCCAAATACTTTCTATGCGCATATAGATATATAGGGCACAGTTTGAGGGCATGATGACAGTCATTAACAAAACAAAGTTCCTATCCTCCTGGAGCTTTCATTTTGTTAGATAATTACCAAAAAAATAGTAATTATATAATGCAGTGTAGTGATAAGTGACATGAAAAAGAAACTAGTGTAAGAATAGAGAGTGATAGGGTATCGTTTATTAAATAAGTTAGGGAAGGTCTTTCAGATGTTGTGGCATTTGAACAGAGACTTGAATGAAGTGATAGAGTGTAGCCATATGAGTATCTGGAGGAAGAGTGTCTTAAAGGAGAGTGATCAAGTGCAAAGATGCATGGAAACAGTTGTGTTGGTATGACTGAGAATAAAATGGAGAGTTTTGTAGCTGGAATACAAAGAGCTAAGGTCAGAATGGCAGAAAATTAGGCCTGGAGAGGTAGGCGAAGGCCATATCATGCTAGGTCTTGGAGATCATAAGAACTTTAGGTTATTCTAACTGAAAGACTTTGGAGGAGACAGAGCAAGGTAGTGGCATCTGATTTGCCTTTTTTTTTTTTTTTTTTTTTAAGACAGAGTCTTTCTCTGTCGCCCAGGCTGGAATGCAATGGCACGATCTTGGCTCACTGCAACCTCCGCCTCCTAGGTTCAAATGATTCTCCTGCCTCAGCCTCCCGCGTAGCTTGGACTACAGGTGCACGTGCCATCAGGCCCAGCTAATTTTTGTATTTTTAGTAGAGATAGGGTTTTACCATATTGGCCAAGCTGGTCTGGAACTCCTGACGTCAGGTGATCCACCTGCCTTGGCCTCCCAGTGTGTTGGGATTACAGGCGTGAGTGACTGCACGCGGCCCTGGTTTGCTTTTTAAAAGGATTACCTGGGTTACTATATGAGTAGACTCTAGGAATATCAGAGCAGAAGCCAGGAGGCCTGTCACAAAGCAACTGCAGTAGTCTAGATGAGAGTTTGAACTCATGCGTGTACAGACACACTACTAGATGCATGTACAGATACACTACTAGATGTATGCGTACATATCATATGAAAACTAATACACATATGGCATCTAGTAGTGTGTCTGTACATGCATGATATATATATATATATATATACACACACACACACAAAACACACATGCACATATATAATTATTTTTGGGTTAAAAAATATATTTTGTTCAGAAACTTCTTTTTTACATTTAGCAGTGTAATATGGACATCTTTAACAGTGAATACATATACATATACTTGATTCGTTTTAATGGATGGATGCTCTTCCATGTTGTAATGTTCAGTACATTATTTAATCTGTCTCATATTGAAAAACATTTATGTTTCCAGTGTTTTAAAAAATAACAGGCAATATTCTGAGTGTTCTTGGTTGTAGTTGTTGAATTACATCTGTTGGATAAATTCCGAGAAGCATGGTGGGTCAAAGGATATGTTCATGTTAAACTTTAATGATTATTACTAAATTGACTGCTAGAAAGACTGCCAGTTTACACTTCTACTAATGTTGTTTAAGAATTTTTCCTTCCTTACATCCTTTCCAACCCTGAGTAATATCAGTCTTTTTTATCTTTACATGTTGGTGAGAGAGAAGCAGCACCATGGTTGGTTGGATTTTCTTTTAATTATGAGTAATAAATATCAAAGCTCATAAATTTTAATTTCTGATGAGTAATAAAGGATATTACTTTCTCTTTGGTCTTTGTTCTGAGAAAATACTGATTTAGAAAGTTTATACCTTTATCTTATCTACTTATAAAACTGAAATTAAAGAGTAAAATACAGTTTCTGACCTTATGTAACAATTTAGCCATATAACTTGCCATTTTTCTCAGTTTTCCTTATCCCCAGTGTTCTGTGTACTTACTGAATTTTTATCCTCAATGCTCTACATACCTGCTGTGACCTCTGAGATGTCATTATTTTTCAATGCAATATTGTCCATTAATGTTCTCTTTCATCAGTATTGAAGAAGTAGTTAAAATTATATAGCTAATTAATTAACCTACTAAAAATATTATACTAAAATAAATTAAAGTACACCCATTCAGTATCTGTTGTTGCCAGTTGGCTATCTTCCCTGGGTCCGCAATTCCTTACTTCCGGCCCAATTAGCTATCATACAGATGTATGCCATTGTATACTGAAGGATCACAGCCTAAAATGGTATGCTAGATTAGCCCAAATTCTTCAGTATTTTTGGAAAACCAATTTAACATTCATGCCCTTATTAAAGCTGAATTAGTTATAGTGTTATCACCGTATAACAGAGAAAACACATAATGGTGCTACAGTTTGGTAGAATCCTACACTCATACTGTTCATGGGACCTAGATGGCACTGAGGGTAAGGTTGTTACAAAGTTATTCTAATTTAGTGTAATAAATCACTCTGGACATAGTCCAAGGAGGACAGGACTTCAATTATTATATTTTATGTCATAAAGATTTATGTTTGGCTGGGTGGGGTGGCTCATGTCTGTAATCCCAGCACTTTGGGAGGCCAAGGTGGGCTGATCGCTTGAGCCCAGGCATTCAAGACCAGCCTGGGCAACATGGTGAAACCCTGTCTCTACAAAATTACAAAAGTTAGCCAGGCGTGGTGGCACATGCCTGTGGTCCCAGCTACTGAGGAGGCTGAGGTGGGAGGATCACCTGAGCCCAGGGAGGTTGAAGCTGCAGGATCATACCACTGCACCCCAGCCTGGGTGACAGAGTCTCTGTCTCAAAAAAAAAAAAAAAAAATTTACATTTTAATGAACCTTTAGCCTATTTTATGTTAAAGCCTGTAGGAAAGCAGGGAAATATAACTATAGGGTCAACTTTTAATTTATATAAATTTTCTTTTTTTTTTTTTTTGAGGTAGGAACTCTGTCACCCAGGCTGGAGTGGAGTGGTACGATCTCAGCTCATTGCAGCCTCAACCTCCCAAGCATCGGTCCTCCCACCTTAGCCTCCCAAGTATTAATATATTAATAATTGGATCTACAGGTGCTCACCACCATGCCTGACTAATTTTTGGATTTTTTTTTTTTTTTTTTTTTTTTTTTAATGAGACAGAGTTTCTCTCTTGTTGCCCAGGCTGGAGTGCAGTGATGTGATCTCGGCTCACCACAACCTCTGCCTCCTCCTGGTTCAAGTGATTCTCCTGCCTCAGCCTGCCGAGTAGCTGGAATTACAGGCATGCGCCACCGCGCCCGGCTAATTTTGTATTTTTAGTAGAGGCAGGGCTTCTCCGTGTTGGTCAGGCTGGTCTCAAACTCCTGACCTCAGATGATTCGCCTGCCTCGGCCTCCCAAATTGCTGAGATTGCAGGCATGAGCCACTGCACCCGGCTGTTTATAATTTTTTCAAAGTGTTTATGTATCATTTTACATTTTCTTTTTCCAAATGTTTCTGTATTATTGTACATTTTCTCGTACCAATAATAGATAGTATGAAATACATTGCAAACAATAAACTTTGTTTTCTATTAAAGAGATAGTGCTTTAGTCAATATTTTAAATGCTTCAGTCTCAGATTTTTTTTTTTAATGCAGGGAAGAGACTGTCACTCTGATTTTATGACATAAGGAGTATGAGAAATTGTGTAGGGAGGATAAAAAGTTAGAACAAAGCTAAGTAAGTAAGGTTTAAATACTTTTATGTATTTAGCAAAAGGGATTCTTAAGTTGCTGGCTAAGGGGGTTTATTGCTTATCCAGAAGATTTGACCTTGTGAATTGACTTATTCTTCTCCAAGGCACTTGAGAGAAAAGACAACGATAGCAGTTACATCTAGAGGCTATTATGGATTGGAGGATGAGAAGGGAACTGCATGTACCTCAACAAGGCGTCGGTCAACACCGCGAAGTTTGGCAGGCTTGACAAGTGGAGTTTTTGAATCTATAATGGTTCAAGTTTTGAGACAGGAAGAACAGCTGAGAGCAAAAGAAGAAAAAAGGTAAATGTTAAGAAAAAAATTCATAATTTCAGCTGCATAATTTTTATGTGCCCATATCAGATTTCTGGGCCCATTTTAGTAGTGTTCTAAAATGCATTGTTACAAAAGTATGAATTCATAATGAAATATCGCAATAAAATTTGTTTAAAATGTAATTTTAAAATTTAAAACCACTTATCTTGAAGCTATACAAAAATAATTTCTACAGAATATTTCAGAGTGCTTTCTAGATTTCTAGTAGTATTCATTCTCAAGTGAATTATAAGTTTTAAATTAGAGGAATTTTCTATAGGTTTGTAGTTTTAGAACAGAATCACAGACCTTTAAAATCAGGAGAATCTCCAGAGATTATGTAGTTCAAGCATGACATAAATTCACCTCTGCCTGTTCCTCCATTGGAATTAATATCCTGGATAACTGTGCTTACTCTGGGCTGATCAGGAAAAAGTGTGCTCAATTAATGGTAGCTTCTAGGGTCTGGGAGCATAAGAGTGATGGCATTTATATAACTTTTCAATTTATAAAAAGACAACCAGGGCCCAGAGAGGTAAGTGACACTGATGTTTCTATACTGACAAACAAACAAACAAAAAGACTAGTTATTTTTATAGTACTAAATCAAATTGCGAACTATGTTAGGAGTGATTACTAATGTTATAAGGACTTGTTAATGCTGGTCAGAGGCAATTTATAATATTTTGTTGCTCTTCTTGTAATAATAAATGTAACTTGCTTTGAAATTTGTAGGATTGAAACTCAGCCTTGAGACTTTCTACCATCATACTTTTTCCAGCAGTAATTAATTTGGAAACCTGCTGTAAAGTATTTTTTTTTTCCTTGTGCAGAGCTTCACAGAACTACTCCTACTATAGGAAAGGAGGGCTTATGGAAAGGGGTAAAGATTAACTTGACAGTAGCGTACAGTAGATTGGAATGGGGAGAATTGAAGAAAAGGAAGGCTTGTACGAAGAAGGCTGTAGTAGTCTACATCTCCACTACTGGTCACCACCTCCAATACTGGTCACCAGAAATTGGAAGAAATCAGATTGTCCTGAGAACAATTAATAGAACTTAGTATCTTCCTTGGTATAGGGAGAACAAAGGAAGAGACAAAGATAAGTCAAAAAGTAGTTGTAATAATAGTAGTGATATAAACAATAAGATAAAAAAAAAGAATGGCTAATGTTTATTGAGCGTGAGTATTTGCCAGGTTTAGCTCTAAGCACCTTCCTTGTATTCAGCATTTATCCTGAGGCACAGAGTGATGAAGTAACTTGCCCAAGGTCATACAGTTTTTGAGTAGTGAACTCAAGATTGGAACCCAATCAGCCTGGCTCTAGAGCTAGTGCTCCTAAGCAGTATACCATTTTTTGATTTGTAAAATGGTAAAACTAGCAAAGAAAATAGAAGAGCTTGAAAAGGTGAGTCCAGGTAGGGGAAAAAGCAGTGAATTCATTTTGAATAAATTGTTTAATATGATAATGAAAACATTTACATATCCAAGCAGGAATGCATAGCAGGAAACTATGAATATGAATCAATCTATGTGTGCCCTGACATCAAATAAACATGGGAGAATAAGCCATGGGAGGAAAACCCTCTGTTAAATATCATAGTAACTATGATAATTTAATGGAGTTATATGAATTAAGCTATCTCTTTTAGTGTTAACGTTTTAAATTATAAAATATTTTAAGCATAGAACAAAGAATAAATAAAATTAAAGCCTGTGCTGTGGAGAAGTAGGAAGGCTTTTACACTGTTGGTGGGAATGTAAATTAGTTCAGCCGTTGTGGAAGACAGTATGATGATTCCTGAAAGATCTAGAACCATTTGACCCAGCAATTCCATTACTGGGTATATAACCCAAAGGAATATAAATCATTCTGTTATAAAGGTACGTGCATGCCTATGTTCATTGCAGCACTATTCACAATAGCAAAGACATGGAATCAACCCAAATGCTCAGCAATGATAGACTGGATAAAGAAAATGTGGTACATACAGACCATGGAATACTCTGCAGCCATAAAAAGGAATTAGATCATGTCATTTGCAGGGACATGGATGAAGCTGGAAGCCATTATCCTCAGCAAACTAACACAGGAACAGAAAACTAAACACCACATGTTCTCACTCATAAGTGGGAGCTGAACAGTGAGAACACATGGACACAGGGAGGGGAACAACACACACCGGAGCCTGTAAGGTGGGTAGAGGGAGGGAGAGCATCAGGATAAATAGCTAATGCATGCTGAACGTAATACCTAGGTGATGGGTTGATAGGTGCAGCAAACCACCATGGCACATGTTTACCTGTGTAACAAACCTGCATGTCCTGCACTTGTATCCTGGACCTTAAAATAATAATAATAATTTTTAAAAAGCCTATGTGCCCACAACCCAACAATTTTTTTTTAAAGAATTAGCCATAAATGCCATCTAGTTTCCTTGTACTTCTGTTATAGAAGATACCCCATCTTAATTTTTTTGTTTCTCATTCCCATGCATTTTATTATTGAACTGTAAGAATTCTTTATTTATTTATTTATTTTTTTTGAGACGGAGTTTTGCTGTTGTTGCCCAGGCTGGAGTGCAGTGGCGCAACCTTGGCTCACCACAACCTCCGCCTCCCAGGTTCAAGCGATTCCCCTGTCTCAGCCTCCTGAGTAGCTGGGATCACAGGCAAGCACCACCACACCCGGCTAATTCTGTATTTTCAGTAGAGATGGGGTTTCTCCATGTTGGTCAGGATGGTCTTGAACTCCCAACCTCAGGTGATCTGCCCACCTCGGCCTCCCACAGTGTTGGGATTACAGGTGTGAGCCACCGTGCCCAGCCAAGAATTCTTTATGTATTCTGGATATAAGCCCTTTGTCAGATATATGTGTTCACAAGTGTTTTCTCAGTCCATGGCCTTCATTTTCAGTGTTTTTGGAGAAGTTTTTTGTCTTGGAAGTTCAAATCATCCATTTTTTAAATGTTTTTGTGGACCTACCTAAGGAATCTTAGCGTACCCAAGGTTATGGAAATTTTTGTTCTAGAATTTTTTAAGTTTTGGTTTTTCTGGTTATGTTTATTCTTTTGAAGTTAATTTTTGTGTGTGGTATGAAGTAAGGAAAAACTTTACTTTTTTCCATATGGATAGCCAGTTCCTTCAGTATCATTTGTTGAACAAAAACTATTCTTTCACCACTGAATTACCTTTGCATCTTTGTTGAAAAGCAATTGAACGTATTATTTGTGAGTCTTTCTGAACTGTGTTCTGTTTCATTTAGCTATAGGTGTATCTTTATGTTAGCACTATATTGATTTGATTAACTTTACAGTAAGTCTTGAAATTAAATAGCATGTCTTCCAACTTTATGGGGTTTTTTTTTTCAAATTCGTTTGTCTATACTAGGACCTTCACTTTTTGTGTAATTTTGAAATCATATTGTTAATTTCTGCAGAAAAATCCTGGGAAGGTTGATTGAGATTACATGGAAATTATCAGTTTCTGGATAATTGTTTTGTTTTCTTTTTTTCTTAGCTGTATTTTGTAGTTTTCAGTGTGCACATTTTTTACATATTTGGTTACCTTTTTCCCTACATATTTCATGGTTTTTATACAATTGTAAGTCATTTTAAAATTTAATTTACAATTATTTATTGCTAATATATCTAGAAATACAAACTTTAGTACAGTAACCTTTTGTCTTCTCTGAGTTTTGTCAGGTTTTTCTTCATGTAATTTGAAACTGTGCTATTAGATGCATAGATATTTATGGCTTTTATGTTTTCTGATGTATTGACTTCTTTCTTATTATGTCCCTTTTTATCCCTGGTAATATTGCTTACATTCTTTAATATTCCATTTTATCTCCAGTGTTGGCCTATTATAATGCTCTGCCTCGTTGTTTTATTTTTTCAAAGTAGTTTCTGTAGGATTTACAGGATGTGCTTTAATTTATCATGGTCAGTTTCAAATAATGCTGTACCACTTGACAGTATGCCTCTGTATACCATTTTTCATTCTTTGTGCTGTTGTCGTATGCCTTCCTTCTACATGTGTTTTAAACCCCCAATACACTGTTATTGTATGTGCTTTAAATAGTTGTGTTTTAAAGAAATCAAAGAATGAAAAGAAGTATTTTATATTTAATCCACACCTTTACCCTTCCCAACATTCTGCCTGCCTTTATATTGATCCATGATACCATCTGATATCATTTTTCTACTGTCTAAAGAGCTCTTTTAGCATTTCTTGTAATATAGGTCTGCCAACAATGAATTCTGAGGTTTTTTTTTGACTGAAAAAGTTTTTATTTTTCCTTACATCTTGAAGGATGGAGAGGGGTGTGTGTGTGTGTGTGTGTGTGTGTGTGTGTGTGTGTGTGTGTAATGCATATACATATATGACTCTGTATTGACAGGTTTTTTCCTATCAGCACTTTAAGTATGACGTGTTTTACTATGCATAGTTTTTTAAAAGAAGCCTGCTGACTTCCTTATCTTTGTTCCTATAGGGGTGGTCTATCTTATTTCTCTTAACTGCCTTTAAGATTTTCTCTTTATAATTAGCTTTCATCAATTTGTCATGTGCATTTGGTGTGAGCTTATGTGTGTGTGTTTGTGTTTATCTTGCTTGAGGTTCATTTCGCTTCTTTGATCCATAGACTTTCAGTCTTCTCTGTGCTCTTTTCAAGGCTGCTCATATTTTCTTCTGCAGTGTCTAATCCAGTGAACTGTTTACTGAATATAATTTTTTATCTCTAAAAGTTACATTTAGTTCTGTTTTTTATATATCTTCATTTCTCTCATTATCTTCATGTTTTAATTTCTAATCTCTAACTTAATCATCTTTGTAATTTCTAAGTCTTTCTGTTGTTTTTCTCCTAGTTATATTCTTTTGCTTCTTGGCATGTCCAGTAATTTTTATTGGAAATTAGACATTGTGAACATTGCTTTGTTGAGTCTGGAGTTTTATTTACTTCCTTTGAGGAGGATTAGGCTTTGTTCTGGCAAGCAGTTAAATTTCTTGTAGAACAGTTTGAAAAGTCCAGGTTTTAAGCTGTTTTAGGGTGTGTCTGAGATAGCCTTCACTCCAGTTCAGCCCTACAATAGCATAATGCCTCTCAGGCCTCTGCTAAATGCCCCTAAGTGGTGGCTGAAGACTTTCTGCTTCAGCTGGTCAGAACTCAGTTACCTCCCCAGTTTGTGTGGCTGTCCGAATTGCTACCTTATTAATATTCTGGTCAGATTTAACTTTGTGGAGTTTAACTCTAGGAAGTCACAGCCAGGACAGTTGGCTCTCCGTGTCAGCAGGTTCCACATGCACTGATTCAACCAACTGCTTATTTCCCAAATATTTCCCATGTTTGGGGAAAAAAACAATAAAAATAACAATACCACAATTTTAAAAATTCAAAATTTAAAATACAATATAGATTTCTGTTCTGTATAACTTCCTTCTTTTTGGAATTATCTCACAACTTCCAGGTGCTTCATCCTCCCCAGATGCCAATCTCTATCCCCTCAACTCCACTCCACTGGACTCCCTGATCCCGACTTTCTGTTCTCATAGTCTAAAAACTGCCTTCAGTCAGAAAGCTGGATGTCTTAGTTTATTTTCTGTTGCTTATAACAGGATACTGGAAACTGGGTAATTTATGAAGAGAAGGAATTTGTTTTTTTACAGTTACAGAGGATGTGAAGTCCAAGGTCAGGGAGTACATCTGGTAGTCATCTTGCTGATGGCAACTCTCTGCAGAGTCCCGAAACTGCACAGGGCATCACATGGTGAGGGGCTGAGTGTGCTAGCTCAAGTCTCACTTCTTTTTATAAAGCCATCAGCCCCATTCCCATGATACCTCATTAATCCACTCATTTGGGCAGAACCCTCATGACCCAATAACCTCTTGAAGGCCCCACCTCTCAATACTGCCACATTGTGGATTAAATTTCAACACGAGTTTTGGAGGGGACAACTATTCAAACCAGCTGTCCTAGCACTGGGCAATTGTAGGGATCATCTCATTTGTTTCACTTCTCTTGGTGATCACAGTCCTGCACTGTTTGTCCAGTGTCTGAAAATGTATGTTTTATATATTGTGTTCAGTTTGTAGCTGCTTGCAGTAGGAGGGTAAGTTTGGTTCAATTACTTCATCATGACCACAAAAAGTGGTCATTTCCATGCATTTTTAATGTTTTAATTACATAGGTATATATTTGTAGATAATATATAACATTCTTTTGCATGTCTTTAACCTTCATATAATTGGCAACTTAAAAATAATATATATATATACACACACATACATACATACATAAAATTTCAATAGGTTTTTGGGGAACAGGTGGTGTTTGGTTACATAAATAAGTTCTTTAGTGGTGATTTCTGAGATTCTGGTGCACCCATCACCCGAGCAGTGTACACTTTACCCAAAGTATGGTCTTTTATCTCTTAACAACTTTCTGTTTCCATTTATTTACGTATCTGAGCTTTATTCATGTTGAACTGTTTTGTTCTAGTTTATTTCAAGCCTTATATAATAACTATGTAATAGTATTACATCATGTGACTGTATTTCAGTGTATCCATTTTCCAGAAGAGATGGACGTTTTGAAGTATTTCTGTTGTTTCATTATTATAGAATGCTATAGTAAACATTCTTGTGTCTCCCTTGAGGATGGACACAGAGATGGATAGATTAAAATAGATAGATAGATAGATAGATAGAAGATAGATACATGGATAGATAGATTAATTGATGATAAATAGATTGGATGGATGGATAGATAGATAGATAGATAGTCCAGGTCTCTCCTTTAAGTTTCAGACCTAATTGCCTGCTTAATGTCTTCTCTGGATGTCGTATCTGTCAGTGTTGGTATCAGTGTCTCTCCTCTGCCAGGAAACATGTGGCACATTCAAATTAGGATATTTCAAAGAGGGTTTATTTTCAAAGGGGTTACAATGTAGCAGAATCTTAAGAAATAAGGCTGTAACCAGGGTAAGCAGAGAGAGTAACTGGTACCCAGGAAACGGTTATAGAGGAGAGACTGTTTTGAGAAGATACTTCTATTGAAGGACAAAGCCCAAGGCAACCTCATGAGGAGAGAGCCAGGGAAATAAATGCTTCATCCCACTTTATTTTATCTTTCTGATTACCTCCCAGGTCTCTCCATTGATGAACCCAAGGGAAGACTGAGAGTGAGGTTGCCTATTGATACAGATAAACCTTACAGTGAAGGATGGAGAATGGATCTAGAGGCAAACAATCTAATCTGTCAATCTAATACCCTGTCAAGAGTTAGTCAGAGACTAGCTAAGAGTATAGATTTTATAAATTTAGATAGGGAAGGGACTTTGAAATCATAGGAAGGTCATGTTAGAAGAGGAAGGTGTTTTGTTGTTGTTGTTGTTACTGTTGTTGTTTTAATTAAAACCTTTGGCATAAGAAGTGGGGAAAACAGTTTTCATTTTGTTACGTAGGTTAAAACACCTGTTATATCAGAAGTTTGAGATCAAGATAGCAGCAGCCTGAAAATTTAGTATATATTTTAATATGGTAATACTTTATCTGGTATCTGATGGACATCTGATAATTTACAGCTGATCATCTGGGCAGACACAAACTAAAAAGTAGATTTTTTAAAATTTTTACTCTCTCTCTCTCTATATACATATACATTGTGTGTGTGTGTGTGAAGTTTTTTTTAAACCAACCCTGGTCTACAGAAATTTTTTACAATCTTTAAATGTACCTAATTTGGTTTCTAATTTGTTACCTATTCCATTTAAAGGAAGGAAGCTCCCCACTCTATATTTTAATTTTTATACAGTAGGCTGATTACCTTCCTTGTGCAGTATATGCTATCAAAATAATGGCTTCTTAGATTGCCAGATTTAAAATCCTGGCATTCCTCTATTGCTGTCTTTATTAGTTTGGACAGCTTTGGATACCAGTATAAAGGAGATGGCGAGTGATGGCCTGTTGAACAGAGAGGAATAAATACTGAGAAAGGCTTGGTAGTCTGGCCATCTTCAAGAAAATGCTGATAGGACAACAGGCAGTCTTGGGGGAACTGGTGTAGAGAGACCCTGTTGATTTAGGAGACAGCAGCCCTCTAAGTGAAAGTCTGAGAAAATTGAGTGAAAGAGCTGATTAATTTATTGCTGAAATAGTCTTTAAGCTAATCACAACCACCACCACATTCTGTTTATAATGATGACCTAAAACCATTAAGGAATCATTGAATAATATTTTGTATACCTTGTTTATTAAACAGGAAAGTAGATAACACATTTAAGATACTTCTTTTTTTTTTTTCTTTTTTTTTTTTTTGAGATGGAGTCTTGCTTTGTTGCCCAGGCTGTAGTGCAGTGGTGCAGTCCTGGCTCACTGCAACCTCCACCTCCCAGGTTCAAGTGATTCTCCCACCTCAGCCTCCTGAGTAGCTAGGGCTACAGGTGCTGCCACTATGCCCAGCTAATGTTTGTATTTTTAGTAGAGATGGGATTTCACCATGTTGCCCAGGCTGGTGTGGAACTCCTGACCTCAGGTGATCTGCCCTCCTCAGCCTCCCAAAGTGCTGGAATTATAGGTGTGAGCCACCATACCGGCTATTTTAGATACTTAAAAGATAAAATAAAATCAATGAAAATTGGCAATTGGTTCTCCTCAAGTAAATTTCTATTAATCTGGAATATGACATTATTAGATAGCAGTTTTGATAACTTAAGTCTACTTTAGTTGTCTTAAAAATACTAGATCTGTTCATTGTTCCTTTTTTGCAAAACCATTTGGATTTTCAGAAATAGTGGATTTTTTTTTTGTTTGTGGGTTTTTTTTGAGACAGGTTCTCACTCTGTCTCCCAGGCTGGCATGATGTGATCACGACTCACTGCAGACTCCACCTCCCAGGCTCAAGTTATCCTCCCACCTCAGCCTCCCAAGTAGCTGGGATTACAGGCATGACCACCACACTTGGCAAATTTTTACATTTTTCGTAAAGACGAGGTCTCACTATATTTCCCAGGCTGGTCTCGAACTCCTGGGCTCAAGCCATCCTCCCACCTTGGCCTTCCAAATTGTTGGGATTACAGGCATGAGCCACCATGCCCAGCCAGTGTGTATTTTGTTAGTACTCTTTATTTCATGTACTTTTACAAACTTGCTGGTATTTTACTGATCTGGAAATCACTGGAATTGAAACAGATTTTTAAACTCCAGTGATTATTTTTGTAAAATAAATACTATGACTTTATAATTAAGTGATTTATTTTCATATTCTCTATAACACAAAGTAGCAGTGACTTAATTAAATATGTATTCATCATTTGTGGCCACCCAGCATTTTTAAATAGCTTTCTTACATTTTGGTAATTTCCTATAGTACAAGTTTTAACTTCCCAGGATAGATGCCAGAAAATTTATATTCTCAAACCCCCTCACAGGTAAGGTAGAGGTATATGAGCAGGTATATACTTCTTACTTGATATTGCATGAACAACATCAGGTAGCAATCTTGAGTGAGAGGGTTTATTTTTTGATAAAGGTGGTAGTAGGAGTTTCTGGTTGTTCCAGGTTCTTGGTATCAAAGGTGCCAACTAGTGCTGACCGTGTAGTTTTTCTTGGAGAACCTTCTAAGTGTGGTTGGGCTTGTTTTCTGGCTTTTTGTCATCTAAGTTTGGCTCTCTGACTCTTGACAGAGCTTCTATAAGCTCCCTACTAATCCTTAAATAAATTCCTTTTCTGCTTCAGCTAGCCAGAGGAGATTCTGTTGTTGTCAGATAAATAAGAAGGTTGACTGATGGACTTGATATGAATGGTTAATTTTTCTAAAATATAATATTATGTGTTATTCATCTTAGAAAATATAAATAAATATCTTGCTTCCCTTTTTCATGCCATCAATTTGTGTACATTTTATTATTTCTTAAAACTCCTTTTTTTTTTTTTTTTTTACTAAATTGCAATGTCTTTGAGAGTGAGGTCCATGTTTTCTCACCTCTTTGTGTTGTCACACATGGTAAGCATTCAATAAAAGTTTATAAAACTATAATAGTAAAGTTAGGATACTTTAAAACTTAATTTTCTTTTGGAAATCTAGTGTTTTTGCCAAATCGTGCATGGCTAAAATAACCTTAGGCACAGCTTCTATTAGTATTTCACAGAGTAACAGGCAAACATGCCACAGCCCAGTAAGGAGCAACATCAAAAATGAGAGCTGATCCAGAAAAAAAAATTGAACCAATTTTCTTGTTTATTCAGTATTGTTTATGTACCCTGTTTTTAAAAATAGCAAATGTTATTTTTGCAAATATCCTTAGGCAGCCTTTTGGTATTTTCCCAACATTGAAGGCTTAATTTTTTGAGCTAGTATTTTAGAAACATGCACTGCTTTATCTGCCTTTAGTACTGTACTTTTGGATAAATTTTTTAAATGAGAATAATTCTGGAAGATGGCTTTGTCTGCCTTACCAGCAAAATGTGATGTACTTCAGCATTTTTTTTTCTTTTTTGAGACGGAGTCTCGCTCTGTTGCCCAGGCTGGAGTGCAGTGACGTGATCTTGGTTCACTGCAAGCTCTGCCTCCTGGGTTCACACCATTCTCGTGCCTCAGCCTCCCGAGTAGCTGGGACTACAGGCGCTTGCCACCACGCCCAGCTAATTTTTTGTATTTTTAGTAGAGACGGGATTTCACCGTGGTCTCGATCTCCTGACCTCGTGATCTGCCCACCTCAGCCTCTCAAAGTGCTGGGATTACAGGCGTGAGCCACTGCGCCCAGCCACTTCAGCATTTTTAAGATACTGTTTTTAATTTTTAACTATAAGTGTTAAAGTTTTTTTAAAAATGGCTGATTATATATATTAACTCTAGAGATCTTCAGCAGGCTCCCATTCCCTATTTACTACACTACTGAGGATCAGGAAAGAGACTCCATAGTTGTATTTCTAAAGGTAAAGGGCTGTTCTGCCTTATGCTGGCCTATACCAGCCATGTACTTTTTTGTCCTTCCTCACATCTCTTTAGTATTCATAGTCTGAGGCTAGATTCCATAATCCTCCCCTGAAAGGTACAGTGTATGAGGAACAGCAGCAGTGTGAGTAGCAGCCCTTGATTAGCTTCAGATAGTGCACACAGATGGCATTATCACACTTCAACTGTGTCATGAATTTTCTTCCTCTTCTAGGAGCAAGTCAGTTGGTGCTAACTTTGGCCTACCAGGCAAACTGTGTTTCTGTCTCTTATACTGACCTGCTAGGAAAACCTGGGGGAAGTTATTTCACCTTTCTGTATGTCCTTAATATTCGCAGCAGGTAAATAATTTGTGAAATTACCTTATCACCAATCTTTATATTGGCCAAAAGTTGCTTTTCACTGCTTTAGGCAAAGCAAGTCCATAAAAGTTTTTTCATCTACTCCAACTTTCCCTTTCATTTTCTTCCCCAAGCACTAGCTGTCACTCTTTCACTTCTGCAGAACATGTAACACTCTTCTCTGTCAGAACAAAATGTATTTCATTGATGTTAGTCATGTATGCACTGCCTTCAGGATTCCCAGATTTTTTTTTTTTTTTTGCTGTCCTTTCCCTACTTAGTGTTGACTCTTCACATCTATTCTACTATTTGGCGCTTCCTAGTTCCTTTATCTTATTTCCTTTGGAAAAAAACAAAGTGTCACATTTAATTTTGAAAATAGAAATCTGCCATAAACAACATTATATTTTACTTATATGTATAACCAAAAAGGGAGAATTTCTAGACTTACAGTCTGAGATGTTTTATAACTAATAAGTGATTTTATAGTGAGCTCATAGTCAGGATTAATTATGACAAGATTAACCAAAATCAGTTTTCTCTGCCAAGAATAGTAATAAACAAACCCAGTTTCTGACGGTTGATTCTAAGATACAGTATCCTATTACAAACTTTTAAACAAACTCTGAATTAAATTTTATGGGAAATAACTTGAAAACTTTGCCTGTTGTTAATAACAGTACATTGAAGAAAAATATTCTACCCTTCTCAGTACATAAAGTGTAGAGAAATTCAGTTTCATGGTAAAGTACACAGTATCTATAAATTTAACATAAACGTGATTAAATCATTTGATTTTTTTTTAGCTTTGAAAAATTGATTTCAGACTTATTTTATTTTACACACTCTCTAGTTTAAAAGTCACAGAGTATCTTTAAGGCTACTAAAAGGCAGCAGTCTTACCCAGCTGAACTTCAAGCCCATGACTCAGAATCAGCTACCTTTAACTTTTAGCTATTTCTTCTGGTAATCATGTTCACATTTCTAAATAAATGCTATGTTGCTATTTCTTGATTTTTCCATTTGGCATTATCTGTTGCTATTTATCTGTGGAATTCTTTTACACCTACTTCCACTGATAGGGAAGCTCTGTTCCTCTTCTTAATTTTGTTCTTTTCTGCCTCGTCCATCTCATATATTATTGTTGATTAATAATTTAGCTCTGTCTCATTTTTAACCCCCAAACTAACCATTATTACTGTTTTTATAATGTATTTTTTATTCATATTTACCCATGATTAAGTGTATTTTTTCCCAGTTCTTCTCACATTTTAGAACTTCTTTTGGTAATCATCTCTTCTCTTCTAAGTATATACTATAGAAGTATGTTTTCTGTATATTTCAGTTTGGACAGTTTCTCTCTCTGTCTTCAAGTTCACTAATCTTTTCTTCTGCCGTGTCTAATCTGTCATAAATCGCATTCTGTGTATTTTCATCTCAGACATTGTAGTTTTTATCTCCAAAAGTGTAGTTTGGGTCTTCTTTATATCTCTCATGTCTCTACTTAAGTTTTTGACCAAATGGAATAATATAGTTTCAATAACTACTTTAATGACCTTATTGCTAAATCTTTTTTTTTTTTTTTTTTTTTTTTTTGAGATGGAGTTTCACTCTTGTTGCCCATGCTGGAGTGCAGTGGTGCGATCCTGGCTCACTGCAACCTCCACTTCCCAGGTTCAAGCGATTCTTCTGCTTCAGCCTCCCAAGTAGTTGGGATTACAGGCATGCACCACCACGCCCAGCTAATTTTGTATTTTTTTTTAGTAGAGACAGAGTTTCACCATGTTGGTCAGGTTGGTTTTGAACTCCTGACGTCAAGTGATCCACCCACCTCAGCCTCCCAAAGTGCTGGGATTACAGGCACGAGCCACCACGCCCAGCCCTTATTGCTAGTTCTAATATGTGTATCATTTCTGGGTCAGTTTTGATTGATTTTTCTCATCATGGGTCATTTTTCTGCATTGTTGCATGCCTAGTAGCCTTGGTTTGAATGCCAAACATTGTAAATTTTACCTTGGTGAGCGCTGGATATTTTTGGATCTCTATAAATCTTGAGCTTTTTCCTGGAATGCAGTTAAGTTAGTTGGAAACAGCTTTATTATTCTGACTCTTTTATGATTTTTTACTTGGATCCTGAGCGCTAGTCCAGGTCTAATTATTCTCTACTACCAAGGTAAGACCTTCCTGAGTATTCTACCCAATATTCCGTGAATTATGAGTCTAGTTTTCTAGCATGGTTAGTGGGAACAGGCACTATGTTCTCTAATATCTTGTAAGTTTGTCCCTGTACTAATCAGTACTCTTAATACTCCAGGGAGATCCTCTGCACATCTGTAGAGTTCTCTCTTTATGCAGCTCTCTACTCATTGGTACTGTGCAGGTACTATGTCCTGCAGACTCTAGTTGCCTTGGTCTCTCTGGACTCTTGGCTCCTTCTCAATAAGGGAGTCTGCTGGGCCTTAGCTGGGTACTCTCTGTCTGTCTGCATCATGATCTGGATACTCTTTCAAGGCAATAAACTGAAACAATGTTTGGGCTCACCTCATCTCTTTCTAATGTGTCATGGATCGCTGTCTTTTGCTTGAAAACCATTATTTCATGTATTAGGATTTTTTTGTTGTTGGTTCAAATGAAAGTATAAATTTGATTCTTTGTTACTTCATTTTGGTTGGAAGCAGAAGACACTACATGGAAGTTTTCATTTTAGTCTAATTGAAAATGACTTTAACTTACTCTCATCTATGAATGATAGTTTAGCTGGTTATGCAGTTCTAGTTTGACAGTTATATTAATTCAGCACTTTAAAGATACTGTTCTGTTGTTTCTGGTTTATTTTGTTGCTATTAATAGATCTCTCAGTCTGTCATTCCTGTATACGTAATCTGTCCTTTTTTCTGCATCTTTTAAGATTTTTTTTGTGTATGTCTTTGATGTTTTATTATTGTTTTATCATGTGCCCAAATGTGGCTTACGTTCTTCATTTATTTTTGGGGGCTTCCTGAAATGAAGATTTGTGCCCATTAGTTCTGGAAAATTCTCAGCCATTATGTCTTCAACTATCACCATCACCATTACCTTCCTACCTCTCTATTCTTACTTTCTGAAGCTACAATTTGTTTTTTGTCTCTTGCTTTTGTTTTGTTTTGGTTTTTTTGAGACAGGGTCTTGCTCTGTTGCCCAGGCTAGAGTGCCATGGCATGAACACAGCTCACTGCAACCTTGACCTCCTGGGCTCAAGTGATCTTCCCACCTCGCCCTCCTGAATAGCTGGGACCACAGGCCTGTGCCACCACACCAGGCCCGTTTTTTTTAAGAGATGAAATCTCGCCATGTTGCCTAGTCTGATCTTGAAGTCCTGGGCTTAAGCTATCCTCCCACCTCGGCCTCCCAAAATGCTGGGATTACAGGTGTGAGCCACCACACCCAGCCCAATCAATTTGTTGTATGTTAGATATTGATTTGTGTTTCTTTGGTCTGTCTCTTCCTTTTCAGTTTAATCATTTTTCTCCCAGCTTATTTGCTATTACTGTTATGTATTTTATTTTATGTTAGTATTAGTATTATTTTTTGAGATGGAGTCTCACTCTGTCACCCAGGCTGGAGTGCAGTGGTGTGATCTCAGCTCACTGCAGCCTCTGCCTCCCAGGTTCAAGCGATTCTCCTGCCTCAGCCTCCTAAATAGCTGAGATTGCAGGCGTGTACCACTACGCCCAGCTGATTTTTGTATTTCTAGTAGAGACAGGGTTTCACCTTGTTGGCCAGGCTGGTCTCAAACTTCTGACTTCAAATGATCTGCCTGCCTTGGCCTCCCAAAGTGCTGAGATTACAGGCACGAGCCACAGGGCCCAACTGTTGTTGTCATGTATTTGAATTCTATCTTGTCTTCTTTTTAAACTCCGTAGAGCATTTTAATAATTATTTATGCCATATCTATGTAAATTAACCTATGTATTACTACTTTTTTTTCCCCTATCTTTGTGCTTTAGTTAGGGATCACTGTTCTTCCACTGGAAGCACATTCTTTAGAATTTTCCTTTAGATTGTGTTTTTCAGTCACAAATACCACATTTTTTTGGTCTGAAAATATCTTTTTGTCTATATTTTTGAGAGAGATTTTTACTCTGAATGGAAATTTCTGTTGGCACTTATTTTCTGAGTATATTAAAGATACTCCATTGTGTGCTGGCTTCTGTTATTGCTGTTGAAGAGTGTCTTAGTCCATTTTGCATTGCTGTGAAGGAATACCTGAGGCTGAGTAATTTATAAAGAAAAGAGGGTTATTTGGCTCATGGTTCTGTAGGTTGTACAGGAAGCATGGGGCCAGCATCTGCATCAGGAGAATGCCTCAGACTGCTTCTACTCCTAGCAAAAGGTGAAGGGGAGCCAACATATCACGTGGTGAGAAAGGTAACAAGAGAGAGGAGGAAGGTGCCAGGCCCATTTTAACAATTAGTTCTTGTGACAACCAGTAGAGTGAGAACTCACTCACTGCAGTGAGAATGGGACCAAGCTATTCATGAGAGATCTACCCCCATAACTCAAACACCTGTAACTGGGCTGCGCTTTCAGCATTGGAAATCAAATTTCACCATGAGAATTGGAGGGTGCAGATATCCAAACTATATCAAGGAGTTAGCTGTAAGTCTGTTTTTATTTTATTTTCTGTATTTTTCATTTCTAGAAGTTCTTTTTAATTCGTATTCAAAACTGCTTTGTCATTTTTTATAATCTCCTTCTCTTTGCTCATGTTTTCAGTTTCTTTTCACTTAACATTGTATTCCTTGTGTCCTATAATTCTTACATCTATTATCTTGGGGCCAGATTCTTTCTTCCTATCCCTCCTAATATCTTAATTCCTTTTATGTTTTATCTTTGACTGTGGACTCATTTCTTATCACTGTAGTAGTAGGAGTTCCTTAAAGTCTAGACTTAAGGTGCATTCCCTTAGAGATTTGATTTTGTTGTTGTTGTTCATGTACCTGACAGCAATATTGGCATGAAACCACATTAAACTCATTTCTTAGTGTGATGTTTTTCTGGGCACTCAGGAAATGTGAATTTGGGCAATAAATCCATATGAGTCAGCTTATAGTTACAAATTCTTAAGATTTTTTTTTCCTCTCACCACTCCTATTGTGAAGACAAAAAAATTTTCTTGCAGTCCTCTAGTTGAGGATGAGGGGAAGGGAAGGGACTTTTTTCTAGTATGCCCCTCTACTGAGTGTGTGTGCTTTTGGAGTCCTAGCTCTGTACAGAGGAAGCCAAATTCTACCTGCCCACTACCATCCTCATTCAGTAAAAAATAAAACTCCATAAAACTCTAAGCACATTTGAAAGAAGTTGAATTTTATTAAGAATATTTAATATTTTTTAGGTACTCAAATGTAATATATAAATACCAAATCACTAATGACAGTTATAGTATGACATTTCAACCAAAAATATAAAAGTAGGCTGTTCTATAAAAGAGCAAGTTGTGATATTTGCCAAAGTAGTGTTCTTACTATTTATGTATTTATCTTACTGGATTGCAATCTGATTTATAGAAAAATAGCCAGTGTCAGACATTGATTTGTTCCCATTTTTGGCTCTTGTAAATAATACTGCTAAGAACATTTATATACAAGCTGTCGTGTGGACAAGTGTTTTTATTTCTCTTGGGCATATACCTAGGAGTAGAATTGCTAGATCACATAGTAACGTTTTCAAAAGCAATTATACTGCCTACAGTGTATGAGGTTTCTAGTTTCTTCACGTTTTCACCAATACTTGTTACTACTATCTGTCTTTTGTGTAATAACCATCCAAGTAGTTTTGGAGTAGTATCTCATTCTGGTTTTGATTTGCATTTATCTAATTGATAATGAGGCTGAGCATCTTTTCATGTGCTTTTGTTGTTCATTTTGTTGTTCACATCTTTAAAGAAATATCTATTCAAGTTCAAGTTTCTTTCTCCTTTTTTTTTTTTTTTTTTTTTTTTTTTGAGACGTTGCTTAGCTCTTGTTGCCCAGGCTGGAGTACAATGGTGCAATCTCGGCTCACTGTAACCGCTGCCTCCCAGATTCAAGCGATTCTCCTGCCTCAGCCTCCCTAGTAGCTGGGATTATAGGCATGTGCCACCATGCCCAGCTAATTTTTGTGTTTTTAAAAGAGAAGGGGTTTTACCACGTTGGCCTGGCTGGTCTCAAAATTCCTGACCTCAGATGATCCACTCGCCTCAGCCTCCCAAAATGCTGGGATTACAGGCGTGAGCCACTGTACCCAGCCTGTCCATTTTTTAACTGGGCTATTTGTCCTTTCATTATTGAGTTGTAAGTATCTATTATATATTCTATATACAAGTCTCCTATTAAGTACATAATTTACAAAAACATCCTCCCATCCTGTGAGTTGTCTTTACTTTCTTGATGATGTCTTTTAAAAGCAGAAATTTTTCTAGTTTTGATGATACCCAGTTTATCTATTTTTCTCTTGTTGCTTATTTTTTGGGTGTCAGATCTAAGAAACCATTGCCTAATCTAAGGTCACAAAGACTTAAATGCCTATCTTTGCATCTAATTTCATTTTTTTAATTAAGTTTTTATAGTAGTGCTAATAAAATCTTAAGGGGGAAAAAAGCACTCATATTCCTATTAACCTAGAAATTATTTACTTTTGCAACACTGTCACCTCCCTGCTTAATATATACTTATTTTCATTATGACTATTAAGTACTGTGTTGTATTCTGACATTTTCTGTATTTATGCATGATATTAATAATTTTAATTTTTAAGGCTGCACAATATTTCCAGTTTATTTCCCAATTTTAAAACAATTTTTTCATAGTTTTGTTTTTCTTATATAAAACTCGAGTTAACATTGGTAAGTACATAACTTTTTGCTTCTGTTGAATTATTTTCTTAGTATAACTTTCTAGGAATGGAATTATGGGGTCAGAGGATATAAATATCTTACAGCTTTTATGTGAAGTCATATTACTTCTAGAAATTACTGTAATCAAATTCTACTGTGCTTTCATTTAGTAAATGAAGTTGATATACATTATAAATTGAAGAATTTACCTTGAGGATAATTATGTCAGCAATCCTCCATCAAATTCAGACTGAAGTGATATGTGTATTTCTTCATCTGAAAAAAGCAAAATGGTACTGTTATGAGACACTTTGTACTGATATTTAAAACTAGGGCAGGCTGGGCACAGTAGCTCATGCCTGTAATCTCAACACTTTGGGAGGCCGAGGCAGGCGGATCACCTGAGGTCAGGAGTTTGAGACCAGCCTGGCCAACATGGTGAAACCCCGTCTCTACTAAAAAATACAAAATGTTAGCTGGGTGTGGTGGCAGGCACCTGTAATCCCTGCTACTTGGGAGGCTGAGGCAGGAGAATTGCTTGAACCCGCGAGGCAGAGGTTGCAGTGAGCTGAGATTGCATCACTGCACTACAGCCTGGGGGACAGAGCGAGACTCTGTCTCAAATAAATAAATAAATAAAACTAGGACAGTTGATTGCCTTTTTGGCTAAAGATAAATATACTTAAAATTTATCATTTTATGGTACCCTCTGAATAATAATAGTATAATTTGTTAAATTTCTTTAGGCTTCGGGAGCAGGAAAGAAAAGAAGCAGAAGAAGCTAGTCAAAAGGAAATAGAAGAATGGGAAAGAAAACTTCTAGCTCAAGCAGCTCCAACTTGTATGGAGACCATGTGGGAAATTCCAGCTATTGGGCATTTCCTTTGTTTAGCTCAGCAAATTCTAAATTTGCCAGAAATAGTCTTTTACGAATTGGAACGTTGTCTTCTGATGCCTCAGTGTAATGCTTTTCTATCGAAAATAATGACTTCTCTATTAAGTCCTCCCCATCGCAGACCTACCTTACATCGAAGACCTACTTTGCCTTATAGGACCTGGGAAGCAGCGCTGAGGCAGAAAGTACAACAGTGGTACACTGCTGTAGGGCAAACTGAAAATCCTGATAACTGTGCTGAAAAACTGGGGTTGTGTCCTCAGTTTTTTAAAGTTCTTGGAGAAGTTAATCCATTGGAAGAAAAACCTTTTCACGAACTACCTTTTTACCAAAAAGTGTGGCTACTTAAGGGTCTTTGTGACTTTGTGTATGAAACACAAAAGGAAGTTCAAGATGCTGTACTTGGACAGCCTATCCATGAATGCAGGGAAGTTATTCTTGGTTATGATTATTTGGAGAATGCTTATGTACATTTTCCACAGTTCTGTGGTGCAGATGTACGGATTTATAAACAGAGACCCTTTCAGGCCCCAGAATTTCCAATTCCACCCATTAAAATACAAAGAGTACCTCGGATTAAATTGGAGAAATTGAAGTGTGACTATGTTAGTACAAGTAATGGAGAACATAGATGTAGCAGAGATAGCCTGCCCTCTTCCTTCAAGAAAGAGCAGGAAAATAATTTTGATCCAGCTTGCTGTCCTGCTAAAATGATCTTGGATAATCATGACATCTCTGTTGAAATGGGAGTAAAATCCAACTATGAAATTAGAATTCGCAGGCCTTGTGAAATTAAAAAAACTGATTGTTGTAAAGAAAATTTAGAGAAACCAAGGAGTCCAGGGGAAGTTACTGGCTTTGGAGAGCCTCTTAGTCCAGGTGAAATAAGGTTTATAGAAAATCAGGAAAAATACGGTGAAGCTTCCAGAATAAAGATTGAACCCAGTCCATTAAAAGAAAATACTCTAAAATCTTGCCAAATACATGTAAATGGAAGTCACAGTGATCATCCAGAAATTAACTGCCACAAAGTTGTAAGGGATATTCTATTAGAGCAGTCACTACAGAGCCACAAGAAACTCAAACTAACTAAAATGAGGGCAAAAAAGAAGAAAAAGAAAAAAAAGAAATTGAAAGATGTTTTGAATGAAAACTTACAGAGAAAGCGTGAAGGTCTTCATTCTCTTGCATTCAAGTCTTACAAACCTGAGATCCAGAATAAGTTATTGATCATCAAAAAAAAAGCAAAACACAAGAAGCACAAATCTGGTAAGCTAACACAAATGGATGGGAGTTATATTTAAGTATAATTCAAATTGTTTTTTCCATTATGCATCATGGATGCTTTGATTGAGAGAGTAAAATGCACATGTATGCATGCGTGTATATTTGAGGGTCAAATTTTATTTTATATTCAATGTGTTAAAAAGCCAGAGCAGATGACATTTTATATACTTACAACAAAAAAAGTACTGATGCAGTATGTTTGAATTTAATTTTCAGTTGAACATGTTTGGACATTATGTTTTTACCTTTCTCTGGACCAATTTCTTTCCCATCGCTTATGAAATGTGTGTTTTTTTTTTTTTTTTTCAGGCTAAGGGCAGTACAGTGTAGTAGGAAAAGCACTGATTTCAGGAAGTAACATTCCCAGGACTAAAGTTCATAGCAACTAGCTGCTTAAACCAAGGGTAGTCAGATTATCTTCCTGGGTCTGTTTTTTCCCACATCATGTATTTTTCAGAACTATGTTTTCAGTATATATTTTTATATCAAGAAAATATGTGGAATATAAGAAAATTACATCAATTAATAAGACATGAAGCATATTTCTGTAAAAGGATTTGTAAATTTGTCTTTCACCAAATTTAAATGCCCTATATATTTGTCAACAGCCTATTTAAACAACAGAAAATTCTATGAAGTCTTCAGTGGCCGATTGCTCTGCTTTTGAATTTCTTAGGTGCTTTTGCTTTTCTTGTTGTCTGTCTTTTAAATCAGTTTATGTCTCATTTATCAAGCACATAAGTGAGATAAAAGCAGATGATCAGCTTTATTAACCCTAATAAGAAGTTGCTTGATTGGAAAAAAAAAAGGTGGAATTAACATTAAAATCTGGTGGCTCTTCATCATCATTGTTTGTGGATTTCAGCTTTTTATTTCTTTCTTCAGTAGCAAAAGTAAGATTTGGCAAAAATTTGGTAATGAATTGGAAAATAAGGGAATGAATCTTTTAGCTAATTGGTGTTATGTTTTAGTTATTTAAATCATTAAATACAATTGAATGTGTTTTAAAACATGTATATAATGTATCATTGATAAAGTAGTATAAAATATATTACCAAAAACAGGCTTAATTTAATGGACTGAAAATTTCAAAATGCTCCACATTGATCCAGGTGGTGAAAAACCACAATGTTTAAAAGTTACTTTTAGAAATAAGCCTTGTAAATTTTATAAGCGATCCATTTGTTTTTTATAAATTCAGTTTGATGAATTTGGCAAATTCACTTTGAAATGTTAGTCTCTAGGCTGGGCACGGTGGCTTACACCTGTAATCCCAGCATTTTGGGAGGCCGAGGGGGGCAGATCATGAGGTCGGGAGTTGGAGACCAGCCTGGCCAATATGGTGAAACCCTGTCTCTAATAGAAATACAAAAATTAGCTGGGCATGGTGGCATGCGCCTATAGTCCCAGCTACTCGGGAGGCTAAGGCAGGAGAATTGCTTCAACCCGGGAGGCAGAGGTTACAGTGAGCAGAGATCATGCCACTGCACCCCAGCCTGGTCAACAGAGCAAGACTCTGTCTCAAAAAAAAAAAAAAAAAAAAAAGGAAATGTTAGTCTCTAAAATATTAAATAATATTTTAAAATTAGAACTACTTCCCAACTCAATTATATAGTATATTATTAATATAATTGTAACCCAGAACCCTTTATTGTTTATTACACTTCTGTTCATATGCTCAAAGGCAATAAAGTGGTTTATAAAATAGACACTGCTGTAGATCAGAGAGAAAATTGGGAGGAGGAGTTTTGTATCCAGTTCTAGAAAAATGAATAGAAACACTTGGAAGGCAAATTTATAAATTGTATTCAGCAAGTACTCTAAGCCTTAGTTGAGGAGAGAAGACTTACATGCATGAAATAGAAGAAAAGAATACACTTGTTTGTATACTTATTTTATTCTCAGAGCAAATTTTAGGAAGTCAGATCTTAAGTGACAAAAATGTTTGGATCTGGTAGATGCAGTTTTGTCTGCTTACCTAGTTAATACTGGGTAAACATTGGCCAATTCCCTTTTTTCATCAGTTACTGAATTCCTTATTGATATAACAATGTTACATAAACTGTTATAATAACAGCTAAACATTTGTTTTATGTAATTTTCAGTCCACTTGTCTATCTGAGGCTTTACCCTGTTCTTCTTTATTAGGTGTGAGACGTTGTGGCCTTTCATAGTCAGTTCGGGGCATACCTTAATCCAGTCTTTACTTTCTCACTCTTTTTAAAAGTGAGCTCCATCATCATAGGTTTGGAAAATACTCCTCTTAAAGATTCACATTGTCCTTTAGTAGAGGTTCACAATTCATTTTGCAAAACTGATAATAGATTTGTTTTGAAATTCAGAAATCTTCAGATTTCAGAAGGGCATTATGGTGTATATAATGTTTAAGTCATCCCCAGTGGGGCTTAGGTTAAGTAATATCCCCAGTGGGAATTACTCCTGTAATCAAACATATAATCTCTACTGAAAAATGTATGAATTAGACTAAATAAAACAAAGACTAGAAAACCTTAAGTTGAAGTCAGGTTTTCTTACCATATAAATTATATTTGAGACTTTGAGTTTTCAAAATCTTCTGAACTTCTAAATTGTTAAGTTATTCTGGGCCTGTTTATTAAAGACTCTGGAAAGTCTTGAAGAAAAGAAAACTGCTTAATTTTGTTTAACGTAGTGTTTTTTTTTTGAATTTATTTTAACACAGCTTTTTTTCGAGTAATGATTACCGATAACCTGTGTATTCTGTAGAATACGCTTTGGGATGAGCTGTGTCATTCATGACTGATGTATGAACCTTCACTTAGGGTGGACTAAGTTCTACATGTGGTTAATCTGGTCTGTTTTATGTTGTGTAATACAGGCTTTAATTTTTGGTAGTATCTCCAAATTTAGTAAGCCTTCTTATTGTGTTGGCAGGTGATTTTTTTTTCTTTTTTTTTTTTTTTTTATTATACTTTAAGTTTTAGGGTACATGTGCACATTGTGCAGGTTAGTTACATATGTATACATGTGCCATGCTGGTGCGCTGCACCCACGAACTTGTCATCTAGCATTAGGTATATCTCCCAATGCTCTCCCTCCCCCCTCCCCCCACCCCACCACAGTCCCCAGAGTGTGATATTCCCCTTCCTGTGTCCATGTGATCTCATTGTTCAATTCCCACCTATGAGTGAGAATATGCGGTGTTTGGTTTTTTGTTCTTGCGATAGTTTACTGAGAATGATGATTTCCAATTTCATCCATGTCCCTACAAAGGACATGAACTCATCATTTTTTATGGCTGCATAGTATTCCATGGTGTATATGTGCCACATTTCCTTAATCCAGTCTATCATTGTTGGACATTTGGGTTGGTTCCAAGTCTTTGCTATTGTGAATAATGCCGCAATAAACATACGTGTGCATGTGTCTTTATAGCAGCATGATTTATAGTCATTTGGGTATATACCCAGTAATGGGATGGCTGGGTCAAATGGTATTTCTAGTTCTAGATCCCTGAGGAATCGCCACACTGACTTCCACAATGGATGAACTAGTTTACAGTCCCACCAACAGTGTAAAAGTGTTCCTATTTCTCCACATCCTCTCCAGCACCTGTTGTTTCCTGACTTTTGAATGATTGCCATTCTAAATGGTGTGAGATGGTATCTCATTGTGGTTTTGATTTGCATTTCTCTGATGGCCAGTGATGGTGAGCATTTTTTCATGTGTTTTTTGGCTGCATAAATGTCTTCTTTTGAGAAGTGTCTGTTCATGTCCTTCGCCCACTTTTTGATGGGGTTGTTTGTTTTTTTCTTGTAAATTTGTTTGAGTTCATTGTAGATTCTGGATATTAGCCCTTTGTCAGATGAGTAGGTTGCGAAAATTTTCTCCCATTTTGTGGGTTGCCTGTTCACTCTGATGGTAGTTTCTTTTGCTGTGCAGAAGCTCTTTAGTTGAATTAGATCCCATTTGTCAATTGTGGCTTTTGTTGCCATTGCTTTTGGTGTTTTGGACATGAAGTCCTTGCCCATGCCTATGTCCTGAATGGTCATGCCTAGGTTTTCTTCTAGGGTTTTTATGGTTTTAGGTCTAACGTTTAAATCTTTAATCCATCTTGAATTGATTTTTGTATAAGGTGTAAGGAAGGGATCCAGTTTCAGCTTCCTACATATGGCTAGCCAGTTTTCCCAGCACCATTTATTAAATGGGGAATCCTTTCCCCATTGCTTGTTTTTCTCAGGTTTGTCAAAGATCATATAGTTGTAGGTATGCGGCATTATTTCTGAGGGCTCTGTTCTGTTCCATGGATCTATATCTCTGTTTTGGTACCAGTACCATGCTGTTTTGGTTACTGTAGCCTTGTATACAGTTTGAAGTCAGGTAGCGTGATGCCTCCAGCTTTGTTCTTTTGGCTTAGGATTGACTTGGTGATGCAGGCTCTTTTTTGGTTCCATATGAACTTTAAAGTAGTTTTTTCCAATTCTGTGAAGAAAGTCATTGGTAGCTTGATGGGGATGGCATTGAATCTGTAAATTACCTTGGGCAGTATGGCCATTTTCACGATATTGATTCTTCCTACCCATGAGCATGAAATGTTCTTCCATTTGTTTGTATCCTCTTTTATTTCCTTGAGCAGTGGTTTGTAGTTCTCCTTGAAGAGGTCCTTCACATCCCTTGTAAGTTGGATTCCTAGGTATTTTATTCTCTTTGAAGCAATTGTGAATGGGAGTTCACTCATGATTTGGCTCTCTGTTTGTTGTTGGTGTATAAGAATGCTTGTGATTTTTGTACATTGATTTTGTATCCTGAGACTTTGCTGAAGTTGCTTATCAGCTTAAGGAGATTTTGGGCTGAGACAATGGGGTTTTCTAGATATAGAATCATGTCATCTGCAAACAGGGACAATTTGACTTCCTCTTTTCCTAATTGGATACCCTTTATTTCCTTCTCTTGCCTAATTGCCCTGGCCAGAACTTCCAACACTATGTTGAATAGGAGTGGTGAGAGAGGGCATCCCTGTCTTGTGCCAGTTTTCAAAGGGAATGCTTCCAGTTGTTGCCCATTCAGTATGATATTGGCTGTGGGTTTGTCATAGATAGCTCTTATTATTTTGAAATACGTCCCATCAATACCTAATTTCTTGAGAGTTTTTAGCATGAAGGGTTGTTGAATTTTGTCAAAGGCTTTTTCTGCATCTATTGAGATAATCATGTGGTTTTTGTCTTTGGCTCTGTTTATATGCTGGATTACATTTATTGATTTGCGTATATTGAACCAGCCTTGCATCCCAGGGATGAAGCCCACTTGATCATGGTGGATAAGCTTTTTGATGTGCTGCTGGATTCGTTTTGCCAGTATTTTATTCAGGATTTTTGCATCAATGTTCATCAAGGATATTGGTCTAAAATTCTCTTTTTTGGTTGTGTCTCTGCCCAGCTTTGGTATCAGAATGATGATGGCCTCATAAAATGAGTTAGGGAGGATTCCCTCTTTTTCTATTGATTGGAATAGTTTCAGAAGGAATGGTACCAGTTCTTCCTTGTACCTCTGGTAGAATTCGGCTGTGAATCCATCTGGTCCTGGACTCTTTTTGGTTGGTAAACTATTGATTATTGCCACAATTTCAGCTCCTGTTATTGGTCTATTCAGAGATTCAACTTCTTCCTGGTTTAGTCTTGGGAGAGTGTATGTGTCGAGGAATTTATCCATTTCTTCTAGATTTTCTAGTTTATTTGCGTAGAGGTGTTTGTAGTATTCTCTGATGGTAGTTTGTATTTCTGTGGGATCGGTGGTGATATCCCCTTTATCATTTTTTATTGTGTCTATTTGATTCTTCTCTCGTTTTTTCTTTATTAGTCTTGCTAGCGGTCTATCAAAGCAGTGTGTAGAGGGAAATTTATAGCACTAAATGCCCACAAGAGAAAGCAGGAAAGATCCAAAATTGACACCCTAACATCACAATTAAAAGAACTAGAAAAGCAAGAGCAAACATATTCAAAAGCTAGCAGAAGGCAAGAAATAACTAAAATCAGAACAGAACTGAAGGAAATAGAGACACAAAAAACCCTTCAAAAAATCAATGAATCCAGGAGCTGGTTTTTTGAAAGGATCAACAAAATTGATAGACCGGCAGGTGATTTTTAGTAGAAGGCACAAAGACAATTTGGTTGAAAATGATTTGATAATTTTAGCACAGTTTGAGGCAGTTTGGGTAATATTTAAGCATTTTAATCTGCTTTTCAGAATTGGGGTTTCTTTCCTCCTTTTTAAGTTTTGAATTCATTTTTACTCATTTAGGCCTGTTCCTTACTATTGGAAACATTATAGAATAAATAGAAGACAGTGGAAACAATATAATGTCCATTATCTCATGCTTGATCCTATGTTTTTATTCAATCATAGAAAAGAAAAATATGTCCTGGCGATTAGAAATTTTTCCTTGATGACCTGTTTTCAAAATTTAAATGTTTCTGAAAACTTTGTCATTTAAGCAAGACAGGCAAGATTAGCTGTGCATAAATTAAAAATAATTATTTAAGAGTAAAAAAAAACTCAGAGCAAAAAAAATTCAGATCATTTGGTTTTCTTTCATTGTTTTTTCTTATTATAAAAGCAGTACATTTTCTTTAAAGAATATAGAGACAAGCAAAAAGAATAGCCCTTTCCTCATTACCTAGTAAATGTTTATTCTTTTATCACTTGCTTAAGGAAGCCTCCCATTATCTTGTGACTTGTTAAAATTTTCCTTGCTGTTCATGCTTATAGCACCAGACACTTCTCCTTCGTAATACTTATTATAGTTGCGTTTACTTCTAGGTTATTTTGAGGATTGTCTCCTCTCTATTCTATAACATTCTTAGGGACAGAAGGATTATTTCTGGTTTTGCATCCCTGGCACTTTAGCAGATTGATTGATGCATTGTGTGGGAATATACTGAACAAATAAATGAACACATTTAATATGGTTCACCTAGATGTAACTAAAACTAACTCCTTAATATGTATCTTTCAACACTTTTTCAAAGACTATGTATTTTTGAATAGGATTATACTATACATACCATTTTAACAATCTGCTTTTTTTCCCCTGCGTATCAGTATACCATGAACATCTTTGGGCAATAAATAGGTCCCTGTAGCATCATTTTAAATGGCTGTGTAGGATCCTGTTGTATTTTGCAGTTAATTTAACCAGTCTCCTTATTGGACATTTTGGTTGTTTTCAATAATATACTATTATAGATTGTGTAGAGCAAGTAGAGTTGGCGAAAATGAATTAGAAATTCTAAAAATTAGGGGACTTTTTATAAAATCTGAAAAAACACAAAAAAGATTACAGACGCATTAACAGTTACAAAAAGCTTATGGTGTTTTAAGATACTTTCAACCAGTTCTGTTTGGAAAGTTTTCCCCCCTCAAATAGTCATTATTGTCTTTTCTTTTCTTTTTTTTTTTTTTTGAGACAGAGTCTCACTCTTGTTGCCCAGGCTGGAGTGCATTGGCGCATTCTCTGCTCACTGCAACCTCCACCTCCTGGGTTCAAGCAATTCTCCTGCCTCAGCCTCCCAAGTAGCTGGGACTACAGGCATGTGCCACCATGTCCGGCTAATTTTTGTATTTTTAGTAGAGATGAGATTTCACCATGTTGGCCAGGCTGGTCTCGAACTCCTGACCTCAGGTGATCGGCCCACCTCGGCCTCCCAAAGTGCTGGGATTACAGGCGTGAGGCAGCACGCCCGGCCAGTAGTTATTATTTTCACCCAAATCACTTTATGGTAGCACCTCTAAACTGACTAAAATGAATAAGACAAGTGGTCTTATTCTCTTATAGGTGAAAAAACTAAGTTAAAAAGTGGTCAGTGACCTCAAGTGAATAATAGTTAAGTACAGATAAAGACAACACAATAAAAGGTCAAGTAGAGAAAAAATCAATGTGCTGTGCTAGTCTGGGAAGGTTTTACAAGGGATGAAGGACTTTGAAGAATAATGGGAATTGGATAGGTGGAAAATGTTGAATAACACGAGCAAAAGCATAGAGGTATAATTAAGTGAGGTGTCACTGGAAGAAGCACAATTAAAGAAAACTTTTGTGGAAAAGTTGAGGTTTTAGAAGCTGTTCGAATGATAGAAGGGTGTCATTTTTGGGTGATCTTTCTAAGCATGTGGTACTATGTTAAATAATTGAATCAAGATTCCATTGCAAGGAATTGAGCTTGAAATAAGATATATCAGATGTGTAAAAAGTAATGAGCTGCTTTATAGGAAATGACTGAGAAGGTAATGTAATCTACAGTGTTTGATTATTTCCAGGCCCGTATCTGTGAAAAGGTTATTATATAGTTCTGTAGTGATAGCACTAGAGACCCTAACTACATGTGTCTTACGGAGAAAACTTTTAGCATACCAGCTGAAGATTTCAAAATATAAAGAGAGTGAAAGGATTTACTATACTCCATGTCCTTTTATTTTTTCAATCCTTCTACTTTTTGTCTAAAAAACCGAGTACTCATTGAGTGCTTATTGTATGCCAGGCACTGTTCTAAGCCTTTATACATGCTATCTCATTTAATCTTCATGAAGACTTCAAAAAATAAATATTACTATTATTCCCCATTATTACAGATTTTAGAGGTTTTTAAAAATTGAGATGGAGATTTATTTGTCCAAAGTCACACAGCTAGAGCTAGTAAGTGACAGGATTAGGAGAAAGGATCTTGCAAGATAATTAGGATACCATTAAAGAGCTATGAAAAGAAGCTGGCAGGGGTAAGATGAAGGGGTAGATGATAACTATAACGAGACAATTCTAAATCCAGGTAAGGATTGATTATGTGACTTTTCTATCACAATGATAGAAGAAAATTCTATTTTGAGAGAGATGCTGCAATAAGTAGCAGAATTTGGCAACTGATTCAATATTCTAAGTTAAAGGGTAAAAAGAAATGGGTGTTCAGGAGTTACTGAATTATGTGATAGCGTTAAAGAATTACCAGTATGATAAGAAATTTGCTTATAGGTAAGAAGAATAAAAGGAAAATAAACTGTTTTGTTAAGGTCAAATTGCTTACTTGAGATAGAACACTCCAGAAACTCCTAGAATATAGTTAGCTCAAGACATGCACATTTAGTAAATAAAAGACAAGTTTAGGCTCTAGTTCTGTGACTTTACATCCCAGGCACTTTGCAAATTCACTGTTTAATAATACAAATACCCTTGAGTTTTTACTTGCAACAATGATTAATATCTTAGTATTCATTTATTTATTAAGGTTCCTAAGGCGAAAGTACAGAGGGAGGAGTGAATGTGTTGGGATAATTTTAAAACATGGAAAGGCTAAATCTAGGAAAGCATTGAAGTACCTTTTTTTTTCTGTTCTTTTTCTTCCTCCTATCCCTCCCTGAGAGACAGGATCTCGCTATGTTGCCCACCTGGCCTCGAACTCCGGGGCGCAAGCCATCCTCTCACCTCCGCCTCCCAAGTAGCTGGGACCACAGGCGAGCTGGGATCACAGGCATGCACCACCACACTTGGCTTAAAGTGGAAGTCTGAGTATGAGTAGCCCAGAGGTCTGAGGAGTGAAGACAGGAAAACCAGGTGAAGGAGAAGGGTAAAGAATGAGGAATAAGAAACTGAGAAAGGGGAACTGAAAGGGGGATGATAATCACCTTCTTATGTAAAGAAATATGCCATTTCTTTTATAAAAGGCATATTTCCAGATTCTAGAAAACTAGAGTTTTATTCCTCAGTTACAGTATAAAATATATCTTTAGTTATAATTTTCCCTCTCAGGTTGGGCATTCTTTTCTTAAGTTGTTCTAAGCATAGTGTTTTAGAAAGCTTCATTAGGGTATACTTTTGTAACATTAATTACTAAGGTTTATTATTAAGGTTTATTAATGTTTCCTTATGCATTTTCCAGGTACAGGCTGACACTTTCTGTTTTAGGCTCAAGAGTGGTATTGAAATTCTGTGTATGTTTTAATTTGACTTCTGATTTCAGCATAATTATAGGTTTGAGAATTTTATTCTATTTTATATGACCAAGTAACTTAGGGCAGTGGAAGTAAAAGGCCTGGGATATGATCAAGTTGAGTGATAAGGGAAGGGAAGCCCACTGGTAGTATGTAACTTGCCCTGTATATATTTTGTCCTGAAGCAAAAACAGGTTACCAAATAAAGGCATGATTTTGTAGTATCTCATGCTCGATTTTTAAAATAATATTTAATTTTTTTGAAGTGCTGATGTTTTTACTGAAGAATACAGGAAAATTTATACTGAAATTGTTTTTTTCAGGATATATACTGAAGGTATTAAAAAATAGTAAATGTACAAATCATCCAACCCTAATAAAAAGGAATGCTCTGAACCAAACAGAAGCAGATTACATCCCTTTCAAAAATTTGAAAGAATGCAGTATTTTACCATAAAAAGAGTACAGCTTTGAAGTGAGACAGACCTAATTTCACATGTATGCTCCTAGTGCATATTAGCTACAGCTCCTCCATCAGTTTCTTTACCTGTTTATAGCCTGTTTCTTTATCTGTGATAAGTGAGGTAATACCTACTTGGCTGTATTGTTAAGATTAATTAGAATAACAAATGCGCAGTATGTCACTTGGAGCTTGGCACATGGTAGGAATCAATAAATGGTAACTTAAGATATTTGTGCAGTAGAATTACATAATGGAAGGAGCTTAGACTTTGTAGTTAGAATCCCTGACTGTGGTGCTTACTTACTGTGTGACACATGAGTGAGTTAATTAATCTTTTTGATCTTCAGTTATCCAGTATTACAGTAGAGTTATTACCTACCTGGGAGGGTTATATTGAGAAATAAATAAGTTAATTTATACAGACCACTTTACTAAGTATCTGACACACAGCAGGTTCTCAATAAATGTTAATCTTCTTACTACCACTACTAGGTCATGTTGAAACTCTTTGGTGAATTGTTTAAATTATTTAAAATCGTTGTCAGTGTTTTCTTCACTATAAAGTAGACTTAAATGGACCCTCAGAATTGTAAACAGTTACCTGCATCCCTTTTCCTACCCCCTAGACTGTTGGTGACATTTCTGAAAAAAGTAGGATTCTTGTATTTAGGGATCACTTCTTAGAACTTATGTGTGCTAAATGCTGTAAATACAGAGTGAATAATGTGATTTCTGTCACCAATAATTTACAGTATAGTAAGGATGACAAACATAAGAACAGACAATTACAGTACTCTAAGTTAAGTATTACATTCATTGATTTGTGTACAAAGTAGAGTGGTAGTTTAGAGGACATGCATAAGAAGAACTGAGATGGAGTAAGTAAAAAGAATTTAAAGAAAATTAAAAGATTTTCTGTTTAGGCTTTTCTCACCATAGCTTAGCTAAAGCTAAAGCAATAGCTAACATTTATTGATCACCTACCATGTGCCTAGCAGTAGTATAAGCTTTTGGGGTGTTATAACCCATTTAATTCTCACAGAGTAGGTAATACTATTATCCCTTGTTTTACAGATGAAGAAACTGCACAAAGAAATAAAGCAGTTTGCTCAAGGTCTTGTATGTGATAGCTGTTATACATGACCTCTATAATAGTAGGTGGTTGTAGCAGGCACTCAAACCCAGGTAGTTTAGTTCTAAAACTCAAGCTTATAACCAATATGTAACATTACCTCCAATTTCCTAATAACATTTAAGCATCCTAATGACGTGGTGAACTGAAATACCAAGTAACCACCTTAGCTTCTCAGTCCATTCAAATAGAGTAGCTGCTAGAGTTAACTGAGAATTTAGTACCTGTGTTTAGTGCCTGTGTAACAATAAGATGAAATTCATGGGACTATCAAGGGTGACCTCTGTTGTGCTTATAAATGAATACAAAATCAAATGGCGCTTTTTTTTTAAGCTAATCAGAGTAGGGCTGGTGGGGAGAGGTTGAGGAAGAATTTTATTTCCTCCAAATTACTGTTTTTATAAAACCTTCCCATACATAAGTCAGCAAGATCATTCAGTTTTTTCTTGTGAACTTTAAAAAATGGTAAAGGCAGTGTATAGAGGAAAGGCATCTTGGCATTCAAATTCATGAGCCCCCTTCAGCAATACTTATGGCACTCAGTTTAGGAATCAATTACTAGCTGTATTATAGAGATATCAAGAATTTAATCACTTCTCCCTGAGTATTGCTTATTTAAGCAGCCCACCCACTTACCTATCTTTGTAGGAGTATACTTCTGTTATAAGGTACTGTGTAAGCACAGAAGTAAATAACAATGGTGAATAAAGAAATATATGTTGGGTTATTTTAATTTAATTGAAAGCAGATGTCAAATGATACCCGTCAATACTTATTAAAATAAGACAGTTAAACCCCTGTGAACCTCAGCAACTCAAAATTTGCAGTTCAGTCATAGTATACATGGATTTCATTGAGCCAAAAGTTAGAAATTTTATAAATTACAGTTCTGCGATATGATTAAAAAGTAATACAAAAAACAAATTATAAACTGGAATTGTGTCAATTGAGTTGACATATTTCTTGCAAGATGATTATATTTATATAGGAAAATGTTTGGAAAGGAGCATTAGGATTATGTACAGCAAAGTTACTTTATGTACGCATTCATTTTCCCTTTTGAAAAAAATATTGACATTTAAGTGGATTTTAGTCTGCAAATGATTGTGAACTAAAAATGACAGAAAAGTATTGCTGAATATTTTTTGTGCCCTTGTGTAGATTGTAAGCTCCTAGAGGATAGGATTTTTCTTTTTTATAATTTTTTACTTCCTTGTTGTCCCCGTAGCTTGTACAGTGTCCTGTATCTAGTATTTGTTGAGTAATTAGCAGTTTGTTAATTGATTTTGCTAATTACAAATTGGGGGAAAACTTTTAATGTGTTTCTAACTAAAAATAGAATTTTATTTTATTATTATTTTTTTTTGAGACAGAGTTTCACTATTGTTGCCCAGGCTGGAGAACAATGGTGCGATCTTGGCTCACTACAACCTCCACCTCCCAGGTTCACATGATTCTCCTGTCTCAGGCTCCCAGGTAGCTGAGATTACAGGCACGCACCACCACACCCGGCTAATTTTTGTATTTTTAGTAGAGACGGGGTTTCGCCCTGTTAACTAGGCTGGTCTCGAACTGACCTCTGGTGATCCGCCTGCCTTGGCCTCCCAAAGTGCTGGGATTACAGGTGTGAGCCACCGCGCCTGGTCTAAAAATAGAATTTTTATGCATGTATGTATTTTTTTGTCACGTTAAATACAAAAAGTAGATATATTTCAGTGTATACTGTGAATTGGCTCTAAGTATGAGGTTTATTTTTTTCCAGTGGTTTCTGATTCCACAAATAACTAGGTGCACTTTAAAGGGAGATGTTTATCTTCTTTTAAAACTTTGGGTATTGATACCGCCAAGGGCAGCCTATTAGGTGAGTGCAGAGCTAAAGGAGTAGAAAAACTTTGTTACCTAAGCTACTTAAGGGGATTTTCACATTAGGCTGGCTAGAGACCATAGTCTTCAGCTGTAGTTCTTATGCAAGTTCCTGACTGCGAAGTCAATGTTAAAGGTAAGGTTTTTTTCCCTATGTAGTCTCATCTTAAGTTGCAAATGTAGATTTTAATTAAGCAGTAGTAATGTGACTTTTTTGCCTAATCTTGCAGTAGATTCTACCGTATAACACATTGGAGATGGTAATCGTTCAGTTCATATAAACATAAAACAGCATTTGTTAATATGTCTGTTAACAGGTAGTTAATAGTTTAATGTTTGCTTTTACTGGGGCTTGTTTTGATTCATCATTTTTATTTGACTCACTAGCAGCCATCTGTTAGTTACAATTTAACTTTCAAGGATCTGCGTAATTTGTTTTTTGTTAATGAAGTGCTATAAACAGCATTATGAAGGTTTTCTCTTTTAATCTTGAAAGGAAAAAAATCCGTCTCTAAAAAAGCAATCACAAAGAAGAGGAAAACTGTCATAAAGTCACCTACTGTACCAGAGTTTCAGGTAAATGTTTCAACTTTGTCTCGAAATTTTTCAATTTTTTGTTTCAGTGTTCATATCATTCCTCGAGAGTTTGGCTGAATTCCAAGAAACTGTAGCACACTTACTTGTAATGAAATGTTTCTGACAGTGACTTTTCTCCCTGCAAGTGCAGATGTAACCAAGATTTAATCTGCTAGTATTTCGTAATTTTTACCTCTATTTTTGTCTTTTAATAATAAAAACCCTTTTTTATATCTTAATCTCTACTAGTACATTTCCTAGAAGCAGTTTAATAGAAATAATATATATATACTATATAGTATATGTGTGTGTGTGTGTATGTATATATATATAATACATAAAAGCAAATGTGTGAATGAAACTCTTCCAAGAACAAATCATAATTTGGAGATGGTAATAGTGCCTAGATAGTTCGTTTTCATTTATTTGGGCACTGTAGAAATAAATGGTAGATTTATTAACTTGGAAAACAAATCTTTCAACTCTTAGCTGTATATGATCTTCAGAGAGAATATTAAGTAAAGGTTAATTGAAATGGTCTTTAAACATTTCTGTGGAAAGAAAAAGTAATTATCTGTACTGCCATATGATTAAGTGAAGAGTTTTTTATTTGTAGCTAATACTAAGCAGAGAATCTCACCCTAATTAATGCTTTTATTTTCTATTTTATAAAAGATGTATTTTCTTCAATAAACACTTTCTTTAAAAACGTCTTTGTATTCATGTGTCTAGTCAATTTTCAAAAGTTTTATAAACTCATACCTAATGACCAAAAGATAAAAGTGGTGTTCAGATGAATTTGTGAGTCTCAAGTCAAGTAGAGATGAAAATAAAGGGACAATAGCTATGAAAATATTGATAATATATAATGTGAGTTTAATAGTTAGATATATCTAAAAATGTGGACACATTCATTTTCAGTAAAAATTCTATTTTGGAGAGTGTTTTTATGGAAGTTACTAACTGGTAAAAATTTAACATTTTTAAATCAACAGTTAAAGAAAATAGACATGTTTTTCTCTTAGTACTGTAGAATAGAATATTTTTAATGATATTCTTAGGATGAATTACAAACATTTCTACAAAATCCTTTTATATATTATATAACCTTGGTTGCAGAGTAGTTAATAAAAAAATAACAATTTTACTGTTTACTTAGAGGCCTTTATACCACTTCTTGTAACATATTTTAATGCTTTAGTATTACATCATCACGCGTCCACTGCTGTCACACCTGTGTTTACTATTTCTCCGACTTTTGTTTTTCTCAGTCCTCAAAGCATCAGCCCTGGGAATGTAGATGTTAGAGCAAATCTGGCCCATTGTTAATATTTCCTCTATACCCATCTTAGTGAATAGACTTTTCCATATATTAAGTAGCACAGGCTGCATAGCCAGTGTTTTTTAAAATTGCAGTGGTATTCATTAGTGAGGCATGAAATCATTTTAGCAGATTGCATGACCAGTGTTTCTTTTTTAAGCTAACAAAATTAAACTAGAAAAGAAATCAGCACAATTACATATAGTAAGTGTGCTACACATAGCAGTGTGAATATGTACACTCACATATATTGTTTCGTGAAACTTTGGTTTCAATTGTATGTGTGTACACAAGGATATGCATTGTAAAATGTGTTGCTGACCATGGGTCATGGTCAAAATATTTTGCCAGATTGAGCTGTTTAAAATGGTCTTGGCCGGGCCCAGTGGCTCACACCTGTAATCCCAGCACTTAGGGAGGCCGAGGCAGGCGGATCACCTGAGGTCAGGAGTTCGAGACCAGCCTGACCTATATGAAACCCCATCTCTACTAAAAATACAAAAAAAATTAGCCGGGTGTGGTGGCATGTGCCTGTAATCCCATCTACCCGGGAGGCTGAGAGAGGAGAATCACTTGAATCTGGGAGGCAGAGGTTGCAGTGAGCCAACATCACGCCATTGCACTCCAGGCTGGGCAATGAGGGAAACTCTGTCTCTAAATAAATAAATAAATAAATAAATAAATAAATAAATAAGTCTCTTCCTGGTTCTCAAGGTGTCCTAGAGGGAGAGAAAACAGAGAGGGAAGAAGAGAGAGAGAGAGGATAGAGAGGAGTAATAGTCTCATGAAAACAGTGGTTCTTATGCCTAGTTTACAATATGAATACCACGGCATTACTCATAAAGAAACTTGGCAACTGTCTCACAGGGAAATAGATCATTTGCTTCAAATACACACATTAATAAAATAGGAGATAGTGCTAGTCACTAGTAAACTTTGCTGTTAAATGCAAAACTTAGTTTTGTCTCTCAAAATAATTTTATGTAGTGTGTTACTTTATTTGAGTCTTCCACATGTAAGAAGACTATTATATAATAAAGTGAATTCATTCCCTGCCCAAAAGTTCTAGCGATATGGTATTTAGCACCTCAGATTCTGTAAATTATTTGTTTTGTTCAAGGTGTTTTAAATATCACATTTCTAGCATTAAACATAAAAATATAGAAATATTTAGTCAGAAGATCTTCATATTATTCATTCTGAAATATCTTGCTTCTGAAAATAATGAACCTGTTTTTGGATAGATAATAGATCCCTTTTGTAAAACCTGACCAGTTTGCCAAAGGACCAGTCTTCTTTAAATTGACAGAAAGCATGCTTAGATAGAGATAAATGAAAGGGTTAAATTGTGAAGTTTTTTTTTTTTAAGTCCTAATGAGTTTTTAAAAATGTTTTGACCTCAGCTGCTTTTTAGTTTGACAATGTTTTTGTTGACTTTTTTTAAAGCTAGAACTTGAACTTGCCCCCCTATTTGCTTCAGAAAGAATCCATGTTTATATACACACCTAATATCTGCACCCAGGTTTAGAAAATAATCATCCTACTCCTATTTAGAGTATACACTGTGAGCATTCAAATGGTGGATTGGATTTGTATGTGTGGCAGGGTGGGGTGGGGGTGTGTGTGTGTGTGTGTGTGTGTGTGTGTGTGTGTGTGTGTACAGTCAGCCCTCTGTATCTGTAGGTTCTGCATCTGTGCATTCAACCTTGGATTGAAAATATTTTCTTAAATGTGTCCGTACTAAACATGTACTGATTTTTTTTCTTGTCATTATTCCCTAAACAATATGATATAACAACAATTTATATCACAACTATATTGTATTAGGTATTATAAGTAATGTAGAGATGACCTAAAGTATATGGGAGGATGTGTTATATGCAGATACTATACCACTTTATATCAAGGTCTTAAGCATCCTTGGATTTTGGTATCCGCAGGGTTCAGAGGTGAGTCCTGGAACCAGTACCCCACGGATACCGAGGGACGACTGTATATTGTAAAGGGTCTAACCAAATGTGTGCCACTTTTTCCTAAGAGTTATGTCAGTGGTTCTCAAACTTTAGATAGTATAAAAATAATGTGATACCTTTATTTAAAATGAAGATTGTTGGTTTCATCCTCCAAAAGACCTTGATTCAGTGGGTACCAGTAATCTGCATAGTGGTTAAACACAAGGGTTCTGCAACCAGGCTACCTACTTGGGTTTGAATGCCAGCTCTACCACTGATTAACTCTGTGGGGTAAGGTATTTAACTTCTCCATGATTCCAGTTTCTCATTTGTACAGTGGGGTAATAATAGTACCTTCCTTGTAGAGTTGTGAGGATTGAATGATACAGCTTACTGTTTTAGCCATTTTTATTGTTTTCAAATAAGCAGGTCAGTCGCTTCTGGTGAAAAACACTGAATTATGAATAGGAAAATCAATTAAAAATGGCATAAAAACATCTATTATTGACCCTTAGCACTCTTTCCATTTACTTAAAACCTTGAAATAAATCTTGGATTTGGTCTTAATGAAAGTGGCACATGATTAAGCCTACAAGAATTTGAAAAGTGGAAAACCAAGTAATAGTATTTGCATCATTATGTTTGATGAGAGTGAAAACTTACGTTTATCCCTGTTGTATTGTTATGATGCATTATATATTTGTCATGTAGGGGAAATTGTTGGATTTTTTAGTGATAATTATAGAATATTGGTGATTTAAGCTTTTATATCAACTTTAACATTTACTTACGACTTTGTTAAATTGGTAAAATTCTTTTTCCTTTATCTGTTTTGTAATCAAAGAAAGACTATTAGACTGAAAAGTGAATATCAGTTTTCCTAATAGTTACTTTTTCCTAAAAAGTCTTTTCATTTAACATTTAAGAGAGAAATCTAATGTTATATGACTTATCTTTTGTACATAATTATGACAGAAAGTTACAGGAAGTATTTTTAAAAACTAATGTGTTGAGTCTCAATAACATAAGTTTTAAAAATAATTTAACAGCCTTAGTTACCCTAAGTCTGCTTTTCAACAATAACCAAAAAAAAATCTTCCATGCAGTGTGCCCTTGCTCCCATTTCATATGCATGATTGATTTTAAAGGCTGCTTTGCAGAAGAACTCCAGAATCCAGCTGCTAAGACTTATATTACATTGTTTTCAAACATAAGAAAAAACTCACTGATCCTTAACATACCTCTGAAAAAACTATACTTCTCCATCTAACCAATGGAGAAACTAAGGGATAAGAAATAAAGTACTGCAACATAACAAATTGAAACCAAAATTAAAATTAGGGTTTTGTTGTTGTTGTTGTTGTTGTTGTTTGTTTGTTTGTTTTGAGACGGAGTCTCGCTCTGCCGCCAGACTGGAGTGCAGTGGCACAATCCTGGCTTACTGCAATCTCTGACTTCCTGGTTCAAGCGATTCTCTGTGGTTTCCTCTATCAGTGTGTCATCTTAGGTCATTTTACCTCTGTTAGTTTAATCAGCTTTTTAACTGCTTACTGTATTAAGATGTTTTGATTATATCATTATTTTGAATTGCTCCCTCTTAAAATGAATATTTTTAACCTCCGCTTTTTGTTTCACTTTTAACAGCAGGAGTTCTTCCCCCTTAAAATTAATATAGTTCTCCCTTAAAAATATATATAGTTCATTGAGAGAAACATCTGTGTTTAATCACATGGTTGTTTATCAGACTAATTTGGCTTTCATGTCACAAGTGATATCCTTATTTGCAAGTTTTTAAGTAGTCCTTGTTGCTGGTATGGTGATGATAAGAAATAAAAAGAAATTTTCCCATCTGCATAGTTTTAGCAGATGCCATTATAATTTTAGTTTAAATACAATATAAATTTTGAATTTATACCATGCATTTAGTATTTCACTTATTATTTTTATAATAAATTACAGGATCTTTTTATTAGAACGGGAGTGAATGTGTGATCCCTTTTGTCTGGACCTATTCATTTTTACTTTTCTACATTGTTTTCCTTTTGCTTTGCTTTTTAATATAATCTACCATATTGTTTGTATTTTTTAATGTTACCTTATGTCCTTTTTTGGAGCAAGTAAATATCTTTTAGACCTATTGAATTTCTATCCAAAGGACATAATTTCTAGTTTGAAGTATCAGTAAAGTAAGGAATGATTTATTATGTAGTTCTGAGATACGGTCATGGAGTTTTTTTTTTTATCTCTACAGGGCCTCCCCACTCCCACCACATACATACATTGCTGCTTGTTGAGTTGAAGAGAGGACCTTTTAATATTACCATTTAATAAAAATGAAAGCTTAGATATAAACTGAATCCTAAAACTATAATACAAGTTCAGTTGTTAGATTTCTTTATTTTTGTGTTGTTATAAAGACCCTTTTAAAAAGAATATAATATAGTAGGAGAAGTCCTGGGTTCTGTGGTTTCCTCTAGCAGTGTGTCATCTTAGGTCACTTTACCTCTGTTAGTTTAATTACCTTTTATATGAATTGGAGATAGGTCTCTTTAGCCTAGGCTAAGGCTTGGACAAATTACACATTTTTAGTCCCTTTCAGCTCTGAGATCTGTGATTTTGTAGCTCTGCCATGGATTATATTAAATGAAAGGTTAACTTGAGGGAGTGTGACAGCCTTGGAGAGGTTCTTGCTGGGAGATAAAACTCTTCTTGTAACCTCTGTGGCTTGACTGAAAACCTCCTCTCATAAGTGTTAGCAATGTGACCTGACTGTAATCTGAGCTGCTATGGAGTTTCGTGTTCACCCCTGCAGGCCCTGTGCCTCAGATACGTTTTTCAAATGCAAGATAATGAGAAGGAGGTTTTAATAAGGTGTTTTGCTTTTTTAAAAAAAAATCTTTGTTCTCCTTTTTTAAGTTGAACTTTATTTATTGGGTTGATTCTGTTTTTAAAAACATCATATGAAGTTGAGTTGAATGTAATGGCCACATATATGCCTTATTTTGGAGGCAGAAGAGAGGTAGTAGAGTTGTATATGACATCGAGTTGGCATAAGTCAAACTAATTGTGTTCCTATTCAGTTTTATAAAAGGTTAATTTGACTCTATATATTGGGTATATATATTAGGTATACATTAAATATACATATAGAGGGAATATATATTAGTTTTAATATATAAAGTATAAATTGTTATGTAGCTATTAACGTCATTTTAATATAACCTCAGAATAAATATTATAGCTAAAAATATTTTAAGAAACAATTGTCTTATCGTACATTTAATTCAATATGCCATTCCCTATTTGGAAATTAATCTTGTATTTTCATACTCATTAGCTCCATGGTACCAGAATGTTCCAGTAGCCATGTTGATTTATAATTCATAGTCATTTAGTACCTTACTACTCAAAAATGTTATTTGCAGGCAATACCTGGAAACTTGTTAGAAATGCAGAATCCAAGGTCTCACCTCAGACCTACTAAACAAAAAACTGTTTTATTAAGATCCCCATGCAATTCTTATGCACATTAAAGTTTGAAAAGTACTAATTTAGTACAGTTTACTAACTAGATACAGCCACTTGAAAGTGTTATTTTATGTAGCTCTTAAGCTGTGTGATTTCATTCGTGGTTTGGCTTCAGAACTGTGTTATCTCTTGCTTTAAATGGAACATAAATATCTGTTGACTTCATAACTAATTGATAATTAAGAGATCTCAAAATGTTTTAGGGCATGTTTAGTTGTAGAGGTATATGTCTTCATTGTTCCTGTAAGTTTCTATGAAGAGATAACTGTGTTATCTCTTCCTTTAAATGGAACATAAATATCTGTTGACTTCATAACTAATTGGTAATTAAAAGATCTCAAAATGTTTTAGGGCATGTTTAGTTGTAGGAGTATATGTTTTCATTTAGTTCTAGGGGTATATGTCTTCATGGTTCCTGTAAATTTCTACAAACTGCATGCAAAATATACCCTATTCCTTGTGTAGTGAGACAACTGAGATGCAAGTAAAAATTCCTCTGTGGTTTGCCATATGTGCAAATAAGAAATCTATGATTTGATATTAACAAGTACACCAAGTTCGGTGAAAGAGGTATAGCCATCCACCTGCAAGCTCTGGGGCAAATTTGACACCGTCATCATAATAGTAGATTATACTATGAAAAGTTTAGTCCTCACTGAATACTTAATAAAAATCCACGGTAGGGACAACATTGTTCCAAGTCTTCATAGTTACAATAGAAGTTGAAGACGCTCTCTAGTTCTAGACCCACTTACCTGGTTGGCCAGTCCACTGCTTGACCATCAGCATTTCTTTCATAAGTAAATTTGGCAAATTGGAATGTGTAGTTTCTAATAAATACCAGCTACACTGTCCCACTACATCATTGTATTATTTCTACTCTCAAATTGTTTAATCTGGGTTATTTAAATACATATTTTCCCTACTTGGTCAATTCTATGAATTTGAAATTATATAGATATTCCTAATATGTAATTGTTAATAAAAATTATCTGTGATCATTTTTTCTTAATCTCTTAGGTTGAACTGTCTTGCCATTTTTGTGGATAAAAAGCATATCAGCAATTTCATATGGTTTAACCTAATAGAAGAAATTTAAGGGGCTCTGTCTTATTTTTGTCACTCAGTAGCCACAAGGAATTATCTTGTTGTGACCCACTTTTGCTTTTATTGTTTTTGTTTGCTCTTCTAACAGAAGAAAGTGCCCTTTAGGAAAACAGTCCCCTGACACTGAAATTAATGAATGTATCGAACTTGGGGCTGATAAAAGCTAATGGTGAATTAGTAATTTATAAGTACAGTTTTTTTTTAATTATCACATGGTATAAACATTACAATAAGACTTTTCATTAATCTGAGATTTTTCCTCTCTATTCGGTTGTAGTTTTGTTTCAGAAATCTAGTTCTTTTTCGCAGTAATTTTTTTTAAATAGCTTAAATTATTTTAGGAAAAAAGTATATTGAATGAATTGGAGAAATTCAGTATAATTTTACAAAAACTAAGATGTAGTTACTAATATTTTTGTTACTGTTGTTGACAGTTCACTAAAACTTTAGTAATTAAACCAAGCTAGTTTAGTTGTTAGTAATTAATAATTATTTTGGCCATTTGCCAATGTTACCAGGTGAAATGAAATGAGCCACACAATTATGAAAGGAAATAGATGCTATCTGTGGAGATGGTTTTATTAAAGACTACTAAACTGATATTAAGAATGTGTACTTCATTTTGTTTAGGTCTTTGAATGTGTTACATATAGTTGCAGTCCTTTTAGCAACCCCAACAGCAATAACTAAGGTTTGTTAAATTGTATAGTTAGCAAACCAAGGCAAAGGTATAACAGTTCTCCAAGAGTGTGTTTATTCACCTACTGGGAGACTGCCTGATGAAGCATTTCTTAAAGGTGATTTGACAACCTGTGAAATCTAGGGTGAGTTTCCAGATCTTTGTCATTCTGGGCTGAAAGTTAATGATGTTAAGAAAGTACCCGAATTATAAAGCAAACTGAAAGGTGGGGATGTGGGATGAAACCACCAATGTTGAAATTTCAGCTTCTTTTATACTAAGCCTGAAGTTCATACATCATAGCAAGTAAATATATTTTAAAATATAAACTGCAGAGCTTTTCTTGCTTTTTACTATTACAGAGAAAAATAATTGTGAATTCAGTGTGTGTTAAAACAACTTCTGTTACCACATTTTGGGTGTTTTATATTATGTGTTATCAAGCTGTGTTTTTGTGTTTTATTTTAGCTTATTTGCACTAATCTTGATGAACTCAGGGAATTAATCACAAAAATCGAGAATGAACTCAAAGATCTGGAAAACAGTAGAAAAAAATCGGTAGGTGTTGATCCAAAAGTTCTATCTATTATTGTCAGCATTAAAATTTATTCCTGCTTTTTCCTAAAGCCTTTTTGAAATCTTGTTTTCCTGGATTACATGAAAATTTACCATGAAAGATAGAAACATTGTTTCTTTTATTTCTCCTGTGTGGTCTAGTTTTCATTTTTAATAGACAGAAATCGTGCCAGGGGCTGTTAAATTAATTTTGTTTGCCTGGTTTGTATCAGGTATAGTTTTAGATATTTCCCAGTATACTGGCTGGTTGTTTTCTGACTGGTAGTTTTTTGGGTAATGTTTGCCTTGCAAATATTCTTAATAATTATATGCTTTTAATGGAAGTTTATTGCTTAGTAACATAAAATTTTAATTCAGTGTAACATAAAAACAGATGTAAATTGTTTAATACTGCCCCGGATAATTTTGACACATACTTAACAATATGACTTTTTAAAGAACCTTTATCTGCTGAAAGTTTTTTTTTAACTTTCACTATATCGTCTAAATTATAATTAATCTTTACTTTCATTTTCTAATATTTTTATTGTTCTTGAGAGACTAGAGTTTAAGGGCATATATTTATTCACCTGATACTTGGTAAAACACTCAATTGTGCTATTTATTAAATCAATAACACCTATTTAACTAGCATTTATAGTTGGGCTATGCACAGATTTTAAACACAATTACATACCAGTAAATAAATGGGAAAGGCTTTAAACCTGAAGAAAATCGTTTTTTTTAAACCTTTCGTTTTGCGCCTTAGGAATATCATGAAGCCACTTTTAGATCTATGCTCAGAACCTGTTAATATAAATATGTATAAAATATGGTTAGTGATTCAGCAAGTTTGATATCGGCAGATTTGTGTTAGTCATTTTATATGTTGTTAGGAAAGACATGTTGGTAGCACTCTGAAAGGAGGAGATTGCAGTACCATAAAAGTACAGCCTTCTGAAGTTACTTAGTACTAGGGTGAAACAGCCTTAAGCATTTCAGAAGTCTCATGTGTGACAGATAACCCTGAGAGTATCATGGTAATTTAAGAGAATAAATGCTCATGATGATAGTCATCAATTAGCAAGAAAACATTATGTTCAATAATTAACTTGAGAATGTGGAAAAGTGCATATTTTGGAAATATTTTCATTAAAAATGGTTTAGATTCTTATATTTTTATACGTATACACTTTAGGTGTATAGGCAGTCTCTTGATGTGGAAGACCATCTGTTTCATTAAAATTTACTGCTGTGATATATTCCTCAAATATTTATGTTATGTAAATGTCATTTACTCTGTAGCCAGAGGGTTTTTTTTTTTTTTTATGTTTTATGCTCAGAAAGGACTAATTCTGTTCCTTAATGGGAAGGAATAGTCTTTTTAAAATATCAGAGTGTTACTGTTTTTTGCAGAGGTTGTTTTTAGGGAGGTGTCCATATTTCGTTCTAAACAATTCTGTTAAATAAAGTTGCCAATTTTTTATGCTACAGTTAAACATAACTTTTATTTATTCCCATATTATAAATTAGAGCATTTTTTAATGCATAGTTTTAAACATAGTTGAATTATGTACTTATGGTATATATTATAGGAGAAAAAGACTTCTGCAAGCATTCTAGAGGCTTCTGTAAAGCCATTCACCTCATTTCCATTGGTACTGTGTAGAAGAAGAATAAAAGAAAACATAAACCACAGCCAGGCGTAGTGGCTCAGGCCTATAAATTTAGCACTTTGGGAGGCTGAGGTGGGAGGATTTCTTGAGCCCAGGAGCTCGAGACCAACTTGGACAACATAGCTAGACCCCGTCTCTACAAAAAATAAAAAATTAGCTCAGCGTGGTGGTGCATGCCTGTAGTCCCAGCTTCTAAGGAGGCTGAGGCAGGAGGATCACTTGTGCCCAGGAGGTCGAGGCTGCAGTGAGCTGTGATCATGCCACTGCGTTCCATCCTGGGCAACAGAACCAGAGCCTGACTCAAAAAAACAGAAGAAGAAAGCATAAACTACAAATATTTGACATTGTATTCCTTGAGGGCATGTTAATCAGAAAATTTTAGATTACCCTAGGGTTTAGTTGATTTGATTTGTATCTCTAAACTTTTAACTTGTCCATGCCCCCTGATGTTTGCATATTAGTTTTAAAATATGTTTTCCACCCTTCAAAAAGTAGAAATTCTTGGAACTGTACTTAGCAGGGATAATCTTACTGAGATTACTAAACATAAGAGCTCTTTCTCCTTAATTTAAACTGTTTAAAAGATTGTTTACATGAACAGACTATCTTAACCAATGAAACAGCCACATAGCAAAAAGCAAATAGACAATAAAAGTTTGCATCTATTGTTCCTTATTTTTTACAAAAGCTAATATTGATTGTGATAGATATTCTAGGAATTAACTTTATTGAATGTTTATGTTATGAAATGTATGTTACGTTATGTTATGTTACGTTATGTTATATGTTATGTATGTTTACTGCCAGTTTAGCATCATTTGGGAGTAAGGTGTTCCACTTAACTGAATTTCTAGATAACTGAAATGTAAACCTTTGATACTAAAACAACTTTAATGGAAAAACTTCCCTGACTCCTTGTACTAAACACAATTTAACCTTTTCTTTATGACTTGAGGGTCATCGTTATGAATAACAATATTGTTATATTGTTATATATAGGAAGCCTTCCTTCACTATTGTCAGACAAATGAAGTATTAATACTGATCTTCATAAGAGTATTTCACTGTCAAAACTAAGTATCTGGAGTCAAAACAATTCTTTTATTATCAACATTCATTATCTATGATAATGGCTCCAGTAACAAGATATATTCCATTATAATATTTTGGAAATATATTTATAAAATATTTCTTTTTATAAATTATAAGTGTCATTACTAAAGATAGAAATTACACGTGTGATAGAGGATTTAACATGGATTCATATAATACAAACACCTAGCTGCATCAGGAGGCTTCTCTGCAGGGACTTTCCAGATAGTATTTCCTACCAAAGTAGAAAAGCAGCAGGGAAGAATGGTCCCATTTTTTCACTCAGGTAAACATTCCATTTTAAAAGTTTTTTTGTTTTTAATTAGTAAACTTTATTTTTTAGAGCAGCTTTATGTTTACATAACAAAGTCTTTTTAACCTTTTAGAGGTTGTGTCATTGAACTACTCATTGTACTGGAAGACTTAGTGTTTTAAAATTTAGATTGTTTACTCATTCTTGCAAAGCAACTAATTTTGTTTATGGTTAATGTGAAGAGAAAAATGCTTTTAATTTTCTGAAATTTATACGCAGTTCACTTGATCCCATCACTCCATTTAGGGGTTTAGTCAAAAAAGTCCTCATCATCGTTTAGATCCTGTGGTACTGAACTTAATTTTTATCTACCAGGTATTTGTTAAAAGTGAGACCTCTGGTTGAGATAAATATGTAGTTTGACAAAGCCCTTTAGTTTTTGCTTTCTCATCATTATTTACATGATAGCATTCTTTCATGATCTAAAGAAGAAATCAGAACATTTTGTTTTTATTTTTGTGGTTTTAGTTAGCAGATAAAATTTGCATTTTGCTTATTTAAAAAATACCTGTTTTAATGTAGAAAATTTATTAGTTTTCCTGAAAGATAGAGCTAAGATATTGATAACTTTACCTGATCTTATTGTACTTGAAATTTGTTAGATAGTATTGCTTTCTAAATAATAAAAATTGGAAGATTTCGCCAAACTTATATTTCTAAGTTTTTCATATAATCCCCTTTTCCCTCATATTTGTTTAATGCCCTTTATGTTCTGTATCATAGTTCTGATTTTCAAAGAAGTTTCAGTCTTTTTCAATTAAGGAAAGACCCTTGTAGAGATTGGGTATGAGGAAAAGTGAAAATTTTGCAATAACTATGTTATTTATAAGGAAAAAAACCTCTTCTGGGTTATGTGATGATAAATGAAAGTCTTATAAATATTGATAATTAAATTTTAAATGTAAGACCACATCTTTTCTAATACATCTTTTATCAGATAAGCCCCTCAACATTGAGTAAGATCTAAGATTTTATTTATTTCTAAATTTTATAATCAATATGTAAGGAAAGCTATACATATTGAGCACAACCGCCTGTTTGCTTTGATCCTGTGATGATATTTGGAATTTAACTTTTCTCCCCATTTGTCCTCCCTACCCCCAAAAGTAATGTACACAATGGTGTATTTAGCAGACCACCCCTCGTAGTGGAAATTTGGAAAAAATCCATATGTCCAGCAGTAGCGAGGTGACTAACTAAACAATATTAACACACTGTTATATAGCTAGCAAAATTGGTAGATCATTTTTACAATACGGAAATATTTGTGAAATGTTAAGTTTTAAGAACATACACAATAGGCCAGGCGCGGTGGCTCACGCCTGTAATCCCAGCACTTTGGGAGGCCAAGGTGGGCGGATCACAAGGTTGGGAGTTCGAGACCAGCCTGGCTAACATGGTGAAACCCTGTCTCTACAAAAAATACAAAAATTAGCCAGGCTGTAGTGGCGCGTGCCTGTAATCCCAGCTACTCGGGAGGCTGAGGCAGGAGAATTGCTTGAACTAGGGAGGCAGAGGCTGCAGTGAGCCAAGATCGCACCACTGTGCTCAAGATTGTACCAGTGCACTCCAGCCTGGGCGACAGAGCAAGACTATCTCAAAACAAAAAGACATACAAAATAATATGTACATAATGATTACAGTATGTAAAAAGATATGTTAAAAAGAAAGAAATTTCAAGTAATGGATAAAATTAATCTTTATTATGTTCTTAAAATAAGGTAAATTCAGAATACAATAATAATACTTCTCTTACCTAACCAAAGGGTGTACATTAGCTAGACTGAATATTAGAGAAGTCAGAAGCTTAGATCAGAGATGCTAACTCCCCCAGTTTTTTGGTCACAGAGTTCTGTATAAGCCAGTGGTTATCAATCAGGAATGATTTTGCTCCCCTTCCCTAGGACACATTGATTGTCATAGTTGAAGAAGTGGCACTGGCATTTAATGGATTGAAACCAATGTTGCTGCTGAACATCCTACACTGTAATGATCCTACAGTGCACAGACATTTCTCCACAACAAAGAACTGTCTTGTCCCAAATGTCAGTTGTGCTGAGGTTGTAAAACCCTGGTAAAAGCCTGTATTTGCTAAGGGCCTTATTCTTTCATTCTGTCCACTGCTGCCAACTTACTTGGAGAGAAAACAAGTTGATGTTTTGAAAGTTAGGTAGAAATCACTGAAATCATAATACCAGATCCCATCATAGAGAGAATTCTATTACATAATATACTTCTAATTAAGACTTGTACTTGATGGAACTTGTGAATGTCTGTGTTAACCTTTACCTTTCGTGATTCCATCGATGATTAAGAAAGATTCTTGACCTTAGCTTCCCTTAGTATAGGAAATAAGTTACAAACAATATGGTTATATATGTATTTTCTTTATTCAGTTTTAGAAATATGATGTGATATGTTCTTAACTGAAGATATTGTAAGGAATGATAACATAAGTAAATGGAAAAATATTGACAAGTAATGTTATAAAATAATGTTATAAAACTACATATAATGTTATAAAACCACTTATTACACATGTAATAGTAGTGTTTTAATTATGTTATAAAACTACGTGTAATAAGTGGTTTTATAACATTAATAACGGCTTTCACTATATGAATACTGATATGAGGCAAAGAAATTATTGTGCATTAATCTTATTTTCTAACACCTGTAAAAAATAAATTTTATTCTATTCTATTGAAGGATAATGGAATTTTCCCTCTTCTCTCCATTTCATGTCCCATTTTCTCAGTAAGGTATCAAGTCAATATTTTTAATATTATTTTATAGCCAGCTGTTTAGAATACAAAATCTGTTGTACTACAGTATAAGGAGATTTAAGTATATTCAGAGTTCTCAGTAAGCCCTAATTACTTTACTTCATGGCTTTGGTTGTAATAATCTCTAAATTATTCTTAAAATTAGTTTTATTTAGGGTTTTAACAGTCACATCATGTGTACGATATATTTTTTATTCTAGATCTTCTGGTAAACTCGTTAATGGTTAACAAAACTGAAAACTATCTCAGCTGTGGGAGAAAATCAATCTACCTTTAAATAGTTACACTGTCTTTTAAAAATTAAAATGACCTTTTGGAAATGTTGCACAACAGATAAAATGTGCTTTTTACCTGCTTAGTTACAGATTCTAGCCTTATTTATTAGGTAACTATTTTCTGAATGTCTTCTATGTGCTGTGTATAGTACCAGGAACTTGGTAGGAATCCAGAGATTAAAACTAAGTTCCTATAGTCAAGGAATTCACTTACAGAGTAAGATTTTATCCTCAACCTGTGGGTTAAAATATTTATTTATTTTAATTTATTTTTATTATTTTTAAGATAGGGGCTCCTTGCTCTGTCACCCAGGCTGGAGTGCAATGGCACGATCATAGCTAGCTCACTGCAGCCTTGACCTTCTGGGCTTAAGTGATTCTCCCACCTCAGCCTTGAGAGAAGCTGGGACTAAAGGCTCAAACCACCACACCTGGCTAATTTTTGTATCTTTTGGAAGAGATAAGGTCTTGCTGTGTTACCCAGGCTGGTCTCAAACTCCTGGGCTCAATTGATCCTCCTGCCTTAGCCTCCCAAAGTGCTAAAATTTTTATTTTTAATTAGGGTTGGTTGGGCTAGCCCCTGTCCTTTTATAAAATATTTAATCTTTTATTTTCAAGCTGTTTATTCATAAGTCACCAGACACCATAGACATTTGCTCACTTCCCTTAATTACATGTTTATATTAATATGTTGTTTGGGAGTAGGGTAGAAGGGCAAATAACATGAATTTTATGGAGAATCAAATGTTAACTGACATGTTCAGAATAATAATGAAAAAGGGGACCTAGATGATAGGAAATGTGAACCAGATATATATGACTGGTAAGGCAAACAAAGCTTCAGTTGACTGTAGTCACTGAATTATTTGAGAATGCATTATCTTCATTCATATTCTACTCTGCACAACTAAGAACTAGATTTTAACTTTGGTTTACAGTGCTCACTGTTTCTACTTACTGCAGTTTGGCTTGATGGTTTGAATCCCATCAGGGAAAGTTGCATGAAAACAATGTTTGAAAACCTCTCTCTTCCAAAGAAAGATTGTACATTGGTTTTACATCAGGCAGGGAGTTAATGCTGTATATTCCATTTATCCCAGCACAGAGTTGAGTTTCAGAGGAGTTGACCTAAGTACAGATCCTTCTGTAGTCAAGAGCTTTCTAGTGTTTCTTTTTCTTTTTATTTTCTTTTTTTTGTAAACGGAGTCTTGTTCATTTGCCTAGGCTGGAGTGCAGTGGCATGATCTCGGCTCACTGCAACCTCTGCCTCCCAGGTTCAAGCGATTCTCCTGCCTCAGCCTCCCTAGTAGCTGGGATTACAGGCATGTGCCACCACGCCCAGCTAATTTTTGTACTTTTAGTAGAGATGGTTTCACCATATTGGCCAGGCTGGTCTCGAACCCCTGACCTCAGGTGATCCACCCGCCTCGGCCTCCCAGAGTGCTGGGATTACAGGCTAGTGTGTCTTTTATAATTTGCTTTAAACCCTTTTTTTTTTTTTTTGAGGCAGAGTCTTGCTCTATCGCCCAGGCTAGAGTGTAGTGGCATGATCTCGGCTCACTGCAACCTGCGCCTCCGGGTTGAAGTGATTCTCCTGCCTCAGCCTCCTGAGCAGTTGGAACTACAGGCACGTGCCACCACACCCAGCATATTTTTGTATTTTTAATAGAGACAGGGGTTCACTATATTTGCCAGGCTGGTGTCGAACTCCTGACCTTGTGATCCACCCACCTCAGCCTCCCAAAGTGCTGGGATTACAGGCATGATTGCCACCGCACCTGGCCTAAACCTTTTTCAATCACGTATCACATACCCTTATTCAAATATAAGTAATTTAAATGTCAAACATTTTTCAAAGTCCCAATAAATTTGTATTGTCTTCTGTTTAACAGTTTGATTACTACCTTCCATGGTTCTGGAAAATTGAATTTAAATCTATGAAGGTTAAGGTAAAAAAATGAGCTTTACATCATTCTTAGTTTTTGTATTATAGAAGATATAAAAATCTTTGGAAAGACTTTAATTCAGTGCCTTTTGTGAGTTGGGAAATTATGTCAAAACTCAGTGGACTGAATATTAATAAAACTTTCTTAGCATCTTACTAGACTCTGTAGAAAAAGAAAAAAATTATACATCATATATTGAAGGAAAATTAACCCAGAATCCAGCAGAGAGCACAAAGGAGCCTAAATAGAGAGCACAAAGTACACATGTGGATGTTCCACTACTTTAAAATAGAAAGACCTTATGGGAAACCAGTTCTTTAAGATGTAATTCTAATAAGTAGTAGCAGCTGCTTTTAATTAGGACAGGAGATGTTTAAGGCAGATTTACTGACAGCATGAAACACTGATAAATTATTCATTTATTTGTTTTTGAGACAGGGTCTCACTCTGTCACCCAGGCAAGAGTGCAGTAGTGTGATTTTGGCTCACTGCAAACTCCACCTCCAGGCTCAAGCAGTCCTCCCACCTCAGCCTCCCCAGTAGCTGGGACTACAGGTGCACACTACCATGGCCGGCTAATCTTTGGATATTTTGTAGAGACAGGGTTTTGCCATGTTTCCCAGACTAGTCTCGAACTCTTTGGCTTAAGTGATTTACCTTCCTCTGCCTCCCAAAATGCTGCGACTATAAGCATAAGCCCCCATGCCCGGCTAATGAATAATTTTTTTAAAAAGCAATTGAAAAAAATAAGTAAAAGCAGGTCTTAGGAGTTTAAAACTAACAAAATAACTCGTTCATAATGATGACCCAAGTCATCAAGTTAGATTATATTCATTATATTGTCAGAAAATCTGAAAGACTTATACTTTAGGAACATTTTAATCAGTTTTTAAATAACCTTTTGTATCTAAGGAAGAAACCTCAGTTACATGAGAAATGTGCTTATGTAGTGGAACACTTAAAGTGGGCCTTTTCTGTCAGAGTTAGGCGTTGTGAGAGAATATGAAAAAATAAAAGTAAGTAGGATACTGTCCCTGCTTTTCAAATATTTCCCGTCTTAATTTCACTTACTTGGAACTTTTTATGCCCCTCTTATGCCAAATAAACATGCCATTACTTTGTGGTTTAGATTGTGCTGTGAATTGTTTGAGAACCCATCTTTCTGATAGCATATATGGATCTGTTAAAATATCATCAGTTTGTTGGCTTAATATCAATTTATTGAAAACAGTCAAATTCAGATACTCAACCAGTGGTTAATTTCTAGTCCACGGTTCATTCTTTGTAAATGAAAATGGTAGCACATTGTCTCTTAAATGTATATTGTTAGATTTTCTTCCCCGGTGATAGTGAACTACCTTACCAGGAATGTGACCTGTCACCCAGTTTTTCCCCCGCTACAAAGCTGGAAGACAGAGAAACTTGAAATGTTATCATTATTGTTATTGTTGTAGTTTGCCTTCATGCTTTCTATTTAAATGCTAATTTAGAAATATAATGGAAATGTTGGATATACTATTCAATGTATTCAGTGTGGGATGCCTTTAAAGTACAAACGCGTTCCTTTTCTCCTAGTCTTAAGTAAAAATTGGTAAGAGTATCAAGAGAAAATAATAGCATATATAATAGTTCATGTTAGAGCTTCTGTCAGTGTTAAAGTACTTTTTAACTTTTTTCATATTTATATGTATTATACTGTCAAAATAGCACTTTTTCAGGGACTGTGTACCAACATGATTAACATGATGTTTTACCCCCAAAACTGTGAATATGCAGGAATATGTTAGTATGGTGGTAGTTTCTGTAGGTAAGCAGTAAGAAAAATAGGTGAATACTTATTGAATATAGTATTACCTTTTCATGTAATAGTACTTAGACTAAGGAGAATGTCAAATAATTAGTTTATTAAAATACTTAGTTACAGTTTATTATATACTGTTTTTATACATGTGAGTTTAGATTATACCTTTGGATATAGTTAGTGATTTTAAATGAGACATCTTTTAGTGCCCAGCTAACTCAGTCAGTAGAGCACGAGACCCTTAAATAAGACTTCTTTTTGTAGGGATCCATTTAGCTTTTCTAAAAGGTATTTGTGTTTTAATTAAAAAACATAATATGGCCGGGCGCAGTGGCTCGTGTCTGTAATCCCACTACTTCAGGAGGCCAAGGCAGGTGGATCACTTGAGGTCAGAAGTTCAAGACCAGCCTGGTCAATATGGTGAAGCCTCATCTCTACTGAAAAAACAAAAATTTAAAATTAGTTGGGCGTGGTGGCAGGCATCTGTAATTCTAGCTACTAGGGAGACTGAGGCAGGAGAATTGCTTGAACCCAGGAGGTGGAGGTTGCCATGAGCCGACATCGTACCTCTGCACTCCAGCCTGGGCAACAGAGCAAGACCCTGTCTCCAAAAAAAAAAAAAAAAAGAAAAGCGTAATATATTGATATTTAATACCTTCTCTACCACAGAATTTATGTCTGTGACAAGAATTAAACTTGTAACAAAAAATGTTCTGTGCTTCATGTGTCTGTGATCTAACAACATATTTGTAAATAAAAGCATATAGGAAAAAAGCATTCATACTTTTGTTGTATATGTTTTGTACTGTTCTTTTAAATAAAAATGTTATCTCCACAATAATACCATCTCCATTTTAAAAAGCATTCTTTGTATATTTTTATATGATTTTAATTTTTTCTTCATATGACTGCCGATACCTGTTTTGTTTAGATATAATATTACAAGAAAAATCTATGTAAGTAACTGTATGGCTTGTATAAACAAGTGACTTTCACCTAAGTTTAATGTACAAAGTATCTAAATTAAAGTGTGCAAAATATATTTGTTGTTATGAGACATTTAATATAGAATTTATTTATGTCCCTCTTTTTTTCCTTTTTAGGTATCCAATGTCCCCAGCATCAGTAGATTGCCAACTCCCTCTCCTTGCCACACTCCAGCCAGTGTTATGCTGGTGCTGTCATACCCATCCCAGATTACTGTAGCAGAATGCAGTTGTTCTTTAGTTGTGAGGTAAGTTTCCCTCCCGACTCATTTCACATACATAGAGATGCAGCTTTTCTTTTTACAATATTGTGTAGTTTTGTAAGTTATTTTTTATTTTCCTTTATGATTCCTTAAGTTATTAATCTGTTACATTCAAAGACTTATAAAACTGCATGATATAATGAAGGACTTAATCTTGTGACCATAGACCAGTTCCTTGTTGTAGCAATCCCTATGGGGTTATAAAACCTCCAGTGTTTGGTAGTTGGGCCATCTTATGGAAAGGGAGCTGGCAATCTGCAGCTGCCGTGGACATTGGATGAGAAAGCATGAAAGGTAAGCTTCAAATTTAAATTATATTGTATGTCTTTGGTTCCATAATGTACACTTGAAATTCATACTTTTGTTGATTCATAAAAGAAAAATACTGCTTGTCCCTTTATAAAGTGACCTTCAGTAAATATTTGAATTATGAAATTCATGTAATGCATTGAGATTCTCTCAGTATTGTTTGCCTATGAAAATAGTGAAAATTCTAACATGGAAACAGTTAATTTATCCCTGTGTTCACATACTTGTTTATAAAGGAGAGTCAGAACTAAAATTAGATGCATAAAGCTTATTAAATATATTTTTATTAGAGAAAGTCATAGCACTGCTCCACAAATGATCTTTTACTAAATTATCTATCTGCCATTTTTATCTTTGTTTGTGTATTAATCAGTATAGAGAAAGAGTCTTAAGAACCTTTCTGATTTTTATTACATCCACATTCTGTCTTTGTGTTTGAAGACAGAAGAACTTGCTGTTTTGCTTTTAATTCACTCTTAACTTTAGGTCATTATTATTTTAATTATTATTGTAATTTTAAAAGTTAAAATAAGTCTTAGAGATTTTAATTCTTATAATACAGAGATACCTACATGTAAATATAGGTACTTACACAAGATAATCTATGTCTTCTTTAGGAATTGTCTTTGTGGGGTCCAAGAAATACAGCATTGTATAGTGGAAGGAGATTAGACGTTAGTATTTAGAGTGTAGAATTCTAGTCTAATGGCTGCTTCTGTCGGCAAATACAGTTGTGTCTCAGTATCCTTGGGAGATTGGTTCCAGGACCCCACCTTCATACCAAAATCCATGTATGTTCGAGTGCCTTATATAAAATGGTGTAGTCTTTATGTATAACCTACACACATCCTCCTGTAGACTTTAAATCATCTCTGTATTACTTATAATATCTACTACAATGTAAATGTGATTTAAATACTGGTTATACTATATTGTCTAGGGAATAATGACAAGAAAGAAAAGTCTGTATGTGTTTAGTGTAGACACAACCATTCATTTTTTTTCTTCCAAATTATTTTATATCTGTGGTTGGATACCTAGGGTCAACTGTACTTCCCTGTATAACTTTAGACCATTTTCTTCTAGAAAATAAATGCCCTTTTAGTTTCCTTTCAACTTTAATAATTTCATCCGAGATGAAACATGATCATTGTTCTTTGTTTTTCCCTTGTCCGTGTATATGAATAAAGTTGATCAATCAGAAAAGCTATTAGTAGCTTTTAGTTAATGACCTAATTTAAAGTTCAATAAATATTTGCTTGATTTTTATGTAGATTTTTATATTAGACCCAAGATAAGGCAGATTATCATCTCATTTCTTTTATATAACTTTTCTTCTCTTTACATTAATTTCATTGTATACCATGCAACTCTGAGAACACTACTAAGTAGAAAGGGACAGTGTCATTATTTTAATTTGATTGGGGTTATAAGCACCATGTTTTGACCAAAGCAGATGATACATAAAACAGGCAGTGTGAGTTTCCCTTTTACTCTAAGTAATTAAAGCACCTTACCTCAAATAGCAATCCCAGAACAGTTAATTTTCAACTTTTTTAAACCTCTGCATGCTTTTGAGCAACATAAAAACTTGACTCACATTCTCCATGGCAGGGTATAGGGGTGCCCTTTGTTGTGGTCATTATATTCATATGTATCTGCTAGACAAAGCATTTTATCAGTCTTTTCTATAATTTGTGTTGTGAAAATAATAAACTTTTGGGTTTGTTTTCGAAATATAGAATGATTTAATAAGCATTTTCAAATTATGAATGAAGTACTATACCACCACTACCCCAGACTGAAAATACATAAAGAAAGAGAAGAAGGCCACAAAACATATAATGTTAAAAGATAACAGACATTTCAAAACAGATTAGTGGGTAAGTTGTATGAAAGAAGTCTGTTCTCTGATCATAATATTTAAGCTTCCTTCCTTATATACAGTCTTCTAGTTCAGTAGTATATTTCTCCATGTGGGATTAAATTTCTAAGATTAGTAATAAACATAAAAGGTAAAAACTTTCTAATCTTTTAAAAACTTTTCTACAAAAATTAATATTGTAATTCAACAGAGGCAGAAATACAGTTGACAAATATCTTGAAATAACAACATCCCAGCTACCCAGTCTCCCCATCCTGTGCCTCATCTACCTAGGCCTAAGTAAGGTCTTCTGTGCCACAATACTGCTAGTCCTTCTGCATCCCCCGCCACACTACCACTTGCTAATCCAGGCAGCAGTCATACTGCCCAGAGTAACTCTACAGCTGCCATTTTTCTCCTGTAACTCCCGGTGAGGAATTCAGCATGCCTGGTGTTCCCTAGCCTTTGAACAGTTTTCCAGTTAATTCTGCCACAAAGAGTATAGTCTCCCTACTATCATATCTTTCCTCTTTCTTCTCTCTTTAACTTAGGAAAGATTTACTTCCACTCTGACCATTTGACTTCTTGAAGCCAAATAGTTGAGAAGTGGAAGAATGTTGGTTACAAGTCTACCTAATTTCTATTTTAAGTTCACTTTTTCTAGATGAAAGTTACTTCCTGTTCAATTTTATAATGTATCATTTAATAGTTTTGTGTTCATGGCTTAAAATAAGCACTTTTATAACATTTCTTTGAGAAAAATAAACTTGTAAGGTGTAGCTCATTTTTAACTTGCGTCCTTTGTGTACTTTAGAACACATTTAACAAGAAAGAGGCCTATCTAGATTAATATATGAAATAAAAATTACTTTTCTTGAATTTTTTTTCTTAATTCTTTGATTCATCATACCATTAAGAAACAAGAATTAGTCATGAGCCTCGGTTCCATATTCATTACGTGCACATGCACATATATAATCTCATATCTTCCTACTCTTCTAGTAAGCAATTCCTCTTCTAAGATATAAAAACCTCAGAGGTAGAAATTTACCTGTTAATGTGCATAAACATTCTGCTGGTTTAAAGCACAGAATATTTTTTGTAAAACTGTACTGTTCGTCACACAGGTTTATATGTGACTAAAATTTTCATGACAAATTTGAAGGTCATATATATATATATATATATATATAATCTCCTTATATATATTGGGAAATTTATGCACATGTTTGTAATAGTTTTTGCTCTAGATAGTGGTAATTTTTCCACCTTAGTGTTCTACTTATATGCAAATGGACTCAACAGTTGCTGTAGGACAAAATCTGTTTATGCATGTTAAATGTGACCCATAACGTATATAATTATGTATCTTTTGTTAGAAAGAAAACATGTGGATTGTGTGATGTGTGAATTATATCTCAAAGCCATTACAAAAAAAAAACCCAACATGATTATGTAACAGTAGGTGATGGTAATAATAAGTATATACTGTGGCTTAGCAGCTATAAATTTATTGTTCCTATGTTATTCAAATAATTTTATATATACAGGTGAGGTGTATCTTCTAGAGGTTTCTATAGCCTGTGTCAGATTGAATTCATGTGATGTACTTTTTAAGAGGTAGTGATGTGGTTCTAAGAGCTTGGACTTCAGAATCAGGCAGATACGGGTTTAAGTTATAGGACCTTAAGCAAGTCATTTAATCTCTATGAGCCTTATTTTCATCATTTGTAAAGTGAACATAACAATGCACACATCTCAGAAGGCTTTTTGTAAATGCTAGAGCTCTCTCTAGATATATATATATGTGAAATACCTAGGTTAAAACTTAGCAAATTGAGAGGACATCAGTAATTATTAACTCTTAGTATAGCATTAGGGTATTGAAAACAGTAACTGCTTGGTTGCTTTTCTGGGCTAGAAACATTGTAAAATAAAATAATTGTAAAATTTCCTAGGAAGTTTGTTAAAAAGACTGCTTTTAGACATGATAACAAACCTACCTTTTCTCCCTTTTCCCCAGTCTTTGGGAAAGTTACAGTAACTTTACTGAAATGACCCATGTCATACTTACTTAATGAATTTATATAAATGTTTGTGTTTTTACATATATTTAACAAATGATTTATTAAAACATTTACAATTGATGCAATTTTAAAACATTTTTAAAATTTTTATCTTCCAGTTGGATGAAACAGGTTTCAGATTTCTCTGGTAGAATTGAGAATTGTTACATATATTGAATAAAATTTATTACAGGATATTTTCCCCCTTTCTGCAAGCTTCTGAAGAAGAAATACGTTTTTATGGAGTATTGGTGTTTTTGTATTTTACTCAGAAAATAAGTTTTGACATTTACTTTTAGAATAAATCTAAGGGATTTACTTTAAACATTATTTTTAGGGAAAATGGTATCATCGGAGGCAAGCTGTAAAAGAATTACATAGTACATTGATACGTCTTTTAAATGAATTGCTGCCATGGGAACCAAAGTTAATGAAGGCTTTCCAAAGAAACAGGTAATTTTAATGTTATAATCTGTTTTACTTATTTTATGGTCCTTAATTTACGATTTTTGGATGATGTCCTGGAATCATTTAGTAGTTTTCCAGTCATTTGTAATTCGGCAGATATTTTTGACTGCCCACTGTGTGCAAGGCTCTTTCTAAGCCCTGAGAAAATATTGTTGACTAAACAAAGTCTCCACTCTGTGACTTACATTCTCATGGAAAAAAACACACTCAAATGTCAGATGGCAAAAAAAAGTGCTGTGAAGAAAAATAAAGCAAGGTAAGGGGGTTAAGAAATGGCTGATTTGGGCAGGGTGAAGGTTACTCTTTGATCAGGTGTCAGGGAAAGCTTCCCTGATGAGTTGGTGTTTGAACAGAGACCTTAAAGAAATGAGGAAGGGAGCTCTGTGGATTTCTGAGGGGAAAGCAGAGGGAATAGAAGGTACTAAAGCCCTAGAGTTGATAGCATGTTTGGCGTTTAGTGGAGATGCAAAGAGGCAAGTGTAACCAGAGCAGAGCGAGTGAAGAGAAATGTGGTAACAGGCAAGAGTCAGAGAGGTAAGGAGGAAGGAAGCCAGATCATGTAGATCTTTAAGAATTGGAGTTTTTACACTGAGTTAGGTGAGAAGCCATTGAAGGGTTTTAAGCAGGGAAGGGACATGATTTGATTTATGTTTTAAAGCAATCACTCTGTTGGGTGGAGATAAATGTAATAGGACAAAGATGAAAGCAGGGAAACCAGTATACTATAGCAGTAATCCAGGAGAAAAATGGTAGAGGCTTGGACTAGGATAGTAGCAGTGCAGATACCAAGGAGTGGCTGGATTCTGGATATACCTTGAAAGTAGGATTGGTAGAATTTGCTTAAGGATTGGATATGTGGAGTATGAGAGAAAGTGAGGAATGAAAAAGATGATACCCACTATTTTTGGTCTAAACAACTGGAATAATGGAATTGCCATTAACTGAGATAGGGGAAACTCAAGGAGTAGCAAATTTGAGAGGTAGAGGGGATTGAAGAGTTGGATTTGAACATGTTAACTTTGATATGCTCTTTAGACATATAATTGGTGTTATTGAATAAGCAGTTCAGTATAGGAGTCTGAGTTCAAGGGAGTCTGGAGGTACAAATTTGGGAGCTGTCAGCATCTTGATTGTATTTAAAGACATAAGGCTGGTAGAAATCACTTAGTATATGAGCATAGATAGAGAAGAAAAGAAAAGCGAGCATTAGACCTTCCAGCATGTAGAAGTGGCCAAGATGAGTAGGACTCAGTAGAAGAGACTTTGAAGGAGTGCTCAGTAAAACAGGAAGATAGTCAAGGAAGAGAAGTGTTTTGGAAACCAGGTAAAGAAAATGTTTCATAAAGGAGGGCTGCTCATGATGGGTTGAGGAAATGAGAAATAAGAATTTATTATTTAATTTGGCAACATGAGGATCATATTAATGACCTTGGTGAGCTGTGGTAGTAGAAGAGTGGATAAAAGTCTTAGAAGTCTATTCAGGAGAATTAGGGGAGAGAAATGGAAGAGTCCTCTTTCATGGAGTTTTGCTATAAGGTGGAATAGAGAAATGGAGCAGTATCTGGAAGGAAAAGAGGTTAAGAGAGTGTGTTTTGTTGTTGTCGTTTGTGTGATAGAATAACATGTTTGTGTACTGATGGAAATGATTTAGTAGACAAAAAATGGATTCAGGTAAAGGAAGGGACATTTGGTAGAGTGTTATCCTTGATTAGGTAAGAGGATGCATTTAAATGGAGGTGTTAGCTTAGGTAGGGAGATGGAGAATAGGAATATACATTAAGGTGAGTTGCAGATGAGGTGTGAGCATGTGAAAGTTCTCTTCTGATTGCCTCCATTTTTCTTGAAATAAGAAGTAAAGCCATTAACTGAGACCGAGAAGGTTACTGAGAGTGAGAAGGGAGGAGAACTTTATACTATCCCCACATAGATATTTTTTCATTCCAATCTTATAGATTGAAAGGGAAATTCATTTTATGATTATCATTTGGTAACCCATTCTAATACCTTTCACAGCCCTCATGTGCTTCCATAAAACCCTTAACAATAATTGAAAACCTACATAAACTGAAAGCAATTATTAACTAACATTTGTTGAATATTTATGTGCCACACGTACTGAGAGGTAAGTACTATTATTATTCTCATTTGTAATAAGTAAACTGATGCTTAGAAAATTAAGGAATTTTAATGTTTTGGAAATTAAGGAATTTTAATGTTTTAAAAATTAAAAGCCACTTTGGGAGGCCGAGGCAGGCAGATCACGAGGTCAGGAGATCAAGACCATCCTGGCTAACATGATGAAACCCCGTCTCTACTAAAAACACAAAAAATTAGCCGGGTGTGGTGGCGGGCACCTGTAGTCCCAGCTACTCAGGAGGCTGAAGCAGGAGAATGGCATGAACCCAGGAGGCGGAGCTTGCAGTGAGCTGTGATCGCGCCACTGCACTCTGGCCTGGGCAACAGAGTGAGACTCCGTCTCAAAAAAAATAAATAAATAAAAAATTTAAAGCCTGGGCAATATGGTGCAACTGTGTCTGTACAAAAAATACAAACATTAGCCAGGTATGGTGGTGCATGCCTGTGGTCCCAGCTACTCAGGAGGCTGAGGTGGGTGCATTGCTTGATCCTGGGAGGTGGAGGTTACAGTGAGCCAAGATTGTGCCACTTGTACTCCAGCCTGGCGACAAAGCGAGACCCTGTCTCAAAAAACTAAGTTAAAATTGAAAGTCTTACAACTGGTAAGTGACAGAGGTAGGACTTAAAATCTAATGTGCACAAATAAGAATGTATAGCAAAAATAAATTGGAGAACATGGCCAGGCGCAGTGATTCACGCCTGTAATCCCAGCACTTTAGGAGGCCAAGGTGGGCAGATCACGAGGTCAGGAATTTGAGACCAGCTTGGCCAACATGGTGAAACCCCGTCTCTACTAAAAATACAGAAATTAGCCAGTTGTGGTGGCGCGTGTCTGTAATCCCAGCTACTCAGGAGGCTGAGGCAGGAGAACTGCTTGAACCTGGGAGGCAGAGGTTGCAGTGAGCCGAGATTGTGCCACTCCACTCCAATCTGGGTGACAGAGCAAGACGAAGGAGGAAAGGAAAGGAAGAAGGAAATGGAGAACATATGTTCATGTTTATTTTTTGAATAAACGACACTAAGGGTAAAAGTTGAGGATAAGGTAGAACACTTAGTTGAAAACAAAAGGAATAATGAAGGATCTCTAAAATACCATGTTTCCATCTCTAGTTTCTCAGAAATAAAGCTATTATGTTTTTATATGAAAAAGATCTCTGTGAAAGATTACTTTTCAGCTTTGTTTTCCTAGGCATAATTTTTTAAAATATTTCTATTAAGATTGAAAGGTTTAGATACAATTACTCCCAGGATTAAGTGATAGATTTGTTACTCTCTGTATGATAGTCACAAAAATAGATACTGGTGCTTAGAATTTCTGGCTTAAACTTTTTTTAAATGACCTTTTAAGATGTGTTATAGTCAGTAATTTTAAGACTCTAATCTGTCAGTGCAGCTAGAAAAAAAATTAGTTGTCTCATTTAATTGGTCTAACAGCAACCTTTATAAAGATGATCAGATGGTATGTTCAAATCTTTATTCTGAAATTTGCAGATATATATAATTTTTTTTCTTTTCTTTCTTTTTTTTTTTTTTTGAGATGGAGTCTCGCTCTGTCGCCCAGGCTGGACTGCAGTGGCATGATCTTGGCTCACTGCAACCTCCACCTCCTGGGTTCAAGCAGTTCTCGTCCCTCAGCCTCCCGAATAGCTGGGATTACAGGTGCCCACCACCACGCCTGGCTAATTTTTGTATTTTTAGTAGAGACAGGGCTTCACCGTGTTGGCCAGGCTGGTCTCAAACTCCTGGGCTCAAGAGGTCTGCCTACCTCGGCCTCCCAAAGTGCTGGGATTATAGGCATGAGCCACCATGCCTGGCCAGATACATATAATTTTTTAAGTTTCAAGTTTCTTATGCCTATACCATAGGTTCTGTCTTCCTGAGCATTGGCAAGACTGAACTAAGCATCTTAGACACACTTAAGATTAAAGCATTTCTAGTGACTTAATAAAAAATATTTCCATATGTAGTTTAAAATGTTAAAAGTTAGTTTAGATTCCAAGAATTTAAATCATATGTATTATTTATTATGTTGGGCATTTTATTTCAGGAGCCGCCTGAAGAAAGACTATGATGATTTCAGAAGACAACCTGATCATGATACATTTAATAGAGAACTATGGACCACTGATGAAGGTGAAGGAGATCTTGGAAAAGACTCTCCTAAGGGAGAAATCAGTAAGTCTATAGACTCAACAGAACCTCTGGATATCCTGGAGAAAGATCACTTTGATTCAGGTAAGCATTAAACTTTTTTTTTAAGTCAACACTGAAGGCACAAAGAGAAGTTTTTGTTTGCTGTGAAGGCAAAAGATAATATGGTCAATGAAATATATTGATTAGGGAAATCTGTTATGTTTTGAAGAAGTAGTGTCCACATCCTTATAAGAAGTTTCTACTAGCCTAGGCAACATAGCGAGACCCCATCTCAACAAAAAAATAAATAAAAATTAGCCAGGCATGGTGGTTGCATCCCTGTAGTCCCAGCTATTCAAGAGGTCGAGATAGGAGTATCACTTGAGGCCAGGAATTTAAGGTTACAGTGAGCTGTCCACTGCTTTCTAGACTGGGCAACAGAGCAAAATGCTGTCTCAAAAAAAAAAAAAAGTTTCTTGGAGTCATTATTACATTTCTAGGAGTTTCAGGAGCCAGTAATTGACTGCAAACTGTAGGCCTGTCATTGCCCATTACAAACCACACACCCTTGATCTGTAATCCCTTTGAAATTGGTTCATGCTCTTCTTTTTATTATTAGTATTTTTGAAGCACTGTATCTGAAATTTACTTTAGAAATAGAATTTGACAAGTTCTTAATATTGTGAAGATTATTTTTTCAGGAATTACCATGGTTGATGGCCTAATGAGACCAGAATGAACACATCATTTTAATAAGGATAAAGGGCTGGATTAGATTACCTGTAATTCATTTCAGTTTATCAGATTACGTTATGTAAATCTAGTTTAATGACTTTCTTTGGTTATGTAGAGGTTAATATGGGCAACAGAGTGGTTAGAAATGCATTAACTTATTGTTTTCCATCTTTGGCAAATTAAGAGTAATGTCTTATAAACCTAGTTTGACCGAATATGAACATAAATTTTTTCACTATAAGGATGAACATCAGTAAAAGCTGGATATTTTTTGTCCTTTAGAGTCTCTAGAAATAGAATAGATTGGAGAACCATCTCTCTATGGTATCAAAATGTTCCTAGCTAGAAAAAGAGAACTAGATTCCTTTGCAAATTAAATTCTGAGCCCTGATTGTTTATTTGGGTATTTCTAATGAAACAGTTTTTTGCACTTACACTGGCAGAAGAATTAGCAGAATTCTTGACCAAAAATTTTGACCAAAAAAATTTTCTCAATAATAGGTTTTTCTTGGGCATGGTTATGATATCTAGATTATCATGTCAAAGATGACCTTACCTTTGTCTTCATCAGTGGTGCTAAGGCTTTTGAATCACCCTGCAGTAGATTTCTTAATACACTGCCAGCTCAAAGATTGACTTTCTTTTTTACAGTTGATGTTATTACTATTTAGTTGCTGTTTTATATAAACAAAATGCCCGTTTTTATAATTTTCAGATGATATGAAGTTGTCAGAAATAGATTTTCCTATGGCTAGAAGCAAGCTGTTGAAAAAGGAATTGCCTTCAAAAGACTTACCGAAGACACTGCTTAAAACACTTAAACGACAGTCCAAACAAACTGATTATGTGGATGACAGCACAAAAGAGCTTTCTCCAAGGAAGAAGGCAAAGTTAAGCACAAATGAGACAACAGTTGAGAATCTAGAAAGTGATGTGCAGATTGACTGTTTCAGTGAATCAAAGCATACAGAGCCATCATTTCCAGAGTCATTTGCCTCATTGGATTCAGTACCAGTGTCTACTCTCCAGAAAGGGACCAAACCCATTCAGGCTTTGCTTGCAAAGAATATTGGGAATAAAGTGACCTTAACAAATCAACTGCCTCCTTCCACAGGTAGAAATGCTCTTGCTGTGGAAAAACCAGTTTTATCTCCTCCGGAAGCAAGCCCGATAAAGCCAGCATTGACCTGCCACACCAATACAAAAGGTCCTTTACAAATGGTATACAAAATGCCCTGTGGCCAGTGGTTGCCAATAGATCTTCAAAATAGCTCTGTAAAGATTCAGGTGCAGCCTATGGTGGATCCTAAAACAGGAGAAAAAATCATGCAGCAAGTTCTTATTCTGCCTAAGAATTTTGTGATTCAGCATAAAGAAGGAAAAGCAGTTGCAAAAGAAGTGCCACCACTTCAACAGAAAGGTACAGAACAACATTGTTCATCTTTCCCACAGACAACAAATATAAATTCTTCTTTAGCATCAGTTTTTGTCAACTCACCAGGAACTGTTTCTACCCAACTACCAAATACAGCTTTCAACAAAACAATTACACCTTTATCAAATATAAGTAGTGCTAGACCACAGCCTTTGTCGCCTGTAACCTCTGTAAGTAACTTATTAACACCATCAGTTAAGACTAGCCAGAGTGAGGCAGGAAAAGCCAAGAATGCAGTTTCAGCAGCCACATTCTCCTTGCCCAGTGCTTCACCGACCATTTCCTCCACAGGTCAGCCTCTGTCATCAACAACAACACTAAATGGGTCTACAAATCCTGGTAGTTCCTTCAACTGTTTTGCACAACAGACTGCTGATTCTTCTGAAGCAAAGCAAGAGCTGAAAACTGTGTGCATAAGAGATTCACAGTCAATTCTTGTTAGGACACGAGGTGGGAACACTGGAGTTGTAAAAGTACAGACCAACCCAGATCAAAATTCACCCAATACTGTATCTTCAAGTTCAGTTTTCACTTTTGCTCCTCAGCTGCAGGCATTTCTGGTGCCAAAATCAACAACTTCTTCCTCTGCTTTTTCACCTGTAGCTGGAACAACTACTACATCTAGTCTTTCACCTTTTAGCCAAACACCAACTTCTGTTTCCATTCCAGCTAGCTTTGCCCCATCCATGGGGAAAAATCTCAAACTTACATTAGGCCACACCACTGGCAGTGGTGATTTGGGCCACGTGATAGATAAAACTTCACACATGCCCTCTTCTCCCTTGAAGTCCTCTATTTGTTCTAGTACTCTACTACCATCAACAACAAGTAGTTCGGTAAGTGTAATTAGCATATCAGCAGCAAATTTTGGACAAAACAATGCAAATATTATTCATACTCCAACTAAACAGCAACAAGTAGATTATATCACAAAAAGTTACCCTGTTACAAGGTCAGAAGCAACAGCAGCAACAAATGGAGATGTAATCAGTGGGACTCCAGTTCAGAAACTTATGCTGGTATCAGCTCCATCTATTCTTTCTTCTGGCAATGGAACTGCAATTAATATGACACCTGCGCTGACATCTACAGGTGTTTCTGCCCAGAAATTAGTTTTTATTAATGCCCCAGTTCCTAGTGGTACATCAACCCCAACTCTTGTTGCAGAATCATTAAAACAAACTCTTCCTCCTCCATTGCATAAAGCATATGTTAAGACTCCAGAGCAACCCCAAATAGTACTGATTCCGTCTACAGTGGGCACACCAATAAAAATAAATTCATCACCAGCTGTGTCTCAGATAAAGGATGTGAAAATTGGACTAAACATAGGTCAAGCAATTGTAAATACTTCAGGCACTGTGCCAGCTATACCATCAATTAACATATTACAAAATGTAACCCCAAAAGGAGAAGACAAAAGTAGCAAGGGCTATATTTTGCCATTGTCAACAAGTGGTAATTCAGTTCCAGTAAGCTCAAATTTTGTGAGTCAGAATATTACCCCTGTTAATGAATCAGTGGTTTCTTCAGCAAGAGCAGTAAATGTGCTTTCAGTTACCGGAGCAAATTTATCTTTGGGTTCCTTTCCAGTGACCTCAGCCTCTGCTTCAGCTGGGGCACAACCTCCTGTTTTAGTCAGTGGAAATGATACCTCTTCAAGAATTATGCCTATTTTGTCAAATAGACTTTGCTCATCAAGTCTCGGAAACACTGTGGCTATATCAACTGTGAAAACAGGACACCTTGCATCATCTGTTCTGATTTCAACTACACAACCAGTAGTGTCTCCTAAATGTTTAACATCAGCTTTGCAAATTCCTGTTACGGTTGCCTTACCTACACCTGCGACTACATCCCCTAAAATAATAAACACAGTTCCACATTCGGCAGCAGTACCAGGAGCCACACGTTCTGTATCTATTTCTAAAAGACAATCTCGGACTTCACTCCAGTTCCATTCACCAGGGATTTCAACTACAGTGCCAACAAATGTAAACACAAATAAACCTCAAACTGAATTGTCGTCCCTTTCAACAAGTCCAGGTAAAATAACTAATACGTCCAATTTTGCTTCTCTGCCAAATCAGCAAGCTTTAGTAAAAACCCCCAGTTACAGTTCTGCTCCAGGTGGCACTACCATTCACACGGCTTCGGCACCATCCAATGTAACTAGTCTAGTCGGGAGTCAGTTCAGTGAACCTTGTATTCAGCAAAAAATAGTCATCAATACCAGTACACCTTTGGCACCTGGTACTCAGATTATGATTAACGGAACCCGGTTTATTGTTCCACCACAAGGTCTTGGAGCTGGCAGCCATGTTCTCCTTATATCTACTAATCCAAAATATGGAGCCCCCTTAGTTCTTAACAGTGGCCAAGGCATTCAATCTACACCAATAGATAACTCTGCCCAGAAGATCACACTAGCATCAAATAATTCCTTAAGTGGCCAACCTCTACAACATCCTCTAAGAAGCCCTACAAAATTTATAAACTCTTTTGGGAATGCAAGTTCTATACCCACAGTACATACATCACCACAACTCATAAACACAACTGCTAAGGTTCCTGTTCCACCTCCTGTACCAACAGTATCACTGACTTCAGTAATTAAGTCTCCAGCTACTCTTTTGGCTAAGACATCTTTGGTTTCTGCCATTTGCCCCAGTAATCCTCCACTGCCAAGTAGCACTTCAGTGTTTCATTTGGACCCACCTGTCAAAAAATTGTTGGTTAGCCCAGAAGGAGCCATTTTGAATACCATAAATACTCCAGCATCTAAGGTTTCTTCACTCTCTCCATCTCTCTCTCAGATTGTTGTATCTGCCAGTCGAAGTCCTGCGTCTGTCTTCCCTGCTTTTCAGTCGTCGGGCTTAGAGAAGCCTGACAGAGCTGCATCTTGAATTTAGACTAAAAGAGCCAGTTTTTAAATAATGGGGCATTGTTTTGACTCCCATAAAAATTTTCAATGTTTATTATACTGTTGAAAGCATACTATACATTGTGTGTGTGTGTGTGTGTGTGTGTGTGTGTGTGTGTGTGTTTTAATGTATCTTTTCATTAGCTTGCAACAAGGCTTTGTTTTCTTGGGGAGGGAAAGATCTGTTCCATTTCACTTACTGTTCTGAGGAGGGTTTCAAGGTTCTGTGTTTAAAGTCAGGATTTACCTGTCTGTAGAACATAAAGTGAACAAAGTTTGAATAGTTTAGAGTAAGCTAGCCTTTTGCACATTTACATTGACATGTTTCTTCTTGAATTTGGACTGTTGCAGCATATCTATGATATGGTATTCAGTGTCATTAGTGAAATCTTATTTTTGTTTCTGTAAAAAAAAAAATACATATATATATTTATGCATTGTGAAAAATGCAGTCCATGATGTAAAATTGTACATATTCCAGAATCCCTAACAACCTGTACTAAATATATGTACAAAGAACTATGCTGTCTTATTTATGTTTTGTTTACATAATGTATAGTTTTTTAAGTATTTTAGTAATTTTGGACCAGTGAACTGTTAGCAACAATGCAGAAGAATCTGCATGTAATAAACTGAGTTGCTGTATTTCTTTGTTTGAATACCATTTTTAACGTGTGTTCTTGTTCCATTGAAAGAATACAGGATGTAATTGAAGACAGTCCTTTACAAGAAAGAATTAAGGGTGGGAAATTTGAATTAGAGCTAGCACTTGTACATGGCTTTCCAGCTTACAAATACTACTTTCACTTAAATCTTGTGTTTCAGAAAATGCCTTTTTTTTTTTTTTTTTTGACTCACCTGTTGCCCAGGCTCGAGTGTAGTGGTGCAGTCTCAGCTCACTGCAACCTCCACCTCCTGAGCTCAAGCCATCCTCCCACCTCAGCCCCCCAAGTATTAGGTTGGTGTGTAAGTAATTGTGGTTTTTTTGCCACTAATGCCACTAATGGCAAAAAAAAAAAAAAAAGCCACTAACGGCAAAAAACCACAATTACTTTCTCACTAACCTAATAGCTGGGACTACGGGCATGGGCCACCATGCCTAATTTTTTAATTTTTTGTAGAGATGGTTTCACCATGTTGCTAGGCTGGTCTTGAACTCCTGGTCTCAAGAGATCCACCTACCTTGGCCTCCCAAAGTGCTGGTATTACAGGCATGAGCCACCGCACCCAAGAATATGCCTCGTTTTAAATAAAAGGTAGCTTTTATATTTATTGGATCTTTATATCCATTATCTTGAGCTACTGAACTGTATACTCATCCTTCCATTTATAATGTTGTTAAACTTCATCACATGAAGTTATTGTTGGGGGTTGGAAATGATATGGAAGCATAGGCCTAAAGATTTCCTTTGAGACTACATCAAAGTGTATTTGTTATCAAAGTGGAGAGGGTAGTGAAAATATTCCTAGAAAGTCACTAAAGGCTCTCAGAAACCGCTATTTATGCTCTAAGTACTTTTCCTAGTCATGTTTATGCTCTACTCAAGTCACTCTCCCCGTTTTTCTGTCAGTTAAGAAAGCCCTGGGGAAGTGGGTGATATTTCAAGTGCATTGCATTGCGCATTGATGGTGCTCAACAAATGGCTGTATTTACCTACTCAGCTTTTAAAACAAAATGACCCAAAACTGTTTGCCTTTTGTCTCAGAAGAATTCTCTTAAGCCATTTTAAGAAACTAATTTACTGAATTACCTATGGCCCAACTTTAATCCCAGTGAAGGACCTAAACTAACCACTAAATCTCTCTCTTTTTTTTGAGACGGGGTCTTCTCTGTTGTCCAGGCTGGAGTGCCATGGTGCTATCTCAGCTCACTGCAACCTCTGCCTCCTGGATTCAAGCAATTCTCCCACCTCAGCCTCCTGAGTAGCTGGGATTACAGGTGTGCACCACCATAGCCCAGATAATTTTTGTATTTTTAGTAGAGATGGGGTTTCACCATATTGGTCAGGCTGGTCTCGAACTCCTGACCTCAGGTGATCCGCCCACCTCAGGTGATCTGCCCACCTTGGCCTCCCAAAGTGCTGGGATTATAGGTGTGAGCCACTGCACCCAGCCACTAAATCTCTTCTAACTCCTAAATCCAAAATTCTAATATGACCTTCATAGCTCTGTGTGATCTGGTGAACCTTCGTACTGAAGTCCCCACTTAAAGTTTTAAAAGCTCTTCAGTCTGTTCCTGCCTACCTCTCCAGCTTCATTTCAACCTGTTCTCCCTCTTGTTCACTGTACTCTAATTTTCTTTTAGTTTCTAGAAAATTCAAGACACTTGAAGGTCTTCCCAGATGTCTTCTTTGACCTAATGTTCCATTACAGGTTCTTATTACGTGTTATGTAACTCCCTGTCCTTGTCATACCTCAGCCAGCATTATTATATTGTGCAGTCACTCAGACTGAGAACAACATAGCACTTCTTCAAAACTATAATTACTTGTTTGAAATTATTTAATTTCAGGAACCTTATCAATCATCATCATTATTGTGCCAGCACCTGGCACACTGTATTCAATGTATATTTGTTGAGTAGGTGGGTGACAAATCTAGATAACCTCTTATTTAAGGTCTAGTTTACTTTTTAAAACTAATGCTCCATTTTTTAAACTAGAAATTCGATTAATGGATTTATATCTTCAAAAACCCAAATTCCTTTGCCTCCAGTTTTGTAGGTCATGTGGATTTCTGAGATCGTGGCTAGAGCACAAAGTTAAATTCCTGAATTCATTGTGTTTAGTGTTATTAAGGGTTCTGTAAAGGGCGTCTATAAAGGCATACATGAAAAGGAAGAAACGTCACCACAATGCCACCTGAAAAGATTCATGATACTGGAGAGTCATGTTTTTATACTTAGTATAGAATTAAGCCATTTGGATATCTGTGTTCTGTATCACCTAAAATACTAAGTTAAAAGATGCTGAAATAGCCTGCCTCCTTCTGGTGTGTTAGCACTTCCCTTTCCTCTCATTTCCTATGGTTTTTCCTGCCCTCACAAAAAGTTTTTCCTTTGTGATTAGTTTTATATATATGTTATATATGTTTTATATATGTTTTATATATAGTGATTAGTTTTATATATACATATATATACACACATATGTATATATACACATACATATATATACACACATACATGTGTAATACTAAATAGCTGAAGTCCTGCTCAAGTCCCAAGTCTCCAATTTTATTGGTGTATTTAATAATTAATTGAAATAGTTTTATGATTAAAGTAGTGATAGCTAGAATATGTACACTAAAATCAGTGGAAATGTTTGCTTGATCCAGTAGATCAACCTAAATTTAGAATTTTTTAACATTAAAAGCTTGAGAAAGTGGCAAATTCTGAAAGAGATCTAAGAAATTTGATAGGGATTTTAGTTAGCCAAAGTTACTAAAACTTAGAAATGATAAACAGTTTACCTGAAGTCATTCCAGAAGTAGTTTTGCCATCATCTGAGCTTATTGGCTTATTGTTACTATAATGTTGTCATCTGCCCCAGTTATTCTTACACATTTATTCAGCAAGCATTTACTATCCACAGCATGGTGCTTGAGGCTTAGAAAAGTTGAAGGGTATAGCATAGTTTAGAAGGTTCTTACAACCTGGAGAGAAAATGTGAATGTGAGAAACATATAGTTAAAAATGTATGAAGAAGTATTAGAGAATCAAATGATGTATGTAATCATCTTAATTACTTTAAGAATGATGCATGTAAAACATTCTTAAAGTAATTATCAAACAAATTCAAGGCATCTACCAGAGTTGTAAATGTATTCTACGCACTTCTTGAGAACCATATAATGTAGAAGATGTTGCAGGAACGATATAGATGAGTAGGATTCCATTCTGTCCTCAATACAAAAAATAGTAAAATAATAATAAGTTAGAGGAATAAAGAACTATAAGAATTTAGCAGGGAGTTTCCAGAGAAGGTTTCATGTAAGAGGTGGCATTTGTGCTATGACTGCAAGTACGTTTATAACTGGGCCCACAAAGACTGAGTCTCAGAAAAGCCCAAGGAGCATGTAGGGAACACAGCAGTTGAATTTGAATGAAATGCTATAGGTTAAGAGGACCCATAGGGAATGATTATAAAAATAGGTTGAGCTAGCTGATAGAGGACTGAAGAATATTCGAAAGTATATGGGGGAACTACTGAAGCTTTTGAAGCAAAGGTAGTAATAGTCAAACTTAAGATGGGGACAATTACCTTGCAGGATTGCTGTGAAGTTAGATGAGATAATTTACCTAAAGTACTTAGCCCGGTGCCTACCACATAGTAAATACTTAAATAGTAGCTGCCATCATTCACCTGACTAAAGACAGGGAGACCAGTCAGGATATTAGGTGGGCCAGAAAAGTGGTGTGAAGACCTGATATTTGGCATAATCAGGTATCTAGTAATGCTAGAGATGAGACAGAAACTGTTGAGATTGAGAAGGATAAAGAAAGGTATTTTTTAAGGGAAAACTTTTATTTTTGACTGTATAAAATTTAGAAACATTTAAATAGCAAATAATATCATGAACAAAGTGTTACCTCCCCTAAATCTATTAATTTAGTGCTAAACTAATAAAAATACTAATAAATTTAGTTGGGGGTTATTGTTGTTTTGTTCTTTTGTTTGTTGGGCTTGGCGGGGTTCTCTTTATTAAACCTAAATTTATTGAGGTACATATTGTTATTCACATTTTTTGTAACAGTTCATAGCATATATAAATGGCCTTTATTGATTTGTGTCTCTCCATGATCGTACAAAATTCAATTATGGTTTACATAATAGTGAACCATTTAATTCAGCCTAAATACAGTACTTAAATGGATCTAATTCTGGGAGTCTCATGGAATGATCTAAAAAATAGTCAAGAATTTTATTAAAACCATCTAGATTTGGCCAGGCACAGTGGCTCACACCTGTAATCCCAGCACTTTGGGAGGCCGAGGCGGGCAGATCACGAGGTCAGGAGATCGAGACCATCCTGGCTAATGCGGTGAAACCCCGTCTCTACTAAAAATACAAAAAATTAGCCGAGCGTGGTGGTGGGTGCCTATAGTCCCAGCTACTCGGGAGGCTGAGGCAGGAGAATGGCGTGAACCCGGGAGGCGGAGCTTGCAGTGAGCCAAGATTGCGTCACTGCTCTCCAGCCTGGGTGACAGAGTGAGACTCCGTCTCAAAAAAAAAAAAAAAAAAAAAAAAAAAAAAACCATCTGGATTTGTAAAACACCATCTTAGGAATTGTAATTCTTTCAGGCTTGAATTTAAGCAAATGTACCATCAACTAAGAAAAAACAATAAAAAGAGATTAAATTATTAAGTAAGGAAAACACGGTCAGGTGTCCTCCAGTATATATTTAGGAGTTGGTTGCTGTAAACCTGAACCAAACCTAGTGACCCAAATGTGTAAGCCCTTACAATTTTAACCTTCCTCGCAGACATGATGATGCATGGGATCCCCTGCACGTGGAACAGCAGGAACCACTTGGGAAAACCTGAAATTTAAACTGCTTTAGTCAACTTTGTCTATTGTGATCATTTTCTTTTCTTATTTCAGTGAGCTTTCTCTTAAGTGTGCCAAGCTGCCATCCAACTTTCTTGAGCATTTTTTCTCATGGGAAATGATCAAGTTTTGATAGCAGAAAGTGCTTCTTTCCAAGACTTTCTCGAGGCCATCTTCCTGTAGGCGTCATGCTTCTGATGTTACACAGCTGATATTTTCATATGAGCTGCATTTTTAGACTACAAAGATGCTTACTCAGGTGGGAGACCATTTCTTTGAACTGTAAGTGATTTATTTGATTTTCTTTTTAATAGTCCTTGTTTTTCTCCTTCAAGCCTTTTTAAGGAAACATTTAACAGCATCAATGTATTTTTTCAAATTGCTTTTTGATTTACCTAGAAGTTCTCAATTTTCTGATTTGTGTTTGTCTGATTTCAAGTTGCCATCATCCATGTAATTTTTGCTAAAGAAGACAGGCAAGTGTATCACCTTCCATATGATTTAAGAGATTTTAAAGGGCTCTCTTTTACAACCTCTTTATGTTTTCAAGTTGTCAAGCATTTTTTTCCTCCGTTTCTCACACTTTTTATTCCATTTCACAGCTTCTTGGGATAGCGCTTTTAGATTTTCCTAAAAATGAGTGTTTTCATCCAAACAACCCATTATTTCCTTCTGAAAGTTCTTTTGAGACACTTTAAAGATGTTTTTGGCGCCGGTTACTTGAGATTGACAGATTTTGATGCATCATCATGTAACTGTTGAACTGTGAAATGAAAGTTTAGAGACTCCCTTCTGTTCTTTTTTTGAGAAGGTCTGCAATATTCTCAAGTGACAAGTGAACCTGTCCAGATATTTACTAAATGCTAAATTTAACATTTGTGACTTCAGAGGACTGGTCTCCACCAGAGATAACTTGAAGGCTTCATTGATTTGTATAATCAGTCTAAATTTTCACTGACTTTAACCTGGGCAGAAAATCTTTTGGCTAGCTCTTGTTCCCTCCTTAAAGTATGCCTGCTCTTTACTATAAAAACAATCAGAGAGACCATATCAGAATCTTGCAGGGAAATGCATAGAGACTTGAGCCTTGTCTTAAGCATCAGTCACCACCACTGAGGGCTGGACAGGAAGGGGAACCCCAGGTTCTATAAAACAATACTCTCTAACTTTGCTCACCATGCAAATAAAAGTACTATTATTTGTACAGTGAATATGGGCAAGTGGAAAATGCTTATTGCAGCCAGAGGAGACCAGCCATGAGCTCTGGTCACTCTAGTCCCTACCCTGGCCTGCAGGAAGCTTAGGGGATCAAAGCAGTGCCATGCCATTACCCATTCCCAGCCCACAGGTATGTCAGGGCAAAAAGGAAGGGCACGCTGCAGTAGAGGACTCCTGTGCCCATGCTTATGGGTGAGGCTCATTTTCCTGAGTTCAGGTTTCCTTCAGCAGCAGGGAAGCCTCATCCTATCTATCTACAAAGGTCACAAGGATCTCCCTTTCCTGAAGGCTCCTCTCCTCATTTGTGTTAAGTCAGTCCAGGCTGTTACAGAACACTGAAGGGTCTCAACAAATATGTAAAGTAACAGCCCTGGATTTCAGTATCAGAATGGCAATGTCTTAATATTTCATGAATTTTCTTCAAGGCCCGTTCCCCAACCCCCCACCCCAACCCACATAATCCAAGTGTTCTTAGATGGGTTAGGGTCACCTTCAGTGGTGACATAGTAGAAGTCCTAGCTAAACCAATCAGACAAGAGACGGGACATTCAAATTAGGAAGAAAGAAGACCAAATTATTCTTGTTTGCTGATAATATGATGTTATATTTGGAAAAACCTAAAGACTCCACCAAAAAACTATTCAAACTGATAAATTCAGTAAAGTTGCAGGGTACAAAATCAACATTAAAAAATCAGTATCATTTCTGTATGCCAACAGGGAACAACCTGAAAAATCAAGAAAGTAATCCCATTTACAATAGCTGCAAATAAAATAAAATATCTAAGAATTAAGAAGTGAAAGATCTCTACAATTAAAACTAAAACATTGAAGAAAGAAATCAAAGAGAACACAGAAAAACAGAAAGATATTCAATGTTTACAGATTGAAAGACTCAATTATTGTTAAAACATCCATGCTACCCAAAGCAATCTGCAGATTCAATGCAATCCCTATCAAAGTAACAATAACATTCTTCATAGAAATAGAAAAATAATCCTAAAATTTATATAGAATCACAAAGTCCCAGAATAGCCAAAGAGGATAGCCCACAAAAGACCTACAGGCTGGGCGTGGTGGCTCGTGCCTGTAATCCCAGCACTTTGGGAGGCTGAGGTAGGCAGATCACTTGAGGTCAGGAGTTCAAGACCAGCCTGGCCGACATAGTGAAACCCCGTCTCTACTAAAAATACAAAAATTAGCTGGGCATGGGGGCACACACCTGTAATCCCAGTTACTCGGGAGGCTGAGGCACAAGAATAGCTTGAACCTGGGAGGTGGAGGTTGCAGTGAGCTGAGAATGTGCCACTGCACTCCGCCTGGGCAACAGAGAGAGACCGTCTCAAAAAAAAAAAAAGAAAAGAAAAGAAAAGAAAAAGGACCTAAGCAAAAAGAACAAAACTGGAAGGATCACATTATGTGACTTCAAATTACACTACAAAGCCTATAGTAACCAAAACATCATGGTACTGGCATTAAAAAAAAAAAAAAAAACACACATAGACCAATGAAACACAATAGAGAACTCAGAAACAAATCCATATATTACAGTGAGCTCATTTTCAACAAAGGTGCCAAGAACATACATTGGGAAAAGGACAGTCTCTTCAAAAAATGGTGCTGGAAAAACTAGATACCTGTATGCAGAAGAATGAAACAAGACCCGTATCTTTTGCCATATACAAAAATCAAGTAAAAATGGATTAAAGACTTAAATCTAAGACCTCAAATTATGAAACTGCTAAAAGAAAGCGTTGGAGAAACTCTCCAGGACATTGGAGTGAGCAAAGATTTCTTGAGTAATACCCTACATAGCACAGGCATCCAAAGCCAAAATGGACAAATAGGATCACATCAAGTTAAGAAGCTTCTGCACAGCAAAGGAAACAATCAACAAAGTAAAGAGACAACCCATGAATGGGAGAAAATAGCAAACTACCCATCTGACAAGGGATTAATAACCAGAATATATAAGGAGCTCTCAGTGGTGATGTAATGACCCAGGCTCCTTGCATCATGTGACCTTCCATCCTTAACACATGGCTCCCAGGGTTGCCCTGCAATTGGTTTCCAATCCAAGGAGTCATCTTCAGAGGTGTGGGTGCCTCTGTGAAGTGGGGAGTAAGTCTTCTGAATCTGGCACTTTCTATTCCTTTCAAAAATATCTCACTTTTCTAATTTCTTTCTGGCAGACTCAGCCCAAGTCTCCATGTCCATCACCTGGGACACTGTCTGAGGAACTCTGTGAGGAGAGCCTTTTCCACAGAGAAATGAGAGCACCCTCAGTGAGTGACAGTCTGGGGGTTCTGGAGGGATGTAGGGTTCAAGCCACAGGTTCCTCAGTGTACAGGATTGAGGTTCAGCAGAGACCTCGTGGTGAGGGGAGGAGGTACCCAAATGCCTGATGAAGTTTCTTTGGTTTAGAATTCATTTATTTGTTTGAAGTGGGAGAGGTGGAAGCCTTATTTTAAGTAGTAAGACTTGACAGTATCAGAAGAGTGGGGAAATATTTTAATATTTTGTTAAATGTTGTTTTTTTCGATGTGTGTAATACATCTCTTTATCCTGTGTTTTCTTTTTCCCCTTTGGTGAAATTTTGTCTTTAGTAGAAAATGATGCAGTTATGTTACACTAGTGTTTCTGATGAGACAAGATGATTTTTAGGTGGTTTACTGACTCACCGTTAAATAGCAATGAATCATATAGTGAGAAAGTAATTTCTTTAAAACTCTTGTAAGCCTTCCAGTTATGTCAAAGACAGCCTTTAACTTTTCTCTGATCCTTGTTAATCTCTGTTTGACAAAGAGAGCAGGTCTCAGGTTCATAGCCTTCTGTGACCATTAGTATTTTCTTAGGTTAAAAAAATTACTTTCATTATCTTCGTTGTTATAGTTATCCTCTACTATGGAAAATGATACTGGTTTTCCACTCAGGATGGCAATAGGAATTAAAGCCAAAAAAAGTTTAAATGAGCTGCCTGAAAGAGAAATATTAGATAAATAATAGTGTAGGTGATACGTTGATGTAGCCAAAGGAAAACAAATTGCAATGTTGCTATGCAAATAATGACACCATTCCAGAATCTCTGATCCTTTATGATTTCTTCTGCACATTCTTGTGAGAGGGATTTGGGAACCCAAGAGAGCTAAATTGCCATAGGTACATTTAAGGCAGTACACAGGCATCAGCACTAAGGCAGTACATAGTAGCTTTTACTTATTTAAATCCTTCTACCAATTTCTGGTTTAGTAGAAAATACTTGTCATTAGTTAGAATAGCATTGAGCCTTGAAGTGAAATGTAATTAGACTGCGTTATATGTCTTACCTAAGATATAGGATCCAGCCAGGCGTGGTGGCTCACGCCTGTAATTCCAGCACTTTGGGAGGCTGAGGCGGGCAGATCACCTGAGGTCAGGAGTTTGAGACCAGCCTGACCAACATGGAGAAACCCCGTCTCTACTAAAACTACAAAATTAGTCAGGCATAGTGGCGCACGCCTGTAATCCCAGCTACTCAGGAGGCTAAGGCAGGAGAATTGCTTGAACCTGGGAGGCGGAGGTTATGGTGAGCCAAGATCGCGCCATTGCACTCCAGCCTGGGCAACAAAAGCGAAACTCCATCTCAAAAAAAAAGAGCTATAGGATCTTTACAATATATTATTGTAGTATAATAGAATTTTAGAGCACAAAGAGACATTGCTGACATGTTCTTGATCAGATAAATAGGCCAGTCAACCCTTTGTCTTAACCTGTAAAAGTATCCTTTGTGAGCACTCCATAGTACTGGAACAATTCTGTGTACAGTTCATGTCGGTCAAGGTTCGAAAACCTGACTAGTTTGTTATTAGCCAAATTTCAAGTAAAGAGAAATTGGATGGCCCCAGAATACCCACTTGAATTCTGTCTCTCAGAAAATAACACCATGGATTTACTAACATTACCTCTGGCACAGATAGTATCATGCATTGCAACATTTATTGATGGAGTTTTCCCAATTTAATATTTCTCATCATTTCCTCACATGATTAGTACTGCTAGCGGACCTACTAAAATTTTAACACTGACTTATTATTAGAGATGGCTTGCATTTTTCCTACACCATTCCAAAGGAGAACATTAGATGTCTGTATTAAATTCAAGCAAAAGTGTGAGAGAAATAATTTCAGCATGTCTCAGGTGTCTCGCTGGCTCTTAAGGTGAATAAGGTGGTGGTGACTGTTCTGCAGAGAGTTTCTCATAAGCAGGTGGAGCATTGGGAACCTGTGAGAACAAGAAAGGGAGAATATGGGCTTGGCAACAGTGTATGTGTTTCTAGGAAGGGATTAAGTTAAAATAGTTAACATATTTATACTTTCCCTGTGGACTGAAATTTCTAAGTGTTCCCATATAATTTCTGCCCAGTGAAGTAATTGTTAAATTTCACAAGTATATAGGCTGATTGTTGGGGGCAAGAGTAGAGAAAAATAGGGTTAAGGAGTTCCCAAAATCTCAAAAGCTTAGCTATACCTAGATTTTCCATGACAGTAAAAGTCTCAAGCCCTAACTAACGAATCATTGAATGCTATTTATAGACACCATATACATTGCATCTTTACCACAGAGATCGTTGTAATTGTGTCTAAAGGCACATTGATACTACCAAATATAAAACAAGAGGATATTGTATCCAGAACAAATGTGTCAGGGCTTCATTTAATGCTCACAACAATTCTGGGAGTGTTTTTATTATTTTCATGTTACAGAATGGGAAACTGGGGCACAGAGAGGTTAACTCGCTTGCCCATGGTCACACAACTAGTAAGTTGTGGAGCTAAGAATCAAACACAGTAATTTGGCTCCAGAGTCAGTGCTCTCAACCATTATGCTGTGTTGTATATGTACTAGTGCTGTCCAATAGAAATATGGTACAAGCCACTTATGTAATTTTATTTTATTTATTTATTTTTGAGATGGAGTTTTGCTCTTGTCTCCCAGGCTGGAGTGCAGTGGCACTATCTCGGCTCACTGCAACCTCCACCTCCCGGGTTCAAGTGATTCTCCTGCCTCAGCGTCCCAAGTAGCTGGGATTACAGGCATGCACCACCACGCTTGGCTAATTTTTGTATTTTTAGTAAAGATAGGATTTCACCATGTTTGCCAGGCTGGTCTCGAGCTCCTGAGATCAGGTGATCCACCCACCTCGGCCTCCCGAAGTGCTGGGATTACAGGTGTGAGCCACCATGCCCAGCCATATGTAATTTTAAAATTTCTAGTAGCTACATTTAAAAGAAGAAACATGTAAAATTAATCTTAAAATATTTTGTTTAACCTAATATTTTCAGAATATTTATTTCAAGGTGAATCAATATAAAAATCATTAATGAACCATTTATCTTCTTTTCTACATACTAATATTTTTGAAATATGATATGTATTATAATACATCTTATTTCAAACTCCTGTGTTTTAAGTGTTCAATAGCACCATGTGACTAGTGGCTAAGCCATCAGACAGCACAGCTCTATACAATAAATAATAGGTACTTTATCCCTTCCCTCTGTATATATCTGCATCCATTAAAAAGGCAAATATAACTAAAAACATAAAAGAATATTGTATCCAGGACTAAATTCTTCCTTTGAATCTTACATGTAGGGCTCTCATTATTGACCCTGGAAACACTGGGTATGTGACAACACAATTAAGAAAATATCTGTACTTCCCTTGTTTTTTATTATTATTTATTTTTTATTCTCATAAAATACACATAAAAGTTGCCATTTTAACCATTTTTAGGTGTATATAGTTCAGTGGCAATGAGTACATTCACATTGTCCTTGCTTTTTAAATGGAAATAATTGTATTCACTTGAGTTAAAAACAGCCATTCATGAAAATACCCTTATGAAGGATCTTAACCTACCACAGGTTCACAGTTTTTCTCTTGAAGAGACACTTTGCTGTCCCGATGATCAAACCCTTCTTGTGGGCATCTTCTTGTTAAGGCACATTGAGTGCCAACATGAAGACTTTTATCCTGAAATGTAAATTGATAAAGGTGAGTGGGTGAGAAGAAGTAACTGAATCCATTAAAGAAAAGAGAAGGAAGCCAAAGTTTTAAGAATGAGTTTTAATCTAGGTTCTGCCACTTACTTGCTGTGTGCCTTCAGTCTCATCACTTTACCTTCTGAATTCTGAGTTTGCATCTAGGAATATAATACCTACCTACCTCTCAGAATTGCTGTGGGAATTAACTAGAAGTAAAGCTCTAGTGCAGTACCTGGGACCCAATAGTTGGTCAAAGAATATTTCTGAAGGGAAGGATAAGAAGAGTGAATCTACAAAAGGAACACTCTTGTGAAATTATCCATCAATAGTGAAGCAGAAATAAAGACTTTGTCAAGCAAAAATTGAGGGAATTCATTGCCAGTAGACCTGCCTTGCAGGAAACTTTTGAAGTTCTTTAGAGAAAAAGAAAATAACATAGGTCAGAACCTTGTACCTACATAAAGGAAGAACATCCAAGAAGGAATAAGTGAAGGTAAAATAAAAACTTTTTTTTTCTTTTCTTTTCTTTTCTTTTTTTTTTTTTGAGACAGAGTCTCACTCTGTTGCCCAGGCTGGAGTATAATGGCACGATCTCGGCTCACTGCAACCTCTGCGTCCTGGGTTCAAGTGATACTCCTGCCTCAGCCTCCTAAAACTTTGTTTTTCTTTCTTTCTTTTTTTTTTTTTAAGAGACATGATCTTGCTAAGTTGCCTAGGCTGGTCTTAAACTCCTGAGCTCAAGCAATCCTCCTGCCTCAGCCTCTGAGTAGCTGAGACTATAGGCATGCACCACTGCACCCAACATATTTGTCTTATTCTTAGTTGATTTAACAGATAATAGTTTGTTCAAAAATGAATAATAGCAACAATGTATTTAATTAGGTATGCTTATATATACTTGAAATTAATAACAGCAATGATACAAGGGAAAGGAATGTTAACAGAAAGAAAAAAACTGCAAAATATTTTAAAGAGGTTTATTCTGTGCCGATATGAATGACCATGGCCGGGAGAATAGTCTCAAGAGGTCCTGAGAAAGTGTGCCTGAGGTGGTTGGGTTATGATTTGGTTTTATATGTTTCAGGAAGACAGGAATTGTAGGTAAAAATCATAAATCAATACACGGAAGGTATACATTGGGTCAGCCTGAAAAGGCAGGACATGGCAAAGCAGAGACTTACAAGTCACAGGTGGGTTTTAGGTATTCTTTAGTTAGCAGCTGGTTGAAAGAGTTCAGCTCTGTCTTAAGACTTGAAGTCAGTATAAAGGAATGCTTAAGGTAAGGGAGTCTGCAATCTGTCATGTGATGCTATACCAGAGTCAGTTTGGAAAGTATACCACATTATATGGGGTTAATTAAAAAAAAATTTTTTTATGGTTTGAAGGGCATGATTTAACCCTTTCCTTGCATTGTCTTGTTCCTAATTTGATATTGCCACAAAGAGTTCATTCTGTCAGTCCTGTAATCTCTATTTTAAAATTAATGCTGGTCAGTTGTACCTAAAACTCTAAAAGGGAGGGAGTATAATGAGGCATCTCTCACCTCCCTTCCCGTCATGGCCAACACTCAGTTTTTCAGGTTTCCCTGGGGTCCCCTTGGTGAAGAGGGGGTCCATTCAGTTGTTTGGAGGATTTAGGATTTTGTTTTTAGTTTACAGGAGGAAGGAATTAGGATTATTTTAAGATACTCATAATGCCTATGAAATGGTATAGTGTTATTTGAAAGTGGATTTGAATTAGTTGTAAATGTATGTTGCAAACTCTAGGGAAACCACTGAAAAAAAGTAAAAAAGAAGTATAAGGCCGGGCACGGTGGCTCACACCTGTAATCGCAGCACTTTGGGAGGTCAAGGCGTGTGGATCACGAGGTCAGGAGATTGAGACCATCCTGGCTAACACAGTGAAATGACATCTCTACTATAAATACAAAAAATTAGCCAGGCATGGTAGCGGGCACCTGTAGTCCCAGCTACTTGGGAGGCTGAGTCAGGAGAATGGCATGAACCCAGGAGGCAGAGCTTGCAGTGAGCCCAGATCATACCACTGCACTCCAGCCTGGGCAACGGAGTGAGACTCCGTCTCAAAAAAAAAAAAAAAGAAGTGTAACTGGACTGGGCGCGGTGGCTCACGCCTGTAATCCTAGCACTTTGGGAGGCCAAGTGGGTGGATCACTTGAGGTCGAGTTCCAGCCTGGCCAACATGATGAAACCCCGTCTCTACTAAAAATACAAAAATTAGATGAGCATAGTAGTATGCACCTTTAATCTCAGCTACTCAGGAGGCTGAGACAGGAGAATCACTTGAACCTGGGAGGCAGAGGTGGCAGTGAGCTGAGATCGTGCCACTGCACTCCAGCCTGGGCGACAGAGTGAGTGAGATTCTGTCTCAAAAAGAAAAAAGTATAACTGATATGCCAAGAAAGGAGAGAAAATGGAATCATATAAAATGTCCAGTGAAAATCACAAAAGGCAGAAAAAGAGTAAAGACAAAAATAGAAACAAAGAACAGAGGCAACAGGTAGAAAACAGTAACAATATGGTAGATATCAATCCAACTATATCAATAACTACTTTGAATATCAATGGTCTAAATGCACCAATTAAAAGACAGATTGTCAGAGTGGATCAACAAACAAGACCCAACTATGTGTTCTCTACAAGAAACCCTCTTTAAATATAAAGACACATACATGTACATTAAAAGTAAGTGGATAGAGGCCAGGCATGGTGGCTCACACCTGTAATCCCAAGCACTTTGGGAGACCAAGGCAGGCGGATTGCCTGAGCTCAGGAGTTCAAGACCAGCCTGGGCAACATGGTGAAACCCCATCTCTGCTAAAAATACAAAACTTAGCCAGGCTTGGTGGCGCACACCTGTAATACCAGCTACTTGGGAGGCTGAGGCAGGAGAATCACTTGAACCCAGGAAGTGGAGGTTGCAGTGAGCTGAGATCACACCACTGCACTCCAGTCTAGGTGACACAGCGAGACTCTGTCTCAAAAAAAAAAAAGTAAGTGCATAGAAAAAGATATACCATGCTAACACTAATGAAAAGAAAGTAGGAGTTCCTATATTAGTTTCAGAAGGAGATTTCAAGGAAAGTTATCAGGGATAAAGAGGGATATTACATAACGATAAAGGTGTTCATTCTCCAAGAAGACATAAGAACACCTAACATTGCATGTACCTAAGAACACAGCATCAAAATACATGAGATAAAAACTGATAGAACTGCAAGGAAAAATAGTTGCATCCACTATGAAGTTGGAGTTACAGTTGGAGGCTTCAACATCTCTCTATCAGAAATAACACAAAGCCAGCAGGTAAAAAATCAGTAAGGACTAACTCATTGTATGAGGCCAACATTACCCTAATATCAAAAACAAAGATATTACAAGAAAAGAAAATGACAATTCGTTATCTCTCATAAATATAGATGCAAAAAAACTCAACAACATATTAGCAAATCAAACCTAACAATATATAAAAGGAATTATATACTGTGACAGAGTGGAACTCAACAAAATCTTCGATTAACTAGATATAATAGACATCTGTAGGCTACTTCATCCAACGACAACAGAATACACTTTCTTCTCAAGCTCAGAACATTAACCAGGATAAACCACATTCTGGGCCACAAAACACATCTTAACAAATTTAAAAGAATAGAAATTATACCATGTTTGCACTTAGACTATAATAGAATTAAAGCAGAAATCAATACAGAAAGATAACTGAAAAATTCCCAACACTTGGAGATTAAACAACACACTTCTACATAACACATGAGTCAAAGGAGAAATCTCAGGAGAAATTTAAATATATTTTGAATTAAATGAAATTAAAATATGATATCAGAATTTGTGGGATACTGCTTAGCAGTGCAAGCAGTATTTAGAGGGAAATGTATGACATTGAATGTGTATATTAGAGAAGAAGAAAGATCTAAAATCAGTCATCTAAGCTTTCACCTTAGGAAAATAAAGAGAACAGCAAATTAAATCCAAAGTAAGCGGAAAAATAAAAATTAGAGCAGAAATCAATGAAATTGAAAACAAGAAATCAGCAGAGCACAATGGCTCATGCCTATAATGCCAGTACTTTGGGAGGGCAAGGCAGGAGGACTGCTTGAAGCCAGGAGTTTGAGACCAACCAGAGCAACATAGTGAGACTCTGTCTCTACAAATTAAAAAAAAAAAAAAGAAAATTAATCAGACCTGGAGGCACATGCTATAATCCTAGCTACTATGGTAGCTAGCTGTAGTCCTAGCTACTCAGGAGGCTGAGCCAGGAGGATTGGAGTGCTTGAGCCCAGGAGTTCAAGGTAACAGTGAGCTATGATTGTGCCACTGCACTCCAGTCTGGATGACAGAATGAGACCCTGTCTCTAGAAAAAAAAAAGGAAAGAAAGAAAGAAAAAAAAGTCAGTAGAGTAAATCAATGAAACCAAATGCTGATTCTGGGAAAAGATCAATAAAATTGATAAGCCTTTAGCTAGGCTAAGAAATAAAAAGGCACAAACTACTATTATCAGAAATAATAATGGACATGAAAAGGATAAGCAAGGAATACTATGAACTATGCTCACAAATTTGAAAACCTAGGTGAATGTAACAATTCTTTGAAAGACACAATCTGTCAAAATCCACGCAAGAAGAACTAGACCATCTGAAGAGATTTATATCTATTATAAAAATTGAATCAATAATAACTTTCCAAAACAGAAAGCACCAGACCCAGATGAGTTCAGTGGTGAGTTCTACCAAACATTTAAGAAAGATATTATACCAATTCTCTATAACCTCTTTCAGAAGATAGAAGCAAAGGGAATACTTTGTAACTCATTGCTATGAGGCCAGCATTACCCTAATACCAGACAGATATTGCAAAAAGAGAAAACTACAGCTCAATATCACTCATGAATACAGATGCAAAAAATCTCAACAAAATATTAGCAAGTCAAACTAACAATGTATAAAAGGAATTACATACCATGACAAAATAGGATTTATGCCAGGTATGCAAACCTGGTTCAATATTGAGAAATCAGGCCAGGCGTGGTGGCTCACGCCTGTAATCCCAGCACTTTGGGAGGCTGAGGCAGGTGGATTGCTTGTGCTCAGGAGTTTGAGACCAGCCTGGGCAACATGGTGAAACCCCATCTCTACCGAAAATACAAAAAAATTTAGCCAGGCGTGGTGGCTTACACCTGTGGTCCCAGCTACTTGGAAGGCTGGGGTGGGAGGATCACCTGAGCCTGGGAGGTGAAGGTTACAGTAAGCTGAGATTGAGCCACTGCACTCCAGCCTGGGTGACAGAATGAGACCCCATCTCAAAAAAAAAGAAAAAGAGAAATGAATTATTCTGATACATCAATAGACTAAAGAAGAAATTTGCAAGATTGTATCAATAGATGTAGAAAAAGCATTTGACAAAATCAAACACCCATTCATAATTTAAAACTCTCAATAAACGAGGGATAAAGGGAAACTTACTCAAGTTTGCTGAAGAATATCTAGGTACAAAAAATCAACAGTTAACATCATACTTGAAGCTTTTCTGCTAAGATCAGGAACAAGGCAAGGATGTCCTGTCTCACCACTCCTTTTCAGCATCATACTGGAAGTTGCAAATAACTAATGCAATAAACTGGAAAAGGATATAAAAGGTGTACTGATTGGGAAAAAAAAATAAAACTGCCCTTGTCAATTACCATTTTTTTCTTTTTCTTTTTTTTTTAAGCCTCTCACTCACCATAGGTTAAGAGTATGATCCACTCTACCGGTTCACTGCCAGTTCTCTGTATTTACATTAAAACTGGGTGTACATTTTAAAATATAGATTCCTGAATCCCACCACCAGAGATGATCCCAGAATCTGCCTTTTAGCAAGAACCCCAAAGTATTCCAGTGCAGGTGACCACTGACCATGCATTGAAAAACACAGTGCCCTGACACATGAGTGTAAACTGAGCTGAGAGCAAGGGCCATGAAATTCTCCAAGAATCAAAAGTATTTTGTCCTTGAACTTCCAAGTGAAGATGTAAAACTGGTTAATATAAAAACCACTGTTCAGTTTATTACAAATCATTTCCCACTTCCTGTTGCTACAAAAAGCAGCCTTTCCTTTCAAAAGATGTTTTCCAGGGCTCAGGGGAATTGTTAACCAAGGGAGAAATTTTAAGAGATCTAAATTCCAACCAGCCTCTCTGTGGACAAATGGAAGTTGAAAAGTAGACATTTCAAGCTTAATGAAGATTGTTAAAGGTGGAGTAATTCACATGCCCAAAGCTCATATTTAATGTCATTTACATCCCTTTGCTTTAAAATGAAAATAGAATCACTGAAGACAGAAAGGGAGGTAATTATGTAATTAAATGCAATACTTAATGCACTATTTTACATAATTTTGCCTAAACTTATTAGACTGCTGATCTCCAAACTGACTTTTCTAGATATATGAAAATCTCAAAATAAGATTTTAATATTAATTTAAAAAATAAATATGGAAATTAAATAAACCAGGAAATTTAAACACGATTCCCTCTCAATAAAAAGTCTCAGAAACTACAAACCACTGATCTAATCCTAGAGGAATGGAGGCATAGAGTTTGAATTTGAAACTTACCAAGCAAAATGTTCACAGTGTCTGAGCACATGACATTAAGACTCTCTGTTATTTTTCAATTAAATGAATTTAAGATGAGAGCATTGAAGCAGAAAAGAAAAATTACTGCATTTGTGTTCAATAGGATCAAACTAATAATTATAGTTAGGAAATGAGTACCAACATATTGAGTTTGTATAGCTTTACTTCTTGAAAGACTAAACATTTTGTTTTTGATATACAAATATATAATGAAATCAAAATATAGAAGAAAATATGTATTAAATAAAAATGGATATACATTGTGTTACATCACAGATTTCCAACATGTCTGGGTGTAAAATAGAGCTAGTGAATCTTGGAGAAGTTGAATTCTAGTCTCCAAGCAACTCAATGGCAGACAATGGGACCAAGTCCTAATGCAACACAATTGAGTGACTACCATGTGCCAGGCACTGTGCTAGGCACTGGAGATATGAAGATGAGTTAGAAATATTCTCTGTTGTGGTTCATACATAGGGGAAAGCGGAGGGGTCGAAGAGGCAAAAAGTAAATAGCCAATTACAAGGCAATGTCATAACCCCATGCTAGAGTTACAAATGGAGTTCTATGGCAGAGATTAAAGTCCTCCCCTACTAACCTGTTGTGGACAGCCGTATGAGCAGGAATTCTATCCCTAACTTTCTAACCCAAGGCTTTCCTCAAGTATTTCCTCCAATATTGGAGTCTTGTTCAGATTCATCAACTCCTCCTCCTTCCCACTAGATGTCAGCACACTAGAGGGCTATGCTCGGTGGGTGTGTCAGCCCCCAGACTTGACTTGCCTTTGATGGTTTGTATTTGTATTTATGCTCTGGAAAGACATTGGGGAACAGGAGACATGAGACATGAGACTGCCCAAGTTTCTTGGCAAAGAGGGAAAGAATCCAGAGTTGTATCTCTCACCTTCTCCTTATCAGCTTGCCAAGCTTCAATCCCCACCCCACACCAACCCTCCTCTCTTTCACAGGACCTTTTCCTCTAAATGAAGTGCTTGCTGAATGAGGAATGGGACTTTCCAACATCTTTTGGAAAGATACTTTTTTTCCATTATGCATCAACCTGAAAAGCTTTCAGATCTGTAATAACAAGAAAGAGAGACAGCGAGATCTATGGAGAATGCCTTCGGGTGCTGAAGTGCTGAAGTGCTACCTGGCTTTAAGCAAGATTGCTGAAACCTGTAATTTTTATAGCTTATAAACTCAGTTGATGTTTCCCATTCATGGAGGATACTGGTACCAGAAGATTGGATTGTGTAATTGTGTTAGCTTCCTGCATATTTGGGTAAAGAAGAAAAAAATACTATTAAAACCTTTGGCCATCTAAGAAGGATGCAGCCTGTTAAAAAACACACAAGTGACCCTTTGTGCTGATGCAGGAAGGATGGTTTCCTCATCGCACTGATGATATCCTGGGATGCTTAGTGTAGAGTCAGAAGAACTTGGAATTCACAGGTAACCAGTGAGGAAAGGGGTGAAGAAGAAAAGTAGGAAGAGCAGGTCACAAAGTGGAGTAACAGAACCAGCAAGAATTCCCAGAAGTGGTAAAACCTGAGGTGTCTAATATACTCCTGTTTGCTATAAGGGAACCTCAAACCCCTTCCCCTGTGCCCTATAAACCGTCAGTGCTTAGCTACACACAACATCCAGGTACCCAAGTCTGCTATGAGTAGAACCAAAGAGACAGGTGCTATAGTTTGAATGTGTCCCCCAAAATTCGTGTATTGGAAACTTAATCCCCAATGCAACAATGGTAAGAGGTAGGACTTTTAAGAGGTGATTAAGTTACAAGGGCTCTGTCCTCATGAATGGATTAATGTTGTTATTGCAGGAGTGTGTTTGTTATTGCAAAAGTAGGTTGGTTATAAAAGTGAGTTTGGGCCATATGTGGAGTGTTTCACACTTGTAGTCCCAACACTTTGGGAGGCCGAGGCAGGATCACTTTAGCCCAGGAGTTTGAGACCAGCCTGGGCAACATAGTGGGACCTCGTCTCTACAAAAAAAAGTTTTTTTTTAATTAGCCGGTGTGGTGGCACGTGCCTGTGGTCCCAGCTACTCTGGAGGCTGAGACAGGAGGATGGCTTGAGCCCAGGAGGTCAAGGCTACAGTGACTCATGTTCACCACTGCGCTCCATCCCAGGATTTCCTGTTTCAAGAAAAAAAAAAAATGAGTTCAGCTCCCTCTTGCTCTCTCACTCCCTTGCCCATGTGATGCCTTCCACTATGATATGACACAGCAAGAAGTCCTCACCAGGTGTGGCCCCTAGATCTTGGAGTTCCCAGCCTCCCAACTGTAAACCAAATGAATTTCATTTATTTATAAATTACAGTCTCTCGTATTATGTTATAATCACAGACTAAGACACAGGGCAAGTTCCTGGTTGAGGTTCATGCCTGAGCAGAGGCAAAGGTAGAGTTGCCAAAGTACAATGTAGCAAAAGAGGCATCAGAAGCCGGAATCAGAGCTGAAGGTTATAATGAGGCAATTATCTGACTCTCCAGAGATTCAGAGGAAAGAACTGGAAAGAGGGCCCTGGACTTGGAGGGATTTCAGCAGTGGGAACTTTACCAACCATCAAGGCTCTGTATCCATTTCGTCTTCTACAATACCAACAGCCGATGAGCAGTAAGACTCCCAGGATCACTGTCAGGATGCCGATCCCAGCGGCCCTGGCCCAAGAGATAGACAAATCCACTTTGTCATTGAAACATTGTTCTACATTATGATGAAGCATAAATCAGTCTTCCTCTTCATATGGACTTTGACGACCCAGAGCAGCATCTCCCAGTGTCCAAGTAGTTTCCCACCTCCCACACTGGGCACCCCACCAGGCCTCCAGCACCTGGATCTAACCCAGGTCTTTAGGAGCCTCTCAAGTGTGTGCCCACAGGAACTCTGCTAATTGGCATGGCCCAGGCACCCAAGTTCCAGGTATGAGAAGTGCCATAGTAACTGGTCTTTATGTGGACAATGTATTTATTGGGGCTAAATTATCTTTTCTTCTCATCAGGCTGTTTTAAAACATTTTCTCCAACTCAGCCCACAAAGAGAAAATAGAAATTAACACTGACTCATCTACTAAAAGCCAGGTGCTGTGCTAAACATTCATTAGCTTATTCAATTCTCACATCAACACTGGAGGGTAGACACAATTTATCATCCCCTATTTTCACAGAAGAGGAAATAAAAGGCAGAGGATACATGACTCGCTGGTGATCATACAGAGCTAGCACAAAACAGAGGCTGGATTTGAACCTGAATCCGTCTCAATTATGTTCGTGCCCTCCCTTCCCTAAACTCCCCGCTTTGCTCCTTGCAGCCCTAGGGAGAAGTGTCTGGGCTGAACCTACAGCAAAGCTGTGGCATTACTTATTGAGAAGGATCTTGTCTAAGCAGCAGGGTGCCAATCTGGGGGTCTACACCAGCCTCTTGGGCCCTGTGTTCAGTGACCCCTGGGAAGCATTACAGTTACCACAAAGTTACCACAAAGACCCTGGAAACAGGGCCTGGAGCTGTTCACTCCGGGCAAGCATCATCAATTAGCTAACATCTGCCTGATCACAGCATGATCAAAATCGACAGAACTGACTCTGTTATCTGTGGTTGTCAACTCGCTAAGAAAGTTTCTGCAGAGCTGAGTGACTTACAAGAGACTGAGCAGCTACAGGAGAAGCAAGGTTTAACTAAGGCTTCTGCTGGAGAGACTTTTGCTCAGTACCATCTACTGGACAACTTCTGTCTCAAGGCTGAGGAGACATCAAGCTTATCCTGTCCGTCTCCAAACAGGATAGAGCGAACCATGGGATGACAGTGCTAGATGGAAACTCTGACTTATGTAGGTCAGTCCACCCGCTTTATAGATCAGGAAGCTGAGACCTATGAAGATTCATCAACATTACCATAACCATAGTGACTACCATTCATTGAGCACCAATTTGTGCCAGGCACTGGGCTAGGCACCCCCACATATATGCTTTTATTTCATCCTAACCACAGTCCTCGGAGTTAGGAATGATGTTCATTTTACAGCTGACATTATGCTGGTCAAGTGCCCAGGGCTGCACAACCAGCAAGTGGCAGAACCAACATTCACAGCAACTGGAACGGGAGACCAAGCAAGTGAGCACCAGAATTTGGGCCAGATCCAGGTCTCCCAGGCCAGTGCTTTTCCTGCAGAGTCACTCTTTCCTGAACTGAAGCTGTCACAAGGAGTGTTCAGTGTGTTCTCGTGACTGAAGGCAGCTGATTCAACTCCCAACATGCCTGTGCTCTCATTTTACCCTGTGGCGTCCACTTGAATATCTTGACACAGTCAGAGCTCTGTTACAGCACTTTATGCATGGTCACGTGGTACTCACAACATGCCCAAGTAACTGAGAGCGAAAAGCACCAGGGTATGCCTGACACATTGGAAGAACCCACTGCCCAGCTTGGCAGGGCGCCTCAGAGTGTCTTCCAAATACCACCTGCAGCAGAATCACCTGAGATGCACGTTAAGGTGCAGATCATAGGACTCCACCCCTGGCCTACCCAATCAGCCTCTTAGGTGGCAGCACCTAGAAATCTGCATTTTAACAAGTTCCATGGATGACTTGTGTCCACCCAACTGTGAGAACTGCTCTCCACTGAGGTTTCAAAGAGATACATAATACCCAAAGCAGGTATGTAGTCCTTCTTGGCTGGATGTGGGAACTTATTTTGCATCATTCTTCTTCATTCCACCTGCTGGCACAATTGTGAGAAGGATAAATATTCTCAGATCTTAGGGATGCATTGTTTTAATGAAGATTGCCCCATTGTGCAGGATCTGGATTTTATGCAAAAAAATTAAAAAAAAAAAAAGAAGATGGCCCCATTCCCCTACCTCCATCCCACCTATTTAAACAAACAGCAATGGGGGCAGGGACTTTTCATGAGAGGAATGACTTTTGACATTGGTGGCCATGTGCAGTTACTTATTTTCTGGACCGATCTCCTTCAGTACCTGCACAAGATGATGATGTTCCATGTATTCAGGGGTTCCTACACTCACAGACTGAAGTTAAGTGTTTCATTGTGCTGGAAGCTTTGGCCATCTGACCCTTCTACAGACAGCAAAATGTCAAAAGGAATTACTTTCTCTTTAAAGGATAGCTCCCACGCATACGGGTTGAGTGGGTATTTTTCTTTTGTGCTGGAATCCAGAGGCTCCCTCTTGTTCTCAAGGAAAATGTCAGATAACCCACCTGACCCTGCTTATGCACGTCATTCAGGTTGCAAGACACAGAAAGCTTGTGCCTTCAGTCAAGGGGTTCCTTCACATGATAGTGGTCATAACCCCCTTTGCCCTTTATTAAGCCATTGTCCCTCAACTCCAAACCTACCTTTCTATGCTCTGCTCTGTGATGCTGGGACTGGACTCTGCAAATGCCACTTCTCCTTTGCCCACTGGCTCCCATTAGAGTACTCTAGAGGGTGCCTACAAACCTGGGGCATCAAGAAGGAGCAGCTCCTTCCAGTGTGCTTCTGGCTCCTGTCAGGATCACCCCAGCAATGCTCACATTGTCTGTATATGCCAAGCACCAGCTCGTTTTCCGGCATTGTCAGAGCCAGCTTCATTATGCCCCTCCCCAGCAGAGCACTGGCTGACCTCAGAGGCCTGAGTATTTGATTCATGCCCCTCACTTCTAAGCTCTTGAGACACCAGAACCAGCCAAACAAAAATCTCTCCTTAGAGATCTGGGTCCCATTTCTGTGGCGTCCCTCCTCCCAACTCTAGGTCCTGATGGCCTCACCCTTCCGTTTGTTACCCCAGACACGGGGGTAGAAGCAGCATTCTGTGGGTACAGCCTTGGTTGCCCCGATGCCTTCTTTGCCTCCTCAGTCTCAGTCCCATGCCTGTTTAACCAGCTTCTTATATTAAAGTCTCTATGTTGAACCATCTAGTTGGTTTCTTCCTGACTAGACCCTGAAAGTTACCTTGTTCAGGTTGTGGGTACACCTGGCTATGAGGTTCCCCAGCTGGGCATGATGGCCCTACATGGCAAAGGACAACTCCACTTTCGGCCTACTGAGCTGACTAGCATCAGCCTCCAGCTTCACACTGAGAGATACTGACCTCTGCCCTAGCCTCTCGTCGGATGGGATTGTGCAAATATTTGCCTCTGCTGGCCTGCAGCATAACACTTAAGAGCATGGACTCTGGAGGCAAACAGACCTGGATTTAAATCCCAGCGCCACCATGTCTGGCCACACATTTCCTAATTTCTCTAAACCTTTCTTCATTTACAACACAGCAAGAATGATACCCACCAGGGTGGGTGCCACGGGGCGGGGGGCGGGGGTGGAGCAATAAGCAGAAGTGACGTGTGCCCCTTGAAAGGAACGGTCCTAGCCTCTCCTTCACCTCCTGCTTTCTGTTGGCAAGATGTGGAGGTGATGGCACAACATCTTCAGCCATGGGGACAAAAGTGACATCCCAAGGGAGTAACCAGCAAGAAGAAAACGAACAGGCCTTGAACTCTTTACTCTTGAATTTTTACACGAGACATAAAAGTATATTTTAAAGAGTCTGTTGAGTGATTATACACAAGCTGAAACGATACCCTAACTAATAGCACGGGCAATGGGCTCCCCTCCCTCAAAGAGTATGTTTTTGCTGTCAGGACATTTTCTGAGAAGATACCGCCGCCCTCATCTCCAATTGGCCAGGGATATTAGAGGATCCTATACCAGGGTCTTCTGAGGAAATGCTGTCTGCCTGAACTCTTCCTCAGTGCCTTTGTTGGGCTTTACATCTTGCTGGTCCCTGCGGTTGACTGTTAACAAAGATTGTTCAACAGCTCTTTCCAAAGAAAGAGCAGGTTCACAGGGAGTTCTGGACAGACCACATAAGAGGGTGTTGTCCTGTTAGAGTCCCACGCAGAGGGTGGGGCCTCCCCTGCCCCTGCCACCCAGCACGTACAGAGTATGTCCCTTTCCCACTCCCAGCACATACAGAGTATGTCCCTGCAGCCTCTGGGTTTTCATTACCGCACTTACATTTGCTGAAATTAATCTCATGCCTAACTCTCCCACTAAGTTGTGAGTTTTTTCAAAGATAAAAACAGTGTCTCACGCCAGTATACAATGCTTAGCATTTAGAAATGCTTAATCATATAAATACTTATTTTTAATTCACTCATAAAACCCAATGTCTTTCCTTAGGATAAAGTTATACTGCAAAGGCTGTGACCTCCATCTTCCTCTCGAGTCTGGCTGTGGGCTGAGTCACACACACCTGCCCGTCATCCTTACTGGCTCCTTGGCAACTCACTTTTATTCTGTCTGCAAACCACCTTCAGGAATTTGAGTGGAGGAGACAGAACAAGGATTGAGGAGAGAGGCATTGTGATCCTGAACAGATGTTTTTCCACTTGGGAACCTACAGATAAGACCCAATAGTCAAAAGTGCACCCAAAAATGGCAAGATCCAACCTTATACCATTCCCATCTTCCTGCCTGTTTGGCCTCAGAGAAGCTTGACTGAGCCCCTTATAGAAGCACAGAATCTCCTCCCCTTGTTGCCAGGGATGTTACTGTCTGGGGAGATAAACACTAGGGAGATTTACGAGCAGGCATGTACTGGTGGAAGTCAGCAGGCTGTGTCAGCAAACGGCAAACTGGAAGCCCTGCTGGGTCTGGTTTTGAACTTACTCTTCAGCCGTGGTGTAAGAGTGGCCGTGCCCCTTCTTGGGGTAACCATAGATGAAGTGAGCATCTTCTCTTGGCATCTTGTAGGGTCAGGGCACAGGACACCTAACAGAAGGAGCATGTGGGCATCATTAATGCATCCAAAGCCACCCTATTCATCATCTCATAAAGACCCACAACAGCATCCTCACTAGGTGACCAATATCCATAGCCAGGACCCTTTGGTTTCTCTCTGTGAGGGGATTTGCACCTGCTTCTTTCATTCATATCAAGGGCTTTAGCAATAGCTCAGGTTTCTAACCCCTCCTACTAACTGAAAATTAAGTTCAAAGAAGAAACTACAAACAAAAGCAAAAAAGACTTGCAAGTTGAGTTATTATTTGGTGAAAAAATATTCCTCATTTGCCTTCAATTTGACTCTGCACCATAAACTTCTAGAGAAACAAACAAAATGCATTTTCACTGATTCTCCACCTTCCCTGGCCCAGGGCTGTGGCTAACAAAATTAGAGGAGTTATTTTTCTCCAAAGTTATTGTTGGATATCAATCCCACAGACAAACAGAGGCTATGATACATAACGTGTGTTTCCCAGAGCACCCGTTGCCTGTGCCTCGCGAGGGTGCATGAGGTTGAGCACTGAGCACAACATCTTCCAGCCCAGCTTTTCAGCAAAGGAAACCACCCCACACAGGGGCTTCAGCCTGTCCCCAGGCACTCCACCCAAAACAAGCCGAGGAAGCCCAGGACCTGACTTTATCTAACAATGTGTTTCCCTTCCTACTTAAGTCAATTTCTGCTTCTCTCTGGTTCAAGTCCCTTGGCTAGGATTCTTTTTTTTTCTAACTATAACACATACAAATGAACAACAAAAAATATCCATAAACTGCAGTGGCCGTAATTCAAGTACGCTCATTAAAAACCAATAATGGAAGCTCCTTTCCTTATTATTGTGTATTTTTCTGCTCTCTTACTGTCCTCATGAATTTCAAAGGTGTGATCCCCATAGAATTATATTAATGAGCCCCAGTTTAAAACAACAGGGAGAGGTGAGACAGAAGAGTGGGGATTTCGACACATGACCCCTTTCCACTGGGACATTTTATGTGTAATTTGCCCTTCCCAGTTGTAAAAAAGAAATGAAAGTCAAACTCACCAGTCCTCTCAAGTGAATAATATAGGACTGAACCCTGTGTTCAAAATGACAGAATGGAATCTTAATTCTTCATTAAATTGTTTTAATACATCCCATACCTCAAACTCAGAGCCTTGGCAAATGGTGCAGCAACAGCAAATGCGCCTCTTACTACTCAGACCAGGAGAAGTGGTTCTTTAAGTGACAGGAGAACACATCTACCTCAGGGAGGCTGCTTCTCCCCAGCAAGATGCCATCCTGAATAATTGCTTTTCTTCTTGGTAGTGTTGGAGGACTGAGAGAGGATTCAGGAGGAGGCTTTGTGAGCCCTCTGAGGTTGGAGACTGACAAACGTTGCGGAGAAATTCTGTTGATGTCACACATCAGCGGGGCAATGAGGGTAGGCAGAGGACTTAGCCAGAATTTCCCAAATCCTATTCTGGGAGAAGAGGACTATGATTATGGCGAGAAGGCAACGCTCTTACCTTCCTTAATGAGAGTCCTCTGTCTGCTGGCTGGCCGCGTGTATGAAGACTGCTTCTCTGGCTCTTAATCGTTTTGACTTATTTTTTTTCCTGGTTTTGAGTCCCATGATAGTCACGGGTTTAGATTTCTGACGGGGTCGTCTGTAATTGCTAAATTGGCATGAAAGAAACCAACTTTATTCCTTCCTTCAAAAAGTCACAGCTGACTGTGGCCTCTGTTTTCCCCAGTCCCAGTGCTCTATCCTAGGGAAGCCATTTATTTTAAATGTTGGTCCCTCCTCCATAGGATTGCCATGTCACATAAAATATGACATGAGCCTAGTTATAATGATTTAAAATTCATGGTCCGACACCACAATTACTTTTGCACCAACCTAATTGATGTCTAAGTAGGTCATATTCTACCTGCAAAAAGAAAATTTCATCTATCCCTTTCACATAGATGGAAACCCACTATCTCCAGTGGACAGTTAACACCAAAGGCATCACAGAGAACTCATGGAGCTCAGCTGAGGAGGATGCCCAGTTAAATTTGAACTTCAGATAAACAATGAACAGTTTCTTAATACAACTATGTCCCATACAATATTTTTAGGATAAATATGTCCACATATTCTATGGGACATATACACTAAAAGAGTTATTTTTTGTTTATCTGAAATCCACATTTGTTTTTCTCATGTCAGATAGGTAAGGTGCCCATGTCATTGTAACAAGGTTTGAGGGAGGCATATCTCACACGTGAACATGGAAACCCAATCATCACGCTTATGACCCACAAAAGGATCTGAAATCCAAACTAAACTGGGTTCCCTATTCCCTCCCTCATCTCCATCTCAAAGGGTTGAAGAGTCTTTAGGCACAGGTCTGGAGAGCATCTAGTCCCAGACTCTCATAATCAAGAAAAGGAAATAGAAAAATCCCTGAAACCTCCTCAGCTGAGCTCCATGAGTTCTCTGTGATGCCTTTGGTGTTAACTGTCCACTGGAGATAGTGGGTTTCCATCTATGTGAAAGGGATAGATGAAATTTTCTTTTTGCAGGTAGAATATGACCTACTTAGACATCAATTAGGTTGGTGCAAAAGTAATTGCGGTGTCGGACCATGAATTTTAAATCATTATAACTAGGCTCAAACACATTTTTTTTTTCTGAGATGGAGACTCACTCTGTCGCCCAGGCTGGAGTGCAGTGGCAGGATCTCAGCTCACTACAACCTCTGCCTCCCAGGTTCAAGCAATTCTCCTGCCTCAGCCTCCTGAGTAGCTGGGACTACAGGTGCACGCCACCACACCTGGCAAATTTTTGTATTTTTAGTAGAGACAGGGTTTCACCATGTTGGCCAGGATGGTCTCGATCTCCTGACCTCATGATCCACCTGCCTCAGCCTCCCAAAGTGCTGGGATTACAGGCATGAGCCACCGCGCCCAGCCTCAAACACATCTTTATTAATCAAAATAGGAACCATTGCAATGAAGACATTTTTGCCAATGAAAAATAAGTTTGTTTATTCCTGTAGCATACACATTCATGCTTCAAGATTCGATGAACTCTTGGAAAGCATTTTCTGCATCCTGCTGGTTGTGGAAGGATTTTCCCTGCAAAAAGTTGTTAAGATGATTGAAGAAGTGGTAGTCGGTTGATGAGAGGTCAGGTGAATATGGCAGATGAGGCAAAAGTTCGTAGCCCAATTTATTCCAACTTTTGAAGCATTGGTTGTGTGACATGTGGTTAGGTGCTGTCATGGACAATTGGGCTTTTTCTGTTGATTAATGCCAGCTGCAGGTGTTGTACTATTCGGTGCAACTCATTGATTTGCTGAGCATACTTCTCAGATATAATGGTTTCACCGGGATTCAGAAAGATGTAGTGGATCAGACCAGCAGAGACCACCAAACAGTGACCATGACCTTTTTTCGGTGCAAGTTTGGCTTTGGGAAGTGCTTTGGAGCTTCTTCTCAGACCAGCCACTGAGCTGGTCATTGCCAGTTATCATATAAAATCCACTTTTCATTGTACATCACAACTCAATTGAGAAATTCTTCCTTGTTGTTGTGTAGAATAAGATAAGACAACATTTCAAAAAGACCGTTTTTTAAATTTTCACTCAGCTCATGAAGCAACCACTAAATGAGCTTTTTCACATTTCCAATTTGCTTCAAATGCTGAACAACTGTAGAATGATCGACGTTGAGTTCTTCGGCAATTTCTAGTGTAGTTGAAAGAGGATCAGCTTCGATGATTGTTCTCAACTGGTCGTTGTCAACTTCCAGTGGCCAGCTCCTCATCTTCCAGGCTCTCATCTCCTTTGCAAAACTTCTTGAACCACCACTGCCCTGTACATTCGTTAGCAGTTCCAGGGCCAAATGCATTGTCGATGTTGCAAATTGTCTCTGCTGCTTTATAACTCATTTTGAACTCGAATAAGAAAATCACTTGAATTTGCTTTTTGTCCAACATTTCCATAGTCTAAAATAAACATACAACAAAGAACAAGTGATGTCTTTAGCAAAAATACATAAAGTGAGAAATGCCCATTAAAATGATGTATAACATAACCACATTTATTTAAGAATGTATTTAATATCAAACAGCAAAGTCCGACAGTGCAAAAATCACAGTTACTTTTGCACTCACCTAATAATTGACCCCAGAGCTGATTCTACTTAACATCATGATCTATCTTGGACAGCCCAGAAGCATTTCAGTGGGACACAACAGTCACCTTTGCTCACCAGCTCTCCATAGCCATTGTGAACAAACAAAACAAAGAAAAAAAACCCCACCGGAATATGACAGTCCTAGCAGCTCAAGACTTAGATTAAATGACCTCTAAGGTCCCCTTTCCCATAATACCTGAGGACCCATTCCTTTCAGATCCTGTGATTTTTCTGGTTTCCATCGTGAGCTATGGACAAAGGCTGTCCTGTGTAAGGGCAGTACCAACCCACCAGATACTGGATAGTCACCACTGAAAATGGTAAGGGAGAAAGAAAACAAAGAAGGGTTGATCTTTATTAGGCAAGCCAGGGAGAGCCTATCTGTAAAGGAGGGAAAATTTAAACTGAGACCTAAATGGTAAGAAGCAGTCAGCCATGAAAAGATGGAGAGAGAGCATTTCAGAAAGAACAACCAGTTGGAGACCTTGAGGCAGAACAATAGACCATGACTTAGACTGAGTTCCCAGAGTGGAGGCTATCTCAGGGAATTTTGTGCAAAAATTGGGAAGGATATAAGCCCCTTGTGTCAATAGATTTGGAGAGAGCAACTCCAACCTGAATTTCAGGGTTATGCCTGAAAATCCCAGAAAGTCCTGGTGGTGAGTACTAGTCTACAAAGAGGGATGCAGTTCTGAGCTGAAAAGTCCATTGCACTGAGCTGGGTTCTATAATAGCCTGGCCCATATATGACTGGTGGCAAGACCACAGAGGAGGGAGTACTGACCTGGATCTCAGGGCAAGGTGAAGTTCCCAGGTCTCATTCAAGTTCTCTGGTGATGTGAGCTGACTTGGGGATTGAGTGTGCCCTGGCATTCTTCCAGGGTGGAGACAACAGGCAGCTGGCATCATCCCCTCCCCCAGAGGATGCTACAGGACCAGACTCAGCATGCTGGGCACACAATGGCCAGTCTGGGAACATGCTCTCCAGCTTGTTTGAGATATTTTTTGGTGGGTGGGTTGGGGGACAGTCTTGTTCTGTTGCCCAGGCAGGAATGCAGTGGTGTGATCTCGGGTCACTGCAACCTCCACCTCCTGGGTTCAAGCGATTCTCCTGCCTCAGCCTCCTGAGTAGCTGGGACCACAGGTATGCACCACCATGCCCAGCTAGTTTTTGTATTTTTAGTAGAGACAGGATTTTGCTATTTTGGCCAGGCTGGTCTCGAACTCCTGACCTCTAGTGGTCCGCCCACCTCTGCCTCCCAAAGTGCTGGGATTACAGACGCGACCCACTGCACCTGGCCCTTGTTTGTTCTTTGAGCTCAACGAGGGAGACCTGACCAGCTCTTTCACAGGCATCCCTTTGGGTCTTTGAGTGGTTTGCAGCTTCTGAGGTGCCTGGCCCTTTCAGGGCTATGTGAACAGGATAAGCTGGCGATCGCTTCTTCAAATAGGGGTTCCCTGGGCACCTCAACTTGAAAAACCTACCACATCCTGTTTCCCGGAAGCCCCCTAGAAGTTCCCTCTAACTAGGCTCTTAGTCTCTGTTTTTGAGCCGGCCTTGGGCCTCAGAGTCCACACCAAAGCCAGCCCAAGTCAGGCCCTACCTGCCTTCATTTTCAACACTTCCAAGTGGCTTCCTTTTCTCCCCTGGCAATCTAGTCCCAAACTAACAGCAGGAGCTCTAGAGTCCAAACCACTTGCACTTCATCTCTTCAGTGTGTGTGACCTTGGGCAAATCTCAAACCTCTGAAAGCCCCAGTGCACGCATCTGAAATGAAAGGGATAATAGCAGCATCTGCTTCATAGGTTCATGGTGAGAGTTAAACGAGATCCTGTTGGAAGTGCTTGGTACAGCACGTGGCACAGAATACGCCTAGCAACAATAGTGTGAACTGTTACTGTGAGGCAGCTCAGCCCCCACACCAGCCCCAGGGTTAGGATTTGTACCTGCTAGACCTTGCTGGCCACTGACTGGTTCTCTGCTGCCACCTAGTGGGCTTGGCCACCTGGCATCACAGGCCCACCTCATGAAGGGGCCAGAGATGCCTCTTTGGCATCTGCTTACAGTGCTCAGGAGCCAGAATCCTCTTGACTCATCCTGCTTGGGGCTTAGGCCCTCTTCAGTGCTCCCCACAATATTGTGAGCTTTTGATCTCTCACACACCCCGCAGAGGTATTGCTACAAACGAGGGTTGATAGCCGGCTGCTCGGGCTTCCGCTTTCGGTCCCCGCTAGCCATGCGTCCACTGTGTTCCCTTTTGGGAAGGCTACAAGCCCCTGGCTCAAAAGATTTGGGGAAAACAACTTCTACCTGAACTTCAGGGTTATGCCTGAAAATCCCAGAAAGTCCTGTTGCCCTTTCATAGGAGGAGCTGAACAAACAGAACTGGCTCTTCAGAAGGCAGAGAAGGCAAGGCCACATCCCAGTCACTACTGAGTCCTCACCCCGTAAGCCTCACAGGTGCCTTGAATCCCAGCTCTCATTATTATCTGTGAGACCTTGAGCAAGTTAATTAACCTTTCTGAGCTATTCCGTCTTCATCTGCAACATAGGAATAGGGAATAATTACAGAATTGCTGTGAGAATTAAATGAGATAACATATGGGCCGGGTGCGGTGGCTCATGCCTGTAATCTCAGCACTTTGGGAGGCCGAGGTGGGCAGATCACCTGAGGTCAGGAGTTCAAGACTAGCCTGACCAACATGGAGAAAACCCGTCTCTACTAAAAATACAAAAAAATTAGCCGGGCGTGGTGGTGCATGCCTGTAATCCCAGCTACTCAGGAGGCTGAGGTAGGAGAATCACTTCAACCTGGGAAGTGGAGGTTGCAGTGAGCTGAGATCGAGCCATTGCACTGCAGCCTGGGCAACGAGAGTGAAACTGAAAAAAAAAAAAGAGATAACATACGTCAACTCATCTAGCACAGTGCCTGGCAAGTTGTTCATTGAGAAAGGCTAGTGCTTCTGCGAATTCCCTGTGAATGTACAAACAGTTCGGAGGGGGTGCCCAGTCCTTGGGGTGAGCCTATGAACTCATGGCCATGGCTAATTGTTAATCAGCTAACAAGCGCTTGCTGTGACGTAAAGAGACCCAGGACAGAGAGGTTCTGATGGTGAGGGGATAGTGGCGAGGTAGAGAAGGGAATAGAATCGAGGCATGGCTAGGCAGGGGTCGAAAGGGGAAGCCCCAGCAGCCAGGAGGGTGGAGGAAATGGAGGACCACAGGGACTCCCTCCTCCCTCAGACACCCGAGAGCAAGAGCTGTGGCCTGCTGGCCTCGGGCTGGCCTTGAGTGTGGCTCCCTCTCAGGAAGCAGCAAAGGAGGCTTCATCAGTTCCCGGGCTCTATTAGGAAAGGGGTTCCAGGTGAACACGGGCACAGAGCTGGCTGAAGTCTTGAGAACATGGCCCAAGTCTCGCAGGTGAGCAGAGAAGAGCACTAATAAATCAGAAACGTGGTAAATCCCATGGCCATTTGTGACTAGTCACAGGAAGGTTGAGATTACAGGAACGGATTAAAATGACCTTTGGAGTGGAAAAATATTGAAGAGTCAACACCAGGGTTCACTACAATATCTAATAATGCTAGAGCCACCCCAGATTCTTGTCTAGGGTACAGTGGGGGTATTGGTACAGAAGAGGCTTGAGAGGAAGATGGGCTGTGTTTGTGTCTGGAAGGTAAGTAGGGATCACCTTCATAGGCATGAGATGAAGGCCAGTCCAGTGGAAGTTAAGTAGGCATTCACCAACCATAACTTCGGGTGAGGACGGGAAGGTGACATCCCAGTGGTTTAGGGCTCAGGGCCCCAGACCGGTCTGGTGAGCTTCAGGGAATTGTGAGTCGTTCCATATGGCTGGAGCTCCAAGTGCAAGAAAGGGAGTGGCAGGCCTGAGGCCCCGGTCCTGGGCGCCACAGGGCCTGGAATACCACGCTGAGCCTTTGGACTGATCTTGTAGGCTGTGTTGAGTCACAGAACGGTTTTAAGCAGGGAAAAAAATGGGTTGACCAGACTTGCAGTAAATCTATTTTCCCGTGTCATGAAGATATCTACCTCCCAGGTGGCCATGAGGATTACCTGTATTGTTGTGTGTGAAAACATTGTGTAAACTGTAAATCATACCAATGTGAGATCTAGAAGCAGCAGCTTATACCTGAATGGCAGGGCTCTGGATTGGTGATATGAAGGGACAAAAAGGAGAGAGACTGCGCTCTGGGTTCTGATTTTTATTTAAATGCTTGCTCCAGCATTGACTGGCCGTGTGTTTTTGGTGTGTAAGACTGTCAACATCAGTCTCTTTATCTGCAAAATGGAAACCTAATAATTCTTTCTCTCAGGGAGGGTGAGGCCTAGTGTGTCTGGCATGGAGCAAACCCTTGTGTCAGTCCAGGTTCTTTGGTTGTGAGCAACAGGAACTCTGGCTACTTAAGAAAATTAATGGGAGGTTATGAAGGTGTCCCCAAAACTATAGAAAAATATGAGCAAGCCTGTCCCTAAGAAGGAATAGGGGGTGGGTGCAGTGGCTCATGCCTGTAATCCCAGCAGTTTGAGAGGCTGAAGTGAGAGGGTTGCTTGAGTCCAGGAGTTCAAGACCAGCCTGGGCTGCATAGAGAGATAGTGAGAACCTGTCTGTACAAAAAAATAAAATTAGCCAGGCATGTTGGTGCGCACCTGTGGTCACAGGTACTCAGGAGGCTGAGGTGAGAGGATCACCTGAGCCCACAAGAATGAGGTTGTAGTGAGCTATGATTGCACCACTACACTCCAGCCTGTGTGAAAGAGCAAGACCCTGTCTCAAAAAAAAAAAAAAAAAAAAAGAAGAAGAAGGAATAGGATGAAGTTGTTTTGTGGGATACAGGTAGCAAGAATTCATGGATGACCTTCCAGGTTGCTGCCACCAGAATGAAATTAGCTTTGTTCATGTTCATCTTTGTCTGTGTACAAGTTCAGGTTCCTTGGAGAATCTTGCATCAAACTAAATAATACACAGAGAGAGGTTCTCCAAAACAAAAGATGTTTATTTAGGAATAAAGCATTGCAATGGTAATGTGCCACAGCAAACTATGTGCATATTTAGGGAAGTAAAGGAAGACAAGGGTTTTGTCTTTGTTTTTGTTTTTTTTTATACTTTAAGTTCTAGGGTACATGTGCACAGCGTGCAGCTTTGTTACATATGTATACATGTGCCATGTTGGTGTGCTGCACCCATTAACTCGTCATTTACATTAGGTATATCTCCTAATGCTATCCCTCCCCCAGCCCCCCACTCCACAACAGGCCCCGGTGTGTGATGTTCCCCTTCCTGTGTCCAAGTGTTCTCATTGTTCAATTCCCACCTGTGAGTGAGAACACGCGGTGTTTGGTTTTTTGTCCTTGTGATAGTTTACTGAGAATGATGGTTTCCAGCTTCATCCATGTCCCTACAAAGGACATGAACTCATCCTTTTTTATGGCTGCATAGTATTCCATGGTGTATATGTGCCACATATACACCTTTGGGTATATACCCAGTAATGGGATGGCTGGGTCAAATGGTATTTCTAGTTCTAGATCCTTGAGGAATCGCCACACTGAGGAAGACAAGGGTTTTTAAAGGAAAAGTGAAGAGGATTACATACTTGTCCTGAAATAATTATTTTGGGCTACAAAGATCAATAACATGGGTGACTTCAGTGTGAGACTGGACAGGCAGTAATTAGGCAGTTGTCCTTGCAGTATTTTTTGTGTAAGGTTGTGATGGCCTTTGTGCAAGGCTGTGGTTTTGCAGTCTTTTGTTATCAGGCATACAAGTATGAGAAGCCTCTTTCATTTGTCAGGGTTCAATTTGTCAGGGTTTTCTTAACATTAGTGACTCCATTTTGATTCTGACTACTTTCACACTTGTTTGGCTAGCTTGGGTCTCATGCGAAATCCTTGCTCAGGCATAAAGTGTCTAGAGGTGGGGTGTAAGGGGTGGTATTTAACACCCCATCAAGGCTAAGGCAACAGGGAAGGAGTAATTCTTCAGGAAGAATCTAGATTGCTGTCACCAAATTAAGAAGTAAGGGATCCCACAGAGACAAAGACAGAGATGCCCTCTACAACATTTGGCAAATGGTGACCATCACAGTTACACAGTACTGGGTTCGTTGAGCTAGGATTTGTCCCTGAGAAGTCTTCCTAGTCTTTGCTGTTTCCTATTAAGCACTGTGAGAAGAATGGGGTCGCACATCTAAAAATCCTGCAGGAGACTATGGAAGGTTGCCGGGAGCTCCCCGTTCATATTCTCATCCTACCACTTACTGCATGACAGTGACATCACCTGTTCATGTCTGACACAACCACTGGTTCCTGGGCTCTGTGAGAGTGGGGATTACGTCTTTCTGTATCTCCATTGCTTGGCGCAGAGCCTGCCACATGGTAGAGCCTCAGTGAACTAAACCGTCACTCAGATCTCATCTCTAGTGACTTCCTAGGAAGTAGCACCATCAGAGAAATCAGGATGATATTTCAACACTAAGAACAATTGTCTGTTTCAGTGTATTTTTCTATTTCCAATTTTGAAAGAAATCAGCCTTTCCCTACCCAGTCACCATCACCCTAAATATCATATCCTTCTTGACAGGTATCGCTCTGAAGACTTGATGAAGGTTTGCTGACAAGAAAGGGCTTACTCACTGTACACAGCCCTTCAATAACTCCTACCAAGCACGGTGTTCCAGAGGCAGAGGGCTCCTGAGGGCAACCCTGAGGGTTACCCAGGCCCCAGCACCACCTGGGAGGACATCCCTGGTCTCCAAGCCTCCCTCTTCCCTGCTTAGCATCAAAGAACTAAAGGGGTTAGGAAAGTTCTTAAAAGTGATGAGCATTTTAACTGTTAGGCTGTGGACCACCCCGTGTCTCTGGAGGCACTTTTTCCAGTCTTCCCTTCATAGCGGCCAACTCTACAATCCCACAAGACCTGGTCTTTTAGGGCTGACCGTTTGAGATTCTTATAGTTAGTTTTTATATTTACAGAGAGAGGCCATTTATAAGGAAGGCCTTTAACTGTTTTGAGAGGGGCATTTGACTCTCCCATAAATCCTGCTCATTTCTGTCTCCCTGCTGATACCCAAAAATACCCGGAAGTAGCCCCCAGACCTTAAATAGTTGAAAAGGGTGTCAGGGGTGGGGGAAGGATTGTGTGTGTGTGAAGTGTGTAAAGGAATAAACCAACCCTTTGACAGAACTTCTTATCCCTGGATGAGTTAGGTGATTTCCTCCACCTTGGGTGAGATCTTATAATTTTAAGAGTAATGGGCCGAGCGTGGTGGCTCATGCCTGTAATCCCAGCACTTTGGGAGGCCGAGGCGGGTGGATCATGAGGTCAGGGGTTCGAGACCAGCCTGGTCAACATGATGAAACCCCATGTCTACTAAAAATATAAAAATTAGCTGGGCGTGGTGGCGCACGCCTGTAATCCTAGCTACTCAGGAGGCTGACGCAGGAGAATTGCTTGAGCCTGGGAAGCGGAGGTTGCAGTGAGCTGAGATGGCACCACTGCACTCCAGCCTGGGCGACAGAGCGAGACTTCATCTCAGGGAAAAAAAAAAAAAAAGTAATGTTGGAGGAAAGGGAAGGGGAGGGAAAGGGATCAGGTAGAAACTGAAATTGCCCAAGGTCAGAGTCATGTTTTCTAATTTCTTCCTGACCATGTCTGTGTGGGGAAAACTAATTCAGACTTTTTAAGAGCTAAAGAACTTCAGTGTTTTTTTGTTTGTTTGTTTTTTGTTTTTGTTTGTTTGTTTGAGACAGAGTCTCACTCTGTTGCCGAGGCTGGAGTGCAGTGGCGGGATCTCAGCTCACTGCAACCTCCGTCTCCCAGGTTGAAGCAGTTCTCTCCTGCATCAGCCTCCTGAGTAGCTGGGATTACAGGCGCGTGCCATGACGCCCGGCTAATTTTTGTGTTTTTAGTAGAGACAGGGTTTCACCATGTTGGTCCGGCTGGTCTCTAACTCTTCACCTTGTGATTCGCCCACCTCAGCCTCCCAAAGTGCTGGGATTTGGCTTGTTTTTTTATTTTTTATTTTTAAAGAAACTTCTGGTGGGGTGTGATGGCTCACACCTGTAATCCCAGCACTTTGGGAGGCTGAGGTGGACAGAACTCTTGAGGTCAGGAGTGAGACCAGCCTGGCCAACATGGTGAAACCCTGTCTCTACTAAAAATAAAAAAAGTTAGCTGGGCATGGTGCTGTGTGCCTGTAATCCCAGCTACTTGGGAGGTTGAAGTTGGAGAATCTCTGGAACCCGGGAGGCGGAGGTTGCAGTGAGCTGAGATCATACCACTGCACTCCAGCTTGGGAGACAGAGCGAGATTCTGTCTCAGAAAGAAGTAAGTTCTACGTAGCATTTTTGTCTTGTTACATTAAAAAATAATTCAGTAGAACTGACTTATTATCTGACAGGGAGATCCGAGCTATGGGATTTTTTAGAATTATAGTCAGAGGTCGGATAAATCCATTATCTCTGACATTCTGCAGGTAAATAAGCTAGAACCTAGAGAGGCTGACCATGTGAGTCAGATTATCTGGTTCTGTATCTCTGCATTTCCTTCCAGTGAGTCATCCCTGAGCTCATTTAATTGGTCCAGCCCAGTGTCTGCTTGTCAGTTAATTAAGAGAAGCTTCAAGGGCCCAAGCATATCTTAAAGAGCCAGCGGTGGCCACCAGACCAGTGTGGGCGGTCATCAAGGGTCAGGTTCCTTTGGGGCCGCTGGCATTGGGGATTGGGATTGGGTTGATCATGGGTCAACCAGCCCTTTAGGGATGAAAAGGAGGCAGGGTCTCAAGGGGACAATGCCTGCCAGCAGCCGGCTGTGTGGGGGCTGCAACTCCCATCAGGCTTTGATGTGTTTCTTTTTTCTCTTTTTCTTTCTCTCTTTTTTTTTTGAGACAGAGTCTTGCTCTGTTGCCCTTCCCAGGCTGGAGTGCACCATCACACCCGGATAATTTTTTTATTTTTAGTAGAGATGGGGTTTCACCATGTTGGCCAGGCTGGTCTCGAACTCCTGACCTAAAGTGATCTGCCCACCTCAGCCTCCTAAAGTGCTGGAATTACAGGTGTGAGCCACCGCACCCAGCCTGATGTGTTTCTTGATGTTTCTTTGTATTCTTCTGGAAGTCCCTCTGATGTTTAGCAAAGTCTTTGTAATATTTCAGCCAGCATCAGCTCTACTGTGAGTTTTAATGAGGCGTCAGAACAACCCTGGAAGTCAATAGATGGCAACAGCAGAGAGTAAAGTGAGAACTCCATGGGGGAGAAGAAACCCTCAGGAGAGGCAGGAGCTCTGGCATCAACCATCTCTCTGCCCAGAATCTCCTTCCAAGTTGAAGCTTCAGGAGTTTGGGTTCTTCCAGGGTACATTATTGGTCCGATAAGATTGGAAAACACTGAACTAAATAAAGTTAAACAGGTTTCTTCATTACAAACTCTTCTAACATCCTTAATCTACTGATATACCTTATGAATCTTCAAGAGAAGACAGTTGCATTGCCAGCAGAGTTTCTCGAACTATTTAATTATGAAGAAAGTGTTTGTTGGCTTTGGTGCTCCAAGAAACACTCTTTGGGCCACATCATTATGAAGAGTCATTATAGATCCCACCTCTTGTGTGATTGATGGGCCTATTCCTCGAAGTAGTTAACAAAGAGACTAAAATGTAATCCCTTTCCACAAGGAGCTCAGCCCATAAATATCTACTAAATGTATGTCTTCTTACTGAGTGCCAGAAACTGAGCAAACTGATTATTACATGGATTATTTCATATTCTTCTCAAATCCTCACAGCAGCGCTGTCAGGTAGGTGTGATTATTACACCCCTTTTACAGAGGAGAATGAGGCTCATGAGTTTAGATAATTTAGGATTACATAAGTAGTAACTGGCAAATGGCCCAACTCCCATTCTTATACATGGTGCCTCCCCAAGGGGGACACTTCTCAGGAACTAAACACAGTCCAGCATAAGATGCCTTTTAAGTATGGTTGCTCTTCCCCAGGGTCGGTTATTTATTTAGTAACATTGGTTCCAGGGACCCTCCATGTTGATTATTCCTTAATGTTCTCAGGAGCAGGGACTGACTCATTCACCTTTCCATTATCAGTAGGGACTCAATAGATATTTCTTGAATGAATAAAAGTAAATAAATAAATGAAGACACTGATTTTTAACTGGTCCTGGTGATAAATAATTTCTAACAGAGGCATTGCCCAGATCCTTTCAACTAGTCCATAACATTTCTTGAGCTCCTATGATATGCCAAGGACTGGATTCAGTAGTCACCAAAGCTTGTTGAGTTGCTGTTTCCCTTTCTGAACCTCTAATAGTCTACATCACATGAACACATGTTTTCGAAGGCAGACCTTCTTCAGACAATACATGGACAGCCTTAGGCATAAATCCCTTTCCTGTATGAATTCCTCTATAGTAAAAATCATATTGATTGCTTAGGGAGGGGGATACTGAGTTAGTGGTTAAGGGTGTGAAGGATAACTCCTCAAATTAAAGAACTGCACGAACCCTTAACACTCAAAGGCTGGGAAGCATAGAAGGTATTTAATAAGTGCTTGTTGAATGAATGATGCAGACATGCATGAGGCAAGAATGAGGCAAGCTCTGGGCGCCAAAGACAGAGAGGGAGCAGCCACCTTTTTCTTAGTAGCTTGTTGAGGAAACTGCTTGCTGGCCCCTGCCCAAGCCCATGGTGTGGCCATTGTGCATTCTGCAGGGCACATAGTCTGATATGTGGGGTGCTCACAGTAGAAGCCACCTCACACCAAGAGACTCTGCGTGGGCCTTTCCCCTGAGAGATAACTTGAATGCGATGGTAAAATAGAAGCCAGGGGTTTAAGACCAATCTCTGCAGTTTATTAGCCCCTGGATAAGTTACCTAACCATTCTGAGCCTCAGTTTGCTCAACTGAGAAATGAAGATCGTAATTTTTAATTTAGAATTCTTCTTATTTTTTTAGGTCCTTCCAGATTGCAAAGAAGAGAGGCACACAAATGGTTGCTCAGATGAGGTAGATAAGTTAATTATTAGGAAGAACAGGACAATTTCATAACTGCTTCCTGGAGACCTGGGACAAGCCCCCTCTTCATTAAGGAGATGACTGTGGCTGGAATGGCTTTGCAGGATGCCCCCTGCTTGCTCCTTCTGATGCGTCTTGTTACCTCTTTATCACTCGCACACAGTCAAAGGAGCTGGCTAGGCCAATCGTCACTATCCGGGAAAGAGTGCCCCCACTGGGCAATGTTTCTGCACCAGGTCACCTCATGTCCATAGCTCTCTTTGACTCAGGAAGGGATCCCAGGTCCCGCCAGTTGCAGTCACAGCACTCACAGAACAGCTGAGTCACCTGGAGAGAACAGCCTAAGGCTAGTTTGGCTTTGAGAGTGTATTAGTTTCCTCTGGCTGCCGTAACAAAGTAACACAAATTGGGTGGCTTAAAACAACACACATTTACTGTGTCACAGTTCTGGAGGCTAGAAGGCCACAGCGTGGTGTCAGCAGGGCCATGCTGTCTCTGAAATCTATAGGGGAGAATCCTTCCTTCTCTCCTGGCCTCTGCTGGTGCCTGGCAGTGCTGAGCATTCTATGGCTTGTGGGTGCATCACTCGAATTTGCACCTCCATTGTCACATGGCTGTCTTCTCCCTGTCTCTGTCCTCATGTGGCATTCTTCACTCTCTGTGTTTCTGTATCTTGTTATAACGACACCAGTCATATCAGATTACCTTACCCCAATAGGACCCCATCTTAATTACACCTACAACTACCCTAGTTCCAAATAAAGTCACATTCTGAGGTCCAGGGGGTTAGGACATCAACATATTTTGGTGGACACAATTCAACCCATAACAGAGGTTCACAAACTGTCCAGCACCTCTCCAGCAGAGCTGTGGTGAGTGTTACATGAGAGGCTACACATGCCTACCATGGTGTCACATAAAATAAAATTGTCTTCCTGTTCAATGGGTCTCAAAATGTAGTCCTCGACAGGCAGCAGCAACAGCCCCTAGGGACTGGTTAGAAAAACACACCCTCAGGCCCCACCCCAGACTTACTAAATCAGAAACTCAACCTTCAGTATTTTCACAAGCTCTGCAGGTAATTCCAACACAAGCTAAAGATTGAAAACCATGCAGTCTCTGACCTGGACAGAAGTACAAGCTGATAGAGAAAAGTCCCTGAAAAGTGAATCCCAACTGGGGAGCCCACCCACAGCTTCCCAGCAAAGCCATGAGAAAGATCCCACACCCAGGGCTTCTGCTCCCCCTGCCCCATGGCCCCTCTGAGCAGCCACTGCTTGCTGCCACAGACTCGCTGCTCCCTTGCTCATGGCCTCTCTTGCTGTTTCCTTTACTCCAGTTGAGAGTAAGCCTCCCTCCCTGAGATCTGTTTTTTAATTTAAAATTTTTTAGAGATAAGGTCTCACTCTGTCACCCAGGCTGGAGTGCAGTGGTGTGATCATAGCTCACTGCAACCTCAAACTTGTGGCCTCAAGCAATCCTCCGGCCTCAGCCTGCTGAGTCTCTGTGACTACAGGTATGCACCACCATGCTAGGCCTATTGGTTTTCAAAGATTTTGCAGAGAGGGGATCTCGCTATATTGTCCAGGCTGGTCTCAAACTCCTTTGCCTCAACCAACCCTCTTGTCTTGGTCTCTCAAAGTGTTGGAATCACAGGCATGAGCCACATGCCCAGCCCTTTCCTGAGATCCATACTTGGCTTGTGGCTAGATGAGACGCCATTTCATGGGCCTTTTCTCATCACAGACCTCCCTGAGCAGGTTTTGCCCTCCTCTAACTCCTCTCTCCACCCAGGGTAGGGGTGTTCCAGGCCCCACTCTCAAGCAGAAGTAACCCCCGCCAGTCCAGGCTCGACCAAGTCACTGAGCCCCTTCCTTTAGCCCTGGGGGCTCCTTCCTTCCCTTTTCCTTCAGGGCAACATCTTTCCCCCATCAACTCTGGGTCATCTTTCCTTTCCCTCTTCCAACTACGTACACTGAGGCCAGAAGCAGATGTTTTGGGAATTTATTTGTTTTGTTTGGGTGTTTTACTGTAGAGATGGGAAATTTTTCATTTTATGCTCTTCTTTTCTTCATGTGGATCTGCATACCTTACTGTGAGTGTGTGTGTGTATGTGTGTGTTTATGTTTAACCCTCAACTTGCTTTTTTCTATTCTCTCACTCAAAACAGCAGTCATCAACACAGAAGACTTCTGTGACCACATGTGAGAAGTGTTTCTTTCCACTGCCAAGCAAGCAATCAAGTCTGCGGTGGATACCCACTGGGTGGCCTCCAATTCAACTCCAACACTATCTACCTGGAGATAGCATCAGATCCCACAGGTTGAGGGCTCTGTCCCCAAGGCTGGCCCCCACCGCTGCTGGACACCAGCTGATTATAAAGTATATTACAGATGAAGAGATGCATAGGGTGAGGTATGGAAAAAGGAGCATGGACCCTCCATGCCCTCCCTGGGCGCACTGCCCTCCAGGAATCTCCAGGTCTTCAGCTACTAGGAAGCTCCCCAAACCTTGTCCTCTTGAGCATTTTGTTTTGGTTTTGCTTTTGCTTTTTTTAGAGAGGGGGGGTCTTGCTATGTTACCCAGGCTGGCTTTGAACTGCTGCCTCAGCCACCCAAGCTCCCACGTAGCTGGGATTACAGGTGCATGCTAAGCACACAGCTTCTCTTGGGCCTTTTATGGAGACGTCACTGGAAAGGCATGATTGACCACCATGTAGAAATGTGATTGGACCAAAAGGGTAGGATCTCATAGGAATAGACTGAGTGGGGAAACTCAGCAAGGCCTGTCCAGATTCTTTTTGGTCTGTCTGTGTAGCATTCCTTCCTCCAGGGTAGGGGACAGGACCCTCTCTGGTGGATGAAGGAGGGGCAGGAAAAGGTCAGAGAGAGAGATTCTGTTTCCTGAGGCCTGCTTCGGAGACCTAAAGTGTCCCAACATTATAACAAAAGACTGTAACAAGACGAAGACCAATATATAGCTATCATAATATCACACTTACCCATGTCATTTCCTCTCTCAGAAGAACTTCTTTTAACATTTCTTGCAAGGCAGGTCTGCTGGTGACAAACTCCCTGAATTTTTGTTTGTCTAAAAAAGTCTTTTTTTCTCTTTTACTTTCAAAGGATAATTTCACAGGTTATAGACTTCTAGGTTGGTGTTGGGTTTTTTTCTTCCTCCTCTCAACTCAACACTGTTTCAAGCCATTCTATTCTTAATTGAATGGTTTCTTTTCTTTTTTTCCTAACTTTTTTAGAGACAGGGTCTCACTGTGTCACCCAAGCTGGAGTGCAGTGGCACCATCGTAGCTCACTGCAGCCTTGAACTCTTGGGTTTAAGCAATCCTCCCACCTCAGCTTCCAGATTAGCTGTGACTACAGGTATGCACCACCAAGCCCAGCTAATTTTTAAATTTTTTGTAGGGACGCGGTCTCACTATGTTGGCTAGGCTGGTCTCAAGCTCCTTGGCTCAAGTGATCCTCCCATCTCAGCCTCCCAAAGTGCTGGGAATACAGGCATGAGCCACCACACCCGGCCGATTGCATGCTGTCTAAAGAGAAGTCAGATGTAATTCTTATCTTTGCTCCTCCATGTACTAAGTTGTTTTCTCCTCTGGCTTCTTTCAAGATTTTTTCCTTATCTTTTATTTCTACAGTTTGAATATAATACGCTAAATGTGGGAGTTTCTTGGCATTTATCTTGCTTGATGTTCTCTGAGCTTCCTGGATCTGTGGTTTGGTGTCTGATATTAATTTGAGGGAAATTATCAGTTATTATCTTTTGTTTGTTTGTTTTTGTTTTTGTTTTGTTTTTCTAAACAGGGTCTTTCTCTGTTGCCCAGGCTGGAGTGTAGTGGCGATCTCGGCTCGCTGCAACCTCTGCCTCCCGGGTTCAAGCAATTTTCTTTCGTGCCTCAGCCACCGAAGTGGCTGGGATTGCAGGCGTGTGTCACCATGCCCAGCTAATTGTTTTTGTATTTTTAGTAGAGATGGGGTTTCGCCATGCTGGCCAGGCTGGTCTTGAACTCCTGACCTCAAGTGATCCACCCACCTCAACCTCCTAAAGTGCTGGGATTACAGGCGTGAGCCACCATGCCTGGCCTCAGTTATTATTGTTTTAAATATTTCTTCTATTCCTTTCTTCCTTTCCTTTTCTTCTGGTATTCCCATTAAATGAATATTGTATGTTTTGTAGTTGTCCCACTATTCTGTCCTGGGTTTTTGTTTTTGTTTTGCTTCTTCCATCCTTTTTCTCTTTGCTTTTCAGTTTTAGGCGCTTTATGGATGTAATCCTCAAACTCAGAGATTTTTCTTCAGCCATGCCCAGCCTATCAAAGGCATTCTTCATTTCTGTTGCAGTGTTTTTGAGCCTAGCCTTTTTTTTTTATTCTTTCTTAGATTTTCCGTCTCTCTTCTTACAGCACCCATCTGCTCTTGCACGTTGTTTACTTACTTTTATGCGAGCTCTTAGCATATTCTTCATAGTTGTTTTAAATTCCTGGCCTCACAATGTTCTAAATTCCTGGCCTGATAATGTTCCTGGTGTAATAATGTTGTCTGATAATTTCAACATTTTTGCCACATCTGAGTCTGGTTTTAATGCTTGCTCTGTCCCTTTGAACAGTGTTTTTTGCCTTGTAACTTTTTGCCTTGTAATTTATGCCTTGTAATTTTTTTTTGAAAGGCAGGCATGACGCACTAGGTAGACAGGCCTTTAGTGGTGTGGTGTGAGGTGTGGGGGTAGCATTCTATAGTCCTGTGATTGGGTCACAGTCTTTTAGGGAGCCTGTGCATCAGGGCTGAGAACTTTATAAGGGCTCCTCAGTTTCCCCTCCACCCCTTACATGAGACAGAATGGGAAAAGAGGCTAGAGTTGGATATTTCCCTTCCCTAGGTCAGCTCTAATTAAGCCCCAATAGGGTAGATCCTGGTAAAATAGTTTCTCTTGGGGCAGGCCTTAACGGGACCAGAATGCTCTGGTATATTTCAAAATGGTTCCTTTTCCCTTTCTCTTCCAGGAACATAAAGGGATTTTTCCCTCAGTCTTCACTCTGAGAACCTGGTAGAGCTCCAGAAGGTAAACTCACAAAAGTGTTTTACCTATAACTGGGTCCATGGGGCTCTTAACTCTCAGACTTGTCATTGCCAAGCCTCCAGCCATTCGTTTGTTAATCATAGAGCAGGTTTTTCCTGCAGTGACACTGGCTCTCAGAGGTTTCTGCTTGTGAGTTTCTGCTCCAGCAAGTTTGGATTCTCATTATCTGCCTGTCTGTCTCTAATTTGGGGGGCAGCAGTTTGTCCTGTGACCTCACTTCCTTGACAGATCTAGGACGAGTTATTTTTTCAGTTTGTTTAGCTTTTTCCTTGTTGCCAGGATGAAGTGATGACTTCCATGCCCTTTACATGCCAGACTGAAAACTGGAAGCCTCTTCTGCTCTTTGGAAGGATAATTTCTCGGTACAGGATCCTAGGCTGATGGTTCTTATTTTTTAACACTGTAAAAATTTCACCTTCTTCTTCTTCTTTTTTTGAGACGGAGTCTCGCTGTTGTCACCTAGGTTGGAGTGCAGTGGCACAATTCTCCTGCCTCAGCCTCTTGAGTAGCTGGGACTACAGGCACCCGGCACCACGCCCAGCTAATTTTTGTACTTTTAGTAGAGATGAGATTTTGCCATGTTGGCCAGGCTGGTCTCGAACACCTGACCTCAGGTGATCCGCCTGCCTTGGCCTCCCAAAGTGCTGGGATTACAGGCGTGAGCCACTACACCCAGCCTATTCTTTTTTTTTTTTTGAGACACAGTCTTGCTCTATTGCCCAGGCTGGAGCGCAATGGCATGATCTTGGGCTCACTGCAACCTCTGCCTCCCAAGTTCAAGCAATTCTCCTGCCTCAGCCTCCCAAGTAGCTGGGATTATAGGCACCCACCATCATGCCCGGCTGATTTTTGTATTTTTAGTAGAGATGGGGTTTCACCTTGTTGACCGGCTTGTCTCAAACTCCTGACCTCAGATGGTCCACTCGCCTCAGCCTCCCAAAGTGCTGGGATTACAGGTGTGAGCCACCACGCCTGGCCTCACCTTATTCTTGATTCTGATTATTCTTTATGTGTAACCATGGATAAGCCTTTTCTTCTCCCTGGGTCTCAATTCCTTTATTTGTAAGGTGGGTAGATCTGGTGGAAAGGGTTGAAATCTATGGTCTCCAAGGGTCCGTCCAGCTCTAATATTCTTTGATTCAATCATGCAACTATACAACAACCACACAGGGTTTGACGTTTCAGCTAATACCAGTCTGTGGCTACTGGTGTGAGCCTGTCACATGCCCTCCTGGCCCACTGCCAATCACAGCATGTTGTTGCTTAGAGAGGTCATGGTAGGCAGTCCTTGCAATGAAGTGTTCATCCATGTTTGGCCAGTCTTCAAAGAAATACCAACCCCTGAGAAAGCAGAAAGCCTACAACCTGAACGCTAATGCCTGTGCTCAAGAAGGAAACTTCAGTGGCAACAAAAAGCACAGCAAAACAGGGTCCCAGTGAAGCTCTTCTGAATTCAACAACGTTTGAAAGTACTCCATTCCCCTAGCAACTTTTTTTACTTAAAAAAAAGCAGGAGCTGTTTTTTAAAATGATATAAGAACATTATATCGAAGAAAGCAATACGATATTTTGTCAAATAGCAGTGGTATGATTGTGACTGTCATGTCTGATCAACTGATTCTAAGGAGAACTCTATCCTGTGCAGAATGCTGGCATGCTACTTAAAGCTGATTGAGAGGATGACATGCCCAGGACTGGCAAGAGCCCCCTGGTTTGGACTTCTCGCTTGATCCCAAAATATTCCATTTTTAACAGAGCAATTTGGCAATGTGTCTCAAAAGCCCTAAACATGTTCTTCTGTTCTGGATAGTGATGAAGAGTTGGACAGATATTTGGCTAGGACTCCCAGCCTTCTTCTACCACAGGTACAGGAGAAAGATGTGCACTAGGGACACTCTAGGCATCAGCACAGCATTTGTTATTGACTCGTTTTGGCCCCACATCTCTGTGTGAAAGCTTCAGGTTGTTGAGCTGGGCTGCACCTTATGGAAGCCCACAGTGCTAATTGTATACCTCTGAGCAACCCTCTACTGGCTGCCTTCACCCTTGTCCCCAAGGTCCATACTTGAATCTCTTTGTCCTAGAGGACTCACCAACCTGAAAGCAGGAAGAAACGGAGAGACAATCTAAAAGAATGTTCCTCCCTCAGGCCTCGAGCAAAACCAGAACAAAGGCTCCCACGCCCAGACTTTTCCACAGCATGGGCAGGTAGCGCCCCTAGTGGGAGGCAGCAGCCCCAAGTCCATCTTGCCACCTCATCTTCTTAGAAAACAACATCCAAAAGGCCATGAGCCTTCCCTTTCTCCAGGAACTAGTATCTCCTTTTTCTGAGAGCACTGTCCTGCCCCAACTCCTTGAGGTCAAAGTGGAAGTTTCATATTCTTTGAGAACCTGCCCTCCCATGGGGTTATTTGGTTGGTCCAGGGCCAGCTGTATCCTGCCCTTCCCATGGTTTGGTCAAATGCCCTTCTTTTGATTACAGAAGATATTTCAGGATTCTTCCAATTGACTCTCCCTTTTGCTACAGTCATTTGAGACAGGTTTCTAAGATGGCAGGTCAGGAGGCTAGAGAACAGAATCCCCAAAAGTGGGAAGCTAGAGAGAGAGGCCCCCATGTGGACACTAGCATTTCCAACCTACCATCACTGACACCCTCACCTTTTACCACCATGTCCTGAGAATGATTTTGCATCTGTTCCATTAACTTCACTCCTTCTCCTCCTCATTCCCAAGGGGCCCTGAAAGGGGAGCTTTAAGTCCTTCCTAAGGGCAGAAGCAAAACCTCAGTAGCCAGTCCATGTCAGGATTTCAACCTCAGGACATAATCAGAGGTGTGCACACATATTGAAGTACAAGTGATCTAGGGCTGCATTCCTGTAGCTGTAAAAACAATTGAAAATAACCTAATAATATTTCAAAGAATTATGGTCCATCCATCCAACAGAATGCTTTGCAGCTGTTAAAAATATTTTTAAGGAATATTTAATGACATGGAAAAATGCTTATAATATACCAAAAGCAGGCCAGGAACAGTGGCTCACCCTTGTAATTCCAGCACTTTGGGAGGCCAAGGCAGGAGGAGTGCTTGCGCCCAGGAGTTCAAGATCAGCCTGGGTAAGATAGTGAGATCCTAGCTCTACAAAAAATTTCAAAAATTAGCTAAGCATGATGGCACACACCTGTTATCTCTGCTACTCAGGAGGCTGAGGTGGGAGGATTGCTGAAGCCCAGGAGGTCAAGGCAGTGAATCATGATCGTACCGCTGCACTCCAGGCTTGCTGTCAGAGTGAGACCCTGTCTCAAGAATAAATAAATAATAAATAAAAGAAATAATATACCAAATTCAGAATATACAATTTAATGTACTTTATAACCTAAATTGTGTCAAGTTATATATTATATACACATAAACAGCCAAAAAGAACCACATAAAAATGATAATTCTACTTTCTTCATTACGTTTTCTATGTTTTCTAATTGTTTATGATTAGCATGGTTTACTGCGGTATTTATTTGGTATTATGTTTTGGCATAATATTTTATATTAAGTAATGAATGATATTGAAAAGATCAGAACCTTATTAGAGCATGTCTTCCTATGGAAAAATCAGATTTCCTTCTCTGCTGTTTGCGCTTAGCCTTTACCAGAGGGTCATGTGACCAGCAGTAACTGTGAGGCCCGGTTTTCTGCCACGATATTCCCTCCAGAGTACGTGCTCTCGGGTTGTCTGAATCCCTGGAATGCTGGGCCAGTTGCCTCAGCGGGGGCTGCCGTTCTAACCCCCAGGGCAGGGTTGTTTCTTTAGCTGGCTGGTGGCTTTTGGTACCAAACAAGTAACTTTCCTTTCCCGTGAACTTGTCTGCAGTCCCAAACGACTTAGGGTAACTCTGCTGACCCTGTTACCTGCTTTATTCCAGCTTTTGTTCCAGCTAAGGTGGGGAGCCTATAGATTCCTGGGGTCCCACAGAGGTGACATAGCAATGAGAGAGCTGGTGATGTCTCATATTCATGACACAACTTTGCCTGGATTCACAAGTGTGGCTACATAGGGAGCACAGAGACCAAGGGTTGAGGAGCCAAGGTTCTTGGCCTCCCTCCTGCCATCTGACTATCTGAGCTTGAACAAGCCTTTCTGAAGCTCTCTGCCACCTGTCTACAAGTGTAAACTGTGATCCAGGGAAACAATATCTCAGATACCTTTTCTGACCTAAATTGTCTCTCCTATTCATTCCATAGTGTGTGCCTAATAATAAGAGCAAACCCCTGCCACATGCCAGATGCAGTTCTAAACACTTCATACAAATGGACTCCTTTAATCTTCAAAACAAGACTGAGAGGTTGGTACTGTTATCATCATCATCATCATCATCATCATTCCTTTTTCATCAGATGAGGAAACTTAGGCAAAGGGGGACTCAGTAACACGGCCAGGTGCCACAGCCGGGATGTGGAGAGACAGGGATTCCAACCCAGCTGAACTGGCTCTGAAATCTAGACCATGAACCACTCTGCTCCACTGCCTCTCAGTCATGTGAATTTCAGCTCACCCTGTCTTTATTTCAAACTTGGCCAGAGGTGGTCAGTCAGCCACAGTGACACGCTGGCAAAACTGCAAAGTGAGTGATGCCCACCTCCCCTATCCTCTAGCTGCTCAAGGTCGGCCTTTGGGGTCACTGCTGTATAATTCTACTTCTTCCCAACCATGCAAGGATGGCAGAGGCCTCCCCCTGCCTCCTAGACCTACTAAGACAAGGCAATGGCTGTGGGCTTCCCCACCCTCTTGGCCCCATCTTCTGAAGAAGAAATAAGAAAGTACTGTTTTCCTGGTTTTTCAGAAAATAAGAAATATAATACTCATTTAATGAGCATACTCTGCACATGTTATACATACAAATTAACTCATTTGGTTTTCAAACAAGACCCCCCCACTCCCCCGTTTTTCCAAGACAGAGTCTTGCTCTGTTGCCCAGGCTGGAGCGTAGTGGTGTAATCATGGCCTACTGCAGCCTTGACCTCCTCGGCTCAAGTGATCCTCCTGTGTCAGCCTGCCAAGTAGCCAGGACTATAGGTGTGCGCCAGCATGCTCAGGTAATTTTTAAATTTTCTTGTAGAGATGGGGTCTCACCATGTTGCTCAAACTCCTGGGTTCAAGCAATCCTTCTGCCTCAGCCTCCCAAAGTGCTGGGATTATAGGCATGAGCCACTGTGCCTGGCCTCAAACAACCCATTCTTATTACCAGTCCCATTTTACAGATGAGGCCAATGAGGCTCAGGGAGCTTGTGTAACTTGCCTGAGGGCTCACGAATAGAAAAGGAACAGGAAGCACAGCACTAATATACATACCTTGCTCTTTGCCCATCCCCACCCTCTCTTCCCACAGCTGGGTCATCATCTGACCCTCTCATCGCCACTCAGATTTTTGAAAAAACTTTTATAATACTATTAATTCAAATCAAGTACTTTGGGTTTGAAGACCTTCTGTTCAAATTTGATTACAGGTTTCCTTAGTTTCCCATGCCTCCAGTTCTATGAAATTACAAGTTCATCTGTTCTTGACCTAAATCAGTCTTTTGGAGTGGTTGAGAGGGAGGTGAGATAATCTGTGTACAAGTGATTTCAAAAGCATCAAGTGAGCTACCAATTCTGGGCTGTTTGTCATAGTCTGCATATTAATAGCATTCTCGCACAGCCCCCAGGCTGTGTGGAGGAGCAGCTCTGTTTGTATATATCCAAACAGTAGGATCCAACAATCCTCTGCCTACTTATCCTCTCCCCACTATTGTTGGATCCTATGGTTTGGGTATGTTGTTTGGATAATATTGGTTCTGTTCCCCGAAACAGAAGAAATATTATCCAAACAATATATCCTGTTCGATCTAGAAATCAAAGAGGTAACTAGTAATAGTTCTACAAACAATATAGTCCCAACACCAATGGAAACTGGTGTAAGAGAGGGGCTCATCTGCAATTTACCCCCCAAAATGGAAGTGTATTATGTGTAATAGCACACCTACGTGTTTAAAATCTGCTTTTATTCATTTATATTCTACCGTACAACAATCACATAATGATAAAGTGTTCACAATTATTTGATTAAAAAATTATTATTAAAAGTAACACACTTACTGCCAAAAACTTGGAAAATGCAAAAAGAATGAGGAAGAAAATTTAAATTACTATTAATGTCAGAACCCAGATATAAACCCTGCTAACTTTTAGCTGTATTTTCTTCTGAACTCATTTTATATATTTTTTATTTATTTATTTACTTATATTATCATTTTTTTTTTTTTTTTTTTTGAGACAGAGCCTCACTCTGTTGCCCGGGCTGGAGTACAGTGGCACGATCTTGGCTCACTGCAACCTCCTCCTCCCAGTTTCCAGCGATTCTCATGCCTCAGCCTCCCGAGTAGCTGGGATTACAGGCGTGCACCACCACGCCCAGCTAATTTTTGTATTTTAGTAGAGACCAGGTTTTAGTAGAGACCTGTTGGCCAGGCTGGTCTCAAACTCCTGACCTCAGGTGATCCGCTTGCCTCGGCCTGCGAAAGTGTTGGGATTACAGGCGTGAGCCACTGCGCCCGGCCTGCATATAAATTATTATTATTATTATTATTATTATTATTTTTTGAGATGGAGTCTTGCTCTGTCGCCCAGGCTGGAGCACAGTGGCGCGATCTCGGCTCACTGCAAGCTCCGCCTCCCGGGCTCACGCCATTCTCCTGCCTCAGCCTCCCAAGTAGCTGGGACTACAGGCGCCTGCCACCGCGCTCAGCTAATTTTTTTGTATTGTTAGTAGAGACGGGGTTTCACCGTGTTAATCCAGGATGGTCTCTATCTCCTGACCTCGTGATCCACCCGCCTTGGCCTCCCAAAGTGCTGGGATTACAGGCGTAAGCCACTGCGCCCAGCCTACATATAAATTTTAAAGTATGATTGGGCATAATTTTTTATATATACATATGTATATGTATAAATTTTTCATTTATTTTATATAAAGGAACATTTTCCTATGTCCTGATGATCATTTTTAATGATTGTGTAATTTTTAATCTAGCAATTGTACCATAATTTACTACCGCATTTCTAAATGTTTGGCCAATTGTGTTGCAAAAAACATCTTCATAAATACAGGATTTTTCCTTCAGTGATTTTTTTTTCCATGAAACAACTCTCCAAAGAAATATTGTTGAGTCACAAGTTAGGATCTCATGTTATATCTGAAGCAGCCTGTTATCTTGCAGAAAAGGTGTTAGTTCATTTATTTTAATATCATGCCACCACACTGGAACTCACCATCCACACACATTAGGCACCAATAGTTGCAAAGAACTCTGCAAGACACCTCCTAACTAAAGTTCAGAATGGAGCCTCAGGGAATACAGGGGTTAATGCTGAAATACAAGCCTCCTGTCCAGTGATCAGCCTCTTCTTCTCCAGGCCTGCCTACATCCTGGTAAGGAAGGTGCCAGAATTCTTGCGGATCTGGAAAAGCTGGCTTCTTCCACCTGCCCCAAACATCTCTACCACCCCCTGAGGAAAGCCTGTCATTTTGACAGCTTTGTTCCCTTCACTTGAGGCTTTTAGAAGGGTCAAATACCCGCTCGCCCCCCTCCCCACGGGGGTGAGGTTAAATAGCCTGGGAAGGATAGCTCAACAAAAGTGCTATTAATTACTTCTACTCTAGTATAAATGAGCTTTCAGTTCTTCCTTGACAGTGGGTTTTGCAGGGTGAGTGGGGGTACTGGAATCTCATCTGGGAGGATGGGTTCTTGGTGAGGAGTCTTGCCTGCTTAATGATGTTTCTCCAGGTTGGCCCTTTCCCTTACTGAGTAAACAGTGGCTTGCACTGATAGGGAGACTAGAGGAACAGAACACTCCTCACCCAGAGATCCTATTTCCTTTTGAAAATGGCCTCAAGCAACAAGTCTATGAGGAAAATGTTCAACTTCATTGATCAATGAAATGTAAATTAAAACCACATTCAGCTACCAATTTCCAACAGTCAAATTGACATGCTACTTCATGACTAGTGAAAATGTGCAATTCTGGAGGGCAGTTTGGCCATATCTATCATAAGCTTTTTTAAAATGGGCATAGACAACAGAAATGTATTTTACAAGGATGTCCAGTATGGTGATGTTTATAGAAGTAAAAAATTGGAAATGATCTAAATACCTAATAAAAGATTTCAAATAAAGTACAGTAGATCTATACTACTGAACTATTATTCAGTCACTAAAAATGATATAGGTAAATATTTATTGACACCAGAAAATGCCCATACTGTATTATTATGTGAAAGAAGCCAGTTATAAAATAGAATGTTCCCATTTTTGTTAATTATAATAATAAAAGATACACATATGTCTGCTAAGTTTTGATGATGAATACATGTAGCTTCTGTAATAGGAAATTGTCTTTTAAAATTATTTTTTGAAGGCTCCAAGAAGCTCCACCCAGCTTCCCAAGGGCAGGCAAGCTTTTGACCTTCCCTCTGATCCTTACATAGTATATCAACAGTAACGCTTGTTGATATGTAACTGCACCCAGACAGGGAAGGAGGACCTGTGCCAGCCCCAAACAAGGTCATCTGAGGACTCTGCCCTCTCCCCAGCTGGACACACCCTCATTATTGTCACCACTGGGTAGGGCAGGCTTTGCCCTCTGGTTCTTATCATTTTCATTTTCTTACCTCAGTAAAACAACAGTAGCCTTGATGCAAGGAGTAATGGGAAACTGTCTTTCCTATGGTTTAGACATAAGAATGTTGTGGTGATGGAAAGGGAGTCCTTGGGATATGCCAAATCCCAGGTTCTGGCATCGTCTACTTTAAAGTCATTGGCAACATTGCAGAAACTCCTGCTTTGAAAGTATTGCCTTTAAACTCTGTTGCAAAGTACAAAGGCACTGAAGCTGCCCATCATTGGAAATGTAACATTTCTAACATTACATGTCTAATGAGGCCTTTAAACTGGCAGTACTAGCCTAAGATAGCAGGGTCTTTGTCCTTTCCCTATGAAGACAGGGTTTCTTGCTGCTGTAATTATTGGATACTAGGGGTATTTCCATTGCCCCAGGAGCTGGGTTTCCAAACTCAAAGCAAAAATGGGCTCAAAAGAAACTTTCTCTGAATTTTTGCACTACCACAAACAGATGTTTTAGTCTCTTCCTCTTGCACATAAATCTCTGTCTGCTCCATTAACACTGCCTCATTTAAGGGAGACCATTGGATTCTGGCTTTCTTATTGCATTTTATTGGATTGTCACACAGTCTTGGTTGGGGCTCCTGGGACAAGTCCATTTATAGGACCTGAGAACCAACCCATGGCCCCAACAAGTAGACACTCCTTTGGAATGAGAACTCACCTTGGTGATCAGTTGTGGGCCTTAAGGATTAAGCCGGTTAATCAAGGATGACCCTTGATGATAATACAAGGGTTTTGGTTTAGGCACCAATGTTATGTATAAAATGAAGAAATGTGATTTTTAGCCTGACACAGTGGCTCATGCCTGTAATCCCAGCATGTTAAGAGGCTTAGGCAAAAGGACAGCCTGAGGCCAGGACTTTAAGACCAGCCTTGGCAACACAGAGACTCCATCTCTACAAAAAATAAAAAGTACAAAAAATTAAAAAATTAGCTGGGCATGGTGGCACACACTTGTAGTCCTAGCTACTTGGGAGGCTGAGGTGAGAGGATCTCTTGAATCCAGGAGTTCGAGGCTGCAATAAGCTATGATTGCACCACTGCACTCCAGTGTGGATGACAGAGTGAGACTCTGTCTCTAAAATAAATAAATAAGTAGGTCAGGCATGGTGGCTCATGTCTGTAATCCCAGCACTTTGAGAGGCTGAGGCAGGAGGATCACCTGAGGCCAGGAGTTCAAGACCAGCCTGGACAACATAGGGGGATCCCATCTCTACAAAAATAATTTAAAAATTAACCAGGCATGGTGGCACACACCTGTGGTCCCAGCTACTTGGGAGGCTGAGGTGGGAGGATCACTTGGGCCCAGGAGGTAGAGGCCGCAGTGAGCCATGATTGTGTCACTGCGCTCCAGCTGGGGTGACAGAAGGAGACCCTGTCTCAATAAATAAATACATACATACATACATACTTTTTTTAAAAAAAAAATTAAAATGTGATTTTTTAAAAAACTTTAACTTTTAAAGGACTAGTGGTTGGATTGTGTCTAGAGGGACAGCCCCTGATTATCTGACCACTTTTGGTAACAGGAGGGACTACACTCAACTGGCCCCATGAAAAGAGAAGGGCCAGGAGCCATCTCCCCAGGGTGGCCTGGAGAAACAGAATGAGCAGTCCCCCTCCCCTGATGTTGCTGTTGCACCTGCTGAGATCCTTTGACCTTGGACTATTCTTTTTCTGGGCAGACCAAAAAAAAAAAAAAAAAAAAAAAACCCTTCCTCTCTTCTCTGGGGTCAACACTAGAGCTCTGCCTGCACTGGGAAGAGAGTGGAGCCCTAGGGCCCCTTACTGGCTTAGTACTTTCCATCTCCGTCTCTTGCCAGGTTTCCAGAGGCCCTGTCTTGTGCATCTAAGTCTACAGTTAACTGTCCACTTCTTAGTGAGAAAGGAATCTGCTTTTAGTGCCATCTGTAAAAGAAGACAAATAGGTCTTTAATCAAGATTGACACACATGGCTCCTGCTTTCTCCTTGTTAAAGGTGGTACTGAATACCTCAATAAAATAGTAAAAAAAAACCCAGCAAGTATGATTTTGAAAACTCAACCCTGTACCTTGAGTAGAAAGAGTGTAGAATATATTTCCTTAAATCTTACTTTTTTTTCACCCAAATTCAGCACAGCTAAGGCCAATGATGACATCCTGGGATAATACTTTGAGTTATTAACTGATTTTTTTTCCCTCTCCAGTACTTTACTTTTTCTTAGCTTTTACACACACACACACACACACACACACACACACACACACACACACACACACCCCCTAAGCCATTGTGGGTTCACTGCCTCTCAGAAATGCAGAAACATTTTGACAGAGAGCATAGCTTCTTACTAGATCCCTGTCTCAGTCCATTTTGTGTGGCTATAACAGAATACCACAGACTGGGAAATTACAATGAACAGAAATGTATGGGCTCATAGTACTGGAGGCTGGAACTCCAATATCAAGGTGCTGGCATCTGGTGAGGGCCTTCTTGCTACATTATCACATGACAGAAGGAGAGAGAGTGAGAGAGGGTGGAGGTGGGACAGTGAAATGACCCTTTTATAGGGAACCAGCCACCATAGTAATCCATTATCATGATTACTGGGAGACTGAGGCAGGAAGATCACTTGAGACCAGGAGTTTGAGACCAGCCTGGGCAACACAGGGAGACTGTCTCTACAGTTTTTTTTTAATGAGGCCAGATATGGTTGCTTATGCCTGTAATCCCAGCACTTTGGGATGCTGAGGCAGGAGGATTGCTTGAGGCCAGGAGTTCGAGGCCAGCCTGGGCAACAGAGTGAGACCCCCCGATCTCTACAAAAAAAAAAAAAATTGTGGACTGAAGTTGATAAAATTGTCCTTGCAACTTTCATGGCCACTAGAGAGAGAACATGTAGTATGTCACTTGCCATTGGTTACGTTATGAGCAATTGAGCCCATACGTTATGGCTCTGAGCTTCATTCATTTACTCACTTATCCATCCATATTTATATTAATGTACAGCTGGCCAGACACTGGAGACATAAAGATGAATGGAACAGAGCTCCTGCCCTCACTGTGCTTGCTGGCAGTAAACTTCATCCCTAAAATACTGACAGTGCATTTATCCCAGTTATAAATATAAATGCTTCCTTCCTTCTTTTTTTTTTTTTTGGAAACAGGGTCTGGCTGCAGACAGTGGCACAATTACAGCTTACTGCAACCTCTATTTCCTGGGCTCAAGCAATCCTCCTGACTCAGCCTCCCAAGTAGCTGGGACTACAGGTATGCACTACCACACCTGGCTAATTAAAACTTTTTTTTTTTTTTGGTAGAGACAAGGTCTCACTATACTGCCCCGGCTGGTCTCAAACTGGGCTCAAGCAATCCTCCAGTCTTAGCCTCTCAAAGTGCTGAAATTATAGACATAAGCCACTGTGCCTGACCAATGCTTTCTTAATAAACTTAAGTTGAGCTTATTTAGCATGTAAGAATTCTTTATTAAGATATTAAAAATTCTGGTACTAAGACCTGTGTAATACAGGGGTGTGGTTTTTTCAAAGTATATCTAAGGCTGTGTTTAAATTTAGTAAATCTAAATACTTAGTAATGATACACTTGAATGTAGCTATGTAGCCTGGCACAGTGCCTGAGGAATAGCAGTCACTCAGTAAATTATAGTACGTCTCTGTAGTAAGCATCAACTATGTGCCAGGCCTTACTTGTAAGGGAATTAACATAATTCCTCATTAAGGTGAGAAACAACTTAAGGCTTTGAAATAGTTATGGGTAAGTTGGGATAGCAAATACCAAGCACATGTGCCTCTATTTTCCTTTTTCTCACCCATGACAGGCATTGTCAACTGATCACAGGTCTTTCTCATTCCCTGAACTTCGCCTCGGAACTTCTCTCCGTAAAAGATGTTGCCCACTTGCCATTTCTAGGCCAGGAGGAAGAGATTGGAACTCTGGAGAGTCTTTCTTGTTTTGTCTCAGGGTAAGGCTGCATGATTTTCAGATTAGTTATTAAATTCCTCAGAGCCTGTGTTTACTTATCTGAAACTATGGATCATAACTTTACCTAATTATCCTATATGGTTCTTGTAAGGTTTAAATGTTATGAGGGTTGGGGAAGTGCTTTGAAAGGTTAAAAGAACAAGTCACTCCCAAGAGAGTAGCAAGAGCTCCCTTTGCCAAAGTGTCTTTGCCAAGGAGAGTATTCCATTAAGTCCTGTTTAGAACAGAGAAGATCCCGTTTCAGAAGGACTTCCTGCTAAATAATTAGGAAAAGGAAAAGAAAAGAGGAAGCAAATGGAAAAGGAACACAGAGAGAGGACATGACTTGGAGTCAGAGGCATTAGAGTCAAGTCTAAATTCACCTCTTGCTAGCCGTGATGTTTGGAATAGGTTACTAAGCTACCATGCATTACATGGAGCAAACAATAGTCACCTCTCAAGGTTCTTGCAAGTATGAAATTAGTTCATGTCTGCGAGAGGGACTAGGGCAGAGCCAGGCATATAGGGACTTGGTGAACTCCCAGCCTCAGTGAGGGGAAGGAACCACTGCTTGAAGCCTGCCTGGTCCCACACAGTATAGAGAATTAGGTTATGCTATGTTCCCATCCATCCATCATCCATCCATCCTTCCAGCTTCTATGGAGCATGACTACTTGACGTTGAACTGGGAGAGTGTGTGCATTGTTGTTGAACATTTCTCTGACCTCAGAACCACCATGAAGGAAAAGGGGGCCATGCATGATGTGATTTGAGTAGTACCCCAGGATCCCACTTGCCCCACACTTTTACCTTAAGCTTTTGAGTCTCTCTTTGGAGAACTTCTCTTTACCACTCTGACTCTTGTGCTCCGGAGGAGGAGGTGGGCCTCCCTGGGCACTTAAGGGCAGCTATAGGCTAGCAGAATGCATGCCACTGAGTGGAGGTGTGCAGGACACTGTGTGCAGCACAGAGGCTGGGGAGGGATGATAGGAACCCCTGTCTTTGAGAAAGTTATTACAGTGAGCCAGGAGCTCTGGAATATTTTGTCTGGCTCTTGTTTGCATGCCCAAGTCTTGCTTGTCCTCGTAGGGTCTGTTCAACATGGTCTTACCCTCCTGTGAGCTCATGCAGTGCTTTAACCTGTCCCTCTCTTTGGAACTTCTCAGCACTGGGACTAGTAATATAATCATATTTTTGCAAATACTTGCCTTCATCTCTCATCATTTTTACTTCCCCAATCTGGGTTCCAGGCACTGACTCAGAGCCCTTCAAACCATACTCTTTCTTGCCTCCAGAAAGCTCTTGCTGACTATTCTGTGGCCATGCTCACTGCCCTACTTGTTCCCCTGATGAGTGAATGCTCCTATGAGAGCACTAACCTTCCTTCAATGAGGTCTTTCAACCACTTCCCTTTCTTCTGCTCTGGTCTGTAAGTTATGCCAGGACAAAGATTTGTCTTGGGACCTGCCACATCCTGGGCACCTGAAAAAGAGTCTGGAATATAGGAGGTGCTCAAATATGTGTCAGTTGACTATCAGCTCTTCTTTCTGGACTGTGAGCCCTTAGAGAATGGGGTCGACATCTTCTAATATTTTTAAGCCTCTACTAGACACCTCACAGAACATAGCTTATTGCTAGGTGCTTAGTAAACACTTGATGAACAAAAGAATGAGTGAATGAATGTCTTATAAAATAGGCAGATCCCTAGGGATCCCAGTCAAGGCTACAGATAACGTGGGATGATATGCTGAATATTTTCTAGATCCCCTGCAGATCCACTGTCCACCCTTGCTTACCCTGTTTGGTACTCAGGAAGTTGACCTTTATAAGATGGTATTGACAGGTTATTCTGACCTCTGGTTGGGTTCAGTCAATGGGATGTACCAATAGATTATAAGTAGGGAGAAGAGTGAAGTCTAGGTATAGTAGATGCTCATCATTTGCAGATTCTATATTTGCAAATTCGTCTACTCACTAAAATCTATTTGTAATCCCCAAATCAATTTTCATGGCACTTTTGTGGTCATTGAGACACACGCAGAGTTGTAAAAATTTTGAGTTGCTGGATGTGCACGTGCCCAGCCGAGGCAAACAAAGTGACACAGACTCTGCCTTCTTATTTCAGCTCTCATATTGAAAAAAATTTCGGCCATGCACAGTGGCTCATGCCTGTAATCCCAGCACTTTGGGAGGCCAAGGCAGGAGGATCCCTTGAGCTCAGGGGTTTGAGACCAGCCTGGGCAACACAGCAAAACCCCATCTCTACAAAAAATACAAAAATTAGCCAGGCATGATTGCACAGGTCTGTAGTCCCGGCTACTTGGGAGTCTGAGGTGGGAGGATGGCTTGAGCCCAGGGAAATCAAGGCTGCAATGAGCTATAATTGTGCCACTGCACTCCAGCTTGGGTGACAGAGTAAGACCCTGTCTCCAAATGAAAAAAAAGAAAAAAAAGTCATGGTCCATTTAATGTCATGTTTTCCACATGGTTTTCATTGATGATTTCAATGTTTAAAATGGCCCCCAAGACTGGTCATAAAGTTACTGAAGTGTCCTTAAGCCCAAGAAGGCTGTAATGTGCCTTGCAAAGAAAATTCCATGTATACGTTTTGTTCAGGCATGAGTTACAGTGCTGTTGGGCGTGAGTTCAAAATTAGTGAATCAACAATATATATTAAATAAAGTGTCCCCAAATCAGAAACACACATAAAACAAGGTTATGTATTGATTGGTGAAAATGTGACCAGAGACTCGCCAGACCTGACCCTGTATTTCCTTTAGGAGCAATGGTTCAGTATTTGCTAATTCAGTGTTTGCTGTGACTTTATGGAATGTGACTACTGGCACAGGGCTGAGTTAGTCCCCGCACAGGGCTAAGGGGAGGGGTTGTCTTAAAAGTCTCTCCTTCCCTGAGTAGGAGAGTAACCAGAGTACCAGAGCCAGCAGAGAGGGTGCCAGAGGTTGGGGCCAAGAAACAAAGTTCTTGGTGCTCCCTCTGGTCGTCTTGGCTGCGCCTTTGGCCACCCCACTCCTCCCAAAGGCAATGGCTTCCAAACTCCTGCACATGGTCATCCTCCGGCCGCTCCTCTTGGCCCAGAAGTTTGGCCTCCAGCATCTCTCCAATGGCCATTTCTTGCGGGAGAACACCAAGGCCAACACCGAAGTTACTGACATGGCAAAACAATAAACAGAGAACAGTCTTTCGGTTCCAGACCATGTGATCACACACCTAATGGTGTCAGAGTTGGAGAACAGGTATGCCCAGCACTGGCTCCCAGATGGTTTTCTGAGGACTTTAGGACAAACCAATGCCCTGATTTGAAGACAAAATATATGAAGTGGATTTAGTGATCTGTTTGAAGATTCCATTCGAAACACTTAAAGATTGTCTCAGCCGACGTTGGATTCACCCTCCTTGCAGCAGGGTATATAACCTGGGCTTCAATCCACCTGGTGTACATGGGATTGATGACATCTCTGGAGAACCATTAGTCCAGCAGGAAGATGATAAATCGAAGCAGTTGCTGCCAGGATAAGACAGTACAAGGTTGTGGCAAAGCCAGTCATTTAATTATGCAAGAGCCCAGGCTTGCTCCACCATTTTTCTGGGATGGAGACTGATAAAATCTGGCCCTAAGTCTACATATTTTTCTTAACAAGATCACACCTATTCAGTCCAAAGAAGAATCAGGAAGATTCTTCACTTGTTCAATTGTGTGTGTAGTATTGGGGCTATGTCCAAATTAGAAGCTAGCTGAGATAGCTTGCAGCATCTTTCTAGCTTAAATGGTGAACTCTTAGGAAAACTAATGAGCAGAAAGAGCTCATGAAGTGTCCTTTAAAAAGAAGGGCCCCCTGCACATATTTAAGGTATCTCTGCACATGTCTCAATACCTCCACAAGAAAGCAACTCAGGCTGGATTTCAAACAGCATACAGTCTAAGCTCTAGGTGATTTTTGACAGTTGTGTTGTTGCTATAGTATCCTTTTTACAAGTGATGGTGGTGGTCTTTGGTTCTCCTCATCCCCTCAAAGGCTGTTGAATCACAGCACCAGTAAGCCTGAGAATGCTAAGGGCTCTAGCCCAGGCTTTCTCCCAGATTCTCTGGTATGTGCCCTCCTGGTGACAATGAAATTGGCTAATTGCTCTCAGTGGTCTGGAGTGACTATGTCCACAGTTCATCTTTCACAGTAGGAATCACTCCTTTTTTGCTTCATCCATACTCCATAGAGTCTCTCCTTTTCAGACATCCTAGGAGGAAAGGATTTAGCTTCTATTTTTTTAGACTATATATTTTTGACATCTGTTTTTTCTTAGGCTATTACATTTAAGTTATTAAATAATACAGATAATTACTGCTTTTATCTCTCTCAAATTTTTCTTTCTAAGAACTGAGAACAAGAAGATTGCTTTGAATCTCTTCATGCACTGGGAACTGAGCTATGAAAGAGGGTGTTATTAAACTGCTGGTCTGAACTCTCATGGATTGATGTTTCCCCTTTCTGTTACTGCGAAAAGATTCAACCCCTAAAAGTTTTTTGGCAACCCCCAAAGTCTTTTGGGAATCCTCAAAAAACATGGGAAATATTAACCTACATAAATGTTGAAAGATCCTGTCTTATGTATAGAAGTAATAAGACCAGGCCGGGTGTGGTGGCTCACACCTGTAATCCCAGCACTTTGGGAGGCTGAGGAGAGTGGATTACCTGAGGTCAGGAGTTCTAGACCAGCCTGGGCAACATGGCAAAACCCCATATCTACCAAAAATATGAAAGATTAGCCAGGCATGGTGACGCACGCCTGTAGTCCCAGCTACAGGCTGAGGCACAAGAATTACTTAAACCAGGAGGTGAAGGTTATAGTGAGTGGAGATCACACCACTGCACTCCAGCCTGGGCGACACAGTGAAACTGTGACTCAGAAAAAAGTATAAGACCATATGGAACTACTGACTAATAAATAGTTAAACTTTTTGTTCAAGACAGCAAAATGTATTTTGAAAATTCTGCTACCTCTTGATGCTGACAGTGTTTTTCTCCCGTGAGTGACCCAAGCATATTATAAATAATTGATAAAGGGAATGGAGCTGGTTGGGTGGAGCAAAAGGTTGCACTAGCTATGCCTAGACTGAATAGAAGAGTGTTATGATGATGAGAAAGCAAAATCTTTATTTTTTTTCTATTCCAAAGATTCACTCTGATTCAGCCTGACTAGTACTGACAGTTTATGGAAAATCTCAGCTGTTCTCTTTCTAGCACCTAGATACAGATATGAGCATGGCCCCTTCTCCTCCTCCAGATCCCCAGTAAAACTTCACCCACAGCAGCTTCTTTCTCCCCACTGGAGAAAGAGTGGGGAGCCCAAACCCCTTTCTTTTATCTAATCACCTGGCCACAATTTATCCCCCTTTGTTAAAATGATATATAAGCTCCAGGTCTAACTGCTTCTTTGGCTCTTCACTTCTTTTCTGTGAAGCCCCCATTTATGTAAAAATATTAACATCCATAAAATGAATGCCTTTTCCTCTGTTCATCTGTCTTTTGTCAGTTTAAAGCCTGTCTGGAAGACAGAGAGTCTCACCACCCTAGAGCAGTGCTACTCAGGGTGTCTCTGACCAGAAGCAAGGCTACATCTAGAGAGCGTGTTAGAATTGCAAATTACTGGGCATTCTAGATCTACTAAATCTGAAATTCTGTGGGCAAAGACCTGGGATCTGTTTTCATAAGCCTTCTGGGTGATTCTAACACATGCTCGAGTTTGAGTACCACTTCCTGGAGAGATGGGCAGGGGGTAGTGGGAGGGTAGGCACGGAGCACTTGTTTAGGACCCTTGCCAGGCTCTCTAACTCCCATCTGCCTGGCTTTCCATGATTTCCTGGTCCTTGTTTCTCCAGGCCAAACCACATTTAGGAACATACACAATCTGGAGTGCAGAATTCTTTGAACTTTATCTAGGTGGCTGTTTCTTAACCAACAGAGCATAGTTTCTTACAGGATATGTATGGCTCTTCTGGGAGATCAACACTGAAACCCCAGGGCATCTCTGAGCACAGCAACAGGACAAGAGAGAATTTAAGTGACATGGTGAAGGGGATCAGGTTATACCACCCCAAAGTATGCCACCTTGGCATATGATTATTTTGGGCTGAAAGCAATGGAGAAATAGCAGTTGTAAGAAGAGCTCTCTGCCCTTTCCTTTTCTGCCTAGAAGCAGGACATAAATTTCCCTTTGTGAAGGTGGCATAAATTTCCACCCTTCTCCTGTATCAGAATGAAGAAAGTAACCTATCACTAGAGACAGAAAACTGGCACTGAGATGAGTTGGCATAAAGACACCTTACTAAAGCAACCCTTGCTTTCCATTACTTTCCCTGTATACTTCCTAGTCACTTTCCTACAATTTTTCACCCCCAGAAGCCCAAACCCGTTTCCTTTGTCCATAAAATAGATGCTTTTTCCCCTGTTAATCTGTCTTTTGCCAGTTTAATTCTCAGGCCCCAGACACTGAACCTAAGAGGGCAGAGGAAAAGGTTTTTGCTGGTTTGTTTGTTTTCTCCCCTGTAGTGAAAAGAACTAACAGGTGAGATGACCCTGTAGTCAGGAAAGGATTTTTATCTCATTTACAAAAACATGTTTCAGTGTGATGAATTGAATCCTATCAGTTGCTGTTATTAATTTTTCTATATCTTCCCTGATTTCAAAAAGCATGTTTGAGGCAGCTTATTAAAATACATACAAGGTTAAAAAAATAGATAGCTATCCTTAGGATTTGCAAGGTGTTCACTTAAAACATTCTTTTTTTTTTTTTTTAATGAACATTCTCATAAAACATTCTTAAAATGGTTGGCTTCTTTGCTGATATGGCAGTAACCAAAGATTCCAGTATTTGAGCACATAAAAAATTCTGCTGCTATGGTGGGGTACAGTGGTTCACACCTGTAATCCCAGCACTTTCAAAGGCTGAGGCAGCTGGATTACTTGAGCCCAGGAGTTCGAGACCAGCCTGGGCAACATGGCAAAAGACCATCTCTACAAAATATACAAAAATTAGCTGGTGGCAATGCCTGTAGTCCCAGCTATGAGGGAGGCTGAGGAGGGAGGTCACCTGAGCGTGGGAAGGTCAAGGCTGCAGTGAGCCTTGATCATGCCATTTCACTCCAGCTACATGACAGAATGAGACGCTGTCTGGAAAAAAAAAACAAAAAAACAAAAAAAAACACTCTGCTGCTTACCTGTGCCAGAAATAACAACATCTAAAGTGAATACTTAAGAAAAACTTAATGACTGCTTGATTACCCTTAAGATTCTGCATTCTTTATAATGTTCTTTGCATTTCAAAAGCAGCCTATTTATTGCAGAAATTTACTTAACCTTTTGCTTTACTTGAGCATGTATGTATGTTGCTTAGATAAAAGTAATGACATAAACGTCTATATAATCTTAGATTTCATTTTTACTTTGAAATGGGAGCTTTTTTATTTATAAGGTCATGAAAAACTAAGTGTTTTTATTAAGAAATGAGATTTTTTAATGGCAGAAAAAATGACTTGTTGACTCATTATGAAATCAAAATCTCTCCAAGCTTTTAAAAAACTACTTCAAGCCATTCGTTAAGTAATATTCCTTTGTAAATCATCTTAGATTTAGTATTATAGTGTTTTCTCAATTTTTATGTGTGTTAAAATCAATTTTGTGGGGTGTATGTGTGTGAAGGGGAAAGGTGACTCACAGTCACAGTACCTAGTTTTGCAACTTTCAGGCCTTGGTTTTGTAGCTCCAGCTGCCACAGACTTAACAGCTAGACTGATTCTGAGTAAGAACAAAAGGGTTTGACCATAGAAGGAAGTTCCTTTAAGATCCTTGTGAAATGGTTATAATAAGCAGGTTGACTCTTGCCCCTTGGAGAGCACCACCCTGTGTAAGGCTGATATGATCACGAACCCTCCCTCGCCTCCTCCCACTTCTATATATTATCTGTGTGCATGTGTTTCTTCTCTCCATCTTTCTTGCATGCTCTTTTCTTTTTCTCTGTCTGACCCAAGAGAAAGAGAAATGTATTGATGAAAAGTCTTTAAATAGTGTAATTAATTCATTTATAGCATGTCAGAATAAATCAAAAAAGGACATTTCTCTGTAAAAAATAGGTAAACAGAAACAAATGAAAGAAAAGCTATGACAGGAAAATAAGGTATAGCAAATGTATGCCATAAGGTGCTGTATGACTGCTAAAGGTGTGCCTCAGATTTGGCTCTGAGCTTCCTAGTAGATAGAGAAAAGAGAAGAACAAATCAATTACAAGATGCACTATGTTCACAAATTGGAAACATCTTGGAGGCTTTGCTTGATACCAGCACAGCATAGAGATGTTGGGCCTAAAAGGGCTAACATCTTCAGATTTTGTTCTGAAGGGTCTAAAAGAGGGAACACAGTGTGAGATCTTTGGGAATAAGTCAAGGGAGGATGTCAGGGCATGGGCAGTTCCTGGATGGGGGATTGAATTGAGGGTGAGGTAACTGATCAAAGCTCTGGAGTTTTCAAAGGATGCAACCTTGTTCCTCATTCATTCTCTATTCTTCAGAGTCCTGCCCTACCTCCTCAGAGCTTGCAAGCTAGGACATGGCCAGAAGGCTAGGGTAGAATTACAGGGTGGCTGCCCTTTCAGGTATAGCATTTGGTACCACTGTTCACAATGGCCATGGGTTTCCAACTCTGACTGCACATTAGAATCATTTGAGCCATTTTCCAAAATTATACAATTGCCTGGCACCATCCAAATTAACTGAATACTGGGATTGGGCCCAGGATTTTTTGTTGTTGTTGTTTTTGGGTTTTTCTGATGCTTCATCTAGTTCTTATGTAGAGTGAGAGTAGAGAACCACTGACAGTGAGCATTTTCAGAGGTTTACGAACTTCACGGTATCTCAGAGTCACAGGAGGAACTTGTTAAACATTCAGTTTCCTCAGCCACATGCTCCCTCCCAATTCCCCCAACCACCCCAGAAGGCCAGGGAATTTTCTATTTCTTTTTTTCTTCTTCTTCTTTTTTTTTTTTTTTTTTTTTTTTGAGACGGAGTTTCATTCTCGTCGCCCAGGCTGGAGTGCAATGGTGCGATCTTGGCTCACTGCAACTTTCACCTCCCAGGTTCAAGCAGTTCTCCTGCCTCAGCCTCCAAAGTAGCTGGGATTATAGGTGCCTGCCACCATGCCCAACTAATTTTTGTATTTTTCGTAGAGATGGGTTTCACCATGTTGGCCAGGCTGGTCTCGAGGAATTCTCTATTTCTAGCAAGCACTCAGGGTAATTCTGATGCCGATGATCCACAGAGTCACACTAGTCCACAGAGTGTAAAGGGGGGGAGACCTGGGCCCTGGCCTGCTCTGATAACAGCAGGCTGTGTGACCTTTTGGGCCTATTCCTTAAACACTCTGGGTTTGTTTCCTGATTGGTAAGAAATAACCTGTGGTGCCTACACTGCAAGGCCACGATTGAAATCCACAATCCCACCATGGATATGATTCTGTGTTCATTAATTTCGAGTCTGCTTGCTAAGAGCAATAAGGCATGTGTGAGTTTGGGGCATGGGTGGAAGAGTGCCCTTTGGCCTAGATTTTACTGTCTTGTGTCAAGATTTGGGTAGATTTATATGTGATCCAACTGGTAGGTAGCTAAACTTACCACTGCTAGCACAGGCTCTTCTATAAGAACCAAACATGCCAAAAGTGTGCTAGAACAGAGTAATTTATTTTAATAACACATGTGGCTCTGAAATAAACTTGTTATAACAGCATGGGTTTTATTAACCAAGAATCACAGGACAACTTATTGAAGTGAGGATATCACTTGGTGATCTGAGTCTACAAATACCACCTTCTGAACAGTGACCAAACCATGACTTTGTTTATGGGAAATGTCCAATTAGTGTACACAGAACCACACCAAGTGGTGTGGGAAGAGAGATGAAGGAAGTGGGCATAGCAAGGAGCTGGGGTTGGGTTCGGGCTCTAATCCTGGCCAGGACCCCCTGTCTGCTTTGGCTAAGTCAGTTCTCCTCCCCCGGACCAGGTTGCTCATCTGTAAAATGAAGGTGCTAGATTAGTATCTGTAGGATCCCTTCTCTCCCCTACAGGCTGTAAAAATCAAACTAACTGGGCCAGACGCAGTGGCTCATGCCTGTAATCCCAGCATTTTGGGAGGCCAAGTTGGGCAGATCACGAGGTCAAGAGATTGAGACCCTCCTGGCCAACATGGTGAAACCCTGTCTCTACTAAAAATACAAAAATTAGCTGGGTGTGGTGGCACATGCCTATAGTCCCAGCTACTCGGGAAGCCCAGTCAGGAGGCTTGGTTGAACTCAGGAGGCAGAGGTTGCAGTGAGCCAAGATCGTGCCACTGCACTCCAGCCTGGCGACAGAGCAAGACTCCATCTAAAATAAAAATAAAAATATAAATATAAATAAAAATAAAAATAATCAAACTAACTGTAAAACTAAAGTACAAAGTGGCTTCTCCACTTGGTTTCCTCAGCTAGGTCAGAACCCCCATCTAACCATAGTAAGCCACATAGGTCCCTCCTCTTTCAAGTAGCCACCTGCACTCAAACCAACACCCCTGTGAACCAGTCCTCACCCACTCACTCTTTTAGAAAGGTGATATTCAACTAGCCTCACTAATAATTTCCAGCACAAATAAACTTTGCAGTCTCTATGTTGCAGTCCCTATGAAACCCAAATTCTAGCTACAAACAACCTTCAAACAAGAGGCATTTTTCAGGGTGGAGGTAGAGAGAGGTCATTTAACTCAGTGGTAAGCATTCAAGCTCTGAACATTAAAAAATAATTAGTTCCCTAAATCCTTGTAGAAAACCAGAAATGGCTAGCCATGACCTGTAAATGAATTATTGACAAAACCACTGAGACTTCTTTTCTTTCTGCCACTCCTTGTATCTGGATGTGTATTAGCTTCCTATGGCTGCTCTAAGAAATTGTTGCAAACTTAGGGACCTAGAACAATACGAATGTATTATCTGACAGTTCTGGAGTTTGGAAGTCTGAAATGGCTCGGCAGAGCTGTGTTTGTTCTGAGGGTTCTAGGCGCAGATCCACGTCCCTGCTTTTTCCAGCTGCAGGAGGCTGTCTGCATCTCGTGGCCACTCCGACCTCCTCCATTATCTTGTCTCCTTCTCTTACTCTCCTACTTCCCGCTTTCCTTCATAAAGATCCATGTGTTTACATCAGGCCCACCCAGATAACTGGGATAATCTCCCCATCTCAAGGTCCTTAAGTTAATCACATTTGAAAGTCCCTTTGCCAAGTAAAGGAATACGTTCAAAGGTCTTGTGGATTAGGATGTGGACATCTTGAGGGGGCTGTTTTTCTGCCTACCACACAGACTCATCTTCAGATCCCACCTCAGCCATTTAGTGTCTGTATGACCTTCAGTAAATGATATCCTTTCTCTAAGCCTCAGTTTTCCATTGATAAAACCAGGATAATAATAAACCCATCTTACGGGGTTTGTTTTGTTCTGATTTTTTTGATTTGGGTTTTTTTTTTTTTCCTGTCTTTTTTATTTTTTTAGACGGAGTCTCGCTCTGTCGCCCGGGCTGGAGTACAGCGGTGCCATCTCGACTCACTGCAAGCTCCGCCTCCTGGGTTCACGCCATTCTCCTGCCTCAGCCTCCCGAGTAGCTGGGACTACAGGCGCCTGCCACCACGCCCGGCTAATTTTTTGTATTTGTAGTAGACACAGGGTTTTACCGTGTTAGCCAGGATGGTCTCGATCTCTTGACCTCATGATCCGCCCGCCTTGGCCTCCCAAAGTGCCGGGATTACAGGTGTGAGCCACTGCGCCTGGCCGATTTTGTTTTGTTTTGTACATGTTATTCCTAAGAGAAGGAACAAAATTGGGGTTTTAGTGAAAAAGCCATCTGGGGGTCAGGTGCAGTAGCTCACACCTGTAATCCCAGCACTTTGGGAGGCCGAGGCAGGTGATCACTTGAGCTCAGGAGGTGAAGACCAGCCTGGGCAACATGGTGAAACTCCTTCTCTACTAAAAATACAAAAATTAGCTGGGTGTGGTGACATGCCCCTGTGGTCCTAGCTACTTGGAGGGCTGAGGCGGGAGGATCGTTTGAGCCCAGGAGGCAGAGGAGCAGACTGCACTACAGCCTGGACAACAGAATGAGGCTGGGCCTGTTTATAGTCATCCACATCGAGCATCACAATCAGTGATGATATTTGGGTTGATAACATAGATGCAAAATTCTAATCTTCAAAACACATTGAGTAATTGTAAGAATTGAAAAAAACAAAGCCCATATTTTCTAGATCTAACAGTGAGTTAAACAGCAAATTCAATTTACTGGCGTCTCTTCCCTCCATCCCCTGGGCATTCTTTGTAGCTGAGGGCTGCCTATGGGCTGCTGAGCATTGGTGCTGAGAGGATGCAGGAGAGAATATGCTGAATCTGGTTGGGGGAGGCCATCGCACCCCTGTGGGAAACCTGAAGGAAATGGTCTCTGTCTGCCATAAATCTCTGCAGCATACCCATTCAGAGTTTCCTAATTAAAGGGCGTCCAGTTCCATGCTGAACAGGAAAATCAACTATTCTGCTTGGGTCAAAGCGGAATGTGATATAACTCAAATAGAACGGGGAAATGTCCATAAACACAAACAAGTCCTCCATCCTTTCAGAAAGGAATAACCACCCCATAAAACAGGTGATTAATGTTGAACCACAGGGATAGCAAAGTACCTGAGCTATGGACCAGTTGCAAAGGCTTTGAAGCATGATGAAATAAATATGAACTCTTCCCCTTCACACCCACGGGAGTAAGTGCTTGCCCAATCCTTTGGGAAATGTAGTTAGATGTGATAATCACACATACATGAGTGAAACCATGCAAGGTTCCCAAGAGGAATCTATCTGACATAATCACAGGTTACATTGCAAAGTACTTTGGCAGCTACAAACAGCTTCCCCATACTTATATCATTTAATTTTCAGGGTAACCCTGTGAAATGGCCAAGGGAGGTTTTAATATCTCTGTTTTTACAGATGAGGAAACAGCCTCAGAGGGATGAAATGACTTCCTTAAGGTCACACAGCAAATTAGTAGCAGAGCTAGGATTTGAGCCCAGATCTGTGGGCCACTGGGTGGGTGGCGGGGGAGGGGTCTTGCTCTACTTTTGGCAGGCTTCCAGTAAGACTGTCCATCTGGTGCCTTAATAGTGACATGGATGCAGGCTGCTTTTGCTTGCTGTCCCTGGCCTTGCCTCTGGCCTTACCTTTAAGCTGTCCCTAGCTCCCAGAATATTTACCATCTTGCTTCACAAAGTGTGGTTACCTAGTGAGGTAAAGCACAGCATGAACATGAGCAGGGGCTGTGTTAGGGGTGCAGAATCCACCCCACCCAACCTCTCCAGACCCAGATCCCCAGGTAGCACCTAAGCACAAACAAGTTCAAGAAGCACTGACTGGCCACATTTGCCCATCCAGGCCTGCCTGACACTCCAAAGTGGCTTCTTCTCTGCCCTTCTCCCTGACCCAAACACTCCGAGGGCCTGAACAACAGTTACACTAATTGCCTCCCTCCTGGAACTTCCCCTTACACCTGTCCATGGTTCTGTGGCCTCAAAAATACTCCTCAGGCCTACTGAGTTCTCCTCAGTCTCCTCACAAAAATACCCAAAGAGCCCTTAGCAAGGCGTGCTCTCCTGAGGCAAGAGTTGACTCCACTGTCTGCTCTAAGAGGGCACCCTACAACCTCTCTTTGGTGTGATCAAGGAGAACCAATTTGAGTGGTTTCTTTTCTTCACTAGAGAATCTGTGGCAGAAATAACAAAAGACACTGGTAGCAAATGGAAGGGAGTGATGAGGTGGAGTGCAGTTAATCCACAGGCTGGAAGAACTCCAGATAATCTATCGATCGATCAATCAATCAATCAATCAGGAGTTAGTTTTGTGAAAGAAAAAGAGAAGATAACTTGAATAAGTTATTCTCTCTCTCTCTTCATCCTCCTCCCCACTCCCTCAAACTTTAAGAAAGTTACTTTTAATATTATTATTATTTTGAAATGGGGTCTTGCTATGTTGCCCAGGCTGGTCTTGAACTCCTGGTTTCAAGTGATCCTCCCGCCTTGGCCTCCCAAGTAGCTGGGATTATAGGCACAAGCAAAAACACCTGACAAGAAACTTCCTTTTAAGAGCACAGATAATTTGTCAAATCCTCTCAGAGTCACAGGTCAGGGGCATTAAAACTTTAAGAAGAAACAATGATTTATAAAAAAATTAAACCACCACCACCACAACAACAAAAAAAAAAAACACTGAAAGTTTCCCAATGGAAACAAAAACAAAACACGATGATTCAAGTTTTAGGCTCGACAAATGCAAGTTTAAGTTTCAAAGGCCCTATACTGCCCCAAGGAAGAGCTGGCGGGGGTGGGGGGACATTTTCCCCTGTTCGCTTTGGCAGGAAACCAAGCTAAACTACCAGAGGGGCCAGGACACATCCTGCCCTCTGAAGAAAACCACAAGGCTGACATGCTCAAAGCAGCCATAATTTTTGGTAGACCAGTTGGGAAGAATGTGGTATTTGTTGACTTTTGTTTCTGTAGCAGATGGTGACTTTAGAAGACCTGAGGTTCACAACCAGAAAACTTGACTGTCAACTGGAAATATATTTATGGTTTCCTGCAAGGCTGATAAAGTTGAAAAATCCACCCATATATAAACAAAAAGGGGATGAGGAGGGGTGCAGGAGGTATGCCCAGGCTTCTTCCAGAGGAGTTCCTGCTCTTCTGACCAAGCGGCTCCTTGACAGTTCTCCGCAAAGGTGACGGCAGAAGTTTCTCTTTAGTTCTCACAAAGATTGACTGTAATCTTCTCTGCTAGGGCCAGGCGTGGTGGCTCACGCCTGTAATCCCAGCACTTTGGGAGGCCAAGGAGGGTGGGTCACTTGAGCCTAGGGGTTTGAGACCAGCCTGGAAACATGGCAAAACACCATCTCTACTAAAAATACAAAAATTAGCCAGGCATGGTGGTACATGCCTATAATAAGAGCTACTCAGAAGGCTGAGGCACAAGAATCACTTGAACCTGGGAGACAGAGGTTGCAGTGAACTGAAATCGCATCACTGCACTATAGTCTGGGGTGACAGAGCAAGACTCTGTCTTGAAACAAACGAACAAACAAACAAAAAAACACAAAATCTTCTCTGCTAGGCAGCCTGTGGCTACTTGGCCACTTACATCTGAGTCTGGGCAGAAAGAGCTGGAAGGCTGCAGGAAGGAAGTCTCAGGATGTAGGATGTTAGTGTTTTCCAGGACAGGGTGTCTAATTTTAAGAGGAAAGATTTTTTTCCTTACCCCTGGTAAGGAAATGTATGTTTGATTGTAGGTCTGACTGAGATTCTTCTCCCGGAAATGCCATCATACTTCACAGAACATTACCCCTCAAATTAAGTCTGTGCCGGTATTGGCCAGGGGGTGGAGGAGTGCTCGTTATTTTCCATAGCCACGGTTCCAGGATGCACTGCTCTTCCCATCCTTCCTCCCCCCAGGACACACAAGAAGAGTAAATACAGCTGCATATCCCCAGGCTTGGTCTAAAATCCAGGAGGGCTGTAACTCTGCCTTTGAGTTTTACAACCCCGGTGTGTGCAACACTGTCCGTGGTAGGGGATGGGGATGAGAGAGAAGACTCCATTTCAGAACATTTGTTGTAGCAGAGATCTTCGGCTCTGCATCAGCAAAAACTTCAGAAAGCGTTCTGCTACTTATTCACTGTTCCTGCAAAATAAACAAAGCAGTGGCTAGAAGCGGGGAGGGGGGCATTTGACAAGACTGACCTCTCAACTAAGAAGGAGAGAAGAAAGAGACTTGACTGGCTAGCTACATCTGATACATTCTAGCACTATAAACTTTCCCCCAAATCTGGAGATAAGAATCTCATGAATAACCTGATCCCCACTCAGGGAAATATTTTATCTTTAATCAAGTATGTCCTTGAGGGCTTAAAGGTGAGGGCTCAGAGGCTTCAAACTGGCAGCAGGTGGGTGGAATCCAGTTTACACACCTATTTTCTTTGGCACACAAAATGTTCTTCTCTTTTTAAATTTGTTTCCAACATTAACAGAGCAGAAGGTTTCACATAAATATCTGAGTTTCTGTCATTTCTTGAAAAAATAGCAGATTTGGCTGTGCTGAGCCCCAAATTCCGCAGAGCTATGGTTACTGTTACTGATTTAGGTGGAGCCAGGGTTCTAGTTCACGCCAGTCCTTACCACTCCTTCTAACCTTAACCTGACCTGTTTTATTCTATCACCTTATCTGCCCATGTCAGGAAATGGTTGGTAAATGCTCTTTTCTGTTCCCTAAATAAGTCCCAATTACCTTGCTGACATAATAGCACTTTTGAATAACAAGTCTGTTTGTCACTTGGCTTTTTGTATCTGAATCTCTTAATTTGGGCTCACAACTTTGTGGAGCTTCTTAAAGATTAGCCTTATCTCTGGCTAGGATATTAGAATCATGAAGGAATCTGAGAGGGAAAAGGCTTTTAAAACTTTAGGCTATGAATTAAGCGATTTCCTTAGCCTTTTCTAAAGAATCAGCATCTCTGCTACAGATCTGTTTATTGATTTTCTTTAAAAAACGGAGATCAGAAATCCTGATTTAGTACTTTGAATTGCTTGGAAGTAAGAGGCTACTGAAATCCAAGGCACTTATTATCATCACAATTTATAACAGCAACAGAGTAGCAAATGGCTTACTGAAAGTGAACTTGGGGAGGCATTTGTCTCTGGAATTAAGACTTCTTTTTATAGTCTACTTGCTACAGTCAGCTGTGAATAATATACAATTAATAAGTTTGTTTCTGATTGAGGTGAAATTTACATAATATAAAATTGTTTTAAAAGTGAACAACTTTGTGGCATTTAGTACTTTATAATGTTGTGCAAACCACAGCTATCTAGTTCCAAAACATTTTCTTTTTTTCTTTTTTCTTTTCTTTCTTTTTTTTTTTTTTTTGAGACAGTCTCGTTCTGCCTGTCACCCAGGCTGGAGTGCAGTTGAGAGGTGAAGCCGGTTGGGCTTCTGGGTCTGGTGGGGACTTGGAGAACTTCTCTGTCTAGCTAAAGGATTGTAAACACACCAACCAGTGCTCTGTGTCTAGCTAAAGATTTGTAAATGCACCAATCATCACTCTGTAAAAACGGACCAATCAGCACTCTGTAAAATGGACCAATCAGCAGGATGTGGGCGGGGCCAAGTAAGGGAATAAAAGCTGGCCACCCCAGCCAGCAGCTGCAACCTGCTCCAGTCCCCTTGCACTGTGTGGAGGCTTTGTTCTTTCTGTTTTCACAATAAATCTTGCTGCTGCTCACTCTTTGGGTCCGCACTACCTTTATATGCTGTAACGCTCACTGTGAAGGTCTGTGTCTGCAGCTTTACTCCTGAAGTCAGCAAGACCATGAACCCACCAGGAGGAAAAAACAACTCCGGATGCGCCACCTTTAAGAGCTGTAACACTCACTGCGAAGATATGTGGTTTCACTCCTGAAGTCAAGTGAGACCACAAACCCACCACAAGGAAGAAACTCCAGACACACCATCTTTAAGAACTGTCACACTCACCGCGAGGGTCCACAGCTTCATTCTTGAAGTCAGCGAGACCAAGAACTCACCTGAAGGAACCAGTTCCGGACACACATTGGCGCAATCTTGGCTCACTGCAGCCTCTGCCTCCCGGGTTCAAGTGATTCTTGTGCCTCAGCCTCCTGAGTAGCTGGGATTACAGGCACGTGCCACCATGCCCAGCTGCATGTTTTAGTGGAGACAGGTTTCACTATGTTGGCGAGGCTGGTCTTGATCTCCTGACCTCAAGTGATCCACTGGCCTCAGCCTCCCAAAGTGTTGGGATTACAGGTATGAGCCACCACACCTGGCCCCAAAACATTTTCTTCACCCAGAAAGGAAACCCCATACCTTTTAAGCAGTTGATTCCATTCTCGCCTCTGCCCTGTCCGTTCTAACCACCAACCTGTGTTCTGCCTCTATGCAGTTACCTATTCTGGATATTTTAAATGAGTGGAATCAGATAATATGTGACCTGCTGTGTCTGGTGTCTTCCACTTAGCACAATGTTTTCAAGGCTCATCCCATTATAGTACGTATCAGTACTTCATTCCTTTTTGTAGCTGAATCATATTGTGAACAAGTTTTTATAATTTTTTAAAAATAGAGAACCTATTCTTGGTACTTCTGGCTTTCTGCTTATGGATTGCTAATGTACCAAGGGGAACTAAAGACTTGAGATGAGAAAGGATAACAGGTTTTTTTACACCGCCTTTCACAAGAAGGAACTAATAAAGAGGTACATACCTGCAAGGGTATGAATGTTACATTCCTACGGGTAGGGAGAGCAGAACAGTAACACTTAACAATTAAAAAGTTGCCCTTTAAGTAAAATATAAATCAAGTTCGCCTCAGGCTCATGTGACAAGTTGCCTTTCATCAACTTTAAATTAGGTTGCTATGAAAGAACTTGGCTAAGCATTTTCTATTGCCTTTCATCCACCTAGCCAACTACAGAGCAGAGGAGTGATTGGCCTCTGTAATGCCATGCAAATGAAGGTTTTAATGCCATGCAAATGAAGGTTCCAACCACAGAATAATAGCAACAGCTGGCACAGGTCTCCTGATCTAGGGCCTCAGGACAACCCTATTAACCCCACTTCTCAGATGAAGAAACGGGCATAACAAAATTAAGTCATTCGTTGGAGGATACACCGCAGGTTACAGAAGAACATACTGGAGTGCTTTCAGCGCAGCACCCATGCTCTGAACTGCGGCATCGTACTGCCTCTTGCATCCCTATTTTCCAATGTGGTGTGGCAAGGTGCTATGCAGTCTTTCTGGCCCTGGGGGCCGGGGAGGGGCAGTGGGCATGGGTAGGGAGGGAGAAGATGGCAGTGCAGACCTGACATTCATAAAGCTGCAGGAGGGGTGATCTGGCCCAGGATCATCACAGTTGGCCTACATCCTTCTTGGACATGTGAACCCTTGGCTATGGCATGATTTACCATTTTAGCTTATGTAGGAATCACAGATTACAGGATCCTACCTCTAGAGTTGGATGCAGTAGACTCTCCCTCCCTCCCAACCTTCCTCCCTTCCTCCCTTCCTTCCGTTCTCTCTTCTCTCTCTCTCTTTCTTTCTTTTTTGACGAAGTCTCACTCTGTCACCCAGGCTGGAATGCAGTGGTGTCATCACAGCTCGCTGCAATCTCAGCTTCCCAGGTTCGAGTGATTCTCCTGCCTCAGCCTCTTGAGTAGCTGGAATTACAGGCCTGCGCCACCACGCCTGGTTAATTTCTGTATTTTTAGTAGAGACGGGGTTTCACCATGTTGGCCAGGTTGGTCACAAACTCCTGACCTCAAGTGATTCGCCCACCTCAGCCTCCCAAAGTGCTGAGATTACAGGCGTGAGCCACCGTGCCCGGCCTAGACTTTCTGCTTATGGATTGCTAATGTACCAAGTAGGTGGGTAGGACACAGGAGGATGATTTTTTTAGCAAGTCCTCATGTGATTCTCATATTACATGGTCCTCAGACCACACTTTGAGAGATATTTGCCATTTTCCTACAAGATCCATTGTTGTCTCTTTTCTCCTTTGGGCATCTTGGAAAGCAGCAGCTGCAGAGGCTATTTTAGGCCAGTAAAGACCTGAAGAAGGTCATGCAGCCCGAAAGCCAAGTGAAACCGTTCCAGGACACAGCCTGCAAGAGGGCTTCAGGGGGCTGCAGGAGGAGATAGCTACGTAGAGGGGGGCTCAGGAAGTGCTGGGGGTCTCCAGGTGCGCACACCTAGATGTGCTGAGCTCTGGCAATGTAAACTCTCATTAATGTTTTAGTTCACTAAAACAATCGAGTTTCAGCATGGAGCAAATTCACATGAGTCAGTGACTCTCATTCCCAAACTGCTGAGTCACCTCCTGTGTCCTAACTCACCTGCCACTGCAGCCCAGTGGAGAAAGTCAAACAGAGCCCTGGGTGTGTGACCCTCAAATAAATCCCTAGAGACTTCCGGGTTCATGGGTTCTTCTCCTATTGTATGAGGAATGTGCTATGAAGGAGGGAAAAGTAAATTCAAAATCCAAAGCCATTAAAAAGTATATGCACCAATTCTTCTCCCAGGTCACAGACTGAATTTAAAGAACAATGATTAAGTGAAAATTCTCTCAGTTTTTTTTAATTGGTTCAGCAATTGATTAATTACTGAATCTTGACCCTAAACTTTTTAGTCTAGAAATGTGCTTGAGGAATACAGGCTGGAGATCAGCTTTTTGACATTGCATTCCCCTCCTGGATCACATCCATGTTGGAATCAATTTATAAACTGCCTTCCTAAGGCTTAAAATGATGGTGATCTACAGACAAGTGCCTTCCTAGGCACAGGGTTGCTGGAGACTGATGCCAGGCCCATGGCTCTTAAAGGGAACACTGAACTCATGGCAGAAATGGTGGAAAGTAGAGAAATGAATAGAGGGGGAAAATCACCCAGAGATAACCACTGTTATTGCTTTAGTGTTCTTTCCTTTCTTTTATTTACTATTCACTAGTATATTCTTATCTATTTCCATTTTGTGTCTTTTTTTTTTGTTTCTCTTAATATTTATAATGTGAGCATTTCCCTCACGTTATTAAACAGACTTTGGTAAAGTTGTGTTTAATAATATATGACGTTCCAAACTCTGAATGTACTATAATTTATTTAACTCTTATTTTTATATGCTTAAGTCATTTCCATATATTTGATTTTTACAGATGAGTATCCTTTTGCATTTTTTGAAATCACACCTTTGATAGATGTCTACATATGAAATTACTACATCAAAAACCATGAATTCTTCTTCTTCTTCTTTTTTTTTTTTGATACAGGGTTTTGCCCTGTCGCCCAGGCTGGAGTGCAGTGGCGCTATGGCAGCCTTGACCTCCTGGAAGCGATCCTCTCACCTCAGTCTCCCTAGTAGACGGGAGTATAGACATGCACCACCACACCCAGCTAATTTTTTTGGTATTTTTTGTAGAGATGGGGTCTTGCTATGTTGCCCAGGCTGGTCTCAAACTCCTGGACTCAAGTGATTCACCCCCCTCGACCTTCCGAAGTGCTGGAGTTATAGGCATGAGCTACTGCACCCTGCCTGTGAATTCTTTTAAGGCTCCTGGTACATCTTCCATAATTGCTTTCCAGAAAGGTCTTTTCAATATGTAGTCCTCCAGCATCACACAAAAGTGCCTAGAAATAAAATGTTTGCCAAATGTGCATATTATAATTTTAAAAAATAGCTTTTTTCTTTTTTTTTGGAGACACAGTCTCGTTCTATAATCCAGGCTGGAGGGCAGTGCGTGATGTTGGCTCACTGCAAGTCCTGGCCCATGTGCCTTTTGGAATGCCCTTTCTTGCCTCCCACCTCAGCCTCCTGAGTACAGGTGCATGCCACCACACTCAGCTAATATTTTTAGTAGAGATGGGGTTTTACCATGTTTCCCAGGCTGCTCTCGAATTCCTGGCCTCAAGTTATCTGCCTGCCTCAGCCTCCCAAAGTGCTGGGATTATAGGCTGAGCTACTGTGCCCAGTGAAAAAATGCTTTTTCAATGTGATAAAAATGGTCCACATTTTCACATGCATTCCTTTGCTACAAAAAGTGAATGGTTTACATGTTTTTCTATTGAGGCGTTGATATTTTTCTTACCGATTTTTGTGCACGCATGCATATACACACACACACGAACAGAAAGAGTGAGAAAGAATAATGTATATAACACATATTATCCCCTTTTTGAAAAACGTTTTTTGAAAATCATGTCCTCCATTTGTCATTTGACTTTTCATCTTTTTGGTGACTGTTTTTGATGTATAGAAGTTTTTAATTTTGTGTAGCCAATATGTGATTTTTCCCTTTATGATATCTTCCACTTGTCTTTTGATTAAAGAGTCCTTGTACTTTTGAGTCTTGATTATTATAAATATTTAATTATATTCATCTTATTTTTGTACTAGTTAAAAAGTTGTTGATATTTGATTCTGAATTGTACTTGAATATTGTGGGTGTGTGTGGATGTGTGTGTAATATGGTATGAGGTTCTAATTTGATTTTTTTCCCCTAAAGAACCAATTGGCCAGGTGCAGTGGCACACCTATAGTACCAGTTACTTGGGAGGCTAAGGCAGCAGTATTGCTTGAGGTCAGGAGTTCAAGTCCAGCCTAGGCAACATAGTTAGAACCTGTCTCTAAAAAAAGAGAAAATAACCAATCGTCTCAACCCCATTTGTTTCAGAAAGGCTTTTAAGATGAATATAGAGTATTCCAGAATCAGAGAATCTCTTTTCTACTAGGCCATGGAAAAAAGGTAAACTGACATAGTGGCTTCAGCTAGCAATGCAGCCAGGCTTGTTCTCTAACTTCTCTGTGCCTACCTAGATACAGGGACGTAGAAAACACAGGGGACCAGCCCAGAATTTGAGGGGGGGTTAAAAGTAGAGTGCAATTACCCTCTCCCTAGGCTCCAAGGCCCGTTAAGCTCATGGGGGTAGAAAAGCTCTGAAGATTTACAGATCTGGCTCATGTGCCTTTTAGAATGCCCTTTCTTGCCAGCACTGTCAGCCCCCAGGTTTCCTGGCTTGTTGGAGGTGATCCGTGGAGCTGACCATTGTCACCAGTTCCTGAATGTTCCATTTCAGAGCTTCAGAGTTGGAAAGATCAATTGTCCAACAGCACCCTGACGCCCAAGCTTTAGCCTTAAGGGATCTAAACAAACAAACAAACAAAAACCTAAAAAAACTGATGGTGTACCCTGAACCTTTAAACAAAGCTGGTTCACTCTCATACCACCTCAGTGAGCACAGAAAACCAAGCTATCCGCAACAGCACCTAGCTACATTTACCCATAAACTCTTCCACGTTTGGAATCCTTGCACTTGGTTTTGACTTGCTCTGCCTGTCAGCTTTTGACAACTGCTTCTTTTTTCTGCAACTGGTTTGGGCTCACTTCTCATCTCTTGGCTTGGTACCTCACCTGATTTGAATGTCACTGTAACATCATGTAAAAGGCATCCTTCTGCTAGCCTGAGCCTCAGAGAACTTCACCAGATACACTGGTAGCCTCTCTTCCAAGGAAGAAAGTACACAGGCTATGGTTTTCTTCTACGGCAAATTGGCTATGGAATGACCTGTGGGGAAGACAGAAACTGGCAGTTCACCTGAATCCTGACAGCTCATATGTCCTTCCACTTACCTTGGCCAAACTACTAGGAAATACTGAAAAGATGGCAAGACAGAAGGGACATGGGACATCTCTATGTCTGTCAGTCAGTTTAGCTCTTACTTTGTCATAAAGGGAGACACAAGCATAACTGCCTGCCAAGTCAGATGAGTTGACTCAACCCCATGATCAATAGCTCACCAGACGGGGCAGCCACAACCTTTCACATTTATCTGTTCCTCATCCTTATCAGGGATTTGATATGTGAGAACTAGAGCATGTGTTCCAATTCACTGTGGTCTACTTTTAACACAAATAAAATTATAGATCAAACTGGCTTTGAACACTTCAAAGACCAGACATTATCAAAGTGTTTTATAAGCCTATATGTTCTAGATGTGGTCACTGTGCTGCTCTGCCTGGGATGGAGACTGAGTGATCTTATATAACATCACCTAAAGCATGACCTTTCACTGCTCAAAACCACCCCAGAGTCCTCACCAGGGCCAGGAGGCCTTCCTTGCACTGGCTCCTACCCACCTCTGTCACCTCACATCTACCAGGGCTCCTGGCTCAGTCTGCTTTAGTGCATGCCTTATTCGACGTTGCCTCTGAACATCCCAGCTCACTTTCCTCTGCTGGAACATTCTCTCCCCAGGCTTATGTGGCCCTGTTCCTCACTTCATTCAGGTCACCTCAAATGTCATCTTCTCAGAGAGACTGTGAGACCATCTCTGATCACCCTAATAAAACAGCAGCTTTTGTCAGTCTCAATTTCCCTGCTTTATTTTTCTTTATGGCACTTAACTCTCTGACATTTTATACACACACACACATGCGCGCGCGCGTTCATTGTCTCTTTGTTAGAATGTAAGCTCTCTGAAGGTAGAAACATTGATTTGTTCTTCTCTGTTTCTCCACCTTAATCAGTATCTGACACAAGTAGATATCCAACAACTAGTAGCTAAAAATATTCAAACGTGAATACCGTAGACTATACAAGTATAGAGAAAAACTGCCTTTCAGGAACTCAGCTGTAACTTAACTCCTACCACCTAGAGTTCTATGATTATCATGATAGGAAAGTAGCTTTTAATCTAATCTACAAAGGATTTCATGAGAAGGAAAATTCTGAAAAATAGTTTTTAATGAGAATCTTATGTGAGGATCTTTCACACACACACACACACACACACACACACACACACACACACACACACATCTATCTATCCATCTATCATCTGTCTATCTATCTAATCCTCACTGAAGCCCCTTAAGGCAGGTATCATCTGCATTACCACAGATAAATACACGTGGACTCTGTGAGATTGTAACTTGAATAATGCCATGTGTACTAAAGGTACCAGATCCAGGAACTCAGATCTACCCGTCCCCAACAGCCAGGCAGCCAGGCATTTCCCTATTATGGTACCATGGGATATTGTCAGACATACACACACACACACACACACACACACACACACACACACACACATATATACATACATATAGTTATGACCATGGGCTAGGCTCTTATCCAGAGCTAAGCACTATGGATACAGTGATGATTAAATAAGATAGACACTGTCTTTAGTCTCATAGTGCTTACAGACTGAAAGGGATCTTGTAGAGCTAAAATTATGCTTGCTGCCACAAAAGTGGTATGTTTTCATTTTTTCATTCACTCAAGAAATATCTATTGACTACATACTATGTGTCATGCTTTGTGTTAAGAGCAAGGAATAAAATGGTGAGTAAAACCAGACCTGATTCCTGCCTTCGTGGGGCTTACAGTCTAATGAGGAAGTTATGAAATAGTCACATGCAAACATGGTGCTGTGAGATCCTACAAATAGGGGAAGCAAGCTTAATTAAATTAGGAGATTCTTGCTTGAGGAAGTACCACTTAATCTGAGATTTAAAGGATAACTAGGAGTTAAAAAGACAATGAGGAGAGAGAAGAACACTCCAGGTAATTCAAACAGCATGTGAGAAGATCCTATTGTAGAAGGAAAGATGCGTGCAGGAAGTCTTTGAAAGAGGCCAGTGTGGCTGGAGAGCTGGAAATAAGAAGCATCCTGGTGTCAGAGGAGCCTGAGAGGTGGGCAAGAGCAGGACTATAGGGCATTGTATGAAATCTGACATATGTGCTAAGTCAAAATCCGGCAGTGTGCTCTCCCAGTTGGTCTCTAGGTTAATGCTCATGCTAATGTAGCAACTCCAAGCTAGGGACAAAAAACCTTGGAGCAGAGAGGCTCATGGGTACCGGCAAGCTGGAAGAAGACTAGATAATCACTAGGATCTGCACTGAAACCAAGGCTCTGCTGCTTAACCGCCCCAGAGAGTCGTCAAGTGAAGAATGGCCTTTCTGAACCTTCACTTGCAGAGTGCTAATGTAGTAGTGGAACAGAATGCTGTTTTGGGAGCCCATGAAATTAGATTTACATTCTTCATCTGTTATCTCTACGTTTCTCAGGTTATAAAATGGGAACAAAGATATTTCCTTTTAAGTATTGTTAAAGATAATTAAATAAGATGATGTATTAAAGGACTTGACCTAGCGCTTAGCTCATAGCAGGTATTCAATAAATAATAGCCATTATTTTTCTTTATCTGTTAAATGGAGACAGTAATAGCACAGATTAAGTTGCTGAGTTATGAAGATCTGATTAGATTATGCATGTGAAAGCAATAGGCCGGGCCTCCTCTGCGTAATCTTATTTCTAATTTTAAGAGCCAGGAACCCACTTTTTTGGAGCCTGATGTTCTAATATTCCTTCCTTACGAAAGCCAGGTCATTGCTTTTTTCATCTGCCTGATGCACTGTAAGAGCCTTGTGTGTTCTTTCAAAAGCGATCTCTCATTTTTCTCGTTTTGGGTTTTTAGGTGTCTTTACATTTGGCAATCTCCGTCCTACAGAGGGCTGGAAAAGCCCTGCGGGAGACGGCATATCCACCACCCGCTGCTGGGTCGGCCCTGCAGCTGTGTGCACCCGAGAACTGCCAAAGAAGCTGGGTCTTGGCGCGGCGGGACGGGCCAATCAGAAGAAGTTTGGCCCTCTGCAGTTTCCGTCCGCTCACTAGGAGGCGCTGCGGCAGCGACGGCGGCGTCGGCGGCGGCCGGGGCTGTCGCGGGTTGGGGCGGTTGGGCTGGCAGCTGAGGCTCGTGGCCATGGAGTGGGGTTCTGAGTCGGCTGCTGTGAGGCGGCACCGCGTCGGAGTAGAGCGTCGAGAGGGAGCGGCGGCCGCGCCACCGCCGGAGAGGGAGGCCCGAGCGCAGGAGCCTCTGGTGGATGGGTGCAGCGGCGGCGGGAGGACGCGGAAGAGGAGCCCCGGGGGTAGCGGCGGCGCGAGCAGGGGCGCGGGGACCGGGCTGTCTGAGGTGCGCGCCGCGCTGGGGCTCGCGCTCTACCTGATCGCGCTGCGGACGCTGGTGCAGCTCTCGCTGCAGCAGCTCGTGCTACGCGGGGCCGCTGGACACCGCGGGGAGTTCGACGCGCTCCAAGCCAGGTACCGGCCGCTCCCTCCTGGCACGGCCCGCGCGTCCGTTTGCGGCTCCTGCGCAGGCTCCGGGGCACCGCACCTGTGTGCACCCGCCCCTGCCGGACCGCTGGGACTCGCTGACCCCTCCCAGGCTGCACGTGGGGTGGGGTGACCTTGCTTGTCCTTCTTCTGGGGTCTGAATTGCCGGGACTTGGGGCTTGCCTGTCCCCGGTTAAGCTCGTGGTGCAGATTGGGGTTGCCAGGTAGATTGAACCTGCTTTCCACTGTCTGCCCTTCGTGCAGATGGTTGGTTGTGAGTCGTCTCCCCATATTCTGGAACAGCTTCCCCTTTTTACCTTGCTTAGCCCTTCTGCTTTCCAGATGGAAATTTGTGTACCTAGACTGTTGTATAAATTCGCTTTGGGGGCGGGGAGTTTTGGAAGGCGCTAGTGCACTGTTCTAACTTTCTGAGGGTTACAGCCCCCACATCTGAAGGCTATAGAAACTCTTTCTGGAACACCGCCCAGTCAAAATTTGGTATGCAGTCTGATAAATTCTCAGATCCCTGCAGTTTATCTTTAGGCCCCTTGGATTAGTGACTGTGTAAGGTTTGACTTTTTTTTTTTTTTTTAAGACCTTTAAGAATGCTAGGAAAGGTGATTAAGTCAAAGATATTGTAACCCAGGTGTGTCAAAGCTCATGAAGTGTTAAGCTGGCGTCAAGTTTTCAACAGCTACTGTGTTCTAAAAAGTTTTTGCTAGAATGCAAAGTGTTGCAAGCTTATTAAGGACTTTCTGAAACGTCTCCCACCCCCACTTCCAGCTTTCCCCACTTGGAATGCAGTGAAAAGACAAAAACAGTTTTGTTTTCATTAGGGGTACAGTTGGTTTTGGCCTGAATTGAAGTTATTAGACCTTGGGTGTATGCTAGGAGGGCTAGGTCCATCAAAAGTTTCCCCCGCCCGCCTTATTTAACCTCTTGACTTGATTATTTTTGCTCATTGGTTTCTGCTACTTAAAGTCATTAACCCAGAATCTGTAACGTTCAGGAGTATGCACAGTGAAGTTATATTCTATCCTGCTTAGTCTTTAGCTTTTTTTGTTTGTTTTCTGAGACAGGGCCTGGCTCTGTCGCCCAGGCTGGAGTGCAGTGGCTCCATCTCGGGTCTGTAGCCTCCACCTCCCAGGTTCAAGCAGTCCTCCCACCTCAGCCTCTTGAGTAGCTGGGACTACAGGCGGATAGTAGTCTACATCTGGCTAGTTTTTGTAGTTTTAGAAGAGATGGGGTTTCACCATGTTGCCCAGGCTGGTCTCAAACTCCTGAGCTCAAGCAATCCACCCACCTCAGCCTCCGAAAGTCCTGGGATTACAGGCGTGAGCCACCGTGCCTGGCCAGTGGTCACACGTTTTGAATACATCCCTAGTCCTTGTATTGGTTTGATATGGGGAGAAGTTGGGAGTGGGATGGTGGAGAAAACTGAAGGGGTCAACTCGTGGGAGGCAACAATAAAAATATGGAACTTTATAAGTGATGTTCACTTGGTGTCTGAAATAATGAAAGGCGGTCCCTTTTATATAAGGCAAAGAACTAAGCTTTTTTGGGGAGGAAGGGGTGTGTAGTGGAAAAGTTACCCACGCTAAGTGTCAATTTTAACTACAAACCTTTGTTATTCTTTTGGTTACTTCCAGGGATTATCTTGAACACATAACCTCCATTGGCCCCAGGACTACAGGAAGTCCAGAAAATGAAATTCTGACCGTGCACTACCTTTTGGAACAGATTAAACTGATTGAAGTGCAAAGCAACAGCCTTCATAAGATTTCAGTAGATGTACAACGGCCCACAGGCTCTTTTAGCATTGATTTCTTGGGAGGTTTTACAAGCTATTATGACAACATCACCAATGTTGTGGTAAAGCTGGAACCCAGAGATGGAGCCCAGCATGCTGTCTTGGCTAATTGTCATTTTGACTCAGTAGCAAACTCACCAGGTATGTACCTGTTTTTTAGTCATTTGGAACTTGTCACAGCCCAGAAAGTTTATTAACATAACCCCAAGCTACTTGGGCAATTGTGGGGACCATTTTCTTGGGCAAACCTTTTTTCTTTGTGATGGAAAGCAGGATAATTAGGATAGTATCATTTAGTTTAGGATCTAACCATTCTGTCTTCTCTTAAGTGCTTTATTAATATTATTTTTTGGTGTTAATGCCAGCAGCCCAGTGATAAGACTTGGAATGTTTCTGGTAGACTGAAGCAGCTTTCTCAATGTTACCAGACAGTGTGTGTGTCCTAGTGTCCTGGAGTTAGGTTCTGACACTTAGAAAGTGTTTTACTCAGCTGGGTGTTATACTAGGCTTTGGGGATACCACATAAGGACAGTCCCTGCCTTCAAGGGTTACTGCATGGTTTTAGAGCAGGGGTGTCCAATCTTTTGGCTGCCCTGGGCCACATTGGAAGAAGAAGAATTGTCATGGGCCACACATAATATACACTAATGATGGCTGATGAGCTTAAAAAAAAAAACTCATGTTTTAAGAAAGTTTACAAATTTGTATTGGGCTGCATTCAAAGCTGTCCTGGGCTGCGGGTTGGCGGATATCTCTTCTAGCAGATTCTGTTGACCTATAAAGTGAGAATTTTGCTCCACTGAGGGTGCCATACTGTTAAAGTACCTAATTAATGTGTAAATCTTTCTCTGAAAATCATTTGGCAAAATAGAATACTTGCATTTAGGACAGTGCCTGATGCAGTATATATTTGTCAAATGAATGGGAATCCCCTAAATTGAACTTCCATTTATTAAAATATTTATTTTTCAGAAAATTGTATTCAGTGGTTAAAGGGATTGTAAATAGGGATGGAAAATAGCATTTACAATGGCATAGCATTTTAGTGGTAGACAAGACCTGAGATGGCATCTGGCTGAACCCCTCATTTGATACAGGAGTACATTTAGCTAGCTGGTCATCGCTGATCAGAGACAAAACTAGGATAAGATGCTGGATTTCCTGGCCAGTCAGTTCTTTCAGCTACATTTGAAAGGAAAAAGAATATTAGGGTGTAATTAATACTCCCTTTTGCAAATTGCTTAACTTCTTAGTTTCTCATCTGTGTAATGGAGAAAATAATAGTACTTTCCTAATAGTGTTGCTTGGAGGATTAAAAATAAGTAAAACGCTAAAATAGTACCTGGCATGGAAAGTGATTTTTAAAAGTTTTTATTAACTCTTATGTAATATTAACACTTCTGGATTACTCGAACTTATAGCAGGCCAAATTTGAACGTCTAGAGTTATACAAAATGTAAGTAAAATTTATTTGCTTGATAAAATGATTCATATTAGAATATCTTCATTTAGAAAGCTTGACAATTGCGTTTAGAATGTAACTTGCATTTTCAAAAATCAGTATACACACGTTTGTTAAATAAGCCAGAAGTACCTTCGTGTGCTGCTGGGGTAACCAGTGGTTTAGTGTTTTTTTTTTTTTTTTTTTGGCTGGGGGGCCAAGTCTCACTCTGTCACCAGGCTGGCATGCAGTGGCACAATCTTGGCTCACTGCATCCTCTGCCTCCCGGGTTTAAGCGATTCTCCTACTGTGCCACCACACTCGGCTGATTTTTTTTGTATTTTTGGCAGCGACAGGGTTTCACCATGTTGGCCAGGCTGGTCTTGAACTCCTGACCTCAAGTGATCCGCCTACCTCAGTCTCCCAAATTTCTGAGATTATAGGTGTGAGCCACTGTGCCCGGCCACCAGTGGTTTTTTTATGTCCATTTCAAAGCAGTAATAAATGTCACTCTTTGCCCACTATTATGATGCTTAAATTCTGGGAAGCGGCAAATAAACACCATGGTTGCTTAAGAACATTATATAAGAAGGCTGTATATACAAGAATTAGCAGCAAATGTAGGGACAAAAGAAAAAAGTTTCCCCTCTACCCTTCATAGTTCTTAGCTGAGTGGACCCCTGTAACAAAAGACAGGTTAAAAAGAGAAAAACCAAATAGAAGTTTATTAACACATGCACTTCATGTACATGGGAGATACTCAAGGAAAATGAGTACATCTCAAAGAGGTGGCTTAGAAATCTGGCTTATGTAGCATCTTCAACCAAACAATACATTTTTAGAGAAGTGACAAAGGAAAAGGACCTTGAGTCTCGAGGGGTGGCAAATTGAAGGAAGGCAAATAAATGGTAGAGAAAGGTTAGTTAGTAAAGTGTTATATAGATTCCTTTTGTGCTGTTGCCAGGCCACCAAAAGTTTAAAGTTGTCTTTCTTGATCAACCTTTGTACTTCCTGGTGGAAAGGGGAAGTGGGGACACCTTGGTAAATGTATACCCTGCTTTTAGGCAAACAAGGGGAGGGCAGAGAGCTTTTTTGTATAGTACCTGCTTCTCAGTTGCCTTCAGCTCAAAATAATCCGTATGTCAAAGTGACATATTTTGGAGTGCATATTCAGTTACTCTTTACAAACATAGTGCCAAATGTTACAGATTGTATATGTGGAGTCTAATAATTAAAGGCCAGCATTTTTGTGAGCCATTAGAACCCACTTTTTATTATTATGTTTTAAATAATAGAGACAGGTTCTCACTTTGTTGCCCAGGCTGGTCTTGAACTCCTTAAGTGATTATTCTACCTCATCCTCCCAAAGTGCTGGGATTACAGGTGGGAACCACTGTGCCTGGCCTAGAACGTACATTCATTCATTCATTCACTTATTCATTTATTTATGAGGCGGAGTCTCACTCTGTCGCCCAGGCTAGAGTGCAGTGGCGCGATCTCGGCTCACTGCAAGCTCTGCCTCCCGGGTTCACGCCATTCTCTTGCCTCAGCCTCCCGAGTAGCTGGGACTATAGGCGCCCACCACCATGCCTTGCGAATTTTTTTTTTTTTTGAGACGGAGTCTCGCTCTCGCCCACGCCAGACTGCAGTGGCGCTATCTCTGCTCACTGCAACCTCCGCCTCCCGGGTTCATGCCATTCTCCTGCCTCAGCCTCGCTATTTTTTTGTTAGTAGAGATGGGGTTTCACTGTGTTAGCCAGGATGGTCTCAATCTCCTGACCTCGTGATCTGCCTGCCTTGGCCTCCCAAAGTGCTGGGATTACAGGTGTGAGCCACTGCGCCTGGCCCTAGAACCTACTTTTAACTAAAATTTTATAGGAATACCCTTAGCAACAATCTCAAGGCAATTTCTGTCAATAATAAATTGTTAAAAATAGTGTTTCACACATTCATCAAATAGATTAAGCTTGTCCAACCTGCAGTCCTGGGTAGCTTTGAATGTGGCCCAATACAAATTCATAAACTTTCTCAAAACGTGAGATTTTTTTTTCAATTTTTATTTTATTTTTTAGCTCATCAGTGATTGTTAGTGTTAGTGTCTTTTATATGTGGCCCAAGACAGTTCTTCTCTTAATGTGGCCCATGGAAGCCAAAAGATTGGACACCCCTGAAATAGACTATCACCTAAATCCTTTTAGTGGATGGCCTAATTGAAGCACTTCTTTTTTCTTTTTTTCTTTTTAAGTTCTCATCTGTGTATCTAGGACTCAGGAATTGATACCAATTAGGAGTAATGTTATCCACAGAAAAGCCTTAATTATCTTCTTGAGTTTGCTGTGTGGTTCCAGGTCGTTGGTAGAAGAGGCATTGAGTTATTTTGGGGGTGGCTTCAATTTCAAGGTTAATTCTAAATGGAAAGGGATGTCAGCTAACCACCTAGCCCTTATAGATACTGTCCTCTTAACTTTCCTTCCCTTTCTTAAAGATATTTGACTCTTCTGTAGTTCTCTTTTAACGCACCAGAACCATTAAAATAAGGGAAGCTGAATGGACAGTTTAACTTTTTAATCAACCCTGTATAGATACCTTTCAATTTCCCTTTCTCTCTTTTTGAATAAAGAAACATTTTATTGTTTGCTCTCTATTTTAAAGTAACTCACAGTGTCAAATTAAAAAGAGAGTTTATTTCATTAGGTTTTTGGAAGGTGACACATTTTGCTAATAGCAGCATTTTCTATTTGATAGTAATTAAATGATTATTACTTTGTTTCACTTCGATTGAAATACAAACCAGTAATCACCACCAAGACAAGTATGGTTAATAGGTAATTTCTTCTTAAGTAGGAATGGGGTCTGGAATTTAACAGAGCCCAAACAAGCATTTTAATTTTAGCTAGCTACAGAGCCTTCCTCAGATTTGCAAAGAGAGGGAAAAATGAACATTGAATACCTACCAGGTGCTAGGCACTGGGCATTATCTTGTGTGACTCTTAAACCTGTGAGGTAGGTATCATTAGCTTGCTCTTTCAACCAGGAAATAGTGGAGTAAAGTGACAGAGCTCAAATTTACTTCCAAATCTTTCTTGCTCTCAAATCCACGCCAAACTCTTTGGCACCCTGCTTCAAATGTGTAAACCCAGAAATGTTACTGCCTGAGTTACGTTAGTGCTTATTTACTTTGATTACTCTTTAAGTTTTCTGATATGGAAAGTTTCAAATATATTCAAAAGCAGAATTGTTTAATGAACCCCAGTGTACTTATCTCCCAGCTTCAGCAGTCTGATCTTGTTTCTTTCCTACCACTACCCTCCCAACTTCTTGATTATTTTGAAGCAGATCTTAGCTATATCAGTTCCTCTCTAAAAGTATTTCACTCTGTGTTGCTGGCAGATAAGGGCCCTTTTTGATACCACCAATTGCCTCACCTAAAAAAACCTAACAGTAATTCCTTGGTATCATCAAATATCCAATCAATTCCTTTAATTGTCTCTTACAATGCTTTAAAAAAGCAAGACAGTTAAGTCATCTTTATAGTTACTTTTAATTAACATACAAAATTTCTGAATCAAGAAGAGGTTCAGAGATTCAACTGAGTGTGTGTTCTGGGACCTAGGATACTACTTAGGTCATTAGTCTCCTTTCCTGTGACTTACTAGATTAGGTATCTTCTTTTTAGTTTTCCATCACATAATCCCCTTGGAGAAGCCTTAAAGGAATGTTACACCATCCAAAGTGACCTCTCTGTGCAGCTTTTATGATTTTGGCAGGAAAACAAGCAAGAAAGGAGTGGGTGCAGTGGGAGATGATGCAGGAAGCTGTGAGCACCAGAAGTGAGACTATTACAGAGGATGTGGAATACGGGTAAAGAATAGAACAGATTGCCTTGGTTTGCTGAGAATACCAGTTTCCAGTATGACTTTAGGTCCCCTCAGGTTACTTCATTTAGCAGACACTAATTGAGTGACTCTGGTGGGTCAGGCATGGTAGTAGGCATTGAGAGTAAGTCAGTGAGCAAACCAGACAAAGATCCCTTCATGGAACTTACTGCTGGTGGGTGTGATTGTCACCTGATGATGACAGAGCTATGCTTCTGGTCATGCAGCTATTGTGATGCTTCTCTGAGGAGAAAGCTCCATTCCTAGTCCTAATGGGTCATATTGTAAACATTTTAAAATCTGAGCAGCAAATTTGTTTTTCTGATTTGAAGGTGCCAGTGATGATGCAGTTAGCTGCTCAGTGATGCTGGAAGTCCTTCGCGTCTTGTCAACATCTTCAGAAGCCTTGCATCATGCTGTCATATTTCTCTTTAATGGTGCTGAGGAAAATGTCTTGCAAGTGAGATTTTACTGTTTTAAATATCAGGCTTGAATAAGGATGAGATTAATAATAATAGCTAAATATTATTTACTAAATAGTAAATGCATTTTTTATGACTCCTGTGGGTAGTATAAAATAATATGCAGAAAAATACTTTATGAGCAGTACTTTAACAAATTCACAACCACTTATGTAGAGATGTTTAATATTTGGAAAACTCCACTTAGCAGATTATTGTGGCAGGATTTGATTGAGAGAAGGGCTCTCGCTGGCATAATTACTCTCCTCAGGTTTTCTTTGACATTGAAGTTTCAGAGATGTTTTGAGACAGGCACAAATAAATGCCCAGCCATATGGATCGTCTCTTCTCCTGTTCTCTTTTTTTTCTTTCTTTTTAAAAAGAGAAGGGGGCCAGGCACGCTGGCTCATGCCTATAATCCCAGCACTTTGGGAGGCCGAGGCAGGCAGATCACGAGGTCAGGAGTTTGAGACCAGCCTGGCCAACATGGTGAAACCCCGTCTCTACTAAAATTACAAAAATTAGCCAGGCGTGGTGGTGGGTGCCTGTAATCCCAGCTATTCGGGAGGTTGAGGCAGGAGAATCGTTTGAACCTGGAACGTGGAGATTGCGGTGATCCGAGATCGAGCCATTGCACTCCAGCCTGGGCCACAGGCTCTGTTTCAAAAATGAGCAAACAAAAAAAGAGGGAGTCTCGCTATGTTGCCCAGGCTGGTCTCGAACTCCTGAGCTCGGGTGATCTTCCCACCATGGCCTCCCAAAGTTTTGGGATTACAGGTGTGAGCCACCGTGCCTGGCCCTCTTTGCCTTTTCTTTTGCACAGCCTTGTACTTACCAGGGATGTTGTTTGGCACCGCTGATGGTCACCAGGCTGCCTTCTGTGATAGGTGACTTTCCGAACCTGATGTGCATGGCCATTATGCATAGGAAAAGAAGCAGAAGATGTCTTTGGATACTGCCTTTGAAGAGCGATTATTTTGTTTTCATATTCCTTACCTCATCAAAGTAGTCTCTCTGTGTTTAAGCAAAATCAAGACTGATAATTTAAGATTGTTTAACAAATATTTGTTTTCTTTCCTTCTCTTTAAGGCCAGTCATGGTTTCATTACTCAGCACCCCTGGGCTAGCTTGATTCGTGCATTCATTAACCTAGAGGCAGCAGGTGTAGGAGGGAAAGAACTTGTATTCCAAACAGGTATGTGAGATTGTGCGTTGTATATTTTAATGCAATTCTAGTTTTTGTAAAAGTAGAAAGTTTTTGATTATAAATAATATCTTCAATAAACAGTCTCTTGAATGAGCATTCTTTTTAAAGCATGAGGTGGTGTTAGCTTGTCTTTGTTAAAAATTTTGAACCAAATAATGCAGCATCTAACACTTGTATAGTGCTTATTATATGCCAAGTGTTGTTCAAACCATTTCATATATATTAAGTCATTGAATCCTCCAAACAACATGTAAGATAAGTACTGTTACTTCCATTTTAGAGATGAAACTGAGTCCAGAGAGATTATAACTTGCCTAAGGTTTCACAGTTGTTTAATGGCAGAGTGTGATTTGAACCTAGACAGTCCGGGTCCAGAAACTTTGTTCTTAACCTCTAATTGGATTGTTATATAGGTAGTGAACTTTTAGCCACTGTGGGTGGTTATGATATAAATATTGTTAAATGTCAATCATTTCATGAGTTAAAATGAGAAAATTTACCTGTAGTGTATGTAACAGGTTTAAATTTATCATTGATTTAGTGGAATGTTAAAAAAATTTAGTAATATTTAATCAGCCAGAATAATTTTTATTTTATTGTTTTTTTAGAGACAGAGCCATGCTCTGTCACCCAGGCTCGAGTGCACTGGTGCCATCATGCAGCCTTGACCTCCTGGGTTCAAGTGGTTCTCCTGTCTCAGTTTCCTGAGTTGCTGGGACTGCAGGTGCTTGCTATCACGCCTGGCTATTTAAAAATTTTTTTGTAGAGACAGGCTCCCATTATGTTTCCCAGGCTGGTCTCAAACTCCTGGGCTCAAGTGGTCCTCCTGCCTTGGCCTCCCAAAGTGCTGGGATTACAAGCATGAACCACCATGCCTGGCCCAGAGAAATAGTTTTAGTTTTATGATTAAACTTTTCTAAGGATATCAACTTAGCCTATTTATGCCTAGTGTTCCATTATTGGAACGCTAAGCATGTGGGAGTTATTTATATCCTACTGCTCAAGCCTCATCGCCAAGGTCTGATTTTTCACACATGCAAAAATTAAAAAAATTGCAACCTCAGGCATAAATGGGTTTTAATTGTCTTTATTAACAAAATTCAGAGCTCATAGATTTTTTTAGTGGGGGCATACTAAAATTTGACATTGGAAGTTCCATTCCATTTCCCTGCCCTGTTAGAAATTTGGGTAATGCATTTTATCCAGAGATGTAGCATTTGCTAGATGTTTTAATATTCAAGAGTGTGTTGTGTGCTGAGATGGGCTAGGTGAAGTAAGATGATGTGGGAACTTGTTTTGTAGCACCCTCTTAAGACCTGATTTTATTTAAATTATGAAACTATGCTAAGTATGTCTTCATAACCTAAACAATACTATATTTTAATAGTCTCCATCAAACTTATTTTAATCTTTTATCTTTCAAAATGTATGTATATTTTACTTTAGCTAAGCGTTTGAGATTCTCAAGGTCATGATGTCAGAAGCAGCAAGGTTCTGTTTTCAATTCTCAAACCTTTCTGCTTTATTCTTACTCTAACTAATGAGAAGAAGCTGGGATCTAATATCTACAAGAGTGAGTAGATACATTATTATAGAGATATATCTATATCTATATATTTATTTATTTATTTTGAAGCAGGGTCTCACTCCGTTGCCCAGGCTGGAGTGTAGTGGTATGATCTCGGCTCACTGCAACCTCTGCCTTGAGAGCTCAAGACATCCTCCCAGCTCAGCTTCCCAAGTAGCTGGGACTACAGGCATATACCACCATGCCCGGCTAATTTCCTTTTTTTGTAGAGATGGGGTTTGGCCATGTTGCCCAGGCTGGTCTCAAACTCCTGAGCTCAAGCAGTCCTCCTGCTTCAGCCTCCCAAAGAGCTGGGATTACAGGCACGAGCCACCACGCCCGGCCTCTTTCTATTTCTTGGATGTCAGTTAGGATAGGAGGAACACATACATGTAACAACCACCAGATCAAAAAGCAGCAAAAGAAAATTCTGAAGGAGAGAGGACACTCAGTCTTCTTTCCTATTGTGAAAAATGTCAGGGCTCCATGTAAGCAGGAGTGTGTCTGTGTATTTTCCATGTTGAAGTATACTATGTGTTAAGTGCCTTCATCTCCATGCTTTTAATTTATTAGCACAGCACCTTGCCCCTATACTGCTCCTATCCAGAGAAAAACCAGCCTTATGGTTTAATCTGCACCCTTTCTAGATTTTTTTCTATGTACATATATATTAATGCATAAGTATTTTATGTACGTATGTTAACATATTTTACATATGTGTAGTCCGGAGAGGTTAAAACACTTACCAAGGGCTAGTCAGGTCCAGACTGACTAACATTACTTATTTACATTTATTAAGTACTCATTTTTGGTAGGCCTGGGCAGCCCAGAGTCCTTACTCTTTTTATTAAATGCATATGGTTTTAGACAAAAATTCTGCAGCTGCATAAATTCTAAAAATAATTACATTATCTGAAAGGGTGTAAACAAACTGTTAATAATGCTCCTAGCTGGATGGTGAGCAGTTGCTGGTAGAACTGGGCTGTGTGTGACTGGAATGGAGGACTAGGTTAAAGGTAAAACAACAGTTTAAATTCTCTGTTGCTTCATGAATTTAAGACCAGAATTGATTGTCATTAATGCACTACTTTCTATAATTTTATGTATTTAAATTTTTGCAATGTATATGATCACTTTAATAATAAAGCAAAAAACAGATTTATGACTGGTTAGTATAAACATAAAATTTAAATGTTTTACTTGTTCTGAAATCCCCATGTTTCAAAATTAATTTTTTTGGAGGGGTGTCATACAAAAGATTTGAAGAGATTATTTCCCTCCTTACTCTGAAATTTTACATGATTTTTTCTCCCTCTAGGTTTTGGAGCTCATTATTTTGGCTAAACTCCATACCTGAAAGCTTTCTGGGTGCTTTCTGACATTCTGATACCTTTCCCAGCATCTCTGTCACTTTTAATGCCACTGCCTACAAAAGACTGCGCTTCTTGTGGGCATGGCTTTCAAAAAGCTAGTTAGTGTTATTTTCATGTTTGACTAAAAGAGGATAAAGGCCCTCCTGGGTTTGGAGTTGTGCTTGAGAGTATATGCCAGATTGTGCTGTCCTCAGCTTTTTAAACCATACTCCTTTTTCTGTGTGATAATATTTGTCCTGCCCTGGAAACTTTTTGGTTAAACAGTTTGTGCTCTGGAACTCCCTTGTCACTTCTGAGAGCGACATTCATTTGGGGAGTTTTTAGTGACTAGAATAATCATTACTACCTAATTTTTAAGAAGGGCCAGAAAGAATGACTTGATTTTATCAGACCAGTGACCTCATTTCATGAGTGAGAGAGGCTTGATAGCAAAAGGGTCACAGAATCTTTTTTCCTCTTGGGAAAATATTCATGCCCCTGTAATTCTACCATCCAGAGCAAACTAGTGTAATAGTTTAGTCTATACTCTTCTAGAATTTTTTTCTAAATGCAAACATTAATATACATTTATATATGTGTATATATATTTCTTGGCAAAAATAGAATCATATTCTGTCTGCTACTTTATAGCCACCTTTTCTTTTTGAGGTGGAGTCTCGCTCTGTCGCTTAGAGTGGAGTGCAGTGACGCGATCTCAGCTCACTGCACCCTCTGCCTCCTGGGTTCAAGCGATTCTCTTGCCTCAGCCTGCCATGTAGCTGGGATTACAGGTGTGTGACACCATGCCTGGCTAATTTTTGTATTTTTAGTGGAGACGGGGTTTCACCATGTTGGCCAGGCTGGTCTCGAACTCCTGAGCTCAGGTGATCGGCCCACTCAGTTTCCCAAAGTGCTGGGATTACAGGTGTGACCCACCACGCCCGGCCTGTAGCCTTCTTTAGAATGAATTCTTTTTTTTAAAGTTACAGCTTTATTGAGATATATAATTCTTAGTTGTGCAATCATCATCATAATCAATTTTAGAATGTTTTTATCATCCCAAATAGGAAACTCATTAGCAGTCACTCCCATTTTCCCCCATCCCTAGGCAACTGCCTGTCTACTTTGTGTCTCTATAGATTTTCCTGCTGTAGACATTTCATATAAATGTAATCATACAACACGTGATTGTTTGCGTTTGGGTTTTTTTACTTAGTGTAATGTATTTCAGATTGTTAATCTAAATAACAGAGGGAGACTCTCAAAGAAGATGGTATTTAGTAATGGGTGTTGCAGTAGGAATACATGTGCCATAGTAAACTGTGAAACTATGTGCCATAGTAAACCAGGGCAGTAAAGGAAGACAAAAGTTTTTATAGGAAAAATGAAGAGGATTACATAATTTTTTAGGGATAATTATCCTTGGCTACAAGGATCAATAACAAGGGTGGCACCAGTCTGAGATTGGACAGGCAGTTGCTGGGCTGATGTCCTTGCTGAAGTTTTTTGTTTGATATGAGGTTGCAATGGCCTTTATGCAAGGTTGTGGTTTTTGAAGAGTCTTTTGTGATAATTCTTGTTATCAGGCATTTGTGCATGAGAACCCTCCCTTCATGGCCTTCCCTGGCTCCGTTATCGGAGTTTTTAACGCAAGTGAGTCTGTTTTGATTCTGACAGCTTTCACAAGGTTCATCCACATTGTCGCATGTATTAGTACTTCATTTTTTTTTAATGGCTGACTAACCCATTGTATGGATGTATTATGTTTCGTTTATCCATTCATCCATCGATGGATATTTGGATTGTTTCCACTTTTAGACTTTTATGATAATGCTGGAGTAAACATTCATGTGTAAGTCTTTGTGTAAACGTATATTTTCATTTCTTTTAGATACCTAGGAATGGAATTCCTGGGATGTATAGTAAATTTATGCATAGCTTTTTAAGAAACTGCCAAATTAAACAGTTTTATTTGAGAATAAATGCAAATACATATAACAGTAAGGATTTTTAAAATACTTGATCAGCAAAAAGTTAGTAAAATGATAATGCCCAGTGCTGATGAGTATAAGCAGTCATTTTCATACACTGTTAGTGAGAATGTAGATGTGCATTTTGGCAACATGTATTACTTTTTTAAATGTGCAGGCTCTTCAGTTCAGCAGACCCATTTCTGGGAATTTAACCTGCAGAAATAGTTGACATAAATCTAAGTCATCTTGGGTTTTCTTTTCTTTTCTTTTTTTTTTTTTGAGATAGGATCTTGCTTTGTTGCCCAGGCTGGAATGTGGTGGAGCAGTCATGGCTCACTGGTTTCCAGCTCCTGGGCTCAAGTGATCTGCCTGCTTCAGCCTCCTGAGTAGCTGGGATGACAGGCACGTGCCACCATGCCCAGCCAGTTTTTTACTTTTTGTAGAGACAGGGTCTCACTGTGTTGCCCAGGCTGGTCTCAAACTTCTGGACTTAAGCAGTCTTCCTTCCTTGGCCTCCCAAAGTGCTGGGATTAAAGGCATGAGGCATCATGTCCAGTCTTGGTTTTCTCTTAAGAGTAGAAAATTGGAAATACCTTTAGTGTATGAGTAGGAGACTGGTCATGATAATTTTTTTCTTTCTTCCATCATTAATTTTTCTCTCTCTATAGGATCATTTCCATTTGCATGCAGACATACCTTTTCCTCCATTTTAAAGAAAACCACTTTTATCACAACCTGCTAGCTAGTCTTATTCCTCTGACCCTCTACTGCAGAATTCCTCAAAAGAATGGTCTGTAGTCATAGTCTTGAATAACTGCTTTTTTTTTTTTTTGAGATAGGATCTTGCTTTGTCATCTAGGCTGGAATGCAGTGATGCAATCATGGCTCACAGTTCTCCAGCTCCTGGGCTCAAGTGATCCACCTTGATATACCGAGATCCACCAAAATCGATAGATCCACCATGTGATCTATTCTTGAACAATTCTAGTCAGCTTTAGCCTCCCCACTTCACCACGACTATTCTTGTAAAGGTCACATTGGCAAATTCAGTCAGTTTTCAGGCCTCATGTTACTTGGCTTCCATCATAATATTTACCACTCTTAGTCTCTTTTATTAGTTCCTCCTTTTTTTTTTTCCTTTTGTGTATTGATGCCGTAACTAGAGATTGAAGGAAGTAAAGCAGTGGAAGGATGCTGTGGGTCTGCTGAGCTGGGTCTGTTTTCCCTGGACTTCTAGAGAACTTTGACTTACTATTCTTGGCACTGAGGCCTACCTCCTCTGAACGTTACGCATGCCCATACTCTTTGCATTAAGAAAGATGAGGCTCATTCTTGAGAAATGAACACACAAGAAGCTGGAAGCATCATAGGATTTAGATGATGGCAGGAGAAAGAATGTCAATTGAAAATGTTTCTGTATCTGCCTGCCACCTTACTCTGTAAGATAACTAAAAGGTTTTGCGTGGAGGTAGGATAGGGTACTGATTAAGAGCATAGGCTCTGGCCGGGTGTGGTGGCTTACGCCTGTAATCCCAGCACTTTGGGAGGCCAAGGCGGGCGGATCACCTGAGGTCAGGAGTTCGAGACCAGCCTGGCCAACATTGTGAAACCCTGTCTCTACTAAAAGTACAAAAATTAGCCAGGCATGGTGGCGGGCGCTTGTAATCCCAGCTACTTGGGAGGCTGAGGCAGGAGAATCGCTTGAACCCGGGAGGCAGAGGTCACAGTGAGCCGAGATCATGCCATTGCATTCCAGCCTGGACGACAGAGCGAGAGACTCTGTCTCAAAAAAAAGGCTGGGCACGGTGGCTCATGCCTGTAATCCCAGCACTTTGGGAGGCCGAGGCAGGCGGATCACGAGGTCAGGAGATCGAGACCTTCCTGGATAACATGGTGAAACCCCATCTCTACTAAAAATACAAAAAATTACCCGGGCATATTGGCAGGCGCCTGTAGTCCCAGCTACTTGGGAGGCTGAGGCAGGAGAATGGTGTGAACCCGGGAGGCAGAGCTTGCAGTGAGCCAAGATTGAGGTGCTGTACTCCAGCCTGGGAGACAGAGCGAGACTCTGTCACCAAAAAAAAAAAAAAAAAGCATAGGCTCTGTAGTTAGATGATCTAAGGTCAAACCTCAAAACTTTAGCTATAGCACATTCTACACGTGGAACCTTGGACAGGTCATGTGACCACTCCGAGCTTCACTTCCTCATCTGTAGTTCATTCTTTTTTCTTGCCGAACACTAGTCAATTCTACAACAATTGATCCATTCCGTTGGTGCTGTTATGTTGTTTCCAGGTTTTTGCTATGAATGGTGCTGCTGTGAACATTCTCGTAAATGTCTTTTGGTACACATGTATGTGTATGCACATTTCTGAGTGGAATCGCTGGGTCATAAGATGTGTATATGTTCAGCTTTGGTAGATATTTTGGGTAGGTAATACCAACTTTAGATGCAAAAGTCCTAAATTAAGTATTAGCAAACTGAATCCAGGAATATTTATATATACAAAAGATAATACTTTCCAACCAAGTTGATCAACAGGATGGTATAATATTTGAAAATCAATCTGTGTAATTCACTACATTATCAGAATAAAGAGAAAAATCATGTCAATTGATAATCTCAGGATGATCATCTCAGATAAACAGGGACATGCTCTTCTGTAACAGAACATTGATCACACTCAAGAAATATTAATATTAAACTATAATAATGCATATTCAGATTTTTCCAGTTGTTCCATTAATGTCCTAACCATTTAAAAAAAAATCTGGGTTCCTACCCAGGATCAAATATAGCATTTAATTATAAAGTTGAAAACTTAATTATTGTAAGGTGAAAATCTTTTTAACTCTGTCTCATGGAAGAGGGTGGATTGCCTTGCCTGCCTAGGCATTTTTTTTAACCTCTCTTCTCAAATACAACTCCCTCCCATCTAAGAGGAACTATTATCCTAAGTTTTAAGATAATTAATGATAGTTTGGCTTTACCTGTTTTTCAGTATGGTTTTCATTGTATTTTTTAGCATAAATTTCTTAATATCAAATAGTAATATTTTAATAATAGTATTTTAATATGATAAGATCTCGTAATGTACGTATTTCCCCATCATCATAGTTCTTTTTCCTTTTGTATTTGTGTCCTCAGTGCATCACATCAGGATGCATGTGGTATCTGTTTGTCTCATTATTAATGATACTACATTTTCATCGTTTGATTAAGGTATTTATTTGCCAGGTTTTTCTACTATTTCTTTCTTTGTACAAGTTACTGATTTCCCCTTAGTGATAGATACTTTAGGTAAATATCCTGTTTGTCATAAAACTTTGATCCTAGTTTTAGCAATCATTGATGACTCTTGTCCCCAAGCATTTTTATTACAATGTTTACCAAATGCTACTGCTGAGTTTCTGGTTCCATCATTCTGCCTGTAGGTCATAGTTGGAATTCTGCAAGAAGGAAGGCTTTCCATTTTCCTTTTTTTTTTTTTTTTTTTGTTATTTCAGTACTTTATGTATTTTAATTTTACTCTATATATTCTGTTACTATTGTTTATTTTGTTGCATGAATTGTCCCAGTTTAGGCCAGTGGTGTCTATTTCAAATCAGTGCCTGAGCCCCTTTGACATGTCTTTTTGATCACTTTCTTACTTTCTGGCACAGATGTTTCAACTTACCTTGTACTTTGCTAGTCCCAGACCTGGAATCAGCCATTTCTCTAAGGAGGCTTGGTTTCTTTTGGTGGGGAATAGTATTCAAAAGTAAATGGTGCCAGATACAGTTTTTCTTTATATTTATCTTGTTTGGGGTTTGTAGACCTTTTTGAATTCGTGGCTTGAATTCTATGAGTTTTGGAAGATTCTTGGCCATTAAGTCTTTAAACATTTATCTTCTCCATTCTATCTTCTGTTCTTTTGGGACTCCAATTACTCACATTTGTGTATTTTCCAACCTTTTTTTCTTTTTATGCTTTAATTTTAATCCTTTCTTCTGCTGTATTAAACTTTGTGTTAAGCCCATTTATTAAAATTCGCAACATCAGTTATGTTTTTTCATTCTAGGATTTCCATTTGTAGGACTCTTTTAAATAGATTATACTTGTCTGGTGAAATTACTGATATCTGTGTTTTTTAAAACATATTAATCATAATTATTTTAGAATCTGTGTCTGGTAACTCCAGTATCTGGATTACTTGTATGTCTGTTTCTATAGGGTCCCTCTGCTTTTTTGGGTCATTTTTAATTTTTAATTTTTATTTTTTCAGATGGAGTCTCACTCTGTCACCCAGGCTGGAGTGCAGTGGCACAATCTTGGCTCAGTGCAGCCTTCACCTCACAGGTCTAAGCAATTCTCCTGCCTCAGCCTCCTGAGCAGCTGGGATTACCATGCCCTGCTTATTTTTGTATTTTTAGTAGAGGTGGGGTTTTGCCATGTTGGCCAGGCTGGTCTTAAATGCCTGACCTCAGGTGCTCTGCCCACCTCGGCCTCCTAAAGTGCTGGGATTATATGCGTGAGCCACTGCACCCAGCCTTGGTCATTTTTTAAAATGTAGGAAAGCAATTTTATAATCTGTGAAGTTAAAAAAACAATATTCTTAGATTCCCTGACATTCAGTTACTTGGTCTGTTTACATCAGTCAATATGTTGCTAAGTTTTGTGGTAACAACCCCAAAATCTTGGTGGTTTACAACAGCAAAGGCTTATTTCTTGCTCGTGTTGCATTTTGGTTTCTGAATAACTGCAGTTATGGTCCACGGTTATTATGTTCCATGTGTCTTATTCATTCTGGGATCCAGGCTGAAGGAGAAGCCCCTATAAGGGATGTATTGATCTCACAAATCAAAGTTAAGGATAAGTATGAATGATGTTAATGCCTTTGAAAACTCTGCCCAGTTGAGGGTCATGTCATTCCTCCTCACAGTCTGTTGGCTAGAGCAAGTCATGTAGCCACGCCTGCAGTTAATAGGTACAGAAGAGTATGTACTCATTCCCCAGGCAGGCATTACAAGGTATGTGGCAAGAGTAGGAATGTATAATCCTTTTTCAGCGAGGGAAGAGTGAATAATTATACAATTATACATATAATTATATAATTATAATTATATAAATATACGTATAATTATATAATTATATAAATTATAAAACAATGTATCCCACTATCCTACAGGAAAAACTCCCATTTGAAAAAGCTGTAGATGTATGAGATACAGATGGAAAATTATTAATAATGATAAATTATAAAAAGTAACAAGGAACTTTATGGCATATTCAGTGAAATGTTAAGCAGTTATCAAAATGATTATTATAATACAGATTGAGCATCCCTAATCTGAAAATTTGAAATCCATAATGCTCCACAATTCACAACTTTTTGAGCACTGACATGATGCTCAAAAATGTTCATTGGAGCATTTCTGATTTTGGATTTTAGGATTAGGGATGCTTACTAGTATAATGCAGATATTCCAAAATCCGAAAAAGTAAAAAATCCAAAATACTTCTGATCCCAAGCATTTCAGATAAGGTATACCCAATTTGTATCTAGCAACATAGGAAAATGCATTTAATATAATGTTAAGTGAAAACAAATGTACAAAGTATATATATCTTGAGTACAGCTATATACACACAATTCTACATTAGTAAGAAAATTAAAGATATACAATTGATAATAGGCATTTTAGGATGATAGATTTATGAATGATCTTTCATTTTCAGACAGACTTTTGTATTGCTGTTATTTTATACTTTATTTTCACAAAAGGTTTTTATTCTAAAAGTCAAACACATATATCAGAGAAACATTGGAAACTACAGAAAAAGGGATGAAAAGGTACATATTGGACCCGTCTCCCAAAACCACCACTTTTACTGTTTTCTATGTGTTGAAAAACATTAGTATGTTAAAAAAAATTGCCGGAATACCTTCTATTGTGTTGTCATCTTTCATTTTAGGTCCTGAAAATCCTTGGTTGGTTCAAGCTTATGTTTCAGCAGCTAAACACCCTTTTGCTTCTGTGGTGGCTCAGGAGGTTTTTCAGAGTGGAATCATTCCTTCAGATACTGACTTTCGTATCTACAGGGATTTTGGGAACATTCCAGGTATATTGTCAATGGTTACGGCCTACTGTGCAGCATTTATTTATCAAAAGCAAATTTTAAATCTTGAAAGTATGTGAGTAAACAGCATTTTCTGAGATCAAATTCTTTATGTGAGAAATATACATTGACTCACTAAAACAGAGTTTGTTTCCTTTTTTAAACTCCATACTAATTTAAATGCTGGCCTCCTCTAAAATATGTCATCTTTCCCCATAGAAGAACAGGGGTGAACTGTTTAGCACCTCATTCCCAAAAGATGGTAATAGATCCTTCAGGGGTCTTTCGTTGTTGTCTTGGTTTGCCAACTCCCTTGGCAACTTGTATGTACAACTTATTTGAAGTTAAAATTTGGCTCTGGCCTGGCAAGAATGTAGGTGGCAAAATTTTCATGACCTCCCAAACTCAATATTCCTATCCTTGCTGTGTGACTTGTAATGCCTACCTGTGGAGTAATATACTTCTTCAATCATTATGTATCGAATTATGTACCAAAGCTATAGACTGTGTAAGAATTTGGAAGAGAATTTATATCAGTCGTTTGTAAATGTGACAAAGCAATCGTGCCACTGCTTTGACATTTTGTCTTTTAGGAATTTATTAAAGAAATAGGTCGAAAGCAAGGTTGATCTTTAAAGCAAAATGACTTTTTTTTTTCTATATATATGTTTTAGGAATAGACTTAGCTTTTATTGAGAATGGATACATTTATCACACCAAGTATGACACAGCGGACAGAATTCTAACAGATTCCATTCAGAGAGCAGGTTGGTATTCCAATTTAGACTTTTGATATACACTAAGATGGAATGTTAGGGATGATACATAAACTTGTAAATATTCTGTGGCCTGTGCATTAGAGAGGCAGTATGCAATGTGAATGAGCTAGGGCTTTGGAGTTGGAGAGATGAGATCTTGAATTTTAGTCTTGTAGTCTAGTGTAGCAATTAAGGTCAGGAATATTCATTGTGAGGAAATGAAAAAGGAGTTGGCCCAGGGTTGGGAGGATTGCTGAGTGGTAAGAATGTAGCTCTGTTAGTCTCCCATGATGTTTTCCTGTGGAACTCTGCTAGCTCTCCTCAATTTTTAACACATGTGTGACAGCTTGTTCAGCATCTCTGAGCTTCGTGAAAGGCCTTTGTCTCTTGGTTCACCACTAAATTTCTGATATCTAGAAGAGTGTCTAGTACAGTTAATATATATTATTAAATGAATGGGTACCAAGAAACAGCCATTGGATTTGTCAACAATGAAGGTACAATTGATCACAGAGAATAGTTCTAATAGAAGGGAAAAGATACAGGCCAGTTGGCTGAGCGTCTGAGTGGAGAGGAAATGGAGAAAGGCAGGGGATGGACCTTATTTGAGAAATTTAGTAAAAAAAGTGAGGGAGAGCAGTAGGATGGTAGAAAGCGATTTCTGTTCACATTCTTTCTAACCATTTCTTCATTCAAACAGTATATGGTTTATTTCTGCTTTAAATAGTGGTATGTGTAAATCACAAATAGTTTATTCAGCCTTTTTATCTTTTTCCTTTTCTTTCTTTTTTTTTTTGTTTTTACTAATAGGTGACAACATTTTAGCAGTTCTTAAGCATCTAGCTACATCTGATATGCTGGCTGCTGCTTCTAAGTATCGACATGGAAACATGGTCTTCTTTGATGTGCTGGGCCTGTTTGTCATTGCCTACCCCTCTCGTATTGGCTCAATCATAAACTACATGGTGGTAATGGGTGTTGTTTTGTACCTGGGCAAAAAATTTTTGCAGCCCAAACATAAGAGTAAGTATTTTCCTCTAAAACTACAAATACTGGCATTGCTGTAGAATGTGCTTGAAGTTTTTCAGTCAGTTTGTTTATATCTTCCCAGAAAGCTAAAAATCTTAAGACAATGTTTGCTTTATATTGTAAGAAATTTTTAAATATTAAATTAATATGCTTATTTTACTTTTAGTCTTGGTGAAGCAGTCAATTTTTATATATTTAGGCACTCCATAAAAGTACCACATAGAAACTATTGAAAAATGGTTTGTACAGATTGACTTCTAATGAAAAGTCCCATTAAAAAGTCCACACTACAGACCAATAGCTAGTATGGACCAGTGTCACGAAGTATGAATGAACTGCTTGTGGTTAAACTGTTTCTTTTATTTGAAATATTTCTGCTTGAAATGTTTCAGAGTCTAAGTTGTTGTGTGCTGTTACGAGATAAAATATTTAGCAGCAGTTTAAATAATTCTTTATCAACGCTTATTTTCCCCACACTCCTTATCTTCTTATGTTACCTTATTTTAACAACATTTTATATGGAACTTTGCCTTCCATTCTTGCTAATATTTTGATACACAAAGCATACCAAAAGTGAAGAAGATTAAGACTATCCTCTTCCTTCATAAGGAATGTACCTGAACTATTCCTAGAAGATTTATCTTTTTGAGTGTTTAGTATCTAGAGACTCTTAATAAATGTTACCTGAATATTATTATTTGATACCTCCCTTGTTCTTGTGTTTGGCCAATCTCAACACTAGGACATTTTCATACTTTTCAAGTACAGTGGGGAGTTTTTTGTTTTAATGTTTGCCCATTTAGCTCTACTGACTGGTTATATAACTGATTTGATGAAGATGGTGATTTCAACTTTTTGTTTTCTCTTCATTAGCTGGTAACTACAAGAAGGACTTCTTGTGTGGACTTGGCATCACTTTGATCAGCTGGTTCACTAGCCTTGTTACCGTTCTCATTATAGCAGTGTTCATCTCTCTTATTGGACAGTCTCTCTCATGGTATAACCACTTCTATGTCTCCGTTTGTCTGTATGGAACTGCAACTGTAGCCAAAATAATACTTATACATACTCTTGCGAAAAGATTTTATTACATGGTAAGTGTTTGGTATATTTGTTGATTTCTTTCTGTTGCCTCCAGGGACTGAAGATGAACTTAAGTGTGATTCATTGTATTTGGCCTTTTGAGTGCTAAAAAATTGTTCAGCATGGTTATGGAAAACGCACCTACACTGTGTTAATTTTCTGAAAGATTTCTTATTCTGAGGGTAATGTCACAAAATTCAAATGAGGTTATAAAGCCGGGCTGTTAACAGTGTTAGGGTGGTGGTGACTGGAAGGCTTGTTAGCACAGCCTTCTACTGAATTTGCTGCAGTGTTTGTAAATATGTCCTGGGCTCACCCACTTATTTATGTTATTTGAATATCTGTTCTCCATTGGAGTGTAAGCTCCTTGAGGATAGGGATTGTTTTATTTATTTCTGTATCCTCTGTGCTTAGGTAGTGTCTGACACACAGCATTAACACACAGCAAGTATTTGTTGCCTAAAAGAATGTTGTACTTAAAGTTTTTTCAGTTTTTCCCTCACTGTTTTTTCTTTTTAACTGTATATTGTTGATTCAGATTCTGCATGCATGTATGTCATTGGAGTTAAAAGACACATTGCTAAGGAAAACAGAGGGAAGGGAAATAGGGTTCCAAATGATTTATACTGAGAATATTGTTATATTATTATGGTTTCAAATGCATAAATTTGTTTGGCAAAAATAAAATTAGAAATTAGGGCTGGCCGGGCGCGGTGGCTCACGCCTGTAATCCCAGCACTTTGGGAGGCTGAGGTGGGCGGATCACAAGGTCAGGAGATCGAGACCATCCTGGCTAACACGGTGAAACCCCGTCTCTACTAAAAATACAAAAAATTAGCCGGGCGAGGTGGCGGCGCCTGTAGTCCCAGCTGCTCGGGAGGCTGAGGCAGGAGAATGGCGTGAACCCGGGAGGCGGAGCCTGCAGTGAGCTGAGATTGAGCCACTGCACTCCAGCTGGGGCGACAGCGAGATTCTGTCTCAAAAAAAAGAAATTAGGGCTATGGGCTGGGTGCTGTGGCTCATGCCTGTAATCCCAACACTTTGGGAGGCTGGGCAGGCGGATCGCTTTAGCCTGGGCAACATGGTGAAACCCTGTCTCCACAAAAAATACAAAAAATTAGCCAGGCATGGTGGTGTGTGCCTGTAGTCCCAGCTACCTGGGTGGCTGAGGTAGGAGGATTACCTGAGCCCATGAGATCAAGGCTGCAGTGAGCTGTGATTGTACCACTGCACTCCAGCCTAGGGGACAGAGTGAGACCCTATCTCAAACAAACAAACAAACAAAAATTTAAAAAGCTGTAAAATAATAGGTCTAAAAATGAATTACAGTGAAGAGTCATGGTTTCAGATTGTTTATGTGAATTAAAGAGGAAGATCTTTCTTAGCTCCATGTAAGCCTACTGTTTTCAATTTATCCTGATAAAGATTAGAATGAGACATGGATGATTTTAACCCAACATCCTTCCACAAGTATGTCTTTGGTATCTGAACTTTGGTCTGAGTTTCAGTTAATGTTGGGATGTGTTCTGTGGAACCTTCCATGTTAGCAGCTCCTGCTGAAGGAAGGTTCTTTGAGGTTAGCCGTCTGCTTATGGTTGAGCTCATATTTTTATCTTAGTGGCTTCAGTTCCCAAAAGAATTATACCGTGGGGCTCAATTTCACATGCTTATTTTTATTGTAATTGTATGTAATCAGAGTGTGGCTAACTATTGTTGATTGGGGCAGAAGTAGGATAGAAATGTGTAATAAAATTTCATGTACTTTTACTAATTTCAGTTGTCTGATCGTAACACTTTAGGGTAAAAGCACAATAGAAAGAGTGATGTGTTTCATTTTCTTTTCACAAATATTCTTTAAGTGCCCAGTGAACATGGTAGCAGAAGAATGATACCATAAGAGACTGGGCATGGTGGCTTACACCTGTAATCCCAACATTGGGAGGCCAAGGCAGGAAGACTGCTTGAGGCCAGGAGTTTGAGACCAGCCTGGGCAATATAAGTGAGACCACATCTCTATTATTTTTTTTTAAAAAAAACAAGAATGATGCCATAAGAGAGCCATAAGAATGTGATCTCTTTCTTTGAGGAGCTCTCAGTTTCGTTTGGGAAGGTGTGGGAATGATAATAATTGCAATATATTGTGGGATGAAGTGAGACTGACATATAACTATGCTGTAAGAATATAGGGGAGGCGAGATGAATTTTGCTTGTGGAAGTCAGGGTGGCTGAGATGGCAACATTTGAATTGTTTCCGTTTTTTTTTTGTTGTTGTTGTTGAGACAGAGTCTCACTCTGTCGCCCAGGTTGGAGTGCAGTGGTGTGATCTTGGCTCACTGCAACCTCTGCCTCCTGGGTTCTAGCTGTTCTTGTGCCTCAGCCTCCCAAGTACCTGGGACTACAGATGTGTGCCACCATGCCCAGCTAATTTTTGTGTTTTTAGTAGAGACAGGGTTTTACCATGTTGGCCAGGCTGGTCTCCAACTCCTGACCTCAAGTGATCCTCCCACCTCGGCCTCCCAAAGTGTTGGGATTATAGGCATGAGCCACTGCACCTGGCCTGAATGGGGTTTTTGAAGCATGTGTTAAAATATACCAGGTAGGGAACAGATTGATGAGCGGTTTAAGGTGGGAATGTATAAAATGCATCTGTGTCAGTTAGTGGACAGTCCAGTGTGGTGAAGACAAGGAGGTAGTCCAATAACTGGAAAAGGAGGCCAGGGTGAAGTGGGAGCATGATTCTAAAAATCAATGGGGCCACTATTAAAATGTTTTGGGCAGGTCAGTGAGAGAATTTGTGATTTTGTGAGAAAACTGATAACAATGTATAAAGTGGACTGGAATGGAGCAGGAGTGGGCAGGGGATGAATAGAGGTGAGGAGGAAAATAGATTCGAGCGATGTTTTATCTTTGGTGCAGTTTGGGCACTTAAAATGAGATCTTTGTTTTTGAATATCTGAGTGGCATTCAGCTTCAAATTGAACTATAATAATAATTTTCTTATTTTTAAAGACCAAGCCTCTTGATCAACGCAGTGTTAATAACTTAAGTATTTAGCAGCTGTAGCCTATCTTTCATTGTTGGGAGCGGGGAGGGGTTGTTACATGAACTGTAACTTGTTTTGAAAACACGTCACAGAAACTCTTGAGCCCTTGAAGAAGGAGAAACTTTAATATATCTATTTCTCCATTTCCATCTTTGTATTTATGCACCGTAATTAAAACTTTCATGTTTGTGTGAATAGAATTACTCATGCAGATGTTAAAATGTATTAAGTTCATATTAGGCCAGGCACAGTGGCTCACACCTGTAATCCCAGTGCTTTGGGAGGCTGAGGTGGGAAGACTGCTTGAGGCCAGGTGTTTGAGACCAGGCTGAGCAACATGGCAAGACCCTGTCTCTGCCAAAAAAAAAATGTTTTTTTTAAACTTTGCTGGGTGTAGTGGTGTGTGCCTATAGTCCCAGTTACTTCAGGAGGCTGAGGCAGAAGAATCACTTGAGCCCAGGAGGCTGAGACTGCAGTGGGCCGAGATCGCACCACTGGACTCCGGCCTAGGCGACAGAGCGAGAACCTGTCTCAAAAAAAAAAAAAAAAAGTTTATATGGCAACTTTATTTTGAAGAGTGCAAGGTGCTACATAGGAACCCTTGGACTTTAAATCTCAAAAACTGTAAGATCAAATTTTATAATAGGAAATCATGAGGAATACAAGAAGGGGGCAAAGGTGCAGTACAAGACCAACTGGAGATAGAAAAAACTCATGAAAATAAGCCAAACTCCAGATTGCTTTAAAGGTGCTGCAGTTTTCCAGATGTGGGTTATTGGTGGTGCTGCAGCAGTTCCTAACGTTCCTTCACAGGTCATTTCTCTAGTTTGCTTGAAACAGTGTTTGGAATTGGCATGAACTGAAAAGCTTACAGAGATGATTGTTTTTTAGGAGAGTCCTTTCTTCTATTTTGGAAAATTTCTACTTTTAGCCTAGTAGAAGAAAAGCATAGAGTACATGGAGCATTTATACTCTATATTGTTAAAATGCCCTTTCTTGTGCTACATTTGAATTTACTACTTCATGATGGGGGAGGTAGCTTTGTTAGTGTTTACTTTAAATCAGTTTAAAGAGCAGACTGTGTTTAAAACAAAATGTAGCTTTCCTGAGTGATGGAAAGTGTGTTACTATAATAAAAGCTCTTTATGCATGACCCCTGAATGAGACTACTTGTATATTTTTCTTTCTTTCAGAATGCCAGTGCCCAGTATCTGGGAGAAGTATTTTTTGACATTTCGCTGTTTGTCCATTGCTGTTTTCTTGTTACCCTCACTTACCAAGGACTTTGCTCGGCGTTTATTAGTGCTGTCTGGGTAGCATTCCCATTGCTCACAAAGCTCTGTGTGCATAAGGACTTCAAGCAGCATGGTAGGGTATTTTTGATTTTGATATACATGGGAGAATACCTTAAAATACTTAAGGCTTTCAGGGACTCTTTCTTTTTTGGTTTTATTGGGTAGGCTTTCTAAATTGTTAGTTTTTAAAAGTTTTCATACCACACAAATTATCTTATGCCTTATACTCCATCCCTTTCTCATGTTTGTGAACACATACTAATATATTACTTGTGTATTTTGCTTTATTCTTATTTGTATTTTATCCTGAGTGAAAGATCCTACTCCAAGATAACATACACCCTTAAGGGCAAGAGTCACATCTAACCTAATTTCTGTTAGGGTACCAAGGCACACCAGTACTATAAAAATTTATATCTCACTGGAGGATTTCATAGATGTGTGCTTTTTTTCTCTTTTTCCCTAGGTGCCCAAGGAAAATTTATTGCTTTTTACCTTTTGGGGATGTTTATTCCTTATCTTTATGCATTGTACCTCATCTGGGCAGTATTTGAGATGTTTACCCCTATCCTCGGGAGAAGTGGTTCTGAAATCCCACCTGATGTTGTGCTGGCATCCATTTTGGCTGGCTGTACAATGATTCTCTCGTCCTATTTTGTAAGAGAAAATAAGTTTTTTTCTTTTTCTTCATTTTTTATATGAATATGAATTTAGCCATACTAGATTCTGTGAAATAGTGTTACGTGTACTTTATTGAGAAAATCTGAAGCAGAAGAAATGGTGAATGAATGGCCATGCATCTTGTAAATTTGGTATCGTAAGAAACTGTAGTATAGAGTTTGTTGTTGCTGTTTAAAAGTTTTTTGCCTCCCTATCCTTCCAAATTCTCTGATTTACCTCTTTTCAAATAGCCTGTCAGATACCTGAGTGTGAATTTGTAGAGCGTTTACCAAGTATTAATTGTTAGAGATTGCCTGGTGGTGAATGATCCTAATAGTATATTTTGAAATTACTAATTAGAGGCACATGTTAATAGATACATGGGTGGTTTTATTAGTGCTTTTAGAGCTAGTGAAGGAAGACTAAATCTGATGAGGCTTTTTTCATTATCATTCCACTACCTTGTTGCTACCACATGAAAGCTTGTTAATTGAGTCTGTTATGACACCCAAACGTGCCTTCATTTACCAAATAATGAAATGATCACAGGCCTTGTCAGTCCTCATTTTGCCGTATCAGTGTCCTGCCCTAGTAAGGAGAGTCCTGTGTTTGCCATCCCTTTTTTTCTTCCCTTGGGATTCCCAGAGGGAAGAAAAGACAGTGATGCAGAGTTTAAGACCAGACCCCCCTTGAGCAGAGTAAGCCCCAAGCAAGGTTTTGCTTTGGTTTGATGTCCACCTCCACGATCCAAGATGGGCCCCTCCAGAGAATGCAGGTCTCTTTTGGTGGGAATTCCTAAGAATAAAAAGTAATTATTGAACACTCAGAGGTGCACCTTGAAATTTGAGGATAGGGAACCAAACAGGAAAAGGAGCTATGATTTTATTATAGTTCTTTTCTTCATGGAGATGATAGTGAGCCTTTTCATACTGATATAGTAAAGGGCATTCGTTACCCCTTTACTTTGTGGAAGTTAGGTTCTAAAGACAGCAGGTAAGGAAAACACTACACACATGGTCAGCATCATCCGTGGAAGTCCCTTATAGCCAGTAAAGCTCTATATATGTGACTTTGTGTATATAGTCCTGTAGAGTAATTCTTATGCATATTATTGTTTGAGGTTGGTTGTACTAGTCTTAAAAGAGATCTGAGCCTTCCAACCATTTTACTTATAGGATAATTATTAAGGATAATATAAGGATAAGGATAATCCTTATTGGTATTCATAGGGCTGTATGAAAAGTTCTAAAATGTTCTTTGCTGCCTGTAGGGTTTGCTGCTTTTGAGTTTAATAGTAACCCTTATATCATCTGTATTTTTGATAGGTTTGCTGTTGTAAGGATTGAAGGAGACAGTGGACTTTTGTTATCTATAGATTAGGTTCTAATCTAATCTGAAGTCAACTAGTTATGAACTGAATGCCCCCACACCCCCGTTTATTTGTTAAATTATAGTCATGAATGGGAGCTATGGATGTCCATAAAAGATGACTCAGATAGGGGACATTTAAATTCTGTTCCACTGATAATATGAAAGGGGGCAAAATGAACCCTGGAGATGTTCATTGTGGAAATGGAAAATGTCCCCAAAGCATGGAAATCTTGGAAACCAGAAGAAAGAGGATTAAAGTGTCTTATCATCTAAATTATATTTTATTGGGAAAGCTTTTGGAGAGAAGACTGCCTCTTGGAATACTTTAGAAAGCTCACTTATTTTTCATTATAATGTGAAATAGCCCTGCCGCACTTTGATGCCATGAGTTATCACTCTTTTAATTATTTTCTTACTTATGTGTAGCAGTGTTAATGATAGTGGCTTATTAATAGAGTAAGACTGTTTTCTTTGGGTAATGGAGAATTGAACCACAATGCATATTTCAGACAGCTTTCCCTTCAGTCCTTGGGGATTTATTAAATACATCTGCTAGAAAGCAATTAAAGTCTTGTCAAGCAATCACGGTTTTTTGTTTGTTTGTTTGTTTGTTTGTTTTTGAGACAGAGTCTCGCTCTGTCACTCAGGCTGGAGTGCAGTGGTGTAATCTCGGCTCCCTGCAACCACCGCCTCCTGGGTTCAAGCAATTCTCGTGCCTCGGCCTTCCTGAAATATTGCATCCTGTGTCACTCTAGGTTCTGAGATGGGTGCAAAATAAAATGAAGAGAAGCATGAAAAGGGACTCTGAAATGTCCATTGTGTGCTGATAACTGAGCTGTTTCTGAGTCTTCTCCTCCTGACCCCACTTGTATCAGCAGTCCCCATTTCCCCTGTCATTCAATCAGTATACGTATAACCATGAAGGTCCAGCAGAGAATAACTTAAGGACACCTATTAACTGATTGCTTGCTGGGCATGGTGGCTCACGCCTGTAATCCCAGCACTTTGGGAGGCTGAGGCGGGTGGATGACTTAAGGTCAGCAGTTCAAGACCAGCCTGGCCAACATGGTGAAACCCTGTCTGTACTAAAAACACAAGAAATTAGCTGAGCACGGTGGTGCACACTTGTAATTTCAGCTACTCAGGAGGCTGAGGCACAAGAATCGCTTGAACCTGAGTGTTGGAGATTGCAGTGAGCTGAGATCGTGCCTCTGCACTCCAGCCTGGGTGACAGAGCGAGACTCTGTCTCCAGAAAAATAAATAAAATTTCACATTCATGTTATTTTTCTACTTATGGAAATAAGTAGAGAAATAAAATGAAGAAGGCATAAAGGGGAGGTGGGTTTAGATTTCATGTCTATAGTATACCAATATTCCATCCAGAGGCATCTGCAGCAAAACAGTACTAGCCTTAGGTCACACATCTCACATTTGTATACTGAGTACAAAAATATGACAGAGTACCTGAGGACTTGAGGCTGAGCTAGCAAAACAAAATGTGTCACCCTCGCTGTCCATCTTTCTCTCAGTATTCACAATATTTAAAATGTGGCTTCTTAGAACAATTTCAGATTTCACATAAAAGTTTCCCCAAATGGCTTCTTCAGACCCTGTAAGGGATCTGTGGACATACTCTGTGAGTCGTGTGTGTCCTTTACAGTTTTTAGTTCAGCGATTTCATTACGATTGAAAATATTTAGGATTTTCTAGATGCCAACCTTGAGACTGAGTCATTTACATTTACTGCCTAGATTTATTGTTTTGATTGTGTTGGCATTGGTTAATTTGTCACTTAGAGGGATAATATTACTTTGTAATGCAGTTTTTCCTCTTATGCAGGTCCACTGGCAGAGTCTTGAAGGTACATCTCTATGCCAGTTGAGATGAATTTAGTATTTTGACATATTTTAAAGCATTATGAGTGGAATTTGAGTTTTGTCCAAACAGATCTGCCTAAGCTTAAAGCTTATCTCTGGTTATTTAATGAATAATCCATTACATCTACATTTCTGTTCTTTTCGCACATTAAGGACAGCGACAGTCCTGAGTTTCCTTTTTCCCTCTTGGTTTTTGGCTGCATGCCAAAAAGGTGGCACCATCATGGCAGATTGGAGGCATCTGTCATTTTCTAGGTTCTCACCTGCAATGGAAATCTCCTAGAGTTAGTGCTTTGTTTACTAGATGTTAGAGTATGCTAGCACCTGCTGATAAATTTTCTTCAGGGGCTGTTAGGTAATACTGTTAAAAATAAAGTTAGTTAAAAACACCTTTCCACCACTAGAATGAATTTGTAATATTTCTGTGTTTGTGGTTTGTGTTTCAGATTAACTTCATCTACCTTGCCAAGAGCACAAAAAAAACCATGCTAACTTTAACTTTGGTATGTGCAATTACATTCCTCCTTGTTTGCAGTGGAACATTTTTTCCATATAGCTCCAATCCTGCTAATCCGAAGCCAAAGAGAGTGTTTCTTCAGGTGAGCAGTTTTGCATGAGGTATTTGAGATCTGGAAAGGAAGCCCTGTGTGTTTTGAGCTTCAGTAGTGAATAGCAAGCGCAGCTGACTTTTCTGCTGTTGACCTATTTAGTCATACTCACCTTTTTTGTGTGTAAGGCAGTGAGGAGAAGACTGACTGTCAAGAGGCATTCTTATCAGCTAGACATATATCTCCCAGGAGACTGAATTGGAAATGTTTGCTTGTTTTTATTACTATTCAAATTATAAAACTGCATCTATTTGGAAAAACAGGAGCAAATATTTATTATGGAATAATGAGTTTTTAGAAATATAGATTGTAAAAATGTATACAGGCTGAGTAAAATCTAAACTGTCAACTGGCAAAATAAAATTGATGTTTAGAAGTGCTAGTAAAATTAATCTTAAGTAACATTCAAAGTGATATGTGATAGTGAAACTATAACTTAGAAAGGGTTTAATAAAGTGAGTTTTAGGACTTACTTTCTTTTCTCTTTTTTTAAAATGGAGTCTTGGTCTGTTGCCCAGGCTGGAGTGCAGTGGAACGATCTTGGCTCACTGCAACCTCTGCCCCCTCGGTTCAAGTGATTCTCCTGCCTCAGACTCCCAAGTAGCTGGTATTACAGGCGCTCGCCACCACGCCTGGCTAATTTTTGTATTTTTAGTGGAGACAGGGTTTCACTACGTTGGCCAGGCTGTTCTTGAATTCCTGACCTCAGGTGATCCACCCACCTCGGCCTCCCAAAGTGCTTGGGATTACAGGTGTGAGCCACCACACCTGGCCAGTTTGAGGACTTATTTTAGATCTCAACTTTTTCTTCAAATTTTTTAGACCTGGTACTATAAAGCAGTAAGCCTCAATTCTAGTCATCTCTGTTAGAGATGGCTAAATTGTTAGTTTTTCTAAATTGTTTTTAAAAGTTCTCATACTACACAAATTATCTTATGCCTTATACCCATCCCTTTCTCATGTTTGTGAACACATACTAACATATTGTATATTTTGCATAATTCTTATTTGTATTTTATACTCTGTAAGTGAAAGATCCTGCTTCAAGATAACATATACCCTTAAGGGCAAGAGTCACATCTAACCTAATCTAGCCAAACAGAAATGCCAGAGGAATTATACCTAGATAATTATTCAAGGACTTAAAAAATTAAAAACACTTAGGAGGTTTTGAAAAGGGGCCAAATAACAATTCCTTGTTATAGTCCTGAAGGACACTGTGATAAATTTTATGTGAGATTTTACAATTTGTAAAACCTTTAGTGAAGAACGGATTTTTTTTTAGGAGGTTCAGTGTGTTTTTCATGATGTATTAAGTTTTATAATTATGTCAGTAATACTTAGGAAAAGCAGGATTTTTATTTTTAAAAAGTCATTTTCTGATTTGTTTGGGGGTTCTCTTCCACTGTGCCAGAAGTTGGCAAACTTTTCCTGTAAAGGACAAGATAATATTTTGGGCTTTGTCAGCAATACAGTCTGTTGCAGTGAAACAGAGCGAAAGCAGCAACAGAGTATACCCAAACAAATGAGTGTGGCCATGTTCAAATAATGGTTCGTATATAAAAACAGTCAGTGGACAGTTTGCCCTGTTGGCTGCAGTTTGCCGGCTCCTGCCCTATGCAGTGTTTTTTTTTGTTTGTTTTTTTCCTGATTGGTATTCTTCAGGCTGGTTTCTGCCGTGAATAAAGTTATTTCAAATGGAGCACGGTGCCTTTTCATAGAATTCTGTTAGGCACAAGGCTGTCATCTAGTGGTGAGCTGCAATTCCCACTTTTCTCTGCACATGAATTAGCTTCATAAAACACTAATAGGGAAATGAGTGTGTATGTATATATGTGCTTAGGATGTATTTGTTTTAAATCCTTATCTAAAAGCAGCTCTAACATTAACGTCTTTTAAGTCTGAAATAGTAAGTTTCAAAAACATTTTATAGGAATCCTAAATATATTTGGAAGATACAATAAAACAATAATCTATATATCTATTTTCCAGTTTAAAATAAAGAACGCTAGCAGTACCTTAGAAACTCTCAGTGTCTTATTCACTTGCTCCATATCCACATCATTTCTTGGTATTGTCATACTCCATTTTTGTAATCTGGGGTGGGAATGTGGGTGTACTAGTTGAAACAGTTTTTTCACTAGTCTTTTTTTTTCAGCATATGACTAGAACATTCCATGACTTGGAAGGAAATGCAGTTAAACGGGACTCTGGAATATGGATCAATGGGTTTGATTATACTGGAATTTCTCACATAACCCCTCACATTCCTGAGATCAATGATAGTATCCGAGCTCACTGTGAGGAGAATGCACCTCTTTGTGGTTTTCCTTGGTATCTTCCAGTGCACTTTCTGATCAGGTTGGTTCATTATTTTTCTGCTTAAGGTTAGTTTGTTCTCAAGTCTTGTCACCATATCAGTACTCTTATCATTTAAACTGCCATCCTTTAATATACAAGTTCAGTGGTGTTTGTACTATTTTTTCTATCATTATGAAACTTTTTTTTTTTTTTTAGTGGAATAAAGCACTCAGAAGAGTAGTTTTGTTTTTTCAAATTTTAAAAATCTTTTCTCTAGAAACCTGAGTGGTTAGAAAAGGTGGCCCTTCTAACTAATATAATAGCCAATAAGCATCTATCTCAAAAATTGTGGCCGGGCACGGTGGCTCATGCCTGTAATCCCAGCACTTTGGGAGGCCGAGGCGGGTGGATCACCTGAGGTCGGGAGTTCGAGACCAGCCTGACAAACCTGGAGAAACCGTGTCTCTACTAAAAATATAAAATTAGCCGGGCATGGTGGTGCATGCCTGTAATCCCAGGTACTCGGGAGGCTGAGGCAGGGGAATTGCTTGAACCCGGGAGGTGGAGGTTGCGGTGAGCCGATATCGCGCCATTTCACTCCAGCCTGGGCAACAACAGCAAAACTCTGTCTCTCAAAGAAAAAAAAAAATTGTTTTCTCTGGGAAGATTTTATAGCTTGGCAGTGAAGGACTGGATGAGAAGAAATAGGATGGGTGGTGGAATCAAGATCACCTAGGTTACTCCTTTGTTCTTAACATTGGGAAGGTTTTATTACAAAATAACCTAAATTTGTTGGAGTTGGCATTGCTTATCATGTCTGTCAGTTTATTTTCATACCCAAAAATGTGTTCATATATGCTGAACAGTTCTGTGAGTTACAGATAGCCATCAAATAATAAAGCACCCTAAAACTGAAGCTTCCTTTCTAAATAGGAAAAACTGGTATCTTCCTGCCCCAGAAGTTTCTCCAAGAAATCCTCCTCATTTCCGACTCATATCCAAAGAACAGACACCTTGGGATTCTATAAAATTGACTTTTGAAGCAACAGGTAAGTCATATAATAGTTTTTTCTCCCCTCCTTTATTTCTTAAACTTGTTAATAAGTGGCATGTATGTTTTTCCCTCAGATATATCACAGGAACCAGCAACTTAGGAAGAGCCTGTGATGTTTCTAAAATCAATTGAAGCTGGTTATGACTTCTTTTTTTTTTTTTTTTGAGATGGAGTCTCGCTCTGTCGCCCAGGCTAGAGTGCAGTGGTACGATCTCGGCTCACTGCAACCTCCGCCTCCTGGGTTCAAGTGATTCTCCTGCCTCAGCCTCCTGAGTATTTGGGATTACAGGTGTGTGCCACCATGCCTGGCTAATTTTTGTATTTTTAGTAGAGACAGGGTTTCACCATGTTGGTCAGGCTGGTCTTGAACTCCTGACCTCATGGTCTGCCTGCCTCGGCCTCCCAAAGTGCTGGGATTACAGGTATGAGCCACCACGCCCGGCCAAAGCTGGTTATGACTTCTTAACAAAAATTTAATAGGCCAGGCATGGTGGCTTATGCTTGCTACTCAGGAGGCTGAGGTAGGAGGATTGCTTGAGCCCAGGAGTTCAAGACCAGCCAGGGCAACATAGTGACATCCCGTCTCTACAAAATTAAAAAAAAAAAAATTAGCTGGGCATGTTGGTGCATGCCTGTAGTCTTAGCTACTTGAGAACTTGAGAGGCTGAGCTGGGAGAATCACTTGAGCCCAGGAGGTCAAGGCTGATAGCACCACTGCATTCCAACCTGGGTGACAGAGCAAGACCCTGTCTCAAAAATAAAAATTATTTTTATTTTTTGGAGCAATGTTAAGTTTACAGAAAAATTAAGTAGAAATTATAGAGTTCTCATATCCTGCCCCCCGATTTTCCTCTATTAATGTCTTGCATTAGTATGGTGCATTTGTTAAAACTGATGCACCAGTTTTAACACTGATATATTATTATTAATCGAAGCCTGTTGTTCCCACTCGGGTTCATTCTTCGTGTTGTGTAGTTCTATGGGTATTGAAAAATGTGTGATGCCATGTATCTACCATTACAGTATCATACAGAATAGATTTACCATCTAGAAATGCCCTGTGCTTCACCTATTTATCTCTCTTTTCTTCCCACTCTCCTTAGCAACCATTGGTCTTTTTATTATCTCTGTAGCTTTGCCTTTTCCAGGTATCATATAGCTGGAAGCACAGAGTATGTAGCCTTTTTCGACTGACTTCTTTCACTTAGAAGTATGCATTTAAGGGATCCTCCATATCTTTTTGTGACTTGATAGGCCATTTCTTTTTATTGCTGAATAGTCCGTTGTGTAGATGTACAGCAGTTATCCATATTTGAATAAGGCTGCTATAAAGATTCCTGGGCAGGTTTTTGAACTCATTTGGGTAAATGCTTAGGAGTGTGATTGCTGGATATTATATATGGTAAGCCTATGTTTAGCTTTGTAAGAAACTGCCAAACTGTTCTTTCCATTGACTGATTTCTCTGTTCTTTTGCCCATACCACAACTGTCATGATCACTGTAATTATATAGTTAAGTTTTGAAGTTGGGTAGTATCAGTCTTCCAACTCTTCTTCTCCAGAATTGTGTTTTGTCTTTTGCCTTTCCATGTAAACTTTAGAATCAGTTTGTCAATATTCACAAAATAACTTGTTGGAGTTCTGATTGGGATTGTATTGAGTCTGTAGATCAAGGTGGGAAGAAATGATATTTTAACAATAATGGCTTTTCCTATCCGTGTTGGAATATCCCTCCATTTATTTTTATCTTGTTTGATTTCTTTCATCAGTTCTGTAGTTTTCCTTATAGAATCCTTATATATATTTTGTTAGATTTATTTTTAAGTAGTTATTTTTGGGGGTGCTAATGTATTAATAAATGGTATTGTTCATTGATGGTCTACAGGAAAGCAACTGAGTTTCAGATTATTACCCTCATATCCTGCAGCCTTGCTATAATCACTTATTAGATCTAGGAGATTTGTTTTTGTTTTTGTTTTTGTTTTTGTTTGGTTTATTCTTTAAGAAGATTTTCTTTTCTTTTTCTTTTTCTTTTTTGAGACAGTCTCACTCTGTCACCTAGGCTGGAGTGCAGTGGTACGATCTCGGCTCACGGCAACCTCTGCCTCCTGGGTTCAAGTGATTCTCCCGCCTCAGCCTCCCAAGTAGCTGGGAATACAGGCACCCGCCACCACACCTGGCTAATTTTTGTAATTTTAGTAGAGACAGGGTTTCACCACGTTGGCCAGGCTGGTCTCAAACTCCTGACCTTGTGATCCGCCTGCCTCAGCCTCTCAAAGTGCTGGGATTACAGGCGTGAGCCACCGCGCCCAGCCTATTCTTTTAAGATTCTATGAATAGACAATCTTATCATCTGCAGACAGTTTTATTTCCTCCTTCCTAATATCTATAATTTTTATTTCCACTTCTTGACTTGTTACATTATCTGGGACTTCTAGTTTGATTTTGACAAGGCGTTGTGAGAGGGGACATCTTTGCCTTGTTCCTGATCTAGGCAAGCTTCTGGTTTCTTACCACTGAGTATGTTGTTAGCTATACGTTTTTTGGTAGATGTTTTTTATGAGACTGAGGAAGTTCCCTCTATTCCTAGCTTACTGAGAGTTTTTATCATGAATAGGTCTTGGATTTTGTCAGTTGCTTTTCCTGCATATATTGATATGGGCATGTGATTTTTCTTTCTTAGCCTTTTGATGTAATAGATGACATTAATTGATTTTCAAGTATTGGACTGCTTTGCATACCTGAGGTAAATCCTACTTGGTTATGGTGTATAAAACCTTTTATGCATCGTTGATTTGATTTACTAATATTTTGTTAAGGATTTTTGCATCTATGTTCATGAGAGATACTGGTTTATAGTTTTCTTGTATTGTTGTTGTCTAGCTTTGGTATTAGGATAATGCTGGACTCATAGGATGGGTTAAGAAGTATTCCCTCTGCTTCTGTCTTCTGAAAAGCTTTGTAGAGAATTAGTATAATTCCTTCCTTAAATGTTTGGTAGAATTCACCTATGAACCCCCGTAGGCTTGGTAGGTTCTTTTTCTGTGTTGGAAGGTTATTAATTATTGATTCACTCTTTAATAGATACAGGCCTGTTCAGGTTGTCAGTTTCTCATGGTGTGAACTTTGGCAGATTGTGTCTTTTAAAGAATTGGTTCATTTTATCTAGGTTATCAGATTTATGGAAATATAATTTGTCTATAATATTCCTTAATTATCCTTTTAATGTTCATGGGATCTATAATGATGTCCCCTCTTTCATTTCTCATATTAGTAATTTACATCTTTTCTTTTTTTCTCTGCCTGGCTGAAGGGTTATCAATTTTATTGATCTTTTCTAAGAACTAGCTTTTGATTATAGTTGGTTTTCTCTATTGAGTTCTGTTCTAGTTATTTCTTCTGTTTACTTTGGATTTAATTTGTTCTTCCTTTTTTAGTTTATTAAGGTGGAAGCTTAGATTATTGATTTTAAATCATCTTTTCTAATATATGCATTCATTGCTATAAGTTTCCTTCTAAGCACTGCTTATGTTCCATGCCACAAATTTTAAGTTGAATTTTCATTTTAATTTAGTTTCAAGTATTTAAAAATTTTTTCTTGAGACTTCTTTTTTGACCCATTTGTTATGTAGAAGTGTGTTCTTTAATCTCCAAATGATTTGATTTTTCAGCTATTTTTCTGATAATTGATTTCTAGTTTAATTTCATTGTGGTCTGAGAGCATACTTTGTATGAATTCTATTCTAAATCTGTTAAGGTGTGCTTTATGATACAGGATGTGGTCTCTCTTGATGAATGTTCCATTTCAAGCAGTATGCTTGAAAATAATGTGCATACTGTTGCTGTTGGAAGAAGGCTTTATGAATGTCACTTAGATCTAATCGATTGATGATGATGTTCAGTTCAATTATATTTTTACTGATTTTCTGCCTATTGAATTTTTCAGTGATGGAGGGGTGTTGAAGTCTCTGACTGTAATTGTGAATTTGTCTTTCTCCTTTAGTTGTATGAGTTTGCCAACTATTTTGACACTTTATTGTTAGCTACATACAAATTAAAGATTGTTATGTCTTCTTAGAGAACTGACCCTTTATCATTATGCATTGCCCCTCTTTATCGCTGCTAATTTTCCTTGCTTTAAAAGTCAGCTTTGTCTAAAATTAATATTGCTCTCCTACTTTCTTTTGATTAGTGTTAGCATGGTATAATGTTCTCCATCCACTGACTCTTAATTTATGTGCCTTCATAGTTAAAATGGGTTTTCTGTAGACAACACATAGTGGGGTCTTGTTTTTTGATCCACCCTGACGCTCTGTCTTTTAATTTGTATGTTTAGACATTGACATTCAAAGTGATTATTAATATAGTTGAATTAATAGCTACCATATTAGTTAACTATTTTCTATTTGTTGCCCTTGTTTTTTCTTCCTGTTTTTGTCTTCCACTCTTTTTCTGCCTTTAGTAGTTTTAATTGGACATTTTATATGATGTGGTTTTCTCTCCTTTCTTAGCATGTCAGTTACACTACTATTTTTTTTTTAACCTTTTTTAATGGCTGCCCTGTCGTTTGCAGTACACATTTACAGCTATGCAAGCCCACTTTTAAATAATACTATTCTGCATCACAGGGATTATGAATAACTTAATAACAAAATAATCCTAATTTCTCCTTCCAGTCTCTTGTAACATTGCTAGCATTTATCTCTCTTATACAGAAGCGTGTGTGCACATATGCAGTATGTACACACAATGCACACATATAAGTATACATAACCACATACATTGTTGCTATTATTTTGAAAAACTGTTATCTGTTAGATCAATTAAGAATAGGAAAAATGAGTTTTTATTTTACCTCATTCCCTCTCTAGTGTGCTTTCTTTTGTTATATGAAAATCTTGAGTTTCTGACCTGTATTATACTTGCCTTCTCAGGTTTTAATTGAGCATTGTATATTGTTCTATTCTTTTATATTCTTACCATATCAATTATACTTATTTTAGTGGTTGCTATGGAGCTTGCAGTATGTCTGTCTTCAGTTAACACTGTACTGCTTCATGGTAGTGCAGATACCTTATAACATAATATTCTCAATTCATCCCTCCCTGGGATTCTATCAAGTTGACCTTTTAAACAATAGGTAAGTCACATGACCATCTTTTTTTCCTGCTCCTTCACTTCTTAAACCTTTTAATAAGTTGCATGTGGTTTTTCTTGCCCTAAAGTTTAAGTCTTAAATTGACCAGCAATTTAGGAGCCTTACATTGTTTCTCAAAGAAGTTGAGACTGGTTATGATTTTTAAGAAGATTTACTGAAAAACTTTTAGTGTCAGATATTGGTTCATTGTCAGATCCAGGAGCATTTGGCCTGGCATTATGACTTTATCTTTTTTGGTACATTTTATTCCCTTTTCCATCTTTAAAACTAGCAGTTAGGTCTTCCAGCTTCTTAACTTATGTTTTGGCCTGTAAAACTTCTTTCTAGGATATTCTTTATGGTGCTGCCAGTTTATCTTTCAAATATCGATTTCATTATGTCTACTTCCCTATTAAAAAACTTTTGATGGATTTCCTGTTGCCTGGAGAGTAAGTTCAAATTCCTTGGCAAAGCATGTTAGGTCTTCGGTAGTCTGGACTTTGTGTATATTTCGGGATTCTTTTCAGCACTCCCTTTGCACTGCATAGCCACATCCAACCCTTATTTGCACCCAACACACACTGTTACTTCTGGTATGAGTGATACTCTTCTTGGTACTACCTCCTACCCAGACTCTACCCTTCTCTTCTTGGCAAAATATGAAGATTTCTCTGCCCTCCTCTCCCATCATTTCCAATTAAGTGAGCAACTGCCATCCTCCCACTTCTTCCTCCCTTTGTGTATATCTGTTGTAACACTGACCATCTTGTATCACGATTATGTAGTTTATGTCTTTGTTTTCCTTTAGAATTAAAGGGAGGCAGACATGAATGGGTTTTCATTTATCTCTGTATTCTTGGCATCCAGTATAATCACTGGCACTTGATGGGTACTCAAGACATGTGTTGAATTGTTAAATTTAGCAACTGTTTTTCTTTTAAAGCATTCTACTTGGGCTTAGTACGGAGACAGATGCTTGAGAAAGGAGGAGGAGAAATGTCAAGACATATGACATTTTCTCATCTTCAAAAGCTGTAAAGAGTTTGTTTGCTTGTGAGGTGTTTTAAAAAGTGAGCAAACCAGGATGGTCTCTCCCTTTCTAATGTCTTTTTGGGAAGTATGATGGTTATTTTATGTGTCAACTTGGGTAGACCACAGCACCCAGGTATCTGGTCAAATGCTATCCTAGATGTTTCTGTGAAAATATTTTCTGGGTAAGATTAACATGCAAATCACTGGACTTCGAGTAAAGCAGATTGCCCTCCATAATGCAAGTGAGCCTCATCCCGTCAGTGAAGGCCTTGAGAAAAAGACTGACCTTCCCCAAGGAGAGGGAATGGGGAATTCTGCTAGCAGACTGCCTTCAGTCTCATACTGTGACTTTTTTCTTCAGCCTGCCTGCCTATCCTTCAGATTTTGGACTTGCCAGCCTCAACAATCATGTAAGCCAGTTCCTTAAAATAAATCTCAATCACTCTCTCTGTCTCTCTCTCTCTTTCTCTCTGTACACATCCTGTTGGTTTCCCTGGAGAATGCTAATATAGGAAGTTCACTTCAACTGTTCCTGCAGCTGTTCACGCTATACTTTTTCTGAGTACTCTTCCCCTGATAGAAAGTTGTCTGGGACTTTCATGAGTGAAAAGTATTTTTAAATATCACTTTTCCCCTTGCCTACTTTATTTTTTTCAAGGCCTAATTTACATACAATGAAATGTAAAGATCTTACACAGTTCAGTTAGTTTTGGTAAAAGCAGATATATACCCATGTAACCCTCATCTCTATGAAGATATAAAACATTTCCATCACCCCACAAAGCTCAATTGATGTGTCTTGTACTGAGTGGAATATTGGAGTCTCTTATTTGTGTGTTTATATGTATATATCTTCTATACGCCTCCTGTAGTTTTCTTTATAAAGTGGTTGCTATGTTATCTGATGCATAGATATTCACAATTTTATGTCTTCATTGTGAATTGTGACTTTCAGTATTAAAAAGTGCCCCTTTTATATTTAATGCCTTTGCCTTGAATTCTGTGTTTTGAGAAATAAGATAGGACTTTTAAACAATTTCCACTTGCCTGAAATACCTTTGTTCATACCTTTATTTACCCTTTCTGTATCTCTCTGTATTCAGGAAACATACAGTATGTGATTGGGTTTGGCTTTGTAAGCCAAGTTGAAATTGTTTTTCTTTTAGTGGGTAAGTTAGGTTTATTTACATTAATTTTTATTACTCATACATTTGGCCTCAGTTGTCACAGTATTTTATAATTACATGTGTTGCTTTATTTGTTATATTCCTTTTTTCTATGAGGTGTCTTCTATGCTCTTTAAAACATTTATTTTCTGGCATTTATGAATGTTTATATTTGTTTTAATTCTCTATTATTTTACTTGAACCCGGGAGGCAGAGGTTGCAGTGAGCTGAAATTGCGCCACTGCGCTCCAGCCTGGGCCACAGAACGAGACTCCGTCTCAGGGGAAAAAAAAAAAAAAAAAAAAAAAGGTATTGTTTTAACTCCCACCAATTAACCCATACAACAGCCATGCTTATTCTACTTTCCTCTTTCTCTCTCCCATTTTCCATCCAATTTTTATTACAACATGTAACATTTGTATATTTGTCTTATAACTTCACCTTAGTGTTTTTGTAATACATTTGGATATATTAAAATCCTCAGTATAATAAGTTCTTTTGGCCAGGTGTGGTGGCTCACTTTGGGGGTACTTTGGGAGGTTGAGGCAGGAGGATGGCTTGAGCCCAGGAGCTCGAGACCAGCCTGGGCAACACGGGGAGACCCCATCTCTACCAAAAAAAAAAAAAAAAGGCCAGGTTTGTAGCATGCATCTGTAGTCCCAGCTACTTGGGAGGCTGAGGCAATAGGATTGCTCAAGCCAAGGAAGTCAAGGCTGCAGTGGGCTGTGTTCATGCCACTGGACTCCAGCCTAGGCGATAGAGCAGTGGGCTGCTGTGTTCACGCCACTGCACTCGACCCTAGGTGACAGAGCAGTGGGCTGTTCATGCCACTGCATTCCAGCCTAGGTGGTAGAGCAGTGGGCTGTGTTCACACCACTGCACTCGAACCTAGGTGATAGAGCAAGACCCTGTCTCAGGAAAAAGTTCTTTTGCTGAAGTTTGTACAGTTATCTGTTGGTTGGATGAAGCTTATTCTCTAGACTGTTTCTGAAGAAGGGCTCATGAGTGCTGTTTCTGTATGGTTAAAATTGGTTTTCTGTAATCCTGATAGTTGAAGGACAAGTTGGTGGACATAAAATCTTTGGTTCACGTTTTCCAATATTGAGTTTTTAAAAATTGTTGTTCCATTGTTGCCTTGTTTTATATATTGTTTTTGGGGTCTGATACCAATGTAATTTTTTTTGTAAGTTATTTGATCAAACTTTTTATTGAAGACCTTGAAGATTTTTTTTTTCTTTGAAATCTAATAGTTTTACTAGGTTATGTCTTGAAGTTGTTTGTTCTGTGTTAATATTCTAAGGTGCCTGGTAGTCTCTTTCAATGTGTAGATTCAGCTCTCTTTTTGTTTCTGGAATGCTTTCTTGGATTACAGTTTTAAATATTAGTTCTGTTTCGTTGTTTGGTTTTCTTCTGGGGTACCAAATGAATATTTTTTCTGACCTGCCTTCCATTTTTACCACTATCGCTAACCTTTTTTACTTTGCTTTTTCCCATTTTAATTTTCTTAGTATTTCTCCTGTCTTTATGACTGTTATTAAATTTTCCTTTGAATCTATTCTGTTGGGCATCTTGTAATTGTCTTCATTTCTAAGGTAATTTTGCCTTTTTCCTCCATTTCTTTTCTGAGTCTAGTCGGTCCTTTTAATTCTTCCTTCTAGTAAGAATTTCTGATTCATGGTGGGGTTTTAAATATCCCCAAATGTTTGTATGGATATATTTGTAGTTGGAGTGTGATTATAACATTTTCTCCTGCTTCATGGTTATTTCTTTTTTTTTCCAAGAGGAATTTTCTGATACTTTTTTTTGGTAATAACTGTATGGATCTGTTTATCCTTTTCTTCCTCATTTTTGTGCTGTTTTGTAAGATTTCTAGCAATGGCTTCCTTTTCTGTCAGTGTAAGAAAGTCCAGATTCTTTAGGAAGTTTGTGTTGGTGTGGATGAATAATATTTATCTCTTTCAACTTTTTTGACTGGATTTTTCTTGCAGGACCCTGAATTTTCTTTTGCTTCTTTTCATCTTCACCACCCAAATGCCAAAGGATTCCTCTTCCTTCTTTTTTATTTTTCCCTGAGAAGCTTTGGTTTTGAAGACTGTTACTTCAATAATATACTTTTAAGTCCCTGCCCTGTAAACCTTTCTTTGACTGGACACTATAGTAGTATTTTCAGATTTAGGGTGGACTGACTTGGTCTGCATTTGCCACAAAGCCTTGCAGCAGAAGCAGGGTGGGCACAAGTGTGTGAGATTGCTCCCTGAGATTTAAAAATTTACGGTTATTTCAAATGTGGGTATTCTCTGTCTTTAAGTTAGGCTGAGGGTGTGTTTTTGTTTAGTTTTATCTATTTTAGTTTTAGTTTGACTTCCACTGTCATCAGTTTCCTTGGAAGTTCCCAGTGATGACTAAATTTTCAGAACTGAGCTAATATTTTCCAGCTTGAAGGGAAAAACTAGTAAAACATATTTTAAGGTGTTACATGATCAACTCTGAAAATTACAACTCCATTCATAATGGCAGTCCTATTCAGTACTGTTACAGCACTTCGCAGTTTTGCCAACACTTTCATATGCTTTTTCTAATATAATCCCCTCAATGAAGAAATTGTGACATAGATTAAATTCCTGATGTCATGCAGCAGTTAAGTGATAGGACCAACTTAACACAGGCTTTCTCATTTACAGTCTGTGCCTTTTCTCCTGTACCTCATTATTTAACCTTGTTGATTCACACTAAGTGTCCAAACTGGTAAACCTCCATTAGGTTTATAGTAAGTATATTTAAAGTCATGCAGGCATGAACCTTTATGAAGTCTGGTTTGGATTGTGGGTTATTTTTTTGATCCTTTTAAAAAGATTAACTGTTCTTTCTTCCTTTTACCTTACAGGACCAAGCCATATGTCCTTCTATGTTCGAGCCCACAAAGGGTCAACACTTTCTCAGTGGTCTCTTGGCAATGGCACCCCAGTCACAAGTAAAGGAGGAGACTACTTTGTCTTTTACTCCCATGGACTCCAGGCCTCTGCATGGCAGTTCTGGATAGAAGTGCAGGTGCCAATTTCCCAGCATTGTTTGTTTCATTGATTAGGTTCCCAGGTGGTATTTAGCAAGAACCTTGGGTTCAGTATTCTGGCTTCTGAGAACTGGAGAACTAATTGATTTTCTCTGGCAGGTTTCAGAAGAACATCCTGAAGGAATGGTCACCGTGGCCATTGCTGCCCACTATCTGTCTGGGGAAGACAAGAGATCCCCTCAACTGGATGCTCTGAAGGAAAAGTTCCCAGATTGGACATTTCCCTCTGCCTGGGTGTGCACCTACGATCTCTTTGTATTTTAATCTTGTGGATGAGCTCTAAGTACATGCCCAGTGGATACTCCATGTGACATGGTTTCTCCCTATGTTACGTGGATGTTTGTAACGTAAGTCAATGAATTTTAATGATCATATGTTCAAAGAGCTTTCTGGGTTAACGCTTTTCAGGGCCAAGCACTATAAGGGTTTAGCTGTGGCGCAGTGATGCATGGCCTGTTGACACTTGAAAATGCCAGTCTTTTGGCACTTCAGCACATGTGGGTACTGCCACTACACACACGTCATTTTATATGACCTTAAGGACAAAGCCAACAATCCACTTCAATAGCTGCCCCTTTAGGATCAAGAAAGATGTACACTGTCAGAGCATTGTTAATGAGACAAAAGTTGTTTCCAATTTAAGCCCCAAAACCATTTGTTGTATTAGTGGATGGTGGGTAAAATATCATTCACTGAGGTAATGATTCCCCTTGAGAATATAACTCTGTGTAGGTCACTGGAAAGTGATTGCCATAGGGCTGGGAGAGAAGCATTGCACTCTTGAGGCTGTAGCCTGTGTCAAGCTGTTTCTTCAGGCAGCCTCTCAAATGTGCTTTGTCTCTCTGTGCTGAGGCCTGGACCCTGTGCTGAGCTGGTGACTCACTGTCCTGACAAGTGGACACACAGATGCACTGCTGTGCTGCTTTCCTGAGGTGGTTTTCTATGCCTGTTTTCCTCTGAAACATGTCTGTTACCCCTCTCCATCTTACCAAGTTGAAAAGGGGAATATTTGGCCACATACCCCTCTGGTTTTCGTAGGTTCTTTTGGTTCAGAATATTGTTTGTGCCAGTACATGACCTTAACTTCCTTCCTCAGAGCACTGAGCTGCCATCTGGGCTATTCTGGGGTAGAAGGAAGGCTGGGAGTGGTGGGAATTTTATAAATATTTATTCTCTTTTCTTTGTTTCATAGGAGTCTTGTGTTATACAAGGTTAGTCCTTCATGGTATAATCTTACTGATGCACTGGGCCTATCTTTTTGTTTTCCAGCCAGTTGAATAGATTAGTTTTTCTCAGTAACTTACTATCCAGCAGACTGGCTTTCCTGAGACTTGAGGTTGTGGCTTATACTGGAATGAGACCACTGTACGTGTAGGTGGTTCAGATCCTGCGTAATGGCAGCATGAGGACTTAAAAGGTGGTTTTCATTTTGAAGATGGCTATGTAGCTTGTAAGGTGTATCACAGCAGTACCTCTCATGGCTTTTTGGTTCCAGCAGTGAGGGCATTGGTGAGATCAATGGTAAACTGTGCAAGCTTTCTTTTTATCATTAGGAAATGTGAAACGTTGGACAAATTTTGAGTTTTAACAAGGACAAAAAGTTGAAAGAAAAGGCACAGTTAACAAAAAAGGGTGGCTAGATTTATCTTGGGTGATGGAGGAAATGAGAGAGGAATGCTCTTGAAAGGTGGTCTGTGGATCTGTCTGAATAGAAAGAGCACAGTAAGTATGCATTGCCGGAGAAAACGTCCTTGAAGCTGCTTGTCTCATGTGTATGATGTGCTTTTTAAATCATGCCCCTCGTTGCCTGCCTAATCTGTGACTCCCTAAAAACTAACTGGGCCCATGTAGATGGGGCTGCAACCAGAGCTGAATAACATGTTAGGCTCACACATGCATCAGCACTGCACACTGGAATCATTGCTCTTCCTGGACTTTGTAGAAATCAGTCTCAAGTGCTTCAAGAGTCTGGCTCCTGCTACTTTTATCTGTCAGGTAGCACATAAGGTTTGCAGGGTTTATATTTTGTATAGAATCACAGTTGTGGAGAAAAAGTAATAATTTCTCAATGAATTTTAAAAATGGGCCTATTTTCTATCCCCGTGGTTCATCTGATATAATTAGTGTTCCCTGTGAATTCCCCCCCTCTATGGGAAGGATGCCTTTACTCTTTATCAGTAATAAATTATGACTGTTTTCATATTGCCTTAGGGTTATTTCCCTGTGTAAACCATTGTCTTTTGTTTTGGTTTTCTTTAGCATTATGAAGCTTTGGTATTGTACAAGGTCAGTAGTAAGATGCTCACTAGTCTCAGGGCTTGTGTAATATTCTGGGAGGTCATTTAAATGCCAGAAATGGTCAAGCAATTATACACAGTATTTATGACTCTGTTAAGCATACCGTTTGTCTGTCACATTAGTAGATTCTGAGATTAAAAAAAATTTTTAAAGAGTGATCATTTAAATAATTTCTAAAAGGGTCTTTTCAAGCTCTAACAAAGTCACTAACAAATGCATTATTTTCTACAGAATTAGATGTTAGTAGTACAGTACTGCATATTCAGGGAAAAAGTGTGAGGAATTGATTTCAAAATAGTTCGTTCTTGTGTTTGACCTAAGAATGATTGTCGCATGAAGTGTTTGTTTTTACAGTTTAGCATATATAAACAAACATGATAGGATTCCTTAAGATGTTACCACCCAGGGGGCCACAAGCCAGCCTGCTGTCTCAGGAAGCTGTAGAAGGAGTGTTTGTCAATTTCTTGTCACTGGTTTGCTGACTTACTGAGGATTAATTGTTGCCTTACAATGTTACTGAAATAAACTGTTTAATATACTGGTTGGTATCTTTTTAACTGAAAAACAGATCTGTGTTCTTCTGTATCCCCATATTTTCAAGGGTTATTCCATGTCCACAGAGCCTTTTAATTGCTGTTAAAAGACCTAGATGGCTCATGTGAGCAAAGAACTCAACATGGAAATGTTTACTTCAGTTAGAATCCTTTATCTTAGAATGAAATGGTACTTCTGAATTTCACAGAAATTATTAGGTAAATGTTGAGCTTCACCTATGTAGGAGTTTTAAATCATCCCCATTAGCAAAAAAATAGCAAAGGGTAAAGGGCGTTCTTTTATTTGGGAGTAAGGGTAGGAGGGAGGGAAGAAGTTGCCTTTCAGCCAGAGTGACTCATTGCTTATTCTAATCTCCACAGAAGGAAAGGGCACCACCACTCACCAAAATAGAGCATGAACTTTGAGTTCAGAGATCTCTGTGCAAGTTATTTAAACTTTGAGTGAATTCTCTCAGAACAGTTCAATGCAAGGTGAAGCAGCTGAACAACTTCTAACCTAATACTCCTCTTCTTCTTTTAGGGCCAATAAAGTCAAGATGCAGTTATGGCTATTTACATTTGTTTTTAGCCAAGATGCAGTTACGACTCTTTTTAAATTTTTTAAAATTATACTTTAAGTTCTGGGGTACATGTGTGGAATGTACAGGTTTGTTACATATGTATACATGTGCCATGGCAGTTTGCTGCACCCATCAACCTGTCATCTACATTAGGTATTTCTCCTAATGCTGTCCCTCCCCTAGCCCCCCACCCTCTGACAGGCTCTGGTGTGTGATGTTCCCCTCCCTGTGTCCATGTGTTCTCATTGTTCAACTCCCACTTATGAGTGAGAACATGCGGTGTTTGGCTTTCTGTTCTTGTGTTAGTTTGCTGAGAATGATGGCTTCCAGCTTCATCCATGTCCCTGCAAAGGACAGGAACTCAACCATTTTTAGGGCTGCATAGTATTCCATGGTGCATACGTGCCACATTTTCTTTATCCAGTCTATCATTGATGATGGGCATTTGGGTTGGTTCTGAGTCTTTGCTATCGTGAACAGTGCTGCAGTAAACATACATGTGCATGTGTCTTTATAGTGGAATGATTTATAGTCCTTTGGGTATATATCCAGTAATGGGATGGCTGGGTCAAATGATATTTCTAGTTCTAGATCCTTGAGGAATCGTCACACTGTCTTCCACAATGGTTGGACTAATTTACACTCCCACCAACAATGTAAAAGAGTTCCTATTTCTCCACATCCTCTTTAGCATCTGTTGTTTCCTGACTTTTTAATGATCGCCGTTCTAACTGGCGTGACATGGTATCTCATTGTAGTTTTGATTTGCATTTCTCTGACCAGTGGTGATGAGCTTATTTTTCATATGTTTGTTGGCTGCATAAATGTCTTCTTTTGAGAAGTGTCTGTTCATACCCTTTGCCCACTTTTTGATGTTTTTTTTTTTTCTTGTAAGTTTAAGTTCTTTGTAGATTCTGGTATTAGCCCTTTGTCAGATGGATAGATTGCAAAAATTTTCTCCCATTCTGTAGGTTGCCCGTTCACTCTGATGTTAGTTTCTTTTGCTGTGCGGAAGCTCTTTAATTAGATCCCATTTGTCTATTTTGGCTTCTGTTGCCATTGCTTTTGGTGTTTTAGTCATGAAGTCTTTGCCCATGCCTGTGTCCTGAATGGTATTGCCTAGGTTTTCTTCTAGGGTTTTTATGTCTTACGTTTAAGTCTTTAATCCATCTTGAGTTAATTTTTGTATAAGGTGTAAGGAAGGGATCCAGTGTCAGCTTTCTGCACATGGCTAGCTAGTTTTCCCAACACCATTTATTAAATAGGGAATCCCTTCCCCATTCTTTGTTTTTGTCAGGTTTGTCAAAGATCAGATGGTTGTAGATGTGTGGTATTATTTCTGAGGTCTCTGTTCTGTTTCACTGGTCTATATATCTTGTTTTGGTACCAGTACCATGCTGTTTTTGTTACTGTGGCCTTGTAGTATAGTTTGAAGTCAGTAGCGTGATGTCTCCAGCACTGTTCTTTTTGCTTAGGATTGTCTTGGCTATGTGGGCTCTTTTTTGGTTCCATATGAACTTTAAAGTAGTTATTCAATTCTGTGAAGAAAGTCAATGGTAGCTTGTTGGGGATAGCACTGAATTTGTAAATTACTTTGGGCAGTATGGCCATTTTCACAATATTGATTCTTCCTATCCATGAGCATAGAATGTTCTTCCATTTGTGTGTGTCCTTTCTTATTTCATTGAACAGTGGTTTGTAGTTCTCCTTGAAGAGGTCCTTCACATCCTCTGTAAGTTGTATTCCTAGGTATTTTATTGTCTTTGCAGCAGTTGTGAATGGGAGTTCACTCATGATTTGGCTCTCTGTTTGTCTGTTATTGGTGTAGAGGTATGCTTGTGATTTTTGCACACTGACTTTGTATCCTGAGACTTTGCTGAAGTTGCTTATCAGCTTAAGGAGACTTTGGGCTGAGACTATGGGGTTTTCTAAATATACAATCATGTTGATCTAATATTGACAGTGGGGTGTTAAAGTCTCCCACCATTATTGCGTGGGAATCTAAGTCTCTTTGTAGGTCTCTAAGAACTTTATAAATCTGGGTGCTCCTGTATTGGGTACATATATATTTAGGATAGTTAGCTCTTCTTGTTGCATTGATCCCTTTACCATTATGTAATGGCCTTCTTTGTCCCTCTTGATCTTTGTTGGTTTAAAGAAGTCTGTTTTATCAGAAACTAGGATTGCAACCCCTGCTTTTATTTTTGCTTTTCATTTGCTTGGTAAATATTCCTCCATCCCTTTATTTTGAGCATGTGTGTGTCTTTGCATGTGAGATGCATCTCCTGAATACACCACACTGATGGGTCTTGACTCTTTGTCCAGTTTGCCAGTCTATGTCTTTTAATTGGGGCATTTAGCGCATTTATATTTAAGGTTAATGTTGTTATGTGTGAATTTGATCCTGCCATTATGATGCTGGCTGGTTATTTTGCCCGTTAGTTGATGCAGTTTCTTCATACCGTCAATGGCCTTTACAATTTGGTATGTTTTTGCAATGGCTGGTACTGGTTGTTCATTTCCATGTTTAGTGCTTCCTTCAGGAACTCTTGTAAGGCAGGCCTGGTGGTGACAAACATCTCAGCATTTGCTTGTCTGTAAAGGACTTTATTTCTCCTTTGCTTATGAAGCTTGGTTTGGCTGGATATGAAATTCTGGGTTGAAAATTCTTTAAGAATGTTGAATATGGGCCCCCACTCTCTTCTGGCTTGTAGAGTTTCTGCTGAGAGATCCACTGTTACTCTGATGGGCTCCCCTTTGTGGGTAACCCGACCTTTCTCTCTGGCCGCCCTTAACATTTTTTCCTTCATTTCAACTTTGGTGGATCCGACAATTATGTGTCTTGGAGTTGCTCTTCTCAAGGAGTATCTTGGTGGCGTTCTCTGTATTTCCTGAATTGAATGTTGGCCTGCCTTGCTAGGTTGGGGAAGTTCTCCTAAATAATATCCTGAAGAGTGTTTTCCAACTTGGTTCCATTCTCCCTGTGGCTTTCAGGTACACCAGTCAAATGTAGATTTGGCCTTTTCACGTAGTCCCATATTTCTTGGAGGCTTTGTTTGTTTCTTTTCACTCTTTTTTCTCTAATCTTGTCTTCTTGCTTTATTTCATTGAGTTGATCTTCAGTCTCTGATACCCTTTCTTCCACTTGATCAATTCGGCTACTGATACCTGTGTATGCTTTATGAAGTTCTCGTGCTGTTGTTTTCAGCTCTATCAGGTCATTTATATTCTTCTGTAAACTAGTTATTCTAGTTAGCAATTCATCTAACCTTTTTTCAAGGTTCTTAGCTTCCTTCCATTGGGTTAGAACATACACTCCTTTAGCTTGGAGGAGTTTGTTATTACCCACCTTCTGAAGCTTACTTCTGTCAATTTGTCAAACTCATTCTCTGTCCAGTTCTGTTCCCTTGCTGGCAAGGAGTTGTGATCCTTTGGAGGAGAAGAGGTGATCTGCTTTTTGGAATTTTCAGCCTTTTTTTGCTGTTTTTTCCTCATCTTCGTGGATTTATCTACCTTTGAAGTTGGTGACCTTCAGCTGGGTTCTCTTGAGTGGACGTCCTTTTTGTTGATGTTGATAGTATTCCTTTCTGTTTGGTGGTTTTCCTTCTTAACATTCAGGCCCTCTGCTGCAGGTTGGCTGGAGTTGACTTGAGGTCCAGTCCAGACCCTGTTTGCCTGGGTATCACTGGTGAAGGCTGCAGAACAGCAAAGATTGCTGCCTGTTCCTTCCTCTGGAAGCTTCGTCCTACAGGGGTACCCGCCAGATGCCAGCTAGAGCTCTCCTGTATGAGGTGTCTGTTGGCACCTACTGGGAGGACCCACTTGAGGAGTTAATCTGTCCTTTATCAGAGCTCCAATGCTGTGCTGGGAGATCTGCTGCTCTCTTCAGAGCTGCCAGGCAGGGACGTTTAAGTAAGTCTGCTGAAGCTGCGCCCACAACTGCCCTTTGTCCAAAGTGCTCTGTCCCAGGGAGGTGGGGGTTTTATCTGTTAGTCCCTGACTGGGGCTGCTGCCTTTTTTTCAGAGTTGCCCTGCCCAGAGAGGAGGGAATCTAGAGAGGCAGTCTGGCTGCAGTTGCCTTGCTGAACTGCAGTGGGCTCCGCCCATTTTGAACTTCCCAGTGGCTTTGTTTACACTGTGAGGGTAAAACTGCCTACTCAAGCCTCAGCAATGGTGGACGCCCCTCCCCCCATGTTGGAGCATCCCAGGTCAAGCTCAGACTGCTGTGCCAGCAGCAAGAATTTCAAGCCAGTGGATCTTAGCTTGCTGGGCTCTGTGGGGGTGGGACCCACCGAACCAGACCACTTGGCTCCCTGGCTTCAGCCCCCTTTCCAGGGGAGTGAATGGTTCTGACTGGTGTTTCAGGTGCCACTGGGGTATGAAAAAAAAAAACTGCGGCTAGCTTTGTGTCTGCCCAAAACAGCCATCCAGTTTTGTACTGGAAACCCAGGGCCCTGGTGGCGTGGGCACTGGAGGGAATCTCCTGGTCTGCGGGTTGCAAAGACTGTGGGAAAAGCACAGTATCTGGGCTGGATTGCAAGATACAGTCCCTAACAGTCCCTAATGGCTTCCCTTGGCTGGGAGAAGGAGTTCCCCGACCCCTTGCGCTTCCCAGGTGAGGCAACGAACTACCCTGGCTTTGGCTTACCCTCACAGGGCTGCACCCACTGTCCAACCAGTCCCAGTGAGATGAACCAGGTACCTCAGCTGGAAATGCAGAAATCACCCGCCTTCTGTGTCGATCTCGCTGGGAGCTGCAGACCAGAGCTGTTCCTATTCAGCCATCTTGCCAGCAATCCCAGTTATGGCTCTTAATGTCTGTTTTTAGTTTAAATACGTAGGGATTTTTGGAGTGTATCAGTGTATTTTTTGACACTTCTACTTCCATATTTGACTTGTAAAAACATAACATGTTGGTAATAATTTTTTTTTTCCTCCAGTTTGGCTCTACAGCATGACCAAATGGAATTTATGCCAGGAATGCAAGGTTGGTTTAACAGAAAGTTGGCCAGGTGCAGTGGCACATGCTTAATTTCAGCACTTTGGGAGGCCAAGGTGGGTGGATTGCTTAAGCCCAGGAGTTTGAGACTGGCCTGGACAACATGGCAAAACCCTGACTCTACTAAAAACACAACATTTAGCAGGGCATGGTGGTGTGTGCCTGTGGGCCCAGCTACTATAGAAACTGAGGTAGGAGGATGGCTTGAGCTCAGGAGGTTGAGGCTGCAGCAAGCCATGACTGCGCCACTTCCTTCCAGCATGGGTGACAGAGCAAAACTCTGTCTTAAAACAAAAACATTTGAAAATCAGTGTAATGTACCATATTAATAGAATAAAGGATAAAAACCACATGACTACTTCAGTAGATGCAATGTATGTTTGTTGAGTGTTTTTATCATGGAAGGGATTTGGATTTTTGTAAAAGACAAACTATACAGAAGGCAACATCCTCAACCAGATAAAGCTTATCAATAAAAAACCCACAGCTAGCATCATAATTAGTGATGAGAGAAAGCTTCTCCCTAAGATCAGAAGACAAGGATATCCACTATTGCCACCTAATAAGCATTGTACTAGTGGCTCTAGCCAGGACCGTTTGGCAGGAGAAAGAAAGAAAAGGCATCCAGATTGAAAAGGAAGAGTTCAAACTATCTCTGGTTGCAAACAACATGACCTTCAATGTAGAAAATCCTAAGGAATCCACAAAAAAGAAAAAGTTTGATGTTGCATGATGCAATGTCAATATACAGAAGCAATTGTATTTATATACACAATCCAAAAACAGGAAATTCCATTTTTTTTACAGTAGCAATACTTAGAAATAAATCTAACAAAAGTATGAGACTTAGCAAAAATTATAATCCACTGTTAAAAGACATTAAAAACCCAATAAATGGAAAGACATCTCATGTTCATGGACTGGAAGGCTTAATATGGCAATATTCTCCACATTTGCTTTATGTCATGAATACAACGCTTATGAAAATCCCAACTGCCTTTATTTTAGTATAGAAATTGACAAGCTGATCCTGCAATTCATATGGAAATACAAGGGACCTAGAATAGCCAAAACAACCTAGAAAAAACAAACTTAGGACTCTCGCTTTCAAAATTTCCTACAAAGCAACAGAAATCAAGGCAATGTGGTATTGGCATAAGAAGATATTATAGATCATTAGAATACAATTAAGAATCTATAAATAAACCCATACCTCTATAGTTGATTTTTGACAATGGGAAAAAAATCCTTTCCATAAATGGTGCTCTGACAATTGAATAGCCACGTTAGAAGAACGAAGTCAGATCTCTCTTTCATATCATATATGAAAATTAACTCAAAATGGATCAAAGACCTAAATGTAGGAGATATAACTATAAAATTCTTAAAACTTAGTCGTAAATATTCATAACCCTGGATTAGGCACAAGCAACCAAAGAAAAAATAAGTTGGACTTAAAAACAGTGTTTCAAAGGACATTATGGAGAAAGTGAAATGATTCAGAGTCCGTGTGATTGTAATCACATGCTGACAACACTCAGTCTAAGTCAGACTTCTGTTGTATTCTCACCACTCAATTTGTTTTTTTTTTTTAGCAGTATTTAATGGGTACATTTTAGAGTCTTCCATTTTGTGTGGAATTAGATCCTCCCCTTCAAATGCTGTAATTAACATTACTTAAAAAAAAAAACTTGAATATTGAAACCTAAAAAAGTGAAAAGCCCACAGAATGAAGAAATAGTTGCAATTTATATGTACATAAAAGAGTAGTATCCAGAATATATAAAGAACTCCAGCAAGTCAACAATGAAACGACCTAATTAAACAGACATTTTTCTTCAAAAATAGACAAATGGCTAATAATCCTACGAGAAGATTTACATTAACCATTAGGTAAATGAAAATCTAAACTATGATGAGACACTACTTCATATACAACTTGGATGGCTACAGCCAAAATAACAACATGCTTTGGTGCCAAGAAGTGAGATAGAAAAGTTCACATACTATATGTTTCCATTTATATGAAATGTCCAGAATAGGCAAATCCATGGAGACTGAAATTAGGAAAATGGGAAAAAGTCAAAGTACTTTTTAATCCCGCTTATTAGAAATGACGCCTAGGTTCCTCTATACTTACATGTAAAATTTTGTTTGCTTGGTAGGTATCTTAAGGTATACATAATTTTCTGTCATTCCTTCATTATATTTTGAACATTTTCCATGTCATCGACATGGGCTGTTTCCTCCAGTATTTTACTGTCAGGCATCTAGGATGTTGCGAACTCTTGATGCTGTCATTCTAAATCTACATATAAATAAATATTTTAAATAAATCTGTCTGAATTTCATTTCATAAGGAAAATTCTAAGAAGCAGAATTATATAATGAAAAGATGATTTTCGTGGCTGTTAACCTGAGATGATGAATAAACCAAAGTTTGTGTAATGGTTTTATTGCCCTTTACCAAGGGGAGAAAAATACACATTACAGAAATAGCAGCAACTTTAATTACAAGCAAAGGTTGATTTTATTCCCACACCCCCAATGACTTGTTTTGGTTTCAGCAAATAATTTATTAATAAATGCATCTAGTAAACCTCAAATAGTTATACTGAATATTTAAATTCATTGGCTAAAATTATGGCTTAAACAGTTGATATGTGAACCAAACACCACAATAAAAATGGGTTTTTAAAAATTAAGGTATATAACAAATAAATTACCAAATTTTCTGTAAACCTGCCAAACTTCTTGCCTGGGGGCCTCCTATCTCTATTAGTTGTAAAAGAATATTGTATAAAAGAAATGATTCATTCACGGCCTAACCCACAGGAATACAGTTAACTTATACTGGTGCCCTGCTTTCAAGAATGTTTGAGATGAACTCAGCAGCACAGTGTTTTATTTCAGATACTTGAAAAGATCACAGCTCTTTATAATGGTAAATCATTTTTATTGACTGAATATTCACACCAAACACAAAAGCAATGCTGGTTCTTCTCCTTAATGGACTAGGATAGGAGAAGAGAGTTCAGTTTAGTTTCTTGCTGGGCTGCATGTACTCACATGCAAAACATTATCTTTAAGATTCAGGGAAAGGTGGTTTGAAACAAAGACTTAAATAAAAATAGCACCAGAAGGACCAGGTACCAATAATCACATACTCCACCCATTCGGGAGTTTCATTTTGTGAAATATTATTGCACTTGTAATGTAAAAAGTAAATGATAGTAAATTACCCAACTCAGTAATTTTAAATACTTCGATGTATTCTGAACTAAGCAGTTTCAAAATGGTTTTGAGTTTCTCTTCAAAGGAAACCTGGCTAAGACAACTAAATCTAGCCATTTACTTTAAAAAGCAAGGAGAGAGGACCAAGTTTTGTTTCTAAACTACAACTGCACTATGAGAAAAGAGGCTATTTTAGATAGTGGTACGAATTTGGTCCACATCAAATACATCGTTATTATAAAAATAAACAAGTTTGTTTTTTGTAAAAAATAACATTGCATTCCTTGTTCAAATTGCACAGTACAAACAAGCTGTCTTAATACTGTTATAAGGTAATTAGAATTACATACAGTGGATGGGTGTTTAAAGCAATTAAGGAGTATGCAGTTGTTTTCATAATGTATGAAAACAAATTTAAGTCATTTCTAGAAGTACATAAAATACTTTAAGTTTACAATGAAGAATGCATTCTTTACACACTAATTTTTAGTAGCCGTGGTAATACAGGATTCAGCAGTCTATTTACATAGAAGTCCATCTTTATTCAATTTACAAAAGCAATAAATAAGAGACTATGTTAATTTGCACAAAACTTGCTGCATTTCATGATCAGTGTGACCATTTCTGTTACTTCATGACCAAGCCAATAAACCTGTCTTCCTCAGTTTTGCAGAGGAGCAAGCCCTGTCTTTGTATGTGTAGACATGCAGAATCCAGCATTAAAACCTTGCAAATTATAATACAAGCCCTAAAATATGAACAGTGCCTTTGAATATATTTACACAAGAGTATTCACAAAAAGATACTGTTCTTTAATACAAAATAGTTTAGTGGTATCTAACAGCAAAATTGAGAAGAACCCCCTCAGACCTCTGCCCACATTGGTCTAATGGGAATCAAGCTTGCTAAAACAAGCACATTAACTCACAGGTAAATAGCTTCCATCAATTCTGGACTGGGATTTGACTGGCTAGTAAAGCCAAGGAGAATGTTTCCATCACACTGGCACATATTGTGCCCCAGGGTAGCAATCTATTCAGGAGGACTGATTAAAGAGTCCAGCTGTATCCAAGGGAGCAAACAGGTAGCTCAAGTACCTGACAGACTATAGCAAGCACCTTAGCATTTATTTTTTAAAAAGCAATCTGGACATAATGCAGAACCGGGAAATGTGAGAAGATGTAAGTAGTGAAAAAGTAAGCTCACCTGGGGCAAAACAATTCCTGTGGTTTAAGAGCTACCAACCTTTGAGTAAAACCAAAATATTCTCATGTACATCTGTACAATATTTACTTTTCACTGCAGCTTAAAATTTTTTTATGAAAGATGCTTTATATCACATTTTTATGGAGTCAAAAAGATTTCTTAGACAAGAAAGAATTAGTTAAAATCTACTAATACTTACCGAAGAGTCTCTGAACTGAGTTCTCCTGTTAAATCATCCAACTATGTTACAACGTACTGAGCTGCACGCTGCTGCTAATTAATACTGCCCCTTTGTGATGGAACCTCACTGTTAGGACACAGAACAGTCGTAAGTCCCATCCTGAAAAGGTTCTTCCTCCTCTGCTTGGGCTGTGTCCTCCTCTTTCCGGCTGACCATATTGCTGCTTCCAACTTCACCCTGGGGGATGCTTCCATGGCTGGAGGAGCCCCTGCTCTCCTCTGCCCGGGGGCTAGTCTGTTCTGGAGTCTTACCCATAGTTATTGGTTGGAAGGCATCTGGCTGGACCTGCTCTTCTGTTATCTCACTGAGCTTCTGCAGTTGTGGCTTAATGATGTTTAAAAATGGCTTATATCCAGGACTATGTAGAGAAAAAAAACATTAGCTCATCTGCCATAATTCAAAAGGTTTGGTAGAACATTACGGGTGAACTTCTACTGAACATTGATATGGTAAAGACGACGATAGATTAGGAGGGGAGAGAGGAGGCAAAGAAGGTAGGGAGGAAAGGCTTCTTGGCTGTCCTGCCCAGCAGAGGGGGCTGCACATTGCATAAGCCTGAGGCTTAAGTTTCTAAGCATTAGGGGCAAAGGCTGATGTTTTAGAACCAGTATTACAACTAAAAATTATATTTTACAATTGAAAGGCCAACAGGAGCTTAGACTTGAAAAAGGACCTTCAGACAACATTTAACCTAAATGCATTTGCCAATTAAGGAAAACCAGATCCAAGTAAGGGAAGTAACTAGCTCCAAATACACACATTAACTGGTAATAAAGACAGGGCTAGAGTCCAAGGCTCTTAACTGCAACCACAACTCTAATTTGGATTTGCTTGTAACTGCCATGGAATGTTAAATTCACATGGACCTTAAGTTTGAATCTTTTCAAGTAGATATTTGTAGACCATTGCTTTCAATTTCACAGGGATGCAAATCTGAAGTTCCAGTCTAATTCTAAGCTCATTTGCACTGCATCAATCTTAAGTCAGTGATATACATTCACACTATAAATTATACACTGACCAACAGTGTAACCTTACTCGATGGAATTATCCATTTAAATAGCTGGGTATAGAATGATTACTAAAGAAAGTAGCTTAAAAATGAACATATAATAAATAATATATAATAAATAAATAAAATGTAACACATGAACCATAACTAGGCCTTAATGTGAAAGGACAGGATTCACCAAAAGACATGGAAGGACACCAAGCCTAAGGAAAGCAGCACTTACCAGTCTGTAGAGGCCCATCGGTCCACTGCATGGAGCCCTGTCTTTATGTTCTGTAACATCTCTCCATCTACCTCTGAAGACTGTGTAATAACCAAAATCTGATTGATTATTGAGGATTCTCTAAGAATCAGGCCTATAACGATGCACCAGTCTAGGCACCCTGCCTCCATGAAAATGTGTAGCAAATACCTAAATATAAGCAGAAACAAAATGATTTATGCTAAGAAAGATCTATAAGATGTACAGAAGTGCAATGATTATTAGGAGAGTAGCCCCATACCTATTTGCCCAAATACTCTGAGTAGGCATTCTGTGATTTCAAATAGCCAAGAAACTCACCGAAGCTGGACCTGGGATTTATGAGGCCCTTTACTGGCCAACTCCATGGAAATGTGCTCCAGCTCTGACTGAGTTAAACTGAGTGTAGAGAAATTTTCATCCACCATTGTCCAGTCGCCATCCACCATGGAGCTACTTTCAGTCAAGTCTGTGGCTGAACCAATACTGCATTCATCACCTGATGAAGAATTGCCAAAAGTTACAACCAACTTCGTGGAGAAAATATATTTTCCTTTAATTTTAAATATTAGCTGTTCCTCAGATGTTGATTTCTCAGGATCTTGAAACTAAAACATGAAATCCATGGCTAAAATTACCATGTGAACATAGAAAACATTTAAAGAAAGAATTAGATAACCGACATTATGTACCTTTAGATGGAAAAATATACTACCACCACCTATGAAGCAGTCTTCCCCAACTCCCTCAATAAAATCTAGCTAGAGTTTGACCAAGTCTTTACATTCAGCTACTACAGGAAATAGAGGAAACTGTTAAACTAAACCATGGAGATGTAATAAGCAAAATCATTATTGTGAGAAAATCCACAAAACCAAATTTCTTCCATGAATAAACTGCAAGGAAGGGAAAAGGAGAGGGTGGGGGAACATCCACTTAAAAAGAGAATTAAGAACACAATCACAATATGTGAACCTTATTTAAATCTTAACCTATACAAAATTATGATGTCTATGAAACAATTAGAAATCTGAATACTTAATGGATATTTGATGGTACCAAGGAATTATCAAATTTTTATAGGGATGATAATGGTATTTTGGTCATAATTCTTAAAGAGTCCTTGTAGGAAAAAAACTGAAATATTTATAGATAATATGTCATGGATTTTCTTCAGTTAATACAAGAGTGGGGAGGTACAACAAACATATGTGGCCATTAGTGATGTAAGCTGAGTGACGGCCACATGGGGGAGGGAGGAGAACCCACTATATTATTAACTGTACTTTTTAATATATTTGAAATTATCTCTTGAAAAAAGTTTTCTAAAGTGATGGCACCATCTCACACCCATTAGGATGACTACTATCAAAAAACTGAAAGTGAGTGTTGGTGAGATGTGGAGAAAATAGAACCCTTGTCCACTGCTGATAATTTAAAATGGTGCAGTTGCTATGGGAAACATGGCGATTCCTCAAAAAAAATGCAAGTAGAATTATGACCCAGCAGTCCCATTTCTGGATATATATACCCAAAATAACTGAAAACAGAGTCTCACAGAAATATTATATACCCACATTCACAGCAGCATAATTCACAATAGCCAAAAGTAAAAGCAACCCAAGTGTCCATCATCAGAAGAATACACAAAACGTGGTATCTGCATACAAAGGAATAAAACATGCTCCAAAAAGGATGAACATGAGGACATTATGCTAAGTGAAATAAGCTGGTCAGAAAAAGACAAACACTATATGATTTCCTTATATGAAGTACCTAGAATAGTCAAATTCAGAGAGAAAAAATAAAATGGTGGTTGCCACTGGCTGGGGGAAGAAGGTATGAGGAGCTGCTGTTATTAAGTAACATATACAGAGTTTTCGTTTTGAAGATGAAGAGCATTCTGGAGGCTGATTGCAGAACAATGTGGGCATAATTAACACTACAAACTCTGCTTAAAAACGGTTAAGCTGTTAAATTGTGTATTCTACCACAATTTAAAACAAAACTAATGAGATCTGTAAGCCTCCTCACATAGCAGAAGCTCAGGTAATAGTGATGACAGACTGATAATCAAACATTAGACAAATGCCTGGCCACTAAAAAAACTGCAAACTCAGACAAATTGTTGTTTAAGCTCCTATACTATATAACCCTATGCCAACACAAATTGCTTCAAAACCTCTTCAGTTTGTGATTTACCCATTACTACAGAGCAGAGGTTGGTGTACATTTTTTTGTAAAAGCACCAGATAGTAAATACTACAAGCTTTTAAGGCCAAGAGGCAAAATCAAGGATATTATGTAGGAACTTATATAGCAAGAGAAAAAGCAAATGTCCACAATTTTTATTGATGAAATAAAAAACATTACCTCCTCACATATTCCAAAAGAAAAATAAATAAAAAACATAAAAATGATAATGCAGTAAAATTTGTTATGATCCACATCTAATTATGATAAAAATGGAATTCTTTATATGAGGATAACATTTTGCTTACTTGGGGCTCAAAGTTAGTGTTTCCTTATCATCAAAATTGATTTACAAAGATTCATCTATTAATGTTGATCTGTACTATTTATTTTGTTCACATAAAATAAATATGGCAAAGTACAGTCAAGGCCAGTTTGGCCTTGTTCTACAAACTTTCTACCTCTCCAGTGGATACAAATGGTTAATCCTCCATCACGATAGAAAAAGAATGAAGGTCTATCTCTGAAGTGCTATAGCACATAAATTTTCTTCAAAGGAACTGAAGAGCTAGGATTTAAAATTACATTTACCTTTATTAGATAAAGGTGACAAGAAGGCATCTTGCATTTGTGGTCCATGGGATGAAGCTGTGTCTATCTCATGATGGGTGGGGCCAATGTTGCTGAGCCAGCTCTGACTTCGCTGGATGTTGGAGATGCCAGCATCCATCTCAAGGTTCAAAAATGGGTCAGCTGATTGAGACTTTAACAGCTGCTCTCCCACTGCAGAGTGGGTCCGAAAACAAAAAATGGAGGAAGAAATTGAAGATGCACACACTGACATTTTCAATTCAGCTCTTTTAGCTTCCCCTACCTGCCTACCCAATAAGAACAGTTCAAAGGCAATTACTGTCCTGTACTGTATCAGCCACCCCAAAACTAGAGACATGGGATTGTGTAACAATGGACTGACCACAATACCACCTAAAAGTTATATCATCCTATTTCTTACTGGAGCTAGGCAAAACTTTATTATGTTGATCTTCTAAGTGATTTGCTTTGGCTCTTAAGATAACATGAAGTTTCCAAATGCCAAAGTTAAAAGTTTTGGTTTCAATATTCACAAATAATAATAATTAGAACAGTCTTCATAAAAAGTCCTGAATTAAAAAACTTTAAATTTTTATTTCACCAAAATATACACTTTCAGTTTGTCCTCTCCTAGTTTAGAAGGTGGCCTTACTGTTCCCCTGGAATGAGTTCTGTCAGCTTACTTTGAGGTCCATGTCTATCTGATTCCAGAACTCCTTCCCACAATAACATAAGCATGGTAGCTTTTATATTCAGGCAGTTCTCAACTTCTTTATAATCCAAGTATGATTAGATTTTTGAATTAGACTTCAAGGTCACAAGACTTAGAGACATAGGTTCTACTTTATTTACATCTTTGGTCAAACAGTGGGCATTCCAACTCATGTACAAAAAGTTGGCTTTTATCCATTCCTAAGTTTGGAATGAAAATAATTCCTTGAATATCAACTAATAGCAAAATGTGTAAATACACGGAGTAAAATACAATTCTCCTTGTACAAGTGACATGAAGTCTACATTACCAGTTCGGTATTTTCCATTTTTGAAAGGAGAACTGATAGAAGAGGCTGGGATGATTGGAAGTGGCCACAGGAAATCTTTGTGGAGTCTCTTCAGGGCTATTACAAAGTTGTCTACCCGGGCGGCTCGGGTACGTTCCTTGCATAGCCAACTAATTAGTTCAAAGCCCAGCTGGGCTGCAAAGCAGCCAAGGTCCTTTAACCTCACATCTTCTAAGAGGCGCCGAGCATGTCTCCAGAGCATCATGTCAATATACATGTTCTCAGCACAGTCACTGTCTTTGCTCCATCTGTAAGTGGAAACACAAGAAAGCTACAGAATAATCTTTACTGGAGGATTTCACATCCTTATTACGCAGAGGTACTGATAAAGCTGACAAGGAGATAAGAGATCCAAGATCTAATTCTGATTGACAATGAAGATAAAGTATCAACGCTTCTCCTCCGTGTTACACCACAACCCTCGGAACACAGAAGGCTCTTAAGACACATTTGTAGAATGAATACAGGGAACAGGAAAAGGGGGACAGAAGAAGTCAGACCAGGAAGCAGGTGATGGGTGGCTGACAGAAAGAAAGGCAGCAAACCTCTATGCTATATTTGAAAAGCCCAATGAAAAGAGGGAAGGAGAGCACATCAAAGAAACTAAGGATAGAGAGGCAAAGTGAAATTAAATTTCTCAGTGTGAGTCATGCAGACATATGAAAAGAATACCAACTTTTTTTTTCTTAAATGACAAGGTTTCACAATGTCACCCAGTCTGGAGTGCAGTGGTGTGATCATAGCTCACTGCAACCTCAAACTCCTGGGCTCAAGCTATCTTCCCCACCTCAGCCTCCCAAGTAGCTGGGACTACAGGTACTTGCCACCATGCCTAGCCAATGTATTTTTATTTTTGCAAGGATGGGATCTTGCTGTGTTGCCCAGACTCATCTTGAACTCCTGGCCTCAAGCAATCCTCCCACCTTGGCCTCCCAAAGTGCTGGAATTACAGGTGTTAGCCACCTTGCCAGTCCTGAAACCAATTTTTAAAAATTACAACTTGCCTAAGTATAGTCTCTCATTCCTGACTTACATGAGCTAATGTGGGGGAACTGGTTTGGTAACTGGATAATGTGGTGCTTTAAGTGAGAGGCAGTTTAGTGGTGGGGTAAAGAGCCTAGTCTCTGGTGCAGTACTGCCTGGATTCGGATCTTGGCTCTGCCACTCATTTGTTGTGTGAACATAACTAAGTTTATTTTCCTAGGCCTCTGTTTCTTCACCTATACAATGTGGATAACCCTCATAGAGTTGTTTAAAATAGGACCTATGTATGTAAATGCTTAGAATAAGGCCTGGCATGTAGTAAGCACTTGTTAAAAAACAGTAAAACAGGCTGGGCATGGTGGCTCATGCCTGTAATCCCAGCACTTTGGGAGGCAGAGGCAGGCGGATCACCTGAGGTCGGGAGTTTGAGACTAGCCTGACCAATACGGAGAAACCCCGTCTCTACTAAAAATACAAAATGAGCCAGGCGTGGTGGTGCATGCCTGTAATCCCAGCTACTTGGGAGGCTGAGGCAGAAGAATCACTTGAACCTGGGAGGCGGAGATTGCGATGAGCCGAGATCAAGCCATTGCACTCCAGCCTGGGCAACAAGAGCGAAACTCCATCTCAAAAAACAAAAAAACCCAGTAAAACATGACAATAACAAACGTTCAATAAGCTCTCACTATGTGCCCAAGCACGGTAGTAAGAATATAAACATATGTTCATGTTGTCCTGGGGAAAAAAAAAAAAAGAGAATATGAACAATATAAAACAAAGGATTAGGTAAGGAAAAAAATGAGACAACAACAGAAGAACATAGGAAGGAATACACAGGCCTCACAAACCAGAGGAAATTCTCATGATTTTATAATGTTAGTGTGAATTCATAGTCATCTCTCAGAAGACAATATCCCATCTATGGGTGATAGCAGTTTCAGTCTCCAGCATACAATTCATTTGGCTCCCCGACTGTGTAATAACTTCTCTAATCAATAGGTCACAAGAGTGTCAAATGCATTAGCACTAAATTTATATCAAAAAGTATAATTAGAAGGAAAGGTAAAATTACGACTTTAAGAAGGCTTTTGGATTACCTACAGATTTATCTATCTTCCTTTTGGTCCTCTATCATCAGAGGTAATTTAAAAGTTTGTTGCATTTTCAAATCAAAACCACAACGCAATGCCACCTTACTCCTGCAAGAATGACCATAATCAAAAAACAGTAGATGTTGGCATGGATGTGGCCATCAGGGAACACTTCTACACTGCCGGTGGGAATGTAAACTAGTACAGCTGCTATGGAAAACAGGGTGGAGATTCCCTCAATAACCAAAAGTAGAACTACCATTTGATCCAGCAATCTCACTACTGGGGTTCTACCCAGAGGAAAAGAAGTCATTCAAAAAAGATACTTGCACACACGTTTATAGCAGCACAGTTCACAACTGCAAAATCGTGGAACCAACCCAAATGCCCATCAGTCAACGAGTGGATAAAGAAACTTGTATATACGTATATATGATGGAATACTACTCAGCCATAAAAAGGAATGAATTAACAGCATTTGCAGTGACCTGATGAGATTGGAGAGTATTATTCTAAGTGAAGTAACTCAGGAATGGAAAACCAAATGTAGTATGTTCTCACTGATATGTGGGAGCTAAACCATGAGGACGCAAAGGCATAAGAATGATACAATGGACTTTGGGGACTTGGGGGAAAGGCTGGGAGGGGGTGAGGGATAAAAGACAACAAATATGGTGCAGTGTATACTGCTTGGGTGATGGGTGCACCAAAATCTCACAAATCACCACTAAATAACTTATTAATGTAACCAAATACCACCTGGACCCCAGTAACTTATGGGAAAAAAAAGTTTGTAGCATTTGGCCAGGTAGGGTGGCTCACGCTTGTAATCCCGGCCCTTTGGGAAGCAGAGGCAGGTGGATCCTTGAGGCCAGGAGTTCGAGACTAGCCTGGGCAACATGTTGAAACCCCGTCTCTACTAAAAATATGAAAATTAGCCGAGTGTGGTGGCATATGCCTGTAATCCCAGCTACTTGGGTGGCTGAGGCAGGATAATCGCTTGAACCTGTAAGGCGGAGGTTGCAGTGAGCTGAGATGGTGCCACTGCATTCCAGCCTGGGTGACAGAGTGAGACTCTGTCTTAAACAAGTTTGTTACATTCAGAACAGGTACATGAAGATCTATTCCAGAAAAAGGGGCAGAAACTATTCAGAGGGTGCTGAAGTGAACTTGGGAGGAAGGAAAAAGGGAAGCCTTCTGTGTGGCCTCTGCTTTTTGGGAATGGAAAAAGAAACTGCAATTGGATTAAATAGTTGTTTCCATTAAGACCTAATTTTGTAAATGTCTTGAAATGCAATGTGTCATGAATGCCCAAAAAGCAGTAATGGCTCTTTATTATTTTACCTTTTTCCAGAGGGACCAGATGGCATACTTAGTGTTTTCTGTAAACTGAATTTACTGGCAGGAACATTTTCAGCTGACTGGGATAAACTGATGCTTCGATTCCTGAAGAACTCAAATCCACCACTTGAACTGGGTTCCTAGGATTACACACCATATGCAGTACCATTAGAGAAAGATGCTACGTGGGTGTATGGCCTAGAGAAGATGTGTAACTTTTGCAACTAACCTGAGCTGTGGGTGTGGATGGAGGTGTCTCAGATTCTCCAGAGCCAATGGCTTTAAGAAATCGAATCATGTGTCGACAAAGGTCCCACTTGCCTTGTTCTAGTGCTGTGTTGAATAGAAGGGTAGCATGTTGCCTACTTACTGCAGGGACTTCCATATTCTACAAAAAACAACCAGGACAGCATTCTTTTTATACTACACAATTTGGGAAGATATGAGCAATTCTTTATCTCGTTTTCTAAACTCAAAGAATGTAGCCACACCACCACAGGGGTTAGTTTAATAATAAGATTAAAAAGTACCATACAAGGAAAAGCGAGGCAAGTACTCTTCTGGTGTATGTAAACTATAATTTATTAAACTCCTACTACATGCCAGATAGCATACATATACTTTAAGTCATTTCATTTATTTCTCCCAGTGACTCTGCAGATAGGCATATCATTTGTATTTTACAAGTGAGGAAACTGAGTTAAGTAAATTGTTGAAGATCAGCAGAAAAGGAAGAAAAAAAAGGGAGGTTTGCCTGACTCCAAAATAGGTCAGGTCTGTCTCCTGTTGCAGAGTTTTCTGAGGATGTGACTAGAATCTTTGCTTTGGGCAATAGCAAGTAGTAAAGTTCTGCTGCACATTCAGAATCCTCCATTTTTCTTTCACAAATTTAACCTGCCTATCTTGGTCTTTATGGAAAGGTGCCTAATAGACAACTGTAATTGTAATTATTATCTGCCAATCCATAGCAACTTAGGAATTCTGTTGCAGAAAAAAATTACATTGTCAGGGAGATACAGTGAAGTTGCAGGGAGTGACCCGGAACCAAAAAACAGCTGCATTTATTTTGATTCTATTTTTAAAACCCTATGTCTTTTTCTTTAGGGTTAGCCATGGAATCATACTTCAAGGCCACCTGGCCTCTGCTTGAGTGTCTCCTCTGGTTTCAGTTCATTGTCATGAAGCAAAGAAGCTGACAGGAAATCTGCTTCAGGCAGAGATTGAAACCAGGTTTATGGTTAGCTTCTTACATCAATGGAAACAACTTTGCAGTAACTGGAAAGAATCTTTAAGTGTAGCCTATCAAATAACCAACTGTCAAGCCCTTTTGTCAAATAGCTAATGAAATAAATTTTCAGGAGTTGCAAAGAAGCCATTATTTTGAGAAAAACTGTGTGCTATGAGGGTCTTTGCTGTGGCAGGCCTGAGCCTTCTCAGCTTGCTTTGGGGAAGACTAGCTCAAGGTGCTCTGTTATGACCATGCTCTAATAAGTGTCCCCTCAGTAACCCACACTGAAAGGAAACAAATCTACTGTTGTGAGAAGCTCAAACTCACTAATATCTCAAATAATACTTTCTTTGCTATGTTTCTTATGTAATATTTCAATAATCTTATGTAATATTTCTTCCATGTTCCTATTACATGTATTCTAATATACATATTAAATTTCTTCAATATATTAAAATTTCAAAACACTACTCTGAACTCATTAATCTGTTTTAGGCCTATTTATGGACAATGGAAAAAATATCTCTGCAATGTTACTTTATGATATTCAAAGGAATCTGTCTGAATTCTTCCAAATTAAAGATATAAACAGAAAATTTGACTATGAATTCCTTAAACACAATCATGGTGTCAAAACAGGACATTTCTATTTTTCTAAGTTTAAGCTCATTAATTCTTGCCCCTTTATAAGAAGAGAATTGTTACCTGTAAGATAATAAGGTAAGAGGCAGCTGTGTCCAAATCCTGAGCCATCAAACACTCCTCAAACAAGTCCTTAGGGTTTCCAACAGCTGCAAAAAGGTAATTCCACAGGGCATATTCGGTCTTCCTGGCACAATGGACAACTGTCTGCAGGAAGAGGGGGAACTCAGTGATAAATTTTGCCACAGTGGGAAGCAGAGGGTCGGGAATGGGCTCCCGTGAGGTAGCTTCTTCTTCCAGTACTTCATGGAGCATGAGCTCCAGCACATGAGGGAAGTAAGGTAATGTGGCACAGGACTGGGCCAAGAGCAAGGCTTGCTCCCCAAGGTTTCTGACCAGAAGTTGACGTAGAATGTGGTGGAGGTAGATCTGAGAGGTTCTCTCCACAACACAGAAAGGGAAGAGCACCTCCAGCTGTTCTCTAGCATTGTTCCGAGTATATAAAGAATCATAGAGCAAAGTGTCATTGACAGCACCAAGGACTAAAGCATCTTCAAACAGAACAGCTAGCGGGTAAATGTTGATGTGGAAAGGCAGCATGATCCGCTGGGACAAGAAGGAATGGGGCTTGCGGTGATCCCTAGGGAAGAGAGGGAGCCAAACTTTCATCCCTGCACCACCACAGCTCAGCCAGAGGGCCTCCAGAAGGTGACGTTTCTGTTTATTTGCTCGACACGTTGTCCAGACATTTTCAACAGACTGGGCTAGTACAACAGGAGGACAGAATGGCAGCTGGAGAAGGAGAGACAAGAATCAAGTTGTTTTCCTATTAAATCTGCAGGTTCTTAAGTTCCTAGGTACTAGTTTACTAAGTCTTTCAAATGATAGTATAATATTTTTTTGGGAAAAGCAAAGGGATCTAATTAGAATTAGAGTTAATAAAAGTATCCTGGCCTTTTAAAGTATATACACTTAAATCTGAAAACAAAACACCCCATGAACTTCACCAGTCTATCCCTATTTTTTCCATTAGAATTTGCAATGAATGATGCCTAAGCAGTTAACATATGGAGTATGGAACATTTCATGATCATTTTGGGACCTTATCCTCCAGTCAGTCAGTCTTACACCCAGAGGCTTAAGACTGATTTTATGGACTTAATTTCTCCTTTCCAAATCATAAAATACTCTTCTCTTAAATTGTTTCATTCCTTCATCCTCATCCCATACCTTCTTAATGTTTGAAAAGAAATGACTAGTACTTTACTCACAAGTTTCCTTTGGTTATTAGGGTTACTGTCCTTCTCCCGGATCTGTGGGCCTGACCTGTCCCTCTGCATCATGATGAGCTGTCCTGCCAGGTTTAACATAATGCTCTCTGCACCACGAGCCTGAAATTTAAGAAAAAGCAGCTAAATTCATACTTCTGTATCGGTATGCTTTCCGCATCTCCCCCCAATCCATAAGGTTTATAGGTCAAACAATCTACATTATTTATTGAGGTTGTACTATGTACAGCCATTCTGCTAGGCTCTGTGGGAATATAAGGAGCTTTCTGGCTAGGATGGTACAAAGCCTAACACATAATGCAATTAATGAACACCACCAGTGACATAAGATTGAGGGCAGAGTTGAATTATCCTGAAAAAGCTAAGACAACTTTAGAAGTTTATAAAAATGAGAGATCACTTCAGTGATCTAGCTGTCATAACAACAGAAAGTTTAAAAGGATGCAGTGAACCTGACAGATGAGGAAGACATACACGTGTGGGAGAGTAAGGGTTGGTAATCTAATGGAAAACGAAGACATGGAACTATTGGGAAAGTGAGAACAGTCTGGCTAGACTAGGGACATTATGAGAACAAAGCTGGATGGTAACAGACCTTCAAGGAGGATTCAGAAAGCCAGGTAAAAGAGCAGCAGGAAAGAAGCCACTACTTATGGTTCTTGAATAAGACAGTTATTTAAAAAATCAGAGTTAATCAGGATAGGTTACTGAGGAGAGGCAGATTTCATGGGTGTTGACTTCAGAAATGAGGAAATAGTCTGCCTTTTTATAATGAAAAATTTCAATCAAACCTCAGAGAGCCTAGTATAATGATTTCCAATTGAGCCCTATCACGCAACTTAAACCATTATGCACATTAAACTTTGAGCAGCCCTGTTTTAAAAGGAACCTCAGATATCAAGTCATTTCTATCTGTAAAGAGGAAGGAACATTTTGGTTAAAAAACAGAACTTACTGCTATCCTAGACATGAAAGGTAGAAAAAGAGATGAACCAAAGATGATTTCCAGGTTAGCTGAGGTGCTAGAGAAGTTGAAGTTATTATCACTGATAGAAGACAGGAAGAGAAATTAGGGAAGGGAAAACCAAAGAGTTTCCCTTTTTCTTTTTGGCTCATTTAATTTGAAAAAATAAAAAAAAATTCTTAAGAATTCCAAGTAAAAATGTGAGCAATCACTAAATCAGAGACGACTGTACCAGCATCAGAAGCTTAAAGGTGAGGCTGGGCCAGGCTGGGCGCAGTGGCTCACACCTGTAATCCCAGCATTTGGTGGGAGGCTGAGGTGGGTGGATCACGAGGTCAGGAGTTCAAGACCAACCTGGCCAAAATGGTGAAACCCCGTCTCTACTAAAAACACAAAAATAAGCCGGGCGTGGTGGCAGGTGCCTGTAATCCCAGCTACTTGGGAGGCTGAGGCAGGAGAATCACTTGAACCCGGGAGACGGAGGCTGCAGTGAGCCAAGATTGCACCATTGCACTCTAGCCTGGGTGACAGAGCAAGACTCCGTCTCAAAAAAAAAAAAAAAAAAAAAAAAAAAGGTGAGGCTGGTAAACTGAAGGAGACAGACAGATGTTTCTCAGGCACACTAGCCAGGGTAAAAAGAGCAGCGGGCCATCACCTGAGCTTTTGGAAGACAAAAGAGAAATAGGGAAGCACAATGCTATACATGCTATATAAACAGAAGGAAAGAATTTCAGGGAGGAAAGAGTGAGTATTCAAAACTTGTGGGATTGTGTCCCAGGCTTTGCTGCATGCTGGCTGGCTGAATTTAAGCTACCAATGATCATTTAGGGTTCATCAAGAAAACAGCAGCCACCCTATATATTCTAGTTGCAAAATACTTGGCTATACAAACTACTCTTGCTTACTGCTTTCAGATTCTACAGGGGATTATGTATAAAGAAATGACTAAATAAAAAAATTGGTTATCTATCCAGAAAGTAATTTGGAGGTATGAGAAGTGAACATGGAATTTAGGTGTGTGGCAACTAGAAGAGTCAGACACCTGGATAACAGTAAAATGTAGCTAGATGGCAGAGGAAAAAGAAAAAGACAAACACCTGCAGCAAAACAGCATGACTGGGAACTGCATACACTAAAACACTTCAAAAGACCTTAAAGGCATTTACTGTAATTCACCACAATATGAGTAATGTTTATAATGACTACCTTAAGTTTTAAGATGGTAGATTTCACCACATTTCATACTAATTCATTAAAAAAGTACACTTCTCTTTTCTTCAGTGAGTGGGTATTATCAGTATCCTATCTTAGTATTCAACACTTTCTGATAACGTTAAAGATGACTGCAACAGCACTCTCAAGCAACTTTAATAAAGCTTTCAGAAAAAGCAAGGGCTACATGTATGCCCAAAATCCTAAATTTGAAGGAACCCCAAACTCAATCTCTTACCCTAAAAAAACCCCTGGCAGATGATTCTCTATGAGAGTTTCAGTAACAAGGAGCTCACTCTCATGGAGAGACTATCTTGCTGTTGAAGAGTTTTCACTGTTACTACTATTTTTTTTGAAAACTTTAGTATTAAATGAAAACTTACTTTGCTCCAGCATTCTTTGTCTTCCCTCTATGGTAATCAGTCAATTTTAACTTCTTAATCTGCTCTAGCCAAATTAAGCACCTTCTCTTTGTGAAAGGCCCTCTCAAAATATGGTATCCAGGACTACTGATGCCACTGGTTGCCTACTCTATCTGGGATATATAAGAGTCCTTTTTTAAATATGAAAACTTTAAACATGATTAAAAGTATGGAGAATAGTATAATGAACTTTCACACTGCCATTATCCAGATTCACAATTATCAAGATTTTGCCTTATGTGCTCCATCCATCCCTTATTTTTTTTTCAGTTTTGTCAGAATATTTTCAATTAAGACATGCTACCCATTTTACTTCTACATGTTTAATATGCATTCCTAAAATATATGGGCATCTGCTAACATAGCTACAATGCTAGTATCACATCCAATAAAATTTACAATTATTCCCTACTTTCTCTCTCCATTAGTATTTAAATATCCCTAATTGTTTCAACAGTGTCTTTTCATAGCTGATTTGAATGAAGATACAAATGAGCTTACTGACTTGGTTCTGCAGGGTAGTGATTATCACATTTGCCTCACAAATGACTTTTAACCACTGCATTTGGTTTTTATGGCTTCAAAGTCTTATTTAATCTAGAAGATTCACTCCTTCTTCCCCCATGTTAGTGACTTGTAGCTGTCCAACAGAATGTCTTGTATTCTGCTCCCTTGTGGTAGGGAAGATGACTCTCTATACTTGATTTGATTTGGGTTCAAGATTTTTGGCAATAATTCTTGTGAACTTCATGTTATATCACCTCAAGAAGCATACCATATCTGGTTTTCCCATTTTTAGTGATAAGACTGATTAGTTCCTCAGGACTGCAAAATGATTTTTAAATTGTCACTTTTTTTCACACCTTTTATCTAAACTTCTGTAAAACAGTATATTCCCTTATCAATTAGGACTAACTGGTTACCATTAAATAAGGTTTGCAGAGGAAATGGGAACTATATTTTAAAGGAGAAAACCAATTTTACCTATAGAAGGGAGACCAAGGCCGAGCACGATGGCTCACGCCCTTAATCCCAGCACTTTGGGAGGCCGAGGTGGGCAGATCATGAGGTCAAGAGATTGAGACCATCCTGGCCAACATGGTGAAACCCTGTCTCTACTAAATATACAAAAATTAGCTGGGCGTGGTGGCGTGCACCTGCAGTCCCAGCTAGTTGGGAGGCTGAGGCGGGAGAATTGCTTGAGCCTGGGAGGCAGAGGTTGCACTGAGCCAAGATTGCACCACTGCACTCCAGCCTGGCGATAGAGTGAGACTCCATCTCAAAAAAAAAAAGAAAAAAGGACAAAAAAAAAAAAAAAAAAAGAAGGGAGACCAAGATGCTTAAGGGGTCTAGAATAAACATCCAATGAAATAGTTGGACATATGGAAGTATTTAGCATGCAGATAAGATGACAGAGAGGTTTGAGGAGAGAAGGAGAAGCCAAGGAATGTTAACTGTCTGCAGATATTTTACGGGTCATCATGTGGAAGAGGGACTAGCTTTTACAATGTCTTCTACAAAGAATAGAGAACTGGGATAGAAGGTAACAAAATTGATTTTAGATTCATATAAGTAATATTAAATTCCCCATAACTGGATAGTCTAGTCTAGTCTGTTTTCTAATTATTTTATGGAGTGTTGAGGTTTGATCGAAGTGCCTCGATAGGAAGTAAAAGACAGACTGCCCAGACAGGGATGACAAATAAATCCACATAGAATTTTCCTCTGACAGTAGGTTCCCAGTTGACATGAAGTTTAGAAACCACTGAAATAGAAAGTTATGCAACGTGGGTCCTGGTCGCCCTACTTCTTACCCTGTTACTTTACCCAGAAACTACGGGATTATACTTTCTCTTTCCTCATAATTAACTAATTATAAAGCCCTTGCTATTCTATACTCATTCTACTTCTTTCCATATCCTTTTTCACTGCCCAAGTTCAGACTGTGAACACCACTGACCTAGATCATTACAATGACCTCCCAGTTGCTCTCCCTACAGTAGTTTTGTCTTACTTCAGTTCATTTTCCTCCTTACAGTAAACATTATAAAGCTTAGATCTAATAATACCTACCTTAAAACACTTTAGACTTAAAGTCTAAAATTATCAATATTATCTACAAGACTCATATCCTCTTTCACTTTCCATGTCCCAGTCACTCTAAAATTCTTCCAATTCCCTGAGTGTGTCATGTTCTGCCTTGTCTATGGGCCTTTGCACTACTGTTCCTTCCACCTGAAAATCCATCCCCTCTTAACTTGGATAATTTCTACTTATTCTCCTAGTTTTAATTTAAATGATACAGAAATCTCTGACTGTTCAGACTATAACAGGTTTTTGTTAAATGCTCTCACAGTAATGTGTACTACTTTTTGGTACACGTAACAGGAACAATTCATTATGTATGTAATTATTTATTTAATGCCTGAGCAGAAACCATGTCTTTTTAATTTGCCACTGCAACCCAGCATTCTCATATAAGGTACATTTTAGACACTTAGTATTTATTTGCCAAACAAATACTTCCTAATATGGACTCAAATACTAAAAACAGAAATGTAAACTCCAAAGACCTTTGATAATGGAGTGGTACCTGCTGTGGCATTTTCAAGGTGATTCCATTCTCTGTACTCACTGATGTCAGAGTGACAGATACCACCAGGAAAGGGTGAGGAATGTAGCGTGACATGGAAACCTCCTGAAGAACTTGAATACCAGCAGTAGTATTTGGACTGTAAAAACAAAAGAAACCCACATACCTCAACAACAATGCTAATAAGATTTTCTTTCTTTTCCACTAGTAATAGTATTAGATTTCATGCTTATGGAAGACTCAGATGTCTTACTACCTATCATCTTCTCCCCATATATCCTTCGATCAGGAAGTTGGCAAGGTTGAGGGGAACCAGAGTATATGGGGATGAGAGAGAAAGAAAGGGAGTAACAAATAGGAGGGAAGACGAAAACTAGGGAAGAAGCTATAAGAATACAAATATTTAAGTGGAAAAAACTAGTGGGTTGAGAAAGAATGATGGTTCAATCATTGAGGCTAGTGAGATGTCTTAATTTTTATCTTGCATTACTTCTCAATCACTGTGCTGTTTCAGTAAATACATACTTCAATTAACCTCTGAGAACAAAAATAAAACTCAAGAGGTGTGGTCTAAATACGTTGCAAGTAGACCAGATGCCAAGACAAATATAAGGCAACGTGCAGCAGCAACAACACTGCTGATTTTTTACTGCCCCAGACTACAGCCATCTAGCTCAGTGGAAATATAAGTCAGTTTGCTAAGGACATGCTTCCTACAGTCTTAAAGTTGTAGAACTCCTTCAAATTCCCACCAAGTATCGAGAGCACCAGGAGAGTCAGTAACCATTTATTTTCAAGGTTGTGAAAAAAAATTTAGTATCTAAGGGTTTACCTCATCCCAAACTAGATTTTTTTCAAATGACTCCAGGAAGATAAGCTAAAGAAGTTAGTGTACGATATTTCTTTTTTTTTTAGCTATTATATCAATATCACTAATTAAAACTCCTTGCTTTTTTTACCTCTAACAAAAACAAGATTGAATATAAAAGTGGAATAACTGTTTTGAGAAAACAAAAACTACAAAAGAGAAACGTGGTAAATAGGAGCAAAAAGTGACTTCTCATATGCCAGATACTTACCCATCAGATTTTCTTTCAATACTGTAAAGGCATATTGAACAGTCTGCTCTAAATACTATTACCATGTCCTGGAAGACACTAAGCAGTAATGTTTCTGCTTGTGCTTTGGTGACATGAGCAAAGGCATTGTCCAGATTTGATGTTCGCAAGTATACTCTAAGCTGAAGAAAACAAAAATGAAGAAAATTATAAAAACAAGATAACTACTAGGGATGACCAAATACTTTAAACATGCTGTTTTTAACTTCCGACTTTTTTTTTTTTTTTTAGTAACAGGAGTTAAAAGAACTATCTAAGCTTTAACAGTAAATGGATTATGTTTACATATTTTTGCAGACTAGGCTCATTCTATGAGTAAGCAAAAAATGAAGTGATCAAAACTGAATGTACTATTATAAAATATTCCTTTTAGACCTGCTTTATTTATTTATTTATTTATTTATTTATTTAAAGACGGGGTCTCACTCTGTTGCCCAGGCTGGAGTGCAGTGGCATGATCTCGGCTCACTGCACCCTCCGCCTTCCGGGTTCAAGCAATTCTGCCACCTCAGCTTCCCAAGTAGCTGGGATTACAGGGGTGTGCCACCATACCTGGATAATTTTTGCATTTTTAATAGAGATGGGGTTTCACCATGTTGGCCTGGCTGGTCTTGAACTCCTGACCTCAGGTGATCCACCCGCCTTAGCCTCCCAAAGTGCTTGGATTACAGGCATGAGCCACTGCACCTGGCCTAGACCTGCAGATTTAGACCTGATACATAATAAGACCAGCTGTTTCTCAAAACAAAAAACCAGATACAGTAGTCTCTCTTATCCATGGCTTTGCTCTTCACAGTTTCAGTTATCTACAGTCAACCATGGTCTGAAAATAGGTGAGTACAGTATACTAAGATATTCTGAGAGACCACATTCATACAACTTTTATTACAATATACTGTCATAATTGTTTTATTATTAGTCATTATTAATCTCTTACAAATTAAACTTTATCATAGGTATGTATGTATAGGAAAAAAGATAGTGCTATATAGGGTTCAGTACTATTAACAGTTTCAGGCATCCACTGATGGTCTTGGAATGTATCCCCCATAATTAAGGAGGGGTTACTGTAAATCAGTAACTAAATAAATCTATCTCTGAGGACAGCCATTCTTATATCATGAAATTTTTTGCTTTTAACTCTTTATTTTCAAACTCCATAGGGAATGTCCGACAGCTAAAATCCTTAGAAAAGGTTATCTTAAAAGTCTCAATTGTCACTTAATAATTTTTTAAAGTAATAACCTGAAAAGAAAATCCCACTACCTAAAAGAAGCTACATTCTTGATTAAAAAATAAAATGTTTTGTTCAGTTTTCAATCGACTATTTTCTATATAAAATTAATTCATGCTTAATAGCTTTAAAATATAAAAATCTGTTATTTCTGAGAGAAAAAACTTACCTCTTCTTGACGGTCATTTATGTTATAACACGCAAGGACCATAAAATCATTCCACCAGGCTAAGCCACCTGTCACGATCATATTTTGCTCCTTAAAATAAAAATTTTTTAAAAAATTTACCTTATGCTACCAGAAATTATAACAAAGTAATATATTTATAAAAATTCTTACCCAGACAAAGCTCAAATTATTATTATTTTTTGAGACAGTCTCACTCTGTCACCCATGCTGGAGTGCAGTGGCTCGATCTCAGCTCCCTGCAACCTCCGCCTCCTGGGTTCAAGGAATTCTCATGTCTCAGCCGCCTCCCAAGTAGCTGGGATTACAAGCATGCTCCAACACACCTAGCTAATTTTGTATATTTTGTAGGGACGGGGTTTCGTCATGTTGGCCAGGCTGGTCTTGGACTCCCAGCCTCAAGTGATCCGCCTGCTTCGGCCTCCCAAAGTGCTGGGATTACAGGCGTGAGCCACCACACGCCCAGCCAAAGATCAAATTATTTCTGCTCTTACTCCCCCTCTCTCCAATGATAACTCTAGAGCCTTTATTAATAATGATCCATATCCTATTTATAAAAATAAATATTTCTTTAAGAAGGCAAGTATACCATTAAAAATAACTGGGTGCTATATAGCATCATCATTCTAACACCCATTAGGGCTTAGTGTAAATTCTGGCTTAATCACTTATCAGATGAGTAACTGAATCCTAGTTTGTGTGTGTGTGTGTGTTTACATCAAAAGATCAGTAACAGTAGTGCCTTCACTGGGTTGCTGTGCAGATGAGTAAGATAACATATATGAAAGTGCCTTAAAATGCCTAACACACAATAGGCACCTAATAAGTACTGATTTCCTTCTCTTCCAACTGCATGCGTATATGTACACACACATACACATACACACACGCACACTCACTATCCCATATACATCACACACAGAATAGGCATGGAATGATCTCAAATTCTGTGGAAATCTATTCTGATCACATCAGATAAACTCAAGCTGGAATGTAAGAATAAATCCTCAGGCTAAGGAATTATAGTTACCGATCTTAAAAAGAATTAAAAATAAACCAACTATTTCAACACAAGATCCTTTATCAAATATCAAGTATTTTATCAGAATCAAATCTTACATATTATTCAATATCACTTTTTTATATCTGATTTTCCTTATTTTTAATAAGTAACCAAAATTACTTAGTGATAAACTTTATAGCTATTTCATATTGTAGTTCTCTTATACTTTGAGAAATAGGTTTTTAATCTCAAAAAAGACTAACCTGGGTAATGTTTCCAAAAAGTTTCCATTTTTTGGTGAGTAAAGAGTAATGTGCAAAACCAAACTTGCCAACCACAGCAATATTCTGTCCAAGCTTATCAATAGCTGAAAACTGTTTAAAAAAAAAAATAAGAACTTTTCCTTGCAAACCTATATACTTTATTAGGCATAAAGAGCTTAGTATTGTGTCAGGCAAACAGACAATTAATAAATGTTTGCTAATTAAATATTTTAAAGTCCAAATATTCAGTTATATCTGACAAAATTATAGATGTTAATATACTAGCAATGTTACAATAGATCAAGAGTTTTATTTTTCTCAGTACACCCACTGAAGGGCTCTTCCCAGAATGCCTCTTGCAGCAAATGCTAGTCAACAAAAGTTAACACCAACAAAATAACAACTCACCCGTATAGGCCAATTGCTCTCTAGATAGGTGCTGGAAATCTATAGAAAATAACACATCAGATTGGTAAAACTTATGAAATATATTTAAACTTAAAGCATTAAGTTATCACACTATGAGATTCATCTTGCCGAACAATGTTTAAGGTGCCCCCTAGTTAGTAGCAGAGCACTTGGAATTTACCATTTGTATATGAATCAATGTTTTACATCTTACGTTATTTCATGTTTCTAGGCACCAGGCTTTCCTCTCCCTGCCCCTTGCCCCTTATGTTTCTGTTTGTTTTAAATATTGAATTCAATAAATACAGACTGACAAGAGATTTTCAGAGAAGGCACCTGTGAGGGCAGCTATGAATTGTGCAGATGAACAGTTTGGGTTTGCTGATATAAACCATTCCAAAACAACCTAATCTAATACAATTACAGCCTCAGAAAAAGTTCTGGTTTTTAATGGAAATATTTTTATTACTTTTACACTTTTCTGATTAAAACAGCAATGCTTAGGCCAGGTGTGGTTGCTCACGCCTGTAATCCCAGCACTTTGGGAGGCCGAGGCAGGTGGATCACCTGAGGTCAGGAGTTTGTGACCAGCCTGACCAACATGGCGAAATCTCGTCTCTATTAAAAATACGAAACCGTGCATGATGGTGCATGCCTGTAGTCCCAACTACATGGGAGACTGAGGCAGGACAATCGCTTGAACCCGGGAGGCAGAGGTTGCAGTGAGCCAGGATCGCGCCACTGCACTCCAGCCTGGGGAATAAGAGCGAAACTCCGTCTCCAAAAAAAAAAAACAAAAAAAAACTTATGAAATTATGCAATATAAAAATTGACAAAATGAAATTCTCTGTTACTTAGGTACAACCACTGGTTAGCTTTTATTCTATCTCTAAACAAACATATATATATGTACATGAAAGAGTGTATGTAAGCTATTATTTTTCTATTGGGGTATTTGACTTACTTATCTACAAGAACTTTTAATATATTACAAATATTAACTCTATCTGCAAGAAAAGGCGTTCATTTTTCCACGTTGTCTGTCTTACATCTTTGAACATGGTGTCTTTGTATCACCCTAACAACACCTTTCAATTTAAATAATTGACATGGGATATCAATGTAGATAAAGTAAATTTTCGTTTTAATGAGATTGATCTCTCTAGCCTGCTGATTAGTTTTCATGAGCACATGTTGGAGTGGGGCGAGAATTAACAGAACTGAACAAAGAGTCTTCTGTTCTTGGAATAAGAAAAGCTTCGATCTGTTCAAATTTATTTTTCATTTTACTCTAAGAAAAGTTGTCACATATTGAAAAACTAAATGCCAAATTAAAAAGCTAAGTCAACAGCAATCAAACCCAGTAAGATTGTGTATGTAATGTGAAGACAGAAAATTAAGTAAAAGCAATATGCTCTAAACATCTGTATTAACCTTGATAAAATTTGATAAAACTGTTTGTTATACTTCACTTATTATCAAGTGCTTTACTTACTAATTATTTGTTATACTTATTAAGTTGACTTAAGTCAACTTAAAATCCAACTAAATCAATAGCTTAATAAATTAATAAAATTCACTATGGGCCAGGCACCGTGGCTCATGCCTGTAATCCCAGCACTTTGGGAGGCTGAGGCAGGCAGATTGCCTGAGGTCAGGAGTTTGAGACCAGCCCGGCCAGCATGGTGAAACCCGTCTCTACTAAAAATACAAAAATTAGCCAGGCGTGATGGCAGGTGCCGGCAATCCCAGCTACTCGGGAAGCTGACGCAGGAGAATCACCTGAACCCTGGAGGCGGAGGTTGCAGTGAGCCGAGATTGCACCACTGCACTCCAGCCTGGGCAACAGAGTGAGACTCTGTCTCCCTGCCCCCCAGACCCCCAAAAAGATCACTATGATGGGTAAAATTAGTTCAGAATAATGGTACACTTAAGGTAATGATTGGGTGGTGAAATAAAACTTGAAAGCATTTTCAACTTTTTTCAGCAGTCACTCACAGCAGGAGGATGTACCTGAGTATAACTGTGTCAATCATCCATTGCACTAAAAGGAATCCTTACCTCCCTCAAACCTTGGTGTTTCATGAGTACTTATGAAACGTGTGGGTGGGTAATGGAGGAGCTGGGATCTTACTGCAAAAGTGGATTCTAACACAAAGAGTTTCTAATAATGGGAACCAAAGTTAAATCTTATCAAATGATCACACTATGATCAATATCTATAAAACAATTTATTCTTTATTCTACAAAAATCTATGAAGTGCCACAAATGATGTATTTTAAAAACTTAAGGTGTTAAGTTTAGAATGAAGCTTTATTTTTCATGCAGTTTGTGTCTAAAGATACTATGTATTTTCTCCAGTAGGTCAACTTTATTGATCTATGTGTCATCTGAACTCTGAGCTCTACCTCTAATACTTGATAAAAGGGAATGGCAGAAGTAAGGAAGAGGCAGCTGATCAGTGACAAAAAAAACAGGTCATGAAAGCACACTCAGGGCACTGAAGTCATGCCACATCACTGGAAAACTGAGTGCTAAGGTACAGAAACTCTACCCTTATCTTAGAATGTTTCAGTTTCTCTTAAAGAAACTGAATCCGCCCTCATTTGTTATTATGATTTTTAAATTTTAAAGTAACTCTGCTAAAACTCTGTCTCCTGCCTAGATTAGTTTTGTCTATAACTAGTGAGACTGTGGGAGCCATCCTCCTAGCAGATTTGTTCTGTGCCAAATACCTGGTACACTTGATACATACTGTAGGAAGACAGTAAATAATTTATGAATGAAAGAGCCTTTAAATACTCTCTGTTGAAATCCCTAACATAGTGCCTGATACCCTGTAGGTGCTTATCTTCCACATTTTGTGAAGCTTATTCTTTCTAAATAGCCAAGCTAACCATCAAACCAACACCCTCAGAACAATGGATAATAGATTTATGTACCTTTCAGAAGTAAATGCTTACATCATACAAAATACTGAGCATTAAAATAAATGGCAGTCTTAGAAGGAACATGGCCTAAAACTAGAAACTTTGTGTTCTGTAAAATTTCAATAGTTTGTGCCCCATATGTCAACAAATGACTTCAAAAGTTTTAAAACTTATAGGTAAGAAAAAACTTTTTAAAAAGCACCTTGGCTGGTGCTTGCTGGTGCTTGCTTTGGCTGGGTGCGGTGGCTCACGCCTGTAATCCCAGTACTTTGGGAGGCTGAGGCAGGTGGATCACAAGGTCAGGAGTTTGAGACCAGCCTGGCCAACATGGTGAAACCCCGTCTCTACTAAAAATACAAAAATTAGCCGGGCATGGTGGCAGGTGCCTGTAATCCCAGCTACTTGGGAGGCTGAGACAGCAGAATCGCTTGAACCCTGGAGGTGGAGGTTGCAGTGAGCTGAGATCACGCCACTGCACTCCAGCCTGGGCAACAAAGAACAAAATTCAATCTCAAAAAAAAAAAAAAAAAAAAAAAAAAAAAAGCACCGCCTTTACTGCCAGTTACCAATCCTGCTTCTGACAAGTATGTATTTGTTTTGTTTTAGTTAAAGAAAAATCATAAGTAACATAGAATCTTCCAATCTGGAAGCTAAGGAGTATAAGGTAGCAGGTTTAAGCAAACAAACAAAAAGCTAGTACTCTAAATGAGAAACAGAACAAGCAGCAGAATTAGTTGGAGTTCATCTAAGCTATACAAGAAGCATACATACAACGAATAAATCACGCAAACAAAATCAACTTTGACAGAGGATGTGGTCACTTATCTTAGAAAAAAGGATACTATTGTGGGGCAAATTAAACCAGGCAACTATGTTTCTTCAGGGAGTCATCATAAATGGCTAAAAAGCCTAGAACGTAAAAGTTTAGCATTATATAGACACTGTATACTGCCCTATACACCGCCACCATAACTGCACTGAATCATGTAGCTGGAGTGCCAGCGAAATACAGGGCAACTCCAAGTACAAACTGCCAAATAGGCGAATTCTAAGTTTTAGCTCAAGGTCAGTGGTGTATTATGTGATTTAATGCTCAGTACCTCGGTTTTAAAATACATTAGATTTTTACTTTAACGTAGAGTGATGATAAAGATAAGTCTGCCACTACTCTGCTGGGTGAACTGGACAAGTCATATAACTTCTCTGATCCTCAGTTTCCTCATGTATCAAATCCAGTTGGACTTTATGATCTCTTAGGTCCTTCCAGCTTGAAAAATTCTATGAGCCCATTTTCATTGTTTCAGCAGTACAAAACAATCAATGTGGCATTATTTATGTTATTTTTAAGGAAACTGATAAACTAGGTAAACTCAAGTTTTAAAAGTTCATCTGTCTAAATATCTTTAGCTATCTAAAGAACAGAATAACAGTGGAATCTTGCTAGTACCCAAAGTCCTAAAATCAGTGTTAAAATGTTTCTCTTATATGGGGTACTTCATAGATGCTTAAGAATCACAGAATCACTGAGTTTTTGAGCTGGAAGGAAATTCAATTTTTGTTATTGCCTGATCGATTTTTTAGTTCCAGACCTACCTTCTTTGATCCTCTGCTCTACTTGGCTCTCTGGTAACACAGACCTGGCTAGGCAGAACTGGCATTGATGCTAGGTCAGTGTAGAATGAATAGTTCAAAGTATGGGGAAATGAAAATAGCAGAGAAATGGCTATAGGAGAGAAGGGAGCAGTGGAAAATTTTAGTCAAGGAAGTAGCTAGTGCAGTTTTATTTAAAAATTGTTACTAATTATAAAATGGTATGTACATTGTTTGATTCTATGAATTTATTAATGTAAGTTAAGTTCATTTTCTTTTAGTGTATACCAGATGTCAATGTAGGAGATAATCCTTCAACCTTTCACATGACCATTTTTTTGTCTCTCATTATCTTCACTCAAAGTCAACTGAAAATAACATGGGAGCTGAAGTAGGCTAGTAGGGTAAACATATAGAGAGTCAAAGTAAGGCAAAGAATTATGGAAACAGAAACTGACTAAAAGAAACTAAGAGTGGGCTTTGATGTACCTAAAATATTTTGCTATCAAAAAGGGAAAGAAAACAGTCGGAAGACTGAAATTATGTATGCAAGTTTCTTTTAAGAAACTTCAACTTACTGGTTTCCCCAAAATAATTTTACTTGGTATCAAAATTGAGAATTAATTTCCATGTTAAATGTCAGTTTATCAGAATTACTGTGAGACACTGTTAATTTAAAAGTGATATCAGAATGAATAAATAATTTGGAATAAGATTAGCTAATAAAAGTATTAACAATAAAGCTCTCTACTGATCACAAGTCTGCAATTTGGGTCCAAAGTCACATGATTAACCTCAACGTGGCCCCTTAAGACTGTAAGGTCAGCTGTACAGAGTACTAGCTGATGTTGCCACTTTCCATGAGATTATTACACTTTGTTTTGCCTGTGCAAATCCGTAGAGCTAAATTTATACAAAAAAAGAGGCTGAAAGTAAAATAAATAGTTCTCAATGAGAAGGCAAAACATAAACTTCTAGTTCTTGACATTATTAATAGACTTGAAACAGGTGGGGATACACTCTACGCCAAGTGGAAAGAAAGGAGGGAGAAGACTAGAGGACAAGAACACAGAAAAGCAGAAGAGGGACATGACAAAATGGTTAAAAGGATTCTCAGTTGCCTGAAGTTAACAGATGAAATATTTAATAATCTGTTCCAGGTGATATCCTATCAAAGAATAAGTCTCTAGTAATCAGTAACTAAAGATTTACCTGTACAACATGCCAATGCCGATGTCCAAGTAAAGTGCTTAATCCCTGAGACTCTAAACCTCCATCTGCAAATGGGCTCTTTTCTCGACTGGGCTTATGCTCAGAGTGTGTTGAAGAACTCCTGGGATTCTGGGTTTGTGAAGCCTCTCCACAGTTCAAGTACAAGCGATCCTCACCCTGAAGCAACACCTGCTCTTGGTTACTCTAAATGAGGGAAAGAGGAACAAAAGGGCAAAGGAGGAAAACAAATAAAAACAACTCAATATTACGCAGGCAAAAATAACACATCGATTTAGTTTTATTATAGGAAATGTACATGTATCTCGATGTTGATTTTCTTCACAGAGGACAAAGACTACACAATAATCTCATGCACTGTTATAATTAGAAAGAATAGTGCTCTTAGTGACTATGAGATTTCAGCTAGAAAGCCAGTGTTCTCAAAGGTGAGTAGACTCATTAACTATTGAAATCAGACAAAGTAGCACCCTACCCTTGTCATTTTTCCATTTTAGTCCAAATGCTGGCTTGACATAAAACTCAAGGGTGCTTTTAAATTATTATTTGGGATGGGGAAGGGGAGGGAGAAATGCTCTCTTCTTTTCTGGGGATCCTTAGTCTTCAAGTGGAATAATGGATCTGAAATTCAGGCTATTTTCACATTTTTTATGGATGTTCGTAAATTTTAATTAGAAATTTGTTGTACCAAATATCCATTAAAAAGCCATTGATGGTAGGTATTAAGATACACATTTCTAACATGTAACATATACCATTACTGTATATTAGCGATATATAATAATATTAGTATACACTATTTCAGATAGAAATACAAGAGGCAGTGTTTGGGGCGGTGTTTCTAAAAGCAAGTCCTCAGACATACTTTCTTTAAGCTATTTCTTAAAAATTCACAGTTAAATAAGCATGGGGAACACTGTTTTTAATATACCACCTCCTGGATTTTCATGATGCACAATGGCATATTTAAGCCTCTGGAGCCCTACAATCAATCTCTACAATTTTGTTTTACCTTTATTTGACACTTATATGGAAACAAAACTTTTAAAAAATCCTGTGGAACTGCTACTAATATCTCTCATAAGTAGTGCCTGGAGGAACACACTTTGGGAAATGCTATTCAGATAAAGACTAAATTACTCAAATTATTTAAATAAATATATAAACATTGCTTTCCGTCAAATTGCTTATGACCCTTTTAAAAAAATAAGACCAAAGAAACACAACCCGTTGAGAAATAAAATTTTGGTATAAATTTAATATAAATTAAAAAGAAACACAAGAATCATAGAAAAGAAGATAATATGCCAATTTTAGAAGTATACGCCATACATATGTCATAAAGAAGGGTCTGAGCTTCTAACACAAAAGACACTAAAAAATCAGAGCTTTAAATATACTTACCATACAAGGGTTTACAGTGAGTACACTCTTAATAAACTGAAATAACAGGATGCTGGGCTGTTTAACTACACTCCTGAGGTCAGACTCAATTTCAGTGTTTTGAGAACCAAATCCGCTGATTACCCATAGGTGATAGCCTTCTGCACCCCAGCTCTTAGAGAGAAGAGGAGGGAGAAAAAAAGTCAGAGCAATAAAAGGCTTTTGTATCCCTTTCTAGCTTCAATTATTCAAATTCTGAAATAGCCAATGATAGCATTATTAATGATTTGTGAAGGTTGGAGAAACCGTGATAACACAGACAAGAATCACACCTTCAGTTACCTCTTAACTAACTCCAGAGGAAATCACCATCACTGCTCTCTATCTGCAAAAGTGAAAACATTACCTACCATTCTTAATGCCAATTTCAGGGTCTTAATCCTAAAAATACCTACTGTGCTCTGTAACTTCTCTATTGCTTTAATTTAGCTGCCTCTCAAATACAAAGAAATTCCTTACAGAAGACACCCCAGGTTACCCAGTAGAAGCCTGGCAAAGAAGCCCCTACAACAGATGCAGTTTTGTATGGAGCAAAAAACATTGGATTGGAAGCTGTGAGACTAGAGTCTTCATTATAGCTTGGCTTTTTGTATATATTACCTTGGCCAAGCTGTCTCGTTTCTCGGGATATAAGTTTCTTCCTCTGTAAAATGAGAAGGTTCAAATAAATTCCTCCAGAACCATTCAGTTTTAATATTCTGTAACTAGACTCCATGATAGTATTTTTAAAGATTAGTGATTCTCAATCTTCAAGCCAAGAAAATGGTGAAGGGGCAGGGGTAGCCCATGAATTGTTGCAAAATTTCAAAAGTTTAATAGAACTTTTATGTTTTCCTATGATAAAGCTGCCTAAGTTTTAACTAATAATGCTTAGATTCTTAGTTTGTGGTTAAAATATCAACTTAGTGAGACGGACAACACTGGTTCTTGCATGCCATTCAGAAGCACTGATTGGTATTTATAGAAATGTGTGGTGAAAACTTATTTTAAACTATGGAGGTGGGCAAAGACATCAGAAGGGGTCCTTGGTGGTGAAAGTTTGGGAACCACTATTTTAGGCAACCATGGCGGTTTTAATTCTACAAGAAACTCAAGATCAGAAGAATGTCTTCCTCTGTGGAGCAAGAGAGAAGAGAAGCGACAAGCCTCATAGTCACTAATTTAAAAAGGATGGTATGCAGAGGGGCTATAGCAAGAAAAACTTGTTATGTAAAGACAGGGGTTTTATATCTCTGTTTTCTACAGAAACTCTTGAAAATAGGTAAAAAATAAAAATACAGGTTAAGCCTCCCTAATCCAAAAATCTGAAATGCTCCAATAGCTGCAACTTTTTGAGGGCTGATATGACACCACAGTAAAAAAATCCCACACCTGACTTCATGTGATGAGCTGCAGTCAAAATTTTGTTTTATGTACAAAATTATTACAAATTCATTACATTAGCTTCAGTCTATGTGCATAAGGTATATATAAAACATAAGGGAATTCTGTGTTTAGACTTGAGTCCCATCCCCAAGAATGTATTTGCAAATATTCCAAAATCCAAAAAGTTCCAAAATCTGAAATACTTCTGGTTCCAAGCACTTTGGTTAAGGGGTACTCAACCTGTATTGTTTACAACAGTGACCATAATTCTCTTTGACATACATCTATGTAAATTTTAAAAAATATGCTCAAGGTACTGTATACATATATATAGATATATAGATACAGATATCCTCAAGTAATGCACAAGTGCATGTCCTCCAGGAAAAATGCCCAATGAGCATTTCACCTCATGTTAAAAGCAAGCAGGCCATGAGAAGACACATACAAAAAAGGCCTCATCTGAACAGTCATTATCATCATAAAGATGACAGGGGTTTGCTGGCCACATCTAAACAAAATGCAAATACTGAAAACCAGGCAGCCTTCCAATTAAAAAAAAACAAAAGACTTTCATCAAGCAAGAACTGTATAATGAAGAGTCTGCTGAGACTAAAATAGTTTTGTGATTTTATCAGATCAACATGAGTGAAAAAAGGGGGCCAGCCTGGGCAACATGGCAAGACCACGTCTCTACTAAAAATCAAAAAAATTAACCGTGTGTGGATAGTGGTGTGCCTAGAGTCTCAGCTACTTGGAAGCTTGAGGCAGGAGGATCGCTTAGAGAGGCTGCAGTGAGCTATGATCTGCCACTGCTCTCCAACCTGGGTGACAGTGTAAGACCCTGTCTCAAAAAATTAAATAAATAAAAATGAGTGAAAAAAGGGAAGAAAAATCCAAGTTTTTTTAATACCATGCCAATTTTTTATAGAAAGTACTTACCATAGAGTTGATCTTAAGGGGATCTTTTTTGGTGCCATCAGACCTATAACTGAAACAGAACAGAAACTAAATATAATACAGCCTTCCAATTACATATAATACACATAAAATTTAGTGTTTTTTAAAAAATCAAACGGATTTTGCTCCTTTAAAATAGAAATACATAATAATGCATGAAATACAAAACTGTGGGTTAATACACCTAGGTGTATATATCTCTCAGCCACATTTTCCGAGGTCCAAGTGACTTCTTGCCAGAGATATGCAGCTTTTAAAGGTGTGCTCATTTCATCAGAACTGAGGTTCAGGGTAGTATATGAAGTGGGCAGAGATACCAACCTACTCCTATCAATCACTGGGCTAACCTACATTAACCTAATGAGATAACGTAACTTTCTACTATTTATGTACATGCCTTACCACCCTCATTAGATTATAAACTACCTAAAAGCAGAACCATGCCTGATTCTGCTTTGTGTCTAACATGCTGTCATATATACAGCAGGGGTTCAATAAATAAATACATTTTTGTGGAATGAGATGTACATTTTTTAAAAAATGAATGTTCAGAGAATCAGTATATTCGAACAGATTATGAACTTTGCAAATTGTTTTAAGGTAAGAGTCAAGGCAAAAAGGGAAGTTCTGACACAAGGTTTTTGTATGCATGCATTGTGAGAAATAATGGAGTTATTTTATCTAAAAATTGTCTTTTTTGACTTACGCAAAATCTCCTCCAAGTGTACAAATCAGCTGTGCTCCAAAAACACTCCATAAAGAAAGGCCTCCGTATTCCCAGGTCACTATTACAACACTATTGTCAGGAGACCATCTCATCAATTTAACAGCTCCTGTTTTATTCCAAATGTCTGTTAGGAAATAGTGAGAAGAGTTAAAAATAAATAGTTGCTTCAGAAATACTTGTTTTTTTTTTTTTTTCAAATACAATCTGTATTTTCAAATCTAAATGAGTAGAAAGGTATGACTGCTTCCAAAAATAAATCCTGGTCATTTAGGACTACTTAAAGTTAGTAAGGCCATTAGTTTTGTCCTGATCTAAGCAGAACAAACTCAGTGCACAGGTGATTTGTAAGAAGTGAAAGCTGTTTCTAGTCACTATTAGCTTGATTAACTTATAACTGCGTAATCTTAAAAGTCTTTGGCTTTGTATAAATCAGTTTCTGTAAAACAAGGATAAGGTTACAGTAAAAGCTGTCTTTAGAAAAAAACATATGCAGGCCTTAAAAAAAGCTACACAGTAAGAATGATTAAAAAAACGTAAGGAGCAAATTTCTATTTCTGGAAGTACAGCAAATGACACCCTGAATGACTTCCACACTGAAAAAACTAAGATGGTGAATAGAATACTTAAATCCTCAAAACAATAAAAAATACTGAGACAAAGTGCTTGTTCCCTGAATTTTTCTGCCAAACCCTGGAGACCTTTACTTCTACCTCTGATGACTCACAGCATGTTAGGAACAGGAGATAAAGCTCAGAGCTTGCCCAAGACAGGTAATCTAACAAAAGATACCCATGTAAAGCTGGGACTACAATGGACTATATCCATGGTATAAGAGAGAATGAGAAAAAAGCCTCTGCCATGTAGGAAAAGAATTAGCAAGGAACACTTTCATGTTTCATCAGTGGAAGTGAATGGAAAATAATACTCCCTTGATAATCTGAAGCCACAAACCCTCACTCTGATTTGTAATTTGTGCAATTTAATGTGGTTCAAACAGAGAATACAATGCAAAGGGTCACAGACTGATGTAGTGCTCCCAAGTGACCAGCGGAAGCAAAGAAATTTAAATCCTCTCTGGAAAAACTCAAATGTTATCCAGTTCTCAAAGCGCTACACACACAAAAAATATGCTTCAAGGAAAACAATCGGCTCTCAGTCAAAAATCCTAAAATACACACACAAACGAGCAAGAACACAAAGAATCAAGACATGGCAGAAACAGACTCAGAAAGGCTTCAGATTTTGGGATTAACAGACACAGAATATAAAATAACTGCTTTTTATAGCCAATGAAAATAAAGGAGAAGACTCAAACAAGGAGCAGGATGCATACAGATTGGAAAAAGAGCTAAATAAGCCTTTAAATAATAAAAAATACAATAACTGAAATTAAGAACTTGATGGACAGATCAAACAACATTATTAGGCATAACTGGAGAGGATCAGCAAACCTAGATGGAGAAAAAATTTCTAGAATGCAGTCTAGAGAAACAAAATTTTAAAAAATTTAAAGTTAGGTTAAGAAACATGGAAAAAAGTGTAATGTATATCTGAGTTCCAGAAAATAGATTAGGGGAGAGGAATATTTAGAAATACTGGTTGAGAATTTTCCAGAAATAGTTCAAAGATGTAAATCTTCATCCAGCAAGCCTAAGTCTCAAGCAGGATTTGAAAAACAAACAAAATTCTTCCCTTCCACATCACAGTTGAACTGCAGAAAGCCAAAAACAAAGACAAGATCTGAAAGGTAGCTATAAAGACCAATCTATTGAAAAGAGAAGACAACTTGACAGAGGACCTCTCAATAGCTGCAATGGAAATCCAATGGCACTGGAACAAATTCTTCAATGTATAAAAAGAAAATAACTGCCAATCCAAAACAGCACACCAAGTTAAACTATAATTAAATCACAGCAGCAAAATAAGTACATTTCAGACTCTCCCAAAGTAGAGTTTACCTTCAAAAAACTTCATTAAAAGAAATTCCAAGGGATGTATGGGAGGTTTTTCAGGCAGAAAATGGTCTCAAGAAGAAGGTATGAGTTGGTCAAAGATATGGTGGGCAAAAATACTGGTATAAATGTGGGTAACACTAAGTCAACATGAATAGTTAAATATCCTAATTGTGATGGTTAACACTGAGTGTCAACTTGACTGAATTGAAGGATACAAAGTATTAATCCCGGGTGTGTCTGTGAGGGTGCTGCCAAAGGAGATTAACATTTGAGTCAGTGGGCTGGGAAAGGCAGACCCACCCTTAATCTGGGTGGGCACAATCTAATCAGCTGCCAGTGCGGCTAGAATATAAGCAGGCAGAAAAATGTGAAAATAGAGACGGGCCTAGCCCCCCAGCCTACATCTCGTGTGCTGGATGCTTCCTGCCCTCAAACATCAGACTCCAAGTTCTTCAGTTTTGGAACTCGGACTGGCTCTCCTTCCTCCTCAGCCTGCAGATGGCCTATTGTGGGACCTTGTGATCATGTGATCATTTATTAATACTTAATAAACTCCCCTTTATAAATATGTATGTATCTATTCTATTAGTTCTGTCCCCTAGAGAACCTTACTAATACAGATATTGGTACCAGGAGTGATTCTAGAGGTACAGAATATTAAGGATGGAGTTCCTTCATTGGTTTTGGGGTTTCTAGAGTTGGCTGCCTAATATCATTAGACCCCAAAATGCTAAGGACTCTATTTCTAATAGTACGCACTGACAGTCCTTGACGTGAACTGTTTATATAGAGTTATGCAAAATAAATGCATTTGGCACTCCTGATTCATTGCTTGTGAGACGCAAGGAGTTTAGTGACTCTATACATAACACCTTTGACCATATGTGGAGAATCAAGGAACATAATGAAGCTAGTTGGTTGCTCCTAAGTTCAGTGAACAAGGTGATGAAAGAAAATGATGAACTCAGGGATTCCATCTCCCAGAAGCAGATACTGAGCCTCAAAACTGCTAAGATTGCCCTGAGTGAGGGTCTTATCTCCTATAGAGAAAGAGCTAAAATTGTGGAAACACAGAGACAAACTCTTATCATTTGAGTGGCTGATCTGCAACAAAAGGTGCATGCACAGCCTCACCAGGTGTCTACTGTTAAAGTGAAGGCACTGATTGGAAAAAAATGGGACCCTGCAACTTGGAAAGGGGATGTGTGGGAGGACCCTGATGAAGCTAGATTCACTGAGTTTGTAAACTCTGGTGAACCTTTTTTTTTGCCAGAAGAAACAGCTTTCCCCATCCCCAATAGTGGCAACATCCCCTCCTGGACCCATGCTGCCATTAGCCCTTCCACCTTTGTCTGAGGATTATAAACCCTGTGCTGCCTGAGGCAACAGTGATGCCCTCCCCTGAGGCAGTCGCCAGGCAAGATAATGTTGATTCTCCTCAGGAGCCACTCCCAACACCTCTGTTTGCTTCTAGACCTATCAATAAAGTCCTGGCAGGCCTCTAGAGGTGAGGTTGAGAGTATGACCCATGAGGAGGTGCACTATGGGAACTGCTTGAGTTTTCTAATTTACATAAATAGAAATCTGGAGAGTAGGCATGGGAATGGATATTAAGGGTGTGGGATAATGATGGAAGGTACACAGAGTTGGATCAGGCTGAATTTATTGATTTGGGCCCACTAAGTAGGGATTCTGCATTTAAAGCTGCAGCTCGGGGAGTTAAAAAAGGTTCTAATAGTTGATTTGCGTGGTTAGCTGAAATATGGATTAAAAGATGGCCCACTGTGAGTGAGCTGGAAATGCCTGATCTCCCTTGGTTTAATGTAGAGGAAGGGATCCAAAGGCTTAGGGAGATTCAGAAGGTGGAGTGGATTAGTCACTTTAGACCTACTCATCCCAGCTGGGAGGGTCCAGAAGATATACCCTTGACTGATGCCTTGCAAAACAGATTTACAAGGGCAGCAGCTACATCTTTGAAGAACCCTATAATTGCACTTCTCTGTATGTCAGATCTAACAGTGGGAACCTCAGTCACTCAACTACAAAATTTAAATACAAAATGGGAATAACTGGATCCGGAGGTAGCAGGGGCCAAGTGACGGCACTCAACTATCAAAGGTAAGGTGGGCGTAGCTACTGTAATGGACAGCAGAAGCAAAGCAGCAATCAGAATAGTCTGACTTGTGTAGAACTTGGGCATTGGCTAATTAATTATGGTGTTCCTGGAAGTGAAACTGATAGGAAGCCTACTGCATTCCCACTTAATTTATACAAGCAGAAAACTTCTAGGTCAAATGGACAAAATACTAATTTGAATTATTAAAACAGAATCACGGCCCCTCAATCAATTTCCAGACTTGAGCCAGTTTACACACCCAGAGCCCCAATATTTGACCTATAGCATGACATGTATTGTTTAACTTAAAATCAGCATCTGCTACAAATGGCAATACCAGTACATTAAAAATGTTAAAAAAAAAAAAAAAAAAAAAGACTCACCAGGATACTGTTTTGCTGTTAGCTCTAATTTATGAGATAGCAGCATGGCTCCAGTGCTGTTATCTATTGTATAGACCTGCACAGAACCACTGTGAAAACAACAACGAAAAACTTTTAGTGAAAAAAGACAAATACAAATAGAAAAAGCATTATAGAACTCTTATGTTTTGCTGGTGGGAGTGTAAACTAGAACAAAACCACTTTGTCAATAAGTTGCAGTCATCTCATAAATTTGAACAAAGGCATATTCTAATCTAGCAATTTCACTTCCAGATATATCCCAGAAATTATTGTCTAATGTTTACTAGAGATATGTACAATGTCCATTGTACTATTGTGATAATTTTTAAAAAAGGAAATAGCCTATCTAGCAACATGAGGAAAAAAATGAACTTTTATTTGGCTATAGTACATATGGTATAGCAATATAATACTATACCTTACAGCACTGAAAATGAATGAACTTTAGCCACATGGATAGCGAATACAGTTAACCCTTGAACAACATGGATCTGAACTGCATGGGCCCACTTATACATGTATTTTCTTCTGCCTCTGCCACACCTGACATACCTCCTTTGCCTCTTCCTCAAGCCTACTCAACATGAACACGGTGACAATGAAGACCTTTAAGATGATCCACTTCCACTTAATCAATAGTAAGTACATTATTTCTTCCTTATAATTTTCTTAATAATCTTTTCTCTTACTTTATTGTAAGAATACAATATATAATATTAATATATATAAAATAAAAAGTATGTGTTAATTGACTATATTGTCAGTAAGGTTTCCAGTCAACAGTATGCTATTAGTAGTTAAAAGTCTTGGGCGAGTCAAAAGTTATATGTAAATTTTTCAACTGTGTTGGGGGGTTGGTACCTCTAACCCCTGGGCTGTTCAACGGTCAACAGTATATACGTTTAAGATATAAAACATGTGTGTGTGTAAAAGCATAGTAAATATAAACATACATATTTGATATATATATAGTAGATATACAGTATTAATAGTAAATATATTTGTGGTAAAAATACAACAAAGAGTTAATGTATACAAATTTCAGATTAGTGATACTCTGGTGGAGAAGGGAGTATCAAAGAAGAGGGGTAAACAGGAGGCTTCATCAGCACTGGTGATGTATTATTTCTTATGTTGGATGGTAATTTATAAACATTTTATTTTTAAAATCTATATGCTTTTTTGTGTATATGGTATATATAATTACTTAATTTAAAACATCTTTACAAGGGTCAAATTTCTGAAGGGCCTGAAGCCAGAAGTAAAATCTCTATAATACGTCTAAGCCACATTTCAAAATTGAACTACGAGGATAACAGAAAAGTCTCATTTCTGCTCATGGTATATTCTCAGTTCAAAAATTTAATGCACATTCAGCATTTGAAAATGAGGCTCCTGTTTTAGATTACTTATGCAACATTTATAGTGAGAAAGAGAAACAAATGTTCTTAAAGACACTTTTTAATATAAGAATGCTTTTGCACATAATAGGATGACACTGGTTTATGACTACCAGATTGTTTTTTTTTTTTTTGGTGGTAGGAGAAATCAGATGGTTTCTTCACAGCAGCTTTGATCCATTCCCATCCAGGTCCTACCTCTTCTCAAGGATTAGAACTGGGACTAACTAAAAGACCTGCAATAGTAGCCTCCTTAAAGTTGTCCCACAGCTTACTGATACTCTGTTTTTGTTTTCTTTTTTTTCTGTGTTCCATTTTGGATAATTTCTGTTTTTCAAGTTCATTAATCTTCTCTTCTGCAATGTCTAATCTGTTGTTAGTTCCATACAGTATGTTTTTCATCTCAGACATCATAGTTTTCACCTCTAGAAGTTTAATTTCAGTCTTTTTCTAATATCTTCCATGTCTCAGTTTAATATTCAAGAGAGACCCTCTACAGCTCTCTGAAGTTCTCTCTTTGTGCCACCTCTTTGGTGTCTATATTATGAACTCTAGCTGCCTTGGTTTTCCCAGATTCTCTGATTTCCATGTGCTTATCTCAGCTCAGGATGTATCTCCCCAATCCTGTGCTGCAGCCTACAAACACTCAAAATAATAAAAACTAAGGGCAGTTACAGAGAGATAATTTTGTTTCTCATCTTTCAGAAATCACTGTCCCTTGTTACCTTATGTTTGTGTTCTGAATTCAAAACAGCTCTTTCATATTTTTGTCCGTTTTCTTGGCTGTATCAGGTGGGAGGGAAAATGTCATCTGTCATTCAATCATACCCAGAAGCCAAATATCTGAAAAAGATTTCTTTCCAGACTACCTGCCCAAATAGATCAACTCTTGCTGAGAGACAGCACTAAGTGGGTAGCAGGTGTTTGTTTTTGCTTTGCATCTGACAACTGTCAACTGCTAACCCTGGGTTGCTGAGCTCTAAAATGTTAGTGAGGAGTCCATGTTTTAAATATAAGAAGTAGGTGCTAAGTTACTACTTATAAAAGTCTGACAATCTTTTAGGTATTCTATAGTGCTTGTATTCTTTAAACTACTTTTCCTTCCATTTCTCACCAGCCCAATGTAACAGAAAAATATATTTTCATTAAAAAGACAGGACTTACTAACTCCAAAGCAAATCTCTATAAGAGAGATATGACTATTATCACCATAAGTGATCAAATTTAGTGTCATTAATACTGAAACAACTTGACATTATTACTAAATGATACCATAGGAAATATATATCATCACCCATGACAAAATGTGTAACCAGAATCTAGTAATACCTTTAAATATTTAGGTTAACAGGAAGGTTGTTAAAATACTGATCTGCTGCAAACTGGCATCCTAAAAGGAAGCTGGCTTCTTACACAACTCTAAGGACACCAGCTATCACCTAGTGTTCAAGGTAATTAGTCCTGATAAGTGTTGGCAGATCTGGACTAGCAGACACTGGTTTGTTATGTCAACAGCTAGAATCACAAAACTTTAACCCTAACCCATGGGCATGCTAGAAGAGAACTTGTAGTCTCGTAGCTGATGAAAACTGAGGTGACTGAAAAGCTATAGGCCAAGAGTCTACCTACATTATCCTGGGAAGGGCTAGTACTTCCCAATCATGTAGCTTATAAGCCCATAGCCTAGGGAGGAGTACTTCTTCTGGATTCTAACACCCACCCTTGTGCTGGCCCCAAATGCAGTAAATGGAACTGCACACTTGCCACTGCTTCTGTCTCTGTGTATTTTCTCTAAATACTTTTCCATGCCTGATGTGTGGGCTTTCTAGTCACTTGACTGTATTGCTCAACAAGAACTAGCTTCCAGGTTAGTCACGACAGGTGTCAGATAAACAAGGTAAATGCCATCATGAGGAAACAATAAGGCAAATCTAGGATGCAGGATATTCTATAAAGAATCGACTCAGACTCAAAAAAAGTCAATGTCATGAAAATAAGTGGCATAAGGACTATTGTAGTTAAAAGGTAACTAAAGAGAAATAATAACCAAATATTATTAATGAATCTTGATCGATTCTGTTTGGAACAAAGGAGCTATAGAAGAAATTTAGCTGGTGGCAACTGGGTTAATTTGCATATAAATTGGGTATTAGATCCTATTAGGGATTTATCATTAATTATCTCATGTGATAAAGATATTCCAATTATACAAGAGAATGTCTCCTTTTTTAGAAACCAAGAAATAAGGCAAAAGTATGTCAACAGCAAAGTGGATAAATTATGCTATATTCAGACAATGGAACGTTATTTATAAACCAATTTAAAAAATGATTACAACTACTGGTAAATGACATGGATGAATCTCACAATGTTGACCAGTTACTAAGTGAGTCAAGGAGGGAATAAGAGTTGTGACTAGGAAGTAGCAGAGGCAGTTTGTGACTGGAGACCAGTAATGTTCTATTTACTGATCCAGTTGTGAAGAGATGGGTGTTTCTACTACAACGTTAAAACTATGAATATCTGGATTATGTACTACTTTGTATGCATATTTTTGTTTCACAATGTGAAATAAAAAGGGTATTATAAACTTTATGCCAGTAAGTTTGAAGGTGTATAAGAAAGAAACCAATTCCTGGAAAAAATGCAACTTGCCAAAATGACATAGGAAGAGATACAAAATCTGAATCTTCTTAAATCTATTTTTAAAACTGGGCCGGGCCCAGTGGCTCACACCTGTAATCACAGCACTTTGGGAGGCCGAGGTGGATGGATCACGAGGTCAGGAGTTTGAGACCAGACTGACCAACACAGTGAAACTCCGTTCTACTAAAAATACAAAAATTAGCCGGGCATGGTGGTGCATGCCTGCAATCCGAGCTACTCAGGATGCTAAGACAGGAGAATCACTTGAACCCAGGAGGCAGAGGTTGCGGTGAGCCAAGATCACGCTCTTGCACTCTAGCCAGGGCGACAGAGCGAGACTGTCTCAAAAAATAAAATAAAATAAAATAAATATATATATATATTTAAAATATATATTATATATATTTATAATATTTAAATATATATATCTAAAATATATACATTATATATATGTATATTTTTAAAAACTGAATTGAATCAGTAGTCCAAAAAAATCCACAATAAGAAAATTCTAGGTCTAGATGGCTTCTCATTGGCAAATTCTACCAAACATTCAAAGATGAATAGAGAAGACAAAGAAGGGAGGGATTCTCATAACTTGCTTTATGAGACAGCCATAACCTTACTCAGAAGAGTAAAGAGGAAAATTATAGGTGAAATGTATTCATGAACATACATTTTAAAATTCTAAACAAAATATGACTGAATCCAATCCACAAACATTAAAAAAAAGCTTTTCCTTCTCTCTTGTACTAAGTTAAACTTACTCGTATTTCTACATTTAACTGCTCAATGAGGATCAATGTATTGAGAAAAAGTTGAGGATGAGGATTCCCTACTTTACAAAGAGTTTATTAAGAGTGTAATGAAAGTGATTTATGTGAATTATTTATACTAATAAAAAAATCTGGCCGGGCACGGTGGCTCACGCCTGTAATCCAGCACTGTGGGAGGCCAAGGCGGATCACAAGGTCAGGAGATCAAGACCATCCTGGCCAAACACGGTGAAATGCCTGCTCTACTAAAAAAATACAAAAAAAATTAGCTGGGCATGGTGGTGGGCGCCTGCAGTCCCAGCTACTCGGGAGGCTGAGGCAGGAGAATGGCGTGAACCCAGGAGACGGAGCTTGCAGTGAGCTGAGATCGCTCCACTGCACTCCAGCCTGGGCAACAGAGCGAGACTCCATCTCAAAAAAAAAAAAAAAAAATCTTTGATACTTAAATTGGGTGGTGATGATATGGCTGGAGACTATACTAGATATATGTTCTATAGAACAACCAAGTCTCATTTTGAGGGCAACATAGGATTTTTTATTTAAGAAAGAGTTTAGAAAACTAAAAAGCACTATATACATTGCAAGGCATTATAACAACTAATATAATCGTTTTATTTTAGCTAAAATTTATGAGCTAAAATTTAAGCTCAACCAAGTTCAGTATCTTTGTTTTCTAATGTATCAAGTGCTTAGAACTATGGCTGGTATGTGATAGGCATACAGATACTTGTTGAATAAATAATTTTATTCAATTTTTTTCTAAAATCTCTATTTAATAAACTAAGGCAAGAAACTGGTTTTATATGTGCACTTTAAATTTGCTTGTTAACTAAAGCACACTCACTAATTTGAAGGCGTCATGAATGCTGATGTCTTAAAAATTAAGATTTAAAAAAATCTTCCAAATCCTCTTTTAAACAATAAAGAACCTAAACTTTAACTGATTTATTCTGTTTAACTTGTAACTCAATTTTCCACCACTGAAGAAAACGCTAACTTTTACAAATTAACATGCTCAACCTCCAAAATCTGCCCTTTACTTTTGTTTGTTTCAATCTAATAAAATACTTTTACATTTCATATTAAGGTTGACTGATAAATTATGATAGCATGATGCAGTTTATAAGTATGTTAGGAACATCTTATGTTTACAAAAAAAAAAACCAGTATTTTTTGCAACAACTCTTAAAAATGCAAAAGCCTACATCAATTATACCTCACACAGCCAAATGCCATTAGTCGATACTTGTTATTTACTGCTACACACGTTCCGTCAACAACATCTTGTGGCCAAACTCCATGAAGCTGCTATAATAAAGAAAAATAGTTAAGGCTTAAAAAGTGTTTCTCCAAATTTACCGTAGTCAATATAATTCTCCTTCAATAAACATACAATTTCATAATGCTTTATTTGGTTTCATCTGCAGAGGAAAATATCCCACCAGGACTACCACAATAGTCTCCCTTAAAATACTACCAAATAGTCTCCCTTAAAACCTCAAACTTCTCATGAATTGGTCTGATAAATACTCAGCTCAGTCCAGTGCTAGTTAATTTATTTAAAAAACACTAAAATATGGAAATTCATCTCCAAATTCAAATAAAGATGACTTTCTTGTTAGAATGTAAACATTTTGACAGCGGAAACAGCATCTAACTTGCTCACTGTAATTATTCTCATCACCTAGCACATAGTATTTAACTTCTCAGTCAGTGAAAAGTAGTACATTCTGTTTGGTTTATTCTTTAGAAGCAAAATTGCTTACTATTCTCTACAATTCCCTTCTTTATAGTGTAATGGTTAATAGCATGGTATCTGGAAGCCTGACAGCTCAGGACTGCTTTCACTCCTCAAAATAAGTATTTGATCTTTTTTAAGCTTCAGTTTTCTTATCGTATTTACCTCTCAGGGTGTTTCAAAGATTAAATGAAGATACACATGTAAACTATTTAGGACAATGCCTACCATTCAACAAGCATTCAATAAATAAATGACATTATTAGTAAGCATATATGCTATTTCCATATGCCATCTCCATATATAGAGAATAGATTCAGCTCAGTTGTTTGCTCCTATCTGTCAAATCACAGACATTTTAGATGATAAATTCCAAGGCAAAGGTCATAATCATTAGTTCAGTTAGCAGAAAAAGTGGCACACTATAATATAGCACTTTATTTTTGGATGATCCTAATAGTAAACATTAAAGATACAATATAATCACAACTATATGAACTAGAATCCTACAGATTTCATTTAATTCCACAATCAGCTATATAATCTACTATCTAAACACGGAATCTTTGCTTTAGTAGGAATTGTATCTTTTAATTTTAATAATAAAACTGGACATTTTATGTCACAAATGGTAAAGACAGCAGTGAGCATTATTTCTCTGAACTGCTGCTTAGACTGAAATTCAGTCCTACAATAAGTATTTTCTAGGTGGTTACCATTCACCAGGCACTGCTCTAGGTGCTGAGGCTATACTAGCACACCAAAATCTCTACTTGTATGCTTGCTTTACATTTGAGTCAAGAGACAGACAAGTTAAAAAAGTATATTGAATACTGGAGGTTAAAAAATACTATACAAAAAAAATTAAGCAATGCTGGTGAAGAGGGAGTACAGGGGAAGGATGTAATATTAAACAGGTTTCCCTATAAGGATGCCTTTTGAGGAAAGTCCTCAAAGAAATAAAACAAGTGTAAAAGCCCTAATGTAGGAGCATTTCTGGCATGCTCAAAGACCAGCAAAGAAGCCTGTGTGGATAGAGTGAAGTGGATGGGTTGTGAAAGGAAAGTAGTATATGTGGTAAGAGATGTAACAGGAGGTCAGATAATTAGGGCTTTGAAGGCCACCATAAGAATTTTGGCTTTTTCTTCAAGTTATATAGAAGAAGAATATTCAAATTTTTTAAACTTTTCTGTCATGAATTATAATAAAGAATACATGAAAATGAAATGTACATCTCAATATCACAAAGCAAACACTTGTGGAATTGCTACTCAGGCCAAGAATCATGAGTACCCAAAAGTCTCCCAATAGTGCCCTTCCCAATCACTGTATCCTCACACCCCTACAACAAAAAATATCCAGATTTACATGGTAATCACCTCCTTCTTTCTTTTAAATCATTACCACTTAAACATGCACCCATATATACTCTAATTTAGAAATGCCTACATTATTTGCCCTTTAATTTTTACCTAAAATGGAATCATAGCATGTATTCCTTTGTGTCTAGCTGTTTTTTGCTTACCATGTCTGTAAGATCTATCTGTGTTGTTGCATATAGCCTAATTTGTTCATGTTCATTGTAGGCTTAAATATTGGGCTTAGCTCACTGGATTGCTGGCCTCCCTTAGTCTGGCAACTCTTTACTGTCTTGTTTGCTCTCTAAGGGCTTCAAGCATATTAAAAAATATATTTTTTCTCCAGCTCTTTTAGTCCTCAGGAGGTTCTGTCCTAATAATCTAGTCCTACTGAATGAGTCTCCACAGAGGACTGACATAATCACATTTTAACACATCTGTTAAATGTCATTTAGTTATTTCCCTATTACCATTAATACATAGGTACTGTTTTCTTGTAATTTGTATTTTCTATCTATACCTTATTTAGTAATGCCCATCTGCTTTTCATTAGTTTTTAAATCCTTAACTTATTAGAAAAAATTATTTAATTACATACTAATAAACACTGAGAATATATTTTGTACTAACTCTAAAGTACTTGGAAAAGAGTCAATCACTTTTTCAGCTCTAATATTTTTATTTCCAGTCTAAACATTTAAGTCCCAAAGATAATTACAAATATATATGCACCTTATAGGAAAAAAAAAAGAGTTTTTTCTAATTCATCAAAAGTTTATTTTTATTCTTATTTATGTTCTGACACAGGTGATCACAAATACATTATTTAGTACCTTACTATCTGAATAAAGTTGATAACGGAAGATAGTAGATAGGAATATTAAAGTTGATACCAAACAGAATGACAACAATTAAAAAAGGCCATTAAAAACTTAAATTCCTTTCCAGTTAAAGAGAGATGACTGAATATAAATATTTAGCTTCTTGGACTCCTAAAACTGTAACTTCTAGAAGAGAAAAGAGTTTTTGTTTAAAAAAACATAAAGCAGCAAAGACAAAAATAATAGGAGGCGGCATTAGAAAATTTTAGAAGCTGGAAAGCATATCAATGAGTAGAATCCTTAACTGACAGGGAAGAATGCTGAGAAACGTCTAAATTTAAGTTGTAGGGTACACGAAAGGCTTGGGAATTCAGGGGTCTTTGAAAGGCTAAATTAAATGTAGTAGAAGTGGTTCAAAACCTACTTAAAGAAGCAACCAGGTCCTCCCAGAGCACTTCCCCAAAGCTGAGCAGCCAATAAATACCCTACCTCCACTCCTACGGAAAACTGGATATTTTTCTTTGGAGAAAAACAAAACAAAACACCCCCACCCCTACCACCTCCACCAGAGGCCTATGGACCACACTGAAAACAGGGATAGAAAATAAAGGTTCACATCTTGAATTTGGACCCGCTAGCTTAACTCTTCTGTAACTCAAATCCCAGAATACTGGGGTAGCCAAGTATATATCCTCTAGAAAGGACTGCAGGACTCTTTTCCAAGGAACACTGGAGACAGAGAGGGGAGAGGGGAGCAGAAGGGAGGGACAGAGGGAAGGGTATGGCTCTAAAGGTAGGAGGACCCCCAAGTAAATAACTCAGTCAGCTCATCCTATGGTAAAGGACATAGTAAACCAAACGAACCAAAATTCACAGTTTTCAATAAATTATTTTAATTTTAGGTCTCTGTCACAGCAGCCAAATCCATATATTAATTAGCTATTAGCTATTAAAAGATCCGACACAAATAAGAGTAAAGGGAATCTCAGGATAATTATGACAGAAGGCCAAAAAACAGCTGTGTTAAAGATTATAGTAAGCAAGCAGTCTAATTTGGAGCAGGCCAGAAGGCTCCCAGAGAAATTTCTTTAAGAAGATGAAATGGGAGGTTCCAAGATGGCCAAATAGGAACAGCTCCAGTGTACAGCTCCCAGCATGAGTGATGCAGAGGATGGGTGATTTCTGCATTTCCAACTGAAGTACCAGGTTCATCTCACTAGGGCTTGTCAGACAGTGGGTGCAGCCCATGGAGTGTGAGCCCAAGGAGGACAGGGCATCACCTCACCCGGGAAGTGCAAGGGGTCGGGGAATTCCTTTTCATAGCCAAAGGAAGCCATGACAGATGGTACATGGAAAATCGGGACACTCCCACCCTAATACTGCGCTTTTCCAATGGTCTTAGCAAACAGCACACCAGGAGATTATATCCTGCGCCTGGCTTGGAGGGTCCCATGCCCATGGAGCCTTGCTCACTGCTAGCACAGCAACTCAGATTGAACTGCAAGATGGCAGCGAAGCTGGGGGAGGGGTGTCTACCATTGCTAAGGCTTGAATAGGTAAACAAAGTGGCAGGGAAGCTCCAAGTGGGTGGAGCCCACCGCAGCTCAAGGAGGCCTGCCTGCCTCTGTAGACTCCACCTCTGGGGGCAGGGTATAGCTGAACAAAAGGCAGCAGACAGTTCTGCAGACGTAAATGTCCCTGTCTAACAGCTTTGAAGAGAGTAGTGGTTTGCCCAGCACGGAGTCTGAGGTCTGAGAACAGACAGACTGCCTCCTCAAGTGGGTCCCTGACCCATAAGTAGCCTAACTGGGAGACACCTCCCATTAGGGGCCAACTGACACCTCAATCCAGCTGGGTGCCCCTCTAAGATGAACCTTCCAGAAGAAGGATCAGGCAGCAACATTTGCCGTTCTGCAATATGTGCTGTTCTGCAGCCTCCGCTAGTGATACCCAGGCAAACAGGGTCTGGAGTGGACCTCCAGCAAACTCCAACAGACCTACAGCTGAGGGTCCTGACTGTTAGAAGGAAAACTAACAAACAGAAAGGACATCCACACCAAAACCCCATATGTATGTCAGCATCATCAAAGACTAAAGGCAGATAAAACCAAAGATGGGGAGAAACCAGAGCAGAAAAGCTAAAATTCTAAAAATCAGAGCACCTCTTCACCTCCAAAGGAACGCAGCTCCTTGCCAGCAATGGAACAAAGCTCGATGGAGAATGACTTTGATGAGTTGAGAGAAGAAGGCTTCAGACGATCAGTAATAACAAACTTCTCCAAGCTAAAGAAGGATGCTCGAACCCATTGCAAAGAAGCAAAAAATCTTGAAAAAAGATTAGACAAATGGCTAACTAGAATAAACAGCGTAGCAAGGACCTAAAATGACGTGATGGAGCTGAAAACCATCGCACGAGAACTATGTGATGCCTGCACAAGCTTCAGTAGCCGATTTGATCGAATGATTGAAGATCAAATGAATGAAATGAAGTGAGAAGAGAAGTTTAGAGAAAAAAAGAGTAAAAAGAAATGAACAAAGCCTCCCAGAAAAATGGGACTGTGTGAAAAGATGAAATCTACGTCTGACTGCTGTACCTGAAAGTGACGGGGAGAATGGAACCAAGTTGGAAAACACTCTGCAGGATGTTATCCAGGAGAACTTCCCCAACCTAGCAAGGCAGACCAACATTCAAATTCAGGAAATACAGGGAACGCCACAAAGATACTCCTCGAGAAGAGCAACTCCAAGACACATAATTGTCAGACTCACCAAAGTTGAAATGAAGGAAAAAATGTTAAGGGCAGCCAGAGAGAAAGGTCGGGTTACCCACAAAGGGAAGCCTATCAGACTAACAGCAGATCTCTAAGCAGAAACTCTACAAGCCAGAAGATAGTGGGGGCCAATATTCAACATTCTTATAGAAAAGAATTTTCAACCCAGAATTTCATATCCAGCCAAACTAAGCTTCGTAAGTGAAGGAGAAATAAAATCCTTTACAGACAAGCAAATGCTGAGAGATTTTGTCACCACCAAGCCTGCCTTACAAGAGCTCCTGAAGGAAGCACTAAATATGGAAAGGAACAACTGGTACCAGCCACTGCAAAAACATGCCAAATTGTAAAGACCATCGATGCTAGGAAGAAACTGCATCAACTAATGTGCAAAATAACCAGCTAACATCATAATGACAGGATCAAATTCACACATAACAATAGTAACCTTAAATGTAAATGGACTAAATGCTCCGATTAAAAGACACAGACTGGCAAATTGGATAAAGTGTCAAGACCCATCATTGTGCTGTATTCTGGAGACCTACCTTACGTGCAGAGACACACATAGGCTCAAAATAAAGGGATGGAGGAAGATCAACCAAGCAAATGGAAAACAAAAAAAAGCAGGGGTTGCAATCCTAGTATCTGATAAAACAGACTTTAAACCAACAAAGATCAATAGAGACAAAGAAGGCCATTGCATAATGCTAAAGGGATCAATTCAACAAGAAGAGCTAACTATCCTAAATATATATGCACCCAATACAGGAGCACCCAGATTCATAAAGCAAGTCCTTAGAGACCTACAAAGAGACTTAGACTCCCACACAATAATAATGGGAGACTTTAACACCCCACCGTAAACATTAGACAGATCAAAGAGACAGAAAGTTAACAAGGGTATCCAGGAATTGAACTCAGCTCTGCACCAAGTGGTCCTAATAGACATCTACAGAACTCTCCACCCCAAATCAACAGAATATACATTCTTCTCAGCACCACATCACACTTATTCCAAAATTGACCACATAGTTGGAAGTACCCCTCAGCAAATGTAAAAAACCAGAAATTATAACCAACTGTCTCTCAGACCACAGTGCAATCAAACTAGAACTCAGGATTAAGAAACTCACTCAAAACCACTCAACTACATGAAACTGAACAACCTGCTCCTGAATGACTACTGGGTACATAACGAAATGAAGGCAGAAATAAAGATGTTCTTTGAAACCAACGAGAACAAAGACACAACATACCAGAATCTCTGGGACATATTTAAAGCAGTGTGTAGAGGGAAATTTATAGGATTAAATGCCCACAACAGAAAGCACGAAAGATCTAAAATTGACACCCTAACATCACAATTAAAAGAACTAGAGAAGCAGGAGCAGACACATTCAAAAGCTAGCAGAAGGTAAGAAATAACTAAGATCAGAGCAGAACTGAAGGAGATAGAGACATAAAAAAACCATCAAAAAAATCAATGAATGCAGGAGCTGGTTTTTTGAAAAGACTGACGAAATTGATAGACCACTAGCAAGACTAATGAAGAAGTAAAGAGAGAAGAATCAAGTAGACGCAATAAAAAATGATAAAGGGGATATCACCACCGATCCCACAGAAATACAAACTACCATCAGAGAATACTATAAACACCTCTAAGCAAATAAACTAGAAACTCTAGAAGAAATGGATAAATTCCTGGACAAATACACCCTCCCAAGACTAAACCAGGAAGAAGCTGAATCCCTGAATAGACCAATAACAGGCTCTGAAATTGAGGCAATAATTAATAGCCTACTAACCAAAAAAAGTCCAGGACGAGACAGATTCACAGCCAAATTCTATCAGAGGTACAAAGAGGAACTGGTACCATTCCTTCTGAAACTATTCCAATCAATAGAAAAAGAGGGAACCCTCCCTAACTCATTTTATGAGGCCTGCATCATCCTGATATCAAAGCCTGGCAGAGACACAACAAAAAAAGAGAATATTAGACCAATATCCCTTATGAACAATGATGCAAAAATCCTCAATAAAATACTGGCAAACCGAATCCAGCAGCACATCAAAAAGCTTATCCACCACTATCAAGTTGGCTTCATCCCTGGGATGCAAGGCTGGTTCAAGATACGAAAATCAATAACGGTAATACAGCATATAAACAGAACCAAAGACAAAAACCACATGATTATCTCAATAGATGCAGAAAAGGCCTTTGACAAAATTCAACAGTCCTTCCTGCTAAAAAGTCTCAATAAACTAGGTATTGATGGGACGTATCTCAAAATAATAAGAGCTACTTATGACAAACCCACAAATATCATACTGAATGGGCAAAAACTGGAAGCATTCCCTTTGAAAACTGGCACAAGACAGGGATGTCCTCTCTCACCACTCCTATTCAACACAGTGTTGGAAGTTCTGGCCAGAGCAATCAGGCAGAAGAAAGAAATAAAGGGTATTCAATTAGGAAAAGAGGAAGTCAAATTGTCCCTGTTTGCAGATGACATGATTGTATATCTAGAAAACTCCATAGTCTCAGCGCAAAATCTCCTTAAGCTGATAGGCAACTTCAGCAAAGTCTCAGGATACAAAATGAATGTGCAAAAATCACAAGCATTCCTATACACCAATAACAGACAAACACAGAACCAAATCATGAGTGAACTCCCATTCACAATTGCTTCAAAGAGAATAAAATACCTAGGAATCCAACTTACAAGGGATGTGAAGGACCTCTTCAAGGAGAACTACAAACCACTGCTCAACGAAATAAAAGAGGACACAAACAAATGAAAGAACTTTCCATGCTCATGGATAGGAAGAATCAATATTGTGAAAATGGCCATACTGCCCAAGGTCATTTATAGATTCAATGCCATCCCCATCAAGTTACCAATGACTTTCTTCACAGAGTTGGAAAAAACTACTTTAAAGTTCATATGGAACCAAAAAACAGCCTGCATTGCGAAGACAATCCTAAGCCAAAAGAACAAAGCTGGAGGCATCACGCTACCTGACTTCAAACTATACTACAAGGCTACAGTAACCAAAACAGCATGGTACTGGTACCAAAACAGAGATCTAGACCAATGGAACAGAACAGAGCCCTCAGAAATAATACCACACATCTACAACCATCTGATCTTTGACAAACCTGACAAAAACAAGAAACGGGGAAAGGATTCTCTATTTAATAAATGGTGCTGGTAAAACGGGCTAGCCATATGTAGAAAGCTGAAACTGGATCCTTTCCTTACACCTTATACAAAAATTAATTCAAGATGGATTAAAGACTTAAATGTTGGACCTAAAACCATAAAAACCCTAGAAGAAAACCTAGACAATACCATTCAGGCCATAGGCATGGGCAAGGACTTCATGACTAAAACACCAAAAGCAATGGCAACAAAAGCCAAAATTGACAAATGGGATCTAATTCAACTAAAGAGCTTCTGCACAGCAAAAGAAACTACCATCAGAGTGAACAGGCAACCTACAGAATGGGAAAAAATTTTTACCATCTACCCATCTGACAAAGGGCTAATATCCAGAAACTACAAAGAACTTAAACAAATTTACAAGAAAAAAATCAAACCACCCCATCAAAAAGTGGGCGAAGGCTATGAACAGACACTTCTCAAAAGAAGACATTTATGCAGCCAACAGACACATGAAAAAATGCTCATTATCACTGGCCATCAAAGAAATGCAAATCAAAACCACAATGAGATACCATCTCACACCAGTTAAAATGGTGATCATTAAAAACTTAGGAAACAATAGGTCCTGGAGAGGATGTGGAGAAATAGGAATACTTTTACACTGTTGGTGGGACTGTAAACTAGTTCAACCATTGTGGAAGACAGTGTGGCGATTCTTCAAGGATCTAAAACTAGAAATATCATTTGATCCAGCCATCCCATTACTGGGTATATACCCAAAGGATTATAAATCATGCTGCTATAAAGACACACGCACATGTATGTTTATTGTGGCACTATTCAAATAGCAAAGACTTGGTACCAAGCCCAGTGTCCATCAATGACAGACTGGATTAAGAAAATGTGGCACATATACACCATGGAATACTATGCAGCCATAAAAAAGGATGAGTTCATGTCCTTTGTAGGCACATGGGTGAAGTTGGAAACCATCATTCTGAGCAAACTATTGCAAGGACAAAAAACCAAACACCGTATGTTCTGATTCATAGGTGGGAATTGAACAATGAGAACACTTGGACACAAGGTGGGGAACATCACACACCAGGGCCTGTCGTGGGGTGGGGCGAGGGGGGGAGGGATAGCATTAGGAGATATACCTAATGTAAATGACGAGTTAATGGGTGCAGAACACCAACATGGCACATGTGTACATATGTAACAAACCTGCACGCTGTGCACATGTACCCTAGAACTTAAAAAAGTAAATAAAAAGATAGATTTAGAAAGGGATCTCTGATATCACAGTGGGCTTCAGAAAACCAGTGTAAGTTCTTTCTAGTATTAAAGTCAGAAAAGTTTATGTGAAGAAATATTTACATGTGCATGGAGGCTATGAACATGCATGTGGACGTGTGATACATACCTATAGACCCACACATACACTGCATAGGTACACACACACACACACACACACACACACACACACTCTCTCTCTCTTATAGTTTTTGCAAGCTCATTCCTTCTGTAAGCCATCCTTAAGTGATATAGTTCCTCGGGGTAAAAAAAAAAAAAAAAAAATCTCTTCCTCCATTAAATTGTTTTGTGGTACTGTGGAAAAAAAAAAAAAAAGAAGAAGAAGATGAAATGGGCTGGGCACCATGGCTGACGCCTGTAATCCCAGCACATTGGGAGGCTGAGGTGGGTGGATCACCTGAGGTTGGTAGGTCAAGACCAGCCTGACCAACAGGGAGAAACCCCGTCTCTACTAAAGACACAAAATTAGGCGGGCGTGGTGGTGCATGCCTGTAATCCCAGCAACTCGGGAGGCTGAAGCAGGAGAATCGCTTGAACCCGAGAGGCGGAGGTTGTGGTGAGCCGAGATCGTGCCACTGCACTCCAGTCTGGACAACAAGAGCAAAATTCCATCTCAAAAAAAAAAAAAAGAAAACAAAAAAGATGAAATGAACAGAACAGCTAATATGTTTGAAAAAGCTGGGAGGATATTTACACAACTGACAGTTTGGGTTGAGTAAGAGATAAGTACACAAAAATTAAGCAAATGTAAAGAACAAGGCAATCATTAATTCCTAGCAGGAGGAAAAATCTGCAGTAAAGGAAAAATAATTATACTGACAGAGACAGGAGTTGGCCAAGGGTCCCCAGTGAAAACCCACTTTCAAGCCCAAAAAGTGCCTGAAGGCTGAAAGATGGGACTCCTTGTCCCAGATGAAACTGGTGATCCAGAGGGATAAATAACTGCCCGTTTGCCGTTTCCTGAGTGATTCTTTCTGAATAATGCCCACAAGCGCACTAGGAGAATGGGGTTAAGTTCACGCCTTGTTCAGCGGGTAGGACCCTGGGGCTCTTCAGCGTGTGTGTGTGCACGCGCGTGTGTGCTGGGGTTTGGTAATCAATCTGTGAAGTGGGAGCCTGTTAGCAGGACATCATCTTTATTTGCTGAGAGCTTGCTTTTAATAAATTCTGCTCTCCTCACCTTTCAGTATGTCTGCATGCCTAATCTTTCCTGGCTGTGTGACAAGAACCTGCTTTTAGCTAAACTAAGGAGCAAAAACTTCTGCGTCAGTACCACATGGTTTCGGTACTAATGGGGCTTACATATTGATAAAAATATAAACAATTAATAGTAACCTAATCAAAATCACAATAACTATAATGGGAACATGAGAAGAATATAAGTATGGTGGAAGCAGGGAAGAGGGAAGTAAATGGTCACTTTCAACAGTAAGAAGTCAATAAACACAGCCTAAGAACTAAAAATTAAAGGAAATATTCAGAGTAGTGGAGATTAAAAATCAAAATAACCAGTAAAGGAATAACAAGTAGTTGCCTCCAAAAGTGGAAAATTAGGCATGAGGAGAGCAGGGAGGAGAACAGGAATCATTATTTTTCTTTAACATGTCCAAGAGAATTTTGTCTACTTATACTATTTATATGTTTGGTTTGATTAAAAAATTAACAACCCTTAAAATCTTACATGAATGATGAAAATAGAGAAGAATTTGATAACAAAGAATAAAATAAGTACACAATAACAAAAAACCCTTCAAAGTAAATAAGTCATACCTCTGCAGTAAATCTACTTGACACTGGTGTAATAAATCCAACTTTACCATCATTAAATACAACAGCAAACCCATCAAGTGTGGCACAGTATTCCATGTCTCTGATGTGTACGTCTGTGAAGCCCAGGAATGAACCTACTGATGAAAAAAATAAGCACATGAAATAGGATTAAGAATATAATAAATTACTCTCTCACTTTTTGCCAGAAAAACCTGTAAGTTTAAAAGGGTAAAAATAATGACCTAACAACCCTAAATAATTAAACTGTCCTTTCCTATTAAATGCCTCTCTCACCCCGCCTCTCATACTCTGCCCACCTCTCCCCTTGCATAAGTAATTCCAAAGAAGTGTTCATCCATAGAAGATACCTAACTAGACATCAAACATTAAACAACTGGTTCAACCTCATGTAGAAAGTATAGCTACCTCTAGATGACTGCAGGTCTACTGAAAAGGGTACTGTGCAAAGATTAATGGCTTTCCTTCCATTTGTCATTCCTTCCCAGTGAATAAGATGAAGAAGTCCATCAGAAGTAGCAACCAGGAGATCTTCCAACACAGACTGCAAACTGTAGGTAGAATCAATTAATTTTTAAGAGAGCATACTGGGAAAGCAATGTGTATGAATATTAAAACTGCTTTAGAGAATACTCATGCAAAAATGATCATGAAACCATTTACAAAACATCTCCATTTATCTGCAACTTTATCTATGTATATTTCAATCTAGAATCAGAAATCCTGAAAGAAATGAAAGACTATGGGCACTCACAGTCACAAACTTGATAACTGATAAAACTAGTTAAAAACTACAAATATTGAAACAGCAAATTAGAAGATGGAAACAGAAGTGATAGCAGAAAGAAAGAAAAAGAGGTAGAGAAACCATAAAATGAATAAACCCAACTAATAACAGTATGACAATCTAGAGCCATTAAGTGTAGAGGTAACAATGCTCTGGCACTTGTCCAATAAAACTTTGAATAATGATGGAAATGTTCTATATCTGTGCTATCTGTAAACAGTAGCTATGAGCTGTATGTGGTGACTATACACTTGAAATATGGCTAGTGCAATAAAATAACTGAAATTTTATTTACTTTTCATTAATGTAAATTTAAATAAATTCATGTGTGACTAGTGGCTACTGTATTGGAGTATAGTTCCAGGCCAATATATTTCTTAGGTATTAGCAAGTCTCACATTGTTCATTCCTTCTACAAACATTTACTGAGCCTATCCTCTGTGACAGGTGCTATACTGTGTGCTGGATATTCGAGGATGAATAAAATATTCTCCGTCTTCAGAGGACTTCTCAGGCAAGAAATCAAAAATAGTTACATAGCATGATCTCATCACTTATCAATATTTATGAAGATATTCAGCATTTACTTCTTTAATGGGGAAATAGCCTGTTTTGCTCACCTCTGTATGCACAGCCCCAAGGGCAGTGTTAGTTAAATCTGTCACTAAATATTTGTGCAAAGGAGGCAAGAAGAGGGAAAGGGTTAGAGGAAAGAGGAACCCATAAATGAGACCGCAAAGGTACTGGCACAAAGAAAAAGACAACCAGGGAAACCAGTAGAAACTGATATCAAGAAAGCCAAGGAAGTAAGATGAATTTAAGAAAGAGTGTTCAAAGTATCAAATACTATATAAGGAAAAACAAAAAATGTTATGTGTATATTATATATACCCTATTAAATACTATTAAATTCCTTTTCATACTTAAGAGCATATTTCTGAAATATTTTAATCCATAATGATGAAAAAAATGTCTTTTAGTATTTTAATTCTTAAACTAAACCTTTAATTCTTTGGAAAGTTGACTTCAATTACTCATACTCCAAAGATTTCAGCTAATGTAGAATTTGCTGTTTTTTCCCCAACTATAAAAATACTGAAAAAGATCAGAAACAGATGTTTCTTTACCCAGCTCTATTTCTTGAACTTCACAGCCATTTGTAATCAATTAAAATTCCCAGTTTTTAGACATTTCACTTTTTAAAGCATTATATATTAATTTCAAATTTATATTTCAGTGATAAAATCTATGTGTATCATTTGGTGGGTAGAGTATAAAAAGTTTATGTTTTAGATGCACTACTATATGCTATGAAAATATGTAATTCAAAATCTAAGCTGTTGGAAATCTGAATTACTTTTGAGCCTTAAAGAAATGTAATTATGGGGCCTGAGTCACACAATAGGCAGCTATAATCTAGGCAGCTGTCATCTTTCTTTCTCTGATTATAGATTAGCTTTCTTCCTTACTGTATTGTTTTATAAATGCTGTAAATGACTAAAGGGCTCCAGGGAAGACCCCTTCCCTCTTCACTGTTGATCTTCATGGTAGATTAACTTCCCTCTTATCTTTCTTACACAAAGACTTCATGGCTATCACATTGTCTTAAAATGGAATGTTAAATACACTCTTTTTAAATTGGAAATGAAAACTAGCTGTAAAGACAAGCCATAAAGAAAACAAACTGTAACTAAATTGTAACTCATAAACCAGCCTTGTATAGAAAACATTATAATCCTACTAAACTTTATTTTCCACCTATATAAGCAAGAACTGAACTTTTTTTTTTTTTTTTTTTTTTTTTTTGAGACGGAGTCTTGCTCTGTTGCCCAAGCTGGAGTGCAGTGGTACCATCTCAGCTCACTGCAACCTCTGCCTCCCAGGTTCAAGTGATTCTCCTGCCTCAGCCTCCCTAGTAGCTGGGATTACAGGCGCACGCCACCATGCCCAGCTAATTTTTGTATTTTTAGTAGAGACAAGGTTTCGCCGTGTTGGCCAGGCTCGTCTTGAACTCCTGACCTCAGGTGATCGACCCACCTTGGCCTCCAAAGTGCTGGGATTACAGGCGTGAGCCACTGCGCCTGGCTGAACTTTTTTTTTTTTTATTTTTAAACAGTCTCTTACTCTGCTGCCCAGGCTAGAGTGCAGTGGCGCGATCTCAGCTCACTGAAACCTCCGCCTCCCGGGATTCTCCTGCCTCAGCCTCCTGAGTAGCTGCGATGACAGGCATGCGCCACCACGCCCAGCTAATTTTTCTGTTTGTGGTAGAGACAAGGTTTCACCATGTTGGCCAGGCTGGTTTTGAACTCCTGACCTCAGGTGATCCACCCGCCTCGGCCTCCCAGTGTGCTGGGATTATAGGTGTGAGCTACTGTGCCTGGCCTGCAAGAACTGAACTTTTAACTTTGGAACACTGACCCCATTTTCTGAAGTCTGTTCTCCCGGATTGGTCAGCTTTCTGCTTGCATTAATTCCAGAATCTGATCCTTTTGATTACTTCAAGTTGACAATGTCAAGAGAGGCAATTTAGCAGAGTAGTCACTGGTTTACCAGTGATTTTCCTTGGAAGGAGTCAGCATCGTTTATTCCAAACTACATTCTCCCTCTCCCCTAACCCTATCTCCCTAGAAAATCACTGTATACAACAGAGTTATCCTCCAGTAATCTGACTACCTGCTAGACAAAACTCAACAATCGTCTGACAAAATTAAGAGTTCATAATCTCTATAACATGATAATCAGTGATGCTGCAACAAACAAATGACTGGCCAGATGTGTGAATAAACAGGAAAATGTAACCTAGAGTCAAGAGAAAAATCCATCAATATAAATAGACTTATAGATAATCTTGATATTGGAATTAGCAGATAGGCTTTTTAAAAACTGTGACAGACATAATAAATAATCTACAGGAAGAGATAGATATATCCTTCTCATTTAATTGAAAGTGGACAAACTTGTTAAAACAAAGGCTGAGCCAGGCGTGGTGGCTTGTGCCTATAATCCCAGCTACTAGGAGGCTGAGGCAGGAGGAATGCTTGAGCCCAGGAGCTCGAGACCAACTGAGCAGCACAGTGAGACTACCACCTCTAAAAAAATTTAGAAATAAAAAAGCTGGTGTCAGTTGTTAAAATACTAATAATTCTATAAATGTTGGTAAATAGACCTTGCCCCAAGTCACCTAAGTGTTTGCTACAACTGACTCCCCTCCCTCAGAAAAATCTGGCCAACTGAAGGATTCATTATTGGCGTAGTAGGGCGATGTCAGAACCCTGTTCGATAACTAATAACCCATGTCTTTTCATGCTGTATTGGTTCTTAAATTTTTGTTTCTTTTGAGACACAGTCTCTGTTGCCCTGGCTGGAGTGCAGTGGCACAATCTCAGCTCACTGCAACCTCTGCCTCCCGGGTTCAAGCAATTATTGTGCCTCAGCCTCCTGAGTAGCTGGGAGTACAGGCGTGTGCCACCACACCCAGCTAATTTTTATATTTTTAGTAGAGACAGGGTTTCACTATGTTGGCTAGGCTGGTCTCAAACTCCTGACCTCATGATCTGCCCTTCTGTCCCCTTGGCCTCCCAAAGTGCTGGGATTATAGGCATGAGCCACCGTGCCCAGCCTGGTTCTGAAATATTTTTAATATCACAACTGTTAATGAGTACATTTAAAAATTTAGGTAAATACACTCTAAGTTATATCCTTAGAGAGCCTCTTCAATCATTGACTTCATTAATTTTATGAGAGCTATGTGGTATCCCAGGTGTGCGTGTGTGTTAAATGTATGTTTAAATTTAGGATCTTGGCTGGGTGTGGTGGCTCAACACCTGCAATCCCAGCACTTTGAGAGGCCAAGGAGGGGAGATCGCTTGAGCTTAGGAGTTTGAGACCAGCCTCAACAACATGGTGAAACCTTGTCTCTACAATAAAGTACAAAAAATTAGCGTGCTGTGACGTGTGCCTGTAGTCCCAGCTACTTGATAGGCTGAGGTGAGATCACTGGAGCCCAGGAGGCTGAGGCTGCAGTGAGCTGTGATCATGCCGCTGCAATTAGCTGTGATTGTGCCACTGCACTTCAGCCTGGGTGACAAGGTGAGACCCTGTCGGAGGAGTGGGGAGAGAGGTAGGGAAGGGGATGGGAGGGGAGGGGAAGGGAGGGGAGGGGAAACTCTCATTAAAATTATGTTTTTACCTTCTAAACATTCTCTATCCTCAATTAATAACAAAAGTTAGATGCTTAACATTAATATTTTTTCTTCAAATCAAAAATAAAAGATGAGATAGTACTCTTACCCCTATAAGCAACAGCATAACCAATATCCTAGCCTTATCTGACTTATATTTGTGGTGACAGGAGGGAAAATAATTGGTTATAAAAATCTAAGTTTCATGTCTTCTCACTCGATTTAAAATCTATAGCAAATTTCAAATTTCCAGCAGTTATGTGTTTCAGGTGCTGATAACTTTGTTCTGAAATGCAGTTATTTCACTGGAGTTTTGAGAGAAACCTTACAGATTTCCAACCACCTAAATTCATAGATTAAAACCTAGCACCTGACAGGTTAAACTTGGACAAGATGGCAGAATTGTTTTTTTTTCTTTTTGGCTCTTTTTCTATTCTATTTCCATGCACCATACAAGGTTTCCCACCAGGTGGAGGTAGAAAGCCAAGCCTGTACAATTCCACCTTTTCTTGGTACCTACAGACACTCAGAATTCCTTATGTATCAAGTTACTTTCTTGAAAACGATTCCCATGCTGAAATAAATAAAATGTGAAGTGATGAATAACCTTGTGACCAAGGCGATGAGTAACTTTGAACTCAATCTTCTGTAACACTGATTACATTTAAGCAAATAATAATTGTGTTCTTTTCTATGAGAATAAGATATGAAGGGGATGGACCAAACAAGGCAAGACAATACCCAGCCACTTGCATAGTTTTAATGTTTCAGTATCATTCTGTACAGTACTCTAACAAGAGAAATGGTGAAATAAACCTTTACTTAGAACTGTGAGTCAGAGGGATTTTTTTAAAAGTAGCATGACATTCATATAATTCAATACATTTACATAGTTCAATATTAAAAAAGAGTACACAATAAAAAGCTTTTCCCCCAAACCTGTCCCATAGCTACTCAGTTCTCATCCCCAGTTTCTTATGTATTCTTCCAGAAAAATACATGCTCTCTCTTTTAAACAAGATGGAGATACCTCATCTCCCTTTTAAAAACAAACATTAGCAACATAAGCATTTTGCTTTTTTCACCCAACAACATATTTGGAAAGATTTTTTTCCATAAAGAATGTCCTCAATGTTTTTACAGCTGCGTATCGTTTAAATAAATTTTCTTATATCTACACAATGGAAAAGATATGCAGCTAAACTAAGTGACAACTAAAACATCAATAGTGGAACAACAATTAAAGAAATAAAGCCAAATTGTAGGTAAGATTTTTTCTACCAATGGGTATAAAATAGATTTTTGGTATTCTGGTATTTCTGGCCACTTTGTCATAAAACCTTTATTCATACTTGGATGAAAAAGTGTAACTTTCTTCCAAGTGTATATAAACTTCCCAGAAGCTTATGGCAACTTTGGAAACAAAGGCACTTTCTCTTTTCCTCAACTTGTGTGCTTTCATCAGTATTGTTTTGGGAAATATGGACTGTTATCACTCAATCAAACAATTCTAGACCTTATAAAATATAAATTTCAAAATAAGATTATAGTTGGTATATTCAATTTTATTATAATAATTTAAGTATTAAGTGCCATCTGTAAAACTTCCATTGTCTTATAAGGGTTAATCAAGCATTTCCAGAACTAAGAAGTTATCTTGAATTAAAAGAAATTAAACTAACTTTCCTGTTGGTCATGGGATTTACGAACTACATTGTCTACTGTCATCACACAATGTCAAATTTAACCAAAGTACTGTACCTCATGATGGGTGCTTGTAAATCCAGTATTTTCCTCATCTCCAAATTTAATGCTGGAGCACACTGTTCTTCCTTAAAATGGGGTGTCCCCTTCATTTGTGGACTTCCTCTAAAACAAACAGCATAGAGTTAAAGAAAGATGCTGAATTTGCCTCCATTCTGTGGCTAATACACATACAATCAAATAAAGTAAATGAAATAAAACTTACAAATCAGGTATTCATCCTTCAGATTCTCAAATGAAAAACAGACTTAAATTCTATTATAGCAGACATTATCTACTTATCAATTGGAAATAAATGTTTGACCAATGTAATTTGTGTTAGGAGGGTGGGAAGAAGAGCAGAGAATCTGAGAAAAAAACCCACTTGAAATAAAAGTGAACTAACTCTAAAGAGAACCAACAGGCATTTTGTTTAAAATTCCTGAGGGCCCTTTCTAAGGTGGACAACTATGGAAAAAAGTATCATTCTATACAGTATCTGTCCCAGTGATCCAAATCGTGTGGCTTCATCTTTACTTACTCCACACCTTATCCTTCATTCCTATTCTTTGGGTGTGAATCAGAATTAAGGTGAAATTCAAGGGTGCAATTAGGAGATGTTTCACAAGTTACTTAGTAATAAGTAGCTAAATACCTAAAATTTTAAATCCCTGGCATCAAATAGCTGCAGTAGAGTGCTGGGTCAATGCCAACTTAACTGAACTGTCACACACGACCCTTCAAAGGACTACAGGTTGTTTTGTATTCTTTATCTCCACATGGCATGGTAGACCAGTATCTTCTTCAGTGCCTGTGCTGGAATTTAACAGTTATCTGTCTCTCACCATCAGCTATCACTTGTGGCAACAATTAGCCTGCTGATGTCATCTCTCCCTTTCCAGTCAAGTACATTCCTATAATTTGTCGATACTATTAAAATATGCACAAAGAGGCAAACAAGTCCAATAGCTTTCAAAGTTCCTGGCTTTGGGAAATATATTTTGATGCTCATTTTTTTAGTTTTCTTTCTTACTTATTTTTGCTTATTTTTTTGTTACAGACTATTTTTCTTATAAAGTTTTGTGGTGATTTATTACCATTCTATCCTGCTACTACTATGAACTGGAGTACTTACTTAATTCCTTCTAAGTCTAAATGACTAAACTAGCTAATGTTTAACCATACAGGTTCGTGTTCAACTAACATGTCTGACTGATGTGACAGCCTGTAAAAAGGACATGAAAGTAATTAGTTTATAGGAGTCACATTTAAACTGCTGAACACACAGTCTGTGATGATTTACTGAGATGTCTTCGATGTATTAATATATCTGGTTTTAAAGTTAAATTTTATTTTCCAAAGTAATATATATACAGAAGTTAAAATTCAAATAGGGCTAGAAAGCTTAAGACAGAAAACAACACAGAGGTAGACTCCTTTCAGTGGAAACTTAAAAAGACATATGTCTTCTTTTGAGAAGTGTCTGTTCATATCCTTTGCCCACTTTTTGATGGGGTTGTTTTTTTCTTGTAAATTTGTTTGAGTCCTTTGTAGATGCTGGATATTAGCCCTTTGTCAGATGAGTAGATTGCAAAAATGTTCTCCCATTCTGTAGGTTGCCTCTTCACTCTGATGGTAGTTTCTTTTGCTGCGCAGAAGCTCTTTAACAGACACATGAAAAAATGCTCATCATCACTGGCCATCAGAGAAATGCAAATCAAAACCACAATGAGATACCATCTCACACCAGTTAGAATGGTGATCATTAAAAAGTCAGGAAACAACAGGTGCTGGAGAGGATGTGAAGAAATAGGAACACTTTTACATTGTTGGTGGGACTGCAAACTAGTTCAACTATTGTGGAAGACAGTGTGGCGATTCCTTAGGGATCTAGAACTAGAAATACCATTTGACCCAGCAATCCCATTACTAGGTATATACCCAAAGGAATATAAATCATGCTGCTATAAAGACACATGCGCATGTATGTTTATTGCGGCACTACTCACAATAGCAAAGACTTGGAACCAACCCAAATGTTCAACAATGATAGACTGGATTAAGAAAATGTGGCACATATACACCATGGAATACTATGCAGCCATATAAAAGGATGAGTTCATGTCCTTTGTAGGGACATAGATGAAGCTGGAAACCATCATTCTCAGCAAACTGTCGCAAGGACAAAAAACCAAACACCGCATGTTCTCACTCATAGGTGGGAATTGAACAATGAGAACACTTGGACACAGGAAAGGGACCATCACACATCAGGTCCTGTTGTGGGGTGGGGGCAGCAGGGAGGGATAGCATTAGGAGATATACCTAATGTAAATGACGAGTTAATGGGTGCAGAACACCAACACAGCACATGTATACATATGTAACAAACCTGCACATTGTGCACATGTACCCTAGAACTTAAAGTATAATAAAAATATATATATATATAAAATAAAGATAAAAAGGAAAACAAACAAAAAAGACGTATGTCCTGATTTGAACAGACCAACTCCTAAAATAACAGCTCTGAGTTAAAATGGGAAAACTGAACACAGACTGAGTATTTGATGACACTAATAAACTATTAATTCTGTTGGGTAATAATATTGTGGTTTGGTTTCCTTAAAATGTCTACCTGTTACAGACAAAACAGAAGCATTTAGGGTTGAATGATATAGTATATGAAAGTTGCTTTAATAATTAAAAAGTATGCATGCATGGGGAGAGGGGGATGTTGACAACTTTTGAATCTGGGAGATAAGTACACTGGGGACATGTCCTTTTAGATTCTCAAGTGTGGCTGTGGAGTTCAATGACATTCCTATTCACAGACTAGCTCTTTTTCCTCTGAAGTACCTAGGATCTTCTTTTTATATATCCGATGGGTTCTGAAATTTCAAAATAATTAATTTTTCTACAAGTATGTGAATGTTTATCATTGCACTGAGCACCTGGTAGACCTGTTCAATCTACTGATGTATTTAGTTTAAACTCTAGGAAATTTACATGTTTTGTTTCCTTAATATAATAATAAGCTTCTCCATTCCCTGTTCTCTCTTTCTACAACTCCTAGTCAGTTAGATATTAAACCTCATATTAAACTCTAATTTTCTCTTTTCTCTCTTATTCTTGTCTTTTATTCTATATCCAGGGAAAGTTCCTCAACTGTTTCTTTCAATGCTTTTACTGAATATATTTCTACTATTGTACTTTTCATTCTGAGAATTTTCTCATCCACTCCCCCCGTTTTCTTAAACCATCCTACCTTGTTTGATTAGCCAAAATCTGTCTAAGGTTGTTAATTATTTCCTCAAACTGTTTTCATTCCTTCAAGTATCTGTTTACTTTAAGTTCCTTTTTTCTGGTATGTGTTTCTAAGTTACACTGGAAACTTTCCTAAAATGGCTAACAATGTTTAGTCCTTTGTTCTTATTTTAGAGGTTAACAATAAAAAGGTGACTACGTGTCTGCAGGCTGTCAACTGGTGGACTTCAGCAGGGTAGTGGCCAGCCAGCACTTTTTTGAGGTCTTCAAATACTAGTACCTGTTGAGCAGTTTTTCTTCAGTGGTTCCATTTCTCCAGGAAGGATCCCTCAAACCTGCCTGGGATATCAAAGCGTGAAAGACAGAAGTCTGGAGCCAAGCAGGGTAAAGAGGCACTATGACAACTTTAGCATCTCACTCTTCTGTTAAATATAATACATATTGTTAAACCAGACAGTATATTTCCTGTGAGGTGGGAACATAGGAATCCTTATTCAGTGTTTTCAAGCAATCTCTATGTTGATGGCCCCTGCCTCACTCCTATATTCTGTAGTACCAGTCCTTCTAAGCTCTAAGCCTTTCTGAGTTTGCAGGTAAAACAAGGTGCTTTTTATCAGTATCCTGTAGGTTCTTAAGCGCTCAAGTTTGATGCTCTTCCTTAGTTATTTATCTTTCTCTTTGGATTTTTAGCTCAAGGGTTGGAGATACCTCTAGTTTAAATTAAAGATGGGAATTTTATTTCAGCTTTTTTTCTGTTGGTGATTATCAAGAGAAAGAATTGAAACCACATTACCTATCTTAAAACTGGAAACCGTGTTTTTCTTTATATGAATATTCTCATTTATTACAACTAAAGTATTACAAGAACTTTAAAGCAAATTTAAGTAAATTCTAATTTCTTCATGACTTCCATTATAAAATTAGAGATACATCTCGCAGGAAAGTTTCCATCCTGTCTTCCAAACATACTAAAATAGAGCAAACTTTAAAAAATTACAGTAACAAAAAAATTCTGACTTTCTCATAAAAAATATTATTACTTAGAATTCAACTATAATTTGATAAGGTACAGCATCAGATGACTGGAAGAGAGTCACAGAAGATGAGGCTAGAAGAATAAGTTGAAGCCAGATTATGAAAGCACTGAATGCCAGGAGAATAGGAATAGAGCATTTACTATGTATGAAACAGTGTACAAAACGTTCTATACACATCCTCTCAACCAATCATTTGTAATCTTTTGAGACAGGAATTATCTCCACTTTTTCAGAGAGAAAACTGAAACGTACAAATATTGAGAACTTTGCTCTTGATCACAAAGCTAAGAAAGTAAGGGAGCTGATAATCAAACTCTAATATTTAAGGCTCTAAGCAACTGAAAATTAGAGTTAAAGAGACTAACACAGTAACCTCTGTCTGCACGTAGAAATAATGGAATGAATGCTAAGGAATGGATTGGGGATGGAGTAGGGAAGGGAACACACACTGTAAATGTTAATGTTTTTCGTATCTGGACAGACGGCAGAACTGCAGTTTCCTGCCTTCTTAAAATTAGGTGTGGCCACATGATTTACTTTGGCCTATAAAATATGAGGGGAAGTGATTTGTGTCATTTCTGAACAGAAGATTTAAGAGCCAACACTTGGTACATGTTTTGTTTTTAATCCTCTACTGTGATGATTTAAGCTATGCTGACTAATATAGTGTACAAAATCAAGTAACTAACAATTGTTAGATTTTTGTCCTGTAAAACTCAACAAATTAACAGTTTGTGACTATTCGACATGAGTGATTTCATTAACTATGGAATCCAAGAAATAGGAAAAAAGAATGAAAAAAAAATAGACCCAGTTTAAAGACTTATGGGAACAACATCATAAATACCAACGCCTGTCTGTATGATGGAAGTCCAAAGGCAAGGAGAGAGAAAAGAGAATATATGAAGAAATCATGGTTACAAACTTTCCAAATCTGAGAAAGCCAAGAGTCTTTCTTCCAAGAAACTCCAAGTAGGATAAATTTTAAAAGATGCACACAGAGACACATCATGTTCAAACTGTCAAAAAAACGAAGAGAATCTTGAAAGCAGCAAGAGATGTATGTGACTCCTCACATACAAGAGATCCCAAGTAAGACTGACAGCCAACTTTTCATAGGAAACCATGGAGGCCAGAGAACAGTGGGATGACATATTTCAAGTGCTGAAATATCTAGAAAAATTATCCTTCAAAAACAAAAAAGAAATTAATGAATTTCCAGATAAACAAAAAGTTGAGGGAATTTGTCACAAGTAGACCTGAACTACCAGAAATGCTAAAGGAAGTTCTTCAGCCTGAAAAAACAAGAGGCAATAACTCAAACCCATGTAAGAAAATAAAGAACACTGATAAAAGTAATTACATAGGTAAATATAAAAGCCAGCAGTATTTTTGGTTCAGAAATCTGCCTTTTTTTCCCTATATGACTCAAAAGACAAGTGCATAAAACAGTAATTATATATCTATGTTAACAGTTACACAATGTATAAAGATGTAATTTGTCATAACAACAACATAAAAAGGGAGAGAGGGAGATGTACGGGAACATAGTTTTGAGATATTATTGAAGCTAAGTTGGTATTACTTCAAACTAGGCTGTTGTACATGCAAGATGTTAATTTAATCCCCAAGGTAACCATTAATAACTAAAACATGTACAAAAAAGGAAATGAGAAAGGAGTTGAAATGGTACAATGCAAAAAAATCAAACCAACAACAACAATAAAAACAACAACAACAACAACAAAAAGGCAGCAGTGGAGGAACCCAGGACAAAAAAGATACAGACATAATAGAAAACAAATAGCAAAATGGCAGAAATCCTTCTTTATCAGTAAGTACTTTAATGTAAATGGATTAAATGCATTCATTAAAAGGCAAGCATTATCAGAATGGATTCGAATAAACCAAATGAGTCCATTTATAAGCTGTCTACAAGAAAATTACTTTAGATCCAAGGAAACAAGTTGAAGGTGGAAGGAAGGAAAAATATATTCCATGCAAATAGTAGGGTGGCTGTGGTAAAATCAGAAACAAACAAACAAACAAACAAAAAAACAAAAGACTTTAGGAACTATCACAAGAGACAAAGAAGGATTTTTATAATGATCAAACAGTCAATCTAGCAAGAAGATACCACACCTATAAAGAGATTCAAATATAGCATCAGAGCCACAAAATATTAATATATGAAGAAAGAACACAAAACTGAAGGGAAAAATAGATGTGTAATAATGTTGGAGACTTCAATACCCCACTTTCAATAATGGATAGAACTGGACAGAAAATAAGGAAATAGAGAAGTTAAATAACACTATATAAACCACTTAGACCTAAGACACATACTGAATATGCCACCCAACAGCAGAATACATATTATTCTCAAATGCACATGGAACATTCTCCAAGACAGAATGGATATTAAACCACAAAAAAGTCTTAATAAATTTTAAAAGACTGAAAGCACATAAAGTATCTTCTCTAACCAAATGGAATATAACTAAAAATCAGTAAAAGAAAAACTAGAAAATTCAAATATGTGGAAATTCAAAATACACTGTAAAACAATCAATGACTCAAAGAAGAACCAAAAGGGAAATCAGGAAATGCTCTGAAACTAATGAAAACAAACATGCAACGTTATGGGATACAGTGAATGAAGTCCTCAGAGAGAAATTTATAGGTAAAATGCCTATATTAAGAAAAAGATTTCAAATCAGTAACCTAACTTTATACCTTATGGAACTAGTAAAAGAGCTGGCAGAAGGATGGATGTGATAAAAATTAGAGTGGCTATACATGAAATCGAGAATAGAAAAACAGAGAAAAATCAATTAAAGCAAGTTGGTTGTTTGAAAACATCAATACAATTGAAAAACCTAAGGAAAAAGAAGACTTTATAAGTCTGAAATGAAAGTGGGAATATTATTACTGATCATACAAAAAAATAGTATGGGTTATAAGAGAATATTGTAAACAACTGAATGCTAACAAGTTAGATAACCTATGTTAAATGGACAAATTCCTAGAAACACACAAATTTCCCAACTGACTCGAGGAAATAAAACATATGAATAGACCTATAATAAGTAATGAAATTGAGTCACTAATCAAAAAACCTCCCAATAAAGAAGAACCCAAAACAAGATGGCTTAATTAGTGACCTATACAATATTTAAATAAGAATGAACATTCATCCTTCTCAAGATGTTATTAAAAAAAAATAGGTAAGAGGAGGGAACACTTTCTAATTCATTCCTTTTTTTTGAGACAGAGTCTTGCTCTGTCGCTAGGCTGGAGTGCAGTGGTGCGATCTCAGCTCACCGCAACCTCCGACTCCCTGGTTCAAGCAATTCTCCTGCCTTAGCCTCCCGAGTACCTGGGATTACAGGCATGTGCCACCATGCCCAGCTAATTTTTTTATTTTAGATGCAGTTTCACCATGTTGGTCAGGATGGTCTAGATCTCCTGACCTCGTGATCTGCCCACCTTGGCCTCCCAAAATGCTGGGATTACAGGCGTTAAGCCACCATCCCCGGACTTCTAATTCATTCTATGAGGCCAGAATTACCCTGATACCAAAGTCAGACAAAGACACTGCAAGAAAAGGAAACCATGGCTCAATATACCTTATGAATATAGATGTAAAAAAAATCCTGAACAAAATATTAGCAAACTGGATCCAGTAGCATATTAAAAGGATTATCCACCACTACCAAGTGGGCTTTAGCCTAAGAATACAATGGTGGTTCAACACATGAAAATCAATGTAATACAATGTAATCATATTAATAGAATGAAGGGGAAAAATCCCAGAATGATTTCAATTCATGCAGAAAAAGCATCTGAAAAAATAGTAATAATCTTTTAAGATAAAAACACTCAACAAATGAGGAAAGGAAGGGAACTTCTTCAAAATGATAAAGGACATATATGATAAAGCGCACAGCTAACATCTTACTCAACAGTAAATGACTGTTTACTGACTGAAAGTTTTCCCGCTACGATCATGCATGAGACAAGAATGCTGCTCTCACTACTTCCGTTCAGCATAATACTGGACATTCTAGACAGCAATCAAGTAAGAAAAAGAAAAGTCATCCAACAGAAACGGAAAAAATGGGACTCTCTTTATTCAAAGATGTCATAATAGTATAGTATATATAGAAAATTCTAAAGAATCCACAGAAGAGTTATTAGAGCTAATAAATTCATCAAAGCTGTAGTACATGATCAACACAGAAATCGTATATATTTCTCTACGCTAGCAATAAAAATTTCAGAAAACAACTCCATTTACAATAGCATCAAAAAGGAATAAAATACTTGGGAATAAACTGACCCAAGGATGAGTAAGAGTTGTATGCGTAAATAAATTAAGGGAGAACTAAGAAATTGGAAAGGTATATTATGTTCATGAATGGAATATTTAATATTGTTACGATAATACTTCCCAAACAGCTATAGATTAAATGCAATTTCTACCAAAATCCCAATGTTCTTTTAAAAAAAAAAAAAAAAAAAACAGAAATGGGAAAGCTGATCCTAAAATTCATACAGAAAGGCAAGGAACCCCGAAGAGCCAAAATAATCTTGAAAAGAAGAACAAAGTTGGAGAATTCACATTTCCTGATCACAAAACCTACTGCAAAGCTACAGTAACCAACACAGTGTGGTAATGATACAAGGGCAGACATACAGATCAATGGAATGGAATTAAGAGCCTAATAATAAACCTGTATACCTATGGTCAATTGATTATTGGCAAAGGTGCCAAGTGCACTCAACAGGGGAAACAACATTCTCTGTACTAAGACAACTGAATAACCATTTACGAAAGAATTAAGTTGGATCCTTATCTCACATCATAAGTAAAAAATAATTCAAAATGAATAAAAACTCTAAATATAAGAGCTAAAACTATTCTTAAAAAAATAGAAGAAAATATAGGCGTAAATTGTCATGGCCTTGCATTTGGCAATTGTTTTCTAGATATAAAAAAACTGTAAGGAACAAAATATATATATAAATTGGACTTCATCAAAATTAAACTTTTTTGTGCAAAATACACTACCAAGAAAGTGAAAAGCCCAGACAATGAGAAAAAAAATATGAAAATCATGTATCTTAAAAGGATGTAGTATCCAGAATATATAAATAATTCTTATAACTCAAAGATAAACAAACCAATTAAAAAGAAGGGAGAGGCAGGGCATGGTGGCTCATGCTTGTAATTCCAGCACTTTGGGGGGCCAAGACAGGAGGATTGCTTGAGCCCAGGAGTTTGAGACTAGCTTGAACAATGTAGTGAGATCCCAACTTCACAAAAAAATCAAAAAATTAGCCAGGTGTGGTGGTGCATGCCTGTAGTCCCAGCTACTCTGGTGACTGAGGTGAGAGGATTGCTTGAGCCCAAGAAATCAAGGATGCAGTGAGCTATGATTGTGACACTGCCTGGAAGACAGAGCAAGAAGCTTTCTTTAAAAAAATAAAAAAAAAAAAGACAGTGGGAAGAAGACTTGAATAGATATTTATCTAGAGAAGATACACAAATGGCCAAAGAGCAAATGAAAGTATGTTCAATGTCATTAATCATTAGGGAAATACACATCAAAACCATAATGAGATACTATTTCACATTCATTGGGATGACCCTAATATAATAAAAAAAAAAACCCAGAAAATAACAAATGTTGATGAGGATATGGAGAAACCAGAACCTTCACATATGGCTTGTGGGAAAACAGTCTGGCAGTTTCTCAAAAAGTTAAACATAGAATTACCATGTAACCTAGCAATTCTACTTCCAGGTATATACCCAAAAATAATTGAAAACAGGTGTTCAAATACAAATTGTACATGAACAACTGCTATGAACACTCCTAGTCATAGCAGGACTGTTCCAATAGCCAAAAAGTGAAAACAACCTCAATGGCCATCACCTGATTCATGGATAAACACCCTGTGGTAAATCCATATAACAAAATATTATTCAGCCATAAAAGAAACGAAGTACTGATACATGCTAAAACACGAATTAACCTTGAAAACATTACATTAAGAAGACACAAAAGGTACATAGTGTGTGATTCCATTTATACAAAGTATCCAGCAATTAAATAAGACACAAAAGGTACATGCTGTATTATATTTATATAGTGTATCCAGAATAGGCAAATCCAGAGAGACACAGACAAGAAACAAATGTATGGTTCTAGGGGCTGAGAGCAGAAGAGAACAGGGAATGACTGCTTAATGAATCCATGGTTTCTGCCTGGAGTGATGTAAAAGTTCTGGAACTAGGTAATTGTGATAGTTGTACAAAACACTGTAAATGTACTTAATGCTATGTGAGACATGGAGTCAAAGGAGGTTATTTTGGAGCTTTAAGAATTAATGACTGCCCTACTGTGTTTCAGATCTGCACGGGGCTTATAGTCCCTTTCTTTTGGCTGATTCTTCCCTTTCGGAACGGGAGTATTAACCAATGTCTGTATTCCCATTGTATCTTGGAAGTTATTAACTTGTTTTTGATTTTACAGGCTCATAGGCAGAAGAGACTAGTTTTGTCTCAGATGAGACTTCGGACTTTTGAGTTAATGCTGGAATGGGTTCAGACTTTGGGGGACTCTTGTGAAGGCATGATTGTATTTTAAATGTGAGAAAGACATGAGATTTGGCAGGGGACAAGGGTGGAATTACATGGTTTGGGTCTCTGTCCCTACACAAATCTTATGTCAAATTGTAATCCCCAACGTTGGAGGTGGGGCCTGGTGGGAGGTGACTGGATCATGAGGGCAATTTCCCCTTTGGTGCTGTTCTTGTGATAGTAAGTTATCGTGAGATCTGGTTGTTTAAAAGTGTGTAGCTCAGTTGCATGCAGTGGCTCACGCCTGTAATCCTAGCACTTTGGGAGGCCAAGTCGGGCAGAATGCCTGAGCTCAGGAGTTCGAGACCAGCCTGGGCAACAGGGTGAAAGCCTGTCTCCACTAAAATACACACACAAAAAAAATTAGCCGGGCATGGCGGCGTGTGCCTGTAGTCCCAGCTACTCAGGAGGCTGAAGCAGGAGAATTGCTTCAACCCGGGAGGCGGAGGTTGCAGTGAGCCGAGATGGTGCCACTGCACTCCAGCCTGGCAACAGAGTGAGACTCTGTCTCAAACAAACAAACAAACAAAAACAAAAACAAAAACAAAAACAAAACAAAACAAAAAAAAAGTGTGTAAGTGTGTAGCACCTCTCCCCGGCTTCCTGCTCTGGCCGTGTAAGAGGTGCCTGCTTCCCCTTCTCCTTCTGTCATGACTGTAAGTTTCCTGAGGCCTCCCCAGCCATTCTTCCTGTATAGCCTGCGGAACTGTGAACCAATTAAACCTCTTTTCTTTATAAATTACCCAGTCTTAGGTGTTTATTTATGGCAGTGTGAGAATAGACTAATATACCTCATGACTCAGCTCAGATGCTACTCTCTTTACAAAGAATTCCTCAATAATACACTGAAAGTATATTCCCTTTCTAAACTGCCTCCCAAAGCTATTTATCTGTAGCTCCTTTAGAGTACACATCACTTTTACAGTATATTTGATATTATCTGAATTTAGCTTTTGTCCCCTTAATAAACTATGAGCTTCAGACTGGGAAAAAATCAACTCTAATTCACACCATTGCCTTGTATATAGCCCAAAACCAACAAATGTCTTAAATGAGTAAAGATGAGTGTCCCCTTGGAGGCCTTATTTCCTGAGTCTTAGCTATTCCAGGCAATTGATGATGTTTAATACGTGGATCCCTGCATAAGTGGGATGTATGCACGTATGTTTTTTGACATTTTGAGTGTATTAAATGTTAACAGTTACTCCTTTGCTTTTGATCCCAGTCATGTGCTTGAGAAACTAACCAGCTTCAATATTTTAATTATGATGGTTTTCTCACTAAAAGCAAAATTGTTTGGAAGAACAGATAATAGATTTGACATGCACTACCTACCATATTCATACTAATGTTATAGTACGAATTATACAGAGCAAAAGTTAAGTTAAACTATACAAGGTAAGGAAGATGGATAGAAAACAAAAACCTGAATTTTCAAGAGAAAATGTAACTGAACTTTTCTTTTTTTTTTTTTTTAAATGGAGTCTTGCTCTGTCACCCAGGCTGGAGTGCAGTGGTGCAATCTCGGCAAACTGCAATGTCCACCTCCCAGTTCAAGCAATTTGCTTCAGCCTCCTGAGTAGCCGGGATTACCACACCAGCTAATTTTTGTATTGTTAGTAGAGACGGGGGTTCTGCTATGTTGGTCAGGCTGGTCTTGAACTCCCGACCTCAAGTGATCCACCCGCCTTGGGCCTCCCAAAGTGCTGAGATTGCAGGCGTGAGCCACCTCACCCAGCCCAAACATTTATTTCTAAGCTACACTTTGCATTTAAATCGATATACTCCAAAGGATTCAATATAGATGCCCATAAAAAAGATAAATATCTCCATCAGGAGTGCTATGTACACATCCACTCATGAAAGAAAAAAAACATTCAGAGCTTTTCTATAGGTCTCAAACAGAAGAGCCAGCTATACCACAGTTTTACCACAAATGGGTGATAACAAGTTATTGTTTACTTGCACTAATGAAATAGAACCCAGCCAACTTAAGTCATAGTGATAGTTTTGATAAATTTTGAGAAGAAACATGAAGGGAAATTAAACACCAGACTTTGACCATACGATTCTGAGAAGAATCTGAACTAAAAGCTAGGTAAGCTAACTGGGGAAAAGAATGTGAAGAGTAGGGAAGCAGTAGGAAATTATACTTATTTGAAAAAAAATATTTATAACTTGCAGTTGTCTTTGTGAAACTACATGGAAAAGAAAAAATTTAATTATTTTCTAACTTTTATTAAGATTATTATTTGTGACTCCTCTAGTTCAAAGTTATAGGAAGTTTTAAGTGATCTGTTCCAACGATTTTCCCACAAGCTTTGTTTTTAGTGTGCACTTGTGCAGAATGAAGGTGTTTACACAATGCATATATCATGCTTTGGCAAAAATACCTGCTCATGAAATGGTACAAAGCTTGTTAGACAATTCAAGTATTTTAAGAAGAAACAAAATATATAATTTATTATATATTTATAAGGCATATTTATAAATATACATTAATATACGTAAGAGAATTTAATTTGTAAGATTCCCCTCTAAAAGTGTTGAAATTTGCTAGATTTACGAATAGATTTTTAAGATTTGTAGATGGAACTTAAAAGTTTGAGCTACAGTTATTATTTTGAAGCTCTAATAAATTGAATATTTTTAATCCAAAGTAAACTCTAAATAAATATTCAGATTTTTTACTTTGAAAACACAAAATCACAAATGAACAAAAAGAAATGAAACAGCTGAATACATTATGGGATAGGCAAAAGGGATTAATCCCATTATAATCCCCTCAATAATGTTCTAAATTTCTATCTATTTGAGATTAACTGGGGCTAACAAAAACAAACTAACAAAATTTATAGAACTAGCTAAGAAGTGTCGGTCATTCCCAGCTCAGTATTGGTTAATCAGGTGCTCTCCCTACAAGCCATGGCAGAATTTGTGAAGGAAAGAACAGAAATGTCAATGAAGGAAACTTGGTGGGGTTGGGTGGGGACAGCCCATGGAACGATGACCCTGAGAGACAAGAAACCAGTGAAAGGAAAAAAAAAAAAAAAAGTAGGAATTTTTTTCTTAATGCAGTTTCGGATCAATTGTGTGACAGTTTTCTTAATGCATTCAAAGTTGTTGTGGTTCTTAAAGCCAAGAGGTTTACACATCACTGACTATATAAAACTAATTCTGTAGACAATTTGTCTTATTTACAGATAGATAACTTTCAGATATGCTTTAAAGTTTAATCTTGGTAAACCACCACTAATTTTAATACTGTATATGAAATCCAATAATATAATTTAGTTTCAGAATCAGAGTGAACATACATCAGAAAGTGTTGTAAATCTCAGATTATTGCAAAAATCTAACATGTGAAAAATCCAACAATTACATTTTATTTACAAAAATTGATTTACATAGGATTTGTTAAAATCCAATTTATGAAACAGAACAAATCTAGAGACACTAGGTTGCCCTTACCACTTGTGTGGAATTTGTCTCTCTAGAAAGTTTTATAAAATGTTGCTTTTATATTTTAGTTATATATGCAATATACAAACAGTTTTTTGAAAAAAAAAAAAAGACATTGAAATAAATGTAAGCTATACATACATTTAAGAAAGATGAATAAAAACATTTACCCACTAATTCCAGTTCAGAATTGCAGGTGGCCACGGCCCATCCCAGCAGCTTGGGGCCAAAGCTGAAGCCCACCTTGGACCAGATGTCATTCCATTGGAGGGCGCACTCACACACATACCCCACACTCGCTCAGACTGGGGCCATGCAGATGCTGATTCACCCAAAGCGTACATCTTTGGGATGTGGGAGGAAACTACAGTACTACACAGACATAGGGAGAATATGAAAATTCCATATTGACAGTGGCCCTGGCCAGGGATCAATTTTTTTCCCTCATCGATGTTATGACATTATTCAAGGATATGATGTAAGGAGTTTCTCGCTATATTAAAGAAGCTATCTTTGTTAATACTTGGAATTTTCAAGTATTGTATAAATGAATACTCTGCCTAAGTTCCCCAGAGGAGTCAAGTCTGTTATTGCTTACATTTGATACATGACTCAATCTGAGACTTGCTTTTGAACAAGTACACCTGTATTTTTTGGCAACCTCTTAAAGTTTTGTCATTCTTCAAATTCTAGTTCACTCTAAAACCTCGCAGTTAATGAACTAGAATCCCCTTCTTTTTTAAACACTTATAAATTGTCATAAATATGCAATGGAGGCACATTATATTTACATAATTCAGAAGGCAACCTAGACAACAATACCAGTTGCAACTTATTAAGAATCTAATCACTCATTTTTCTCATTTTATAGACACACAGCACAGAAAGCAACTTTAGAAAATGGCTTTTCCAAAGTCTTGGGAAAAAGCAGAATCTGAACTGGAACCTGGGCCTCTCTGATTCCAACTGCCATATTTTTTTCCACATCTCTAAACTGCTGGATATTTATCTGAGGTATCAATAGCAAGTCTAAGAAAAATATCACAAGAAAGTAGGAAAAATGAAGCTAAGCCGGTTTTATTAATGTATTTTCCATACATTAACTTTTGTAACTAAAAGTAAAGCCTCCCAGTTTTCTATTCCAATGAATGATAAGGCATTCATGTTAATGAGTGGCCCTTAAAGGGCCATGAAAAAAATAAAATGTTTCTATGGGATGGGTCAACCACTAGTCAAACTTCCCAGGACACTGAGCGGGGAGTAATTTCTCATCAAATTGGTAAAAACCAAAAATCAAACCACAATACCAAGTGTAGCATAAAAACTACACAGAAGTCTTAAAAGAAAAGAAGACTGCTTTTAAAGCATGTCAAGTATGCTTTGAGGGCTAGATCAGGTGATACAGAAAACTGATTCACAAATTCAACAGCCATTTCTTTGAGCAAATTCTTCTGTGCAGGAGATACCAAATGCTTTAAGTGCCAGCTAAAGAAAAGAATAATGTGGCAAATAACCTAATAGATTTGGGGTGTGGGGGAACAGAAACTTCAAGAATGCAATTAATTATAGTGTTTTTCCTTGCAACATAACTTACCTAAGTCCTGACTTCTCTCCCAAGTATAGAACTCAAGTCTCCTTATCTACAAAACTTCCCTTGACAACTAATCACTTTACCCTGAAATGCTATTATGACTTTTCAAGATATTTACCTGGCAATCTGTTATTTTATATTGCCATTAACTTTAAACAATTATTCATTAGCATCTTCAGTAGCAGTGTATAGCAAGTGTTTTACAGATAGCAGGCATACAATAAATGAGGATGAATCCATTTGAGATGATTCTGAAATGTGCAAGGCTTGATCTAGAAAGTTCTGGCAGTCCTATGTAAATTCTGGGACTAAGAGGCTTTAGTTCTCCAACCATAATTCTGGAAAGGCTCAGAACGATTTCTTTTCCTAAAACTCCAGGCCTCATATTTCATCATTTGCATTCATCATTGTTTACTGGAATGCTTACAATAATAAAAAGTATTTTTGGATGAAATGAAATAATGATATCTTGGATGTGCTTAAATATACTCCAGTGGAAAAAGACTGAAAATTGTTCAAACTGACTGATGGACACACAGATGGTCATTTTATTATTCTACTAATAGAGTACCTGGTACCAAACTAGTGCCCAGAAACAAGAGAACTGGACAAAATAGATCAACCAACCATATTCAGACATGAGACAGCAGGCAGCACAGGACTGATATCATGAGGGAAGGAAAACAAACAGGTTTTCTGGCAGAAGTCACCATCTAACCTCTTAAGGTTTTGTCCATCATGTAGAGTGAGAGAAACCAAGCATAGTATGGCAGCCTTGTTAAGTTGAGGAGAAAAAGATTAAAGTTCAGAGAAGCAGAAGCAGCTATTTGTGAAGCAGAGCACCAGTGATGTGGGAGCCACACAGAGAAAAGCTCTAGAAACCTGCAGGGGTTTCCCGAGTCTTACTGAATACTATCCAAATACATAGTGACACTCCACAAATACAGGCAAAGAATGACTACTAGGGTTTTTGGCTACCCAGTTCATATAGGACTGGGAGACATTTCGGTTCTGACTAGCCAGAATGGAGAGACCTTCTTAAAGACCTAGGACATTCAGTGGACTTCAGAAGGGCTAAGCTAGCTTAACAGTTAAATCCATCCTAAAAGACATACAAAAAGCCTCAAAAGATCAGTAAGATCTCCAAGCAGCTTACCTGCCACCCAAAACAACCTTCAATACTCTTTAAAGGAAAAGGACAAAAATCAGACAATGGATAATGTAATACAGTATCTAACATCCAATCTGAAATTACTAGACATGTGATATGACCCAGCAATTCTATTCCTAGGTATTTATTTACTCAAGAGATACAGGACAACTGGAGAGTGAAATGAGATTAGAATCTAAAAAAGCAAAGTTCACATTTTTTTACTTTTTATCTTTATAGATCTCTCATTGTTGGATTTTTTTTTAAGTAAGAAGGTATTGATGAATTAGTAGTGTAAATTTTTAAAACATACTATGGGAATGCACATGCCAGATCAGTTATTTATTGGGTACAGGGGCGGATATAGGAGAGTTGAGGGCAGAAGGTTTATAGAGTACAACAGATGTCTGACCTGAGCTTGAAAACCAACTCAGATAAATTTCTTACATAAAAAAAGATAGCAGGGGAGTCATACTGAATAGAGCAAATAACAAAGGAATAGAGGCATTAAATAGGAATTGTGGGTTCGATGTGTTCAAGATATGGAGAAAGTAGGTTCTAAATGCCAGGCCAGAGAGCTTGGACTTCGTTTTGGAAAAAAAAAAAAATTGTTATCAATGCAAATGATAAACTTCATTATGTAGGTGAAAGAGACTAGGGGAAGAGAAATGAGTTAGTGAATAAGCTTTTTTAATAGACAAGGAGGAGGACATGAGGGCCCCTAAAAAGACCAATGAGAGTAAAATAGAGTTAAATGAATTCCAGAGGCACTGGAAAACTCTAATCAATCAGTAAAATTTGATGACTGAACAAATATGTAAAGTGAAGAAACAATCCAGAGGAAGAAACAAAGAATTAAAGGTTTTCTACCTCATACAACGTACAAAAGATGATGGTAACTGCAAAAAAGTTTAGCAAAGCAATAGCATGTTTGGCTTGGCAGGGGGTAAGTGAGTGAGGTTTAGACATGAATCTGACATTAAGAAGACATAATAGGCCGGGTGCAGTGGCTCACGCCTGAAATCCCAGCACTTTGGGAGGCCGAGGCAGGCAGATCACTTGAGGTCAGGAGTTCAAGACCATCCTGGCCAACATAGTGAAACCCCGTCTCTACTAAAAATACAAAAATTAGCTAGGTGTGGTGGTGCATGCCTGTAGTCCCAGCTACTCAGGATTGAGACATGAGAATCGCTTGAACCCAGAAGGCGGAGATTGCAGGGAGCCAAGATCACGCCACTGCACTCCAGCACAGGCGACAGAGCGAGACTCTGTCTCAAAAAAAAAAAAAAAAAAAGATATAATAATAATCCAGGAGAAAAGTGACAAGACCTAAACTGAACTAGTGTCATTGGGAATTACGAGGAGGGAAAAGAAATGACATACAAGGTAGAATATACTAGACTGGATATAGACTGGCTATTGATGTTAGTGGGCAGGAAGAGTGAATAAACTCAAATACACGGTGGTGCCATTTACTGGAAGAAAAAAGCGGGTGCGCTCTTGACTTTCCCAGGATTCAGTTACCTAAAAATCAGACTGTATTTTCATTTTTACAGCTAATAAAAAAAGTTCATCATTTCTTACTAACTATAAATTATTATAGGACCTAAAATTTATTCACGGTATCTTCTTATGAATTTTCATACCTGCTAAATCTCACCAATCCAGAATTGTCTTCCCCTGGATATATGTTTTGTTACCTCATCATCTTTGAGATCCTTTTATATGTCATCTTCTCAGTGAAGACACTGACCACTATTTTAAGTCATATTCCACTCTCTATTCCCTTACCCTGCTTAATTTTTCTCCATAGAGTGGATCACCTAACTCATAATGTATTTTACTTATCACCCTCTACTAGAAGAATAACAAGATCTATCAGCAGGGCTTTTTGTTTTGTTGTTTTTTTCCACTGTTAGATCTCTAGTATCTACAACAGTGCCTAGAGCTGGACAAAATTCAATACTTTTTAAATGGATAGACAGATGGATGAAAATAATTTTCAGAAGAGTTTTTTGAAAGACGTAGTACCCTTTCACCAGACTTTTCATAGAACCAAAAAAAAAAAAGCCACCAAAAACCAAAACTGCTTATCGTTTATATTATCACACATTGAGACAGCCTCCAGTCTGACAGAAACAATGTGCAGGGCTCTCTGATTTGGGCAGTCCTACCATTCTTTGGATTCAGGTGCCATCCTTGGAAGTGTGGCCAATAAGGGAGTTTTCACTATCCAGAACTTATATAATAACACTGTTGCCAATCCTATTAATAAGTGCTCATGCAACTATAATGTGAAGTAATGGATGCATGTAATATGCAAAGTTCAGTAGTAAAAGGTCACCCATGTACATTTACAGAATATAAACACACTGAAATCAAATTAGACACGGGATGTTTTCAGAGGCTCAAGCAGAACAAAAAACATCAAGATCACTAACATACTTTGTCAAGTTTATAAACTGAATGTAGAACAAGGTTTATTATTAGAAATACGGGGAAAAAGTGGCTAAAGTTCCTCTCTAGAAAAAGAACACTCACAACATATTAGCAAAAAGAAACATATATTGAGGGAAACTTTCATGAGTCTGTAACTAATTCAGATCTCTTGTCACCTTTAAATTTGATACGATTTAGATGCTTCTGTCCCTTACTGTAGGTTTCTTCTGCAAAGAAGCTGGATTTTAGAAGGGGCAAGTTGTGTTGAAGTTAAAAATTGCTAACCTCAGGTAGCTATGCTCTTCTTCCTTTCCAGCTGGCACTAATTCATTAGCAGTGAGCTGGTAAGAAGTATTGCCATCTGATGAAATTATATGGGGAGGGTGGAGGGGGAAGAGGAGAAGGAGATTTGATTATATTTTGGAGTGACTTTTTTTCTTCAGTGAAAAAGACCAGTATCTTTACTATATAATAATTAAATGTACTGAATTTCAGTACAGAAACTTTTTTTTTTTTTAAAGAAACTCAGCCTCAAAAATGCTAGTCTCTAACAAAAAAGAGGGTAATAGTAGCAGTGAAAAGACAGGAAGAAGGGGGAAAAAAATCTCTGCTCTCAACAAAGTATACATGATGATGACATATTTGTTTAAATTTTTTTCATTATGCTGAAATTAAACATGATGTGCAATTTAGAAATCTACTAAACTTCTATTTAAACATAAGCATATGAACACATTTTAAAGCTAAACACAAATTATTTCTGACTTATCCCTGGAAGTTTCCTTCATTAATTTCACTAAAATTTCCAAGCCATAAAATAAAATGTCCAGACAACCTTCAACTAGTCTGGTCCACTGGTCTGTGTAACTAATATGAAGAGATAATGTAATATACAATGGAATCTAAGATTTCTAAAATGGAAAATTCATTCACCAAAGAATAAATGATCTTTGAGGTACAGAGTCACTTAATAAGACTGCCACCATTGTTATAGACTGACTCCCAACATCTATAGAAGGATGCTAGAAACAACACTAGGTGGAAACTAGGAAAGATCATGAGGCATCTGAACTGTGTTCTCAGATGGAGCATAGTGGAAAAGGATATGCAGTCTGAGGTTAAGATGCTGTCACATAATACAGGGAAGTTAAGATACTCTAGAAAAACTCCTGTGATGAACTTGTAAGATTTACAGAAGAGAAACGAGAGACAATAGTATTTCTATAACTAAGTGAGAAGAGGATGATTAACCACTGGCCTCAGTAATTATACTGCCTCTATTCTTCAGGACTATTAGAAACCACTCCAGATCATTTCTCCTTTTTCCATTCTCTACTCCCAGATAAACCCCAAAGTAGTAGCTGGATGGAGCATAAACAGGGTTGAGACAGTATATTACTGATTAATAGCACAGACTTTAGAGCTACAACACTTATGTCTGAATCCTAGCTGTACAACTTATTCGCGTGTGACTATGGGTGAGTTACTCTGCCTCTCTGTGCAGCAGTTTGTAAAACAGTTATACCTAACTACCTCATAGGGTTGCTAAAGGGATTAAATACGTATTAAAAAATGCTTAGAACAGTGTCTCAAACTACAGAAGGGTTTATAATGGCACAGATGACAATGAAGATACCACTGTCAAAACCAAACTTTACTTTCCTCAAAACCTTATATAACCACTATTTTTCAGGTTTTAAGAATATGAATTCACATAATCCTCTTAACAATGAAAGAAGTTATTTTTATTCCCATTGTACAAATGGGTTCTGCAGAAAAACCAAGAAACTCACTAGACTAAGTAACATAACTAGAACAGTCAAGCACACAAATACACAACAGGCTGACTTTAATCTGCAGAACTATTTTCATATAAGAGATTTTAGGTAGCAGTTACTAGAAGTTAGACTCTGGCAAAGAAGTAAAATATCAAGTAGATATATATGTATATATTTAAAAATTACTTAAAAGCTTAGAAATGAAGTAAACACTTGGTGAAAAAAATTACTGATAATAACAGTTGTCCTTTATTAATTATCCCATAAGCTAGGTGCTTACCTAAGCATTAAATATGAATGATCTCATTTAATCTTATGAGATGATTACTACTGTTATCCTACTCTACAGATGAGGAAAGTTTTTGGTGGTATTAAATAACTTGAAAGAAGTCATATAGCTGAAAAGTGGCACAGCCAACATTTAATTTCAGGTCTATCTGACACCAAAGCCTGTATCTTTAACTATTATTCGAACTGCTCTAAAGCAATGCACATTTTATTGAGGCCAGCCACTGAAACCTAAAACTTTCAATATAGTAAAAGAATGCCCAAATTAAGAAAGAGAGTATGTTTTTTATTTAGTTCTCTGCCTTAACACATAGAGTCAAACACAGCAAAGTTCACGCATTGTCAGGACTACTTAGTTAACTGGTGTCTCTTGCAGTTTTAGAATCAGAAAAGAAAGAAACTGTTTCTTAAAACTTTTCTGGAACACAAAAAGTGGGTCTCAAAATACTATTCCAAAACACTATAAACATGTAATGGTATTAGTGAACTGAAATAAAGAAAATAGAATTTTCACTGTTTCAAGAGAAGTTATTTCTCTACCATGCCCACAGGAACATAAATTAATGGAGTTAAATTGTTGTTTCTGATTACTGCTTTTTATTTATAGGAACATGTCTAAATTAAGCAATAAAACAAACATAGTAGTTTAAAATGCACCAGTAAATCTAATTTTAGTCATTGATTACAACAGTTCTTCAAAAGAATCACAAAATTATCACTTAGAATGCAAAAAAATTCTTTTTTCAGTTTTACCCATAAAACTGAATTTAAAATTTCTAAATACATCATGATGTTCCTATCATTTTGCACTATATTTATGTGTCAAAAATTTTTGCACTAAATATTTTTATTGAAAAATAAACAAGTTAAATTGAATCCCATCATCAAAAAAGTCTGTACTTTAAAGATTTCCAAAACCGAATACCTCAGTTAGCACTATACTTGTTACAAAAACAAGTGGCTATAGCATCAAGAAAATCTAACTAGTTGAAAATTTAAGAGTTGAAAAGCAGAAGAATCACTACAGTTCTACCATTCAGGAACAATTACTATAAATATTTGTACTGTATTGCTCTAGATTTTGTCTTTAGATGACTTGCGTTGTTTTGTTTTATACAGTCATGGTCATATTACATATATAATTTTGTGTGACTTGTTTCTTCACTTGGCATTATAATATGGTCAAGTTCTTAAGTTTATACATTTTTCTGAGACATAATGACTACATATCACTATAAGAGAAGGATGTACCACAGTTAACTTGTTAACCAGCTCCCTATTATCACACCTTTGTGTATCAGAAGTGTGCAACACAACTTTTATTATACCTCTGCGAGCAGTAATAATTCTTTAATTATTAAAAAATAAAAATGGTTATATTTAATGTTTATTTTATTTGGGTTTATTTTATTTAACGTTTATTTTATTTGGGTTACTACTGGGTCTAAATACTTTCTCTTGAGTTTGTTAGTTACAGTATTTCCTTTAATGAGACTACTTTCCCTATTTATCTACTGGAATCTCTGTGTGCTTATTGGCAATTTATATATCTCTTTTATATAAAAGTAGTAAGACTTGGCCCTATTTACCACAAATATTTTTCCCAAGTTATTTGCTGTTAATGTTTTTCTTTTTTTCTGTTAATATTCAAAAATTTAAACTTTTCACACAGTAAAATCTGTCTTTCTAATTTCTTATATACCTATTAAACTTTGGATATCTTCCACCATCTAGAAATGTGATAAATGCTCTTATATTTTTATCTGGCTTTATGGCTTGATTAAAAAAAAAAAAAGATGGAATGCTTTACAATTGTATGTTCTTTTATTTCAAAAGTTAAGGCCTGCTATAAGGAAAAGAATGCAAAATATACATAACTACACAGTGTAAAGGGCAAAAGTCCACGTTTTTCCCAAATTTAAACCAAGAGGTAATAACTGTCTGAGGTTCTTTTTTTTCTATGCATATACAAAAGCACATGCAAAAGTACCTGTAACTTACCAACATTTCAACTCTTCCTCTCATGATCTCTTAGCTCTTCCCTAATAAGGAATGAGAAATGCTAGACCTGGAATATATTAACAGTCATTCTGAATACCCAAGAAAATAGTCTTGATATAGTTTATCATCAAGATTCCCAGACTTAAAGAATTCTTTATTCAAGAAATGACAGTTCAAAGACCTGGTAATTTTTTAAATACTATTTGGGAAATGCTGGTTTAGTTTTATTCTAATCACTACAGACAACTCAAAACTGTAATGTTTTTCTGAATATAAAGTATGCAAATCACATATTAAAAGAATGAAAGGCAACAAACTTACTTGGGATACACTGGTTCATAAAGGTACTTGTCCCCTCTTGTAGATGTAATATGAAAAAACAAGATGTATCCATTTGCCGTCTGAAAGAGAAATTTTATTAATCATGAATTAAAGAGTAAGGCTATAACTGTAACCCTGAATTTTAATTTTATAAATTCTTACTTCGAAAAAAAATTTATTCTCCAATACCCTCCCTTGGAGAATTATAGCCTAATTATGCAAATAGAAGCGACTTTTTAATATAACCCATGTTGAAAAAAAGGGTTTTTACAGATTTCAAAATCTTTCAGTGAAATCAGTACTTCATAAAGTATTCTAGACATGCATACTCTCAAGTAACTGCATTATTCAATAATGAGTAAGTGACTATTTTGCAAAATATATAGTACTTTTTGAACTCTGCACTAATATGGCAAATTATTATTCTAAGTTTATAAAGCAACAATGCCACTTTATGGCTTTATTACACCTTTAAGACAAAACGCTTACTCTACTCAAAATTTACACAGTATTAACTTCAGAACAGCATATTTATATATTTCAAAAACAATCTTTTGGTCTCTGATTTACTACAAAATATAGCCCCAGATACAGACATAAAACAGAGCAAACCTTTAATTTCCAAAATTTGAGTATCAGCTAGTTCATTTTTCTAAGTTAACAAAATATTTTTTAACAACAAATTGTAGGCCGGGCGCGGTGGCTCACACCTGTAATCCCAGTATTTTGGGAGGCCAAGGCGGGCAGATCACGAGGTCAGGAGATCAAGACCATTCTGGCTAACGTGGTGAAACCCTGTCTCTACTAAAAAAATACAAAAAAATTAGCCGGGCGTGGTGGCAGGCGCCTGTAATCCCAGCTACTCAGGAGGCTGAGGCAGGAGAATGGCGTGAACCCAGAAGGCGGAGCTTGCAGTGAGCTAAGATCGCGCCACTGCACTCCCCGCTGGGCGACAGAGCGAGACTCCGTCTCAAAAAAAAAAAAAAAAAAAAAAGAAATTGTATTAAAAACAGTGCTATTACATGATCATGACATACATCTGCGTCATGACATACATACATTTGTGAAGTTCAAACAACCATTTTACATTTCTGTAAGTACAAAATATTATATTTAGCTGTTTCCAGCCAAACATTTTTACGCCTAACAGAGTGAAGTGGCAGTGTTTTGCCCAAACTACTTTACAGTAATACTGAATTCCTATCATTTTAGAGGGAGGTGGGCATGTACTCAAAGTAGAACCAAAGAAAACCAAGAAATTATCCAAGGTTTCAAATTACTTTCTAATTCTGGCTTCCTGTTTTTCAAAGGAATGACCAAGAAAATACTTAGTTTCTTCAGCAAAACCAGGTGGTTTGCTTTCTTTTTGACCATTAACTTTACTATTTTATAATGTATTTGAAACTAGAGTTTCAACACTGTAAGATACAAAAACAAAAGGGTGAAAATTCTTCAGATAAGATCATCTTTCTAATTCTTTATGTGCAATTTTATGTTCTTGCAATATGGAGAGTATGGAAGCAAAAGGAAAATGGCTTCAAATCAAATCATAACAAAGGTTTCACACATAAAAAAACAAGAACAACAACAACAACAAAAACAGACAAAATCTATGAAATACTTTTCAAAACACTGGCATCAAGCAATGAAGGCCAGTCATCCTTGAGAGATAAGAAACAACTGAAGTGACCCTCCTACTCTTACCCAGCTTACTGCCTTGTGAGAATTTCTGGGTCAGCACACTTAGAAGGCGCACTAAGACAAAGCCTGGCAGACTTCCAGAGTTGAGAAGAAGCTGAAGAGTCCAGGAAGAGTAAGACAAACATGAGACATAATGAAAAATCAACCAATCAAAACAATGCATAACTCAATCAGATGTTAAAATTAGCACAAAAGGACATTAAAACCTTTTGCTATATTTCATAATGTTCCAAATGTGAACTATATTCTGTATGTTCCAAAGGTTAGGCAATATAGAAAACTCAAACAAAACTCTAGAAACAGAAATACTAAAATATCTGAGATGAAAAAGACATTGGCTGGATGAATGACAGGTTAGACAATGATCAGAAAAGCACAGCAATAAAAATTATCCATAATGAAACACACACACACACAAAAAAACCCAAAATAAAACAGAAACAAAATCAGTGAATTGAGGAACAACTTCATGTAGCCCAATATACATATAAACAGAGTCTCCGCATGACAGGGGTAAGAGTCAGAAAAAAAATATTTAATTAAATTCAAATTTCATTTGCTTCACTTAAATTTCTTTAAAAGATAACAGGCTTTAAAACAAGAATAATAGCAGTGTATGCTGGGGTTTATACCGTGTGTAAAAATAAAATGTGTATAATATATGTTTCCTGATCCCAATAGAACAAAACTAGAAACAAATAAAAAAAATTCTGGAAAGCCCACAAATATTTTGAAGCTTAACTGCATACTTCTAAATAACCCATGAATCAAAGGAGAAAAAGGGAAATTTTAAAAATACATCATCCCAAAATTTGTGGGATGCTGCTAAAGCAGTACTAAAGAGGAAATTTACAGCCTTAAAATACTTATATTAGAAAAAAAGGAAAATCTCAAATCAATGACAAGCTTCTACCTTAAACTAGAAACAAATTAAACTAGAGCAAACGAAATCCAAAGCAAGTGGTGGAGGGTGGGGAAGCATGCAAATAACAGAGATCAGAGTGGTAATCAATGAAATAGAAAACAGAAAAATAAAATCAATGAATAAAAATCTGGGGTTCTTTTGTTATTGTTTTAGAAGATCACTAAAACTGACATATTTCTGGTCACACTGATCAGGCAAAAAAGAGCCACTAACAGAAATCAAAGAGGTGATATCACTACAAATTCTAGAGGTATTAAAAGAATAATGAGGTCACATTATTAATATGACAATAATTTTAACAACTTGGATGAGATGGACAAATTCCTTGATAAACACAAACCACCAAAGTTCACTGAAAAGAAATCTGTACCCTGAAAAGCCAATGTCTGTTAAAGAAATTATAATTCCAATTCAAATCCTTTCCACAAAGAAAATTCTAGGCTGAGACAGCATCACTGGTAAATTCTACCAACTCTTTAAGAAATAAATAATATCAGTTGAATACAGACTCTTCCAGAACACCAAAGAGAAGGAACCACTTCCTATCTCATTTTATGAGGCCTCATAACAAAACCAGACAAAGACATTATAACTACAGGCCAAGATCCCTCATTAACATATTCTTTTTTTTTATTATTATACTTTAAGTTTTAGGGTACATGTGCACATTGTGCAGGTTAGTTACATATGTATACATGTGCCATACTGGTGCGCTGCACCCACTAACTCGTCATCTAGCCTTAGGTATATCTCCCAGTGCTATCCCTCCCCCCTCCCCCCACCCCACCACAGTCCCCAGAGTGTGATATTCCCCTTCATGTCTCCCTGTGATCTCATTGTTCAATTCCCACCTATGAGTGAGAATATGCGGTGTTTGGTTTTTTGTTCTTGTGATAGTTTACTGAGAATGATGATTTCCAATTTCATCCATGTCTCTACAAAGGACATGAACTCATCATTTTTTATGGCTGCATACTATTCCATGGTGTATATGTGCCACATTTTCTTAATCCAGTCTATCATTGTTGGACATTTGGGTTGGTTTCAAGTCTTTGCTATTGTGAATAGTGCCACAATAAACATACGTGTGCATGTGTCTTTATAGCGGCATGATTTATAGTCATTTGGGTATATACCCAGTAATGGGATGGCTGGGTCAAATGGTATTTCTAGTTCTAGATCCCTGAGGAATCGCCACACTGACTTCCACAATGGTTGAACTAGTTTACAGTCCCACCAACAGTGTAAAACTGTTCCTATTTCTCCACATCCTCTCCAGCACCTGTTGTTTCCTGACTTTTTAATGATTGCCATTCTAACTGGTGTGAGATGATATCTCATAGTGGCTTTGATTTGCATTTCTCTGATGGCCAGTGATGATGAGCATTTTTTCATGTGTTTTTTGGCTGCATAAATGTCTTCTTTTCAGAAGTGTCTGTTCATGTCCTTCGCCCACTTTTTGATGGGTTTGTTTGTTTTTTTCTTGTAAATTTGTTTGAGTTCATTGTAGATTCTGGATATTAGCCCTTTGTCAGATGAGTAGGTTGCAAAAATTTTCTCCCATGTTGTAGGTTGCCTGTTCACTCTGATGGTAGTTTCTTTTGCTGTGCAGAAGCTCTTTAGTTGAATTACATCCCATTTGTCAATTTTGGCTTTTGTTGCCATTGCTTTTGGTGTTTTAGACATGAAGTCCTTGCCCATGCCTATGTCCTGAATGGTAATGCCTAGGTTTTCTTCTAGGGTTTTTATGGTTTTAGGTCTAACATTTAAATCTTTAATCCATCTTGAATTGATTTTTGTATAAGGTGTAAGGAAGGCATCCAGTTTCAGCTTTCTACATATGGCTAGCCAGTTTTCCCAGCACCATTTATTAAATAGGGAATCCTTTCCCCATTGCTTGTTTTTCTCAGGTTTGTCAAAGATCAGATAGTTGTAGGTATGTGGCGTTATTTCTGAGGGCTCTGTTCTGTTCCATTGATCTATATCTCTGTTTTGGTACCAGTACCATGCTGTTTTGGTTACTGTAGCCTTGTAGTATAGTTGAAGTCAGGTAGTGTGATGCCTCCAGCTTTGTTCTTTTGGCTTAGGATTGACTTGGCGATGCGGGCTCTTTTTTGGTTCCATATGAACTTTAAAGTAGTTTTTTCCAATTCTGTGAAGAAACTCATTGGTAGCTTGATGGGGATGGCATTGAATCTGTAAATCACCTTGGGCAGTATGGCCATTTTCACGATATTGATTCTTCCTACCCATGAGCATGGAATGTTCTTCCATTTGTTTGTATCCTCTTTTATTTCCTTGAGCAGTGGTTTGTAGTTCTCCTTCCCTCATTAACATATTCTAAACAAAATTATAGCAAATTAAATTCAACCTTATAAAAAAAAAACATCACAACCAAATGAGGTTTATCCAAGAATGCAGGGTTGGGGTTTAACAAAATTAAATACATGTAATTTACCTTATTAACAAACTAAAAAAGGAAAACCATGACAGTCTGAATACATTGCATTAAAAGCATTAGACAAAATTCAACATCCATTCCTGATTAAAAATTCTCAGTAAATTAGGAAGAAATGGGAAACTTCCATATCTGGATGAAAGAGATTTATAAAATATTTATAACATCATTCTTAATGGTAAAAGACTGAATGCCTTCATCATATTCAACACTGTCTAGACTCTAGGCAGTAAATTCAGACAAGAAAAAGAAAAGGTATATAAATTGGGGAGAAAAAGTAAAACTGTTTTTGATATGGTCATTTGCATAGGACTCCTAATGGAATTAACTATAATAAGTGAGTTTAGTATGACTGCTGGACACAAGACAAATATAGAAAAATCAACTGCATTTTTACATACTAATAAGAACAATTAGAAAATGAAAAAAATCAGTAACATTAAAGTTGTGAGATATGGATAAATCTGGCAAAAGAGATGAAATACTTGTACACTGATAACTAGAAAACAGTGCTGAAAGTAAAAATACTTCAATGGAGAAATACATCTTGTTTATATTGCTAAGATAGCAACTCTCCCCAAATGGATCCAAAGATTCAATGTAATCCCAATCAAACTCCCAGCAGACATTTCTGTATAAATTGATGAGATGGCGGGGGGGGGGGGGGGGGGGGGGGGGGGTGGAGCCAAGATGGCCAAATAGGAACAGCTCCAGTCTACAGCTCCCAGCATGAGCAACACAGAAGACGGGTGATTTCTGCATTTACAACTGAGATGCCGGGTTCATCTCACCGGGGTGTGCCGGACAGTGGGTGCAGCGCACTGTGCGTGAGCTGAAGCAGGGCAAGGCATCACCTCACCTGGGAAGCGCAAGGGGTCAGGGAATTCCCTTTCCTAGTCAAAGAAAGGGGTGACAGACGGCACCAGGAAAATCGAGTCACTCCCACCCTAATACTGTGCTCTTCCAACAGGGTTAACAAATGGCATACCAGGAGATTATATCCCGCACCTGGCTCGGAGGGTCCTATGCCCACGGAGCCTCGCTCATTGCTAGCACAGCAGTCTGAGATCAAACTGCAAGGTGGCAGCGAGGCTGGGGGAGGGGCGCCCGCCATTCCCGAGGCTTGAGTAGGTAAACAAAGCAGCCGGGAAGTTGAACTGGGTGGAGCCCACCACAGCTCAAGGAGGCCCGCCTTCCTCAGCAGTCTCCACCTCTGGGGGCAGGGCACAGACAAACAAAAGGCAGCAGTAACCTCTGCAGACTTAAATGTCCCTGTCTGACAGCTTTGAAGAGGGTAGTGGCTCTCCCAGCACACAGCTTGAGATCTGAGAACCGGCAGACTGCCTCCTCAAGTGGGTCCCTGACCCCTGAGTAGCATAACTGAGGGGCACCCCCCAGTAGGGACAGACTGACACTTCACACGGCCGGGTACTCCTCTGAGACAAAACTTCCAGAGCAACGATCAGGCAGCAGCATTTGAGGTTCACCAATATCCACTGTTCTGCAGCCACTGCTGCTGATACCCAGGCAAACAGCGTCTGGAGTGGACCTCCAGCAAACTCCAACAGACCTGCAGCTGAGGGTCCTGACTGTTAGAGGGAAAACTAACAATCAGAAAGGACATCCACACCAAAAACCCACCTGTACGTCACCATCATCAAAGACCAAAGGTAGATAAAACCACAAAGACGGGGAAAAAACAGAGCAGAAAAACCGGAAACTCTAAAAATCAGAGTGCCTCTTCTCCTCCAAAGGAACGCAGCTCCTCACAAACAATGTAACAAAGCTTGATGGAAAATGACTTTGACGAGTTGAAAGAAGGCTTCAGAAAATCAAATTACTCTGTGCGAACCAATGGCAAAGAAGTTAAAAACCTTGAAAAAAAATTAGACGAATGGCTAACTAGAATAACCAATGGAGAGAAGTCCTTAAAGGACCTGATGGAGCTGAAACCCATGGCACGAGAACTACGTGACGAATGCGCAAGCCTCAGTAGCCGATGCGATCAACTGGAAGAAAGGGTATCAGCGATGGAAGATGAAATGAATGAAATGAAGCGAGAAGAGAAGTGTAGAGAAAAAAGAATAAAAAGAAACGAACAAAGCCTCCAAGAAATATAGGACTATGTGAAAAGACAAAATCTATGTCTGATTGGTGTACCTGACCTGAAAGTGACGGGGAGAATGGAACCAAGTTGGAAAACACTCTGCAGGATATTATCCAGGAGAACTTCCCCAATCTAGCAAGGCAGGCCAACATTCAAATTCAGGAAATACAGAGAACGCCACAAAGATACTCCTTGAGAAGAGCAACTCCAAGACACATAATTGTCAGATTCAGCAAAGTTGAAATGAAGGAAAAAATGTTAAGGGCAGCCACAGAGAAAGGTCGGGTTACCCACAAAGAGAAGCCCATCAGACTAACAGCCGATCTCTTGGCAGAAACTCGACAAGCCAGAAGAGAGTGAGGGCCAATATTCAACATTCTTAAAGAAAAGAATTTTCAACCCAGAATTTCATATCCAGCCAAACTAAGCTTCATAAGTGAAAGAGAAATAAAATCCTTTACAGACAGGCAAATGCTGAGAGATTTTGTCCCCACCAGGCCTGCCTTAAAAGAGCTCCTGAAAGAAGCACTAAACGTGGAAAGGAAAAACTGGTACCAGCCACTGCAAAAACATGCCAAATTGTAAAGACCATCAAGGCTAGGAAGAAACTGCATCAACTAACAAGCAAAATAACCAGCTAACATCATAATGACAGGATCAAATTCACACATAACAATATTAACCTTAAATGTAAATGGGCTAAATGCTCCAATTAAAAGACACAGACTGGCAAATTGGATAAAGACTCAAGACCCATCAGTGTGCTGTATTCAGGAAACTCATCTCAGGTGCAGAGACACACATAGGCTCAAAATAAAGGGATGGAGGAAGATCTACCAAACAAATGGAAAACAAAAAAAGGCAGGGGTTGCAATCCTACTCTCGGATAAAACAGACTTTAAACCAACAAAGATCAAAAGAGACAAAGAAGGCCATTACATAATGGTAAAGGGATCAATTCAACAAGAAGAGCTAACTATCCTAAATATATATGCACCCAATACAGGAGCACGCAATACAGGAGCACCTAGATTCATAAAGCAAGTCCTTGCTGACCTACAAAGAGACTTAGACTCCCACACAATAATAATGGGAGACTTTAACACCCCACTGTCACCATTAGACAGATCAAAGAGACAGAAAGTTAACAAGGATATCCAGGAATTGAACTCAGCACTGCACCAAGCAGACCTAATAGACATCTACAGAACTCTCCACCCCAAATCAACAGAATATACATTCTTTTCAGCAACACACCACACCTATTCCAAAATTGACCACATAGTTTGAAGTAAGGCACTCCTCAGCAAATGTAAAAGAACAGAAATTATAACAAACTGTCTGTCAGACCATAGTGCAATCAAACTAGAACTCAGGATTAAGAAACTCACTCAAAACCACTCAACTACATGGACACTGAACAACCTGCTCCTGCGAAATGAAGGCAGAAATAAAGATGTTCTTTGAAACCAACGAGAACAAAGACACAACATAACCAGAATCTCTGGGACACATTCAAAGCAGTGCGTAGAGGGAATTTTATAGCACTAAATGCCCACAAGAGAAAGCAGGAAAGATCTAAAATTGACACCCTAACATCACAATTAAAATAACTAGAGAAGCAAGAGCAAACACATTCAAAAGCTAGCAGAAGGTAAGAAATAACTAAGATCAGAGCAGAACTGAAGGAAATAGAGACACAAAAAAACCTTAAAAAAAATCGGCCGGGCGCGGTGGCTCACGCCTGTAATCCCAGCACTTTGGGAGGCCGAGGCGGGCGGATCACGAGGTCAGGAGATCGAGACCATCCTGGCTAACAAGGTGAAACCCCGTCTCTACTAAAAATACAAAAAATTAGCCGGGCGTGGTAGCGGGCGCCTGTAGTCCCAGCTACTCGGGAGGCTGAGGCAGGAGAATGGCGTGAACCCGGGAGGCGGAGCTTGCAGTGAGCCGAGATCGCGCCACTGCACTCCAGCCTGGGCGACAGAGCGAGACTCCGTCTCAAAAAAAAAAAAAAAAAAAAAAAAAAAAATCAATGACTGCAGGAGCTGGTGTTCTGGAAAGATCAACAAAATTGATAGACCGCTAGCAAGACTAATAAAGAAGAAAACGGAGAAGAATCAAACAGACGCAATAAAAAATGACAAAGGGGATATCACCACCAATCCCACAGAAATACAAACTACCATCAGAGAATACCATAAACACCTCTACACAAATAAACTAGAAAATCTAGAAGAAATGGATAAGTTCCTGGACACATACACCCTACACCTTCCCAAGACTAAACCAGGAAGAAGCAGAATCTCTGAATAGACCAATAACAGGCTCTGAAATTGAGGCAATAATTAATAGCTTACCAACCAAAAAAAGTCCAGAACCAGATGGATTCACAGCTGAATTCTACCAGAGGTACAAGGAAGAGATGGTACCATTCCTTCTGAAACTATTCCAATCAATAGAAAAAGAGGGAATCCTCCCTAACTCATTTGATGACGCCAGCATCACCCTGATATCAAAGCCTGGCAGAGACACAACAAAAAAAGAAAATTTTAGACCAATATCCTTGATGAACATTGAAGCAAAAATCCTCAATAAAATACTGGCAAACTGAATCCAGCAGCACATCAAAAAGCTTATCCACCATGATCAAGTGGGCTTCATCCCTGGGATGCAAGGCTGGTTCAACATACGAAAATCAATAAATGTAATCCAGCATATAAACAGAGCCAAAGACAAAAACCACATGATTATCTCAATAGATGCAGAAAAGGCCTTTGACAAAATTCAACAACCCTTCATGCTAAAAACTCTCAATAAATTAGGTATTGATGGGATGTATCTCAAAATAGTAAGAGCTATCTATGACAAACCCACAGCCAATATTATACTGGATGGACAAAAACTGGAAGCATTCCCTTTGAAAACTGGCACAAGACAGGGATGCCCTCTCTCACCACTCCTATTCAACATAGTGTTGGAAGTTCTGGCCAGGGCAATCAGGCAGGAGAAGGAAATAAAGGGCATTCAATTAGGAAAAGAGGAAGTCAAATTGTCCCTGTCTGCAGATGACATGATTGTATATCTAGAAAACCCCATCGTATCAGCCCAAAATCTCCTTAAGCTGATAAGCAACTTCAGCAAAGTCTCAGGATACAAAATCAATGTGCAAAAATCACAAGCATTCTTATACACCAATAACAGACAAACACAGAGCCAAATCATGAGTGAACTCCCATTCACAATTGCTTCAAAGAGAATAAAATACCTAGGAATCCAACTTACAAGGGATGTGAAGGACCTCTTCAAGGAGAACTACAAAGCACTGCCCAATGAAATAAAAGAGGATACAAACAAATGGAAGAACTTTCCATGCTCATGGATAGGAAGAATCAATATCGTGAAAATAGCCATACTGCTCAAGGTAATTTATAGATTCAATGCCATCCCCATCAAGCTACCAATGACTTTCTTCACAGAATTGGAAAAAACTACTTTAAAGTTCATATGGAACCAAAAAAGAGCCTGCATTGCCAAGACAATCCTAAGTCAAAAGAACAAAGCTGGAGGCATCACACTACCTGACTTCAAACTATACTATAAGGCTATAGTAACCAAAACAGTACTGGTACCAAAACAGAGATATAGACCAATGGAACAGAACAGAGCCCTCAGAAATAATGCCACATATCTACAACTATCTGATCTTGGACAAACCTGACAAAAACAAGAAATGGGGAAAGGATTCCCTATTTAATAAATGGTGCTGGGAAAACTGGCTAGCCATATGTAGAAAGCTGAAACTGGATCCCTTCCTTATACCTTATACAAAAATTAATTCAAGATGGATTAAAGACTTAAATGTTAGACCTAAAACCATAAAAACCCTAGAAGAAAACCTAGGCAATACCATTCAGGACATAGGCATGGGCAAGGACTTCATGTCTAAAACACCAAAAGCAATGGCAACAAAAGCCAAAATTGACAAATGGGATCTAATTCAACTAAAGAGCTTCTGCACAGCAAAAGAAACTACCATCAGAGTGAACAGGCAACCTACAGAATGGGAAAAAATTTTTGCAACCTACTCATCTGACAAAGGGCTAATATCCAGAATCTACAATGAACTCAAACAAATTTACAAGAAAAAAACAACCCCATCAAAAAGTGGGCGAAAGATACAAACAGACACTTCTCAAAAGAAGACATTTATGCAGCCAAAAAACACATGAAAAAATGCTCATCATCACTGGCCATCAGAGAAATGCAAATCAAAGCCACTATGAGATATCATCTCACACCAGTTAGAATGGCAATCATTAAAAAGTCAGGAAACAACAGGTGCTGGAGAGGATGTGGAGAAATAGGAACAGTTTTACACTGTTGGTGGGACTGTAAACTAGTTCAACCATTGTGGAAGTCAGTGTGGCGATTCCTCAGGGATCTAGAACTAGAAATACCATTTGACCCAGCCATCCCATTACTGGGTATATACCCAAATGACTATAAATCATGCTGCTATAAAGACACATGCACACGTATGTTTACTGCGGCACTATTCACAATAGCAAACACTTGAAACCAAGCCAAATGTCCAACAATGATAGACTGGATTAAGAAAATGTGGCACATATATACCATGGAATACTATGCAGCCATAAAAAAGGATGAGTTCATGTCCTTTGTAGGGACATGGATGAAGCTGGAAACCATCATTCTCAGCAAACTATCCCAAGGACAAAAAAACAAACACCGCATGTTCTCACTCATAGGTGGGAATTGAACAATGAGAACACATGGACACAGGAAGGGGAACATCACACACTGGGGACTGTTGTGGGGTGGGGGCAGGGGGGAGGGATAGCATTAGGAGATATACCTAATGCTAAATGAGTTAATGGGTGCATCACACTAACATGGCACATGTATACATATGTAACAAACCTACACATTGTGCACATGTACCCTAAAACTTAAAGTATAATAATAATAAAATTTAAAAAAAAAGAGTAAACATGGTGAGAAAAATGTTTGTTCAGTGGAAGTTTTTTCAAAACAATGTAGTTTTAATTTACATATAATGCTATAAGTAAAAATAACCCTTATATCTATGCTCTAATTCTTTTCCTGTGTTTTAATGTTTACAAAAAAAAATTGAGATGAACATAAAATATGGAAATACAAAGGCCTACAATAGCAAAAGCAACTTTGAAAATGAACAAAGTTGGAGACCTAACACTGTGTGATTTCAAAAATTATTATATATCTAGAGTAATCAAAATGATGTTAAATATATACAAATAGATCATGGAACAGAATGAAGTATATAGAAGTAAACCCACACATATGTAGACAACTGATTTTTGACAAAGGTGCAAAAGATATGCTGTGTAGAAGGGATAATCTTTTCAACCAATTGTACTGGAACAGATATCAAGATGCAAAATATGAACTTAACAACAAGAAATCAAGGATCCCATCTAAAAAAATGGGCAAAAGATTTGAACACACATTTTACCAAATAAGACACACACATAACAAATAAACAAATGAGAAAAATGTTCAACATCATTAGTTATTAGAAAAATGCAAGTTAAAATTATAATGAGATATCACTACACCACTACCAGAATGACTAAAATTAAAAAGGCATACCCTACCACATGTTGGCAAAGATAGAGGAAAATAGAAATTCTCATACACTGCTAGCGGGAATGTAAAATGGTATAACTACTTCAGAAAAGTTTCACATTTCCTTTAAAAGTCAAATATACTTCTACCATATAATGTAGCTGTTCCACTCATGGATATTTACCCAACAGAAAAGGAAATACGCATCCATACAAAGACTTGTACATCAATGTTCATGTAGTTTTGTTTGTTACAGCCCCAAACGGGAAACAAGTCAAACTGTCCATCAACAGATGAATGGATAAACCAACTGTGAGAAATCCGTAAACTAATACTCATAATGAATTACTGATTCACGACAAAATGGATGAATCTCAAAATATGCTGAGAGAAACTAGAAAAAATAAGTATACAGTGTATGACTTAATTTATATAAAACCAGAAAACACAAAGTAATTGGCAGTGACAAAAAGCAGATCAGTCGTTGGTTTTGAGAGAGGTGGGGATTCTTAAAACAGTAGAGCAATTTTTTTCTTTAAACCCCATTAAAAAAGTGCCAGTGAGATTTCTTTTTAAGATACAAATTGATAAGGAGATGCCTATGGCTCTAATAATGATGCAGAAATAGAGCTTTCAAAATATTACTAACATTTCATTATTAGCCATGTATTCTTGAGCAGGTTACTTAACCTCTCTGTACCCTAGTTTGCTCAACTGTATGATGGGAATATAAAAGTATCTACCTTGAGAGGATTGTTATGAATAACAAATTAATTTTAATACACATAAAGCACTACAACAGTGCCTAGAACATAGACACCTCCCAAAATTTACTATTATAATTATACAATTTAATCTTCAAGTACACCGTTAATTCATATTCAATATATTTCATACAAGGATAAAAAACTATAGAATACATTTGAGGAAAAGAATCATTAAATTAGTAACGTTTCAGAATCTGATAAAGCTTTGGTTACCTAGAAAGTTTGCTTATCCAGGCCAGGTGCAGTGGCTCACATCTGTAATCCCAGCACTTTGGGAGTCTGAGGTGGGCGTATCACTTAAGTCCAGGAGATTGAGACCAGCCTGGGCAACACAGCAAGACCTCGTCTTTCGTTAGCTTTACAAAGGTGGTTTAGTTTTGGGGAAGGGCCATTATCATTTAAACTATAAATTTCTCCTAAAGTTAGCATGGCCTAGGCCCAGGAATGACCAAGGGCAGTTGGGAGGTTAAAGGCAAGATGGGGGTTAGATTAGATTTCTTTTACTGTCATAATTTTCTCATTGTTATTTTTGCAAAGGTGGTTTCAAGATCAATAATTTACCACTGACTGCAAATGTGCTGTATGCATATTATGAATAGCATAATTTTTATATTCAGTATATAATTAAAACTCTTCCTCATCTTTCAAAGGAAGAAGAGTTTAGTGAAAGTTTAAGCAACTGGTACATTAGTTTTTACATATGATTCCTCCATGTTATTTGTAGGCCATTTTGTATGTACATTTTTCCCCCCTAAAATTCCCACTAGACAGTACAGAGGGAACAGTCTGATAGCTTTATTTTTATATCAGAAATAATTTCACATTAATTTATTAAGTGACTACCTTTTATATTACGCTAAATATTAAGACAACAAAGAAGTTAGAAGAAATTATACTTGTCGTAAGTTGAAGAAATAAAGTACATAAAGAGTAACAAAATAATTTAATATTTTTGGCCACTGAAAATCTAATTTTTATTTCACTTATTTATTACTTATAGTTGTTAGATAGGAGTTCTAAGTTTCTCTTCAAAGAATCGATATGTCAGTAAGTTCAATTCTTTGCCTTCTACTTTTAAACTTAACTTCCTCATAAAGCAATCTTTTTAGATTACCTCCTCCACCCTGACTCATTCCGATTACCTACTCCACCCTGACTCGTTCCCATTACCTGCTCATTCTCCACCCTGACTCATTCCAATTTCCTGCTCTGCCATAACCATTTTTCCCGCCAAACCACTCGCCCAGTCACTCTCTTTAAATTAGCCAATCGGAATTAGTTTAGCCTGTGCGGTCTAACCCTAGCCAAGAGGGGAACGACACAGCAGCAGGGGCCACGTGCGTCAGGGATAAGAACCCCTTCCCCTCCCTTGTCCAAGTGTGCGCTCACCATTGCTCCATCTGTAAGGGCGCACCCCTCTATAGAAGTACACTGCCTTGCTGAGAATTAAAAAGAAAATTTTATATTTGAGTGCTATTTCTTTTGTGGCACCAACACTTTATTTAGAACATAGTTGTAAACCAAGAAGTATCTGAGACAGGTCTCAATCAATTTAGAAGTTTATTTTGCCAAGGTTAAGCATATGCCCGGAACAAAAAAACAGAATCACAGTGACAGTCTGTGATCTGTGCCTTTCTCCAAAGATGAATTTGAGGGCTTCAATCTTTAAAGGGGAAAAGTGGGCTGGAGGGGAGAGAAGGAGGGTATGGTAATCCACAAGTTCCAAGAGAAAAGAGCAGGTAGGGGAATAGTCAATTATGTATTCGTCTGGCATCATTAAACAGGCACTTTACATAAGATATGGTGAACATAAGTAGCTACTTGTGGAGTAGGTAACCTAACCTTTTATCTGTAGTTATCAGCTCAGGAACAAAAGGAAAGGCAGTTTCTTGCATGACTGGGCTTTCAGCTTATTTTTTCCCTTTTGGAGTGGTGAATTGGGGTCCTGAGTTTTTATTATCCTTTCACCACCGTCTTATTTCTAGAACTTTGTGGAGATGTTAAGATAAATATAATATTAGTCATAGTAATCTGGCTTATATTAAATATATTGAGTAAATGCTGACCTGCTTCTAGTAATTTAATTCATCCTTACTTGGGCTATTTAAAACATGAATTAACATTTTAGCTTATATGAATTTTAAAATTCATACAGGATCATAAATGAATTTTTGTTAAATTTTTTTTTTATGAATGACAAATTTCTCCATGTTCAATGAAGAAAACCCAAGAAACACAGAAAGTAACAAAAATAAACTGCCAATAGTTTCACCATTCACAGATAATCATTATCAATTTTTATGTAGTCCTTATGTCTTTTCCAGGGACATTTGCACAAACTCTTATATTTTACAGCATATTAGACTTCTGCTGAAGTCTGTTTTTAAATCCAAACTGATGATACTGTAAATGCCTGCTAATGTAACTGGTTATGACGAGCACAGTTGATAAATCTGTTAGTTTCTTAAGTAGAGGGTTATCTAAAATACAATTTTTTTCTTTATATAAAGCTATCATACAGTTTTATAATCTGCTTTTATGACATTATTTTATCACAAATGTTGTATAAACTTAACATTCTTCTGTAACTTGATTTTAAATGTCTGCATTGGATTCTAACTCAGAAATGAGTAAATTTTTAAACTGATAAATATATACAGGAACTTTTATCATTTTCACACAAAATTGGAATCTTAATTTACACATTACCATGCAATTTGATTTTTTTCACTTAGTGTTTTCTGACTGTTCTTCCACATTCATAGATACACTTACTACTATTTTTAGTATTTGTGTGATATTCCAAAGTATGGAAGTTTCTTATTTACTTTGCTATTCTTTTCTTGATGGACCTTTGGCAACTACAGACAATGCTGCAATCAACATTTATTTATATATATATATATATATATATCTCCTTATGTTTTGGTGCATATATATTTTGTGGGGTACCTTCCCTTAAGTAGGATTGCCAAGTCAAAGTGTATGTATGTACATTCATTTTAATATGTATTGCCAAATTTATCCAAAAAATTACATTAATTCCCAGTAACACTCTACTTGTTCCTAGAATTCCTGTTTATGCCTGCATTAGATTGGTGAAAAATGGTCTTATTTTAATTTCCATTTGTTTCCTTGCTAGTGATGCTTATCTTTTCATTTTTATTGGCTCTTCATACTTCTCCTTCTGCAAGTTGCCTTGTTCGTCCATTTTTCAATAGGATGGTCTTCCATAGGAAGTTTTTATTAATATGAATATTAATACAGATAATAATTGTCCCTAAGCATTGCATATACCTAACATGGATGGTATGGTCATCACGTTTCATTTTCTTGTCTAAACTTGTTTATCACCTATCTCTCACTAACCTAGGAATTAGTTACATGTCCACTTGCTTGTCCTGTTCACTGTAGCTCCAATACCAAGGCATTCCCTTATTAAACGAAATAAATTATCCGAACATACCGTTACTTAACCGAGATAAAGGACATCCTGTCTAGGTACAGGATTGTTAGAGATTCTTTTTTCATGGCTATGAGATGTTGTTCTAATGTTCCCTTAAGTTTCCAGGGTTAGTAGTGAGAAGTCTATTGTCAATGTGATTCTCTTTCCCTTTTCTCTGAATGATTTTTCTCATGACTGAAATTCAGTTATTTCTGCACATTATCTCTAGATATGTACGTTTTTTCATTAAACTTTTTCCACATAGCCCCACCCGCAATCAAATGTATCTAAGTCTCAGCCTTTTCAATCTGACAACCTTCAATGTTTCTAAACTAGGTAAGTTTCTTCTATTATTTCCTAAACTAATACTTGTTCTGTCTTGTTTTCTTTCTATAACACTCATTCCCAAACCTCTTGAATTTGCTCCTGCAGGTCTCTTATCTTTTCAAAAATAATTTTATTTCTATATGCCTTACATCATGAAATTGTTTCTATTTGATCTTCTGGAACAAAAGATTCAGCTCTCACAAGGGGTTATTTATCAGTTCATCTGTTGAATTTTTCTCTTAGGAAATTTTTAGCTCTGAAAAATCCTGATTATGTTCTAATTACATTTTCTGAAAGTTCTTAGTAATTTTTTTCTTAATTTACTACATTCTTCTGTCTCATCCCTGTGGCTCATCAATAGGAGCCACATATTTTACTTGTTTAGTTTGGTCTTACATCGTAAAGTTAATGAGCTCCCTTAGTGGTTTTTTTCTTTGCTGTGTTCCATTAGCCACCTGTAGAGGTTAGGCTTTGATGTGGGTATCTGGCAATGCAAACCTACAGATGCTGGATAAAGTGACAGTTTGCAGAGGCAGACAAGCTCACATACTGCTGAGCTGAGGCTTCAGCAGTCTCCTCTCAGGCACTGTCTCTGAGTAGAAGGGCCGGCTTCCTCAGACCATGAGGTGTGGCAGCAACTGAGTTCACCTGTGCAACCTCTACTCTAAGTCCGCAGCAGTTAACAGAGTTTTATGGGAAGCCCTGCTAATGTCCACTTCCAGGAGCAGACACAGTCCTCCCTTTTCTGAAGGGAAACCACAGGATTCCACTTTTTTAAGCTCACTTAGAGAACTGTGAAATCTCAGATCCTGTCTCAGTGCCTTAAGGAGTGGCAAAGCAAACCTTTCCCTCTGCCTGGTCCTTCAGCACCTATTCTTTCCCTAAAGAACTTGATATCTTGATGATTCTGACTTTAGGCTCATGTTTATACTCCTGAGAAGAGGAGAGGAGTTAGGAATGGGGGCTTAGTCCTTCTATCTTCTCAGAATTTAGAAATTAACTTAAACCATTTCTACTAGTTGTTCAAAGTTTTTGTAGCCTCTGCCTGCAAAACAGGTTCTTTTTTATTTTCATTTCTTTCATTATGATATAAAATAATACAGGCTGGGTGCAGTGACTCATGCCCATAATCCCAACACTTCGGGAGGCCGGGGCAGGCGGGTCACCTGAGGTCAGGAGTTAGAGACCAGCCTGGCCAACATGGCAAAACCCTGTCGCTACTAAGAATACAAAAATTAGTTGGGCCTGGTGGCGAGCACCTGTAATCCCAACTACTTGGGAGGGTAAGGCAGGGAGAACTGCTTGAACCTGGGAGGCGGAGGTTGCAGTGAGCAGAGATTGCGCTGCGCCACTCCACTCCAGTCTGGGTGACAGAGCAAGATGCCGTCTCAAAAAAAAAAAAATAATAATAATAATAATAAAATAAATAATACAGAGAGCCATCTCTGTATTATTTGGTAATAGTTTAGAAAGGTCACTGATATTTTTGTATCATCTGTTTAGCAAGACATTAGGAGGAGGAGAGGAGCCTGAATTCTGCTAAAGTGTAAATGTAAACAATTACCAGTCATTATTCCAGAGGTCACAAGATTTGCAACTTCCCCAATTACTCCTGCAGGTAACATCACTACTGTAGAACCTAAGATTGGCCTTTTCAGATACCTTCTCAGGTTTTTGCATTTCTGACGGCGGAGGGCTCCACGTGGACCCACCAACTGGTCCTGGTCCTGTGGTCCTACTCAGAAGTGGACTCGACATGAAGACCATTTTCCACACCTCTGACTGCCTCCCTAACCAATCAGCAGCACCCATTCCCTGCCCCACCAAACTATCCTTGAAAAACCCTAGCCTCCAAATATTGGGGAAGACTTATTTGAATAATAAAACTATGGCGCTTCTGTTCAGCCAGCTCTTCATGAATTAAACTTTCTCTATTGCAATTCCTCTGTCTTGATAAATCAATTGTATTCAGGCAGCAGGCAAAACGAAACTGTTGGGCAGTTACAATAGTTTTAATGGATATATCTGGGCTCATTCCATCTTTATATAATGCTTTGGATTTTATATATAAAAATGAAATGACTCAAAAAATCATAAAAGGAGTATTAAGGCAATTTTATATTACATGGTTAAGAATTCTACTGCACAGTAATATACAATAAGTAGGTCATGGCAGACCAACTCTCCCAACAGCTAGAAAAAGGCAGAAAACATAAAAAATTATATTTTTAAAGGCATCAGGCAAGCTATGGAATCAATAAGGCCTAGACTGATTAAAATTCATAGTAGGAGGGCTGTTCAGAAGTAAGCTGATTTTTTTTCCCCTAAGAGCATTCACCAATTCTGGGCACAGGCTAAGAAAGCAGCAGACTTAGTTCAGGCAGACGCCTGCTGGAGCAAAGAAAAATCAGCAAAGCTCTTGGCAGTTACATAGGGTTGAAGAAATAATCAGACTTGAAATGCCTCAACTCCACAGCCAATTTTTCCCACAAGACATCTGCTGAACTTAGAAGCTGCAGAAGGGGCTCAAGGGCTCGAAAGCAAACTTCATACAGGCAAAGTAAAATTTCCTGTATTTGTGAGATGCACAGGTATCCATACTAACTGGAGACCTGATGTGCCTCAAACACATAACCAGTGACAAAGATTCTGTGCTTAGTCAAACTTTAGTCAGGCTCCTGAACCTTCTTCTCTTAGGTCCATCTGTGCATTTCCTTATAAAATCCAGTTTAGCAAGACCCCCACACTTGATATCTGATTAGGTGGCTCATCCTCCAATCTCCCCTAAGTGATGTCTGATCACCCTGGTCTGTCTTCAGCAAGAATCCTGTTGTTTTAGCCAGAATCCCCATTACCCCTGATGTTTCCTCTTATTAATTTTCTATCCATTGACTCCCACACTGCTCCTTGGCTATAAATTCCCACTTGCCCATGCTGAAGAAGTGAGCCCAATCTCTCTTTGCCACTGCAAGAACCCACTGCAGTGTTCCCTATATATACTGCGATAGTCCCCAAAAAAGTTTTCCTTACTGTGTTTCAACAAGTATTATTCGATAATTTTTTCTTTAACACCAATTTTACCCTCAAGACATCTGCTGAATTTTGATGTCATATGGGCAAGATGACAATCAAATGCCCATCAATCAACAAGTGGATAAAGAAAATGTGGTATATATATACACCATCGAATACTACTCAGTCACAAAAAGGAGCAAAATAATGGCATTTGCAGCAACCTGGATGGAATTGAAGACTATTATTCTAAGTGAAGTAATTCAGGAATGGAAAACCAAACATCCTACGTTCTCACTCATAATTGGGAGCTAAGCTGTGAGAACACAAAGACATAATAATGATACAATGGACTTTGGGGACTCAGGGAAAAGGGTGGGAGGCGGGTGAGGGATAAAAGACTACAAATTGGGTACACAGTGTACACTGCTTGGGTGATGGGTGCACCAAAATCTCCCCTCTCTTGGGAGTAGGATAAGGAAATCTTACATGACTGGCTGGCAACAGAGAAAACAAAAGAGAAACTTCAGAGACCACCCATCAGAAGAAATACATACTATGCAAAAAGAGTTTCAAAAAATCATAAAAGGAACTCTTCAGTAATCAAGGAGCAGAACCCCAGCAATCTCTGAGGGCTAGGAGAATTAGATTTCCAAAGTCACCACAACATAATACTCAGTCCAGTTCTCAATGAAAAATTACAACACATAAAAAGAAACAGAAAAGTATGGCCCAGTCATAGAAAATAAAGAATATGGCAGAAACCATCCCTAAGGAAGCCCAGACATTTGAATTATTAATCTGAGACATTAAATCAACACTCTTAAATATGTTCAATGAGCTAAAGGAGACCATGGGCAAAAAACTAAAGAAAATCAAGAAAACAATGTCTAAACAAAATGAGAATATCGATAAAAGGGAAAATTTTTTTTAAAGGAACTGAAAAAATTCTGAAGATAAAAAGTACAGTAACTAAAATGAAAAATTCACTACAGAAATTCAATAGCAAATTTGAGCAGACGGAAAAGATAAATGTACTTGAAAATAAGACATTTGAAATTATGCAATCTAAGGAGCAAAAAGAAGAATAAAGAAAAATAAGCAGAGTCTGGGGGACCTGTGGGGCACCATTAATCACAACAACATACATAATATAGGAATAGAAGTATGGAGGAAAGAGAAATGGTTGAAAATGTCAGGAGCCTTAATGAAATCCGTGAATATACAAATCCAAGAAATTCCAAAAAGGATAAACTCAGAGACCCACACTGAGACACACTAGAATCAAACTGCTGAAACCAAAAGACAGAATTTTGAAAACATTAACAGAGAAGCAGCTTATCAAATATAAGGGTTCCTCAGTGATATGGTTTGGCTGTGTCCCCAACCAAATTTCATCTTGAATTGTAGTTCCCATAATCCCCTGTGTCATGGGAGGGACCTGGCGGGAGGTAATTGAATCACAGAGGTGGTACCCTCACGGTGTTCTCGTGATAATGAGTGAGTTCTTACGAGATCTGATGGTACTTTAATAGGTGGCTTTTCTCCCTCTGCTCAGCACTTCTCTCCTGCCACCACGTGAAGAGGGACATGTTTGTTTCCCCTGCTGCCATGATTGTAATTTTCCTGAGGCCTCCCCAGCCATGTAGAACTGTAAGTCAATTAAACCTCTTTCCTTTATAAATTACCCAGTCTTGGGCAGTTCTTTATAGCAGCATGAGAAAGAACTAATACAGTAAATTGGTACTGCAGAGAGTGGGGTGCTGCTATAAAGATACCCAAAAATGTGGAAGCAACTTTGGAGCTGGGTAACTGGCAGAGGTTGGAACAGTAGACATCCACACTTAAAAAGGCACATCTCAGGCCCAGTGCGGTGGCTCATGCCTGTAATCCCAGCACTTGACAGGCCAAGGCAGGATGATCGCTTGAGCCTAGGAGTTTGAGACCAGCCTGGCCAACGTAGTGAGATCACATCTCTACAAAAATTAAACAAAATCAGCCAGGCGTGGTGGTGCGTGCCTATGGTCCCAGCTACTAGGGAGGCTGAGGGAGAGGATTACTTAAGCCCAGGAAATCAAGACTGCAGTGAGCTATGATCATGCCACTGCATTTCAGCCTGGGCAACAAAACAGGAAGCTGTCTCAAAAAAAAAAAAAAAAAAGGTGGCGGTGGAGGGACATTTCAAATAAATAACCTAAATGTGCACATAAAATAACTAAATAACAAAGAGCAAAGTAATCCCGAAGCTAGCAGAAGAAAGGAAATAATAAAAGTTAGAGCAAAATAAAAAGAGAATGGAAAAACAATAAAGAAAATACACTTTAACAAAAATTGTTTTTTTCCTGATACGGAGTCTTGCTCTATTGCCCAGGCTGGAGTGCTGTGACAAGATCAAAACTCATGGTAACCTTGAACTCCTGGGCACAGGTGATCCTCCTGACTCACCCTCCTGAGCAGCTAGGACTACAATCATGTGCCAACTCACCTGGCTAAGTTTATTTTTTGTAGCGATGGCATTATGCTATGTCCCCCAGGCTCCCCTGTAACTCCCTGCCTCAAGCAATCCTCCCGCCTCAGCTTCCCAAAGTGCTGGGATTACAGACATGAGCCATCACATCCAGCCAAAAGTTGACTCTTTGAAAAATCAACAAAACTGATAAACCTCTAGGTAAGTTAAGAAAAAAGGGAGATGATTCAAATCACAAAAATCAGAAAGAACATTACCAGTAATTTTGCATAAATAACAGAGATTATGAGAATACAATAAAGAGTTGTATTCCAACAAATCAGACAAGCCAGATGAAACTGACAAAGTTCTAAAAACATACAATCTACCAAAACTGACTTGAGTTTTGGTAATCAATATAAATCAATATATTGTGTGAATACAGATGCAAAAGTCCTCAGCAAATACTTCATACATCGTGACAAAGTGGGATTCATTCACTGAATGCAAGGATGATTCAATGTAGGAAAATCAATCAATGAAATACACTACATTAACAGGATGAAGAAAAAATCCACGTTTCTCAATTGACGCAAAGAGAGCATTTGACAAAATTTAACACCTTTAACAATAAAAGCATGCCAGAAACTAAGAACAGAAGTAAATAACCTCAACATAATAAAGACCATATATGAAAAACCTAAAGCCAACATTATACTCAATGGTGACAGACTGAAAGCCTTCCCGCTAGAACAAGAACAAGATAAGGATACCCACTTTTACCACTTAATTCAACATAGTATTGAAAGTTCCACCAAGAGCAATTAAACAAGAAAACGAGATAAAGGCATCCAAATCAGACCACAGAGATGTATAAATAATGCACACAAAAATTATTAGAGCTAATAAAGTTAGCAAAGTCGTAGGATATAAAATCAATACACAAAAATCACATATATCCATACAGCATGGAAGAGAAAGGTTTCCTGCAGTGTAGCACAGCCACACTGCCAGATCATGGCCAGACTGCTTCTTTACGTGAGACCTCAATCCACTCCTCCTCATGGGGTAGTGGGTCTTCCCAGCTGGGGTCTTGAGCCACCCCCAATTAGACAGAGCTCTAATTTCCCCCCAGGACGGAGTATACCTGAGTGGTGGGGTAGGCTGCCACACTGGCATTCAGGCTTCTCAATCAGTCCAGCCTGTGGGTCCTGGAGAGCCCATACCAATTGGGGGGCTGAAGGAATCCCCAACACAGCACACCTGCTGCAGCCAGACTGCTTCTTTAAGTGGGTCCCTGATCCCGTTCCTCCTGACTGGGTGACATCTCCCAACAGAGGTCTCCAGCCACCTCCTCCAGGCACATCTGAGCTAACAACAGGTCAGTACCCCCCTGTGAAGGAGCTTCCAAAGAAGAAGGAGGCTGCCATCTTTGCTGTTTTGCAGCCCTCCCTGGTGATACCTCCAGGTACAGGAAAAATCGAGGCAACTAGGGTCTGGAGTAGACCCCCACAAATGGCAGCAGTTCTATGGAAGAGTGGCCTGTTAAAAGAAAAACAAACAGAAAACAACAATATCAACAAAAAAGACCCTACAAAAAACCCCATTCAAAGGTCAGCAACCTCAAAGATCAAAGGCAGATAAGCCCACAAAGATAAGAAATTAATCAATGCAAAAATGCTAAAAACTCAAAAAACCAGAGTGCCTATTCTCCTCCAAATGACCACAACACCTCTCCAGCAAGGGCTCACAACTGGGCTGAGGCTGAGAAAGCTGAATGACAGAAGTAGGCTTTGGAAGGTGGGTAACAACGAACTTCACTGAGCTAAAGGAGCAAGTTTTAACCCAATGCAAAGTAAGAAACATGACAAAACAATACAGGACGTGCCAAGTTCTTAGAGACCTTCAAAGAGACTTAGACTCCCACACAATAATAGTGGGAGACTTTAACACACCACTGACAATGTGAGAGATAAGCAGCCAGTTTAGAGAGGAAGTTAACTGACCTATTAGAGCTGAGAAACACACTACAAGATCAAAAAAGACAAAGGGCATTACATAACAATAAAGGGTTCAATTCAACAAGAAGAGCTAAATGTCCTCAATATATACGCTCCCAATGTAGGAACACCCAGATTCACAAAGCAAGTTCTTAGGGACCTTGAAAGAGACTTAAACTCCCACACAATAATAGTGGGAGACTGGAACACACCACTGACAATACTAGGAGGAGCCAGTTTAGAGAGCAACATAACCGACCTGTTAGAGCTCAGAAACATACTACAAGAACTTCACAATGCAATCACAACTATTAATAGCAGAATAGACCAAGTGGAGAAAAGAATCTCAGAGCTTGAAGACTATCTTGCTGAAATAAGATAAGCGGACAAGAATAGAGAAAAAAGAATGAAAATGAATAAAACCTCTGAGAAATGTGGGATTATGTAAATAAACTGAACCTAAGACTGACTGGGGTACCTGAAAGAGATGGGGAGAATGGAACGAAGTTGGAAAACATATTTCAGGATATCATCCAGGAGAACTTCCCCAACCTAGGAAGACAGGCCAACATTCAAATTCAGGAAATGCAGAAAACCTCAGTAAGATATTCCCTGAGAAGATCAACCCCAAGACATATAATCATCAGATTCTGCAAGGTCAAAATGAAAGAAAAATGTTAAGGGCAGTCAGACAGAAAGACCAGGTCACCTACGAAGGGGAGGCCCATGAGACTAACAATAGACCTCTCAGTGAAAACCCTAAAAGCCAGAAGAGATTGGGGCCAATATTAAACATTCTTTTTTTTTTTTGACAGAGTCTCGCTCCGTTGCCAGGCTGGAGTGCAGTGGTGCAATCTCAGCTCACTGCAACCTCTGCCTTCTGGGTTCAAGCAATTCTCCTGCCTCAGCCTCCTGAGTAGCTGGGACTACAGGTATGCGCCACGACACTCAGCTAATTATTTTTGTATTTTTAGTAGAGATGGGGTTTTTCACAATGTTGGCCAGGATGGTGTCGATCTCTTGACCTCGTTATCCGCCCGCCTTGGCCTCCCAAAGTGCTGGGATTACAGGTGTGAGCCACCACACCTGGCCAATATTAAACATTCTTAAAGTAAAGAATTTCCAACCCAGAATTTCATATCTGGCGAAACTAAGCTTTATAAGCAAAGGAGAAACAAGATCCTGTTCAGACAAGCAAACGCTGAGGGAATTCGTAACCATCAGACCTGCTTTGCAAGAGCTCCTGAAGGAAGCACTAAATATGGAAAGGAAAAACCATTACCAGCCACTACAAAAACACACTGAAGTAAACAGATCAGTGACACTATGAAGGAACCACATAAGTCTGCAAAATAACCAACTAGTATCTTGATGACAGGATCAAATCCACACATAACAATACTAACCTTAAATGTAAATGGGCTAAATGCTCCAATTAAAAGACACAGAATGGCAAGCTAAATAAAGAACCAAGACCCAGCGGTATGCTGTCTTCAAAAGACCCATATCATGTGCAAAGACACACATCCCAAAATAAAGGGATGGAGGAAAATTTACCAAGCAAATGGAAAACAGAAAGAACCACGGACTGCGATCCTAGTTTCTCACAAAACAGACTTTAAATGAAAAAAGATAAAAAAGGCAAAGGGCGTTACATAAAGGGTTCAATTTAATAAGCGCCAAATATCCTCCATATATGCACACACAGTATAGGAACACCCAGATTCCTAAAGCAAGTTCTTAGAGACCTTCAAAAAGACTTAGACTCCCACACAATAATAGTAGCAGACTTAACACACCATTGACAATATTAGGCAGATCACCAAGACAGAAAATTAACAGATATTCATGATCTGAACTTAGCTCTAGATCAAGTGGACCTGACAGATATCTACAGAACTCTCCATCCTAAAACAACAGAAACTAATTGTTCTCATCATCACAAGGCACTTACTCTAAATTTGATCACATAATCGGAAGTAAAACACTCTTCAGCAAATGCAAAAGAACTGAAATGATAACAGTCTCTCAGACCACAACACTCAAAAAAATTCACTCAGAAGAATTAAGAAATTCACTCAAAACCACACAACTACATGGAAATTGAACAGCCTGCTCCTGAGTGACTTGAGTAAATAATGAAATTAAGGCAGAAATCAAGAAGTCCTTTGAAACTAATGAGAACAAAGAGACAATGTACCAGAATCTCTGGGATGCAGCTAAAGCAGTGTTGAGGGAAATTTATAGCACTACATGCCCACATCAAAAAGCTACAAAGATCTCAAGTTAACAACCTAACACCACAACTAAGAGAACTAGAGAAACAAGAACAAACCCAAAAGCTAGCAGAAGACAAGATATAACCAAGATCAGAGCAGAACTGAAGGAGATAGAGACATGAAAGACCATTCAAACGATCAATGAATCCAAGAGCTGGTTATTTAAAAAAATTAATAGAATACATAGACTGCTAGCTAGATTAATAAAGAAGAAAAGAGAAGATTTAAATAAACACAATCAGAAATGATAAAGGGGATATCATCCTGACCCCAAAGAAATACAAACAATCATCAGAGAATACTATAAATGCATCAATGCACATTAAATAGAAAATCTAGAAGAAATGGATACTTTTCTGGACACATACACCCTCCCTAAGACTGAACCAGGAAGAAACTGAATCTCTGAATAGACCAATAATGAGTCCTGAAATTGAGAAGTAATAAAGAGCCTAGCAACCCAAAAAAAAAAACCAGCCCAGGACAGACAGATTCACAGCTGAATTCTACCAGAGGTACAAAGAAGAGCTGGTATTATTTCTACTGAAACTATTCCAAAACAATTGAAAATTAGGGATTCCTCCTTAATTCATTCTATGAGGCCAGCATCATCTTGATACCAAAACCTGGCAGAGACAAAACAAAAAAAAAGAAAACCTCAGGCCAATATGCTTGATGAACATCAATGCAAAAATTCTCAACAAAATACTGGCAAATATCCAGTAGCCCATCAAAAAGTTTATCCATCATGTCCAAGTAGACTTCATCCCCGGAATGCAAGACTGGTTCAACATACACAATTCAATAAATGTGATTCATCACATAAACAGAACTGAACACAAAAACCACATGATTATCTCAATAGATGCGGAAAAGGTCTTTAATAAAATTCAACATCGCTTTAGGTTAAAAACTCTCAATAAACCAGATATTGAAGGAACATACTTCAAAATAATAAGAGTCATATATGACAAACCCACAGCCAATATCATAATGAATGGACAAAAGCTGGAAGCATTCCCCTTGAAAAAAGGCACAAGACAAGGATGCCCTCTCTCACCAGTCCTATTCAACATAGTATTGGCAGTTCTGGCTGGGGCAATCAGGCAAGAGAAAGAAATAAAGGGTATTCAAATAGGAAGAGAGAAAATTAAACTATCTTTGTTTGCAGATGACATGATCCTATATTAGAAAACCCCATTGCCTCAGCCCAAAAGCTTTGTAAGCTGATAAGCAACTTCAGCAAAGTCTAAGGATAGAAAATTAATGTGCAAAAATCATTAGCATTCTTATACATCAACAGGCAAGCAGACAGCCAAATCATGAATGAACTCCCATTCACAGTTGGTCACAAATGAATAAAATACCTAGCAATACAGCTAACAAGGGAGGTGAAGAACCTCTTCAAGGGGAACTACAAACCAACTTTCAAACAAATGACAGATGACACGAACAAATGGAAAAACATTCCATGTTCATGGCTAGGAAGAGTCAATATTGTGAAAATGGTTATACTACCCAAAGTAATTTATAGATTCAATGCTATCCCCATTAAACTACCACTGACATTCTTCACGGAATTAGAAAAAAGCTATTTTAAAATTCATATGGAACCAACAAAGAGTCCGAATAGCCAAGGCAATCAAAGCAAAAAGAACAAGGCCAGAGGCATCATGCTACCTGACTTAAAACTGTAACACAGGGCTACAGTAACCAAAACAGCATGGTACTGGCACAAGAATAAACACATAGACCAACGTAACAGAATAGAGAACCCAGAAACAAGAACACCCACCTACACCATCTGATCTTAGCAAACCTGACAAACACAAGCAATGGGGAAAGGATTCCCCATGTAATATATGGTGCTGGGAGTACTGGCTAGCTGTATGCAGAAAATTGAAACTGGACCCCTTCCTTACACCCTAAAGGAAAATGAACTCAAGATTGATTAAAGATTTAAATGTAAAACCCAGGAAGAAAATCTAGACAATACCATTTGGGACACAGGCACAGGCAGAGATTTCACGACAAGGATGACAAAAGCAATTGCAACAAAAGCAAAAATTGACAAATGGGATCTAATCGAACTGAAGAGCTTCTGCACAGCAACAGAAACTATCATTGGAGTGAGCAGATAAACAACAGAATGGTAGCAAATTTTTGGAATCTATTAATCTGACAAAGAAAGGTCTAATATCCAGCATCTACAATGAACTTAATAACTTACAAGAAAAAAAAAATCCCATTAAGAAGTGGGCAAAGGACATGAACAGACACTTCTCAAAAGAAGACATAAATGTGGCCAACAAATACATTTTAAAAAGCTCAACATCACTGATTATTAGAGAAATTCAAGTCAAAACCACAATGAGATACCGTCTCACACAAGCCAGAATGGCTATTACTAAAAAGTCAAAAAACAACAGGTGCTGGTTAGGTTGTGGAGAAAAAGGAATGCTTTTACACTGTTGGTAGGAGTGGAAATTAGTTCAACCATTATGGAAGACAGTAGGCAATTCCTCAAAGACCTAGAGGCAGAAATACCGTTTGACCCAATAATCTCATTACTGGGTATACCCCCCAAAATATAAATCATTCTATTACAAACATTCATGCATGCATATATTCACTGCAGCACTATTCACAATAGCAAAGACATGGAATCAACCTGAATGTCCCCCGATGATAGACTGAATAAAAGAAATGTGGTACATATACACGATGGAATACTATGCAGCCACAAAAAGGAACAAGATCATATCCTTTGCAGGGACATGGTTGGAGCTGGAAACCATTATCCTCAGCAAACTAACACAGGAACAGAAAATCAAATACCACATGTTTTCACTTATAAGTGGGAGCTGAATGATGAGAACATATGGACACATGGGGGAAACAACATACACTGGGGTCTGTTAGAGGATGGAGGGGCAGGGCGCAGGATGAGGGAGAGCATCTGGAAGAATAGCTAATGGATGCTGGGCTTAATACCTAGGTGATGGCATAATCTGTGCAAGGAAACCACCATAGCACATGTTTACCTATGCAACAAACCCACACATCCTACACATGTACCCTGAAGTTAAGTTGGAAAAAATCAGATATATGTCTACACACTTGGAATGAACAACTGAAAAGGAAACTTAAAAACAATTCCATTTACAATAGCATCAAAAAGAAATTTAAAACTTAAAAATAAATTTAATGAAGCAGGAAAAAGACTTGCATACTGAACACCAGAAAACACTCCTTACAGAAATTGAAGGTCTAAATAATTGATAAGACATTGCATGTTCATAGGCTGGAAGACTTAAATTAATGCTTCCCAAAGAGAACTACAGATTCAATGCAGTCTCTACCAAATTCCCAATGGTATTTTTTACAGAAATAGAAAACCAGTTCAAACAGTCATATAGCATCTTAGGGACTGGCTCAGAATAGTCAAAACTATAGATGATACTGAACTTATGATGGTTCAACTTACGACATTATGATGGATGTTTGGGGCTGTTAAATTTTTTACTTATGGTATTTTCAACTTACAATGGGTTGACAATGGGTTGACATGACTTATATCCTGAAATACAACAATAAAATTGGAGGATTCCACTTCCTGATTTCAAAAGTTACTACAAAGCCACAGTAATTTAAAAACTGTGGTACTGGAATAAGGACAGACATATATAACAATGAAACAGAATGGAGCATCCAGAAATAACCCCAAATACCAATGGCCAATTGATTTTCAACAAGACTACCAAGACCGTTCAATGGGAAAAGAATAGTTCTTTAACATATTGTACTGTAACATTTAACATAAAGTACAACTTTTTTTGGTAATATACATCCACTAATGAGAATTAGATTCTTTTTGTGGAAATAACCTTTTTGGTAAATTGGGGTTTAAAGTACTTTTCCCTATCATCAAAATTGAGTGCAAATTTTCATCTATTAATGCTGGTCCTTAATGACATTTTACATAATTCATATTTGAAAACATTTTCTAATACAGCAAAAGCTATTTTCCAAAGTTATTTAGTGTCTGTTAAGTGGTAGATGGTGGTCCTTCAAGTAAAGAAAAAAAAAAAAGTCAGTCTCGGTAAAAAAAAAAACAAAAAAACTTTCCAATAAACTTTTATCACTACCCAAGCCATAACAGCTGTGGAGGAGGGCAATTCAAGATATTCCTGCTTCCATCTCTGAAAAAACTTACACTAACCATAGGTTTTAAAAGTCTTATATTTTCACAAACTTTGTAAATCTGTCCAACTAAGTCTTTTGCTGCTCCATGTGGATTTTTACTACTATCAATTAATACAACTTCTTAGATTCTACTTCGGGTTGTACTGAATTAGTATTTTCTCAACTCCTTTGAGAATTTTTTTCATCTGGAATTGTTCTGCAGGTCATTCACAGTAATTCTTAGTCAATTCATACTTCACATGGACCACTGAAATTTACAACTGAGCAGTATTATAACATCTGTCAATTTATCAAAAACTAAGCAAACTTACTTTTACTGCACTTTCATTTTCATATTTTATTTTTGTGAAGGAATTTTGTGGTGAGCTGTTCTGTGCTAAATTTTTTAATTCTTCTAACTTAACCTTCAGTACATTCTGATAAGTGCTTAGTCTAGTGATGTCAGCTTATATTCTTTTGGCATAGCTATAGTGCCATTGAATAATAAATACAATATTTTGCCATCTAATTCAATAATAAAAGAAACCACACTACAGTGTGCTTTAAAAACAAAACAAAGTCTTTTTGTCTTCTTTGGTTCTTTTGACATGAGTATGTACTAGAATAAAAATAATATAAAATGTCACAGAATGGCAATATGTGTACACTTGAAATGTTATGAAGTTACAACTGTGTTACTACACAGTGCATTGAACAGAAGAGCAAAGCAATGAGAGCACCACATACACTTGCTGTAAGAACTTCAATTCAATCTGCTATTGTAGCTTGAAAGAAGTTACAGACAATACATAAATCAGTGAGGATTTTCGTGCCCCAGTAAAATTTTAGTTATGGACACTGAAATTTAAGTATCACATAATTTTCAACTGTAGCAAATATTCTTCTTTGACTTGTTTTGATTATTTAAATATGTAAAAACTATTCTTACATTATGGTCTGTGTACAAACAGGCACCAGGGCATATTTGGTACATGGTCAGTCATCTGCAAACTCCTGCTATAGGAAGCGTAGAACTACTCAGTATTTTTCATCATATGAACATTTCAGACTATTAACCTAGTCAGTGTTATATACAGTATGGACTAGAAAGGGACCAACGCAAAGAGATAAATTAGATATAAGGATATAGTAAATGGAAGCTGAGTAGCTAAGTTTATACCTTATCTCTCTAATATACACTACGCATGTAACCTTGGATAAGACAATTTTTCAGATCCTCAATTTACACATCCATTATGAAGGATAATAATATCTACTTCAAAGCACTTATCTAAAGATTAAATGGGATGATCCATGTAAACTGATTACAATTGTACTCATCGGATAGGAGGTGCTCAATAATGTTAATTAACCACATATATTACTGCTAATGCATATTAAGTCATAATGACAGCCTTAGACAGTGATGAAACATGAACTGAAAAGGTAAAATTAAACATATCTAGGCACGTTTAATAGAACAGAAGAAAAAAAGGAGAAACAGATCCAAATGGATATGGAAATTTTAGTATAACATATGCACATAAAGCTTATTATTTTCTGGAATATCTTTTGGAATGGAAGGGAGGAATTTAAATATAAATTCAAGAATATCATGTGAATATGTTTTAAAAAACTAGATAAGACTTCAAGGACAAAACAGTAAAGTGAGAACAACAAACAGAAAAGGATATAGGTGCTATGTTTAGGGATGGAAGGAAGCAGCAGAGTCAAAACAGAAGCTATAGTAGGAGTAACACGCACAGAATAATTAGTAAAGCAGTTAGACTTCAAGGGCAAAACAGTAAAGTGAGAACAACAAACAGAAAAGGATACAGGTGCTATGTTTAGGGATATAGGTGCTTTGTTAAGGAAGTAGCAGAGTCAGAAGAAAAGCTATAGTAGGAGTAATCCACATAGAATAATCAGTAAAGCAATTCCTATCAGAATAAAATAAATACTTATGAGTGCAAAAGACTGAAAGAAAGTCATCTAAGAGAATCAAATTTAAATGCGATGTAATGATTTCATAAGAAAACACTATTTAGCGGTAAAATCTACTTACTGATACAGCTATCATGGTACTATCTGGCCTCCATTCAGCTTGCTTGTAGGATCCAAACTGAGTAGATGATTTTGCAGGCTCCTTGTAGGTTACAATTAACACACTAGGCTGTGTGATTAAAAAAAAAAAAAAGTTGTATTTTTTATCAATATCTCATAAAAATACACAAATAAAATTTAAGATAACAGAGTATTCAAAGTATTTTTACAGTAAAATAAAAGACAATATTGATATTAAACTATCGGCTTTCAACATTGCAAGCATATCAACCAAAACAAAGACCTAAACCTACGCCTGTATTATTAAAGAAACTGAATTAATAATTAATAATCATCCAAAACAGAAAGAACCAGGACTAAATGTGTTCATAGGTGAAGTCTACCAAACGTTTAAGGGAGAAATTACACCAATTCTTTACAAAGCCTTCCACAAGATAGAAGCAGGAGTACTTCCTAATTTTGAGTCCAGCATTCCCTTAATACCAAAATCAGAAAAGGATATTACATGAAAAGAAAACTACAGGCCAGGCGCGGTGGCTCATGCCTGTAATCCCAGCACTTTGGGAGGCCATGGTGGGCGGATCACAAGGTTAGGAGATGGAGACCATCCTGGCTAACACAGTGAAACCCCGTTTCTACTAAAAATACAAAAAAATTAGCTGGGCGTGGTGGCAGGCGCCTGTAGTCCCAGCTACTCAGGAGGCTGAGGCAGGAGAATAGCGTGAACCTGGGAGGCAGAGCTTGCAGTGAGCCGAGATCACAACAACACTGCACTCCAGCCTAGGTGACAAAGCGAGACTCTGTCTCAAAAACAAAAACAAAAAAACACTACAGATCAACATCTCTTATGAACATAGATATAAAACCTCTCAACAAAATATTAGCAAATCAAATCCAACAAGGTATTAAAAAAAATTAAACACCATAACCAAATACGATATACCCCAGAAATACAAGCCTGGTTCGGCATTCAAAACTCAATTAATATAATCCATCACATCAACAGGCTACAGAAAAATCACATGATTATTTCAATAAACACAGAAAAAGCACTTAACAAATCTAACAACCAAGATAAAAACGCTGAGCAAGGCCGGGCGCCACGGCTCATGCCTGTAATCCCAGCACTTTGGGAGGCTGAGGTTGGCAGATCACCTGAGGTCAGGAGTTTGCGACCAGCCTGGCCAATATGGTGAAACCCCATCTCTACTAAAAATACAAAAATTAGCCCGGTGTGGTGGCAGGCGCCTATAATGCCAGCTATTTGGGAGGCTGAGGCAGGAGAATCACTTGAACCTGAGAGGTGGAGGTTGCAGTGAGCTGAGATTGTGAGACTGCACTCCAGCCTGGGCAAAAGAGCGAGACTCTGTCTCCATAAAACAAAACAAATAAACAAAAAACACTGAGCAAACTACAGAACAACACTCATTCATGATTTTAAAAAAACCTCTCGGGAATAGAAAGAAATTTTTTCAACGTGATAAAGAAGATCTATGAGAAACCTACAGCTCAACGCTTTCCTGCTAAGATCAGGAACAAGGGAAGGATGTCTCCACTCACAGCAGCTTTTCAACAGAATAGTGGAAGTCCCAGCTAATTCAATAAGACCACAAAAAGGAATAAAAGGTAAAGAGATTGGGAAGGAATAAATAAAACTGTCTTTACTCATAGATAATGTGATCATCTATGTAGAAAATTTGACAGAATTGACCCAAAAATCCTCCTAGAATAAGTAACTATAGCAAGGTTACAGGATCCAAGATTAATATACAAAAGTCAATAAATTTTCTATATACCAGCAATAAAAAAGTGGAATTTGTCATTATAAACACATTTGCAGGCCAGGCGCAGTAGCTCATGCCTGTAATCCCTACACTTTGAAAGGCCAAGGCAGGCAGATCACTTAAGGTCAGGAGTTCAAGACCAGCCTGGCCAACATGGTGAAACCCATCTCTACTAAAAATACAAAAATTAGCCAGGTGTGGTTACATCTCTACTAAAAATACAAAAATTAATCCCAGCTACTCAGGAGGCTGAGGCAGAAGAACTGCTTAAACCTGGGAGGTACAGGTTGCAGTGAGCTGAGACTGCGCTACTGCACTCCACCCTAGGCAACAGAAACTGAATCTCAAAAACAAAAACAAAGCTGGGCACAGTGGCTCACGCCTGTAATCCCAACACTTTGGGAGGCCAAGATAGACAAATCACCTGAGGTCAGGAGTTCGAGACCAGCCCGCCAACATGGTGAAACCCCGTCTCTACTAAAAAATTACAAAAATTAGCTGGACATGGTGGCAGTCACCTGTAATCCCAGCTACTCGGGAGAATGTGGCAGGAGAATCGCTTGAACCCGGGAGGCAGAGGCTGCAGTGAGTCAAGACCACACCATTGCACTCCAGCCTGGGTAGCAAGAGTGAGACTCTACCTCCAAAAAAAAGAAACCAAACAAACAAAAACAAAAAATACACACTTGCAGCCTGGGCAACATGGTGAAACCTTGTCTCTACAAACAAAACAATACAAAAATTAGCTGGGCATGGTGGCACACACCTGTAGTCCCAGCTACTCAGGAGGCTGAAGTGGGAGATTGCTCGAGCCTGGGAGGCAGAGGTTGCAGTGAGCTGAGATCATGTCACTGCACTCCAGCCTAAGTGATAGAGTAAGATGCTGTCTCAAAAACATAAAAAATGTAAAAAGCATTTTTAAAAAACTATGTAACACAATACGTTTATCTATAGAAAAAAGTTACAAAACACTAATGAAAGATACCAAAGAAGAGCTAAATAAATGGAGACAGGCTGGGTGTGGTTGTGCATGCCTGTAATCCCAGCACTTTGGGAGGCTGAGGCAGGCAGATCACCAGGTCAAAAGTTTGAGACCAACCTGGCCAACACAGTGAAACCCCATCTCTACTAAAAATACAAAAATTAGCCGGGCGTAGTGGTGTGCACCTGTAGTCACAGCTACTCGGGAGGCTGAGGCAGGAGAATCACTTGAACCCAGGAGACGGAGGCTGCAGTGAGCCAAGACTGCGCCATTGCACTCCAGCTTGGGTGACAGAGTGAAACTCCGTCTCAAAAAAAGAAAGAAAGAAAGAAAGAAAGAAAAAAATAAATGGAGACATATACCATGTTAATGAATACAAAGACTCAATACTGTCACAATATGTCAGTTCTTCCCAACTTGATATACAGATTTAATACAATCTCAATCAAATTCCCAGCAATTTATTTTCTGGCTATCAACAAAGTCACTCTAAAGTTGATACAGAGAGGCAAAAGACCAAGACTAGCAACTTAATACTGGAGAAGACAATGTTGGAAGACCGGCATTACCTGACTTCAAGACTTACTATAAAGCTAAAGTAGTCAAGAAAGTGTGGTATTAACAAAATAATAAACAAATCAATCAATGGAACAGAATAGAGAGCCCAGAAATAGACACACACAAATATATGCCAACTGATCTTTAACAAACAAGGAAAGGAAGTACAACAGAGAAAAGACAGTCTTTGCAATGAATAGTATTCAAACAACTAGACGTCAACATTCACAAAAATAAATACCTGATGAACACAGATGCAAAAGTCCTCAACAAAATGGTAGCAAACCAAATTCAACAATTCATCATGATCAAGTAGGACTGATCCCAGGAATGCAAGGATGGTTCAGCACAGACAAATCAATAAATGTGATATATTACATTAACAGAATAAAAGGCAAAAACCCCATGATCATTTCAGGAGAGGCAGAAAAAGCATTTGACAAAACTCAACATCTATTCTTGACAACAACTCTTAACAAATTAAGAATAGAAAGAATGTAACTCAACACAATAAAAGCCATATATGACAAACCCATAGCTAACACTACTGAATAAGGAAAAGTTGAAATCTTTTCCTCTAATCTGGAATAAGACAAGGATACTATCTTTCACCACTTTTATTCAACGCAGTACTGGAAATCCTAGCCAGAGCAATTAGGCAAGAAAAAAAAAAGAATAAAAAGTATCCAAATTAATTGGAAAGGAGAAGTCAAATTAACACTATTTGCAGGTAACACAATCTTACATATAGAAACCCTAAAGATGCCACCAAAAAAGTGGTAGAACAAAATAATTCAGTAAAGTTGTAGAATACAAAATCAATATACAAAAACCAGTAATGCCTCTATACACTAATAGTGAATTAGCTGAAAAAAGAAATCAACAAAACAATCCCACTTATTAATAGCTATAAAAAAACCCAAAGAACAAAAAATTTAATTGAAGAAGTAAAAGATCACTACAATGAAAACTATGAAACAGTAATAAAATGAAGAAAACACAAATACATGGAAAGATATCCCATGTTTATAGATTGGAAAAATTAATACTGTTAAATTGTCCATATGACCCAAAGTGATCTACAGATCCAATGTAATCCCTACCAAAATACCAATGATATGCCTCACAGCAGTGGAAAACACAAGCCTAAAATTCATACTGAACCACAGAGGACCTCAAATAGCCAAAGCAATCTTGAACAAAAATAACAAAGTTAGTGGAATTACACTACCTGACTTCAAAATATACTACAAAGCTGTATTAACCAAAACACCATGGTACTGGCAATAAAAGCAAATAAAACAATGGAACAAAATAGCCCAGAAATAAATCCATGCTTTTACAGCCAACTGATTTTCAAAAAACAGGTGCCAAGAGCACACATTGGAGAAAGGATAATCTAATAAATGGTGCTGGGAAACCTGGATAGCCACATGCAAAAGAATGAAATTAGACCCTTATCTTACTATACACAAAACTCATTTCAAAATAGATTAAAGAGGCTAGGTGCGGTGGCTCATGCCTGTAATCCCAGCACTTTGGGAGGCCGAGGTGGGCAGATCACTTGAGATCAGGAGTTCGAGACCAACCTGGCCAACATGGCAAAACCCCATCTCTAATAAAAAAAAATACAAAAATTAGCTGGGCATGGTGGCATGCACCTGTAATCTCAGCTACTCGGGAGGCTGAGGCAGGAGAATCACTTGAACCCAGGAGGTGGAGGTTGAAGTGAGCTGAGATCACACCACTGCACTCAAGAATGAAGGACAGGGTGAGACTGTCTCAATAAAAAAAAAAAAAAAAAAAAAAGATTAAAGACTTAAATGTAAGACCCAAAACTATGAAACTACTGGAAGAAAAACATAAAGGAAATGATTCATTATATTGGTCTGAGCAAGGAATTTTTTGGATAAGACCTGAAAAGCACAGGCAACAACAGCAAAAATAGAGGAGGGGCTTCAAGATAGCTGACTAGAGACATCAGCCCTTGCCTCCTTCACAAAAAAAAAACCCAAACAGGGAGGAGTCACACTTTCAACAGAACATCTAAGACACAACACTGGAATTTAGCAGAGAAGTGACAGGAAACACCTAAAGCAAGGAAGAAGAGGGAAGCAAGGTTGTTTGCTTGGCCTTTATCGACCTGGAGCACAGAGCAGATCTCCAGTGTGGGGGAAAGGTAAATGAGAGATACCCAGCAGCTCACACTCCCACCACGGACTCCTGCAACCCTAGCTTACAGAGAGGGGGTCCAGAGACTAGCATAGAGAACTTCTTAGAGACCATGTGATGACACTGCTCCAGAGAGAGAGCTCACACTGGGTCCTGTACCACCTGCATGAGACCTAAACAGTTACAGCATGGTGTCATTTTCAGTCCAGCTCTTAACAGGCTGCATCCTGCCCTTGAGCACAAGAGTCCCTGCATTTCCACATTAGTAAAGCCCTACTAACATTCCCTGCATCCACCTGGGGGCCTACAGTGATGCAATGCCACTTGGACCCAGCAGAGTGGCAGAGTCCCTGGTATTAAAGCATATATAAAATCCTACACTGTGGAGAACAGGCAAGTGCAATGCACTGGGGAGGGTATACTGGGGAGGCTATCACAAGGACAAAAAGAGCCAAAGCGTACACTTCTGAGAGCCTAAACCCTGCTAGCCTGGGGTTGCTGCCACTGACAGTAACCCCATCTCCACTAACAGCAAGACTGCAGCACACTTGAACATGTCCTGAGGACAGAATCTCCCAGCATGCCAGTGTCAATGTTCCTGACACTGCTTGGAGCAAAGCATACCATACCTGCCCCACCCCAGCCTCTGGTGTGAGGCTACTGACACCGACACCAACCCTATCCCCTCTAGTAGCAGGGCCACAGTGGACATGCACATGCCCTGAGGCAAGGCTCTCTCTATCCACTGTTGCTACCTGAGCACTCTACCAGGGGGCCTGAAGACAGGCCCACCTGGCCTGGCACCACATACCCCCAAGGGCCCAAGCATAGAGATTGGAGCATAGAGATTGCCTCACCCTGTCTGCCACTCACACATACGCACTCCTACAGGGAAGCCTGAGAGTCAGCCCACCCAGCCTGATGCTACCATCACAACTACTGCCATAGCCCATACCACATGCACTGCCCAGGGATCCAAGGACCTACCCACTCACCTGGTCATCCACTGCAACCACCAGCACCTAAGCAAGCCATATGGAGGCCTAAGAATCAACCCAATTAAACCTGCTAACACCATGCCTGTGTACCCTGGGGCCGAAGGACAGGCACACAGTCTGCTGCTGCCACCACTGGTGCCCAAGGACTGGCCTACCTAGCATCCCACTGCCCAGGAGAACTTCACCTCAGCCTCTGCTAACAATTGCACCCTAAACCACTGAGGAAATCACAGACACCACTAATGCTATATATGGCTAAAAAGGTCATATGAAAAATACACTACTGCACACACCCAGAATCAAAGACAAGGTGCCCTACCCAACCAACACCACGGATAGATCTTCAGGAAAAAGTCTACCTCTCTGAAAGCCAATCTAAAAAACTGGAAGAAGCAACTGTTACACCAGAGGTACAGACATCAACTTGTAAGTATACAAGTAATGTGAAAAAAAAAAAACAAGAAATTATGACATCTCCAAAGGAACACAATAATTCCCCAGCAACAGATTCTAATAAAAAAGAAATTTATGAAATGCCAGCAACAGGATTCAAAATAATACTAAAGACACTCAGTGAGATAGAGAACACAAAAATACAAAGAAATCAGAAAAACAATTCAAGATATGAATGAAAAATTCACCAAAAAGATAGATATCATAAAAAAGGAACCAAACAGAAATCCTCAAACCGAAGAATTCACTAAGTGGAATAAAAAATACATTCAAGTGCTTCAGCAATGGATGATATCAAGCAGAAGAATGAATTTCAGATTTTTGAAATAACTCAGAAAACAAAACAAGAATAAATAAGAATGAACAAAGCCTACATGACATATGGGACACCATAAAGTGATCTATTTGAATTTTTGGTGTTACAGAAGGCAAAGACAAGATCAAAGGAGCAGAAAAAGAACCAATGGACATTCAGGAGTATTCTATGTAATTACCATTTATTTAGACAGTTTTCTAAGTTCCTCTTGGTATTAATTTCTAGTTTGAGGATTCTACTGTGGTCTAAGAAGACACTTGATATAGTTTTGAGTTTAATTTTTTTTTTCTTTTTTAAGATAGGGTCTATCTCTGTTGCCAGGCTGGAGTGAAGTGGCACAATCATAGCTCATTGCAGCCTTTACCTCCCTGGCTCAAATGATTCTCCCACTTCAGCCTCCCAGAGTTTTAAAATGTTTTGAGACTTGTTTTGTGCATAGCAAAGGAAACAATCCAACAGAGTAAAGAAATAACCTTCCTTTTGAATGGTAGACAATAGTTGCAAACTATGCATCTGACAAGAAACTAAAAACCAGAATATACAAGGAACTCAAACAACTCAACAGTTAAAACAAAACATTCCCATTAAAAAGTGGGCAAAAGACATAAACATTTTTTCAAAAGACATATGGATGGCCAACAGGTACATCAAAAGAGGCTCAACATCACTAATCATCAGGAAAATGAAAATCAAAACCACAAGATATCATCTTAACCCAGTTAGAATAGCAATTATTAAAAAGAAAACATAACAGATGTTGATGAGAATGCAGAGAAAAGGGAACTCCTGTGGTGGAAATATAAATTAGTACAGCCATTACCAAAAACAGTATGAAGATTTCTCGAAAAGTAAAAATAGAACTACCATATGATCCAGCAATCCCACTGTTAGGTATTTATCCAAAAGAAACAAAATAAATACATCAAAGGGATATTTGCACCCCCAAGTTCATAGCCACACTGTTAACATTAGCAAAGATATGGAATCAACCTAAGTGTCCACCAACAGATAATCATTTCAATTGAGTCAGAAAAAACATCTGATAAAACTCAATATCCTTTCATGCTAAAAATACTCAAAAAACTATGAATAGAAGCAAACTATCTCAAGATAATAAAAAGGCCATATATAAAAAACCTATACCTGGCTAGGCATGATGGCTCACAGCTGTAATCTCAGCACTTCAGGAGGCCGAGACAGGTGGATCACCTGAGGTCAGGAGCTCGAGACCAGTCTGAACAACATGGCAAAACCCTGTCTCTACTAAAAATACAAGAAATTAGTCGGGTATGGTGGCGGGCGCCTGTAATCCCAGCTACTTGGGAGGCTGAGGCAGAAGAATTGCTTGAACTCGGGAGGTGGCGGTTGCAGTAAGCCGAGATCACACCATTGCACTCCGGCCTGGGCAACAGAGCAAGAAAAAACCACTACCACTACCACCACCACCACCACCATCACCACCACCACCACCACCACCACCACCACCACCACCCACCCCCACACACACAAACAAAAAACAAACAAACAAAAACAAAAAACAAAACAACAACTTGTAACCAGCATCAAACTCAATGGTGAAAAGATGGAAAGCTTTTCCTCAAAGGTCAGAATTAAGACAAAGATGCCCATTCTTACCACTTCCATTCAACGTAATACCTAAAGCCCTAGCCAGAGCAATCAGCAAGGAAATGAAATAAAATAAATCTAACTTGGAAATGAATAAGTAAAATTATATGTTTGAAGATGACATGATCTTATATGTAAAGACTCTAAAGATTCCACAACAACAACAAACCTGTTAGAATGAATGAATTCAGGAAAACTGCAGAATACAAAATCAACACAGAAAAATCAGCAAACCGTAACATCAAAAAGAATAAAGTACTTAGGACTAAACCTAACCAAGCAGGCAAAAGACTTCTACAGTGAAAACTGCAAAATATCACTGAAAGAAATTAGACACAAATAAATGAAAAGATATCCTCTGTTCATGGATTAGAAAATTTAATATTGTTAAGATGTCAATACTACCCAAAGCAATCTACATAGTCAATGTAAGTCCTTTCAAAATCCTAACAGCATTTTTAGCAGAAACAGAAAAATCCATCCTAAAATTCATATGGATTCCCAAGAGACCTCGAATAGACAAAACAAACTTGAAAATAACAAAGTTGGACGTCTCACATTTCCTGACATCAAAACTTACTAGAAGACTACAGCAATCAAAATACTGTCGTACTGGCACAAGGATACACATATAGACCAACAGAATAAAACACAGAGTCCAGAAATACACTCTTGCATAAATAGTCAAATTATTTTCCACAAGGCTACCTAGACCATTCAAAGGGGAAAAGGAAAGAAAGTCTTTTCAACAAACAGTGCTGGGAAAACTGGATATCCACATGTAAAAAAATAAAGCTGGACCCTTATCTTATACTATATACAAAAATTGTCTCAAAGTGATCAAAACTCTAAACAGAAGACCTCACCCTATAAAACTCTTAGAAGAAAACACAAGCCAAAAACTTCATGACTTTGGATTTGAAAACAATTTCTTGGATATGATACTGAAAGCACAGGCAACAAAAAAAAATAGGTAAGACAGACTTCATCAAAATTGAAAATGCTGTGCATCAATGGCTACTACAAAGAGAGTAAAAATGTAACCCTTGAAACAGAAGAAAATACAGTCACGTGTCACTTTAACAAGAGGGGATAAGTTCCAAGAAATGCATCACTAGGCAATTTTGTCATCATGTGAACATCACAGTGGGTACTTAACACAAACCTAGACGTTATGGCCTACTACACACCTTGGCTATAAGGTATACCCTATTGCTCCTAGGATACAAGCCTATATAGCATATTACTATACTGAATACATAAGCAATTGTGCCATAATGGTAAATATTTCTATATCTAAATACTTCTAAACATAGAAAAAGTAATGCATTACACTATATAAAATTTCTATTGTCACTAGGCAAGAAGAATTTTTCAGCTCCATTAGAATTTTATAGGGCCACCATCATATAATGCAGTCTGTTGACAGGAACATCTCAAACTGCCATTACATGGAGCATAACTGTATTAGAAACCACATATCTGATAAAGGATTATACCCAGAATACATGAAGCGTTACAACTCAACAAAAAATAACCCAAGAAAAACAATGGGCAAAGAACTTCAACGGACACTTTCAAAGAAGGCATACACATGACTTACAAGTACATAAAAGATGCTCGACATTAATAACCATTAGGAAAATGCAAACCAAAACCATGACATACCACATTGGACCCAATGGAATGGCAATCATCAAAACAACAGAAAACAAGTACTAGCAAGGATGTGAAGAAACTGGAACCACTGTATTGCTGGTAAGAATGTAAAATGATGTACACTGTGGAAACACAGTATGTGGCAATTTCTTAACATTAAAAAAAAAAGCAAAATTTCTCAAAAAAAAAAAAAACCTATAGAATAACCAAATGAAACAGCAGGTCCACTTCTGGGTATGTACCCAAAAGAAGTAAAGCAGGGATCTGGATATTTGTCTACCCATGTTCACAGCAGCATTATTCACAATATCCAAGAGGTAAAAGCAGCCCATGTGTCCATCAACAGATGAATGAATAAAACAAAATGCAGTATGTACATATACAATGGAGTATCATTCAGCCTTAAGAAGGAAGGAAATTTTGGTACATGCTACAGCATGGATAAAACTTAAGACATGCTGAGTGCAATAAGTCAATCACAAAAAGACAAATAGTGTGTGGTTCCACTTGTCTGAGGTACCCACACAAATCAAATTCATAAAGACAGAAAATACAATAGTAGTTTCCAGGGACTGATGGGATGAGAAAACCAGGAATTACCATTTACAGGGTACGAAGCTTCAGTTTGGGAAAATGAAAATGAAAGTTCTGGATACTGATGGTGGTAATGGTTACATGATAATGTGAATGTACTTAATGCTGCAGAACTTTGCGAAGTATATATCTGCTAAATAATTTGTATCAAGACATATAAAGAACTCTTACAACTGAATAATAAGAGAAATATTCCACTTAAACAAAAATGGTCTGGGCATCATGGCTAATACTTGTAATTCCAACACTTTCGGAGGATAGCCTGACGATGGGAGTTTAAGACCAGCCTGGGCAACTTATGGAGACCCTGTCTCTACAAAATTTTTAAATAAGTGAGGCATGCTGTTGGGCATCTGTAGTCCCAGCTACTAGGGAGGCTGGGGTGGAAGGATCACTTGAGCCCAAGAGTTCAAGGCTGCAGTGACCCAAGATCAGATCACTGTTTTTTTTTTAAATGGACAAAGGATTTGAATAGATAATTAACTACATAGGTATAGCGAAATGGCTAATAAGATATATAAATGGAATAAGATATATAAATAGCTAATAAGCAAATGAAATCATGCCAAACATTTTTTAGTCATTAGAAAAACACCAAATTAAAGCCACAAATAAGACACCACTACAAACCCTCTAGAACGGGTGTGGAGAAACAGAAACTTCCATACATTATTGGTGGGGTTGTAAAATGCTACAGTCACTTTGGAACAAAGTTTTGCACTTTACCAATAAGTTAAACTTGCCATATGACTTAGTAGTTGCACTCCTAGGTATCTCTCTAGAAGAGTAACATTTATCCACACACAGACATGTATACAAATGTTTACAGCAGTATTACTCACAATCATTCAAAATGAGAGTATTATTCACAATGACTCAAATACCTGTCAACTGGTGAATGGAGATAGAAATGCGGCATATGCAAATAATGGAAAAATATTCAGCAACAAAAAGGAATACTACCACATGGACATAGAGTGTGGAATAACAGATACCAGACTCAGAAGGATGAGAAGGGGATAAAGGATAAGAAGTTACTTATGTGTACAATGCACATTCTTTAGCTGATGATTACACTAAAAGCCCAGACTTTACCACTGTGCAATATGTCCCTGTAAAAAAACTGCACTTGTATCCCTTAGTTTACACACATTTTGAAAAAAGAAATATTATGACCTGGATGCACCTCAAAAACATTATGCTAAATAAAAACCAAACACAAATGACCATATACCATATGATTCCAATGATATGAAAATTCTAGGAAAGCTAAATCAAATGGACAAAAAGTAGGCCAAGGTTTTCTAAGGCTGGAATGGGAGAAGAGGTTGATGACAAATGGGCATAGTACTTTTTAAGGCTGATATAAATGTTCTAAAACTAGACTGTGATTATGGATGCACAACACTATAAATTTACTAAAAATCAATGTACACTTAGATGTATTTTTATGCACCTCAAAGCTCTTAAAAATTTAAACCATAGCAAATTCTACAGTATTATCTACAATAATATCCAAATTTTCATAGGTAAATTTTTGTATGATTTATGGTTGAAATAAGGTAAACTACTTGGGGGACAGTAGATTTGTGACAGCAACTCAAAGGAAAGCAATTGTAACTTAAAGGTAAGAAACCTCTCTGATTCCAACCAATTGATGCCTGCTCATGAGTAAGAAATCTGAACGAAGAAACTGTCTCATTTTGTGGCAGGTGTAAATTCCAAAATATTTTTAAATTGTAAATTTATTTTATTTTTTCTGATTAAATAAATTGCCTAACAAACTAATACAGGTGGAACACTTTAATGCAGGTCCTATATCACCATTTTAGATGACATACAAATACTGAAGTAAACAATCACATAGGAAAAAAATCTTTTTTCAACTCCTCTTCAATCTTTTTTATTTACGTAAGGAGAGTATCTAAATGAGGTGCTAGTTTATTTTTAAGCACCTTGCATAAAAAGGGCTAATTGCCCTTTTTAATAAAGGAGTAATTATGAGTTTGGCAGGAAACCATATTTTTCATAACTTTTTTTTTGAGAAAGGGTTTCACCCTGTCATCCTGGCTGGGTTGCCATAGTGCAATCATGGCTCACTGCAGCCTCAACCTCCTAGGCTCAAACTACTCTGTAGTTCATCAAAATTTAAATAGTATACAGTCATTCATATAGAATCACTCAAACTCCTGGTTCTCAGTATGTGTTTATATTGACATGATCTATGAAAAAAAGAAAGCCATAGAAGAAAAAGCAGTATAAACAAATTTAAAAGGAGATTTTAGTCATCTTCATGTGTTTATGAATCAAGACATCCCAGGCTCAAACAATCCTCCCACCTCAGCCACCAGATTAGCTGAGACCACAGGCATGCACCACCATGGCCAGCTGATTTTTTTATTTTTATTTTTTATAGAGATGGGGGTCTCCCTATACTGTCCAGACTGGTCTTGAACTCCTGGGCTCAAGTGATCCTCCCACCTAGGCCCCCAAAAGTGCTGAGGTTACAGGTGTGAGCCACCATGCCCAGACTTATAAAATTGTTTTTATTGTATTCCTTCATAATATCTTCTATTCATAAAAATGGTACTAGATTTCCATTTATGGTAAAAGTATAAATTCATTTATTTTGAAAGAGACTTTCAAGTTTAAAAGTTACAATGAATAGGTAGTATGAGAACAGGCCAAAAGTCATGAATGAGAAATAAAAAGAACTTAAATTTGGGAAACTTTGCTTACTATGATGTAAAATACCTAGTCCACAGTAAACTCCAAATAAATATTTAACTATAATATGGATTATGTTAATGATTCATAAACACCTGAAGATGACTGCCCGGCAGTGGCCAGGCAGAACCCACTATGGCCCTGTGGTAGTGGTGGCCACAGAGGCAGATTCTCCTCTGCCTGTGGACAGGGGAAAAAGTGGGAAGAATTTTGTGTTACGGTTTGAGTGCCTGCTTAGCCACAACAGAACAGAATATCAAACAAATTGCTAAGAATTTTGACTCTAATCCCTGGCTTCCAGACAGCATTTCTGGACTGGCCTGGGGTTTGGGGAATGAGACACTCTGAAGGGAAGGACATAAACCTGGCTGGCTTCACCACCTGCTGATGGTAGAGCCTTAGGGCCTTGAGTGAACATAGGTGGTAGCCAGGTGGTGGTGACAGCAGGCCTTGGATGAGACCCAGTGCTCTGCTGGCTTCAGGTCTAACCCAGCTTAGTTTCAGTGGTGGTGGCAACAGGGGTGCTTGCATCAACGCATGAACACATCCCTAGTTCCAGGAGACTCAGCACAGAGAGAGACTCCATTTGTTTGGAAGAAAGTAACAGAAAAGAACAAGAGTCTCTACGTGGTAATCCAAATAATTCTTCCAGATTTTATCCAAGACCACCAAGGCAGTACCTCTGAGTCTGCAAAAACCTCAGCATTATTGGGCTTGGGGCCCAAGTCCCTTCGAATAACTGGAAAGACTTCTCAAAAAGGACAGATACAAACAAGCCCAGACTGCAAAGACTACAATAAATACCTACCTCTTTGATGCCTACACACCAATGAACATCTACAAGCATCAAATCAAGATCATCCAGGAAAACATGACCCCACCAAATGAACTAAGTAAGGCAGGGACCAATCCTGGAAAAACAGAGATAGATATGTGACCTTTCAGGCAGGAATTCAAAATAGCTATGTTGAGGAAAGTCAAAGAAATTGAAGATAACACAGAGAAGGACCTCAGAATTCTATCACATTTTAAACAAAGAAATTTAAATTTTTAAAAATCAAGCAGCAATTCTAAAGTTGAAAAATGCAACCAACAAACTGAAGAATGCATCAGAGTCTCTGAAAAGCAGAATTGATCAAGCAGAAGAAAGAATTAGTGGGCTTGGAGACAGGCTACTTGACAATATAGTCAGAGGAGACCACAAAAGAAAAAAGAATAGAAAACAGTGAAGCATGCCTAAAAAATAGCATGAAAAGGGCAAATATAAGAGGTATTGGCCTTAAAGAGGAAGTAGAGAAAGAGACCGGAGTAGAAAGTTCATTCAAAGGGATAAGAGAGAACTTCCCAAACCTAGAGAAAGATATCTGCATTCAAGTATGAGAAGGTTACAGAACGCCAAGCAGATTTAACCTAAAGAAGAGTACCTCATGGCGGCCGGGCGCGGTGGCTCATGCCTGTAATCCCAGCACTTTGGGAGGCCGAGGCGGGCAGATCATGAGGTCAGGAGATCGAGACCATCCTGGCTAACACAGTGAAACCCCATCTCTACTAAAAATACAAAAAATTAGCCGGGTGTGGTGGTGGGCGCCTGTAGTCCCAGGTACTCAGGAGGCTGAGGCTGGAGAATGGCGTGAACCCAGGAGGCAGAGCTTGCAGTGAGCTGAGATGGCACCACTGCACTCCAGCCTGGGTGACAGAGCAAGACCCCGTCCAAAAAAAAAAAAAAGAAGACTACCTTATGGCATCTATAAACAAACTCTCAAAGGATAGTTTCTTTATCAAGGATAAAGAAAGATCCTAAAAACGGCAAGAGAAAAGAAACAAATAACATACAATAGAGCTCCAATATCTCTGACAGCAGACTCTTCAGTAAAAATCTTACAGGCCAGGAGAGAGTGGCACAATATGTTGAAAGTGCTGACAAAAAAAACAAACAAAAGCATTTACCTTAGAACAGTATATCCAGTGAAAATATCCTTCAAGCATGAAGGAGAAACAAAGACCTTCACAGACAAAAAATGCTGAGAGAGTTCATCAACACTGGATCTGCCCTCAAGAAATGCTAAAGGGAGTTGTTCAATCTGAAAGAAAAGAGTATTTAATGACCAAGAAGAAACCATCAGAAGGTACAACTCGCTGGTAATAGTAAGCACACAGAAAAACACAGAAGAGTATAACTCCTTCTACTTGAGTAGTTTACACAGCACAATTACACTCTTATTCTGTAACTTCAAATAAATAACCTAACAATGATTCTTATTTTATAAGTGTTATTGTAGTGTGTAAACTACTCTTAAGTAGAAAGACTGATGAAACGAACCAATAAAGAATAACGACAACTTTTCAAGACATAGTACAGTAAGACATAAGGAGAAACAACAAACAAAAAAGTTAAAAAGCAGAGGGATGAAGTTAAAGTGTAGAGGGATGAAGTTAAAGTGTAGAGTTTTAATTACACTTTTAATTACACTTTAAACACTTTGTGTGTGTTTGACTGCTTATACAATCAGTGTTAAGTTGTCGTGAGTTTAAAATAATGGGTTATAAGACAGTACTTGCAAGTCTCACAGTAAACTCAAATCAAAAAACACAACAGATACACAAAACATAAAAAGCAAGAAATTAAATCATAGCACCAGAGAAAACCACCTTCACTAAAAGGAACACAGCAAGTAAAGAAAGAACGAAGACCACAAAACAACCAGAAAATATATATCAAAATGGCAGAAGTCCCTACTTATCAATAATAGCATTGAATACAAATGGACCAAACTCTCCAATCAAAAGACAGAGAGTGGGTGAATGGATGAAAAAACAAGATCCACTGATCTGTTGCCCACAAGAAACACACTTCACATACAAAGGTATGCATAGACTGAAAATAAGGGGATGAAAAAGATATTACATGCCAATGGAAACCAAAAGAGCAGGAGTAATTATATAAATACTGACAAAATAGATTTCAAGACAAAAATTGTGAGACAAAGAATGTCATTATATACTGAGAAAAGAGTCAATCCAGCAATAGAATATAACAATCATATGTACATATGCACCCAACACACCCAGATATACAAAGCAAACATTATTAGGGCTAAAGAGAGAGCTAGACCTCAATATGATAGCTGGAGACTTCAACACCTCACTTTCAGCACTGAACCCAACTCCCAGACAGAAACTCAACAAAGAAACATCGGACTTAATCTGCACTATACAACAAATGGACCTAACAGATATTTATAGAACATTTCATCCAAAGGGTGCAGAACACACATTCTTTCCCTCAGTACATGGATCACTTAAGGATTGCTCATATGATAGGTCACAAATCTTAAAATATTCAAAAAAACTGAAATAATATCAAGCATCTTCTCTCATAATAGAGTTAAACTAGAAATCAATAAGAACAATTCTGGAAATCATATAAACACTTGGAAATTAAACAATATGTTCCTGAATGACCAATGGGTCAGTGCAGAAATTAAGAAGCAAACTGAAAACTTTATTGAAACAAATGATAATGGAAACACAACATATCAAAAGTTATGGGAGACAGCAAAAGCAGTATTAACAGAGAAATTTATAGCTATAAGTATTACACCATAAAAGAAGAAAAATGGCCGGGTATAGTGGCTCATGCCTGAATCCTAGCACTTTGGGAGCCGAGGTGGGCAGATTGCTTGAGCTCAGGAATTTGAGAACAGCCTGGGAAACATGGTGAAATCCTGTCTCTACAAAAATTAGCTGGGCACGGTGGCATGCAACTGTAGTCCCAACTATTTAGGGGGCTGAGGTGGGAGGATCACATGAACTTGGGAGGTTGAGGCTACAGTGAGACGAGATTGCACCACTGCACTCTAGCCTGGAGAATAAAGAGAGACCCTGTCTCAGAAAACAAGAAGAAAAACTTCAAATAAATAACCTAATGATGCCTCTTAAACAACAAGAAAAGCAAGAGCAAACAACCCAAAATTAGTAACAGAAATAATAAAGATGGAGCAGAAATAAATTAACTTGAAATGAAGAAAATAATGCAAAAGACCAAAGAAACATAAAGTTGCTTTTTAGAAAAGATAAACAAAATTGACAAACCTTAAAAGAGAAAACCAAAATAAATAAAATCAGAGATAAGAAAGGAGATATTACAATTGATACCGCAAAAATTCAAACGATCATCACAAACTACTATGAGCAACTATATGCCAATAAACTGGAAAATCTAGAGGAAATGGATAAATCCCTAGCACATACAACCTACCAAGATTGAATCATGAAGAAATTCAAAACCTGAACAGACTAACAACAGTGAGATTGAACCTGTAATAAAAAGTCTCCCAGTAAAGAAAAGCCCAAGACCTAGTGGTTTCACTGCTCAATTCCAACAAACATTTAAAGAAGAACACCAATACTACTGAAACTGTTCTGAAAAATACAGGAGGAGGGAGTACTTCTAAACTCATTCTATGAGGCCAGGATTACCCTCATACCAAACCCAGACAAAGACACATCAATAAAGAAAACTACAGGTCAATATTTCTGATGAACACTGATGTGAAAACCCTCAACAAAATACAAGCTAATGAGATTCAACAATATATTAAAAAGATCATTCATCATGAACAAGTGGTATTTATTCCAGGGATGCAAGGATGGTTCAACATATGCAAATCAATCAATGTGATACATCATATCAACAGAATGAAGGACCAAAACTATATGATCATTTCAACTGATGCTGAAAAAGCATTTCATAAAAATTCAACATCCCTTCATAAAAACCCTAAAAAAACTGGGTATAGAAGGAACATACCTCAACATAATAAAAGCCATATATAACAGACCCATAGCTAGTATCATACTGAGTATGTAAAAACCGAAAGCCTTTCCTCTAAGATCTGGAACACGACAAAGATGCCCACCTTCACTATTGTTATTCAACACAGTACTGGAAGTGTCCATCAACAGATGGATGGATAAAGAAAACATGGTACTTGCACATAATGGAGTACTATTCAGTTACAAAAAAAATGAGATCCGGTCATTTACAACAACATGGATGGAACTAGAGGTCATTATGTTAAGTGCAATAAGCAAGGCATAGAGAGACAAACATCGCATGTTCTCACTTATTTGTGGGATCTACAAATCAAAACAATTGAACTAATGGTGATAAAGAGTGGAAAGATGATTACCAGAGGCTGAGAAAGGTAACTGGGGGGATAGGAAGGGAGGTGGGAACGGCTAATGGGTACAAAAAAAGAGAATGAGTATGACCTAGTATTTGATAGCACAACAGGGTGACTACAGTCAAAATAATTTAATTGTATATTTTAAAATAACTATGAGTACATATGGATTGTTTGGAACATGAAGGTTAAATGCTTGAGGGGATGAATACCCTATTTTTCATGAACTGATTGTTACAAATTGCACGCTAGTATCAAAATATCTCATGGCTGGGTATAGTGGCTCATGCCTGTAATCCCAGCACTTTGGGAGCCCGAGGTGGATGGATCACTTGAGCTCAGGAGTTCAAGACCAGCGTGGGCAACATGGTGAAATCCCATCTCTATAAAAAATTACAGAAAAAAAAAAATTAGCCAAGTGCAGTGGGGCACACCTGTAGTCCCAGCTACTTGGGAGGCTGAAGCAGGACAGCTGCTTGAGCCCAGTAGGCAGAGATTGCAGTGAGCTGAGATTGTGCCACTGCACTCCAACCTGGGCAACTGAAGTGAAACCCTGTCTCAAAAACAAACAAACAAACAAAAAAATCATAAATATATACCTACTGTGTTCTCACAAAAATCAAAACACTAAAACTTAAAAAAAAATTGCTGTGCCACACGTATGACAAATACCTTAAATTCATTAATATTAAAAATGTTTATTAAACATCTTCCTTGTACAAGGCACTATAGATAATACAAATTAAGATAGTTTCTGTGCTCCAGAAACTTATAATCTAGCTGGAGAAATAAAGCATAAGTGCAAAACTTACGATATAAAGCAGTAGTTCAAAGGAAAAAGCAAAATTGTCTCTGAAGATGACATAATCTTATATTTAGAAAAACCTAAAAACCACCAAAAAATTTAGAACTAAGAAATGAATTTAGTAAAGTTGCAAGATATAAAATCAATATACAAGAATAAGTTGTGTTTCTACACAAGAACAATGAGTATCTAAAAAATAAATTAAGAAAACATGGCTGGGAGTGGTGGCTCACACCTATAATCCCAGCACTTTGGGAGGCTGAGGCAGGCAGATCAACTGAGGTCAGGAATCGATACCAGCCTGGCCAACATGGTGAAACCCTGTCTCTACTAAAAATACAAAAATTAGCCGGGTATGGTGGCAGGCACCTGTAATCCCAGCTACTCAGGAGGCTGGGGCAGGAGAATTGCTTGAACCCAGGAGGCAGAGGCTGCAGTGAGTTGAGATCGCTCCATTGCACTCCAGCCTCGGTGACAAGAGCGAGACTTTGTCTAAAAAAAACAGAAAAAGAAAAAGAAAACAATACCATTTATGGTAGCTCCAAAAAACTAAATACTTAGAATACATTTAACCGCCACTAAACACCATAAAATGCTGATGAAATAAACTGAAGAAGGTACAAATAAATGGCTGGATATCTTATGTTCATGGATTGGAAGAATTAATATTGTTAAAATGTCCCTACTATCCAAACCAATCTATGGATTCAATGCAATCTCTATCAGAATTTCAATGATATTTTCACATAAACAGAAAAACAATCCTAAAATTTATACAAAACCACAATAGCCCATGAATAGCCAAGGCCATCTTGAGAAAGAACAACAAAGCTGGAAGTGTCACATTACCTGTGTGTTAGTCCATTTTCACACTGCTATAACAAACTTCCCTGAGATTTGGTAATTTATAAAGAAAGGTTGAATAGATTCAGTTCCATAATGGCTGGTGAGGCCTCAGGAAACTTACAATCATGGCAGAAGGGGAAGCAGGCACTTGTTACATGCTGGCAGGCAAGAGAGAGACAGAGCGTGTAGAAGGAACAGTCAAACACTTATAAAACCATCAGATCTCGTGAGAACTTACTATCACAAGAACAGCATGAGGAAAACTCCCGCTATGATCTAATGACCCCCTACCAGGTCCTGCCCTCCATACATGGGGATTATGAGGATTACGATTAGAGATGAAATTTGGGTGGGGAAATAGAGCCAAACCATATCAACCTGATTTCAAAGTATATTACAAAGCTATAGTAATCAAAATAGTATGGTACTGACATAAAAAGAGATACATAGACCAATGCAACAGAATGGAGTCCAGAAATAAAACCACGCATGCATATATAGTCAATCTTTCACAAAGTGCTAAGAATGGAGAAAACACATCTTGCAACACTGACTTTTCAACACCATAGTGTTAGAAAAACTGGATATCCACATGCTAAGGAAGGAAACTGGACCCTTATCTTACACTATCAACTCAAGAAGGATTAAAGACGGAGGGGGAAGGAAGGATGGTTAATGGGTACAAAAAATAGAAAAAATGAATAAGGACTGGGTGTGGTGGCCCATGCTTGTAATCCTAGCACTTTAGGAGGCTGAGATGGGCAGATCACTTGTGTCCAGGAGTCTGAGACCGGCCTGGGCAACACAGCAAGACCACATCTCTTCAAAAAATTAACTAGGCATGGTGGCATGCATCTGTACTCCCAGCTACTCAGGATGCTAAGGTGGGAGAATTGCTTGAGCCCAAGAGGTCGAGGCTGCAGTAAGCCATGATCATGACTCTGTACTCCAGAGTGACAGAGTGAGACCCTGTCTCAAAATAATAATGGTGATGATGATGAATAAAATCTAGTATTTGATAGTACAACAGGGTGACTATAGTCCTGTATCAAAATATCCCATATACCCCACAAATACACAGATCTACTATGTACCCACAAAAATTAAAATAAGAAGAAGGATCAAAGACTTAAATGTAAAACCTGAAACCATGCAAATCCTAGAAGAAAACAGGGGAAAAACACCCTGACATCTGTTTTCACGATGGTATTTTGGATGACATGGAAAGCACAGGTGACAAAAGCAAAAATAAACAAGTAGGATTACATGAAATTAAGTTATTGTACAGTAAAGAAAACAATCAACAAGATAAAAAAGCAACCTATGGAATAGGAGAAAATATCTGCAAACCATACATCTAAAAGGGGGCTAATATTCAAGATATGTAAGGAACTCATACAACTCAGTACCGAGAAAAAAACAAAACAGATAACCTAATTTAAAAATGGACAAGAGATCTGAACAGATGTTTTACCAAAAAACAGCCAATGGCCAATAGGTGCTCAATACACTAATCATCAGGGAGATGCAAATCAAAACCATAAGATACCTCACACCTGTTAGGATATCTATTATCAAGAAGTTAAATCATAACAAGGTCGGCAAAGACGTGGAGAAAAGGGATCCCCTCCCTGTACACTATTGACGGGACTGCAAAATGGTACAGTCATGATGGAAAACAGAAGTTCCTCAAACTAAAAACAGGACTACCACATGATCCAACAATCCTACTTCTAGGTATATATCCAAAGGAATTGAAATCAGTATCTCAAAGAGATATCTGCACTTTCATATTCATTGCAGCATTATTCAAAGTAGCCAAGATACAGAAACAACCTAAGTGTCTGTCAATAGATGAATGGATAAAGAAAATGTAACACACACACATACACACATAAAATATTATTCAGCCTTTAAAAAACAAGGAAATCCTGCCATCTGCAACAACATGGACAAAACTTAAGGACAGTATACTAAGTAAGCAAGACAAAAAACAACTTCATGATCTCATATATGGAATATAAAGACGTCAAATTCATAGGAACAGAGAATAGAACGATGATTACCAGGGGCTGGGAGGTGGGTGAAATGGGAGTATTTCAGTCAAAGGTACAAATTTTCAGGTATAAGATGAATACGTTCTGGGGACCTAATGCATGGCCCAGTAACTATCGTTAATAATGACATTTATTTCCATAATTAACATATATTGTATACTTGAAATTTGCTAAGAGAGTAGGTCTTAAGTGTTCTCATCCCACATACAAAAAAAGAGGGAGCTGTGTGAGATGGTGGATCTGTTAATTAGACTGATTGTGATTATCAACTCACAGGGTAGATCTAAGTATCGCACAGCACACCTTAAATATATACAATTTTTATTTGTCAATTATACCTCAACAAAGCTGGCAGTAGTGGGGAAGCAGTAGTTCATCAGAAAAATGAACACTTATGGTTACGGTAGGTAAAGAATGACTCATAAAGAAAGGATTTCAACAGCAGTTAAAGGATAGATAATACTCTGACAGGCAGAAATGAGGCAAGAGAGCATTCCAAGAAGGGAGTGTCTGTGATATCAAACTAAGGAGTTTGAACTCCATTCTTTCATCAACAGTGAACCCTAGAAGACTTCAGAGCAGTGAATTTATAAAGAAGGCTCTCTGGAGAAAGTAATAGAGTTAAAAGGGTGAGAAATGGGAATGCTGGGAAAATACAAATAAAATGGTCTTCCTGAGGTCAACACAGTTAATCACATACCTGATCCAAAGCTTGGTTCTTTTGACATATCATTGTTTTTTTCCATGATTAGCACATACCAATGGGAACTAAGTTTTTGCTCAGGATTACTAAACGACATATAATTTATTTTATAAGCCTAGTAATTATTTGCCCATTTCAGCTTTTTATTAGCTACCTACAACAGTGATATCTCACAAGATTTATATTAACACACTAACATCTAACACACTAACATATAACATGTCTCTTCATCCCTTTTATACACATCTGTCTTTTACAGTTGATGTTCAAAAATACTTCTGAAGCTAATTTAAATGTTTAAAGTCGGTGACCTGAAAAACGAGAATGTCTATACATCTAATTTAGAATGGCTAAATTCAAAGATACCATTCTGATGTTCACATATATAGACTTTCATAGTCACAGTTAGTATATTAAAGGAATAATTCTGGGCCCTCAGTACAGTACAAAATGTAATTCATCTCACACTACACCTACGTCAATCATAAATCATAACCTACCTTATGCAACAGTTTCATCCTCAAAGCTGAAACTAGTCCTTTTACAATAACCTTAGCAGAAATGTACCAACTGCCCCCAGTCAAGTTCTACCTCTACCACCCCAATCTAGCCTACACATACTGAGCCTTTTTTTAACACCATTTGGGGGGCTCCAAAATATAATATTGGGGCTCCAATATAAAAAAGCTAAGTAACTATCTAGAGGCTCTTTTGTTCATAAACAACACTATACTGTATTTCTCAAATTTGGGGTAGGAAATAATTCTGAAGAGATATGAGTCTAAACAGTGGAATTCCGAATACCTACTTAGAATAGAGGACAGTAGGTATAAGTAGTACATAAAAGTTCATTAGAAGACCCATATAATGTACAGTTAGAGATTTTAATAGAGATTCAGTCTTATGAATTATCACTGTACACATACAATTTCCACAATTCTTTTGAACATTGAAACAACCAGCTTAGACTACTAAACGACTGTCCCTTCCACAAGGCTAGTTGTCTCTTTTTAAAATATATCACTCCTAAGAGAGCCTGATTTACTAAGTGAGCCCTAACAAAATTTCAGGTAAGCAAATCTTGTTTTATCATCTCTACGAGCATGTCTCCCTGCCTTCAAATGCCCTCAAGCAGCTGTAAGACTTCAACTCTGTAAAATCCTGTAGATCTTCACATATTATTATAAAACTACTTGTATCTACAGCCTCTCAAAAATCAAAGCTTTTAGCAGCTCCATGAGAACTTTTTAAACCAATTCACTCTAAATTATGGAAGTATAACTGATAGCCCTTTAATTTACCTAAAGGCATTTTCACTTTTAAATGAAGTTTGTTAACCTAATTAACTTACATACTTTCAGGAAGTTTACAAATTAGAAAATCAAAATGAAAACTTTCATACAGAGTAAGAAAGGGCATATCCCAGGAAGAGAAGATTGGAAGCTGGAGTCTAGCATATGTATCCCACTCACCTAGGCATGTAATCATACACCTTATAATCACTTGGTTCAATATTTGATTTTTTTTTTTTTTTTTTTTTGAGACAGAGTCTTGCTCTGTCGCCAGGCTGGAGTGCAGTGGTGGGATCTTGGCTCACTGCAACCTCTGCCTCTTGGGTTCAAGCGATTCTCCTGCCTCAGCCTCCCGAGTAGCTGGGGCTATAGGCGTGCACCACCACGCCCAGCTATTTTTTTGTATTTTTAGTAGAGACGGGATTTCACCATGTTGGCCAGGATGGTCTCGATCTCTTGACCTCGTGAATATCTGATTTTTTTCAGTGACAACAAAGCTGGTGCCCAGAGACCAAGGTTAACCACTCATACTACAGTACTATACAGCCTCCTCTAAGGTATTCCTGCATTTCATTTCACTCCAGACCTCTAAACCCATGGGTTCCCTACAGCCTAACTTTTGCACAACAGAACTTAATAGTAGGGGTCCCTGGACTTCTGTGGAAAAAGGAAGTTGCATGTGAGGTGGGAATTTGAAAGAAGAGTATGAATAGTTTAAATTCCAGAACTGCCTTGGATTTCTAGATGTCGTATGTAACTCCAAAACCAAACAATAGACATGCTTAAGAATATTCACAATGTCCCTAAATTAAAGCATATGTTTATGCTTCTCTTATGGGGGAATAAAGTGGTTTACAGGCTTCTGGTCAATTCATAGGTCATATTGTTTACTTTTATTTAAAATTAAGTTAGGTCTGCCTTTTTAAAGGTAAGAAAAGTTAAATTTTAGACGAAAGTCTAAATTTGTTACATTCAAAAGGAATTATGTATTAAATTCAAAAGACAATTTAAATTCAAGTTCTATTTTTTTCTGCATGTGCTTTAAAGTTGAGTTATATACACCTAAACAAATTAAAAATTATTCAACTGGCATATACATTGTAAACGAATATCTCATTTAGGAACCAGATGATACTTTATATATATTTACACATATGTTTATATATATACACACACACATACATACATATATATTCAAAATACAATCAGGCACTAGACAAAATAGTCATATTGTTGGTATTACGATTTTATAAGTTTGTTTTGTTCTGATTTGCATTTGAAAATTAGATCAGCCAAAACTTGATGGCAAATAGTCTGATTTACAGCCCAACTATGACAGTCAAAGGAGACACCAGAATTACCCGTCACTAAATCCCATCACCAGTATTACCAGGGAAGTGGGTGAGGACTGTCAAGGGCATTACAGGTAATGGAACAGCAACACACAAAGATTTGGGGATTTTAACAAACTAAAACCAGTATTTCACGAACACCTAATAAGGACAAGATCACAACCTATCCCCACATGGTCAAATTAACTTGGAAAGGAGAAAAACTTCACTCTGACATCGATTGGTACTGCCTTCTTTGGGGAGGAAAAAAAGCATTTTTATACTCTGAACTCTGTCGTTCTCATAGACAAAGTTATAGCAGTGTTTGCAGAGAGTAGGGAGTATCCCATCCACCACTTATTTCTTTCTCATATCTACTCAGTAATTCAATACAAGAAAGAAAAAGATAACCAGGACTTAAAGCAAAAACAGAATTCAGTTCCATGCTCCTCCCAAGCCTTATTATTTCCAGGTGTTATAACTGGGAGTTCCGCGGACAGATTTGAGTTCTACTTCCGCTCCTTTAACCCCCTATTCCGAAGAGTCCAAGAGCAGCAGCAAAGAAAAAGACCAACTCGAAAGTGGGGAAGGGATGTTGGGGTTAAAGAGGGGAGTTAAATAACCAGACCTTTAGTGAAGAATAAAGAATTCAGGCTGTAGTTTGTAGAAATAAGTTATTACAGGCCTGTAAAGTCTGGCGCTGGGTAAAGCCCAAGAGGCTTTCCCTAACTCCAAAACGGCGACCTTTAAAGTAAGGGAGGGTTGGGGCACCACAGCGGCCGGATTTCTAATTGTGGAAAGTTTAAACAAATTTGTCCCTCGGGGAATGGGGGAAGGGAGAGAAGAACAAGTCTGGGCTCGGCCGGGGAGCGTGCGGAGTCTGCACGCCGCGGCCGTCGGTCCAACGCGGGGAGGCTCAGGGATTTTCGGCAGCAGCGACTTCATCCACCCCGGACCGCCGGCTGGAGGACGTGCCTGCAGCCGGCGGGTACCTGCGGCCAATTCGGTGGAACGAGGACGCGGACTGCGAAGGCAGGTGGGTCTGGCACGAAGGGGCAGGAGTCCTAGGCTCTGGGTGGAAGTTGGGGGTGGGACGGCGCCGGGAGGCCGGGGAGGCAGCGGCGAAAGGCGGCGGGCGGCTCTACTTACTCGGCTGTACCAGATGCTGAGGCGGGCCGCGGCCAGCACGGCGAAGAAAGCCCTCTGCGGGTCGGACTGAACGTGGAAAGGCGCCTCGGCCGGGCTCCCCAGAGGGCACAGCAGCCTCTTGGGCCAGCCGCTCAGAAAATACATGGTCCGTGCGGAGCCCCCGGCGCCCCCAGTTGCGTCCGTCACACTCAGCGGCCCCGGGCTGGTCGCCCACCTCCCACACCGCCACCGGCCGAGTCGGCGGCGGCGGCGGCGGCAGCTCGGGGCATCTGCCCGCTGGCCTGGCCGGGCCGGGCCGACGCAAGGCTGCGCGACGAAGGCACCCCCAAGCTGACGGGGCCGAGTGTGGGGGAGGGAAGGGGAGGGAGAGTAGGGACACAGAGAGGGCGGGAGGAGCGCGGAGGCCCGCCCCGACCCCGCCCCTTCCTCAGGCCGCGCGGGCGTCACCACGCCGCGCCGCGTGGGTCGGGCCGGGGAGGGCCCGCGCGCGCGCTCTGGAGACTCCTGCGGTCTCCCTAGCTGTTTCTTGAAGCTCTGCATAAGCCTCGCCCGCGGCCGCCGGGTTGCGTCCGCACTTCTGCGCGCTGGCCCCTCCCTTGCTCCTCTCCCTAGCAGTCTCCAGGGTTTTACCGGGAGGACCTAGGCAACGGCCTGAGACTCCGAGGCAAGTGGGGCGAGTCTAGGGATAACGCAGCAGCAAGGCTACTGGGCCGGTGGAACACGCCCTGGCCTGGCCAAATTGGACCTCCCTTCCGGATTGGCGGGGTCTCGGTGGGGGCGGGCCGGTTGCCGGGGGGAGCTGGAGTCACGTGACGGCCGGCGCGGTTTCCCACTTTGGGCTGCCGGCCGCTGTGGCTGTGGTGGGCGGTAGGGGCTTTTACCGTGTGAGCTCCTTTAATGCCGGGGTCTGCAGTGAGAGCTGGTGATGAAGCTCCTGCCGGTGTGGAGCTTACATCCCTAAGGGAGCGTTTATTTAATCAGTAAATAAACCACTCACCATGAAAGTATTGAGTTCTGTCTCCTGCCTTTCAGGAGTTCTAAATCTATGTCTTTGAAATCCATTTCCATTCGTCTCAGCCTTACCAGCCATAACTTTAGATGAGAGGAGGCTATCTCTTTCGTGCTGCAAAAGGCTTGGACTTAGTTTTAGAACTGGAAGGGACTGGTGATAGCGTAGGTCCATATTTAGCTTTTGGACCCCAGGTATCACCTTAGCTGTAACTTTCAACGGATTGACCCAGTGGTAACGTCTGAATAGAAGGAGGGTTGAGGGGATATGGTGTGGAATGGGGGAAGGAGGAGTCTGAAATAGAAGAAAGATTTGCTTCTCATTGTCTACCTTTTTTAGTACAGTTTGAATTTTTCCATATGTTTGTATTACTTTTTCAATTAAAAAGCCAGGTTTAAAAAATGACCCCACATTAAAAAGTAGCAACGTAGGCGGGGTGCTGGGGCTCACGCCTGTAATCCCAGCATTTTGGGAGGCCGAGGCGGGCAGATCACTTTAGGTAAGCAGTTCGAGACCAGCCTGGCCAACATCGTGAAACCCCCGTCTTACTGAAAATACAAAAATTAGCTGGGCGTGGTGGCAGGTGCCTGTAATCCCAGTTCCTCAGGAGGCTAAGGCAGGAGAATCGCTTGAACCTGGGAGGCGGAAGTTGCAGCAAACCAAGATCCCTCCACTGCACTCCAGCCTGGGCAACAGAGTGAGACTGTCTCAAAAAAAAAAAAAAAAGTAGCAACATAAACAGAAAAAAGGAAACAAAGAAACTTAATTCATATTAGATATAGCATTGTAGCTGGTATTCATAACCAAATATGTAACTTTCTGTAATTTTTCTAAACATTCACTGCATTCCCTGGAAGGTGATGATAGAATCCTGTATTCCTCAAATGGAGGTTGAAACTGCCTCACCACTCACCAGCCTGTTGCGATCAGATTGTCTCCTTGGCGTCTACCCTCCCCCAGTCCAACACAGCAGCCTGGAACATAGTAAGCATAGTAAGCTGGCAGTATTTGTCAGACAAACCGTGGAGGAAACCCTGATCCAGCTGAGCTACACCATTAGACAAAGAGGCCCAGAGAGGTTTCTTAACTTGCCAATTTCAAATTGTAGAATAACAAAGTTGCATCATACTTTCATCTTAGATTCAGTTATGCACTTGGCAGAAAGAGGAAATGAAAATGTTCTAGTGCAGCAATTTTGCTGGCAGTGTTACTGAATGTTTGTCCCAGCTGTCTCTCAGAGAGTCTTTGTTCTCATGTGTCTCAAGTTTGTCATACTGTGCTCATGGGCAATTTAAGGAACTTCTAAGCAATTTTTATTGCACTCAATTTTAACCTTACTTGCTGACTTTAGAAGCTTATTCCTCTGCCACACTCCTGTGTAGCACTTAAGATTCACAAAATAATTCCAAATGCTTGTCTTGATTTAATTCATAGTAAACATTCAAGGTGAGTGACATTGGTGTGATGTTGTTATTCTCACTTTCTCAAGTGAGGAAACAGGACAGGTGTGGTAGATGTGCCTGAATTCACATGGCCTGAAAAGAACTGATGTTCTTTCTACAGATCCAGTGTGATTTCTTTCTTTTTTTTTTTTTTTGAGGTGGAGTTTCGCTCTTGTTGCCCAGGCTGGCGTGCAATGGTGCCATCTCAGCTCACTGCAGCCTCCACCTCCTGGGTTCAAGCAATTCTCCTGCCTCAGCCTCTGGAGTAGTTGGGATTACAGGCATGCACCAACATGCCTGGCTAATTTTGTATTTTTAGTAGAGACGAGGTTTCTCCATGTTGGTCAGGCTGATCTGGAACTCCCGACCTCAGGTGATCCGCTCACCTCGGCCTCCCAAAGTGCTGGGATTACAGGCGTGAGCCACCGCACCCAGCCTCCTGTGTGATTTTTTTAAAAATTTAAGGTTTGGCTGGGCGCGGTGGCTCATGCCTGTAATCCCAAAACTTTGGGAAGCCAAGGCAGGCGGATCATGAGGTCGGGAGTTTGAGACCAGCCTGGCCAATATGGTGAAACCCTGTCTTTCTGCTAAAAAAAAAAAAATACAAAAATTAGCCAGGCATGGTGATATGCACCTGTCATCCCAGCTACTCTGGAGGATAAGGCAGGAGAATTGCTTGAACCTGGGAGGCAGAGGTTGCGGTGAGCCGAGATCGCTCCACTGCACTCCAGGCTGGGTAACAGAGTGAGACTTTGTCTCAAAAAAAAAAAAAAAAATTAAGGCTTATGGCATCCCTGCATCAAGTAAGTCTATTGTTGCTGTTTTTCCAACAGCATATGCTCTTTAGGCTGAACTAAATTGTGGTAATTGCTCTGGACAGTGAGAGGGAGTGGGGGAAACCTCTAGGTCTTTCTCCCTGGCGGGGAGAAAAGGAAATATCTGACTCTCCAAAACCCTATACTTGAGAGTTCCCCTATTGTGACAAAAATGTTATTGGCTGGATTTTTCAACATCATTTCTTTTTCTTTCTTTCTTTTTTTTTTTTTTTTTGAGACAGAGCATTGCTTTGTCACCCAGGCTGGAGTGCAGTGGTGCAATCTTGGCTCACTGCAACCTCCGCCTCCCGGGTTCAAGTGATTCTTGTGCCTCAGCCTCCTGAGTAGCTGGGACTACAGGCATGCACCACCACGCCTGTCTAGTTTTTGTATTTTTAGTAGAGATGGGGTTTCATCATGTGCCAGGCTAGTCTCCAACTCCTAGCCTCAAATGATCCACCAGCCTCGGCCTCCCAAAGTGCTGGGATAACAGGTGTGAACCGCCGTGCCTGGCTTCAACTTTCAAATATCATATTTTAACTTTATTTTGTAAAATATACTGACAGTTCTCATGCCTTAGGTCTTCTCCTCCTTTTTCTACTAGTTTCCACCACCACTCCTGTCAAAATTTTTGGACTCTGTTCTAAGATTAAGCTTATGATAAAAGTTAGTAGGGGGCCGGGCAGGGTAATCACGCCTGTAATCCCAGCACTTTCGGAGGCAGAGGTGGGCGGATCACTTGAGCCCGGGAGTTTGAGACCAGCCTGGGCAACATGGTGAAACCCTGTCTCTACAAAAAATCAGTCGGCACTGTGGCATACACCTGTGGTCCCAGCCCCTTAGGCGGCTAAGGCAGGAGAATTGCTTGAGCCTGGGAGGCAGAGGTAATAGTGAGCCAAGATCATGCTATTGCACTCCCACCTGAGTGAAAGGAATGAAATCCTGTCTCAAAAAAAAAAAAAAAAGTTACTAGGTGCATGTTTTCATCTATGAAACTTATAAACTTTTTAAATTACTAGAAATAATGTTGGTAAGAGTACACATAAGAAATGGGGATACATTTATACTCTCTTGATGGAAGTATGATTTGGTGCAATTTTTTTTTTTAATATAAGGTTTGTGGTAACCCTGTGTTGAGTGAGTCTATTGGCACCATTTTTTCTAATAGCATATGCTCACTTCATGGCTCTTATCACATTTTGGTAATTCTTTCAATATTTGAAACTTTTTCATTATTAGTATATCTGTTATGATGATTTGTGGTCAGTGGTCTTTGTTGTAACTATTGTAATTGTTTTGGGGTGTCATGTACCACATCCATGTAAGATGGAGAACTTAAGCGATAAATGTTATGTGTGTTCTGACTGTTCCATCAACTGGCAGTTCCTCTGTCTCTCTCCCTTTCTTTGGGCCTCCCTATCCCCTGAGATGCAACAATATTGAAATTAGGCCTGTTAGTAACCCAACAGTAGCCTCTAAGTGTTCAAGTGAAAGAAAGAATCCCCGTCTCTCACTTTAAGTAAAAAGCTAGAAATGATTAAACTAAGTGAGGAAGGCATATTGAAAGCAAAGATAGGCCAAAAGCTAGGCCTCTTGTACCAGTTAGCCAAGTTATGAATGCAAAGGAAAAAAAGTTCTTAAAGGAAAGTAAAAGTACCACTTTGGAGAACATAGGAATGATAAAACAAAACAGCCTTGTTGCTGACCTGGAGAAAGTTTTAATGGTCTGGGTAGGAGATCAAGCAAGCTACAACATTCCCTTAAACCAGACGCAGTGCCTCATGCCTTAATCCCAGCACTGTGGGAGGCTGAGACAGGAGGATTACTTGAGCCTAAGACTTCGAGACCAGCCTGAGCAATATAGCAAGACCCCATTTCTTTAAAAAAAAATGTTTTAATTAGCTGGGTATGATGGTGTGCACCTGTAGTCCTAGCTACTTGGGAGGCTGAGACGGGGATCACTTGAGCCTGGGAGTTCCAGATTACAATGAGCTATCTGCGCCACTGCACTCTAGCCTGGGTGATAGAGTGAGACCCTGTCTCTAAAATGAAGCAAAAACCAGTTTTTAAAAAGCATTCCCTTAAGCCAAAGCCTAGGCCAGAGCAGTGCCCTAGCTCTCTTCAATTCTGTGAAGCCTAAGGGAGGCAAGGAAACTGCAGAAGAAACATTTGAAGCTAGCAGAGGTTGGTTCATGAGGTTTACCAAAAGAAGCTGTGTCCATAACATGAAACTGCAAGGTGAAGTAGCAAGTACTGACGTAGAAGCTACAGCAAGTTATCCAGAAGATCTAGCTAAGATCTTTGATAAAGGTGGCTACATTAAACAACAGATCTTCAGTGTAGACAAAACAGCCATCTGTTGGAATAAGATGCCATCTAGGACTTCCATAGTTAGGAAAAGTCAGTGCTTGGCTTCCAAGCTTCAAAGGACAGGCTGACTCCCTTGTTAGCGGCTAATAATGCTGGTGGCTTTTTTGGTGGAAGCCAGTGCTCATTTACCACTCCTAGAATCCTAAGGCCCTTAAGAATTATGTCAAGTCTACTCTGCCTGTGCTCTATAAATGGAACAGCAAAGCATGGATGATAGCACATCCGTTTCCAGTATGATTTATTGAATATTTTAAGCTCTTGTTGAGAACTACTACTTGGAATGAAAGAGTCATTTCAAACTTTCACTGTTCATGGATAGCACATCTAGCCATCTTAGAGTATTTATGGAGACATACAAGGAGATTAATGCTGTTTCCTTGCCTGCTAATGCAGTATCCATTCTGTAGCCCATGGACCAAGGAGTAATTTTGGCTTTTAAGTCTTATTATTTAAGGAATATATTTCATAAGGCTACAGCTGCTATGAAATGCAGCTATACATAGTGAATCTGCTATACATAGTTCAAACTTTCACTGTTCACGGACAGTGCATCTAGCCATCCTAGAATTCTGATGGAGACATACAAGGAGATTAATGCTGTTTCCTTGCCTGCTAATGCAATATCCATTCTGTAGCTGTGGACCAAGGAATAATTTTGACTTTTAAGTCTTATTATTTAAGAAATACATTTCATAAGGCTAGAGCTGCTATGAAATGCAGCTATACATAGTGGATCTGCTATACACAGTGATTCCTCTGATGGATCTGAGCAAAGTGAATCTAAAACCTTCTGGAAAGGGGCCAGGTGCGGTGGCTCACACCTGTAATCCCAGCACTTTGGGAGGCCAAGGCAGGCAGATCACAAGGTCAAGAGATCGAGACCATCCTAGCCAACATGGTGAAACCCCGTATCTACTAAAAAAATAATAATTAGCTGGGCATGGTGGCACCCGCCTGTAGTCCCAGCTACTCGGGAGGCTGAGGCAGGAGAATTGCTTGAACCTGCGAGGCGGAGGTTGCAGTGAGCCGAGATCGCGCTACTGCACTCCAGCCTGGCGACCGAGGAAGACTCCATGTCAAAAAAAAAAAAAAAACTTGGAACAGTCACTACAGCCTTCAGCAACCACCACCCTGATCAGTCAGCAGCCATCAACATGGGACAAGACCCTCCAGCAGCAAAGAGATTACTATTTGCTGGAAGCTCTGAAGATCATTAGCATTTTGTTAGCAATAATATATATATTTTGAGATGGAGTCTCGCTCTGTCACCCAGGCTGGAGTACAGTGGTACAATCTCGGCTGACTGCAACCTCCGCCTCCCAGGTTCAAGCGATTCTCCTGCCTCAGCCTCCCGAGTAGCTGGGATTACAGGCGTGTGCCACCATGCCTGGCTAATTTTTGTATTTTTAGTAGAGATGGAGTTTCCCCATGTTGGCCAGGCTAGTCTTGAACTCCTGACCTCAGGTGATCTGCCCGCCTCGGCCTCCCAAAGTACTGGGATTATAGGCATGAGTCACCATGCTCGGCTGCAATAAAGTATTTTCTAAATTAAAGTATACACATTTTTTAGACAAAATACTATTACACACTTAATAGATGACAGAACAGTCTAAACATAACTTTTATAACTACTTGCAAACCAAAAAATGTGTGTGACTCATCTTATTGCAATATTCACTTTATTGGGTTGGTCTGGAACCCAGCCTGCAATATCTCTGAAGTATGCCTGGATTTCTTTCCTATGATTATTTTCTAAGGAAATAAACACTGATATTTACAGAATTTTAGCTTTAAATCTAAAGGTGTATCTAAGTGGGAATAATCTAAATGTCTCCAAAAAGACATTAATTACTGTCCTTCCTTACACCTGAGTATTTTGCAAAAATAAAAGCTTATGTTGAGGAAGAATATTTAATCACTTGGAAGTATATTCAGTATATATTAGAAAGTAATGAAAACAGATTAAATACAGTATGTAAAATATAATCTCATGTTTATAAAAAAATTACATATGTGCCTAATAAAAAATGGGGAAAATGCAATTATAGGTACTTTTTATGTTCTTCCTTGGGATTTTGGATTTGCCAAATTGTCTGTAATGAGTTCATGTTACTTTTGTGATAAGAATAAAGTTATTTTAAAAAGTTAAATTGCTTATGATTAGTAATGTCCTGTTTGTTTGTTCTGCTTTAAGTAGGACCTTGCAGAACTGGCAAGTCAAAGGGAGTAGTGTAATGTGTAGCTTCTGGCTCAGTCCCAAGCCTAGTGAGAAGAAGATGAGGAGGAAGGGTACCCTGAGTCACCAGATTAAAAGTAGGCCCTGTGTACTTTCGCACGTATTCACAGGCTTGTGATGATGGAGCTGTGGCTGGATTTTGGGTCTGAGCATACTACTCTCGGTATTTGGAGACCTCCGTAAGAACCTATGATAATATCCATTGAAAATGGTACTGCTTTCATTTATGACTTTAATATATTTTTAATATTCAACCTGATTACACTTTTATCGTATAAACTGTTGTATTTGCTTCCTGGGTGGCTTTTTTTTCTGAGATGAGTCTTGTTCTGTTCCCCTGCTTGGACTTCATTGGTAAGATCTCGGCTCACTGCAGCCTCCGCCTCTTGGGTTCCAGCGATTCTCCTGCCTCAGCCTCCTGCGTAGCTGGGATTACAGGCATATGCTACCACGCCCAGCTAATTTTTGTGTTTTTAGTAGAAATGGGGGTTTCACCATGTTGGCCAGGCTGGTCTTGAACTCCTGACCTCAGGTGATCAACCCACCTAGGCCTCCCAAAGTGCTAGGATTACAGGCGTGAGCCACCTTGCCTGGACTGGGATAGCCTCTTGATTTCATTTGTCCCTTCTGAAAGTAAGTAATATCTCAGCTGAATTGATATGATGTCTGGGTTTTGCTTCAAAATAATCTGGGGGTGAGTGAAATATATATGAAACAAAATTGGCCATGAGTTGTTTTTCTTTGAAGCTGAGTGATGAGTATAGTCCTGTACCATATAATGATGTTTCAGTCAGTGACAGCCTGCATTTAGAATGGTGGTCCCATGAGGTTATAATGCAGCTGAAAAATTCCTATCACCTGGTGACATGATACTGTCATACTGCCATAACACAATGTATTACTCATGTGTTTGTGTTGATGCCTATGTAAACAAACCTATTGCACTGCCAGTTAAATACGAGTATAACACAATTATATATAGTATATGATACTTAATAACAAATGACTATGTCACTAGTTTATGTATTTACTATGCTATTTTTCTTTATTTTAAAGGGTACGCTTTCTACTTAAAAAATAAACTTAACCGTAAAACAACTTTAGGCAGGTCCTTCAGGGAGGTATTCCAAAAGAAGGCATTGTTACAGGATATGACACCTCTATGTGTGTTATTGCCTCTCAGCAACTTTCAGTGGGAGGCCCATGTGGTGGCTCATACCTGTAATCCCTGCCCTTTCGGAGGCCAAGGTGGGAGGATCCCTTGAGGCAGGAGTTCAAGACCAGCCTGGGCAAGGTAGCAAGACCCTGTCTCTACGAATCAATTTTTTAAAAAACTAGTCAGGCATGGTGACACATGCCTGTAGTCCTAGCTACTTGGAAGATTGAGGCAGGAGTATCACTTGATCCCAGGAGTTCCAGGTTGCAGTGAGCTTTAGTCACGCCACTGCACTCCAGTGTGTGTGACAGAGTGAGACCCTGTCAAAAAAAAAAAAAAAACTTAACAGTGGAACAAGATGTGGAGGTGTAAGACACTAATATTAATGACCTGACCCCGTGTAATCCTAGGCTTACGTAGTTGTGTCTTAGTTTTTAACAAAAATGTTTTAAAAGTTTTTAAAAATTAAATTTTTTAACAATAGGCCGGGCGTGGTAGCTCATGGCTGTAATCCCAGCATTTTGGGAGGCCAAGGTGGGCGGATCACTTGAGGCCAGGAGTTCGAGACCAGCCTGGCCAACATAGCGAAACCCTATCTCTACAAAAAATTTAAAAAATACAAAAATTAGCCGGGTGTGGTGGTGTGCACCTGTAATCCCAGCTACTCAGGAGGCTGAGGCACGAGAATCTCTTGAACCTGGGAGGTAGAGGTTGTAATGAGCTGGATCCCACCACTACACTACAGCCTAGGCGACAGAGTGAGACTGTGTCTGAGAAAAAATAAAAATAAAAATGGGCCACGCTTGGTGGCTCACGCCTGTAATCCCAGCACTTTGGGAGGCTGAGGCAGGTGGATCACGAGGTCAGGAGTTTGAGACCAGCCTGGCCAACATGGTGAAACCCTGTCTCTACTAAAAATACAAAAATTAGCCAGGCGTGGTGGTGGGCGCCTGTAATCCCAGCTACTTGGGAGGCTGAGGCAGGAGAATTGCTTGAACCCAGGAGGCGGAGGTTGTGGTGAGCCGAGATAGCGCCATTGCACTCCAGCCTGGGCAACACAGCGAGACTCCAACTCAAATAAATAATAAAATAAAAATGGATAAGAGCTTATAGAATAAGAATATAAAGAAAGAAAATAGTTTTTATACAGTTGCACAACATATTTGTGTTTTAAGCTGTTATTACAAGAGTTTAAAAGTTTAAAAAACTAAAGTTTATAAAGTAAAAAATTACAGTAAGCAAAGGTTAATTTATTATTGAAGAAAGAAAAATTTGTAAATAAATTTATTGCCTAAGTGTACAGTGTTTATAAAGTCTACAGTGGTGTATAGGAATGTTCTGGGCCTTCATATTCACTCACCACTCATCCAGTGACACCCAGAGCAACTTCCAGTCCTGCAAGCTCCATTCATAGTAAGTGCCTTGTATGGGTGTATCATTTTTTTTTAAATCTTTTATACCGTATTTTTACTGTAACTTTTCTGTGTTTAGATATGCAAATACTTATTGTGTTATAATTGCCTATAGTATTCAGTACAGTAACATGCTGTACAGGTATGTAACCTAGCAGCAATATGTTATATTGTCTAGGTATGTAGCAGACTACAACATCTAGTTTGGTGTAGACTCTTTGTTCACAGGGTGACAAAATTGTCTAACAATGCATTTCTCAGAACATATCCTTGTCATTAGGCAGTGTGTGACTGTACTTGGGAGTTCACTGTGTTATCTGCTCCACTTTGGTATGTGGTTGACATTTTAAATAATATTAATAAAAAATGTAAACATTTAAATTGAAAAGAACATGTCAGTAACTGGTCATATGTGACTAACCAGTCTACTTTGTCCACAATTCTCCTCACAGTTCATAGTGTTAAATATTAGTTCAAATCATTTAATTAACCTTAAAGGCAGGATGGCTTATTGTTAAGCCTTAATGGATCTGAGTGAGACTTTCTGGGCTGGAGCATTAGCACAAACTGGAAAATAAAGCCAAACAGCCTACTATTGCTAACCAAGCAAAATGGGAAGGGTCGTTATGTTTGCTCTTCACTTTAGTCTTTTTAGAAATGAAAACTGATTGGAAACAGAATTGATTCTACATAAATTAGCCAACAGTAACAATTGTGTTTGACCATGTCCCTATCAGTTCTCTAGTATAAAAAAAAAAAGTCATACCTGCATTTTCAGTGTGTATTCTTTACTAAAATGGCAAGAGGAGTTGGAACAAGACATTTTTAACCCTATAATTCTGAGATTCCCACCCTACTCTCTATTCAGACAAATATGCCTTCAATAATTTAGCCAAAATTTCATATTCATTGTGTCAGTCCATTATCTCCTGTATGTATCAGTGAACTTAGAGTCAAATTCATTACCCAATCATGACAGACTTTTTTCATCTAGCAGAACTGAAACTCTATACCCATGAAACATCAACTTCCCTTTCCTCCTTTTCCCCAGACCCTAATAACCATCATTCTGCTTTCTGTTTCTGTGAATTTGACTACTTCAGATATCACATATGAGTAGAATCATACAGTATTTGTCTTTTTGTGCTTGGCCTGTTTCACTTAGCATAATGCCCTGAAGGTCTATCAGTGTTGTAGCATGTGACAGGATATCTTTCCTTGTTAAGACTGAATAACATTTCATTGCATGTATATAGCACATTTTGTTAATCCATTCATCCGTCCATGGACATTTGAGTTGCTTCCACAACTTGGCTGTTGTAAATCTTGGCTATTGTAAATAGTGATGTTACGAACATGGGTGTGCAAATATCTTTTAGAGACCCTACTTTCAATTCTTTTGGATATATACGCAGAAGTGGGATTGCTGAATCATATGGTACTTCTACTTTTCAAATTTTTTAGGGACCTCCATACTCTTTTCCATAGTGGTTGCACCATTTTACAATCCCACCAACAGTGCACATGGGTTCCAATTTTTCCATATCCTTGCTAACACTTGTTATATTCAGGCTTTGTTTTTGTTTTTGCTTTTAAATGATAGCTATCCTAATGGGTGTGGTTTTGGTTTGCATTTCTCTGATGATTAGTGATGTTGAGCATTTTTTCATATACTTGTTGGCCATTTGTGTATCACCTTTGGAGAAATGTTACTACCTTTGATATACTGTCACATCAGGAGATCTGCATAAAAGGTCAAACCCCAAGAGGAAATCTTTAACTTTTGGGGGATATAATTTTAAATTATCTGTCAAGTTTGAATGGGGTTATTCCTTATACTTAAAAGAGTTATAACAATCTTACAAGTATGACATCTTAGTCAGAATGGGCCTTAAACACATCCAGTCCAATCTCCTGACCCAACAAGAATATAAGTGGATTTCATAGAGTAAATTTATATATATTTCAAACATAGAAATCATTTATAAAAGCCATTAAGAGTTGGTATAAAAGGAATATACCTGTGAAACTGAACAACCAATACACTTGAATGTAAGAACTTGAAAAGAGATATGGAAAAATGGCTACCAAATGCCCCCCAAAATACATTATTTCCTTTATTGTCTTTTATTTAAAAAAATTAGGACAGCTATATTTGCAGTCATCATCTCCTGAAAATATAATTATTAATTTTTTCTGTTCTGAGCACTTTCTAATTTTTCTTTTATCATCAAAAAATAATAAGTACTATTTTTAAAATTGTTAATTTGTTATCAAGGAGATCAGTTTTCCCAAAGTGTGGTCCAGTCATCTGGATCAGAATTGTCTAGAGATATATTTAAAATACAGATTCCTTGGCCAAGTCCCAGGCTTTCTGAATCCGGAGTCCTTGATGTTGATGGTATGGCCCAAGAATTAGCATTTTTAACAAATATCCACTATGAGTCTCATGCATATTAATAAGGTTGACATTTCTTTAGGAGGAAAAAAAAGTGTCCGGTGTGTACTTTGAATATGGTCTGGAATCTCTGTACTCAACCTTCTGTTAGTTTGTAAACAAGTCAAAAAGTGCACTGGATTCCTGGGAGATATGGCCATGATCCCTTCTCCAGCAGATCTGAATTTTCTTGATTTCCTAATGAGAGAGCTGTCTAAGGATGTAAAAATTGTGCTGTGAAAACCAGATAAGACCAAGTAGTGGAAGTGACCTTGGGTCATTCAATAGCAATTATGGGCAAGTTAAACCTGACCACCTGGCCCCTGCTGATCACCTTCATATTGCCCTGCTAGCCCTAAGTTACCTTTAACCGTTTTTTTACCTGCAGGTGGAAATGTTAATATCTGTCATACCAGGTTGTTATTTTTTTAAGTGCTAGAAACCAGGCACTGGCATTAATCTGTGCCTTTAGTGGTATATTGTGGATTAGTCACAAAGAACTTTGTGTCTAATGATTGGTACTGTTACATAAATTATAACAGTAACTAGCATTTATTCTGCACTTATGTACTAGATACTGCTCTAAGCATTTTACATTATTTAATTTTTATCCTCTCAACAATCACATGAGATACATATTATCCCCATTTTACAGATGAGGAAATTGGGGCTTAGAGAAGCTCAAGGCTCACAGAGCTGGAAAGTGATGGAGTCAAAACTTGAACCCAGAATCCCCAAGTTTATCAACTTCACTATACCATCTCTTTCCACAAACTTATTTTCTCACCAACTAAATGTATATAATAATTTATGTCAGGCTGTCTTATTAACTACATTTTTTTTAACTCCTAAGGTATTTGTTTTTACTCAATCCTTCATGTATAAAATTACTTTGCTAAAGAAATGAAGGAAATCAGTATTTTCACATTTACTTGGAGAATAATATCTTGTGTATCTTAGGCAAAAATGAAAACAATAATTTATCTAAAGGGTCATGTGAATTCTTGAAAATAAACAGTGCTGTAGATCTTTCTGTGGCATACATCCATGGATGTAAAAGTAAGAGAGGGAAGAAGGAATCACATCACCCAGGTATGATGTTGAAGGCTATAAATGAATCAAAGAGTTAACATTTAACAATAGGATCATATTTTAACACCATTTTCTTTCTTTCTTTTTCTTTTTTCTTTCTTTTTTGAAGGGGGTGAGGAGGGGAGGGACTGGGGCTGAAGAGTAAGGGCGGGGGAAGAAGTCTCCATATTTTAACAACATTAATCCATCCACATCATTTAATATATAATACACCAAAGGCAGAATCTCCCTGTACCCTGGTCACTTTCTCAGGATGCCCATTGTAATGCGCTACAGGCTCTTACTGTCCTCCACAGTTTCCTAGGAGTTGATTGTTTTCTTAGCTTATGCTGCCACTACGTGCTGCTTTCCATTAGAGGGGAATCTTCTTCTGTAGGACTTGGGAATCCCTTCTGTAGGAAGGGAGCAAAGTGTCCCAACATCTCCCCTAACTGGACACCTCTCTAACTCCAAGCAAACATATTGTTCTCAGAGGTTTTCTGAGGATTCCTGTGTGGTAAAGACAAAAATGTTTGCATGAATAGCAAGACTCCCTCCATATTTTTATCTTGACCAGTAAATGAAAACATGGGTTTAAATCAGCTGTATGTGTGGATTAGAAAACAAAGTTGACCATTGCCTATATATACTTCATCATTGAGTCCATGTTCTTCTATGATCAAGCAGATAAACAGTTTACCTGTTAGTATTTGTTAAAAAGCAGTGAGGGGTGGCTGGGCGTGGTGGCTAATGCCTGTAATCCCAGCATTCTGGGAGGCTGACGTGGGTGGATCACTTGAGGTCATGAGTTAAGACCAGCCTGGCCAACATGGTGAAACCCCGTCTCTACTAAAAGTACAAAAATTAACTGGGTGTGGTGGTGCACGCCTGTAATCCCAGCTATTTGGGAGGCTGAGCCAGGAGAATTGCTTGAACCCAGGAGGCAGAGGTTACAGTAAGCCGAGATCGCACCACAGCCTAGGTCACAGAGCGAGACTCCCCATCTAAAGAAAAAAAAAAAAAAGCATTGAGGGGTTATCCAGCTCTGTAACTCAAATCTCTGGTGAAAGTGCTGTTTGACTGGAATGTGGTGAGCATATTGGGCGTCTTCAAGACTCAATGAATGGGGATTGAGTGCTTAGATACTCTAAAGATTATCTCAAAATATTCTGTTATTGCTCATACAGTTCCTTCTTGTGGTTGGAGTATTCAGAAGAAGAAATGTCTACTTACAACTTTATTTTCCTCTCTGAATCTACAGATTTTATAAAAAATAATGGGCATTTCTAAGTTTGCTCTTCATGAATGTGTTAACAATACCCCAAGCGACTGCTTCAAAAACCAATTTGTTTCAGATTATTATAACAGCCATGTAAATTTAAGTATGATGTCTCAGGCAAAACTTGGTTAATGCGGACATGAAGTTGAATATATAAAATTAATGACAGATATTAAAATGTGTAAATGCAATTGATTTTTTTTTTCCAGTCTCACTGTCGCCCAGGCTGGAGTGCAGTGGCACAATCTGCAACCTCCGCCTCCTGGGTTCAAGTGATTCTTGTGCCTCAGCCTCTGCAGTAGCTGGGATTACAGGTGCCTGCCACCATGCCTGGCTAATTTTTGTACTTTTAGTAGAGATGGGTTTCACCATATTGACCAGGCTGGTCTCAAGCTCCTGGCCTCAAGTGATCTGCCTGCCTCGGCCACTCAAAAGTGCTGGGATTACAGGGGTGAGCCACCATGCCCGACCTAAATGCAATAGTTAACAATTTACAATACCATTAACCTTAACAAGGCAAGATTTTGCCCATGCCCATGTTATTCCCTGAAAATTTGGGCACCACTGGATGTCCAGTTAATCAGTAAAGATGATAGAGTCACAAGTTGAGAAATGATCCTATAAGTGTAGTAAAAGTGGTATAAAAGAGCCTCATTGACCGGGCGCAGTGGCTCATGCCTGTAATCTCAGCATTTTGGGAGGTCGAGGTGGGTGGATCACGAGGTCAAGAGTTTGAGACCAGCCTGGCCAATATGGTGAAACCCCGTCTCTACTAAAAATACAAAAAATAGCCAGGCATGGTGGTGCGCGCCTGTAGTCCCAGCTACCTGGGAGGCTGAGGCAGGAGAATTGCTTGAACCTGGGAGACGGAGGTTGCAGTGAGCCGAGATCACCCCACTGCACTCCAGCCTAAGTGACAGAGGGAGACTTTGTCTTAAAAAAAAAAAAAGCCTCATTCAGTTTATGTTTGCATGAAATATGATACATAGTATTACCACATTCAGGCCATATGAGTAAATTATACATCCTCCAAAATTATATATATACATTTGTCTTTCATTTACTTATGACCATTTACTCAATGTTCTGTTTTTAACGTGTTAGCATTTTCTTTCATTATTCCAGTTATTAATGGTTGCATTTTCTGGAATCTCTTCTTATTAAACTTGGGTAAATATAGAATACATTTGAAAAGAACAGACCAAGAGAGAACTTCTGAAAGAAATTCCATTCAATCAAGCAATCAAAGAACCATCCAGTGTGTCAATATTCAATAATCCCCCAAAACCTTTGTCTCCTGTCTCACAATGACACTGTCAGCTTCAAGAACAGGAAACCATCATCAGAGGCTTCTTCCTAGAGACTGCAACCCCATGCTTTCCTTCCAGCATTGCCCCATCCACTCCAACTGGGTCCTCCTTCTTCATAGGTCCACCGTTTCTTTGCTCTTTGTCTTAGTTTTGGTTCCCCCAGAAGCCAGATCCTAAGGCATTAATATGTACACAAGTAGCTTACTTGGGTAGTGATCTCAGGAAATATGGGCAAGGGAAGTGAGACAAAGAGGGAAGGCAATCAATAAAAAGGGCATGTTTTCAAGTGGGTTAGTACTGTGGGTAATGGACTTAATCCCTCTGGAGAATTTTGGGTACCAGTGTAAAATTCATGCCTCTGAGTTACTCTACCAGAGTAGCAAAGGAGCTGAAGTATTCATACCCCAACTCCTATCAATCATTAGTTAAAGGCTGCACTTAAGGCATTACATCTCCTCAAACCTATGCTCACATATGGAGCTCCAGCCACCAGAGAAGGCCATTAAGCAAGATGGTCCAGCTGCTGGCACTTGGTAAGGCTCAGGAGACATGGGCAGGGCACCAACTGTATCTGCCACACTGCTATCTGTGATCCCAATCTAGTACACTAAGACCCATGATTAAAAGCCAGGGATTACAAAATAGGAAAGAAGATCAAAGGCTTTGGAGTCAGACTGATTGGTTTCAAAACCTGATTTCTTAACCTTTCTAAGCTTCAAAATTCCATAGAGGATTGTTACGGAGATTGAATAATGTAATCCATGTAAAAGTATCCAGTATTGTGACTAGCACATAGTACATATTCCCAAAAATGCTAGTTAATAATATTAACACCTGATCCCCTCATGGAGACATAAAACTGAACAGGACCTACTTTGTTCTCTGGCCAGATTGCCCAGCAGGGACCCAGCAATTCCAGTTTTGCTACTGGCATAGCATTTACACTGGTGTCGGTGAGCAGAACTGACTAAAGGACTGGGCCTCAGTTCAAGTAGTCATCAAGATATGGCCAGATGAAGCCCTGCATTGTCATCAGTGCAGAGTGGGTTGCTTCAAGCTGCGTGGGGCTCTATGGAACCCGGAAGAGTAGATGGATCTCCTAAGGAAGGAATAGGTTCTAGAGCAAGCCCACCTGGTGGTCCAACTTAGCCTCTTTACACTATTTTCCTACCCAGCCACTCAGTCTAAGTTTTTTAATGTTTATGAGAAAAAGGGAGAAAAGAACTAGTACTTATCCTTCTCAATATCAAGTTCTAATGCAGCAATATAACTGCCCTTCCAATAAGCAAAGTATTTTTGGAATTCCTTAGTTCAAATGAAATTACATGGTTCACATGCTCAAGGCATTTTTTTCCAAATGTTTTTCATTCCCAGTCAGTAGAGACCAGACTTTTGGAAAAACTCAAACTTTCATTAAAGCTCAGCCATGCAGGATATAAAAGCTGGGTGGGTCCACTTTGATTTTGCTTCGTTGCTAACCATTTCCACTTAACTGACAGCAAGAACAGATTTTTGGAAGAGAATGCAAAGGGCATGGAGAGGCCCGTGACATCACATAAAAACTCTAGCAAAAGAAAACTTAGAGAAGAAAATTTACTGTATTTTCCAAACAGCAGAAAACACTAATTTTTCAATTTTTAATATAGAATCTGAAATAAATATATAGCAAATTTATTTCAGTACAATATGGTATTTTTCTAAATCACTGATCATGAAGACTACAGTTGAAATACCAAATTTTAAAAAACAGCCACTAATATTTATAGACCCCTAATAAAAATATTGCCTTCCCTTGGAAAACCAAACATCATATGTTCTCACTCATAAGTGGGAGATAAGCTATGGGGATGCAAAGGCGTAAGAATGACACAATGGACTTTGGGGACTCAGAGGAAGAGTGGGAAGGGGGTGAGAGATAAAAGACTACAAATTGGGTTCAGCGTATACTGCTCAGGAGATGGATGCACCAAAGTCTCACAAATCACCACTAAAGAACTTACTCATGTAACCAGACACCACCTGTTCCCCAAAAACCTATGGAAATCAAAAATTAAAAAATAAAAATATAGGAAAGTGCTTTGTACATGTCAAAAAATGTTGCCTTTCTTAATAAAAATAAACGGTTCTCCAAAGTTCACTGGAAGGAGAATCTCCACATGGGGAAGAATAGCTAGATCTTACATCCTGCTAATTTTGTCTTCCCTTGGCCTGTGGGGGAGGGCGCTATTCCCCTCTTTACTATTGTCCTAAGACCAGGCAGTGGACTGGTTTGATCCCAAGAACACTCCCTAATAAAATTCCTTCACCCCAATCTCTGTCCAGACTGTGCTTCACTGAGAACCCAATTTGTGGCAGTTACCCATGGCCAAAGTACATAGACCTTAACACTTTAACTCCCCAAGTCTAGACCCAGAAAAGTGAGAACAAGAAAAAGTCAAAGCAGCTTATTGACTGTGTGGAAGTGGCTTTGTTCAATTGATTGGTGGTGGTAATGATCACTCCTTTACAGGAGGAAGTTAGCCTTTCTCTTTTGAGGTTTCTACATGATAACCATATTGGAATATATCCCAATAGGTAGAGTATCCATAAAATTGTGAGTTGTGGGTTTTGGGGGCATTTTGTTATACGCTATCTTAGAAATAGAGTCCAAATCAGTTAATAAAAAAGAAAAGGGAGAGTGACAATATTATTGCATAGAAACGAAAGAAGTACTGATACATCTCACTTTGTAAAAAAAGAAACACATTTCAGAAAAAGTTAGCTATGAATTATATTTTTATATTAAATTTTATTTTAAAGTCAGTAATGAAACACACCATCTAAAGATTTTTATGACAGTTTTTTGCAGCGAAAAGCTTACAAATTTACATTATTACCTTCCAATTTGTTATTTTGTGAAACTAAAAATGATAAAAATTTCTTTTTTTCTTTTTTCTTTATGAAAAGGGTTTCCCACTCAAAATTTATTTTTATCATTTAAAATGATAAATGATTAAAATTTTTTTATCATTTAAAAGTGTTACTCTTTTAAATCACTGAGATGATTTAAAATAAAGTATATTACTGAAAATCTTAAAACCACAGCAAGACACTTAATATAAAATTACATTAAACTCTAATTAGTTTCTTTTGGCCCAATATTTTTAGATAAAGAAATTACTTCAAGTTGCATATGCTATAATGTTCTTGAGATTAGCCAAACTTTTTCGCAGTACTGGAACTTTGTTGTATTATTATTGCTCAAAATAAATTCATTGACAAAGAGTTATTATTATCTCCCTAACAATTTTATTTCTAAGGCTATGTTTTGATAATGGTTTTAACATTCATCCTGGATGAGTGGCTAAGAATCTGGAAATGAAAATTAGGAATGTACTTATCCTCTTCTGCCAAAGAGTGTTTTCTTTTTCCCCCAGATTAGTAGTCACAGAGTAACCATGGATTATGGTTACCAAATTGGTACCAAATTTGGATCTCGTATGGAGAACTCGGCCTTAGCTCGAATGCAGCAATTCACATTTAAATAAAATGAATATTTAGATGCTGTGCTCAAATTTAGATAAGAGTATATTGTAGTGATTCTGGGGGAAATCAGTCTTAAGATCACATCTATTTGCAGTGGAATGAGGAATTTCCTTTGGAGAATAATTAGTAGAACTATTATTGCAAAGCTGCCTAAGCCCTCTTATGTGATATAATCAGAGGCAACTGGCAAAAGAACATGAGTCAAGAATATCCCTCGGACAGCCTGTACCTAGATCAAAAATACTGACGTGCACTCTCTTACGAAGAGTTTCAGATGCATAAGACTTTTTTTTTTTTTAAAAACAGGCTTCTAGGTAACAAGTCACTTCACTTCTCTGGGCCTCTTAAACTTCTCATATGAAAATAGACTAGATGAACCTGGAGAGACATTTTCTGCCTGATGTGGAAAGTGAAAGTGAAGAAATTAGCTGTATTTCCTAACACTCAGGAGGTAGGTGCAGGGTCCATAGCTCCTCCAGCTCCTGTGGATCTTATGCTTCAGCTTCTCTAACTCTTGGGTCAGAGGTGTGTTTAACTCCTCCTCCACCAGAGGTTTGGAGGTGGTGAGAGACCAATGCAGATTCCAGTCCATCCTCATGGATTCCAGTTTGTCCTCGCTTCCTGCTCTCTACCTCCTGACCACTGGTCCTGTGAACTTCAGCTCCAGCACTAGACACAGAAACAACAGCCTCCCCTAGAGAGTATAACCAGCTTCCACAATTGCATACAGTCAAGTCTCTAAATCCGTTTTGTCAATTTATCTTAGTAGTTCTACTTCTATGAACAAACCTTGACTGATTACATTTGGGTTGTTATGTTTTTAACAAAAAGTGCTACTGTGCATATTCATGTTCATATTTTCTGGTGCACTTGTGCAAGCATTCCTCTACAATATATACCTGAGCTTACATATTGCTGGATTGTAGAATGTACAGTACTTAACTTTGTAAGATAATGCCAAATCCTATTCCAGGGTGGTTGTGCCAATTTATGTTCACACCAGCATTGTTTAAGAGTTCCCGTTGATCTGTCTTTGGGAAAAATTAATATAGTAATATTTCTTTTTAAATGTTTTTTAGAGACAGGGTCTCACTATGTTGCTCAGGTTAGAGTCAAACTCCTGGGCTCAAGTGATTCTCCTACTTCAGCCTCCTAAGTAACTGGGACTACAGACATCCACCACTGCACCCAGCAGTAATACTTAACTTTAGTTCATCAGGAGAGTATAATATGTTTACTCATTATAATCTTAATTTACATTTATATGATCACTGTGAAGTAGAGAATCTTTTCATGTATTTTTTCTTCATTCATATTTCCTCTTTTGCAAAATGACTATTCATGCCTCCCTTTTTTGTGGCATTGTTTGTCATTTAATTATTGATAAATAGAAAGAGTTCTTCATGCATTCTGGAAACAAATCCTTTAGTGTTATATGCAGTGGTGTACTGGAGCTGGCTTGTGTAGACTCGTCTGAGAGATTTTGTGTATGTCTTCCTAACTTCATGTTTAGCAACATCATGTTGGTGGCTTGAAATAAACTTTTCCACCTTGAAAAGAATCAAACCCAACAAATCATGGCTTTTTTCATCTCTGCAAAGCTAGGTTTTTAAAACATGTATGGGCGTACCACTAGTTATATATAGCAAATATCTACTACTGGCTTGTCGCTTGTCTACAAATTCTTGTTTGGAGTATTTTGAAAAATAGAAAGTCAAATTTGTTAATCTCTTCAGTTTTAGATAAGTTTTTTGGGGTGTTTTGTGTTCTCAGTTTCAGACAAGCCTGTTTTTGTTTTGTATGTGTTTTCTTTACCCCAGGAAACTAAAGATATTATCCTATAGATGTTTAAAATATCAGCTTTCACATCCAAGTCTTGCATGCATCTAGAATTGACTTACGTATCATGTTGGGTAGGAATCCAGTTTCATTTTTCCCCATATTCTCCCAGCACCACTTATTGACTAATTCTCCCTTTCTTGATTATATACAATACCACCTCTGTTATATATGATGTCCAAATATGTGTGGCTCTGTTTCCCAAGTCTCTACTATACCATTAACCCATTTGTGTATTGCAGCGTTAATACCACTCTCTTAATTAACTTTGTAATCAAAGTCCTCAAACAGGATAAAGCATACCTCCTACCTTGTTCTTCTCCAAAAGAGTCTTTGTTATATTTTTGACCTTTGTTCATCCATAGGAATTTTAGAATCAGCTTCTTAGTTTCTTGGGAAAAAAAGTGTGATTTGGCATCAAATTACACTGAATCTGTAGGTCAAATTGGGAAAAACTGGTAACTTCACAATAGAAAGTCTTCGTTTTGAATGTCGTCTTTTATTTATTTCTATAGTAGATCTTCTCTGATGTTTATCAAATAGAGTTTTAGAATTTATTCCATATAGGTCTCCTATAACTTCATTAGATGTAATTTATACTTTTTTGTTGTTATGGTGTATTAGTCTTTTATGCTGCTAATAAAGACATACCAGAGACTGGGTAATTGATAAAGAACAAGAGGTTTCATAGACTCACAGTTCCACGTGGCTCGGGAGGCCTCACAATCATGGCAGAAGGCAAAGGAGGAGCAAAGTCATGTCTTACATGGCAGCAGGTAAGGAAAGCTTGTGTAGAGGAATTCCCCCTTATAAAACCATCAGATCTCGTGATATTTACTCTCATAAGAACAGCACAGAAAAGACCCAACCCCGTGATTCAATTACCTCCCACCGAGTCCCTCCCAAGACATGTGGAAATGATGGGAGTTACAGTTCAAGATGAGATTTGGGTGGGGACATAGCCAAACCATATCATATGGTAAACTGCTTTTATACTTTTTAAATTTTCTGTTTGTTGCCAATGCTTAGAAATATATTTGGTTGTGCGTATTGGTCTTCTATTCAGCCATGTTGGTTAGCTCTGTTATTGTTAAATTATTATTTATTTTTGAGACAGAGTTTTGCTCTTGTTGCTCAGGCTGGAAGTGCAATGGCATGATCTTGGCTCACCGCAACCCCTGCCTCCCGGGTTCAAGCGATTCTTCTGTCTCAGCCTCCTGAGTAGCTAGAATTACAGGCGAGTGCTGCCACGCCTGGCTAATTTTGTATTTTTAGTAGAGATGGGGTTTCTCCATGTTGATCAGGTTGGTCTGGAACTCCTGACTTCAGGTGATCTGCCCTCCTCGACCTCCCAAAGTGCTGGGATTACAGGCGTGAGCCACACACCTGGCCAGCTCTGTTATTATTACCAAGAATTTGCCTGTAGATTTTGTGGGACTTTCTGTTTAGAGAATTATATCCTTATGAATGAAGTATATTCCAATACTCCTACCTTTTATTGCTGTTCCCAATCTTTGTACTTGTTGCTGCTTTTTCTTGTCTTAATGCACTTAGAAAATCCACTATAATGTTGAGTAGAAGTAAATAGGACTTCTAAGTCTTGTTCCTGATTTTAATAAGTCTGCTCATTATCTGCTGCATCTTTTGAGATTATCATATTTTTCCCCTGTAGTCTGTTAATGCGGTAAATTTTACATATATATATATATTTTTGTTTGTTTGTTTGTTTGTTTGGTTTTTGAGATGGTGTTTCACTCTTGCTGCCTAGGCTGGAGTGCAATGGTGCGATCTCAGCTCGCTGCAAACTCTGCCTCCTGGATTCAAGCGATTCTCGTGCCTCAGCCTCCCGAGTAGCTGGGATTACAGGTGTGTGCCACCACACCTGGCTAATTTTTGTATTTTTAGCAGAGAAAGGGTTTCACCATGTTGGTCAGGCTGGTCTCAAACTCCTGACCTCAGGTGATTTACCTGCCTTGGCCTCCCAAAGTGCTGGGATTTCAGGCATGAGCCACTGTGCCTGGCCAATGAATTATATTTTTATATTTTCTTTTCTTTATTATTATTATTATTATTATTTTGAGACAGGGTCTTGCTCTGTTGCCCAGGCTGGAGGGCAGTGGTGCCATCTTGGCTCACTGTAACCTTCACTTCCAGGCTCAAGTGATTCTCTCACCTCAGCCTCCCAAGTAGCTGGGACTACAGGCATGTGCTACCAAGCCTGGCTAATTTTTGTATTTTTTTTGGTAGAGACGGGGTTTTACCATGTTGCCCCGGTTGGTCTCTAACTCTTGGGCTCAAGTAATTCACCCACCTTGGCCTCTCAAGGCACTGGGGCTACAGGTGTGAGCCACCATGCCTAGCCATATTTTTTATTTCCTAATGTTTAACTGCGCTTGCATTTCTGGTTAAACTCAACTTGTTTATGATGTATTATCTATTTGAAATAAACTCCTAAGCTTGTTTCATTAGTATTTAATTTGAATTTGTAGCTATGTTTATGAGTGAGATTGGTTCAAAAGGTTTCTTTATTGTCCTGTCCTTCTTTGGTTTTGCTATCAAGGTTACGTTAATATCATTGAGTGAATTGTGTCATAGTCCCTCTTTTTCTGTTTTATAGGACATTTTTAAAGATTGGAATGATCTCGTTCTTGAAACCTAGGTGTAAGTAATTTGTAAACATATCTGAACTAAATATTTTCTTTGTGGGAAGATTTAAAAATATTGATTGCATTTCTTTGGTAGATACAAAACAATTCAGGTTCTCTGTTTTTGAGTAAGTTTTGGTAAATTATAGTTTTCTAGGAATTTGCCCATTTCACCTAAGTTTTTGAATATGTGGCCTAAATTGATTCAGAGTAGCTCATCTAAAAAAATCTTTGCCTTGTCTGTGATTAGGTCCCTTTTTATTCTAATATTGCTTATTTGTGCCTTCTTTTTTTTTCCTCGCTCAATCTCAGCAGAGATTGTTCTGTTTATAAAATAAAACTTTTAATTTTGTGGATTCTTTTTTTGTAGCTTTGTTTACTTTTTTCTGAACCTCTGTTTTTATCTCTGTTATCTATTTCCTCCTACTTTGATTGTTTTTCTATTTTTCCTCCTAATTTCTTGAGTTGAACACAAAGCTCATTAATTTTTAACCTTTCTTCTTGTCTGAAACAAGCTTTCAAATTAATAAATTGTCCTTAGAGAATGACTTTGACTGTTTTACAGAACATGGTAGGTGATATTTTCATTATCATTCGGCTTTTAGGATTTTTACATTTCTTCCATAATTTTTTCTTTGACACATGAATTACCTACAAGTGTGTTTCCACATTTTTCAATATATAAGAACTTTTATAGATTTATCTTTTGTTATTGCCTCTAACTTAATTACTTTGCGCACAGAGAATGAGGACTGTGTTATAATTTTGTGAGACTTGCCATATGGTCTAATAAATGGACAATTTTTGTAATTGCACTATGATATTTAAGAAAAATAAGTGCATTTGCCAACTGTTGGATGCAGAATTTTTATCTATTTGATTGTTATTAATTGTGTTGTTCAGATCTTCCATATTTTTAATATCTTTGCTTTGGGTGGTCTGTTGGTAATTGAGAGAGATATATTGAAAGCTCTCATTGGCAATTTCTCTTTGTAGTTCAGTAAATATTTGCTTTATATATTTGAAACAATTTTTCTAGGTGTAAAACTTTGAAGTTATTATATCACTGACAATTGGAACGTTTATAAAAATCAAGTAGTGGTCCCTCTCTAACTCTAACGATACCTATTTTCATCAGTCTATTTTGTGTGATTTTTAATATACACTTCTGTTTTTTTGGTTACTGTTTTCCTGCTACATCTTTCAACCATTTTGTGTCTTAAGTTTTAGGTTTTTCTTTTGAAAGAGCATGTAGTTAGAGGTTTTTTGTTTGTTTGTTCCCCAATCTGTCTTTTACTATAAAGTTTAGATTTATATTTATTATAATTATTAATATATCTAGACATTTTCTACCACCACACTTTTAATTTTTATTTGTCCAACTTTTATTTGGCTTTCCCCCTTTTCCTTTATTGCTCTCTACTCAGTTGATTGGGGTTGGGCTTTTGTTTGTAAGTTTGTTTTCTTTTTCCATTTTTCTCTCTTCTATTTTAGAAGTTATTGGACTTTTTGTTATCTGAAAATTGACTATAGTGACTTAGAAAAATTGCACCGAATATTCTGTATCTGAATAAAAAATCCACTGCAATGAATTCACATTCATCTGCTAGCAAAAGACATTGAAATTGCATGTAAGTCCAAATGAAAAGATGTAGAGTCCATTTCAGTCATAGCCGTTCTCTAGTAAGCTCACATATTGTGCTCCCATTACTTAAATAGGCATGGATTGTCACTATTACTGTATTTTCCACATTATTAAAGTGAAAAAGCTTATTAAAGGACAGAAAATGCCATAGAGAAAATAAGTGAATGTAAAATATTCACTGCATGGACACCAGACATTTACTGTTGTGCTCACTCCTTTACCAGCTCACTCTTGCCTAATATAATGCAATTATTTCTCATCAAATGAAAGCACACTGGCTTTCCCTGACCCAAAATAAGATCCAGAGTTCCTTTATCCATCTTTATGTGATCTACATTTCTCTTTTAGTTTAGTCACATTCACCCTTCAATAGATACCCTGTAACTGAAATAGTGGGATATAGAGTTAATTCTTTTAGCACGTAAACATGCAAAGAAATATTACACAGCAGTGAAAATGGAGTACTACATGTAACAATATTGATATATCTTACAAACATAATGTTAAGTAAAAAAGATAATTTGTAGGATAATATATACAGTAGAATTCCATTTACATAAGTCTGAAAGCACACCAGGGCAGAAGTGGGTCATGTAATTAATATAGCCTGTGTTCTGTTTGGCAAGCAAGGCACCTTGGTTTAGAGTTGTGTCCAACCCAAAGAAGAGGAGCTTTTTTTCTAATTTGCACAGAGGCTCTGGATGGGCTACCTATGACTCTGGGTATATGTAAAGGTATTGGTAATATTCTAATTCTTATATTTGGTGATGGGGTCATGGTTTTTATTCTGTAATGTTGTTACCTCAAACCTACTAGTTTGCTTCCCTAGAGTCAGTTGTTGTTGACAGTTGCTTGTATATCCATCCAAAGATACCTAGTGCTTTGGAAGCACAGACAAATGTATATTTGTGCTTTTATACAAAACACAGTAGAAGCATTCTATGACATTGTATTGGATCTTTTTTTTTCTACTTAATGCTATGTCTTAGAATTGTTCTATGGTCACAAATACAGATATACCTCATTTCTAAAATGACTATGCAGCATTCCATCTATATTATGTGCCATAATTTATTTAACTTGTCTTCTATTAATGAGACATTTCAGTTGTTTCCCATCTTTTGCTTTTATGAACAATGCTGCAATGAGCATTCCATTATGGGTATTTTTGCCCACTCATGTGATTATATCCATAGGATAAATTCCTAGGAGTGAAAACGCTGGGCCAAACAGAATATATTTTGACATTTAGTGCCAGATTAAGTTTTTAAAAGCCATAACACCAATTTATTCCCTTGTTAATACAGGGAGTGCTCATTTCTCTCACAGAAATATCATACTTTGTTGTTATTGTTCATTTGATAAGTTAAAAAGAATAGTCAATCACTGTGTTTATTTTCTATTAAGAAAAGAAGATTGATCATAAAAGTTATTTTAAAAATCTTCAGGGGTTCAAAGGAGGTAGAAACATCTGTTTGGGAATGAGGGGCAGGGAAATTCTCAGAGGAGGTAGCCTTCAAGCAGGCCCTGTAATAATATGTAGAACTATGACAGTTGAGATGGAGGCAGGTGACAGAGTGTTCAAGGCGGAGAGTGTGGTATGTAAGGGCACAGAGGGTGGGAAATTGTTTTACAAGTAACCCAGTTTGTCTAAAGCAGAGTGAGCACATCCTGAGTAGTGACAAGAAATGTACTAGGAATCAAAATCTACCTAGTAGGCAGCAAGGAATCACTTAAGTAGGGGCTTCTAGCCTTGATTGCCCATTACAACAACTGGGAGGTTAGAAAATATATATTGATATTAAGTCCCTCCCCAGACAGATTATATTAGAGTCTCCAGTAGGAGCTTTCTCCCCAGGGGACATTATTTTGTAGCCAGGGCTGAGAATCACTGCATTAAGGACAAATGGACTAGGGAGTAAAAAGCTCAAAAGTGGGCTTGCAGATTTAGAGTTGTAGATCACATGCTGTTTACCTCTAAATTTATTTAATAATTTGAAATATGGGAAAAAGATAATTACTTAGTTCCAAATTTAATTTAGATAAATTTCCGCTATAGCTTAAAATGATAACTAGTCTATGTCTCAGAATAATTAATTTTGGCTGGGCGTGGTGGCTCACTCCTGTAAATCCCAGCACCCTGGGAGGCCAAGGTGGGTGGATCACTTGAGGTCAGGAGTTCGAGACCAGCCTGCCCAACATGGTGAAACCCCGTCTCTACTAAAAATACAAAAATTACCTGCGCATGGTGGCAGGCACCTGTAATCCCAGCTACGCGGAAGGCTGAGGCAGGAGAATCGCTTGAACCAGGGAGGTGGAGGTTGCAGTGAGCTGAGATTGCACCACTTCAGCCTGGGCGACAGAGCGAGACGCCATCTCAAATAATAATAATAATAATAATAATAATCATAATAATGTATTTTTTTCTTTCAGGGGATACGATCATTTACCAGGTGGGTGTAATTCACAGTGAAAACTGCTTACACATCAGTGATTTGAGGCAGAGGCCGCCCGACTGCCCCAGAATTCCCCTAGAATTAGATGGTTCTTAGAGCTTGGTGAAGCGTCGCCTTGACACTAGGGGGAGCCATGGACTGTGATTAGGTGAAAAACTGCAGCTCCAACGAAACAGAGGTAGAATTTGAAGAGGGAGGAGACTTGGAAAGCATACGCTCTGGTCCCTCATTTCCGTTTTACTTTTTAATTTATCTTTTGTGTGTGCAAAATTTTCTTCTTCTCTTCTCTTTTCTTGTCTTTTCTTTTCCTTTCTTTCTTTTTTTTTTTTCCGGAGTTTAGCTTTTGTTGCTCGGGCTGGAGTGCAATGGCGCCATCTCGGCTCCCTGCAACCTCCGCCTCCCAGGTTCACGCGATTCTTCTGCCTCAGCCTCCCGAGTAACTGGAATTACAGGCGCCTGCCACCCGCCCTGGCTATTTTGTATCTTTAGTAGAGATGAGGTTTCACCGTGTTTGTCTTGTACTCCTGACCTCAGATGATCAGCCCGCCTCGGCTTCCCAATGTGCTAGGATTACAAGCTAGCACTTTGAGCCACTGGGCCCCGCCATTTTCTACTTTTCAAATAAGTTACATATTTATATAGTTCTAAGTTTACAAAGTAAAAATGCTGTACAGTCTGTGCAGTGGATATTCTCTCTGTATGCCTTCAGATCTACTCTCCACTCTGCCTTGAGCCCCAAGAGGCTCATCCCTAAGGATGTCCAGAGATCCAAGTGCAGAAGGAGAATGTGGTGAGGCTATTTATTCCCCCAGTGCCTTCCCTGCTGGGCTATGGATGAACAGTGGCTGACTTCATCTAGGAAAGAGCTATGGCTTCTGTCCCGTAGCCCCTTTTATACCTATAGCTCTCTCTCTCTGGATTCAAGTAACCACTTACTCCCCTTCTTCATCCTTAGGACTTAGGTATGATAATGATTCCCCTCTGTAGGTTGCCCATTGGAAAGTGTCAGCATCCTTTGTTGGGTGCCTTAGCCCTGTCCACAACTTTGTAAATAATTCTGTCACTCAACTCCTCGATGACGCCTTTTGAATATGCCATATATTTCCTGCTGAGATCCTAACTGGTACGTTCTCCTTCCTCACTTCTCTGTCCCACGCCAATTCAGTTCTCCTCTTGAAGCAACCAATTTTAGAAGTTTCCTGTATTTATGCAATATGAGCATAAAGGAATATATCTAGTCCATTTATCCTTTCTTGTGCAAATTGTAGTATATTATATGTCCTGTTCTGCACTGTAGTTGTTTTTTATCCCACATAATAGTATATCCTAGAGATCATTCTATAGCAGTATGTAGGGGTCTTTCTTATTACCTTTTTTTTTTCGGGTTTAGAGCAGAAATTTAATAGGTGAAAGAATGAGAATAGCTCTCTGCTACAGAGAGGGATCCTGGAAAGATAGGTTGCCAATTCACAGTTTGGATACGGAGGCTTTTATAAGAAACGGATAGGGGGCTGGTCATATCATTTGCATAAGGTGTGCATTTCTGGTAATTCCACCCCATCTTCCTAGTGTGGATGTGGGCTCTTAGCTTGAATTACTCCATGTTGCTTCGTTTCCCTTACTGCACATGTGTCAGGGGACAGAATTTTCCATTGCAGGTATGTCTGGGCAAGTCTCCTGTATAGTCTTTCTTATCTATGCAGCTGAGGGGATGTCTTAGTCAAGCCCCCTTATCTCTTGAGCAACTTCCCTTATCTATGCCTGCAACTTGATTTTTTCAGGCTGTTCTTTTGTTTGAAATAATTTAATCTTATTACTTTTTATGGCTGCATTATATTCCATTTTATAGGTGCACAATTTTTAGCCAGCCTTCTATCAACAGACATTTAGGTTGTTTCCAGTCACTTACTTTTACAAATGTTGCTTTAAGGAATAACCTTGTATGTAGGTTATTTCTCCTTATTTTATGTATGAGGAAAATGAAACAGAAAGAGATTAAGTTGTCTAAAGTCAGTCATTGGCAGAGTCTATGTCATTAGTAACACTACTAACACTCAGTTAGTAGAGTGAGACTTGAGTGACCTGTATAGTCTTCATTATGAGACTGGAGTGATCTGAATCTTGCTGAGGGACCCCCACAAAATTTACTGCACATTTCCACTCTTCTTAAAATTTTCACCCTTACACATTTATTTCCTAGCATCATGGTTAAAAGCATGGATTGTATAGCCACAATGCTAGGTTGTATTTTCCACTCCATTACTTATTAGCTGTTGACATTGGACAAGTCACAACCTTTCAGTGCCTCACTTTCCTCATATATAAAATAGTTCCTCATGGTGTTGCTAAGGGCATTAAGTGCCTGCCACATGTTAAGGGCCATATAAGCACTGACTCTTATTAGTAGTGCTCTTATCATTCTTTTGGCTTGTGGCTGTGCTCCATTATTAACATTAAAACACAGCCTGAGAGCTATCTCCTATTTCATCAGTAGTTTACCTTTTATGTAAGTGAGATCATCAGATCACTTCTTGATAGGAAATTAGGGCAGATAATTAGGGATATGTGATATCCCTTGATATGTGAAATGGGGCCTAAATGAAAGGGAGTTTCTGAAGATAACTTCACCCACTTCACAGTTTCATTCTGATATTCCTGTTCACATATACTTAAAACAGTGAGACCCACAAATATTTCCTGAACTGGATTCATTGTCCATAACCCCTCCACCATTCACCATCCTTTACCAACAAAACCAAACCCCATCTTCCTCTCACAAGCCCACATCACATTCAGGTGGATCAATTAACACATCTCAGAATTATCCTTGACTGGTCTCTTCCACATCATCCACATCAAATTTCTTATCAAGCCCTGTAGATTATTAATTCTTAATAGTTTTCATCTTCATTCCCATCCCTTTTTCTCTATCTCCTTTGAGATTGCCTTAACTCATACTCATATTTCTGTGGGCCATTGCAGAACTTTGGTTAGTCTTTCCCACTCTCTCTCCCTCCCCTCCCTCTCTTTCTCTCTTTGCTCTGCAAATATGTATTGAGTGGCTGTTATTTATCAGGCCTTGAACTGGCACAGGGATGCAAAAGTGAATAAGACAGAGGGATCCTAAAGCCAACTGCAACCTTAACGTAATCCTAATACTCAATTCATGAAATTTTTACTCCAAAGAGAATCAGGTATTAAACATACAGTTATACAAATAATTGGTTCAGGATAACAGGAATCTCTGTTTTCTGCTATAGTCTCTCCCTGAAACAGAGAGATTATTAGCTCAGGCTTTATGTCTGGGTGGTGAGGGCTTCCTAGTCTCAGAAATGCATTACAACCTTTGCTTTAGAAAGTCTCTGTGATGGTAAGAACTGGAGTTTGGAGGAGAAGACGAAAGGAAGTGGCCTGACCCTAACGGAAAGGAGAATGCCTGAGACTGTCCTGGATAGGGACTTGGGGGAACAGGTTTGCAGTAGGTTCTATAAGGCTTTGGGATGTTATCACACTTTTGCATAGTTTTCCAAAGACTATGACACTTGCAGTGGGAGAGGCATAGGTAGATGTCTGTGGTGGCCTGGCCTGAGTGCTCTGGCCCCCAAAGCAGTGGCAAGAATTCCTTGTGGAGGACCTGTGGTCAAAAGAGAGAACTTTGTGGGAGCATCTCTGCAGTCTGCCAAGGGCAGTAGGGCCTACCAAATTCCAAAGGACCAGCCCAATGACCTGAGGGACCAAAGACCAGGCCCTCCTCCCTTTTCATGGGGCTGTGTAAGCCCTAGGGCCCTAGTTGGCCTGCCACTGGGTGAGTGTGGTGGGGTGTAATAATTGCAGTTACCTCTGTGTAAGACAATAAAAAATGGTGGCTCCACATGAACCTTATTCCATAAGCTATTTCTATATGGTTAGTTAATTTCTATTCTTTTTCTTAAAAATAAACCAAAAAGGAGTTTTTTTAAAGTCACAAATTAGTTGTGTTATCATGTACATCACAAATTCCCTCTGGGACTCTGTTTCCTTATCTGTGAAATGTGGGGGATGATGTTGGATTTCTGTTCCAGCTCTACTATCCCAAGGTTTTATGTTGTCTCATCCAGAGAACAGAATAGTTAATACAATGACTTGAGAGTTTCTTTCTTTGCTTTAATCATGTTGATTACACTCCCAGCAAAGAAAATGAAAGCTGATGAGATCTATCTACATCACCAAGTATCAGAGTTTATATAATTCATGCTAATTTCTGTAAACTCTCCCTGTAGATGAAACATGCAGTTAGCAGTGAAGTTGAAGCAAGAAATGCTATATCAAGAGCACATGAACTGTCTTTGTTTGAGGCAGATCATGTGAAGTTGATACCGAGATGACTTTCTCACGTGTGACTGGTGACACTGGAAAGAGGAGGAAGGAAATTTTTTGACTTAAGAGACTCTTTATGCTAAATGAACAGGAAAACTCCCCTTCCTCCCTTGAGTAACATGAATCTTACTTGCCACCAGGCCTTTCCAGATGGGGAGTGAACAAGGCTTCATTGGCAAATAGCCAGCTTCTTCCATGGACCTAAGGGGGTTGTTAGAGAATATGCTTTATTGATGTGGCATTTAATTACAGAAGTAGGTATTTTGAGGGAGGAGGGTGAGTAGGAGGAATCAATGTAATTTTTCAACTGGAGAAATAGATTGCTGGATGAGACAGTCATGTGTATTAGAGGTATGGACTCTGGAGACAGACTGCTGTGCTCTTAGCCTGGCTTTGCTACTTACAAGCTCTGTGACTTCGGGCAAATTACTCTCTGTGCCTTATATGTAAACTGGGGACAATAATGGTATCTAGCTCATAGGAGGATTATGTTATAAAGATTAAATAAGTTAGTATTTATAAAGCACATAGAATAGTGCCTGACACATGGTAAGAACTTTACAAAAAGTGTTTGTTGTTGTTGCTGTTATTTTTACATGCCAAGGCACACATATTGACTCAAACTTAGATATTTAAATCAAACTTCAGAACTCAGCTTTAAAGCAGTTCCATACCATATGGTAATAAATTCATCTGCCCGTTATGTGGTTATCAGAGTTAGTTAGATCACTGCAGATTTCTTCTGAGAACCAGGTAAAGAGGTTAAGAAAGAGGAGCTATGTAAGAAGGAAAATGTTGTGGACAGCCAGAAGAAATGTCTTATAACTGGTATTGTAAGTAAGAAATTTTCCAGCCAAACTTTTTCAAAAAAATGATACTGAATTACTTGATAAATCATGTTCTGGGGTTTCTCTAACTTCTCCAGGTGGATTGGAGTAGGTGTGTGTCTATACACCACCAGTATCAAGTGCTTTCAGCTTTCCTCCAAGATGTAGAAACATCAAACAAGTGCATCAAAACTTTTCAATCTATTTTTAAAAATCTAGTCATGTGAGATTATGAAGTGTGAACTCTCATTCATTTAAAGTAATTACCAATTTTTACATATATCCTTAATTTTTATTTTGACATGTAAGATTTCTGGATTTTTTTACTTGTCTTGTTCCCCTGGTCCACAGAGTATAAGAGTATAGCTTGCATTTGGTTCACCTGGTGAATATATGAACACAGTTTTTCATGTGTTGATTTTCTCTAAGATTTGAAAAACTATAGCAAGATTATCTGTAAGATTGTGCCTAGTTGGTGACATTTGGAGGGATCCTTCTTTTTTGAACTCTTTTATGCTTTCTAAATTTTTCAAAAATGAACATGCATTTTAAACAATTGAAATCTGAAAAAAATTAATGTTTGCTATTTGGCTTATATTCTTTTTCTTTTTCTTTTGGTTTATTTTGGCTTATTTTCTTTAAAAAGGAAAATAAATTAACTAGCTTGACTGCCTTCCAGAAATAACCCAGGGAATAAATACATGAAGTCAGTATTTTTTTATTGCCTTAAAAAGAAAAATTTTGCAATTACCCAATTCAGTTTTTTTGTCCCCCCAACACAGGGTTTCACTCTGTTCCCCAGGCTGGAGTATAGTAGTGTGATCATGGCTCACTGCAGCCTCAACCACCCAGGCTCAAGCAATCTTCCCGCCTCAGCCTCCTGAGTAGCAGGGACTATAGGTGTGACCACCATGCCGGCTAATTTTTATCTTTTCAGAGATGAGGGTTTGTGTTGTCCAGGGTAGTCTTGAACCCTTGGGCTCAAGTGATCCTCCTGCCTCGGCCTCCCAAAGTTCTGGGATTACAAGCGTGAGTCACCATGCCTGGCCCCAAATCTTGACTCTAGCATAGGTCCTTGGGTGGTCATCAGTGTTAAATTTCATGATGTGTCAGAAAGACCTTATCTCTATTCTTTTCGAAAATGATTCCACATCACTCTGAGCAAGTCTGGTCCTAGATAAGTAGACAATCTCTTAGATGAAAAGATCCAAGATACTAGGCCCAAAGTGCTGTCAAACAGCTTCCCAGCTGTTTGCTATACTGGACCTGAGGCTATGGAGATCTAGGATTAAATTCTTCAAAGAGAAAAATGGAAATTTGGAAATTTGGATATCTTACCATACTCTGTTTTCTCTATGTGTGAATGTATTTAATTTAGGCTTTGCTTTTTCTCTCTGTGTGAATACGTTTAATTTATGTTTTGTTTTGAATGATATTTCATCCTGAAGTCACGTGATAACATGCAGTATTCAAGATTCTCAGTTCCCCTTACTGCAAAACCACAGTTGCATCTTCAGAAACTGACCTAAATGAGAACAAGGTGATGTAAGAAGACAAAACCTGGATTGAGGTTTTGCAAGATATTAGCAAGTTTCTCAGAGGAATCTCTTTTACAGTCCCAGAGTGAAATTCTGGATATTTTAGCCAAGAATTATTGGCCCCTTGCACTTCCTTATTTTACCAAGGCCCTTGACAGCTGAAAACTCCCTGCAAATCCAGTACCTACTACATTTCACACAGCATCCCACAGTCCCAGAGAGGTGCAAGTGGCTAAGTCTTGATCCCAACTCCTGGAAGCTTACAGTCTTGTCAGAGAGACAGTTACATGGCAACAACTGAGGAATTCTTGAAAAGCAGATCAGGGCTGGGCACTGTGGCTCATGCCTATAGTCCCAGCACTTTGGAAGGCTGAGGCAGAAGGATTGCTTGAGTCCAGGAGTTCGAGGCCAGCCTGGGCAATATAGTGAGACCTTGTCTCAAAAAAAGAAAAAAAGAAAAGCAATCAAATCAGCCCCATTGAAAAGATTGTATCAAGATTGCCTATCCATTTGGGTTTCCAAATTCAGCCTAAAACAAAAACTGTATCACTCTACCCACAATACTGCTGATACCAAACGTATTTTGTTTTTCCACACCAACAACCAGTTCTCCAGCTCTCCAGACACCAGCTGGATGTCCTTCAATTCAATTCACTCACTTCTGACCCTGTCTACCTGGGATCAGCATCAGACCCCACAGGTTAAGGGCTCTGTTCCACAAGACTTCTCCCACTTCAGATGTCAGTCACAAATGGTGAGTCCCAGGTTACTCACGCTTCTGTCAAACTTGGCTACAAGTTGGGCATTCCCAAGACCCCTTCCTTACATTCAATAATTTGCTATAATGGCTCATAGAACTCAGATGCTTTAACTTAACATTTACTGGTTTATTGTAAAGGATACAGATGAACAACCAGATGAACAAGTACACAGAGCAAGGTCCGGAAGGGCCGCCACTCCCCTTAGAGTTGGGGTGCATCACCCTCCTGGCATGTGAATGTGTTCACCAACCCAGAAGTTCTCCAAGCCTCGTACATAGTTTAGGGATTTTTATGGGTGAGCAAGAACTCAGAGTAAGAACTCACCACCGAGAGGATGGCACTAAGACATTCATGAGGGTTCTACTCCTATGATCCAAACACCTCCCACCCAGGCCCCACCTCAAACACGGGGGATTACATCTCAACGAGATTTGGAGGGGACAAACATCCAAACCATATCACCAGGCAACTGTTAGAATTGCAGAATATTGGGCCCCATCCAAGACCTACTGAATCAGTACCTGCATGTTAATGAGATCTCTAGGTGTATTATGTTGCACATCAAAGTGTGAGTAGCGCTGGTTTAGGTGACACCTGGTAAGAAGCAAAGGTTTGCTTTGAAGCATATTCCTTAGATATTGCTGAACACTATATTTCCCTTTATGCTTTCACAGATCTACTATCAGTTGTGCCTCAGTTATATTAACTATAATTCCCAGTTATGAAAAACAGAGACATGAGAAGAATTTAACTTGCCCATAACAACTGGCAAAATTAAAACGGAAGGAAGAGAATGCAGAATGCAGACTCCTCTGCTTCCCTTTCCTTTTCTCTCCATCTTTTTTTCTTACGACCCAGTCTCGCTTAACCTGAATCTCCACCTGGGAGTTGTAGCATTCCTAGGCTAGCTATCACTAAGGTTGGAAAAAGGAATGATCAAGAAGGCTTCAGCCTGGAGATAGTGACTGAAAATCACCCTGGGGCAGCTGGAAAATAAAAAGAAATAACCCTTAAAAAAGATGCTAGGAGGAAAGAAAGGTAATCCCATCTCTACCTGTCCTAGCTTCACTTTCATCTTTTCTGCTTTTTTTCTTTTGCCAATTCACTGTACCATTCGGTTATATAATGTATATATTGAGCACCTACTGTCTGTCAGGCACTGATACCTGCATTTTCCTAGTAACGACAGGGCTTTCTACACACTTTCTGATCTCCCTTGAGACCCTGGCCCTTCTCCAAAGCCCGTAAAAGCCACTGTCTTTCCTGTGTTAAATCTTCTCCCGCTGTGGCCTCAGGTGGCTCATTGGAACAGCAGGAACAGTTAAATCTGGAAGGCTTCAGGGTTTCTGTTATCTGCTCACTCCTCTACATGTGGGATTCTCTGATTCTTTTTCTCTAAAGGGGATATTAAGGGGGAAAATATCCAGGTTCAACTGGGGTTTTAGCACCTGTGGAAAATAATTATTGAACTTGACTGAGTGAAGGGCTGGCTGATTTTGGTGGATCCCTGAGGTCAGAGCTCAGTTGATTCCCTAAAAACCATTGAGTAATTTCCCTCAAAAGAAGATTAGGTTAAAGAGTAAGTTTGAGGTGCACAGAGGGAAACTTTGTGGGAGGGAAAACAGAAGAGAAATAACACCATTACCCCAATCTATTTCTGATAAATCAGCATAGAAAATCCATAATGTTGTAATTCTATTATCAATGGATGATAGAGAAGCATATTACCACAAAACAAGGATGATGAAGGAAAGATATAAAGGGGACATATAGTGATGTCTGTTTTGGCTTTTAAATCAAATTCCACAATAGGACTACATAAGAACCAATTTGAATGCTTACCACAAATTGGTATCTCTGCTTACATATTCTCTTTTTACCATTTTCCTACTGGTATCTGATTCTGTTAACAGTGTACCTACAGGGGCCAGGCACTTTGGGAGGCTGGGGCGAGTGGATCGCTTGAGCCCAGGAGTTTGAGACCAGCCTGGGCAACATGGTGAAACCCCATCTCTATTTCCTTAAAAATTGAAAAGTGAAAAGTAAAAATTAAAAAACAAATTTTAGAAAGTGTATGTACAGTGTCAGGGAAAGGGGAAATTTAAGGAAGAAACATGCAAATATTGAGGTTCTACTGTAGTGCCGTCAGAAGCAACTTTAATCTTTCAAATGTCACAAAGTTACATAGCAACCGTTGGAAAGAAATCTAATCTAGACCTCCAAGTTTCCCCTATTTCTTTAAATAAGGGAAAGTCTTCAGTAATTAAAGACCACTTTAAACCGGCCTGTGGGTTGCTTGAGTTAAAAAAAAAAAAAAAAAAAGAGGAAAGAAAGAATTTGTAGTTAATTGATAGGTGGACACCACATTGAGGGTCAAGTGGTTCAATGTACCTTAGAAGGAACCCATGGTAAGTCTTTGTAACTGAAAGTGAAGCAATGGGCCAGGTGTGGTGGCTCATGCTTGTAATCCCAGCACTTTGGGAGGCCGAGGCGGGCGGATCACCTGAAGTCAGGAGTTTGAGATCAGCCTGACTAACATGGTGAAACCCCGTCTCTACTAAATATACAAATTTAGCTGGGAGTGGTGGCACAAACCTGTAATTCCAGCTACTTGGGAGGCTGAGGCAGGAGAATGGCTTGAACCCGGGAGGCGGAGGTTGCAATGAGCCAAGATCGCGCCACTGCACTCCAGCCTGGGCGACAGAGTGAGACTTTGTCTCAAAAAAAAAAAAAAGAAAGAAAAAAAGTGAAGCAGTATAGTGTTTGTCAAAGCGTGATCTGTGCATTCGTGCCCATCCACAAACTGTTGTTCCTGGTCTGCAAAGGAACTGAGTGTAGAAACTTTAGAGCAATTTCACAGAATAATTTTAAGTCTATTGAATCTAATGGTTAAAAAGATTAAGTCTTCTATTTGTAATACCTTTACTTATTTAATTTTTCTGCTAAATTATTTTTATTATAGCTTTTAAAAGTATTGGTCTGTGAAGGATTGGAGGTTGAAAAAAACAAAGTAACAACAATTTTTTACCACAGTCCGTTTGAGAAGCACCCGTCTAGATTGTGCTTTCAGGTGGTTGCTTTCAGGGCTTTGTCATTGTGCAACACTAGGGGGCACCATCTGCATGGTTGTGTAACACAGCCGCCCTAATTTCTAATGACCAGTGCTAGATAAGAGGGCTGTGAATTATCCAACTGTAGACCACAGATGTGCCTTTATATGGACACATGATTTTGGATGGGTGGGGATATTTTGTAAACTTAAACTGTTGAGCCCAGATATGTAAAACAACTTGTGTTTGAAATGTCAGATTTGTATTATGTATTAACCTGGTAGGCAACTTTTTGATTCCTCAGGACAGAGAGATATCACCCCTTCTACTCCCACTGACCAAGAAAGTTTAGCTGGTTTTGCCAAGATTTGGCAGAAACTGCCTTTTACCATTTCATTTTCCTTTGTGGCAGTTTTGTAAGTGGAGAGGAAGTGTTTGAATCTGAGCCCCCTGCAGCTCCGGTTTGAGTTACAGCTTGAGGTCATTGTTCATTGATAGGCAATCACGTATGTTTGCTTAGAAACAGTAAGCATCTCTCCCAATACATTGTTCTTCTTAATTATGTTTTAATTAGGTGAATCTTAAAATACATTTTTCTTGGTGGTATGATGTAAAGAACTTTGGAGTTATGTAAGCCTGTATGTGGACCCCAGGACTGTTATAATACCTGGCTGTGTTACTTGGGAGATAGGACTCTCAGCTTTCATTTCTCATCAATAAAATGGGGATAATCCTGCCTATCTTGCCAAGGTGTTGTAAGGGGTTAAGTAAAATAATTCATGCAAAACACACCCCACATGGTACTTAGCATAGCACGCTTTCATATGTGTTAATTTCTTCTTCACTTTTATTTGGGCAATAGGCCCAAGAGAACTTAGGGGAAGGATGAATGATAAGTAAGTAAGGCAAGGAAAGGAATGAAAGAACATAGCCTTGGATTGGCAATCTGCAGTCCATTAAAGTCAGCTGGTTCAGGGCATTGTACCCCAGCATGTGAACTAATTTGCATTTTTAATGCCCATCGGCCTGATATCATGGGAATGTGCCCAGCCAATTTGGGAATATCATTCAAACCATCCACAAGGACCATGTATAGCAGAGGTGTCCAGATTTCACCAGCCTTCAGTGGGCCACACTTCTAATTAATGCCCAAATAACTTTCAGCTTCATCCCCTTATGTAACTGTGAGAAGATTAGTCTCTGACTTTTCCCAAAGAATTTCTGGAAATTCCCAGGAATTCTTACCATCTACTAATAGAGCCCCATTAAGAGTCCATCTTGTAATTCCCCAAAACAGAGAACAAGACTATCATTTAACAAAATTTTACTGAAAGAGATGTGGGAAAGAGATTTTACTGAAAGAAAATCATGAGAAGAAATAACAAGGCAGAAAAGAAAAATATAAAACTGGGCCCTGTAGAACATCCCCTACCTTTATCTCATAGGAGGACTATCTCCCCTTTATTCCCTGTCCCTCTACCTTGTGGTAGGGATCAATATTCCTACAGATAACAAGAGTCCATTGACCATGGCTCCCCTTCCCAGACCCCAAGGAAAACAGTCTCAGGGCTGCTCAGTAAATATTTGTTGAATTAATGAATGGTCTTAACCTTCCCATTCCAGATTAAGATCTTGGCTTTATATTTATATGATTGTTAAAATTTTTATTTAGATTTTTTCCCCTCAAACAATCAGTTTCAAATGTAAATTTTGAATCTCCCTTCTATTATACACTTAAAGATCTGTTAAGGGGTAAAAAAAATTTACCTTCCAGATAGGTAATTTTTTTAATTTGGCAACTTGGGAATAGTAGCTTTTCTCTGTCCTTGTACCCAACTTCTTAACTTTAACAATGAAGATTTTATGGGCCCAATGGCCCCAGCCTAAGCTGGTGCACCTTGTTACATAGGGCATTTACTGTTGAGAGCATATTTCTGAGAATCCCAAGATTTTCACTTTTGCATAAAGGCTGACTGAGTAGACTCTGTTATCCTATAATATAGCTTTTAAAACAAATTATTGTACTAGTAGCTAATTGCTCATTAAGATCTAGCTTTATGGGCTAGGCGCAGTGGCTCATGCCTATAATCCGAGCACTTTGGGAGGACGAGACAGGCGGATCACTTGAGGTCAAGAGTTTGAGACCAGCCTGGCCAACACTGTGAAACCCCATATCTACTAAAAATACAAAAATTAGCTGGGCTTGGTGGTGGGTGTCTTTATCCCAGCTACTTGGGAGGCTGAGGCAAGAAAATCGCTTGAGCCTGCAAGGTAGAGGTTGCAGTGAGCCAAGAGCGTGCCACTACACTCCAGCCTGGGCAACACAGTGAGACTCTGTCTCAAAAACAAAAAAAAAAAGATCTGGCTATATTGCTATATACTAACTGTGATAGGTTCTGTAGTTCCTCTCAATAACACTGCCAGGTAAGGTTCGTTATTTTATGTATGAGGAAACTAAGGTTCAAAGAGAACGACTTGTCTGTAGTCATGCAGCTGGTTAATGGCAGAGCTGGATTCAACTCAGGCAAGCTACCTATAGATCTCAGGGCAGGTAGGAAAGGGTTATATTAGACTCAAGTAGGAAGCTTTATGAAATTGCTCCCCACTTCCTGCTTCTCCATGATATTCTGATATGTACCCCAAATGGCTGTGAATCTTTGCAGAAGTCAGTGGTTGTTACTGACCGGAGAGTGAGGAATTATCTTCCATGTTTTGGGGGTGGTAAAAATTCTGAGAACCACCACCACATGTTACTTCTTCCATCTGCCTTCCGCTGCTTGAGGCTTCAAAATAAAGTTGTAAGAAATTCCAGCTCTTTGCCCTTACCAATATAGCCCAGGGTGACTCTTACTTAATTCTGTATATGAGTTCCAGAAAATATAGAACTCTATAGAAAAAAATGTATGGCACTTGGCTGAGATTTTCTGTTGACTTCCCTCCAGTCCTTATAAGATCACTTTTCCCTTACTTGATTGTTGTCCCCCATTGACCAAACCAGCAGGTTCTGGCCACTCCCCTCAGTGACTAAAGCTGTCAGCGTCATTACTAGGGTTAAGGCCCTGTCATGGGCTGCCCCAGCCACACACATATTCCAGCTGCTTTGCCTGTTTTAGTCATCCTGTGACATCTCTTCTTGTTATATAGGATATCATCTATGTAAAAGATGAGAGAGAGAGAGGGCTTCTGTGATCTGCAAACCCTTTGAAGACAAGGCTGATGTTTTACTATCTATCTTGGTGCCTAGTACAGTGCTTAGTACCAAATGAATGATAAAATACATGAGAAAGAACAGGATGGTCTCCTCATGATTGCACTTTCTCAGGATAGGCCTGGACCCTATCTCCATTTCCATAGAAATGGCCCTTTCCCCCAGGTTCTGGTACATGGCCCTGGTTGAGCTAATAAACAGCAACAAAAGAACTTAAAGTCTAAAAATGCTTTGAGGCCTGAAAGAAATTATCTCTGAAGGTGAAGTGTTGAGGTAGAAAGATGGAGAAATGGGGTAAGTGCATGTGCAGGGAAAGGGCAGGGACTTCCCAGCTCACCTCCTGTCATGTCCAGATGCAGCCACATACTTTGCTTACAGTGACTTGTCCTGTGTGGAGGCAATTCTTTGAGGCAAAACTATGCCTTAAAGCCTTAAAGCCCAGCCCAGAATTTCACATCAGCCCTTCTCTAGTCCTGACATTATTCACCAAATAAAAGGCAGATACTTGCTATGTTTTACAAGTTTCTTGTCTGTGTCATCAGCCTTGTTCCATCCTTAGATACAAAGAGGGTTGAAAACAGGATGTTTGAAAACAGGATGTTTGGGTTAAAAAACAGGGTTGAAGAAAAAAAGAATAATATTCAGAAAAGAATGTGGCAAGTGGACATAGTTCTTAAGGAACCCTACAAATGAGATTTGAAAACCTGGCTCATTTCATGATTCATTGACTCAAAGATTTTAAGGACATATTTCAGCTGGTAGAAAAAAGTTCACTTGAGGATAACATCTTGAGAGTCAAGTTGAAGATAAAAGACTCCTGTTTCTGGTATCTCTGTGAAACATAAACGAGGGTACCCTTTAGGACCAAGTACTTCATAGAAAGTTAGAGCTGGAAGGGGATTTACAAGCCATTTCATTTTAGTCTTCTCAGGAAACTGAGGCTCATAGGAGTTAAGTGTCTAGTTTGAAGAATTATGGGATCTTAGAGTAAGAAGATTTGTAATTCATCACCTAAGGGAAGAATACTTTCCAGAGTATCCTGAAAAATGGTAGCTCCAGGCTATGTAGATATATCCAGGAACCAGGAGGTTAACCTTTGATGAACAGCTCTAGTTGTTAGTGAATTCTTTCCATTTCTGGGCCAAATTCTTCTTCAATGTAACTTGCACCCATTGATCTTGGCTCTCATGTCTTCCCTTGATAATTCTTCTCCAGGAGAAATGCGCCCAGCTTCTTCCAATATTCCTAGTCTAGGGGTGGCTTCAAGCCCGATTGCCATCTTGGGTGCTTCCCTCTAGATCTACTCTCATTTATTCATGTCCCAATTAACAAGTCGGGCCCAGAATAGAACAAAATATTCTAGAGGTAGGCTGGCCTAGACATAGTAGGTTCCATAGGACTATTTGTTCCCAGTTCTGAACAGTGTCCTGTCAACACTGCTGAAGTTCTCCTTAGTGTTTTTGTTTTGTTTTGAGACAGGGTCTCACTTTGTTGCCTAGGCTGGAGTGCAGTGGTGAGGTCATGGCCCATTGCAGCTTTGATCTCCTTGGGCTCAGGTGATCCTCCTACCTAAGCCTCCCTAGTATCGGGACTACAAGTGTGCGCCATCACGCCCAGCTAATTTTTGTATTTTTTATAGAGACGCAGTTTCGCCATGTTGCCCAGGCTGGTCTCAAACTCCTGGGCTCAAGTGATCCACCTGCCTTGGCCTCTTAATGGGCTGGGATTATAGGCATGAACCACCATGCCCAACCTCCTTAGTTTTTAAGCAATTGGATTTCAATTCAACCTGCATTTGTACTTAGGGCACATTTGTAGTTTATGAGTATGATACTGTTTAAATTCTTTTCTATTAAATCCCCAGAACTTTTTCATATTAACTGCTAATAAACTGCTCTTCCATCTTAGGTGTGTGGATCAAAAGCAGGACCTTTCATTCTACCTCTTTGGTTTTGACCTCGTGATTCAACCTGGGACTTAATTTTTTTATTTTTTATTTTTATTTTTTGAGGCAGGGCGTCATGCTGTTGTACAGGCTGGAGTGCAGTGGTACAATCTTGGCTCACTGCAGCCTCAACCTCCCGGGCTCAAGCGATCCTCCCACCTCAGCCTCCCAATTAGCAGGGATCACAGGCACACACTACCACACCTGGCTAATCTTTGTATTTTTTGTAGAGATGGAGTTTTGCTATGTTGCCCAGGCTGGTATTGAACTCCTGACCTCAAGTGATCTGCCCGCCTCGGCCTCCTAAAATGCTGAGATTACAGGTGTGAGCCACTGTGGCAACCTGGGATTTTGAAATAGAAACTCTTCTATCCAACTGACTCTCTCTCCCTACTTTATTAATCATCATATATTATAAGCTCATCTTCTATGTTTTCATCCAAGTTACCCATAAGACAGAGGGAAAAAGACAATTTTTTAGTAGTTGCTTTGTCAACCTAACCTCTTCTCTCAACCATATTCACTTACTCACAAGGATATAAATGTACATCTTGTTGTGTGCTGTGATTAAAAATCAATATATTCTATGTCTATGGCAACTCCATGAGCTACCAAACTTGTAACTCCCTAAGCTACCAAACTGGTAACTTTTTTTTTTTCTTTTTGAGACAGGGTCTCATTCTGTTTCCTAGGCTAGAGTGTGGTGGTGTATTCACAACTTACTGCAGCCTCAACCTCCTGGGCTCAGTCGATCCTCCCACCTCAGCCTCCCCAGTAGCTGGGACTGCAGGCGTGCACCATCACACCTGGGTAATTTTTGTATTTTTTGTAGAGATAGGGTTTTGCCATGTTGCCCAGGCTGGTCTTGAACTCCTGAGCTCAAGCCATCTGCCTGCCTCAGCCTCCCAAAGTGCTAGGATTACAAGTGTAAGCCACCATGCCCAGCCCAAACTGGTAACTTTACTGAAAAAGAAATGGGATAAATTAGGCAAGTTACTTAACTTCTATAAGCCCAAGTTTCCTCATCCATAAAATGTGAATATTTGTTCTACTCCCTTTACCAGGTGGTAGTGAGGCTCAACTAGTATAACAAGACATTTGAAAATGCTTTGTAAACTTAAAAAAATTTTTTTTTGAGATGGAGTCTTGCTCTGTCGCCCAGGCTGGAGTGCAGTGGCGTGATCTCAGCTCACTGGAAGTTCCTCCTCCCAGGCTCAAGCAATTCCCCTGCGTCAGCCTCCCAAGTAACTGGTGGGCACTCATCACCACGCCCGGCTAATTTTTGTATTTTTAGTAGAGACGGGGTTTCACCATGTTGGCCAGGCTGGTCTCTAACTCCTGACCTCAAGTGATCTGCCAGCCTCGGCCTCCCAAATTGCATTTTTCTTTCCCTCCCTGCTCTCTTGGGCTACTCCTGTCCATGGGGAGCTCCCACCCACCCTGAATTCCTTTGGGTCTTATGGTCTGGTCCCACTTATCAGTCACTTGATTGCATGTAGCTTTGGTTTTTGTGGTGTATTTCTCCAGCTCACTATACATTCCTCAAACTCAAGGTAGAGCATATCTAATACATACTTTGTATTTCTCACAAGTACACAGTGCTGACTGGGGGTTTCAGAGTCCTAAGACAGAGTCTGAAACACCCTGGGGACTAGATGAGCTGCCTTTATGCCACACAGCCTTGAAAGGGAGGGGACTGTGTCAGGGTAGTCCAGTGAATCACCCTGTCTCATTGATGAGTGTAAGAAAGTAGAGGCTCTGGTCAACCTGGACTTAAACTTTCCATTGTGCTTCTCAGGGGATACAGCTGTAGCCTGCCAGACTGGCATTTTCCCTAACAGCTTTCAAATGTCACATTCCACTATAACATACTCACACACAGAAGCTGTTCTTTCTTTGTCTTCATTTTGAGAACACTCAGAAAAGTTTTTATATTTTGGAAAGACCCCTTTCATTCCCCACCCTTGAGTTTTCTGCCTTCAGGACGTTAGTTCTTGAAGACAACTCCCCAGAGCACTAGTGGAAAGATGCTGGCAGCTCCTCCAATCACATGAACCTCACATGTTCTGACGCAGCTCAGTCATGCATTCTGTGCTGGAGCTGCATGATGTTTGATTAGGCAGGCAGGATGCTGGCAAACCCAGTGCCTTTTCAAACTTTAACTTAGTACACTTTTCTTGTAGTTTCTCTTTAGATTCTCATAAAAACACAGGTGAAAGTTTGTACTTGACATAGGGAAAAAACACAAGTTGTGCATCTAAAAATTCTGCCCCAGAAACATTATATCTGCCATTTATGTGACCTTTTGATTTATAATAAGCAGATGCTGAAATTCTAAAATTTCAAAATATTTTTAAAGAATTGCTTAAAGATTTTTTTTGAATTTAAAATGTTTATTTTTTAAGCTTTTCAAATACAAGAAGAATATAAAGAAAAAAATTACCCATAATCTCATGACATTGACAAAGATAGCCACTGTTATTGCCATTCTAATTTTATAGTTGAGAAAACAAAGGAGAGGAAGAAAGGAAAGAAAATGAGCTTTTAGGGTTTTTTTTCTCAACTTTAAGAAAAAAACTCCTTAGAGGGATCCCCCAAAATTTTGTAAACAATTGACAGATATTCATATTCCTAATAACACATATTGCCAGGAGTACCATTGCTGTTTCTGAACACCATGATGTTTCTTCAGTAAGCTCTACAGAGATCTCATTTCCATGTCACAGAGGAAAACTACTTAAAATAACATTTTATGAAAGTTACTATACTACGTTACAAAACATCTTGTAAAACAGAGAAAAGAAGGAAATTACATACAACCCCAACACTTTAACAAAATCTTATTCATATTTTAGCATACTTCCTTCTGTCCTTTTTTCCCATTCTAAATTTTTTTTAACTTTTATTTTAAGTTCAGGGGTACATGTGCAGGATGTGCAGGTTTGTTACATAGGTAAACGTGTGCCATAGTGGTTTGCTGCACAGATCATCCCATTACCTAATGCCCAGCGTCCATTGGCTATTTTTCCTGATGGTCTCCCTCCTCCTACCCCCGCTTCTGACAGGCCCCAGTGTGTTTTGTTCCCCCCATGTGCTCATGTGTTCCATCATTCAGTTCCCACTTGTAAGTGAGAACATGCAGTGTTTGGTTTTCTGTTCCTGTGTTAGTTTGCTGAGGAGAATGGCTTTCAACTCCATCCATGTCTCTGCAAAGGACATGATCTTGTTCCTTTTTATGGCTGCATAGTATTCCATGGTATATATACACTACATTTTCTTTATCCAGTCTATCACTGATGGGCATTTAGGTTGATTTTATGTCTTTACTATTGTGAATAGTACTGCAGTGAACATACGTGTGCATGTATCTTTATAATAGAAGGATTTGTATTCCTTTGGGTATATACCCAGTAATGGGGTTGCTGAGTCAAATGGTATTTCTGCTGGGTCAAATGGTGTTCTTGTTGACACCACCAGGTCTTATCTCAAAGGTCTAGAAAATTGATTCTGTGAGTAAACTCAGAATTAGACTAAAAAACTGGATCATACTAACCAAACTCCTAAGGGACTTTTCTATTATAAGAAATGCCATTGACATGCATATCAGAAGTTGCTTTAAAAAGTCTATTCCTATAGAAAACCCTATATAAGAAGTCAAATTATACTCAGGTTTCTCAGTAAGCATAGACCATAGATGGGGTGAAGGATGGTGGTGGTGGCTAGAATGATTTTAATGACTAGTGTCAACAAGCTACATGACTGATGCACTCACATAGGAGGAATAGATCTGACAGGTGGTAGGAACATGTGGGCTGGATGGACAGAGACCCTTCTCCATTGGACATGCTGGAGATTCACTAAATATTTTTCCATATTGGCCTCTCTTGCCTCGACTCCATGCACACTGCTTTCAATTCAATTCCATGATAATTGTTAAGTATCTTCTATGTGCGAATCCTTGTACTGGGTTCTGGGACTATAAAAATGAATAAAATACCAGGTCCTCCTCCTAATACCTCAAAGGCTGTTGGAGAAAACTGAACACATATGTAATTATAAAATACTATATAATGAAGGCTTGACTGGTACAGGTGTAGGATATTTGGCCTGATGTCATGTCTGGCTTGCAAAATCTTAAGATCTAGCTTTGCCACTTACTAGCTGTGTGATGTGAGCAATTTATCTAACTTCACTGGGCCTTAGTTTGCTTACATGTTGATACGGTTTGGATTTGTGTCCCCGCCCAAATCTCATGTCGAATTGTGATGCCCAGTGTTGGAGGAGGGGCCTGGTGGGAGGTGATTGGATCATGGGAGTGGAATTTCCCTTTTCTGTTCTCATGATAATGAGTGAGTTCTTATGAGATCTGGTTGTTTAAAAGTGTGTAGCACCTCCCCCTGCTCTCCCTCTTCCTTTCTCAGGCCATGTAAGACCTGCCTGCTTCTCCTGCACCTTCTGCCATGATTGTAAGTTTCCTGAGGCTTCCCCAGCCTTGCTTCCTGTATAGCCTGTGGAACTGTGAGTCAATAAAATCTCTTTTCTTTATAAATTACCCAGTCTTAGGTAGTTCTTTATAGCAATGCAAGAACGGACTAATACACGTGTAAAATAGACAAGACAATACACTAAGTTATGAAGTTTAAATGAGATCATACATGTGAAGCTATTAGAGCAATGTCTGGTGCATGGTATGGAGATTAGCTATAATGGCAAACTTAATTAAACCTCATTTTGGATACCAGCAATGAGACATTGGCAATCTAATGTTTCAAACCCAGCACAAGGAGGAACATGTAGTCCAAACCCTGCCCAGCACTTTAAAACAGACATATCCCATGACAGGCTGTAAATACATTATCAGGAAAGACAACGCACTGAAAATATATTTTGTCTGAAATTTAGAAATATGTCCCCCAGGGGTGTTATATGATAGTGATATTTTTCTTATAATAGACACCTAACACCTTCTGCTATACCTTCTAGTAGAAGTCCACAGATGCATTTGGGCAATTGCAACATCTTAGCACAAAAGATGTCACTTTGATTCACTCTCCACTTTCAGTTCATGTGGTCTGGGTGGAGCTCCAGATGTAAGATATCACTTACATACTCTTTCTTTCAGTGACTGGTTCTGGAGAGGGCACAGCACATAAGTTTTCCACTGTAAATCTCAGGATTTTGCTGAGAATGCTGAGAAAAATACTCTGGCTTTTTTTTCTTGTAAAATATTTGAATCTGAAAGGTTTAATAATCATTGGCATCCATCTTGTAATTATGAGGAGATATCTTGTCTGAGAATGGCATCAACAAAAAGGAAACAGAGTGAAGAAATGATAGAGACAATTTGAATCCTGAAGACATTTGTTAGACCCCCTATACCCAGTTGCACATTTGGCTGCTCAGTTACATAAGCCAACACATTATCTTTTAAAAATTTAAGCCAGTTTGCATCAGGTTTTCTCTCATTTGCAGCCAATGAATTTTGATACAACTTCTACAAAATGTACTTAAAGGCCCGGGTGCGGTGGCTCACGCCTGTAATCCCAGCACTTTGGGAGGCTGAGGTGGGCAGATCACGAGGTCAGGAGATTGAGACCATCCTGGCTAACACGGTGAAACCCCGTCTCTACTAAAAATACAAAAAATTAGCCGGGCATGGCGGCGCACACCTGTAGTCCTAGCTACTTGGGAGGCTGAGGCGGGAGAATGGCATGAACCTGGGAGGCGGAGCTAGTAGTGAGCCGAGATCTTGCCACTGCACTCCAGCCTGGGCGACAGAGTGAGACTCCGTCTCAAAAATAAATAAATAAATAAATAAATAAATAAATAAATAAATAAATAAATAAGTTTATTTTGTCCTATGCTCATGGTCAAAGCAGATGCCCAATTTTTATTTTTCTCATAAAACCAATCAACAAATATACATTGGGCCCTTGTTACAGGGTCAGATGCCACAGAGTTTAAGACAATTCCTTGTGCTACAATCTAATTGGAATTTATAGTCTCTTTATTTTTTATCTCTTAATGGATATGTCTCCACTTCATCCAGATAGATTTTGATTGAGGAGTGAGTTGGTTATGTACCTCCTGTTCTCAACTCTAAGTCCATCCTCCTCTCCTCTGCTCTGATGTGCCAGGGCTGGAATTTTGACAAACTTCATTTGCCAGCCTCCCTTGCCAGCTAGCTTCCTGTTAAGTTCAGTAAATGGGAAGGCCTTGGGGACTGGAAGGTGGGAGGGGGAATTATTTCCTGTTTCTAGTTCCTGAATGTGTCATGCCTGTAGCAATAGGTAGTAGAAAGGTAGCTGCTGTCTGTAGTTCTAATATTTGGCATCCACTTTTTTGCTCTTTCAGTCTTCTTATATCTTTATTACAAGTTCCTAATATTAAATACACTCTATTTTTATGACTGGACTCTGGCTGATACTAGCACTTGATACTAGGTGTGGTCATAGGAAACAGATTCTCAAATTCTGACATTCTGGGATTGATTTGATTTGTTGTTAGTGTTGGATTGGTTTGAATTGAGAGCTGAACTCTTTGCCACTAGTAATCTATGGCATGCATTGACATCATGGTTGATTAAATTATCATCTGTTCTTGCTAGGGTTGAATACCAATGAAAGGCAAGTTTCTGGAGGCCAAGTAGCTGTTGCATTTAACCATTATGGTAGTAAAGATGATTATAAGGAATGTAATGTGGGATGGCTGCTTCTGATTGCACCAGGGTGCTTACAGGAAGAAACTAACAAGTTTAGGGCTTTCACCTCAAATCATATTCAGAGCACCAGAGGGCTTCTAAGACTGCCCTGAAAGTACCTCTTATTCCTTCTAATTACAGGAATCACTAGACATGAAAGACATGACTGAAAAATTCAACCCAAATCAATCATTCACAGACTGGCTAAGTCTCATATGTGAAAGTTTTCTCAGTAATTTGAAAGGAGTAGGACTCTGAGACTAGGAATGGGGACATTTTGGTGGATTTGGATGAAACTGAGAATGTTGAAACCCCCAAGCATCCCTGAGTTTCCCTTGATAGTGGAAGAAGCCTCTCATTTCTTGTCTAATGATATTAGCCTTTCCTTGTTTGAAAGCCTGTAATAAGCCCATATGAGGCACTTGCCTTGCAAGGGAGATCCCTATTCTTTCTCAGCCCCAGTGCTCCCAACTCTCATGGCCTTTATTTAGAGTCAGTTCCCGGAATATACGGAGGTGGGAAGAGCAGAGTCTAGCTCAGCAGGAAAAGTCTTATACTTCAAAAGAATCATAAGATTTTGTTAACTTAACATTAGAGGAAACCAGGCTAGTATGTATGGGGATGAATTCTAAAGGTATTAGACCCAGGAGCACAGAAGATAACATTGAACTGGGGCCAAATTAAGGTAGTCCTGATATACTACACTTTCCAGATAGTTTTGGACTTAATGTTGTAGATGATTACAGTAGTGGTATCACGCCTTCATGTAATTCCTTTACACATTGATTTTTGGCATGGTTATGTGCTTGCTTTGGATAATGGAACATTATTAGCAAATGTGATACAAACAGAGACTTGGAAAGCACTTGCACATTGGGGTTTTCTTTCTTTTTTGCTGTTTTTGGATTAGACTCTATGTTGAAGATGCCTGGACTAACCTACTGAAGATACGTGGTTTTACCAACAGCCAGCACCAATAGGAAGATATGAATGAAGCCATCTGAGACCAGCCATCTGGCAGCCAAACTGCCAACTGACTGCAAATGCATGAATGATCCCACTGACACCACGTAGAGCACAAATGAGTTGCCTCCACTGAGCCCAGCCCAAATTGTTATCCTATAAAATCATAAAAACATAAACAGTTGTTTTAAGTCACTAAGTTTTGGATAGTTTGTTATACAACAAAAGCTAGCTGAAACAAATGTATTAGCTAGAGCAGCTGTGAATGGCACTATTTGCTTAGTTGATTGGCTGAAATTTGGACTCACTGGTAGGTTACATTTAATGGTGTTGAGTTGCCAGAATTTCTCTGGAATAATGTATAGGAAGGATTCTAATGGCCTAAGCCATTAGAATCTCTAAGGAGATAGAAATAAAGGAGTGATTTATTATATGTAACTGTGCCTCTTCCCTCACCACACTTGGTCCTGAAAGAGCCTAAGGAATAGTTTCTTCTCTAAAGCATTGAAAAATGCTTTAATGGGAGAAGCCCCAGCACCCTTGAACATGTTCAGGCAGCTGCTTTCTATAGGCCAAGGATGTGGTGGGAAAATCTGCCTGATCTCAATGTAGATGATGAGATCCCAGAGTAGCGATCAGCATTTTTTACCAGCAGGAATAATCTTTGGTGGTGGTTGGCTCTAAGAATTAAATAGATGTGGGCCGGGCGTGGTGGCTCATGCTTGAAATCCCAGCACTTTGGGAGGCTGAGGTGGGTGGATCACCCAAGGTTGGGAGTTCAAGACCAGCCTGACCAACATGGAGAAACCCCGCCTCTACTAAAAATACAAAATTATTTTTGTATGGTGGCACATGCCTGTAATCCTAGCTACTCAGGAGGCTGAGGCAGGAGAATCGCTTGAACCCGGGAGGCGGAGGTTGCAGTGAGCTGAGATTGTGCCATTGCACTCCAGCCTGGGCAACAAGAGTGAAACTCCGTCACACACACACACAAAAAAAGAATTAAATAGATAATAGATGTGTAGCCTGCCAAAGCATTACTTGATCTGTATAATAGAAACCAGACCTGAGGTAACACATGCATGGTGATATGTGCCTATAGTCCCAGCTACTCAGGAAGCTGAGGTGGGAGAATCACTTGAGCCTGGGAGGTCAAGGCTACAGTGAGCCATGATTGTACCACTGCACTCCAGCCTGGGAGACAGAGTGAGACCCTGTCTCAAAATAAAATAAAATAATAAAATAAAATAAAATAAAATAAATAGTTTTTAAAGATTTTGGCTTAAAAGGGTTACAAATTTTCTAAAGTCACATAATATATAAAAACAAATCTGGATAATACTGAATTGTTCTGCTCATCTATAATATTATTTTATGAAGTAAGTTTCAATATAAACTTGAAAGAAAACTGACACAATTTTTTTAAAAAATAGACATAATTTGTTAATTAAACTCCATGCATAATTATTAAGGAGGAAAGCATTCATGTTTCTTGGATGTTTCTTATATGCTACATGCTTATTTTCATTTAATTCTCACAATAATTCTGTGAGAGAGGTGTTATTGTTAGGATATCTGTAAATAGATGAAGACATTGAGGCTTTAAAAAGTTGATCTTTTAAAAAATTGAATTATTAAGGAAAGATTATACAACTAGAGAATGAGTGGGGAAGGGAGAAACATTTAAACAAACTCCAAAATAACAACGTACACAGCAATAACCAGGTTTTATAAGCAAACTTGAGGGTAATCCAAGATATGAAAACTTAAATTACCATAAAGTACCATTTTTTAACCTATTGACTTAGCAAAATTATATTTTAAAATATCCAGTGCTGGAAGGATGCACTGGTACCAATGCCAACAGATCCTTTTCAAAAGCAAATTGACAGTATGACTCAAGAGCCTGAAGTGTTCACATTCTTTGACTCCATAATTCCCTTTTCAGGTATCCATCCTAATGAAATTAGATGTAAAAAGACATGCATTATCTGAAATAGCATGATATATCAGTTAGGACACTGAACTGTATAATTTGAGGACTAATTAAAGAGACTCTTTGTAGAGATGTGGGCCAGGTGTAGGGAACTCTAAGGAATAGTGCAGTACCCAAAGGCTAGCAGGAACAGGTGTGTGTGTGTGTGTGTGTGTGTTTGCACATGTGTGTGTGTGTTGCAGGGGGTGAGGGGACACGTAGGCACCCAGACATGAAAAGGGGACTGGAGAGAGCAGTTACTGGAACCCACAGGCAGATGGAGCCATGTGGAAAGGGTCATTCAACAAGAGCTGTGACCTTTAGTTGAGAGAATTATCCAGCCAGCAGTGACCCTGGAGACGGAGAGCCTGGGGAATAAATACCCCAGCAATACTCTTCTCCCATCCTCTGATCTCCTGCCAGGGTCCCCATTGGCTGAACCCAATCAAAAGCCAGAGAGCAATGGAGCCCATTGATACAGTCCATACAAGTCAGCTTCATAGGACCCAAAGCAGGGAGGACAAGGCTGGAGAGTGGATCTGGAGGGTCAAATGGAGGATATCCAGCACAAAAGCTTGTAACTAAAGTGGCAAAAAAACCAGAAACAACGGTAATCTTACATTAATAGGGGAACAGTTAATTAAATTTTGTCACAGCCACTCAGTAGAATATTATGCAGCCAGTAAAAGTGATAATTAGGAACACTTGTCAGCAACATAAGTGTGAGCTTATGGTAGATGACAATTTTTTTTTTTTTTTTTGAGATGGAGTTTCGCTCTTGTCACCCAGGCTGGAGTGCAATGGTGCTGTCTCGGCTCACTGCAACCTCCGCCTCCTGGGTTCAAGCCATTATCCTGCTTCAGCCTCCTGAGTAGCTGGGATTATAGGCATGCACCACCATGCCCAGCTAATTTTGTATTTTTAGTAGAGACGGGGTTTCTCCATGTTGGTCAAGCTGGTCTTGAACTCCCCACCTCAGGTGATCCGCCCGCCTCGGCCTCCCAAGGTGCTGGGATTACAGGCGTGAGCGACTGTGCCCAGCCCCAAATTTTTTAAAGTATAGAAAATTACATGTTGCAACCATAGCCAAACTTAAATACATAAATGGACAAAGAGCAGAAACAAACAGCAAACATGAAAGTGTTTGTGCTTGGATGATGAGATCATAGGTGATTTTTGTTTGTTTGGTCTTTCTCAATTCCTCAAACTCTCCTGAATGCTATTTTTGCTCCTTTTGTAAAAAGTACTTTTTTTTCCAGACTTAGAATTCATCTAAGTCTTTTAAGCATTGTCATTATATATGTTTTAGCCCATTATATCCAGGCCATAAAAAGTAAAGGTGTTGGCTGGGTGCGGTGGTTCACGCCTGTAATCCTAGCACTTTGGGAGGCTGAGGCGGGCGGATCACCTGAGGTCGGGAGTTTGAGACCACCCTGACCAACATGGAGAAACCCCACCTCTACTAAAAATACAAAATTAGCTGGGCGTGGTGGTGCATGCCTGTAATCCCAGCTACTCAGGAGTCTGAGGCAGGAGAATCACTTGAACCTGGTGGGGGGCGGAGGTTGCTGTGGGCCAAGATTGTGCCATTGCACTCCAGCCTGGGCAACAAGAGCAAAAGTCCATCTCAAAAAAAAAAAAAAAAAGTAGAAGTCTTAATAGTAGCCATTCTCCCAATACATAATGAGTCTCAGAGGTGACCATGCATGAGGTACCTATCACGTACCAGGTACATGGCAAAAATCTCACTCCTTCCCTGCTCTCTAGGAGTCTAAGGGGATGACAAAACCTGTGCTCAAAATCCTCATGATAAACTGAGAAAGATAACTGCTTTCTTTATCTTTTCTTTTCTTTTTTTTCTTTTTTTTTTTTTTGAGACAGAGTCTTGCCCTGTTGCCCAGGCTAGAGTGCAGTAGCATGACCTCAGCTCACTGCAACTGCAACCTCTGCCTCCCGGGTCCACATGATTCTCCTGCCTCAGCCTCCTGAGTAGCTGGAATTACAGGCACCCGCCGCCACTCTTGGCTAATTTTTGTATTTTTAGTAGAGACAGGGTTTCACCATCTTCGCCAGACTGGTCTTGAACTCCTGACCTCATGATCCACCCGCCTTGGCCTCCCAAAGTGTTAGGATTACAGGTGTGAGCCACTGCACCCGGCCCCTTTAAATTTTTTTTATTTTTATTTTTTAAATTTTTTGCAGAGATGGGGTATCACTATATCACTATATCTATTTATATATATATATATATATATATGCATTTTTTGTTGTTGTTTTTGTTTTTGTTTTTTTTTTGAGACAAAGTCTGGCTGTGTCGCCCAGGCTGGAGTGCAGTGGTGTGATCTCGGCTCACTGCAACCACCACCTCCTAGATTCAAGCGATTCTCCTGCCTCAGTCTCCTGAGTAGCTGTGATTACAGGTGCGTGCCACCATCCCCAGCTAATTTTTGTATTTTTAGTAAAGATGGGATTTCACCATGTTGGCCAGGGTGGTCTCGAACTTCTGGCTTTAAGTGATTCACCCACCTTGACCTCCCAAAGTTCTAGGATTACAGGCATGAGCCACCACGCCTGGCCAGGTCTCACTATATTGAAGTAAACTGATGCGTAGAGGTCAACCAATATATTCAGAGTTGTATAACTCATACCTAGTTGAGCTGGGGTTTGAATCTCTGATGCCAGAACCCACACGCCACCTACACTCCTATAGCACTTCCCTGGAAAAGAGTGAAATTAATTATTATTATTAAATTCTGGGATACATGTGCTGAACCTGCAGGTTTGTTACATAGGTATACATGTGCCATGGTGGTTTGCTGAATCTATCAACATGTCATCTAGGTATTTGTCCTAATGCTCTTCTCTGCTTTCCCCCAACCCCCTCAACAGGCCCTGGTGGGTGATGTTCCCCTCCTTGTGTCCATGTGTTCTCATTGTTCAACTCCTACATATGAGTGAGAACATGTGGTGTTTGGTTTTCTGTTCCTGTGTTAGTTTGCTGAGGATTATGGTTTCCAGCTTCATCCGTGTCCCTGCAAAGGACATGAACTCATTCTTTTTTTATGGCTGCATAGTATTCCATGCTGTATATGTGCCACCTTTTCTTTATCCAGTCTATCATTGATGGGCATTTGGGTTGGTTCCAAGTTTTTGCTATTGTGAATAGTGCTGCAATAAACATACGTGTGCATGTGTCTTTATAGTAGAATGATTTATAATCCTTTGGGTATATACTCAGTAATGTGATTGCTGGGTCAAATGGTATTTCTGGTTCTAGACCCTTGAGAAATCACCACACTGTCTTCCACAAGGGTTGAACTAATTTACACTCCCACCAACAGTGTAAAAGTGTTCCTATTTCTCTGCACCCTCGCCAGCATCTGTTGTTTCTGAAATTAATTATTGACCAGCAAAGAGACCACACAGTATAAAAATACCACTTTAAACCCCATGTGGTAGGAAATCAGGGCACATTATGGTGTGTAACAAAAAATATAGGTTTGTTGCTCTAATTCCATCCCTTTCAAACTGAACAAGCAGCCTTAACCAAATTACTTAACCTCTCTGTGCCTTTCCTTATCTGTAAAATGGAGTAATTAATAGTGTCTTTTTCAGAGAGTTTGGGGATGATTTGTTCCAATAGTATGTGTAAAATGCTTAACAATATTGGGCAATAGCAAGTACTTGATAAATGTTAGGTGTTAAGATAGCATGCTGTAGTATAGAAAATTTCTGAAGCTAAGACACATTGCCTTATGATTTTCTCCCCTGACAGAACCCAGATTTCAGGATACTACAGCTAGATTGCTCTCTCCCTATTTGGTAATCTAAAAGATAGCCCCAATCTAGGAACAAAGATGGGAATATTTTGACAGAAGCCATTATGCCACTGGGTTCCTAACAGAGTTAAACAAAACTCCCCAAGCATTCAACATGCCAATCACATATCTGGGGCATGGGTGGGGGTAGGGGCAGCATAGGTGGGCTTCTTCCAGGGAAGAAGGCCTTGTCTCCTGCCCTGCTCTCTGTGGTGTTAGGAAGTGCTCCTCCTCCAGCAGGAGCCCCAGATCAAGCATCCCTAGGACCCAACCCTGCTGAAAAGTACATCCAAGTTTGCCTCAAAGGCCTTCAAATCTTTGGGAGCCAAATGGCGTAATAGGATATTAAACTTACTGACTTGCAAGACCCTGAGCAAACCTCTTACCCAAAAGTAGAATATATAAAGAACGTTGAAGAATAACAATTGAGTTTTATTCTTTAAAGGCATTCTCTGATTTACATGAGAATTGAGAAACTGAGATGTATGATTTGTCTGTTAGTCAATTTCACACCCTTTCATTCTCATAAGCCCCAAATTTTGCTCAGTTAAGGAGCTTGCTTTAGGCCCACCTATGTAAGTCTGTTATACTAGCTAATGTGCCCATTTGAATAGTTCAAGGGTCAGCTAATGCTCTGAGCTTCATGGCTCCAGTATAAAGAACAAATTTAACAAAATTAAGCTGTTACTGTAGCCGAGTTACCCTTCTGCTCCACACATATGTAGTGGGATCTTGCAGGATTTCCATAGTGCCAATTATCAAAGGCCTTGACTACTTAGCATTGCTGTATTACAGATGTGCAAACTGAGGCACTGAAAAGTCAAATTTAAAGTCATATTGAGGGCCAGAAAAGGAGGCTTAGTTTGGGGCTTTGGCCATTTTAGCTACTTATCTGAAATTGCTGCAGATACAACGTATGAGCATATCAAATATTTTTGACTGTATATAATTGATTTCTAAGGTAAAAACAAATAAAAAGAAACCAATAATTTTTAAAGGAAAGATGTAGTTCAAAAAAAAAACCACCATTAAACATGGTGCCATTACAGGTTAAAACAAATGCTTTGTGACTTAGACCTCAAAAACAGAGCTTGATGACTTTACTCCACAATTTGTGCACTTAGTGTATATTTAAATGCTCTCTGTTAATTAGAACAACTTCATTATGCTATCAAGATTCCAGTAATCCATAAAACATGTCAATTATGATTTGAGTTTGTGCGAAGCCCTGTCTGTGAGCTCATAGTCTCAATAGCCTCTTCTAGTACCCAGAGGAAGCTATAGATAAAAAATAACTCTATTGGCAACCCATCTGTTTCTGTTACTGGAAATTTCCACACACCTCTGCTTTTGGAAATCACTTAGAAAACTTGAGGGGAAATAATTCCTTTTGCTTTCAGTCTGGCAGCAAGAAGGATCCTGAAGGAATTCTGTGGGTCCAGGATCCAGTGGGGTAATTCTGTAAAGTGCAGTAGTGCTTGCTTAAAGCCATAGGCTCCAGAGGTGAGTCCAGATCAGTGAAGGGGCAAGTTTCATGGCCAGGTGTTGGCTAGTCTTGTTGCAGGTTTCAGATTAAAGTGCTGGGTCATCCAAAGGCATTTGAAAAGTGCAAATGGCAAGCTCTGCAGGCCACCGAATTCTTGTTCAGAGTCCAGAAGCTTCTTTAGATGTCATATCAGGTCACCCTGGCTCCCAAGACCACAGGTTCAGATCTGGGGAGAAAAGCCCACAAATAAGAAAAATCATTTTTTATGATTAGAAAATATATAACCTCCCCAAAATTTGAGTGAGGAACTAATTTTTTTAAAAAAGTTCATCTAGCTGGAAGCCGCATGGTTTAAAACTTTTCATTTAAAACTTCTTTCCACAGTTTTTACCATTGCCCTAGTCCAAGTCTTCAGCTTCTCTCCTCAGACCTATTGCAAGAGCTGTTCCTCTTCCATTCTTTGGGCCACACATAGTTCAGTAATATTGGAGCACATTTCAGGGGCCTCTCCTATTCAAAACCTCTTATAGTTCCCTATTGTGTCAGATATTTCTATTAATTCCTGCAGACTCATTATTCACCCTGCTGCACTCTATTCATGCTCCAGGATGATGACATTGCAGACTGCATCACTGGGCTCCTCCCTCTGTCTTTGACTGGGCTCAGTCTAGGGGAAAAAGAGTGTTGCAGTGGGTTGAGAGAGAGGTTGGGGTATCTATTCCTCAGCAACCTCCCAGACAAGTTGTGGGTTGACTTTGTCCCTCTGTTAAAGACCATAGGTCCTGCCAGATGGACCTTTCTCATTGCCATTTTTACTAGGGTTCTGGGAACTGCTCCCTCCCCTTTCTCCTTCAGACCTAGGAATAGTCACCTTCCCTGCCTGCTCTTGCATCCTGGCATGCTCAGTATCCCTTGCTGGTTTCCCTTAATGCTGCACACACCTTTATAAATTAAACTTGCCTCAGTTACCTCTTCTAAGCATACCCTCCATTTCCTGCTAGGATCTAACTGAAGCACTCTTGCTTAGTAAGTAAAATCTAACTTTTGCCTGGAATTAGTGGTTTACAATACATGCCCTAACAGTCTTTCCCCCTTATCTCACACCTGGCTTTCTCTCTGAACGGGGTCACGTGCACTTTCCCACACCTTCCTGCCTCTCTGCCTTTCCTGTTAGTGTCTCCTCTATCTAGAAGAGTTTGCTGTTTCCATTTCTTCCTGATTCAAAAGTCACCTTCTCCATGAAAACTTTCTTCTTCCCTGATTATCCCCAGCTTAAAGTGATATTTGTCCCCATCTCTGAACTTTCATGTATTGTTTGTCCCTCTTATATGAGCCATAGAGAACCATAAAAAATACACAGACTTTTCACACCATTAAAAATTCATGGGCACAGGTGAGTGAAGCTGTTAGTGACTCCTCTTGCTAATAGCACTCTCCTCCCTCCCTGAGACAACTGTGCTGCCTGAAGAAAGAAAGTGTGAAGTTGCCTGACATGGGTTGGGTATTTCTGAGGATTGATGGTAAGGTGGGCTTCAGGACATAGGGATAATTTGAGAGCTACATGATTTTCCAAATATGTTCCAAGAAGCACAAGGTATCTTAGAGCAGTGGTCCCCAACATTTTTGGCACCAGGGACTGGTTTCAGGGAAGACAATTTTTCCATGGATTGGGTGTGGGAGTGGGGGTAGGCTATAGTTTCAGGATGAACCTGTTCCACCTCAGATCGTCAGACATTAGATTTTCATAAGGAGCACACAACCTAGATCCCTCATATGTGCAGTTCACAATAGGATTCACGCTTCTATGAGAATCTAATGCTGCTGCTGATCTCACAGGAGGTAGAGCTCAGGTAGTAGTGCCCGCTTGTCTCCCGCTCACCTCCTGCTGTGTGGCTCAGTTCCTAACAGGCCACTGGTACCGGTCTGCGGCCCAGAGGTTGGGGACCCCTGCCTTAGAGGCCTTTGTAGGGACAAATATGATATGGACAAATAGCCTATATGATAGGGTGATTATGTCCTCCACTCTAATTTCACCACTATTTTAATTTGCTTGACATGTAGGAGTTCTGTCTAATATTTCCTTTGCGAAAGGTTTATAGTGCCAAAAGAAAAAGAAATTGGAAACCACTGAAATGGGAAAGGGGAAAGGAAACACACCCATGTGGAATGCTGACGCTGTGGTCAGTTCTCAGGTGGAAGTTCTTAGAAGGAAGTCGGGATACTCATGAAAACAAACAAAACAAAACAAAAAACGTAAAGACTGGACCAAAAGTATATAGAAAGCTGGCTTCTTTTTGTTTTAACCCAAATTATGTGAATGAGAACTGTTTCTTGAGTACCTTATCGGTAATACTTAATTGTAAGAATCTTGGATGACTGATAAATTCATCCTTCTAGTTCCCACATGGCCTAACTGACAGGGTCTTGCAAATAACAGAAACTTAATACAGGTTTGTGAGTGGGTGAATGAATGAATAAATGAGTGAGTAGCACTATGCTGGGAATCATGACTTCTTTTGGTCTGCTACTGTTTCACTTAAGGAAGTCACTTAATATCTCTTAGCCCCCAATGTCATAATCTGTGAAATGAGGTAGCTAGGATACATGGTCTGTAAACTCTAACCAAGGCTTGATGACTGTAATAACTATTTTGTAAAGGATAGATGATATATATCTATGGTATCATAATCCACTCCTAAAGTTTTACTGTTTATCTGCTTGTCTGCATAAGAGGGAGAATGGCTAGGCCCAAATAGTAGCACAGATAAAGTTAGATACAAGAACAACTTCCACAAATGGAAAGGGCAGTGTGTCACAGACAAGGACTCAGTGGGTCTGAGTTCTAGCTCCATTTCTAACAGTAAGTTATGATATGACCTTATGCAAGTCACTTCAGCTCTTATATCCTTAGAGCATATCCATCACATTTAGCTGTGCTAGGAGTCTTTGAAAGGCAACTAAGACATTGGTAGGTGTCCTTTAAAGAAGGTATAGCATCGCCCTTCCTAAACTTGATAAGGACTGATGAAGAGTCCTATATAATGTATTTGGTTACTGGGATCTAGAGAGGTGAGTGGGGATGGTTGAAATGGCTTCAGAAAGTATTCTTCTTCTTTTTGAAAGTAATACATCAGGGCACTCAAAAATGTAGTGAAGTACAACAAAAATTCAGAAAACATAAAAGTAAAAAGCAATACTTGATTCCATAATCCAAAAACATGATTACAGGCATTTTCATATTTTTACTTCTGTTTTTCTGGAGGAAGGGAATATGGTGAGTCTATAAATAACATTTTTAATAGGACATGAATGATACATAAGTATATTTTTATTTTGCAATTTTCTATTTTTTTATTATATAGAAAGTATTTCCCCACATTATTATTCCTCAGAACTAGAAGTTTAAATGGCAACGTAGGGTCTATTTATTATAGGTTCCAGTTTTTTCCATGTTGTATTAGAGTAAACTAGGTAATGCTGTAGGAACAAACAACTCCAAAATCTCAATATAAAAAACAAAAGCTTATTCTTGTTCATGTTCCATGTACATTGAGGGTCAGCAGGGGACTCTGTCAATTTTAGTCACTCAGAGACTGAGACTGATGGAGCAATTACTACCTAGAATGTTACTGGTTACCATGCCAGATGGATAAAGAAAATATGGCAAAGCATATGCCAACTCTTACATCTTCTACCCAGAAATAACACGCATCACTTATGCTTACATTTAATTGACCAAAGCGAGTTACATGACCACACTTAACTACAAATTAATCACAGAGAAGTGCAATTCTATCATGTGCACAAAGGCAAGAGATCCAGGAAATGGTGAAACAGCGCTAATACTGAACTCTATTAGGCATTTTCACAAGTCAGGTCTTGCTTCAGTTGCTGGTTAGTGAAGCAAAACCAGCAAGCCCTGTGCTTCTTAAGTTGGAAGGGAAAATATTCATCTGAATAAAAGTCTTGTAAGAAGTACATGCAAGGGACATGTCCAGGCTAAGTCCCAAGACTCCATCTCCCAAGATGCCGAGTCACAAAATGAGAGTGCGGGATGGCTCCCGGGCAGCCTAGAGCTGTACACTCTCCTCATAATGGATGGTTTTGGGATGAGATAGAACTGGGATGGCAGAGAATGGGTGTGGGAATGTCAAAGCCCTGAGCTGTCTGGGCCTGAGCAATATTAAAATCTTAACCATGGCAATTTCTAGGCAATGGATTCTAAATTATTTTTGTTTTCTTTATACTTTTTTATTTTTTATTTTTATACTCATAAAATCAGTAATTTAAAAAATGTTCTGAAACTTGTTATTGTTGTACGTTATTCTTTTTTGAGTTGATAGACTCAACTAAAATTAAACAAAATTTATTTTAATATTGTTTTTTAGTATTTAGTCAAATTTGGTCAAAATCAGACACCTTTTAAATTTATTATATAATAAACTATAAGAAACATTGATAAACGGACAGAAAGACAAATATCAAATACCATATAGTTGCATTAACACTAATATCCCACTTTATTATATTGACCAGGTGGACCTAAAATATAGACACATAGAAGCAGCCAGAAAATAACGCTGTAATCATGTGCTTAAGAGTGGTATAGATTGTGTGTACAATGCAGAGGAAAAATAAAAAGGTATGAGTGGGGGAGAGAGTCTTACAGATTAAGCAAGAGAGTGTTGTGTATGTAGGCTGGGCACAGTGGCTTACGCCTGGAATCCCAGCACTTTGGGAGGCCAAGGCAGGAGGATTGCTTGAGCCGAGGAGTTTGAGACCATCCTGGGCAACATAGTGAGACCCCAGTTCTACAAAAAATAAAAATAAAAAATCCAGGTACGGTGGCATGCACCTGTAGTCCCAGCTACTCAGGAGGCTGAGGTGGGAAGATAGCTTGAGTCCAAAAGTTGAGGCTGCAGTGAGCCACGGTCATACCACTGCACTCCAACCTGGGTGATAGAGCAAGACTCTGTCTCTAAAAAAAAATTGAATTAAATTTTAAAAAAGCAGAGTGTAGTGTATGGGTGTGGATTCTGGACTTGGACACCTGGATTGCTGAATCAATTTATTGGCCCTTATATTATTAGCTATATACCTTGGGCAAGTTAGTTAACCTCTTCATGTTTTTCTTCCTCACCTATAAAATGGGAAGCAGGGAGTAAGTACTTCAGAGGGCTACTGTGAGGATTAAATGAGCTAGTCTAAACACACTTCTAATGTCTTAGAACAGAAGCCTGGTGTTATAATAATAAAGTTACTCATTACTGTATCTTAAAGTAGACCATGCCAAAAGTTGGGATTGGGACAAGTAAGAAGGAATAGGGAGGACACTCCAAAAAAATAACCAACATGAGCAAAGCCACAGAAGTGGGAATGAGCTCATGGCAGTGGTGTTGGTGGAGCAGCTCAACTTGAGGAAAAGTTTTGTTGAAGAGTGGTAGATGAGTTGGCTTAGTGAAATGTGGCTAGTTGTCAAAAGGCCTGAAAAACTCTGGGAAGGATTTGATATGATCTATAGAGACAAGAGATGACATGATGATGATGAAAACAGTGTTTGGGGGGATTAGATCTGGCAGTGGTATGCTGGTGCCTCTTTAAGGGACCTTTCCAAAGCTATCTAGAAATATTTAAATTCCTCATTAGGTATTGGTAAAGAAAATAAGATATTAGATAAGTCAAACCTACCTCAAGTAGTCTCTTCATTGTACCAAGGCATCATTTCCAAAATTTTGGTTTGATTTTGTTAAATCATTTTGGCTACAGGGTGCCCCCACTCCCCACCTAGATTTACTCAGATATTCATTGCTATTGCATCCAAATACTTAGAGTGGTAGATTCTGATATCACAGATGTCCTTTTGTTGCTGAAAGTTTGAGAGGCAGTGAGCTGAGAAAAATCCTGCTGAACTAAACAAAAACCCAAAACTGGTAGTCTGCATGCAATCTAGGTTGGCATGTTCATGCATGAACAGGTATTAGACAGAACCCTGGCCTCTTGGACAACTCCAATGACCAAATAGTAGTTGGTTACTTACTTCTGTTTATAAAGGCTCATGCAGGAATGACAAATTGACTTACTTCAGCCAAATATATGGCCAAGACTGCCCCCCTCATCTCTTGGTGCCTGTGATGATTAATTTTATGTGTCATCTTGGCTATGGTGCTCAGTTGCTTAGTCAAATGCTAGTCTATATGTTGCTGTGAAAGTATTTTGTAGATGTAATTATCATTTGCTATCAGTTAACTTGAAGTAAAGCTGATTATCTCCCATGATGTAGGTTGGCTTCATTCAATCAGTTGAGGGCCTTAAGAGCAAAAAACTGAGGTTTCCCAGAAAAGATGGAATTCTGCCTCAAGACTGTAAGGTAGAAATCCTGCCTGGGTTTCCAGACTGCTGGCCTGCCCTACACATTTCAAACTTGCCAGCCCCCACAATCATGTGCTGCTTCCCCTGAGTCTAAGCTTTTCATCCAACCAGGCTTAATGATTTTAGTAACCCACTTCTTCTGACCCCTAGATCATATCCTTCCTCCTCCACAGATTCCAGCTCCAAACCTGTCAACCTCATGAAGAGACTTGTGTTTTTCCCATATTACTCTTGACTCAGAGCCCACAACAATGTACTTCTTAATCATTGTTTGTTGCAAAAACATCCATTGTCAATTGCATCGCAGTTGAATATCTTCTCTTTGCTGTTCGATTTTAACTCTGTTTCTAACTATGTGAGACCAGAGGTCCAGTGCAGTATCATCTAGGAGTGCTTAGGAATATAGACCGAGCAAAAGATGGCATGATTGTTCTGGGGCTAAGAACGAGGCTTCGCTGAAATGCTACCAAACAGGAAGATTCTATAAGCTGGAACTATTCAGTTGCCTTCCATGAATTAATAGAACAGTGGTTACTTTAAAATTCAAGCTGAGAGAGAAAAGAAAGTAAGAAAGAAAAGTAAAAATCATGCTTACTCACAGCACTGTTCACTTCCCTCTTTGTTGTGGTGACAGGTCTTTTTGTTGTGTCTGAAAAGGAAAAATTCCAGAAATGGAATAAGATTAATGAGAAAACTGTTTGGCTTATAGATTAAAATATGGCAGGACAAAAAGTAAATCTAAATAAATCCACATAGCGAAGCCCAAATGTTCACTGTGGCCTGGGACTTCGGATGGTAATGCATAAAGCAAAATCTGGCCCCTAGGCAAAGAGTGTGAACAAAGAAGTCTCACACTTTCCATTCCTCTGTCTACTCCTGGCCCTCAGGCACTTAAAGGCTGAGGGACTAATTTGGGTATTCAATCCAGGAAATGTCTGGCTGCAGAATTAGCTCTCCCTTTTCTGCTTTAGTCTTGACTGCTACTTCTGCCTGCCTTCCCTGGTCCAGGTCAGAATGTCTGATCAATTAATTTTGCACTAAGGTATAAGTGACTGATACTGGCTCAAAGTAACTCAAGTTACTGGTTCAGAAGCACAAGTTCACATAATGGGATGCTGCTCACCAGTAAGTTTCCTTGATTTCACATCTTTCTTTTAATTTTTTTTTTATATCAATAGGTTTAGGGGTACAGGTGGTTTTTGGTTACATGGATGAATTGTATACTGGTGAAGTCTGAATTTTAGTGCACCCGTCACCCAAATAGTGTACATTGAACTCAATATGCAGCTTTTTTATTCCTCACTGCCACTCCCTACTCTCTCCTTCTGAGTCTCCCATGCCCATTATACCACTCTGTATGCCTTTGCATATCCATAGCTTAGCTCCCACTTACAAGTGAGAATATATGGTATTTGGTTTTCCATTCCTGAGTTACTTCACTTGGAATAATGACCTCCAGTTCCATCCAAGTTGTTGCAAAACACATTATCTCATTCTTTTTCATGGCTGAGTAGTATTCCATGGTGTATATATACCACATTTTCTTTATCCACTTATTCGTCAATGGGATCTTAGGTTGGTTTCATATCTTTGCAATCATGAATAGGTTTTCACTTTTTTCTTAACCTCTGATTTCACATATTCCCTCCCACTCTGATTCTCTTTTAGGATTTAATGCCCAACTCCTGCCATTGCCTGGGTTCCTGAAATCAGTCCATTCCTAATTCTGCTTTTGCCCTATATACCAGGTTTTTAGTAATTCCCTCATGACTATCCTGAGCTTGGCCTGGAATTTGGAGGTCTCTATTCAGCACTGTAGTCTCTTTCATGAGGGTTTGCATTTGAAAGGAGCCCAATGGTTAACCCATAGGAATTGCTCTTGAATGTTGGCTTCAGTGGGTACCTCATTTATGCCTGAGGTTAGTGCTGCCATTCTCTGTGGGCCACAGGTAACCATAAACCAGCATATTTGGTCTTTAAACCTCTGTAAAATTCTGGCTCAATCTTCTAGGGCTGTGCCACTTAGAGTCTGGTTCATGGGCTGGTGCTGGTAGGTGAACTGTTACCAGCCTATGATGATAACTGTTCCTTCACAAGAGAGTTTAAGAAACACTGTTCTGAAGATCTGAAGACATGTTCTAAAGATCTAGATTCTGTAGCTGGTGACTTCTGCTGGATTCTAACTTGACTTTGCCATTGGCTCAGCAAGTCAATGTATAAGTCACTCAATTATTTTGGATTGAAACTTACTTTCTCCTTCCATTGTTCAAAGATAATAATATTGACTGAACCAATTTGTATTAAGCACTTTTGCAACAAATAGGCCACAAGTTTTGGAGTCAAACAGACCTGTATTCAAATCCCAGCTGTATGACTTTGGGAAGTCATATAACTTTTCTGAGCCTCACTTTCTTAACTCCAGCATAAAGACACTTCTCCTTGCCACAAGCAATTTTTGTGAAATTAAATGAGAAGTTTGTAAAGGGTCTAGCACAGTGGTTTTCAGTAGAACTTTCTGCAATGATGGAAATGTTGTATATCTGTACTGTCCAATACAGGAGCAATTATCTGTACATGGCTATTGAGCACTTACAGTGTGTGAATACTTAAGATGTGACTGATGAATTTTTATTTAACTTAAAAAGAGCCACAGATGGCTATTATATTGGACAGAGCAGATCTAGCATACTCACCTGCATATAGTAGGTTCAATGTTTAAAATTTCATTGAACATTTATTATATGCCAGGTAATTTTTTAGACACTGGGCATATATTGGTGAATCAGAGAAACACAGTTACTGTATTCTTGAAACGTAAAGACAAGCAGATGAAGCAGAATTTAACATTATTTTGCAACAGAAGTTGCCAGCTTCTTCTCTAGAGCCCAGCAGGTCACCCTCGAGCCCCAAACTGTTGAATGGTTCCTCTTAGGGGAAAATGGTAAGCAGGACCTTTTATGGACCAATAATGGCTGCCCTCCCAATACACTTTAGTACACAGAGCTAGTCACTGAGGTATAGGTGGGTAAATCTGTTCAGGAGCTAAGAAGCCATCTGGAAGGAAAGGGACCAAGCCTGCTGCTTCTTTACTTAACTTTGCAATGGACTAAGAAATTCAGGATACCAATGGCCCTAAGAGGAACTGAAGAGAAGGAAGTTAGGACTGGCGTCCCAGGCTCAACATGAGGGCCTAGAAGGGAAGAGGCTGGCTGTGTGCAGCTGTGGCTAAGGCAGGGACCTCCTCCTACCTCATCAACCCATAGGGGTCCTGCTTTGGGACCAATGACAGAGCATGTGTTGGGGAACCATAAGAACTGTAATCTTGTAGCACTGTGGTCTGTGTGGGGATCGGAACCAGCAAGGTTACCTTTGCACAGTGGATGGAGACATCTGGAAGGACCAGAGATTCTGCATGGCCGGAGTAGACAGCAACTGCTCAAAACCAGGGCCCTCTGGAGGACTAACCTAGCTGCCTAGCACTGGCCCTGTGGGCTAAGTAAGCTTTCTGGCAGTTTGTGGGAGGTGGAGAAGTACATGCTATAAGAGGGAGACACTGAACTTCTTGCTAAGATGGGCATGTGGGTACTTGAGGAATCAATTGGAAAATTAAAAGGGATGCAATTTAATTGGTAGTCCAAGCTATTAAAACAGATCCTAGACATGTGATTGTGTGCTGAGTATACTGAAAGAAGAAGTAGGTGCTATGGAAACATATAATAAGGGGATTTAATGTAATGGGTGTGGTGCGTGGAGGTAGAATTAGGAAAGACTTGATGAAGTATAAGCTTAGCTGAGATTTAAAAGATGACTCCAACTCAGGTGGACAACAAGAAAAAATATTTTAAGAAGAGACAATATTGTATGAGAAAACTCGGAATTGAAAGACTGCCATGCCTCTGAGGACTAGAAAATCCTGTGTGGTTAGAGCTTTAGACAATGAAGGTGATGGTGATGCAGTTAAAGCTGGAGACATGAGTCAAACCATCCTGGGCTCGTTGGAACTTCATCCAGTGAGCAATAAGAAGCCATGGAGAAGGTCTGGACAGAGGACACATGGTAGATTTATGATTTTTAAAAGCCTATTATAGCAAAAAGTGAGAACAGACCAAGTTGGAGGTAGCAGGAGTGAATACAGGGAAACCAGTTAGGAAGATTTCTCTGTAGTCCAAGTTGAACCACACTAGCGGCAGTGAAGTTCGGCCAATAAGCTGTAAAATGTTCCTTCTCTTGCTGCTTCCCCTTTTACAGATAGAAAGACCATCTCAAAGAAGATAGGCAATTTGTACAAGGTCAGAAAGCCAACAAATGGCAGCACAAGGTCCCAGCCTAGCCCTCTGACCCTGGTTTAAAGCTCTGTCTGCATCACCAGCAGTTCTCAACCCTTTTCCATGGCACACAAGTTTGTGTGCATGGCAGACACATGTAAGAAAGCAGATCTGAATGCAAGTGAGTTGGAGACAAGGGTTATATAGGCAACCATGATTTCTCTCTGGTTCATTAAAAATATAAAAGAAATTGTTTGCACATTTATTCACTTAATTCTTATTTGTAAGAAAGGTCTCCTAATCACAGTTAGAACTTGAGCTTTACCTCCCAGCTCGGAGCTACTGATATCCTCACTCACTCTTAAGATTGGGGTGAAGGATGAGGAGAGGATTTATTTCCACTCTATCTTTGAGTGTGACTCCATTCCATTCTCCCAAAGACAGCTGGAACGGAACACTCAGCTGCTCATTTCTGAAGTTATTAAGGAGTCCTCAGGCCCCAGGCCTTGAACCCTGAGGTATGGGTGTGAGAGGTAAAAGAAGAATGGCAGAAGATAAGACAACTGAGGTGCACCTGACACAACTCTCTGAAGTGGTTCTATTTAAAAGTCGAAGTTCTGTTGGACATACCTCCTCCTTTACCATGAAGCTCCCTTCCCTCCCACATTTATTTTTCTTTCTATCTTTCTTCTTCTCCATCTCCTGTTTTCTCTTTCTCCCTCACTCCCCTGGCCATCTTCTTCCCTCCCTCTGTCTTTTTCTTTTGGCAACAATTCCTTGCATTCTACAGTTAGAAATATTGTGGTCAGCACCCAAGTGAATACATACACACATAGGGCAATGGACAAATAGAACATGACAATATTTTATGGCAGATGAAAATATAGAAGTTATGAGTATAAATGTAAGATAACAACCACTTAAAATTCCCCTAGTCCTCAGATAGTGCTGCTGCAAACTCCTACTGAATTATTTCCACATGTCATTTCTCTTTCTATAGATGAGGCCATGTATAGATCTTTGGAGAAGTTCATTGAGTGCAGACAAGGGAGCCGTTTAGGAAAGCACCAGCTAGGCCTGCATACATTCTGGGGGTTTTGTGGGCAGGCTCCACCCAGGAAACCAAAGACAGACACATGAACAATGAAGCAATGAAATCAGGGCTGAAAGGCTTCAGCATGCTCTGTCCCAGCTGGTACAACAGAACAGGAGTGTGTTGGTAAGAATACAACAGGCTAAGGAGAAACTCGAAGGGAGCTGCTGAAAGACGTTAATGCACCACCAACCAGCTGTTTCCTTATCCCCAAATGGCCTCACAAACCTTTCTCCTTTCCTTACCCAACCGTGAGGTTGAGATTCCTGGGAGAGGGGGTGGGTTTAACCCAGGTCATATCCAGACTGGGGAAAAGAGGGGTGAAAATGGAAGGAATCCTCAGAAAGGATCCTGGCAACCTCCCACCAGCAAAATCGGAGCACGTAGCTCTCTGCATTGCCAAAATAACATCACTCTCATGAGGCTGATGAAAGCTCTTGGCTCAAAGAATAAGACAAACTCTTTCAGACATAAGAACAAAACATTCCCTTTAAAAAACTCAGTGTAAGAAGTTCAGCTCACTGACGATGAGAGCCATTTTCTTCTGGGGAAAAATAATCATCAAGACAAGCTCAAAGTGGTTCATAAGCTCTGAGTGGGTTTAGCATGAAAGCAGCAAGCCATAGGCCTGCAGTGCAAAGCAGTGGCTCATGCTGCAGACACCCAGTGCATTGGGTTACCATGAATAAAACTCACTTACCTTTTGAAGAATACAGCTTTTGACAGAGTTGTTTTCTTAGGGCTATCACTGTGGCTATGAAAATGAAAGCAATGATGCAGAAGGGGATGAAAATGTGAAGCAGCCAAGTTGGATGGGTCCTGGGTTCCATCTGACCTGGGCAAAGGAAAAGCACCAGAATCCTGTTACATGGCAACTAAGAGGTAGACCAACAGGCTGGCCACATGAGTGGGTGACAGCCAACACGGCTAGCTCTGTGGAGCATTTACTCCACACCAGGCCCTATTCTAAGTGCTCTGCACCTATCAGCTCATCCACTCCTCGCAACCACTCTGTGAAGTTGGCTCTGCTATGATCCCCATTTCACTGGTGAAGAAAGGGAGGCACAGAGAGACTAGGAAGCTTTCCCTAAGTTACATAGTAAGTGACCCAGCTAAGATACAGTCTGGTTCCAGATTCTGTGCTTTTTACCACTCTCTCATGTTATTTTTTTCCATCCATCCATCAATCCATCCATCTATCATCTAATCATCTTTCTTTCTTTTTTCTCTTTTTCCTCCCTATCCCCCTTCTCCTCCTCATCCTCTCTCTCTTCCCAGTGGCAAAGTCTCTCAGCCCAAAAATGTCTTTCCCCCACTGACAAGTACTCACAGTGCTTAGAATCTATACCATTAGTTGTTAAATTTCAAGGATTAACAGGATCCTTTTGGAAGAAATAGAATATCCTAGGTAGTGTTAATATACTAAACCTAGTCACTCATGCCTTAGTGTGAATTATTACAATTGGCCCTTTGCCTTGTTTCGGTTTTTCAACGTCCTAGCACTGAGGAAAGGGTGAGTTTAGTAGAGGGTGGATCAGAAGAATAATTCTGGAGGCTGGGGAAAGCCTTGTAAAGTCCTCTGGTGTGTACAGATTAGAACAAGGGCTCCAGACTGACAAAAGGCAGGGCTAGAGGAGTGTTCACCTACAGGGAAATGAAAGGGTACTCAAGTTAATTTGTGCCCTATTCAAAAGCTTGAATTTTGCCTCTGGAGTCATTCACATGGAATAAACATGACAGGCTGGTACAGGAAAAACTGGACGAAACTGCTCAGCGGGAAGGGCTCAGTCCTCCCAACTTCCCAGCCCTCAAACCCCACTACCTCCAGCACAGTGCTATCTGAGAACCACGGATTGTTTTACTGGAGAAGAGATTAGACATTATTTAGTCTGAGCCCCTCATTTTAGAGTTGAGGAAGTAAGTCTCAGAGTTGCTAAATAATCTATGTGAGGTCATCACTGCTAAGTAAAAGTCAATGCCAGGATTGCAAACCCAGATCTATCTGACCCAAAGCTCAGCCCCCACAGATATTTGTCTCCATCCAAAAGAGTGTGATTAACATTAACGAAGAAAAGATAAGGAGCCTTGCTCATCCAAACATTGGATAACCCATATTGATTATAATCTGCTTCTTAATTTCTAGTAAGTGCTTAGTAAGCACTTTGTGAGTCAAGGAGACCTGGGCCTCTCACTGTCCCCACAACAGGAGAGGTCCCTACCTCAGTGTCTTTATGCAAACCCTTGTCCTGTGCAGGTTCCCTCATAGTCTCTTCCACGTACAGAAGCCCTACTCATCCCTGAAGACTCCAAAGTTGAACATCCAGTAGGAAATCAGTCTGCTTAGACTGTATTTGGAGGGCAAAGGCCTTATCTAAACTACCTCTGAGTCCTCTCTAGATAGAGCCAAGCAACAGCTACATGAAAAGTGCCAATATGGAATTGTTGCACTGAATTGACTGTCTCTTTTCTAGTCCACCTAGCCTGATCCTCCTAGTCATTTGTTACCTTGTGGTATACTGCTGGTTAATCCATTCTTTCTTTCAACTTTAGTATTAGGGAATTAGCTGGACACATGGCTTCTCAGAGACTATGTTTCCAAGCCTCCCCTATAGTTAAGTGGGCCCAGCCATGTAATCTAAGTTCAGGCTAAGAGAGTGAGTTTTCAAGGTCTTGGCCTTAAAACATTGAATGTGTTTTCCACCACTCGTTTACTTTCTGAAGGTTGAAACATGGGTTTGGCACTGACTGAGCTTTGACAATTTTATAGGGACAACATCCTGGAGAATGGCAGAGCAACAGATGAAAATAATCTGGATCACTGAATGACTCTATGGAACATAGCTGCTTAGCTGCTCTGAACCACCTGAGTGTTACATGGAACGAAAGATACTTCTGTCTCGCTTCTCACTGTATTTCGAGGTCTCTTCATTATGGTAGCTTAGCCTGTATCCTCATACATATTCCTCTAAGTTGTTTTAAAATTCTTGCATACTCTTTTGTCGTTTCTTTAATTTAATTAATTAATTTATTTATTTGAGAAGGAGTTTCCCTCTTGTTGCCCAGGCTGGAGTGCAGTGGCATGATCTTGGCTCACTGCAACCTCCGCCTCCTGGGTTCAAGTGATTCTCCTGCCTCGGCCTCTTGAGTAGCTGGGATTACAGGCACCTGCCACCATGCCTGGCTAATTTTTTGTATTTTTAGTAGAGACGGGGTTTCACCATGTTAGCCAGGCTGATTTTTGAACTCCTGGCCTCAAGCAATCCACCCATCTCAGCCTCCCAAAGTGCTAGGATTACAGGCATGAGCCACCGCACCTGGCCAATAATGGCATACTCTTAGCAATGATATAATGATGCAATGGCAAAAAATATTTGTCTTATCCTTGCCACAACTTCATGAACTCACAAGTAAGGCATGCAACTTGCTAGATATACCATTTTTTTTTACTGTTTGCACACTTTCTGAGTACTAAGCACTTTATAAGCACATTTCATTTAATCCTCACTATAACCCTATAAACTGTCTACCACTACTCACCCTCATGCTACACATGAGAGACTGAGTGCTAGAGTGGCTAAGTAGGATATTTAGGTTCTCAAAGCTAATAGAGAGAGAGTTTGAAATTTAAGCCTGTCTGACATCAGAGCCCATGCTCTCAACCACTGCCTGGAATCACCTCCAGGTCTCCTAGGAAGGATTCTCTTTTCTGCCAGCCCTACAAGGGTCCTTTTATATTTATTTTTTGTGCTGTAGTCCCATTCCATTTCCTAATGAAAATACAACAACTGGCTGAGCAGAAGAAACCCTATTTCAAAAGGAAAATGATCTGTTGCTCCCTAACTTGTGCTTGAAATTTGGAATGTTCAGTCATCCATTCTAGAGTCAGTGGAGTACCCTCCACCCACCATACTCTTCGTTTCCGTGTTTGTTTTATACATTGACTTCCGGAGAAGCTTGTGGGTCACAGCAGTCCACAGCTCAATTTATGAGAATGAGTAGAAAGGGAACAGTCATAAGACAACTTAAAAATGCCCTTGAGAAATAGAAGCCAGGAACTCAGAGGCAGATGTGTGACTTTGGTTATTTTGTTGCTGGTATTTGTGCCACAAGCTAGAATATCATTTGGCTGCTCTGACCTGGCTGTCCACACAGTCTGGTAGCTGGCATGATGGGACTGCGATTATCTAAGATGGAATCTCCAACCCAATCAACCCAACATTTGTTGAGCACTTATTATGAACACAGGACTCTGCTTTTGCCTTAGTGTGGAATAAAGAAGACTTGTGTGAACAATGAAAATACATGGAAAATAAAATAGCAATTAAAAAGGCAAGCATAGTTACAAGGCAAACAAATGGTCCAGGTAGTAGGTCTCAAAATGTGGGATGAGGGAAAGACCCCCTTGTGCCCTGGAGTGACTGAGCTGCCCCAGAGAGAGGGTGGGCTTGGAGCTAGTAGAGAGGGAAATAATGATATTTATGTGGAAAAACCTGAGCAAAGAAGGCATGGAGGTAGAAAAGGTGCAGCCAAGTTCAGAGAGCATGTGGTGAGGAAGGGATGGTTAATGAAGCAGAGGATCCATGTCAGTAAACAGTAGGACGAATACAAAGTTGGGAAGGATGGGTAAAACCAGGTTGAGAATTTCTGGCTGCACAAAGATTTCTCCATCTCCCTGATGGCTGTATTTATGAGTGATACCCTAGGAGATCCTGAGCTCTGATGAAGACCCCACAGGTCTCTCCCATGGTTGTTGACTATTTAGTAAGCCATGTTGGCTTCCATGAAGAGAGTGGAGTGGCCATTTTACTCCACTGTTAACTTCTCACAGCGTAAAGGCTTCCAGAGCAATGGTCAGTCTGCCCTTTCACATCTCTACCATGCAGAATAGAACACTGACATAATCAGTGGTGTAAAGTTATTTCTCAATTCATCTCATACAGGCCCCTGTTTCCCTGGAGAGGTTCTTATATAAGAAGCGTCTTTCTAGAAAACTACAATTCATCCAAAGTACTGGCCTACACTTAACCAGGCAGGAAATTCCATATAACGAACGACAGTTGAATAAACAATTCCAGGGGAAAAAAGTTCTCGTGGGATTGCTCATATTTAATCCTCTTTAGAGGCTTTAGCTTTAGTATGAATTAGTTAGAGTTCATCTTTCATGAGGTGAGAAGTCTGTGGTCTCAACCATGATATAAAGAGAGGTAGAGAATGTTGAAAGACCAACTTGCCTAATTCATTTTTTTACCTGAAGTTGGTCCTAAAATTGATGGATTTCTAGTTTCTTTCTTTCCCCTCCCTACCTCCTCTCCCCTCCTCTCCCCTTTCCTTTTCTTTTTTGGAGACAGAGTCTCACTCGGTTGCCCAGGCTGGAGTGGAGTACAATGGCACAATTGTAGCTCACTGTAACCTCAATCTACTGGGCTCAAGTGATCCTCCTGCCTTGGCCTCCCAAAGTGCTGGGATTACAGACAAGAACCACCATGCCCAGCCTCTAATGTTTTGATTTCAGTTAAGATCCTTAGCATGACTCCTCTCTTTCCTTCTAAACTAATAATTTAGTTAGAAGGAAGTTGGGCTAACTTTAGTGTTGGCATTGGGTAGTAAATTGTGGATAGGTAGGGAAGTGGGAAAAGGGGAGAGATGACAGTGCATCTAGCTGCCTCTGAAAACTGTATCAGGGAAGAATTTTTTCCAGAAGAAAATACCAGGAAAGTTATGATGAGATGGGTATTTAGTCACTGCAAAGTTCTTGGAGTCTGGTCTGTGGATCAGTGTCACTCCATGAAAAAATTAATTTTAATTTGGCATAAAGCATCAGATATCTCTGATGCCTCAACTCATACCATGTCTGCCTCACCCCAACTGTACTTGATGGTGGTAGTTCTGTGCAAGGTCTAACTCATTTCCTCCTGACAACCTCCTCAAGCATGTTCTACGTCTGTACCAGGGCTATCCCAGTGCTGCAGGTTGGCCCCTCTCACCATTACTTCTAATGACTCACGTATAGAAGTTCACTCAACCCCACACATTTAGGCTCTGCTGAATCAAAGGTCTGGCTTCCTACGGGGAATTCTAGCAGGGGATACTCTGCTTGTTCTACTGCATCTAAAGCTCTGCTACTGGCCTGGCCACCTTGAGCTCTTAATATTGGCAGACCAGTGAGCAAAGAAAAAAATTACCATACTGGTGGAGAAATCAATCTTGATTATCATGAAAATCTTGAACACTGCTACATAATGGAGACAAGGAAGAGTATGTCTGGAACTCAGGGGTCCGCTGATTCACTGGTTCTTTTTACTTCCATATCCAGTGATAATGAAAAGATATTTGCAACAACCCCAGTCTGTTAAGGGCATGCTGATCAAAAGCTCAGATCTCTTAGGGTCGTTAAGTCTGGGTCACCCTATCAGGCAAAGAAACCATTCCATCTGGGGTGTTAGGTGAGGGAAATCTGGAATGTATGGTGGATGAGTGAGACAACAAATATCAACTGTGGCTTGGGATCCACAGCAGCAGCAGGAACTACAGCTTGTTCCACAAACTGGTGTATATTAAATCTTCTGCAGAGATTGTGGCTGCCTCCCAGCTGGAAGGCTCAGTGGCAGAGCTGACTTAATGAAGGGCATGAGTGGATTTGAACAGTACAATTGGGGACTGTGCAGTCCTGCCTTATTTCCTCTCAGCCTCACCTTTCACTTCAGCCAGCTGGGGTAGAATTCTAGTTAGGCTTACACTCACTTCAAGGTCAGTAATTCACCTCAAATTGGATACTTTTCTTTCTGCCCTGCGACTTTTCTGATGCTACGGATACTGGGGAAAGCTCACTCAGCCCACATGCATGTCTAGCCCAGCAGCAGAATGGAGTTCATATTCCTGTCAACCAATGGGCGTGAAGCAGATGAACAAGTCCTTCCACCTGAAATTCTTTGTCTGAGTAGACATCTTAGGAGGCTGTCTACATGCTGGTCCTTGAATATTTGAGTTTCTGTTGTCCACACTACAACTTTGATAATATACTCTTATATTACCCTCTCTTAAACTCCTAAATCTCTTGCTTCTGCCCTCTGGGGTTGCCAATTAAATACCTGCATGCCACACAAGTCCTTATCATAGGCTCTGTCTTACCAGCTAAGACAAAGGGCAAACTGTGAAATACAATGACAATATAGTGAATTTTCTATAAAGCCAGATTGAATCAGTACTAGGGACTGTCCTTTAGTCTGAGAGTATATCCCTTCTCAGTAGGATAAATAAAATTATGGCTCTCCCCAAAGATGTCCATATTCTAATCCCTGGAACATGTGAATATGTCACCTTACATGGCAAAAGGAATTTTGAAGATGGACCTTGAGATGGGAAGATCACCCCAAATAACCAGGGGGATGGAGTACCTAATGCAATCACAAGGGTCCTTAAGAGGTGGCAAAGAGAAGCAAGCTAGTTAGGGAAAGAGATGTGGCTGATCATGATGGCTCACGCCTGTAATCCTAGCAATTTGGGAGGCTGAGGCGGGCGGATCACCTGAGGTCAGGAGTTTGAGACCAGCCTGGCCAACATGGTGAAACCCATCTCTACTAAAAATACAAAAATTAGCCAGGCATGTTGGCATGTGCCTGTAATCCCAGCTACTCAGGAGGCTGAGACAGGAGAATAGCTTGAACCCGGGAGGCAGGGGTTGCAGTGAGCCGGGATCGTGCCACTGCATTCCAGCCTGGGGGGCAGAATAAGACTTCATCTCAAAAAAAAAAAAGAGAGAGAGAGAGATGTGGTGACAGAAGCAGAAGGCTGAATGATAGGGTTGCTGCCTCTGAAGATAGAGGGAGGGGCCATGAGGCAATTAATGCAGGTGGCCTCTAGCAGCTGGAAAAGACAGGAAAGTGGAATCTTCCCTTAGGGCCTCTGCAATCCTGCTGACACCTTGATTTGAGCCCAGTGAAACTCAAGTCTGGCTTTCTGACCTCCATAAGTATCAGATAATAAATCTGTGTTGTCTTAAACTGTGAAGCTTGTGGTAATTTGATATAAGAGCATTAGAAAACATATGCACTCGGTGATGAAATTACCTGTCTCTTACGAAATGATTATGATACTAGGTGTTAGTTGTCCTTACTGGGCAGATAAAAGTTGTTATTTTCCCAAGATTGTTTGAAATTCTGCTGTATGAAGTTCAAAAGTATGGGATCCCTTCCAAAAATATCCAGCATAGTCAGTAAAGGCTCTGAAGAATTTTGTTAGAGACCAAATTTCTTGGAAAAACCCATAACCAGCTGACTGGCAGCAAGTACAGCAAAGGAATATTCATCCTGCTGGCTCATGACACTGTGCATGAATCACAGTGATTAGCTATTGTACTAGATATTTTCTGTTTCCTCTCCAGATCTATTCTGTACATGTCAATATTGCTCTGAGCCCTGAGAAGTTGACTTTTATGGAATACAACAGTGGACCCTTGTATTCTCTGACTTCTAGCTGGGTTCAGCCAATGGGAGGTGCTAGCAGGAGATTGGAGGGTGGGAGGAGAATGAGTTGGGGTATTCATTCATCCAGTTTCCACCCTTTGGAGTCGCTGCATGTGGCAGCTTCCCTATTCTGTGGCTACAGCTCCTGGGAAGTGGGGCTTTCCCTACAGCTCCCTTCTGATTCCAGTAACTTCTCCAACAGTGGTAATTGCCCTCCCAACATTGAAGCCCCAGTGTTCTGCACTATCCTTTGTAGTTTCTCCAAATGGTGATCACACCTTTGTAAACAGTCCCTTTATTACACTCTCCTCAAATCACTCGAGTATGCCATCTGTTTCTTGTCTGAACCCTAACTGATAGACCTAGGAAGTGGGGGCAGCTCTTACTTTGAAGGTCAATGCTGGCCAAAGTAAGTTCCCTCACGTGAGTATTCCAGAACACACAGCTGAAGTTTCTGCCAGGGGGTGGCTTTAGGCGCAGAACACTGGTGACCTGGTAGAGGCCTTCAGGGGTCCTGGAGTGGCTGGTGTTGGCAGGAACGCTGACGTTTGGCCAGGATACTTCTGCCAGAGGATAACCTGTAGCCTGGCAGGTGAGCTCTACCTCATCTGTTTCTGGAACCTTTAGGATGTGAGTGTTTATTTTCCTGTAGGAAGCTGGACAATAGAGAAGAAAAAGAAATAAGACTTTATTTTCTGATTCCTATAGAGCTTGGTACTTCATGCCATGTGAAATGAATAAAATTATCACTATCAATATTAAGTAATAATGGTTATCATTTGTAAACACATTGTATATCCCTGATATCATGCTATTTTCCACATATATTGAATTATTTAATTCTTACAATGCAATAAAGATGGCATTGTTGATATTCCCAATTCTTGTGGACGGTTACTGAAGATAGAGAAGTTGAGTGTTTTGTTCATAGTCATAGAGCTTATAACTGGTAGGACCAATATTTGAACATTGGAATTCTGATTCCAGACCTCAACAGTGGTCCAAGCTACCACAATTTGTGGCTTCTTTCTTACAGTGCTATAAATTATTTCACAATTGGAGGCCAGAAAGAGGACGGAAAAATAAAAATCACTAGATTACCCACTATCTCACTTTATTTGGTATTTTTTCCAAACATCTTCAGGCAAAAATTTACTTTTTACTTCCTCCTTTCCTCTGTTTTCTTTGAGATTAAGAAGAGAAAAAAAATAAAGACCTAGATAATGTCTATACATAGTAAAGAGTTGGGTATATTTATTCTGCACTTCTCCCTAACACATGCAGATACATACACACAAACACACACAGTTCATACACACACCTGCTTCTTTGCAGTATATGCTGAGTGAATTAAACAGATATGGCTCCCTGCCTCAAGAAAGCTGAGATCTAAGTATAGTCATTTTGGAAAATAGTATAGAGGTCCTCAAAAAACTAAAAATAGAATGACCACATGATCCAGCAGTCCTACTTCTGGGTATATATCCAAAGGAATTGAATTTAGTATGTTGAAGAGATATCTGTATTCCTTTATTCATTTCAGCATGATTCACAATAACCAAGATGTGGAACCAAACTAAATGTCCATCAACAGAGAATGAATAAAGAAAATGTGGTATATATACACAATGGAATACTTACAGCCCTTAGAAAGAAGTAAAATCTGTCATTCATGACAACATGGATGGAACTGAAGGGTATTATGCTAAGTTAAGTAAGCCAGGCACAAAAAGACAGATAATGTATGATCTCATTTATTTGTGAAATCTAAAAAAGTAGATCCCATAGAAACAGAGTAGAAAGGTGGTTATCAGAGGCTGGGGATGTGGAAGATGTTGCTCAGTCTCAGAGTAGAGGAAATGTTTTAGTGATCTATTGCCATGTGTGATGACCACAGTTAATGCATTCTGTATTCAAATTTGCTAAAAGCATGAATTTTTTACATTCTCTGTTTTGAGATTAAGAAGAGAAAAAAATAAAGACCACAAAAAAACAACTTGGTGATGTGATATGTTAACTAGTTTGATTTATTCTTTTTTTTTTTTTTTTTTTTTGAGACAGAGTTTCGCTCGTCACCCAGGCTGGAGTGCAACAGCGTGATCTCGGCTCACTGCAACCTCCACCTCCCAGGTTCAAGCAATTCTCCTGCCTCAGCTTCCTGAGTAGCTGGGATTGCAGGCACCTGCCACCATGCCTGGCTAATTTTTTCTATTTTCAGTAGAGATGGGGTTTCACCATGTTGGTCAGCCTGGTTTTGAACTCCTGACCTCAGGTGATCCACCTGCCTTGGCCTCCCAAAGTGCTGGGATTACAGGCATGAGCCACTGTGCCCGGCTTGATTGACTCTTTCTATAATCTATACATAGATCAAAACATCATATTGTACCCCATAAATATACATTATTGCCAGTTAAAAATAAATTTTAAAATTAAAATAAAACATTACAACCTTATAAAAACTTTAAAAATAAGTAAAATAGGCATGATATTCCAAGAGACTAGAAGACACAAGAACAAACCTTCCAGTGGTCTTAGATAATAGCTAAAAATAAACAAATATCAATACCATATGCAGTTACCAGGCAGTGTGGAAAGTCACCTGTTGATATTTGGTGAGAGGAAGAGGGGATGAGCACTGGCTTCCATTCGGTAGGAAATATTCTTTTAAGAAATTAAATTTCAATACAATTTTTGAAGTAAGTGTAGTCTTGAAGTAAAGGCAGAGGTGTGATACAACTTTTTTCTCCTAAATTGTTGGAAGTATAAATAGGTACAAACTTTGTGAAAAACAATTTCACATTAAAATAATGGTAACAACCATGTGAAAACCATCTGATGTGTATGATTTACTTATTGTTTTCTATGTGTTGAGCTTTGTGCCACGTCCTTTTACATCCTATGGAAGAGAAGGAATGTTCATGCCGTTCTTCACAATTTTTGCCCCTCTGTTCCCCTCCTGTGTTGTGGGTCTCAATGTTAAGAGTTGACAATTTGATTCATTATAGCAAACAACACCCACTAGATCTGGGTTCACTAGAGAGCAGGGTCACTGCACAATGAAACATCCACCAGAACCTGCGTGCACTTTGGCTCTCCCTTGAAGTTCTCGTCTCCATGTGGTCAGCACACCCAGCTGGGCCTCCTGGTATGTCCCAAAAAGCTCTGACATCTTTCCCCCTAATGTATAAATATACATAATACATATAATACATTATGTCATTTAAATGATATGCAGACCCTATGAGGTGGGTAAAATTCATATTACTATTTTGTAATGCATTCTTAATTGGAATCACCATAAGAGGATGTGTCTCTGTGTAATTGCAGATGTCTAGGGATGGTGCAACATAAGCAGATAGAGGAATATGCTCTGAGGTTCTTAGGAGCACCCAGCAGTAGTAGAAGATAAGGCAATTCAGACACTGAAGCAGCCTACTGAAGGACTTGACCTGTTAGACTCACCAATCTCCTTGAAGCCAAAACTTTGGCCTATCTTTCATAATCAAACAGTACCCGAAGTGTGTATTTCGAGTACTCACTTTATCTCTCATTTTGTATTATTTATCTACACTTATTTTCCCTTGGTTCAATGTCTTTTGTAATCATTTTATATGATCATACTGTAGATTATTTCTGTAAGCTCTCAAGTCTTTTGGGGAATGAAGTAGAACAAGAACAGGAGCAGAGTACTGTGGGTGAGGGTCCAGCCCACTATTGCAGGTGGCTTGGACCAAGAAACTGATCTTGGTGTCCTGGTTGAGAAGTGATTTCAGAAGTAGGGATGCCAGGAATTGGGAGCTTGGCTGAGGCTTTGACTTGGGATACATGAGGGAGCAGATAGGGAGACAGAGAGAGAGCTCTTCCACTACAAGAATCAGCAAGGTTTGGGGAAGGGACAGGAGCCCACATCCTACATTTTTGCAGTATCAGAAATGTCTCCACAGCCTCTTTCTTATTTGGAAGGTGGTGGAAAAGGAATCGCTTCCCACAGTGGGGAAGCTGGACTGAGGGTGATATTCTTAGGAAAAGATGAGTAAATTTTAGAATTTAAGAGGCGGAAGTACTCCAAAAATTCAAGTCATCTGACTTATTGCTCAATGAAAAACACCTTCTACAGCAATTCTCCTAGATAATTGCTTTGATGATTGTTCCACATACGCTTGAAAACAATGTGTGTTCTGTAGTTGCTGGGTGTATGTTCTATATATCATATGTCTATTAGGTCAAGATGGCTAATTGTGTTGTTCAGATTTTCTATTTTCTTAATTGTTTGTTCTATCAGTTGTAATAGAGATGAGTTGAAATCTCAAATGTAATTGTGGATTTGACTGGTTCTCCTAAGTCTGCCAATTGTTGTTTAATATTTTGAAGCTATACTGTTAAATGGACACACATTTAGGATTGTTATGTGTTCCTTTAGAACTCACTCTTTTATCATTATGAAGTGTCCCTTGTTATCTTTAGTAATATTTTTCTTCTGATATTAGTAAACTGCTAAATAACTTTTGCCTGAAAACATCTATGAATGGAAACTCCTACTTCCTCTAGAAGCAGTCTTTGCCATGATTATACAATAAGCAAGTTAAACTTCCATTGGAAAGATTTTCTTCATGCCAAGCAAAATTGTGCCTCTTTGTAGCTTCTACCCATTGGTATTTGTCTAGTTTAGTAACACAACATATGGTAAGCACCGTAGTTAAAAACATGAGTTCAGAATCTGAGCAGTTTGAGTAGGCTTTAGCCAAGGGCTAGTTATATGACCTCTTAAACCCTCAGTTTTCTTGTTTAGGAAATGGATACAGCAATACTTATCCTTAACAAGGGTGTTAAATAATTAGTTAGATGTCTAGAACGTAGTAAACACTCAATTAGTGTTAGCAATTATTGCAGGTAACCCTTCTGATATTTGAATATAACTGGGAAGACTCCATCTAGTCTTTTCAACCCTAAGTAAAACATGCCTACCTCCTTTAACTATATCTCACAAGATACAGTCTTCAGACCCATTTCCAGATAGTAGTCTTTGGTTATAGTTTAGTTTTGCCACGTTCTTTAAAAAGGATATGTAACACAATCTATATTCTAGATATTATCTAAGCAGCACAAATATCCAGGGTTTTAATGTAACCTAAGGTCATAAGATCAGTTTTGCTAAATATATGATCTGCTGCTCAGTTAGGTTGGCTATATCCTTACAACCTGAATAACAGACCCCTTAGCACTTGGAGATTGTCTCCAAGTTGACTGAGGCCATCAGCCAGCCTTCGTTGTCCCTGACTCAACAACTACTAGCTTTTCAGTCTGTTATAGATCTAGTCAACTGTATTATTATCCCACCTTTTACCACCCAATACACAAGGTGTGTGTGCTTTGTGTGTCCTGGGTCTGTTTGCCTTCAGATCCATCTCTCACTTTTTCTTCTCTGCTCTGTGTTGCAGGAAGGCAGACTCCTGTGGCCTGTATAGCCTAGGAACGTGACAGCCAATAGGAAGCAAGACAGGAACACTAGAGGGTGGACTGGAGGGAGAAGGGAAGGTATTTCTCCCCTATGCTCTATACTTTTGTGGCCTCTCCAGCAGAAGATGTATCTCTTCCCTGGCTCCAGATACCAATGGACAGGCCCACTGGGTTCCAGTGTCTGTCAAGTGACTTTAATCCCTGGGCTCCATTAACCCTGCCTTCCCCCTTTTCACTATAGCCTAGTGGTAGGAGCAGCTTTCTGCTATTGCTAATTTCTGAATTGCTTCCCTGTTCTCTGTTTGGCTTCTCAGTCTCCCTCATTAAAAGAATTACTAGTTTCAGCTTTAGATTTCCACAGGTTTAAATGGTTTCTGTTTCCCTGGTTTGTTCTGGCTGTCTGACAGATATGTTACAAGCAATGCTGTAATTTCTGAAATAAAGATGAAATGTATACATGGTAGTATCTGTTTTATAGTCATAATGACAGTAAATAAATGGAAAAATGTAGTTTTACATGCCTTGGTCTTAGAGGATCTATGCAAGTTTCTAGTAATCAGTTAAATCTTTTAGGACTGCTTTCAATTCATCTGTTAAATTGCCTGAAAAGGAATAGCAGGTTAACGAGTTTGTAATCCCCAGGAGCTTCCCCTCCCCCCCACCCCATTGAAATTCAGGACATTGTTTTCTTTTTTAAAATAATTTCTTTCTTTATTTTTAAAAAACGTGTTATTTTACTCCTAGGCTTCCCGCTACTGCAGGCGGAGCTCAGGACATTTTCTTGACTCCGATTTTCTTACACCCTTCTGTTTCCCCAAGGGAAAAAAAGACACTGAGACTTGGCTCTTTTAGCAAATGCTTTCCTTGGGCCTTAGAGGCTTAAACGTACAGTTGTCTTTTCACTGCTGCCTTGCTTCTCTTTGATTGTTTCCTTCCTCTGCCCTTGGTTTCTTCCTTCTTAGGGTGAAGGCCATTTTTTTTTTTTTTTTTTTTTTGAGACGGAGTCTCGCTCTGTCGCCCAGGCTGGAGTGCAGTGGTGCGACCTCTGCTCATTGCAAAATCCGCCTCCCAGGTTCCTGCCATTCTCCTGCCTCAGCCTCCCGAGTAGCTGCGACTGCAGGTGCCTGCCACCACGCCCGGCTAATTTTTTGTATTTTTAGTAGAGACGGGGTTTCACCGTGTTAGCCAGGATGATCTTGATCTCCTGACCTCGTGATCTGCCCACCTCGGCCTCCCAAAGTGCTGGGATTACAGGTGTGAGCAACCACGCCTGGCCCAAATGTGGAGTTTTTTATCTCTCACCCCCAACCATCCTTTCCCCTAAGTCCTGAAAGTCCATTGTATCATTCTTATGCCTTTCCATCCTCATAGCTTAGCTCGCACTTATGAGTGAGAGCATACAATGTTTGGTTTTACATTCCTGAGTTACTTCACTTAGAATAATAGTCTCTAATTCCATCCAGGATGCTGCAAATGCTATGATTTCATTCCTTTTCATAGCTAAGTAGTATTCCATGGTGTATATATATAATATGCATATATATATGTATGTATAATATATATACCACATTTTCTTTATCCACTCACTGATTGATGGGCATTTGGGCTGGTTCCATATATTTGCAATTGCAAATTGTGCTGCTATAAAAATGCGTGTGCAAGTATCTTTTTTTTGTATAATGACTTCTTTTCCTTTGGGTAAATACCTAGTAGTGGGATTGCTGGATCAAATGGTAGATCTACTTTTAGTTTTTAAAGGAATCTCCACACTGTTTTCCATAGTGGTTGTACTAGTTTACATTCCCACCAACAGTGTAAGAGTGTTTCTTTTCACCACATCCATGCCAACATCTATTATTTTTTTGTTATGGCCATTCTTGCAGGAGTAAGGTGGTATCGCAGTGTGGTTTTGATTTGCATTTCCCTGAGAATTAGTGATGTTGAGCATTTTTCCATATGCTCGTTGGTCATTTGTGTATCTCCTTGTGAGAATTGTCTATTCATGTCCTTAGCCCATTTTTTGATGGGATCGTTTGTTTTTTTCTTGCTGATTTATTTGCATACCTTGTAGATTCTGGATATTAGTCCTTTGTCAGATGTATAGATTGTGAAGATTTTCTCCCACTCTGTGGGTTGTCTGTTAACTCTGCTGATTATTTCTTTTGCTGTGCAGAAGCTTTTTAGTTTAATTAAGTCCCTATTTATCTATTTACCTTTGTCTTTGTTGCATTTGCTTTTGGGTTCTTGGTCACGAAGTCTTTGCCTAAGCTAATGTCTAGAAGGGCTTTTTCGATGTTATCTTCTAGAATCGTTATGGTTTCAGGTCTTAGATTTAAGTCTTTGATCCATCTTGAGTTGATTTTTTATAAGGTAAGATATGAGGATCCAGTTTATTCTTCTCCATGTGGCTAGCCAATTATCCCAGCACCGTTTGTTGAATAGGATGTACTTTCCCCACTTTATGTTTTTGTTTGCTTTGTCAAAGATCAGTTGGCTATAAGTATTTGGCTTTATTCCTAGGTTCTCCGTTTTGTTCCATTGGTCTATGTGCCTATTTTTATACTAGTATTATGCTGTTTTGGTGACTATGGTGTTATAGTATGGTTTGAAGTTAGGCAATGTGATGCCTCCAGGTTTGTTCTTTTTGCTTAGTCTTCCTTGCTTTGGCTATGTGGGCTCTTTTTTGGTTCCATATGAATTTTAGGATTTCTTTTTCTACTTTTGTGAAGAATGATGGTAGTATTTTGATGGGGATTGCATTGACTTTGTAGATTGCTTTTGCAATCTACAAAGTATGGTCATTTTCACAATATTGATTGTACCTATTCATGAACATGGGATGTGTTTCCATTTGTTTGTGTCATCTGTGATTTCTTTCAGTAGTGATTTGTAGTTTTCCTTGTAGAGGTCTTTCATGTCCTTCGTTAGGTATATTCCTAAGTATTTTATTTTATTTTTGCAGCTATTGGTTGATGTTGGTGTATAGCAGAGCTACTGATTTGTGTACATTAATTTTGTATCCTGAAACTTTGCTGAATTTGTTTACCAGTTCTAGGAGCTTTCAAGATGAATCCTTAGGGTTTTCTAGGTATATGATCATATCATCAGCAAACAGCAACAGTTTGACTTCCTCTTTACCAATTTGGATGCCCTTTATTTCTTTCTCTTTGAGTGCTCTGGCCAGGACTTCCAGTACTATGCTGAATAAAAGTGGTGAAAGTGTCTTGTCTTGTTCCAATTCTCAGGGAAAATGCTTTCAACTTTTCCCCATTCAGCATAATGTTGGCTGTGGGTTTGTCGTAGTTAGCTTTTATTACCTTAAGATATGTTCCTTCTGTGCTAATTTTGCTGAGGGTTTTAATCATAAAGGATGTTAGATTTTGTCAAATGCTTTTTCTGAATCTATTGAGATGATCATGTGATTTTTGTTTTTAATTCTGTTTGTGTGGTGTATCACATTTATTAACTTGTGGATGTTAAACCATCCCTGCATCCCTGGTGTAAAACCCACTTGATCATGGTGGATTATCTTTTTGATATGCTGTTGGATTTGGTTAGCTAGTATTTTGTTGAGGATTTTTACATCTATGTTCATCAGGGATACTGGCCTGTAGTTTTCTTTTTTTGTTATGTCCTTCCCTGGTTTTTGTATTAGGGTGCTACTGGCTTCATAGAATGATTTAGGGAGGATTCCCTCTTTCTCTATCCCATGGAATAGTGTCAATAGAATTGGTACCAATTCTTCTTTGAATGTCTGATAGAATTCAGCTATGAATCTGTCTGGTCCTGGATTTTTTTTTGTTGACAATTTTAAAAGTTACCATTCAATCTTGCTGCTTGTTATTGATCTGTTTATAGTTCCTATATCTTTCTGGTTTAATCGAAGGGTTGTATATTTCCAGGAATGTATCCATCTCCTCTAGCTTTTCTAGTTTGTACGTGTAAAGGTGTTCATAGTGGCCTTGAATAATCTTTTGTATTTCTGTGATATGAGTAGTAATATCTCCATTTCATTTCTAATTGAGATTATTTGGATCTTCTCTCTTCTTTTCTTGGTTATCAATTTTATTTATCTTTTCAAATAACCAGATTTTTGTTTCATTTCTCTTTTGTATTTTTTTTGTTTCAATTTCATTTAGTTCTGCCCTGATCTTTGTAATTTCTTTTCTTCTGCTGGGTTTGGGTTTGGATTGTTCTTGTTTCTCCAGCTCCAGGAGGTGTGACCTTAGATTGCCTATTTGTGCTCTTTCAGACTTTTTGATGTAGGCATTTAATGCTATGAATGTTTCTCTTAGCACTGCTTTTGCTGTATCCCAGAGTTTTGATAGGTTGTGTCACTATTATCGTTCAGTTCAAAGAGTTTTTAAATTTCTATCTTGATTTCATTGTTCACCCAATGATCACTCATTATTTAACTTCCATGTAATTGCATGGTTTTGAAGGTTCCTTTTGGAGTTTATTTCCAGTTTTACTCCACTGTGATCTAAGAGAGTACTTGATATAATTTTGATTTTCTTAAATTTATGGAGACTTGTTTTGTGGCCTACTATATAGTCTATCTTGGAGAATGTTCCATATGCTGATGAATAGAATGTATATTCTGCGATTGTTGGGTAGAATGTTCTGTAAATATCTGTTAAGTCTATTTGTGGTAGGGCATAGTTTAAATTCATTGTTTCTGGTTTGAAGTACTTCTGTCAGCTTCAGCCCATTCCTGGTGTTGGCTCTTCCCATCCCCCTGCCCTGCCCAGGCCTTCAGGATGGTTTGGCTCTTGGTGTTCTTGTTTTTAGTGCCTCCTCTGCAACCCTGTCTGGAAACCTTTGCACAGACCAGTTCTCAACCCCAGCTCCTCTGAGAGACCCCTGGGCTCCTGGGGCCTCTCTGTTCTTTGGCCATGCTCCCGCCCCTTCCTCAGATGGATTGCCCCCAGAAATGTAGGTGCCACCTGGCTTTTCAGAAACCACAGTCCTTTATCACTGTCTCTTCCAGAATCTCCGGTCATTCCACCTCATAATTTGTTCTGTCCTTTTGAAATTAACTCTTTTCATTATATTTGATAAGAATTTCTGCCCAGACATCAACGAAGGTGCTATAAACAAACCCATTTTCAAGCTTTATGCCATGGATCAGGCACTTTAAGATAAAAACATGTCCTTCTTCTAGTCCTACTTCATTCATGGGAACCCTCATTGGGGCCTCAGATCTATCTTGCTTCTTTTAGAGACCCTGGATCAGGGTAGCCTACTCTTAGGTGATGGTCCAACTTTTTTTTTGCTTGTATTCCTCCTAAAATAAGTATGATGCAGTATGCTCTTCTCACCTATTAAGTTGATTCTTATAATTTTTCATAAGTTTCTATACTGGAAAAACATATAATGTTCAGCATCTTATGAATTTTTTTAGTAAAACAATTATTTTACTCTTACATATGTATCCAAAGGTGACTAAATATAAAAGAAGTTATCTTTTATATACAACATTATCCTTGAAAAATACATATAAATATTTAACAACAGTATATAGCTTCAAATAGCCAGAAGGGGTACATTGAATGTTCTCAACACAAAGAAATAATAAATATTTGAGATGATAAATATGCTAATTACCCCGATCTGATCACTATACATTGTATATATTGAAACATCACTATGTATCCCATAAATAAGTACAATTATTGTCAATTAAAAAAAGATAAAATACATTCACATATACCCAAAAAAATGATCTCAAAAGAAGGTGCACATAACTTCACAATTTTTTCTGCTGTTATATCTGTTATTGCTTGTAATCATGTTTTCACAATAAACTTAATGTGTCAATTTCTTTTTTTTTTTTTTCTTTTTTTGAGACAGAGTCTCGCTCTGTCGCCCAGGCTGGAGTGCAGTGGAGCGATCTCGGCTCACTACAAGCTCCGCCTCCCGGCTTAACGCCATTCTCCTGCCTCAGCCTCCCCAGTAGCTGGGACTACAGGCGCCCGCCACCGCGCCCGGCTAATTTTTGTTGTATTTTTTAGTAGAGACAGGGTTTCACCATGTTAGCCAGGATGGTCTCGATCTCCTGACCTCATGATCCACCCGCCTTGGCCTCCCAAAGTGCTGGGATTACGGTCGTGAGCCACCGCGCCCGGCCTAATGTGTCCATTTCTAAAATATATATATATAGTACAATATAGTTTCCACAAGAAAAAAAATATATGCATCTAAAACAATATTACATATTTTAAATAAGCTCTTACAAACAAAAGAATATGTATGAAACATGCTGGAATAATTTCCTGTGTTAAAAAAGGGGAATGAGACTGGAGAATGTGGAAAAAAGAGAATAAATAAATAAGACAAATAACAGAGGCTTTTTGGGTAAGGAACCTAATCTATTCAATTCCTTCTAAGTAAAAATAAATAAATTATTAAATGAAAAAATTCTTCTCTGTCTAAATTGTTTCTTTTCATTCATTGAAACTCACTTCCAATTTCACCTTCCCTACAGAATTTTATCTTAATGTAACATATTTTTGTTTGACAGATTTTGTATTGATTATCGTTATATGTCTTTACAACAACAAAATATTTATAGCTATTGAAATGAAAACTTTTCTCTTGTGACTATGAAGCTTTAAATGTTCAGGGTGTTCTGCATTAAGATCTAATTTTTTTTTTTAACAGTAAGTTTTAGGGTACATGTGCACAACGTGCAGGTTTGTTACATATGTATACATGTGCCATATTGGTGTGCTGCACCCATTAACTTGTCATTAAACATTAGGTATATCTCCTAATGCTATCCCTCTCCCCTCCCCCGACCACACAACAGTCCCCAGTGTGTGATGTTCCCCTCCCTGTGTCCATGTGTTCTCATTGTTCAATTCCCACCTATGAGTGAGAACATGCGGTGTTTGGTTTTTTGTCCTTGGGATAGTTTGCTGAGAATGATGGTTTCCAGCTTCATCCATGTCCCTACGAAGGACATGAACTCATCATTTTTTATGGCTGCATAGTATTCTATGGTGTATACGTGCCACATTTTCTTAATCCAGTCTATCGTTGTTGGACATTTATTTCTATTATTATTAACACATATTTGATCAAAATGTAAAATGTTATGAATATTGATAATTATTAAACATGAAAGATGAAAATTTATTGGGAATGTGTCCCTTAATAAGATGGATATGGCTCTCTTTTCCAAATTATTCATGAATCCGAAGAACCATATGACATGGTTGGAATGATTTTATATAATAGAATTCAGCCTCAATTCTATTTCTATTTTTCATTTTTTTGTAGCTTATAAAGGCTAAGGAATCTTGTTCGTATGAGTAAATCAATGGGAATGGAAGCAGTTTCGTTACAGCAATGCCATTTCATTCTTTGACCTGATTTACATGGCAAAAATTACTCATTTTTGATTATCAGTTATTAACTTTATAAGGGCCTCCTTCAATTTTGTTGAAAGCAGAAAATTAGATACCACATTATTTGCAAAAGGGTTTTTAGTCATAACAGTTCCATCAGGTGTCAATGTTCCCAATCATTCTTTTATTTAACACTATAGAGGGTTTTACACCCTGGGACAATGGACTATATTCATGATGAGTGAGTGGTAGGCTTAAAAGAGGAAGTGTTTTAGGGGAACCCCAAGAGCCTTGCCTGGCATGCACATTGTCAGGCTCGTCAATTTTGGGAACGAGTATTTGGGGAAGATGAGGATCTAGGAACTCACTTCCTAAAACTGCCTGTGCCCATACATCCCTTGAAAAGTCTTTGTAATCCCCAAATATCCCAGTTTGATGACCAACACTATAAGGAACAAATCTCTCCACAACTGAGAAATCCCTGATCTAGGTAAGGAGTAGGCAGGGTGCCTCCCCAGGAATGAGAGACAGTTCTCAGTTTGAGAGAATGGGCAGAAGGCCTGGCCCATTAATACAGCATTCAGATAGAGATCAATAAAAACAGAGGTGGTGATTTAGGGTTGCAGATATTCGAGTACATCAAGGCATCCTGAGAATGTACAGCCTTACATTAAGGGAACTCAGACAAACTTCAGTGTTCTAGAGTTCCTCCCAGCTGCTGCCTGGATGTAGGAAATGCAATAAAGATAGAAAACAGTTACATCTAGGCTAATGGCTTTCCTGGTGACTCATTGATGGTTGAGGTGTGAGGAGGTCACTGCCCCTGTAACAACTGAGGGTCTTTTAACCAAGTCTCTGGACACTTATTATATGCCGGGTACCATGCTCAGTTCTTTATGTTCATTATCTCTCTCAATGTTGACAACAATCCTGTGTGTTTGGTACTACTATTGTTCGTCTTCTACAAATAAGCAAAATGTGAGGTTATGAAAGGCAAAATAACCTGCCCAAGGATAAGGGCGAACACAATATTCATCCTCATGTCCAGTCCCTCTAGTTTGTCCTTCTTTGTACCAGATCATAAAGTCACACACTTTCTGCCAAGGTTAATGGTTTTTTGGGGCCAAAACCCACAAACCCTCTAGAAGACAGTACAGACCATCTGAGGTCCAATGCGTGGGAGGGGAAGAGGCCAGAGAAATATTGGCATCATTTATCTCAGAGCATTCAAGCCTGGAGACCATAAGCCAATGAACAAGCAAAATCTATTTTTTATAGTTGTTATATGTCTTTCCTCAAATCACCTTTTCTAGAACAAACAAGAGTGTGAAGATTCTCTTTATATTTAGATTTTCAATTGTGCTGGAGTGGAGAGATCCCTGAATCCAGAGGAATAGGGACAGCTATAGACTTCATGGGACTCTCTTGGGCTACCCACTTCCCTTCTCTGGATCTCAGCTACTTCATCTGCAATAAATAGGGCTTGCATTTGAGCAGTGTTTTCCAAACTTGTAACTTTTTATGATCCAAAGTAAGAAAAAAAAAATTTATACCATGACCCAACACGCACACACACACACACGTCCCTCAGAAATTAGTTTTACAGTACTCAGTCCTACTCTGTGATGTCGTCTGATCTACTCTGTCTATTCTCTTCTATACATTATTTTTTAAAGGGCGGGAAACGTGCATCTGGTTGCTACTCACTAAATTGATATTTTAATCCATGAATGGGCGGCAAACCATGGTTTTAAAAACTCTGGATTCAGGGTATAAACTATTGAAAAAGAGTATCTTAATAATCAAGTCAGGGATGTTCCATGGGAGAATTGTGAATTAGGCAAAGCTTATTTTTCATACCCTCCCACATTTCAGGGACTAATTTTCCTGGCTTCCTCCAGTCCCATTTTATTCCTATAGGTCCTACCCCCTTTCACTTGTACTTCGGCTGCTTTGTACTCAGATGTCAAAAATTATTTCCGAGCAGATGCTTTCATTTTCTCTGAAATAGCTGTCTCCTTAAAAGCAGCCTGCTTGTTTTTGCTTGAGCTACCTTTAATGGGTTTCTGTGACTTGCAGATCCTCTGTTGGAGAGATGCTTCCATGGATTCTAGTCCTTGACACCACTCACCTTTGACTTTCAGAGTCAGGTACTTGTAGTCCCAGGCGACCCCATAGATGATTATGCATTGGTACTGTCCTTCGTCCCTCACTTGGACTTGAGGTATGTGGAACGAGGCCTTCCCTAGGGGCAGCTGCTCCTCCAGCAAAGTGGCTCTTTCACGGTGTGGGGATGTATCATTTTCCACCTTTTGCAAACTGGCTGTTATTGCTCCAAGGTTCACATGACTTCCAGTGTCAAAGTTGCATTCCAGGGTCACATTGCTGCCATGCTCTATTATGTACAGTTCCTTAGGGACTGTCACTGTGAATAAAGCTGAAAAGAAAACAAGATATTTTGTCATTGTCTGCCTTTACTTTACATTCCAGTTCTTACGAAGTGTAACCTGAGACCCATCTCACCCCCATTTTCCAAAAGGCACCTGTCTTATCTGGACATTCCCGTGGCGAATCCTTTTTCTCCTTTGCCCCATCCATCTGGGCAAGAGTGGGATTCTTGACCCGCTGATCTGAGGTGGCTCTCTCCTCCAAACATTCCCTCCTGTGCAGCTGACTGCCCTTTGCTCCTCTCTGGGCACCCCAGCAAGAGCTTCTGGTGGACAGCACTGCTTGCTCTCAGAGGCCTCTCCCACCTCCAGTCCCTGACCCCCCAAGCCCTGCAGTCATTCCAGGTCATCTGTCATATAAGAACAAAATGCTTCCTTTCGACTTCCCTACCATCAAGGTCTGAGCTCATGTTACTTAAATACCTTCACATCCTATTCTCCAGGTTTGTTTCCCTCAATCCATATTGATTAATCCATATATTTTTGTGCCAGGTATCACTTCCTCTCACCAGTGATGGTAATAATAACTATTACTTGTTGAATTCTTACAATTGTCAGACACTCTGCTAACACATCGTCTCACTGAGCTTCTTCCCAGAAGCCAGCAAGGTAGGTAATAATATTCTATCCTTTTTTTCAGAAAACAAAAATGAGGCACAAAAAGGTTAAGTAACTTGCCCAAGATTGCACAGCCAGAATCAGATCAGGTATTTCTAACCACCACATCATACAAGCCCACTGTAGATGCTTTCTATTTTCTGACAATAAAGGGAAAGGAAAAATGGAACTGATACTTAATGTATATCTAGTATGTTCTATGCCAGGCACTGTGCTAGGTACTTTTAACTATATTGTTTAATACTGAAAACATGACCGTGAAACCTGTTTTGTCATTATGGTTATATAGTTGAGGAAACTGGCTCCAAGCAGTTCACTTCAGGACATATGTTAGTAAAGTTAAAATCCAGAGCCAGTCAGATGTTTGACTACAAAATCCGTAGTTTCCACTCAGAGTTTACCAAAATGTGAGGGACACGCCACTAGAAGTATGTAAGATGATTTTAGATGAGGCAGAATCAAAGCCTAAAGGGAGTTAAATTATTCAGAGAGGAATTTATTCCCTTTTCAATTCTATTTTAATCCTTCAATTGCATATAATTTCAACTAGACTTCCACACCTCTAACACTGGCTATTTTTCCTTTTAATCAAACAGGAAGCTTCCGGGTAGATAACAGTATCTGGGTAGGATTTGATAACACTGCTTTATTTTCACTGCATTTATTTTTCTTCCTATTCTCTATTTACCAGTGCAAATGATACTTGTTTTTCATCTACCACAGGGGTATGTGGCTTTATTTTTTAAAAGTTGAATTGATCTAAATAGTTCTATAAAAAAAGCATAAGGAGTGGCCAAACTAGTAAAGGTAGTGTTACATCAATAAAGTGTGAAAAATGACAAAATTAGGCTGCTTCCATCATTAATGAATGGGTATTCATTATGATGGAGGTATAGGAAAATCTTGAAGTAGTTTCTGAATAATCACAGAAGATTAGATCAAATTATGTTCAGTAGAGCTTGCTTCATTCATTTATTCATTCATTCAATCAAATCATTCATTCAACAAATATTTGGGAGCTGCTTCTAAGCATTAGCTATTCCAGAAGTTGTTTCAGTATAAAATGTGATACGGAAGAGCATAGGATATAGTGACAGGTGAGCCTGGGTTCAAATGCTGACTCAGGATTAGGAGTCCTTTGACTGTGAGTCCGTCCTTTAATCTTTATGAGCTTCAGCCTCTTTATCTATAAAATGAGGTTGAACTCTACCTCTCAGTATTGTGGTGGAGGCTGGACGAGGTGTTACATGTGAAGTGCCTAGATCTGGCAGGCAGTAGGCACTCAGCAAATGTTCGTTCCTTTCTTTCGTACCATGTTTTAATTCTTGGGAAAGTGGTAATTCATATGTGGAATGCATGGCCAATCTTTATCCTCCAGGATATTTTACTAACCAGGACAGTCCATTCTCTGATCAGATTTCACAGTATAAGTAACTTTTGGGTTTTCTGCTGCTTGAATGATTCCCACTGCAGATGTCCTCTGATTCAAGTTTTTCTTCCCACTATCCTGCAAATCTTTGAAGGCAAAGACCAGGCTGAGTTTGCTTTGATATATCCAGTACCTAGCACATAGCAAGTTCTAGTTAAGAGCTTGGCAAATAAATGACAGAAAGAGAGAGAGGGAGAAAGAAAGGATGACCCTGGTTATATATTCACCTCTGCTTTCCTTTCATCAAACTGCAACTTGCCTGTGATCACACAAATTGGCATTCTTAATTGCCACACAGCACACTTGATAGTGATATGCACAAACTTGAGATTTATTTCAAATGACCGACATTTTTGGCTTGCCTCTATCCCTGTTTTAACCATGGCTAGAACATTAATGTGCCTTTCTACAGAGAGGAGTTCACGTGTGCCCAGCATTCTTTTGTGCAGGAGGGGCACAGGGGCAGGGCTATAAGGTGAGTGTACATGTGTAAAACAATGCTAATCATATCTGCACTTGCTGTGCCAGGTTGCAAAGACCCTGGAATAAGGCATGTAAAAAGAGATTTCCTGTATGATTCTTTTATTTTAATCCACTGCACACTTGGAATAGCTCTCACCTCAGAATCTCCATAATGGGACCCTCTTAAGGGCAGATCCCTTTATGATGGAAGCCGTCCTTAAATACTTGAGTTATTAAGTCCCTTATAACTTAATGCAGAGCCACCTGATACCAAATCCAATCTGTCCTTGAAGAATAATATTCAACTATTCATCAAATATGTAGTAATCATATGCCAAGTTCAAGAATTACCTACTACTTTTACTCTTCTATAATACTTCTCTTGTTTAATTACATTTGATAAACAGGAAACAGGGAAGAAAATGGGGCTTACAAGGAAGGTTAGTTGCTGAGTCTGCATAACAACAAGAATTAAATAGATGACTTTGGGTAGAGACTGTTGAATCTATTTAGCAAATTTATTTACTGCACTATGCTTTCTTGTCATAAGAAAGGGAACGCCTATAACTTCCTCTGGAACTCCCCTTAGCTTACAGCAGAACTCCCCTCTTTACTGCCTGGGCCTTTGATAAAAGTCCATTTTCTTCCTATTTTTCCTGTCTGCCTTGTAAGAATGCGTGCCAGGAGTGATAGGCATAAAATATGCTACTTGTCAGACAGGTGACATTTTTCAGCTAATATTTACAAGAGAAAAGAGCAATTAGCAAACATGAATCATATGTCTGAATAGCTCAGAATACCTAGAAGATTAATTGTTACTTGGTCTAATTTTGCCCCAAGTAAAGTTTCTAAGACATGCAAACTTTGAGCTTGATTACTCCATACAAAATAAGAGGTTTAGGCAATGCAATAGATTTTTGAAATCCTGAAACATTCTTGCTTATTGTAAGTTACAGAGGCAATCAAGACACTGATGCAAACAATTCTATGAAGAGGTTTTTTCTCAAGCCCAGCTGCAAATTAGATTCACTAAGCAGAGGGCCTCAATCTTGGCTAACATTGGAATCACCTGGGAGGCTTTTAAAACACACTAATGCCCAGGCACTACTTTGGATCTGTTAAAATTACATTATTTTGGAGATGAGGTCAGCATCATTAAAGATTTTCTTTTCCTGGGAGCTTCTAAAGTGCAGACAGTATTGCGAACCATTAGTTACACAAAGTAACATTTGCACGTGCAAGCGTCTTTTACCACCTTGCCTTCAAAGTGTTGTCCTCAACTTCACCTGGAAGCTAGGTAGAAATGTAGAATTTCAAGCCTTCCCCAGACCTAGGGAATCAGGATCTGCATTTTAAGAAGGTCACGGTGATTTGCATGCACATTAATGTTTGAGAAGTAGAGTTATAACACTGGTCTGCATTTGGACTGTCACTGGGAAGTAGCGTAATAGTTGATATTTCTTAAACACAGTAAGTCAGACACTGGGCTAGCCCATCATTTCATCTGATCCTCCCAGCAACTCTGCGAGGTAGATGTTGCTATCCACATTTTACAGATGGGGAAACTGAGGCTCAAAGAAGTGATGCAACTTGCCCAAGGTCAAAGAATGGTAGCTCATGGAACCGGAATTCAAATTCATCTCTGTGTCTTCAATGCACATTTATTTCTGTGCTACCAATGACTGCAGTTATGACTATATATCCACTGGCATGTGTACACTACATCCATGAGTGAGTTTTTTTTTTTTTTTTGCTGTATGCTAAGGAAAAGATGTTTTGTTTTCTACTTTACATGCCACATGGTTATTAAATTAAGCTTCAACCTAGGATTGAACTCCTGAAGGTATTAGACAAAGGAGAAAACTGGAAGGTTTCCACAACTACAAAATTAAGCTGACAACACAGGCTTTCCATTCATGTGGGGCCCTTAACTAAACTAAAGGGCAAAAGACTTGGCAAAAGCATGAAAAATTCATGTATGCAGGTCCTTTTGCTAGATTAGAACACCTAGCTTGATGCATTTCAAAAATTCTTGGGGGAGCTTTGCATTTTATTGCAATGAAGCATCAATGGTAGTCAGCACCTGTCACTTATTCAGGAAACACACAACGAATTATTTGCATTACCTCCCAAGATAGCTTCCTCTTGAAACTAAGTTTATATTTTATCCCCCACATTTAACAACAGAAGTGTAAGTTTTTTCAGACTTGCCACGTAATGTACTTGAGAAGTAAGGGTGGGGTGGGGGGGTGCTTTACATAGCCACATTCTTCAGAAAACTCTGAAGTTCCTGGTTTAGGACAAAATCCTGCTCTAAGCACCTGACTCATGCTCTGCTCAGTGTAGGAGGACTGCATGGAGACATGTCTTCGCATAGAAATCCTTTCCCCAACCTGATTATTCTCCTTTGTTTATCTCAGCAGTCAGCAGGGTAGTTTTGGATCTAAAGATAGGCGAAGTGGAGTAACCTAGGCTGAGGTCTGTGCCCCAGAATGACCTCAGGCATCACCATGGTCATTGTGGCCCTCTGGTTTTCATCTACCTCTGGAGTACGAAGAGAGAAGAAAAACATCAATGAAAAAAGACTGGGGTGGCTCTTTCCTCTAAGACATGACAAGGTATAAAAAATATTTCTGGGTTATAAGATGTCCTTAGATTTTGAAATAAAAATGTAAGAAAAAAAACAAATATAAGTGTGATATTTGCAAAAGGATATACACATAAGTTAATGGAACAAAAAGTCCAGAAATAGACCCACATAAATATGACTAATTGATTTTGATGAAGATTCAAAGGCTATTGAATGGGGAAAGGATGGGTGTTTTTTAACAAATGGGGCTGGAACAACTGAACATCTACATGTAAAACTAAAATGAGCTTAACCTATACATCACACCTTATATAAAAATTAAAATGGATTATAAACCTTACATATAGAATATACAACTACAAAATGTGTAGAAGAAAATATAGAAGACAATCTTTTACATCTTGGGTTATGTAAAGAGTTTTTGGATATGATACCAAAAGCATGATCCATAAAAGAAAACATTGATAAATCAAACTTCATCAAAATTAAAATCTTTGCTCTGCAAAAGACACAGTTAAGAAAATGAAAAGACAAGCTACAGACTTCAAAAGAATATTTGAAAATCAATATCTGATAAAGAACTTGTATCTAGAATAAAGAACTCTTAAGGTCGTGGCAGTGGCTCACACCTGTAATCCCAGCACTTTGGGAGGCCAAGGTGGGTGGGCCACTTGAGGTCAGAAGCTTGAGACAGCCTGGCCAACATAGTGAAACCCCGACTCTACTGAAAATACAAACATAAGCCAAGCATGGTGGTACATGCCTGTAATTCCAGCCAGTCAAGAGGCTGAGGCTGGAGAATCGCTTAAACTTGGGAGGCAGAGGCTGTAGTGAGCCACGACAGTGAACTCCAGCCTGGGCGACTGATGGAGACTGCGTCTCAAAAAAATAGAGAATTTTTAAAACCTTACAATAAGAAAATAAACAATAATTAAACAATCGTTTAATTCCTTAGTATACAATTACAAAGGATGAAATGATTTGAATGTCACCAATGAAGATATACAATAAGTACATAAAAACTTAACTAAGGCCAGGTGCAGTGGCTTATGCCTGTAATCCCAGCATTTTGGGAGGCTGAGGCGAGAAGATGGCTTGAGTCCAGGAGTTTGAGACTGGCCTGGGAAACACAAGGAGACCCCATGTCTACAAAATTAAAAAAAAAAAATTAGCCAGGCATGGTGGCATGGCCTGTAGTCCCAGTTACTACAGAGTCTGAGGTGGGAGAATCGCTTGAGCCTGAGAGATCGAGGCTGCAGTGAGCTATGATTATACCACTGTATTCCAATCTGGGCAACAGAGTGATACCCTGTCTCAAAAAAAGAAAAAAATATGTGTGTGTGTGTGTATATATATATAAAATATATATATAATATATAAAATATGTATATTATATATAAGATTATAAAATAATATATAAATATATGTATACTTAATATCATTAGTCATTAGGAAAATGCAAGTTAGAACCACTTCTACACACCTATTAGAATGACTTAAGAAAAGAGCAGGGCGTGGTGGCTCATGCCTGTAATCCCAGCATTTTGGGAGGCCAAGGTGGGTGGATCACCTGAGGTCAGGAGTTCAAGACCAGCCTGGTCAATATGGCAAAACCCCGTCTCTATTAAAAATACAAAACAAAAGAAGGGCATGGTGGTGGGTGCCTGTAATCCCAGCTACTTGGGAGGCTGAGGCAGGAGAATAGCCTGAACCCGGGAGGCGGAGGTTGCAGTAAGCCAAGATCACGGCATTGCACTTTAGCCTGGGTGACAGAGCGAAACTCTGTCTCAAAAAAAAAGAAAAAATAGAAAAGAATACCAGTGCTGGGAAGGATGAGGAACAATTAGAACTCTCATATACTTGCTGGTGGGAATGAAAAAATGGTACAGCCACTATGGAAAGGTTTGGCAGTTTCTCACAATAAACCATACACTTACCATGTGACCTAGCAATCCCACTTCTAGGTATTTATCCAAGTGAAATGAAAACCTAGGTTTGCCCAAAAAAACCTATATGCAAATATTTATAATAACTTTATTTGTAATCACCCAAAATGGGAAATACCCAAATGTGCCCCAATTGGGGAATTTATAAACAAAATATAGTATACATACACTAGAATATACTCAACAGCAAACAGGTATAAATTATTGATTCACACAACAATATGAATGAATTTCAAATGCTTTATGTTAAGTGAAAGAAGCCAGATACAAAAGGATATCTAATGAATGATCCCATTTATATGACATTCTGGAAAAGTCATTACTATAAGGACAGAAAATAGATCAGTAAGTGCCTGGACTTAAGACTTGGGTGAAGCTTTTTGTTTGTTTGTTTGTTTGGCAAGGGATGGAACTGTCCTGGATGTTCACTGTGGTGGTGGTAGTTATAGGACTATGCATTTGTTAAAATTCATAAGACTTTTTTAAAAAAAGAATAAATGTTATGGTATATAAATTTAAACATGCATATGTAAGTACATCCATGTATATATCCTTTAAAAATGATATAAAATGTTTTACCCTAATTTTTCACTTCAAACTTTATTTTATAGATAACACAGTAGAGCATCCAAAGAGCATACAAGTAAGGAAAGAGTTAATGATTAATGATTTGTTTGAGTTTTATTCAGAGGCAACTTTCATCACAGTCTTTAGGAGGCACACATTTTTTTCAAGCATTAATCTAGCAGAAGAAAATGGAAATAATGTCTACCAACAGGGAAGTGGTTAAATAAATTACAGCATGTCCAATAAAATATATAAATCTCCTTAAAAATGCAGGATGTCTATATTTGCTGATTTGGAAACTATAAAGAACATACATTTATTGAATGCTTACTAAAACTTCTTTTAGTCCTCTTCAGCAATTTCTTTCATGAAAAAATAAAGGGCAGGCTGAGAGTGATGGCTCACACCTGTGATCTCAGTGCTTTGGGAGGCTGGGGCAGGAGGATTGCTTGAGACGAGGCGTTTGAGGCCAGCCTGTGTAACATAGCAAGACCCCATCACTAAAAATGTTTAAAAAATTAGCCAGACCGGGTGGTACATGCCTGTAGTCCTAGCTACTCAGGAGATTGAGGCAGGAGACTCACTTGAGCCTGGGAGTTGGAGGCTGCAGTGAGCTGTGGTTGGGCCACTGCACTCCAGCATGGATGACAGAGGAAGACCCTGTCTCTAAAAAGTTTTGTTTTAATTTAAAAAAGGTAAAAATAAAGGGCATATCAGATAGTGCTATGAAGAGTATTTGCAAAGGAGGTTTTATTGGGCTAGGGTATGTGAAGCATTTCTGGGGAGCTGACAAAGTTCTTCTTAACCTGGGTGGTGGTTACAAAAGTAATCACCTTATAGTAATGTTAAGCTTTATAGTTGTTTCATGTGGTTTTCTCTGTGATATATTTTACAACAGAAAGCTTTAAATAAATTTTCAAAATATATTTAATTAAGTAAAATGAACATCTGTGAACCTACCACCTACCCTAAGAACTAGCACATTACTAATGATGTATGTCTGCCTGCACCAGAGGTAACTGGCGTCCTGAATATCGGGCTTATCAGTCTCTTCCTTACTTTTTTTTTTTTTTTTTGAGACGGAGTCTCACTCTGTCGCCCAGGCTAGAGTGCAGTGGCGTGATCTTGGCTCACCGCCACCTCCGACTCCCTGGTTCAAGCGATTCTCCTGCCTCAGACTCCCGAGTAGCTGGGATTACAGGCTTGTGCCACCATGCCCAGCTAATTTTTGTATTTTTTGTAGAGACGAGGTTTCACCATGCGGGCCAGGCTGGTCTCGGTCTCCTGACCTCGTGATCTGCCCACCTTGGCCTCCCAAAGTGCTGGGATTACAGGCGTGAGCCACCATGCCCGGCCTCTTCTTTACTTTTTAAGCTTTATCTTCTATATATAAGGTATGCTTAAGCAATATATTTATTTATGAAAAGGACATTGTGCTATGTGTTATCTTCTGGCCTTAATTTTTATTTATTTATTTTTTACTCAATATTATGCTCTAAGATTCATAGATGTAGTTACATGTTTTTGTAATTTATCTACATGCTATATAATAATAGATGTAGTCATATGTTTTTGTAATTAATTTATTCACATGCTATCTATTATATATATAATATATATTCTGCAAATATACCATGATTTCTCTATCCATTCTCCAGTTGAAGTTCTTCTAGACCTACTCCTGGAATCAAATTCTCCAGGGCATATGGATTGTTTTTATTTATTTGTAATGACTGAGAATACCGCCATAAGTGTTTTTTTTTCTTTTTTTTTTTTTTTAAATGGAATCTCACTCTGTCACCCAGGCTGGAATACAGTGACATGATCTTAGCTCACTGCAACCTCTGCCTCCTGGGTTCAAGCAATTTTTCTGCCTCAGCTGAGTAGCTTGGATTATAGGTGGCCACCACCATGCCCGGCTAATATTTTTCTATTTTTAGTACAGAGGGGTTTCACCATGTTGGCCAGGCTGGTCTCGAACTCCTGACCTGAGGTGATCCACCCGCCTCGGCCTCCCATAGGGCTGGGATTATAGGCGTGAGCCACTGCGCCTGGCCAAGTGTTATTTTTAAAATTTAAAAATAGAAAAGAAATGTGCACTGATAGGGTACTAAGCATCACATTGATTTAATTCAGGTATCTTCTTTTCTTTTCAATGAAGCATGCAGGTCTGGGGCTGTACAAGGAGCAAGGAAGAAAATGTAATCTTCTGTCTGTCTGGACACCCTGATAGCTGTAGCTCTGTCTCAGGCACTGAGTGTTGCAGTCTGATTACTTTCATATTTTTATATGAGAAATTTCTTGTATTTTTAAAATTATATTTTATTATACAAATAATACCTAATACATGCTTCTTGTAAAAAACAAAAACCTGAATATACATAATAGATAAGACTATCCTTTTTACCCCCATCCCAGACCTCCTCCCCTCCCCAGAAGTAAACACTAATTATTTCTCAGATCCTTTAGTTTTTTTGTTGTTTTCTTTTGCAGGTACCCTCCTCTGAAATCAAAACTCTTTAATTAAAGAGACATGAAATGACAAGATTTTAAAAAAATCCCATGAGGAGAAGGCATTCTAATTTAGGTAGGTATTTAATATTTGTCTGAACTGATGTTATCTGCATAGTGGAAAGCAGAAAAGAATTCCAAATTCGTGAAGAAAATGAGAAAGCGCTACATTTTTACTTTCCTTTCAGTTAATTCAGCAACATAATTCATTACACATATTTTTTGATTCTGTGAATATCCAGAATAAACATTCAATACGTATCCATATTCAGACTTCAGTGCAAAAACCTATTCCAAAGTTGGAAGATTTATGGGTTGTCTGCCATTTTTGATTACCATCATCATGGTAGCACAGTAAAGTAGAAAGGACATTAGCTTTGTTGAAATCTTGCCGGTGTCACCTAATAACTATGTAATCTTGGGGAAATTAAGTACCTTTTCTGAGTTCTAGTTCCCTCACCTGCAAAATGATCATTGTGAAGATTAAATGAACTATACCATATGTAAATTGCCTAGCACAGTATCTGGCATTTAGTGAATCTTCAATAAATGTAAATGCTCTTCCTTTTGCCCCATTAGTATACCTAACTGGGAGCTAGTGCCTATCTTCATTGTCTTGTGCTGATTATCTTAGAAGAAAAGATCCTTCCTCTGTAGAAAGAGCCAATGAGGGATAAAAAATGTTGCCCCTTGTCACCCTAGCTCACTCCTTTCCTAAGAGAAAAGGCAAAAAACAAAGACAGAAAACCCAGGATCTCAGTGTTTTTAAGCTACAAACCCACAGAGGTTACACATTCCCCAAGTTTTCTCCTGAAGCCCCCAGTCCTGCCACAGGATGGGGAACAGTGTCTTTTGGCCCTCATTTCCCTTATCACTCTATGGAAACTTGAAGCTGTTTTGTAGCAAGGAAGTTATTGCCCCTTTTGCTTGTCTCTAAAATGCCAGCCAGGCAGGGTTCCTTGCAAAGAAAACATGAAAAGTTCCTTTAGCTGGCCCTGCAGGCAGGAGCAGAGTAGAAGTAAGCAGAATATCTCAGGGTCTTCCTTTGAGGAGGGCCCCAAGTGCATGTCTCTAGTGCCAGACCAGGCTGGGCAGCTCAAGTGAGTGAGAGGAATGTGACTGGGTGAAGAGTGATCTGGAACCAGCTAGTAGGGAGGAGAAAGCTCTTCGAAAGGTTATCAAGTGCCAAGGGAGCCATTATTTCTCAATCATGAGCAGAAAGATGATTTCCCATGGGGCTGGGGCTATTGTCTTGAGGACTTAATCCTCTGTCCACACCTCTATGTTACTCTCTTAGCTCCTGGTGTTCATCCAAAATAGTGCACTCATGGTTCTAACTACACCCTCGAATGGTCTGAACTACCTTCCCCAGGAGAACAACCAACTGTGAAACTGCTTTTCTTTCTGCTCACCCTCATCCTCCAATAGAAGTCCTTTCTTCAAGTCCAAAGGGATAGCCTTAAGGTTCATTGTTCATTTGGGTTTTAGGAAGACTCAGTAAACCACATTAAGGTATGAATGACCAACGGCTGCTATTGTTGCTTTTCAAAAAAGAAACTCACAGAAACAACTAATAATATGCAGAATGTCTTCAAGACATTATCTTTAGAGTAACGGTGTTCCCTGGCCATTGTCTCCTTACTCTCCCTGCCAGAAAGGAAGGGGACAGCTGCTTGGCATCTCACCTTTAAGGGAACTCAACCCCTGCCCTCTTGTATCAGTTTAGATTTACATGGTCTGAGTGATCCTGTCTTCTTGTCATTACCCTCACTGGATAGTGGGAATAGATGGAGCAATATTCTCAGTCACCGTTTCTGTCAGATAGGGACATTGGCATGTATAAGCCACCATGGGGACTCTTTTTTTTTTTGTGGTGCTTGGAATAGCCCAGAAATCATACGTCCTCTCAAAGAAAGCCCTCAGCCTGAGGGCCACATTCTCATTTTTGGCTTTGGCTAGGAACCACCACCTGCTCTTCTTTCTTAAGCCTCTCCCTTTGTCCTTTCTTACCTGCTATCTGGTGAAGCTGCAATTCCAGGCTCAACATTAGCAGGAGGAAGATCATGTTCTGTATTTGATCTGAAATAGACAATTGAAAGTCTCAGGGCCTTGTGAAACTTTGCTGGGTCTTTGGTTCTTTGTTCACTTTTGAAAACAGGGGAATAACAAATCATTTGGGGAAGGTGACAGACCATGGTAGAGTGGAGCTGGGAGGAGAAGTTATAGGTTGATTTCCTGGAGAAGAGAAGATATAAATTAAGAGTAAACAAGACACTCTTTATAAATCCAAATGAGAAGTTCTTCTTCCTTTTCTAATGGCCGTTTCTGAATATGAACCAGTCCTTGTGAACCACACATATTGGCAGTTACCTGCACGTCTCATGAAGCTTTCCATAGCTTTTTTCAATAGCTGGCCCTTGAACCCCAACTTTGTTTGTCAAATGAATAATGGACACCATCTTCTTTACCTGGACTGGATGTCTGGGAGTCTGACACTTGAAAATAAGACTCCATAGAACAGAGCTACATTCTCAATAAATACTTGCTAGTTGACTGAGCAAAGTAGTCAAGTGCTTTTGAGTGCTGGAATTGAGTTTGCCCCTCTCTTGAACTACCTCTTACTAAGAGGTTTAGACAGGGAGAGTAGGGAACTGGCTCTGATGAGGGTGGGGGCTGCGAATGCCCCACCTTGGTCCTGCTGTACCTCCCATGCTTTCTCCTTTACTCTGAAGCTTTCTTTATCCATGGACTTCTTATGGTTGAGGAAAGGGACAGAGCACACAGCTAATCTGATAATGGTCTGAAACTGAGGAGGCTTTCCAACTTTTATCAGCCATGGAATCATTTCTTCAGGGGAAATCTGTTGGAGCCATACATCTAAATCAGGCAACAGCAGAGCTGCTCTGAGTGTGATGAAAAGCAGTGGAGGGTTTGGGTCAGGAGAATGATAGAACCTCATTTACATCATTAAGAGACAACTAAGCTTTGGTGTAGGCAATAGACTATTGCTGAGAGGGAGAGGTTGCTGGCAAGATTACAAGCAGTGAGATCGGTTAGGAATGTGTTTGCAGAAATGCTGATAGCTTAGAGTAGAGGGGCTAGTAGGGGTGAGAAGTGGTCTGTTGGCGAGTTTATATATTTTTTCTTTGTTTTAAAATTTTATTTTAAAAATTTCAACAGCTTTATTAAAGTATAATTGATATACGAAAGAGGGTTATATGTGTCTAAGTGTGTATATATATTTAAAACACAAACTTTTTTTAAGTGCACGACTCTGTGGTTTTTAGTATGTTCACGGAGTTGTGCAACAAACACTATTATCCAATTTTAGAACATTTTCATTACCCTGAAAAGGAACCCCTTACCCATTAGCAGAAACTTCCTATTTCCCCTTCCCTTTCCCTATGGCCCTTGGCAACCACTAATCTAGTTTCTGTCTCTATCAATTGCTTATTCTGGATATTTCATAAAAATGGAATCAAGCAATATGTGGACTTTTGTGGCTGGCTTTTTTCACCGAACATAATGTTGTCAAGGTTCATCTGTATTGTAGCATATATCAGCACTGCGTTCCTTTTTGTGACTAAATAATATTCCATTGTATGATATACCACATTTTGCTTACCCATTCATCAGTTGATGGTCATTTGGATTGTTTCTGCTTGTTGGCTATTATGAATAAAGTTCCTATGAAAACTCATATACAAGTCTTTGTCTATGTATACTTTTAATTATCTTGGGTACATATGTAGGAGTAGAATTGCTGAATTAAATGGTAACTCTATATTTAACTTTTTGAGGAATTGCCAAACTATTTATCAAATATATGATTTGGAAATATTTTTTCCCATTCTGCACATTGTCTTTTCAGTTTCTTTATAGAATCCTGTGAAGGATAAATGTTTTAATTTAATTTTGATTTTATTTAATTTTGAAACACAAATTGATTTTAAGTAAAAAAATCCAATTTATCTACTTTTTTCTTTTATTGTTTGTGCTTTAGGTGTAATACCTAAGAAACCATTGCCTAGTCAAGGTCACAAAGATTTACATCTGTATTTTCTGCTAAGATAAATATAAATGGAGCAATTGTACAGGGACAACTGGATGTCCACATGCAAAAGAACAAATTTGGAGCCTTACCTCATACCATATACAAAAATTAAACAAAATGGATCAAGAACCTAAATATAAGAACTTTAGTTCCAAATTTGTTCTACTGATTGTGGGCATTCAGTTGTGCCTGTACAATTTGTTGAGGAAATTATTCTTTCCCTATTGAACTGTCTTGGCACCCTTGCAAAACATCAATTGATCATATATATAAGGATGTATTTCTGGACTCTCGATTCTGTTTTATTGAACTATATGTCTATCCTATGTCAGTACCACACAGCGTTGATTACTGTAGCTTTGTAGTAAGTTTTGAAACTGGAAAGTGTGAGTCCTCCAACTTTGTTAGTCTTTTTCAAGATTTTTTTTTAGGGGGCTATTCGGGCTTCCTTACATTTTCAAATGAATTTTAGGGTCAACTTGCTCATTTCTGCAGACAAAGGAAGCTGGAATTTTGGTAGGGATTGCATTGAATCCATAGATCAATTTGGGGAATACAGCCAGCTGAATAATATTTAGTCTTCCAATTCATGAATACAGCATGTCTTTCCTTTGTTTAGGCCTTCTATAGTTTGAAAAAAGACCTGAAGGGAACTGCTGACAGGCTAGATATATAGTTTGAGAAAAAGAGGGAAATCTGGGAAAATTCCTAAGTTTGGGGCTTGAGTCACTAAGGCAATGGAGATGCTGTTTATTAAAATGGAGAAGGCTGGGGGAGAAGCAAATTAAGGAAGGGGAAAAAGAGTTACGTTTGTTGTAGATTTGGTTTGAAATGCCTATTAGATAGCCAAGTGGAGGTGTTTAGTAGGCAGTTGGGGTAGAGATGTAAATTTAGGAGTCATCAATGCAGAAGTGTTAAAGATTTAAAGTCATGGATATCTGCATTACATCACCTACAGAGAGATAGGAAAGAGAGTGCCCAAGGACTGAGACATGGGGTATTCCAACATTTATAGATCTTTGTGAAGAGCGGTCACCAGCAGAGAAGATTGAAAGGAAGGGTACAAAGGCAAATGGCAGTGTGTATTATCCATGCATTTTATTTTCTGTATTCTGATGCTTTGACACCTGGGGCCTTGCTGACCCTGAAGGGACTGCCGCTCCCAGGGTTAGCCAATTCTAACCTCTAAGAGAGAGTAAACCACTTGCCCATGAGCACACCTTTCAAATGCAAACCAACCCATTTCAGAGCCCATACCCACAACTGCCTCATTTATTGGGGGCTTTCACATTCCCAACACTATGCAACTGCCTTAATCACCCCAGGGCCAAGTACCAGAAGACTAGGGACAGCCCCTATGCCCCAGAGCCTGCTGAAATTATTTATATCAGCTAATCCTAAATCCACTCACCCTGCTTCACCCATTTCTTCCTGTTGAAACCACAATAAAGATCTTGCGCACCCCCCACCCACCTCCTGGCTGACCCTGGTGCTTCCCCATGTGGCCCTTTGTGGCATGGTGTGCCCCCCTTCTCTTGGGATCTGTGAGTACAACATACTTTTTTCAACGACAGTCATTTCCTGATATATTGGCCTCACCATACCTAAATAATAATAAAACCTATATTTTAAAACACAGTGCTACAAAGGAGTGATCAGTAGAGCCAAATACTCTTGAGAGTTGCATTTAGCAGTATGGAGGTCATGGATGATCCTGACAAGCACAGTATCAGTGAGTTTTGTACAGATGAAAGCTTGAATAGGTTCAAAAGAGAATGGGTAAAGATGTGGCAACAAATATAGGCAACTCTCTCAAGAAGAGTGCTATAAAAAGGAGAAGAGAAATGAGTCAGTAGCTAGAGGGAAATGTAAGGTCCTCAGTGAGCTGTATTCTTGTTTTTATTTTAGAAAGGGAGATCTTACAGCAGGTAACAACTGGGAACAGAATTAAGTGCTTTCCACAGGGAAATGCTCATGGCATACCTTAGCTTGACCAGAAGATAGCCTTCCTTATTCAGATGCATATATATCCAAGAAAGGTATCATCTTAAGCTGCACCAACAGGCCTGGCACTTGCCAGCACTCTTATTTTTAGAGCATGAAAGGACAGCATGTAACATAGCTCTAGCAACAGAAAAGATTCTTGGATCACCTGCCACTGGCTTTAACTTCCCCTTCTTCCTTGCCCTTCCACGGGGACTTTCCTGGCACACTGTCCCCTTGAGCAAACCGAGGAACAGACACTGCTATAAAGATACTTTCCAACCAGCAGCTTCCTTTCCTACTAATCCTCCTCTGGGGAAAATATGGTTTATGCAATGAGTAAGAGCTCAGGCTCTAAAATCAGACACATCTGGGTTTAATCCTGGTTTTACAAATTGTAAGCCTCTAACACCTTGGACAAATTTTGAAAAGTCTTTGTGCCTTGTTTTCCTATTATGCTAATAGTAGCAACACCCACCTTAAGCTAGAATCTTAGACCTCTGCATTTCTCATCTTGCAAATATGGCCCATCCCCTAGTCCTGTTAATTCTCCCTCCTGGATACTTTTTGCATGGTGGCTCTCCTTTCTTCCACCCCACTGCCATCACCTTAATTCAGCTTCTTATCATTTCTTCTTATACCATAGCAGAGCCTTCTCACTGCTATTTTTACCTTCTAGTCTTGCCTTCCTCTGCTCCATCCTCCACTTATTGAGGTGAAGGACAAGAACCTTGGAGTCATCTTGAGTCCTTTCTTTTCTCACTCTACATCTGATTCATTAACCAACCCTATTGGCCCTTCCTTCAAATATATCCAGAATCTGACCATTTCTCACCACCTCCACTGCTTCCATATCGGTCAGAGTCATTGTCATTTCTCATGGTGATTTCTGCATTAGTCTGACAACTGGATGCTATGATTCCAGTTTTGCCTTCCTGCAGTTGATTCTGCAGCCAGAGTGGTTTTTAAAAAATAAAAGTCAAACCATATTTTCTTAAAACCTTCCGATGGCTCAGCATTTCACTCAGTGTAAAACCCAGTTTTTTCAACAGCCAAGACAAGAGGCCCCTGTCCTGGACCCCATGCTTTAAAGGACCCACTGTGCCCATCCTTCTCCCCGAGAGTAAGGTGTTCGCAGGGCTGAGAGATGTTATCTGGAGCTTTTGACCTACCAACCGCCATCCATTGCAGTCTGTCTTTGAAACACTGGAATTCCTAGCCTGAATGGCCTTAAGCCTGCTTCCAGGCCTGTGTGGCCTCTTCCGCAGATCCAATCCCTAAGGGAAGACCTTGCTGCCAGTGTACATGTCCCTCTACCCGGACACTTTCATTGTTTTTTCTCCTGAGACTGTCTTATGTAAAATTGCAAGAGCACTCCAACCCTACCCCAGCATTCCCAACAATCCTTAGTCATCTTTTCTCCCCCAAAGCAGTCATTACCATTTAACATACCATATAGGTCTCTTTCTGTTGCCCAGGCTGGAGTCAGTGGCACAATCATAGCTCACAGTGATGGCAGCAGCTGCCCGTTTAGAGCAGCTGCAGCAGTGGAGGTGTGGCCAGGGAGGCCAAGAACAGGTGGGAGTCCCGCCCCGTACTGAGTTGGCGGGGTGGGAACCGCATGCTCCCAGGCACCCCTGTAGCTGCCCAGCAGTGGCTCTGGACCCAGGCATCTCTGTACTCTCAGGGGCCCAGGAAGTCCCCTGCTCCCACAAGGTTGAAAGTGCCTGCTCCCACTCCCTGGCCTCTTCCCACTCCTGGCACCTGCTACTGGGTGAAGCAAAGTTGTGGCCAAGCCTAGGTGCTGTCACAACCCGGCCAGGCATGTGGGTGCTCAGGATGGTACTGACACACTAGCCCCCTGCTGCCTCGACCTCTTCCAGATGTTGGGTGCTGACAAGCACAGAGGGAGGCTGAGCAGGGGCTGAGGGTGGCTCAGGGCAGGCCTGCAGGCACCCCTCGGCACGAACAGCCTGGGCATCATGGACAGCATGTTGATGGCAAGAGGGAGACAGGTTCCTTGGCGGAAAGGGGTTAGGTCCCTGGTGAAACCCAACCTTCAAGCCAGGGATGGCCCAAAGCCTGGGAGCCAGGTTGCCAATTGTGGGTGGAGTCCACAGCCTGGGGTAAGAACTTACAGTGCTTTTTCTGGGCCCTTCCATGGCTGCCCATGGGCCAATCAGCACACTCTTCCTCCCTTCTGAGCCTGTAAAAACCCTGGACTCGACCGGGCTCAGTGGCTCATGCCTGTAATCCCAGCACTTGGGAGGCCGAGGCAGGAAAATCACGAGGTCAGGAGTTTGAGACCAGCCTGGCCAACATGGCGAAACCCCGTCTCTACTAAAAATACAAAAAATTAGCTGGATGTAGTGGTGGGTGTCTGTAATACCAGCTACTCGGGAGGCTGAAGCAGGAGAATCGCTTGAACCCGGGAGGCAGAGGTTGCAGTGAGCCGAGATTGCGCCACTGCACTCCAGCCCTGGTGACAGAGTGAGACTCCGTCTCAAAAAAACAAAACAAACAAACACAAAACCCTGGACTCAGCCAGACTTGAACAGACATTGGGACTACCAGCTAGGGGAAGCAGTTGCTCACTTCAGATCTCCTCTTTCTTTCTTTCTTTTCTTTTTTTTTTTTTTTTTTTTTTTTTTTGAGATGGAGTCTTGCTCTCTCACCCAGGCTGGAGTGCAGTGGTGTGATCTTGGCTCACTGCATCCTCCGCCTCCCGGGTTCAAGTGATTCTCCTGCCTCAGCCTCCTGAGTAACTGGGACAACAGGCGTGCACAACTGCACCTGGCTAATTTTTCATATTTTTAGTAGAGATGGAGTTTCACCATCTTGGCCAAGCTGGTCTCGAACTCTGACCTCGTGATCCACCCGCCTCGGCCTCCCAAAGTGCTGGGATTACAGGCGTGAGCCACTGTGCCTGGCTTGTGTCTCCTCACCTCTCTGGGATGACCTGCCTGTGGTAAGGAGCTATCCATTGTGGGTCTCCTCTCTGCTGAGAGTTGAACACTCATTTCCTGCCTATGGAAAAGTGCTACCCACTTTGGGTCTCCTGAAAGCTGTTCTGTCACTCAACGAAGCTCCTCTCCGCCTTGCTCACCCTCCAGTTGTCCACATACCTCATTTTTTCTGGACAAGGGACAAGAATTCAGGACCTGCCGAATGGTGGACTGAAAGAGCTGTAACAGAAACACTTATGTAGCTGAATGAGCATTGTGCTGACTTTTCTCCAGGAGACAAAAACGAACATGTTCAAACAACCATGCCACCTCTTAAGTCTCCCCTTTTAAAATTCACTTGTGTTTTCTAAATATGTTTATTGATGTCTGTTCCTATGTGGCTATCCATTTTCATCTTAATGTTATTGGGCGGAGTTAGAAACTAGAAATCAACACGTTCTCTAATATCTGGGTCTCTTGACCAAACCACAGGTAGTGAACAGAAATGCTTGTGGGAACTTGGACAAGGTATGTGAAAAATACTTTGCAAGTGGTAAACATTCTTCACATTCATCGTCATTATCACTTATGAGGGTGGTAATCTTTGGTCTAAAAATCCCATGAATTCCTATATGACCACTCCTCTCACTAACTTCACTAAGATCTTGCCTGGTAAAAGTCTACCCATTTTTTAAGACTCACTCAGGGCTACCTCCTTCATAAATCCTCCCCTGAGCTTCCCAAGCAAATGTCTGCAGAACGATTGCGCCTCTCAGGATATTTCTTGTCTACCTTGTATTTATCAGTTCATACTCAATTTTGATCTTATTTTGTCTTTTTTTTTTTTTTTTTTTTTTCTTTAGAGACTAGGTCTCACTCATTGCCTAGCCTGGAGTGTAGTGGCTATTCACAGGTGTGATCATAGAGCACTGCAGCCTCGAATTCCTGGCCTCAAGCAAACTCTGGCTTCAAGTGATCCTCCTGCCCCAGCCTCCCAAGTAGCTGGGACTATAGTTGTGGGCTACCTTGCCCAGCTTATTCTGCTTATTTCTACATAAGAAGTATCAATTTACTCAATTGCATTAGGAAGTTGTATCTTTCCAGAGAAATCAAGGAAACATCTGTAAATTCTGAGGATAAGTTCGTAAACAGAAAATGAGGAAATTTTTTTCAAGCAAAATTTGCAAGAGGATCAGAAATGATGGTAGGTTCTAGCAGTTTCACTTCTTGGTTGCTATAGGCCTAGTTTCTTGCCATTTCTACTGTCTGTGGAGATCTATTTCCAAACTGATAGATGAAATACAAATAATTGTGGTGCTGAAGCTTTAATTATCTCTTTCTTTTATTCAAAACATTTACTTGGTATTTACTATGTGCCAAGCTCTAGTATACAAGGGTAAATAAGACACAGCCAGTGCTTTTATGGAATTCTCTGGTCTGTGCAATAAGTGAGGCATAGACATTCTATGGAAGTATCTCAAGAATCCTAGCAAATCATTCCTTTGTGTAACAATAACCAGCCTAAAGGATCATGTTTGTAAAATACTTCATTCTTTGTTAAATACTGCCAGTCTTATCCCATTTGCCTCTTCCCTCTCCCAGTGTCTAGTAGAGCCCGGCTATCCATGAAGACCTAGATAAATGCATACCCAATTGATCTGAAATACCTGAACTAACCACTGTTTTGAAGCCAAGTGTCTAAGACACTAATTGTAATTAGCAATGTCTGAACATAATCTGAATTTGAATGCCTTTGGGCAAGTTATGCAGAGTTTGCCCCAGGTCCTACCATTTTCCATTGTATTAGACCTAGCTGGATTCACTTATTTTTGTTGCCTGACAAACCCAATAGGTATTTGAGTTTTGGGGGGATCTTACAGCCAGTACTCTGCTGTCATAGGTATATGAGTAATTATTTGATCTCTAAACCATCTGTGGCATAGATAGACTACCAGTAGCCTTAAGATGCTATTCTACTCAATTTAATAGAGCATTTAAGTTCAAATTAAATCTCAATTTTTTAAGCAATAAACAGTGAGTTCCCACTTTTTATAAGCCTTTATATTAGAAAGTTGTGAGAATTCATAGAATAATTTATCATTGGAGAATTCATAGAGGGTTTCCTCTAAGAAAGGGCCCTTGCCCTTAAAGACATTGTACCATAATTGGAAGGTTAAAACTCTCACACATGAAAAATAGTAAAACTGATGTAAAACAAGTGATAAAATTGCAAAAGCCCTAGAAGTTGACTAAAGGAAGGGAGACTTCCCAGAGGGGTAGGATTTGAACTGGGCCTTTGAAGCACTGGTAGGATTTGGGGTTGAAGCTATTCTAAAGGGCAGTGCATAGCTGACTCAGAAGCAGTCTCAGAGGTGCAAATGCACAGGCGTGTTGAGGGGACAATGAACAGAGTAACTTGGCTGGACACTTAGGTTGAGAATGTCAAGAGCTTAATGCCAGGCAGAGCTGCCAATCGGGAAATAGTGGCAGTCACTCAAAAACTAAGTGACAATACCAAAGGAGTATCTGAAAAAGATTACATCTAATTTTTTTTTTGAGTATAGAATTGAGGGTGGGTGGAATTGGTAGACAGCCTCTCAATTAGGGGGTCACTGTATTCATCTAGATGTTTGGTAACAAGGCCCTAACTTCAGGTCAGAAAAAGGAAGCAAGGAAGAGGAAGAAGAAACATATAAGACAATTGACAAAACAATTGACTGCTGATCAGCCATGCACAAGAGACAAAGAGAAAAGCAACAAGATTGACTGTGGTTTTAAGACCAGACTGGCAAGACAATATTGGAGCCATGGGGGAGGAAGGGTGGCAGGGAGAAATAGAAGATGGGGAGCTGATTTTAGAGGGAAGACAGTAAGTTTGGTTTTAGTCTGGGCAAGGCATAAGCATTCCAAAAAATTGTAGGTCCAGAGTTTGGGACAAAATTTAGGGCTAAAGATAAGGAAGTTATTTCTAATATGGAAATGTTAGTTAATATTGAGGAATGAATGAACCATCTGATGGGGAGAATATAAAAGAAAGATTATAAAGAAAAGATCTGAACTCAGGAACGTCCCAAAATTTGGAGAGCAGGAACAGAGGACTAGTGAAAAAGGCAGAGACAAGGTGGTCAGAAGAGCATCAGAAGCTCCCCCAGGGCAGTACTTCTGAGGCAATGGAGGAAAATCCCTCAAAGCAGGGGCAGTTCATCATAGGGAGCCGTGAAGACTAAGAACTGGAAGTCAGCCCACAGGTGTGTTAGAGACAGCTGGAAGGCATCAGAGGTGACTGGGGCTAGATAACCTTTCAGATGCTCTTGTCTGTCCTGGAATTCTGTGAGTTGATTTGAAGGTTATCGAGCCCAGCTACAGTGGAGCAGGGTGTGGCATGAGGAGGTGATACTACAGTTGCCCCTTTACAGAGTAACCCACGTATGCAACAATTAAGACATATGACATATTTGGACATTAGCATGTGGAATTAAAATGACACACAACAATCTACTGGTTGCTGTCCAATGTATTGTAAAGCAAATAAACTCTGAAGCATGACCCATAATACTGTCTCTACCATCTCCTTTTTCAAATCAACCTCAAACTTCCCCCTGTCCATTACACGAACATTTCATTTCTGGTGATTCTCCTGACATTTCATCAAATAAATCCATTCAACAATTCGGCAAGCACCCACTAAGCACCTATGTGTATTGCCAGGTACTGCACTAGGAACTTGGGACTCAGAGAACCTTAAAGGTGTGCTTCTTGCCTGTGAGGAGCTCCAGTTCAATGGAAAAGCTCACCAACAGGAGAAATCTGGGGAGAAGACACCCTGAAGCAGCAGACAACAAAGAGCCTGATGATGGGGAGACCTCAAATAATGAAGGCAAATAGATCAGGTTCCAGTGGCAAGAGCAGCAGGACCAGGATTGTTCATCCACTCACAGAATCTTAGGCTTGGAAAGGAGCTTGGAGGACATCCAGGCCAACTCCGTATTTGACCCTGATACAACTGTCTCATTACTGCTCACACTGAATATTTTTACTCTGCATTTTGTCAATTTAGGTCTCTCATTCCCTGCCCCTCAGAGCCATAGTATTTTTGGGTTAAAAGTCCTGATTAGTTGGTAATCTCACTCAGGCTTAGCCTCTCCACCTCCATCCCCTCCACATGAACCCATTGCCTTTGCTCTTCTACTCAGTGCATCCAGGCGGTGAGCAATCAATAGCAATTATTTCAGTTCTGTTTAATTTTTCTACCTTTTCGCTGATCATTTTATATGGAAAGAATAAGCCTTTCCATAGTCCCCAAATCATGCTTTTGTTCAATAATGATTACCTCTATAAGTTATTAAGATAATAGTTTTGGGTTTTTTGTTTTTGTTCCCCCTCCACCAACAGCTGCCTCTTAGGCATAGCTTGTAAACAAAGGCCAGCCTGGAGGGATCACCGTCTGCTAAATGGATAATCACAAACAGATGTCAGTCATAGGAAAACAGATTTTTAAGTTCTTCACCATTAAGCCTCCGAAAACTCTAAGCTGAGAGACAATCTTAAGAATAGTTATATTATTTTACAGTGCACATATTTGGTGCAGAAAATATCTCACCTTATAAAACTGAGCAACAAGAACAATATGCATAGGAACAAGTGAGAGAAATCTGGGGCAGGAGGACATTAGCTTATTTGTGCCCCTCAGCACAATTTCTGAGGCAGAATGTCTCTTGCCTCAAATGGTGTGGAGAGAAGGTAGGCCACCCTTCCCCCACCCTGGCAGCCTCATCATGGTCCACAACATAATAGTATGAGAGTATCTCAACCCACTCGTTACTCACATGAGGACTTGCCACAGCTCCACAAGTAAAGATGCAAAAGTAAACAACAAAAAACAGTTGCTGTTTGTGTTAGATTTCCTTATAGTAGCCACCAAAATGAACAGCCAAAAGGAAAAACAAAACAATCAACATGCAGTAGCTCCAACCCAGGATTCTTTCTAGCTGGGACATATGAGGATGGGTAACAAAAAAGCACTCAAAATTTGGCGTTAAGATATATTCAAGAGAAGAAAAGTTGTTCATTCAGCTTAAGGTTTGCCGTAACATGAGAGTGAGTCAAACCAGAACTAGTTCTGAGGAACTGACGAAAGCCTGGCTTATTTGGAAAGTTTTGGTTTTGCTTTTAGCAGTTTGTCTGTGAATGGGATTGCATTCCTGATTTGGCTCTTGGCTTAGCTATGGTTGGTGTTTAGGAATACTAGTGATTTTTGTATGTTCATGTGGGATCCTGAAACTTTCTGAAGTTTATCAGCTTAAGGAGCTTTTGGGCTGAGACTGTGGGATTTTCTAGATATAAAATTATGTCATCTGCAAACATGGGTAGTTTGACTTCCTCTCTTCCTTCTTGGATGCCTTTTCTTTCTTTCTCTTGCCTGATTGCTCTGGCCAGGACTTCCAATAGTATGGTGAATAGGAGTGGTGAGAGAAGGCAGCCTTGTCTTGTGCCGGTTTTCAAGGGGCATCCTTCCAGCTTTTGCCTATTCAGTGTGATGTTGGCTGTGGGTTCATCATAGATGGCTCTTATTATTTTGAGGTATGTTCCTTCAATACCTGGTTTGTTGAGAGTCTTTTTTTTAACATACCTTGAGAGTTTTTAATACCCTTTTATTCCCTCTCTTTCCCCTATTCTTATATGTGCTCCAGCTTCCCCATTGTCCCTGGAGCACATTTAGGAATAGGGGAAAGGGATGGAATGAAGAATACCAGCATGTCTTAGTGCTGTGCCAGGAAATTGACTCATTTCCTAGGGCTTCTGTAACACATGACCTCAAGTCCTTGGCATTCCCTGACTTATAGTTGTATCACTCCAATCTCTGCCTCCATCTTCAAATGACATTCTTTTCTGTGTGTATCTCTACATTCCTCTCCTCTTATGAGGATACCATCCGTTTGATTAGTGCCCACCCTAATGCAGTATGACCTCATTTAGACTACATCTGCGTAGACCCTACTTCCAAATATAGTCACATTCTGAGGTCCTCAGTAGACATGAATTTGGGGGGAACATTATTCAACTAACCTCACTTCATTTCATAGTGCCTCATTTCATTCTCAGTGCAATGTGTGGTTTAGAGTTAGACCCATTTTACACATGAGAAAACAGGACCAAGATCAAACAATGTTTCCTTAGTTGCATGGCTGAATTTGAACTCGGACCTCAGTGGCCCCACTATACCTTCAGGCTTGTGATTGGTGAGATTAAAACCACATGGCAAGAAAAGGCAAACTTGAATATAGGCCTGAATGATCAATCCTTCTCCTGCTGCCTCCCGCCCTTTTCCTTGTGCTTATAGGGGTAGGACCAGCAGAGATGTGGGGCTGAACACTCAGACAGAGGATGTTTTTAAGAAAACATCTCTCCTTGCCTGTCCTCTAAGCCTTCCCTGCCTCCTTGTTTCTTCTACAAAAGCAAGGATCTCCTTTCCTCCTCCTTGTCCTGCATCCTCTTTTCGTCCCATCGCTTGAACAAGAAGTACTTTAAGAAGTACTACGAAGCTGTGTAGTACCTACAGATGGGAGTGGCTGCCTAGACGGCAAGAGTTGGGACTGTGTCTGTGGGACCCGTGCTTCCTCTGGGGATCTGCTTCTACACCCACGGCTCCAGGCATGTGGTTTCCTTAGGAGTTGCCATTCTCTTACCTGACCCTCTGTTCCTGGCCACAGTGACTGGCTGAGGAATGGACATATGTCCCCTGTGTGGCTTTGAGTTTTAGTATCTATGGAAAACACACCTCACCTACCAGAGTTCCTGTCCTTCTTTAGGAGTGAGGTGCACTCACCACAGTTTCCTTTCCTCTCTCTTGGGTAGCCTTTCTCCAGGCTTGGCCTGCCTCTCCTCTTCACACTTTCCTTTGGGCAGTTCAGCTCTGCTTTGCCACAGTTTAGGGCATCCTGAAGCAAAGGAAGGCCCAGGTATATTCACAGCAAGGCCAAATGAAACTCAAGCTAGTGTCTCAGCACATTAGCCTGCCTCATAAATCTATATGTCTAGAGAAAATAATGGAGGGTTACAAACCAAAGTGTTAATAAAGGCATTTCTGGGTGGAGGTAACTTTTTTTAGTTTTTTGTTAAACTTTTGTTTTACATAGGTAACTTTTTTAGTTTTTTGTTAAACTTTTATTTTACATAGGTAAACTCGTGTCATGGAGGTTTGTCATACAGATTATTTTGTCCCCTAGATACTAAGCCTAGAACCCAGTCATTTTTTTTTTTTTTTTTTTTTTTTTTTTTTTTTTTTTTGCTCATCTCCCTCCTCCCTGGGGCCTCCACCCTCAGCTAGGCTCCAGTTTGTGTTGTTCCCCTCTTTGTGTCCATGTGTTCTTATCACTTAGCTCCCACTTATATGTGAACACATGTGGTATTTGGTTTTCTGTTCCTGCATTAATTTGCTAAGCATAATGACTTCCAGCTCCATCCATGTTCCCGCAAAGGACATGCTCTTTTTTACGGCTCTATAGTATTCCTTGGTGTATATGTACCACATTTTCTTTATCCAGTCTGTCGTTGATGGGCATTTAGGTTGATTCCATGTCTTTGCTATTGTGAATAGTGCTATGATGAACATGTGTGTGCATGTGTCTTTGTGATAGAATGATTTACATTTCTTTGGGTATATACCCAGTAATGGGATTGCTGGATTGAATGGTAGTTCTGTTTTTAGCTCTTTGAGGAATTGCCACACTGCTTTCCATAATGGTTGAACTAATTTACACTCCACCAATAGTGTATAAGCATTCCCTTTTCTCCATAACCTTGTCAGCATGTTGTTTATTAACTTTTTTTTTTTGAGATGGAGTCTCACTCTGTCTTCCAGGCTGGAGTACAGTGGTGAGATCTCAGCTCACTGCAAGCTCCACCTCCTGGGTTCATGCCATTCTCCTGCCTCAGCCTCCTGAGTAGCTGGGACTACAGGCGCCCGCCACCACGCCCGGCTAATTTTTTTGTATTTTTAGCAGAGACGGGGTTTCACCATGTTAGCCTGGATGGTCTGGATCTCCTGACCTTGTGATCTACCTGCCTCAGCCTTCCAAAGTGCTGGGATTACAGGTGTGAGCCACCGCACCCGGCCAACTTATTAACTTTTTAATAATAGCCATTCTGACTGGTGTGAGAGGATCTCTCATTGTGATTTGGATTTGCATTTCTTTAATGATAAGTAATATTGAGCTTTTTTATATGCTTGTTGGCCATGTGTATGTCTTCTTTTGAAAAACGCCTGTTCATGTCCTTTGCCCACTTTTTAATTGGGTTGTTTGTTTTCTTCTTGTAAATTTGTTTAAGTTCCTTATAGATACTGGATATTAGACCTTTGTCAGATGCATAGTTTGCAAAACTTTTCTCCCATTCTGTAGGTTGTGTGTTTACTTTGTTGATAGTTTCTGTTGCTGTGTAGAAGCTCTTTAGTTTAATTAGATCCCATTTGTCAATTTTTGCTTTTGTTGCAATTGCTTTTGGTGTCTTTGTCATGAAATCTTCACTCACTTCTATGTCCAGAATGGTATTGCCTATATTGTCTTCCAGGGTTTTTTATAGTTTTAGGTTTTACATTTAAGTTGTTAATCCATCTTAAGTTGATTTCTGTATCTGGTGTAAGGAAGGAGTCTAGTTTCCATCTTCTGTATATGGCTAGCCAGTTATCCCAGCCCCATTTATTGAGTAGGAAGTCCTTTCTCCATTGCTTGTTTTTGTCAGCTTTGTCAAAGATCAGATAATTGTAGGTGTGCAGCCTTATTTCTGGGTTCTCTATTCTGTTCCATTGGTCTATGTGTCTGTTTTTGTACCAGAACCATGGTGTTTTGGTTACTGTACCCTTGTAGTATAGTTTGAAGTCTGGTAGGATGATGCCTCTGGCTTTGTTCTTTTTGCTTTGATTGCCTTGGCTATTTGGGCTCTTTGTTGGTTCCATATAAATTTTAAAATATTTTTTTCTAGTTCAGTGAAGAATATCACTGGTAGTTTGGTGGAAACAGCATTGAATCTATAAACCGCTTTGGTCGTTTTAATGATATTGATTCTTCCTATCCATGAGCATGGAATGTTTTCCCATTTGTTTGTGTAATCTCTAATTTCTTCTAGCAGTATTTTGTAATTCTCATTGTAGAGCTCTTTCACCTCCCTGTTTAGCTGTATTCGTAGGTATTTTTTTTTTTTTTGTGGAAATTGCAAGTGCAATTGTGTTCCTGATTTGGCTCTCGGCTTCGCTGTTGCTGGTGTATAGGAATGCTAGTGATTTTTGTACATTTATTTTGTATCCTGAAACTTTGCTGAAGTTGTTTATCAGCTTAAGGAGCATTTGGGCTGAGACTAGGGGTTTTCTAGATATAGAATCATGTCATCTGCAAACAGGGATTGTTTAACTTCCCTTCTTCCTATTTGGATGCCTTTTCTTTCTTTCTCTTGCCTGAGTGCTCTGGCCAGGACTTCCAATACTATGTTGAATAGGAGTGGTGAGAGAGGGCATTTTTGTCTTGTGCTGGTTTTCAAGGGGAATGCTTCCAGCCTTTGCCTATTCAGTATGATGTTGGCTGTGAGTTCGTCATAGTTGGCTCTTATTTTGAGGCATGTTCTTTCAATACCTAGTTTGTTGAGCATTTTTAACATAAAGAAATGTTGAATTTTATAAAAAACCTTTCTACATCTATTGAGATAATCATGTGGTTTTTGTCTTTAGTCCTGTCTATGTAATTAATCACATTTATTGATTTGAGTATGTTGAACCAACCTTGCCTCCTGGGTATAAAGCCTACTAGATCATGGTGGATTTGCTTTTTGATGTGCTGCTGCATTCAGTGTGTTAGTATTTTGTTAAGGATTCTTGCATCAATGTCCATCAAGGATATTGGCCTGAAGTTTTTTGTTGATGTTATTGTGTCTCTTCCAGGTTTTAGTATCAGGATTATGCTGGCCTCATAGAATGACCTGGGGAGGAGCCCCTTCTCCTCAATTTTTTTGGAATAATTTATCTAGGAATGGTGTCAGCTCTTCTTTGTACATCTGGTAGAATTTGACTGTGAATCCATCAGGTCCTGGGCATTTTTTTGGGGGTGGGGGTTGGTAGGCTATTTATTACTGATTCAGTAATGGAGCTCATTATTCATCTGTGCAGGGATTCAGTTTCTTCCTGGTTTAGTCTTGGGGGTGTATGTGTCCAAGCATTTATAAATTTCTTCTAGATTTTCTAGTTTGTGTGCATAGAGGTGTTCATAGTAGTCTCCGATGGTTATTTGTATTTCTACGGGGTGAGTGGTAATATTCCCTTTGTTGTTTCTGATTGTGTTTATTTGGATTTTCTCTCTTTTCTTCTTTATTAGTCTAGCTAGCAGTCTATCTATCTTATTTATTTTTTCAGAAAACCAGCTCCTGGATTCATTGATCTTGTGAATGGTTTTTCATGTCTCATTCTCCTGCATTTCAGCTCTGATTTTGGTTATTTCTCGTCTTCTGCTAGCTTTGGGGTTGGTTTGCTCTTACTTCTCTAGTTCTTTTTGTTGTGGTGTTAGGTTGTTAATTTGAGACCTTTCTAACTTTTTGATGTGGGCACCTAGTGCTATAAATTTCCCTTGTAACGCTGCCTTAGCTGTGTCCTGGAGATTCTGGTATGTTGTGTCTTTGTTTTCATTGGTTTAAAAAAACTTAATGATTTCTGCCTTTATTTCATTATTTACCCAAATGTCATGCAGGAGCAGATTGTTTAATTTCCATGTAATTGAATGGTTCTGAGCAATTTTTTTTTTAGTCTTGATTTCTATTTTTATTTCACTGTGGTTCTACAGAGTGGTTGGTATGATTTTGGTCTTTTGCATTTGCTGATGATTGTTTTATGTCTGATGGTGTCGTTGATTTGGGAGTATGTGCCATGTGGCAGGCAGTGAGAAGAATGTATATTCTGTTGTTTTTGGGTGGAGAGTTCTGTAGACGTCTATGAGGTCCATTTGGTCCAGTGTTAAGTTCAGGTCCTGAATATCTTTTTTAATTTTCTGACTTGATGATCTGTCTAATATTGTCAGTGGGGTGTTGAAGTCTCCCCCTATTGTTGTATGGGAGTCTGAGTCTCTTTGAAGGTCTCTAAGAACTTGCTTTATGAATCTGAGTGCTCCTGTGTTGGGTGCATATATATTTAGGATAGTTATATCTTCTTGTTGAACTCTTTATCATTATGTAATGCCCTTCTTCTTCTTTTTTGGTCTTTGTTGGTTTAAAGTCTGTTTTGTCTGAAATTAGGATTGCAACCCCTGCTTTTTTCTGTTTTCTATTTTCTTGGTAAATTTTTTCCCATCCCTTTATTTTGAGCCTATGTGTGTTACTGCATGTGATATGAGTCCCTTGAAGACAGTATGCCATTGGGTCTTGCTTCTTTATCCAGCTTGCCATTCTGTGCATTGTTTGTGTGGTTTCTTTATACTGTCACTGGTCTATATACTTAACTGCATTTTTGTAGAGGCTGGTAACTGTCTTTCCTTATTATATTTAGTGCTTCTTTCAGGAACTCTTGTTAGGCAGGCCTGGTGGTAATGTATTACCTCAGCGTTGAGTTGTCTGAAAAATATCTTATTTCTTCACTTATGAATCTTAGTTTGGCTGGATATGAAATTCTTGGTTGGAATTTCTTTTCTTTAATAATGTTGAATATAGGCCTCCAATCTCTTCTGGCTCGTAGGATTTCTGCTGAGAGGTCTACTATTAGTCTGATGGGCTTCCCTTTGTAGATGGCCTTTCCTTTCTATGTAGCTGCCTTTAGCATTTTTTTCTTTCATTTCCATCTTGGAGAATCTGATAATTATGTGTCTTGGGGACAGTCTTGTGAAGTATCTTGTGGGGGTTCTCTGCATTTCCTGAATTTGAATGTTGGCCTCTCTAGCTAGGTTGGGAAGTTCTCATGAATGATATGCTGGAATATGTTTTCCAGGTTGCTCCCATTCTCCCCATCTCTTTCAAGGACACCAATAAGTCATAGATTTGGTCTGTTTACATAATCTCATTTTTCTTAAAGGTTTTGTTTGTTCCTTTTTATTCTTTTTTCTCTGTTCTTGTCTGACTGTCTCCTTGTCTGTCTTAATTCAGAAAGTCAGTCTTCAAGCTCTGAGATTCTTTCCTCAGCTTGTTCTATTCTGCTATTAATACTTGCAATTGCATTATGAAATTCTTGTAGTATATTTTTCAGCTCTATCAGTTTAGTTACATTCTTTTCTATACTGGCTATTTTGTCTGTCACCTCCTGTATTGTTTTATTGTGATTCTTAGCTTCCTTAAATTGGGTTTCAGTGTTCTCCTGAATTGCGATGATCTTTGTTCTTATCAATATTCTGAATTCTACTTCTGTCATTTCAGCTATCTCAGCCTGGTTAAGAACCATTATTGGAGAACTAGTGTGATTGTTTGGAGGAAAGAAGACCATCTGGCTTTTTAGTTGTTAGAGTTCTTATCTTGGTTCTTTCTCATCTTTGTAGAATGATGTTCCTTCAATCTTTGATGTTGCTGTTTTTGTTTTTTTTTCCCCCTTTTTATATCATATTTAATGACCTTCGGGGTTTGATTGTGGTATAAGGTGGGTTCAGTAGACTGGCTTCATTTCTGGAAGATTTTAGGGGCCCAAGTCTCAGCTCAGGACTCCCAAACTGTGTGTTATAACTCTGGGGCACTGGTATCAGGCCCCGGTCTTGTTCTCTGGCTCCTTAAGGTTAGGAACCTGCTATGTTGGAGGGGCCTGAGGTGCTCCTGGACCTCTGATCACAACTCTCTGAGGCATGGTGCCAGCCAAAGTGCTTTGTAGGGCTGTGGAAACATGATCCATCCTCAGTCGCATGTGCCAGTCGCAGTGGCAGCAGCGGTGCAGTGGGGTGCACACTTGTTGGCTGCAGCAAGGTGCTAGTGGATGCCGGAGTGCCAGCCTTCGTGCAGGTGTTCATAGAAGCAGCAGTGGCAGCATGGCTCAGGCAGGTTGGGGGGCCCTCACCAGCAACTGTACACATGTTTGTGCCAGTGTTGGGATTAGCATGGGAGCAGGATGCTGCTAGATGCAGGGCTGTGTGTGCCCCCTGTGCACATTCACATGGGAGGCATTGGCCGCTCAGGGCAGGGGTGGGCCTGCTGGTTTTTGTGCCTAGTTTTGTGCCATAGGCAGTGTTCGCATAGGGGCAGGGCTGGGGACTGGCTGGGGCGGAGCTGGCAGCTCCATGCCCAACAACACTCTGATGACAATGCCATTGCCATCACAGTGGACAGTGCTGCAGGGAAAGGAGGGGCAGGATATACTCACACCAGCAGCAGTGGCATGGCAGGGCACACGCTCACACGTATGCTGGTGGGGAAGGGAAGGTGAGGTCTGCCTGTACACGCAGGTACTGGCAAAGTGATATGAAGGGTGGCTGTGGGCAAGTGTGTGCAAGCAAAGCAACAAGGGGGAGGCTGTAGTTAGGGGATGAGCTGGGTGGGCTGGTGTGTGTCCATGGGGGCTACTCTGCTGCAGCACTCTGACAGTCTGGCATGGTCTGCCAGCACAGGTGCTATGATGTGGGCTCCCAGGAGGTACCTGGTGGCTGCACTGCAAGCAGGCATGGACAGGCTGGGGCCCTGGGAAAGGCTAGCAGACCAAAGGGTGCTGAAGTCAGACTGGCCCTATCTCATGGGCAACACCGCCCTGCAGAATTTAGGACCGACAGCTCCCCTGGTGCTAAAGTCTCCTATGGAAGCAAGTTGAGCCTAGGGAGATGGACATCGCTGGCTGTACTCCACCACAAACACTCCCGCACGAAACCTACTGGGCTCCACATCACCTGGAGCTCTGCCCCTACCACTTCTCTAAGCAGCTCTCCTTGCCAACTCAAGTGTCCACAGTGGTTGAGGGGTCTCTTCCTGTCGTGATTCCAGAGACCCATTGCAAGAGCATGTTTCTCCTTGCCTGTTCAACTCATCCCTTCTGCAGGAGTTGTTGGGGGCCAGGAACAAGTCCCAGTGTGTGGTAGCCTCATGCAGGGTTTTCAGCTTCCTCCTGCTTCAGCCCAGCCTCTGTGTCTTCCCTCTGTCCACTCTTGATGCCTTCCCTCTGAAAATCTGGGAAGATCTCTGTGAGAGGTGTTTCTCCTGGCTGCATCTAGTTAGCTCTCTTGCCTCCTTCTCCTGCAGTTAATTTTTATTTTCTTTCTTTGGCTTCATTTTGTTTTTTAAATAGTCTGCCATGAGCACAAATTACTTTTGTAAAGACAGAAATAATTTTTTAAAAGCAATAATGGAGAGTATAGTTAGATTACTGAAAAATAACAAGAAGAAAACATTTAAAGAAATCAACAAAGGGCTGTATGTGTTTCTAATTTATTTTTATTTATTTATTTATTTGAGACAGGGTCTGACTCTGTCACTCAGGCTGGAGTGCAGTGGCATAATCAGGGCTGCCTGCAACTTCAACCTGCGGGGCTCAAGCGATCCTACCACTTCAGCCTCTCAAGTAGCTGGAACCACAGCCATGCGCCACCACACCCAGCTAATTTTCGTATTTTTTTGCAGAGATGGCATTTTGCCATATTGCCCAGGCTGATCCCTGTTAGGTTTTGAAGGGAAGGCGAGGGTTAAAGAAATATGCACACTGTAGAAGTCGGGGACCAGCCTAACGCCAGTGCCTACCGCTGCTTACAGGCTGGGGTAATTTATAGGTATGGGCGGGAGGGGTCTGGGCAGTATGGCTTGCTGCCCGGTAGGATATTGATAAGATGTTCCCGTCATGAGGCAGTTCTGGTCCTTGTTCAGGCGGGATGTCATCGTGGTGTTCCTTGGACCTTTGCCCAGAAGGATATGATAGAGATATTTCTTTAGTTGGGCCTTTGTGGGCCTTGTGGTCAAGTGGTTAGGCAGGGTGTTTCTCATGGCCCAAAAACCCATGAAATGTGTCACTTTTACCAAGGTCTGCAAAATAGCAGGGCGCTTACAAAATGGTGCAGTTTGGATTAACATTCTTGTCTTGGGGCACATGTGTATATGTCCAAGAAGAATGCTGTTTTTATGTTAATGAAGCCGGCATTGTTCGCAACGCAGCCCACAGGCTCCATTACACGGCTGCAGAAATCCAACATCAAGTCATTCACTGTTGGCAGGGGTCATCCTTCCTAAAGTGGATACCTTGGGTAACCCCTGTCTTAGGGTCCCTAATTTTCTCCCTCATAATACTGACAATTGGCCCATGTGTGCGCACCTTCATATCCCGCTTTATCTCCCAAAGGCCGAACTCCCTTGTCCAGGCAGCTATATAGAAACACGATACCATTCTTCTCTGCCAAGTTTGGTATCAGCACTTCCAGGAAAACAACTCTAAAGTCGGACACCCACTGCTGAAAACCCAAAGCCTGAGTGCAGTGCTCCTATTTAGCAGGAAACAGCCAGATAATTAACAATGCCCCTCTTCCTTTTTATGCTAAACTAGAAGGCAAAGACCTTCTGGGCAAAGGTCCAAGGAACACCATGATGACATCCTGCCTGAACAAGGACCAGAACTGCCTCATCATGGGACCATCTTATCAATTTCCTGCCAGGCAGCAAGCCATACTGCCCAGACCCCTCCTGCCCATACCTATAAATTGCCCCAGCCTATAAGCAGCAGCAGGTACTGGCATTAGACTGGTCTCTGACTTCTGTAGGTTTTATGCTGGATATAAAGTCTGCATTTGTTGTTGAACTTCCCTCTTATGTGTGTGTGTCTTTCTTTAAGTCTCGCCTTCCCTTCAAAACCTAACAGTCTTGTACTCCTGAGCTCAAGTGATCCATCCACCTCAGCCTCCCAAATTGTTGGGATTACGGGTGTCAGCCACCATGCCTGGCTGGCAATTTATTTAATTTAGCTTTGTTCTCTTTTTAATAGAAGATTCCTGAGAGGCATAGCTAAATTGTGTGTGTGTGTCTGTGTGTAGAATTAGGCACCCCCTTCAACATTGCATTGTCACTTGGAAATAGAAAATTAGAATTTTGGTCATAAACTATTAGACTATAATAAGAATATAATGAGTTTAATAATTATGTCACCAGCCAATCTATGAGGCCCCTCCTATCTTATAGAAGGGAAAGTTAATACAAAGAGAGATTACAGAGCTTAACCAAGATCACCCTGTGAATGTAGGGCAGAGTAGGTAAGAAATGCTACAACCATTTCTGTCCTTTCCTCCCAAGATATTTTCCTCCAAATGCAGTGTAATGCAAATGTAGTTCAATGTAATATAATATGATGCAATACAATGTATGTGATGTGATGCGATGTAATGTAATATATTGTAATATGACATGATGTAAATATTCATGTAAATCACCTAGAACAGTGCTTGTCATACAGCAGGTGCTAAATCAATGTTAATGCTTTCAGGTCCAAAAAAATAAGTCCAGTATTTCCCACTCTGCTTGGTTTTATAAGGGAAAAAAATACAGCTTGAGGATGAGAAAGAAATGCACTTGAATTTTGGGAAAACAGGCAAAGAGCAAGAGCTAAGGAAGGTGTGAGAAATGAGGAGGCAGCAGTTTATCTAGAACCTGCTTTAGCAACGTTTCCAAAGTCAGGAAGCAGGGATCTGCTGTGAGTTTATCTGGAATGTGAAGGAAGCAGGTGAAGACCAGCTTAATCTCTTGAAAATGGGGAGAGGGGGCCGGGCACGGTGGCTCACGCCTGAAATCCCAGCAATTTGGGAGGCCGAGGCAGGCAGATCACCTGAGGTCAGGAGTTCGAGATCAGCCTGGCCAACATGATGAAACCCCATCCCTACTAAAAAATACAAAACTTAGCCAGGCATGGTGGCAGGTACCTGTAATCCCAGCTACTTGGGAGGCTGAGGCAGGAGAATTGCTTGAACCCAGGAGGCGGAGGTTGCAGTGAGCTGAGATCGTGCCACTGCACTCCAGCCTGGGCAACAGAGCAAGACTCTGTCTCAAATGAAAAAGAAAATGGGGACAAGGAATTTCTGGGGTGGGGCAGGCAGGTCATGAGCAGCTGGGGGAAGAGAGGAGGAGGAGGGAGACCACATGGGGGCCAGCCCGAAAATTGGCCTCCCTTGTGTCATGGTCAGCCAGGGGCTGGAGGTGAGTCACTGGTCATCATCCTCAAAGTCCACACTTGGCTTGCAGTCCCACCTGGTCTCTATGTGCTAAGAAAGGCCTGGTCTCAAAGTAAGAGAAGGAAAGGTGTGAATTGAAGTTCTGGCCGGAGCAACTGAAATACTTGTTTGTTCTTAGAAGGAGAGAGGTCTAGGTTTGGCTCATTCACAGAAAAGAACTTTTCAAAATAAAAAGAGATTTATTATAAGTGTAACAGATTGATGTGGGGCACTGATTAAGTATTTTTTTCTGCCCCATGTTACTGAATAGTGAAGAAATAACTGGGTAGATGGCTTCTTGTTGAGGAAAAGTTACTGAACTCACAAAGGTCAAATTTAAGTAAGGCCTCTATAGCACTGTAGGGTGACTACAGTTAACAACAATGTATTCTATATTTTCAAATAGCTAGAAGAGAGGATTTTGAGTGTTTCCAACACAAAGAAATAAAAGTTTCAGATGATGGATATGCTAATTACTATGATTTAATTATAATACATCTTAGACATGTGTCGAAATAGCACACTCTACTCCATAAATCTATATAATTATTTATGTGTCAATTAAAAAAATAATTAAAAAGCCAGGAGTGGTGGCACACACCTATAGTCCCAGCTACTTGAAAGGCTGAGGAGGGAGGATCATTTTAGTCCAGGAGTTTGAGGTTGCAGTGAACTATGATTCCACCACTGCACTCCAGCCAGGGTGACAGAGCAAGACTCTGTCTTTAAAAATAATAAAAATAAATTTTTCAAAAAGAAATATCGTTTTGTTAATATGGTAAAAAAAATAAAGTCAGGCCTAATTCCTTCAATGAGTCTTTCAAGTGCAGGGTTGGGGGCAGGAAATGAGAGGAGAGAAGAGAGGAGGAGGAGAGAAATTAAACTGGCCCACTGGCCTTGAACAAAGACAAGTAAGAAGGAGACTAAGAGACAGGGAGAAGGTTCCGAGAGCCTAGAGTGGATGTATATTATCTGAGTCTCCTCTCATTCTTGGGGAGAGAAAAGGGGTGCTAAACGCATATCTCCAAAGTTTGAGAGTGCCTTGTATAGAGATTAATACCTGCTTCTTGCCTGAAGTTTCTGAAAATGGGAGGTTCACTGGGTGTCCCACACCCGGGGAGTGAAAAGGGCTGTAGACTTATTTTCAGGAATGAAGAAAATGGGGATATCATTCACATCCCAGGCTCCTGAGTCCTCAAGGATGACCAAAAACCCCAACAGTTACTATGGCTTCGTGTGATGCAGAAGAGAAGGAAGCCAAAGGCATGGGAGGCCCCAGCCATTATCACAGGCCACTACCCTTAGACTGCAACCGCCTGAGACCTGAGCCATTTCTCTGCCCAACTTGAAGATTGCAGGGTCATAAGTTTCACCTATTCTGGGAGGAGAGATATTTGTAAAATATCTCATATTTGTAAAATATGGGATTGGAATTTTAAATGAGATGAACTCTGTCACTTCCTCAAAATGTTAAACATAGCGACCCAGTGTTCTACTCCTAGGTATATTTCAAAAGAAATGAAATGTACACACAAAAATGTCTGCATGAATGTTCATAGAAGCATTATTCTTAGTATCAAAAAATTGGAAACAAACCAGATGTCCAGAGACTGATGAATGAGACAATAAAAAACAGTATGTCCATACAATGGAATATATCTCAGCTTTAGAAATGAATGCAGTCCTGATACGTGATACAGTGTGTGTGAACCTTGAAAACATTATGCTATGTGAAAGAAGCCTGTCACAAAAGATTGTATATATTGTATGATTCCATTTAGACGAAATGTCCAGAATAGGCAAATCCATAGAGACAGGAAATAATTACTTAAGACTGGGAGGAATGAGGGGAACTAGGGGGTGACTGCTAGAGGGATGGGATTTCATTTTGGGATGATGAAAATATTTCAAAATTAATTATATTGTTGGTTGCAGAACTCTGTGCATATACTAAAAACCACTGAAAGGTATGCTCTAAATCAGCAATCCCCAACCTTTTTGGCACCAGGGACCAGTTTCGTCGTAGACAATTTTTCCGTGCATTGTGGGAAGGGTGGTGGAAATGGTTTTGGGATGAAACTGTTCCACCTCACATCATCAGGCATTAGTTAGATTCTCATAAGAAAAGCAACGTAGATCCATTGCATGCTCAGTTTACAACAGGATTTGCACTGCTATGAGAATCTAATGCTGCCACTGATCTGACAGGAGGTAGAGCTCAGGTGGTAATGCTCATTTGCTGGGTGCTCACCTCCTGCTGTGCAGCCCAGTTCCTAACAGGCCATGGATGGGTACTGGTTCACAGTCCAGGGTTTGGGAACCCCTGCTCTAAATGAGTGAATTGCATGGTATATGAATTAGATCTCAAAAGCTATTAGAAAACATGGGACTAGACTGAGTCATAATAAGTGATCTACAAATCATGAAATTGCACTGATATATGATGAGGGTCACTCACTGCCCAACAGGCTAGAAGGATTTCCCAGAATACTACTGGCAACAGTTATTAGAAAAATAAAACATTTGGTCGAGTCTCCTCAATTGAATTGGTGATATAAGGATGGGCAGCCCTCAGAAATAATGCAGCCTATCTACAACTATCTGATCTTTGACAAACCTGACAAGAACAAGAAATGGGGAAAGGATTCCCTATTTAATAAATGGTGCTGGGAAAACTGGCTAGCCATATGTAGAAGGCTGAAACTGGATCCCTTCCTTACACCTTTTACAAAAATTAATTCAAGATGGATGAAAGACTTAAATGTTAGACCTAAAACCATAAAAACCCTAGAAGAAAACCTAGGCAATACCATTCAGGACATAGGCATGGGCAAGGACTTCATGTCTAAAACACCAAACGCAATGGCAACAGAAGCCAAAATTGACAAATGGGATCTAATAAAACTAAAGAGCTTCTGCACAGCAAAAGAAACTACCATCAGAGTGAACAGGCAAGCTACAGAATGGGAGAACATTTTTGCAATCTACCCATCTGACAAATGGCTAATATCCAGAATCTACAATGAACTCAAACAAATTTACAAGAAAAAAACAACCCCATCAAAAAGTGGGTGAAGGATATGAACAGACACTTCTTAAAAGAAGACATTTATGCAGCCAAAAGACACATGAAAAAATGCTCATCATCACTGGCCATCAGAGAAATTCAAATCAAAACCATAATGAGATATCATCTCACACCAGTTAGAATGGCGATCATTAAAAAGTCAGGAAACAACAGGTGCTGGAGAGGATGTGGAGAAATAGGAACACTTTTACACTTTTGTTGGGACTGTAAACTAGTTCAAGCATTGTGGAAGGCAGTGTGGTTATTCCTTAAGGATCTAGAACTAGAAATACCATTTGACCCAGCCATCCCATTACTGGGTATATACCCAAAGGATTATAAATCTTGCTACTATAAAGACACATGCACACGTACGTTTATCATGGCACTATTTACAATAGCAAAGACTTGGAACCAACCCAAATGTCCAACAATGATAGACTAGATTAAGAAAATGTGGCACATATACACCATGGACTACTATGCAGCCATAAAAAAGGATGAGTGCATGTCCTTTGTAGGGACATGGATGAAGCTGGAAACCATAATTCTCAGCAAACTATTGCAAGGACAAAAAACCAAACACTGCATGTTCTCGCTCATAGGTGGGAACTGAACAATGAGAACACATGGACACATGAAGGGGAACATCACACACTGGGGCCTGTTGTGGGGTGGGGACAGGGGGGAGGGATAGCATGAGGAGATATACCTAATGTTTAATGATGAGTTAATGGGTGCAGCACACCAATATGGCACATGTATACATATGTAACAAACCTGCACGTTGTGCACATGTACCCTAGAGCTTAAAGTATAATAATAATAAAAAAAAACAACCAACAATCAATCACTTAAAAAAAAAAAAAAAAAAGAAAGGATGGGCAGGACCCAAACTGTCAGAAACAAGGTAACCTCAGGACTGGCTGCTTTCTTTGCCCACCTCTCGTGGTTCATTGAGTCTCTCTCCCTCAGCTCATATCTGCTTCTCTCTGCACATCTCATCTGTTCGACTCACCCTGCTTATTTCCTCAGTCTTTCCCTCTACTTTGAACTTCTTTTCTCTTTCTGGTGACTTCTGCTTTCTCAGTTTCTGCTGCCTCAGCGCTGTTCCTGCCCTGTCATAGATTCTAGCAGCCTCCTGACCCTTCTGTGTCAGGCCTACCCACCTCGGTCTTGAGAATATGAGTTGCTGATTCAGTCTCTGGAAGCCAGCCATATCCCAAAGCCTTCTCGTCTTCCTAGTTCTGGCTCTGGGAAGCCAGAGGAGACAAGACTATTGGACCCCAGCACCTAGGCATGGTGTAAGATGAACCCGGTGTGGTTCCCAGCAACTCTGGCCTGAAGGATCTCCAGAGCCAGCCAGTTTCCCAGGGTCCCCCTAGCCAGGGCTGATCAGGGTTACAGCATGTTCCCAGGACTAAACTGAGGACAGGTCTTAAGTCTGTTTGCCTTAAGACCTTGGGAATCTCCGTAAAAATGCTTGGACCAAGTATAGAAGACTTCTAAACTCAAACTCAAGTAAAGGAAACCTGAATTCAAACTCAGGTAAAGGAAATGAAAGGTTCTCACAATGACTTTGGTTTCAGCTCATATTTTTTTCTTTTTAAAGTGAAATGATGATTCATCACTTTCAATACAGTTGAGACAGCTGACTCATGTTTTCGTGTTAGGTCAGTGGTTCCCCAATATGGCTGCAGGTTAGAATCCCCTGGGGAACCTGAAACATAGAGGTGCCTGGGCACTACCTAAGACCTCCTGATTCAAAATCTCCAAGGGTGGGGTCCAGAAGTCTGCATTTTTTGAAACTCATCAGTGGTTCTGTAGTAACCAGCCGTGCTCTAATTGGTGGATTAGCATTAGGGAATCCCTGGGTTTGATGACACTGATGGCAGCAATCCTTGAAGGGAAGTAAGCAAGAGGGAGAAAAGGAAGCTGAGAACCCAAAGACAAACTTCAGCTACTTCAAGATGTGGACACCTGTCTATGTTTCTTAGATTTTCTTTCACTAAGAAGAGCTGATACCATGATTCTCAATCTACCAAGGGGGAGGAGAAATGGAAGCATGCAGAAGTAAGTTGATCTCACCTAAGGCAACAGAATTAAGGCAGGTCTCTGCTTAGAAAGACCACCTTGAGGGATAATTCTGCTCACTTGTTGTTCTCCTCACTGGACAGGAGACCCTGGAAGCAGAGACAATATCTGGTGCACCTCTGCATTCCCACTACCTGAAACATAAAGTTGCTCAATAAATAAACATCCTCTGTTGAATGAATAACTGCAAAGGCAGGTCCACTTTTAGAAACCATTGTGACTGGCTGGAGGGGTGGAGCTATGTGGAAAGTAGAAAAAGCAGTTGACACCAAGGGCAGAGAAGCTGGATTTGGTTCTACTCCTTACTAGCTCTGTGATTTGACCACTCTCTGCCTTGGTGATAAAATGTCTGAACAGAGTTTTGTAAATTACATTTTATAATTTACATAGAAAGCCTAGAATTTGGCTGGGTGTGGTGGCTCACACCTGTAATCCCAGCACTTTGGATGGCCAAGGTGGGTAGATCATTTGAGCTCAGGAATTCAAGACCAGCCTGGGCAGCATGGTGAAACCCTATCTCTACAAAAAATACAAAAATTAGCTGGGTGCAGTGGCATGTGCCTGTAGCCCCAGCTACTCGGCAGGCTGAGGCAGGAGAATTTCTTGAGCCTGGTAGGCTGCAGTGAGCCAAGATCGCACCATTGCACTCCAGCCTGGGCAACAGGAGTGAAACCCTGTCTCAAAAAAAAAAAAAAAAAAAAAGAAAAAGAAAAAGAAAAAAGAAAAGAAAAAACAAAAGCCCAGAATTTCTTGAATTAGTTGATCAACATAAATAGGGCCTTCTTGCTCCTTTTGCTTAAGTGGCATGTTAAAAATCAGTGACTTCTTTAATGACTGTACCTACTCTGAACTCTGTGCCAGATAAGGTAGAAAACAGAAACAAAAAATAAAGAAATTAATATGCAAGTGTTGCTTTTCCTACTTGTTACTCTGGAATCATAAGGCCACATGGCTGTACTTTCCAGTTATTCATTCAACAGAGGATGTTTATTTATTGAACGACTTTATGTTCCAGGTAGTGGGAATGCAGAGGTGCATCAGATATTGTCTCTGCTTCCAGGGTCTCCTGTCCAGTGAGGAGAATAACAAGTGAGCAGAATTATCCTTCAGGGTGGTCATTCTACAGCAGAGACAGAGAATGCCCAATTCTCTTCCAGCCTGCTCTGACAACTTGCACACTGGGAGACACCGGGGCCTGCGTCTCTCAGCCGGAAGTGGGATGCTGGTGATGATGGTGGTGGCTGCATATGTGCCACAGCAGAACTGGCTTCTAGGACTTTATATGGCATAGAGAGGAACTAATTAAGGTGAATGGCCTGAGAAGGCTCCCTCACTTTACAAAAGAGGAAACTGAGGCTTTAGAGGGGTTAGGTAAACAGGTGGCCAGTGGGAGAATGAAGATCCTTCAGGAACTGCAGGGGGAAGAGGACAGTGTCTTGTTCCCCATCGTCAGCAGCCACCTCTGCCCTCTCCACTCCCTCCATCATTCCTCTCTCCTCCTCTGACCTCAGCACCTTCCCTCCTCCCCTGCAGGAAAGCCAGCCCTATGCAGGGGAGCACAGGGGTCACGCTCAGAGATTTTGGAAGCAGACCTCTGTCTAAATCTCTGTTTCACCTCCTGCCAGCCGTAAGACTTCAAACAAACGGCTTCCTCTCTTGGTGCCTGTTTCATTTCATTATCTGTAAAATGGGCACCATAAAAGACTTGCTTTGTGGAGTTGTGCAAATGAAATGAGTTGATACACGGAAAGTGCTTAGAACAGGGCCTGCTGGCATGTAATAAGTGCTTAATAAATGTTAATTATCTTATCCTTGTGCCATTACCTGCTTGGTGTGGCCAACCCATGATCTTATTCCCAAAACATTACTAACTTAGTTCATTTTCCCCTCAAACTTATATTTTAAAAAGTTTAGTTTTTTTCAGATAGCACATTGTATCATTGCTAAGTGTTTTCTAAATACCAAAAAAAAGTAAAAAATAACAGTAAATATTACCCAAATACTCAACCACAGAGATAATTGCTGTCAGTATTTTTGTGAACATAATTTTCTGTAGATCCCTGGACACATTCTGATATAATGGTACTTATTAAAATTGCATATCAATGCAATTTTAATAGGTACCATTCATATGAATGCAATTTAATTAATTAATTAATTATTATTATTATACTTTAAGTTCCAGGGTGCATGTGCACAACGTGCAGGTTTGTTACGTATGTATACATGTGCCATGTAGGTGTGCTGCACCCATTAACTCGTCATTTACATTAGGTATATCTCCTAATGCTACCCCTCCCCCCTCCCCCCACCCCACGACAGGCCCCAGTGTGTGATGTCCCCCTTCCTGTGTCCAAGTGTTCTCATTGATGAATGCAATTTTTTTTTTTTTTTTTGAGACGGAGTCTCGCTCTGTCGCCCAGGCTGGAGAATGCAATTTTAATAAGTACCATTATATCAGAATGTAATTCCGTGAACTGTTTTATCACTTTTCAAGGGTATCATGGGCATTTTTCCATGTTGGTAATTACAGACCCCATGATTATTTATAAAGACTGATAAATATTTTATTGTATGGGTATGCCATAGTTTGTTTAAGCCATCCCCTAGTGATGGCAATTTAGGTTGCTTCTAATTTGTAAGTGTTGATATTACAAAACCATGGGCACCATGAATGACCCTTCACAATCAGCTCTATGCCCTTGTCTGATTATTTCCTTGGGGTAACTTGCTGTAACTGGATCCAAGTGCATATACCTGAAGACGCACATCCCAGTAAGGTAACTCATGTTGTGGGAAAACAGATTGGCCAGTTAGCTGGTTTGGCAGAATCTACATGGATATGGCTTTATGGCTTTTGCAACAATTTGGGACCTAGCTATGGCAGGGCAACTAGGCCTATGGACAGTTGTGGGAGGGCAAATATTTGGAGGCTATCCCTACCCACAGGTTTCACACAACATTTTTCAGACCTGAGTGGGGACTCCGGGAGAATTTACTGACCTCTTCATTGGTTCGTCAGTGCCCTACATTTTCTCTGAATTCTTGGCTTTTCCAGGAAGTCAGGTTAGGGAAGTTCGATCAGCTGAAAAATGTCACATAATTTTGAGGAACCTTCTGCGGGTATAATGTCCAAGGGTATTTTGCTCTACACAGGCCTGGGGCAGATTTTTTCAGGCCCCAAACTTTCCTTATTGCCTGGCAGTGATCCTGAGAAAATGAAGCTGGGATGTGGGGCAACAAACAAGAGTGGTAACCACAACCCACCAGCTTCTGCTGCTAGAGAGTGGTAAAAGATGAATAGAGGCTGGGAAGGAAATGGCCACACGAGGGGCTGCATCATGGCTTGGCCAGCTCTGGTTGGCTCCTCTCACAGGTAGAGAAAGGGGAGGAAATGCCTGGACCTTCAACCTAAAATAGAGGTCAGCTGGTCTACACATTTCCCTCCAGCTTTCCTTCCTGGCCACCTTAGATGCAGTTTCAGAGTTGAATATTGTATTACACAGGCTTCGGATGGGTGAGCAGTGACCAGGAAGGGTCAACAGAATGTGCAGTTTGCCGCAACATTTAGTCATTCCTAACTGAAACGCAGTAATACAGGTTACTATTCACAGAGGTCTAAATATTGCCAGGGCAGATCCAAGTACTTTATGTGTATGAACCCATTTAACTCTCACAAAAACCCTACGAGGTAGGTACTTTCATTGTTTCCATTTTATGAATAGGGAAACGGAGGCATAGAGAAGGTAGATAATTTGCTGAAGGTCAAACATCACAAAAGTGGGAAAACAGATTTAAGTCCCGATAATCTGGCTCTGGGTTTCCTTTATTTACTATTGCTCCTCTTTATTGTTATGATAATACTAGTAATAATGGGCATCTGTGGTTCTGTCTTCAACCAAACACTCCTAAGATAAACAGATAAAGTCAAGGGTGATCAATCTTGAGCTTGTTGAGTAAAGTGAAACTTCCTAAGAGTGATCAAAAGTGGATTAAATAAAAGAGAGTTAAATAGAGCCCCACCTGGCCTGGGATTGAGAACTAGAAAGATATCTTTAGGGACAGAACAATTGGTGATTTTAGTTGGGGGATTTGTGATGTTATCCAGCAGAGACAAGCTTTGCATTAAAAGTAGGATGTATGTGGGCATCTTTGCTTTTCTTCTTTGTCGACTCTAGTTCCTGTACCTCGCTGTTTCTTCTGTCCTTTCTTCATAGGCTACAGCTGCTTTATATCTAATAAACATACACACTATTAATCTCTCCTGAGTGTGCACATTCTGTGTGTGTGTGTGTTGATGTATGGTACATATGTAATTTGTCTCCATCAATTATGAACTTCCTGAAAATGTTATTAATTCATCTGACTTAATAAACATTTTACTTCACGCAATGTGTATCCAAGGTCATGAAATTATGACCTCACTGCTCAAGAAAACAGGAAAACAGTTGCGCTGAATGAGGTACCTAAAGCTGCCAGGGGCCCAGGCAAGAGGCCTGAGTAATGATGTGATGTACTAAGAATGAAGAGACAAGGATATCCGGGAAACTGACCAAAGAGTAGGCAGAGTCAGCGAGCTATTGTGCAGTGGACAAGAAGGAGATTGGCACTGCTGTAAGGGCTGGTCTGGAGATGAGGCACAGTGCATTTCAATTATGGATACCACAGCGAGGATATTCATTCCCTATCCACACCCACACTGGGCAGTCAACATTCCTCTTCTAGCAAGAGATTTTAAAGATGATCATGGTACTTCAACTAGATACTAGCTCACTTACAAAACACATTTGCTGCATATTCTTTTCAATAGCTTCATGTGTTTGTGTATGTGTGTGTGCATGAACATGCGTGTATTTGTAGTTATTCATTTCCAGTAACATCTTGACATTCAAACCAGAGCATTCTCATAACTGTCCTGACTTTTGAGGAAGCAGCCTCCTGTCTCACTTCACCATCTCCACATTCACTCCTCGGTTCCCTAATAGCAACTCCTCTACCCTTCCTAGCCACCCAACTTGAGGCTTTCCTGACTCCGTTCACGAAATTTCCCATTGCTTCCCTTTCACATAGTTTAGGAAAAATATCAAAGAGATACTTCTTTCTGAGCTCCATGACCTACATTCATCAATATTTCTTAGTAACAATTTAGATTTTCTAGATCCACTTTCTCTAAAAGTCCCAACTGCCCTCACAACTTAATCTTTGAATCAACCTACCCAGAAATACCAACACTCTACAATAAAGACATTTCTTCTTTCCATGCAATATAATGAAATCAGTTTTGAAACCAAGAAAGAATCCATATTCTAGGATTCTAGGACTATCCAGGATGTTTAGAAAGGATTTAAGGCTGTTTACAAGGGCTGTTAGATACAGCATACAGCATACAGCATACAGCATACGGTATACATAACATACAGTAAAAAAGCTCAGGAAAGTGGCGCTAGAAAGGGAGGGAAATAAGAAGAGGTCAGAATCACTGTCGCCTCCTCTCCCCGGGCACAAGTCAGGAAGGCATGCTTACTGTCAGGATCTGCGGGCTTGACATGCTTGTATTACCATCACATTTCCCAGGCTTACGACACCCATCACCTGGCTGTCCTCCTGCTTCCATGTCCTTTTAGTTCTTCCTCCACACTGCAGCCCAAATGATCTCATAACACAAGCTGGATCAATCATTTCCCCCTACTTAAAACTTGCAACTGACCGGGCACGGTGGCTCACGCCTGTAATCCCAGCACTTTGGGAGGCCGAGGCGGGTGGATCACAAGGTCAAGAGATCGAAACCATCCTGGCCAGCATGGTGAAACCCCATCTCTACTAAAAATACAAAAATTAGCTGGGCGTGGTGGAGTGCACCTGGAGTGCCAGCCACTTGGGAGGCTGAGGCAGGAGAATCGCTTGAACTCGAGGGGCAGATGTTGCAGTGAGCCGAGATTGCACCACTACACTCCAGCCTGGTGACAGAGCGAGACTCTGTCTCAAAACAAAAACAAAAACAAACAAACAAAAACTTGCAACCACTTCCCACCGCATTTAGAACAGAATTTGGACTCTTCACCATGGCTGTCACGGGCCTGCGTGATGCACAGTCTCATCTTGTGCCCCTCCCTGCTCTGCTCTCCACTCTCTAGTCACCCTGGCCTCCTTTCTAGCCCTTGAACTCCTTAACTCAATCTCTCATCAAAGCTCCTGTGCACATTGTGCCTCCTGCTGGGGGTACGCCCTTTTGTATGGCTGGCTCGGTTTAAATTCAACCTTTTTGAAGAAGCCCCTGTCCCAGCCATCCCATTTAAAATTGGTTCCCAATTTGGCAATTATTTAGCTTGGTCCCTTATTGATTGGTATTGCTGCATTTATATAGTCATTTGTTTATTCGTTATATGTTTCCACACATCCACTTCCTTGACCCCTTATTAGAATGTGAATTCCATGAGGGCAAGAACCATGTCTGTCTTGTTCCCTCTTGAATCCTCAGTGTCTAGCTTGAAGTTTGACATGTAGTAAATGCTCAGTAAATTAGTTGAGTGAAAGAATAAAATTGATTCTAAGCTTTCTAAGCCAAGCTTGGACAGTTAAACAATTAATAATATTTCCAAGATTTGGGGAGCAGGGGCAAAGCTAAGCAACTTTTCACTCGGGGAAACACAACTATTTTGTGTTTGTGTGTTTGTATTAAGGTCAAAGGGAAATTTTTCCTAGTGTTCTTTAGAAAGCACACTAGGTAATGAAATAAAGAGTTCCTCATCATTATTTTTAGACCGTATTTAATAACTAGTTTCAAAAAAGTTGTTTTATTAAAATAACTTCATGAAAGGCTAATGGCACTATAGATACTACAATTCAATGTACACTTTTCTTGCTAGGATACCAGTACCAATATGGTGTTGTCCAGATACTCAGTTATAACCAATTCTGATAGGTCTTCCATCAAATCTATATACTCCTCTTCCTCCTGGGAAGCTACCCTACATTTTCCAGTCTCCCTTGGGATTAGGTTATGGTCATGTGACTAAATTCTAACTAATGGAATGTGAAAGGAAATTATGCGCATCATTCCTAAATCTAGCGCATAAAAATCTCCCACTGAGATTCTGTATGCCCTTCTAGTCTATTTAACTGTATGGAGACCTCCAGGGAAAATTTGAAGACCACATGTTGAAGATGGCAGAGCCGTTGTCTATCTGAATCCTTGAATGATTACATGGAGCAGACTGCCTGCCTAAGTGAATATTCACTCTGTTTTTTTGTTTACATGAATTTTACTCCATGCCTAAGACGCAACATATATATATATCCTTTTACCAACTCATATATGCTGTTAACAATGTGATAGGCCCTATTTTTAAATTTTTGCACATATTAATTCACATAATTATCCTAACAACTCTCTGGGTCAGATACGTAGATGAAGAAATAGAGACACAAAGAAGTTAAGTCACTTACCAAAGGTCAGATAAACAGGAAGCAGCAGAACCAGAATTCAAACCCAGATAAACTAACCCTAAAGTCCGTATTTTTAATCAGGTTACTATTTACACTCTCTGTTTATGTAGTTCTAAAACAAAAGCTAACTAAATAAGCCAAGCCTCAGCCTTTCCCACATATTTGTTTCCTAAGACCGCGTGAAGTACTTGGATTTTTGGTACTGATTATTGTGGATCACAAGACATTATTTCTCAACCAATGTTTGGCACATGTAGGTCTATCAGTATGATCTTGGGTGTATTATTATCTCTGGGTTTCTTCTTTTTGTTTCATCAGGTTTCTTTTAGAAGGGAGAAGGAGACAGAGATAAGATTGTAGGAGCAGGGTGTAGATCTGGGGGTAAGGGTGAGAAAAAGAGCTTGACTGATGACTTGCCAAGGTATTATCAGCATAGTGAAGAGACAAACTCATTTATTTGTCTCAGTTAGCCTAACAAATCCATGTACCACAGCCTTAAAAAGGTCAGAAAACACAGCCCTAAAGGATCTTTTGATCTTTGAATCAGCTGAATGATCAAACTGAATAAATTTACGAAAACTAGTCTCATTGCCAATGTAACTCTTGACGATATGTCAGACATGAAGCCCGGACCCTGCCAGATGTCCTGTGTAGGTAGGACTTCCCCATACCATTATGTTGTCATCTTTGTGGCTCCAATGGAGTGTTGATTTTACCAACTTAGGGCCTAGTGGAGTAAGGGATTTCATGTAAGGCAGGGATTGTTAAAGTGTGTCCTGTGGGCCAAATTTAGTTTACTGCCTGTTTCGTAAATAAAGTTTTATTGGAATACAGTCACATTCATTTGTATTGTATTGTGCATGGCTGCTTTTGCACTACAAGGGAAGAATTGACTACAGTAGTCCCCTCCTTATCTGCAGGGGTTATGTTCCAAGATCCCCAAGTGAATGCCTGAAACTGTGCATAGTACCAAACCCTACACATACTGTGTTTTTTCCTATGCATACATACCTGTGATTTGTTTAGAGAGATATCCAATACATAAAATAAATGGTAAAAGTATACTTTTATACTTGTGGAAAGACAGATAAGCAAAGAAAAGATAAAGTTTATACATTAGGCACAGTAAGAGATTAACAACAATTACTACTAATAAAATAGAACAATTCGGGCCAGGTGCAGTGGCTCGTGCCTGTAATTCCAGCCCTTTGGGAGGCCGAGGTGTGTGGATTACTTGAGCCCAGGAGTTCAAGACCAGCTTGGGCAACATAGCAAGACAAGAGTTAAAAAAAAAAAAAAAAAAAGGACAATTATAACAACGTACTGTAATAAAGGTGGTATGAATGTGGTCTCTCTCTCTTTCTCCTTCTTCTTCTCAGAACAACTTATTCTACTGTACAGATGAGGGGAATATTACTGTAATTGTGACAGAGACCACATGGTCCACAAAGCCTGATATATTTACTACCACCCCTGTTGTAAGGAACTAGGGAGAAGGAAGGATAAGGGATAGGTTGGAGTCTGGTTGTGGACATCTTGAATGGGGAGGCCAAGGTGTTCGAATTTTGTCCATCAGTCACAGTGAAGCCACCTAGGCCCCCTGACCAAGAAAGTGCTGTCATGACAGCAGTGTGTTTAAGGAGAATTGTACTGGCTTCATTATACATGTTGAGAAGATGGAGCCAAAAACTGGAGGCAGGGACCACAGTTAAGAGGTGGCTGCAGTTATCTAAGTGAAGTGGTTAGAGTCTGGAGCTGACACTGTTGATTATCCACCAGCATTCAGAGCCCATTCCCTATGGTGACAAGACGCTAATTTTGTTCAGGTGTCCTTTCCCATGTGACTCAGGGGAAGATGGTTTCATCCCTGGCTCCAGGGTAAATCCTTGCCAACAACTGTCTTAAAGATGGGTATGTGACCTGACTCTGGCCAGTGAGACATGAGATGTGGTCTGCTAGGTGTAACCTGGAACTGCCAAGCTATCTTGCTGCCAGTTTGGGTATAGATCCACCAGTAGGGTAGAACAAAGAGGATCGCAGAGAAGCAGGGACAGGGCCATCCTACCTGTGTGTGTGTATATATATATTTTTTGTTGTTGTTGCTGTTGTTTGTTTGTTTTGTTTTGTTTTATGTGATAATCTTTCTTATTGCTTAAGTCACTGTCAACATCCTATATGAAGTTTGAGAGAGAATAGTAACAATAAATTCACAAAAAAGGAACCGGAGAAACAATTCTATAAAAGAAGCTTCAGTCGATGTTAAAGCTGTGCCATGGGGAAGAGGGAAGAGTAAAAGATTGTTCTAAGGTTTTAGCTCTTGTGACTGGGAATTTGATAAGCCATTATGAGAAATGAGGAAATGTTGGGCATTGCCCATAGTCTCTGTTTTGCCCAGTAAGTGAGCTAATCTGAAGCCAACAGGCATCCCAACAGGGGATTTGCTTGCATACTGCTACATGACTCTACTTCTAACATGTGACCATGAGAGAGATAATATGAACTGCTATAACACTGTGGCTGTGGGCAAACATTCTAGGAAGGCTCAGTTATATACAATACTCATTTTTTTATTAGAGATGTCTAACAAACATCTATATACACTGTATTTCTATTTCCAGTAGAAAAGACATAATGTTTTATAGTGATTATCAGTTTGGAATAAAATCACCTCCTTCTAGAATTCAAATACCCATTGTAGTTTTAGGTAAGAGTGGAGACTCTTTTTGAAAAATCAAAAGCCACTGAATTTATAGTTAAAAAAATTATTTGAAGGCTACATTAAACCCCGTCTCTACTAAAAATACAAAAAAAAAAAAATTAGCCAAGCGTGGTGGCATGCACCTGTAGTCCCAGCTACTCAGAAGGCTGAGGCAGGAGAATCTCTTGAACCTGTGAGGCAGAGGTTGCAGTGAGCTGAGATCATGTCACTGAACTCCAGCCTGGGCAATGGAGCGAGACTCCGTCTCAAAAAACCAAAAAAACAAAACAACAACAACAACAACAAAAACCAAGCTAAATTTTTTATTTAGCTGCTTTTAAAATAATACATAAGGAAGGGAAGATATCCAATACCTAAAATAAATGATACAAGTGTACTTTTATACTTGTGGAAAGTCAAATAACAAATTCAAAGAAATGACAGAAACTTGGGGTGACGGTGGGAAGGGAAAGCAGTGGGAGATAGAGGTTATCTTTTTTTTTTTTTTTTCCGACAGAGTCTCACTCTGTCATCGAGGCTGGAGTGCAGTGGCGCGATCTCGGCTCACTGCAACCTCGATAGCCCAGGCTCAAGAAATCCTCCCACCTCTGCTTCCTGAGTGGCTGGGATTACAGGCGCATGCCACCATGCTCAGCTAATTTTTTTATTTTTTGGAGAGATGGGGTTTTGCCGTGTTACTCAGGCTAGTCTCGAACTCCTGTGCTCACGTGATCTGCCTGCCTTGGCCTCCCAAAGTGCTGGGATTACAGGCGTGAGCCGCCGAGGCCAGCTGAGGTCTTTATTATGCATTGTATAGATAACCACAGGATGGATGCCTCGGTGGTTGCCATGGCATGGATAGGGCTGCAGGTGAGGAATCACAACCTGAAGTGTTGTCACAGCCCCAAGAGGCAAGATTCAAACTCATTAATACTGCTTTAGCAAAATTTTCTAGACAAAAAAAAAAAACAAATGAGCTGATCAATGTAATAGAACAGACTCCATAAACAGATATATACAGGTAGGTAGATAGACATAGATAGAGACATAGGTATAGATATAGTCAACTAGTTTATGAGAAAGGTGACACTGCAGTATAGTGGGGGAAAGGATGGTATTTTCAGTAAATGGTGTAGGGACAATTGAATGTCCACATGAAAATGTATTTTAACTCCTATCTCACACCATATGCAAAAAAATAATTCCAGAAGGATTACAGATCTAAATGTGAAAAATAAAATGATAGAGATTTAGAAGAAAACATGGAAGAAATCTTCATGACCTTGGAGTAGGCAAAGTTTGCTTACACAGGACACAAAAAAGTGCTAGCCATGAGGAAAAAAATTGGTAAATTGAACTATGTAAAGTAAGAACTTCACTTCCTCAAAAGACTCCGTGAAGAGAGAACAGACATCCTGCAGAATGGGAGAAGAGATTTTCAGTTTATGTCTCTGACGAAGGGCTTGTATCTAGAATACGCTAAGAATTCCTACACAATTAGGAATTAGGCAGAAAACCTAATTTAAAAAATGGGCAAATCACTTGAAAAGACACCTCATAAAACTTTATTGACAAATGGCCAATAAATATATGAAAATGAGTTTGACTCCATTAGTCATCAGAGTCATGCAAATTAAAACCAAAATGTGATGTCTCTGCATAGTCACCTAAAATGAAAGAGGCAGAAAATATTGGGAAAAATGCAAGGCAACTGGAACTCCTATGCCCTGCTGGTGGGAATGCAAATTGGTACAGTTTCCAGCAATCCTATACCATGACCTAGAAATTCTATTCTTATGTATATACCAAGAATTCAGCAATTGTACCATCAGATATATACCAAATGGAAAACGAGTTCAAAGATTCACCGAAAGACATATGCTAGACAGTCTACAGAAGTACTAGTGAGATTAGCCCCCATTGCCTAGAAAAACAAAAATATACAGGCAAACAAACATCAGATTGCTTCTGGAGTTGTCCAACCCAGGGAAGTATCAGCTTACTATATATACTGTTCCAATACTGTCAAGTTTTTAAAATCCCCTCATTAACATGACTCGAATAATTATTTAGGGGTAGCATAGTGTAGGGTATAAGAGCAAACTGTGAAGTCAAACTGTGCTCACATCCTGGGGCCATAACTTATTAGTAGCATGACTTCGGCCAAGTTACCTAAACTTTCTGTGGCTTGGTTTCTTTATCTGTCAAGAGAAGATGGTAATAACTTTCCGCATAGGGTTATTGGGAAGGCTAAATGAATTAGTACACGTAAAGAACTCAGAACACTTCCTGACATGTAATATATACTAATATATACATATCATAGCTAATACTATTTGTTAAATCTCTTCCACATGTTCTAGTGCTGTTATGCAGCACTGGGACAGATGGATCTACAAAAATACTATACTTGGATTAGAACCACTGAGGCACCAAAATACATGAACTAACTTAACAAAGGTTTGATAAAATATAATTCAAGTGCTAGAGAGTGCAAAGGTTGAGTTCAAGCTGCCCTATTTTCTGACATTTTAACACTTGGTGTCTGTATTTCTGACAAACACAGTTATTTGTGTGTTTTGTATTGTTTTGTTTTTGGAGGAGGAGGAGCTATGCCTGTAAATCATGATAATATGTTTCAATCTTCATGTTTTTTAAGGGCAGGGTGCATGTCTGGGTCACCTCTGTATTCTACATAATGCTTAGTGGATACAGTAGGCACTACTGTAAGTTAGTTACCATTTATGGTTGTGTTCACCTCTGAAAAGTTAGAAACCAAGGCAAGGGGGTCATTGTTTTGTTATGTCTTATTTTCAATTTGACTAAAGAATAGACAGAATTATTTAACTTGAGTTATAGAAATAATTGCTTTCTACTATAAAGCTGTTTGTTTGAAATTAGCAAAGAATGAGAAGTATCTTTCTCAAAAGCAAAACAAAAATAAGACATAGCTTATCCAAAATAAACATTTACAAATCTCCCCTAAGTAAGTTATGTTACTACGTAAGTAACTTCAGCTTTACAGTAGCTCAATATTTACTGACGTGAGAGACCTAGATGACTCAAAAAGGAACTGATGCCGGAATTTTAAATGTGTAATTTGAAAAAGAAAAGAAGCTCTAGTTAACTTTGACATTAAGAAAAGTTCCAAAATTATTAAGCCTATCACTTTAAATCTTCAAGCTGGCACAACTTTAATTCACAATTATTTGAATATTTAAGATAAATAGAAAAACTATACACTTTAATTTTTAAAGTATTTTTAATTAAAAATATAATTTTAATAGTAATTGAAATTTTTAATAAAAACAAGAATTTTTAAAGTAAACTGGTTCAATGAAGTTAATTTACATCTAAGAAGATTGGAACTCGGGTTTGAGTGACTCCAGGCCTTTGGTGAAATTTCCTATTCTTCCCAAATATATGTACATTTTTTAACTTCTCTATAGTTAGATTTTTTTTTTCCTTTCATAGTCACCTAGAATAAAGCAACTCTTAGAGCAGTGTTTCCTGGCATGTACAAATAGTTCTTTTCTGTTTTATGTGTGTGTGTGTGTTGCAATTTTCTCTTATATGACTGAATCATTGTAATCGAGTTTTTAAGTCCCCAAAGACCTTCAGTGCCCTAGAAAGAGACTATTTGATCTCACATATGTTAGCATTCATAACTTACTCCAAGCTTGCTAAGTCTTGTATTTGCAGAAAGAAGAGATGATTGACAGATGAAGACCTTGCATAAGGTACATGCTCAATAAATGGTAAATATCATTATTAAACTCATAATAAAACCCCATCATTGACAATTGCTTCATTGGTCAAACATTAACTTCTTTTAAAATGGAAATAATTTCGGAAATGTTTAAATTATAATGGGAATAAGTTGGTTTATTATATCAATTTTCTTGAAACTTTGGAAGCCTGGGATAGGAAAAATTCTAAAAACAGGTGTATCTGTCTTAACAAATTTGGCCAAATATATCAATAGAACAAAAGTTAATTTTGAATTTCTCAGCTTTAAAATAGTTAAATAAAGAATAAATAAATAAAATAGTTAAATAAATAAAGACATAAATAGACATCTACACTGCTAGGTTTATTGCAGCACTATTCACAATAGTGAAGCTATGGAATCAACTTAAGTGTCCATCAACAGATGAATGGATGAGGAAAAGGTGGTATATAAGCCAGGTGCAGTGGCATGTGCCTATATTCCCAGCTACTCTGGAGGCTGTGGGTGGGACGATAGGAGTTCAAGGCCAGCCTAGGCAACATAGCAAGACTCCATCTCTTTAAAAAAAAAAAAGAAAGAAAAAATGTGGTGTACACACACACACACACACACACACACACACACACACACACACACAAAATAGAATAGTATTCAGCCATAACAAATGAAATCCTGTCATTTGTGGCAACATGGATAAAACTAGAGGATAATTATGTTAAGTGAAATAGCCAGGCAAAGAAACACAAATACTAAATGATCTCACTCATATGTGGAATGTTAAAAGGTTGATATCACAGAAGTAGAAAGTAGGGTAGTGGTTACCAGAGGCTGGAGAGGGTTGGGGGCATGAGGAGGGGAGATTAGTAGAGATCGGTCAACAGGTACAAACTTATAGTTAGATAGAAGGAATAAGTTCTGGTGTTCTATTGCATAGTAGGGTGATACAGTTTGGCTCTGTCCTCACACAAATCTCATCTCGAATTGTGATCCCCACATGTCATGGGAGAAACTTGTAATCCCCACGTGTTGAGGGAGGGAGGTGATTGTATCATGGGGGTGGTTTCCCCCATCCTGTTCTCATGATAGTGAGTTAATTCTCATAAGAGCTGATAGTTTCATAAAGGGCTCTTCCCTCTTTGCTCTCTCTCCTCTTACTGCCTTGTGAGGAAGGTGACTGCTTCCCCTTCCACCATGATTGTGAGTTTCCTGAGGCCTCCCCAACCATACAGAACTTTGAGTCAATTAAACTTCTTTCCTTTATAAATTACCTAGTCTCAGGTAGTATTTTTATAACACTGTGAAAATGGACTAATACATAGGGTGACTGTGGTTAACAGTATTATACTGTATAACTCAAAATAACTAGGAGAGAATATTTTGAATGTTCTTATCACAAATAAATGATAAATATTTGAGGAAAAGAATATGCTAATTACCCTGATTTGATAATTACACAATGTATACTTCTATCAAAACATTACACTGTACCCTATAAATATGTCAATTATGGAAAATGGGTAGGGAGATTCCAAGATGGCCAAATAGGAACAGCTCCAGTCTATAGCTCCCAGTGTGAGTGACGCAGAAGATGGGTGATTTCTGCATTTCCAACTGAGGTACTGGGTTCATTTCACTGGGGCTTGACAGACAGTGGGTGCAGCCCATGGAGGGTGCGCCGAAGCATGGCAGGGCATTGCCTCACCCAGGAAGTGCAAGGGGTCGGGGAATTCCCTTTCCTAGCCAAGGGAAGCCATTACAGACAGTACCTGGAAAACCGGGACACTCCCGCCCTAATACTGCACTTTTCCAATGGTTTTTAGCAAACAGCACACCAGGAGATTGTATCCCGCGCCTGGCTCGGAGGGTCCCATGCCCATGGAGCCTCACTCACTGCTAGCACAGCAGTCTGAGATCCAACTGCAAGGTGGTAGGGAGGCTGGGGGAGGGGTGCCCGTCATTGCTGAGGCTTGAGTAGGTAAACAAAGCGACACGGAAGCTCGAACTGCGTGGAGCCCACTGCAGCTCAACGAGGCCTGCCTGCCTCTTTAGACTCCACTTCTTGGGACAGGGCATAGCTGAACAAAAGGCAGCAGAAACTTCTGCAGACTTAAATGTCTCTGTCTGACTGACAGCTTTGAAGAGAGTAGTGTTTCTCCCAGCACGGAGTTTGAGATCTGAGAACGGACAGACTGCCTCCTCAAGTGGGTTCCTGTCCCCTGAGTAGCCTAACTGGGAGGCACCTCCCAGTAGGGGCCGACTGACACCTCATACAGCCGGGTGCCCCTCTGAGATGAAGCTTCCAGAGGAAGGATCAGGCAGCAGCATCTGCTGTTCTACAATATTTGCTGTTCTGAAGCCTCCACTGGTGAAACACAGGCAAATAGGATCTGGAGTGGACCTCCAGCAAACTCCATCAGACCTGCAGCTGAGGGTGCTGACTGTCAGAAGGAAAACTAACAAACAGAAAGGACATCCACACCAAAACCCCATCTGTACATCACCATCATCAAAGACCAAAGGTAGATAAAACCACAAAGATGGGGAGAAACTATAGCAGAAAAGCTGAAAATTCTAAAAATCAGAGCACCTTTTCTTCTCCAAAGGAACGCAGCTCCTCACCAGAAATGGAACAAAGCTGGACGGAGAATGACTTTGACGAGTTGACAGAAGAAGGCTTCAGACTACTGGTAATAACAAACTTCTCTGAGCTAAAGGAGGATGTTTGAACCCATCGCAAACAAGCTAAAAACCTTGAAAAAAGATTAGACAAATGGCTAACTATAATAAACAGCATAGAGAAGACCTTAAATGACTGGATGAAGCTGAAAACACATGGCATGAGAACTATGTGACACATGCACAAGCTTCAATAGCCAATTCGATCAACTGGAAGAAAGGGTATCAGTGATTGAAGATCAAATGAATGAAATGAAGCAAGAAGAGAAGTTTAGAGAAAAAAGAGTAAAATGAAATGAACAAAACCTCCCAGAAATATGGGACTATGTGAAAAGACCAAATCTACGTCTTACTGGTGTACCTGAAAGTGATGGTGAGAATGGAACCAAGTTGGAAAACACTCTTCAGGATATTATCCAGGAGAACTTCCCCAACCTAGCAAGGCAGGCCAACATTCAAATTCAGGAAATACAGAGAACACCACAAAGATACTTCTTGAGAAGAGCAACTCCAAGACACATAATTTTCAAATTCACCAAAATTGAAATGAAGGAAAAAATGTTAAGGGCAGCCAGAGAGAAAGGTCGAGTTACCCACAAAGGGAAGCCCATCAGACTAACAGCGGATCTCTCAGCAGAAACTCTACAAGCCAGAAGAGAGTGGGGGCCAATATTCAACATTCCTAAAGAAAAGAATTTTCAACCCAGAATTTCATATCCAGCCAAACTAAGCTTCATAAGTGAAAGAGAAATAAAATCCTTTATAGACAAGCAAATGCTGAGAGATTTTGTCACCACCAGGCCTGCATTACAAGAGCTCCTGAAGGAAGCACTAAACATGGAAAGGAACAACCAGTACCAGCCACTGCAAAAACATGCCAAATTGTAAAGACCATCAATGCTAGGAAGAAACTGCATCAACTAATGCGCAAAATAACCAGCTAACATCATAATGACAGGATCAAATTCACACATAACAATAGTAACCTTAAATGTAAATGGGCTAAATGATCCAATTAAAAGACACAGACTAGCAAATTGGATAAAGGGTCATGACCCATCAGTGTGCTGTATTCAGGAGACCCATCTCACGTGCAGAGACACACATAGGCTCAAAATAAAGGGATGGAGGAAGATCTACCAAGCAAATGGAAAACAAAGAAAAGCAGGGGTTGCAATCCTAGTCTCTGATAAAACAGACTTTAAACCAACAAAGATCAAAAGAGACAAAGAAGGCCATTATGTAATGGTAAAGGGATCAATTCAACAAGAAGAGCTAACTATCCTAAATATATATGCACCTAGTACAGGAGCACCCAGATTCATAAAGCAAGTCCTTAGAGACCTACAAAGAGACTTAGACTCCCACACAATAATAATGGGAGACTTTAACACCCCACTGTCAACATTAACAGATCAATGAGACAGAAAGTTAACAAGAATATCCAGGACTTGAACTCAGCTCTGCACCAAGTGGATGTAATAGACATCTACAGAACTCTCCCCACAAATCAACAGAATATACATTCTTCTCAGCACCACATCACACTTACTCCAAAACTGACCACATTGTTGGAAGTAAAGCACTCCTCAGCAAATGTAAAAGAACAGAAATTATAACAAACTGTCTCTCAGACCACAGTGCAATCAAACTAGAACTCAGGATTAAGAAACTCACTCAAAACTGCTCAACTACATGGAAACTAAACACTGAACAACCTGCTCCTGAATGACTACTGGGTACATAACAAAATGAAGGCAGAAATAAAGATGTTCTTTGAAACCAACGAGAACAAAGACACAACATACCAGAATCTCTGGGACACATTTAAAGCAGTGTGGAGAGGGAAATTTAGAGCACTAAATGCCCACAAGAGAAACCAGGAAAGATCTAAAATTGACACCTTAACCTCACAATTAAAAGAACTAGAGAAGCAAGAGCAAACACATTCAAAAGCTAGCAGAAGGCAAGAAATAACTAAGATCAGAGCAGAACTGGAGGAGATAGAGCCATGAAAAACCCTTCAAAAAATCAATGAATCCAGGAGCTGGTTTTTTGAAAAGATCAACAAAATTGATAGACCGCTAGCAAGACTAATAAAGAAGAAAAGAGAGAAAAATCAAATAGATGCAATAAAAAATGATAAAGGGGATATCACTACTGATCCCACAGAAATACAAACTACTATCAGAGAATAATATAAATACCTCTACGTAAATAAACTAGAAAATCTAGAAGAAATGGATAAATTCCTGGACACATACACCCTCCCAAGACTAAACCAGGAAGAATTTGAATCTCTGAATAGACCAATAACATGCTCTGAAATTGAGGCAATAATTAATAGCCTACCAACCAAAAAAAGTCCAGGACAAGATGGATTCACAGCTGAATTCTACCAGAGGTACAAAGAGGAGCTGGTACCATTCCTTCTGAAACTATGCTAATCAATAGAAAAAGAGGGAATCCTCCCTGACTCATTTTATAAGGCCAGCATCATCCTGATACCAAAGCCTGGCAGAGACACAACAAAAAAAGAGAATTTTAGACCAATATCCCTGATGAACGTCGATGCAAAAATCCTCAGTAAAATACTGGCAAACTGAATCCAGCAGCACATCAAAAAGCTTATCCACCACCATGAAGTTGGCTTCATCCCTGGGATGCAAGGCTGGTTCAACGTAACGCAAATCAATAAACGTAATCCATCATATAAACAGAACCAAAGACAAAAACTATATGTTTATCTCAATAGATGCAGAAAAGGCCTTCGACAAAATTCAACAGCGCTTCATGCTAAAAACTCTCAATAAACTAGGTATTGATGGGACGTATCTCAAAATAATAAGAGCTAGTTATGACAAATCCACAGCCAATATCATACTGAATGGGCAAAAACTGGAAGAATTCCCTTGGAAAACTGGCACAAGACAGGGATGTCCTCTCTCACCACTCCTATTCAACACAGTGTTGGAAGTTCTGGCCAGGGCAGTCAGACAAGAGAAAGAAATAAAGGGTATTCAGTTAGGAAAAGAGGAAGTCAAATTGTCCCTGTTTGCAGATGACATGATTGTGTATTTAGAAATCCCCATCGTCTCAGCGCAAAATCTCCTTAAGCTGATAAGCAACTTCAGCAAAGTCTCAGGATACAAAATCAATGTGCAAAAATCACAAGCGTTCCTATACACCAACAACAGACAAACACAGAGCCAAATCATGAGTGAACTCCCATTCACAATTGCTTCAAAGAGAATAAAATACCTAGGAATCCATCTTATAAGGGATGTGAAGGACCTCTTCAAGGAGAACTACAAACCACTGCTCAATGAAATAAAAGAGGACACAAACCGAAGGAAGAACATTCCATGCTCATGGATAGGAAGAATCAATATCGTGAAATGGCCCTACTGCCCAAGGTAATTTATAGATTCAATGCCATCCCCATCAAGTTACCAATGACTTTCTTCACAGAATTGGAAAAAACTACTTTAAAGTTCATATGGAATCAAAAAAGAGCCTGCATTGCCAAGACAATCCTAAGCCAAAAGAAAAAAGCTGGAGGCATCACGCTACCTGACTTCAAACTATACTATAGGGCTACAGTAACCACAACAGCATGGTACTGGTACTGAAACAGAGATCTAGACCAATGGAACAGAACAGAGCCCTCAGAAATAATACCACACATCCACAACCATCTGATCTTTGACAAACCTGACAAAAACAAGAAATGGGGAAAGGATTCCCTATTTAATAAATGGTGCTGGGAAAACTGGCTAGCCATATGTAGAAAGCTGAAACTGGATCCCTTCCTTACACCTTATACAAAAATTAATTCAAGATGGATTAAAGACTTAAATGTTAGACCTAAAACCATAAATACCCTAGAAGAAAACCTAAGCAATACCATTCAGGACATAGGCATGGGCAAGGACTTCATGACTAAAACACTGGAAGCAATGGCAACAAAAGCCAAAATTGACAAATGGGATCTAATTAAACTAAAGAGCTTCTGCACAGCAAAAGAAACTACCATCAGAGTGAACAGGCAACCTACAGAATGGGAGAACATTTTTACAATCTACCCATCTGACAAAGGGCTAATATCCAGAATCTACAAAGAACTTAAACAAATCTACAAGAAAAAATCAAACAACCCCATCAAAAAGTGGGTGAAGGATATGAACAGACACTTCTCAAAAGAAGACATTTATGCAGCCAACAGACACATGAAAAAAAGCTCACCATCACTGGCCATCAGAGAAATACAAATCAAAACCACAATGAGATACCATCTCACACCAGTTAGAATGGCGATCATTAAAAAGTCAGGAAACAACAGGTGCTGGAGAGGATGTGGAGAAATAGGAACGCTTTTACACTGTTGGTGGGAGTGTAAACTAGTTCAACCATTGTGGAAGACAGTGTGGCAATTCCTCAGGGATCTAGAACTAGAAATACCATTTGACCCAGCCATCCCATTACTGGGTATATACCCAAAGGATTATAAATCATGCTGCTATAAAGACACATGCACATGTATGTTTATTGCAGCACTATTCACAATAGCAAAGACTTGGAACCAACCCAAATGTCCACCAATGATAGACTGGAGTAAGAAAATGTGGCACATATACCCCATGGAATACTATGCAGCCATAGAAAAGGATGAGTTCATGTCCTTTGTAGGGACGTGGATGAAGCTGGAAACCATTCTCAGCAAACTATTGCAAGGACAAAAAACCAAACACCGCATGTTCTCACTCATAGGTGGGAAATGAACAATGAGAACACTTGGACACAGGATGGGGAACATCACACACCGGGGCCTGTCGTGGGGTACGGGGAGGAGGGAGGGATAGTATTAGGAGATGTACCTAATGTAAATGACGAGTTAATGGGTGCAGCACACCAACATGGCACATGTATACATATGTAACAAACCTACATTTTGTGCACATGTACCCTAGAACTTAAAGTATAATAATAAAAAAAAGTCAATTATATGTCAATTAAAAATAAAACTTAAAAAATATATTAGGCCTACTTGTGGCAGACAGGCACACACTTGTAAAAGGGACTAGAACAAAAGTTTAATGAAAGCTTATGAACCATTTTCATATTAACTTTTCTATAATACAGACCCCTCAAGTGTCACAAAATTTCCATACCACCAAGGCAAGCCAGGAAGACTAGTTCTCCATATCCTTTCCTGATTAGGAAGGCCAGATATCTTGATGTCTAGCACACATTTTTATTGCTTTGACTGCCCAAGGGCTAGCATAAATAGTGCATCATCATTACTACTGAAAACATCCAGAGGCCAGGCACCGTGGCTCACACCTGTAATCCCAGCCCTTTGGGAGGCTGAGATGGGTGGATCACCTGAGGTCAGGAGTTCGAGATCAGCCTGGCCAACATTGTGAAACCCTGTCTCTACTAAAAGTACAAAAATTAGCCAGGAGTGGTGGCAGGTGCCTGTAATCCCAGCTACTCGAGGGGCTGAGGCAGGAGAATCAGTTGAACCTGGAGGCGGAGGTTGCAGTGAGCTGAGATAGTGCCATTGCACTCCAGCCTGGGTGACAAGAGCAAAACTCTGTCTCAAAAACAAACAAACAAAAGCATCTAGAGTCAAACACATATTCTTAGAAATAGCCATTATAATCCTTTAAGAGTATCTGATTCAAATAAGTGATAGTCTTTTAAAATGGAATTTCATGACTAAAATCTCACCGGATGACACATTAAAAGGTCTATACTTCCTTGAATGATAAGTTTTGTCATGCTTGTTTAAAACCACAGATCTATGGTCCTAACCATTGCTAGCCCTTAATCCTCAACTTGGCTTAGTTCTAGTTTCCTCGCTTTATTTTCAAAACTTGAAGACTGCAATACATCTATCTTCCTACACACTGGATTGCATACCCGTTTACAGATCTGGGAAAAGTACTTTCTTAGAGGTAAGTCCCTTTGTTTCCCTATAGTTCTATTGGGTTCCACTCCTTCTCTCCCACCCTCTCTCCCTTAGATCTTCAATGTAGATGACAGGATTTTGACTCTTCTTGGTATGGTCCTAAAGGAAGCTGCCGAATGAGAGAGAATGAAAATTTTCAATACATTCTTTTTTAAAATAAAATCTTTTGATACTTTTTTCATTGTGCAGGATTCAAAAGCATGCTGTATAAAAACATGCTGTATAAGCAATGAAAAAAGAACTAGGAACAAGGCTGCAAATATTCCAAGTAACTTTCTCCACTGGGATGTTAAACTGAACATTTTATTAAACACAAAATAAACAAGAAAATGGACATGCTGGTGTACCAAGTAACAAAATAAATAAGAATATTTTATTAAATTAATGCAGGTACAAAAAGTGACAATCAAATGCAGAATTAGGTATCATCTCTGCCTATGCCATTTACGATGAAACATGAGACAAAAGGGATAAAGTGCCTTACAAATCCAACACCACAAGGAGGAGTTAGGACTTAGGAATAGACTGAGTAGACTATGTGCCTTGCTCAGCCACAATTCTTGCCTGTAATTCACACAAAGAACACTGTCACACCAATTACTGTACAAATGCACATGTACAAACAGATAACACAAGGAGCTCTGTTGGAGACACTGTTTCTTCAGCCTTGACATGTGGCAAAGCCAAGGTACTCCTTGTCATTGACACCAGAATATGGCCAAGAGGGAAAGGAAACTCTGGGATCTCCCAGGGCATCTGAATCTCGAAACCTCCAGGAAGCCTCTTAGGAGGGCTGTGTAGTGATGACAGCTGGTGGCATTCAAGGGTTCAAGCACAACGAATGAGGCTTTTCTGGCACAGGGTAGCTAGCAGTCAAGGTACACTGCCGGAATTTCCAGAAAGAAAATGTGATTTTGCAAGTACAGCATCAAAGTGAAGTTTATACTTGACAGAAAGCAGAAAACAAAAGTTCCAGACATGATTCTGTCATACAGAGTTAATAATAAGATTGCTTTTTAGGACTAGATTGACTCAGTGCACCCTGGAGAGCCCATGGGTCTCCTTTTGAGCAAACATAAACAAATCCAAACTCTGTCCTAGAGCAAATACTTAACAAATGGTGGTTGTCTAAATGTATATGTAGGACATATTTAACATATACTGGATCATATGAAAGATAATGAAAAGCTATGGGAAAGATAACTTAGAAACAAAGAAGGCATGGATCCTCAGCCCTGGGAACTTCAAATTCATTCCATCTGCTATATAAGAAACACTAAAATAAATAAAAATAGCAAAGTACACAGCAGACATACAATGTGTTACTATTTAGGAAAAAAATTTTAAAAATACGTGCTTTTAACATACATTTCCAAATGTAGACTATCTTTAGAAGAACATATGAATGAAAGGCAGTAGCAGTTGCTTCTGGAAAGGAAACTTGAATGGCTTGGAGGATGAAGTGGAGATTTTCCAACCATCTCCCATGGGATCTTTTGAATTTTGAATCATGGAAAGGTATGAATTTAAAATTTAGTGGCATTTAAATAGAAAAGACAGAACTGTTAAACAATACCAGACACTATATAAACAAGCATTAGATTATATGGCAAAGGCAAATCAGGAATAAATATAATGCTAGAAAAGGAATTCCAGTGTTATTTTTCAGGGTTATTTTAAGTACCGACCTCTCTTTGTAAATGAAAATTACTCTGATTATTAAGATGTTTAAGTATATCCAACCGTCCCAGACCACATTGGCCTATTTCCTCCTCTTGGCAACACTGCTCGGGTTTTCCCCTCGCATCATCCTTATGCTATGACACTGGACTAAATTGTAATAATACATTTTCTTGTTAATCTCCTCATTATACTATGAGCTCCTTGAGGACAGGTACTTTGTCTTGCTCACATCTGTAGATTCAATGCCTGGCACAGCGATTGATATTGCAAGGGCACTTAATAAATGGTTTTTGAATAAAAGAATTGCTTAAAGTAAAATATAGCTGTAAATTGTATTATAAAAGGACAGTGGGTGGCAGTCTGAGGTCTGCTATTTACTGGTTTGGGCAAGTTACTTAATCTGTTTGCTTCCTCAGCTGTACGATGGGTAAAATAATAGTGGTTATCACAACAGGGTGGTTACAGCGATGAAATGAGATTATGTGTGTAGGCTACCACATAATTGTAAAGCTGATATTTAAATGGAACAGATACTGCACAGACACTTGAGGTCTGAGAATAAGATTAGGTCAACCAGAGTATTAATGGGTTAAATAAAGGTGACATCCTATGCAACCAACGGTTTGATCTTTATGCTTCCAATGTATACTTGTAGTTATAGAGGAGACCAAGCACCTTACAAATACTCCATGTTTTACTAGATGTGAGCAAATCATTAAGCAGCAAGTTTAGTTTGGCGACAAAATTGTAACATCTACTACAATATATCTTCAAAAGAAATCATTCACAACCACACTCACATGACAAGAAGACCTCACAGACTCAAAATAAATAGGAAAAACTCATACATAAATACTGTCCCGTTCCAACACTGAGACTCTCAGTCATGCAGAAAACAAATTGAGGCATTGAGTGGAGGCAAAGGGCACTTCTGCAGGAACTGACCCTCAAATTAGGGATTCTCAACCCGTCTTCCTAGGATGAGCAATGGATGATTTGCTTGGAGGCTCCTTGTTCAGAAGTATCCTTTCTCCCTGTCACAGGCGTCGATGAGCCCCTCAGGCATTTGAAAGTATCAAGGTCTCCCTCCAGGCTCCCTGTTTGACTCCATCTTTCTTCATTCTCCTCCTCTGCTTTCGCCAGGTTCCATTTTCAGTGCTTGGGCCTTTTAAGTCCCACATTGCCTGCATCCCACGGGCCCATTCCTTCCTCTTGTCACGCTCAGCCCCGATGAACCCCTAAACCACAGGTTGAGAATCCCTGCTTGAAGATCAGAAGTTCCAATGCTGGATTACGTCTCCTCCAAATGTGTATCTGGAGAGTGATAATAGTATATTAATTTCATGGGAAGTGGTCTGGGGAAAAAGTAACAAGAAATCTAATAAAAAACATAACTCATAGTTGCTGATATGATAAATGATAAATTTGAAATGAGAGAAAGCAGCAGGTTATATTTGTACCCAATTATCCTTACATGATATCCTGGAAAACCCCTCAGTCCTGAGCAAATTGGGATGGCTTGTCCCCCAGCATGACCCAAACAACATTTGCTACTTAGCTTTACAACACAGATGATGCTATGGGCCACAGAATGAAACTTGCCTGAGCTTGTCCAGGTTAATTAGACTGCTTTAAACTTGGGCTCATTGTTAAGTTTGGTTTCTAACTACATTAAAAAAATTAGAAACCTTAATATAACTTTCTTCTTAGTTCAATAACCTGGATGAGGTTTTTCTGCCCTGCTTATAAATGTAAACATTTGTAGCAAAATGGATTGAAGCAGATGGGTTAAGAGTAAGGGTCTGTGGTTAGGCTAATGGCCCCCAAGCTTGATTTTTGTGATCAGCTGTGTGTTCTTGGGCACTTTACATTATCTTCTTGACCCTCTGTTTTCTCTACTGTAAAATGAGGATAAATTCTAGTATTTCTCTCTCTCTCTCTCTCTCTCTCTTTGGTAATGGCAAGGGGTGGGGGATTAAATGAGATACCGTGCATGGTGCAATTAACATAGTATTACAATACTGACACACAATATTTTAGAATCAATTAATTATCCATCCACCTAAGTCATCCTTGTCCCCTGCTGCAAGGAGCTGCTAGGGTGCAGGGCAACAGAAGATTAGCAAATGAAGCTGACTCCTTCCCCTTCCCTGCTCCTAAACCTCCTCAGACGGTGGAGGAGTTCTTGTGTTAGCTGTGAGGCAAAGGGGAACCAGCATTCTTTAAAAGGAGAGGAGATTATGACTGATGGATTTCTCTTTGTTATTGCTTTAGCTTTTTGTTTCCTTTGACTTTTACTTCCCAATTCCTTCTGATATTCTTACCACTTTGCTTCTTTGAGTTTGTATCTTGGATGCCACATTTTTTCACATCCATCATTCTCCCTTGAGAAAAAGAAATCATTTTTATTTCCATATAGCACAGCTCTACATCCCATACAGTGACCCAAGTTTAAATTTCAAGTTCTGTGAAACATTTGTAATCCCTAGGAAGTCTGGTGGACATCCTTATTCCACAGGTCCCAACTTATGAGGTTAATTAATTCAATAGTGTAGGGCACATGCTTTTGATCCTAGATGTTCTTGAGGAGTATACACTTTTATTTTTCATCTTTTCCCAGAGATGAACCAAATTCTGAGGTATTTTAATATCTATTGATTTCTATCCATTTCTACTGCCAACTAATCTTTTTTTCCAGAGAAATATTCAAAATGCATGCTGGCAACAATTATTTCTTTGTGCAAATCAACTCCATCTCAGGATCTTACTGTCATTGAAACTTGATCCTTATATTCTGGCTATCTCAGTCCTGTTAAGAATATAATTTTTGGAAACAGCTTATCTCTACTCTCTCAGTTAACACTACTTTCCCCCATGTAAGGGGTTATGGGGAATTTTTCAACGACTATTGGAATCCCCTTCCATATTCTACTTCCCTATTTAACATCAGACAACTCTATACCATCACTGGATCTCTTGGTATACTTCTCTAAGTATTGGAGGAATTATTTACTCTGACTCATCTTAAATGGGAGGAAATTATTTGAATATACTCATTTTCCTGGATTTTAATTGTTCCCACAGGTAAATGGAGAAATGAACACATGCAAATTATGTAACATCCTCTACCAAAAATTTTGCAAAATACTCTATGGTAAACATACTACAGTTCTACAGAGGAACTATTTTTATTACTTAGGGTACCCAGAAACCAGCTGGTTGCAACTAATGCAAGACTAAAATGCAACTGAAAATGACGGGCATTTTAGCTCTTTCTCTTCTGTAAGTCTGTGGTTATTTTCATGATAGAAAAAAACTGTATGACACTGCATCTTCTACCTCCATCCATACCCATTCTCCTGCCCCTCACCCCTTACGCTTCATCTTCACCCAGTGATCCCACTCAGCTTCAATATAATTGCTGTTGAACAGTGGAATGCCTTTGCACCACCTTGCAGAGGTTAAGTCGGGTTTCCTTGCAGCCATGATCCAATTCTCACCCCTTCCTCACCCCCAGTGGAGACCACTGCAATTAAGGAAATACTACCTTTTCTTAAACGGAAGATGAATGTCAGTGCTACACCAAGGCATAATAAGATGGCTCCCAGAATTACCAAGTGAGTCCTTTCATTTGGAGGATGTGCCAGAGGTAGTTCTGAAAAACAAAACAAAACGAAAACAAACTGACTAAAGATAAAATTTTGATGGGAAGGGGTCAGGAGAATGGTCATCCTTGAAGTTTAGTTTAGCTTTAGGATAATTTTCTTAAATGCCAAAGTTTGAGTGGCTGGAATGGCGAGATACCTGTGTTAAAATGGGAACAGCATGGAGAAGTGTGAGAAGCCCAGGCTTTGAAAAGGTGGTGCTGGGGCTAAATTCTGCTGCCCTTAACCAGTTTTGAGGTCTTGGGCAAGATACTTAACCAGTGTACAAAATACAAATGCTAATACATTTCTTGTGAGGCTAATATTTATAATGTGCTTGCACAGTACCACATGGAGTGGCTGCTCACTATTAAATGGCGGCCTTGATTATTTCACTTCCTCTTGCTTTTTTTTTTTTTTTTTGAGGCAGAGTCTTTCTCTGTTGCCCAGGGTGGAGTGCAGTGGCGCAATCTGGGCTCACTGCAACTTCCGCCTCCCAGGTTCAAGCAATTCTTGTGCCTCAGTCTCCCGAGTAGCTGGGATTACAGGTGCACACCACCACACCCAGCTAATTTTTATATTTTTAGTAAAGGCAGAGTTTCACCATGTTGGCCAGGCTGGTCACAAACTCCTGACCTCAAGTGATCTGCCCACCTTGGCCTCCCAAAGTGCTGAGATTACAGGCATGAGCCTCCGCTCCTGGCCCCTCTTGCATTCTTTAATATAGAAGCTAGTAGCCTACAGTACATGGCAGAGATGGCCCACAGTAGAACATGGAAGGCCAACCAGCACTGCTAAGGAGCTCCCACCTCCTCCTATCTGTCATCATGATTGGAGGCCAATGCTTGTTGTCTTATCTTTCTCTGCAGTTTGAACATCTCTGGACAACAAGCCATTAGTATCTCTTACTAGGCTCCTTGTCTGGGGTACCATGCAGGAGGAAAGGGGGTCCCATGGTACACAGATGTTCAGAGGCTGCTAACTCCCACCTCTCACCCTTAGTCAGCTCCTGCCTGGCTCAGCTCTCCACTGAGACCCATGATCCATCTTTGACTACCCAGGTGAAACTTTAAAGACACAACAACAGCCAGCTTTTTCCGTAACTTACAGTTTACAATGCCTGTTCACGTATGTTTTATTTCAGTTTCAGAACAACTTTATGAGTTAGGCATGCCAGGTATTTAAAAAAAAATCCCCAATTTACAGATGAGGAAACAGACTCAGTGCAGTTAGGTGAGTTACTGTAGGCCACCCAACAAGTAAGTTGTCATAAAACAGCTTGTAAATGGCAGGAACCCACTAATCTAGCTTTTACTGAAAGCCAGTTCAATACCTGAGGACTCGTACCCCAGTAAGAGCATCCCCATCATTTTCTAAAGTTTTTTCCCCCTCTTTCTGTTCACAACACCGTCCTGGATTATCTTTTCCTATTGATTGACTTTTCTATCTAATTTTTCAGTTGTTTTTGCTGAAGTACGTGGCATTTTCCTATCAACATGTATTGGGGGAGGGGGCAGTGAGCAGCTCTTCTCAGAATATCTTTGTGTTTATATTAAATATCATGCTCACTCGCCTCACTTTCTTTCACATTCTGAGCCTCTCATCAGACTCTGTCTCCCACCCTACCTACTTCTGTAGAGTAGTGAGATAAAAAAAAATAGTTGAATTTGTGCAGGCAATGGTCTCAAATCATTTTCATACACTGTTGCTAATCTGACCCTTACAATAAGCTTGCTCAGTAGATTATAATCCTACAGGGAAAGTGAAGCACACAGAAGTCTAGTAATTTGCCCAGGGACACACAGCCTCATGTTCTATGCACTAAGCAGACTGCTAGAGTTGAAATATTGTAGACTACCTTGGGAGAGGCACCGGGGAGAAAGGGTCCCTCATGTTTGGCATAAGATAGAAAAATATGTTCCATTTATTTCCTGCCACCCTGGAAAGAGGGAAGCAGCTCTGATGTGCCAGGATTTGGATTCCTGAAACAAGGCCTGAATTGAGTATTCCTCTCAGGTATTCCCCAGGTTTCCCGGCTATGAAAGCATTTCCCACATGGTGTTGGATTGCCTGTTTTTTGTTTGTTTCTTAGTTTTTTATCTGTTTCCTGAAGAGTGTGAACTGAGTCTTATTATTCTATGTGTATCCAATGAGTACTACAATGCATGGAACAAAAGGTATATTCCATAAATATCTGCTGAATGTTTATTAAGTAACAATATGGTTTGGATGAATGGAGGTGAGGAATTAGGATATATTTTGTAAACATAGTGTTATTCATTCATTCATTTATTCAACAATCACTGAATGACTATGATAGGCAGACATCATGCTAGGTGCTAGGGGACAGTGTTAGACATATTTTAATGGACACATTCAGAATATTACCTGGGATGACCAATTCAGCTGTATGGTTTTCCTCAGGATCTAATCTCCTAAAAGTGCAGTAGAAAATCTCATTAGTTGTTGTGTTGATTCTCAGTGTGCTGGTCACATTGAAAAGCTTCTCCTCTCTCTTGGAATTGGTGGTGGTGGTCTTACCACTCAGGACTTGATGGTCACTGCTTGTCCAGATGACTTCGGCCTTGGGGTAGCCCTCAGCCTGACATGTCAGTTCATGTTCAGAGGTGACTGGATCCACAACCAAAATTCTTTGGTTGATTTTGTTGTATGGGGCTAGGACATAAACAAAAAGAAGTCAGGGCTTTTGCTGAGCACAGAACTACGTACATAGCTTGATGCTGTCCACATTAGAAAGAGTATCAATGCAGGCTGGTTCTCAGAGGGATATGCTTAATGTTCAGATGCCTCAGCCGTGGGGAACACCTGCTAGCTCTGCCTCAATTCAATTCAAAGTTGGGACAAGTTTGGATTAATAGGAATGACTATCTTTCTATAAAAATCATGTTGGTACATTTATTGGGCTCAAACAAAATGTAAAGATTAATTTACACTAAAACCCCAGACTTCACCACTATGTAATATATCCATGTGACAACACTGCTCTTGTACCCCTTAAATTTCTACAAAAAATAATTTAAAGAGAATTATCTTTAAACCAGAAGTCTTTCTATTCAAATACAAAATATCCCTCTCCATTTGTTCAGGTTTTCATATGTTTCTCAGTAAAGTGCTTCTTCTTAAATTTATTCTTGGATATTTTATTTTTGTTGTTATAAATCTGTCTTTATAAACATGAATCTCTCCAGCTGGTATGCTTTCTTTTCTTAGACTTCAGTAAACAGAAAACCTGATTTTGAGGTGTCATTCACTTTTCTGATTTGAAGTCAATGATCAGAAATTAGATATGAAAATACATAGTATTTCATCTGTAAACAGTGATATATGTTCCTGGTGATACTTTTTAATGTTTAAATTTGTTCTTTATTTTAGAAGTTTTAAATTTACAAAAAAGTTGCAAAGATAGTATAGAGTTACTGTATACTCCTTACCCGGTTTCCTCTATTGTTAGTATCTTACATTACCATGGTACAATCGTCATAACTAAGGACGTTAGTACATTATTAATAACTAAACTGCATAATTTATTCCATTCCTCCAGTTTTTCCCTAATATCCTTTTTCTGTTCTGGGATGCTATCTAGGATACCACATTATGATATTTACATTTTAAGCTTTTAAATGCTGGCTATTTTAATAAATCATTTAAGTAATTATGCTCAAGGAAGAAAGTTTGATTCAATTTTAGATCATTGGTTTGGGACCCTTTCAGGATTAAGATACGTAGTTTGCTGACAATTCTAGTAGATTGTTTAGTGCACCTATATAGCATAAGAGCTTTATTCATGTTTATTCATTACAAGTACATTAACATGTTCTTATTTTGTTGGTATAATCTTTTTTTTACTTCTAATACTATAGTGTAACCACTAATGATCTAGAGCCTTAATTCTCCATTCCTTTACCAAGGACAGCAATAGATTTGTGAGGTAATTTCTTCACAGAGAGTTAATACAAAACGGCTAGGATCAAATGAAACTGAAATAAATAATGAGTGATGTTTTGATACTCCTATATCAATGAAACCACTACCAGTGGAAACACTGGAAATCAATAAAATTATGATTTCAAAACACAAAAATAATAGTTCTTATGTGTAGGTTGCTTTGGGGTAGCTACGGATTTTCAAATTCTCTTATCTAATTTTGACTAAACTAACCATCTTACAAAATTAAACAACTAATTAAAAAGTTTCCCACAAAGAAACTGAGGACTGAAGATAATACTAATAATTCAAGCACAACCCAGAGGAAACAGCAGAAGTGACACTTTTTATCGGCCACTGTATGAGGTGGTAAACAGTAAGTACTTAATTAGACCTCGCAGTGTTATATAAAAAAACACAAACCTCAAGATTATTGACACCATCCACCTTTGTTAATGATAAAGTTCACCCTAAGGTATATTATGCCTTGACATATTAGCTAATGATAGTGAAGCATCACAATTAGTAAAAACTGAAAATATTGTTTATTAAATTTTTATTTCAACCTCTTAAAATGTCTGTTTTTGTACAAATGTCTATTAGGTTGAACCAGATGTAACTGGTAACATTCAACCTTTTTTTGCTCTTCAAAAACGGCAGTTTCTTATGATACAACTTATATATTAACAGAAAGTAAAATTTTTATAATTACACACAAATGTGCATGCACAAACACACGAGTTCAAAATGTTTTACAGATGAGATGAGTAATCAAAATTTTTGCAGACCCAGAACACTATACTAATGTTGGACAATCAAAACCAAGAAAAGGTCATGATAGTTTTGAAGTCAACATATAACTTGATACGTACACCAGAGGTACAAATATAGGCAATAAAAAGTGGTTATTAAGGGCCCAGACTTCAGAGCTAATCTGCTTGGGTTTAGAACTAGCTTTATCATTTTCTAGGCTGGGTGAATTTGGGCAAATTACTTAATTTCTTTGGACCTCAGTTTCCTCATCCTTAAAATGGGAATAATACCACTTATCATGGAATCAAAGATTCCATCATTGAAAGACACACTCAGATTTCAGACACAACAAAATGTGAAAAATACTCATCTTACATGATGAAGCACTTACCCCCTAGAGTCATTTCCAGGAGGAAATGAACTAATTTAGACAGAGTGTTCAGTACAGGGCCTAACACACAGAATAAGCAAGTGCTAATTGTAGTAGTACTCGATAGTAGCAGTAGCAGAGCTGCTCCTCTTCCTCCTTTTACTACTGCTGCTCCAGTGTACCCTTTAGAAGCTGCTAACAGTTCCTGATGAACAGTCTGGAAATAAATTTTCACATATCCAAATCTGTTCATGTTTCCAAAATTTTAGGCTAATCCTATTTGAGGAAATCATTCATTCATTGACTCAACAAATATTTTTTTGTGTGCTCTTTTCGTACCACCACTCTGCTGTATATCAGGCCCTGGGGATGCAACAATATTATAAAACAGGCCCAAATCTTTGTGCTTGTGGAGTTTATATTCTAGGAGGAGAGAGACAATAAACAAAACAGAAAAGTATGATATGATATGCTACACAATATACTAGATAGAGATAAATGCTACAGAGAACACTTAAACAGGGCTGGGAATTTTGGGGAGAGATGGGGTTGGTGGGGAATGACAGCAGTCGATTTGGTCCATATGATCCAAATAGCTTTATCGGGACAACTATGCAACACTTTGATCTTTCAGCTGCCTAATCTCATTGAAGGTTCTGAAAGTCTGAATGAACATTTCGTTTTCCCTGCTGTTAGGTTCAGCGATTAAAGAAAAACACTTTTAATTGAAAGTTAGTGGCCTGAGAGTCTGGCATTTAAACTCACAAACAAGAAAGGTGCAATAACACCCGAAGTGATAGTGATAATTGAGTGAATCCAAAACTAAATTCTTTCAAATTTCAGTTTTGAAATGTTTCACCTTTAAAATACCATGGTGAGTAAACTCCTGTGGGGAAGCTATGTTACCACACATTTGCTGTGATGGGAAGTGAAGTTCAACAGCATTACTGTGAAATCATTTGCATATGGAGGTGACTCAGGAGTTCTACTTCCCTGAGTTGGGAAGCTCCTGCAAGCCAGCTGCCTCATTTCCATTGGAGACACGGCCTCAGTGCAAGTGAAGCTTGGTGGTTGCCTTGTTCTAAGTGCAGAAGGTTCAGACTTTTGGTATAGCTGAACTCAATCCCAAAACCACTGTATGCAAATGACAAGATGGATTGGGAGTAGAATGCCAATTAAGTAATTTACAATACAAAATGGAATTGTCAAACAAATCAGGTCCTCAAACCTGGTTGGTCATTTGCTTTGCTCCAGGAAGAACTCCCCCTTGGAAAAACCATCAGTGCCGGAAGATTTCCTATTGTGTTGATCCATGGCAAAGGAGACTGCAGATACACAAGGGATATTATGGAGCCCAGACGACCTGAATAAAACCCTTCCCTACTACAAGGACAGCTGTCCCTTCCCTACACACTCCCTACAGGCTGATGAGAGACCTTTTTTGGAAGCAGAAACTTATACTTTATGCTGCCTTCTTCCTGACTGCCAGGATTATACTCTTCCTTTCCATCCCAGATCTAGCAATGCTGTTGATGAGGCTAAGTCATGATGATTTCTTTAATATCTTGGAACACAGTAGATGCCTGATATTTGCGGATGGACTGGAGAAAAACTGAAAGTATAAACCACAACATCTCAAGAGATGTCATGAATGGAGAAGCATATGGTAAAATATAATGAAAATTAAATCTACTTTACAAGTGGTATCTTCTTGACAATAGTGGCATTACCTGAGCCAGTATCAGGGACCAGAAATACAACATAAAACTGATACATTTCTCTTAATCCCCACATGATTTTGTTTTTGAGTTTATAGTTATCAGTGATCATTGATTAATAATTGATCAGTGATCAGTGACAAATGTATACTTTTTCTACTTGTATTGTTAGCCCTCAGATTGATGGTAGTTAGCCCAGGAATGGAAAGACCAAGGGGAGATGATTTAATTCTAGTCAAATATTAAAAGGTCATCATGTAAATGAAATAATCCCAAGACTACAACTAGAGGGGCAGATTTCAGCTTACTATTAGGGAGTAATTTCAACAGGATATGGAAGGGATATCCAAATGGCAGGGAGGCCATTGTGGGATATGACAGGGACGCCATTGCAGGAAATATAAGAACAGAAGATCCTCTGGGGGATTTTTGTTCTTTGTGGGAGTTTGGATTAGCTGCTCCTGCCTGGGATCCTTTCAGCTCTCAATTCTGTGAAACTCAACAATGAAAGCAGAGGTGTTTTCCTTTACTTAGCTAGTGCCAACACAAAACTTTGAACTCAAGTGACCTGATAACATAACTGTGGGTCAATACCGAGGAACTAACACTCCTAGTTCCTTTTCAATTCCCCAAGACAACATCAGTATAGATTTTCAAGATGAATATATGCCCAGTAAGTATGGCTTATCCTGTACTGGAAGAATAGGTTCTTTCACACTTAATGTGATTATTTTTTGTCTTCATAGGGTGACTTCAAGTCTTTTTTAATGTGAACCTTACAGTGGGGTTTGTTCTGAATATATTTATTTGCATTTGATATAGAGAGGCTCAAAAAAGGAAAACTGACGGACCTAATAAAATAAAAAAATAGTAGTTGAATAAAAAAATTTCTGGAGGGACACACAAATAATGGTTACTCTCTCTGCATGCCATGGGAGATAGTGGTGAAGGGAGGAGGGACACTTTTGCAATTCATTTGATCTCTTCCACAGTATCTGAATTATTTGCAAGTATACGTATTCCATTTGTAATAAAAAAGTAAAGACTAGAAATTCTTTTTGGAAAACTGTACATACTGTAGAACATGGCTCTGTGTTGTTTGTCTCTGGATTTCCAGTGACTATCAAATAGGTGCTCAAGAAATTGGATAATTATGTGAATGAATTCATGAATTGAATGAATGAATGAACAGACTATGCTGTTCTGTTTGAAAATAAGTATGGACTTACAAGAATGAAAAGTCTTCAACACTTGGAATATGTTTTCAATAAAGATCAGGCCTCTCATCTATAATAATTCTTACCATTGACTTTCACAGTAATTCGCTTGTAGTCGGCACCACCATAGCTGATCATGCAGCGGTACACCCCTGCATCCTGCAATTTCACATCTGTGATCTGAAGTGCAGCATTTCCCAGGGAGAGCTGGTCCTTCAACAGCCGGGCCCTCTGTCTGTAGCTACTATGCTGAACCTTCAGGTCTTCCTCTCCATGCACAAATTGAATAATGTTCTTATCCTCCATTTCCCAATAGACAATTAGTGCAGCCAGGTCTAATTGTTTTTCTACTGGGAATTTGCATTCAATTGTCATATTGCTACCATACTCTACCACATATAGGTCCTTGGGAACCGTGACAGTAAATGCTAAAAAGAAAGAAGGACAATCTTCAGAAAAGGGAAAATTCCTCGAAACATTTACAAAATTGGCACAGCGTTTATAAATCACTTTATCTGGTCGGTTATGTTATCATTATATTTAAGAACTTGCTAAACACATATTTTATCCAATGGGCTTGAAATATGTTTTGGGACACTATATCTCATGCTGAGACACAGTGTCCCAATAGCAGAATAATAAAATTAGCTAAACAAGTTGCCCCCACAATTTATAAACATATATTACTGTATAAATATTATATGGAGATGGAGTCCTTACAACCAGGGAGACTTGGTTTCATGTAGACATCCCCAGAATGTCCTTTGACAGGACACCTATTTGCTTCCTACATAGAGGGAATGGTAGATTCTAACAGTCATCTCTTTTTACTTCCCTAAACTTTTGATCAGTTTTCTGGCAAGAAGTACATTGGTATGGAGTTCAGGAAAGAGCACAGGGTGATGCCAGTACTGTGTTAGCCTGACATTTTCCATGTATCTTACAATTCTTCCTTAAAGTATCCTCATCAGGAAAGGCATGTCACAGAGCAACCAAGACTGAAAGATCAAAGGATCTTGGCCTTGTTGAAAGCAAACAAATAAATGTATACATACAGGCCATTTCCCCAGATATTTTCAGTAGTTAACCCTGGGAAATGGGTAATAGATTATTTTGTGTCTTTCAATTTGTCTATATTCTCTATATTTTTACAAAATGACACAGGTAACTTTATCATTGCGTAAAGTAGAAAGAAGACTTTGCCATTGTGTAAAGTAGAAGAAAGAATAGAATGTTCTCTCTATAAGAAAATTGCATGCATTTTAAATGATCATTTTAGTTTTAAACTCATGGTTAAAATATTTAAAATATAGAACCTAATGGAAGGATTTGGTGTCTTACCGTTCAGCAAATGCCAGTAGGTCATGAATATAAAGACAGCAAATATCCTCATCTTTCTGGAATGCCCTAATTATGGAAAACACGAAAAGAAGACTGCTTCACTTAATAATTAAACATACAATATGACAATATGGGACTTGGTGGTTCTAACTGAAATAGTCTTCTAATAACCAGTCATGATTGACTTGTAATTGTGGAAACCCAACAGGGAATTGGAAGTTCAATATCTTCATTCCATTGCCCACAGCCACATAAACTTAAGTGAAAAAAGTTACTAAAAGATGAGAAGTTTCAAATTTATTATAGTTACAGGCCGTGAAAAAAATCTGCCCACTCAAAAGAAGCCAAGAAGATAATATTGCACCAAATTCCTCTCAATTATTTCATGTTTTTTCTGCATTGTAACATACCTAGTAGAACCTGCCCTGTACAAAATTTCAGAGCAAGGAGAATCTGACTTTTACTTTTCCAACCTGTCAATGCTTTTTCCCCCTACAGCTAAATACTTTCATCTTACCCTTTAGCTATTCAAGGCTTCCACTTCACTGTCTCAGCCATGCTAGTCCTCCTTCAGGTGCCATCCTTCAAAATCTCCTCTTCTGCCCCTCTCACTTATTCTAAATTATAAATCTATTCTCTCAATAAACAGATTCTTCTACTAACAGTGGGGAGTGGGAAGGGGAGAGAGTTGGATTTGACTAATTCATACTAAGATATGAATGACTCACAGCCACTCTTCCAGAGTATCTGCCTAGATTCTATTCTTCATTTAGTCATCCTGCTTGAAATGTGACTAATTATTTCGTTTAGCAAACACTGATTGAGCACCTCTTCTGTGCTAGGCACTATTTTAAGCATGAGGAATACGGAAGTCAGAGTGAAAGAAAAGTCACTCTCCTTTTGCAGTTTATGTTGAAGTAGGGGAGTAAAAGATTTATACTCTATTTCAGCCAATCTGTGCATTTATTAATATTTTCTCCCTCTTCTGTTATACATATATTTACAAACTTTGATAAGAAAGAGGTAAGTTTTCCCTCTTAGTGCCTCTCCAATCTTTGTATACAGACATGAACTCACAAATGATCAACTAATCGATGCCACGTATATATAAGACAGGAGATTAATGTTCCTAATATATAAATAGCTCCTAACAATCAATAAGACAACTATACAAACTACACATAACCCATGAGGAAAAAAAGTGAAAGGTCATAACATATAGTTCAGAGAATAAGAAATACAGGTGACATGTAAACATATGAAAGATGTTCAATCTCACAATAAAAAATATAAGATATGAAATACCATTTTCACTTATGAGCTTGACCACAATTGTAAATATTTCTAATATTTAGTGTTTGTGAAGATATGAACAAATAGGCTTTCTTACCCACTAATGGGAGGATTTTTTTCTTTAGGGGGCACTTTGATACTTCCTATTACAATCGTAAATGCGGATGTCATAAGACCTTTCACCCTCTCCTAGAAATCTATCCTACTAAAACAAAAACACACACACACACATATATATATATATGTCTGTATATGTAAAGGAAGAGCATTGCTCATAACAGCAAACTGAGAATATCCTAGATTGTCTAAGTGGTTAAACAAATTTTGGTATATTCACAAAATATAATACCATTAAGGACTGAATTCAGCATATGTACATGTACTGATTTTGTAAACACATAGAAAGTAAGTTGCAGAACACTACATGTAGCAGAAATCCACTTTTGCTGAAAAAAAAAAGTGTGTGTGTGTGTTTAGACACAGGAAATGTCCAAGATATTGACAGTGATTATATTTAGGAATTAAATTAGAGGGAGAACAGGTAGGTTTCACTCTTTATTGTTTTTAAAGGGAAAAAAGGAAGGAAAAGACAGAAAAAGAGAGATGAGATTATGGATTTTTTTTGGTGTTCTGTGTCCAAATTTCCAAGTGAAAGAATGTTTTATTTTTAGTATCAGGAAAAAAATAAAACCAAAATTTCATGAATCACTTCACCTTACCAAACCGTAGAATGTTTAGCAGACCAAGTGATATAATGGAAAGAACCCCAAAATGGAGTCCAAACATCCAAACTGACGTAGAATAATAACATTCGTTTATTTTTTATGTTTTTTTCTTTATTATTAAAGTAATATAATGGAATTACAGAAAATAAGAAAAGAAGGGGAAAATCCCCTACTATTTCATCACTCTCACCCAGGGAGCATCTGGTGATGCCTGGAAACATTTTTGGTTGTCAAAATTGGGCTGGTTGAGGGAGGACTGCTATTGCTATCTAGGGGCAGAGGCCAAGAGTGCTGCCAAACACCCTGCAGTGCACAGGCCAGCCTCCCACAGCAAAGACATACAGCCTAAAACGTCAACAGTGCCAGTGCTGAGAAACCTTGTCACCACTGTGAGCAAAAAACATTTCAGTGTATATCTTTCAATTTTTTTCCCTGTAATCTTTTAAAAAGTAATTTATAACCTTATCATACATTTAATACCCATTTGTTTCATTAAAGCTTATGGCATAAATATTGCCCATCTTACTGCATGGTATTCATAAGCATCTTATTTAACAGTTCCATAATATTTAATCCCTCTATTGTTAGGTATCAGATTGTTGCCAATTTTTTAAAATATCATAAGTATTTGTGTGTTCAGCAAATATTCGTTGAGTGCCTACTGTGTGCCAGGGCCCCAGGCTAGGCCCTGAGGATAGATTTTCCCAAATAGTGTTGCTGATCAAAGAAAAAGAACATTTTTCTGGTTCTCAACACATGTTGATAATTGGTACTGTTACACTGTATTTTCACCCATTGTTTAAAAAATATTATTTTTTTGCTAATTTGAAAGATCTGATCATTTTTTGGTCTGTTTATGTCACTGGTTTCTTATCAACCTGTATGAGTCCTTCATGTTAAAAGATAAAAAGGTTAAGTGAAATAACATGAGTCATCATCCTCTTGCCAGTGTTAGGTACCTATTTTTTTATTTCTTTCCTTTCCGTCTATCCTGTAGATGTGGAATAGCGATGGCATTCAGGCCTGTGAGGTCACATTTGCTAAAATGGGGCTGCAGCATCTATCAGACTATCTTTTCCTTGGGCCAGAGTTAACTGTACAGTTATAAAATATTACTTATAAAATATAAATATTACTTATAAAATATTTTATAACTGTACAGTTATAAAATATTAATGTGATATTTTATGATTATTGTATTATAAACACAAATTCACTTACTAGGCAGAAGAAAACTTAAAATACCCCTAATGCCAAGCAAAGCATTATAACCATATGGGAATAAAACAAAGGGACATTAAATCTAGTCATGGATTACAACTAATTTTGCCAATGTTTATGGCCTACTCTGGTGGAGTTCTTGTCCTTTAATGAATTTGGTTGAAATTTTTAGGAGTAATAAAGGCTTCCTGGAGGGTGATGGATTAGATCCAATATTTACTTAATTTCTTATCAAACCCTCTCTTCCACAGCTCCATTTCCTTGGGGTGCAGCTGTCATTAGTGAGGGACGAAAAGGCAGAATACAAAGATCATGTAAATACACACATGTTCTTTAACCTCTAAACCTCATATCAGGGCAGTTGGTCTAAGAGAAGAAGACTGACATCTTCTTCAGGTAAGAATTATGACCATATGTGAATTCCCATATCCGAATGGAGACATTTAAAGAGCAATGAAATGTAAACTGGGGAAGAAGTGATGGCTCATTCAGGTTGGGGAAGTGGGTTTGTCCCTGGGGGAAGCCCAGTATAACACTATGGAACTAATACTACTTCTCTATCTTCCAAGGGTAGGATGGGTAGGAGGATGAGATAGAGAAAAAGTTAAGCAGCCAGGAGCAGTGGCTCATGCCTGTAATCCCAGCACTTTGGGAGGCCGAGGCAGGCGGATCACCTGAGGTCAGGAGTTCGAGATCAGCCTGGCCAATATGGTGAAACCCCATTTCTACTAAAAATACAAAAATTAGCTGGGCGTGGTGGCAGGTGCCTGTAGTCCCAGCTACTCGGGAGGCTGAGGCAGGAGAATCACTTGAACCCGGGAGGCAGTGAGCTGAGATTGCACCACTGCACTCCAGCATGGGCAACAGAGTGAGACTCTGTCTCAAAAAAAAAAAAAAAAAGACAAAAAAAACCGGTTAAACTTCCTTTCTCAAAAGTAGGAGCAAGAGGCCTGCATGGTGGCTCCCGCCAGTAATCCCAGGACTTCTGGAGCCTGAGGAGGGAGGATCGCCTGAGGCTAGGAGTTCGAGAACAGCCTGGGCAACATAACAAGAGCCCCATCTCTACAAAAACAAAAAAAAAATTCTTAAGTAGGATCAAAGATTAAGACAGTTGATTTATTAAACCTCTACTAAGTGACCAAACTTTATTAAACTCCATGAAACCCCATGCCCAACCTCCTTCTCAGTCACACTGAGACACTCTTGTACATTTTCCACATGGGGTTTCAATTCCCCACAGTATTTCTGTGACTTCCTTGAAGACCACACTCTAACTGCTGTCATGTGGCCTCTGCCTACCTACTTTTACTGAGAAAGGCTAAGTTTTTCTTCAGAGTATCATAGTTCTCCTTAAATACTGTTGACGACTGTCATTGTCAACTGATACATCCTTTCTGGAAAGCATTTTCAGTTTTCTTCAAAAGGCCTTTAAAATATTCAGGCTCTTTGACTAAGTAGTTACACTTCTAAGTTTACTTGAAGGAAACAATCAGCAATATTCCAGAGATATATATGCAATGAGTTCAGTGAATGGCTAAGACAGAACCACTGTAAATAACCTTTATACCCAACAGTGAGGAATTAATTTCATTTAGTTACCCAATCTAATCGAATGCAGCAATGAAAACATTTTTTAGAAGGTTATTTAATTCATAGAAAAGCATCCACAGTAAATTTTTTTCAAGTATTAAAAAAAGAGGTAGAACAATGGTACTTTTACTCCTTGTGTTATAAGACAAACCCAGACTGAACTTTGACATAGGCCAAGGTCAATGTGTCTAAGAAATGTTTTATTATACTATTTTTATTCTTAGGCTCCTCCATTCCTCTTTTAGGACTCCTTTGGGTTCTCAGAATGGACAGAGCAAATAAATTCCGTTCAGGGATCCTGGACCTGCTTAGCGCAGGAAGAGACTTACTTAGATGCTGCAGCTGGGATAACTTACACAAGTCATGTTACTAGCAAGCAGCTGGCGGTGGACTTGGACCCGTGTCCAGACCTCCAGCCTAGCATCAGAGCTATATTCTGAACACACAGTCGCATAAGAATGACTACCTATCCTATACTACCTATCTTATTTATTTTTAGAGGTATAAATTATTTTTAGAGCAAAACTGAATCGCGCCTGGAGGAAGGCCAGATGCATTGCCTGTTCTTATTAACCCCAACAGGTAATTGGCTCTACTGCCCCCTAGACCATCGCGTTCCCTTTCCCTTCTCCTCTCTCCATCCCAAAGAAAGGGTGTAGAGACCCTCCGTCCTAAAGTGCCCAGCGAGCTAGCCAGAGATACTGGGCCGTGGGCACCCGCGGAGGAACAACGCTCCCTACCTGCAGGCGGACAGAAGCGCGGCTGGTGCGGAGCCTCGGGAAGCTGCGCAGAACTGGGGCCGCGCGGGACGCGCCAGCTGCTCAGCGTTGCGCCAGGCCCGGAGGCGGGGTCCCGCCCACCTCTGCCCAAGGCAGCAAATCCAGTTTGCCGGGCGTTGGACTTTCCTGACCTTCGGTGAAATCGGCGGAAGCTTTCAGTTTAGGTATCTAGTGTTGGTGTCCTAGGAATAAAGCTGTGTATAGAAATGAAACAGAAAGTGAAACATGTCAGTCCAGTTTTCTTGTAAATGAGATTTTCACCGGGAAGAGTTTCGAAGATTAAAGCAAATCCACATTTAGTATGTTATTAATAAAAAAAGAAATTTACAACAAGCCAACATCTGAACGCACCTTGATTTTACCTTCAGAGGGGTAAGAGCTTAAGGTTACCCCTTAACCTTTATCAGAAAGGCGTCCCCCTTTCTGATAAAAGCCTCTTCAAGGTGACTGAACATCTTGACATAACTTGATATAACTCTACAACATATAAAAAGTCAGCAGCAGACCCATATGGCTTTGGTTTTTATTCTAGAAAGTAGGTGTGTGTGTGTGTGTATGGGTGTATAATAGGAAATATATTTTTAAATCGTGGATTCTGTGACTTCCTCAAAGTTCCTCGACATAATGAAACTTCATTTGCTTTGTCATTAAAAGAACTTCCCATCCCGAGCTACATCTTTTAAGAATGCTCAGGGTCCCTGATATTCTGCCACCCTAAGGATTAAGGCTGCGGAAGCCTATTCTAGGTGAGGGTTAAGAAAGCCCTTTTGAAAGCTTTGGGTTAGTGAATGGGCCCAAGATGACAGACGATGGTGTCATAATTTACTTAAGTATTATCCCGCGCTGAACTTCTAGGTGCTCTCTTTTCTCGAACTCCTTGACCTCAAGTGATCCGCCAAAGTGCTGATATTACAGGCTTGAGCCACCGTGCCTGTGTGCTCCCTTTTCTTTTTTTTCTCTTTTTCTAAATTGAGAAATTGGACTCTTCGTTGTTTGCCTTTCCTTCTTATTCATTTCAACTGCAGTTCAAAATACTGCATAATGAATGAATATTGAGATAGCCCTTGCATTGGTTATGACATTTGCTTCCAAAATAAGAATTTTCACATTCTGATTGTATCACAGATTTTTATTTTTATCTGGGAAATTATTGAGGCTGACACTGCCTTGATTTGGCAGGAGCATGGAGTTCTCTTTGGCCCCAATAAAATTGCAATAGGGTTTGGGCCCAGCTCAGATGTTCCTTCTTTCAAATCACTTTTGAGGTCACATAGTAGAATAGAGCAATTTTGGTGACTGTAAGTTTGGGTGACTTCCCAAAGTTCCCGAAGTTGGGTGACTTCCCAACTTTGGTGACTGTGACCTCTAGGAAAATATAGACATTATGTGGCAATACAGTTTACAGGTACTGCATATATATAGTCTGTGTATGACACACACATGTACAACAAGTTTCATGAAAAAATACTTAGATCTACTATCTGCAATGCCCTCTGATATTTTCATTTAATGTTTTATTTTTCTAAAAATGGTCAAGACCCAGGGCATAAACTTTATGATCTGCTAGTTCATCATGACTCTTGAGGTCTGCAAAAAACAAAACAAAAAAAAACAACTGGCTTCAGAGCCATCTACCACTAACTAGCTGAGTTAACTTGGGCAAATAATTTACCAAGTAGCCAGGATTAAATCATATCCTCCTAGATGGCCTGGATGATCTATGAATAATTTTTTAAACTGGGGATGGGTATTTTGTTTTTGTTTTATGAAAGCAGTGTTCAGGGTCTACCTAAATGATCAATGAGGCAAACGGAATTTGCCTTTCTCTAAAGTTGCTGATGGGAATTGAGGGTATTTGCTCAGCTTGCTGCTCAGTGATTTGCGTATTAGTAATGTGAGGATTCGTGTTTTTGTTCATCTTTCCCACCTGTTTCTACCCTTCAGCCATTCATTTTCCCATACAATTGATCAACTACCCGGAGATTGAAAAACAGGCTGTGTTTAGAAAAAGAGAAATTTTATTACCTCAGAAAAATATGTAAAGCAAAACAGATGGTTAATGAGTGGGGGGTTAAGTCCTGAAACTCTGTGTGAATTTTTTTATTTGGACGAAATAGATGGAGAAGTGCTGAGATGGGAGAAGAGCAGTGGGGAGCCAGGGCTGAAGAGCTAGATACTATGGTCATCTTGAATACCACCACTTCCTATTCATGTAACATCTACTCTATTCATTTTTAGACATATAAATTCATCATTGCCAATGTGCTGTTTCTCAGAGTGTCTCTGATGGTTACTTGCATTACACTCGACTTGGGGTTAATGTTTAAAATACAGATTCCAGGGTTCTGCCTGGGATCCAAACTTGGGGGCAGGGTCTTGGAGGTCAACATTTTAACATTGTCCTCAGGTGAGTCATGTTCACATTTGAAGTTTTGAAAACTAGTGATTTAATATTTAAGGGAAAAAATGAGCCAAGAGTTCTTTGCAAGTACAGCTGTAATTCGCTTTCTTCCATCTAATTTGGCTGATTTATCAGTACCATCCTTCCTTCTGCCTCTGTCTACCCTGCTTGCCACTTTTGCTTCTAAAGCAGGAGAGATGATCCTCGTTTGTACTGATCTCAGGAGGACTGATTTCAAGATCTTATAAGTGGACCTGAAGAGATGTGAGCAAATTCCTGGTGAAGGAGCAATTTCCAGTAAATGTTCTTGATCTTCAAAAGCAGCATATACTAAAGAGACTCAAAACAAAAGACATGACAAACTGCTTTGTTTGCATCGAATATTTTAAAATGCATTTTATTATGTATAAAGACAATATCAAGATTTGTCTCCAGGTTCTATTTTTGATCATGTAGGGTTTTAAACCACTGCCCTATGCAATGCTCATTTCTCTTCCTCTGTTTCCATCCAACCCCTCACATTTGTTGCCCCTACCCTTGTCATAGACTCACATCCTATATGTGTCTCGTGTCAAACAGACTTCGTGGAAAGAATACTTTGTTCTAGTTACACAAAACAATGGTTTAAATGACAGGGGTAATTAACATGTATGGGTGACCAGAGAGTAGCAGCTGTCCTCATCTGACACTCACAATCAGATGCTTCTCTCGCTCACACTGTGTCTCTCTCCTTCCTGTCCTAAGCTGGGGAAGAGCTGGGCAGGTGAAGAGCTCTTGCCTTCAAAGGGCAGACCCCATGCCACAGGTACTTTAAAACAAAGATGAGACCTCCAACAATTTCCCCCACCCACAATAAGTTCATAAATCCAGACATAAGTAGTTATGGCCTGGATAAATGCTGTGGGAGTTGGGGAACACTCTGTGGTAAATATTTTAAATCTAGGGAATCTCAATAAATCAACAAAATGCCACTAAAGATAAAGTTTACAATTGAGAGATACTCTTTCAGGGGATCCTAGAAAATATTTCTTGATTTAATATCCTAGAACTAATAACATAAGTGAGTGTCACACAAATGAAATAGTCACCTTGTGAATCATTTCCTTTGGTAACCACACTTAAGGTGAACTGGATCAAGAACCCATTTAACCCATTTATTTTTGTAGGCTCATCATAAAAGAATGAGAATTTTTCTTTTCCCCACCATTTCCTTGAAAGGACAGCAAGACCTTTCTGCTCTGAGAGAGATATGTTCCAAACAGAAATTAATAAATAAAAATTTCAGATACCGAAAAGTCCTATACAAGAAAAAAGAAGACAAGTCAGAGCAATATGGTATAGTGCACAGGTGTGAGGTTCCTTTAGTTATGGTGGTCAGGAAATGTGTAAGAGGTGATATCTGAGAAATGAATCATGAAGATAACCATGGAAAGATCTGCCAAAAGAGCATATTTGGCCATGGGAAGAGACAGGTACAAAGACTATACGGGTGGAACAAGCTTGGCAAGTTCCAAGGATGAAAAGAAGAGAATTGTGGGTAGAGAGTGAGGAAGAGGGATGGGAGGGTCAAATCATATCATGAAGAGCCTTGAGGACTAGGGGAGAGGTTGCATTCTACTTGCAATGAAAAGCCACCAGATGGCTTAGAGCAGGGTAGTTGCCTGATGAATGTTCTAAAAATACCACTCTAGCTGTGGTACGAAGAATGGAATATGGAGGGGACTTACATTCATGGAGGCTGGAAAATCTTTAGGAGCTGTTTCTGTAGAGCATGTTCAAAATATAATTTGGAAGTAGAACCAGTAGGACTTATTGAGGGATATTAGTGGTAATGGATAAAAGGAAATCAAGGAAGATACATACTCACACACACATATATTTGTATATATTTATATACATTACATATATATTTGTATTTATATACATTAAATATATATTTGTATGTATTTAATATGCTTTTCCAGAGTAGGATACTATAGCCAGTTTCAATATTATGTGCATTCTCTAAATTAAGGAAGTCTAAAAACAAAACAGAAACTTTCCTGGTAAGTGAACTACTGGAAACCAGTCTAAACCAATCAAGAAAATCATGATTTCTAAAGAAAAAATTACAGTCTTTTCTGGAAATGGAGAAATTGGTGGCAGTATGTTGACAGTATTTCAAAGCCATGCTCCTGAGGCTTGCTATTAACCAGGCTCCAGTTATTTTGGAGAAATTCACAAGAAGGGCTGTGGGTTAAGTTTAGAGCATTTTTTTAAAACAATTCTTATGTTTTTTTTTTATGATTCTAAACATTGGAATATTTGAAACATTTAATGTTTGAACATTATTAAGATACAATATTTAGATATTTGACGTTTTCTACTTCGTGTAAGGGGGTTTGGCATCTTTTAGAAGAGAGACTCGAAGGTAAGTACAAATATTCTGAATAGTGCAGTATATCATTAAACACAATATCAGAATTTCATTATTCAACACTTATTCCATGGATTAGAGAATTCTTTTTTTTTATTATACTTTAAGTTCTAGGGTGCATGTGCACAACGTACAGGTTTGTTACATATGTATACATGTGCCATGTTGGTGTGCTGCACCCATTAACTCGTCATTTACATTAGGTATATCTCCTAATGCTTTCCCTCCCCCCTCCCCCAACCCCACGACAGGTTCCAGTGTGTGATGTTCCCCACCATGTGTCCAAGTGTTCTCATTATTCAATTCCCACCTATGAGTGAGAACACGCGGTGTTTGGTTTTTTGTTTTTGCAATAGTTTGCTGAGAATGATGGTTTCCAGCTTCATCCATGTCCTTACAAAGAACATGAACTCATCCTTTTTTATGGCTGCATAGTATTCCATGGTGTATATGTGCCATATTTCCTTAATCTATCTACTCATCTGACAAAGGGCTAATATCCAGAATCTACAAAGAACTCAAACAAATTTACAAGAGAAAAACAATCCCATCACAAAGTGGGCGAAGGATATGAACAGACATTTCTCAAAAGAGGACATTTATGTAGCCAACAGACACATGAAAAAATGCTCATCATCACTGGCCATCAGACAAATGCAAATCAAAACCACAATGAGATACCATCTCACACCAGTTAGAATGGCGATCATTAAAAAGTCAGGAAACAACAGGTGCTGGAGAGGATGTGGAGAAATAGGAACACTTTTACACTGTTGGTGGGACTGTAAACTAGTTCAAGCATTGTGGAAGACAGTGTGGTAATTCCTCAAGGATCTAGAACTAGAAATACCATTTGACCCAGCGATCTCATTACTGGGTATATACCCAAAGGATTATAAATCATGCTACTATAAAGACACATGCACACGTATGTTTGTTGCGGCACTATTCACAATAGCAAAGACTTGGAACCAACCCAAATGCCCATCAATGATAGACTGGATTAGAGCATTCTTTTGACTAAGTACAAAGAAGGAAAGCCTCGGAGGCTGAGAAATGCCATCAGGTGGGCATCAGCACTTAGGTGAGTGTGTGAACTCTGGAGATGAACTGGATAGGCCACCCTCCAAGCACCTCCACGTTCAGCACCTCCAGAACCTCTCCAAATCCCCTCATTTAGGGATTTTTATGGGGACTTCATCATGTACACATCAGCAATTGTTACCTCAATCTTCAGCCCCTCTCCCCTTTTCACAGGATGAGGTAGGAGGTGAAAGTTCCAAGCTTCTAATCATGGCTTGGTCATTCTTGTGACCAGCTCCCATCCAGAAGCCCACCAAGTTACTTCAGGAGAATGAAAGATGCTCCTATCACTATGGAAATTCCAAGGGATCAGGAGCTCTGTGTCAAGAACTGGAGTCGAAGGTCACATAGAACAAAAAATTTACCTAGCATACCTATCACTCAGGAAGTTACAAGTCTTTTAGGAGCTGTGTGCTGGAAAATGGGGAAAGAAATTAATGTATATTTATTTATTATAATACCACATGTAATAAGGTAGATCATTTTACTCATCAGAGTTCAGGAACTGTTCTCTGTTATTTTTATACACATTCAGAGTAGGAGACCAAGTTGAATTTCACAGGATTGCAGGAGGCTGAGATTCACAGGCTGAGAATAGGATCATGTGAGTTGCATGGGTTTCAAGAGAAGGAAGTTAACAGGGGCTTAGTATAGTGCTGTAGTGACCTCGCAGTTGAGGAGGATAGATATAAGGTGCTACTGTCAGTGGGAAAAAATAGGAAAGAGAGAAATATCTAGAGAAGATTTTAGGAGTTTCTTGTTCAATATGCTGTGTGAAGCATTTGCGGGGACTCCTTCAGAAAGCATAAGGTGAAGACCCTCATTATTCTTCATGCTTCACAGTTTACGTTTTCATTCAGTTTATGTTTTCTTAGAATGCTATTACATGCATGGACTGAGCCATGTGAAGCCTCAGTTTTATTCAGGTTACACTCTGAAATATAATCATTTTCAGCTCAAAAAACCTTCCTTGACTTTATTACCCCTTACATTTTTATCTTCTCCAATTACTCCTTTTCATAACAAACATCAATAAACTGTATCATTACCTTTTAAAGCTATCAAATTAACAAAACAAAACACAATAATTATAATAAAGATTAAAATAGCAGCAATGGTAAAACATATACCATTTAAAAAATGTCAGACCCTATTTTTGTGATTTACACATATTAGCTCATTTAAATCTTACAACAATCCTGTAAGGAAGGTACTATTATTGCCTCTATTTTAGAGATGTGGACACTGAGGCACAGAGCTTTAGTAACTTGTCTAAACGACACAGCTAGGAGATAGCACAGCTGGGATTCGAACCCAGACATCTGGTTCCAGTGTTTATGCTCTTAACTATTGTGCAAAGGTATAGTGAAATCAGCATCCTTATTCACTGCTGGCATGGTGTATTTGTTCAACTCCAAAAAGTTAAATGCAGAGTTACCATATGACCCAGCAATTCTGCTTTTACATATATACCCAAGAGAATTGAAAACATACGTTCATACAAAAACTTAGCAGCATTATTTATGACAGCAAAAAAAATGGGAACAATCCAAATGCCCCACAATTTTGAATGGATAAACAAAATGTGGTATATCCATACATTGGAACATTAATCAGACATAAAAAGAAATGAAGTACTGGTACATGCTACAACTTGGATGAACCTTGATCATACTAAGTAAAAGGAGCCAGACACAAAAGGCCATAGATTGTAGGCTTCCATTTATATAAAATGTCCAGAATAGGCAAATCTATAAAAACAAAAAGTAGGTTAGGGGTCCCCAGAAACTGGGGGAATGGGGAGAATGGGGAGTTTGGGGAGTGGCTGCTAATAGGTATGAGGTTTCTTTCTAGGGTGAAGAAAATGTTATGGAATTAGATAATGGTGGTGGTTGTACAACTTTTTGAATGTATGAAAAACCAATAAATTGTACAATTTAAGGTGGTACATTTTATGGTTGTGAATTACATATCTTAATCTTAAAAATCTCTAGGTAGGGAGAGAACAGGATCTGAGTCCACTGATGCCATTATATTACACTGCCACATGGTGTCACCGTTGAGGAATGGATGAAGTCCAAAGAAGGCTTACACAAAGCTTGTGTCCAGGTCATGCCCAAGCTACAGAGGTGCCCCAGGATTGGAGTGAAGGTTAAAATCCAGAATTTGGGGAGCACCATCCCAGAATGGTTTAATATTAAGGAGGTTCTAGCCTCAGCCCCACACTGTGCAACTATTTGCAGTCCTTCACAGACCGAAGTTCTTGGCTAAACCTGGTTCCCAGCTCAATGGGGAAATTCAAATCCTTGTGAAAGCATCTCTGTTAAAAGGAGACACTGCTAGGCACATCTTAAACTTCCAAACACTTTATTTTTTGAAAAACTGCTTCTTTATGGAGGTCCAAGGAAATATTGGGCAATTTTTACTGTCCTGGGATAGGGAGCATCAAATGAGTTGAGGATTTTACATCAATTTTCTCTAAAATATTTATACTACTTAACTCAGTGTATACATATGCATGTGCATATATATATGTGTTTATATATATACACACGTATATATACACACATGTATATACGTGTGTATATACACACATGTATATACGTGTGTATATACACACGTATATACGTGTGTATATACACACATGTATATACACACATGTATATACGTGTGTATATACACACGTATATACGTGTATATATACACACATGTATATACGTGTATATATACACATATGTATATATGCGTATACACACATGTATGTATATATACACATACATACGTACATATACATATACATACATATGTATATATACACATATGTATATATATATGTATACACACATATGTATATATACATATATATACTGAGAAATATCCAGCAATGGAAGTTGTTACATACACACTTATTGAAAATCCTTTAGCTGTTAAAAATGGTAAATATAAATGCAATGTAGCAACATAAAAATCCTTATGTTATAATGCAAGATGATATAAAACACATATTTATATATATGCATAAAAATGTACACATATATATTCACAAATTCATACAACTGAAAATAATTCACATACCAGTTAAAGTTATATGCCATTTGATTCTGAAATAAATTTCCTTTAACCCTCTTACTCCACATTTTATAAAATGTGTCCAATATCTATACCAAGACTTTTTTTTTCAATTTCCTGGGCATATTTTTCTATGGTCACTTTTTTCACTTATGTTTTAAAATTATGAAAAACATCATACATACAAGAAAATTTATAATGTGTGTTTTCGGTTTAACATGTATCCATCAGGAATCAGAATTTTACTCAGTTGGTTTGATTAAAGAGATATTAGTGAAGACACTACTTAAAGGAGTATGACTAAGAGAACCATCCAGTTGAGTCATCCAGAGTCTAGCAACAGCAGGAAGACTGCGCTCTCTCTAGGCTACATAGCAAAGGAGAAAAGTGTTTCCAGAGCCCATGGAGCTGGAGCCATGGAGAAGGGACTGCTTGCCAAGAGCTGCAATTGTGGAGAAACACAACCACCACCAGATACTCAGCCCCAAACAGAGAAAGAACAGAGAAAATATACCCTGATGTCTTTTTCCTCCTGCCTCCCATCTCCCTGAATGCCTCCCGCTGTCCAAACTCAAATGGAAACCAGCTGAGGAGAGCCCAGGTGGTGCCGTCCAAAGAGGTCAGCTTTGGGGTATAGAACAGGGCAGGGAAGTGAGGAGAATGAATATGATGGAAGGCAAACAGAAAACCTAGACAGTCTAATTGTTTTGTCACCCAGAATTTATTCTTTTCCTTTGCTCAGATGAAGAGCAGCTCATCCCTTACATATGAGAATGACAGAGTCTGACAAGATTTCTCCTCGACCAAACTTTAGTCAGGCTCCTCTAAGCCATCTCCTTGATTAGATATTGACCTTGGGCTGCAGTGTTCATCCTTGCAGAATCAGTGTTGGCAAGAATCCTGCTAAGTCAGTTTAGAGAGGATCTTCCCACCCTGAATGTTTGACCACTCTCAATATCTGATCAAATTCCTTACCCCCACCAGCCCCCAGGTGATGTCTGCTTACCCTGGCCTACCTTTAGCAAGAATCCTGTTAGGTCAGTTTAGCAAGGATTTCCCCTACCCTTGCTGTCTCTTCTTAGTAATTTTCCATCCACGGACCCCACCCCCATCCACACAACCTGCTCCTCGGCTATAAATCCCCACTTATCCTTACTGTATTCAGAATTGAGCCCAGTTCTTTACCAAGGTCTCTTTCCCCCTATTTCAAAAGTTGCTGAATAAAAATCTATTTTTACTGCTACAGCTATTGTCCAGCTTTGATTTTCCTTAACAAGCCTCATCAGCTGCCATATTGCCTTGAGGGGATGTCAGTTCAGGCACATTCTCACCCAGAAACTAAATTGTAATATTTATCTCCACCACTACTCTTTATGCAGGGTAATAGGAAAAGAGAGTCAGGGAAGAAGTAATTAACATTTTAAATGGAGAGCTACTATAATTCCTGCCTCTAGAGCTTGTTGCAAGGCTAAAATTAATAATCATAGCTTCCTACTCATTTACTTATGTATGTTTCCCCTGCCCTATGCCAACACCTAGGTAGATCAGGATTTTTTTATCTGGTATGCTTCAACACTTTAATTTCTTCATGATCTGAAATTTCTGCATTACTTCAGTTATCTGATAATCATTATTATGGCACACGGCAGTATTAAGAAGTGCCCAGTGAATCTCCAGGTGTCATGCATAGTTCTTCTTGCCCTCAATATATAGATGTAACCCAATTTCCTTTTGGTATTTGGGATGAATCATACCATTCTGTCACTGTGAGGAATCAAAGTGACCAGAGGGCAGTTTCAGCTTTCGAATCAATGAATTGAAATTCAATTCAATTCAGTGACGGGGTCTTCTAGTGGCAGCATTCCTTCCTTTGGATCTAGGCTTCCAAACACAATAAACCCAAGGTTGTAGAAATGGTGTGCTGGAATACTATGCAGCCATAAAAAATGATGAGTTCATGTCCTTTGTAGGGACGTGGATGAAGCTGGAAACCATCATTCTCAGCAAACTATCGCAAGGACAAAAAACCAAACACCGCATGTTCTCACTCATAGGTGGGAATTGAACAATGAGAACACTTGGACACAGGAAGGGGGACATCACACACCGGGGCCTGTTGTGGGGTGGGGGGAGGGGGGAGGGATAGCATTAGGAGATACACCTAATGTAAATGACAACTTAATGGGTGCAACACACCAACACGGCACATGTATACATAGGTAACAAACCTGCACGTTGTGCACATGTACCCTAGAGCTTAAAGTGTAAAAACAAACAAAAAAAAGAAATGGTGTGCTGGATATTTTCTATTTCTCCCTCCAGGCATTGTGCCTAGTAGGCTGACCTCTACAGACTACACAGACCTAGCTCCACTGTCTTCTGGCTTCCTGGTGGATCCAGCCAGCGGAAGACCCCAGCTGGATATCAGAGCTGGGAGAACAGAGAGGTGGGTCTTCTCCACTCTGTCCCTGCTTTGGGCTGACGTCTCAGCACTGGCTACAACTATAGAATCTCACCTTACTTGGTGAAAAGTTGGCATTGCTTGCTTTCCTCTACTGAACGACACGGTTCCAGTTGGTTACTCTCTCGTACAGCCACAGCTACCGCTCTCGCTCTCGCCTGGTTTTAGTAACTGCTTCCTTCCCCCACCCCTCAGCCCTATAGTTACTAACAGCTCCCCGCTGTTACTGGTTACTACTGGTTACGGAAGGCGAACTATGTGCCCGACACTGTGCTAAATGCCCACATATATTATCTTTTAGTCCTCACAATCCAATAAATTAGATGGCTTTAGTCCTGTTGCAGAGGTGATAAATTCAGAGTGACAGTGACAGAGCTAGAAATTGAAGGTAGGTGTGTTTATGCTAGAGTCTGTGCACTCAAACACGATTCCTTACTTCTTGCATCAGTTGTTAACCTCCCTTCAAGAGTGTCAAACCTCCTGGTAACCCGCCCATTCCCTTAACTGGAAATGAGGGTGCTGTTGCAATTTTCTCATCCAGCCATTCCACAAATGGTATCTGGAATGTGGGACCCACAGTCCAGAATCCTGAGGGCTGCTGTTGAGAGCATCAAGACGCGCCCAGGAGGTCAGGGCGGTGTGCACTCACACGCTGAGCCTGGAGAAAGTTAGACGCCTTCTCCACCGCTGTGGTGGTTAGCAGGGACTTTCCTGAAGGCCAGAGACTGGTGACGTTCATGCTATTTTTCCAAGCCATTTGGTAGCAAAGAACAGAGTGCCAACAATTCAAGCATTCTCTCAGGCTGGGAGAGAGACGTGGCTTATTCAAGATAGAAATTGCTGGTGAGGTTGAGGCGAGACCGACATCTCTCTGAGCAGCAGGGGAGAAAGACGGCTCTGTTCAAAAAAGAATGGGTAATTTCAGTCAATTCTCTTCTTTCTCGTTTCTGTCTTATCTTTATGACTTTTTAATAGTGCCAATTTAACAGATGAGGGGACAGAGGCCTTTAATTGAGAATTCCACTCCGCTTCCTCTGCCTCATCTCAAAAATCTGGCAGCTGAGTCGCCGCGGCTTTGAATTTGCCTCTTTTGACCTTCCCCTCCCACCTCTGGTAACACTGAGCCTGGCCCGGAAGGACACACCCGGCTTCTGGCGGAAGTGCCGGCTCTTTAAAGAAGCTGAGGGCTGCGCGAATTGGCTGAGGTGCGTCATCTACTGTGTCTGGGCGCCAATCCCGACGCTGGGCGGAGCGAGGCCCGGTCCCTGCAGCGGGCGAAAGGAGCCCGGGCCTGGAGGTTTGCGTACCGGTCGCCTGGTCCCGGCACCAGCGCCGCCCAGTGAGTGAACACCGGCCGCAGGCGGGTGGGGAGAAGGGTCAGCCCGGCCATGTCAGTCAGCGCGATCTCCTGGGCTCCGGGCTTGCCAGGCAGCGCTGGGCGCCCGCTCCTCGTGAGCGCCGGCTCTTGGCTCTCGCACTGCCCCTGGTGCTGATAGGTATTGCCAACTTCGTTCCATTAGAGCGCGTTCTTGTCGCCTGGCGTGGACTCCGGATCTCTCCGTAGCTTTAAAATAGAGTTGAGAAAAACAGGCACAGTGCTCTCAACAGAAATCAGCACACTATTGCGGGGAATACCTAAATTACAGTAACTGGCCTCAGGGAGCAAGGGCGGTGTTAATTACAGAAAACCTCCGGAAGCTGTGGGCTCTGGGCTGGAATTTGCAAGGGGATGTGGCTTAATTTCAATGGGATGCAAATATTGAAAATGACTGTGGTGAGACGATCAGTCATACATTCAGGCAATGTGTCATCTGATCGGGAAATAAGTCAGCGTGGTAATCCCGATGACAGAATTCATGCAATTAATTTTTTATGTCCCCCCAAGTAAAATCAAATCTAGGTACTCACGGGTGACCGGAAGAAAGGTTGTCTGGAACTTGCAGGCACCACTTCTCCTCCCCAGAAATACACCTTCCCATAGTAATCTATAGCTCACCTGAGGCAGGGCTGAAGCATTAAAGACCCCTTCCAAGATCTCAGAAGGAATCAAAGGGAAAATGAAGACAGAGGGATTGAAATCAGCATTCTCTGCAAAACATCACTCTGAGACACAGTGATGTTTAAAATTGTATAAGTAGCAAGACATTTTTTTTTACCCCTGGTGAAAAGTGTTAGAATTTTTAAAAGACTTAACTTATACAAGTGAGTGAAATCAAAGTTATCCCTATTGCAAGGTCAATTTTGCTTATTTTCTGATACATATTTTGTGAGCAAGAGGAGATAGCTGAAAGTGTTCTGGACACCCTACGGAATATTCCCAGACTTTGGGAAATGACTTTGCCAGGAATGGGGAAGTTGGGAAAGGAAAGAATGTTGAAAATACTGAACTCCAGGGTGAAATTTACAAGGTGTGATGCATTTATTTATTCTCAGGTGTGGTTTCCCATAAGGAAGCTCTTCTTCCTGCTTGGCTTCCACCTTTAACCCTTCCACCTGGGAGCGTCCTCTAACACATTCAGACTACAAGTCCAGACCCAGGAGAGCAAGGCCCAGAAAGAGGTAAATCTAAATACTAACTTCCCAGACAGTGTTTCTTTCCCAGATGATTGACATGAGGACTCTCTCTTTTCAGGGGAGATCCTAACCCCTTACAAACAGGAGCACTTGAAAGCACACAGCTCTGTGATATACAGGGTATGTGGAGGAATAGTACTAGAGTACAGTTGTTTTCTTTATAAATGTTTGCAGCAGGTGTAAAAATTTAGTCATCCACTCCTATGTTCAGAAGAAAAATAAGTAATGGCAAGTGGCCTGAGCCACAGTTTTTCTTGTATCTCTCATGCTTTGTGCAAATATTTAGGGGAAGTAGACACCATGGAGACTATCAAGATGGATAATATCTCGCTCCTAACCTCAGGCAGGTTCTGGTCTGCTGTTAGAGATGAGTCGCATGGGACTGTTAGGGTTTGGAGAAAGGAAAGAACTGCCAAATCACCCTGCTGTCAGTGAGTGGCCTCTAACTCTGGTCACAGGGTGCTCGAGTGGCACAGTGGCAGAAGGGGAGGGAAATCTCACCACCTCAGGCCTTTTCAGCATTGTGCCTCTTCATCCTGGTAAGTGGTTTGGTATCCTGTGCTCAGCTTTGAAGCTGACTCTGGCACAGAGCCCTGAAACTCCAGGTGTATCCTTGATCAGAATACAAGGAAGTCACTGAAGTCTTGCTTGCAGCTCCCACTCACCTGGAACCCCATTAGCTGGGCTTCCCACAGAATACTTGGGAATCCTGGCTGTAATGAATTAAGACTGGCCATTCTTACCTGAGGTTCACAACCCTACTCAACAGCCTATTAAAGAGAAAAGGTATCAGCAACATTGTTGAGAAGGGTAGAGCAGTTGTAACTTTCCCCTGAGTTTTGCAGTATTCTGAAATGCAACCAACTAACTCAAGGTCTTCTGTACCCACCCAGTTGGATTAAGAATAAAAATTGGAGTTCTGTCCCTTGTAGAGTTGACAGCCCACTTAAAAACTTACATAAGATAGACACTACTGTGCATTCATCTAAAAAGTACATTTTCCAGGACATTCAAGTATCTGTATGTTTTTCCATTTTTGAGAACTTTAGTACATGCTATCTTGGAGAGAATGAGAGTGAAGCTGGAGGAGGATGGCTAAGGCAGTTAGCAGTGGGTGGATGGAAATAAGGGGCATGTAGGAGAGGGACAGGGATTGTGGTGGGATGACAGGAAGAATAACTGGTCTACTGACCTTGAGACAGCTCAATCTTCTTCTTTTTTTTTTTTTTTTTAGTATTTATTGATCATTCTTGGGTGTTTCTTAGAGAGGGGGATGTGGCAGGGTCATAGGATAATAGTGGAGAGAAGGTCAGCAGATAAACACAAGAACAAAGGTCTCTGGTTTTCCTAGGCAGAGGTCCCTGCGGCCTTTGGCCCTGTTTGTGTCCCTGGGTACTTGAGATTAGGGAGTGGTGGTGACTCTTAACGAGCATGCTGTCTTCAAGCATCTGTTTAACAAAGCACATCTTGCACCACCCTTAATCCATTTAACCCTGAGTTGACACAGCACATGTTTCAGAGAGCAGGGGGTTGGGGGTAAGGTTATAGATTAACAGCATCCCAAGGCAGAAGAATTTTTCTTAGTACAGAACAAAATGGAGTCTCCTATGTCTACTTCTTTCTACACAGACACAGTAACAATCTGATCTCTCTTTCTTTTCCCCACATTTCCCCCTTTTCTTTTCGACAAAACCGCCATCGTCATCATGGCCCGTTCTCGATGGTCGCTGTCTCTTCGGAGCTGTTGGGTACACTTCCCAGATGGGGCGGCCAGGCAGAGGCACACCTCACTTCCCAGACAGGGCGGCCGGGCAGAGGCGCTCCTCACTTCCCAGACGGAGCGGCCAGGCAGAGGCACACCTCACTTCCCAGACGGGGTGGCGGCCGGGCAGCGGTGCTCCTCACATCCCAGATGATGGGTGGCCAGGCAGAGGCGCTCCCCACCTCCCAGAGGGGGCGGCCAGGCAGAGGCGCCCACTTCCCAGACGGGGCGGCTGGGCAGAGGCGCTCCCCACCTCCCAGACAAAGAGCAGCCGGGCAGAGGTGCCCCTCACTTCCCAGGCGGGGCAGCCGGGCAGAGACACCCCTCACCTCCCAGACGGGGCGGCGGCCGGGCAGAGGTGCTCCTCACTTCCCAGACGGGGTGGCGGCCAGGCAGAGACGCCCCTCACCTCCCAAATGGGGCGGCCGGGCAGAGGTGCTCCTCACCTCCCAGACGGGGTGGCCAGGCAGAGGCGCCCACTTCCCAGACGGGGCGGCCGGGCAGAGGCGCTCCCCACCTCCCAGACGAAGGGCGGCCGGGCAGAGGCGCCCCTCACTTCCCAGGCGGGATGGCTGGGCAGAGACACCCCTCACCTCCCAGACGGGGTGGCGGCCGGGCAGAGGCGCTCCTCACTTCCCAGACGGGGTGGCGGCGGGGCAGAGACGCCCCTGACCTCCCAGACAGGGTGGCAGCCGGGCAGAGGCACTCCTCACTTCCCAGATGGGGCGGCCGGGCAGAGGCGCTCCTCACTTCCCATTTGGGGCAACGGGGCAGAGGCGCTCCTCACTTCCTCCCAGACGGGGCAGCCGGGCAGAGGCGCTCCTCACTTCCTCCCAGACGGGGCGGCCGGGCAGAGGTGCTCCTCAATTCCCAGATGGGGCAGCCGGGCAGAGGCGCTCCTCACATCCCAGACGGGGCGGCCGGGCAAAGGCGCTCCTCACATCCCAGATGATGGGCGCTCAGGCAGAGACGCTCCTCACTTCCCAGACGGGGCAGCCAGGCAGAGGCACTCCTCACATCCCAGACGGGGCAGCCGGGCAAAGGCGCTCCTCACATCCCAGACGATGGGTGCTCAGGCAGAGACGCTCCTCACTTCCCAGACGGGGCAGCCGGGCAGAGGCACTCCTCACATCCCAGACGGGGCGGCCGGGCCAAGGCGCTCCTCACATCCCAGACGATGGGCGCTCAGGCAGAGACGCTCCTCACTTCCCAGACGGGGCAGCCGGGCAGAGGCACTCCTCACATCCCAGACGGGGCGGCCGGGCAAAGGCGCTCCTCACATCCCAGACGATGGGTGGTCAGGCAGAGTCGCTCCTTGCTTCCTAGACGGGGTGGCGGCCGGGCAGAGGCACTCCTCACTTCCCAGATGGGGCAGCCAGGCAGAGGCGCTCCTCACATCCCAGACGGTGGACGGTCAGGCAGAGATGCTCCTCACACCCCAGACGATGGGCGGTCAGGAAGAGATGCTCCTCACATCCCAGACAACGGGCGGTCAGGCAGAGACACTCCTTACTTCCTAGACGGGGTGGCCAGGCAGAGGGGCTCCTCACATCCCAGACGATGGGCGGCCAGGCAGAGATGCTCCTCACTTCCTAGACGGGGTGGCGGCCGGGCAGAGGCACTCCTCACTTCCCAGAGGGGGCGGCCAGGCAGAAGCGCTCCTCACTTCTTCCCAGACGGGGTGGCTGGGCAGAGGCGCTCCTCACTTCCTCCCAGACGGGGCGGCCGGGCAGAGGCCCTCCTCACATCCCAGACGATGGGCGGCCAGGCAGAGACGCTCCTCACTTCCTAGACGGGGTGGCGGCCGGGCAGAGATGCTCCTCACCTCCCAGACAGGGCGGCCAGGCAGAGACGCTGCTCACTTCCTAGACGGAGTGGCGGGCGGGCAGAGGCTGTAATCTTAGCACTTTGGGAGGCCAAGGCAGGCGGCTGGGAGGTGGAGGTTGTAGCCAGCCGAGATCACGCCACTGCACTCCAGCCTGGGCAACATTGAGCACTGAATGAGCGAGACTCCGTCTGCAATCCCAGCACCTCGGGAGGCCGAGGCGGGCAGATCACCCGAGGCCAGGAGCTCGAGACCAGCCCAGTCAACACGGCAAAACCCCGTCTCCACCAAAAATACAAAAACCAGTCAGGAGTGGTGGCGCGTGCCTGGAATCCCTGGCACTCGGCAGGCCGAGACAGGAGAATCACCGGAGCCAGAGGCAGGGAGGTTGCAGCGAGCCGAGATCATGGCGGTACAGTCCAGGCTCCGCAAGAGAGGGAGACCGTAGAAAGAGGGAGGGGGAGGGGGAGGGAGAGGGAGAGCTCAATCTTCTTAAAACGCAAATGCAAAGAGCACAAAGAAATATGTTCTTAAGACGCACAAGGCATCTTCTTAATCATCCCTCCTCAGATGCAAAGGTTCTGTTGCCTAATTGTACAGAGGTAAGAAGATGGATGGTATCCACCCTTCCCCTCACAAAAAAAGAGAGTTGTTTTTTTCTTCAAGAATTCAGTTCTTCAAGATTTATGGTGGGAAGAAAAATCAGGAAACAGCCATATACTTATAGAGCAGGGAAGGATTTTGGAAATTATCTAGTTCAATCAGTTGGTGTTAGGTGAGTAAAATGATGGCCAGACTCGTTAAGTATGCCTGAGGTCAGGCAGCTAGTTAGGAGCAAGAACTAGAATCCACACTGTGTTCCTAGATCAGAAATTTTACTTTTTTTTTTTACTTTGTCATAAGCCCAAGGTAGCTCAAAGTGGAGCATACAAGAATGCATGTAGTGTATTATTATAAGTCTCCTTGCTTTTTTTACATTTTAGGTCAAAATGGGGTTTATATTTTCAAAATCTATGAATGAAAGCATGAAAAATCAAAAGGAGTTCATGCTTATGAATGCTCGACTTCAGGTATGTTTTAAAATAATTAAGCTATTATGTTGTTACAATGCTTAAAGTTTCTACCACATGTACTCCAGCCGTACATTCTCTTTGACTCCCAACAATAAAATGTTCTTTGGGCTGCATCCTTAAAACCAAGATAAAATGGCTTACTAATTATCTGGTGAATGGGCTAATTTAAATCTCCAATCCAGATAAATTTGTGTAAAAATTTCCATTCTGTAGGAAGAGATAACTGCTTAGAGTATGTGGTACATAGAATAATGCCCCCCACCCCCAAAGATAATGTTTGAGATGGGGAGATTATCCTGGATTATGCAGATGGACTCATTGTCATCACAAGGGTCTGTCTTTTTTTTTTTTTTTTTTTTTTTGAGAGAGTCTCACTGTGTTGCCCAGCCTGGAGTGCAGTGGTATGATCTGGGCTCACTGCAACCTCTGCCTCCTGGGTTCAAGCGATTCTTGTGCCTCAGCCTCCCTAGTAGCTGGGATTGCAGGCATGCACCACCACTCCCGGCTAATTTTTGTATTTTTAATAGAGACAAGGTTTCACCATGTTGGCCAGGCTGGTCTCGAACTCCTGGCCTCAAATGATCTACTGGCCTCAGCCTCCCAAATTGCTGGAATTACAGGTATGTGTGCCTGGCCCACAAGGGTCTTTATAAGAGAAAGAAGGAAGCATGAGAGTCAGTATAAGAGAGATTTGAAGATGCTACACTGCTGGCTTTGAAGATTGTTTAAGGATCATGAGTCAAGGAATTCAGGAAGCCCCTAGAGGCTGGAAAAGGCACGGAAACAGATTATTCTTTAGAGCCTCTACAGGGATGCAGTCCTGCCAGCCCATTTTGGACTTCTGAACTTAGAACTGTAAGATAATAGATTGGTGTTGTTTTAAGCCACAGACTTCGTATAATTTGTTACTGCAGCAATAGGAAACTAACATGGAGTGTGAAACCTTAACATTGGATTTAGACGTGGCTGGATAGAAAAGATCAAAGCACTGCAGAAGATTATCTAATTGCCTAATACAGGTTGTAAAAAACATTTTAAAATGTTGCAAGTCAAAAAATCAAGTCTTAAAAGTTTGACCCGAATTATTTTCCTAAGATTTCAGACAAAGATGTCTAGGCCTCTGTGGCCCATTATGGCTCTGGGAGTAGAAAGTCCTCTGGTAAGGCATGTAGCTAGTGGTTAAAAATGAAGACTAAAGCCAGACTGCCTGAGTTTGAATCCCAGTCCCACCCTTGACTAACTGTGTGACTTGTGCCTCAGTCTCCTGATCTGTACACTGGAGGTAATAATATCCCCTTCAAAGGGATGTTTTAAAGATTAAAGATGAAATATATAGAACAATGCCTCAAGTTTTTAGAAAAATGCTTCTCACCTCATAAATATTTGTTGCTGTTGTTACTATTATTGTTTTTAATGACTGACAAGAGTGTCTTATGCAGAATAAATATCTCTTTGGGGACAATGAAACAATTGAAAGAATGGACAACTGAATTATTGTAACAGAGCAGTGACCTAGGCGAGACCAAGTATTAGGTTTACAAATCAGCCAGCTATCCGATGCTTAGCACGTCCTTGTCAAAGACCTTTGGAAACTACAGGGTTTTTACTCTTATGTTGGTCCCCATGAAGTCAGGGTCTGTGAAGGGTCTGGGATTTTACCCTACTTGCAAGCTAACGTGTTAGCCTATTACAGAAGACTGGAGACAACTACATCAGAGTCAGAGGACTTTATTACTCACAGCACAGCAAACAGCATGAGCGTGGTGGTGTTAATTCCCCATGTCCTCCAAAACTCACCGAGGTGACAAAGATGGGCACGGGCGAAATGAGTGCTATGCACTCAGTGGATTTGTGTCACAGTTGAGCAGCGTTGAGCTTAGGGAGCCTACTGCTTTTACAGTGGGCCATGAGCAAGGGGTGGGTTGTGGCAGGGGGAGAGGGTGGGAGCTACTCTCCTCGTAGTTGTTGTGTCCTGGTTGACCCACCCCAAAATGGAGATGTCAGACCTGGGAGTTACAAGCCTCCATGGGTTCATTTTTAACAAGAGCTCAGCAGCAGACCAACGATTGCGTCCCCTTTTTGAAAGGGGTGTGTTATGGGTTGAAATGTGTCTCCTGTCTCCAAATTCATATGTTGAAGCCTTAACCTATAGTACTTCAGAATGTGATCTTGTTTGGAGATAGGGTCTTTACAGAGGTAATCAAGTTAAAATGAGGTCGTTAGAATGGGCCCCAATTCAGTGTGACTGATGGCTTTATGAGAAGAAGAAATTTGGATACAAGACCATACAATTCATACTGGACTATGCATACCGGGACCATACAATGTGAATATGAAGACAGCTGTTTACAAGCCAAGGAAGGGGCCTGGAACAGATGCTTCTCTCACAGCCTTAGTAAGGAACAAACCTTGCAGACACCTTGATTTTAGATTTCTCCCCTTCAGAACAGAGACAATAAATTTCTGTTGCTTAAGCCGTCCAGTTTGTGGTCCTTTGTTATGGCAGCCCCAGCAAACTAATACAGGATGTATTTGGTGCCTGTGCCAAGCAGGTGGTGCTGCTGCACTGGGCAGTGGCCTCACTGGAGCTTCATAGTGATTTTCTTTTCCTCCCTGGGCTTCTATGTTTCTATTAGACCACCTAGAAGGGGTCTGGGAATCCCTGACTGGGGAGTCTGTTTTGGTCACTGTGAGTTTTATAATACAAGCATGTAATACATCAATGTCATTGTACATTTGTATGTAGTGGGTAGGGAGAGTGTTGACACACATCACAGTATCTTGAATTGGCTATAAAGGTCCCTTTAATTTTTTTTTACTCATTGTGAAGTTTGCTTACACTCTATCAGTTGAATTCAGTTACTTTCCCCCACCTAGTCACAATATACATGTGATCAAGCATGATGACTCACACCTGTAATCCCAGCACACTGGGAGACCATGGCAGGATGATTGCTTGAGCCCAAGAATTCAAGACCACCCTGGGCAACATAGTGAGACTTCATCTCCATTTAAAAAATTTAAAAAATTAGCCAGGCATGGTGTTACACAACTATAGTCCCAGCTACACAGGACGCTGAGGTGGGAGGATTGCTTGAGCCCAGGAAGGTCAAGGCTGCAGTGAGCTGTGATCATACCACTGTACTCCAGCCTGGTTGACAGAGCGAGACCCTATCTCAAAAAACCAAAACAATAACAATAAAAGAACAGAGACAAAAGAGTTTAACATAGGTACTTCAAGGGTGGTCGTAATAGTTTCAAGAGATTATGCTGTCTCCAGCTAGGGGAGAGGGGCAGGGAGGGCTTTTTGTCCTTTGGCTCCTCGTCCCAGAATGGGTGCTGCTTCCTGTCCTGTGTTCTCTGGCCTCTGGAGAGAATGGCCACTCAGAGCCATCATTATTTCAGCCTTTGCTGGAGCCACTGCATGGCCTTGCAGTCTTTGGAGCTCTGGGCCACCCCAGTGCTTAGCATACTTGCCTTCCCTGAGACCAAGTAGACTTTGGCACTCGTGTCCAGTCCAACAGAGCCATAAAATTTTGAGTCCTTCCCTGCCCTGAAGTTCCCCAGCATACTTCCCTAAAGCAGAGGGAGTTGGAGGAGAGGCAGGGGAGGATTGGGGACTGGAGGGAGAGAGCCACTCAGTGCCAGTAAGCAAGGCTTTGTATTTACTTTATTTCAAGTGACCTCTGCCACTGGGCTCAACAGACAAGTTTCTGACGCTTTTAGTCTACCCACAGTTCTCTACCCTCATTGTTAACACCATTTATTTCAGCTCTGGGGACCCCTAGATTCAGCAGCCATCGCCACGTCGCCTTGTTTTTTGGCTGGATCGTGGAGCTTGCTGCCCCATTGTCATTGATAACATCCTCCCTTCTCCCACCCCAGAAGGGAGTATGACACAGCCAAAGCACCATTAGGACACCTTGTTTCAACCCTACCTTTTGTTGTTCAACCACATTTAACACATAGGACAGTGAGGAACCCTTATTCCACTTTCCCATCCTCACCACCATCTAGGCAAGAGCATTTACTACCAGATCTCTGGGAATCTTCTCACGTCCTGTAACCCAGCCAACCAGGGCCCTTGTCCCTCCTTTTCCAGAAAGTCAAATATTTCTATGAGCATCTCACATTTGCCACCAAAACTATCAGGGCATGTAAAGTGTCTGGGATTTTATGCTACTTGCAAACAACGGTAGTCTTCCTTATCTGTGGGGGATATGGTCCAAGATCCCCAGTGGATACCTGAAACCATGGATTGTACTGAAGCCTATGTATACTATGGTTTTCCCAGTACATACATACCTATGATAAAGTTTAATTTATAAATTAGCCACAGTAACAGATTAACAATAATTACTAATAAAAATAGAGTAATTGTAACAGTATACTATAATAAAAGTTTTGTGTATGTTCTCTCCTTCTTAAAATATCGTACTGTAGATCTTAATAACCTTGGCATATGATTTTTTTTTTCATATTGAGAACTTCCACTCTTTCACTTAAAGGAAGCACTTTATTGCTTCTCTTTGGTATATCCAAATTGCCAGCATCACTACTCTTCTACTTTGGGGCTATGGTTAAGTAAAACAAGGGTTACCTGCACACCAGCCACTGTGATATTGTGGCAGCTGATCTGATAACTGTGATGGCTATTAGGTAACTAACAGGCAGGTAGTGTGGACAGCTTGGCTACACTAGACAAGGGGATGATTCATGTCCCAGCAGGAATGGTGGGAGATTTTATCACATTACTCAGAATGATGGGTAATTTAAAAATTATGAATTGTTTATTTCTGAAATTTTCCATTTAATATTTTCAGACTGAGGTTGACCATGGGTAACTCAAACTGTGAAAAATAAAACTGTGGATAAGAGGGGACTGCTGTAATAAATTAGCCTGTTATTATTTCATGGATGCTGGCAGAAGACTTTATTACTCGTAGCACAGAAAGCGGCACGCACTCCAAGTCCCATAAAGGAGATGAAGGAGAGCCTCGTTGGATGCTGGGATGGATGCTTTGGGTTTGTGACATAGCTGAGGTACATTGAGCTTGTGGACTCTATCATTTTCATCATGAGTGATGAGCAAGTCTGCTCTTTGACTGGAAGGAGATGGTACCTCATCCCTCAGGGTTGCTTACTGCAAACACAACTCTGGGAAATGGCCCAGCTAAAGAGCAGTCAGGGCCTGTGACCTCATCCTACCCAGCAAGATCGTGCAGGAAGACTTGTCCCATGGTGGATTGATTCTCCTAACATATGTTGCTTAAGGTGACTAGGTTTTTCTTGTTGATCAAGATACACTTTATTATTTATTTCTTAATTTCAAGAAAGGATGAACAGGGGAATATAGACCCACATGGTTGAACCAGTGTTCTAACTCTAGAGATACTTGAGTTCTGATCCTCCCTGGGGCAGCCTAGAGAGAAACATCCTCATCTACAATAGTTTCGGAAGATTGGTTTGTTCCTTGAATGTGTCCCACTTGAAGGAATTAAACTTCCAGCATCATTCTAGGGTTTTGAGCTGTTCTTTCCTTTTTTAAGAGTATGAAGTATTTGATATATACCACAGAGTATATTTATATCAAATGTAAGTTATGGAGTATAATAAGATGAACACCAGCGAATCTCCCACTAAGCTTAAGAATTCTGTTATGACAATATTCCTGAAGCTCCCTGGGGGTTCTCCTCCCTATGTATTGAGTGAACCCAAATAGCTAAGGCTGGGCTGGAATTGACCTCATGTCCCAGAAGTCCCTAGGGTTGAAAAGGACCCTGAAAATGGCATGGACTTGACTACTGGGCTAGAAGATGTTGTCTTTTTAGGGTCTTCAAAGATGAAGTTTTAAAAAAGATTCTGATTGAAATACCATGTCTAAATAACATCTTTAGCCTGTGATTTAGTCTTTTGGCTATTTTTAAATTTAATGGCACCTCATGAGAAGGATAAATAGAAGAAATAAAGCAAAACGTTTATTAGAGTAAAGCCTAATAAATAAAATCTTATCCTACTGGAGTTTTTTTAGTTCTTTATTTTTTGATTAAAAACAAAGATAAATCACAGCTCAGTAATTTTGTGTTATTGTTTTTTTCTTTTGGGGGAAAAGACCACTCATGATTCAACCCCATCTCTTATACCACTGGTCAGGCTCCCAATCCTGGCTGCACATTTGATTCATCTAGGGCCTTTTGAATGTTTGGGTCCCACCTCAGACCTTCACAGAGTTGTTATTTTAATCTCTCTAGGGGACTGTAATGCAATGTAATGGCCTGGGGTGAGAAACATTTTTTCCCTTCTTTTTCTGTGATGCTACATAATTATAATTGGTGATTGTCAGTGATTTAATATAATCTATAATGGAGATAGAAACCAAGCAAGTTTTCAATTAATAGTAAGCCAATCAGGAAACGAAATTAAATCAATCACTGGAGTCTGGTTAACCAAATTTATGAAAGGCCTCAAATCAAAAGGTTTTCTTTTTTTAACTTACGACTTTGGTTCAAATTGTGATGGAGAGGATTCATGCTACTAGTTATAATGATATTTTCAGATTATCAACAAACTTCAGTTTCTTTCTAGCCTGTGTTAGGATGGTGGATGAGTGGTAAACTCATCTAAAAACTCCTCTAAAAATGAATACTTCCTTAAAATGCCACTAGGAGGCACACCTAAACTAATTTTATGTCACCTGAGTGGCTGGAAAAGCATTTTGAGAATGAGGGAAGAACATATTCTATAGGTCCATGCTGTGCTGCAGTGCTATGTAGGCAAAGCACTTTTGGTCAATGTAAAGATTAGCTGGGCAGTAAATAGATGTTTATTTGTTGTTTATTGTGTTCAAGCAACAAACTAAAGGTTTTTTAAAAATGCATGAGATCTAGACTTTGACCTTTATATCTGTTGTTAGACTTTGGTGTTAAGAAAATGAGGCATAGCTATAAACCAAAAAATACAGTTATTTAATATTAATATGTATAGGCTGGGTGGGGTAGCTCACGCCTATAATCCTGGTCAATACGGTGAAACCCCATCTCTACAAAACAACACGAAAGATGAGTCAGGCGTGGTGGCTCGTGCTACTTGGGAGGAGGATCACTTAAGCCCAGGAGTTTGGGACCAGCCCGGGCAACGTGACAAAACTCTGTCTCTTTCTCTCTCTCTCTCTCTGTCTCTCCCTCTCTCCCCCCCCTGTGTGTATATATATATATATATATATATAAAATATATAATTATATTATATATAATGTAAATATATTAATATAATATAATATAATAAATAATATATTATATTACTGTATAATATAATAAGTAATATATATTATATTGTATTATATAAACATATTAACATATATGTTAATAATATATATTTATATGTTATATATTATATGTTAATAATATATATTATATTTTATAATATGTTATATATTATGTTATAATATATAATATATTTTATAATATGTTATATATTATATGTTAATATATAATATATTATGTTTTATAATATGTTATATATTATTACATTATGTATTATATGTTATTAATGATAATATATTATATATAATACTATAGGTACACATCACATTGCCCAGCTAATATCTAATATATATTATATATAATATATGACATATAGTGTATATATACTATATGACACATATAAATACATATATATTACATATTACATATATTATGTATTATACATATTACATCTATTACTATATATAATATATATTATTACATGTAATATATAATATATGTAATATATATTATAATATAGACTATATTACATATATAATATATATTATATATTATACATATATATTAGCTGGGCAATGTGATGTGTGCATATGGTATATACAATATATGTCATATATAATAGATGAAATAAATACATATATATTACATATTACATATATTGTGTATTACACATACATATTACATATATTACTATATATAATATATAACAGGTAATATAATATCTAATATATGTAATATATATTATAGACTATATTACATATATATTAGCTGGGCAATGTGATGTGTGCCTATAGTTCCAGCTATTCAGGAGTCTGAGGTGGGAGGATTGCTTGAGCCTGGGGGGGTCAGGGTTGCAGTGAGCTGTGATTATGCCACTACACTACAACCTGGGTGACAGAGTGAGACCTTGTCTCAAAAAAAAAAGAAAAATAATAAAAAAGAAATTTCCCATCTGAATTTCTTAATGAGCTGTAGTTGAGGTACCTGGGGCCTGGCAATCTGTTCATAGAGTGTTTCAAGAAGAAAGAAGGTGTTTTCAACGGTGTCAAATGCTGCAGAGAAGTCAAAGGCCTTTAAAAAAGGTCAGTGCCTGGGAGGAACCATGTCAGTAGAATATGAGGGAAGAAACAAGTCTGTAAAGGCCTGAGTGTACGTAAGGATAAAATGAAGGAAGAATGTATATAGACTCCCTTAGTTTTCTGTGAAATCTTACCATGCAGGTAAAAGATACAGTATGTTCCAAATATAATTATAAAAAGAAACATACTTCCAGACACATACTGGGAGGTATTCCTTTGGCATTACAACATTCATTTACACATTTAGTACACTTTATGGAGTGTCTATCACGTGCCAGTTGAATTAGGAGCTAGAGATACTTTGGTAAACAGCACAATCCCCTCTTTCAAGGAACTCAGGCTCTTGAACAGGGTAGTGGTGTGATAGTGACAACAAACACTTTCAATATTGTGTTAGGAACTGAGAATTCTAGAGTGTTTTGTGAGCCAAAATTGGTCTGGCTTCAAATGTTTTCTAAGTGCCAGCAGACTATGGAGCCATATCTTCAGAATTTTGAGAGAAAAACCCCAAAACTTTATATTTAGGTAAATTATATATGCATGATGATAAAAAGAAAATTTTAAACGTGCAAATATTAAGAAAATAAGTCAGCCAGGTGTTTCGAAAGCAATTAACTGAAGATATAATCTTGTCAATTTAGAAAGAAATACTAAGACCCACCAGCAAATCTAACTTGCTAAAGTGCATGTAGAGGAGAGGAAAACTTTAAAAAAAAACTTTAAAACCAATATTTTGGTAGTCTTTTTTCTTCTATTCCATCTTCCTTTGCCTTTTTGCCCCTTTTTGTTGGAATATACTTTAAGGCAAATTTCTATTTACCTGTAATATTTCCATATGATTCTCTAACAGATATAGATATAACCATATTTAGCTAAATTAGCAATAATTTCTTCCTATCATATGCAACCTAATTTCAGTTGCTTCACAAGTGTCTTTTACAGTTGTGTTTGAAATAGGGATCCAAGCAAAGTTTTCCTACTATAGTTGATTATTATGACTCCTAAGTCTTTCTCAGTTTGTGAGAATATCCCTCCCTTTCTACTTGTCGTACTATTTATTTGTTGAAGAAACCAGCTCATCTGTTCTATGGAATGTGCTACAGTTTGTATTTGGCTGATTGCCTCCTCATGGTATTTCTGAGCATATTCTTCTATTTCATTCTTCCTATGAAGTGGTAAATCTAGAGGTTTGATGAGACTCCAGTTCAGTTCTTTTAGCAAGAATCTTTTCTAGGTGGCAGTGTGTAATTCCTAATACATCACATCACAAGGCTCATGAGGTCTGGTTGTCTTACCTTTAGTCATATCGACCTGATCTACCCATTATAAGTTTCCCCATCAACCTGTGATCGGCCGGCCTTACCATCCACTCATGATCATTGCCTACATCTGTGACTTCATTAGGGCTTGAATAAAATGGCAGTTTAAAAATATTCTCTCATTCCTTTGACATTCGTTGTGTGGAAATTTATTAAGAACTTTTACTACCTGGTTATCCTGGAATATAGTTTGTACAGGAAACAAAATAAATGCTTGATTCTGTCCTTTTATTTAGCAATTTCAGAATAGTGAATTGATACCCTAGAAGTCTCCACAATTTACCAAATAACTTTTGTTTATTTGTATATTGTGACTATAAACTCTTTAATCAGTTGTAGTCATTATTCTTTTTGCTCAAGTTATCCCATCTTTGGCTAATGGAAGCTCTTTCAAGTTGATTCCTATGTCCCTTAGATAAGACCCACTTAATTCTTGATTGTAGGGAGGTTGCTTTAGCCTGCCTGTGTCTCATTTCCCACATGTGAGTATATAGCTTAATAATAAGGAGTATGATACTTTGTAGGGTTACTCTGAGGATTAAGTGAGATGTCCCACATACAAGAATTTAGCACACAGCATCTGCCCCATGTAAGCACTCAGCAAAGTCAGTAATTAAAGCAAAAGTTTTCTTATTAGATGTGCCATTTATTCATTCACCAAATGTTTATTGAGGAGCCCCTGCTCTATACTGGGTAATATTTAGATGGGGAGACATAATAGTGAACAAAATCCTTCCCTTGTGGAACTTACACTCCAGTGGGAACACATGCAACAAACCAACAAACACAGAGTGTTAGTGGTGATGAGTTCTGTGAGGGGAAAAAGCAGGGTAAGGGATGATGATGGGAGACCATGGGTGGGTGAATGGGAAACCCCATTTTTGGTAGAGTAGTTAGTGAAAGCCTCAGAAGGTGACCTTTGAGCAGAGCCTTGAGGGAAATGACAAAGTGAGCCATGCAGATAGCCAGGGAACGAGTTTCAGGCAAAAGGAAAGTGAATGCAGAGACACTGAGCTGGGAGAACTCGTGGTGAGTTGGAAGAACAGCAAAGAGGCTGGTATGGCCAGAACTCTGAAAGGATGGGGGAGAGTGGATAGAGATGAGGTCAGAGGTCGCTCAAGCCTTGTACCCAGGACAACTGTTTTGAAATGTATTCTGAGTGACGTGGGAAGCCATTAAAGGGTTTTGAGAGGAGTAGTGATGTGACCTGATGGTTTTTGCAACATAAAATATAGTGTGTGCTCAATAAATGCTTTCTGAAATACATAAAAGTTAAAGCAGCAAATAACTATTATGAGCACATTTAAAAGTTGCTTAAATCCTTATAACTCCCAGTATCTGTCACACTTGTGCCCCCCATCTGTTTTTTTCTTTACTTGCTTGTTTTTTGAGGAGAAGGCTGTACCAACATCTTGAAATAGGAAGGGTCCTATGTTCTGAGGAAAGCAAGAAAGTGCAGTGTGTGCTTTTAGAGAGGCTTTTGGTGACAAGGAACCAGAATGTAGAGTAGGTGGAGGAGAAGAAAGCAGCACAATCTTTGTAGGGAGAAAGACCAGGTAGTGAGTGGGAGTTGGCCCAGAGACTAGAAGTATGAGCGGACTTAACCTGGAAGTGTCTTTCTTAAAGGGGCAGCATGGCCAACACAAGTTCACCGAGGGAGTGGGTGTACATGCATGACTTAACTCCTGGATCCACACCGTATTTAGCTTTTCGTTCTGGGGCTCATTTCTGCCCATACCTCCTGTCCCCACTACCTGCCGTAGTCTCCCCATGTTCCTCATCTGAAGTCATTCTTCTGAAGTTAATTTTTTTCACTTGTGAAAAAAATACACATCATATAAACGTCACCATTTTAAAGTCTACCACAATTCAGTGACATTTAGTACATGTACAGTGTTGTGCAACTGTCACCACTATTTAATTCTGTAACACTTCATCACTCCAAAAGGAAACCCTGTAATTGTTAACCAGTCACTTCCAACTCCTCCTCTCCTTCCTCAGCCCTTTGCAACCACTAATATGCTTTCTGCAACCACTCATCTGCTTTCTGCCTCAATGGGTTTGCCTATTTTGGGCATTTTCTGTAAATGAAATCATAGAATATGCAGTCTTTTGTGTCTGGCTTCCTCCAATTAACATAACCTTTCTAAGATTCATCCATGTTGTAACATGTATCAGTACCTCATTCCTTTTTATGGCTGAATATCATCCATTGTATGGATATACCACATTTTGTTTACCTAGTCATATGTTGGTGGATATTTGGGTTGTTTCTACCTTTTGGATATTGTGTATAGTGCTGCTGTGAACATTCTTATACCAGTTTTTGTTTGAACAGTTGTTTTCCATTCTTTTGGGTATATACCTAGTAATGGAGTTGCGGAGTCATATGGTAATTTTATGCTTAACTTATTGAGGAACCACCAAACTCTTTTCCACCATGGCCACAGTTTTTTACATTCCCGCTGTAAAGTGTAAGGGTTACCATTTTTTATGTCGTCACCAAATCTTATTTTCTCTCTCTCTTTTTTTTTCCCCCCAAATTCTAGTCATCTGGTAGTTTTGAAATATATCTCATTCTGGTTTTGAGTTGAATTTCCATAATGGCTAATAACATTGAATATGTTTTCGTGGGCTTAATGGCCATTTGTATATCTGCTTTGGCGAAATGTCAGTTCTAGTCTTTTTTGTGTCTTTTTTTGTGGCTCGCGGCGGCCGCTGGCCATAGGGCATGTCTGGCTCAGCTGGGCAGGCACCCAGGACCACCCCGCGAAGCTGTAGCGTCCGTGGCCTCTGTAGCCAGCACCTGAACACGCCACGGAGAAAGGTCCGCTGAAGAAAGCTCAGTCTCAATTGTGCTTCCTGGCTCTTGCCTCCCAAACACGTACCATTTCCACTTGATGTCATCATGCTCAGAATGGAGTGAAAGGGATTCAGTGACAGATTCAGTTTGGAGGATAAATAATCATATTGCAATGTTTTCCTTGGGAACCACTGTTTCCAGAAGCCATGGTCTTTGAAAATTGCCATTGCTGCTGGCCTTGTATTCCTGGGTGTTTTGAAAGAAGATGTGCCCCGCTGCTGGCTCTGAGCTGCCTGTCGCTGAGGTCGCCCTGGCCTTTGACAAAATGAACACACCTGTGAGTGCTGGATGTCTGAGCTCCCCATGACCTGCACTGGAAAGACGCAGAGCGGCGGCCTCTGAAGACCAGCTCCCTCCCCTTCCCCTTGGCCTTGCCCTTCCTGCTCAGGGTCCACCATGGAGACGCTGTCCCAGGACTCTGCTAGAATGTCAGATCTGTTTTAATTACTGCAGCCCCTAGTGAAGGCCAAGTTGCTGGATTGCAAGCACACCTGCTGTTCAGTTTGCCTCCAGCAGACGAGGACCAGCCAGAAGGATGTGCGATGCCCCTGGTGCAGCGGTGTCACCAAGCTGCCCCCTGACTTCTCCGTGTCGCAGCTCCTCGACGACCCCGAGGTCCTGGCTGTCATCACCATTCCACACGCTTCGGAGCACATGCCGGTCTTCATCAGACTTCCCGGCAGTGGGTGCTACATGCTGCCCCTGCCCATCTCCAAGGAGCACGCGCTGCTGCCCGGAGATATGAGCCGCCACCTGCTGCCCAGGAACCGGCAGAAGTCCGTCACTGTGGTGACCATCCCTGCTGGACAGCAGCCTCTGCAAGGCAGGGCTCCCCAGGGGGTGGCGGAGGAGGAGCAGGACAGGCGGGGCATGGTGAAAAGCTCCATGTGGTTGAGGGTGTGCACTGTCATCTTGGTGGCTTGCGTCTTGGTCTTCCTCCTCAGCATCGTGCTCCATAACATGTCCTGCATTTCTAAGCGCTTGACTGTGACATCTTGTGGCTGGAGAGGGCTGCAGGGAAGTCTCTTGTGGGTGCCAACTTAGGGGTTGAGCACATTGGTGATGAGATCCCAGTGAGAAGATGAGGGGGCGACACTGACCATTTGGTGCTGAGAGCTGGCCTCTGGTTTGCCTCTTGATTTACCGCAAGACAGACATGAAGGGCAGAAGGTGAGGTCTCAACAAGATACCAGGCAACTTGCTCTGAGTACTGATGGCAACAGCTTTGAAGATGATTGCATGCATCCTCATAATCATGTATTCAATGGACTGTAATTTCTGATTTTTCAAAATCACGTTACGAGATAGACATATTCTACTTAGACGTTAAACTCCACAAGTGCGTACAATGTGATCTTCTCGAAATCCGTTAGATTAAAACAAAGATGCTCTGTATGCAAGTAGAATTAAACCTGCAAATCCTTGTAAAAATTCAGTTAAGACATGCAGTGCTGGCTTCTCTACTTTTTTTGTTTTCCTTGAAACTCAGTCTTCATTTAGTTGCTGAGGCTTTTTATACATTTTGAATGGCAGCAAAACAAGTCAAAATGGACAGTCGTTTTTTTTTGAGAAAATATTTTAACAACTGTCTCCAATGTGTTGTGTTTTGTTGTGAACCTTCATTTTCTTCACTTGTAATTAGAGATCCTACGTGTTTATTAAACTGAAAGCCCAATAGGGGAGCAATAAACCGAGACATCATGAGAAAAAAAAAAAGAGTACTTTACATATTATGGATACTAGATTTTTATTGGCTATAAGATTTGTAAATATATTCTCCCATTCGCAGGTGTTTTTTTTTTTCTCTTGACAGTGTCCCTTGACACACACATTTTCAATTTTTATGAAGTCCAGTTTATTTTTCTTTTGTTGTTTTTGGTGTCATATCAGAGAAACCATTGCCAAATCCAACTTCATATGGATTTACTCCTGTGTTTTTTTTCTAAAAGTTTTCTAGTTGTAGCTCTTAAATTTAGGTCTTGGGTCCATTTTGAGTTAATTTTTATGTATGGTATGAAGTAAGGGTCCAACTTTACTCTTTTGCGTGTGGATATCCAGCTGTCTTGGTATGAGGTCCATTCTTTATAAGCATACCGAAGCTAGACACTGTACAGTAAATATTAGGGGTCACATACTAAGTCTTTAACTGGCTCAGATAAAGAAACTGCTTACCAGGTTCTGCCCACACAGCCCCTTTGAAAAGTGCATCTTGACCTTTACTGGTCTTCAAAGTTTGAGTGGCAACCTGCTGTGTCTTTCTCTTTCAAAGCTGGAATGAATGGAAATAAGTTAGCTTAGTTACAGTAAGAAGGACTGTATCTAAATGCAAATACTATTATGCATTATTTAACGTTTAAAGAGCCTACTAAAAATGTCCACCAAGTCTCTTAAAATGTAGGGCAGATATTAATATGTCTGCAGTCACTTGGGGAGCTAATGAAAATACTTTTAATATTTCCTATATTCTGATGTCCAGAAATGGTAGGAAGTGAAAGTAGAACAGTTAATAAAGGTCATTAGTGCCACAGGCACTTTTCTACAAAGGTAGATAAATGGCAAAGAAAGGTCAAGCCACCAAGCTGATCCTTGGCTGCCTAGCCCTTCCATGCAAACAATGGGTCCAGGACAGACACTTCTCCAGGGCAGACACACAGTTTTTAGATTTGTTCACAAACTTAAGTGAGACCAATGAATCCAGTAACCATCAGAAAGCTTTTTTTTTTGTTTTCCTCCTTCAAGCTATAATTTTATTTTCATAAATCTGAAGAGAGCAAATTTTCATTAATTTTTGTTCTTCATTGCTTGGGCAAGGGGGTGGATTGCTTTATTATTTATTAATTCTGTGAGGCATTTTCAGAATGCCTACTATATGTAGGGTTTCAGGTGCAAAATGATTAAAAATGATCCTATAGCTTTAATAATTGTTTTTGCCTTCTTTATACATTTTGATAATATGTACACAGACAGACACATAGTCACCCTACCATATTTCAAACAGAATTTCAGGTAACCTTGCTATTAAAATCTTTAGACTTCTACATGTCTTGTTTCTACTTTACCTGGTTCCTTAAGATAATGAAGAATTTAGGGCAGCAGGAGGAGGAGGATTTCTAGAGAGAGAGAAAAAAGCCCCCATAGATGTCTTTAATGTTGAGTATTAAGGAAAACAATCTGAAGTATTATTAGACTTGAATAAACTCATGACATTCAGAATAAAAGTGAATCCATATTTTTAAAAAAAATGTTTAATTTTGAAATAATTTTAGATTTGCAGAAAAGGTGCAAAACATGGAGAGTTCAAGTATATCCTTTATCCAGCTTTCTCTAATATTAACAATTTACAAAGTCATTGTACAATGATCAAAACCAGGAGATTAATATTGGTATAATACTATTAACCACTGATTTTTTTTTTTTTTTTGATATTTCACCAGTTTTTTCCTAAAGTCCCTTTTCTGTTCCAGGATCAAACCCAAGATCTCCCATCACATTTAATTGATGTCTTCTTAATCTCCTCCCATCTGTGACAGTTATTCTTTCTTTCCTTGCCTTTTATGATAAGTACTTTTGAGAAATACTGGTCATTTATTTAGTAGAATTTCTTACTTTGGGTTTGTTCAATATTTTCTCATGATTAGATTGAGATTGTGAATGTTTTTGCTTATTTTTCTTAAACCACAAAATGCTTTTGTGTCTTCCTTGTTGCATTGTATCAGAGGATACATGAAGTTGATATGTCTTATTGCTAGTGGTGTTAACCTTGATCACTTGGTTAAGGTTGTATCCATCAAGTTTATATACACTGTAAAGTTACTATTTTTTCTTTCTAATTGATAAATATCTTTGAGGAGATACTTTGAGACTTTGTTAATATTCTGCTTCTTCTTGAACTTTTGCCCACTGATTTCATCTTTCATTGGTGAGATCTTACATGCAACAGTTATTACTCTGAGGTTTGCCTAATAGTGATTTTTTTATTTACTTCATTTCATCTGTATTTGTTAATTGGAAGAGCTGTCCCTTCTTTGTGTGTTTATTTATCCAATTATTTATATGAATATGTTTTCGTGGACATTTTACTCTATGGGTTATAAACTAGTACCATCATTATTTATTTTGCGGCCCAGATTGTTTCAGCCTTGACTTTGACCAACTTCCATTTGCTTTCTATATCTTTTTAATAGAACCCATCCTTTTTTGAGTACCTGCTTCTTTTCTGTGATCACAATATATGCCAGGCTTATCTTATATTGTTCCTGCTCCAGGCCTGGAATTAATGACTTCTTCATGGAGTCCTGGTCCCTTTTGTCAGAGAATGATATTTGGAAATCAAGACCTGGGCTCTGGGTATGCTTACTGTTATGATGATTGTCCTCTTAGCAAAGACATGTATGTATATGAACCCATGCATAGACACACATCTGTATTTATTTCTATATCTACCTATCTGTGTATATTTTCTAAACCAGAAGTTCATATTGACACTTCTATTTCCAATCCAGTGTGACACATTTCATTCTAGCTCTTCCCCTTTCTTCATTCATAAGTTTTTTTTCCTCAGGTACTGGGACACTTACACTATATTCACTTCAATCCCAGTAGACATGTAAAATAGTTTTAGAATTGCCAGTACGTACCCCTGTGAGAAACAGATTCGATAACCAGAGGACGTTATTTGCATGTTCCTTTTGTCTTCACAGTATCCAGTCAAAATATTGTTTTCCTAAGTTAGTAAGGTTAGTTTCTCCCGGCTCCTTCAGTGTTAGTTTATTGACTTGTAATGCAGTTGGATTTATTTGTTATAATTTATATTCTCTCCACATCTGGTTGGTTTTAATTAATTATAGTGCTGAGGAGTATATGAAACATTGCTATGGTTCTAATAGTCAAAGCTATATAAAAAAGATACATTCACGGTAGCTCATGCCTGTAATCCCACCACTTTGGGAGGCCGAGGTAGGCAGATCACCTGGAGTCAGGAATTTGAGACCAGCCTGCCCAACATGGTGAAACCTCCGTCTCTACTAAAAATACAAAAATTAGCTGGGTGTGGTGGCAGGTGCCTGTAATACCAGCTACTTGGGAGGCTGAGGCAGCAGAATCGCTTGGATCTGGGAAGCGGAAGTTGCAGTGAGGCGAGATTGCACCATTGCACTCCAGCCTGGGTGACAGAGTGAGACTCCGTCTTAAACAAACAAAAAAGATACACTCCAAGAAATGTTCTTCCTCTTTCTCCCTATTAACTCATTCCCATTCCCCCTCCTCTTTATAATACCCTGTTCCCACCCTTCCTCTATAGGTGTTTAATCTCTTAACCAAGATAAATCTTTGGTTTGTCCTTCCTACATTGATTTGGTACAGTTAATAGCTATATGAGTATTTTCTTATGCCCCCTTCTCTCATGTGTGAAGGGTAGCATATCATTGATACATTGTTTACTTTGCATTTTTCATTTAGCAGTATATCCTGGAAACCACTCCAAATCAATTCATAGAGATCTTTATCATTTAAAAAAATGGTTGCATAGAATTTTATTGTGTAGCTATATCAAAATTTATTCAAATGATGTATGTACACTGTATTAGTTTTCTATTGCTATAACAAATTATCACAAACTTAGTGATTTAAAACAACATAAAATTGTTTATCTTATATTTCTGAAGGCCAGAAGTTTGAAATGGTTCTCAATGGATAAAAATCAAGATGTGAGGGGGGCTGCATTTCTTCTGGAGGGTCTAGGAGAAAACCTCTTTCCTTGCCTTTTTTAGTTTCTAGAGGCTGCCTGCATTCCTTGGCTCATGGGCCCTTCCTCCACATTTAAGCTAGCAGCATGGCATCTTCATTTCTCTCTAATTCTGACTCTCTTGCCTCCATCTTTCACTTTTAGGACCCTTGTGATTACACTGGGCCTGGATAATACAGGATACTCTTCTTTTCCTATCTTAAAATCCTGAGCTGAGTCAGATCTACAAAGTCCTTTTTTGCCACGTAAGGAGATACATTCACAGGTTCTGAGGATTAGACATGGGCTTCTCTGAGGTCCCATTATTCTGCCCACCCCAGGTACTTAGGTTATTTCCAATATTTTGCTATTACAAACAGTGCTTCAATGAATAACTTTGTTCTTTCATATTTTTATATTGTTAGAGGTGTATCTTCAGGGTAGATTTTTAGAGTTGAGATTGCTGAGTTAAAGGCAAGTACTTGTTAGATATTGCTACGTTTCTCTTCAGAAGGGTTTATCAATTTGAAAGTGGCTATTTTCCCAAAGTCTCACCAACAAAGTATGTTGTCTTGCTTTTTAGTTTTTGCTAGCCTGACAAGCAAGAAGTGGTATCTCAGTCTTGCTTTAATTTGCTTTTCTTTAATTATGAGTGAGTTTGAACATTTTCTCACATTTGAGGGCCATTTATATATCTTGTTTTTTTTGTGAATTTTCTGTTTATTGGTCTCTTGTCTACTGTCCCTCAAGTGTTCTTTGAATATTAGGAGTATTGGCCTCTTGTCTATGGATATATCTTCCTAATATTTTATCTCAGATTGTCACTTGTTTACGGTGGTTTAAAAATTTTTACACCATGAAAAAAAGTTTAGTTTTATGTGGTCAAGTTACCAATATTTTATTTACTCTACATTTTGATTCTTGATGTAGAAAGCTTTTCCCTATACCACAGTTATCCTTGTTTCCTGTGGTACTTTTGTCTTCGTTCATTTTCTGTTGCTATAATCCAATATACAGACTGGGTGATTTATAAAGAATAGAGATTGATTTAGCTCATGGTTCTAGAGGCTGGGAAGTCTCCTTCCTTCTGCATCAGGACATGGCGGGAAGCATCATATGATAAGACAGAGCAAGCAAGCCCAAGAAAGCTTGGTTTTATAACAAAGCCATGATAACAAACCTACTCTCATGATAGGGACATTAATTTATTCATGAGGGCAGAGCCAGCATTTATTCATTCATGAGGATAAAGGATTAAGTTTCCCACACATGAACTTTGGGGGGACACATTCAAACCATAGCAACTTGTATAGCTTCATTTATTGACATTTAGATTCCAAATCCATTTGGGGTTTATTCTCATATATGATATGAGATAGGGATCTAGTTTTATCTTTTTCAGACGGCTACCTTGTGGTACCTATACCACTTATTAAGAAGTCTATCTTTACCCCCAGTGAGTTGAGATACTACCTGTATCACATACTAAGTCTCTGTATGTACTTGCATTTGTTTCTGGACACTCTAATTCACTGGTCAGTTTGTCTAGTCATGTACTAGTATTGTAATGTTTTAATTATAGACACTTTTTAGTATGGTTTAATGCTTGTTGAGGCTACTATACCATTGTAGTTTTTCTTTTTCAATGTTTTCTTGGATAATCTTTCATGTTTGATTTTCCACAGAAATTTTGGTATCAACATGCCCAAGTATAAAATAGTCTGTTGATATTTTTCATTGGGATTGTATTAACTTATAAGTTTATTTGTGAAGAACTATTGAGTCATTTTATTCAAGAATAGGAAATGTTTTTCCATTTGTTTAAGTCTATTTTAATGTCTTCCAGAAGCTTATAAATAAACTGTAGGCTAAACTAAAGAAAAAATGAAATTTTAAGTTAAATTTAAAACTGTAATATCTTGTCAGTAATTGGAAATATATTCTTATAGTTGGATTTCTTACCTAGCCAGCAAGAGGATGTGTTAGCAGTGGCTTAACGTCATGGTATGGCTACTGAGGGCTGTGGATTCATTCTTCTTTGTGTGCACTTGCAGGTTCACAGGCTTTGGAGTCACATATACCTGTGTCCGAACCTGACTCTATCACTTACTGGTTCAGTAACCATGGATAAGTGACACAGGCTCTCTGAGTCTGGCTTCTTCATCTCTAAGATGGGGAGAAGGATACCCAAGAATTGGTTCATGTAGCAGAGTAGATGCTCAATAGTGTTTCCCTCTTTTCTTTTCTTTTCTTTTTTTTTTTTTTTGAAACAGGGTCTTGCTCTGTCTCCCAGGCTGGAGTGCAGTGGCATAACCTTGGCTCGCTGCAACCTCTGCCTCCCAGGTTCAAGTGATTCTCCTGCCTCAGCCTCCTGAGTAGCTGGAATTATAGACGCATGCCACTGTGGCCCGGCTAATTTTTGTATTTTTAGTAGAGACGGGGTTTCACCATATTGGCCAGGCTGATCTCAAACTCCCGACCTCAGGTGGTCCACCTGCCTCGGCCTCCCAAAGTGTTGGGATTACAGGCGTGAGTCACCGCAACTGGCCTGTTTCCATCTTTTCTTGTCTGCTTTCTTTTCTCTTATTTGCTCATGATGACTACTCCATTTTTTCTTTCATCTCTAGTTTCATTATATACATAACCAGAGAGTAAGTTAAGCTAAATATTATCATACAAATACCCATTTTGTTTAGCCATATAACAATTAATATTATATCAAGCTGAAGTAAATAATGCTGATTTATTTCATCTAGAGTGTTGTGTATTGGTCTCAAGGTAAAAGGCTGTGCTTTAAAAAATGGAGACAAAATTTTATTGTTCATTTGTAAACGCTTATTTGATATACTGATGCCATTTCTAATCTTTCTCTGTGGTACAGGCCATAAACCTGTACTAGAAGTGAAACGTTTTAATTTTCTACTGTGGATCTGCCTTATTCCAAGAGCTATGCAACAGACAATAGTGTTAGACAAAGTTTCAGTATGAACAAATTAATTCATTTTTTATAGAGAAGCATAATCTAAAACATAATTTTCCCAACCCTGCCTGCTTAAACTGCTTATTGCCTTAATTATGATTTCAACATGATTTTGGTGACTTCTGTTAATTTCTTTTTCTTTTTTCTTTCTTTTTCCTTTTTTTTTTTTTTTGAGACAGAGTCTTGCTCTGTTACCCAGGCTGATGTGCAGTGGCACGATCTTGGCCCACTGCTCACTGCAACCTCTGCCTCCTGGGTTCAAGTGAGCATGTCAGCTAATTTTTGAACTTTTTTTTAGTATAGATGGGGGTTTCACCATGTTGCCTAGGCTGGTCTTAAACTCCTGACCTCAAGTGATCCACTTGACTCAGCCTCCCAAAGTGCCGGGATTACAGGCATGAGCCACTGTGCCCACCCACTTCTGTTAATTTCTATGTCTTGAGTTTATAGTGAGGTTGATTGCACAGATTGTATAATGTAGTGTAAACTTTTATACTTGAAAATGATCACCTTAAATGCTTATTTCAGTCACAAATAGAAAAATGAATAGGTACAATTAAGGCCAGTAATAGCAATTTTTCTTGCTTTTAAAAATAAAGTTTTAAAGTCAAAATATTATTTTATTATTTTAAAAGCAATCATTTTATCATCTTATATGCTTGGTTTCTAGGGTTTTTAAAGGTAAAAATTTCTCCAGGTCCCACTTCTCCTATGCTTGTTCTTAGATAAGAATTTGAAAAGCCATGCCTTAGAATGTTTCTGGAAAAAAAAGTTAGAATTTCATTATTCCAAGATACATTGGAGGTATTCCAAGATACACTGGGTAAACACTCTCATTCCAAATAGGAGAATTTGGCCAAAATAAAGGGGCTACAGGCCCCATGCATCTAAAACCCAGCAGGGCAGTCATTAAACCTTAAAGCTCCAAACTGATCTTCTTGGACTTCATGTCCCACATCCAGCGCACACTGGTGTGAGGGATGGGCTCCCAAGGCTTTGGGCAGCTCCATCCCTGTGGCTTTGCAAGGTTCAGCCCCCACAACTGCTCTCATGGGCTGGTGTTGAGTGTCTGTGGCTTTTCCAGGAGCAGGGTCTGAGCTGTCAGTGGATCTACCACTCTGGGTATATATATAAAGGGGAGTTTATTAAGTATTAACTCACACGATCACAAGATCCCACAATAGGCCATCTGCAGGCTAAGGAGCAAGGATAGCCAGTCCGAGTTCCAAAATTGAAGAACTCGGAGTCCGATGTTCAAGGTCAGGAAGCATCCAGCACGGGAGAAAGATGTAGGCCAGGAGGCTACGCCAGTCTAACCTTTTCACGTCTTTCTGCCTGCTTTATATTCACTGGCAGCTGATTAGATGGTGCCCATCCAGATTAAGGGTAGATCTGCCTTCCCCAACCCACTGACTTAAATGTTAATCTCCTTTGGCAACACCCTCACAGATATACCCAGGATTAATACTTTGCATCCTTCAATCCAATCAAGTTGACACTCAGTATTAACCATCACAGTGCCCCAGTGGAATCTTTGTGGGGGCTTCAACCCCATATTTCCCCTCTGTACTGCTCTAATAGAGGTTCTCCATGAGGAATCTCCCCCTGCAGCAGGCTTCTGCCTGGACATCCAGACTTTTCCATACATCCTCCAAAATCTAGGAAGAGGCTCCCAAGCCTCAACTCTTATCCGCTGCATACTCACAGGCTTAGCATCACATGGAAGCTGCCAAGACTTACAGCTTGCACCCTCTGAAGCAGTGACCAGAGCTGTATCTGTATCTGAGCTGTATCTGACCTGAAGCTGGAGCTGGAGTGACTGTGATGTGGGGGAACAGTGTCCCAAGGCTGTGCAGGGAAGTGGGGCTCTGGGCCTGGCCCAGGAAACCATTCTGTCCTCTTAGGCCTCTGGGCCTGTGATGGGAGGGGCTGCTGCAAAGGTCTCTGAAATGTCTTCAAGGCCTTTTCTTTATTGTCTTGACTATTAGACTTGGCTCCTCTTTACTTATGCAAATTGATGCAGCCTGCTTGAATTCTTCACCCAGAAATGGGCTTTTCTTTTCTACCACATGGCTATGCTACAAATTTTGTAAACTTTTATGCTCCCTTTTAAATATAAGTTCCAGTTTTAGGTCATTTCTTTGCTTGTGCATATGAGCCTAGGCTGCTAGAAGCAGCCAGTCTACATCTCAAATGTTTTGCTGGTTAGAAATTTCTTCCACCAGATACCGTAAATCATCACTCTCAAGCTCGAAGTTGCGCATATCCCTTGGCAGGGGCACAGTGCAGCCAGGCTCTTTGCTAAAGCTTAAGAGAAGTGACTGCTCCGCTTCCCATAGGTTTTTCATTTCCATCTGAGACCTCATCCACCTGGCCATCTCTGTCCATATCACTATCAGCATTTGGGTCACAACCATTCAGCAAGTCTCTAGGAAGATCCAACTTTCCGTCATCCTTCTGTCTTCCTCTGAGCCCTCCACACTCTTCCAACCTCTGCCCATTTCACAGTTCGAAAGCCACTTTCAGTGTGAACAAGATAATATGATTTTATAGCAAAATATAATCTAAAATAAAACTTTTTTTCTTGCCCCTCCAAATTTAGACCAGTTATTCCCTCAGAGAAAATTTCTACATGTCTTTGGTGGGCTTCTGTTAAATTCCATGTCCTGGACTTACAATAGAGTTGTCTATATACAGATTAGGCAATGAAACACTAAACCTTTGTAGTAGTACTTGAAAATGGCAGCATTAAATGCTAATATCAGTCATACACACACAGACACACACACACATAGTTACAGATGCAATTAAGAGTGGCAATAGCATTTTGCTTTTCTTTTAAAATTATGGTTTTAAGGTCAAATGTTACTATTTTTAAGCCAATTATTTCAAGATCCTATCTAACTTGGTTCCTAGGGTTTTTAGGGTAAAGTCTCCAAATTCTCCACTTCTCCTGTTCTTGAGTTATCACTTTAGGTGTGGATTTGCAAAGCAATGCTTCAGAATTTTTTTTTTTTTGAAAAATTTGTAAGAACAACATTAGAATGCTGTCTAGAGGTGTAATCAGACATGTTTATGTTATGGATAGAACCCCAAATAGAATATTGTAATACTAATTTATTTACTCAACACTTTTTAAAGCCCTGACAATATGCCAGGCCCTGTGCTAGTCAATAAGGTTATAAAGATAAAAACACAAGGTTCAGAAGTTCTATAATAATTAAATGTTCTGAAGTGTTTCAAATTATATCACATAGTGCTTTCCTTGGAAGAAGAACAATTTAGATTATGTTCAATAAACACAAATTTGGTGTTTTCTTTGTGTGTATGAAAAATTAGTGATGTCAGTTTAAGTTCATGGGTAGGTTCAGTTCAAGTATATTTACTGAAGACAAATTAGCAATATGGGGCCATTGGGTTAGGATTTTATTTATTATGGTAAGATAATTTTGTCATTTAGCATCTGAATTTTTGTTATATATGAGAACATTCATTTGATTGTCAATCATTGTACATGTTTTAGATGCCAAATTATAGAATAAAATTATGTACTCCAAAGTAAAAATATTAATTTGAAGAAATATTTACTTTGAGAAAATTTTATACATGAAGACCTCAAAGTTTTAAAAGCAATATAAAAGTGAGGGACTATGGGTGATTTTTCTTTCCTGAAACACTCTGCAATTACATTTTATTCTATAATGTACACAAACAAAAAGCACAGTGAGAGCTGCAACTGTAGACCTTATACCTTAACTTCATTTTTATTTTTAATATTTTTAAAAATTTCAATAGCTTTTGGGTACAAGTGGTTTTTGGTTACATGGATGAATTCTATAGTGGTGAATTCTGAGATTTTAATGCACCCATAACCTGAGTAGTGTGTCGTAGCCAATATGTAGGTTTTTATTAGTTCCAGAGTATATGTGTAGGATGTGCATTTTGTTACATAGGCAAACGTGTACCATGGTGGTTTGCTGTACCTGTCAACCCATCACCTAGGTATTAAGCCCAGCACGCATTAGCTCTTTTCCCTAATGTTCTCCCCCTGGCCCACCCTCCCCCAACAGGCCCCAGTGAATGTTGTTCCCCTCCCTGTCTCCATGTGTTCTCATTGTTCACCTCCCACTTATAAGAGAACATGCAGTGTTTGGTTTTCTGTTCCTGCGTTAGTTTGTTGAGGATAATGGCTTCCAGCTTCATCCATTGCCCTGCAAAGGACATGATCTTGTTCCTTTTTATGGCTGCATAGTATTCCATGGTGTATATGTACCACACTTTCTTTATCCAGTCTGTTATTGATGGGCATTTGGGTTGATTCCATGTCTTTGCTATTGTGAATAGTGCTGCAGTGAACATACGTATGTATATGTCTTTATAACAGAATGATTTATAATCCTTTGGGTATATACCCAGTAATGGGATTGCTGGGTCAAATGGTATTTTCGGTTCTAAATCTTTGAGAAATTGCCATACTGTCTTCCACAAAGGTTGAACTAATTTAAATTCCCACCAACAGTATAAAAGCTTTCCTATTTCGCCTCAATACTGCCAGCATCTGTTGTTTCTTGATTTTTTAATAATTTCCATTCTGACTGGTGTGAGATGGTATCTCATTGTGGTTTTGATTTGCATTTCTCTAGTGATCAGTGATGTTGAGCTTTTTTTCATATGTTTGTTGGCGGCATGTATGTCTTTTTTTGAGAAGTGTCTGTTCATATCCTTTGCCCACTTTTTGATGGGATTGTTTGTTTTTTTCTTGTAAATTTTCTTAAGTTCCTTGTAGATTCTGGATATTAGACCTTTGTCAGATGGATAGATTGCAAAAATTTTCTTCTATTCTGTAGGTTGTCTGTTTCCTCTGATGATAGTTTCATTTGCTGTGCAGAAGCTCTTTAGTTTAATTAGATCCCATTTGTCAATTTTTGCTTTTGTTGCAGTTGCCTTTGGCAATTTCATCATAAAATCTTTGCCTATGCCTGTGTCCTAAATAGTATTGCCTAGATTTTCTTCTAGGGTTTTTATAGTTCTGGGTTTTACATTTAAGTCTTTAATCCATCTTGAGTTAACTTTTATAGGGTGTAAGGAAGGGATCCAGTTTCAATTTTCTACATATGGCTAACCATTTCTCTCAGCACCATTTATTAAATAGGGAGTCCTTTCCCCATTGCTTGTTTTTGTCAGGTTTGTCAAAGATCAGACAGTTGTAGATATGAGTTTCATTTCCGAGTTATGTATTCTGTTCCATTGGTTTATGTGTCTATTTTAAAAATACCAGTACCATGCTGTTTTGATTACTGTAACCTTGTAGTATAGTTTGAAGTCAGGTAGCATGATTCCTCCAGCTTTGTTCTTTTTGCTTAGGATTGTCTTGGCTATGCGAGCTCTTTTTTGGTTCCATATGAATTTTAAAATACTTTTTTCTAATTCTGTGAAGAATGTCAATGGTAATTTAATGGGAGTAGCACTGAATCTATAAATTGTTTTGGGCAGTATGGCCATTTTTACGATATTGATTCTTCCTATCCATCTGCTTGTGTCCTCTCTGATTTCCTTGAGCAGAGGTTTGTAGTTCTCATTGAAGAGGTCCTTCACTTCCCTTGTTAGCTGTATTCCTAGGCATTTTATTTTCTTTGTGGCAGTTGTGAATGGGAGTTCATTCATGATTTGGCTCTCTGCTTGTCTATTGTTGGTATATAGGAATGCTTGTGATTTCTGCACATTGATTTTGCATCCTCAGACTTTGCTGAAGTTGCTTATCAACTTAAGAAGCTTTTGGGCTGAGTCAATGGGGTTTTCTAGGTAAAGGGTCATGTCATCTGCAAACAAAGACAATTTGATCTCCTCTCTTCCTATTTGAATACACTTTATTTCTTTCTCTTGCCTGATTGACCTGGCTAGGACTTCCAACACTATGTTGAATAGGAGTGGTGAGAGAGGGCATCCTTGTCTTGTGCTGGTTTTCAAGGGGAATGCTTCCAGCTTTTGCCCATTCAGTATGCTATTGGCTGTGGGTTTGTCATAAATGGCTCTTATTATTTTGAAGTGTGTTCCTTCAATATTTAGTTTATTAAGAGTTTTTAACATGAAGCGATGTTGAATTTTATCAAAGGTGTTTTTTGCATCTATTGAGATAATTATATGGTTTTTGTCTTTAGTTCTGTTTATGCGATGAATCACATTTATTGATTTGTGTATGTTGAACCAACCCTTGCATCCTGGGGATAAAGCCATCTTGATTGGGATGGATAAGCTTTTTGATGTGCTGCTGGTTTTGGCTTGCCAGTATTTTATTGAGGATTTTTGTATCGATGTTCATCAGGGATATTGGCCTGAAGTTTTCTTTTTTTTGTTGCATCTCTGCCAGGTTTTGGTATCGGGATGATGCTGTCCTCATAGAATGAGTTAGGGAGGGGTCCCTCCTTTTCAATTGTTTGGAATCATTTCAGAAGAAATGGTACCAGCTCTTCTTTGTACTTCTGGTAGAATTCAGCTGTAAATCCATCAGGATCTGGGCTGTTTTTGGTTGGTAGGCTGTTCATTACTGCCTCAATTTCAGAACTCATTGTCTATTCAGGGGTTCAACTTCTTCCTGGTTCAGTCTTGAGAAGGGTGTATGTGTCCAGGAATGTACCCATTTCTTCTAGATTTTCTAGTTTATTTGCATAGAGGTGTTTATAGTATTCTCTGATGGTTGTTTGTATTTCTGTGGTGTCAGTGGTGGTATCCCCCTTAACATTTCTGATTGTGTTTATTTGAATCTTCTGCTTTTTCTCTTTATTAGTCTTGTAGGATAAGGGGGAACCTATGAACAGGCAGAGGCCATAGAAATGGTATTTCCTTCTGTCATCTTATGTGAAGAAAAGTGCATGAGCCCATTTTCTCATGGGTTGATTTATCTGTAACCATTAATAAGCACACCATTTTGTTTTGTAGTCCTCCCCTTCATACTCATCACTAAAATATTTGCTTCCAGGATAGAAGTTTACTCAATAGAGAACATAGAATGAGATTAAATTTTAAACTTCTGGTTAATACGGTGATATTGTTTTCTTGTGCTTTAGTAGAACAATCTTATCGTTGCCTTTATCCTTACTGTGAAGTATGAATCACTTCAAAATGTACACCATTAAGAATGAGAATCATGGCTGGGCGTGGTGGCTCACGCCTGTAATCCCAGCACTTTGGGAGGCCGAGGCAGGCGGATCACCTGAGGTCAGGAGTTCGAGACCAGCCTGGCTAACTTGGTGAAACCCCGTTTCTACTAAAAATACAGAAAATTAGCCAGGAGTGGTGGCGTGCGCCTGTAATCCCAGCTACTCAGGAGGCTGAGGTAGGAGAATCACTTGAACCCGGGAGGCAGAGGTTGCAGTGAGCGGAGATCGCACCATTGTACTCCAGCTTGGGCAACAAGAGCAAAACTCCATCTCAAAAAAAAAAAAAAAAGAAAAAAGAATCATTTAGCAACCTCAACCTCTCAACTCGCTGTATAACAAAGCACCTAGTATTGGTGAAATAAATTGTTCCAATCTGCTGTCTGTTTAAAATTATCTAATGCCACCTTCCATCTGTTACATTGAGACCAATAATGATTAAATGCAGCAAAATAAACCTTATTTCTACCCAGCCTTCCACTACCTATTATCCAGGGGAGAATACTATTTTTCCTGCTAGGGTTTGGTCTGTTCTATAAGTTTCTTTATTTTACGTTTTTAATGCCCCTTGCTCATTTCTGTTTTCAATTTTTTCTTGTCAAGACATTTGCCTTCTGTTTCAATACTTAGTATTTACTTTACAACTAATTCTGATTTGTGCTAACCATCATTTCTTCCTAAATTTCAAAAACGTTAAGGACTTAATTTTGCTGTCCTACTTTTACACTTTATAAAAATTTTGAAACTGATTTAAACAAGAACTCTAAAAATAGTCTGTCATGCTGATTCAGATCACTATTTGACATAAGTTGGGTGGAGACCTGAACATTCTCTGTTTGATGTCCTACCACAACCTGCCCACCTGGCTCCTCCATACCCTGCTCTTCCTCGTCCGTCACTGCCCTGTGCTCTGAGTCTGACCCTCCACACTGCATTTCCCAGATTCCCTTGCCCTCTGGCTTCTGATGGGGATCAGCCAGTGTGGTTCCCAGCAGGAGTCTGGAGGGTAGGGAGACAGTGAGTTTAGGTATGTGGTCTGGCTATGGCAGTGGGTTCCTAAGCCACAGATCCTTTTAGGCAGTACCACTTCAATAGCTCCATCTGTTGCTGGATCTGGTTAATACTGTTTCCTTCCCCTTCCCCTTCTAGCCTAAAAGAGTTCATGGTTTCCTGCTATTGTCAGCCCCTGGGTGCCTTTTCATCCCTTGAGGTTACCTTAAACCCTGTCCACAGAGAGTGCAGAGTTCTTTCATTACATTCTTCTCTGTTAAACTCTTTTGAGGGAATACTATCTCTACCTTCTGTTGACACTAATCAAACAAAATAATAGTATGTTCGTGGTTTTGTTACAAATGATTTTCTAAAATTTAACAGAAACCTGCATTATTCAGGAACACTAAAAATGTACATTTAAAGTAATTGTTTATTAAACTGTAACAAGTTTTCTAGCAATTTTAGATTGAATTTGATGCTCTCAAACTGCTTTACATACCTGCGATAATTACAAATTAAATTTTTGGGTAAGACTTTGCTGTAACTGTGGTAATTAGAAAAAAAAAATCCACACTAAACATGAGACAAGTGTCTGTTGACCAAAGAGAAAAGAACTTTCCAGTGCGTTACATGGATTTTACAACAGAGAAGTTGCTTCCACAATAGAATTGATGTCCCCTTGACACCGCCTTTGGGAAGGAAAAAATAAAATAAAAAAATTGATGTCACCTTTCAGATATAGATATTACAACCTTAAAGAAATTTTAGAACTACAACTCTTATCTTCACCTGGAACATAAATTAAGGTGATATTGGCTTTTGAATACCTGTTTTCCTCATATAACAATTAACAAATTTACATCAAACGAAAGTAAAAAATGCTGGTTTATTTTATTTATAAGTAGTATATATTGTTTTTAGATGGAAGGCTCTGCTTAAAAAATGTTTTTTTTGACACAAAGTCTTCCTGTTCATCTGTGAAGCTTATTTGGTATATTGTAGTCATTTCTAATCTTTCTCTGGGTTACAGGCCATAGAAGTTTGCTAGAGGTTAACAGTCTTAATTACAAATTCTCTCTATTGCTTTATTAACTTTCTTGTTTGTTCTATTGTATATTTACCTCATTCTAAATGCCATGCAAAACAAAATAGTGTTAGACAAAGTTTTAATGTGAACAAATTAATGCAGTTTTCTAGAAAAGCATAACCTAATCTACATATTTTTTTCTAGCCCGTCCTATATTTAAAATTCTTGTTGCCTTTCTTATTTCTTTATGTCTTTGATAGACTTCCAGTAGTTTCTGTGACTTGAGCTTATAGTCCTGTGTCTTGTGTAGACTGGGTAATGGAACACTAAGCTTGTATACTTGAAAATGAAAGACTTAAATTCCCCTATTGGCCACCTGTCCCGGCAAAATAATAGTAATAATTAAGGCCAGCAGTAGCAGTTATTTTTCCTTAAAAAGTAAAATTTTAAAGTAAAAATATTATGTTTTTATTTTTAAGCCAACTATCTTAAGATCTTATCTAACTTGGTTTCTGGGGTTTTTGAGGATAAAGTTTCCCAACACCCCACTTCTCCTACACTTACCCTTACACTTAGGCATGAATTTACAAAGCAGTGCCTCAGAATGTTTCTGGAAAAAATATGTTAGAATTACATCATATGGCTGAATAGCAGCGTAGTTGAATATGTTGGTTTTCTAATTTGCGTCTTCACATTTGTTTATGTTAAGGATAGAACCCCAAAGAGAATAATACTGGTTTACTTATTCAATGCTTATTAAACAATAACAATATGCCAGCCTCTGTACTATTCAAGGAGGATATAAAGATGAAAAGACAAGGTTGAGTACTTTTATAATATTTATATGTTCTGGTGGTTCAAATTATTTTACACAGTGCTTTTCTTAGAAGAAGAAATATTTGGATGATGTTCAGTAAACACAAATTTTGTGTTATCTTTGAATCTGTTTGGTAGGTTTATGATGTTAAATTCCTGGTTAGGTTCAGTTCAAGTATATTTACCAAAGACAAATTAGAAATACAGGGACCATCAGGTTAGGGATTTATTTCATTACGGTAATAGGATTATGTCATTTGGAATTGGAATTTATTTTACACTTGGTCTGATTTTTAAATCATTTTACATGACTTAAATGTCAAATTATAATGTAAAATGATTATTTTCAGTTATGCACCCCACAATTTGAAGCCACATATGTTTTGAGGGAATTTTGAATATGAAGACCTTTGAGTATTAGAAGTTATATTGAGTGGGGATTATGCGTAATTTTCCTCTCTTGGAAAATCTATCTGTGATCATATGTTTTCTTTTTAATGTACATAAACAAGTAAAAAACACAAGGAGAACTTCAGCTGTAGACCCTGCACTTTAACATTAGTAACTGCTAATCTACCCACAAATTTTGGTGAATTTTTTTTGCACATATAACAATAAAAATTACTACCACCACCTTAAGAGCTGATTAGAATAACACTTTATTTATTTATTTATTTCATTTATTTTTTTTGAGACAGAGTCTCACTCTGTCGCCCAGACTGGAGTGCAGTGGTGCGATCTTGGCTCACTGCAACCTCTGCTTTCAGGTTCAAGTGATTCTCCTTCCTCAGCTTCCTGAGTAGCTGGGATGACAGGCGTGCACCACCAGGCCTGGCTAATTTTTGGTATTTTTAGTAGCGACGTAGTTTAGCCATGTTGGCCAGGCTGGTCTCAAACTCCTGACTTCCAGTGAATCCACCCACCTCGGCCTCCCAAATTGCTGGTATTACAGGCATGAGCCACCGTGCCTGGCCTGCGTATTTTAATTCCATATTTTGCTTATATTTTTAGTATTTAAACATTTGCATATTCAAAGACATTAGTATACTTACAAGTAAGGGAAATTTTATTAGGTTAGATATTTTAAAACCTTTGAAAATTAATTCATTTCTAAGTAATAGTTTGGTGCTATGTACCTTTAATAAATATAACATTAGAGCTTTCATATTCACTAACTGTCACTTGCAAGGACCGGACAATCTAAAAATGCACAACTCTAAAGAAAAGGGAAAAAAAATCTGCCTATTGAGCATATAAAAGGGAAGAACAAGTAATCTTCAGACAGAAGTGATATAAGGTGAAATAATAATGGCAAGGATTTTGTTTTCTTCATATATTTTATCAGGGGGGAAACTACTGTAGGAGAGGGAAAATTGCTTCTGTGTACCCTTTGAGGTTTTTTGGCTGGTCTATGAATTAAATTGACATTAGACAGATTAAAAGGAGAAAAAATATTTAATTACTCACATATGCACAGGAGTCCCACCAAAATATGAGACTCCAGGAAGCAGCCAGATGATTGAGACAGATACTATCTTAAGCTAGAGTAAGGAATAGGAATAAGGATTTGGGGGTACTGGGGAGTGGTAGAGATGAATTGTGGGAAGGCGAGAGGAGGAAATGTGTGGTGAATAAAGGTTACCTTGCTATGCAGATAAAAGTCTCTCCAGTGAGAAAAAGTTATCTATGAGTAACTCTCTTTCTGGCAAAGATAGATACATTTACTAATAAAAATGTCCTTTACAAATGGGAAATTATACTTTAAGCAGATGGGGAGGCGAAGTGCTTTTTCTGCATTGACTGGTTCTCAGTTTCTTTTAGCTCAAAATAATACATCAAAGTGGCATATTTTGGGATGACTTGTTCTGACCCCATCACTACTTGGTGGTAAAATGCTACCCAATATTATAACATCATGTGGCGCCTTCTTTTAAAAAGTTTTTAAACATGATATAATTTCCTCAAAGCTTTATGATGTAAAATGAGGTATCTCAGATATGGACTTCTCCAGTGAGAGGATCCCAAAGGCTTTATACCCCCATATTGTGGGTTGGGGTGCAGTGGAGAAGAAATGCCAGGATGTTTGTAGCTTTATCAAATTGAAAACTTAGAGCATCTAATTATTACTCACTTAGAAATCAAATTGTTCTCTGTGGACTTCCTTCTCCAAGGAGATTCAAAGCACTTGCTACAAAAAAGGAAGATCACAGCTTGTTTCTCTGTTTTCTTTCCTCCAGGCAAAACCTTGTGTCACTTGGTTGGCTTAACAGAGTTAACTTCTCTCCTTGGATCGGTTGTCATTGTTTTTATGTAGTTCAGTAACTATTAAGTACTTTTCATCTGTGATTAAAAGCATATTGCTTCTGGAGGGTCCCTGGCATGCTGCAGTCCTATGACTGGGCAGCAGGTTTCTCACCTTCCTAAATCTGAGCAGTAAAGCACTGCTGGAGGGTAACCCACCCCTGATGTTTCTCCTTTGGGGGTTGCTGAGTGGTAAGGGTGCAGCTGCTGCCCTATCAGCTTTCCCAGAGTCACAAAGAGAAGCTCCCACTTGGAAGGGATCTTATTCATTGTCTGCTCCCGTTTTGCTGTCCATCCACTGATATCCTAATCTACCTGCTCTAGTCCTCAGTGTGGTTCAGGCTTTGCTCTATGCATCCATTCGGATGTGGGCACCAAGCTACAGAGTTCCTATTTGCACAGATCTCAGCTATGTCCTCCTTCAAGTTCTATGCCTCCCCGTTCTAGTTTTGAAATAAAAGGAAATAAGGAGGAGAAGAAAGTGACCATCGTTCTCAGGGCTGCCTCAAAGCTAGAGATAGAGAAGAGGAGCAAGCTCACAAACTAAAGTGTGCTGAGCGCAGCTGACACCAAGGGCAGCCAATGCTCCCTGTATCTTTATGCTCTGTAAGTTCAGTGACCTGAGGGCAGCACCTGGGACAGCTGCTTGTAGTGTTCTTGCTTTCTCCTTTTTCCTTAGCCACAGTGCATGTGTTTAGGCAGATGCCTCCAAGCCACTGACCATTGCTTGCTTCCTTCTTCCCTCTCTCCCCTCTTCCCTCCCTTTTCTTCCTCCTTTTCCCTGTTTCTTTCCCCCACCCTCCATCCCTTCTTTCTTTCCTTCCCTCCCTCCTTCCTTCCTTCCTGCCCTCTTTTCTTCCTTCTTTCAACAAATATTTGATGAACACCTATCTAAGGTGATTGGGATACAGAATTGAACTCAGTCACTGCTCATATACAGCCTACGTTTAATAGAAATGACATACAGTATTTAAAGAAATACAAAGTGTAAATCGAGCTAAGTGCTATGATGAACACTAAAGCTGGATGTAGAGGTCAGGGAAGAGCTGCCTTTGGAAAGAAGTATTTGAATAGAAGCGTGAATAAAGTGAGGGGAAAGTCATGTGCAAGATGAGGGTAGTAAGCACACTGACTTCTTTGATCTTACCTGGAAGAAAGTCCATGAGCTCATTTCCTAATGGGTTGCCACTAGTAGGCACGAGTAGCCTACAATCTGTTGCCACTAGTAGGAAGCCTACAATTTCGTTTTGTAGCCTTCGCATTCATACTTACCACTAAAATATTTGCTTCCAGCATCAAAATTTACTCATAAGAGCAAATAAGTTTGGAAGTTAATTTAAACTTTTGGTTAAAACTCTGATTTTCAAAAATTCTGCTTTAGTAGAATAGTCTTATGTTTGCCTTTATTGTCACTGTGAAGTATGAATCACATTGAACTGTATAATTTTAAGATGAGAATCATGTTGTGATTCTTCAACTCACTGAAAATGAAGTGCTTAATTTTGATGAGATAAATTGTTCCAGTCTTTGTTGGAGTTGTAGATTTATCCATAGCTGGCTTCCATCTGTTACATTCAGATGATAATGATAAAATGCATCATTTCTACCCAGTCTTCCAGCACAGACTAGCTAGAAGAGAAAACTGTTTTCTGCTAGGTTTTTGCCCTTCTTAAAATGTCTTTATTTATTATTTTTAAATGCCTTCTGGATATAAAGAGTCATTAAATGCAATTCTAAAACTAACTTTTCATATGTGAAAATGTTTTATTGAAATTATTTTGTTGTGGCCGGATGCAGTGGCTCACGCCTTTAATTCCAGCACTTTGCGAGGCTGAGGTGGGCAGATCACCTGAGGTTAGGAGATCGAGACCAGCCTGGCCAACATGGTGAAACCCTGTCTCTATTAAAAATACTAAAAATACAAAAATTAGCCATGTGTGGTGGTACATGCCTGTAGTGCCAGCTACTCGGGAGGCTGAGGCAGGAGAATCACTTGAACCTGGGAGGTTGAGGTTGCAGTGAGCCGAGATCACACCATTGTACTCCAGCCTGGGCTACAGAGTGACACCCTGTCTCAAAAAATAAAAAAATAAAAAATAAATCATTTTGTTGTGTTCTTGTTAGTGTCCAAAATCCACTTGAGAGAGTCTTTCAGAATTGTAAAGTATAATTAAAAGTGTTAGGTTTGCTGGGTGTGGTGATTCATGCCTGTAATCCCAGCACTTTGTGAGGCTGAGGCGGACTGATCACCTCAGGTCAGGAGTTCGAGACCAGCCTGGCCCACATGGTGAAACCCCGTCTCTACTAAAACTACAAAAATTAGCCGGGCATGTTGGCGGGCACCTGTAATCCCAGCTACTTGGGAGGCTAAGGCAGGAGAATCGCTTGAACTCGGGAGGTGGAGGTTGCAGTGAACCAAGATTGTGCCACCTCACGCCAGTCTGGGCAACAGAGTGAGACTCTGTCTCAGGAAAAAAAAAAAAAAAAAAAACTGTTAGGTTAGAGGATGAACCCTAATGCATTTCTTAATGGTATCCAATCAAATAAAAAAAATCCACCTTTTTTTTTGTCAATGTTTCCATGAAAATGCCTTGGAAAAATGAAAACTATGCAAATTAGGATTAAGAAACTACATCTTGGTTTGGTTCTTTTTGCCTATTTCAAGAGATAGGCTTACAAGTTATTATGCTGTCCTATAGCTCAGAGGATAAAAGAAAATGCCAGATCAAGTAGTGAATAGAGATCATTATACAAAGGAATTTGCACTGTTTAAACATGTTCTTAAGTTTAATGCTTGTTTCACCTGCTCTTATATTACTTTCTGCTACATGAGTCAATACTTTCTTATTTCATAATGAATGTTACTCTTATTTCTTAATGAGTCCTGCTCCATAATTCTGCAAAGTTATTTACATCAATGGTCAGAACTACTGTCCAGGATTTCAGTGACTTCAGAATTGAAGTCCAGAATTGAAGTACCAGTAATTCACTGAGTTGCTTGCTTGACAATTATTATAAATAAACTAATATCATGCCTCACACTAATGATTCTGTAGAGAAGATTCATTTTATAGTTTCATATATCTACAGCATATATCAGTAACTTTACTCAAATCCTAATAAAAGTTTGTCAGCTTAATGTATTTGTGCATGAACTTAACTACCACTAGTTGTCGAATACTTCTCTTGAAAATTGTAAAACCCCAATAATATATTACACCTATTTGAAGATAATCTGTTTGAAGATAATCTTTCATTAAGTTTTTTTTTTTTTGCAAAGCCTTTTCACCACTAGGAAAATCTAAGTGTAATATTTTGAGTGTAATGTTTCATTGTCATAATGCCTTCTAATAAAATGTAAAACAAAAAAGTCGGAATCTTTCAAGATAGCTTGGGTAGCCTTGCTGCAAAGCCTTGCAGAATGGGGGCCCCTCTGCCCACTTCCCTCACCCTCATTGCCTTCCCTGAGGCTCCGTTGCAGTCAGCTTCACCATGGCTGGCTGTTTGGAAATAGTTCACTGTAGTCTATCTCCAGCAGCAAGAAGAGAGTTCATTAAAAAACAGACATGTTTAAATCACTGATACAGGAAACTATGGTGAATTTTGTTATAGCATCCAATATTTGAACGTTTTCCTAAATGAAAAGTTATATTTAAAAAAAAACTTCCCTGTCACGCAGTGGCTTACGCCTGTAATCCCAGCACTTTGGGAGGCTGAGGCAGGTGGATCACCTGAGGTCAGGAGGTTGAGACCAGCCTGACCAACATGGTGAGACTCTGCCTCTACTGAAAATACAAAAATTAGCCGGGCATGGTGGTGGGCGCCTGTAATCCCAGCTACTCGGGAGGCTGAGGCAGGAGAATTGCTTGAACCCGGGAGGCGGAAGTTGCAGTGAGCTGAGATTGCGCCATTGCACTCCAGCCTGGGCAACACAGCGAGACTCCTTCTCAAAAACAAACAAACAAACAAAAAACTTCTCATTAAAAAATCCTCATGGAAAGTTCCATTCAGTTCATGTTTTCTCCCTCGTTCTTCATTTCCCTGCACCTGAGCCATTTACCTTGTTCTTTTCTCTATGGCTATGTTAGAAACTAGTAAATATGTCTGCCTCCTCTGCCTTCCCTGCTCACCCTCAGTTCATCAGGAAGTCATGTAGGCTTCCTGCTTTTGTTTCCCAGGAATTAAATAAATCTTAGTCACAACATCAAAAAGTCTAGATCATTTTGCCTTTGAAACTTTCACTTCCGAAAGGTTACTTGTAGTGAACATGTTTACAGTTCCTTAGGAAAGGGATGTGTATGAAACTTGGTGTTAATGATAAAAATAGCAACACTAGATAGAATGCTGGGCTAGGGAGATGGTCATTTCTAGAGATTCACCAACTGAAGGAGAATGTATCTCACTATAAGGTAAGAGGCTTTTCTTCCCAGATGGTCAAAAATCTGGGTATAGTTTTTAGTGTTCATTTCCATGAGGGCATATATTTGTATTTGATAGGCCTTTTTCTTATTGCCAATCTTAAAAATCTTTAAAACGGAAATCTATTCTCTTTGGAATCAACCCAGAAAAAATAGTAGCTCAACTTTAAATCAGCAAATGGTTAAATATTGTTAGAAAGAAATTACTTAATTCTTTGAGGTAGCTCGTCCTTATTCCCAGCTTATTAAAAAAATAGAAACCTCAGCAAAAACTACAAACTAGTAAGAGAATTTCTGATTCCAAAAGATTGAAAATGAGCAGCACAGCTCATTTTCTTACCAATGGTTAAGAAAAAAAATAAGATTGTTAATTCTCTTGTTCTGTGATTCTCTTTGAGAAGGTCCATATTTGTTGCTGAGTAAAATGACTAATGTTGAGAGACCTTACTAAATTATAGAATAAACCTCTTTGAAAGGTATAGTAACAAGAAATTACTGTTAGAATTATTTACACTTACCATATTGGGGTTTTACAGCATCATTTAACTGCTAGAGCTATTTTTAAAAATCCACATATTTCACAGTAACCATAGAAAAAAACCACCAAGAGGTGTAGGAAGTAGAAGGCTTTTAAATATATTTCATATTATTACAAGATGTTCATTTTTCCAACTAGCTATTTCTTGTTATTGTGTACATGGTAGGAGGAACAAAAAAGGATGTTTATCCTGACTTCACTCACTGAGGGAGAAAATAAAAATGGCAGGGTGAAGTCATCTTATTATAATGTCGCAAATAGTTTTTAAAATCCAGAAATTTTGGCTGGGTGCGGTGGCTCATACCTGTAATCCCAGTACTTTGGGAGGCTGAGGCGGGTGGATCACCTGAGGTCAGAAGTTTGAGACCAGCCTGGCCAACATGGTGAAATCCTGTCTCTAATAAAAATACAAAAATTAGCCGGGTGTGGTGGCACACACCTGTAATCACAGCTACTCGGGAGGCTGAGGCAGGAGAATCACTTGAACCTGGGAGGTGGAGGTTGCAGTGAGCCGAGACTGCACCACTGCACTCCAGCCTGGGCAACAGAGTGAGACTCTGTCTCAAAAATAAATAATAATAATAAAATGAAATAAAGTAAATAAATAAAAATCAATCCGGAAATTTAAATAAAGGGGCATGCCAAAAATACTCATAGTAGTTAATTTTTACTGAATGCTTATTAAATGCCAGTTACTAGTCTGAACATTTTATGTATTCTCTTATTTTATGATCACCCAGTAAGGAGATCTAATTATTTATTTCTTTTTAATAGATGAGATAACTGAAGCCCAAAGATGAAAAGCAGCTTGCCTGAGGTCACACAGCTAGTATGTAGGGGAGCTCAGATTCAAATCAGGGAGCCTGACTACAGAATTGGAATGCTTATCTCCTCCTGCTTCACATATTCATGAGACATATGCAAAAGCCGAGACATGCTAATGTGAGAATGTGAGTTAGCCTTAAGCAATTTGCTTTATGAATAACTGTATTATAATTGCACAATAATGATACAGTGAATAGGAAGTGTTAGTAGAAGTTTTAAGACACAATTAAAGATAAGTTGTAGAAATAAAGAATACATTCCTCTGGGACTGATTGTCAATGGCAGTTCATTTATATCAATATATTAACCCTAAGCAATTAATCAGAACTATGATCATATCTTTATTGTGAACATCCATAACAACTTGACAAATACCCATTTGTCCTAAAAGTACCTCTCCGGAGTAGTCCTGAGGAGACCAGATAATATAACTGCTATTACAGCGTCTGAGATTTAAGTGGAAAAAAACCCAAAGGCACAGAAAACTCAATTTGTCCCAGTGTGTTCAGCATGCTTAGCCTTGTTGCTGCCTCACACACTTTCCCCCTCTAGGTCTCATGGTACATATGTCAGAGCTCTAAGAGATGAGTTTAGTGTTGCCCAGGCCAGACCAACTTCTCCTCTCTGTGCATCCTTGCAGCTAAGGAGATCAGCCTTGAATTGTTCAACTGAGAGGAACATGCCCATCCCTACTTCTGCATGGAAGGATGAGGGAGGGGAGGTGCGTCTAAATTACCTGCAGGGCTTTCCCAGCCAACATTCCTTCCCCTAATTCCTACAGAGAACCTAATAAGTCACTAGCTTTGAGGTGTCTTGGCTTGCTAAAAGTTTAAGGACAGCTAAATTAGACAAAGCATGAATACGACTGAACCTTTCAGGATACCTGTGGGGCTGCTTGCTTTGTTTATTGGTTCATCCATGGAGAAGAGCTAGCCTTACTCTTGCCTCAATGCCACAAACTCTGCCTTTTACTCTGGAGGACAGTCTCCAAAATGTGTGTCACTGATTACAGGGTGACATGGAGAAAGCAGAGTTCGGTCTACACCAGTTTATCACTGCTTCTGACCAAAGGCCAAAGATGTGGCCAGTGTGATGTCATCTTTGTACCCAGAAGCACAGCTCATTACATGTAACAAACTAATTTTATGGAATTTTCTGATATGAAATCAAAGTATGCTATCCTCAAGAGAAATATTGCGATAATCTAGGTGAAATTAGTATTGCAGCAGGATGACTTTCTTTTCTTATCTTAGCTTTTATTTCCCCGGCAATGTTTTCAAGACATGTTGGCTGTTTTCTTTTCCACTCCAAGAAACCAAGTGCCATAAACTGCAATTGGTTCAAAGATAAATAATCTTATTTTGACTTAGCACAAATCAAAACCATATCGCATCATATAAAGTTGCCTCAAATCAGTGATTTTTAGATAAAGTTAATGATGCTTTATGCACACACATGCATTTAACCATTTAAGTCAAGTTTTTAAAGTCTTGTGACCAACATCAATTCCGCAAAGTACTTTTCTGGCTATTGGGATGTGCTAGGTATCTTTTAATTGTTCTTAGAAAATCCTGCTGCTTTGATATTTAGGGTGGAGAGACCGAATAGTGCAAAAACAAACAAAAAACAAGAAAACCCAAAACCAACCACTAATGTCCCCCTTATTATAATTTTCTGACAATTGAGAATTATGTTAGTAAATAGAACTTTTTTCTTTTTGAAGATTTAGTCATTTTGTGTTTTGAAGACATTTAAAAAATCTCCAGTGGAGATACAAAAAGCAGCATAGCTATAAACTTGACTTGATATTATTTTTCTTTGTTGGCTACACCTGGGTTTGCCTTTTTACCTATATTATCTCTAAGTCACACAACAGCCTTGCAAGGTAGGAGTGACTGGGTACATTGGGGAAGCTGCAGTTTGGAGGAATGCCATGGTTGAGATCAGGCAATGATTACCTGAAGGAGCCTGAGTTAAAGATCTGGGTCTCTCTGGCTCCAAAGCCACTAACCCCAACTTGATTTGCTGAATTATCAAATGCCAAGGAGAATAAACATCATTTGTAGAGGAAAGGTGAGAATGATGTGATAGTGTTTGCATTCTGCCCTTGGACCCTGTGGGGACAGCCAAGGCGGGAAGGGTCTTCAGCCCCCTCAGCCTGCCTCTTTGACTCTCTCTGCCTGAGACCACTCTGTTTGGCCTCTCCTGTGATCTTTCAAATTTTGAAACTGGTCCAGCATGAGGCTACCTTGATAAATTCTGATAAAAGTGTCACATGTCTAGGTCTTCGTCTGGCAGTTTTGTGGTTTTTCAGGCCTAATTTTACATGGAGAAAGGCAAATATATATATATATATACACATACACACACACACACACACACGCACACACATATACACATTCACACAGAAGAACTGAATTAGTCACAGAGTTGAGAATTGCTGGTATTTTAAGCAAAAATACCCTCCCATCCTGAAGCAGACGAGGGTTGGTATCTGGATTTTAGAATCTTCTAGATGGCCTGCATTGGTTCCTTTGACTCCACTAGATTTCCTCAATGACTGTCTGACCCCAGTGGCACCTTCCTGGTGCTTCTGGACATGATGTACCAACCTTCCTGGGTATTCTTCATTTCAGGACCCTGGAAATCACACCCTTGTTCCTCACTCCTCCTTGATATTTCTCCTGGCAGTTCAGGTTTCCTGATGTGCTTTCTGGCTGGGAGTTCCCACAGGTGTTGTCCTTCAATGAAGGTCCGTTTCACATACTATGAAGCTGGTTTCTCTACTTTGTCCTTATAATGGCCTTCGGTCATTAGGGAGAATGCCATTTTATCCTGGAGTGCAGGCTAACAAACTCCTATCTCTTCCTGTTTTCTTCATGAACTTATTTTGGGTCACCTAGAAAATTCCCAGCCCCTTCTGAGAGCTTTCAGTGAATCATTTGCGAAGCAGAGAAGATGAGCATGTCTAGGACTAAGCAATTGGGGTCTTCCTAGATCAGTTACTCCTCTCTGCCCACCTCTCCAGGTTTTCTCTGATGACTCATTATCCAGATGGTACTGGAGGAAATGGAAAGTCTTTCCAAAGTATTTTAATGATCCCCTCAAAGCACATGGCATTTTTTACATACCCTGACAGGTGGGGGCTGACCTGGCACTATCAGCTAGACCGTCATGTTCTCCTGCAGAACATAAACAATTTCATAGATCAGCACCATCAGACAAGACCATGCTGTGACTTGTGATGAACAAAGACATAAAACAAGACCATTCTGTAATCATGCCAGGCACTGACAACCACATGAACGTTGTCAAAACCACAGAAATGACCAAGCATCCCCCCTGCTGACTAATAGCAGTGCTCCTGCAGCCTTACTATTTTTCACTGTTGCCTGCTTTTTTCTTCCTGCTTCTAAGTAAATCTTAAGATATCCCATCATATAACTATGGCCACTTCCTGACAGCATCCAATCCAGGTAATCTTTGGGCCCTCCTCCAAATATCTAACACAAGTCCATGTCCTATGTTAAGTCCTCTCTAATACCCTCTTACTGAGACACCCCACAGTTCCCCATGGTACATGTCTTCTTCATTGCACAAGTCAATAAGCCAACTTTATCAACTGTAGGTATTTTCCTGGTACCTTCAGCTGGAGGACGTTGTCAATATCATGACAATATCATAAATACCTAATACTTATTTAGCACTTGCTATGTGCCAGATGCTGTTGTAGGTTCTTTGCATATATGAACGCCTTTAATCTTTGTAACAAATTATGAGATTGACACTTTTATTATTCCCACTTTGTAGACGAGGAAACTGAAGCACAGAGAGGTTAAGTGGAAGTCCTGTTTCTCTAAAGAGGGACATTTCATCACAAGTTCTAGCAGAAATTACAGAACAGGCCAAGAGAACACTTCATTTCTCCATGACCTTTAGGACCAGGGCGACTGAGGGCTAGGCTCATGCCCTTGGGCTATTCCAAATGGGGAGAAGATCCTCTCTACTTCCTCATTTTAAGTCAAAACCTCAAGGGCTGGGGAAAGAGTGAAAGAGTAGGCCAGTTTGTGAAGACTTATTATTTTCTTCAATGCAGAAATATGATCTCTTGGCAAGAATAGTGAGTTTATATAGATTTTTATGTATCATCTGCATATATCCTATGATATTTATTGAGTGCTTTCTCTGTAACAGGCAGAATTTTAGATGTTTACTAATGAATGACAAGCTTGCGATATCTCAGTGCTCATCTCACCCAATTTCTCAGCAACTTTTGACACAGTTGATCTCTCCCTCCTTGAAAAACATTCCTCAGTTGTTCCTGGGAAACCACACTTGCAGCCTGTCTCCCTGTCTCTCTGACTGTGCTGTCTCAGTCTCCTTTGCCTCCTCTTCTTCCTGACTGTTACACATTCCTGGAGTGGCTGTGGCTCAGATTGCCATTGTCTTCTTTTCACCATCTATACTCGCTTCCTGGGGCATTTCATCCAGTCTCATAATTTCAAATAACTCCCGCATAACTGATGCCTTCAAATTAATATTTCTAACCCAGAATTTGGCCATAACTACAGACTGCTATACCAAACTGCCTGCTTGACACATCATGTCACCTATATCCAGTCCATCAGAAAATCATTTCAGCTCCCAATTCCAAATATATCTAGAATCCAACCACTTCTCACCATTTTCACTGGTGTCACTCTACCCCAGACCCCTGTTTGTTGCCTGGATTAGTGCTATAGCCTCCTAACTGCTCTCCCTATTGTTACCCTTGCCCATCTGCAATACTCCTTCCTTTCTTCTTATGTTAAAGTATAACATAGATATAGTGATGTGCACAAATCTTAAGAGTACAGCTTGATTTCTACAGATGTTTATTCCTGTGTACTTAACACCCAGATCAAAAGATAGATCATTCCCAGCCCCCCCGCAGGAGGCTTCCTCCCGCCTCTCTCAGTGCTAAAAGTCACCACTCTCTAGACTTCTATCCCCATAAATTAATTTTGCCTATTTTAACGCTCCTTATATATGGGACTATATGGTATATACTTTATTATGTCTGTTTTCTTAATTCAACATTACATCTGTGAAATTCATCTACATTGTTGCTTGTAGAAGTAATACATTATTTTTTCCATGTTTTATAGTATCCCATTATATGAATACACCATAATTATCCATTCTGCTGTTGATGGTCATGTGGATTAATTCCAGTTTGAGTCTATTATGGCAATTGTTGCTATGAATGAAAATGTGTTCATTCCTCTTGGGTACTCAATATTCTTAAAACAGAGGTCAGATGGTCCTGTTGAAATGTCAAATTACATTTCCTGATCCAAACCCTCCAGCAGCATTCCATCTTTTTCGGAGTAAAAGCTAGAGTTCTGGCAAAGGCCTACGAGACCCTATACTCCTGTACTCTAATATGGTCCATTTTCTAAAAGCATTGACATTGGAGCTCCTTAGAAGTAGAAAATCACCTGTCCCTCCTAGGTCTACATAATCAGAACCTGCTTTGAGCAAATCCCCCAGGTGATTCACACACACATTAAAGTTTGAGGAGCTCTGCCCTTGGCAGTCTGTCCGTTTGCCATCACCCATCCAACCTTGTCTTCTGCCACTTTCTCCCTTGCTCACTCCATGCTGTCCACATGGGTCACTTTGCTGTTTCTTAAACACCCCAGGCATTTCATAGTTGAGGGGTTGTCTGGGCAAGACCTGGTGAGCAGTTTCCTTTCCTGACCCAGTCATAGGGTTCCTGTGTGACCTTAATTTTGTGGTATGGTTTCTAACTTTTTATGCCCATAATGAATGAACTCAGAGGATAATTATGGGTGATGGACATAGGATGACTAACAGCAGGTAGCAGTGATGGGAGGTGGGGGAAAGAGAGCAGGTGGGATGAACAGAAACAGATGTCAGAAGGAAAAGATGAAGGCTGGAGTGAGGTTGAGAGCTCCCCTGGGGCAGGAGCAGAGTCACATTTCTCTTTGGCCTCTATAGTGCCTGTGTTGATTATATGGCCTCTTTAATTGAGGCCAGAATTTCTCAACCACAACACTATTGACATTTGGAAGTGAAAATTGTTTTGTTGTGTGTGTGTGGGGGTCCACTGCATATCATATGATGTTCAGCAGCATCCTTGACCTCTACCCACTAGATGCCAGTAGCATACTTCAATTGTGACAATCATAAGTGTCCCCAGACACTGCCAAATATCCCCTGGGAGGCAAAATCATGCCTGGTTGAGAACCACTACTTTGAGGCTAAAATATCCTAAAGGTATCAGGGAATTACCTGTACTTAAGTTCTTGACCACTGCTGGGCTTTGGTTTTACTCTCATTTGTGTCAACAACTGTAGAAGGTCTGAGATTTTTATCCTGCATGCAGGCCAGCAAGTCAGCCTGCCATAGTTTCACAGATGCTGGTGGAAGACACATGACTCCTGGGTCAGAGAAAAAGGACTTCTTACTGACATCAATGGTAACATCCAGTGCATTCGCATTTTCTTGCATCTGTTCTCCTTGTCCTCAGGTCCCACAGAAGCTATGTGATCAGGGCCAGGAGATACTAGATATGGCAGTGGATTGCATTACATGAGATGAAGTCTGACATAAGGAATCCAAATCCAAATATAAAGAACCAACATTTATTGACCCATAACTGTGCTTTTACTAAAATAATGCTAATGGGCAATAAGCATGCCTTTCCTTTTCTCTTGAGAGAGACACCATCTCTGTCTTCCAAGGGTTTTGCTGTATAAACATCCTAGGAAATATATTCTGGAGGAAACACTGTCAGTGTCTTTGCTCGAAAGGCATACAGAGATGTGGGAGATCCGTGGAGAATTGCCTCTCAAAAATAGACCACAAATTTTGGCTGCTTTCCTTTCCTTTCCACCATCCTCTCTGTCTTGGGGGTTCCTCCTTACTCATGAGACTTCACACAGCAGACCCTGTTCTTCCTTACTTTCTCCAAAACACACAGGTACTGAAGAGTGGCAAGTATGTGAGCCACTGGGAAAGGAAAGTGAGAAGGAAATGAAAAATGGTCAGGGGATCAAAACAGAACAAGACAGGGGAATCTTTTAATTATTCCAGAGTTAAAAAATGATCTTGGCCAGGCGCGGTAGCTGAGGCAGGAGGATCACGAGGCAGGAGGATCATGAGGTCAGGAGATCGAGACCATCCTGGCTAACACAGTGAAACCATGTCTCTACTAAAAATGCAAAAAATTAGCCAGGTGTGGTGGATAAAAGACATATACCAAGATGTCCTTTTCAACTCAAGCAGATGAGAGGCCACAAGAATAACAAACATTGGGAAAGTTATGAAGGCTTAAGCAATCCAAAAAGTTCTTATAATACTTATTTACTGTTTTAATACTGATGGATTTAGAACATTTATTCATTCATAAATGTGTACTGTTGTTGAAATAATATTAATCACACTGTTTCAAAACCTTCCACAGGCTTTCAGTATCACTGGGAATAAAATCTAAAACACTTACAATGGCCTGGAAGGTCCCACATGATCTGCCCTCCCCTGGCCCCACCCACCTCCATCTGACCTCATCTCACCTTGGTGACTTCATTTCTACTTCATCTTCCCTCACTTTGGCTGTTGCTCTTGTTAAATAAAGGTGTAAGCAATACCAAATATCAGAGGAAAATGAATTCACATATCAAAATTATTATATTTTAATTTATAAGTTTCAGTGAAAGACCTTAGGAAACAAGAAGGAAATTCACATTATTTAGGCACTTGCTGTGTGTGAGGGGCTATGCTGGGTTCTTGTGCATCTTTTCATGCTGGTTTTTGTGTGGGGAGTGATGATTTTTCTTCTGCTTGGTTAGTTAAGAGGTAGCTCTGAATTTCTAACTTATGACCCAATTTAACCTATCATGACCTTAGATCTTTTTCATGTCATGTTTACATGGTCATTCTTCCTTTATCTTACCTCTGTGTAGTTTGACTTCTCTTCCACAGATGATTCAGTCTAATCAAGAGCAGTATCTCCAGAGTAGCTAAGTATTGATATGAAAAGAAGATTTTAAATGAAATTTTGACTTTACCTTCTGAGTACACAGTCACAGTCAAAGTATAGCAATGTCATGGTGAGATTTTATTCCTCTCCATGTCTAGCATGAACTATGATATATAGCATGCACTACTGACTTTTTCTTCTTTACTAATGGAAGCTCTAAAAAAACTGTGAATTATTTTTATCAACTTTATCTGAAATTTCATAAAGATAATTTTTTAACTCTGGAATAATTAAAAGATTCCCCTGTCTTGTTCTGTTCTGATCCCCTGACCGTTTTTCATTTCCTTCTCAGTTTCCTTTCCCAGTGGCTCACATACTTGCCACTCTTCAGGGTAGAGTCCCAGGCCTTCCACTTCTAGGGGATCTCCCCCAACAATGGCTTTTACTTCCATCACTTTAACCTAGGGATATATGCTGGAAGTTCTCAAACCTAGAACTCCAATGTGGACCTCCTGCCTGAGTCTCAGATCCATCTATCTCACTGCCTTTTGGAGCCAGGGCTGCCACAAATGGTCAGGCGCTGTGACAGTGGAGTGGCTCCATGTAAATGGATGCCTACACCTGACTGTTTCCCAGGCCCCGCAAATTCAGCACATCTGAAGCTGAAGTCATCTGGCCTTCAAATTGCTTCTCCTCCATTCCCTGGCTCAATAAATGGCACACCTGTATCCACTAACTCTAGGATCCCCAACCCCTGGGCCACGGACTGGTACTGGTCATTGGCCCATTAGGAACCGGACTGCCCAGCAGGAGATGAGCGGCAGTGAGTGAGCATTACCACCTGAGCTCCACCTCCTGCCAGATCAAGGGCAGTATTAGATTCTCATAGGAGTGTGAACCCTGTTGTGAACCGTGCATGTGAGGGATGTAGGTTGCATGCTCCTTATGAGAATCTAATGCCTGATGACCTGTCACTATCTCCCATCACCCCTAGATGGGACCGTCTAGTTGAAGGAAAACAAGCTCAGAGCTCTTACTGATTGTACATTATGGTGAGTTGTATAATTATTTCATTATATATTACAATGTAATAATAATAGAAATAAAGTACACCATAAATATAATGCACTTGAATCATCCTGAAACCATCCGTCAACCTGGTCCATGGAAAAATTGTTTTCCATGAAACTGGTCCCTGGTGCCAAAAAGGTTGGGGACCACTGTGCTTGCTGATCCAGCTAGCAGCTGAGGAGTGTATTGGTTTCCTAGAGCTGCCTCAACAAGTGTGCTAGTTTTAAACAACTGAAGATGATTATTTCACAGTTCTGGAGGCCAGAAGTCTGAATCGAGGTGTGTCAGCAAGCCCACCGTCTCTCTGAAGGCTCTAGGGGAGAATCCTTCTTTGCCTTTTGCAGCTTCCAGTGGCTCCAGGCGTTCCTTGGCTTGTGGCTGCATTGCTCCAATCTCTGCCTGCATCTTTACACAGCCTTCTCCACCTGGCCTCTCTACTCTGTGTGTCTTTTATAAGGACATTTGTCATTGGATTTAGAGCCCACTTGGGTGATCTAAAGTGATCTCATCTTAATATCCTTAATTATATCCCCCAAAGACTTCCAAATAAGGTCACATTCTTAGGTTTCTGGAGTTAGGATGTGGACCTACCTTTTAGGGGCCACCATTTAACCCACTATAGGGAGTCAACCCCTACTCTTCCCTTCCTTCTCCACCCACATTCAGGTTCCCACAGTTCTTACTGATTCTATGTCCTTTGGTGCCCATCTACTTCTTTCTGTCTGTGCCATCCTACTTCAAGGCAACATCAGCACCTGCCTGTCTGAAGTGGACACTTCCCTAGTGGGTCTACCTGTGTTCAGTCCTGTTCCCCTCTATTCCTCACAGGGCGGCCAGAGGGCATTTAAAATGCAAATCTGATCATGTCACTGTTCTGTTTCAGTGACTTTGTGGCTCCCCACGAAGTCTAACATCTTTAGCATGGCTTGCAAATTCCTCCAGGCCTGCCCTCCTTCCTCCATTACCTCAGTCGACTCTTTCCTGTTTTCTTCAGTAGCCCTTGTAGGATTTATTTCATTTCCTCAAATTCACCATGCTCATTCTTCTTTCCAGGCTTTGGCCCATGCTGTTCCCTCTGCCTGAAGTGCTCCCCATTTCTCGCCCCTCATTCCTATCTCCCCTCACCTGGCTAACTCCTATAGATCTTCAGCTTCAACGTCATTTCCTCACAGAGGCCTCTCAGGACTGGTTAACTAGCTCTGGCAGCCCTGCCATGCACTTTCATAATGCCCTGAATTGTGCCTGTCATAACTGTGATGACCAACATTGAAATTTCTTCTTTAATACTTCTCTGCCTCTGCTAGACTAGACTCGATGAGGGCAGGTGCTGTCTTCCATCCTTAGCATCCGGAGACTGCCTGAACTCTCCATGAATGGATGGCAAGTGAGGGAATGAATAGAGAGTCATCATGAATAGTTTATTTTCCAACGATTTATTATAGGAATAATTCTGAATTTCTCTAAGAATAAAACAGGAAAGTTGTGAGGCTAATATGACTTTTTTTTCAGGGTGCACATTTTCAACTGCTAAGTCTTGTGACTGGGTAAACAAGCCAGGGGAGGAGTGCCTTGTGCTTGAGAGCTGGCTCAGGCATGGAGGCCCTGTCTCGGAGCAGACTCTTCCTCTCATGATGTGGTCCCTCTGTGATTTGGTACAACTTAAGGATCTGTGAGGAAGGTATGTTAGTTAAATTTAGTCTGTTGTTTTTGCTTTATGTATTTTTTAAAACTACAATTGTTGGCCATGTTTCTAGACCAACTTCCAAACAATAAAATCCTACTACACAGAGGCAACAAGTGAAGAACCTGCTCACCCTCTTAGCACAGTCTCATCTCCTCCCAAGAGGTGACCCCTTTTAAAGCGTGTTTTAGATCTCTGCATTTACAGTCTCAGGTAGTTATTTATAGCCGTGTGAAAAAGGAATAATACATCCCCATTTTATGTAACTTTCTCATGGCCACACATCTGCACGTTTGTAAATGCAAACTTTGCCTGGACATCCAGGCATGTCTGTACATCCTCTGAAACTGAGGTGGAGGTTCCCAAAGCTCAGTTCTTGACTTCTGTGCACCCACAGGCTCAACACCACGTGGAAGCTGTCAAGGTTTGGGGCTTGCACCCTGTGAAGCAATGACCTGAGCTGTACCTTGGCCCTTTTTAGCCACAGCTGGAGCTGGAGCAGCTGGGATGCAGGGCACCATGTCCCAAGGCTGCACAGAGCAGTGGGGCACTGGGCCTGGCCCGTGAAACCATTTCTCCCTCCTAGGCTCCTGGGTTTGTAATGGGAGGGGCTGCCACGAACAGCTCTGAAATGCCCTGGAGACATTTTCCCCATTGTCTTGGCTATTAACATTTGGCTCCAAACTCCCACTACCAATTTTCTGTATTAGTCTGTTTTCATACTGTTACTAGGTAATTTAAAAAGGAAAGAGGTTTAATTAACTCACAGTTCTGCATGGCTGGGGAGGCCTCAGGAAACTTACAATCATGGCAGAAGGTGAAGGAGAAACAACGCACATCTTTCATGGTGGCAGGAAAGACAGAGAGAAAGGGGGAAGTGCCACACTTTTAAACCATCAGGTCTTCTGAGAACTCGCTCACTATCATGAGAACAGCATGGGGGGAACCACCCACCATGATCCAATCACCTCCTACCAGCTCCCTCCCTCTATACATAGGGATTACAATTTGAGATGAGATTTGGGTGGGGACACAGAGCCAAACCATATTAGGGGATGAGTCATTCAATCCAAAATATTTATTTTGTATCTATTATGTGCAAGGCACTCTTCTAGGCACCAAGGTTATGGCAAGAGAACAAAAGAGAAAAAGATACTTTGCCCTCATGGAGCTTACATTTTAGAAGTGGGAAAAAGATAAAATAAAATTTAAAAGTGAATTATATAGTATATCTGAAGGTAAAAGTTCAGTAAAACAGGGAAGGAAAAGGGTGTTTAGGGGGTGAAGCACTTGGAGTTTTAAAAAGTGGAATCAGTGAAGCCCTCACTGAGAAAATGATATTTGATGATAGTAACATCCAAATCGTAGGATTGTGATTTATGATTAAATGAGGAGTAAATGAGTTAATAGAATAGTATCTGGCACATCATAAGTACAATACAGGATAAATATTAGCTATTATTTTTATTCTTTTTTTTTTTTTTTTTTTAATTGAGACAGAGTCTCGCTGTTTGGCCGAGGCTGGAGTGCAGTGGCGCAATCTCGGCTCACTGTGCAAGCTCCACATCCTGGGTTCACACCATTCTGCTGCCTCAGCCTCCCGAGTAGCTGGGACTACAGGTGCCCACCACCACGCCTGGCTAATTTTTTTGTATTTTTAGTAGAGACGGGGTTTCACCGTGTTAGCCAGGATGATCTCAATCTCCTGACCTCGTGATCTGCCTGCCTCGGCCTCCCAAAGTGCGGGGATTACAGGCATGAGCCACTGCGCCCAGCCTATTCTTTTTGTTTTAAATTGTTCATCCACAGCAAGAATATATCAGAATTTATTTAATCATTCTCTTACTGGTAGACATTTAATTGGTCCCCAGTTTCGTTCAATTACAAATACTGTTTATATTGAATAGTCTTGTATGCATTTCTTTGATCAAATACATAAATATTTTAGTAGGTAACTTCCCGGACATGAAATTATTGGGGAGAAAAGCATGAAGATTTTCTATCACACAGATACTGTCAAATTGTCCTTAAAACTACTGTACTCTTCTGCTTTCCCAAAAATAGTGCATGAGTGCACTCTCACCAACAAAGGATAGTATCAATTTTTATCTATATGAGACTCAAAAATGAGATGTTTGTTGTTTAAATTTTATTTTTCTACTACAAATGAAGTTCAACATTTTTCATAATGTATTTTTTATTTGTATTTATTCTTCAGTGAAATGCCCTTTTTCTATTGGGTTAACTTTATTGGCTTGTAGATTTTCTTTACTATTATTTGTTAAATCATATATATAAATATGATAGGCTGAAAGTATCAGTTTATATTTATGTATTTGTGTACACACACACACACACATATCCACTCACATGTGGCTGTTGAACACTGGAAATGTGACTAGTGCCTCTGAGAAACTAAATTGTTAATTTTAATTAATCTTAATGTAAATATTCAGTATGGCTAGTGGCTACCATGTTGAACAGCACATCTCTGTAGTAACTTTATATGTCTGGCAGGTAAGACAATTTTCAAAGTTTTCTTTTTTTGTATATTTTCCTCTCCAAGGAAATCTTACAATGAGCTTGTAAAGTTCACTAAAGTAATTTCTGATCAGATTTTGATTAGTATTTCTTCCTGGGTATTATATTTACAATATTGTGAATAACTATTAATGGATTTTGGCATATAGAAAATCTGTAATGTTTGTGTGTTGATTATATATTCAACCATTCTGCTGATTCTGATTAGAATCTTGTTGATTCTAATAGTTTGTTCAGTTTATTTTCTTGAGTTTTAAAGCTAGGCAATCATTATCTAGTTGTATTTATTTATACTTTTACTGTACTATGGTTAAAAAAATATGGCCTATGTGATTTCAACTTTCATGAATTTATTGGGATGTTTTATTGTGGCATAATACAATGTTCCCTAAATATTTATAAAGAATTTAAAAATATTTATTGGCTATACAGATACACACATATTAAGCTTGTTGATTTAATTGCTTAATCCTTAATATCACTACATTTTTCCAATTTAACCTGTATATTTCTGAAAGAGATGGTTAAATCCTACCATTATTATTTATAATTTGTAATTTTTTTTTGTATTCCCAACAGTTTTGCTTCATGTCATTTAATGTTTTGTCTGATTTATAAAAAATTCTTAACTCTTCTATCTTCTTCATTAATTATATATGCCTTTTATCAATGTTAAAGTGTACAACTCAATTAATTTACACAGACTGAACATATTCCTTAAGCTGCATCCCAACCCCTTGCAGTCACTAACCCCACTTAAGGATAGCCACTATCCTGACTTCCAAGAGCATGGGCTAGTTTTTTGTCTAATTTTGATCTTTTTACTTCTGGTTTATCCTTTTCTGTGTCTGGGTTCTTTTGTTCAACATTAGGATTATGAGATTCATTCATATTGTGTGCGGTGTTATCACAGTTTCTGTTGGACTCCCTCAGCAGGAGCTAAAACTGCAAGCCAGATAGAGAAAACATGCTGGCACATGAGGGGCATGTGTCTCCCTTCAGAGATACATCTGGGAATAGGGAAGGAAGGTTCTCATCGCTTGGGCTGCATTCTTTTCTTCTGTTCTGCATTACCTTTATTATCTCCCGTTCCAGATGTTCTCTTTATGCACCTTTATCCTTATCTATTACGCTGTTGGTTTCCCTCAAATGTCTGGTAGCCCTTGGTTGCCTGTTCAAATGTATGATGAAGAACCAGGTTGACTATCTTGAGGAGCTGGCATGGATTTTCTGTGCAGTCTGTGGGCCTTTTGGAATGTGCAACATGTGCCAACACAAGAGCTTCCCTTTAGGGTGGATGAGCAAGAAGCAGGCTGAAGAACCCCACAATTGCCAGAGAACAAAGGTTTACTCTGGGACGAAGCATGGTGTCATACTTCAGGTCTCAGTGGTACTGCCTTCTATTTTTTCTTTCTTTCTTGTCTGCTGTCGAAGTGCAGAATTGCCTCGATATCAGCTCTTCTCTTTCAGACCCCATCCCCTAGAATAAAAGCTTCCCCCAAGAGATTTGCCACTTTGGAGAAAATTTGGCTGGGGACAAACACTGCCACCTCTGTGTGTATTGGAATGGAGGGGCACCATTTGTTGTTACGTGGGTAGGTATTAAATTATTTCCAAGCTTGGAGCTTCTCCGGCATTCTTATAGGCAGAATAGTCCTCCCTAGAGTCTGCTTTAGGTTGTAGTTTCTTCTACAGAAACTCCTACAGGTTTTACCATCATTTTGATCCCATCTGCTTTCTCTCTTTCAGAAATTTCTCAACATTTCTGAAAATGTTCTTGCTTTCCAGCACCATTATGGAGATATTCTTTTAAAAAATATTGTTAGCTTATTTTTATATAGATAAATACAAAGGAGAAAAAAATGAATAGTCTCTTATGTCACTACCCAGTAATCCCTGCTTACATTTTTCCTTTTTAATGTATTTTTTAGTATAATGAGTGAACTAATAAATAAAAGATTATATAATACATTTATATGGAAAGAAGAAAAGATTACCATAGTACTATTATTTCAAAACAGCCTTGTTTAATATTTCAGTTTTTTTCTCTGTGCTATCTTTTTTTTTTTAGTTTACTTGTTATCCTCTCTAAAAGAATTTTATATTATGCTTTTTGCACTTGACAGTGTGTCTAAGCACTTTCCAGCACTGTGGCTAGCCTTCACAATGTAGGAAAGTCATTGTAACGGTTGCAGGATATTTTGTTGTATTTCATTACCTCCTTATCCACTGCCCTGCAATTGGACAGGGAAACAGATCTCTAACTTCCCAGGCAGCCTGAGTACAGATTCATTCTGAAATGAAGGCTTAAGGGATTTTATTTCTTTATAAAAATTATAAATTTTTGAATAGTTAATATGTGTACATGAATCAAAATTCTAAAAGAACAACAAGGTATATATTGAAAACTTCCTCTTACCCCTGTCCCCAGCCACCTGGTTCACCTCCTCAGATACATCCATTCCTAGTTTCTTGAATAGTCTTTCAAAGATAGTCTATACATAGTTAGGCATATTGGAATATGATTATATGTATGTATGTGTGTATGTATATACAGAAATGACAAAAGGTAGCTTACTATACCCTTTCTGTACCTTGCTTTTTCCATTTAACAATACCTTACAGAATTTTCCACATCAGGACATGTAGCTGCATAGGGATGATGATGATGATGATGTTGATAAGGAGGAAAAGGAGAAAAACAGTTTCTACTGAGTGCTGATGCTGCTGGAAAGTAGAATTACTAGATCAAAGAGTAGGTGCATTTTAAATTTTAATGTTGTTGTTTCCAAATTCAGCCATAGGGTTGTACTACTTTTATATGCCATTCTCATTAATAATGAAGTCTCAAAACAACCTCAGAGGTAGTTAGTATTATTACCCATATTTTACAGATAAGGAAACAGAGAGATTAAGGGACCTACCCATGGACACAAAGCTAATAAGTGGTGGTGGCAGGATGCAAATGCAGACAGTCTGGTTGCAAGGCCCAGACGTGGCCCCTTCACTGCGCCTCTCCCTTGTGCTGCCTTGTGCAAACATCACCACCCTCCATCTCCAGAACATTTCCATCGTAACCAAATGAAACCTTGTACCCATTAAACACAAACTCCCCACTCTCCACTCCCTCCAGTCCCTGGCAACCACCATTCTCCTTTCTGTCTCTCTCTATTAATTTGACTACTCTAGGTATAAGTGGAATTATATAATTTGTTCTTTTGTGATTGTTTGTTTCACTTAGCAAAACGTCTCCAAAGTTCATCCATGTGGTTGTATGTGTCAGAATTTCCTTCCTTTTTATGGCTGAATAATATCCTGTTGTGTGTATATGTACATTTTGTTTACCGAGTCATCCGTTGATATGCACTTGGGTTGCTTCTACCTTTTGGCTGTTGTGAATAATGCTGCTATGAATGGAGGTGTACAAGCATCTGTCCAAGTCCCTGCTTTCATTGCTTTTGGGTATAGACCCAGAAGTGGAATTGCTGGATTATATGTTAGTTCTATGTTTAATTGTTTTAGGAATCACCTTACCATTTTCCACAGCAACTGCATCATTTTACATTCCTGCCAGCAATGCAAAAGGGTTCTGGTTTCTTCACATCCTCACCAACAGTGGTTATTTTCTGTTTTTGTTGTGTGTTTGTTTGCTTTATTTTGGATAATAGTCATCCTCTTGGGTAGAAAGTGGCAATTTTTTTATTTTTAATGTATGAAGTATGTCCATATTTTCCTTTATTTTCCCTGCCTTCCTTGAAAACATCTTTGCCTCTCTAAGATTATACAAGCAGTTTCAAAATTTTACATGTATTTATTATTTCATTTGGTACATTTAGGGCTTTGATTTATCTGGAATTCATTTTCTGTTTTATTTGATACTGGGCACACTAATTGTCTTCCCCCAAACTGAAAACCAGTGATGCCTGCATTGTTCCTGGAAGCTCATGCATTTTCCTTTCCACCATCCTGTCATTTCTGTGGCTCCTCCCCACCTCCCCCACACATACCTGGGGCCCATAATGAACCACTATTGTTTTCAACACTTCATATCTTAGCTCGCATGTCAATACTATCAAATTAGGCTTTCAGTTTCAGCAAAGGAAGTCAGTGTGACTAAACAACTCATAATGTAAAATGTACATCTTTTCTTATTAAGGAAAAACATTCAAAGGACCAGAAAAGTTTTATAGTATAGAATTTTAATTACATTTATATTTATGCTTCTGAAGTTGACCTCTCATTCCTTATCTGTGGCTATTCAGTTTGGGTTTTTATTTAGCATTACTTTGAAGTTGGGGCGTGGTGAGTGTCTACAGGGATTAAATAGTAACAAATCTAAGATTTGCTGGTTGTAACTGGGTCAAGCTGACCTTTCTGTAGAAATCTTAGATTTATACAAATCAGAACATAATAGCATGTAAAAATAATGACTTTTTTTCAGTTTGAGGAATTAATGGTATTTTCTAAAATAATGAGATGCTATGTTATTTTTGTGATCATATAGGAATATGAATGTTGGAAGTATTATTTTCCAGAAATGGATAACTAAAAATGAATACTTTCCATAATCTACTTTTGTTTTTATATTAAAATCAGGCTTAAATGAGAAATTTCTAGCTTAAAGACTTGCCTAAAATTATTTAGCATTGGAAATAACCTGCACCATGAGTCCTGAAGCTCAGGAAGTTTGGGGACCTTGCCCACAATCACATAATAGAACTAGAATTTGAACCCAATTTCATGTGACTCTAAAGTGTGTGTTCTTTCCATAAGCAAAAAGGTGTGGAGAAGTGAGCATGTGTGGCCTCAGTGAGGCTTGAAGCCTGGGGTCAAGGAAAAGCCTGGCAGGACATGAAGCTAGACTGTTAAGTTGGGATGGGATTTTTAAAGACCATGTCTTGTCTAGGAGCTAAAGAACCACTGAACATTTTTAAGCAGGAAAGCAACACCAGATCATTTTTGAGAGAGGAATCTGGCAGTAGCATAAAAAGTAGATTAGAGGGGGAAGAAACCAAGAACAGAAAACACAGTTTAGTGATCACCTCAGTGGTTCTATTGATGGGTAATGATGGTCTGAACTGGAGTAGGGGCTGCAGATAGGAGACTTGGTTCAAGAGTTACTCAGAGATATTATAATTAGATTTTGCTCTCCATTTCCCAGTGGAGATCCCAAAGGACAGTTAGAAATATAAGCCTACAGCCAAGAACAGTTCTAAGGTAGAGATTTGAATGTAGACGTCATCAGCAAGAAGTAGTGGTTAGAGCCCAGAAGGTGATGCTATTATCAGGAACTGAGAAGACCAAAAGGAGGTGTCTGAGAAGGACATTCTGGGGGAAAGTGAACAAATATGGGATTTGAAGAGGGACCCTCTCTGGAAAAGGCTCCAATGCCTGGCTGTTCTTAGGAGGTGCCTTTTCCCTTTGTATTTTAGTTATGGGAGGGGAGCAAGACTTGCCCTTTTAGAAGAACTTCCTTAGCTTCCTGTTCTGTCCCCACCTTAAGCATAGACAATTCTTTTTTTTTTCTTCTTTTTCTTTTTTGAAACAGGGCCTTGCTCTAGTCACCCAGACTCTGTCACTGCAGCCTCGACATGCCAGGCTCAAGTGGTCTTCCCACCTCAGCCTGCCAAGTAGCCAAGACTACAGGTGTGTGCCACCATGCCCAGCTAATTTTTATTTTTCCTAGAGACAGAGTCACACTATGTTGCCCAGGCTGGTCTTGAACTTACGGGCTCAAGCGATCCTCCTGCCTCAGCCAGCCAAAGTGCTGGAATTACAGGCATGAACCACTGTGCTCAGCCTAATTTTCTCATAGAGCCAAAAGCTTGACCTGGTCTTTCCCAGGGTCTTGGTTCAGAGCCCCAGACCCACATTTGTGCAGCAGAGTAGAGAAGGCCATCCCTCAAGAAATGTTGAGAAAGTTGAGTTTACAGAATGTGGTCATTATTTGGACGTCATGGTTTCTCCCAGTTAGTTCTCTGAGGAATTAGATAAGCAAGGAAGAGGAAGTCACAAGGTCCATGGAAGGCTTAATTTCAGAGAGTGGTAGTCGCTAAAATTACACACTACAGTGGATAGGGGCATAAAATGCTGGTGAGAAATTGGAGGCAATGAGTATACAGGCTCTTTCAAAGAGATTTAAACGGAATAATTTGGGTCAGTCTATACCCCAGATCAACTTAGAGCTCATTATATGTGCCTTTTTTAAATTCTTGCACTAATTATATAGAAAGGTGAAGGATTTTGAGATGGCAATCAGATACACTGTCCATTCCACCCCAATTTTCCATATTAACGTGATTATTGCAAGTAGACGGCAAACTTTGGCTTTGGAGCAGGCAGGCCTGGGTTTGAATTCCAGATCTGTCACTTAATAACTGTGACCACGGGGAAAATCACTCAAATTCTGATCCCTAGTTTCCTCAGCTGTAAACTGAGATAATACCTTCAGTGGCAGGTAATACTAGTTGGATTCCATTCCAACTCCCTAATAGCATGCCTGCCTATACAACAGAGGCTAGAAAGCCACAGAGAACATTTCCAGACTCCCTCGCACCTGGGTTTTACATCTGACCTGGTTCTGCCAAGTAGGCACCCCTGAAGGAGACTTGGGAGGTGGAAGTGGGCAGTGAAAAGCTTCGAGACGACATTAGCTCTTGTAAGCACAGTAGCAGAGGTGACATTTCAATATTTAGTCCTGAGCACCTGTGGCAGGAGGCAGTAGCTGTGGAGTTCCCCTAGGAGAATCCCACGTTCTGGCTGAACATTTCTCCAGAATGGCTGCATCATTCCTGATAATGTAGAGTGCAAACTTACTTCCATGCTCCCCCAGAAATTCTGTAATTGCCAGATACCCTGAAATCAATCTTGTTCTGTTCAAACTACTGTTTAGGATGGATTCCATTGTCTGCAACTCATAGACTAACCTCATAGGGTTTGGGGGAAGATTAGGCATATTAGAATATGAATATATGTAACTTGCATATACTGTGCACATGGTGAGCCACATTATTATTTTTATTAGTGCATCACCTGTTGTAATAAAATCAAGCATGCTGCAATTTCTTAAGAATTTTCTTTGAGAGACTGAGGTGAGCAGATCACGAGGTCAAGAGATCGAGACTATCCTGGCCAACATGGTGAAACCCCATCTCTATAAAAATACAAAAATTAGCTGGGCGTGGTGGTGTGTGCCTGTAGTCCCAGCTACTTGGGAGGCTGAGGCAGGAGAATTGCTCGAACCCAAGAGGCGGAAGTTGCAGTGAGCCAATATCGCGCCACTGCACTCCAGCCTGGGAGACAGAGCGAGACTCCATATCAAAAAAAAAAAAAGGATTTTCTGATATTGTTTTTTGCAGCACGTCTTGGTTCCAAGATTCTTAGGTATCCTAATTATTATAGAGTATAATACTTAGGTATCCTAAGTATTGTAGAATAGAGGTCTTTTGTGCACTGTTGGGAATGACATAGTGGAATATTAGCTATCATACTATGAAATATGTACTCTTTAAAATGAGGAAATACAGGATAAATGAAAACACCCTTATTGTTTTTACTCAATAGACAATCTGGAATTGTCTTCAACTTCAGTTGACAGTGCTAATAACTTACCAGACACTGTTAGGAGCTGTGACTTTCAAGAATTTTAGATAATGGTTGAGAAGTTGTATTAGTCCATTTTCACGCTGCTGATTTCACCTGAGACTGGGGAGAAAAAGAGGTTTAATTGGGTTTACAGTTCCGCATGGCTGGGAAGGTCTCAGAATCCTGGCAGGAGACAAAAGGCACTTCTTTCCTGGCGGTGGCAAGAGAAAATGAGGAAGAAGCGAAAGCGGAAACCCCTGATAAACCCATCAGATCTCGTGAGAGTTATTCGCTGTCATGAGAATAGCATGGGAAAAACTGGCCCCCATGATTCAATTACTTCCACCTGGTTCCCTCCCACAACATGTGAGGATTGTGGGAGATACAATTCAAGTTGAGGTTTGGGTGGGGACACAGCCAAATCATATCAGAAGTGGATGGTCTTTTGTTGTTTCTTTCCTAGGTTCTGTCAGCTGCTCAACTTACTGGCATCTTCTGATCTTTTTAGAAAAAGTCTAAATATTTATTTTGGAATCTACCTCTTAATACGGCATTTGGCATAAAACACAGGTTTTTGCCAAACTGAAATTCTCATTTTTACATATGGCAACCTTATTGTTTATAATAAGATGTTACATGTACGCGTAAGAATGGATGTAATTATGTTGTAATCTTTATTGGAAGATATATAATAAGATGCTGTTACCACAGCTTTTAAGCCTTTGAATAATACTACAACTTGGTTAGTATTCAATTATTTTTATAAGTTATTGATAAAGGGGGACTTTTTTTCTTAAGGCAAAAAGAACTTCAAATTACTACTGATTTCCTCATTGAGATTCTTCCTAGACTGGACATTGAACATTTAACATATCCGTCAAGCAAGTTAAGGTTAAATGCCACTTGCCACAGCTTTCATTATGGCTGCTTTGTTTTAACAATGTTAGTTTATGTTTTGTTTTTACCTGAAACATCGATTTTCTTTTGGTTTAGAAGGTATTAATAATGTTTCTATTAAGTTAACAAAGGCATAGATAAATATAAAATACTCTCATTTCGGATAAAAACAAAACAAAAACAGGTCTACATGACCTTTTGTGGTAGAACATGTAGAATAACTTTTTGGCAAATAAAAGTTTTGCAAATAAAAACCAAACTTTTCTGTCATGTGAATATACTGTGCATAAATTAAAATGTCATTGGAAACTAAAACATAGTAGTAAACTGATTTGTTTCTCAGAGTTGGCCTAATTATTTCTCAAAAATAGGGAAGGCTCCAGTAAATATGAAATTAAAACTGCAATAAGAATGATTTTGGATAATGTCATTGCCTTTGTGTTATACAATGTTTTGTGTGTCCAAATGAAATTTAATAACTTTACTATTTTATTAAGGGGAAAATTGTATTAAATAGTCTGTGGACCTTTACATAATTGCCTCTTTGGAAACTCAACAGATTGACAAATTACTGAGGTCAGTAATTTTGTGGCTGTTCTTAATATTTTTTAAACAAAGAAATTGAAGAATGAAAATACACAGGAAAGAGCTGATGTAACAATTTTATGAATGTGTTTAGAATGTGGTTCCTCCTGCTATGATATGCTAGCTTCCTTTTATGTTTTTTATTTTTATTTTTACTTTTATTTTTATTTTTTATTATACTTTAAATTCCGGGATACATGTGCAGAATGTGCAGGTTTGTTACATAGTGCCATGGTGGTTTGCTGCACCCATCAACACGTTATCTACATTAGGTATTTCTCCTAACGCTATCCCTCCCCTAGTCCCCCTACCCCATGACAGGCCCTGGTGTGTGATGTTCCCCTCCCTGTGTCCATTTGTTCTCATTGTTCAACTCCCACATATGAGTGAGAACATGTGGTGTTTGGTTTTCTGTTCCTGTGTTAGTTTGCTGAGAATGATGGTTTCCAGCTTCATCCATGTCCCTGCAAAGGACATGAACTCATCCTTTTTTTATGGCTACACAGTATTCCATTGTGTATATGTGCCACATTTTCTTTAGCCAGTCTATCATTGATGGGCATTTGGGTTGGTTCCAAATCTTTGCTATTGTGAACATCGCTGTAATAAACATATGTGTGCATGTGTCTTTATAGTAATTTATAATCCTTTGGGTATATAACCAGTAATGGGATTGCTGGGTCAAATGGTATTTCTGGTTCTAAATCCTTGAGGAATCACCACACTGTCTTCCACAATGGTTGAACTAATAATCTACACTCCCACAACAGTGTAAACGCGTTCCTATTTCTCCACATCCTCTCCACCATCTGTTGTTTCCTGACTTTTTAATGATCACCGTTCTAACTGGCATGAGATGGTATCTCATTGTGGTTTTGATTTGCATTTCTCTAATGACCAGTGATGATGAGCATTTTTTCATATGTTTGTTGGCTGCATAAATGTCTTCTTTTGAGAAGTGTCTATTCGCCCACTTTTTGATGGAGTTCTTTTTTTCTTGTAAATTTAAGTTCTCTGTAAATTCTGGATATTAGCCTTCGTGAGAGGAGTAGATTGCAAAAATTTTCTCCCATTCTGTAGTTGGTCTGTTCACTCTGATGATAGTTTCTTTTGCTGTGCAGAAGCTCTTTAGTTTGATGAGATCCAATTTGTCAATTTTGGCTTTTGTTGCTATTGCTTTTGGTGTTTTAGTCATGAAGTCCTTGCCCATGCCTATGTCCTGAATGGTATTGCCTAGGTTTTCTTCTAGGGTTTTTATGGCTTTAGGTCTTACGTATAACTCTTTAATCCATCTTGAGTGAATTTTTGTGTAAGGCATAAGGAAGGGGTCCAGTTTCAGTTTTCTGCATATGGCTAGCCAGTTTTCCCAACACCATTTATTGAATAGGGAATCCTTTCCCCATTGCTTGTTTTTGTCAGGTTTGTCAAAGATCAGATGGTTGTAGATGTGTGGTGGTATTTCTGAGGGCTCTGCTCTGTTCCATTGGTCTATATATCCGTTTTGGTATCTTTATTTTTTATAATTTCAACTTTTGTTTTAGATTCAGGGGGTGCAGGTTTATTATGTGTGGCGCTGAAGTTTGGGGTACGAATGATTCCATCACCCAAATGGTGAGCATAGAACCCAACAGGTAGTTTTTCATCACTTGCTTCCCTCCCCCTCTACCCCTTCTAGTAGTCCTTGGTGTCTATTGTTGCCATCTTTATGTCTATAGTTACCCAGTGCTTAGCTGCCACTTACAAGTGAGAACATGAGTTATTTGGCTTCCTGTTCCTTTGTTAATTCACTTAGGATAATGGCCTCCAGCTGCATCCATATGGCTGCAAAGGATATGATTTAATTCCTTTTTATGGCTGCATAGTATTCCATGATGTATATGTACCACGTTTTCTTTCGCCAATCCACCATTGATGGGCACCTAGGTTGATTCCATGTCTTTGCTATTGTGAATAGTGCTGCGATGAAAATATGAGTAGATACGTCTTTTTTGTCAAATTATTTATTTTCTTTTGGATATATACCCAGTAATGGGATTGCTGGGTCAAATGGTCATTCTGTTTTAAGTTCTTTGAGAAATCTCTAAACTGCTTTCCACAGTGACTGAATTAATTTACATTCCCACCAACAGTGTAAGCATTCCCTCTTCTCTGCAGCCTTGCCAGCATCTGTTATTTCTTATCTTTTTAATAGCCATTCTGACTGGTGTGAGATGGTATCTCATTGTAGTTTTGATTCACATTTTCCTGATTATTGTTGTTGAACATTTTTTCATATGCTTGTTGGCCAAGCATATGTCTTCTTTTGAGAAGTGTCTGTTCATGTCCTTTGCCCACTTTTTAATGGGATTATTTGGTTTTTGCTTATTGAGTTGTTTAAGTTCCTTATAGATTCTGGATACTAGACCTTTGTCAGATATATAATTTGCAAATATTTTCTCCCATTCTGTAAATTGTTTACTCTGTTGATAGTTTTGTTGTTGTTGGGCAGAAGCTCTTTAGTTTAATTAGGTAACATTTGTCAATTTTTGTTTTTGTTGTCATTGCTTTTGAGGACCTAGTCATAAATTCTTTGCCAAGATCAATGTCCCGAATGGTTTATTTCAGGTTTTATTCTAGGATTTTCATAGTTTAAGGTTTTCCACTTAAGTCTTTAATCCATTTTGAGTTAAGTTTTGTATATGGTGATAGGTAGGGGTCCATTTTCATTCTTCTGCATATAGCTAGGAAGTTATCCCAGCACCATTTATTAAATAGGGAATCCTTTCCCTGTTGCTTATTTTTGTCAGCTTTGTTAAAGATCAGATGGTTGTAGGTATGTGGCTTTATTTATGAATTCTCTATTCTTTTCCATTGGCATACGTTTCTGCTTTTGTACTAGTACCATGCTGTTTTGGTTATTATAGCCCTATAGTGTAAAGTCAGGTAGTGTGATGCCTCTGGCTTTGTTCTTTTTGCTTAGGATTGCTTTATCTATTTGGACTTTTTTTGGTTTCATATGAATTTTAGAAAAGTTTTTTTTCTAGTTCTGTGAAGAATGATGTTGGTAGTTTGATAGGAATAGCACTTAATCTGTATTTTACTTTGGGCAGTATGGCCATTTTAATGATATTGATTCTTCCAATTCATGAGCGTGGAATGTTCTTTCATTTGTTTGTGCTGTCTCTGATTTCTTTCATTCCTAGGGGTGTGTGTGTGTGTGTGTGTGTGTGTGTGTGTGTGTGTATGTGTGTGTATCTGTCTGTCTGTTGTAAATGGGATTGCATTCTTGATTTGGCTCTCAGCATGACCATTATTGGTGTGTAGAAATGCTACTAATTTTTGTTTGTTGATTTTGTATCTTGAAACTTTACTGAAGTTGTTTATTAGGTCTATTTATTAGGGGTAGGAGCCTCTTGGCAGCATCTTTAGGTTTTCCTAATATAGAATCATATTCAGTGAGGAGGGATTATTTGACTTGTTTTTCCATTTGGATGCCTTTTATTTCTTTCTCTTGCCTGATTGCTCTGGCTAGGACTTCCAGTACTACATTGAATAGCAGTGGTGAGAGGGGGCATCCTTGTTTTGTTCTAGTTTTCAAGGGGAATGCTTCTAGCTTTTTCACATTCAGTGATGTTGTCATAGGCTGTGAGTTTGTCATAGATGGCTCTTATTATTTTGAGATATGTTCCTTCGATGCCTAGTTTGTGGAGCGTCTTATGTGCTCTCTTTGAAATTAATTGTGGTTCTCTAATTGTTAAACTAGCATCAGATAAGCCTGTAAAATCCTCAGAGTGTGAAGTTATAATCAGGAACATTTTGATTTCAAATTATTCTGTAGAGCAGTATCAAAAGGTCCAGAGATAAGAAAATTATTATTATAAAAGGTCTACATTTCTTTTAAAATACGATAAAGAATTTTGTATTTAGGATTTGTGTTAACAACCATTAAGAGAACTTGCTGCACATGTTCTGTTTTGCTTTTATTTGTTGTTTTTAATGTCAGTAATTGGGAAGGAAGGTTGAAAATGAATGTACACATAGTTAAAGGATGCCAATTATTGGTAAGTTAACAATTGCATTAATTCATTTATCCCTTTATGGTTATTGAAAAATTTGACAGTCAAGTTTATTAATTTGATTTTTAAGATGTGTGCAGATATAGACCTATGAATTTAAACATAATCTTATGAAATTTAGAATAGTTAATAACATTTTAATTGATAATTAACATTATAGATCAAAATATCTTTCATTAGAATGTTTTGCTCATGGAGAGAGTCTGCATGGAATTTTTTCTCACTCTAGGCCCATAGTTTATCACAGATACACAACCTTGCTGATTTTCATAATTTATCTATGAAAGATGGACAAGATTGCCTTTATTCTTAACAGTAAGGGAACCGACTCAGAATATAATATTTGTTCATGACTAGTTTTTTAAATATACTTAAATTTGAGAGTAGTTTTAGGTTTTTAGAAAAGGCATATAGAATTCCTGAATACCCTACATTCTTTGTGCCCTGCTGTTAACATCTTACCATTACCATGGCACATTTGCCACAAATAAGAAACTAACATTGATCCATTACTATTCAATACATCCCACGTTCAGATTTCATTTGTTTGTCTCTAATGTTCTTTTTCTGTCCCAGAATCTCACCCAGGATGCCACATGACATTTAGTCTTCTTGTCTCTTTAGCTTCTTCATCCCTCACGCTGCCCTTTCATACTGTTTTCATTGGGAGCAAGTAACTAAGCAAAGCCCAAGATCAAGGGGTGGGAGTTAAGCTCCACTTCTTTGAAGAGGGAGGAGGAGTATGTATATAAATGAGTTGGAATTCTTCTGTACAGGATATTTGTCTCTTCTCCATTTATGTTAGTATAGGCTTATGGATATTTATTTTGTACTTTAGGTTATAATCCAACACTATGTTATTTATTTTGCTGATAAAATTGTTCCAGCTTTGGACATTAGGAGCTCTTTCAGATTGACCCCTGTGTCCCTTTGACATACTCCATCATCATTATTATTATTTTAGTATCTCTTGACTTTCTGGCACTATAAGATTCTGTAGGCTCCTCTTATACATTTCTTGCCCCAGTCCTAGGCCAGCTATTTCTCTAAGGAGCCCTGGTTTATTTATTTATTTTTTTTTGGAGAGTAGAAATCATGTCTGGGTGTTTCTGGGTGTTAGGTATGCTTGTTTGCAAGGGGTTGTTATTGCCTCTATGCCCTGTCAGTGGACAGAGCTGAGAAAATGTATGTACTTACACTAAGCCATGAATGCCTAATCTATGCATGCATATAGATATGCATATCTATAATTTCATCCTTGTCTATGTCTGTATCAAGCACTAAGCATGAGTTCATACGGATGTCATTGGCTCTAATCCAGTACCACATGGTTCATTCTAGTCTTTTCCTCTTGCTTGTTTGTAATCTCCCTGTTTAATAATAAGAAACCTGGCTTCCACCATCTTCTGTCAATTTACTTGTTGCTCATCTCCAGTAGACATGTAAAGCAGTTTCAGAATTGTTAATCTGTAACTCGTGAGAGACAGTTTTACTCACTAGAGTACAGTGTTTATGTATAGTCCTTTGTCTTTAGTTTTACAGTTTTTAGTCAAAATACCATTTTCCAAAGATAGATCAGTTCTTTTCCCCCAACCCTTCATTGAGGTTGTGCCACACATTTGTAGCACAGTCAGATTATTTTGTCACAGTCCCCATTCCATCTTGTGCATCCCTTGCCCTTTTGGCTGATTTGTAAAATTTGTATGCACTAAGGTTCACTCTGTGCTGTAAAGTTTTATGAGTTTTGACAAATGCAGAATGTCATGTATCCACCACGATAGTACCATACAGATTAACTCCATCACCCTGAAAGCCCCTCTGCTCACAATCTTTTGAGAGTTCCCAGGTAATCTCTTTCAGGTTGATATCTCAGGTTGATCTTTTGTGGGAAAAAAAATATGAGCTATGAGTCTTTCATTTCAGGTGACGGTTCTCAGTCCCGGCTGCACACGGGAACTATCTGGAAGCCTTTAGAAATTATGGATGCCTGATTTTACCTCCAGATCCTGACTTAATTGATCCCACTTGGTTTAGTTGGTCTGGGAGGTATATCTGGTTACTAGACCTTTGAAAATCTCCCCAGATGCTCATGATGTGCAGCAAAGGTTTAGAACCAGTCTGGACTCCTCTATTTCTTGTTTGCTGCCTTTTGATAAAAACACAAATAATTAATTGCTGTATTTACATCACTTTGGGGGATATGATGAATCAGTATGTAAGTTTTGTAAATAAGTAATGTGGCAAGGATGAATTTCACACACTAATCTTGTGCAAAAACACATCTATTTTTAAACTCTAATTGAACTCAAAATGAACCTCAGTTTCTCTTGGTGACAGCAAATTTAATTTTGACAAGTCAAAGTTACTCAATTACTTCTAGTTTAAAACTCGGTTCTTTGGGAGAAAATAGTTGAATTCAGCTTTCCTCCTCCCCTTCTCCGTTCATCTTTTCCCTGGTATGACCTAGGCTTGGGTCCAGGTGATCTCAGGTGGCACCAGCATCAGGGAAGGCACATCTAGCCAGATGCATCTGGGGATCCCCAGACAGAGAATTATGGCCCTGCTTCCTGTGGAGAATGTTGGGAGGGAGCAGGTACTGCAGAGCATAAATGGTTTCAGAGCAGACCTCACAGAGAGCATGCCTAAGAGAGGCCACTTCCGTCTCCCTCAGCGGCCAAGGGGTGTGAAGAAAGTCTGCAAGGTTCTCACATCAGCTGGAGAGGGCCAGAGAAGGTAGCTGAAGATTGAGAGCAGGTGGCCTACCAGAGTCCAAAACCTTGGGCCAGGGGACCCCATAACACACACTTGGGAGTGAATATAAGCCAGTGGCTGAGTGGGGAAGGCCACTGGATCCCAGAGGATCAGTAGCACCTGAGAGTATGGCGATGATGGTTACGCCAGCCTGGAACATGGCCACATGCCCTTAGGGAACATCATGTGGCGCTGTCCAGGTTGATTGAACAGAAAACAAAGCAGAAAAGCACTCTCGGGTGCTGCTGATCCTCTGGGATCCAGTGAGTGGCCTTCCCCACCCAGCCACTGGCTTATGTTCACTCCCCAAGTGTCTGTTATGGGGTCCGCTGGCTCTAGGTTTTGGACTCATTGGTAGTCCCCCTGCTCTCAATCCGCAGTTACCTTCTGTGCCCCTCTCCAGCTGATGTGAGAACCTTGCAGACTTCCTCCACACCCCTTGGCTGTTGAGGGAGATGGAAGCGGCCTCTCTTAGGTGTGCTCTCTGCAAGGTCTGCCCTGAAACCATTTCTGCTGTGCTGTAGCTGCTCCCTCCCAGAATTCTCCGCAGGAAGCAAGGCCACAAGTCTTCTCTGTTTAGGGATTCCCAAACCCATCTGAGGCTTCCGTCATATCTTCTGGTGATTTAACCTCCCAAATAGGCCAAGGAGCCAAGCCCCATCTTTACATCTAAACTATCATTCGCCCCTCCCAGCTACTCCCCTCAGTAGAAAGAGGGCATGGAGGGAAAACTAAATCACATTATTAGTCCTTCCTCTCCTCTTCCTTGCATCATGAACTCCCTGTGTATTGCCCTCTAGCTTGGCTAATGACATGTAGTGCCAAGATTTTAGAATTAAAACATCAACAACAATGCCAACAACACTTTTCTCTGTCAAGAATATAACTCTCTTCAAATAATGGGCTTGGGTTTACAGACAGTTGCTTCTCCTGAGTATTTTCTAAAAATCAATTTAGAAATTCAGTTTCCTTCTCTGTTCTGAGCCATCTGCCTTCTGTTCAAAGCAGTGAAAGGCACTGAACAAAGTGGTGAAGAACTTGAGGCGAGAAAAATGTGGCAAAGAAAAATCTCTATAGATGTCTCAAAACAACACCCATCTACTATGATATTGTGGTATGATATGGAGCAAATAAATACTCCAAATAAATTTCAATTTGGAATGGATTTGGAAGGCAGATTTCCATGCAAGTAGAAATAAAGGCCAATAAGATGTATCTACATTTAAAGACCCATAGATCTTTCCACACATCCAATAGGAAAAGCTGGACATTTATTTGAGACTTGGCTAAAGCTCCAGACCACAGGCAGTCAAGACCTCAGGGTGTAAAAATGGAATATTGATATTTATTCTGTATTTATTCCAGGAAGATTTCACTGCCAAGGTGACAGTTGGTGAGAGCTGTCCAAAGGAACTTTAGTCAAAGTCTGTTGAGATTTTTTTGAAAAAACATGAATTAAAGCAATTGAAGAATGAATCCGCTGGAAAAACAGATTATTAACTATTTGTTCAGATTCCAAAGATGAGTAACTTTACTTTGTCTTTTGTTTTGTCCTTAGCTGGAAAGGCAGCTCATCATGCAGAGTGAAATGAGGGAAAGACAAATGGCCATGCAGATTGCGTGGTCTCGGGAATTCCTCAAATATTTTGGAACTTTTTTTGGCCTTGCAGCCATCTCTTTAACAGCTGGGTATGTTTGCTATTTAACATTTTCTTCAGTCATTTACTTCTTTTTGTGTTTTCCATTACCATTTTATTATGAAGTTGGCCAGAATAAGACTTTGGTCCAAATAGTGTATGTAACCAAAGTAACCTATTAACCTTAGTCCTTGGGGGTAACTCTGTGAAAGCAAGGCAGTAACAGTTAATTTAGTTTCCTAGGTTGCTTCTGTCTTTTTCTCTACTTTATTAGTTAGAGAGAGAGAGCACCAACTTGACACCAAGAAGGGCTCTATGTGTTTATCTCCACAATCCCTTAGTGGTAGATACCAATCCTTACTCATTTTAAAAACAAGGAACCTGAGCTTCAGAGTCAAATAAAGATGAGCAAGTCACAGACCTTGCCCTTGAGAACTGCAGAATCTGGTTAGGGGTATTGGGTAAGGAAATCCTATTTCCATAGAATTATCAAATGTGTTAAGTAACTTCTGAAGGAAAAGGCATTCTTCCAAAAAGCAGGTATTTTTTTTTCTTTAAGTATACAGATATGTATTTACAGGTTATTTTTTGATATTGGTTCTTCTTTTAATTCTTGAAACAGAGCGATTAAAAAAAAGAAGCCAGCCTTCCTGGTCCCGATTGTTCCATTAAGCTTTATCCTCACCTACCAGTATGACTTGGGCTATGGAACCCTTTTAGAAAGAATGAAAGGTAAGTCTTTGGTAAACTAGAGTTTCTATTTGCTGATTTATTTTCCATTTCAAGGATCCCTGCCTTAGGAACCTTTGACTTATAAAGATTCTGACAAGACTCTCTCTTTGAACCTCCAATGAGCAACATTTCTGCTCCCTTTCACACAGTGGTGTCCTAGAGCCAGCTCATACCAGCTCACAAGAACCAATCGCTACATTTTCAGGGATTGTGTAAGCTGGTTGTTAAACATAGTCACTTAATGTATTAAAACTTTTATAAACTTGCAATAAATAAATTACAGCAAATAAATAATATTAAATTGTGTTTAAAACAAAGGTAATAAACAGAACTCATCTGTTTCTAAATATTTACTATTATCCATACTCTGGTTATTTATAGCTATTGTATCTATGTGATAGAAATGCAGATATAATACACAGACAAAACAAAATACAGCTACAGTCCAGTTTCAGTGACATCCCATTGGTAGCCTGAAGTTGGTCTTGGTGGGAATATTTACACAATGGAAATCTGTTGTTGCCAAATCAAGGCTTGACTTCTTATTTTGTTGATTGTCTGGACCAGGGGTTGAAAAATGATGGCCTGAGGCTGGCCACCTGTTTTCCAAAATAAAGTTTTATTGGGACACATCCATGCTCATTCATTTATGTATTGTCTGTGGCTGCCTTCCCATTACCATGACAGAGCCATCCTTGAAACAGAAACATGAGTCCACAAGCCTATAATATTTACTGTCTGGCCCTTTAAGACAGTTTGCCAACCTATGGTCTAGATTTTAAAACTTGATGAAGAAAATGCTAATAATGCAGATTAAGCTTAAAAGTGTGCTTTGTCTGTAACTATTACATTGTAAGTAGCATAAAAGTTGGTGAAATATTCTTCTAATATTGAAAAACTATTATCCAGTTCAGCAAATAAGTTGTTTACATCATTCTCAAATAAATGAAGTTCCAACATTTGTCTTGAAGGAAACAATTGTTTCACTTTTGTCCTACTCATTAGTGTAAATGAAAACACCAACCATCATCCATTATACTCTCTCATCAGCTGCAACATAGGCTGGCTACAGATTCAAGCATTCCATAAAAATCAATGAAAGCATTCTGTGAGAATCAATTTAGTATGTGGAATTTTATGTACATTTTATTATGATACATATTTTTATGTATAGTGAACATGTATAACACGTGTAATAAACATATATATTATACATTTATATACATTTTATTTTCAGAGAACTGGTTGGTAAATATTCACCAGCATACTGCTGCTGTCACAGAATCCTGATTTTTATTGCCCTGGAATTTGACCCAGCTGGCACAGAAATTTAATAGGAAATTTTTGTGGGAATTTCCTGTTTAAAAAAAAGTCAAATTCATCAGAAAACTTATCACATTAGAAAATGTAGATTATAGTTTTTTTCCATGTTAATAGTGATGACCCTAAAATATACAATCCCTATTCGACTGAGTTTATCATCAGCCATTCTTTTAACACATGATGAGAATTTACCAACTGGAAGAAAGGCTCTCTCACGTGGAAAACATCTAGTCTGTCATCAATGGCCAACCTAATTACATATAATTTTATAATGAATTTTACTTGCTATTTGAGACAGAGGTAAAAAAAATAAGACATTTGCAGATGATTGAAATGCTCTTATAATTTGAAAACTATGGTCTGTTCTGTTGGGTTTGGAGTACAATTAATAGTGTGTTAAAGGAAGGCCAGGTGCAGTGGCTCACACCTGTAATCCCAGCACTTTGGGAGGCCAAAGCAGGCAGATCACTTGAGTTTGAGACCAGCCTGTCCAACATGATGAAATCCTGTCTCTATGAAAAATACAAAAAATTAGCCGGTGTACACCACCTGTAGTCCCAGCTACTCAGGAGGCTGAGGTACAAGAATCACTTGAACCCAGGAGACAGAGGCTGCAGTGAGCTGAGATTGCACCACTGCACTCCAGCCTAGGCGACAGAGCTAGACACTGTCTCAAAAAAAAAAAAAAAATAAAATAGTGTGTTAAAAGAGGAGTACTCACAGAAAGTGTTACCTTTTAATCCCAAGGGAGGCTTATAAAATGTAAACATGTACTGTAATACAATTTTTTACAATGTGCTAAGTAGTCTTCGACAATAAAACCTGGCAAATGTCACTGGGCCCAAGAAATTACTGCGTTGTGTAGCTCTTTGAAAGAGGAATTGTTTATAAAGATGTGTATATATGTATATTTGTATGTATACAGACTGAAGAACATTTAATATTATTTTAAGTGTTTACAAGTAATGTCAGGTTGAAGATTAGCTTTTCTGAAAAATTAGAATTTGTAGTAAACTTTACTTTCTCTCTTGTCACTTATATTAAAGGACAATGGGAAAGACTATGTGTGGTTTCTCTACCCAAATCCCTCCAAACAGAATTAATACGAATCCTGACTTTGGTTCAAGGGAAAAAATTACTTATCTTGATGTTCTTTCTCTTCTACATGTCAAAAATACCATCTGTAGCTCCTGATTTATTTATGGGTGTTCAGAATTCATCACTGTGTTTCCTCTGGGAAGTATATTACTTCTCCTGAGGAAAATGTTTAAGTGTGAGATTGGGGACATGGCTCATACGGTGTTAGAGCCTGTCAAGGAATATAGCAATCAGGCTTTGTCACAAATTGCTGATGACCCCTTTGTCACCTTGTGTATTTCTGTACTTTATTTAAGGTGAAGCTGAGGACATACTGGAAACAGAAAAGAGTAAATTGCAGCTGCCAAGAGGAATGATCACTTTTGAAAGCATTGAAAAAGCCAGAAAGGAACAGAGTAGATTCTTCATAGACAAATGAAATCATGCTTACCAATCAAATCTCAAAGCACAGAATTATTGACTTGAATCATGGTTTTTACAGTTTTTTAAATGCTCAAGATTTTGATATTATAGATTTTATTTTAAAATATTAAAATGCAAGATAGTTTTGAGCTATTTTAAAATAAAATTTATAACATTCAACACAAAATCATGGAGGTGCTCTAAATAACTTTTAGATTTCCTCTCTCTGTGTGCATTACCAATATCTAAGTGTAAAATTAATAAATTGTTTTGAATTCCTGGAAGCAAATGCCCAGCTGCTCTCATTTCTCTGTCACACATACTTTCCATACCACATTCCATTTCCACAGATGCTTCTGTATTTTGGATTTGTCAATTGTGTCCTGCCCCTACATGACAGAAAACAGTATTGTTTGACTAACATATATACTGCATTTTCTATGACTGGCACTGTTCTGAGTGTTTTGTACAAATTCTTGTAATCATCCCAATAATTTTATGAAGCAGGAATCATTTTATAAATGTGGAAACTGAAGCACAGATAAGCAGCTTGAACAAAGGCAGAAGCACGCAAGCCAAATCCAAGAAGTTGCTGCAGGTCATCCAATTTGGCTGGGCCAAAGCCATACTTGGCCAGGGCTTGGATTTGAACAAGTGTGGCTCCAGTGGCTGTGCTCTAAAAGGCCTTGACAAGGCCTTAACTGATGCTTAACCTGCAAAGAAAAGCTATAAAAGGGAAAAGGTAACAACATTCAAATAATGACTCAGGGCATAGTTGCTAGAGAGGTGGAAACAAGAGAGAGGTAGATTTGGATGACTGCCTTTTTATTTAGACTCACTGGGAAAACTCCTCATAAAATACTCCTATATATAAGTATTTCTTCAGATGCGAACCCTACATATAATATGCTCATTCCAAAGAGATTTATTGATACTACTTTGTGCCAGGCACTGTTGTAGACACTAGAGCTACATCGGTGAATAAGTAGACAATGTCCTATATCCTGGGCAGAGGAATATATTCTAGTGAGGGGTGGGATAATTGGGGCGGGCAACAAATTAACATCAAGATAAATAAGATCATTTCTAATCCTGGCAAATGCTTCAGTGGAAATGAAACAGAGTGATAAGAGAATGATTGGGTTAATGAGGTGGTGCTACTTTAGATCGGTACTGCAGACACTGCCTCTTTGCAGAGGTGACATTTGAACTGAGACATGGCATGGCCAAATAATAGAAAGAAGCCCAGGAAGAATAATAGGAGATTAAATATTAAGGTAGGAACAAGCATGAATATGATGTGGTCCCTACCTTCAAGGAGCTGACAACGTATCAACATGTGTTTTGTTACAATTTTAGCTTTAGAGAAACTTGAGCCAAGTCTTGAAGGATGCATAGAAGTTCTCCATGAAGGTAAACATTGAAGAGGAAGGGTGCCCCAAGCAGGAGAAGCAGCTTGAACAAAGGCAGGACCGTGCAAGCCAAATCCAAGGAATTGCTGCAGGTCATTCAATTTGGCTGCAGCAAGGGGTTCCTCATGTGGGAGACTTTTTCAGAAATGATCCTGGTGGAAGTACAATTCAATTCCTGAAGAGCCTTGGATGTAACAGCAAGCAGTTTGGACTCTTTCCTGAGGGTGATAGCAGTGAAAGAATGCAAAACGGGATTTTTACCCAAATTTGTAGATTAGAGGGGAAAGATCCCAGATCCCAAGTAATGAGGAGCTGCAATGATCCATCTGAGTGCTGACCAGTGGCCTGAATTAAGGCTACAGCCTTGGGAATGGACTCAAGATTATGAAAATAGAGAATAGCAGTACCAGGAAACCAGTTTGAGGTCACAGAGTGGGAGTTGTTTTCCCTGCATTTTTAATCTGTGTGGATTATCTAAGGCCCCTAGAGAACATGGGAAAGAAGAAGTACTGGGAGGAACACTGGTGGACTCATGAATGCCCAAGACCTAGTGCTGGTTGTAGGTCACACCAGAATCTGGAATTGTATTTCTTTCCCCACAATTCAATCATGCTATTCAAATGTTCCTGATATAGTCTAGCCAGAGCTCACCAAGAGTAGGTTTGATGCCTCTGCAAAGGCTGATCGGCTCAAGACCTTATCTGGGATTTTCATTGCTGGCAACATAGCCAGGCCCTGGGCCCCCTTAAGAACACCAGGCTGTTCAATTGTATTGGCTTCTTGGCTTCTTCCTCTGGCACTGACACTGAGTTTATTAATAATTCTACCTCAGTAGAGGCCCTGCTGAAAAACATACGCACACACTTACACTCATACTGTTGTTTGCTCCCAATTGTATAGTGAGGCAAAAATCAAAGTGGAGCTATTAAAAATGACCATGCAGCACAAGTATGTTGTAACATTTTTCAGTGTTATAACTGCTGATTATCCAAAGCTTTTCCTCTCATTATTACATTGTCCTTTTGTTGAAAGGAAAAACATTTCTGCTGTGATGCTTCTGAGCTATTTCTTCATTTATATTAATTAAATATTTATTTATGCTTATGATTAATCCCTAATTACCAACTAGACATCTGATGTTTCCAAATACTGAAACTTATATGGTCTTCTATAAGAAACTAGCTTATAATCATCACAAACTTTTGTGATATTGCAAGAAGAATGAGGAAATAAATATGAGAAAGTATATTAGGAGAAGGATAAGAAACAGGTTTCATTATGAACAAAGATTTAGAGATTAAAATAATGATAACCTCACTCAATCTCTTTGTCAATTATTAGGAATAAAGTTGGAGGAAAACTTATCTACACTCCATGTGGTTCTGTTCTTCCCAAGACATTCTTGGCTCAGCCAAAGCAATGCAGAGACTGCTAAGTATATGTGGAGTCTGTCATAGTTAAGGGATATAAATATGGATCCAGAGATTCTCTGCAACAGAAAGACTGTTCTTGACAATCACTGTATAATAGTAAAAATGCAGTTTATAACATTGCGTTACCTAAGTGTTTTGAATGTTTCTTATTCACATTTACATGAGAGAATTGTTCTCCCAGTTAAACAAAAATAACATATCAGGGTCTGAAATTTACAAATAAATCAAGTTTATATGGTGTTCAACCAATCTGAATTTGTGTTTATGGGTAATGTTGAAGGTTCCTTTATGGTGTGGTACTCATTGCACTTTGGAAAGGCTGTGAGAAAGTTCCCATAAGCCGAAGTTGTTTTAATGACAAATAGTGAAGTTATGATCAAGGATTTTAAAGAAGGGAAGACACTTAGAAATAGTCTAGTCTAAGCCCTCACCTTACACTTGAAAAAATTGAGGCCCTTTGTGATTGACCTAAAGTTTTATATCTAGTAATGGTAGTTACACTAAAACCTTTGTATTTGGTATCCCTGGCAGGATTCTTTTCAATACAACATGCTGCCTGATCAAGAAAAAATAGTGTCAAAGTCAAAATCAAATATAATTAAAAAAATTATCACACACATTCAGTCTCAGAGCCATATGAAGTGTCCTAGGGTGGGGTTAGAAGGGCATTGGTTAGAAGAGAAGTGAGAAGGAATAGACACAGATTGCAAAAATAATCTATGACCAATGTAACCTAAATATAAGCCATCTGAAATTGATAATATATTTTATAGACTTCCACAATTTTAATATATGAATGTTCAAGTGTGATATTCTAGAAACACAAGCCAGAACCTTGATACTTTTTCTGCCCCACCATTCTTGGAAAGGAATAAATTGTTACTGAGAAAATATAATTAAATAAAGCACATTGGTCAGGCATTGTGGTGTCTCTTGACCTTGGAGTGTGTCTGTTTTGTGAGAGGATTGGAAATGCTCCCTTAGATTTGGCCTTGTGGATGCCCACAGGAGATTTCAGGAAGTACCCTGCTTATCATCACTGTCTGGCTGTTTAGCATCTCCACTGATTTTTCTAATGATAACTCTGAGTCTGTCTGGAGCAGTATCTGGGCTGCAGATGTACTAAGAGACACAGGCAGAATGGAAGGAGGCGAAGTGAGAAAAGTCTGGAAAATAAGAAGGGGGCCAAGGAAGAATGGGATGGAGCTGACTCAACTGCCTCCGACAGTAGACAGCCCAAGAATGCCTGTTAGGGTTCAGCTCCTGGCTTGGTTGGGGGAGCTGAACCCACCAACCCAATCCAAAGACCAAAGCCACCAATGGGATCCCTCACAGGCCAGTTTATTTTGCTGTGTTAACTTGTTCCTCTGGTTACTCAAATGACCGAAGTGTGGCTGGGGCAGCACAAATTCATCATTACCACTGAATAAAAGCAACTGGAAACTGTATCCCACTGATAAGAACTCAGTGGCATCACTAAGTCTGAGGTTTGGATAACATTTCTGCCTCAAAATTTCTCGGTCCACAAGTGTCAAGGATTCAGTGATGGAGTGTTAGCCTTAGTTAGTTTATTTTTTTTCTCGAAGGACTCCATCTGTGGTCAGCAGCATTCCATGGGTGTTTTCTTCTCTGCACTTGAGGTGGAGGTAGACCCTGACCTGGAGTTAGTTTAAGCATGCCATTTGGTGTTGGGAGAACAGAGTCCATGTTGTAGGAAGGATCAGAAATCTAGGACTGTAGCTTGGTGAAGGTTTCAAAAAATAGTAAGGAAGTAAATGGCCATTGAATGTATGTGAAAGTCAATGGGTTAGAGATAGTGGTAGATATTGAAGTGTGATAAGGGAGACCTGTGAAAGGCTGTCAGGATAATGTTAAAATAATTTGATCAGACTTTGAGAAATACGAGTGACTTTTTCCTTCTCTTCCCACCATTCCCACACCATTAATTTACTGCTGATAAACATTTGACTTGACTTGAAGGTAGCACCAACTTTATCCACTAAGGTGATTTTGAAGAAAGATAAGCTAAGAACCCAAGATGGGTTCTGAGGCACTTAACAGTTTCATACTTCCTTAAAATACTTCAGAGAAAACTTGGTCTCTGGAATGTTTTTCTTTTCATCTTCAAAGAAATAAGAATTTTGGAAGCAGACCAACTGATGCTATCTATTTCAAACTAGTGATAATAAAAAGACACTTGGGGTTGGAATAAAGTTTGTGCTGATGAATAGTTGCTTCTCTCAAATTCAGTAGCTGTGGAAGACACAGGGCACTGGATTGACCTTGCAGCCAGTTTTCTTCTCTGAACTGACAGCTTAGGACAGGTCACAGGTGAATTTTTGCAAAGCCTGACACCTCTGAAGCATCCTAAAAATCTAGGTAAGCAAAGGGGTTCTGCTCAGTTTCAGACTTGGACATGGTCTCTCAAACAGATTATCAATTTCCTATTAGAGTAGGAGTGTTTTAGGAAAAGGAAACATTTCAAGTAGCTCATTGGTCATAGCTGGAGGAAAGGTGTGGTGGAGTGGGACAGGAAACCAGACCCACAGGAAACACAACTTGCCTTCAAGCTCATCTCTGGTCCCACCTTAATCTCTCCTTCTAAGGACCTCTCACAGGAAATGCTCGATCTCTTTTAACCTGACTCTAGCTGCTTATTTGCACAGCATCATGGAAACCTGTTAGAAACAGTTCTAAGTTGCAATACATTAAATAAAAAGTACAATGTCTTTTGACCAAGAAGTAGATGTATTTTTCACTGCTGTGACTTTGTTGCATTTCTAAGCATAAAGCCCACTTTAGCAGGTTGAATTGTGTTTCTTTATCTTAATGTTTCTTATCCCTCCCATCAGTGTGGATATTATCTAAGAGCAAAGAAGAACTTCATAAAATTCTATTATAATGTTCCTGCTGAATTATTTTGTTAAATTAAACATCATATGCTGCCAGAAATCTAACTATAAATTCAGAGCTTTGCATATTACATATTTACACTCTTACCTACTGTTCTCAAGTATACATCAGTGATGATTTTAATTAGACTAGCTTTTTCTAAACACACTCATTACACACTTGAGTTGCTTCAATACTATTCAATGTCCAACTTTTATTCTCACTTGTCACTTTTTAATCTGATTTCATGATGAAAGACCAGTTCTGGCAAACTCTCCTTTAAATTAAAAGCGAATGCATTATGATTTCATTTATATGAAGTTTAAAGCAAAACAAATCTAATTGTATCAGAATAGTGCCTACCCTAAGGGTTGAGGGTTGATCAGAAAGAGATATGAGGAAGTTATCTGGGAAGTTATCTGGGAAGAGAGAATTGTTTTATATCATAATAAAGATGTGGCTTACTCTGGTGTACTCATTTGTCAAAATTGTAAAGCTAATATGTAGGCATTTCAAGGTATGTTATATATGTAGTGATAGATATAGGTATATAGTGATAAATGAGAGATACAGGTGAAAAAAGAATGACAAAAATAATGATAGCCATTGCAGTTGTATAATGTAGGACATGAGGATTCTTTATACTGTTTTGTTTACTTTGTACATATTTGAAATTTTCATAATAAACAGTTTTTCATAATAAAGAGCTTTTAAAAGCCAAAGTACTTTCTAAATTGTTCAATCAGCAAACCTGATTTTGCTAGACTTTTGAAACTACATGCATTTTAAAAAGATAGATATCAAAACTTTAATCTTGATTGAAATATTACAATATGCAGAAGAATATATTTAGTAGGTTTAAAAACATGGTAGAAGTTGAGAGATTGATATCATCGAGATAGTGGAGTAGGAGATATAAGCCTTCAATCCTCCCCTACACACACACACACATACACACACACATGCACACGCACACACAAACATGGACAGCTATTTCCACAAACCACTATAGCCCTGAGACAGCTCAAGGGCCATTAAAGAATCTGCAGCAGCACAGTAGAGCAAAATAAAATGGAAACTATCCACTTAGAAAGGATCACTGGTGAGATTTGTATACCTGAGATTCCAGAAGACAGGAACAAAGAAGGAAGACAGATGCTTTTGGTATTAGCCAAATTAACTGTTGTGGTCCCCAGCAGCATTCTCTGCAAAGGACACCAGCGTCTTTTGATACTAAGGTACCCAACAGCCATTCTTACCACTCTCAGAGAGGAAGACATAGCTGCACTTCCCTCTGCCACCTCTTTTAACCCTGTGTGCCCCAACTCCCAAGCAGCAGCTGCCTTATGAGCGCCCACACTCTAGAGCTGTGTTCTGTGGCTTAACCGCCCTGAACACATCTTAGACACTGGATCCATTGCTATAGCAAGCTAGTTCACATTCTGGGCTTTAGAGTGCCAAGGTCACTCTGAGCATGCCTATGCCCCAGGCTCAACTGCCATAGAGAGCTAGATCTTACCCCAGCTCCCAAGTACTATAACTCTATGTACACCTGTGCTGCCATTCTCAGCTCCCCAGCTGTTTCACAAGCATATGTGCAACACATACCATTACCAATACAGCAGTGGGGGTACCTGCTCCCTGGGCACCAGTGCCACTACTGCCTACAGCCCAGAGCTATAGTGCCAGGATGTGTGCCTATGCCTTAGGACTAACCTCTGTGGCTGCTCCATGGGTGCCACTCATCAGATACCAGAGCCACCATTACTGCAAAAGGGCCTGAAAGCTGGTCCCAGTGCCAAGAGGGACCTGCCCCAATCTACAACTTCCCTGGCAGGAGGAAAAAGATTGGGAGGACTGTAGAAGCCATTGTCATGAAAACCCTAACAACCCTCACTGCTACTGTGGACATTCACAGCATTCGCTGCTGAGGATTCTGTAATCTTCAACAACACTGATCTTAGCTGACGGAACTATGTGGCTACTACCAAGGAGCCACACTCCAACCATCCAGAGCCTTTACTCCTCCCTGTTGAGGAAGGCCTTTTCACAGTGAAACTAGCCCAAATGTCTGAAAGAGATAACTGTTTCAACAAATGTGTAGACATCAATGCAATGCAACAAGAAACATGAAAAAACAAAAAGACATATCACTACCAAGAGAACACAATAGTTTTTCAGTTTCTGACCCTAGATAAATGGGAATATATGAATTTTCTAACAAAAAAATCAAAATATTTGTTTTAGGAAAGCTCAGTGAACTTCAATAAAATACAAACAATTCAATGAAATCAGAAAAATAATAAACAAAATGAGAACTTTAATAGAGCAATTGAAATTATTTAAAAACACACATAGAAATCTGGACCTGAAAAATACAATAAAAAATGAAAAAGTCAATAGAAAGCATCAACAGGGAGTTGGTTAATCAGAAGAAAGAATCTGTGAACTTGAAGACAGGTATTTGAAAATATACAGTCAGAGGAGTAAAAAGAATGAAGAGGAATAGAGAAAGCATACAGGATTTATGGGACAGCCTCGTAAAAGCAAATATTCAAATTATAGGAATTTAAGAAAGAGAGACAAAGGGACAGAAAGATTATTTTTAAAATAATAGCTGAAAACGACTGGGTGCAGTGGCTCACACCTGTAATCTCAGCACTTTGGGAGGCCGAGGCGGGCGGATCACGAATTCAGGAGATCGAGACCATCCTGGCTAACACCCTGAAACCCCATCTCTACTAAAAATACAAAAAATTAGCCGGGTGTGGTGGCAGGCTCCTGAGTCCCAGCTACTAGGGAGGCTGAGGCAGGAGAATGGCATGAACCCGGCAGGTGGAGCTTGCAGTGAGCTGAGATAGTGCCACTGCAGTCCAGCCCGGGTGAAAGAGCGAGACTCTCTCTCAAAAAAAAAAAAAAAAAAAAAGCTGAAAACTTACCAATTGAGTAAAGATATAAATTCCCAGGAGCAAGGTGAAAGGTCTCTAATCAGATACAATTCAAATAAAATGACATCAAGACAATTATAATCAAACTATCAAGCAACAAAGACAAAGAGAGAATTCTGAAAGCAGCAAAAGGAAAGAATAAAGCACTTATAAGAGAGTCCCAAAGGCTAGCAGAGAATTTCTCAGAAGAGCTCTTTCAGGCCAGGAGAGGGTGGGATGATATTTTCCAAGCACTAAAGAAAAATCTGCCTACCAAGAACAATGTACCTGGCAAAGCTGTCCTTCTGAAATGAAGAAAATTAAAGACTTTCCCAGCCAAACAGAAGCCGAGGAAGTTCATCACTACCAGACCTTTTTTTTTTTTTTTTTTTTTTGAAACAGAGTTTCCCTCTGTTGCCCAGGCTAGAGTGCAATGGCATGATCTTGGCTCACTGAAGCCGCCACCTACAGGGTTCCAGCAATTCTCGTGCCTCAACCTCCTAAGTAGCTGGGATTACAGGTGTGAACCTCCAGACCCAGCCAAGACCTGTCTTATAAGAAATATTAGAGGAAAAATTTCAAGCTGAAAGAGAGCTAAATAGTAACATGAAAACATGAAAGTATAATACTCATTGGTAAAAGTAAGTGCATAGTCAAATTTGGAATACTATGATACTGTAAAAGTGATGTGTAAATCACTTATATCTTTAGTATAAAGGTTAAAAGGCAGACCTATTAAAAATAAGAATAGCTCAATAATTTGTTAAAGGATACCCAATATAAAAAGATGTAATATGTGACATCAAAAAATAAAAATGGAAGATGGAAGATGGAGTAAAAGTGTGGTTTTTGTATGTGAAGTTAAATTTTTATCAGTTTAATAGTGTTATAAGATGTTTTATGTAACCCAATTACACCCAAATTTAAATGGATTAAATTTCCTAACTAAAAGACATAATAATATCTTATATGTTTCAAAACTGCTAAAAGAGTGTATTTTTTAGAGATAAAATTTTCTTTGTACATTTAAGGTATATAACATGTTATAAGATACATGTATTGTCATCCCTTGGTATCCACTGGGGCTTGGCTCCAGGACTCTGAGGATACCAAAATTCATGGATGCTCAAGTCTCACTGTAGGTCCTGTGGAATCATCAATGCAAAAAAATCAGCCCTCCATTTCTACTGGTCCCACGTCCAGCAAATACTATATGCTTGATCTGCAGTTGGTTGAACCCATGGATGCAGAACCCATGGATACGGAACTTATGGATATGGAGGGCCAACTGTATATAGTAAAATGGTTACTATAGTGGAAAAAATCAATATATACATGACCTTGCATAGTTACCCATTTTTCCCTCATGGCAAGAGCAACTATAATGTACTCATTTAGCAAAAATCCTGAATACAATATACTATTATTAGTGATAGTCCTCACACTGTACATTAGATCTTTTGGCTTGTCCACCCTACATATTTGCCACTTTGTATTCTCTGACCTGCATCTTCTTATTTCCTCCCCTCACCCCAATGCTGGTGGCCACTGTTTTGTTTTTATTTCTTTGTATCTGACTTTCTTCTTCTTCTTTTTAAAAGATTTCACATGTAAATGAGACCATGCAATATTTTTCTTTCTGTGTGTGGCTCATTTTACCTAGCGTTAAGTTTCCCCAGATCCGTCCATGTTGTAGCAAATGGCAAGAGCTCCTCCTTTTTGAAGGGTGAATAATATTCTCTCTCTCTCTCTTTCACACATACACACACACACACACAGTTTCTTTATCCACTTGCTCATCGGTGGACACCTAGGTGGTTTCCATGTTTTGGGTATTATGAAAACTACTACAATAAATATTGAAGGGCAGATATCTTAACAAGGTGGTCATTTCATTTCCTTTGGATGTATATCCAGAAGATGGGTTGCTGGGTCATATGGCAGTTCTATTTTAATTTTCTTGGGAATCACCATACTGTTTTCCATAATGGCTGCACTAATCTACATTTCTATCAACAGTGTACAAGGTTCTCTTTTCTGTACACCCTTGCCAACACTTATCTCTTATCTTTTTGGTAATAGCTATCCTAACAGGTGTGAGGTAGTTCTCACAATGGTTTTGATTTGCATTTCTTTGATGATTAGTGATGCTGAGCACCTTTTCATGTATGTTGGGTATTTTTTTTTTTTTTTTTTTTTTTTGAGACGGAGTCTGGCTCTGTCGCCCAGGCTGGAGTGTAGTGGCGCAATCTCGGCTCACTGCAAGCTCCGCCTCCCGGGTTCACGCCATTCTCCTGCCTCAGCCTCCCGAGTAGCTGGGACTACAGGCGCCCGCCACAGCGCCCGGCTAATTTTTTGTATTTTTAGTAGAGACGGGGTTTCACCATGTTAGCCAGGATGGTCTCGATCTCCTGACCTCGTGATCCGCCCGCCTCGGCCTCCCAAAGTGCTGGGATTACAGGCGTGAGCCACCGCGCCCGGCCGTATGTTGGGTATTTTTATGTCAACTTTTATAATATGACTATTCAAGTCCTCTGCCCATTTTTTCAATCAGGTTATATGTTTTATTGCTATATTGAGTTGTATGAGTTCTTTATGAATCATGGATATTAACTCCTTATCTGAGTTGTATGAGTTCCTTATAAACCTTGAATATTAATCCCTTGGATATGGTTTGCAAATATTTTTTCACAATCTGTAGGTTGCCTCTTCATTTTGTTGAATGTTTCCTATACTGTGCAGAAGCTTTTTAGTCTGATATAGTCCCATTTATTTATTTTTGCTTTAATAGCTTGAGCTTTTGGTGTGATGCCCAATAAATCATTGCCAAGGCCAATATCAAGGAGCTTTTCCCCTGTGTTTTCCCCTTTTAGGCGTTTTATGGTTTCAGGTCTATGTTTAGGTCTTTTATCCACCTTGAGCTGATTTTTGTATATGGTATAAGATAAGAATCCAATTTCATTCTTTAGCATGTGGAGATCCAGTTTTCCCAGCACCATTTATTGAAGGAACTATTCTTTTCTCATTGTGTCTTGTTGTGGCCCTTGTCAAAAATTAGTTTATCATATGTGTTTGGATTTATTTCTGGGCTCTTTATGCTGTTCCACTGGTCTATTAGTCTGTTTTTATGCCAGTACCATACTGTTTCAATTATTTTAGCTTTGTAATATAATTTTAAATCAGGATGTGTGATGCTTCCAACTTTTTTCCCTCAGAATTGCTTGGCTATTTAGAAGCTTTTGTGGTTTCATGCAAATTTTAAAACTTTTTGTCTATTTCTATAAGAAGGCTATTGGGATTTTGGTAGGGATTGCATTGAGTCTATATATTGCTTTAGGTAGTATAGACATTTAAACAATATTAATTATTTCAGTCCATGAGCATGGAATACCTTTCTATTTACTTGTGACTCCTTCAATTTCTCTTATCAATGTTATTGCAGTTTTCAGTGTACAGGTATTTCTCCTTTTAGTTAAATTTTTTCTAAGTATTTTATTTTTTAATACTATCATAAATAGGATTGTTTTCATGATTTCTTTTTCAGCTAGGCTGTTATTTGTGCATAGAAATGCCACAGACTTTCACATGTTGTTTTTGTATCTTACAACTTTACTGAATTCATTTGTTAAGTCTAACAGTTTTTTGGTGAACTGGGGGTTTTCTACACATAGGATCATGTCATCTGCAAATAGAAATAATTTTACTTATTCCTTTTCAATCGGGATTCTCTTATTTCTTTGTCTTTTCTAATTGCTCTTGATAGTACTTACAGTACAATGTTGAATAGAAGTGTTGAGAGGGAACCTCCTTGCTTTGTACCAGATCTTAAAAAAAAAGCTTTCAGTTTCACTCCAATAATCATGACATTAACTATGAGTTTTTCATAAATGGCTTTTGTTATGTTGAATTTCCTTCTACTCCTAAACTGTTGAATTTTTATCAAGAAAGGATGTTGAGATTTTTATTATATTTAAAATTGACATTGTGATTATATATATTTATAGGGTAAAACTTGATATTTTGATACATATATGATGTATAATGATCAAATAGCATGACTGTCACTTCATATATTTATCATTTCTTTATGGTGAAGACATTCAAAAGTCTCTCTTCTAGGTCTTTTGAAATATATTATATTTTACTATTAACCATCATCACCTTACTGTGCAACAGAATACCAGAACTTATTCCTTCTATCTAATTATAATTTTGTGCTCATTGACCAGCTTCTCCTCATACTCCTGTCCTTCTCCTGTCCCCAGTCTCCAGTAACCACTGTTCTATTCTCTGCTTCTATGATATCAACTTTTTTTTGATTCCACATGATTGAGATTATGTAGTATTTGTTTTTCTGTGTATAGTTTATTTCACTTAACATGATGTCCTCTATGTCTGTCCATGTTGTTGCAAATGATAGGACTCAATTCTTTTTTAGGGCTAAATAGTATTCATATATATATGAATATGTATATATATGAATATGTATTATATCACACTTTTTAAACCACCCCTTTTTGGGTTGGATTGATTCTTTATCTTGGCTATTGTGAATAGTGCATCAATAAACATGGGAGTGAAGATGTCTCTTTGACATACTGATTTGCCCTCCTTTGGATATGTAACCAATAGTAAGATTACTGAACCATATGGTAGTTCTATTTTTAATTTTTAAGGGACTTCCATAGAGTTTTTCATGCTGGATGTACTTATTTATACTCCTACCAACAGTATGTAAGCATTCACTTTGCTCTGCATCCTCACAAACATTTGTTTTCTTTTATCTTTTTTATTTTAGCCATTCTAACTGGAGTGAGGTGATATCTCATTGTGGTTTTGATTTGCATTTCCCCAATGACGAGTGATGTTGGATTTTTTTTATGTACCTGTTGGTCATTTGAATATCTTTTTTGAGAAATGTCTATTAATGTCTTTTTCTTATTCTTTTTATTTATTAATTTCTTTTTCTTATTCATCAAAAAATATTTTACTGAGTGAAAACTTGGAAGCTTTGTTTTTGAAGAACTGTTATAAAATTATTTTGTAGATTATAACGACCTTTCATTGAGTAGCAACTTTTATTAAGTGCTAAGAATTGTGCTAAGTGCTTTAGATAAAGTATTTCAACTAACCTTCAACACAATTTTACAGAATTTGATCCAGTTAAGATATATATTTTATAGGTGAAAAACTGAGGTTCAGAGAGATTAAATAAATTACCTAAGGTCATATACCTACTTGAAAAAAAGAAAACAAAGCTGTTGAACTCTGTCCAGTGTTTTTATTCTTGTGTCAAATGACATAATCATGTGTTTTTTTATGTTAATAGGCTTTTAATTTTAGGACAGTTTTAGATTTACAGAAAAATTATGAAGACAGTACAGAGAATTCTTACATATCTCACACACAGTTCTCTCTACTGTTAACATTAATTAGTAACATTATACTTAGTATAGTACATTTATTACACCTATGAACCAATGTTGATACATTACTATTAACTAAAATCTGTACTTTATTCATATTTCCTTAGTTTTTCCCTAAAGTCCTTTTTCTGTTCAGGATCCCATAGGATACCACACTATATTTGGCGCTCACGTCTCCTTAGGCTCCTCTTGGCTGTGGCAGTTTTCCTTGTTTTTGATGACCTTGATAATTTTTATCTTTTTCTTTTTTTAAAAATTTGATACTACTCTATTTTTCTTTATTTCAGTAGGTTTGGGGAAGAGGTGATGTTTGGTTACATGAATAAGTTCTTTAGTGGTGATTTGTGAGATTTTGGAGCACCGGTCACCTGAGCGGTGTACCCATACCCAGTGTGTAGTCTTTTATCCCTCACCCCCTTCTCACCCTTTCCCCCCCGAGTCCCCAAAGTCCACTGTATTATTCTTAGGCCTTTGCACCCTCATAGCTTAGCTCCCACTTATGAGTATGAACATATGATGTTTGAGTTTTCATTCCTGAGTTACTTTACTTAGATAATTGTCTCCAATTCCCACCAGGTTGCTGTGAATACCATTATTTTGTTCATTTTTATGGCTGCGTTTTATTCCATGGTATATATATATCACATTTTCTTTATCCACTTGTTGACTGATGGGCATTGGGGCTAGTTCCATATGTGGTTAATCTTTTAGTCTGTTCATGTGATATAGCACATTGACTGATTTGTGTATGTTAAACCAGCTGTTCATGCCAGGGATACATTCCCACCTGATAATGACATATAATCTTTCAATGTGTTGTTGAATTCGGTTTGCTAATATTTTATTGGGAATGTTTCCATCAATGTTCCTCAGAAATATTGGCCTGTAGGTCTCTTTTCTTGCTGCGTCTTTGTCTGACTTAGGTATCAAGGTAATATTGGCCTTATAAAATGTGTTAAAATGTATTCCCTCTGGCTCTATTTTTTGGAAGGGTTTGAGAAATATTGGCATTAATTCTTCTTTGAAAGTTTGGTATAATTCAGCTGTAAGGCCATCTTGTCCTGAGCTTTTATTTGTTGAGAGATTTTAAATCACTACTTCCATTTCTTTGTTAATTATCTGTTCAGGCTTTCTACAGCTTCCTGATTCAATGTTGGTAGTTCGTATTTTTCTAGGAATGTCTATATCTCCTCTAGATTACCAAATTTTTTGCATATAATTATTCATAACGAACTAGTGTTCGTTATGATCTTTTTTATTTCTGAGGTGTCTGTTCTACTGTCTCCAATTTTATTTTTGATTTTATATATTTGAGTACTCTCTTTTGTTTTCTTAGCCTAGTTAAGGGTTTGTCAGTTTTGCTTACTTAAAACGCTCTTAGGCTGGGTGCAGTGGCTCATGCCTGTAATCCCAGCACTTTGGGAGGCCGAGGAGGGTGGATTACATGAGGTCAGGAGTTTGAGACCAGCCTGTCCAACATGGCAAAGCCTCATCTCTACTAAAAATACAAAAATTAGCCAGACATGGTGTCTCGTGCCTGTAATTCCAATTACTCGGAGGCTGAGGCACAAGAATCGCTTGAACTCATGAGGTGGAGGTTGCAGTGAGCTGAGCTTGTGCCACTGCACTCCAGCCTCGATGATGGAGTGAGACTCTGTCTCAAAAAATAAAAACAAAAAACAACAAAAAAACTCTTAGTTGTATTGATTTTTCTGTTTCTTTTTTTGATTTTCATTATTTCTTTCCTTCTTCTAAAGTTGGGTTTAGTTTCATCTTTTTCTAGTTCCTTGAGCTGTAATGTTAGGCTACTTATTTGGGATCTTTTCTTCTTTTTTAATGTAGGCATTTATTGTTATTACATAAACTTCCCTTTTAAAACTGCTTTTGCTGCATCCCATAGGTCTTGGTATATTGTGTTTCCAATGTTATTTGTCTCAAGATATTCTGTAATTTCCTTTTTTTTGTTTCTGTTTTGACACATTTGTTGTTCAAGAGCATTTTGTTTAATGTCCGTATATTTTTCCTGTTATTGATTTAAGTTTCATACCATCTTGGTCAGGAACAATATTTGATGTGATTTTGATCTTAAATTTATTATGACTTGTTTTGTGCCCTACCAAATGGTCTATCCGGGAGAATGTGCACTAGAGAAAAATGCGGATTCTGCTGTTGGATAAAATGTTCTGCATGTATCTGTTACGGCCATTTTGTCTACAGTGCAATTCAGTTTCAATATTTCCGTATTAATTTTCTGTGTCTTTGATCTGTATGTTGTTGAGAGTGGAGTATTAAAGTCCTCTCTCATTACTGTAGAAGAATCCAGTAGACATGGGTTGGAACCCCACCTCCAGCATGTGACAGCTGTATGCATGGACATATTTGTTGTTTCTCCTTAAAAAGGTTTCCTTTTTGTTTAAAGGACATGAAATGCCTTTTAGTTGTGCCTGTAAAGACTGTGAATCTTGCATTTGCCTGTGATCCTTAGCAGTAGGGTAAGCCCACATCTGGCATATGTGCTGGCCAAAATTACCCTGAACAACTCTCAATCTGTTTCTTCTTTCTGTAAAATGGAAAAGTGGCCACTGTACTGGACAGTTTTAAGGACTCTGTAAAACCATGTAGGCAACATAAAATTTCAAAACATCCCTGGACACTTTGGGAGGCCGAGGCAGGTGGATCACCTGAGGTCAGGAGTTCGAGACCAGCCTATCCAACATGGTGAAACCCAGTCTCCACCAAAAATACAAAAATTAGCCGGGTGTGGTGGTACATGCCTGTAATCCCAGCTACTTGGGAGGCTGAGGCAAGAGAATCGCTTGAATCTGGGAGGTGGAGGTTGCAGTGAGCCGAAATTGCACCATTGCACTCCAGCCTGGGTGACAAGAGCCAAATTCTGTCTCAAAAAAATCACCCAAAAACAAACAAAAAACTCTGGAAATTTACATTTTTAATGAGCAATTAATTTGGAGTACAGCCTAGCACGTGGATTGTTTTTACAAGGACTGTTAACCCACGAAAATATTTTCAAACCTCAGTTTTGAGAGGCCTTTCTCAAACTGTGTGTTTTAGTGAAAATCCATTTAAAATCATTAATTGCCTCTAACCATCTCATAGCTTTGGTCAGGTATTTTTTGAAGAATTACACATTGCTTGGCATTTGACCAATGTTAAGTGGGCCTACTGAAATCACCAGCAATCTAGAAATTAGAATTACTTGATTCCATAGTTATGTTTGTAACTAAGAGATTGTTATTATTTTATTTCAAAGCTACCATAACGTCCTGCATGTCTCCAGTTTATCTGATGGAGCTGAACTAATCTGAGTATATTATGAACACAAGCAAGTAAGTTATTTTTAAAAATGAACCTATTTGTACTAAAAATTTACAGGTAGAAGGGTCGTCTACTAACCATATTATCTAGAACTGTGTGGATCTTTAAAATGCTAAATTAGGTGGTGGTAATAAAAAAAGAATCACCTCTAACCAGGTGCAGCAAACACAAAATACAGTAAACAAATGAACATATCCTTGTGCTGTAATTTGTTATCAAAATATTATTTCTGGGAATGTGGGATGTCCACTGCTTTTTTTCCCCTTCTTCTTTCTCTTCTTCTTTTCTCTCTCTCTTTCTCTCTCTCTGTGTGTGTGGTGTGTTCTCCAGTCTCCAGAGACATAGACTAGAATTTTAAATTAAAATATTTAGACAACTAGTTACAATCAAACTTCTCCCACAGGAGTGGAAGGAAAGTCCAATGGAGAAATTGTTTTGTAAATTAAAGACATTACTGCACAAGCCTAAAATGATGTTACTGGGGATTTTAATCTTTTTACCTGGATTCAGATTAAAAGTCATCAGTTTTCCCTCTCATCAACAATTTATTCATTCATCCATTATATTTTTATGGATTGATATGCCCAACATTATACTAATTAATCCAATTTATAAGGTAATCTATAATCCTATTTAGGTTAGAAGGGTTTTTGGCAAATGTTCACTCTGGAAAACTGGGTTGTAAGAATATTGGCGATCTCAATTTTATTTCTGTGTATGTAAAAAGAAAGGCTTCATATCTAAAATAACTTTACCTAAGTATACAAAGTTGTTTCAGGGTAACAAAAGAGCGAAAAACAAAACTGTAAAAGGGCCAAGGACAGAGGAATGGGCAAATGAAGGAAGGGCGGAGAGGCAGAACAAGAGCTGAAGGAGAAAATTCTGTGGAGGGGTGTGGGAAAGGGGTGGAGCTGGCAACCTTGCCTTAAAAGCTGAGTGATAGCCCATACTAAAGACTGGTTGAGCCGGGTAGGGAAAGCAGCCTAAAGCCCGGGACAGGCACACAGGCCCAGGTGTGTAGGCCACAGCAGCCGCAGTCCTGAAAGGCTGCAACACCCAGACCTCCAGGAGAGACCAGGCCCAGGATGCCTCGCCTGTTCTTGTTCCACCTGCTAGAATTCTGTTTACTACTGAACCAATTTTCCAGAGCAGTCGCGGCCAAATGGAAGGACGATGTTATTAAATTATGCGGCCGCGAATTAGTTCGCGCGCAGATTGCCATTTGCGGCATGAGCACCTGGAGCAAAAGGTCTCTGAGCCAGGAAGATGCTCCTCAGACACCTAGACCAGTGGCAGGTGAGAGCTCCCGCCCCCTCCCGGCCTTCCCGCGCTTCCCATTGGTTACTCTGGGGCGGCCGCCCAATTGGAACGGCGGCCTGCACGTCCGACTCGAGATCTCATTGGCTGCCACCGCTCAGCCCCTACTCAGCCGTGGCTGGTCCCTAAAGTTTGGGCTTTTCCTTTGCCAGGTGATTTTATTCAAACAGTCTCACTGGGAATCTCACCGGACGGAGGGAAAGCACTGAGAACAGGAAGCTGCTTCACCCGAGAGTTCCTTGGTGCCCTTTCCGTAAGGCAGTCAGAGCGACGGGGTGGAAAGGGAGGGGAAGCCTCAGAGGAGGTGACGCCGCCCGGAGACCCGCAGGAGGCCGGGCGCACTCCTGCACCCCACAGGAAAGCCAGGCGGCCAGACAGCGGGCGTGCTGGTGGGGGCACCTGAACAGGGCTTCTCGGATAGAGAGGAGAGGGGACAAACACTGAGGCGGCGCGCTAGTTATCAAGCCTGTTTGCGCGCCTGTAGGACGGGGCAACACTCTGAGGTCTCTGTGAGGGTCCCGTGATGGGAAGACAGGAAGGGCCTTACACTTAATGACTCTCCTAGTCCAGAAGTTGGGCTGTGGCCTTTGCCATTGGAAACGTTCTTTAAAATAAACAAACAGAAAATCCCAAAGGAAAGAGTCTGACCTCCCGCTTCTTTGATCTGGGTATTGAAGTTCATTTGTGAGGCAGGGGATGGAAGAGAAAGGAAAGGCTTGAATGCCTTTAGGAGAAACTCAAGAGGACCAGAGACAAGGAAAGCAGGCCGTTCAGACCATCATAGCTGAAGACCCTACTGATGCTTTCAAGCATTTGGAAGCTGCAGTGGGTTTGCTTTAAAGGCAAGCTCTTAGAGTTGAGTACAGCTCAATCTGAAATGGCTTTTAAAAATATTTTAGTATTTATAAAGTAGCAGTGGAAACTCATGGAGGTATATACTAGTCTAAGAAGTGTAACGGGTCATATTAAATTCAGAGAAAGTAACCGCAGTTGCAAATACTAAGTGTTTTGTATTAGTATGACATGTAATTTATGATAAACCGCAACTAAATTTTATAGGCTATATGCATATACTATATATAAATGACTCTAACAGAAATACATTTACTTCTCTTTTATGAGATTTAAAGTATGCTTCTAAAGTTATTTACTTTTCTACATTGTTAGAGTTTGATTTATTTAATGGCAGTTTTTACATGACTTTTGTATAACATTAGTACAAAAATACCACAACGTCTAGGAATTTAGTGATAAAAAGTAGAGAAGACCGGATTGCATTGCATTTGCTTTATTATTCCACATTTTCTGACTATAAAAGTAGTAATGCTCATATTAAAGACAAATGTACATTAATGCAGCGTGAAAAATGAGAAGCACTCGTAGATATTAAGGACTTTGAAAAGTATATGTGAATTTTATGAGAAAATGAAATTATATTAAACAAGTAAGTGGAAAGAAATGTTAACATTTGGATAGGTATATGTATATATCTTTTGCATTTTCACTCACCATTATACTTTGAGCAGTTTCTCACATTGTTATTATCCCAAAACATAATTTGAAATTCCTGTGTAGTATTTTTGTCATAAATCTGCCACATAAACTTAAAGATTCTTTGGTGGATATTTAGTTTATTTCTAAATTGTTGCTGAAAATCATTAATCACATTTGTATATAGATATTTAGCTACACTTTTATTTCTTTAGAAGAGACATGAGATTTCAAAGTATTTTTAAAGAATTTTCTTTATTGCTATGCAGTATAATTTAACTGAAAGTAACCTCAGAAAATATTGCCTGCACGTGGGATTAAGATAAATGTTTACCGTTACTAGGTAGGAATCGCTTTGGAAGTACATGTCAGTAATTTGTGATTAATATGAGTTTTCAGACTTATACTGTTAGGTAATTGCTACTTGCTTTCACGTTATTACACTGTTAGATAACCATTTTATCTTACAATGTGTGCCAAAGTAATATTCACTGCATCCCTTTTAAAAATAAGATCCGCTTTAAACCAGAGATCTATTTCAGTAAGATTTGCATCCAAAATACAGTGAATTAAGGGTATTTGCATGAATTCAGACAGAATATTTTCTCTGAGCCTAGGTTCCATAGCTAAAAGTGTTATGGATTATGAAATATTTCAAAACAGGTTTAAAAATATAATTTTAATAAAAGTTCAAAACACACAGCCTATGAATAAACTGAATACAATCTATAACTGTTTTGGCTGATTCATTTAACTGGCTTTAAGTATACAGAAAATTACCATCAGCTTTTTTCAGCATTTAATAAGACTGCAACTACAGACAGTTTAGGTTGGAGCACAGAGACGTTTTTATGAGGAAATTGAATTAAACTTAGGATGTCTTAATGAGGGAAAATGCCAAAACCTGTCATTTAACCAAAAATGATATAAATTCTCATCTGTCATTTCCAGTTTAGAATGTGGATGAGCGAGAGTGTTAGGGGCAAAGACAAAATACTACAGGTTTTTTGTTTTGTTTTGTTTTGTTTTGTTTTTTATTGCTCTGTCAAACTCCAACTGTTGAAGTTTGTTGTTGGTAAAAGGAGAACAACTGATTCTTTTGCCACAAAACTCAGGAAATGATCAGCCCCAGAACTACCGCTGTCTAGGTGAAGGGTCGTGGTTTCCTCTGATCAGCAGGCATCAGTGGTTAACCAGGTGTCTGCCTCCCGCACTTAGATTTACTCCTCTCTTCTCTTTCTTTTCATTATTTCAAGAGTAATGCCTTGGTATTGGATAGTTTTCCTGTCCAAGAAGAAGAGCAGCAAGACCTGATCTGAGTTTACACTATAATTTAAACATTGTCAGTGTTTATTTCTTTGTGAAATAAAACTCTTAAATTGTATAATTAGGATAATTAAGGTTAGGAGAGAGTTTAGCTCACTGTAAGTTTTTTGACAGCAAGAAACATTTTTAAAAATTTATATCTTTTAACTGGCAGTGCCAGAGACACAAAAACAGGTAATGAATGTTCAACGGAGCTGAATGGGTACAAAGATGGAGTAAGATGTCAGCTGGGTGTCCAGCAGGTTCCCAGCCCAAGTCCCAGCCTTCACATTTGGCCAGCCTGGGATGCTGTGTAAGAACAGGCCCTTCCTAGGAATCACACAGATCTTGCATAGTGCATGATCTGCAGCCTTGGAACAAACATCAGACAGAAAACATTAGTCAGTACACTTACACCACAGCACATATGAATCTCTTCTTAAATCAGTGATTTTTGGTTAGTGATCTTTTAACCCACTTCTCTCTTTCATATAAAATACTATTGATTTGGAGTAATTAGTCTGGGGAAGACAAATTGTTAAATAGATGATTGAGGAACATCAGAGATTTCCTTCTCCTGCTGATTAGATTACAGGTGTTGGAAATGCTGCCTCTTTAACTTTATCCTCCAGGAGTAAATTCCCACCACGAAACATTGAGTAGCTTAAAATAATATCTTTTTCAAGCGTTGTTACTACAACTCGTAATATCAGAAATCATAGCTTAGCAATGGAAGAAAACGAGTTAAGTAAGAAGAATCCAAGAAAATGACCACTATGTGTGGCCAAACTGTTTCCAATGACTTACATGACTTCAGAAAGATGACAGAGTAATGTCAGGGAGAGTCAAAAGTACTATGATAAAAGCACTGAGGGGATAATGAAGAGAGACGAGAGAGGACCAATGGGGTAAAGCAGAGCCTTGGTAAAATTATGGTACTTTAAGGTGTCCAACTGTAAGAAAGCTAAGTGTTTAGATATTAGGATGCTTTTGTGTTTCAATGTTTAATTTATATTGAGGCAATGCTTTCTTTTCTTTGTGTATGCAAACATTCACAGTTTTTCTGAATGCTCTTTGACGTGAATACGCCTTCACATACACTTTTTTTTTAAACTTAACAGAAATTGTACCATCCTTCATCAACAAAGATACAGAAACTATAATTATCATGTTGGAATTCATTGCTAATTTGCCACCGGAGCTGAAGGCAGCCCTATCTGAGAGGCAACCATCATTACCAGAGCTACAGCAGTATGTACCTGCATTAAAGGATTCCAATCTTAGCTTTGAAGAATTTAAGAAACTTATTCGCAATAGGCAAAGTGAAGCCGCAGACAGCAATCCTTCAGAATTAAAATACTTAGGCTTGGATACTCATTCTCAAAAAAAGAGACGACCCTACGTGGCACTGTTTGAGAAATGTTGCCTAATTGGTTGTACCAAAAGGTCTCTTGCTAAATATTGCTGAGATGAAGCTAATTGTGCACATCTTGTCTAATTTTCACACATAGTCTTGATGACATTTCACTGATGCTTCTGTCAGGTCCCACTAATTATTAGAATATAAGAAATCTTTATTAATGTTTAGATTTTTCATTTGGTGTGTAAGAAAATATTCTTTGTATGATTGTAGTTTCTGTAAATGACACTTTCTATGCTGAAGTCTTTTTGTCTTTTTATTAACAGTATAATTGTGTTGATTCTTTTTAATGCTGTTAACTTAAAATTACAATAAAACCTTTGCCACTTTAACCATACATAATAACAATACAGTACCTAACAACAGTTACATGAGGTGGACCAAAATGTTTTTATTGATATTAACTCTTAGATTGGATATACATAAAGCCATACAACTTGAACTTTCCTAATAGATTTCAAAAGGTTTTTGTTGCATATTGAACTACTCATTGCAAACCATCAGTTTGGACACTAAACCAATTTAATTTAGTTGAAGTAAACTCAAGTATTTTTTTTCCTTTTTAATTTCTTTTTTTCCTAGCAGAGTCTGAAGGGAACTCAAGTACTTTTCAGGCTCTGGTTCTGATCTCAGTTCTAGTGTCCATAAAACTTAAGTTACTTTTTAAGGAGAAAAACGTATAGACATAATGGAGGAGAGAACAAACATCCATATCATATATTACAGAAGAAATAGTATAATGAGGGAACATACCTTATGTTCACTTCTTTAGAATTTACTATTTCTGTAAGCAAAATTACTGAAATAGTATGAACACTTGTTAGAAAAGTAAATTGACATAGCTATCAACTTGCTATTTTACTGGTTCCATCTATGTATATACACATGCATTTTACCCAGCATTTATAGAAGAAATACAGTTGAATGACAAGTTAATCTCCTCCATCAAATGTCTGTAAATTTGATTTTGTATTCTGAGATTTTGCTGAAGTTGCTTCTCAACTTAAGAAGCTTTTGGGCTGAGTCAATTGGGTTTTCTAGAAATAGGACCATGTCATCTGCAAACAAACACAATTTGACCTTTCTTCCTATTCGAATACCCTTTATTTCTTTCTCTTGCCTGACTGACCTGGCTAGAACTTCCAACACTATGTTGAACAGGACTGGTGAGAGAGGGCATCCTTGTCTTGTGCTGGTTTTCAAGGGGAATGCTTCCAGCTTTTGCCCATTCAGTATGCTATTGGCTGTGGGTTTGTCATAAATGGCTCTTATTATTTTGAAGTGTGTTCCTTCAATACTTAGTTTATTGAGAGTTTTTAACATGAAGCGATGTTGAATTTTATCAAAGGTGTTTTGTGCATCTGTTAAGATAATCATATGGTTTTTGTCTTTAGTTCTGTTTATGCGATGAATCACATTTATTGATTTGTGTATGTTGTACCAACCTTGCATCCTGGGGATAAAGCCGTCTTGATTGGGGTGGATAAGCTTTTTGATGTGCTGCTGGATTTTGCTTGCCAGTGTTTATTGAGGATTTTTGCATCGATGTTCATCAGGGATATTGGCCTGAAGTTTTCTTTTTTTTGTTGTATGTCTGCCAGGTTTTGGTATCAGGATGATGCTGTCCTCATAGAATGAGTTAGGGAGAGGTCCCTCCTTTTCAGTTGTTTCGAATCATTTCAGAAGAAATGGTACCAGCTCTTCTTTGTACTTCTGGTAGAATTCAGCTGTAAATCCATCAGGACCTGGGCTGTTTTTGGTTAGTAGGCTGTTCATTACTGCCTCAATTTCAGAACTCATTGTCTATTCAGGGATTCAGCTTCTTCCTGGTTCAGTCTTGAGAGGGTGTATGTGTCCAGGAATGTACCCATTTCTTCTAGATTTTCCAGTTTATTTGCATAGAGGTGTTTGTAGTGTTCTCTGATGGTTGTTTGTATTTCTGTGGGTTCAGTGGTAGTATCCCCCTTATCATTTGGATTGTGTTTATTTGAATCTTCTCCTTTTTCTTCTTTATCAGTGTTGTAGGATGAGGCGGAACCTATGAACAGGCAGAGGCCAGAGAAATGGTATTTCCTTCTGTCATCTTATGTGAAGAAAAGTGCATGAGCGCATTTTCTCATGGGTTGATTTATCTGTGACCATTAATAAGAAGTCCACCATTTTGTTTTGTAGTCCTCCCCTTCATACGCATCACTAAAATATTTGCTTCCAGGATAGAAGTTTACTCAATAGAGAACATAGAATGAGATTAAATTTTAAGCTTCTGGTTAATACTGTGATCTTGTTTTCTTGTGTTTTAGTAGAAGAATATTATCATTGCCTTTATCCTTACTGTGATGTATGAATCACTTGAAAGTGTACAACATTAAGAATGAGAATCATGGCCGGGCGCGGTGGCTCATGCCTGAAATCCCAGTACTTTGGGAGGCCGAGGCAGGTGGATCACCTGAGGTCAGGAGTTCGAGACCATCCTGGCTAACATGGTGAAACCCCGTTTCTACTAAAAATACAGAAAATTAGCCAGGAGTGGTGGTGTGCGCCTGTAATCCCAGCTACTCGGGAGGCTGAGGCAGGAGAATCGCTTGAACCCGGGAGTTGCAGTAAGCTGAGATTGCGCCATTGCACTGCAGCTTAGGCATCAAGAGTGAAACACTGTATCACATTAAAAAAAAAAAAAAGCACATTCAGTGACCCCTCAACTTGCTCCATAACAAAGCATCAAGTATTGGTGAAATAAATTGTTCCAATCTGCTGTCTGTTTAAAATTATCCAATGCCACCTTCCATGTGTTACATTGAGACCAATAATGATGTAAATTCAACAAAATAAACCTTATTTCTAGCCAGGCTTCCAGCACCAGTTATCCAGGGGACAATACTATTTTTTCTGCTAGGGTTTGGTTTGTCCTATAAATTTCTTTATTCAATTTTTAAAAATCTTTTATTGATTAGATTTTTTATTGAAAAAGTAATACATGCACTTCATATAGAAAGCTTCAGAGTACAAAAGCGTATAAAAATGAAAGCCAGTCTACTTCTGCACATACAAACATATGTACATATATGCATCTTTCCTTATAAAAAAGGGAGTACACCTGCACACCACTGTGAGTCTTACTTTTTAAAATTTCAACAAATTAAATTGGGAAATAATTTCATTTCCACACACGTAGATCAGTTTTGTTTTTTTAATTGACTTAATATTATTTCAATATATGAGTATACACTAAATTTTTTATCCTATCTCTTATAATAGACATTTGCCTTCATCCCATTTTTTTCATTAACACAAATAATACTACAATGGACACCCTTATACTTGTATACATTTGCATACTGTGCATGTATTTTCATAATATACATTTCTAGAATGGGAATTACTTAGTCAAGGATAAATACATTTTTCATATTAATAGATACTGCAAAATTGTGCCCTCCAAAGAGGTTGCACCAGTTTATTTATTTATTTTTCTTTGTTTGTTTATTATACTTTAAGTTCTAGGGTACATGTGCACAACGTGCAGGTTTGTTACACAGGTATATATGTGCCATGTTGGTTTGCCGCACCCATCAACTCATCATTTGTATTAGGTATTTCTCCTAATGCTATCCCTCCCACAGCCCCCCACCCCCCTAGATGCCCCTGTGTGTGATGTTCCCCACCCTGTGTCCATGTGTTCTCATTGTTCAATTCCCACCTATGGGTGAGAACATGCAGTGTTTGGTTTTCTGTTCTTGTGAGAGTTTGCTTAGAATGATGGTTTCCAACTTCATCCATGTCCCTGCAAAGGACATGAACTCATCCTTTTTTATGGCTGCATAGTATTCCATGGTGTATATGTGCCACGTTTTCTTAATCCAGTCTATCATTGATGGACATTTGGGTTGGTCTTTGCTATTGTGAATAGTGCCACAATAAACATATGTGTGCATGTGTCTTTATAGTAGCGTGATTTATTGAGGATTTTCTCATCGATGTTCATCAGGGTATTGGCCTAAAATCTCTTTTTTTATTGTGTCTCTACCAGGCTTTCAGGATGATGCTAGCCCCATAAAATGAGTTAGGGAGGATTCCCTCTTTTTCTGTTGATGGAAATAGTTTCAGAAGGAATGGTACCAGCTCCTTTTTATACCTCTGGTAGAATTTGGCTGTGAATCCATCTGGTCCTGGACATTTTTTGGTCGGTAGGCTATTAATTATTGCCTCAATTTCAGAACCTGTTATTGGTGTATTCAGAGATTCAACTTCTTCCTGGTTTAGTCTTGGGAGGGTATACATGTCCAGGAATTTATCCATTTCTTCTAGATTTTCTAGTTTATTTGCGTAGAGGTGTTCATAGTATTCTCTGATGGTAGTTTGTATTTCTGTGGGATCAGTGGTGATACCCCCTTTATCATTTTTCATTGCATCTCTTTGATTCTTCTCTCTTTTCTTCTTAATTAGTGTTGCTAGTGGTCTATCTATTTTGTTGATCTTTTCAAAAAACCAGCTCCTGGATTCATTGATGTTTTGAAGGTTTTTTTTTTTTTTTTGTCTCTCTATCTCCTTCAGTTCTGCTCTGATCTTAGTTATTTCTTGCCTTCTGCTAGCTAGCTTTTGAATTTGTTTGCTCTTGCCTCTCTAATTCTTCTTCTTCTTTTTTCTTTTTTTTTTTTTTTTTTGAGATGGAGTCTTGCTCTGTCGCCCAGGCTGGAGTGCAGTGGTGTGATCTTGGCTCACTGCAAGCTCTGCCTCCCCAGTTCATGCCGTTCTCCTGCCTCAGCCTCCAGAGTAGCTGGGACTACAGGCCCCCGCCACCATGCCTGGCTAATTTTTTGTATTTTTAGTAGAGATGGGGTTTCACTGTGTGAGGCAGGATGGTCTCGATCTCCTGACCTCGTGATCTGCCCTCCTCTGCCTCCCAAAGTGCTGGGATGACAGGCGTGAGCCACCACACCCGGCCTCTCTAATTCTTTTAATTGTGATGTTAGAGTGTCAATTTTAGATCTCTCCTGCTTTCTTTTATGGGCATTTAGTGCTATAAATTTTCTTCTACACACTGCTTTAAAATGTCCCAGAGATTCTGGTACATTGTGTCTTTGTTCTCATTGGTTTCAAAGAACTTCTTTATTTATGCCTTCATTTCGTTACTTACCCAGTAGTCATTCAGGAGCAGGTTGTTCAGTTTCCATGTAGTTGTGCAGTTTTGAGTGAGTTTCTTAATCCTGAGTTCTAATTTGATTGCACTGTGGTCTGAGAGACAGTTTGTTGTGATATCTGTTCTTTTGCATTTGCTGAGGAGTGTTTTACTACAAATTATGTGGTCAATTTTATAATAAATGCGATGAGGTGCTGAGAAGAATGTATATTCTGTTGATTTGGGGTGTAGAATTTTGTAGATGTCTATTAGGTCTGCTTGGTGCAGAGCTGAGTTCAAGTCCTGGATATCCTTGTTAACCTTCTGTCTCATTGATCTGTCTATTATTGACAGTGGGGTGTTAAAGTCTCCCATTATTATTGTGTGGGAGTCTAAGTCTCTTTATATGTCTCTAAGGACTTGTTTTATGAATCTGGGTGCTCCTGTATTGGGTCCATATATATTTAGGATAGTGAGCTCTTCTTGGTGAATTGATCCCTTTACCATTATGTAGTGGCCTTCTTTGTCTCTTTTGATCTTTGTTGATTTAAAGTCTGTTTTATCAGAGACTAGGATTGCAACTCCTGCATTTTTTTTTTTCTCTCCGTTTCCTTGGTAGATCTTCCTCCATCCCTTTGTTTTGAGCCTATGTGTGTCTTTGCACATGAGATGGGTCTCCTGAATACAGCACACCAAGGGGTCTTGACTCTTTATCCAGTTTGCCAGTCTGTCTCTTTTAGTTGGGGTATTTAGCTCATTTACATTTAAGGTTAATATTGTTATGTTTAAATTTGATCCCATCATTATGATGTTAGCTGGTTATTTTGCCTGTTAATTGATGCAGTTTCTTTTCTTTTTTTTTTTTTTTTTTTTGAGATGGAGTCTCGCTCTGTCGCCCAGGCCGGACTGCGGACTGCAGTGGTGCAATCTCGGCTCACTGCAAGCTCCGCTTCCCGGGTTCACGCCATTCTCCTGCCTCAGCCTCCCGAGTAGCTGGGACTACAGGCGCCCGCCACCGCGCCCGGCTAATTTTTTGTATTTTTAGTAGAGACGGGGTTTCACCTTGTTAGCCAGGATGGTCTCGATCTCCTGACCTCATGATCCACCCGCCTCGGCCTCCCAAAGTGTTGGGATTACAGGCGTGAGCCACCGCACCCGGCCGATGCAGTTTCTTCATAGCATTGATGGTCTTTACCATTTGGCACGTTTTTGCAGTGGCTGGTACTGGTTGTTCCTTTCCATGTTTAGTGCTTCCTTCAGGAAATCTCGTAAGGCAGCCCTGATGGTGACAAAATCTCTCAGCATTTTCTTGTCTGTAAAGGATTTTATTTCTCCTTCACTTATGAAGCTTAGTTTGGCTGGATATGAGATTCTGATTGTTGAAAATTCTAGCTGATGGTTGAAAATTCTTTCTTTAAGAATGTTGAATATTGGCCCCCGCTCTCCTCTGGCTTGTAGAGTTTCTGCCGAGAGATCCGCTGTTAGTCTGATGGGCTTCCCTTTGTTGGTAACCTGACCTTTCTCTCTGGCTGCCCTTAACATTTTTTCCTTCATTTCAACCTTGGTGAATCTGACAATTATGTGTCTTGGGGTTGCTCTTCTCGAGGAGTATCTTTGTGGTGGTCTCTGTATTTCCTGAATTTGAATGTTGGCCTGCCTTGCTAGATTAGGGAAGTTCTCGTGGATAATATCCTGAAGAGTGTTTTCTAACTTGGTTCCATTCTCCCCGTCACTTCCAGTACACCAAACTAACGTATATTTGTTCTTTTCACATAGTCCCATATTTCTTGGAGGCTTTGTTCATTTCTTTTCACTCTTTTTTCTCTAATCTTGTCTTCTCACTTTATTTCATTAATTTGATCTTCAATCACTGATATCCTTTCTTCCACTTGATCGAATCAGCAATTGAAGCTTGTGCATGCGTCACGAAGTTCTCATGGCATGGTTTTCAGCTCCATCAGGTCATTTAAGATCTTCTCTACACTGTTTATTCTAGTTAGCCATTCGTCTAACTTTTTTTCAAGGTTTTTAACTTACTTGGGATGGGTTAGAACATGCTCCTTTAGCTAGGAGAAGTTTGTTATTACCAACCTTCTGAAGCCTACTTCTGTCAACTTGTCGAACTCATTCTCTGTCCAGTTTTGTTCCCTTGCTGCTGAGAAGGTGTGATCCTTTGGAGAAGTGGTGCTCTGTTTTTTGGAATTTTCAGCTTTTCTGCTCTGGTTTCTCCCTATCTTTGCGGTTTTATCTACTTTTGGTCTTTGATGTTGGTGACCTACAAATGGGGTTTTGTTGTGGATGTCCTTTTTGTTGATGTTGATGCTATTCATTTCCGTTTATTAGTTTTCCTTCTAACAGTCAGACCCCTCAGCTGCAGGTGTGTTGGAGTTTGCCAGAAGTCCACTCTAGAACCTATTTGCCTGGGTATCACCAGTGGAGGCTACAGAACAGCAAATATTACTGCCTGATCTTTCCTCTGGAAGCTTCATCCCAGAGGGGCACCTGCCTGTTTGAAGTGTCTGTCAGCCCCTACTGGGAGGTGTTTCCCAGTCAGGCTACACAGGGGTCAGGGACCTGCTTGAGGAGGCAGTCTGTCCATTCCCAAAGCTCGAATGCCGTGCTGAGAGAACCACTGCTCTCTTTAGAGTTGTCAGACAGGGACGTTTAAGTCTGCAGAAGTTGTCTGCTGCCTTTTGTTCTACTATGCCCTGCCGCTAGAGGTGGAGTCTACAAAGGCTGGTGGGCCTTGTTGAGCTGCGGTGGACTCCACCCAGTTTGTGCTTCCTAGCCTCTTTGTTTACACTGTGAGCTACTCAAGCCTCAGCAATGGTGGATGCCCCTCCCCCCATCAAGCTGCTGCGTAGCCGGTCGATCTCAGACTGCTGCGCTAGTAGTGAGCAAGGCTCCTTGGGCATGGGACCTGCCTAGCCAGGCAAAGGAGGGTATCTCCTGGTCTGCGGTTGCTAAGACTGTTGGAAAAGGGCACTATTTGGTCATGAGTGTACCCTTTCTCCAGCTACAGTCTGTTATGGCTTCCCTTGGCTAGGAAAGGGAAATCCTCCCCAACCTTGCATTTCCCGGGTGAGGTGACACCTCGCCCTGCTTCAGCTCACCCTCTGTGGGCTGCCCCCACTGTTCAACCAGTTCCAGTGAAATGAACCAGGCACCTCAGTTGGAAGTGCAGAAATCACCTGTCTTCTGCATCAATCTCACTGGGAGTTGCAGACTGGAGCTGTTCCTATTGGGCCATTTGGAAGTGACCAGTTTTTTATTTTATATTTTTAATGCCCCTTCCTCATTTCTGTTATCAATTTTTTCTTGTCAAGACATTTGCCTTCTATTTCAATACTTAGTATTTACTTTACAACTAATTCTGATTTGTGCTAACCATCATTTCTTCCTAAATTTAAAAAACATTAAGGACTTAATTTTCCTGTCCTCCTTTTACACTTTATAAAAATTTTGAAGCTGATTTAAACAAGAACGCTAAAAATAGTCTGTCATGCTGATTCAGATCACTATTTGACATAAATCAGGTGGAGACCTGGGCATTCTCTGTTTGATGCCCTCCCCCCTTGTCCCCACCTGGCTCCTCCATACCCTGCTCTTCCTTGTCCATCACTGCCCTATGCTCTGAGTCTGACCCTCCACACTGCATTTCCCAGGCTCCCACACTCTGGCTTCTGATGGAGATCAGCCAGTCTGGGTACCAGCAGGAGTCTTTAGGGTGGGGAGACAGTGAGTTTAGGTATGTGGTCTGCCTATGGCAGTGGGTTCCTAAGCCACAGATCCTTTTAGGCAGTACCACTTCAGTGGCTCCACCTGTCACTGGATCTGCTTAATACTGTTTCCTTCTTCCCCTTCTAGCCTAAAAGAGTTAATGGTTTCCTGCTACTGTCAGCCCCTGGGTGCCTTTTCATCCCTTGAGGTTACCATTGACACTACTCAAACAAAATAATGGTATGTTTGTGTTTTTGTTATAAACAATTTTAAAAAATTTAACAGAAACCTGCATTTATAAGGAACACTAAAAAGGTCCATTTTAAAATAATTGTTTATTAAACTGTAACAAGGTTTCTAGCAATTTTAGATTGAATGTGATGCTCCTAAACTGCTTTAATACATGCCATAATTACAAATTAAATTTTTGGGTCAGACTTCATTATAACTGTGGTAATTTAAAAAAATCCACACTTGAAATGAGACAAGTGTCTGTTGACTAAAGAGAAAAGAACTTTCCAGTGTGTTACATGGATTTTACAACAGAGAAGCTGCTTCCACAATAGAATTGATGTTCCCTTGACATCGCCTTTGGGAAGGAAAAATTAAAAAAAAATTGATGTCACCTTTCAGATATAGATATTGCAACCTTAAAGAATTTATAGAACTACAACCCTTGTCTTCACCTAGAACATAAATTAAGATGATATTGGCTTGTGAATACCCATTTTCCTCATATAACAATTAACAAATTTACATCAAACCGAAGTGAATAATGCTGGCTTATTTTATTTATAAGTAGTATATCTTGTTTTTAGATGAAAGGCTCTGCTTAAAAGATATTTTTTTGAGACCAAGTCTTCCTGTTCATCTGTGAAGCTTATTTGGTATATTGTAGTCATTTCTAATCTTTCTTTGTGATACAGGCCATAGAACTGTGCTAGAGGTTAACAATCTTAATTACGAGTTCTCTCTATTGCTTTATTAAGCTCTCTTGTTTGTTCTATTGTGTATTTACCTCATTCTGAGTGCCATGCAAAACAAAATAGTGTTAGACAAAGTTTTAATGTGAACAAATTAATGCAGTTTTCTAGAAAAGCATAATCTAGTTTTTTTTTCTAGCCTTTCCTATTTTTAAAATTCTTGTTGCCTTTCTTATTTCTTTATGTCTTTGATGGACTTCCAGTAGTTTCTGTGACTTGAGCTTATAGTCCTGTGTCTTGTGTAGACTGGGTAATGGAACACTAAGCTTGTATACTTGCAAATGACAGCCTTAAATTCCCCTATCGGCCACCTGTCCCCACAAAATAATAGTAATAATTAAGGCCAGCAATAGCAGTTATTTTTCCTTAAAAAATAAAATTTTAAAGTAAAAATGTTATATTATTATTTTTAAGCCAACTGTCTTAAGATCTTATCTAACTTGGTTTCTGGGGTTTTTGAGGGTAAAGTTTCCCAACACCCCACTTCTCCTACACTTATCCTTATACTTAGGCATGAATTTGCAAAGCAACGCCTCAGAATATTTCTGGAAAAATTACGTTGGAATTACATCATATGGCTGAATAGCAGTGCAATTGAATATGTTGAGTTTTTTATTTGTGTCTTCACCTTTGTTTATGTTAAGGATAGAACCCCAAAGAGAATAATACTGGTTTACTTATTCCATGCTTATTACACAATAATAATACGCCAGCCTCTGTACTATTCAATGAGGATATAAAGGTGAAAAGGCAAGGTTGCGTACTTTTATAATATTTATATGTTCTGGTGGTTCAAATTATTTTACTCAGTGCTTTTCTTAGAAGAAGAAATATTTGGATGATGTTCAGTAAACACAAATTTTGTGTTATCTTTGAATCTGTTTGGTAGGTTTATGATGTTAAATTCCTGGTTAGGTTCAGTTCAAGTATATTTACCAAAGACAAATTAGAAATACAGGGACCATCAGGTTAGGGATTTATTTCATTATGGTAATAGGATTATGTCATTGGAATTGGAATTTATTTTACACTTGGTCTGATTTTTAAATCATTTTACATGACTTAAATGTCAAATTATAATGTAAAATGATTATTTTCAGTTATGCACCCCACAATTTGAAGCCACATTTGTTTTGAGGGAATTTTGAATATGAAGACCTCTGAGTATTAGAAGTTATATTGAGTGGGGATTATGCGTAATTTTCCTCTCTTGGAAAATCTATCTGTGATTATATATTTTCTTTTTAATGTACATAAACAAGTAAAAAACACAAGGAGAACTTCAGCTGTAGACCCTGCACTTTAACATTAGTAACTGCTAATCTACCCACAAATATTGGTGATTTTTTTTGCACATATAACAATAAAAATGACTACCACCACCTTAAGAGCTGATTGGAATTACATCTTTTATTTATTTATTTATTTATTTTGAGACAGAGTCTTACTCTGTTGCCCAGACTGGAGTGCAGTGGTGTGATCTTGGCTCACTGCAACCTCTGCCTTTGGGTTCAAGTGATTCTCCTTCCTCAGCCTCCTGGGTAGCTGGGACTACAGGCACATATCAACACACCTGGCTAACCTTAGGTATTTTTAGTAGACACGCAGTTTAGCCATGTTGGCCAGGTTGGTCTTGAACTCCTGACCTCAAGTGAATCCATCCACCTCGGCCTCCCAAATTGCTGGGATTACAGGCATGAGCCACCGTGCCTGGCCTGTGTATTTTAATTCCATATTTTGCATATATTTTTAGTATTTAAACATTTGCATATTTAAAGACATTAGTACACTTACAAGTAAGGGAAATTCTATTAGGTTAGATATTTTAAAACCTCTGAAAATCAATTCATTTCTAAGTAATAGTTTGTTGCTGTGTACCTTTAATAAGTACAGCAATTAGAGCTTTCATATTCAAGAACAGTCAGTTGCAAGGACTGGACACCCTAAAAATGCACAACTCTAAAGAAAAGGGAAAAAATCTGCCTATTGAGCCATATAAAAGGGAAGAACAAGTAACCTTATATAACAGAAGTTATATAAGATGAAATAATGATGATGACAAGGAATTTGTTTTCTTTATATATTTTATTAGGAGAAAAACTACTGTAGGAGAGGGAAAATTGCTTCTGTGTACCCTTTGAGGTTTTTTGGCTGGTCTATGAATTAAATTGATATTAGACAGATTAAAAGGAGAAAAAAACATTTAATTACTCACATATGCACAGGAGTCCCACCAAAATATGAGACTCCAGGAAGCAGCCAGATGACTGAGACAGATACTATCTTAAGCTAGAGTAAGGAATAGGAATAAGGATTTGGGGGTACTGGGGAGTGGTAGAGATGAATTGTGGGAAGGCGAGAGGAGGAAATGTGTGGTGAATAAAGGTTACCTTGCTATGCAGATAAAAGTCTCTCCAGTGAGAAAAAGTTATCTATGAGTAACTCTCTTTCTGGCAAAGATAGATACATTTACTAATAAAAATGTCCTTTACAAATGGGAAATTATACTTTAAGCAGATGGGGAGGCGAAGTGCTTTTTCTGCATTGACTGGTTCTCAGTTTCTTTTAGCTCAAAATAATACATCAAAGTGGCATATTTTGGGATGACTTGTTCTGATCCCATCACTACTTGGTGGTAAAATGCTACCCAATATTATAACATCATGTGGCGCCTTCTTTTAAAAAGTCTTTAAACATGATATAATTTCCTCAAAGCTTTATGATGTAAAATGAGGTATCTCAGATATGGACATCTCCAGTGAGAGGATCCCAAAGGCTTTATACCCCCATATTCTATTGTGGGTTGGGATGCAGTGGAGAAGAAATGCCAGGATGTTTGTAGCTTTATCAAATTGAAAACTTAGAGCATCTAATTATTACTCACTTAGAAATCAAATTGTTCTCTGTGGACTTCCTTCTCCAAGGAGATTCAAAGCACTTGCTACAAAAAAAAGGAAGATCACAGCTTGCTTCTCTGTTTTCCTTCCTACAGGCAAAACCTTGTGTCACTTGGTTGGCTTAACAGAATTAACTTCTCTCCTTGGATTGCTTGTCGTTGTTTTTATGTAGTTCAGTAACTATTAAATACTTTTCATCTGTGATTAAAAGCATATTGCTTCTGGAGGGTCCCTGGCATGCTGCAGTCCTATGACTGGGCAGCAGGTTTCTCACCTTCCTAAATCTGAGCAGTAAAGCCCTGCTGGAGGGTAACTCACCCCTGATGTTTCTCCTTTGGGGGTTGCTGAGTGGTAAGGGTGCAGCTGCTGCCCTATCAGCTTTCCCAGAGTCACAAAGAGAAGCTCCCACTTGGAAGGGATCTTATTCATTGTCTGCTCCCGTTTTGCTGTCCATCCACTGATATCCTAATCTACCTGCTCTACTCCTCAGTGTGGTTCAGGCTTTGCTGTACCCATCCATTCGGATTTGGGCACCAAGCTACAGAGTTCCTATTTGCACAGATCTCAGCTATGTCCTCCTTCAAATTCTATACCTTCCTGTTCTAGTTTTGAAATAAAAGGAAATAAGGAGGAGAAGAAAGTGACCATCGTTCTCAGGGCTGCCTCAAAGCTAGAGATAGAGAAGAGGAGCAAGCTCACAAACTCCAGTGTACTGAGCACAGCTGACACCAAGGGCAGCCAATGCTCCCTGTATCTTTATGCTCTGTAAGTTCAGTGACCTGAGGGCAGCACCTGGGACAGCTGCTTGCAGTGTTCTTGCTTTCTCCTTTTTCCTTAGCCACAGTGCATGTGTTTAGGCAGATGCCTCCAAGCCACAGACCATTGCTTGCTTCCTTCTTCCCTCCCTCCCTCTTCCCTCCTTTTTCTTCCTCTTTTTCTCCATTGCTTCCCCCCACCCTGCATCCCTTCCCTCCATCCCTCCTTCCTTCCTGCCTTATTTCCTTCCTTTTTTCAACAAATATTTGATTAACACTTATCTAAGGTGATTGGGACACAGAATTGTGCTCAGTCACTGCTCATATACAGCCTACATTTAGTAAAAATGACAGACAGTATCTAAAGAAATACAAAGTGTAAATCAAGCTAAGTGCTATGATGAACATTAAGGCTGGATGGAGAGTCAGGGAAGAGCTGTCTTTGGGAAAGAAGTATTTGAATAAAAACGTGAATAAAATGAGGGGAAAGCCATGTGCAAGATGAGGTAATAAGCACACTCACTTCTTTGATCTTACCTGGAAGAAAGTCCATGAGCTCATTTTCTAATGGGTTGGTTCAATCTGTTGCCACTAGGAGGAAGCCTACAATTTTGTTTTGTGGCCTTCACATTCATACTTACCACTAAAATATTTGCTTCCAGCATCAAAATTTACTCATATGAGAAAGTAAGATTGGAATTTAAACTTTTGGTTAAAACTGTGATTTTCAAAAATTCTGCTTTAGTAGAAGAATAGTCTTATGTTTGCCTTTATTGTTACTGTGAAGTATGAATCACATTGAACTGTATAATTTTAAGATGAGAATCATGTTGTGATTCTTCAACTCACTGAAAATGAAGTGCTGCCTAATTTTGATGAGATAAATTGTTCCAGTCTTTGTTGCAGTTGTAGATTTATCCATAGCTGGCTTCCATCTGTTACATTCAGATGATAATGATAAAATTCATCATTTCTACCCAGTCTTCCAGCACAGAGTAGCTAGAAGACAGAACTATCTTTCTTCCAGGTTTGTGTGCTTCTTCAAAAAGTCTTTATTTAGTATTTTTAAATGCCCTCTGAATATAAAGAGTCTTTAAATGCAATACTAAAAATAACTTTTCATATGTGAAAATGTTTCATTTAAATTATTTTTGTGTGGCTGGGCATGGTGGCTCATGCCTATAATCCCAGCACTTTGGGAGGCTGAGGTGGGCGGATCCCCTGAGGTCAGAAGTTTGAGAGCAGCCTGGCCCACATGGTGAAACTCCATCTCTACTAAAAACACAAAACGTAGCCGCGTGTGGTGGTACACACCTGTCGTTCCAGCTACTTAGGAGGCTGAGGCAGGAGAATCACTTGAACCTGAGAGGTGGAGGTTGCAGTGAGCCGAGATCATGACACTGCACTCCAGCCTAGGCGACAGAGTGGCACCCTGTGTCAAAAAATTAAAAAATAAATAATTTTGTTGTGTCCTTGTTAGTGTCCAAAATTCACTGGAGAGATTCTTTCAGAATTGTAAAGTTTAATTAAAAGTGTTAGGTTTGCCGGGTGTGGTGGCTCACACCTGTAATCCCAGCACATTGGGAGGCCGAGGAGGGCGGATCACCTGAGATCAGGAGTTTGAGACCAGCCTGGCCCACACGGTGAAACCCCATCTCTACTAAAACTACAAAAATTAGCCAGATGTGGTGGCAGGTGCCTGTAATCCTTACTACTTGGGAGGCTGAGGCAGGAGAATGGCTTGAATCCGGGAGGCAGAGGTTGCAGTGAACCGAGATTGTGCCACCTCACTCTGGTCTGGGTGACAGAGTGATACTCCGTCTTAAAAAAAAAAAAAAAAGTGTTAGCTTAGAGGATGAACCTTAGTGCATTTCTTAATGGTATCTGATCAAATAAAAAAATTAAGTTTAAGAACATCTTTAAAGGTGCTTCTTTCACCTGCTCTTCTATTATTTTCTACTACATGAATCCATATTTTCTGACTTCATAAAGAATGTTATTCTTATTTCTTAATGAGTCCTGCTCCATAATTCTGCAAAGTTATTTACACAGAGAGATGGTCAGAACTACTGTCCAGGATTTCAGTGGCTTCTGAATTGAAGTCTAGAATTGAAATACCAGTAATTCACTGAGTTGCTTGCTTGCCAATTATTGTAAATAAACTAACATCATGCCTTTGACTAATGATCCCATAGAGGAGATTCATTTTATAGTTTCATATATTTATAGCATATATCGGTAACTTTACCCAAACCCTAGTAAAAGTTTGTCAGCTTAATGTATTTGTGCATGAATTTAACTACCACTGGAGGATGGTGAATTTTGTTTATAGCATCTGATATTTGAACTTTTTCCTAAATGAAAAGTTACATTAAAAAAAACTTCTCATAAAAAATCCTCATGGGACGTTCCATTCAGTTCATGTTTTCTCCCTCGTTCTTCATTTCCCTGCACCTGAGCCATTCGTCTTGTTCTTTTCTCAATGGCTATGTTAGAAAGTGGTAAATATGTCTGCCTCCTCTGCCTTCCCTGCTCACCCTCAGTTCATCAGGAAGTCATGTAGGCTTCCTGTATTGCTTCCCAGGAATTAAAGAAATCTTAGTCACCACATCAAAAAATCTAGATCATTTTGCCTTTGAAACTTTCACTTCCCAAAGGTTACTTGCAGTGAACGTGTTTATAGTTCCTTAGGAAAGGGATGTGTATGAAACTTGGTGTTAATGATAAAAAGAGCAACACTAGATAGAATGCTGGGCTAGGGAGATGGTCATTTCTAGAGATTCACCAACTGAAGGAGAATGTATCTCACTATAAGGTTAAGAGGCTTTTCTTCCCAGATCATCAAACATCTGGGTATAGTTTTCAGTGTTCATTTCCATGAGGGCACAGATTTGTATTTGATTGGCCCTTTTCTTATTGCCAATCTTAAAAATCTTTAAAACGGAAATCTATTCTCTTTGGAATCAACCCAGAAAAAATAGTAGCTCAACTTTAAATCAGCAAATGGTTAAACATTGTTAGAAATAAATTACTTAATTCCTTGAGTTAGCTGATCCTGTTCCCAGCTTATTTAAAAAAAAATAGAATCCTCAGCAAAAACTACAAACAAGTAACAGAATTTCTGAATCCAAAAGGTTGAAAATGAGCAGCACAGCTCATTTTCTTACCAATCAATAGGTAAGAAGAAAATTAAGATTGTTAATTCTCTTGTTCTGTGATTCTTTTTGAGAAGGTCCATATCTGTTGCTGAGTAAAAACATTAATGTTAAGAGACCTTACTAAATTATAGAATAAACTTCTTTGAAAGGTATAGTAACAAGAAATTACTGTTAGAATTATTTACACTTACCATATTGGGGTTTTACAGCATCATTTAACTGCTAGAGCTATTTTTAAAAATCCACATATTTCACAGTAACCATAGAAAAAAACCACCAAGAGGTGTAGGAAATAGAAGGCTTTTAAATGTATTTCATATTATTACGAGATGTTCATTTTTCCAACCAGCTATTTCTTGTTACTTTGTTCATGGTAGGAGGAACAAAAAAGGGATGTTGTTTATCCTGACTTCACTCACTGAGGGAGAAAATAAAAGTGGCAGGGTGAAGTCATCTTATTATAATGTTGCAAATAATTTTTAAAATCCAGAAATTTTGACTGGGTGCAGTAGCTCATGCCTGTAAATCCCAGTACTTTGGGAGGCCAAGGCAGGCGGATCACCTGAGGTCACAAGTTTGAGACCAGCCTGGCCAATGTGGCGAAACCCTGTCTCTACTATTTCTAACTGTGTGTATACAGACACACACACACACACACACACGCACACACACACATAGTTTTGTTAAATACTGTGAAATTCTCTTCCAAAAGGGTCGTACGATTTTGCATTCCCACCACCCCATTGGCATAGATGAGTGTCTCTCCCACACTTCGTCAACAGTGTATTAAGTTGAAAATTTTTGCTATTCTAATGAGTAAGAAATGGTATCTTAGTGTGGTTTTAGTTTGCATTTCTCTTATTATAAATACAACTGAGCATTTTTGACATGTTCACAGACCAATTTACATCTTTTGCAAGTTGCCTAATTTGTGTCTTTTACCCATTTTTCTCTAGAATTTTGGTCTTTTCCCTCTCAATTTTAAAAAGGTCTTTGTATGTTAGAACCATTGTTTGTATTTGTAATAGATGTGGCAAATATTTTCTTTCAATTTAATACCATCTTTTGACTGATTACAATGTGTGTGCGGTTTTTTTCTCGTACTAATACCAACTGCTTTACCTATATAGGCTTTGAAATAGGGTGTAATATCTAGTAGGGCCAGTTCTCCCTCAGAGCTCTTCGTTCTCAGTGTAGCCCAGCTATTTTTTTTTTTTTAAGACAGAGTCTCACTCTGTTGCCCAGGCTGGAGTGCAATGATGCAGTCTCAGCTCATTGCAACCTCTGCCTCCTGGGTTCAAGCAATTCTCCTGTTTCAGCCTCCCAGGGTATGTGTGTTCTTAAAGTGTATTTTGTGTAAGCTGCACGTAGTTGAATCTTGGTTTTTTATCCATTCAGCCACTTTATGTATTTTGATTGGAGAATTTAATCCATTTACATTCAAAGTAATTATTGATAGGTAAGGAGTTACTATTGCCATTTGGTTAATTGTTTTCTGGTTATTTTATAGATCCTTTGTTTGTTGTTTATCTTTGTGATTTTATGTTTTCCTGTGGTACTGTTTTGATTCCTTTCTCTTTATCAGTTGTGTATCTGCTATTATCTTTTGTTTTCTGGTTACTGTGAGGCTTACATAAAACATCTTACAGTTATAAGACTCTTTTGTGTTGATAGCAACTTAATTTCAATCCCATACAACAACTCTAGACTTTAAACTTCCTCATTTATATTTTTGATTTCACAATTTACATATTTTTACATTATGTATTTCTAAATTAGTTCAGCCATTGTGGAAGACAGTGTGGTGACTCCTCAAGGATCTAGAACCAGAAATACCATTTGACCCAGCAATCCTATTACTGGGTATATACCCAAAGGATTATAAATCATTCTGCTATAAAGACACATGCACATGTATGTTTACCGCAGCACTATTCACAATAGTAAAGACTTGGAACCAACCCAAATGCCCACCCATGATAGACTGGATAAAGAAAATGTGGCACATATACACCATGGAATACTATGCAGCCATAAAAAAGGATAAGCTCATGTCCTTTGCAGGGATATGGATGAAGTTGGAAACCATCATTCTCAGCAAACTAACACAGGAACAGAAAACCAAACACTGCATGTTCTCACTCATAAAAGTGGGAATTGAACAATGAGAACACATGGACACAAGGAGGGGAACATCACACAACAGGGCCTTTCAGGGGGTGAGGGGCTAGTGGGAGGATAGCATTTGAAGAAATACCTAATGTAGATATCGGGTTGATGGTGCAGCAAACCACCATGGCATGTGTATACCTATGTAACAAACCTGTACATTCAGAACTTAAAGTGTAATAAAAAAAAGAGAAATCAGTGAAAGGAAAACAATAAAAAAGTAATAACAAAAAAGCAGAAGAAAGTCCTAAAGATGTTATTTGCACATATATACATATATATGTCAATGATAAGTATATACTTAATAAGTACAGATGTACAAATATATACTCAAAAATTATGTGCTTCTTAACAACTTATTGTAGTTATTATTTTTGACTCTTTTGGTTTTTAACCTTCATGCTAAAGATATACATGACTTAACAGAGAACCATAATAATATTAGAGTATTTTGGATTTGACTATGTATTTACCTTTACCAGTGAATTTGATACTCTCTTATATCTTCATATTAGTAACTAGTGTCCTTTTATTTCCACTTGAAGACTCCCTTAAGCATTTCTTGTAAGGCAGGTATAGTGGTAATGAATTTCTTCAACTTCTTTTGTTTGTCTGGGGAAGACTTTATTTCTCCTTCATCTCTAAAGGATAGCTTTGTTGAGTATAGTATTCTCACCTGAAAATTTTTTTCTTTCAGCACTTTGAATGTATCATCTCATCTGTCCTGACCTGCAAGTTTTCTGCTGAGAAATTTGCTGATAGTCTAATGGGAATCCTCTCATATATGATTTGATGCTGTTCTCTTGCTGCTTTTGAAATTCTCTTTGTCTTCGGCTTTTGACAGTTTAGTTGTAATGCAACTTGGAGAGGACCTATTTGAGATCAATCTGTTTAGGAACTTTGGAGCTTCTTGAATCTGGATGTTCAAATCTCTTTCAAAACTTGGGAAGTTTTCAGCAATTATTTCATTATATAAGCTTTCTGCACATTTGTCTCTTCTCCCTGTAGAGCTCCCATAATGCAAAAGTTTGTTTGCTTAATGATGTCCCGTATGTCCCATTGGCTGTCTTCACACTTTTCGTTTTTTTTTTTCCTTCTCATTGGGTAATTTCATAAGACCTATCTTCAAATGCAGAGTTTCTTCCTTGTGCTTGATCTAGTCTGCTGTTGAAGCTTTCTATTGTATTTTTTATTTTCTTCACTCAGTTCTTGAGCTCTAAGATTTCTGTTTTCTTCTTTATTGAATTTCTCATTAAGATGACGAATTGCTTTCCTGATTTTGCTGAATTGTCTATCTGTATTCTCTCAGATCTATCTGAGTTTCCTTAAGATTATTATTTTTAATTCCTTTTCAGGCAACTCATAAACTTCCTTTTCTTTGGGGTCAGTTACTGGCACCTTGTCTTTTATTGGTGTCATGTTTCTTGCTTTTTAATAGTTCTTATGTCCTTGCATTGATGTCTGTGCATCTGGTGGAACAGCACTTCTTCCAAACTTTAGAGAGTGCCTTTAGTAGGGAAAGACTTTGACTCTGGAAGGCATGGCATAGCATTGGCCCAGCTAAAGGTTAGGACCCAGAAAGAAGGTACAGCTGCAATTTGGGAAACGGAGCCAATAGGGCACCATTGCAACTTAGGCCCCAGGACACGAGGGACTGCATGGTGGGGATTCTGGACCTGGGGATAGTGGGACATAGAAGTATCCCAGATTCTGTGAAGCCAGGTGTGACAGCAGCAAGGACCCTGGAATAGCAGAGGGCAGATGTCACTTGGGCCCTGGAAGGAAGGGAGCAGTGCTGCAATGATTCCATTCCTTGGGGATGGGAGTATCTCAGCAGCTCATACTCTAATGGGCTAGTCCAGTTCCAGGAAAGCAGGGTACTACAATTATTCAACCTGTAGGGTGAGGTGACCCAGCTCAGTCAGTGCTCTGTTTAGCTAAGATGTAAAATACCATGTCATCTCATCCCTGAGATGTGCAACTGATTGGGTTTGGCCATGACACTGATTTCCTGGAGGCAAGGTGCTGCTTCCATTCAGGAATGGGGGTGCATGACTGCCCTGAGCAGCCAAGGAGCCAATTCTTTAGGAGGCTGAGTGCCATTTCAGCTCAAGCCTTCACGGGGCAGGGCCAAAAGCAACTTGGAGGGGTGGGTGGAGCATCTCCACTGCAGCTTGGCCCCAAGAAATAGGATGTAGCAGCAGCTCAGCTTGTGGATGGTGCGCAACAATTTGGGGGCGGTTCAACAGCAACAAAGCTGGTGGGATGGAAGTGTACTGTGGCTACCTATCCCCAGAACAGGACACATTCCAACAATGTTTCTGATTTCAAATGCAGTAGCCACGTGGGTCACAGTGGTGAGTATTTTCTCCTCCTCTGTGGGGAGTGTAGCTGTGTGGATTCCAGGGAGTTCCCTCAGCTGGGCTTAGTGCCTGTGAGAACTGCAGGGGTCACCAGAGGTGAGGACTGTAGGTGCCTAAGGTGGTGATGGGGGCTGCTGTGGTCCTCTTCCTTACCTTTTCCCTGCAAGGAGAATTTCCCCCTGGTTCCAACTGATCCTGATGTAGGGATAGGGTGGTGGAGGTGAGGTGTTTCCTTCTGTTGTCTATGTGGCCATCTTGGGTTTCTGCACACTACAGAGTTTCTAATACACCTTTAATGTATTCTAACATCCTCCCTTAGTTATTTTCTTCTAAATGTAGTTGCTTACTTATTGTTTTGGCTATCTTTGGGAGGGTGGTGGTGAGTATTGGGAGCTTCTAGTTAGGTTATCTTACTGATGTCATAAAAAGTGGATTTCAAATGCTCTCACCAAAAATAAATGACAAATATATTAGGTGATGAATATATTAATGAACCTGATTTGATCATTTCACAATGTATGCATGTATCAAATTGTCACAATGTACCCAATAAATATATATGTAATTATTATTTGTCAATTAAATAAAATAAAAAGTTTTTAAGACATAGAGTCACTGAATGGATTAAAAAACAAGACCCAACTCTATGCTCTCTGCAAGAGACTTGCTTCTCCTTTAAGAATACACATAGATTGAAATAGAAAGGTTGTAAAAAGATACTTCATGCAAAGGGAAACCGAAAGAAATCAGTGGTAGCTATGCTTAAATCAGGAAAAATAGACATTGTCAAAAACTAAAATGAGATAAAGAAGGTCATTATATAATGAGATAAAAAGGTCAATTCATGAAGAAGATATAAAGTAAATACATATGCATTCAACATCAGAGAATCTATATATTCATAACACAAATATTAATAGATCAGAAGAGATAGAGTGCAATATAATAATAGCAGAAGACTTCAGTATCTCACTTTCAGCAACACAAAAATCATCTAGATAGAAAATAAGGAAACTTGGACTTGAACTACACTTTGGGTCAAATGAACCTAACAGACATATACAGACCATTCTATTCAACAGCAGCAGAATACACATTCTTTTCATGCACACACAAAACATTTTTCATGCTAGATCATGTGTTAGGTCACAAAACAAGTCTTAACAAATTTAAGAAAATTGAAATCATATCAAGTATTTTTTGATACCACAATGTCATGAAACTAGAAATCAAATTGTTAATTTGGAGAAGGAATTGCAGAACATTCAAAAATACGTAGAAATTAGACCCCCTCCTCCTAAACAATGGGTCAAAGAAGGAAATAAAAAGGAAATTAAAAATATTTTTAGACAAATGAAAATAGAAACAGCATACCAAAACTTACGGGATGCAGCACAAGCAATTCTTTTTTTTTTTCCAAGCAAACTGTATCCAGCTTTATTAAAGATACTCTCCATAAACAATCATGGTATTTCAGGCAGGACATGGGCAGAAAATCATTAACAGTATACAACAACTTTTATACTCCCTTCTTCAACGGACTACCAAAAATTAGAAAGCCACTATAAAACCCAATGAAGTATTCATCTTATGCTCTGAACAGGGAAAGTTTAAAGTGAGGGTTGACATTTCACATTTAGCATGTTGTTTAACAACTTTTCACAAGCCGACCCTGACTTTCTGGAAGTGAAAAGAAAATGGCAGAATTTATCTGAAGATCCACAATCTAGAAACGGAACCACTTCTCTTTTGACAGCTGCCATCTCAGTGGCATCACTGGAAAGTCCAGATTGCCTGACACACTTGTAACCAATGATTGGGGGTCAGGTCCCAATAGATGTCTAGGCTTAAGGGAGTTAAGTCTACGCTGAAAGATGGAAAGGGAGAAGAAGACATAAAACGAATTTGTTTTTCCATACCACAAGGCTTTGTGCCAAGGTGGCCATGTGTGTCAAAATCAGGGGATCCCTCCTCTTGGGAGCCAAGAGGAAGTCTCTCAAAACTAGAAGGGAAAGGTGTTTTCCCCACATCAATCCAGCTTCAGAGACATTCTATTAGTGACATATGCCCCTTCCCCCAAAAACAATGAAGTGTTCTGTGTGCTAACAACATAGCTTAAAAAAAAAGTAAAATAAAATTCTGTTCATGTCCTTCGCCCACTTTTTGATGGGGTTGTTTGTTTTTTTCTTGTAAATTTGTTTGAACGAGTTAGTGGGTGCAGCGCACCAGCATGGCACATGTATACATATGTAACTAACCTGCACAATGTGCACATGTACCCTAAAACTTAAGGTATAATAAAAAAAAAAGAAAAAAAATACTAAAAAAAAAAATTCTGCATTTTTATAAAACTTGATAAAAAAATCATATTTCAAACTCTACAGTCACCAGAAGTATACAGTTATCAAAAATGCACACACTTCACTTGGCATCTCCAGCACCTTCGGCTTTCTGTGCCTGGTCTGTTTTGGCGTCTCCATTTTCTGCAGGGTTATTCCCCTCCTTGCCAGCATCAGCTTTTCCCTTTTTCCCTATGGGTATCTTCTCTCCTGTCTTTGCATGGGCGTTTTTAGGCTTGAGCTCTGGCTTTGGAGGAGCAGGTTTAGTAGACAACCTCATGATCTTCTCTGTGGTTCATCCTTCATCGTGACTTTATCTCCTTTAACATCCCCTTCAGCCTTTCTCTTGGGCATGCTGGCAGTGGTGATGTACTTAAAAATTGTATTCTTGTATTAAGAATGTGTCCAATGAGAGCCCCGGCTGTTTTCCCTATCAGCTACATTAGTTCCAGTGAGGTTTATGTCCTTCCTCCCATCACATGTCTGCTCATGCACTCATATACATGCACACATACACATACCCCGCCCCCCACTCTCATCTTGTACATGTGAAATAAATTCTTCAAAATATCTTGGTTTTGACCTTCAGTTACTCCTGTTGTTGGTCCAATCTTCAGTTTTTCCTAATCTTAGAGATTTCACTTTGTTGCAAGTTATGGTATGTCAAGAAGCAATTATTTGAGTCAGGTGATGGCCTATCATCTTAGAGTGCATTTTTTTCTCCAGCCAGATGAGCTCATGGTGAATTCTTGGACTGAGATCTAGCTCTTGCTAGAACCACATTTGTTTCTGCAAGTAGGGCTTTCCAGAGCAAACACTCAGATCTAAATCAAGAAAGGAAGCCTATCAGAGAAGGAATAAGTGAAGGTAAAACAAAAATTTTTATTTTTCTTATTCTTAATTGATAAAACAGAACACTTTGTTCAAAATAATAGTTGAAACAATGTATTAGATTATGTATGCTTATATATATCTTAGTGTATGTTTCTGTTTAAGTGACATAAATGACAGCAATGATACAAGAAATGGAAGGGAGGAATTAGAATTACTTTTTATTATAAAACACTTGTACTCCAGTGAAGTAAGTTAGTGTTATTTGAAAGTGGGCTTGGATTAATTGTAAATGTATATTGCAAATTCTTGGGCAACCTCTAAAAATAGTTCAAAAAGAGTTATAACTGATATGTTCAGAAAGGAGAGAAAAGGTAATAATATTAAAGGTTCGATTGAAGCTATGCACTATGGGGAATGGGAGCCATGCACGATTGGGGGATCTGAAAGATCTGTCACCCTAGCGAGGAAGAGACTCTAAATGATAGGAATGGAACTTCAATGGAATGTTAGTTTTTTCCTAGGAAATAAGTATAGATCCTAAGTCCTTTGAAACTTGGCAGTTTGGGCAGGGGTGTAGGGGAGAGGTACAGGGAGGAAGGGTATGAAATTACTGAAAACAAAAAGTCCTACACACAAACACAGCTTCACACACAAGAATCTCGTGGTTTTGTTCTCTTTCTAGAGTGGAAAGAATGCAAGAGCTAAAGCAGCTAACCTGCTCTACCTAAAGACCAGAACTAAATAGGGTGCAAAAAATTGGTGGAGGGAGGAATTAGGCATGATTGCCCTGGGATAACCCCAAGCCCTCTCTAAAACCCTGCTTCCTTAGACCTTAGTCCAATACAGATATTCCTCCTGCTTCCTGCACCCTGCTCTCCCATCCACAATCCTGTGGATTCCTCTTTTACCCAACACAACTACTCCACTCCCCCTCCTCAAAGATGTGACTCACCTTAAGATTGGTGCTCCTGTGGCAGCCTGGATCTCCTCACTGTGTGTCACAGGGTCTTTAATTACAGGGGCTCTGCCTTTCCCTAGTTCTAGTAATCTGGGGACTCAGTTCATTTTATACTCTGTAGCCAGGGCCTTCTAGGTGCTCCCATGCTTCCACCCACAACCCCCAGGGAAGCTGCGCACACCTCATTATGAGATCTATAAATTTCCTTCAACCCAGATGTGTTGAGCAGCCACTGTGTGCTTGCCACTGCCCCCAAAGAGCTCACAGTCTAGCAGGAAAGACCTACAAGTAAGGAGTTGTGAGTGCTGTGATAAAAGGAACAGACTGTAGAGGAACTGGGATGGGCGGTGCTGAGTGTGTAAGAGATGGTTAGCAAAAGATCCATCATGTAGTTGATGCTTGATCTGCTTTTGAAAAGAAAATAAGCAAAGAAAGAGAGGCGGAGGAGGGACAGGGAAAGGCAAAGGGAGTGGCAAGGCCGATGGTCCAGGGCATGGAATGTAGGGGAACTGTCAGGGAGTGAGTAGGACTGAGGACTGGGTTGTGGAAGAGGGAAAGGAAAATGCTCCTGGAGAGAAGACAGGAAGAGGGGATCTTAAAGAACCTTGTAGAAGCCAGCTGTGAAGTTTAGACTACATGCTAGGGGTAATGGGAAATAGCTGAAGGGGTTACAAAAGGATCATGATTTCTGTATTAGAGAGACTAATTTTCTATCAACGCTGAGCAGAGAGTGAGAAGGGATGTGGGAAGAGGTAGCAAAGAGATCCTGAGAACCATAGAACACATTATATACAGTCTGAACTGGCTCCTCTGTCCCTCTAGGAACAAAGAAGAGGAGGAGATATGTTGTAGTAGTTGGTTGTTTTAATCACCTCCTATTCACCCTGTTGGAGTGGGAGGGATTCCTGCCTTAGGATTACGCACATGGCCAAACATATGACAAGTGATACTGGCCTAATGAGACTGACAGAAATTTATTAATTACATAGAATTACAGGATGGAGGATAAGGACACTAAATGCCATGCAGGGCCACGTGGGTGTTGCAGTTGGGAACAGACTGAATAAGAGGGGCCGTGTGAGGCAGGCTTTGCAGTATCAAAAGGGTAAGGTGACCCCTGGTTACCACGAAAGGATGTGACTGCCTTCTTTGAATAATTCCAGGGCTGGCAGAGAGCTGAAACTTGCTATTCAGGAATAAGCAGGAACTGTGTCTGGCTCTCTTGAGTGGAGGGTTTTTTGCAGGAGCAGAGTGAGGGAGGAAACTTGTGGTCAGGCCATGTGAGGCCATCCCAGTTTTACCAGATGTCAGGGCAGCACATAATGTTGGGATTAATTTTAGGCCTTATAGAACAGATCAACCCTTGATGCTTTGACATTAATTTTAACCTAAATTTAGATGGAAGAGCCGGGCTCTGGGGTCCCTTGTGATGTTCCATATGTGATTGTGGCAATGGCTGGATTGTATGGTCAGAGACTGGAGAACACACGTGAGAGCCAATGCCCAGCATAACAGTAAAACCACAAACCCCAATAAAAGCAAACAGTGACATCTTATTGTTTTGTTTTTGTTTTTGAATTTCTCTGAGGCCTGGGTGATGATTACTGGGACCACCAGACCTGGCCAGGGGTGATTCTTTCTGAACTTTCTTTCCATACATACGCTATTACTTGAGTAGAAGTAAGAAGTGAGGAAAAAACTAATGAAGTTATTTATCTTTCCTAATCTCTTAACCAAGGTATTTCCAGCAGTTTGCTGAGAAGAAGACTTTTTGAAGATCACGATGGCCCTTCATTTCTTGTTTGATTCTTCTGGATAAAGCAGCATGATAACCTGAAAGGAAAGCATAAACATCTGGAGCAGTTCCAAAGGCATCTGGGGAGAGTCAGCACTGGAGGCTTGAATAAAAGTGTTTACTTCTTCTTATTCTCCAAATCTCAATGAAATAATAATTTAAAAAAAAAACTAGAAAAAAAACAGATCCAATGTAGCACCGACTGTCATTGGGATCAGGTATGAGTTGCCTGTTGTTGACAGATCATGGGAAACAATAAGAATTTTGTAGAAAATACAAAACTAGGAAAAGAGATTAGTGGTAAAATATAAAAGAGCAGGGTTTTATATATTTTAAAAATAAGTTTCTCTTACAACTGTTGGCAAAGCCCTATAGACAAAGTTGGCGCTGGAAGATGGTGCAGGTAGAAGGCCACAAGCAAAGGAATTCAATATGGGGCTGTAGAAGCTCAGAGGCCACCTGTCATCTGGGACAAAGCTGAAAGGAGTGCTCTATGAAATGGAGATTCCAACACAGAAGGACGAGGGCAATGCCCAGGAAACTTACAACTTGGACAAGACAAAGATGCACCCCCAGATGCAGAAAGCAGCTCGGCAGAGCCCATCCTGACCCACATCCCTCATCCTGTCCTCCACAAAATCCGTGGAGGCAGGGCTTCTGGACCCAGAATCTGTATTCACTGCTTTTCAATATATGACTCCTCTTTCAGTGGTACAAAGATTTCCTGTGGTAAACCATCTAGTATAAACACTCAAATAATCACTTCAATCCTTAGACTATCTAATTCAAGTGCCACTAAAGTATGCCTAAAACTCTCATAGGAAACTGATGACTGTAAGTTTATTTCTTAATAAAAATGTATTTTGCACATATATATATATACACACACTATCTATCTATCATCTATCTATCTATCTATCTATCTATCTATCTATCTATCCTCTATCTATCTATCTATCATCTATCTATCACCTATCTATCATCTATCTATCTCAGGATAGAGTAAATAACAGAAAAACCTTAAAAAGTTACTTATAAGAGCCTGTGAGAAAAAGCATCCAACCCCATTTAGCCCCTCAATGTTGCCAGCAGGCTATTCCCACCCTCCCAGGCAGCTGTGTCTAAGCATATAGACCTTCCTCTTTATGCTCCACACCTCATGGTCCCAAGAGGGCTACTTCACCTCCCTTTCTATGTCTGCTTCAGGAAGGAAAGAAAGGAGAAATAAGGCTTAGGGCTAGAATCAGGAAATAAAGGCTTTCCCAGAAACCTCCACACTTGTGCTTAGGTTGTATTAGACAGAACTGTGTCACATAGACACTGCTACTTGTAAGAGACACTGGGAAACCATGTCTAGCACTTACAGCCTCGAATGTTCCTGCTGTCCTACATTCAAAGACATTACTCTGTACATATTAACCTTCACTATTCAGATGAACTACAACTGGAACTGGATCTAGGATATAGGGAAATGAAGGAAAGGGGGCGTTGGAATCCAGTAGACATGGGTTGGAACCCAAACTCCAGCAATTGACAGCTGTATGCATGGACATATTTATTGTTTCTCCTTAAAAAGATTTCCTTTTTATTTAAAGGACTTGAAATGCCTTTTAGTTGTGCCTGTAAAGACTGTGAATCTTGCATTTGCCTGTGATCCTTAGCAGTAGGGTAAGCCCACATCTGGCATATGTGCTGGCCAAAATTACCCTGAATAAGTGCATGACAACTCTCAATCTGTTTCTTCTTTCTGTAAAATGGGAAAGCGGGCATTGTACTGGACAGTTTTAAGGACTCTATAAAACCATGTAGGCAACATAAAAAATCAAAATATCCCTGGACACTTTGGGAGGCCAAGGTGGGTGCATCACCTGAGGTCAGGAGTTTCAGACCAGCCTGTCCAACATGGTGAAACCCAGTCTCTAATAAAAATACAAAAATTAGCCAGGTGTGGTGGTGCACACCTGTAATCCCAGCTACTTCAGAGGCTGAGGCAGGAGAATTGCTTGAACCTGGGAGGTGGAGGTTGCAGTGAGCTGAGATCACACCATTGCACTCCAGCCTGGCGACAAGAGCCAAATTCTGTTAAAAAAAAAAAAAAAAAACAAAAAACAAAAACAAAGAAATCCCTGGAAATTTACATTTTTAACGACCAATTACTTTGGAGTACAGCCTTGCACATGGATTGTTTTTACAAGGACTGTCAACCCACAAAAATGTTTTCAAACCTCAGTTTTGAGAGGCCTCTCTCAAACTGCGTGTTTTAATGAAAACTCATTTAAAAGCATTGATTGCATCTGACCATCTCATAGTCTTGGTCAGGTATTTTTTGAAGAATTACACATTGCTTGGCATTTGACCAATGCTAAGTGGGCCTACTGACATCACCAGCAATCTAGAAATTAGAATTATTTGATTCCATAGTTATGTTTGTAACTAAGAGATTGTTATTCTTTTATTTCAAAGCTACCCTAATGTCCTGCATGTCTCCAGTTTATCTGATGGAGCTGAACTAATCTGAGTATATTATGAACACAAGCAAGTAAGTTATTTTAAAAAATGAACCTACTTGTACTAAAAATTTACAGGTAGAAGGGTTGTCTACTAACCATATTACCTAGAACAGTGTGGATCTTTAGAAAGTTAAATTAAATGATGGTAAAAAATCACCTCTTACCAGGTGCAGCAAACACAAAATACAGTAAACAAACAAACATATCTTTGTGCTGTAATTTGTTACCAAAATATTCTTTGTGGGATTGTGGGATTTCCACTGCTTTTTTTTCTTCTCTCTCTCTCTCTCTCTCTCTCTGTGTGTGTGTGTGTGTGTGTGTGTGTGTGTGTGTGTGTGTGTGGTATGTTCTCCAGTCTCCAGAGATGTAGATTAGAATTTTAAATTAAAATGTTCAGATAACTAGTTACAATCAAATTTATCCCCAAGAGTGGAAGGAAAGTGCAATGGAGAAATTGTTTTGTAAATTAAAGACATTACTGCACAAGCCTAACATGATGTTACTGGGGATTTTAATGTTTTTACCTGCATTCAGATTAAAAGTCATCAGTTTTCCCTGTCATCAACAATTTATTTATTCATCCATTCTATTTTTATATTTTTATGGATTGATATACCCAACACTATACTAATTAACCCAATTTACAAGATAATCTATAATCTTATTTAGGTTAGAAGGGTTTTTTGGCAAATGTTCACTCTAGAAAACTGAGTTGTAAGAATATGGGTGATCTCAAATTTGTTTCTGTGTGTGTAAAAGGAAAGGCTTCATATCTAAAATGACTTTACCTCAGTATACTAAATTGTTTGAGGGTAATGAATGAGAAGAACACAACTGTAAAAGGGCCAAGGACAGAGGGATGGGCAAATGAAGGAAAGGCAGAGAGGGAGACCAAGAGCTGAGGGGGAAAATTCTGTGGAGGGGTGTGGGAAAGGGGTGGAGCTGGCACCCTTGCCTTAAAAGCTGAGTGATAGCCCAAGGGATACAAAAGACCGCTTGAGCCGGGTAGGGAAAGCAGCCTAAAGCCCGGGACAGGCACACAGGCCCAGGTGTGTAGGCCACAGCAGCTGCAGTCCTGAAAGGCTGCAACGTCCCGACCTCCAGGAGAGACCAGGCCCAGGATGCCTCGCCTGTTTTTTTTCCACCTGCTAGGAGTCTGTTTACTACTGAACCAATTTTCCAGAGCAGTCGCGGACTCATGGATGGAGGAAGTTATTAAATTATGCGGCCGCGAATTAGTTCGCGCGCAGATTGCCATTTGCGGCATGAGCACCTGGAGCAAAAGGTCTCTGAGCCAGGAAGATGCTCCTCAGACACCTAGACCAGTGGCAGGTGAGAGCTCCCGCCCCCTCCCGGCCTTCCCGCGCTTCCCATTGGTTACTCTGGGGCGGCCGCCCAATTGGAACGGCGGCCTGCACGTCCGACTCGAGATCTCATTGGCTGCCACCGCTCAGCCCCTACTCAGCCGTGGCTGGTCCCTAAAGTTTGGGCTTTTCCTTTGCCAGGTGATTTTATTCAAACAGTCTCACTGGGAATCTCACCGGACGGAGGGAAAGCACTGAGAACAGGAAGCTGCTTCACCCGAGAGTTCCTTGGTGCCCTTTCCGTAAGGCAGTCAGAGCGACGGGGTGGAAAGGGAGGGGAAGCCTCAGAGGAGGTGACGCCGCCCGGAGACCCGCAGGAGGCCGGGCGCACTCCTGCACCCCACAGGAAAGCCAGGCGGCCAGACAGCGGGCGTGCTGGTGGGGGCACCTGAACAGGGCTTCTCGGATAGAGAGGAGAGGGGACAAACACTGAGGCGGCGCGCTAGTTATCAAGCCTGTTTGCGCGCCTGTAGGACGGGGCAACACTCTGAGGTCTCTGTGAGGGTCCCGTGATGGGAAGACAGGAAGGGCCTTACACTTAATGACTCTCCTAGTCCAGAAGTTGGGCTGTGGCCTTTGCCATTGGAAACGTTCTTTAAAATAAACAAACAGAAAATCCCAAAGGAAAGAGTCTGACCTCCCGCTTCTTTGATCTGGGTATTGAAGTTCATTTGTGAGGCAGGGGATGGAAGAGAAAGGAAAGGCTTGAATGCCTTTAGGAGAAACTCAAGAGGACCAGAGACAAGGAAAGCAGGCCGTTCAGACCATCATAGCTGAAGACCCTACTGATGCTTTCAAGCATTTGGAAGCTGCAGTGGGTTTGCTTTAAAGGCAAGCTCTTAGAGTTGAGTACAGCTCAATCTGAAATGGCTTTTAAAAATATTTTAGTATTTATAAAGTAGCAGTGGAAACTCATGGAGGTATATACTAGTCTAAGAAGTGTAACGGGTCATATTAAATTCAGAGAAAGTAACCGCAGTTGCAAATACTAAGTGTTTTGTATTAGTATGACATGTAATTTATGATAAACCGCAACTAAATTTTATAGGCTATATGCATATACTATATATAAATGACTCTAACAGAAATACATTTACTTCTCTTTTATGAGATTTAAAGTATGCTTCTAAAGTTATTTACTTTTCTACATTGTTAGAGTTTGATTTATTTAATGGCAGTTTTTACATGACTTTTGTATAACATTAGTACAAAAATACCACAACGTCTAGGAATTTAGTGATAAAAAGTAGAGAAGACCGGATTGCATTGCATTTGCTTTATTATTCCACATTTTCTGACTATAAAAGTAGTAATGCTCATATTAAAGACAAATGTACATTAATGCAGCGTGAAAAATGAGAAGCACTCGTAGATATTAAGGACTTTGAAAAGTATATGTGAATTTTATGAGAAAATGAAATTATATTAAACAAGTAAGTGGAAAGAAATGTTAACATTTGGATAGGTATATGTATATATCTTTTGCATTTTCACTCACCATTATACTTTGAGCAGTTTCTCACATTGTTATTATCCCAAAACACAATTTGAAATTCCTGTGTAGTATTTTTTGTCATAAATCTGCCACATACACTTAAGGATTCTTTGGTGGATATTTAGTTTATTTCTAAATTGTTGCTGAAAATACTTCATTAAGCACATTTGTATATAGATATGGCTACATTTTTATTTCCTTTGAAGAGACATGAGATTACAAAGTATTTTTAAAGAATTTTCTTTATTGATGTGCAGTATAATTTAACTGAAAGTAACCTCAGAAAATATTGCCTGCAGGTGGAGATTAAGACAAATGTTTACCATTACTAGGTAGGAATCGTTTTGGAAGTACATGTCAGTAATTTGTGATTAATTTGAGTTTTCAGACTTCTACTGTTAGGTAGTTGCTATTTGCTTCCACATTATTACATTGTTAGCCATCCATTTCATCCTACAATATGTGCTAAAATCATATTCACTGCATCCCTTTTAAAAATAAGATACCCTTTAAACCAGAAGAGGCCTATTTTAGTGAGATTTACATCCAAAATAATAAGTGAATAAGGGTATTTGTATGAATTCAGACAGAATATTTTCTTTGAGCCTAGGTTCCATAGCTAAAGGTGTTATGGATTATGAAATATTTCAAAACAGGTTTAAAAATATAATTTTAATAAAAGTATAAAATACACAGCCTATGAACAAACCTAATACAAACTATAACTGTTTTGGCTGACTCATTTAACTGGCTTTAAGTATATAGAAAATTACCATCAGCTTCTTTCAGTATTTAATAAGGCCCCAACTACAGAAAGTTTAGGTTGGATCAAAGAGAGGTTTTTATGATGAAATTGAATTAAACTTAGGATGTCTTACTGAGGGGAAATGCCAAAACCTCTCATTTAACCAAAAACGATATAAATTCTCATCTGTCATTTCCAGTTTAGAACATGAATGAGGGAGAGTGTTGGGAGGAAGGATGAAATACTACAGTTTGTTTTTTTTTATTCCTCTGTCAAACTCCAATTGTTGAATTTTTTTGTTGGCTAGAAGGGGAACAACTGAATCTCTTGCCAGAAAACTCAGGAAATGATCAGCCCCAGAACCACCGCTGTCTAGGTGAAGGGTCGTGGTTTCCTCTGATCAGCAGGCATCAGTGGTTAACCAGGTGTCTGCCTCCCGCACTTAGATTTACTCCCCTCTTCTCTTTATTTTCATTATTTCAAGAGTAATGCCTTGTTAATGGAGAGTTTTCCTGTCCAGGAAGAAGAGCAGCAAGACCTGATATGGGTTTTCACTGTAATTTAAACATCATCGTGTTTCTAATTTCTTTGTGAAATAAAACTATTAAGTTGTATAATTAGGACAGTTAAGGTTAGGAGAGGGTTTAACTCACTGTAAGCTTTTTGAGAGCAAGAAACATTTAAATAAATTTATATCTTTTAACTGGCAGTGCCAGAGACATGGAAACAGGTAATGAATGTTCAACTGAGCTGAATGGGTGCAAAGATGGAGGAAGATGTCAGCTGGGTGTCCAGCAGGTTCCCAGCCCAAGTCCCAGCCTTCACATTTGGCCAGCCTGGGATGCTGTGTAAGAACAGGCTCCCTTCCTAGGAGACACACAGATCTTGCATAGTGCATGATCTGCAGCTTTGGAACAAATATCAAACAGAAAACATTAGTCAGTACACATACTCCACAGCAGATACAAATCTCTTCTTAAATCAGTGATTTTTGGTTAGTGTTCTTTTAACCCACTTCTCTCTTTCATATAAAATACTATTGTTTTGGAGTAAATACTCTGGGGAAGACAAATTGTTAAATAGATGGTTAAGGAACATCAGAGACTTCTTTCTCCTGCTGATTAGATCAGAGGTGTTGGAAATTCTGCCTCTTTAACTTTATCCTCCAGGAGTAACTTCCCACCATGAAATATTCAATAGCTTAAAGTAATATCTTTTTCAAGGGTTACTATTACAACTCATAATATCATAAATCATAGCAATGGAAGAAAATGACTTAACTAAGAAGAATCCAAGAAAATGACCACTAGCTGTGGTCAAACTGTTTTCAGTGACTTACATGACTTCAGAAAGATGACAGATTAATGTCAGGGAGAGTCAAAAGTACTATGATAAAAGCACTGAGGGGATCATGAAGAGAGACGAGAGAGGACCAATGGGGTAAAGCAGAGCCTTGGTAAAATTATGGTACTTTAAGGTGTCCAACTGTAAGTAAGCTAAGTGTTTAGATATTAGGATGCTTGCTTATTTTGTTTCAATGTTTAATTTATACTGAGGCAATGCTTTTTTGTCTATGCAAACATTCATAGTTTTTCTGAGTGCTCTTTGACATGAATATACCCTCACATACACCTTTTTTTTTAAATTTAACAGAAATTGTGCCATCCTTCATCAACAAAGATACAGAAACCATAAATATGATGTCAGAATTTGTTGCTAATTTGCCACAGGAGCTGAAGTTAACCCTGTCTGAGATGCAGCCAGCATTACCACAGCTACAACAACATGTACCTGTATTAAAAGATTCCAGTCTTCTCTTTGAAGAATTTAAGAAACTTATTCGCAATAGACAAAGTGAAGCCGCAGACAGCAGTCCTTCAGAATTAAAATACTTAGGCTTGGATACTCATTCTCGAAAAAAGAGACAACTCTACAGTGCATTGGCTAATAAATGTTGCCATGTTGGTTGTACCAAAAGATCTCTTGCTAGATTTTGCTGAGATGAAGCTAATTGTGCACATCTCGTATAATATTCACACATATTCTTAATGACATTTCACTGATGCTTCTATCAGGTCCCATCAATTCTTAGAATATCTAAGAATCTTTGTTAGATATTAGGTCCCATCAATTCTTAGAATATCTAAACATCTTTGTTGATGTTTAGATTTTTTTATTTGATGTGTAAGAAAATGTTCTTTGTGTGATTAAATGACACATTTTTTTGCTGAAAAGCCTTTTTGTCTTTTTATTAACAGCATGATTATGTTGTGTTATTCTTTTTAATGCTGTTAACTTAAAATTACAATAAAACCTCTACCGCTTTAACCATACGTAGTAACAATACAGTTGTTACAATACCTAACACCATATAGTAGTAACAATACCTAACACCAGTTACATGAAATGGACCAAAATGTTTTATTGATATTAACTCTTAGATTGGATATAGATAAAGCCATAAAACTTGACCTTTCCTAATAGATTACAAAAGGTTTTTGTGTCATATTGAAATACTCATTGCAAACAATCGGATTGGACACTAAACCAATGTAATTTAGTTAAGACCATATAAACTCAAACGCTTTTTTTTCCTTTTTAATTTCCTTTTTTTCTAGTATAGTCTGAAGGGAACTCAAGTACTTTTCAAGCTAGGGTTCTGTTCTCAGTTCCAGTGTCTAAGAAACTTAAAAGTAAATTATTTTTTAAGGATAAAAAGGAATAGACATAATATAGAACAGAACAAACAAGTCCATATCATATATTACAGAAGAAATAGTATAATGAAGGAACATAATTTATGTTCACTTCTTTAGAATTTGCAAACTATTTCTGTAAGCAAAATTACTGAAATAGTATGAACACTTGTTAGAAAAGTAAACTGACGTAGTTATCAACTTAGTATTTTACTGGTTCTGTCTATTTTTTTTCTTTTTTAAAAATTATACTTTAAGTTCTTGGTTACATGTGCAGAACGTGCAGGTTTGTTACATAGATATACATGTTCCATGGTGGTTTGCTTCACCCATCAACCCATCACCTACAGTAGGTATTTCTCCAATGCTATCCCTCCCCTAGCCCCCCACCCCCAAACAGGCCACGGTGTGTGATATTCCCCTCCCTGTGTCCATGTGTTCTCATTGTTCAACTCCCATTTATGAGTGAGAACATGTGGTGTTTGGTTTTCTGATCTTGTGATAGTTTGCTGAGAATGATGGTTTCCAGCTTCATCCATGACCCTGCAAAGGACATAAACTCATCCTTTTTTATGGCTGCATAGTATTCCATGGTGTATATGTGCCACGTTTTCTTAATCCAGTCTATCATTGATGGACATTTGGGTTGGTTCCAAGTCTTTGCTATTGTGAATAGTGACGCAATAAACACATGTGCAAATGTCTTTATTGTAGAATGATTTATAATCCTTTGGGCATATGCCCAGTAATGGGATTGCTGGGTCAAATGGTATTTCTAGTTCTAGATCCTGGAGGAATCACCACACTGTCTTCCACAGTGGTTGAACTAATTTACACTCCCACCAACAGTGTAAAAGCATTCCTACTTATCCACAGCCTCTCCAGCATCAGTTGTTTCCTGACATTTTAATGATCGCCATTCTAACTGGCATGAGATGGTATCTCATTGTGGTTTTGATTTGCATTTCTCTAATGACCTGTGATGATGAGTATTTTTTCATGTCTGTTGGCTGCATAAATGTCTTCTTTTGAGAAGTATCTGTTCATATCCTTTGCCCACTTTTTGATGGGGTTTTTTTTTTTGTGAAGTTGTTTAAGTTCTTGGTAGATTCTGGATATTAGGCCTTTGTCAGATGGACAGATTGCAAAAATTTTCTCCCATTCTGTATGTTGCCTGTTCACTCTGATGATAGTTTCATTTGCTGTCCAGAAGCTCTTTAGTTTAATGTGATCCCTTTTGTCAATTTTAGCTTTTGTTGCCATTGCTTTTGGTGTTTCAGTCATGAAGTCTTTGCCCATGCATATGTCCTGAATGGAATTGCCCAGGTTTTCTTCTAGGATTTTTATGGCCCTAGGTCTTACGTTTAAGTCTTTAATCCGTCTTGAGTTGATTTTTGTATAAGGTAAGGAAGGGGTCCAGTTTCAGTTTTCTCCATATGGCTAGCCAGTTTTCCAAACACCATTTATTAAATAGGGAATTCTTTCCCCATTGCTTGTTTTTGTCAGGTTTGTTGAAGATCAGATGGTTCTAGATGTGTGGTTTATTTCTGAGGCCTCCATTCTGTTCCATTCATCTATATATCTGTTTTGGTACCAGTACCATGTTGTTTTGGTTATTGTAGCCTTGTAGTATAGTTTGAAGTCAGATAGTGCGATGCCTCCAGTTTTGTCCTTGTTGCCCAGGATTGTCTTGGCTATGCGGGCTCTTTTTTGGTTCCATATGAAGTTTAAAGTAGTTTTTTCCAATTCTGTGAAGAAAGTCAATGGTAGCTTGATGGGGATAGCATTGAATGTATAAATTTCTTTGGGCAATATGGCCATTGTCATGATATTGATTCTTTGTATCCACGAGCATGGAATGCTTTTCCATTTGTTTGTATCCTCTCTTATATCCTTGAGCAGTGGTTTGTAGTTCTCTTTGAACAGGTACTTCACCTCCCTTGTAAGTTGTATTCCTAGGTATTTTATTTTCTTAGTAGCAATTGTGAATGGGAGTTTACTCATGATTTGGCTCTCTGTTTGTCTGTTATTGGTGTATACGAATGCTTGTGATTTTTGCACATTGATTTTGTATCCTGAGACGTTGCTGAAGTTGCTTATCAGCTTAAGGGGTTTTTGGGCTGAAACAATGGGGTTTTCTAAATATACAGTCACGTCATCTGCCAACAGAGACAATTTGACTTCCTCTCTTCCTGTTCGAATACCTGTACTGCTTTCTCTTGCCTGATTGCCCTGGCCAGAACTTCCAGTACTGTGTTAAATAGGAGTGATGAGTGAAGGCATCCTTGTCTTGTGCCAGTTTTCAAAGGGAATGCTTCCAGCTCTTGCCAATTCAGTATGATATTGGCTGTGGGTTTGTCATAAATAGCTCCTATTATTTTGAGATATGTTCTATCAATACCTGTTTATTGAGTTTTTAGCATGAAGTGGTGTTGAATTCTATTGAAGGCCTTTTCTGCATCTATTGAGATAATCGTGTGGTTTTTGTCATTGGTTCTGTTTATGTGATGGATTATGTTTATTGATTTGTGTATGTTGAACCAGCCTTGCATCCCAGGTATGAAGCCAACTTGGTCATGGTGGATAAGCTTTTTGATGTGCTGCTGGATTCAGTTTGCCAGTATTTTATTGAGGATTTTCTCATTGATGTTCATTAGGGATATTGGCCTGCAATTTCCTTTTTTTGTTGTATCTCTGCCAGGTTTTGGTATCAGGATGATGCTGTCTTCATAAAATGAGTTAGGGAGGATTCTTTCTTTTTCTATTGTTTGGAATAGTTTCAGAAGGAATGGTACCAGCTCCTCTTTGTACCTCTGCTAGAATTTGGCTGTGAATCCATCTGGTCCTGGACTTCTTTTGGTTGGTAAGCTATTAATTACTGCCTCAATTTCTGACCTTGTTATTGGTTTATTCAGGGGTTCAACTTCTTTCTGGCTTAGACTTGGGAGGGTGTTTGTGTCCAGTTATTTATCCATTTCTTCTAGATTTTCTAGTTTATTTGTGTGGAAGTGTTTATAGTATTCTCTGATGGTAGTTTGTATTTCTGTGAGATCAGTGGTGATATCCCCTATGTCATTTTTTATTGTGTCTATTTGATTCTTCTCTATTTCTTCTTTATTAGTCTGGCTAGCGGTCTATCTATTTTGTTGAGTTTTTTCAAAAAACCAGCTCCTGGATTCATTGATTTTTTGAAGGGTGTTTCATGTCTCTATCTCCTTCAGTTCTGCTCTGATGTTAGTTATTTCATGTCTTCTGCTAGCTTTTGAATTTGTTTGCTGTTGCTTCTCTAGTTCTTTTATTTTTAATATTAGGATATCAATTTTAGATCTTTCCTGCTTTCTCTTGTGGGCATTTAGTGCTATAAATTTCCCTCTACACACTGCTTTAAATGTGTCCCAGAGAGTCTGTTACTTTGTGTCTTCATTCTCATTGGTTTCAAAGAACATTTTTATTTCTGCCTTCATTTCATTATTTACTCAGTAGTCATTCAGGAGCAGATTGTTCAGTTTTTTTGTAATTGTGTGGTTTTGAGTGAGTTTCTTAATCCTGAGTTCTAATTTGATTGCACTGTGGTCTGAGAGACTGTTTGTTATGATTTCCATTCTTTTCTATTGGCTGAGGAGTGTTTTACTTCCAATTATGTGGTCAATTTTAGAATAACTGCGATGAGGTGCTGAGAAGAATGTGTATTCTTTTGATTTGGGGTGCAGAGTTCTGTAGATGTCTATTAGGTCCGCTTGGTCCAGAGCTGAGTTCAAGTCCTGAATATCCTTGTTAATTTTCTGTCTTGTTGGTCTGTCTAATATTGACAGTGGGGTGTTAAAGTCTCCCACTATTATTGTGTGGGAGTCTAAGTCTCTTTGCGGGTCTCTAAAAACTTGCTTTATGAATCTGGGTTCTTCTGTATTGGATACATATATATTTAGGATAGTTAGCTCTTCTTGGTGAATTGATCCCTTTACCATTATGCAATGCCCTTCTTTGTCTCTTTTGATCTTTGTTGGTTTAAAGTCTGTTTTATCAGAGATTAGGATTGCAACTCCTGCTTTTTTTTTTTTTTTGCTTTCCATTTGCTTGGTAAATATTCCTCCATCCCTTTATTTTGAGCCTATGTGTGTCTTTGCACGTCAGATGGGTCTCCTGAAGACAGCACACTGATGGGTCTTGACTCTTTATCCAATTTGCCAGTCTGTGTCTTTTAATTGGGGCATTTAGCCCATTTACATTTAAGATTAATATTGTTATGTGTGAATTTGATCCTGTCATTATGATGCTAGCTGGTTGTTTTGCCTGTTAGTTGATGCAGTTTCTTCATAGCATCGATGTTCTTTATAATTTGTCATGTTTTTGCAGTGGCTGGTACCAGTTGTTCCTTTCCATGTTTAGTGCTGCCTTCAGGAATTCTTGTAAGGCAGGTCTGGTGGTGACAAAATCCCTCAGCATCTGCTTGTCTGTAAAGGATTTTATTTCTCCCTCCTTTATGAAGCTTAGTTTGGCTGGATATGAAATTATGGTTTGAAAATTCTTTTCTTTGAGAACGTCGAATATTGGTCCCTACTCTTTACTGGCTTGTAGGGTTTCTGCAGAGAGATCCACTGTTAGTCTGATGGGTCTCCCTTTGTGGGTAACCTGACCTTTCTCTCTGGCTGCCCCAATATTTCTCTCTGGCTGCCCTTAACATTTTTTCCTTCATTTCAACCTAGGTGAATCTGACAGTTATGTGTCTTGGGGTTGCTCTTCTCAAGGAGTATTTTGTGGTGGTCTCTGTATTTCCTGAATTTGAATGTTGGCCTGTCTTGCTAGGTTGGGGAAGTTCTGGATAATATCCTGAGATGTGTTTTCCAACTTGGTTCCATTCTCCCCTTCACTTTTAGGTACACCAATCAGACGTAGATTTTGTCTTTTCACATAGTCCCATATTTCTTGAAGACTTTGTTCATTCCTTTTTATTCTTTTTTCTCTAATCTTGTCTTCTCTCTTTATTTCAATGAGTTAATCTTCAATTACTGATATCCTTTCTTCCATTTGATCAATTCAGCTATTGGTACTTGTGTATTCTTCACAAAGTTCTCGTGCTGTGTTTTTCAGCTTCATCAGGTCATTTATGTTCTTCTCTACATTGATTATTCCAGTTAGCAATTCAACTAACCTTTATTCAAGGCTCTTAGCTTCCTTGTATTGAGTTAGAACATGCTCCTTTAGCTTGGAGGAGTTTGTTATTACCCACCTTCTGAAGCCTACTTCTATCAGTTTGTCAAACTCATTCTCCATCCAGTTTTGTTCCTTGCTGGCAAGGAGTTGTGATCCTTTGGATGAGGAGAGGCATTCTGGTTTTTGGAATTTTCAGCCTTTTGCACTGGTTTTTCCCCATCTTTGTGGATTTATCTACCTTTGGTCTTTGATATTAGCGACCTTCAGATGGGGTCTTTGAGTGGGTGTGCTAATCCTTTCTGTTTATTTCTTTTCCTTCTAACAGTCAGGCCCCCTCTGCTGCCAGTCTGCTGGAGTTTGCTGGAGGTCCACTCCCAGTCCTGTTTGCCTGGGTATCACCAGCAGAGACTGCAGAGCAGCAAAGATTACTGCCTGTTCTTTCCTCTGGAAGTTTCGACCCAGAGGGGCACCTCCCAGATGCCAGCCAGAGGTCTCCTGTATGAGATGTCTGTTGGCCCCTATTGGGAGGTGTGTCCCAGTCAGTATACATAGGGGTCAGGGACCCACTTGAGGAGGCAGTCTGACCCTTAGCAGAGCTTGAACGCTGTGCTGGGAAGTCCACTGCTCTCTTCAGAGCCATCAGGCAGGGATGTTTAAGTATGCTATAAGCCCCTGACTGGGGCTGCTGCCTGTTTTACAGAGATGCCCTGTCCAGAGAGGAGGAATCTGGCAGTCTGGCCATAGCAGCCTTGCTGAGCTGCAGTGGGGTCTGCCCAATTTGAACTTCCCAGTGGCTTTGTTTACACTGTGACCATAAAGCTGCCTACTCAAGCCTCAACAATGGTGGATCCCCCTCCCCCAACCAAGCTCGAATGTCCCAGGTGGATCTCAGATTGCTGCTGTGTTGGCAGCGAGAATTTCAAGCCAGTGGATCTTAGTTTCCTGGGCTCTGTGTAGGTGGGACCCGCCAAGCCAGATCACTTGGCTCCCGGCTTCAGCACCCCTTTCCAGGGGAGTGAACAGTTCTGTCTCGCTGGCATTCCAGGCACCACTGGGGTATGGGGAAAAAAAAAAAAGATCTCCTGCAGCTAGTTTGATGTCTGCCCAATTGGCCGCCCAGTTTTGTGCTTGAAACCCAGGGCCCTGGTTGGGTAGGCACCAGAGGGGATCTCCTGGCTTGCAGGTTGCAAAGACCATGGGACAAGCACAGTATCTGTGCCGGAGTTCCTCAGGCTCAGACCCTCATGGCTTCCCTTGGGTAGGGGAGAAAATTCCCTCACCCCTTGTGCTTCCCAGTTGAGGTGATGCCCTGCCCTGCTTCGGCTTGTCTTCCGTGGGCTGCACCCACTGTCCAACCAGTCCCAGTGAGATGAACCAGGTACCTCAGTTAGAAATGCAGAAATCACCCATCTTCTGTGACAATGTCACTGGGAGCTGCAGACCAATGCTGTTCCTATTTGGCCATCTTGAATCCTCCTCCTTGGTTCTGTCTATTTATATACACATGCATTTTAGCCAGCATTTATAGAAGAAATGCAGTTCAATGACAACTGCATTTATCTCCTCCATCAAATGTCTGTAAACAATTTTAAGAAATGAAGATAGTAATTCCTGCTTTTCAAATTCCCATACATAACTAATAATAACCAAGTCTCTAGGATTTATTAATTCCTCACCAAGGGTACCTTGCAAAGCTTCATAAATGACTGCAAAACCTCACAGATCATAATCCACCTCAGATGAAGCAAGGAAGAGTGCTGTCTGATATGGAGATTCCAACCTAGAAGAATGAGGACAATGCCCAGGAAACTTACAGCTCTTACAGGACAGAGAGGCACCTCCAGACACAGAAGGCTGTTACCCAGACCCTGTCTGAGCCCATGTTTCACATCTGCTCCTTCACAAATTCCATGGAGGCAGAGTCACTGAATTAGAAGCCATATTTACTGCTTCTGATGGTATGTCCGCTTTTTGAGTGGTTCAAAGATAATTTATGGTTAACTGTCTACTACAAAAATGTAAATAATTACTTCAACCTTTAAAATGTATATTTCAAGTGCTACTAAAGTCCACCTAAAACTGTCATGAAAAACTTGTAAGTTTAACTTATGTCTCAAATAAAACATTTACTCTATTGATACTATGTATCAGTTAAGACTGTGTTCTCTGTAAATAACAGAATACCCTACAAAAGTAGCTTCTAAGAGGCCCATGGAGTAAGTAAGTATCTGCCCCTGTTTAGCCTCTGAATGCTACCAGCAGGCTCCTCCCAACTTTCCAGTCACCTGTGCCTAGCATAGAGGCCTTCCTCCTTATGCTCCCTACCACATGGTGGGTCCCAAGATGGCTGCTTCCTCTTCCTTTCTCGGTCTGCATTTCAGGCAGGAAAGAAAGGGGGAAACAAGAGGGCTTAATGCCTAGAAGAGAAAAGCAAAGGCTTTTCCAGAAACCTCACTTGTGCTCATGGTATGTTGGCAAGAGCTGTGTCATATGGACACTGCTACCTGCAAGAAACATTGAGAAATCGTATCTAGCACTTATAGCCTCAAGAGTTTAGATAGTCTAGGGAGAAGTTTCTAGAAAAAGAGGTTGGCATAGTTAACTTATAGATGCACTCACGCTCTCTGTTCTTGTATCCGTAATTACTGTCTGAAAGACTTTCATGTTTGTCTATTACCCTTCACCATTAGATTGACTTCAACTGCAGGTAAATCCATGGGATATTGTGGAAAAAAGAAAGACCTTTTTGGAATCCGGTGGACATGGGTAGAATTGTAGCCTCGGCACTTACCAGGTGTATGTGTAGACATATTTTTTTTCTCTTTAAAAAGGTGTTTGTTTCTTTTGACAGAAAATACTTATATTTGTTTTTAAATTAATAAAATCATTTTTAAAAGTAATTTTAGGTTTACAGAAAAATATAGTAGAAAGTAGAGTCACTTCCCATATGGCTCCTCACCTCACCACAAAAACAGTTTTAACTATAAATAACACCTTGCATTAGTGTGGTACTTGTGCAGCAACTGAACCAATATTGATATATTATTATTATTAATTAAAGCCCATAGTTTACATTAGAGTTCACTCTTTGGATTTTACTGTTTAGAGTACACTCTATGGATTTTTAAAAATTAATTGACTTTTGAAAGTAGTTTTAAGTTCACAGGAAATTTAAGTAGAAAATACAGAATGTTACTGCATACTCCCCCAACCATATCCCCTTACCGCAGTCCACATCATCTGTAAGTTTGTTACATGTGGTACCTTTGTTACAGCTGATGAAGGAACCTTGACATTATTATTAATCAAAGCCCATAATTTACATTACGGTTTACTCTTTGTATTTTACATTCTATGGGTTTTGACAAATGTCTAATGATATGTATCCTCCTTATAGAATTATTCAAAATAGATTTTACTGCCCTAAAAATTCCTTATGCTCCCCCTGTTCATGCCTCTCTCTCCCCAAATCCCTGACAATCACTGATCTTTTTCCTGTCTCCATGGTTTTGCCTTTCCAGAACCTCATACAGGTGTAATTATACGTGATACAGCCTTTTCAGATTGGCTTCTTTCACTTAGTAATATGCTTTTAAAGTTCCTCAGTGTATTTTCATGGCTTGTTCACTCTTTCCTTTTAGCACTGAATAGTATTCCTTGTCTAAATGCACCACAGTCTATTTATTCATTCACCTACTTAAAGTCATTTTGGTTGCTTCCAGGTCTGGGAAATTATGAATAAAGCTGCCATACTCACTCATGTGCAGGTTTTTATGCTGAAATAAATTTTCAGCTCACTTGGGTAGATACCAAGAAATGTGATTGCTAAACCACATGGTAAGAATATGTTTAGTTGAAAAAATCCTGCTAAACTGTCTTCTAAAATAGCTGTATCATTTTGCATTTCTACCAACAATGAATGAGAATTCCTGTTGCTCCATGTCCTCATCAGCATTTGGTGTTGTCAGCATTTTGGATTTTAGCCATTCTAATAGTTCTGTAAAGATATCTCATTGTTGTTTTAACTTACAATTTGCAAATGATATAAGATGTTGAAATTTTTTTTCACTTGCTTATTAGCCATCAGCATATCTTCTTTGGTAAAGTATTTCTTCAATTTTTTGCCCATTTTAAAATTGGGATTTTTCACATCAAAAAGCTAAAAAGATCTCAAGTCAACAATCGAACATCACAACTAAGAAAACTAGAGAACCAAGAGCAAACAAACCCCAAAGGTAGCAGAACACAAGAAATAAGCAAGATCAGAGCTTAACTGAGGGGGATTTGTCTCTATAAGAAAAACCCTTCAAAACAACAAATCCAGAAGCTGGTTTCTTGAAAAAATTAATAAAATAGATAGACCACTAGCAAGACAAATAAAGAAGAAAAGGGAGAGAATTCAAATAAACACAATCAGAAATGATAAGGGGGATATCACCACTGACCCCACCGAAATACAAACAACCATCAGAGATTACTACAAACACCTCTGTGGACATAAACTAGAAAGTCTAGAAGAAATGGATAAATTTCTTGACACCATACGCCCTTCCAAGACTGAACCAGGAAGAAATTGAATCCATAAATAGACAAACAGTTCTGAAATTGAGGCAGTAATAAATAGCCTACCAACAAAAAAAAGCCCAGGACCAGATGGATTCACAGTTGAAGTGTACCAGAGGTACAAAGAAAAGCTGGTACCATTTCTACTGAAACTATTCCAAAAAATTGAAGAGAAGGGACTCCTCCCTAACTCATTCTATGAGGTCCGAATCATCCTGATACCAAAACCTGGCAGAGATACAATAAAAAAAGCAAACTTCAGGACACTATCCTTGATGAGCATCATTGCAAAAATCCTCAGTAAAATACTGGTAAACGGAATCCAGCAACACATTAAAAAGCTTATCTACCATGATCAAGTAGGCTTCAACCCAAGGATTCAAAGTTGGTTCAACATACACAAATCAATAAACGTAGTTCGTCGCATAAACAGAACTAAAGACAAAAACCAACTGATTACCTCAATACATGCAGAAAAGACCTTCAATAAAATTCAACATCCCTTCATGTTAAAAACTCTCAATAAACTAGGTATCGAAGGAACATACTTCAGAATAATAACAGCCATTTATGACAAAGCCACAGCCAATATCATACTGAATAGGCAAAAGCTGGAAGGATTCCCCTTGAAAACCTTACAAGACAAGGATGCCCTCACTCACCACTCCTATTCAACGTAGTATTGGAGGTCCTAACCAGGGCAATCAGGCAAGAGAAAGAAATAAAGGATATTCAAATAGGAATAGAGGAAGTCAAACTATCTTTGTTTGTAGATGTTACGATCCTATATCTAGAAAACCTCAGTGTCTCAGCCCAAAAGCTTTTTAAACTGATAAGCAACTTCAGCAAAGTTTCATAATACAAAATCAATGTGCAAACATTGCTAGCATTCCTGTACACCAACAGGCAAGCTTAGAGCCAAATCATGAATGAAATCTCATGAATGAGTGAAGTCTTATTCATTCAATGAATGGATTGCTACAGAAGGAATAAAATACCTAGGAATATAGCTAAGAAGCAAAGTGAAAGACCTTTTCAAGGAGAACTATAAACCACTGCTCAAAGAAATCACAGATGACATAAACATGGAAAAATATTCCATGCTCATGGATAGGAAGAATTAATATTGTGAAAATGGCCATACTGCCCAAAGCAATTTACAGATTCAATGCAATTCCCATTAAACTACCACTGACATTCTTCACAGAATTAGAAAAAGGTATTTTAAAGTTCACGTGGAACCAAAAAAGAGCCCAAATAGCCAAGAAAATCCTAAAAAACAAACAAACAAAGAAACAAAAAACAAAGTTGCAGGTATCATGCTACCTGACTTCAAACTGCACTACAGGACTACAGTAACCAAAACAGCATGGTACTGCTACAAAAACAGACACATAGGCCAATGGAAAAGAATAGAGAACCCAGAAGTAAGACCACACACCTACAACCATCTGATCTTTGACAAAACTGACAAATACAAGCAATGGGGAAAGGACTCCCTATTCAATAAATGGTGCTATAAGAACTGGCTAGCCATATGCAGAAAATTGAAACTGCAACCTTTCTTTACACCATGTACAAAAATCAACTCAAGATGGATGAAAGACTTAAATGTAAAATCCAAAACTATAAAAATCCTAGAAGAAAATCTAGGCAATACCATTTAGGACATAGGCACGGGCAAAGATTTAATGATTGCCAAAAGCAAAAGCAACCAATGGGATCTAATTAAACTGAGGAACTTCTGTACACCAAAAGAAGCTATCATCAGCATGAACAGAAAACCTACAGAATGGAAGAAAATGTTTGCAATCTATCCATCTGACAGAGAACTAATATTCAGCATTTGTGAGGAATTTAAACAAATTTACAAGAAACAAACAAACAACCCCAGTAAAAAGTGGGCAAAGGACATGGACAGACACTTCTCAAAAGAAGATGTACATGCGGCCAGCAAACATGAAAAAAAAAATACTCAACATTGCTAATCATTAGAGAAAATGCAAATCAAAACCACAATGAGATACCATCTCACACCAGCCAGAATGGCTATTATTAAAAAGTCAAAAAACAACAGATGCTGGTGAGGTTGCAGAGAAAAAGGAACACTTTTACACTGTGGTGGGAGTGTAAATTAGTTCAACCATTGTGGAAGACAGTGTGGCAGTTCTTCAAAGACCTAGAGGCAGAAATACCATTTGACCCAGCAATCCATTACTGGATGAATACCCAAAGGAATATAAATCATTCTAGTATAAAGATACATGCGCGTGTACATTCATTGCAGCACTATTCACAATAACAAAGAGATGGAGTCAACTTAAATGACCATCAATGATAGACTAGATAAAGAAAATGTGGTACATATACACCATAGAATACTATACAGCCATAAAAACGAATGAGATTATGTCCTTTGCAGGGACAGGGATGGAGTTGGAAGCCATTATCCTCAGCAAACTAATAAAGGAACAGAAAACCAAATACCACATGTTCTCACTTATAAGCAGAAGCTAAATGATGAGAACACATGGACACATGGGGGTTGCAGGGAGCAACACACACTGGGGCCTGTCAGAAAATGGGGGACGGGAGGAGGGAGAGCATCGGAAAGAATAGCTAATGGATGCTGGACTTAATACCTAGGTGATGGGATGATCTGTGTAGCAAATCACCATGGCACATGTTTACATATGTAACAAATCTGCACATTCTGCACATGTACCCCTGAACTTAAAATAAAAGTCGGAAAAAAATTGGGATTTTTTTCCTATTGTTAAGTTTTAAGAGTTCTCTGTGTATTTTGAGTAATTGTCCTTTATCAGATATATTTTGCAAATATTTTGCCCCAGTCTATGGCTTGTCATTTTATTCTCTTGAAGCATATCTTTTGAAGAGTAGAAAGTTATAATTTTAATGTAGTCCAATTTATCAATTTTTGTATTCTCAGACTGTGTTTAGTATTGTATCTAAAGAGTCATTGACAAGCCCAATGTCACTTAAGAGTTTTTTCCTATGTCATCTTCTAAGAGTTTTATAATTTTGCATTTTTTTATTATGATGAAATACCCATACCAAAAATGTGCCATTTTAATTATATTTTAGTGTAAGTTTAGTGGCATTAAGTATGTTCACATTGTTGTACACCATCACCACTATCTATCTCCAGAACTTTTTCATCATCTCAAACTGAAACTCTGTATTCATTAAACATGACATCCCCATTCTGTCACTTCAAGCCCCTGGTAACCACTATTCTACTTTCTGTGTTTGTGAAATTGACTACTCTAGCTACTTCATGTAGATAGAATCATAGAATATTTGTCTTTTTGTGTTTGGCTTATTTCACTTACCATTTTTCAGATTCAGCCATGTTCCAGCATGTGTCAGAAGATCATTCCTTTTCATGGAGGAATAATGTTTCATTATATATATAAATACATGTATTATATAGATATATATACACACACATACACACACACACACACACACACACACACACTACATTTTGTTTATTCATTTGTCCATTGATGGACATTTAGTTTATTTTTATCTTTTTAGTTTTTGTGAATAATGCTGCTGTGAACATTAGTATATAACTATCTGTGCAACTGCCTATTTTTAATTATTTGGAGTACATACCTAGGAATGGAATTGCTGGATCATGTGGTCTTTCTACTTTTAACTTTTTGAGGAACCACCCTACTGTCTTCTCTACCCTACTGTCTTCCACAGAAGCTACACCACTTTACATTTCCACCAATAGTGCATGAATGTTTCAATTTTTCTACATCTCTGACATTTGTTATTTTCCTTTTTGCATTAGAGCCATCCTAATGGACGTGATGTAGTATATCATTGGGCTCTTTTCTTTTTCTTTTATTGTATTATTTTCAATTGACAGATCATAATTATATACATTCATGGGGTATAATGTGATGTTTTGATATATGTATACAATGTGGAATTATTAAATCAAGCTAATTAACACATTCATCACCTTGCTGACCTATCATTTTTTATGAGACACTTGAAATGTACTCTCTTAGCTATTTTGAAATATATTATACATTATTATTGACTATAGACCCCCTGCTGTGCAACAGCTCTTGAAATCTATTCCTCTTGTCATCTGAACCTTTGCACCCTTTGATCAATAACTCCCTATTAGAGAGGAGATGTCATCAAGATGGCTGGCTAGAGGTGCCCAGCATTCACCTTCTTCACAAAGAAGGGCAAAAATAACAAGTATATAACCATACATCAAATAGAGGTTCTAGGGGAGAATAACAGAATTCAGCAAGACTCTTTAAGGCATGGAAACTTGGGATGGCAGCATAGGGAGGTAGGCAAAGCATCTGGTTGGGATCTACTCAGAGCCAAGAAGGACTCTTTATTGCAGGGAAAAGATAAGTGGAAGATCCCGGGAAGTTCATATTCCTACCACAGACACCTGTAATCCTAACTGCAGGAGAGCCCTATAATCCTCACAGGCCTTGAGTTCAGGGTAGAGAGCTGCCTGGAATCCACGTGACTGCATTACTCCAGGGAGGAAATCACACTGATGCTCCCAGAATTTCCAGGACTCAGACTGCTGCAGCATGTGCCATTTTGAGAATGAAACCACTGTCAGAGCACATTCTGCCCAGGGGCCAATGACCCCATACATCTGTACATCCCTAGTGCTTTGCCATTATCCCATCACATCCACGCAAAAGGCTGCAGTACCATGACTCCAGCTGGGCCCAGCAGTGCAGCCATGAACCCATGCACCCGAGCCCACACATCATCACCCGGCATCCCAGGTAACAAGTTAACCAGCACAAGGGGCAGGCTAACCCCAATACAGAAGGAGCTGATGCACATGCTCCCCAGAGCCTGAGAGCTGACCCTCTCGAGCAGGAGAGCCACCGTGCACTTATTTGGACCCACTGGGAGTCCAAGGATCAGACCACTTGGGGTCTGCACCAACTGGTGACACCCCACCCCACAGCAGCGGAGCCTCTTCACACTTTCCCAGGCCTTTAGTTTTTCCTCTTGTCTGATTGCCCTAGCTGGGACTTCCAGTACTGTGTTAAATAACAGGGGTGAAAGTGGGCATCCTTGTCATGTTCCAGATCTTAGAGCAAAGGCCTTCAGTTTTTCCACAGTCAATATTATATTAGCTGTGGGTGTGTTGTACATGTTTTTTTTTCTTCTTCTTTTGGTTTCTTTCAAAATTTTCTGTCTTTGATTTTCTACAGTTTGAATATGTTGTATCTAGCTGTAGATTAGTATTTATCCTCTTTGACATTCTCTGCACTTCCTGGATTTGTGGTTTGGTGTCTGACATTTATTTGGGCAAATTATTAGTCATTATTTCTTAAATGTTTCTCAGTTCTTTTCTCCTTTCCTTCTCTTTGTGGCATTCCTACAATTCATATGTTATACCTTTTGTGCTCGTTCTACAGTTCTTGTATATTGTATTCCATTCTTTAAAGTTTCTTTTTTATTTTTGCCTTATCATTTGAGAGGTTTCTATGACATATCCTTAAGGCCCTGGTACTTTCCTTGACTGCATTCAATCTATGATAAGTGTATCAAAAGCATTTTTAAATTTCTGTTAGTGTTTTAAATTTCTGTCATTTAAAAAATCTTTCTTAGAGCATCTATCACTTTACTTACATTATGCTTCTGTGCATGCATGTAGTCGACTCCATTAGAGACCTTAGTACAGTAATCACAGTTATTTTAAATTCCCAGTCTGATATTTCCAAAATTTCTGCCATATCTGGGTCTGGTCTGATGCTTTTTGTATTTTCAAATTGTATTTTTTGCCTTTTAGTATACTTTGTAATGTTTGTTAAAAGCCAAACATGATGGGTAAAGGACCTGATGTAAATAGGTCTTTGGTATATTTAACTTATGTTGTAGCTGTAAGTCTCAGAGGCTAAAATTCTCTGATGTCTTTGCTTTTGTCTCCCCTGTTATCTTTGAATATTCCCAAAGACTTCTTAAATAAGGTCTGAGGCTTACAGTTCTTTTGCTTGTAAGCCACTGTTATTATTTAGGGTGCAATTGATGTGATTGCAAGGTAGGTGTGTGGGGGGAGGAGATATGGGTTTTATAGTCCTAGAATTAGGTCTCTTATTTTTAGTGAGCCCATTCTGCTTTCTACTTCTATGAGATGTAGAAATACTCTTCAAGATGCCACTTATGAGTGAGATCATGCAATATTTTTCTGTGTCTGACTTATTTCTCTTAATATACAGTCATTGAGGTTTACCCATATTGTCACAATGACGGGAATTTCTCCTTTTTTATGGCTGATAGTATTCCATTGCACATATAAAGTGCATTATCTCTAGTTGATGGACACTTAAGTTGATCTCATATATTGGTTATTATGAATACTGCTAGAGAAAACACGGGAATGCAGATACTTCTTTGATAGTCTGATTGAATTTCTTTTGGATATATGCCCAGTGGTGGACTTGCTAGATTATATAGTGTTATATTTTAAAATTTTTGAGGAACCTCTATACTGTTTTCCATAATGGCTGTACTAATTTACATTCCCACGAACAGTGTGTAATGAAGGACAAAAGGAAACGTTTTTTCTTCTTCTTCACCTTAGCAGGAAATTTTCTAGTATCCAACCATTTAGTACAATATGAACTATGGGTTTTCTGTAGATATTCTTTATCAAGTGAGGATGTTCTCCTCTATTCCTAGTTGGCTGAAAGCTTTTATTATGCACGAGTGTTGGATTTATCAAATGTTTCCTCAGAATTTGTTGATATAATCATGCGATGTTTTCTCTTTAGCCTGTTAGTATGATGTATTGCATAAGTTGATTTTCTTTTTTTTTCACCATTTATTTTTATGTATTTATTGATTTATTTATTCTTTTAGTATACTTTAAGTTCTGGGTTACATGTGCAGAACATGCAGATTTGTTACATAGGTATACATGTGCCATGGTGGTTTGCTGCACCCATCAACCCGTCATCTAGGTTTCAAGCCCTGCATGCATTAGATATTTCTCCTAATGCTATCCCTCCCCTTGCCCCCAACCCCCAACAGGCTCCAGTATGTGATGTTCCCCTCCCTGTGTCCACGTATTCTCATTGTTCAACCCCCATTTATGAGTGAGAACATGTGGTGTTTGGTTTTCTTTTCCTGTATGAGTTTGCTGAGGATGATGGTTCCCAGCTTCATCCATGTCCCTGCGAAGGACACGAACTCATCGTTTTTTATGGCTGCATAGTATTCCATGGTGTATATGTGCCACGTTTTCTTTATCCAGTCGATCATTGATGGACATCTGGGTTGGTTCCAAGTCCTTGCTATTGTAAATACTGCTACAATAAACATATGTGTGCATGTGTCTTTATAGTAGAATGATTTATAATCCTTTGGGTATATGCCCAGTAATGGGATTGCTGGGTCAAATGGTATTTCTAGTTCTAGATCCTTGAGGAATCTCCACTCTGCTTCCACAATGGTTGAACTAATTTACACTCCCACCAACAGTGTAAAAGCATTCCTATTTCTCTACATCCTCTCTAGCACCTGTTGTTTCCTGACTTTTTAATGATTGCCATTCTAACTGGCATGAGATGGTATCTCATTGTGGTTTTGATTTGCATTTCTCTAATGACCAGTGACGATGAGCTTTTTTTCATATGTTTATCGGCCACAGAAATGTCTTCTTTTAAGAATTGCCTGTACATATCCTTTGCCCACTTTTTGATGGGGTTGTTTTTTTTTCTGGTAAATTTAAGTACTTTGTAGATTCTGGATATTAGCCCTTTGTCAGATGGGTAGATTGCAAAAATTTTCTCCCATTCTGTAGGTTGCCTGTTCACTCTGATGATAGTTTCATTTGCTGTGCAGAAGCTCTTTAGTTTAATGAGATCCGATTTGTCAATTTTGGCTTTCGTTGCCATTGCTTTTGGTGTTTTAGTCATGAAGTCCTTGCCCATGCCTATGTCCTGAATGGTATTGCCTAGGTTTCCTTCTAGGGTTTTTATGGCTTTAGGTCTTACGTTTAAGCCTTTAATCCATCTTGAGTTAGTTTTTGTGTAAGATGTAAGGAAGGGGTCCAGTTTCAGTTTTCTGCATATGCCTAGCCAGTTTTCCCAACACTGTTTATTAAATAGGGAATTCTTTCCCCATTGCTTGTTTTTGTCAGGTTTGTTGAAAATCAGATGGTTCTAGATGTGTGGTTTATTTCTGAGGCCTCTAATCTGTTCCATTGGTCTATATATCTGTTTTGGTACCAGTACCATGCTGTTTTGGTTACTGTAGCCTTGTAGTATAGCTTGAAGACAGGTAGCGTGATGCCTCCAGTTTTGTTCTTTTTGCTTAGGATTGCCTTGGATATGCGGGCTCTTTTTTTGATTCCATATGAAATTTAAAGTAGTTTTTTCTAATTCTGTGAAGAAAGTCAATGGTAGCTTGATAGGAATAGCATTGAATGTATAAATTTCTTTGGGCAGTATGGCCATTTTCATGATATGGATTCTTCATATCCATGAGCATGGAATGTTTTTCCATTTGTTTGTGTCCTCTCTTATTTCCTTGATCAGTAGTTTGTAGTTCTCCTTGAAGAGGTCCTTCACATCCCTTGTAAGTTTTATTCCTAGGTATTTTATTGTCTTTGTAGCAATTGTGAATGGGAGTTCACTCATGACTTGGCTCTCTGTTTGTCTATAATTGGTTTATAGGAATGCTTGTGATTTTTGCACATTGATTTTGTATCCTGAGACTTTGCTGAAGTTGCTTGTCAGCTTAAGGAGATTTTGGGCTGAGATGATGGGGTTTTCTAAATATACAAACATGTCATCTGCCAACAGAGACCATTTGTCTTCCTCTCTTTCTATTTGAATACTATTTCTTTCTTTCTCTTGCCTGATTGCCCTGGCCAGAACTTCCAATACTATTTTGAATAAGAGTGGTGAGAGAGGGCATCCTTGTCTTGTGCCAGTTTTCAAAGGGAATGCTTCCAGCTTTTGCCCATTCGGTATGATATTGGCTGTGGGTTTGTCATAAATAGTTACATGTTCCATCTATACCTAGTTTATTGAGTGTTGTTAGCATAAAGGGGTGTTGGATTTTGTCGAAGGCCTTTTCTGCATCTACTGAGATAATCATGTGGTTTTTGTCATTGGTTCTGTTTATGTGCTGGATTACGTTTATTGATTTGTGTATGTTGAACCAGCCTTACATCTCAGGGATGAAGCCGACTTGATAATTGGGGATAAGCTTTTTGATGTGCTGCCAGTATTTGTATTGAGTATTTCCACATCGATGTTCATCAGGGATATTGGCCTGAAATTGTCTTTTTTTGTTGTGTCTCTACCAGGATTTTGTATCAGGATGATGCTGGCCTTATAAAATGAGTTATTGAGGAATCCCTCTTTTTATATTGTTTGGAATAGTTTCAGAAGAAATGGTACCAGCTCCTCCTTGTACCTCTGGTAGAATTCGGCTGTGAATCCATCTGGTCCTGGGCTTTTTTTGGTTGGTAGGCTATTAATTACTCCCTCAATTTCAGAACTTGTTATTGGTCTATTCAGGGATTTGACTTCTTTCTAGTTCAGTCATGTTGGCATGAGTTGATTTTCTTTTGGTGAATCGGACCTGTGTACCTTGGACATGGTGTGTAATTCTTTTTTTTGAGATGGAGTCTCTGTCACCAGGCTGGAGTGCAGTGGTATGATCTCGGCTCACTGCAACCTCTGCCTCCCACGTTCAAGTGATTTTCCTACCTCAGCCTCCCAAGTAGCTGGGACTACAGGTGCGCACAACCATGCCCAGCTAATTTTTATATTTTTAGTAGAGACGTGGTTTCATCATGTTGGCCAGGATGGTCTCGATCTCTTGACCTTGTGATTTACCCACCTCAGCCTCCCACAGTGCTAGGATTACAGGCGTGAGCCACCGCACCTGGCTGTATAATTCTTTTTAAACATTATTGGATTCGATGCGCTAATATTTTGTTGATAATTATCTCATATTTATCTCATAAATATGTTTATGAGATATATTGGTTTTCAGTGTTCTTTTCTTGTAGCGTCTTTGTCTGGTTTTGGTATAGGATAATGCTGGCATCATAGAATGAGTTAAAAAGCATTCACTTTACCTCTAGTTTTTGCAAGAGATTATAGAAAATTGATATAATTTCTTCCAAATAGTTTGGCATACATTATCATTATACCCTTCTAGCACTGGTACTTTCTGCTTTGGAAGATTATTAAGTATTGAATTGATTTTTTTTTTTTCAGATGGACTCTTGCTGTGTCTCCCAGGCTGGAGTGCAGTGGCACGATCTCAGCTCACTGCAACCTCCTCCCCCCAGGTTCAAGCAACTCTTGTGCCTCAGCCTCCCGAGTAGCTGGGATTGCAAGCACGCACCCCCATGCCCAGTTAATTTTTGTATTTTTAGTACAGACAGGGTTTGGCCATGATGGCCAGGCTGATCTCAAAGTCCTGACCTCAAGTGATCCACCCGCCTCAGCCTCTCAAAGTCCTGAGATTACAGGCATGAGCCACTGTGCACGGCCCTCTCTTATTTCTGATATTACTAAATGGCAATTTGTGTCTTCTTTTTTTTTTCTTCGTTAGCCTGGTTAGAGGCTTATCAAGTTTACTGATCTTACCAAAGAACCAGTTTCTGATTTAGTAGATTTTCTTTATTCATTACTGTTTTTAATATTATTAATAATTGGTCTAATTTTTATTATTTCTTATCCTCTGCTTACCTTGGATTTAATTTGCTCTTTTCTTTTCTTTTTTGGTTTCCTAAAGTGAATGCTTCGATGATTGGTTTTAGATCTTTCTTCTGTTAAAAGAAAAAACTTTATACAAATTAAGTTTAACAGAATTTATTTGGGAAAAGAACAATTATCAAACAAGGCAGAACCCAGAACCAGAATACATTCAGAGTGACTCCAGGGCTGCCACATGGTCAGTAACATTCATAGACATAAAAAAAGGAAGTGATGTACAGAAAACAGAAGTGAAGTACAGAAACAGGTGGATTGGTTGCAAGTAGGTGTTTGCCTTATCTGAACACAATTGTACAAGTTGGCTGCCTGTGAATGACCAAAACTCAGCTGCTATGATTTGCTGAGACTTGGCTACTTGTTACAAGAGTAGATCACAGTCTGTTTACACATCAAGTTAGGTTACACTTTACTATGTACAGAGAGACGTTTAGGTGAAACTTAAACTATGTATGGAGGCAGGTTTAGGCCAAACTGAATTCAATTTAACACTTTTTTCCTAATGCATGGATTCAATACCATAAATTTCCCTCTAAGAATATGTTTGCTGCCTCCCACTAATTTTTATAAATGGTATTTTCATTTTCATTTAGCTTTCATTTAGTTTCATTTTAATGTATTCATTAAATATAAACAAAAATTTTTTTTGTTTCTCTCGAAAGTTCTTCTTTGACCCATGTATTACTTAGAAGTATATTGTTTAATCTCCAAGTATTGTAGGATTTTCCAGGTATCTTAATTCCAATGTGTTCTGAGAGCACACATTCTCTGATTTCCCTTCTTCTAAATTGAAGATATACTCTATGACCCAGAATGTGCTCTGTCGTGATGAATGTTCTGTGTGAGCTTGAGAAGAATGTGTACTCTGCTTAGATGAAATAGTCTTAAAAGTCTATTATATCCAGGTGATTTATCATGTTTTTGAGTTATTAATGATTTTCTGCCTATTGGATATGTGTATTTCTGATATAGGGATGTTGAAGTCTCCAACAGTGGGTTAATCTATTTCTCTTTCCAGTTCTATCAGCATTGCCTGTCATATATGATGCTCTGTTGTTAGCCACATATGTGTTCAGAATTGTTAAGACTTCTTGGAGAATTGAACTCTTAATCATGATGTAGTATCCCTGAGTGGCCACTGGTTACATTTCTTGCTCTGAAGTCTACTCTGTCTGAAATTATTATAGCTATTGCTGTTTTCTTTTGATTCGTATTAGCATGGTATCTCTATCTCAATCCATTTACTTTTCTATATATGTGTCATATTTATTTATTTTCTTTCCAAGTTTTAGGTTCAGGGGATGCATGTGCAGGTTTGTTACATGGGTAAAATGTATGTCATGGGGGTTTGCTGTAGATTATTTTGTTACCTAGGTAATAAGCATAGTACCTGATATGTAGTTTTTCAATCCTCATCCTTTACCCACTATTCATCCTAAATTAGACCATGGTGTCTCTTCTTTCCTTCTTTGTGTCCATCCATGTGTATTCAATAATTCGCACACACTTATAAGTAAGAACATGCAGTGCTTGGTTTTCTGTTCCTGTGTTAATTCACTTAGGATAATGGCCTTCAGGTCCATCTGTATTGCTAAAAGTACATGATCTCATTTTTTTTAATGGTTACATAGTACTTCATGGTGTATACATACCACATTTTCTTTATCCAACTCACCATTGATGGGCATTTAGGTTGATTCCATGTCTTTGCTATTGTGAGAGTGCTGCAATGAACATAAGTGTGCATGTGTCTTTATGGTAGAACCATTTATACTCCTCTGGGTACATACCCAGTAATGAGATTGCTGGGTCAAATGGCTGTTCTGTTTCAAGTTCTTTGAAAAATCTCCAAACTGCTTTTCACAGTGACTGAACTAACTTGCATTCCCAACAGCAGTGTATAAGAGTTCCCTTTTCTCTGCAACCTTGTCAGCATCTGTTATTTTTTGACTTTTTAGTAATTGCAATTCTGATTGGTATGAGATGGTAACTCATTGTGGTTTTGATTTGCATTTCTCTAACGATTAGTGAAGTTGAGCATTTTTTTCATTTGTTTGTGGGCCACATGTAGGTCTTCTTTTGAAAAGTGTCTGTTCATGTCCTTTGTCTATTTTTGAATGGGTTTTTTGTCTTTCATTTGTTAATTTGTTTAAGTTTCTTATAGATTCTGGATATTAGACCTTTGTTGGATGCACAGTTTGCAAGTATTTTCTCCCATTCTATAGGTAGTCTGTTTACTCTGTGGATAGTTTCTTTTGCTGTGCAGAAGCTCTTTAGTTTAATTAGGTCCCATTTATCAATTTTTGTTTTTGTTGCAATTGCTTTAAGAGTCTTCATCAAGAAATCTTTGCCAGGGTTCATGTCTAGAGTAACATTTCCTAGCTTTTCTTTTACGGTTTTTATAGTTTTTGGTTTTCCATTTAAGTACATTAAGTACTTAATCCATCTTGAGTTGATTTTTGTATATGGTGAAAGGAAGGGGTCCAGTTTCAACCTTCTGCATATGGCTAGCTAGTTACCTCAGCACCATTTATTGAATAGGGAGTCCTTTCTCCATTGCTTGTAATTTATAAGGAAAAGAGGTTTATTTGGCTCATGGTTCTGCAGGCTATACAAGAAGCATGGTGCTGGCATCTGCTTGGCTTCTGGTGAGGGCCTCAGGCTGCTTCCACTCATGGCAGAAGGTAAAAGAGAGCTGGTCTGTGCAGAGATCAAATGACAAGAAGAAGCAAGAGAGAGAGGGGAAGTGTCAGGCTCTTTCTAATAACCAGCTCTCATGGGACCTAACAGAGCAAGAACTCACTCACTACCCCTCCTCAGGGAGGGCATTTATCTACTTATGAGGGATCTGTCCCCATGACCCAAACACCTCTCATTAGGCCCTACCTCCAACATATGGGATCACATTTCAACATGAGGTTTAGAAGGACAAACATCCAAACTATAGCAAGCTGAAAAAAATCTTTAAAGTATCTGGATCAGGGCTACTCTCAGTGGGGTGCCGTTAAAATGCATATTTAGCCTGATGAGGTTCCATTTGTAGGTGACCAGTCCCTCCTCTTTAGCTGCCTTTAATATATTTTTTTTTGCATTGACTTTGGAGAATGTGATGACTCTTTCTTAGGGATAGTTGTTTTGTATAGTATTTTATAGGCATTCTCTGAATTTCTTGAATTTGAATGTCTTTCTCTCTAGTGAGGTTGGGGAAATTTTCATGGACAATATCCTCAGATGTGTTTTCCATCTTGGTTGCTCTCTTTCCCTCTCTTTCAGAGAAACCAAAGAGTTGTAGATTTGGTCTTTCTATGTAATCTCATATTTCTCAGAGCTTCTGTTTATTCTTTTTAATTTTTAATTTTCTTTTTCTGACTAAGTCTATTTGAAGAACCAGTCTTTGAGCTCTGAGATTTATTTCCTCAGCTTGGTCAATTCTTCTGTTAATACTTCCAATTATATTATGAAGTTCTTCTTATAGTGAGTTTTTCAGCTCTATTAGATTAGTTTGGTTGTTTCTTAAAATGGCTATTTTATTTTTCAGCTTTTGTTTCATTTTATTGGATTCTTGGTATTTCTTGGATTCGGGTTTCACTTTGTCCTGAATCTTGATTATCTTCACTGCTATCCAGACTTTTAATTCTATGTCTATAATTTCAATCATTTTATCCTGGTTAAGAACAACTGCTGGGTAGCTAGTGTGGTCATTTGGAGGTAAGAAGACACTGTGGCTTTTTGAGTTGCCAAGGTTCTTTTGCTGACCCTTTATCATCTGTGTGGGCTGATGTTACTTTAGTCTTTGTGATAATCAAACAAAATGTAATGGATAAAAGGAATTGTGACAAATAGTAAGAATCGTAATGGCGTAGGTGTAGGGGAAGGGGAAGCATTCATAGTCTTATTATTAGCTCTTAGTGGTTAGTAAGTTTGTCCCTCTAGACTGAGAACTTCACAACTTCTCCTCAGGTGACCACCTTTTCTGTTTAGGTGTGACAGGATTGCTAGAGTGCATTTGAATTGGATATATCTTTTCCTCTTCATTGGTTAGGCTCTAGAAAAAAATAGCAACCCAATAGTTTAGCTTGTGGTAAAGTAGTTTCTCTTGAGGTCAGGTCTTATTAAGAAGACCAGAATACTCTGGCATATTTCAAAAAGGTTATGTTTCCTCTCCTCTGTCAGAAGCATTAGAATATTCTTCAAAATATTCACTGTGGAACCTGGCAGAACTCCTAAAGTTAAAAAATTGTCCAGGCCTCCTATAACTCAGACCCCATGGAAGCGTTAATTCTTAGAATTATCCACAGGGCCCCCCCACAGCAATTCATTCATTACGGTTGAGGTTTCCTACCCCAGTGCTGGTTCCCATAGAGGTTTCTTCCCATGGGTTTCTTCTCTAGTAACTTGTGATTCTCTGTATTTGCCTGTCACTCTCTCCAATTTTGGAGGCAAAATGTGCCTTAAATTTCCACTTCTGTCATGAGTCTAAGAGTTGTTAATTTTTCAGTTTGTCAAGCTTTTTCCTTATTGTCAGAATGAAATAGTGACTTCTTACATGCCAGCCTGGATGCTGAGTCTCCCAAAATAATTTTTTAAAAAGAAAATTCAACATTAAATGGAGAGTGGGAAATTTATTTTTAAGTAAGCAATGACTTGTTCTCCTTAGATACTCACACTGTAAAAGTGCCTCCCAAACCTCAGTTCCGAGAAGCCTCTTCCAAACTGCTTGCCATAGGGAAAACACATCTAAAAGCCATGACTCCAACTATCCCTTAGCTTTAAACAGTTATTATTTGACCAGTTACCTGATGCTCACCATTTGAGGAATGATGACAAAACCTTCCTCCAATTTGCAGAAAATTAGATCATACTTTTTAGTGGGAACTAATATATTTACTAGTTTGCTTCAGAAATATCCTAACTTATATCAAATTATTAGACTCTTCTGTGGGAACAGAGCTAAACTAAGTAGATTTTGAACTCAAACACATCAGGTGTAAAAACATTGAACCTCTTTGCATTTAAAAGATCAATGTATAATTTGATAGTCTTCTACAGCATCCATTGCCTAGAAAATTATGTTGATTTGTTTAACATTTAAAAATGATAAAAATTTACTCTTTCTCATACAAAACACACAGAGAATACAGGAAGTGATCATGTGTATTAACTATTTTGCAAGAATATGTGTTGCCAACGTGTTCTCTCTGGATTGTGGAATTCTACTGTTTTTTTGGTTTGGATCATAATCCTAAAAGACATAATCCTGGATGCCATAATTCTGAATCCCTAAAAATACAAATCTCTAAAGTTGAAATCCTTAATGTCTAAAATCCCTAACATCTGAAATGCCCACAATCACTCTCACAGGACAGTTGCATTATATTAAATGAAACTATTACCTTGTTATTCTTTTTATTTGGAATTTAAGAATGGTTTAAGGAGATGTGTGTGGCTGCCAAGTTGACAATTAAGTCTTGTGGACTTAATTTTAGGTGTCAACTTGACCAGATTAAGGAATATCCAGAAATCTGGCAAAGTATTATTTTGGGTGTGTCTGTGAGGGTTTTTCCAGAAGAGATTAGTGTGTGAATCTCAATGGACTATGTACAGAAGATCTGGCCTCAGTGTTGGTGGGCAACAATCTATCAGCCCAGGGCTAGGAGACAACAAACACAGAAGGCAAATTGGTCTCTGAGAGCTGGGATAGACATTTCTTCTGCTCTTTGGGTATCAGAAATTTGGTTCCACTAAAGTCCATTATCACACCACTGACTTTGTGTGTTAACATTCTGCATGTATGTGAAAACACTGAAACTTCCTCAATAAATGAAAAGATGTCCTTTTTGTAAATCTGCATTTGTGAAAGATGAAATTTCTCAAGATTTCAGCTCTTTGAGTGATTGAATATGTGATGGCCCTTCATGGTTTTTGCTTGTTCTCCTCCAAACACTTAGGTGTACATCATGTCATTTCAGAGGATTGCAGTTATAAAGCTGGGTGCATACAATCACCAATCATAGTGAAATACATTGTACAATTCACTTTATGGCCTTTAAAAAAAATGAATACAGTTCATCTGCCCATACTCATGCAACTACCATAGGTATATCTGAGTGTTCATGCTTGCAAAAGTATGTATGCTATTATTGTCTATTTTATTGTGCAGTGTGGCCTATAAAATGTTCTCTTGTATTTTTATATTTTCAGATATATCCCTCTTTAAAATGTAAATAAGTGTCTTTTAAATAATTGTATATTATTTTTCCTAGAATTATATTTTTGGGATTTTGATCTTACAGGATTAGAATTTTTGAGATTTTTGGCTTTATAGATTTTGATCTCTCAGGATTTCAACAACTGGGATGATGGTGTTTGGGATTGTCTTTCAGAATTATGATCATCCTCCCCTGTAATTTTATGGTGTGTGTGTGTTTGCTAGGGGTGTGTGTTTTCCAATCTCTAAGGGTAAATACAATTTCCAATTTAAATAATCACAACTGTTATCAATCAACCAATTGCCCAGAGGAGTCAGAGGAAAGTATGAAATTACTAGAAACTGATAGAATCTGATTTCCCACCACTGTAAAAAGTAAAAAGACCCCAAGTCAATACTTCACTAAGACTTAAGATCAACTCTAGAGGCCCCTGTATTTTCTCAACCTTGTCAGGATCTTTGGAGGGCAGACGCCCCATCCACCAGTCATAACCACAGTCCAAACACTCTGTTGGAGATCCCATTGGCTGCTCACACTCAGTCCCCACTCTACTGTGGTGGTAAAGATCGGATTTTTATTTTGTAATGTGTTTCTATTGAAAGGGTCTCACTGAGAATCTCACCAAGGGAAGGAAAGTTGTGGAAACAGCAAGCTGCCTGACTGAGAGGCTCTCGGTGCTCTTCTCACCAAGGAGGGTGAAGCTTTGGGGAGGAAGTGCTGCCTAGAGACCTGAAGGAGGTAGGGTGCATTACAGTACTGTCTTCATGTTACATCAATGTATTAGTTTATTTTCACACTGCTATAAAGAAATACCTGAGACTGGGTAATTTACAAAGAAAAGAGGTTTAATTGATTCACAGTTCTACATGGCTGGGGAGGCCCCAGAAAACTTACAATTATGGCAGAGGGTGAAAGGAAAGCAAAGCATGTCTTACATGGCAGCAGGAGAGAGCAAGGAGGAAAGTGCCACACTTTTAAACCATCAGATCTTATGAGAACTCACTCACTATCACAAGAACAGCATAGGGAAATCCACCCTATGATCCAATCACCTCCCATGACATCTCTCCTCTTATGTGTGGGGATTACAATTTGACATGAAATTTAGGGGGGGACACAGAGCCAAACCACATCATTCTGCCCCGGCCCCTCCCAAATCTCATGTCCTTCTCACATTGCAAAATACAATTATCCCATCTTAACAGTTCCCCAAAGTCTTAACTCATTCCAGCGCTAACTCGAAAGTCCAAGTCCAAAGTCTCATCTGAGACAAGGCAAGTCCCTTCTGCCTATGAACCTGTAAACATAAAAAAACAAGTTAATTGCTTTCAAGATATAAGGCAGGTACAGGCCTTGGGTAAATGCTCCCATTCCAAATAAGAGAAATGGGCCGAAACAAAGGGGCTACAGGCCCCAAGCAAGTATGAACCCCAGTAGGGCAGTCATTAAATCTTAAAGCTCCAATATAATCTCCTTTGACTCCGTATCTCACATCCAGGTCACGCTAATGCAAGAGGTGGGCTCCCAAGGCTCTGGGCGGCTCTGCCCCCATGGCTCTGCAGAATACAGCCCCTGAGGCTGCTTTCATGGGCTGGTGTTGGGTGCCTGCAGCTTTTCCAGGCCTATGGTGCAAACTGTTGATGGATCTACCATTCTGGCATCTGGAGAAAGGTGGTCCTCTTCTCACAGCTGCACTAGACAGTGTCCTAGTGGGGATTCTGTGTGGAGGCTTCAACCCTACGTTTCCCCTCTGCAGTTCCTAGTAGAGGTTCTCCATGAGGGCTCTGTCCCTACAACCTACTTCTGCCTGAAAATCCAGGTGTTTTCATACATTCTCTGAAATCTAGGTGGAGGTTCCCAAACCTCATCTATCACACTCTGCACACCTGCAGGCCCAACACCTGTGGAAGCTCTCAAGGCTTGGGGCTTGCACCCTCGGAAGAAGTGACCTGAGCTATACCTTGGCTCCTTTTAGCCACAGCTGGAGCTGGAGCAGCTGGGATGCAGGGCATCATGTCCCAAGGCTGCACAGAGCAGTGGGGCCCTGGGCCTGGCCCACGAAACCATTTTTCCATCCTAGGCCTCTAGACCTGTGATGGAGGTGTGGGGGTGCTGCCCTGAATATCTCTGAAGTTCCCTGGAGACATTTTCCCCATAGTTAAGAGATGTGTGACTATATAGATAGATAGAAAGATACCCAGAATTGCGACAGAAAATTATTAGCTAGGAAACATGTAATCTTTATTCATAGATAGAAAACTGGATCTCAAGAAAAGCCAGTTATTTCTGATAAAAGTGAAGACAGAGTATGTTCAAAATAGGTAAACTCAAATGAGTTATCAACTAGCTACTGTATCTCTTAGTACGAGTAAGTACTTTAAAATAAATCCTCCCTGGCTGCCACTTTCATGAGGCAGATGTATATAATGTCATTCTACTTCGTGGTGACCTCTTAAAGAGACCTATACTCATCTATACAGAGATACCATTCAGACAACTATGGATTACTGGAGGGTCCATGGAAAGAAAGGAGCAAGCTATTTTATAAAATGATGACATCTTAAGGAATATGTGAGCTGGAAAGGAGTTCCATAGATAAATTTGATTAGGAAGGCGTATAAAATTTTTGAAGAGTGGCAATTGTGAAATCAGACTGCTTGGTTTATATTCCTACTCAACCACTTAGCTGTGTTACCGTAAGAAATTAGCTTCACCTCACTGTGCCTCAGTCCTCTCATTGGTAAAATGGGGACAATAATATGTACTCTGTGGCATTGTTGTAAGAATTGTTAGATAAATCATGTTAAGCATTTAGCATAATGCTTGACATTTAGCAAAAAAGTATCAAATGTTAGCTTTTATTATTATTATCAATCTTACTGAATTTCTTTCATTAGAGCACATTTGCAAACCATTAGTTTACCTACTGTTGGTGAATCAAAATGTGGATTGCTGAAGGAGATTTGGCAGATTTTCTTACAGTGAGAGGGAGATTGCATATTGGATGGAGTAGGAATGCCTCTTAAGGGCCTGCCAGGTCCCTATCGCCTCTTCAAAGCATGGGAATACAGAAAGATTTGGGTCCCTTCAAGGGAAATTCCATTCATCTAGCTTCCTTTGCAACCAGCAACTGGTGACGTGAATAAATAACCTGCTCAGCAAGAAGGTAATAATAACTTAGACAATCAACCTTGTGTAAATTAGAGTCACAAGATGTTTGGTTTCCTGTATAACCTAGTGGTAACATCTTGACATATATCCTCGAATTTTTTTCAGAATCAAGGACTACCACTGCACGAAAAATGCTGATTGCTGTCACATAGACCTCAAACAGAATGGAACCTCAGACAGACCGGAACCCGAAAGTAGATGAGGAAATTCCAGAAATTCCTCAGCCCTAACTCACTTTAGAGAGCCCCCTTACCTCAGCCTTTAACAATCTTTTGCTTGTAAGCTATCAGGGAGTTTTGGTCTTAAATGTTACCTGCCAGTTCTCCTCGTTTTCTGCTCTGCAATAAATGCCTTTTTGTTTGTTTTTTTTTTTTTTTTAATCTCTCTATAAGCCTAGGAGTGTGTGTTTGCCTTTGCTGTGGCAGTCAAGCTGACCCAAGTTTGGTTTGGTAATGCAAATATTAAAAATTGCTTCAAAATAGTTTAAAAACAGATAGAACAAGTGAAGCAATATTTAAATGCAATATGTCCAAAGCTGTGTTACATATGCTAGTTTGGTGAACCAATATAATAATAATAATAGAAAATGGCGATATTATCCTCTTAGATGTTAACAATGGCTGTTTACATATTAAAGACTTTAAAGACTTGTGTACTTTAAATTTAATCTGGCTTTTCACAACTTCTTAGACTACTGAAACTACTCATGATCAAGGACCTATTAATAGCTACTAAAAGTAGTTACTGTGAAATCCTTTCAATACAGGTGAAATCCTTTCAATAACAGCAAGTTACAAAGGAAAAGTTTAAACATTTGGGCACCAGCAATGGCAGAGTGAGGACTGAGTGTGGGCAGTCAATGAGATTTCAAGTAGGGCCTTGGGAGCAGTGATTGGTCAGCAGCTTGAGGGCAACCAATGGAAAGTACAGAACTAGTCAGGAGTAGGAACTCTCACCTGACAGTCCTCCAGGTCCCAGTACCAGCTTCTCCTGGATATTGAAGATCCTCCATTAAGTTTTCCTGCGGAAGACCTCAAGGCCACTCACAATTGTGTTGTTACATGACCATTTAGGCAGACATTTAATTGAGCTGGCTTTGATCTAAATGGTTAACTGGCTCAGTAGCACCCAGACTCTTAGCAGGTTGGACAAGAACAGACTGAGCTTCCTGGGCCTAGACTCTTTTGCTCTGAACCTTCAGCCTTTTTCTGGGAACTGCTGTTGTCACCTACCAACCTGTGTGTGTGTGCCTATCCTGGGCCTAATGCTGCTCTCTCTTCCTGGCTCAACTGGGCTTTTATAACCTTCAGTCTGTCACTCAACTTGAGTCAGTGGTTCCAGCTCCAGTTCTTTCACCACTTGCCTTCTTAGAATTTTTTACTCAGCTCTTGTTCACCTTCCCAACTCCAGTCTCAAATTCCCCCACATCTTACTACAACAATTCTTAATAATTACCATAGTTCTTTTTACCAAGTTTATTATGCCTATCAAGAGAAAATTATAAGACATACTAAAAGGCAAATACTTAGTTGAAGAGACATAGCACCCATTAGAATTGAACCTGGTGTGACAAGAAATTGGAATTAACAATGGGGAATTTTTAAAAATTTCACCTCCATTTTCTCAGAATGTGAACAACTGGGAATGTGAAGTACCTCTGATTAATATTCTACAGGTGCTAATAAATAAAGTAGACAGCATGCATAACAGATAGGTAATGAAAGCAGAGAGATAGCAGTTCTAAGAAAAAAAACCAGAGTGAAATGCCAGGCATTAAAAACACTATAAAAGAAATGAAGATTGTTTTTGGTGGGCTCACAGTAGACTGAAGATGGCTGAAGAAAGTGAGCTTGAGTATGTCTTTACAGAAACTTTAAAGACTGAAGAGCAAGAAGAAAAAAGTTGAAAAAATGGAACAGAATATCCAGGAACTATGTGACAACTGTAAAAGGTGTAACTTTTGCTTAATAAGAATATTAGAAGACAAATTAAAAGAAAAGGAGCAGAAGAAATATTTGAAGCAAGAATGACTAAAAATTCCCCGAAATTAATGTTAGACACCAAACCATTGATCCAAGGAACTCAGAGAGCAACATGCAAAATAAATGAAAAAAATGCTACACCTGGGTGCATTATATTTAAATTATAGAAACAATGATAAAGAACAACTTTTGAAAATGTCCAGTGGGGGGATAAAACTTTACCTTCTAGAAGAGGAAAGAAAAGAATTACATCTAACTTATCCATAGAAGCCATGCTAGCAAGAAGAGTGGAATGAAATATAAAAAGTGTTGAGAGGAAAAAACCATGCATCTAGAATTCTGGAACCTGTGGAATTATCTTTCAAAAGTGAAGGAGAAATAAAGACTTTCTCAGATAACAAAAACTGAGAGAATTTGTTGCTATTAGACCTTTCTTGAATTAAATATTACAAGAAATTCTTCAGGTTTTTTTCCAAGATGGCAGAAGACAGGCTTTGCCAGCTTGCTATACCCACTTGGAAATAGCAAAATAGTTTGTAGGGGTTCACACTGTGAACTTTTGTACAAGAAGGAGCTTGTCAGTTCAACAGAAAATGAAAGAAAACTTCAGATACTGGGAAAAATAAGGCAAGCAGAAGCCTACATGGTGGGGTCCAGTAGAAAACTATGAGTGAATCCCCAGTGCATGCTATGGGGAGACAGTATGTCCTTGATACCCATTTTCACTGAGAAGCCAGGAAATCCAGGCCATGAGAGAGGTCCTTGACCCTACCAGGCCCTGGATATGACTTTGGGAGCAGTTGGGAGACTGTGAGAAGGAATTGCCCTGTGGTGTGCTCTTCAGGTTCTCCCACAGATATGCACACCAATAGGAGGCCATTCCTGAACATAGCTCATACAGGGATTCACAAGAACCTTCCAGCTGGCAGGGTCAACAGTCACTGGTTTGGAGAGTCTCAGGAGGGGATTTGGCAATTTGGTCTAGAGCAGGGGAGGGTCCCCTATAGCCAGAACTGAGAACAGGTGTGGCATGGGCCCCAGCTGCACGGACTCCAGTTGGGCAAACTCCCCACCCCTTAATGGGACCAGAGCAGAGTGAGATTTGCCTAGGGGATATAGTATTAGCCCAGGCAGTGAGTTTTATGGCCTGGGACAGTAGTTTTGCTGACTGAAAGCAAACTGCATCTAACTTGGTTAACTGTCCAGACTTACTGCTGAGGTCAAGCCATGAGCAAATGAGACCTGCTGGGCCTGAAGCTTGAGAACACTGCCACTTTCTAGGCTGTTCAGGTGGAGCTGCACCTCCTTCCTATGTCTTTGGCACAGCAGTGATTGCTCCATTCCTTGCTGGGCGCTTCTCTGGAGGCCTGAGGACTGCCCCACAAACCCCTTTGGGACCAGTGCTTATGCCTGCCTCTAGGGGGCCTGAGTGTGGACTTACCTGGCCCACCTCAACAAGCTTTGCCCTCCCTACCTCAGAAGCAGAGTGCAGACCACTGAGAGTTCCACAGCCCATTCCATCCCCCAGGACACCCACATGCTTCTCCTAGTTAACAAAGGTCAAGTGTAAACCCTACTGCTGCCACAGCAGCTGGCTTTCACCAGCAAGTGCCATCTATTGGCCCAGAGGTTGACCCAAAGGGCTCATTACAACATCTGCTGACATAAATGCATAGTGCTTGGGAAGGAGATGAGCGTCTTGCAACCTCTGCTAATACCATCACTCATGCTACCCTGGCTACCCAGGAGGCTGCTCACCTGCTCACCTGCTCAGTACATCACTATTACAACCAGCATTTGAGAAGGTCACCACACTAAAGCTGTCTATAAGCAAGTAAATCATACAGTCTTTACCACTAGACAGGCCCAGAAGCAAAGCCAAATGACACTACTTAATGAACATCATAGTCACATACTCAAGTGAAAAAAAAGCCCTACTTTAATGAAAGTAAGTTCAAATATAAGAAGAAGCAACGGTTTCTCTAGATGTGAAGAAATCAGTGTAATAATACTGGAAATATGAAAAAGCAGAGTATCTTGACACCCTCAAAGGAATTATCTAGCAATGAATCCTAACCAAATTATCTAGCAATGAATTATCTAGCAATGAATAATTATCTAGCAATGAATCCTAACCAAAATGGAATATTCAAAATGCCAGGTAAATAATGCAAAACTTATTTTTAAAGAATCTCAGTGAGATCCAAAAGAAATCTGAAAACCAATAAAAAGAAATGAGAAAATCAATCAATGAGACTACATGAAGTGACCAAACCTACCAATCGTTGGTATGCCTGAAGGAGAAGATAAAGCAAAATGTTTAGAAAACCTGTTTAGGAAAATAATTGACAAACACTTGCCTAGTCTAGCAAAAGATTTAGACATCCAGGTACAAGAGGCCAAAAGAACACCAGAAAAATACACATTGCAAGATAGACTTTATGACATATATTCATCAGACTGTCTAAAGTCAATATGAAGAAAAAAATTCTAAAATCAGTGAGAAAAAAACATCTAGTCACCTAAAAAGAAAACCCCATGAAACTAACAGTGGACTTCTTAGCAGAAACCTTACAAGCCAGAAGAGATCAGGATTTTCCTAGTGCTTAAAGAAAAACATGTCAATTATGAATTTTATGTCCTGCCTAAATAAGCTTCATAAATGAAGAAGAAATAAAGTATTTTCCAGATAAGCAAACACTGATGGAATTCACCACCAGACCAGAAATGCTCAAAGGAGTTCTAAACATAGAAATGAAAGTTCATTATTCACCATCATAAAACACATAAAAGTAAAAACTCATAGGTCTTACAAAACAATTACACAAAGGAGGAAGAGAAAGAAATCAAATGGTAACATGAAAGAACTCCACTAAACTACAAACAGATAGGAAGGGGAAAAGGAAAAAAAATCTACAAAACAATTAGATAACAATTAACATTATGAAGGAATAAAACCTCAAATACCAATATTAACCTTGAATGTAAATAAATTAAATGTAAATAATATTTGTAAATAAATTAATATAAATAAATTAAAAGATACAGATTGGCTAAATGGATTTAAAGACATGAAACAACTATATTCTCCTTACAAGAAACTGACCTTAGTGGTAAAGACACTTACAGGTGAAAGGTAAAGGAGTGGTAAAAGATACTTCACACAAACAGAAACCAAAAGCAAGCAGGAGTAGTTATACTTACATTAGATAAAGCAGATTTTATATCAAAATGGTAAAAAAAATAAAAAAGAAGACAAAGAAAGTAATTATATAATGATAGAGGAGTCAATTCAACAAGGGGATGTAACCAACCTAAATATGTATGCACCCAACACCAGAGCATTGTAAAAGCAAACTATATTTAGTTTGATGGTCTGAGAAGGACTCTGTACTTCTGTATTTGAGTAAGTTATTACCTAACTTAATACGCAGGCAAGATTGAAAACCTAACTTAGGAGTGTGTGCCTGTAACAATCGCTGAGTCTTGGCCAGTCCCAGCAGCCATACTTCAACCAGTCATACACTGCTGAGTGTTCCAACTGTGTTCAAATAAGGCAAATGCCAAGCTGTAACCCATCCAGCTGTTTCTGTACCTCACTTTTGATTTCTGTATGTCACTTTACTATTTTTGTGTATAAATTTTTTTCACCATAAGGCACCCCTGGAGTCTCTCTAAATCTGCTGCGACTCTGAGAGCTGCCCAATTTGTGAGTTATTCATTGCTCAGTTACTCCTTTAAATTTAATTCAGCTGAAGTTTTTCTTTTACCAGAAGGTGTCAGAAGTGAGGTCCGGAGTAGAGCTTCTAACAACCCTCAGGAGTGCTGAGTGAACGAGGAAGGTACCTTCAGGACCCACTTGTGTCCACTGATCTCAGAGCAGCTGGGGATCATGAGTAAGTTCTCTCTTGGATTTCAGAGCTTCACAGATTTGTGTTTTGAGCCCTCTGAGTTTCTCTGAGCAAATTTCTGCTCCAAACTGGGTTTGGAAGTCACAACAGAAACTGGACTGGGTCCAGGAATGGATTTGATATGGGAATTAATTGCCTTGGATCCAGTTAGAGGCCTCTTAACATCTGACTGGGTCAGAAAGAAACTGGTAGCAAATGATAATATAGTAGAGGTGTAAAATTTGGCTTTTAAAAATTCACAGGAATTTTTGTGTTCTACCCCCTTTGTTTCATTTTTCTTGCATGCTTAGGTAGGGAAAAAAAATTGTTGGCTAAGTTAATCAAGGAAACCTGAGAACAAAGCCAATATTTTAGGTAAAAATGGGATCCTTAATTTCTGAAAAACTGAGTTCCTTCGGCTTACGTGTTTGGCACAGCAGCAGCGAAATCTTACAGAAACAGCAAAATCTTACTAAAGGTAACTTATAGCAGAATGTTCTAAATAAAACACAACACACTGAAGTGCATTTGAAAATGAGGGATCCCCAAAATTAAGTCTGCTAATCTTTCAGCTTAATTACTGTCCTAATCCAAAGGAAATAGACCGCAGCACCAATTGGCTGACTTTGGATACGTAATGAGGTATATTTTACCAGAGTAAAGGATGGGATTGGGTTAGAGGCCCTCCCGTGAGTAAGGTCCCTCATGGCTAAAAATGGATTAAAGATGACGGGGCCCAACCCGGGGCAAGTTTGAGCCTTGCAAGTTCAATACTGAGTGCTAAGCAGAGTGGCTAAGGTCTATGTTTTGTCACGTGTATTTTGCTCTGGCCAGAATGAAAAATGTTCATTGGGTTACCCCTTGCAACCCCTTGGGTGGTAACTTGCAAAACTGACAGGGCTTTGCCTGTGATTCCTCAAAACAAAACAAAACAAAACGAAAAAGATGATTTTTCTTTATGATGCAACTTGGCCCCCAGGGCTATAGTGTGGCAAGCAGGGTCACAAGAGCCACTCAGGGAAAGGGAACCCAGAAGCCTGGCATGACAGCAAAAGGGTAATAATTTCTTACCAGTCAGACTCTGGCCTCTGTCTCTGTCTGTGCAAACTGGTTAATTGAATGGTAGAAGTCACTGTTTATCTCCTCTAAATTTTGATTAATATAGAAAAGAATTCTGAGGCTGGTCTTAAGCTGTAGTGAATCTGGTGTGCTTTGTATGTCTTTCTGTATTGTTCTGTCGTAAAGAGGGGTACCATGAGGTAAAATGCATGCCTAGGACCCCATAAGCCTGCTCTTCAAGACAGCCCAGCAAACTGGTCAGTCATGTCCTTGGGAGTTCAACCTCGTAACCATGTGGCCATGCTTTCTCTTTTCACAATGGTTTCCTGGGTTCAGGGTTCAAGTCCCAGCTTAGGGAATGAGTACTTTCTGATTTGATACCTGTGTGACCTTTACACCATTTGTTGATTCTCCTCCCCTCCATGAGCCATCTTCAATTTTCCTTTCTCTGAGCAAATATTGGCCATTTGGCCTAGCCAAGGTTGGATAACAAAAGATTTAAAAGGACTTTTTAAAAAGAACACTATAGTTAAAAGTCAGCTTAATTAAAAGTGGATACTCAAGCTCTAGCAGCCTGGAACTCCTTGGGGAAAAGAGGAGGTGCCAGAGACCCCATTTTGGAAAAAAATCCTGTTTTCCTCACGAACCCCAGGAATTGGAAACGGATAGACCCCCTCAAAATCTAAGGCTCTGTTTTTCTTTTTGGAGGTGGGGGAAGCAACATCTGATATAAAAATGGGACCCTTAATTTTGGGGATCTGTTTTGCCTTCCAGCTGTGCCTGCTTATTCTGTTAGGCCCTAGAAAATGCATGCTTTCCTGGCCCTGTTCTTCCAAGGCCTCTAGACTAAACCCAGTAATCCAATTTAAAAGAACTTAAAAACTGGCAAATGAAAAATCTTACAACTACTGGATCTTCTCTCTGTGTAGTTATACATGTGTTGTGTGTGTAATGCTTTTATACAAAAGAGCTTTTATTAATTAGTTTAATAATAATAAGAGCTTAAATCAAATACTTTGTCAGAAAAGTTAAAAGTGTAATGCCTTTTAGTTCACGTGACTAAAGTAATCTTTGGGAAATAGAAACAGTTTTACATGCAAAGTAAAGAATGTGAAATGTGTTTTTGGTAAAAGTTTATAAGAAGGCATGGGACTGTGGATTTCTCGCCTAAGTTTAGAAAGTTAAAGGATTGTTTTAAGCTAGGGTAAAGCTGAAGGTTTAAGTAAGTTGTGGAAGGTCTGTGAAAAACTAATCTTTAAAAAAATAATTATGTGTGTGAATATATTGACTAAATTTAAAGGAGTATTTTCTGGGTTTTCCGTAAGGTGAACATTGAAATAAAAGCACAAACCAGTTTCTTAAAGCATTGATTTGCTCTTTAACAAAGATTTGTAAAAGGTTATAAAAGGTTTATGAGAATCTCACCTTATGGTCAAACGGATTAAGATCAGAAAGATTTGTCAATAAGGTTTATTAAAAATTGGGATTGACATTAATAGTACACTAATACAAGGGTGAAATTTGGCTTTTTCTCTGGAACAAGATATTCATGTAATATTAAAAGATAATGAAATATTTTTGTTTGCCTTTTGAATAAACTACTGAAAAAAAGAAGGGAAAGACAAGAGACAGATTGTTTGGAAATCTAAGTCTTCCCTCTATCACTGAGTAAAGGTTTTTGCCCTTTAAAAAATTTTTGAGTCATCATTTTTGCTAAATGAATGACTATGGTAACTTGGAATTCTGTTTCATAATGTCAAGTGTTTTAAACCTTTAACATATTTGATAGGCTTCCCAAAATCAAATTTCAGCTTCAAAATTATCTTTTCTGACCTCTAACTTGGACATGCTACAGAGGGCCCCTGAAGCATCCAAAAGAGACGTAAACAGAATTATTTGACATGTTTAGTTACATGGGAAGCATCGTAAAAATATTTTAATCTTCTTCCTGATATATTTTAGTGAATGATGTTAATGGATGTTCCAAAATTGTATGGGATTTGTAAAATTCCAATATGTCTGAGTATATGCTGTCAATCATAATTATGGTTATTGAGTTATTGTAGACCACAGAAATAACCAAATTTCCTTGTGTTTTTAACTATAACTACTTAAAGTCATTTCCACTGTTATTTGCTTACTGCTGATGCAGTTTCTAAAAACTTCACGAACATCCAAAATCCTAGAATATGATGTCTTTTAGGAGGTTTATGAAAGGATGGAAAGTACCCTAAAAAGCACTCTTGAATACAGGTTTCTAATAACTTCAGAATCATATCATTTGAAATGGGTAAGAATTCCTGGAATTTTAATGAAAAGACTGACTGTGTTATAAAACTGCTAACCCAAGTAGGAACAAAAATTAATTAAATATCTAGAAAATACGTTGCCATATTTATGTGCTAAATCAGCTGATACTGAAATTGTTTAGATATACAATTTGAATGAACTCCATGGTCTAAGTCAAATTACCTATGATAACCCAACTGTTATGAATGCTATGTACCTAATTTAAAGAAACAACTGGTATTCAAGAGGATATAAGTCTAATGTTAATTCAGCATGCTCTCATGGAGAACCAGGATAGCCACCCTGTACTTCTTGAGTCCTTAAAGCTTTTGTTATTAATAGTTCTGTATTCCATGATATCAGGGGAACCCACCCCTGATAATTCAACGTGGATCCTTTTCTATTTTCCCTAAGTGTCAGCCAGTCTGAGAAATAAAGGGAAAGAGTACAAAAGAGAGAAATTTTAAACCTGGGTGGCCGGGGGAGACATCACATGTCAGCAGGTCTGTGATGCCCCCCAAGCCGCAAAACCAGCAAGTTTTTATTAGTGGTTTTCAAAAGGGGAGGGAGTGTACGAACACGGTGTGGGTCACGAGATCACATGCTTCACAAGGTAATAAAATATTACAAGGCAAATGGAGGCAGGGCGAGATCACAGGACCAGGGTGAAATTAAAATTGCTAATGAAGTTTCAGGCATGCGTTGTCATTGATAACATCTTATCAGGAGACAGTGTTTGAGAGCAGACAACTGGTCTGACCAAAATTTATTAGGTGGGAATTTCTTCTTCCTAATAGGCCTGGGAGCGCTACGGGAGACCAGTGCTTATTTCATCCCTTATCTGCAACTGTGAAAGACAGATGTTCCCAGAGCGGCCATTTCAGAGACCTCTGCCTAGGACAGCATTCTCTTTCTCAGGGCTGTTCCTTGCTGAGAAAAAGAATTCAGTGATATTTCTCCTATTTGCTTTTGAAAGAAGAGAAATATGGCTCTGTTCTGCCCGGATCTCAGGCAGCCAGACCTAATGGTTATCTCCCTTGTTCCCTGAACATCGCTGTTATCCTGTTCTTTTTTCAAGGTGCCCAGATTTCATATTGTTTAAACAATTTGTGCAGTTAGTGCAATCATCACAGGGTCCTGAGGTGACATACATCCTCAGCTTACGAAGATGACAGGATTAAGAGATTAAAGTAAAGACAGGCATAGGAAATCACAAGAATATTGATTGGGGAAGTGATAAATGTCCATGAAATCTTCACAATTTATGTTCAGAGATTGCAGTAAAGGCAGGCATAAGAAATTATAAAACTATTAATTTGGGGAACTAATAAATGTCCATGAAATCTTCACAATTTATGTTCTTCTGCCATGGCTTCAGCCGGTCCCTCTCCATTCAGGGTCCCTGACTTCCCACAACACCATGACGCATCATGGAAAAGATAAAGTGATCCAAATTGAATATATTGGTGTGGTGACTTATAAATCGCTAAAATAGTTTATAACCAATGTTTGGTCCCATATTCCTGGGAAAACAATCAAAGCTTTGGGTACATTTGGTCACCTGATGGGCCGCTTACACATTTTATAAAGGGATTTCATTTAATTGTTATTTTCAATGCAAGCTTTCTGGATGTATAATTGCTCTCCTATGCAAGAGGGCTGATATTATAATACTAAGTTATTATGACACAGTGTATTTTCACCCTGTAAAGAAAGCTTTTTATGGTTCCCTGAGGACAATCAACCCTTTCACAATCTTCACAACCCAAAGACTGGATCTTCTGAAAACATCAGAGAAAGAGTGTCCTTGCCATCCACACTACAGCAAAACTTTGGAAACTTGAACTTTGGGTTCATAATCTCACAACTGAGAAGGGTTCCTCCACACTCTTGGAACTATACACTCATTGGAACACTTAAGGTAAAGCTAAACAGGGAAGTCTCTCCCCAGAAGAAGATGGCATCCTTGATGTGAACAGCTTTTCCCAAGATCACAGGTCAAGACTTCTACTATCAGGAGACTCATGTCTTTGAATATTTTTCTTCTTTATGCCTCTATGAACAATAGAAATGAAAAGGGGATCTGTTGTATACACTCACAAGGTATACTTTTATTTGTGAAGGATTTTTCAGCTAGCCTTACACATGGATAACCATGTATATGTAAAATATGAAGGCCCAGTATAGGTGAGAAATTGTAATGGTATATATGTTGCCTCATAATTAGTCAGAAACAGAACATTGATTCACTTTTCTTAACCCGCATCATGAGTTAAAGAGAACATTGCCAGGAGGCCTTCACTCTTCTATAATAGAAGGGCATCATTTGTTAGGTCTTTTTTCTGTGGTTTCGAATAAAAGAGGCAATGATTAGAGACGTATCCCTCATAATAGGTTCTATAACGGATTCTACTGCAAAGGCAATAGTTACACAGCAGACTTTAAATTCTCTTGTGAAAGTTATGCTAAATGATAGAAATGGCTAAGCGGAAAAGTATACATGCAGCTGCTGCACTTACAGCCTATGGCAAAAATATTGGGTATTATAGAAGTTCAGCTGTAGGGGATTAATGAAGAGTCTGCTTAGTTAAGCAGTTAAGTTTATCTTATCTAGCTCATTCACATAGAACATTCTCCAAGACAGACCATATGTTAGGTCACAAAACAAGACTCAATAAGTATTTAAAATTTTGAATCATATCAAGTGTCAAGTATCTTCTCAGGCCACAATGGAATGAAATGGAATAAAACTAGAAACCAATGCTGAGTGGAATTCTCAAAATTACACAAATACATGGAAATTAAACAACACTCTCTTGAATAATCTTTGAGTCAATAGTGCAATTAAAATTGAAATTTTACAAAATTTTTGAAATAAATGAAAATGGAAATACAGCATACAAAAAACTCTGGGCCACAGCATAAGTGGTGTTAAGAGGGAATTTTACAGCATTTCATGCTTACATTTAAAAAACAGAAAAGTCATAAATTAGCAACCTAAACATTACACCTCAAGGAACTAGAAAAGCAAGGAAAAAAAAAAACCCAAAGCTAGCAGAAGAAAAGAAATAACAAAGATCAGAACAGAACTAAATATAATTGGGACAAATGTTCAACAAAATGACGAGTTTGTTATTTGGAAGATAAACTAGTCTTGGCTAGATTAACCAAGAAAAGAAGAGAAAATACCCTAAAAACACAACCAGAAATGAAAAGGAGACATTAAAACTGGTACCAGAAAAATAAAAAAGATCAGCAGAGACTACTGTAAACATCTTTATACTCACAAACTGGAAAACCTAGAGGAAATGAATCAATTCCTCAAAATACACAGCCTCTCCAAGATGGCACCAGGGAGAAATAGAAATCCTGAAATAAAAAACAAAACAAGTAGTGAGATTGGATCAGCAATAAAAAAAAAAATTTCAGCAACAAAAAAGCCCAGGACCAGATGAATTCACAGCCAAACTATCAAACATACAAAAAAGAACTGGTATCAATCATCCTGAAACTGTTTTTTAAAAATCGGACAGGAAGGTATCCTTCCTAACTCACTCTATAAAGCCAGTGTTACCCTGTTACAAAAGCCAGACAAAAGTACAATAAAAAAGAAAACTAAAGACCAATATCTGTGATTCACACAGATGCAGAAGTCCTCGGCAAAATATTAGCAAATGAAGTCTAATAGCACACCAACAAGATAAATACACCATAATTAAGTGAGTTTTATTCCAGGCATGAAAGGATGGCTCCACATAGGCAAATTAATAAATGTGATTCATGACATAAACAGATTTAAAGACAAAAAAATTATCATATCAAGAGATGTAGAAAAAGTGTTTCATAAAATTTCACAGCTATGATAAAATCTCAACAAACCAGGCTCAGAAGGAGCATACCTCAAATTAATAAAGGCCATTTATGACAAACCCACAGCCAACATCATACTGAACAGGGAAAAATTGAAAGCAATCTCCCCAAGAACTGGAACAAGAAAAGGATGCCCACTTTCACCACTTCTATTCAGCATAGTAGTGGAAGTCCTAGCCGGAGCAATCAGGCGAGAGACAGAAATAAAAGACATCTAAATTAGAAAAAAAGGAAGTCAAGAGAAAGAAATAAAGTATATTCAATTAGGAAAAGGTGAAGTCAAATTGTCCCTGTTTGCAGATGACATGATTGTATATTTAGAAAACCCCATCATCTCAGCCCAAAATCTCCTTAAGCTGATAAGCAACTTCAGCAAAGTCTCAGGATACAAAATCAATGTGCAAAAATCACAAGCATTCCTATACGCCAATAACAGAGAGCCAAATCATGAGTGAACTCCCATTCACAATTGCTACAAAGAAAATAAAATACCTAGGAATCCAACTTACAAGGGATGTGAAGGACCTCTTCAAGGAGAACTACAAACCACTGCTCAATGAAATAAAAGAGGACACAAACAAATGGAAGAACATTCCATGCTCATGGATGGGAAGAATCAATATCATGAAAATGGCCATACTGCCCAAGGTAATTTATAGATTCAATGCCACCCCCATCAAGCTACCAATGACTTTCTTCACAGAATTGGAAAAAATTACTTTAAAGTTTATATGGAACCAAAAAAGAGTCTGCATTGCCAAGACCATCCTAAGCCAAAAGAACAAAGCTGGAGGCATCACGCTATCTGACCTCAAGCTATACTACAAGGCTGCAGTAACCAAAACAGCATGGTACTGGTACCAAAACAGAGATATAGACCAATGGAACAGAACAGAATTCTCAGAAATAATGCCACACATCTACAACCATCTGATCTTTGACAAACCTGACAAAAACAAGAAATGGGGAAAGGATTCCCTATTTAATAAATGGTGCTGGGAAAATTGGCTAGCCATATGTAGAAAGCTGAAACTAGATCCCTTCCTTACACCTTATACAAAAATTAATTCAAGATGGATTGAAGACTTAAATGTTAGACCTAAAACCATAAAAACCCTAGAAGAAAACCTAGGCAATACCATTCAGGACATAGGCATGGGCAAGGACTTCATGACTAAAACACCAAAAGCAATGGCAACAAAAGCCAAAATTGACAAATGGGGTCTCATTAAACTAAAGAGCTTCTGCACAGCAAAAGAAACTATCATCAGAGTGAACAGGCAACCTACAGAATGGGAGAAAATTGTCGCAATCTACCCATCAGACAAACAGCTAATATCCAGAATCTACAAATAACTTAAACAAATTTACAAGAAAAAAAAACAAACAACCCCATCAAAAAGTGGGCAAAGGATATGAACAGACACTTCTCAAAAGAAGACATTTATGCAGCCAACAGATACACGAAAAAATGCTCATCATCACTGGTCATCAGAGAAATGCAAATCAAAACTACAACGAGATATCATCTCACACCAGTTTGAATGGCGATCATTAAAAAGACAGTAAACAACAGATGCTGGAGAGGATGTGGAGAAATAGGAATGCTTTTACACTGTTGGTGGGAGTGTAAACTAGTTCATCCATTGTGGAAGACAGTGTGGTGATTCCTCAAGGATCTAGAACTAGAAATACCATTTGACCCAGCAATCCCATTACTGGGTATATACCCAAAGGATTACAAATCATGCTACTATAAAGACACATGCACACGTGTGTTTATTGTGGCACTATTCACAATAGCAAAGACTTGGAACCAATCCAAATGTCCATCAATGATAAACTGGATTAAGAAACTGTGGCACATATACACCATGAAATTCTATGCAGCCATAAATAGGATGAGTTCATGTCCTTTGTAGGGACATGGATGCTGCTGGAAACCATCATTCTGAGCAATCTGTCACAAGGACAGAAAACCAAACACCTCATGTTCTCACTCATAGGTGGGAATTGAACAATGAGAACTTGGACACAGGGCGGGGAACATCACACCCCAAGGCCTGTCGTGGGGTTGGGGGCAGCAGGAGGGATAGCATTAGGAGAAATACCTAATGTAAATGACAAGTTAATGGGTGCAGCAAACCCACATGGCACATGTGTACCTATGTAACAAAACTGCACATTGTGCACATGTACCCTAGAACTTAAAGTACAATTTAAAAAAAAGAAAAAAAGGAAGTCAAATTATCTCAGTTCACTGATATGATTTTATACCTAGAAACCTCTAAAGATTCTTCTGAAAAAATCTTACAAGGAAAACTACAAAACACTGATGAAAGAAATTGTAGAGTACACAAATCAGAAGAATTAATATCATGAAAATGATCATACTGCCCAAAGAAATCTACAGATTCATTGCAATCTCTATCAAGATACACATGACATTTTTCACAGACTTAGAAAAAACAATGCTAAAATTCATATGGAAGTAAAAAAGAGTTCAAACAGCCAAAGCAATCCTAAGCAAAAAGAACAAAGCTAGAGGTATCACATTCCCTGATTTCAAATTATACTACGAGGCTATAGTAACCAAAACAGCATAGTACTGGTATAAAAATAGACACATAGACCAAAGGAACAGAGCAGAAAACCCTGAAACAAAGACACATATCTACAGTCAACTGAGTTTGACACAGGTGACAAAAACACACTAGGTAAAAGACAATCTATTCAATAAATGTTGCTGGGAGTATTGGATTACTACATACAAAAGAAAGAAACTGAAACCGTATCTCTTACTATATATAAAAATAAATTCAAGATGGATTAAAGACATAAATGTAAGGCCTGAAACTATAAAAATACTAGATGAAATCTAGGGAAAACTCCACTGGATATTGGTCTTGGCAAAGAATTCATGACTACAACTTCAAAAGCACAGGCAACAAAAATGAAAATAAATAACACTTAACTAAAATAAAAAACATCTGCATAGCAAAATAAATAATCAACAAAATTAACATACAACTTCATAATGGGAGAAAATACTTGGAAACCACGCAACCCACAGGAGACTAATACCTATAACTTATAAGAAATTCAAATAACTCAACAACAACAAAAACAAATAATCTCATTAAAAAGTGAGTGAAGGAAATCAATAGATATTTTTCTAAAGAAGGCATATAAATGGCTAACAAGCATATGAAAAAATGCTCAACATCACTAATCACCTGAGAAATGCATTTTAAAACTACAATGAGATATCATCTTATGAGTCAGAATGGCTCTTATTAAAAATTAAATTTAAAAATAACATGTTAACAAGGATGTGGAGGAAAGAGAATGCTAATACACTTTTGGTAGGATTGTAAATTAGCACAACTTCTGTGGAAAACAGTATGGAGATTTCTCGAAGAACAGAAGATAGAACTACCATTCAATCCAGCAATCCCTCTATTGCATATCTACCCAAAGGAAAATAAATTATTATATCAAAAAATACCTGCACTTGTATGTTTATTGTAGCACTACTTACAATATCAAAAATATGGAATCTACCTTGGTGTCTGTCAGCAAATGATTGGATAAAGAAAAAGTGGCATATATACACAATAGAATACTACTCAGCCATAAAAAGATTGAAATCATGCGTTTTGCAGCAACTTGGATGGAACTGGAGGCCATTATCTTAAGTGAAACAACTAAGAAACTGAAAGTCAAATACTGCATGTTATCACTTATAAGTGGAAGCTACACAATGGGTACACATGGACATAAAGTGTGGAATAACAGACACTGGAGATGAAAGGGTAGGAGGCTGGAGGGGGATGCGGTGAAAGATGAGAAATTACTTGGTGGATATAATGCATACTATTCAGATGATGGTTACACTAAAAGCCCTGACTTCACCAGTATGCAATATAGCCATGTAACAAAACTGCATATATACCCCTTCAGTTTATACCACAAAAAATATTTATTTTATTGATCTTTTCTATTGTCCTAGCTTTATTTTATTTATTTCTGTTATGATCTTTCACACTTTTTCTTTCTACTCTCTATGTTCCTCTTTTTCTAGTTTCTTCAGAAGTAAAGTTTCATTGTTTTTTAGTATCATTCTTTTTTGACTTAGGCCTATGCCAAAAACTTTTCTTTAGATATGTGTTTGCTACATCCCATAAGTTTTGGTATGTTGTGTTTCTATTTTTAATTGTCACAAGTTAACTTTCTGTTTCTCTTTTGATTTCTTGCATGACCTAATGGTTGTTTGGGAAGATGTTGTTTAATTTCCACATATTTGTGAATTTTTCAGTTTTCCTCATATTATTGAGTTCTGGTTACTTGAAATGTAAAGACTAGGTTGTTTATTTGTGATCCATATTCTTCTTATGGTGTTTATTGCTATAAAATTCCCTCTTAAGATTGCTTTAGCTGCATTCCATAATTTTGTTAGGTTGTATGTCCATAATCATTTGTTTCAGGATATTTTAAAATTTTTCTTTTAATTTCTCCTGTGGTCCATTTTTCTTCAGGAGCATGTTGTTTAATTTCTACATATTTGTGAATATTCTGAAATTCATCCTATGATTTCTAATTTCATACCAATGTGGTTGGAAAAAAATAATTAGTATGAATTTTGATCTTATTGAATTAGATAACACTTGGGTTTTTTACCTCACATACAATCTGTCTTGGAGAATTCTGTGTGTGTTGAAAAAAATGTGTATTCTTCTGTTGTTGGATGGGAAGATCTGTATATATCTGTAGGTCCATTTGGTCTATATTATTCAAGTGTACTGTTTCCTTATGGATTTTGTGTCTGGGTAATCTATCCATTGTTTAAAATGGACTATTAAAGTCACTTATTGTTATTGTATTGCTGTCTATTTCTCTCTTAAGGTCTGTTAGTATTTATTTTATATATTTAGTTGCTCTGATGTTGAGTGCATTTATTTTTACAATTGTTATGTCCTCTTGATGAAATGACCCTTTAATCATTATATAATGACTTTTTAATTTTTAAATTTTTTATTTCAATAGGGTTTTGGGGAACAGGTGGTGTTTGGTTACATGAATAAGTTCTTTAGTGGTGATTTCTGAAATTTTGGTGCACCCATCACCCGAGCAGCATACACTGTACCCAACGTGTAGTCTTATATCTTGCCACCCCCACTTTTTTCCCTGTCTCCAAAGCCCAATATGTCATTCTTATGCCTTTGCGTCCTCATAGCTTAGCTCCCACATATAAGTGAGAACTATGGCTTGGTTTTCCATTCCTGAGTTACTTCACTTAGAATAATAGTCTCCATTTCTATTCAGGTTGCTGTGAATGCCATTATTTTATTCTTTTTATGGCTGAATAGTATTCTATAGTGCGTGTGTGTGTGTGTGTGTGTGTGTGTGTGTGTGTGTATCACATTTTCTTTGGGGCATTAGGGCTGGTTCCATATTTTTACCTATGCACTATACCTATGCACTATAAACATGTGCGTGCAAGTATTTTTTCATGTAATGACTTCTTTTCCTCTGGGTAGATATTTAGTAGAGGGATTGCTGGATCAAGGGGTAGATCTACTTTAAGTTCTTTAAGGAATCTCCACGCTGTTTTCCATAGTCGCTGTACTAGTTTACATTCCCTCCAACAGTGTAAAAGTATTACCTTTTCACTGCGTCCATGCCAACTCTATTATTTTTTGATGTTTTTTATTATGGCCATTCTTGCAGAAGTGAGATGGTTTGCATTGTGGTCTCGATATGCATTTCCCTGATAGTGATGTTGAGCATTTTTCCATATGCTTGTTGGCCATTTGGATATCTTCTTTTGAGAACTGTCTATTCATACCCTTAGCCCACTTTTGATGGGATTGTTTTTTGTTTTTTGTTTTTTCTTGTTGATTTGTTTGAGTTCCTTGTAGATTCTGGATATTAGTCCTTTGTATAGATTGTGAAGATTTTCTCCCACTCTGTGAGTTGTCTGTTAATTGTACTGAATATTTCTTTTGCTGTGCAGAAGCTTTTTAGTTTAATTAAGTCCTATTTATTTATTATTGTCTTTGTTGCATTAGCTTTCAGGTTCTTGGTTACGAAATCTTTGCCTAAGCCAATGAATAGAAGAGTTTTTCCAATGTTATCTTCTAGAATCTTTATGGTTTCAGGTCATAGATTTCAGTCTTTGATCCATCTTGAGTTGATTTTTGTATAAGGTGAGAGATGAGAATCCAGTTTCATTCATCTACATGTGGCTTGTCAATTATCCCAGCACCATTGATTGAATAAGGTGTCTTTTCCCCTCTTTATGTTTTTGTTTGCTTTGTTGAAGATCAGTTGCCTGTAAGTATTTGGCTTTATTTCTGGGTTCTCTATCCAGTTCCATTGGTCTATGTGCCTATTTTTATACCAGTACCATCCTGTTTTTGTGACTATGGCCTTATAGTATACTTTAAAGTCAGGTAATGTGATGCCTCCAGATTTGTTCTTTTTGCTTAGTTTTGCTTTGGCTATGCAGGCTCTTTTTTGGTTCTATATGAATTTTAGATTTGTATTTTCTAGTTCTGTGAAGAATGATGGTGGTATTTTGATTGGGATTGCATTAAATTTGTAGATTGCTTTTGGCAGTATGGTCATTTTCACAATACTGATTCTACCCACCCATGAGCATGGGATGTGTTTCCATTTGTTGTGTCATCTATGATTTCTTTCAGCAGTGTGTTGTAGTTTTCCTTGTAGAGGTCTTTTGCTTTAAAGATGTTCATTTTGGTGTATTTCAAGGATTTGTTTCAAGATTTAGATCTCCTTTTAGCAATTCTTGTAGTGCTGGCTTGATAGTGGTCAATTATGTCAGCATATGCTTGTCTGGAAAAGACTGTATCTTTCCTTCATGTATGAAGCTTAGTTATGCTGGGTACAAAATTCTTGACTGATAATTGTTTTAAGGAGGCTAAAGTTTAGGACCCCAATCCCATTAACTTGTACGGTTTCTGCTGAGAAACCTGCTGTTAATCTGATAAGTTTTCCTTTACAGGTTACCTGATGCTTTTCCTCACAGCTCTTAAGATTCTTTCCTTCATCTGGACTTTAGATAACCTGATGACTATGTGCCTAGGCAATGATCTTTTGGGGAAGAATTTTTCAGGTATTCTTCGAGCTTCTTGTATTTGGATGTCTAGATCTCTAGCAAGGCCAGGAAAGTTTTCCTTGATTATTCCCTCAAATATGTTTCCCAAACTTTTAGATTTCTCTTCTTCCTCAGGAACACCAATTATTCTTAGGTTTGGGTGTTTAACATAATCCCAGACTTCTTGGAGACTTTATTCATTTTTTAAATTGTTTTCTTTGTCTTTGACAGATTGGGATCATTCAAAGGCCTTGTCTTCAGGCTCTGAGGTTCTTTCTTCTGTTCATTTGGTTCTATTGCTGAGACTTTCCAGTGCATTTTGCATTTCTTTAAGTGTGTCTTTGATTTCCAGAAGTTGTGATTATTTATTATTTATGCCCTCTATTTCAGTGAAGAAATTTCCTTTCATATCCTGTATTATGTTTTTGATTTCTTTAAGGTGGGCTTCACCTTTCTCTGGTGGCTCCTTGATTAGCTTAATAATCGACCTTCTGAATTCTTTTTCTGGCAAGTCAGAGATTTTGTCTTGGGTTGGTTAGCTGGGATAATCCTTTGGGGGTTTTAAAGAACCTCGTTTTGCCATGTTACCAGAAATGTTTATCTGGTTCCTCTCATTTGGACAGATTATGTCAGAGGGAAGATCTGAGATTCGAAGGCTGCTGTTCAGATTCTTTTATCCCACAGGCTTCTCCCTTGATGTGGTGTTCTCCCCCTTCCCCTAGGAATGGGGTTTCTTGAGAGCTGAACTGTGGTGATTGTTTTTGTTCTTCTGGGTCTATAGCCACCCAGTGGAGCTACTGGGCCTGGGCTGGTACTGGGGAATGTCTGCAAAGAGTCCTGTGATGTGATCCATTTTCAGGTCTTTGCAGCTGTGGATACCATCACCTACTCTGGTAGAGGTAGCAGGGGAGTGAAGTGGAATCTGTGTTGGTCGTTGGTTGTGTTTTTGTTTAGTGGGCTGGTTTGTGTTGGTTGCCTCCAGCCGAGAGGTGGTGCTTTCAAGAGCACATCAGCTGCAATCCTACAGGGAGGATGCAAACTTGCCCTAGGGACACCTAGTTAAGTATTTAGGTTTCTCAGGTAGTGGGCAGGGCCATAGAGCTCCCAAGAGATTATGACCTTTGTCTTTGGCTACCAGGGTGGATAAAGAAAGACCACCAGGTGGGAGCAAGGATGGATGTGTCTGAGCTCAGTCTCTCATTGGGTGGGGCATGCTGCGGCTGCTGTAGGAGATGGAGTTATGGTTTCCAGTGCAATGGAGTTCTATTCCCAGGGGAATTGGAATTATGGCTGCCTCTGCTGAGCCATATGTATCACTAGGAAGATGGGAGAAAGCTGGCAGTCACAGGTCTCACCTTGCTCCCATGCAACCCACAGTCCTAAAGGCCAGTCTCACTCCCACTGTGCCACCCCCCACCCCACCTGCACAACAGCACCTAGTCTGTTTCCAGGCAGCCGGTGACCAGGGCTGAGAACTTGACCCAGACCACCAGCCTCCCCACTGAGAAAGCAAGCAGACTCACAGTTTTTTGGTGTGATCCTGCAGGTGTGATCCAGTTCCTTCAAAGCATCTGTGGATTCTCTTGGCTTTCTGGTGTGTTCCTGCAGTAGTTTTTAAATCAAAAGTTTATAATGTGAGTCTCCACACACTATTCTGTCAATCCAAGTAGGAGGAGCAAGCTAGTCCTGCCTCCTATATGCCATCTTCTGTCCTCACATCTCATGATTTTTAAATTATGACCGTTGTTGACTTAGGGTACGTTTTGTCTGATGTAAGTGTAGCCACCCCTGTTCTTTTTTGGTTACCATTTCCATGAAATATCATTTACTATCTCTTCATTTTCAGCCAATGTGTGTCACTAAAGATAAAGGGAGTCTCTTGTAGGCAGCGTAGAGTTGGGTCCTAATTTTTATGGGATCTAATTAAACTAAAGAGCTTCTACAGAGCAAACGAAACTATCATCAGAGTGAACAGGCAACCTACAGAATGGGAGAAAACTTTTGCAATCTATCCATCTGACAAAGGTCTAATATCCAGAATCTACAAAGAACTTAAACAAATTTACAAGAAAAAAGCAAACAACCTCATCAAAAAGTGGGTGAAGCATATGAACAGATAGTTTTCAAAAGAAGACATTTATGCGGCCAACAAACATATGAAAAAAACCTCATCATCACTGGTCGTTAGAGAAATGCAAATCAAAACTGCAATGAGATACCATCTCACGCCAGTTAGAATGGCGGTCATTAAAAAGACAGGAAACAACAGATGCTGGAGAGGATGTGGAGAAATAGGAATGCTTTTACACTGTTGGTGGGAGTGTAAATAAGTTCAACCATTGTGGAAGACAGTGTGGCTATTCCTCAAGGATCTAGAACCAGAAATACCATTTGACCCAGCAATCCCATTACGGGGTATATACCCAAAGGATTATAAATCATGCTACTATAAAGACACATGCACATGTATGTTTATTGCAGTACTCTTCACAATAGCAAAGACTTGGAACCAGTCCAAATGCCCATCAATGATAGACTGGATTAAGAAACTGTGGCACATAGACACCATGGAATACTATGCAGCCATAAAAAAGGATGAGTTCATGTCCTTGCAGGGACATGGATGAAGCTGGAAACCATCATTCTCAGCAAACTAACACAGGAAAAGAAAACCAAACACCGCATGTTCTCACTCATAAGTGGTAGCTGAACAATGAGAATACCTGGACACGAGGAGGGGAACATCACACACCAGGGGCTGTCGGGGGTTCGGGGGCTAGGGGAGGGATAGCATTAGGAGAAACACCTAATGTAGATGACGGGTTGATGGGTGCAGCAAACCACCATGGCACGTGTATACCTATGTAACAAACCTACACGTTCTTCACATGTATCACAGAACTTAAAGTATAACTTTAAAAATTTCATTCGGCCACTCTGTAACTTTTTATTGAAGAATTTAATGTGTTTACATTAAAAGTAATTATTGATAGGTAAGAACTTACTATTACCAATTTGTTCATTGCTTTCTGAAAGTTTTGCCGTTCTGTTTTTCAGTTCTTCTCCTGCTGTCTTCCTGTGTGATTTGATGAAATTTTTGTAGTTGTATGCTTTTATTCCTTTCTCTTTGTCTCTTGTGTTCCTACTACACGTTTTTTTTTTCACCATGAGGCTTATAGCTTGTATACACTATCTTATAGTTGCAGTAATCTATTTTAAGCTGAATACAACTTAACTTCAACTGCATGCAAAAATTCTACTCTTTACTTTCTCTTCCCCTGCTACCTATTTTATGCTATTAATGCCACAATTTACATCTTTTATATATCTTGTATGCATTAACTATTATTGTAACTACTGAAATTTTTAACAGTCTTGACTTTTAACTTTTATATTAGAGTCTAAAAACTTATGCAATACTATTATAGTATTAGAGTATTTTGAATTTGACTACATTCTTTCCTTTACAATATGTTTTCATGTCCATAGTTAGAGTACTTTTGCTACAAGTTGTAGAAATCCCTTTAGCATTTTTTGTAAAGCATATCTAGTGGTGATGAATTCTCACAGCATTGTTTGTCTGGCACAATCTTTATCTTGCCTTTGTTTCTCAAGGACTGGCTTGCCTGATATAGTATCCTTGGTTGACTGTTCTTTCTTTCACCACTTTGAATATATCATCCCACTCTCTCTTGGCCTGCAAGCTTTCTGCCAAGAAATCTGCTAAACTAATGGGGGTTACCTTGTATATGATCAATTGTTTTTCTCTTGCCACTTTGAAAATCCTCTCTTTCTTCTTGACTTTTGAGAATTTTCTTTTTTGTGTATCTCAGTGGACATCTATTTATATTTGATCTATCTTGGGTTCTCTGGACTAAGTGGATCTGAATGTTAATGGCTCTTTCCAGATTAGGGAAGTTTTCTGTCCTCAAATCTCTAAGTAGGTTTTGTGCTCCTTTCTCTTTCTCTGCTCCTTCTAGGACTCTCATAATTTATATTTTGTTTTTTTATTTGATGGTGTTCCATATGTCTCATAGATTTTCATCACCTTTTTCCTTTCTTTTTTCTTTTTGCTCTTATTGTGTAATTTCAAATGACCTATCTTTGAGCTCACTCATTATTTCTTCTACTTTATCAAGTCTGCTGTTAAAGTTCTCTATGAAGTTTTTCACATTAGTCTTGTGTTCTTCAGCAGCAGCATTCTGTTTGGCACCTTTCTATGGTTCCTATATCTTTGTGGAATTTCTCATTTAGTTAATGTATTGTTTTCCTGATTTTGATCAGTCATCTATCTGTATTCTCTTTTATCTCATTGAGCTTCTTTAAGATGACTGTTTTGAAAACTTTTTCAGGCAGTTCATAGGTAGCCCTTTCTATAGGGTAGGTTACTGGTGGTTTATTTTGTTCCTTTGGTAGTATCATATTTTCCTAATCAGTCATGATCCTTCTGACCTTTAGTTGGTGCGTGTACATGTGAAGAAGTAAGCACCTCCTCCCATCTTTACAGATTGGATTTGGCAGGAAAAACCCTTCATCAATCAGCCCATCCAGAGTTTCTGGGCAGGCCATCTGAGGAGGTCCATGGGCATACTTGTAGCAGGAGTCTGCATGTGGGCTGACTTGATGCTTGAGTCAGTGAATGGGCAGGCCTAGAACTTGAGTCTGTGGACAAGCCTGAATAATGAGAACATGGGTATCTGCCTGGAGATTGTGTCTGCAGGGTTGGTTCTGTAGCTGAGTCTGTGATGGTTGACCCAGCACTAGAATCCACTGAGGTTGACTTGGATCTTGGTTTCTCTGGAGCTTGTGTCTGTGGAGACCAGTCTGGAACCTGGAATGGGCCTGGAACTGAGCAAAGACTGGTGCCTTGGATGATGGGTGCTGGCCTAGATCTGAAATCTGTAGTTGCTGGTCTGCAGCCTGGGGCAAGCCTAACACCTGGGGCCTTAGCAGCACTGGGGCTGTTCTAGAGTCTAGACATAACTGGATTCCAAATCTTTGTGGACTGGCCTTCCAGCCGGAGCTGTAGGGCTGGCCATGTTCTGGAGCAGACCTGTAGTTTGAGATTGGAGGGGCTGACCAGCAGCCTATGACCTGTAACTAATTTTTTCATGTTGATTTTTGTATTATGCATCTTTGCTGAGTTCATTTATTACACTAACTTTTTTTGCATTGAATATTTAAGATTTTCTGCATGTAAGATCATGTCTTCTGCAACCAAAATATTTTACTTTTCCTTTTTTAATATTTATCATTTTTATAATTTCTTCAAACTTATTACTCTGTCTAAGACTTCCAAAACTATTGAATAGAAGGGAAAAATGAATATTCCGGTCTCCTTTAATGTACAGGAAAAGATTTCAGTATTTTACTATTGAGTTTGATGTTGGCTGTGTGTTTTTCATGCTTTTGTCATGTTGAAGAAATTTTATTTGGTTTGTACATTATTGAATTTTTTTATGAAAGGCTGTTGGTTTTGCCATTTTTTTGTAAATGAAGTCAATCAGGTAGTTATTTCCCTTAATTTTACACATGTGGTATCTTATATTGATTTTTTTTTCATGTTGAACCTTCATGCTTTCAGGAATAAATTCTACATAACCTGATATATAATAGCCTTAAAATGCTACTAAATTCAATGTGCTCTTGTTTGAATATTAGTTTTTATGTCAGTATTAATAACAGATATTGATCTGTAGTTTGTTTTTCTTAACAGTTTTTGTCTGAGGTTGGTGTGACATTAATGATGACTTCATAGAATTTAGTTAGATAGTGATCCCATGTCTTCAAAATTGTGGAAGAGTTTGAGAATGTCTCTGTTAATTCTTCTATGAATATTTTGTGAAACCACTCTTGTGAATTTTTTGTATGCGTTACTATAATGTTCAGTTCTTGCATTTCTGTTTGTTTCCTTTCTATGATTTTTATCTTTGTTGATATACTTGTTTTGTTCATGTATCAGTTTTCTAATTTCTTTTAGTTGTTTGTCCACATTTTCCTTAGGCTTTTTTAGTATATATAAGACAGTTGTTTTAAAGACTTTTAGTAGTGAATCCTTTCCCCATTGCTTGTTTTTCTCAGGTTTGTCAAAGATCAGATAGTTGTAGATATGCGGCATTATTTCTGAGGGCTCTGTTCTGTTCCATTGATCTATATCTCTGTTTTGGTACCAGTACCATGCTGTTTTGGTTACTGTAGCCTTGTAGTATAGTTTGAAGTCAGGTAGTGTGATGCCTCCAGCTTTGTTCTCTTGGCTTAGGATTGACTTGGCGATGCGGGCTCTTTTTTGGTTCCATATGAACTTTAAAGTAGTTTTTTCCAATTCTGTGAAGAAAGTCATTGGTAGCTTGATGGGGATGGCATTGAATCTGTAAATTACCTTGGGCAGTATGGCCATTTTCACGATATTGATTCTTCCTACCCATGAGCATGGAATGTTCTTCCATTTGTTTGTGTCCTCTTTTATTTCCTTGAGCAGTGGTTTGTAGTTCTCCTTGAAGAAGTCCTTCACATCCCTTGTAAGTTGGATTCCTAGGTATTTTAGTCTCTTTGAAGCAATTGTGAATGGGAGTTCACTCATGATTTGGCTCTCTGTTTGTCTGTTGTTGGTGTATAAGAATGCTTGTGATTTTTGTACATTGATTTTGTATCCTGAGACTTTGCTGAAGTTGCTTATCAGCTTAAGGAGATTTTGGGCTGAGACGATGGGGTTTTCTAGATAAACAATCATGTCGTCTGCAAACAGGGACAATTTGACTTCCTCTTTTCCTAATTGAATACCCTTTATTTCCTTCTCCTGCCTGATTGCCCTGGCCAGAACTTCCAACACTATGTTGAATAGGAGCGGTGAGAGAGGGCATCCCTGTCTTGTGCCAGTTTTCAAAGGGAATGCTTCCAGTTTTTGCCCATTCAGTATGATATTGGCTGTGGGTTTGTCATAGATAGCTCTTATTATTTTGAAATACGTCCCATCAATACCTAATTTCTTGAGAGTTTTTAGCATGAAGGGTTGTTGAATTTTGTCAAAGGCTTTTTCTGCATCTATTGAGATAATCATGTGGTTTTTGTCTTTGGCTCTGTTTATATGCTGGATTACATTTATTGATTTGCGTATATTGAACCAGCCTTGCATCCCAGGGATGAAGCCCACTTGATCATGGTGGATAAGCTTTTTGATGTGCTGCTGGATTCGGTTTGCCAGTATTTTATTGAGGATTTTTGCATCAATGTTCATCAAGGATATTGGTCTAAAATTCTCTTTTTTGGTTGTGTCTCTGCCAGGCTTTGGTATCAGAATGATGCTGGCCTCATAAAATGAGTTAGGGAGGATTCCCTGTTTTTCTATTGATTGGAATAGTTTCAGAAGGAATGGTACCAGTTCCTCCTTGTACCTCTGGTAGAATTCGGCTGTGAATCCATCTGGTCCTGGACTCTTTTTGGTTGGTAAACTATTGATTATTGCCACAATTTCAGATCCTGTTATTGGTCTATTCAGAGATTCAACTTCTTCCTGGTTTAGTCTTGGGAGAGTGTATGTGTCGAGGAATGTATCCATTTCTTCTAGATTTTCTAGTTTATTTGCGTAGAGGTGTTTGTAGTATTCTCTGATGGTAGTTTGTATTTCTGTGGGATCGGTGGTGATATCCCCTTTATCATTTTTTATTGTGTCTATTTGATTCTTCTCTCTTTTTTTCTTTATTAGTCTTGCTAGCGGTCTATCAATTTTGTTGATCCTTTCAAAAAACCAGCTCCTGGATTCATTGATTTTTTGAAGGGTTTTTTGTGTCTCTATTTCCTTCAGTTCTGCTCTGATCTTAGTTATTTCTTGCCTTCTGCTAGCTTTTGAATGTGTTTGCTCTTGCTTTTCTAGTTCTTTTAATTGTGATGTTAGGGTGTCAATTTTGGATCTTTCCTGCTTTCTCTTGTGGGCATTTAGTGCTATAAATTTCCCTCTACACACTGCTTTGAATGCGTCCCAGAGATTCTGGTATGTGGTGTCTTTGTTCTCGTTGGTTTCAAAGAACATCTTTATTTCTGCCTTCATTTCGTTATGTACCCAGTAGTCATTCAGGAGCAGGTTGTTCAGTTTCCATGTAGTTGAGCGGCTTTGAGTGAGATTCTTAATCCTGAGTTCTAGTTTGATTGCACTGTGGTCTGAGAGATAGTTTGTTATAATTTCTGTTCTTTTACATTTGCTGAGGAGAGCTTTACTTCCAAGTATGTGGTCAATTTTGGAATAGGTGTGGTGTGGTGCTGAAAAAAATGTATATTCTATTTAATAAATGGTGGTGGGAAAACTGGCTAGCCATATGTAGAAAGCTGAAACTGGATCCCTTCCTTACACCTTATACAAAAATCAATTCAAGATGGATTAAAGATTTAAACGTTAGACCTAAAACCATAAAAACCCTAGAAGAAAACCTAGGCATTACCATTCAGGACATAGGCGTGGGCAAGGACTTCATGTCCAAAACACCAAAAGCAATGGCAACAAAAGCCAAAATTGACAAATGGGATCTAATTAAACTAAAGAGCTTCTGCACAGCAAAAGAAACTACCATCAGAGTGAACAGGCAACCTACAACATGGGAGAAAATTTTCGCAACCTACTCATCTGACAAAGGGCTAATATCCAGAATCTACAATGAACTCAAACAAATTTACAAGAAAGAAACAAACAACCCCATCAAAAAGTGGGCGAAGGACATGAACAGACACTTCTCAAAAGAAGACATTTATGCAGCCAAAAAACACATGAAGAAATGCTCATCATCACTGGCCATCAGAGAAATGCAAATCAAAACCACTATGAGATATCATCTCACACCAGTTAGAATGGCAATCATTAAAAAGTCAGGAAACAACAGGTGCTGAAGAGGATGTGGAGAAATAGGAACACTTTTACACTGTTGGTGGGACTGTAAACTAGTTCAACCATTGTGGAAGTCAGTGTGGCGATTCCTCAGGGATCTAGAACTAGAAATACCATTTGACCCAGCCATCCCATTACTGGGTATATACCCAAAGGACTATAAATCATGCTGCTATAAAGACACATGCACACGTATGTTTATTGCGGCACTATTCACAATAGCAAAGACTTGGAACCAAGCCAAATGTCCAACAATGATAGACTGGATTAAGAAAATGTGGCACATATACACCATGGAATACTATGCAGCCATAAAAAATGATGAGTTCATGTCCTTTGTAGGGACATGGATGAAATTGGAAACCATCATTCTCAGTAAACTATCGCAAGAACAAAAAACCAAACACCGCATATTCTCACTCATAGGTGGGAATTGAACAATGAGATCACATGGACACAGGAAGGGGAATATCACACTCTGGGGACTGTGGTGGGGTCGGGGGAGGGGGGAGGGATAGCATTGGGAGATATACCTAATGCTAGATGACACGTTAGTGGGTGCAGCGCACCAGCATGGCACATGTATACATATGTAACTAACCTGCACAATGTGCACATGTACCCTAAAACTTAGAGTATAATAAAAAAAAAAAAAACATTAAAAAAAAAAAAAAAGACTTTTAGTAGTGAATCTGATGACTAAGCTTCTTCAGGGGTGGTATTCGTCCAATTCCTTTGTACATTTGGATGTGTCATATTTCCAGTGTCTTTGTATAACTTTTGATTTTTTATTAAAAATGGGACATTTGAATAAACAGCCACCTATCCTAGTCTTTGTAGATTGATTTGATATGGAGCTTACTTATACATACCCTAGTGACCAGGCCAAGTGAAAATTTAAAGCCTTCTGAGATCTTGTCTGAGCATGTGTGATGCCTGGGCATTTGTGTTATTTTCTCCATTCCCCAGTTTACACAGCTGCATTTGAATGCCTTAATTACCCACAGAGTTTTGTACCTCTTCTCCTTGGTCTTTAAATGGCCTATTGCATGTATCCATCTGTAATTCTTGCCCAGACAGCTGTGTGTGTGTGTGTGTGTGTGTGTGTGTGTGTGTGTGTGTGTGTGTTCCTGTGCTCTCCCCACATGTTTTATGACCAGTGCTCACTGATTTTTCTGCCTAAAATCCAAGCTAGGGGAAACACAGTCCTGTCATTCAGATAGCCTTCAACTCTACACAAGAATTTGAAAATGAGGTTTACTCTGCTCCCTTCGCTTTGGGAGAGGAAACTAACAACTGGGCTGCCATCACTTCCAGACCAAGATTATTGCTGCACCAGTGGTGTGGGAAGGGCAGGAAATTATTGCAAAATTGTTCTACCATCTTGAAACTGGTTTCTTCTTGAGTGACAATTTATTTGGTTGCTGTAAGTCTTTGACTATTTTCTGGAACTTCTATAAGGTTATTTCCAGAGTTTCTGGGTGTTTTCTTATGTTTCTGTAGGAGAACAAGAGTTGGAGCTTCCTAGTCTACCATCTTGCTGACATCATTCTCTAAATTTTTAAATTGAAAAATAAAAATTGTAAGATGATATTTTAAAAGAGGTATACATTGTGGAATGACTGAATTGAGCTAATTACCATATGGTTTATCTTACATAGTTTTTTTGTCGTGAGAACACTTAAAATCTACTCTCTTAGCAAATTTCAAATATGCAATACTTTATTAACTTTAGTTACCTTGTTGTACAGTAAGTCTCTTGAACATCATTCTTCTATCTGAAATTTTGTATTCTTTGACCAACATCTTCCAAATTCCTCTTTCCACTGAATAATGTGCTAACCAGTATTCTACTTTCTCCTTCTGTAAGTTTGAGTTTTTTAGATCTCACTTATAAGTGAGTTTAAGCGGTATTTTTCTTTCTGTGACTGGATTATTTCATTTCAAATAATGTCCTCCAATTTCATCTATGTTGATGAGTTTTTAAGTTGTGAATACATTGGAAACATGTAACATAAAATTTACCATCTAAACCACTGTTAAATGTCCAGTTCAGGGGTATTAACTACATTCATATTGTTTTTCTTTTAGCAAAACTGAAACTATATACCCATTGAACAATGAATCCCTATTCACTTTTCCCTCCTTGTTTTGGAAAACACCATTCCATGCTCTGTCTCTGTAAATATTAGTATTCTACGTATCTTATATATGTGAAATAATATAATATTCATTCTTCTGTGACTAGCATATTTAAGTATGCATAAAAACCTCATGGTTCATCCATGTTGTAGCATGTATCTGAATTTCTTTCCAAGACCAAAAGCATTTCATTGTATGTATATGTCAAATTGTGTGTATGCATTCACGCATTAATGGATACATGTATTTCTTTCACCTTTTAGGTAATATGAATAATGCTGCTCTGAACGTGAGTCTATAAACATCTAGTTGAGGCCCTGCTTTCAATACTTTGGGATATATAGCTGAAAATGGAATTACTGCTTATATCATAATTCCATTTTCTATTTTGAAGAACTACCATACTGTTTTCACAATGGCTGTACCATTTTACATTCCCAACAACAGTGCACAAGATTTCCAATTTCTACATGTATGTGCAAACACTTGTTGTTTTCTATTATGTTTTTGTGTTCTTTTTATAGTGACCATCCTAATGAATGTGAAATGATACCTAATTGTGGTTTTTGTGTGCATTTCCTTAATGATTAATAATATTGAGCATCTTTTCAGGTGCTTGTAAGTCATTTGTGTATCTTCTTATGCAAGATATATATTCAAGTTATTTTCCCATTTTTGAACTAGCTTGTTTGTTTTCTTGTTGTTTCCAGAGTTTTAATTTTGTGATTATTGTAGGGTCATATATGTCCTGTAAGGAATAATTTACAGAGATTCTGAATGCATTTTACCCAGTTGTCCTCAATGACTATATCTTTTCAAACAATGGTACCATGTCAAAACCAGAATATTGGCCATGATAGAAGCATGATATAAATCTATTTCAGCACCTCAAGCAATCCTTATAGTCACACCTACTACCCACTCGTGCCCCACTCCCTGGCCTTCACCTTGAAAAATTATTCCTATTTTCTATAATTTTGTTCAAGAACATTTTATAAAAAGGAATCACAAAATGTTACTTTTTGTGACCGATGATTTATACTTAGCCTAGTTTTCTTGAAATTTGTCCAGGTTGTTTTGTGTATTAATAATTGGCTCATTTTAATAGATGAGTAGTGTTCTATGATATGGATATACCAGACTTTGTTAAATCTTCATATATGAAGGGCATTGGGGTGTTTCCAGTGTTTCATTACTATAAAGAAGCATTCATAGTTATGTTATAGACATAATGATGGACATTCCATAATGCCCAAGTGTTAACAAAAAATCCAACATTGTTATGGACATTCATATAAATAATTTTGTGTGAATATTTGGTAAAGATCTAGTAGTGAAAGTTTTGGGTTATAAAGTATTTTCATATTTAGTTTTTTTTAAAAAAACTATCAAATGCTTTTCCATTTTCACTGTACCATTTTATATTTACTAGAAGAAATATTTGTGTTCTGTGTCCTCTGAGGAATGGTTTATTTCTAAATAACTTGTAGAGAGAGAATGGAGAGGTAAATTGCTGTGTTCCCTCAGGTATCTTTGGTTCAGCTAGGACCCATAAAAGACATACTGTAGTCATAACCAACATTTGCCATGGTTTGAATGTGTCCCACAATTTCATGTGTTGGAAGCTTACTCTCCATTTTGGCAGAATTAAAGTTGGAGCCTTTAAGTAGTGATTGGGTCATGAAAGCTCTGCTCTCATGAGGGGATTAACCCTTTCATGAATTAAAGGATTGGTGGATTATCAGAGGAGTGAAATGGTAGCTTATATAAAAAGAGGAAGGGGGACCTAAGCAAGTATGTTAGCATGCTCTGGACTTTTGCTGTGTGATACTCTGCAACACATCAAGACCCAGTAGAGATTTCCCATCAGAAAGAAAGTCTTCATGAGATGCCAGGACAGGCTCTGGCACTTCCTACACTCCTTAATTGTAAGAAATAAATTTATTTTCTTTATAAATTACCCAATTTCAGGTGTTCTGTTATTAGCAACAGAAAATGGACTAAGATAATAATCCTTCAGAATATGCTTATAAAAATAATTGTTGCAGATATAATTAGTTAAGATGAAGTCATCATAGCCTGAGTGGACCTTTAAATCAAAATGTCTAGTGTACTCATAAGAAAACAATGTGCACACAGAAACGGAGAGCACACCATGTATGGACAGTGTGGAGGCTGAAGATTGGCACCTGCAAGCCAAGGAATGCCAAAGATTGACAGCAAACCACCAGAAGCCAGTGAGGATTATACTGTACCTGTTACGGAAAGTGCATCATCTTTCTATGTCTAACCTCCAGAACTGGGAGAAAATGTATTTCAATTGCCTTAAGCCACCAGTTTGTGTACTTTCTTAAAGCAGCTGAAGGACTTCATACATCCTTGGAACCACTCTAGGTGCCTGTCCTGCTGTCACTTTAGGGTGTCATGCAGGTTTATAAGCAGTGGGACAAAGAGTGAGAGATATTTCCATCTCCTAAAAATCCTCCTGGAAGCAGTCTTTGGGTATTTCCTGGTTAAGAGATTGAAATGATAGACACCAGATAAAATTATGGAGCTTTCTCTATTATCCTCTTTTCATACCTCTATTTTTACTAAAAGAATAGAATTATGTATAGAATGCATGTGCCAAGAGAAGGTTCAGAGTCAGTCAAGTAACCAGGTAGAAGCTCCATGAAAGCATAATTATTATTTTTTCTCTCCTGAATCCTAAAGTCCTAGAAAACTGATAGACACATAGAGTAAACTCAATCATTGATCATGAATAACGTAGAGACCCAAAATATTGATATTTTATTGATCGACACTACTGTCAAGAAATACACCTTATGCGCTTCTCCCCTTTGTTCTCAAAGAACAATCTAGAGGAGTCTAGGCAAACCAGGTGGTACAGTTCAGACTGTACAGTATAATCTATGAGTTCTGCCCTATGACTCCCATGATCCCTCTTCATCTTCAATAGAGTATTGGTAGGAAAAAGTTCTTTATGAGAGATGTATCAAGATCATGAGCAGTTCTTCCTTACTCCAGGATGCAGCCTAAACCCCATAGCTGCATTGTGTGGAATCGTTTGAGATCCTCTCTCCTGTCTCCATTCCAACCAGATCTTGACAATTCCTTTTCTCCACACCACCTCCTGCCCTGCTGACTCTGGCTGTTTCCACACATGCTATGCTTCCAGGCCTTTGTGCATTTTCCTGGGCTTCTACTTGTCCCTTTTTGCACTCTCTTCTGCTTAGATGTCTTTCAAGATGCAGATCAGCCATCAGTTTCCTTAGGGAAATTTTGCTCTCTCCTCTTACCTACACTGTTCCCTGTATATTTATTCTTTCACATGTTGGCATTAAACACGACCCTGATTCCTGTGGATCATTACAGTCTCTATGATGACCTACAAGTATCATTGCACTTATTATCCTTTGCTTCTCCATGTCCCACACTAGATTCAGAGCACTTTATGGGCAGGCACAGGGGGCTACTCAAATCATGCCACTTGAATTAAGTTTATAGGACCTGATAATGAGGTAGTAGCAGCTTCAGTTAGCCTGCAAACAAACAAACACAACTAGTAGAACCTCACTGACAGAGTATAAAATGTACTCTTTGATTTAGGATTTAGAGACACATAGGGAGGAGGTATGTGTAGCCAGAGGAATGCCAGTATTTGTGCCAATTCACCACTTTGATGAGGGGATGTGGAGTAATGCCAGGGACAAAAGAGGAGTTTATAGAATGATTGAAGGTCTAAAGGCAGCGTGCTGAGAGGCAGGTGGAGGATATGCATTGGGCAAAGTTCTAGGGAGGTCTCTGGGTTTACCCTAGGGTGAACATGCCTAATACCTCTCCCACCAGTTCATTCCTTCACTGCTTTTCCTCCGTACTATGAGCTGATGTTAGAGATGGTTAGATCCTTTATCTCTTACATTTCTTCTAGTGTGAAAAGAGGAAAAATGAAGAGACTTGAGTGAGTGTGTGTGAACGTATGTGTTTATGTGTGTAAAACTTTAAAAATTTATTTCCAGTAAGTTTGTAGTTCACATATTACAGTTATACACATTTTTGTAGTACATGTGATATTTTGATACGTGTATATAATGTGTAATGATCAAATCAGGGTAATTGGGATATGCATCCAAACTAACATTCATCTTTTTTGTGTTGGAATCATTACAATTCTCTTCTAGCTATTTTGGAATATACAGTGAATTATTGTTAAGTATAATTTCCCCATTGTACTATCAACTACTAGAACTTATTCCATCTATCTAACTTCCTCCATTTGGAGAGACTATATTAGTACAGAGCAAGTGAAACATGTGAATACTAATAATGATTCTCATGTTCTAATAAACAGCAATCATTTAATTGGGCATCAGTGAATTTGTCATTGAGAATACATATGAGAATGGATGAGATGTCCAGTCCATGATTACTCTACTATGTACATAATTTAACTGAAGTTCCATCGTCACAAATTACTTCACAACAGAATGGATCAAATCTGTGACGTCCACTTCTCTTTTTGCGGGAAAGTATTATTTTCTTCAATGATGGCTGCCCTTCAGACAGTGGTTTCTTCAGCTCTGGTGACAAATTAGGAATGAATTCTGATGTCGTACCTAAGGCTTGTCCATCTTTGTTGTTGGAGGTTGACACCATTTCTGTGAAGTAAAAGAGAGGAATGAAAGGTGAGGAAAAACATTCATGTGAAAGAGGATCAGAAAAATTATACAATTTGCCTAGACCACAATGTACCCATTGCCTCCATGTAATTAAACACCAGAGAGAATCAGCAAGTATCCTAACATTTCAACAACTTAGCTTACTTAGAGTAGGGCACTTTAAGATACTACAATATTAAGGATATGCTAACTCCTCATCCTGTCCCCTCTATGCACTCTTCTAATGACCCTCTAAATGCCTATACCATACCACTTTTGACTCTCCCTGACACTGTTTTGATTGATAACCTCAATGCATTATGTACTGGATAGCAATAGGGAATTTTTTTTATAATCACAAGTTATTCTAATAGAAAGATTCAGATATTCAAATCTGATCCACATAAATCTATACATCTATATCAGTGGATCTTAGCTAAAAGGCTGAGAAGCAACATACATCTATATGTGTCGACACCAAATGTTAACATTTGTTATCCATGAATACTTTCCATTTTTCTTGTTAAATTTATCTATATTTGTCAAAGTATTTAAATGAGGATTTTCACTTATTTACTGAAAAAAAGTGAAATTTAAATAGAAATTATAGTACAGCATGCTCTTCCTTAGTTTGCATTAGAAATTGTTTGGACTTTGTGGTATTCTTCCCTTATTTTATAGTAAAATGAAACAAGCTCTGACTAATAATGTAAAAAAAGGAAATAACTTTGAAATCGTTATATAAATCACACAAAATCCAAGTGCATTCACTGTGCACGATAACTTTAAACAGAGTCATTTAATGATTTAATGAAGTGTATGCATATGGGTTACAAGAAGCAGTTCTGGAGTCACACATTGCTGGTTCAAAACCTGTGTCATTTGTATTAAATGTAAAACAATGTTTAGTAATTTAACTTAGCTTTTCAGAACTTAATACGACCTATTAGACAGAATATAGTAGCCTCTATCTCTTTTCGAAACTGCCCCTGCTAGTTTTAACTTAGCTGGCAATTTATCTTTATGAATACCTTGTTACTTGGTAAAGTTTGAAAACTATCCTGGTATTGAACTTTCCTCAATTCTGAAATCTTGCTTTTAAAGAAAATGCTTTGCAGTCTCAAATGTTGAAAACACTAATCAAATCAGCTATGATGGTCTGAACAGTGAAATTCCCTTGTCTCTGGTCCCCTTCAATTTCCCCTCTAGTCATCCAGGCCACTTTCTTTCTCTTCATCTCATCTCTCTCAACACACTACAAGAGTAGATTCAAAGAAATGGGAGGCAAGGTGCTCTGTTGGTGTGCATTAAAAAAAACTTTTTTGTAAGAGGACGTTTTTGGTGACATAGACCACTGCCCAGCTTAATGACAAAGGATGAGAGTTATTAAATCTAAGCCCCCTTTATCTCACATTCCAGGAACCTAACAGAGGTCTCAGTGTGCTGCCCCTAGGCCAATAGGTGCATAAACAGAAATGATAATCAGCTCATCACCTCACTGTTTGTCCCCTTTCTTCTTAATTGAAGATGCCTGGCCCAGGCATCTCATTGCAATCACACCTGTTTTCTGGCCTGCCCAGCTTTCCTGGGGGTCTGGGAGTACACCTCACCTCCTGCTGGTGTTTGAGAATAGTCACCTTCTCTGAGGATTCCCTGTTTTCTCCACCCTGTATCTCTGGCTGCCAGGTGGGAAAGGCACCAAGAGCCTCCAAGGTGAGGCTGTTCTTCTGTTTTTCCTGCAGCTTCTCCTCTACCCCCAACTTCCCATGAGATTTCTGGTGAGACCCTTTTAATAAAAGCACATTACAATGAAAAACCACAAACTTGTAGGCACTAGCCACAGTAGAGTCTGAGTTGACTACAGGCAGTCAATGAGATCTGGAGCCTGTTTTTTCAGGCCTCATTCTGATTGTTTGGTAGTCCAGGGCTCTCACCTTTGGGACGTCCAGATTCCAGCAGCCACCCTCCTGGGGTGGTGGTGAATGTCTTCTCAGGCATGGGGCAATATGACAGCAAGTGTTTTCCAAATCGGGGACCACATCCCCTCAGCTCTGCTGCTAGGCTTTCTCTAAGGAGTTGGCTCAGCAGCAGCCAGATTGCTGGCAGATAGGACCGGAACAGGCTGGCCATCCTGGACCTGAACTCTCCTGTTCTGGGTGTTCTCAGCCTTTCTTTAGAGACTTGCTGCTGTAGCCTACCAGACTGTGCTGGTGTGTCCCTTCTGGGCTCCAGACTGCTTTCTGCATGCCTTCATCAGGCATTTATTTGCTTAGGGCTATTACTCAGCTTTTGCGTCAATGGTGTCAGTTCCACCCCTTTCCCACCCACCTACAAGGAACTTTCTCCCTCAGTTCTTATTTAGTCTCCCTACTTGCCCTACCCACACTCTCATATCCCTCTTTGCTCCCAATGTGCTGCTGCACTTTGCTTGTTTTGAATTTGGTTGTTCTACTTCTTTTTCTTAACTTTCCTCCTGTAATACTATTTTTATGCTTACTAAAATAATGGTAATTTTTAATGTCCTTTGCTTAGATGAAATAAAAATAGAACTGACCTGTAAGCTCATTGGCTAGAAATTATCTTAGTTAACATTTGGCATATAAGCTTTTAATTGCGGGGGTCTGTCCCACAGACCCTGACCCAACGACGGATGAATAACATACACTGACACAGATAGTTTGCCTGTCAGTCCAGCTGAGGGTCCGGGCCACCTACAGACACCAAGGAGGGTGCTGTAAAGAGTTGCAGCCGTGGCCCCGATCAGCCAGCAAAGCTCACATTTATTCAGCATAGATTAAATGACGAAGGTCTTGAGTAAACACCACTAGAAGGTAATTGACATTGCCAACCTCCCGAGTAGAGAGCAATTATGCACCCGCGGTTGATCAAAGATTAGTCTTAGGACCACATGAGTAAACAAACTAGATAAACTACATTCATTTGTATCTGTGCCTTAAGCTATTAACTCAAGGTAAGGATTAGGCTGCCTTCAGCCTGATCTATTACTGGAGCTTATACAAACCCCTCCGGCGTTTCAAAAAGGTTTGCGTCTTTTTCTTATAACTATCTGAAAAAATTTTCCCACCAGCCTGACTGAACTCTCACATCTCCCCCCTTTCTGTTCTTTGCATCGGGTTCTGTTGACTTAAGAGTACAGATGTGTGCAGCAACAGGTTTGTTAGGTTTTGCTTTTATTCCGGCTTTGCATCATAGAATTAGCAAATAACGTAAGACAATCATGAGTATAATTAGTAACATTCCTTTCCAGTCAAAGTGTGACCCCCAGGATCGGGGGTATAACCAGGAGAAATGATCTTGCACACCTTTCCATATGGCTGTTTGTTGAGTATGTAGATCTATCATGTGAAGGGATTCTAAAATTTTAGTTTTAAGTTGCTTTACGTCTGCTGTTAAATTGTCATGAAAGTTTCCCCAGAGGTGTTGTTTCACCTCATCCCAACTATGTATTGATTGATTCCAAGGTAAAAATGTGACACAGATATGTTTATGCTCCCAGTCACAGTTTAATTGCTATCAGAATGCTAGGGCATCTTGTCGCTCCCCCACAAATTCCAAGGCAGCCTCGAGGGCTTGCAGACGTGCAAGAATCTCTTGATCTATACCCTGCTGTAAGAGAAGTTCATTAGACACATTTCTGGCCAAATTGTCTACAAAAGCAGCTGTTTGCACTGATTCGGTAGTAGATGCTATAGCCACACTAGCAGTTGCTAGGATGACTATGGCTGAGACTATAAAGGTTATAAGTGTGCCTATAAATCTTTTGGGTCTGACCTGGGATAGGGCACATTCTAAGGTGGCAAAGGAAGAGGAACCTTGCCAATAGTGTGTCAAATTGACGGGTAGGAATGCCTCAGATTGTCTCCTTAATACCATGACACTAGTAGTATTTAAATTAGATATATTGTAATTAGTGGTACATGAGGCAAACAAAGCCTGTCCTTGCACCCGGGTCACAAACATGGAATTTTGGGTTGTAATAGAAATATTAGTTCCCATAAGGAAAACATATGGATGGAGTTGCAAATTAGGGACTGATCAGTGTGATTATGAATAAAGGTTATAGTATAGTTGTTACTGTAATTATGATATGTCCCATGCCAGGTGTCAAGGGAGGTGCTAAGATGTCCCAGGCAACATAAAGTGTCTTGGGGAGGCATCAACTTTACTCGGGGTCTGGGATATCCTATCCTCCCATCGGCCCAAATCATAAGGGAATGGGACGAGGCTATGAAACTGTGATCGATGCCATGATGGATGAGGATATCAGTAAGGCTGCCCTACAAATGGCCACAGGGGCTCCAGTCTAGGATGTTATAATTGCCTAACTGGAGGCTATGAGCTTATTCCCCATGACAGATCTCCCAGCTAAAGTGGAATCCGTTATTTTTCCGGCTTTGTTCTTTAGCACAGGAAGGAATGTTTGGGAAAGCAGACTTGATTTCCGTTTTGAGGCTACCTGCAGCTAAGACTGTTAAGGCACTTCTTTTGCCATGATGTAGCCATAATTGTGTTTCAGTAGGTGCACACTAAGGGTTAGAACATTTATAATTTACACACAATGGGAGGATAGTAGAGTGATCTGTAGTGTTATCTGGCACCTTAGTCCAATGTGTGCCATTATTGAGGAACCCCACTGGGGGTAAATCTATCCCTCCTAGCTAAGCAGTCACGTTATTAAAGGCTGGGAAGGGGTTGTATACCCAAGTGACAGGGCAAAAGAAAAGTGGATCTAAGATATGAGCCCAATAGAGTGTAGACATTGCCACCCTCCCGAGTAGAGAGCAATTATGCACCTGCGGTTGATCAAAGGTTGGTCTTAAGACCACATGTGTAAACAAGCTATTTAGATAAACTACTATACATTCCTTTGTATCTGTGCCCTAAGCTATTAACTCAAGGTAAGGATTAGGCTGCCTCCAGCCTGATCTATTACTGGAGCTTATGCAACACCTCCAGCCTTCCAAGAAGGTTTGCATCTTTTTCTTATAACTATCTTTAAATTTTTCCCACCAGCCTGACTCAACTCCCACATTTAATATTTCTCCTAACTTACTCCGTATTTATTTGTATTTTTTCTTCCAAACATTAAAATATATTGTATTGATTTCTATATTGTCTTGTGTATCTATCCATAGTATTTTGATGAGTGGATGGATCAGTTGTTCATTAGAGAAAGACGACTAGTGATGTTTAAACCAGGTCCTGTGAACACTATTAAAATTCCAATAACATCACTTTAGGCTTGTATAACAATGTTTGAAGTTTACAAGGAACTTTCTTCAAAGGTATGTACTTACATCTGCCCTCCATTGATCCTGAGAAGGATGAGAAACACAGGCATCCTATAGGGTTGACTGTTAAGTCTTGGGAGAGCACCCATGGAGGTTTTTTTTATACTTGGGAGAAATCACATTGTATCTTTCCATGAATTTCTTTCTTTGAACTCCCATGGGTGATTGATTAATTGTTACCAGTTATCTGAATACTTAATTTGAAACTACAATTACTGTCTCTAGAGTCTGGAGCTGGAGGCCACACACACACACACACACACACACACACACACACACACACACACACACCAAAAAAGGCAAGAAAAGAGCAGAAGAATTCAACAGTTTCAGGGAGAACATATTGGTAACACATGTTCATGCACAAAATTGTATACCTTTATGATCAACTTTTGTATACTATGTGTGTTGTAGTTTGTGAAAAGGGTTTTTAAATCACATTTTATTATTTATTTCCTATTCCTTTTTTTTTCAACTTTAAGTTCAGGGGTACATGTGCAGGATGTGCAGGTTCATTACATAGGTAAATGTGTGCCATGGTGGTTTACTGCGCAGATCATCTCATCACCCAGGTGTTAAGCCCAGCATCCATTAGTCATTCTTCCAGATGCTCTCCCTTGCCCCACCACCCCCACAGTTGCCCAGAGTGTGTTGTTCCCCACCATGTGTCCATGTGTTCTCATCATTCAGCTCCCACTTATAAGTGAGAAAATGCAGTGTTTGGTTTTCTGTTCCTGTGTTAGTTTGCTGAGGAGAACGGTTTCCAACTCCATCCATGTCCCTGCAAAGGACATGATCTCATTCCCTTTTATGCATAGTATTCCATGGTATATGTACCACATTTTCTATATCCAGTCTATCATTGATGGGCATTTCAGTTGATTCCATGCCTCTGCTATTGTGAATAGTACTGCAGTGAACATAAGCGTGCATGTATCTTTGTAATAGAATGATTTATATTCCTTTGGGTGTATATCCACTAATGGAATTTCTGGGTAAAATAGTGTTTCTGGTTCTAGATCTTTGAGGAATTGCCACACCACCTTCCTTAATGGTTCAACTAATTTACATTCCCACCAAAGTGTAAAAGCATTCCTATTTATCTGCAACCTTGCCAGCATCTGTTGTTTCTTGACTTTGTAGTAAATTGCCATTCTGACTGGCATGAGATTGTATCTCATTGTAATTTTGATTTGCATTTATCTAATGATTAGTGATGTAGAGCTTTTTTCCAATTGTTTTGTGGCCCCATGAATGTCTTCTTTTGAGAAGTGTCTGTTCATGTCCTTTGCTCACTCTTTAATGGGGTTGTTTGTTTTTTTCTAGTACATTTGTTTAAGTTCCTTGTAGATTCTGGATACTAGACCTTTGTCAGATGGACAGATTGCAAAAGTTTTCTCCCATTTAGTAGGTTGTCTGTTCACTCTGATGATAGTTTCTTTTGCTGTGCAGAGGCTCTTTAGTTTAATTATATCCCATTTGTCAACTTCTACTTTTGTTGCAATTGCCAATGGTATATTTCTCATGAAATCTTTGCCCATGCCTATGTCCTGAATAATATTGCCTAGATTTTCTTCTAGGGTTTTTATAGTTTTGGATTTTACATTTAAGTCTTTAATCCACCTTAAGTTAATTTTTTTATATTGTGTAAGGAAGGGGTCTGTCCAGTTTTAATTTTCTGTATATGGCTAGCCAGTTCTCCCAGCACCATTTATTAAATAGGGAATCCTTTCCCCATTGCTTGTTTTTGTTAGGTTTGTCAAAGATCAGATGGCTCTAGGTGTATGGTCTTATTTCTGACTTCTCTATTCTGTTCCATTGGTCTATGTGTCTGTTCTTGTTCCAATACCATGCTGTCTTGGTTACTGTAGCTATGTAGTATAGTTTAAATTGGGTAGCATGATGCCTTCAGCTTTATTCTTTTTGCTTAGGGTTGTCTTGGCTATTTGGGCTCTTTTTTGGTTCCATATGAATTTTAAAATAGTATTTTCTAATTCTGTGGAGAATGTCAAAGGTAGTTTAATGGGAATAGCATTGAATCTATAAATTGCTTTGGGCAGTGTGGCCATTTTTGTGTTATTGATTCTTCCTATCCGTGAGCGAGGAATGTTTCTCCACTGGTTTGTATCTTCTGTGATTCCTTTGAGCAGTGGTCTGTAGTTCTCCTTGAAGAAGTCTTCAACTTCCCTTGTTAACTGTGTTCCTAGGTATTTTATTATTTTCGTGGCAATCATGAGTGGGAGTTCATTCGTGATTTGGCTCTCTCCTTGTCTGTTGTGTACAGGAATGCTAGCAATTTTTGCACATTAATTTTATATCCTAAGACTTTGCTAAAATTGCTTATCAGCTTAAGAAGCTTTGGGGTTGAGACTATGGGGTTTTCTAGATATAGAATCATGTCATCTGCAAACAAAGATAATTTGACTTCCTTTCTTCCTATTTGAATACCCTTCATTTCTTCCTCTTGCTTAATTGCCCTGGCCAGGGCTTCAAATACTATGTTGAATAGGAGTGGTGAGAGAGGGTATCCTTGTCTTGTGCTGGTTTTCAAGGGGAATGCTTCCAGCTTTTGCCCATTCTGTATGATATTGGCTGTGGGTTTGTCATAAATGGCTCTTATTATTTTGAGGTATTTTCCTTCAATACCTAGTTTATTGAGAGTTTTTAACATGAAGGGATGTTGAATTTTATCAAAGGCCTTTTCTGCATGTCTTGAGATAATCATGTAGTTTTTGTCTTTAGTTATGTTTATGTGATAAATCACATCTATTGATTTGTGTATGTTGAACCAACCTTGCATCCCAGGGATGAAGCCAACTTGATCATGGTGGATAAGCTTGTTGATGGGCTGCTAGATTTGGTTTACCAGTATTTTATTGAGGATTTTTGCATCATTGTGCATCAAGGATATGGCTCGAAGTTTTCTTTTTGTTGTTGTTGTTGTATCTTTGCCAGGTTTTGGTATCAGGATGATTCTGGCCACATAGAATGAGTTATGGAGGAGTCCCTCCTCCTCAATTTTTTTGGAATAGTTTCAGTAGAAATGGTACCAGCTCTTCTTTGTACCTCTGGTAGACTTCAGCTCTGAATTCTTCTGGTCCTGGGCTTTATTCGGTTGGTAGAGTATTTATTACTGAACACATTTTTGGACTATTCAGGGATTCAGTGTCTTCCTGGTTTACTTTTGGGAGGGTGTATGTGTCCAGGAAATTATCCATTTCTTCTAGATGTTCTAGTTTATGTGCATAGAGGTGTTTATAGTATTCTCTGATAGTTGATTGTATTTCTTTGAGGTCAGTAGTGATATCCCTTATCATTTCTGATTGTGTTTATTTGATTCTTCTCTCTTTTCTTATTAGTCTAGCTAGCAATATATCTATTTTGTTAATTTTTTTTTCAGGAAACCAGCTCCTGAATTTTTTGATTTTTTTAAGGGTTTTTCATGTCTCTATCTCCTTCAGTTTGACTCTGATCTTGGTTGTTCTGTTCCTCTGCTAGCTTTGGGATTTGTTTGTTCTTGGTTCTCTCGTTCTTTTAGTTGAGATGTAAGGTTGTTAACTTGAGATCTTTCTAGTTTTTTGATGTGTGCATTTATTGCTATAAATTTCTCTCTTAAGACTGCTTTGGCTGCATCCCAGGGATTCTTGTATGTTGTCTCTGTTCTCATTAGTTTCAAACAACTTGATTTCTGCCTCAATTTTATTATTTACTCAAGAGTCATTCAGGAGCAGGTGGTTCAATTTCCATGTGGTTGTGTGCTTTTGAGTGAGTTTCTTAATCTTGAGTTTTAATTTGATTGTGTTGTGGTCTAAGAGACTTATGACTTTATTTCTATTCCATTTGCTGAGGAATATTTTACTTTCAATTATGTGATCAACTTTAGAGTAAGTGTTGTGTGTCAATGAGAATGTTTTGGGGTGGAGGGTTCTGTACATATCTATCAGGTCCACTTGATCCAGAGCTGAGTTCAGGTCCTGAATATCTGTTAACTTTGTCTCGATGATCTGTCTAATACTGACAGACGGGTGTTAAAGTCTCCTACTATTATTGTGTGGGAGTCTAAGTCTCATTGTACATCTCTAAGAACTTGCTTTATGAATCTGGGTGCTCTGTGTTGGGTGCATATGTATTCAGGATAGTTAGCTCTTCTTTTTGAATTGAACCCTTTACCATTATGTAATGCCCTTGTTTTTCTATTTTGATCTTTGTTGGTTTAAAGTCTGTTTGGTCAGAAACTAGGATTGAAATCCTTGCTTTTTTCTGTTATAGATTTGCTTGGTAAATTTTCCTCCATCCCTTTATTTTGAGCTTATTGTGTCTTTGCATGGAGATGAGTCTTTTGAAGACAGCATAGCAATGGGTGTTTTGCTCTTTATCCAGTATGCCATTCTGTATCTTTTAATTAGGGCATTTAGCCTATCTACATTTAAGGTTAGTATTGTTATGTGTGAATTTGATCTTGTCCTGATGCTGGCTGGTTATTTTGCAGACTTATTTGTGTGGGCTTCATAGTGTCACTGGTCTGTGTACTTCAATGTGTTTTGTAGTGGCTGGTAATGTTGTTATTGTTGTTTCCTCCATATAAAATTCTGGGTTGGAATTTCTTTTCTTTAAGTATGTTGAATACTGGCTCCCAATCTCTTCTGGTTTGTAGGGTTTCTGCTGAGTGGTTCACTGTTACTCTGATGGGTTTTCCTTTGCAGGTGACCTGGCCTTTATGTCTAGCTGCCCTTAACATTTTTTCTCTCATTTCGACCTTGGAGAATCTGAGGATTATGTGTCTTAAGGTTGATCTTCCCATGGGATATTTTACTGGGGTTGTCTGCATTTCCTGAATTTGAATGTTGGCCTGTCTTGCTAGGTTGGGGAAGTTCTCTTGAATGATATCCTGAAGTATGTTTTCCAACTTGGTTCCATTCTTCTTGTCTCTTTCATGTACCCCCGTCATTCATAGATTTGGTCTCTTTACATAATCCCATAATTCTTGGATATTTTGTTATTTTTAAAAAAATTCTTTTTTCCTCTATTCTTGTCTGCCTGTTTTATTTCAGAAAGATAGTCTTCCAGCTCTGAGAGTCTTTCCTCTGCTTGGTTTGTTCTGCTATTGATACTTATGATTGAATTGTGAGTTTCTCATGTTGCATTTTTCAGCTTCATCAGGTCAGTTATGTTCCTCTCTAAATTTGCTTTTCTGGCTATCGGCTCCTGTATTGTTTTATCCTGATTCTTAGCTTCTTTGCATTGGGTTACAACATGCTTCTTTAATTCAGTGAGGTTCATTATTACCCACCTTCTGATGCCTATTTCTGTCAATTCAGCCATCTCAGCCTCAACCCAGTTCTGTGCCCTTGCTGCAGAAGTGTTGCAGTCATTTGAAGGAGAAGAGGCACTCTGCCTTTTTGACTTTTCGGTATTTTTGCATTTATTCTTTCTCATCTTTGTGGGCTTAACTACCTTAGATCATTAAGGTTGCTGAGCTTTGAAAGGGGTTTTTGTGGGGTCATTTCTGTTAATGTTGTTCTTGTTGTTCTTTGTTTTTCTTTTAACAGTCAAGCCATTCTACTGTAGGACTGCTTTGGTTTTCTAGGGGTCCACTTCAGACCCCAGTCTCCTGCCTCTCCCACCTCTGGAGGTATCACCAGTGAAGGCCGTGAAACAGCAAAGATGGGAACCAACTCTACCCTCTGGCACCTCCATTCTAGGGGGCACTGACCTGCTGTTGGCATATATGCACCTGCAGGAGATGGCTGGCGACCCTCAATGGGAGATCTCACCCAGACATGTGGGACAGAATCAGGAACCCTTCTAATGAAGCTGTCTGGCTGTTTCTTGGTAGAGCAGGTGTATTGTGGGGTTGGGGTGGCTTCTTCATCTGGACCACCTGTATTCTTCACAGCTGGCAGGGTTGAACAGCTCAGGCTGGAATGACTGAGTTTATGGAACCATAGAAATGGGGGCTGCCTCTCACTCCAGGAGCTCCCTTCTAGGGAGAGATCAAGTCTCTGTCCACAGAACCAAAGACCTGCCTAGAGAGGAGGAGTGGGTCAGGACCCAGTTAGAGAAGTAGTCTGGCCATGATCTGGAAAGTTAGTTGCACTGCACCATGGGGTGGTAGGGGTGGGGACAGCTACTCTTCTGGGCCATCTGCACTCTTCACAGCCAGCAGGCTGGAACAGTTGATATGGAACCACAGAGATGGTAGCTACCTCATCACATTTTAAAGTTTTAAACAAGTCAGCAAAGTTGTGGGGCAATGGGCTCATCAGATGACTCTCAAAGTATAGAAAAATTTTATATCCAAATAGGACTTCTTGTTTATAAGTCTGTTTTCTTTAAGAAGGGAGTTTATTCAGACCAGATCTGCTTTACTCATATAAGCTGGAGGGCTTACTTGAAATAAATTAATAAATTATTTTTGTTCCCAATAAAAAATTATCTATGGTCCTCATAAATTTGAGGATGGCCCGCTCATCATTTATCAAACATTGAGCATGTGTAACTCTTCTAATAATAACTGTCTAGGGCTACAGGAATGTCAGAGTCAGTGATTTAGATGAGTTTTCACCAAGACATAGTATCTGGGAGAGGCTTCTCAAAAGTGATGTTTTGAAGGCATTTTTATGGGTTGACAAAATTTGGAGAATAGTCCATATGTAATTCTGTTCTACAATGTAATTGATTATTTAAAAATGAATTCCTAGGTGTCTCTACATAACATGCAAAAATGTTTTCTAAAAATTGTTTTCTATTTTATGTGTTCTGGATATTTAATCCTTATCTGGCACATGATTTGCTATCATTTCTTCTAATTTTGTGTTTTTATTTCACTCTGTTAGTGTTCTTTTATGCACAAAAGTTTTCAATGAAGTTGAATATTTATGGGGTTATTTTGGCATGATATCTGCAAAATCTTTACAAAATCCAACATCAAGAAAATTTTTTTCTTGACAATTTCCAATTTTTTCTTGACAAATTTTTTCTTGACAATTTCCAATGTCAAGAAAATTTCCCCTATGGATTTTTCTAAAACATTATGCTTATTTCTTATATTTTGTGTTTCATATATTTTGGGTTAAATATTCTATATGGTGTGAGGTGATGATTCAAGTTCTTCTTTTTCATGTGGCTATCCAGTTTTTCCAGCATCACTTGTTGAAAAGACTGTTCTTTCCCCATGGAAATTGCCTTGGTACTTTTGTCAAATGTCACTTAACAAAATATCAGATTTGTTTCTGTTCTCTCTATTCAATTCCATTGGTCCATATGAGTCTTCTATATCAACACCATAATCTTTTGATGACTGTAGCTTTGTAGAAAGTTTTAAAATCAGAAAGTGTGAGTCTCCAATTTTGTTCTTTTTAAAAGACAGTTTTGGTTATTTGGGAATTCTTGAGATTCCATATGAATATTAGGAAGGTTTTTTTCTATTTCTGCAAAGGAAAAGAAAAGAAAAAAAGAAAAGAAAAACTACCTTTGGGATTTAGATAGAGATAATAGCAAGCCTGTGGACCCCTTTTGGGTAGTATTGACATCTTAACAATGTTAAGTCTACTAATCCAGGAAACCTATGAATAAGACAGGTGTTTCCATTTATTTATGTGCCAAGACCAGTTCGGTCGGGGAGACCCTAACCCAGTGACGCTAGAGGAATTAAAGACACACACACAGAAATACAGAAGTGTGAAGTGGGAAATCAGGGGTCTCACAGCCTTCAGAGCTGAGAGCCCTGAACAGAGATTTACCGCAAGCCAGTCATTAGCATTGTTTCTATAGATTTTAGATTAACTAAAAGTATCCCTTATGGGAAACAAAGGGATGGGCCGAAATAAAGGGATGGGTTGGGCTAGTTATCTGCAGCAGGAACATGTCCTTAAGGCACAGATTGTTCATGCTATTGTTTGTGGTTTAAGAACACCTTTAAGCGGTTTTCCGCCCTGGATGGGCAAGGTATTCCTTGCCCTCATTCCAGTAAACCCACAAACTTCCAGTGTGGGCATTATGGCCATCATGAACATGTCACAGTGCTGCAAATATTTTGTTTATGGCCAGTTTTGGGGCCAGCTTATGGCCAGATTTTGGGAGGCCTATTCCCAACATTTATGTTTTCTTTAATATCATTCAGCAATATTTTTCTAAATATATGACAAAATACTTTATTGTTTTTGATGCTATTGAAGATGGAGTTTTTTCCATAATTTCATTTTTTATGTTCATTGGAAACCAATGTTTGCATGTTGAATTTGTATCCTGTCATTTAATGGAAATTGTTCATTAGTTCTATTAGCTGTTTTTAGATCTTTCAGTTTTTCAACATATGTAATTATATCATCTGCAAAGAGAGAATACGTATTTCTTCCTTTTCAATTTTCATGCCTTTTTTCCTCACCTGATTTGTCTGGCTAAGTCTTCCACTACTATGCAAAATACAAGTGGTTGAAGCAAACATTATTGCCTTGTTCTTTGTTTTTGTCCTCATTTAGAGTCATAGTCACTGTGCATTTATATATGCAAAATAAATTAAGCTGATGTATCAGTTTCTCATGGTAGTTTTAGGCATACTTTAGTAGCACTTCTATTATATATTCTTGGGTGAATCTCCTTATCTTTTACATATCTTAATCAAATTCATTCCTACTTCCTCATATTTTCTAGAATAGCTACTTTTTTATGTGTTTCCAACATCAACCATCCCACACCCAATACCTATTACACATAGGACTTTGATAAATTTTTGAAATTAATTTTTAAATTTTGAGATAATGTAGCATCACACATGTGAAGATCTGAAATAGTGGAGAGATATTCTGTCTACATTGTATCCACTTTTCTTCAATGGCAACATCTTGAAAAACTATATTACAATATCAGAACCAGAATATTGACATGATATTATCAAAACATAAAACGATTCCAATACCACAAAAGTTCTCATAATCGCACACTCCTCCCTCCCACTTTTTACCCCACTGGCCTTAACCCATAGTAAAATGGTTCTCCCGTTCTATAATTATGTCTTTTCAAGATATTTTATCATGCAGTCATACAGAATGTAACCTTTTAGGACTGGCTATTTTCACTCAGCCTACAACTGTGGTGATTCTCCTTAGTTGACTGGTGCATTAATACTTAGTTGCTTCTTCTTGCTGACAACTATTCATAATATGGATGTAACACCATTTGTTAAATAACTCTCTGGGTTTTGAGTTCAGAATTATAAGAAATGTAAACAAAAGTTGTCTGGCAAAGGAATTTGGAGAAAAGATACTTTATTCTAATAAATAAATTGCATACTGGGAAGACTCAGCCTCCCGTGTAAAATGAAAGGTGATTCCAGAGAACAAAGAGAGGGTTGGGGTTTTATAGCAAAAGTTCCCATTGAGATTTCCAATCAAGTGTGTTTATGCAAATGAAGGATTCAAATGTGCTTACTTCTAATTAGTCAAAATAGTTGAGTTCTGATTGGTTGACACAGCTGAGCCCCTATTGGTTGGGGTAGCTGAACTCTGATTTGTTGGTTGAGGTGAGGTCTGATAGTCTTTCGAAGTTGAAAAAGTGCAGTTTTTTAAAGAAGTAGCCATATGTGTGGGACCTCTATTCAGAAAATGACTGCTTAGCTCTTTTAAAATTTAGGCTCAATTAGCCACTTGGGATACATCTTGAAAGATTGGCTCTTTCAGGTTCACATTTGTTCACAGAAAGAATAATAACACTATCCTCTTTAATCTGAACTCTCCTTCCTCAATAGCATGACTTTAGCTCAGCCAATGGTCTATCTTCTCCTACTCAAACTAGTCACTAATCTTGCTCAGTCATTTTCCGTTCCTACTGCACATTTCATTCCCTGGGGAAGTTTTAAGTAAAACTCCCAGTGCCTATGTTGCCTGTTTGAAACAATCAAATCAGTATATCTTGGTATCAGAGCTGGTCACCAATATTTTGAAAGACCCCCTGTTTTATCTAGTGTGCTGAAAAGTTGAGAAACCAATCCAATCCACAGCCCAAAGACCCTGTTGCAATATATTGAGAGTATTTTAATTGCTTTTGTTGCCTATACATCCATCAAGAAATGGAAAAGTTGCAACCTTGACATATGCACCAACCAGTAGGACAAATGAGTGAACTATCACAGGGAAGTCAAAAGGAGTCTTAAAGGTACAGTTACCATGATTTGTAAATTCTTGTTCAGCCAAATGTTGTGCAATGGTCTCTCACAAGATATAAGACAAAGAAAGGAGGTGAGAGATTATATAAACAGATTAATATTTCTTATCTATATCTAGTTCAAGTCCTGGTTTCTGCTGTACACTGCTCAGTGGTAGAGCCATGGAGAGTTGAAGACCTTTGAGTTGGAGATGTGTAGGACCCCAGGATAGAGACAGCAACTTTGGACAAAGTTTTCTTGCACCCATGCAGAGAGAAAATCACTGAGAGAGGGGTCCATTCAGATTAGCACTGAGAGTGTTGAGGCAGGAGCCATTGAACATGGTGGGCCCTGAGATATTGGATGCGTTGGTACTAAGACCCAGGGTTCATGACACAACTCAATAGGGAAAACATTAAAAAAAAAGTCTGTAGATTAATTTTTCACCCAGTGGAAGAGTTCAATTTCTTTCATTTATTAAAAAGAAGTAGGCTATTTCTTACACATCAGAGAATACACTTATTAATTTATGACTGTTACACACAGAAGCAATCATTTAAGACTAATGATTTTCTGATATAACAATACAGACTTGGATCTCTTAGAAGCATAAAAGGCCACTATTTTAAACAACAATCAAATTTATTTGGGTATGAGACTCCAAATAAAATAGATTTGGGAAATATTCTGGTTGTTTCCGAATAATATGTCCATAATACAAAGTATGTCCACTCTGACACAAGCAGAAAATTGCAAGGTTTGAGGTTTTATTTTCACATGATTTAAATTGACAAAGTACATAAAACAGTTTTGTTGTCTTTATGCACCTGGAGTTAGGCAGGATAAAGTTATTATATTTGTTAATGTAATTAAAAAAACTTTATGATTAATTTAAAGTAAATATGATTTAAAAACTATTGATATCTTCATATCATTAATAAAAAGACAGAACAACTTCTTTAGCAAAAAGGATTAACTGTTGACACAAAGTTTTGGGAAGACTGTTTCTTACGGACATATGAAAATGCAAACACTAAGTCTGATTTTGCATGGTTCTAATATCCCATGGTGACTGACTTGGACATCAGCAAAGGTATAATAGAGATTGCAAAGAATGATTACATAACAAATAAATAATTACTATTATCTATCATATAATTTATTCTTAATTTTTCATACATAATTTACTGTACAGGAAACTAAACCAAAAGGAAGAAGAAATGATAGCAAGTCCCTTGAATGTTGTAGGTCCTTCAGTAATGACTCTCTGTCAGAAAATGTTGCATTCATACCTTGTAGCAAATTAGGAATGAATTCAACCAAAATATTTAAGGCTTCCATATTTTTGTGGATGGAGGCTCACAGGAATTCTGTAAGGTCAAAAAAGTGGTAGCCACGCACAGTGGCTCATTCCTGTAATCCCAACACTTTGGGAGTCCTAGGTGGAAGGATCATTTGAGGCCAGGAGCTTGAGACCAGCCCAGCCTGGGCAACATAGCAAGACCCCATCTCAACAAAAAAAAATTTTTAAACTAGCTGGGTGTGGTGGCACATGCTTGTAGTCCCAGCTACTTGGGAAGCTGAGGCAGGAGGATTGCTTGAGCCCAGAGTTTGGGGCTGTAGTGAGGAATGATCATGCCACTGCACTCAAGTCTAGGTGAGAGAGTGAGACCCTGACTCAAAAGTAAAAAGTTGGGAGAGGTATTTGTGAAAAAAAAATACTAATGCCAAGTAGAGTCAGAAAATTATAACGGGTTTTATAGTTGAAAAGGACAGCATTTCCTTAATATAATGAAATATCAAAACAGTGCAGAACACCTTTCCTCCTGTGGGGTCTTAGGATAGTATCACCTCCTCTGAGTTTCTCCATTCTCCCTACCCGATCACCCTGGCTGCCAGGTGAAAAGGGCACCAAGAGCCTCTCAGGTAAGGCTGTTTGCTGTTTCTGCAATTTTCCCTCCCTCTGATCAGATTCCAGGTGACATCCTTTCAATAACAGCAAGTCACAGGGAAAAGTCCAAACTTTTGGGTACCAGCAATAGCAGAGTGAGGATTAAGTGTGGGCAGCCAATGAGATATCAAGTAGGGCCCTGTGAGCAGTGATTCCAATTGGTCAGTAGCTTGAGGGCAACCAATAGAAAGTACAGAACTAGTCATGAGTAGGAACTCTCACCTGACAGTCCTCCAGGTCACAGTACCAGCTTGATATGGTTTGGCTCTGTGTCCCCACTCAAATCTCATCTTGACTTGTACTCCCACAATTCCCACATATTATGGGAGGGATTCAGTGGGAGATAATTTGAATTATTGGGGCAGTTTCCCCCATACTGTTCTCATGATATTGAATAAGTCTCATGAGATCTGATGCTTTTATCAGTGGGATATCAGTTCCCACTTATGAGTCAGAACATGTGGTGTTTGGTTTTCTGTTCTTGTGTTAGTTTGCTGAGAATGATGGTTTCCAGCTTCATCCATATCCCTGCAAAGGCATGAACTCATCCTTTTTTATGGCTGCATAGTATTCCATGGTGTATATGTGCCACATTTTCTTTATCCGGTCTATCACTGATGGGCATTTGGATTGGTTCCAAGTCTTTGCTATTGTGAAGAGTGCCACAATAAACATATGTGTGCATGTGTCTTTATAGTAGAATGATTTATAATCTTTTGGGTATATACCTAGTAATGGGATTGCTGGGTCAACTGGTATTTCTGGTTCTAGATCCTTGAGGAGTCGCCACACTGTCTTCCACAATGGTTGAACTAATTTACACTCCCACCAACAGTGTAAAAGCATTCCTATTTCTCCACATCCTCTCCAGCATCTGTTGTTTCCTGACTTTATAATGATCACCATTCTGACTGGCATGAGATGGTATCTCATTGTGGTTTTGATTTGCATTTCTCTAATGACCAGTGATGATGAGCATTTTTTCATGTTCGTTGGCCACATAAATGTCTTCTTTTAAGAAGTGTCTGTTCATATCTTTTGCCCACTTTTTGATGGGGTTGTTTGTTTTTTTTCTTGTAAATTTAAGTTATTTGTAGATTCTGGATATTAGTCCTTTGTCAGATGGATAGATTGCAAAAGTTTTCTACCATTCTGTAGGTTGCCTGTTCACTCTGATGATAGTTTATTTTGCTGTGCAGAAGCTCTTTAGTTTAATGAGATCCCATTTGTCAATTTTGGCTTTTGTTGCCATTGCTTTTGGTGTTTTAGTCATGAAGTCTTTGCCCACACCTATGTCCTGAATGGTATTGCCTAGGTTTTCTTCTAGAGTTTTTATGGTTTTAGGGTAGTGTCATGTTTTCTTAATCAGTCATGATCCTTCTGATTTGAGTTGGTACATGTGCATTTGAAGAAGTAGTCACCTTCTCCAGTCTTTACAGATTATATTTGGCAGGAAAAACCCTTCACCTGTCCGTCCATCCAGAGATTCTGGGCAGGCCACCTGATGAAGTCCATGGGCATGCTTCTAGCAGGAGTCTGCATGTGGGCTGACTTGATACTTGGGTCAGTGAGTGGGCAAGCATAAAACCTGAGTCTGTGGACATGCCTGAGTAATGAGAACATGGGGATCTGCCTGAAGGTTGGGTCTATATGGTTGGTCCTGTAGCCTGAGTCCATGGTGTTTGGCCCAGCATGGGAATCTACTGGAGTTGGCCTGGATCCTGGTTTCTCTGGAGTTTGTGTCCATGGGGACCAGTCTGGAACCTGGGGTGGGCCTGGACCTGAGGAAAGACTGGTGCCTTGGATGATGGGTGTTGGCCTAGATCTGGAATCTGTAGTTGCTGCTCTGCAGCATGGGACAAGCCTAATGCCTGGGGCCTCAGCGGCGCTGTTCTGGAGTGGTGGATCTAGAGGTGGGTGGATCATTTCAGGTCAGGAGTTCGAGACCAGCCTGGCCAATATGGTGAATCCCCATCTCTACTAAAAATTCAAAAACTAGCCAGGTGATGGTGGCATGCACCTGTAATCCCAGCTACTAGAAAAGCTGAGGCAGGAGAATCACTTGAGGCTGGGAGGTGGAGGTTGCGGTGAGCCAAGATCGTGCCAGTACACTCCAGTGTGGGTGACAGAGTGAGACCCAGTCTCAAAAAAAAAAAAAAAAAAAAAAGGACATTTGAATCAACAGCCACCTATTCTAGTCTTTGCAGATTGACTCCATACTGCTGCAGTTCTTCAACATGGAGCTTACTTACACTGAACCTAGTGGCCAAGCCAAGTGAAAATTTAAAGTCTTCGGAGTCTTGTCTGAGCATGTGTGATGCCTGGGCAGTTTGTATTATTTTCTCCATTTCCCAGTATGAGCAGCTGCTTTTGAATGCTCTAATTTCCCACCGAGTTTTGTACCATTTCTCCATAGTCTTTTGCATGTATTCATCTGTAGTTCTTGCCCAGGCAGCTGTGTGTGTGTATTCCTGTTCTCTACCCACAGGTTTTATGAGCAGTGCTCACTGCTTTTCCTGCCTAACATTCAAACTAGGGAAACACAGTCCTGTCATTCAGTTAACCTTCAGCTGTACACAAGAATTTGAAAATGAGGTTTGCTCTGCTCCCTTCACTTTGGGAGAAGAAACTAACAACTGGGCTGCCACCACTTCCAGACCAAGATTATTGCTGCACCAGTGAGGTGGAGTGGGAAGGGCAGGAAATTGTTGCAAAGCTGTTTTACCATTTTGAAACTGGTTTTTTCTTGACTGGCCATTCATGTGGTTGCTGCAAGTCTTTGACTTTTCTGGAGCTCCTATAAAGTTAGTTCAGTAGTTTCTGGGTGTTTTCTTAAGTTTCTGTAGGAGATCAAGAGTTGGAGCTTCCTATTCCACTATCTTGCTGACATCATTTTCCAAATAAAAACTGTATATTTCATGGTGTACAACATGATGTTTTAAAATTTGTAGAATGACTAGAGCTAATTTCCATATGGTTTATCTCACATAGTTACCATTTTTCATGGTGAAAACATTTAAAATCTACTCTCTTAGCAAATTTCAAGTATGCAACACCTTATTAACTTGAGTTACTATATTATACAGTAGGTCTCTTGAACATCTTTTTCCTGTCTGAAATTTTGTATTCTTTGGCCAACATCTTCCAGATCCCTCTCTCCACTGAATAATATGCTAACCAGTATTCCACTTTCTTCTGCTACAATTCTGAGTTTTTTAGATTCCACATATAAGTGAGTTCAAGCAGTATTTGTCCTACTGTGACTGACTGGATTATTTCCCTTCAAATAATGTTCTCCAATTTCATCCATGTTGATGATTTTAAAATTCTGAATAAATGCACATAAATAAAATTTATCATCTTAATCACTGTTAAGTGTACAGTTCAGGGGTATTAAGCACATTCATTTTGTATGTATAATTAATATATATAAATATATATTTAAGTACTTTCCTCATTTTTGATCTAGGTTGTTTGTTTTCTTGTTGTTTCTAAAGCTTTAATTTTGTGATAATTGTAGGGTCATATGTGCCTGTAAGAAATAATTCAAAGAGATCCTGAGTACACACTACTCAGTTGTTCTCAATGGTAATATCTTGCCAAACAACAGTACCATATGACAACCAAAATATTGATCTTGATGCAAGAAAGATATGACTCCATTCCAGCACCACAGGCAATTTTTATAATTATACTCACTCACCACTCAATTCCCACTCCTTGTCCTCATTCTTGGAAATAATTATTCTTTCTTTCTGTAATTCTGTTCCTTCAAGAACATTTCATAAAAAGGAATCAACAGTATGTAATCGTTAGGGATTAGTTTTTTTCACTTAGCCTAGTTCCTTGGAAATTTATTCAGGTTGTCACATGTATTAATACTTGGCTCATTTTAATTGATGAGTAGTATTCTATGATATGAATGTACATATTTTATTTAATCTTCCTATATGAAGGGCATTTGAGGTGTTTCAAGGGTTTTATTACTGCAAATGAAATATTATGAACAGTCATGTATAGGATTTTGTGTGAACATGTGCTTTAAAACATTTGGTAAATATCTACTGCAGTTTCTGTGTTGTAAAGTATTTTATATTAGTTTTGGGGTTTCTTTTTTAAGAAAATAGATTCCATGTACCATTTTATATTCCTGGGAGAAATGTTTATGTATTCCATGTCCTCTGCAGAATGGTTTATTTTTATTTCTAAGTAACTTGTAGAGGGAGGGTGGAGAGGTAAATGAGTGTCTTATTTTTAGCACCTTTTTTGTCCTGTCTCAGATTCTCCTTTGGATGTCTTATTGGTTCAGTTAACTCCTGTAAAAGACATTCTACAGTCCCAGTCAACAGCTGTGGCTTGAATGTTTTCCCAAATTTCATGTACTGGAAACTGAATCCCCAATGTGACAGTTTTGAAAGGTGGAGCTTTTAAGAGGTGAATGGATTATGAGGGCTCTGCCCTCATAAATGGATTAATACATTCATGGATTCATAAATTAATTAGGCTGTCATACAGCTTTATAAACAATAGCACAAAGAATGAGGGAACATTTGCATCTTCTAAAAATCCACATGGAGGCAGTCTTTGGATATTTCTTAGTTAAGAGACTGACAATAATAGACACCAGATAAGATTATGGAGCTTTCTCTATTATCCCCTTCTCACACCCCTATTTTTACTAAAAGAACAGAATTATGTATAGAATGCAGGTGTCAAGGGAAAGTTTAGATGTAGTCAAGTGCCTATGTAGAAATTCAATGTAAGCATTATTATTATTTTCTCTCTCATTAATCCTAAGGTCCCAGAACAATGAATGGCACATAGAAGAAACTTAATCATTGATTATGAATAATGTAGATACCCAAAATATTGATTGATCATCACTAGTGTCAAGAAATACAACTATGTGCTCCTCCCCTTTGTTCTCAAAGAATATCCTAGAGGATCCTAGGCAAACCAGGTGGTAGAGTTCAGACTGTACAGTATAATCTATGAGTTCTGCCCTGTGACTCCCATGATCCCTCTTCATCGTCAACACAGTAGTGGTAGGAAAAAGTTCTTTATGAGAGATGCATCACGATCATGAGCAGTTCTTCCTTGCCCCAGGATGCAGCCTATACCCCTTAGCTGTATTGTGTAGGATCATTTGAGACCCTCTCTCCCGTCTCCATTCCAACCAGATCTTGACAATTCCTTTTCTCCACACCACCTCCTGCCCTGCTGACTCTGGCTGTTTCCACACATGCTGTGCTTCCAGGCCTTTGTGCTTTTTCCTGGGCTTCTCCCTGTCCCTTTTTGCACTGTCTTCTGCTTAGATGTCTTTCAAGATGCAGATCAGCCATCAGTTTCCTTAGGGAAATTTTGCTCTTTCCTCTGACCCACACTGTTCCCTGTACATTTATTCCTTCCCACATTGGCATTAAACACAACCCTGATTCCTGTGGATCATTACAGTCTCTATGATGACCTACAAGTATCATTGCACTTATCCTCCTTTACTTGTCCATGTCCCAAACTAGACTCAGAGCACTTTGTGGGCAGACACAGAGGGCTACTCAAATCATGTTAATTGAAGTAAGTTAATAGGACCTGATAATGAGATAGTAGCAGTGTCAGTTGGCCTGCAAACAAACAAACACAACTAGTAGGGCCTCACTGATGGAGTAAAAAAGTACTCTTTGATTTAGGATTTAGAGACACACAGGGAGGAGGCCGATATTTTTGCAGATTCACCACTTTGATGAGGGAACATGGAGTAATCCTGGGGATAAAAGAGGAATTTACAGAATTATTGAAGGTCTTAAGACAGCACACTGAGAGGCAGGTGGACAGTATGCATTGGGTAAAGTTTTAGGGAAGTTTCTGGGGTTACCTTGGGCCAAACATGCCTAATGCCTCTCCCACAAATTATTTCCTTCACTGCTTTTTCTCCCTGCTATGTGCTCATGTTAAAGTAAAGACAGTTAGATGTTTTATCAATTGCATCCTTTCCAGTGTGAAAAGAGGAAAATGCAGACCTGAGTGTGTGTATGTGAACGTATGTGCTTCTATGTGTAAAAGTTTTAAAATTTATTTCTAGTAAATCTTTTATTGGTATATCATAGTTGTAATATTTTTGTTGTACATGTGATATTTTGATACACGTATACAATGTGGAATAATCAAATCAGGGTAAGTGAGATATCCATCACCTCAAATATTCATCTTTTCTTTGTACTGGGGTCATTACAGTTCTTCTCTTCTAGCTATTTTGAAATCCACAATAAATTACTGTTAAGTATAATTTCCCTACTATACTATTAAATACTATATTTTATTACTTCTATCTAACTGTGTTTTTGTACCCATTAACCAACATCTGTTCATTTCCCTCCCTTTTCTTCCCATCCTCTAGTAATCACCACTCTACTCTCTGTCCACATGAGATCTACTCTTTTAGTTCCCATGTACGACTGAGAACATGCAATATTGTTCTTTCTGTGCTTGGCTTATTTCACTTAACATAATGACCTCCTATTCTATCCATGTTGCTGCGAATGAGAGTATTTTTTTCTTTTTTATGGCTGAGTGACATTCCGTGGCATATAATGCCACTTTTTTTCCATCCATTCTGTTGCTGGGCACATAGGTTGGTCCCATACCTTGGCTATTGTGAATACTGCTGCAATAAATACGGGAGTAGAGATATCTCTTTGATATACCTATATTTTTAGGTATAAACCTACCAGTGGGATTGTTGGATCATATGGTAGTTCTCTTTTTAGATTTTTGAGGAACCTCCATACTGTTTTCCATAACTGCTGTACTAACTTATATACCCACCAACAGTGTGCAAGCATTTCCGTTTCTCTGGATCCTTGTCCACATTTTTTACTTTTTTGTCTTTTTTATAATGGTCATTCTAATTGAGATGACGTGATATCTCATTGTGGTTTTGACTTGCATTTCCTAAGTGATTAGTGATGCTGAGCATTTTTTCATATACCTGTTGGTCATTTGTATGTCTTCTTTTAAGAATGTCTATTTGGATCTTTTGCTCATTTTTTAATAGAATTATTTGGCTTTTTGCTATTGAGTTGTTTGATTTCATTATATATTCTAGTTATAAATCTCTTGTGGAAGGGATAGTTTGCACATATTTTCTCCTACTCTGTAAACTATCTCTTCACTTTTTAAATTGTTTCCTTTGCTGTGCAAAACCTTTTTAGTTTCATGTAATCCTGCTTGTCTATTTTTGCTTTGGTTGCCTGTGCTTTCTAGGTCTTACCAAAAAATCTTTACCCAGACCAATGTCCTCTAGTATTTCCTCAATGTTTTCTATTAATATTTTCATAGTTTCATGTCTTACATTTAAGTCCTTAATCAGTAGCATTTCTATACACAAACAGTGATCAATTTGAAAAAGAAATCAAGAAAGCAATCCCATTTACAATGGCTACAATAGATAAATAAATTAAATACCTAGGAATCAATTTAACCAAATAAAACTTAATATTTGTATATGGTGAAATATGAGGAAATAATTTCATTCTTCTGCATATAGATATCCAGTTTTCCCAGCATCATTCATTAGACTGTCCTTTCCCTAGTATATGTTCTTAACACCTTCATTTAAAATGAGTACATGAATGTATTTCTAGGTTCTATATTCTGTTCCATTGGTCTATGTTTTTGTTTTTATGCCAATATCACACAGTTTTGTTTACCATAGGTTTACACTGTATTTTGAAATTTGGTATGTGATGCCTCCAGCTTTTTTCTTCATTATCAGGATTGGTTTAGCTTTGGGGCCTTTTGTGGTTCCATGTGAATCTTAGGATTGTTTTACTATTTCTGTAAAAAATGTCATGGTATTTTGATAGGCTTTGCATTGAACATGTAAATTACTTTGGGTAATACAGGCATTCTAACAATATTAATTTTTTCAATCCATGAGCATGGGATAGCCTTCCATTGTTTTGTGTCCTCTTCAATTTCTTTCATCAAAGGTTTATAATTCTCCTTGGAGAGACTTTTCATTTCTTTGGTTAAATTGAATCCTAGGTATTTTATGTATTTATTTCTGTAGCCATTGTAAATGGGATTGCTTCCTTGATTTCTTATTCAGATTGATTACTGTTAGTGTATAGAAATGCTACTAATTTTTTATGTTGATTTTGCATTCTGCAACTTTACTAAATTTATTTTTCAGTTCTAAGAGGCTTTTAGTGGGGTCTTCAGTTTTTTTCAAAGGTAATGTTGTCTGCAAAGAAGGATAATTTGACTTTTTCCTTTCCAGTATGGATGCCCTTTATTTATTTCTCTTGCCCAATTGCTCTGCTCAGGACTTCCAGTATTATGCTGTATAAAGGCAGGGAAAGTGGCCCTCTTTGTGTTGTTTCAGATCTTAGTGGAAAAGATTTTAATTTTTCCACATTCAGTATGATATTAGCTATGGGTTTGTTACATATGGCCTTTACCATCTTGAGATATGTAACTTCTATACCCAGTTTGTCATGTGTGTTTTTTTAATCATGAAGGAATGTTAAATTTTATTGAATATTTTTTCAGCATCTATTAAAATGATCATGTGGTTTTTGTCCTGTTTCTGTTGATGTGATGTATCACATTTATGGATATGCATATGTTGAAATCCTTGCATCCCTGGGATGAATCCCCACTTGTCCATGGTGAATGATCTTTTTAATGTGTTGTTGAATTCTGTTTACTAGAATTTTGTTGAGGATTTTTTGCAACATATCAGGGATATTGGCCTTTAGTTTCCTCCTGTTATGTGTCTTTGCCTGGTTTTTGTCACAGGGCTGTGCCAGACTTGTAGAATGAGTTTGGAAGTATTTACCCTCATTCAATTTTTTGAAATAGTTTGAGTAGAATTGGTATTATTTGTTCATTAAATGTTTGGTAGAATTCAGCAGTGAATCCACCAGGTCCAGCACTATCCACCAGGTCCAGCACTTTTCTTTAACAACAGAGTTTTTATTACTGCTTGTTAGTCATTAATGGTCTGTTCAGGTTTTCTATTTCCTCATGGTTCATTCTTGGTAGGTTGTATGTGTCCTGAAAAGTATTCATTTCTTCTAGGTATTCCAACTTGATGGTGTATAGTTATTTGTAATAATCTGTAAGTATCCTTTGTATTTCTGTGGTGTGAGCCGTAATGTTTCCTTTTTTTTTTTTTTTTTTTTGAGATGGAGTCTCGCTCTGTCACCCAGGCTGGAGTGCAGTAGCTCCATCTCGGCCCACTGCAACCTCTGCCTCCCGGGTTCAAGTGATTCTCCTGCCTCAACCTCCTGAATAGCGATGATTACAGGTGTATGCCTCCACACCCAGCTAATTTTTGTATTTTTTTAGTAGAGGCGGAGTTTCACCATGTTGGCCAGGCTGGTCTCAAACTCCTGACCACAAGTGGTCTGCTCTCCTCGGCCTCCCAAAGTGCTGGGATTACAGGCATAAGCCACCGTGCCCGGTCAATATTTTCTTTTTTTATATCTGATTTTATTTATTTAGGTCATCTCTTTTTTCCTTAGTTTGTCTAGTTAAAGGTTTGTCAATTTTGTTTATCATTTCAAAAAACCAACCATTTTGTTGATCTTTTGTGTTTTTTAGTCTCTTTTTTGTTTGATTCTACTCTGATCTTTATTATTTCTTTCCTTCTACTCATTTCGCATTTGATTTGTTCTCGCTTTTCTAGTTCCTTGAAGTGTGTTGTTAGGTTGTTTATTTGGAGTCTTTTTATTCTTTAATGTAGGCATTTGTTGCTATAAACATCTCTCTTAGTACCATTTTTGCTGTATCCCAGAGGTTTTGGTATGTTTTGTTGTCATTTTCATTTGTTTCAAGAAATTTTTTTTGTTCTGTTTTTAATTTCTTCATTAACAATTGGTCATTCAGGAAAATATTGTTTAATTATTATGTATTTGTAAAATTTCCAAATTTCCTCTTCTTGATTTCTAGTTTTATTCCCTTATGGACAGAAAAGATACTTGATATAGCAGTGACATTTTTTAATTTGTTGAGACTTGTTTGTGATTAAGTGATTTTTCTCTAGCAGTATGTTTTAATTTGTTGCTGTTTATTTTTAGTGTATCTATATCAGTTTTTGCTTTGGGTTACCATATGACTTTCAAAATCATCCTATAGTTATACCAAATATTTAAAACTGATACCAAGTTAGCTTTGATTGCAATAAAAGAAAAGAAATAGATAAAAAAATTAAAACCTCAATTCTGTATAAATTAACTCCCTTCTCCAACATTTTTATTTTTTGATGTCACAATTTACATTTTCATAAAATTAATGTTCGATTATACTCACATAACCTATTATCTGTAATCTCTTTCTCAGTAATATGACTGACCTCTTAGATCAGCCAGTCATCCATGGCTCCCATTTCAAACCTGGGCCCTTACCCATCCCACTGGTATTACAAATTTGTAGCATATTGGAATCAACTGCTATGGAATCAACTGGAATGCTGCAAAAATTAATCAGTGTGTCCAAGTGTGGGAACCAGGCATCAGTATTTTAAAAGATTTCCTGTTGTCTTTGGTTATGCAAACTTTCTTCCCTTATGTTGCTTCCTCTAGGTTTCCTTCTTCCCATGATGGCAATGAAGAGGACCCCATTCCCTATGGGTTCATTATGTTCTCAATTATGCTCTTCTGATCTCATAGCACTTATTCCCCTGTTACTTATCAGCTTCTTACACTAGACAGTGAGCTCCTGTGAGCTGACTGTGGGATAGCTGCTCAACACATGTTAATTAAAAGAAATTGCACTTGATCATGAGATATTTGCAGCTTCTGGGGCTGATGGGTAGGAAGATGGTGGAACCATAGAACCTGGCTACAGAGTGAAAAGTGTACTAAGTGCTCTTATTAGTAGAACTAAAAAAAGGCAAAGCCTGTATGATTAATAATTCTGTGATACATAGGGATGAGGTTAGGTATGCCACAGGAGGACCCATCCTAGGATGATTCACCTCTTTGAAGAGAGGAACTGAAGTAGTTGCTGTGGGTAAAAGAGGAAGTCACAGAGAATTGTGAGTTGGAGAAAAGGTGATCAAGAGGAAAGTGGAGGGTCTGTATTAGGCAAAAGTCCAGGGCAATAGGGCTTTAAAGTTGCTTGTGGTGTAACCTGAGGTAATCATTCCTATTTCTTTCTCACCACCAAATCACTTTTTTAGTTCTTTTTCATACTCTTTAGTTCCAGTATTAAACCAAAGAAGGTACCTATTCCAGTTCTTGCATGCTTTCTACCCAAGAGAAAGGGGGAAATATTCAGATCTGCCTGTATGTAAATATATGTAGGACTTCAAATGCCTTTTCCAGTAGTTTGTTAACCGTCTTCCCTGCATATCTTCCGTGCATTCACAATAAGACTGCTGTGTTTCCACATGATTTAGGAATGACACAGCTTGTACTTCTCCTGCTTAGAGAAAACTAACTTTATAGTAAAGTCCAATCACCTATACCCTGGAATCTCTTCCTTAAAATGACACCTGATCATTCTCAGATCAGCCAGTTTTTCCTGGCCCCCACTGCAACCTGCATCCTTACCCCAGCCCAGTGGTTCTCCAACATAGCAGCACATTGGAATCTCCTGGCGATCTCTAAGAACTCCACCTGCTATGCCGCACGCTGAGGCAATGAAGTCATTATGACTGGCGGTTGAACCAGCCCTCTGCATTTGTAAAGATTCCCAATGGCTTCTAGTGTGCTAAAAAAAAATACAGGAAACATCACCTAGCTATTCCCCAAAGACCCTACAGGGAGATTTTTAGGAGTAATTCAATTGCATCTGTTGCTTATTTATCCCTGCATATTACATAATATTATAACTTTTTGTACTGTATACTCCAATTGTTATGGTTTGGATCTATGTCCCCCACCAAATCTCAAGTCGAATTGTAATCCCCAGTGTTGGAGGTGGGGCCTGGTGGGAGGTGACTTGATCATGGGGGTGAATTTCTCATGAATGGTTTAGTACTATCCCCTCTTGGTACTGTCCTTGTGATAGTGAGTGAGTTTTCATGAGATCTGGTGTTTTAAATGTGTGTAGTCCCCCCTCCCTCTCTTTCTTGCTTCTTCTCTAGCCATGTGAAGTTCTGCTCCTGCTTCACCTTCTGCCATGAGTGGAAGTTTCTTGAGGACTTCCCAGTAGTTGAGCAGATGCCAGCATCATGCTTCCTGTACAGCCTGCAGAACCATGAGTCAATTAAAACTCTTTTCTTTATAAATTACCCAGTCTCAGATACTTCCTTATAGTAATGTGAGAATTGACTAATACACCAATCATAGTAACACAGGATGAAATATGAAAGAGGAGTAAAGGAGAACAAGAGCCAAGAGTCACCACTGGATTTGGGCACTGGGGACCATTGTGGCATCTGACAGGACCAGAGTGTCAGAGGGAAGCTTATCTACAGTGGGATCCACAGGTAATGAGATGTGGAGAACTTCAGAGAGATACTTTGAAGTGTCGTAGGAAAATGATTGGTGTTTGTTTATGAAAATAATATTGGAAAACCAGAGAAAAGGAAAGGCCGAAAAGGTTAGTGATTGGCATGTGTGTTAGTATAATTTCTTGAGTTATCCTAGCTTGGTCTCATTGTATCTTACAATTCTGTCACATCTGCATTTGCCTAGCTCATTTTGAGCAGACTCTCTGGGTCTTGGTGGTTTTTGCCTGTCTAGTCCATCTTTGAAGGGCTGTACACAGGAGGTACTTAAAGCAGCACTTGGAATTGTTTGTAAATGCCTGATGACAAGCGGAAGGTTATGCAAGTGTCCCTGACAAGACCTGAGTCAAAGAGAAAGAAATAGAGGCAGGGAGAGACAGAAAATGAGACTGAAGGGAGAGAATATGATAATTTCTTTATACTTTGCTGAGGTAGAAAGCCTGGTTTTGCTGTGCAGTGTTCAGTACCCATGGCCTAAAGAGGCAAAGACCTTAGAATAAATGACAATGTTGTGCCCAAGGGAAGAGATATCATCTTTGTTGACATTCTTTCTGTCCCCAGAGATAGAAGCAGGCACAGAGCTGAGAGGACCATGCAGGATTGCATTGAGTGTTGCAGTGGTAGCAGCTGAGAGCAGTGCAGCCTGAGGAGCTTTGTGCTTTGGTGCTAAGATCCTGGGTTTAGTGCACACTTTCATGGGTATCTCCATTAGAACAATTTCTGATGCTGAATTCCATAGCAAGTGACAGAAATTGGATTTCTATTGATTGGTTAAAGCAGAAGAAGTTGATATTTTCTGCACACCAGAACCTGTGCTTGCAAATTCATACCTGTTAACAGACAAACAGTCTTTCAGGAATAAGAAATGCATGGGCCATAACATACCTGGGCAGGTAGAGGAGTGGCCTTCTGGTGGTAATTCTCATATAAAAAACAGGAAAAGATATGCTAAGAGTAGGTGTATGTACTGATGAAGATGGAGGTAACTGAGTCAGTGGATGGTAGTGACAGCCCTCAGTATTATCAGTTAAGTATGAGATGAAGACTAGAAGGAAGAGGGGGACCTTGGAGTGAATGGAATTCTGGAATTGCCAGTGAGCAATGTGTGGCAGATAACTAAGTCTAAATGCAAGAGTTTCAATCAGCAACAAAGATCCCTCAGTGAAAGCATAACTCTTGAAACACATTGGATTTCTTCCTGAAGAGTTACATTCTGTTGATCTCTGCCCTCTCAATGGGAAGAAGCTGTGCAGGAGGACCGAGGGGTAGACACGATAAACCTCAGAGGCTTGGTTATGATTAACCATGTATGGAAATTTTGAGATATAGGAACTTTTGTGCTCATCTTCCATAATTATCTTCACAGACATTCATTCAATCAAAGAGATTAACTTCTAATTGTATTTTCTCTGTAAAGGCTGGCTAAAAACTATGTGTATAGAGGTTAAAGAAACTGACTAAATTTAAAGAAGATCTCATGAAGCTTTACCACTCTAAGAAATGCTCATATCATTTCATGATTTATTTCGCTTACATAAATGTTCTGTAAATTTTTAAATGGTAAACTTGAATACACTTCCTTACTCAACTAGTTCTAAGAGAAAAAAACTGAGTTATCCGTTCAGTTATCCGTACAATCACATACTTATGTCATTTAAAAAATATTTATTGAATCTCTTAGAACCTTTAAAAGAAAGCCTTACTAGATAAACAATTCAGTTATTTGGGCACAAAAATCCCAATATATTTATCAATTCAGACAGTGTTCAAATAATATTTATCTGAGACCAAAAAAACTCTCATTTCCACTGAAGTAAAAAATTACAATGTTTGTGGTTTTGTGTTCATATAGTATATGTTGACAAGGTAAATTAAAGAAATTTATCACTGTTATATGTGCCTGGTGTCATTTGTGTATAAAACAAATTATTATTATATTGGTTAAAGTGAAAATCTTTTATAATAATTATAAAGTTAATAAGATTCAAAGCAATTCATATAATTATGCCATCAATTAAAAAGAGAAAGAGACTTTCTTTTAGCAGGGAAAAATGGTTCATTTTTGAAAGAACATACCATTGTGGAGAGACTATGTTAATACAGAGCAAGTGAAATATGTAAGCACTAATGATGATCTCTCATGTTCTAATAATCAGTGGTGATTGAGTTGAACATCACTGAATTTGTGCTATCTCTAGTGGTCCCTCTGTGAACTCCTCTCGTGACCCTCTAAATGCTTGCACTGTGACACTTTTAACTTTTCTCTGACACTGTTTATTGATATTATAACTTCCGGTTGCATTATGCTCTGGGTAGCAGTAGGGAAATTTCTTTTATTATCATGATTTTTAACAACAATAGAAAGATTCAGATATTTAAATCTATGTCTACAGAAATCTGTACATCTCTATCTATAGGTGTATACCAAACATTAGCATTGATTATTCATGTGTACCTTCTTTTTTTCTTATTAAATTTATCTGTATTTTTCAGTCTTTAAATGAGCACTTTACTTATTTACTAAGAAAGAGTGAAGTTTAAATACAAATTATAGTACAGTTGCTTAACCTTCGTTTGCATTAGAAAAGTGTTTTGACTCTGTTGTATTCCTCACTTATTTTTATAATAAAATAAAACAAACTCTGACCAACAATGTAGGAAAAGGAAATAACTTTGAAATCATTATGTACCATATAAAATGAAAGTTTGTTTATTGAGCACAATAACTGTAGATGGGGTCGTTCAGTGACTTAATGTAGGACGTGCATATGGCTTACAAGAAGCAGTTCTGGATTCACTTACTTCCTATGTGAAACTTGTACCATTTATATCAAATGTAAAACAATAGTTGGGAATCCACCTTGGCTTTTCAGAATTTTATAGGACCCATTAAACTGAGTAGAATAACCTCTATCTTTTCACAGAGATTATTTTATTACAATTATTCCGTTTGAGCTTTATCTTGAATCCTGGGGTCTTAGCACCAAAGCATCAAAGCTCTCAGGGCCCATAGTGCTCAACGGTTCCTACTGCAACACACTGAGGGCTGGTCTGCACGGTCCTCTCATTTGCGGCTTGTCTCTCCTCCTGGTTGCAGGGGAATTTTGCCAAAAGTTGCCATCTATTCTCTAGGGTACTATACATCTCCTACCCTGGAGTCTTCAACTCTCGATGGCACCACCACTGAGCAGTATACAGCAGAAACCAAGACCTGAACTAGATATAGATAGATAGATAGATAGATAGATAGATAGATAGATATAGACGATATAGATAGAAAAATCTCGATATAGATAGAAAAATCTATCCCTTTATCTGTATCTCTCTCTTCTTCTCTTTATCTTATATCTTGTTAGAGATACTTGCATAACATTTTGGCTGATCAAGTATTTGCAAATGATGGGAAGAGTAGCTTTAAGAAGATTCCCTCTGACTGCTCTCTGTTAGTTTGCCCGTTTGTGCTAATGACTGGTATATGTATAAAGGTTGTAACTTTATCAATTCTTGAGAGATGTATAGGCAACAAAAGCAGTTGAAATACTCTTAATATATTGCAACAGGGTCACTGGGATGTGGCTATGCATTGGTTTTTTGCCTTTCAGCGTACTGGAGACAACTGGGGATCTTTCAAAATAATGATGTTTGACTCTTACACCAGGACACAATGAAGTGATTATTTCAGCATACAACAAAGGCATTGGGATTTCATTAAAAGCTTCCAGGGGAACCTAATGTGCTGTAACACTGGAGAATCCCCTGGGCAGGATTAGTGCTTAGTGTGGGAGGGTGGAAAATGGACCACTGAGGAAGAGTGTCCAGATACACAGGATGGCCTTTACTATTTTGTTTCTAATACATAATTGTGGATCAAAAATCCGGTGAGTCATTCAACAAACTGTGTTATATCCATATCATGGAATAGTAGTCAGTGATAAAAAAAAGTAACCAATTAATTAACCAACTAATACACACAACTTGGGAGAACCAACACAGAATTTGGCTGAGTGAAAAAAGCCAGTCCTCAAAGGTTACATATTTTGTGACTGCTTTACAAACTAGTATTCAAATAAAACATTTTAGAATTAGAGAACAATTTTTCCATGGGTTAAGGCTAGAGGGTGGAGCATGGGAATGAAGTGAGTGTGACTATGAAGATTCTTGTGGTATTAGGATGGTTTTATATCTTGGTTGTATCAATGTCAATATCCCAGTTGTTATATTGTAGTAAGTTATCATTATCAAAAACCAAGTAAAGCATAGATATGATTATTTTGCATTATTTCAGACCTTCACATGTGTGATTCTACCTTATCTTAAAATTCAAAAATTAACTTCAAAACTTCCTCAAAGTCCTAAGAGGCATTGGGATTAGGTGTTGGTTAATTGTTGTTGGCAGCCACACAATATAGTAGGAATTCATAGGATATATGAGGTAGTTGGAGAGATATTAATTGTGACATAAAAAAGAGAAGCATATTCACTCTTTAGAATATATAATTCAAGTGCTACTAAACCATGCCTAAGACTGTCACAAGAAACTTATACATGTAAGCTTAATTTATTTAACATATAAAACCCCACAGTTACCATAACTCTCAATGATGAAGAACTGAAAGCTTATCCTTTCAGATCAGAAACAGGGCAAAAGTGTTCACTTTAACCACTTCTATTCACATAGTATTGGAAGTCTTAGCCAGACAAACTGATTAACCAATTAATCAGATAAGAAAAACATGGAGAATGCAAGAAAATTAGAGAGAAAAAGTAAAATATTGTCTGCCTTCAGATGACATAAACTTATATGTAAAAAGAACAAAGGCTTTGAAAACAAGTATTAGAACTAATAAATAATTTCTGTAAAGAAGCAAGATTAAAACTCAGCATGCAAAAATTGATGGCCAATGAACATCCAGAAACAAAATTAAGAAAACAATTTTATTTTTAATAGCATTAAAAACAATAAAATACTTAGGAATATACTTAAGGAGAACCTACAAGGTATTGCTGGCACATACTAAAGAAGACATAAATAGCAGAAAACACATATATTCACAGATTTTCCTGAATTAAATGACTTAATATTGTTAAGATGTCAATACTACCCAAAGCAATTTACAAAATCAATGTTATCCACATCAAAATCCCATCCCAGGGATGTTTTTCAGTAAAAATAGGAAAACCCTTCCTAATATTAATATGCAATCTCAAGAGACTCCTAAAGAATCAAAACCGTCTTGATAAAAAAAGGACAACGTTGGAGTACTCACCCTTTCTGTTTTCAAAACTTTCTACAAAGATCCAGTAGTCAAAAGAATGAGCTATTGTCATGAGGACAATTATATAGACCCATGGAATAGAACAGAGAGAATAGAAATTAGTCACTGCTATTTAGTAAAATGATTTTTGAGAAGGATGTCAAGACCATTCCATGGGGAAAGAACAGTTTTTCAACAAATGGTGCTGGGAAAACTGGATATATACACACAAAAGAAGGACTTGATCCTTACCTCACACCATATATAACGTTTAACTTAAACTGTATCAAAGACAAAATGTAAGAGCTAAACATAAACTTCTTAGAAGAATCCATAAAGGAAAATCTTCTCGACATTGGATTTGTCAATGATTTCATGAATATGACACCAAAAGAGCAGGAAATAAAAGAAAACATACATATTTGACAGTGTCAAAATTTAAAACTTTTGTGTCAAAGGATACTACCAAAGAGTAAAATGAAAATTTAGAAAATGGTGGAAAATAATCATAAATTATTTCCTGCAGAAAGGTTGAATATCCTGAACATACAAAATAGAAAATAATTTTTAGAAAGGAATAATATGAGGAGACACCTAGAAATTCATTTTTATGTAATCAATTATGTTGTAGAACAGCATTGCACATAGAGTATTCTCCAAAGTTCATCAATCTGTATAAAGAAATGTGAAACACCAGTTTTGAGAAGCCTCTCCCAAGCACCTTGTCTTAGTGAAAACACAGCTAAAATCACTTATTCTGATCATTGTGTAGTCCTAGCAGGTATTGTTTGAAGAGTTATACAATATCAGCATTTGATGCATGATGACTGGGACTTCCTCCAATATGAGGAACATAGATCATGTTTTTTATTGAGAAGAAAGAGGATTTATTAATTTATTTCCAAAATACCATAATGTCCATCAATCCCTCAGGCTTACTTGAATAGAACAGATCTGGTCTGACTAGGTTTTCTTTCCAAACAATGCATATAAACAAGTGGTACTATTTGCATTTAAGATTTACTAATACTTTGAGAGTTATCTAATAAGCCCATTGCCCCAAAACTGTGTTGACTTGTTTTTAAGTTTAAAAAATAAAATTTCTGTTCATGAATTACCACACACACAGTATGTAGTAAATCAATCATAAAGAGATAGATTTTTGTGCATGAAAATGTGTATCACTAATAATTAGAGTATCAAATTAAAATATTTAGATAACCAAAACAATTCACCAATCACCCAAGAGAGTTCAAAGAAATAAATTGGTAGAAACAGTCCAATTTTCCCCCACTTTAAGAAGACCTCCATAGGTGCTCTCCCAAGACTTAACAGTCAAGCATCTATGATCTCTGTGTTTTCTCAGCCTTGACAGGATTTCTAGAGGACAGATAAAAGTATGGATCTTTGAAATTCCCTGTAAGTTGAAATCTTAAAGTTTATCCACAGTGAGATGCCATCTCAACCAGTCAAAATGATGATTATTAAAAAGTCAAAATACAACACAAGCTGGTGAGGCTGCAGGGAAAAGGGAATGCTTATTCATTGTTGGTAGGAATGTTAATTAGTTCAGCCACTGTGAAAGCAGTTCAGAGATTTCTCAACAAAATTAAAACAGACCTACCATTCAACCCAGCAATCCCATTACTGGGTATATACCCAAAGGAAAAGAAATCCTTCTGCCAAAGAGACACATGCACTTTTATGTTCATTGCAGCATTATTTATAATAGCAAAGACATGGAATCAACCTAGATGCCCCTCTGTAATCAATTGGATAAAGAAACTGTGGCAAATATACACTACGGAATGCTATACAGCCACAAAAAGGAACAAAAATATCCTTGGCAGCAACTTGGATGCAGCTGGAGGCCATTATCCAAAGTGAGTTAACGCAGGAACAGAAAACCAAATACCACACATTCTCACTTATAAGTGGGAGCTAAACATTAAGTATACATGGACATAACGATGGGAACAATAGACTCTGGGGACTACAAGAGGAGGTGGAGAAGTAGGGAGGCATGGGCTGAAAAACTACCTTTTGGGTACTATGCTCACTACCTCAGTGATGGGATCATCCATACCCCAAACCTCAGCATCACACAATATGCCTGTGTAACAAACATGCACATGTACCCTCTGAATCCAAAATAAAAGTGGAAGAAAAAGATTTCAGGTTTATACAATTGTGAATGGGAAATTGCCTTGTAAACCTTAAATATTATTATATACAAGCTTAAAGTTATGTTATTGAAATTTTAATAATGTTCGCAGGACTTTGTTTAAATATCATCAGTTTTCTTTCTTTTGTGAGCAATTGCTCCATCCACTTATCACAATACTGAGGATGAATAAACAAGGCACTATAGAAATCAATCTAATTATAATCTCTAACTGCTTTGAAGAAGAAATAAAAACAAATGTGGGGGAAGTTAGGAAGAATAGTAAATGTTATACAGCAAGTGTTAATGGAGACGGTCTCTATCTGATGAGCTTACATTTCATTTTTATTTTGCCTGAATTTTCCATAATGACCAGGACATGCCTTTAAATAAGCAATGACATTTAAAATTACAAATATTTTAGTAAACATAACAATACTCATGGAGGAGGAAAGAAAAAAGAAGTAGAAAATTTAAATTAAAATTGAGCAAAGAGTAGAACTTGGGAGCAGGGAGATGACAAGGGATATGAGGAGTGGAGGTAGGGTGGGTGAATAAGAGCTGAGGGAGAAAGTTCTTTGTGGGTAGGTGGAAAAGTGGTAGAACTTGGACCATTGACTCAAAAGGTCAGTAATAGCTCTAGGAAGAGATATAGAAAGTAGTCTGAAGCCCAGGTTGGCACATAAGCACAAGCTGTTAGGCAACAGCAGGGACACTCCCTAAAGAAAGACTGAAATGCCCAGAACAGGACAGACCAGCTCCAGCATACTCAACTGTTCTGGTCCTGTCTGCCAGTATTCTGGTTACTGCAAAGTCAGCTTCAAAGAGAACCCCACGAAATGGGTGAGTGATGAAAAGGTGAAGTTAAGTGGCACTGAATTCCAAGAGACCACAATGTACAAGGATCCCCAGGACAGAATCTCCAGCATCCAGGAGGAGCTTCTGCAGGTATCTGGACCACTCACAGGCAAATGGCCCCCCAATCCCTGGCCATCCCACACTTCCTATTGGTTGCATTAGGGCAACCGATCAATTGGAACAGCAGCCTGCAAGGCCTGGCTCCACAGCTCTGTAGCTGCTCTTGCCCAGTCCTTACTCCACAGAGGTTGATACCTGAAGTTTGGGCTTTTCCTTTGTAATGTACTTTTATTGAAAGAGTCTCAGTGGGACAGCTGGGAGGAGGTAGAACCTGGGTGGGGGGTGTAGGAAGGTGCCGGGGGTGAGGAGGACAGGCACCTGGATAGCAAATTTCGAATTGAGAGAAAAGTGGGCAAACAGAGAGGTGGTGCACTGGTTATCAAGCTGCTTTACATGCCGGACAGGCACAGGGACTCTGAGACCTGTTAGGGTCCTCGAATGGGAGACAGGAAGGACCTTAGATTTAATGACTCTTCTTTTGTCCAAAAGCTAGACTGTGGCCTAAGCAATTAAAAGCGTCCAATCTCTCTCTTTGTTTTAATGGTTTTAAATGCACTCCAAGAGAGCCTTGCCTCGCATATTTTTTAATTGGGTCTTATAGGGTGTTGAGGGACAAGAGTTGTAAGAGAAAGATGCCTGGATCATTAGAGGAGAAATTGGAGAGGACCAGAGACAAGGGAAGCTACCCCTTCAGACCACTATAGCTGAAGATCTGATTAATGTTTTCAACATTTGAAGCTGCAATGGATTTTAAAAGTGAAATTTCAGAGTTGAGCATAGTTCAATACCAGAATGGTAGTTCAATACCAGAATGGTATTTAAACTTTACCAAGTCACAGGGTAGTCATAAAGATAAATTGCAAGTTAAGTTAGAATTAGCAAGGGCAGCTTTCAAAAGCTATAGAGGCCACTCTAGTCAGTCTAATAGGTCGCATTAAATTCTGAAAAGCCAAGGTAAATTACTAATTATTGTTTTACATTTAATGTAGAGGAAACAGGTTTTGAATAGGCAATGTGTGAATCCAAAATTACATCTTGTAAGTGCATTGGTGGTATCGTGGTGCACACGGCTGCCTTCCAAAATTACATCTTGTAGACTATATGCATAACCCATATTAAATCACTAAATGACCCCATTTAAAGTCATCATGTACAGCAAACACTTGCTTCCTTTTTATAGGATTCACAGCATGATTTCAGAGTTATTTACTTTTCCTACATTGTTGGTCAGAGTTTGTTTATTTTATTATAAAATAGGGAAAAATAAAACTGAGTTTAGGAAAATTACTAATGCAAGCCAAGGAAGAGTAGATTGTAGTATAATTTGTGTTTAATTTTCACTTTTTCTGAATAAATTAGTGAAAATGGTCATTAAAAATCTTTGAAAACTGTAGATGAATTTAACAAGAAAAATGGAAAGCACACATAGAAAATCAATGTTAAATGTCTGGCATTGGGGTGGATGTAGATATAGACGTACAGTTATATGTGAATAGAGACTTAAATATGTGAGTCTTTCTATTGGAAAATTTGTGATTATGAAAGAAATTTCCTTAGTGTTATCTAGTCCATAACGCAGTTGGAAGTTATCAATCAAAATAGCGTTAGAGAAAGTCAAAAGTGCCATGGTGCAAGCATCTTGATTGTCACGGAAAGAGTCCACAGACAGGAGAGTGAAGTTAGCAGATCCTTAATAATACTGTAGTACTTCAAGGTGCCCAACTCTAAGTAAGCTAAGTTGTTTAGATGTTAGGATACTTGCTGATTCTCTTTGGTGTTTAATTACATTGAGGCAATGGTTACAATGCGATCCAGGCAAAATTCTGTAATTTTTCTAATCCTCTTTGAAATGAATGTTTTTCCTCACCTTTCACCCCTCCTTTTTGACTTCACAGAGATGATGTCATCCACCACTAATAAAGATGCAGGGACCTTAGATATGACGTTGGGATTCATTCCTAATTTGTCACAGGAGCTGAAGGCAATTCTGTCTGAGGGGTAGCTGTCACTGAGAAAGGTACTACTTTCCTGACAAAAGAGAAGTGAAGCTGATGATGCCAGTAAACTATGCTGTGAAGAATGTTGTGACAAAGGGACTTTTCTGAAAGTATGCACAAAGTAAAGTAATTGTGAACTTCTCACCTAACCTCCTATGTATTCTCCATGAAACATTCAGTGATGTCCAATTCAGTGACCACTGATTGTTAGAATGTGAGAAATCATTATTAATGCTTACATGTTTCACTTGCTCTGTAACACCATAGTCTTTTCACTATTGTACTTCTATGAAATTGATCTTTTTTCTGCTGAAAAAGTCTCTTTCTCTTTTTTATTGAGAGTATATGTAAATCAATTGCTTTTGAATCTCATTGACTATATAATGATTATAAAAGCTTTATTACTTTAACCAACATAATAACTTTTTATACATAACTGACACCAACCACATGTAACAGTTATACATTTATTTAATCAATTTTGTCAACGTATACTACATGAACACAAAACCACAAACACTGCAATATTTTACTTCATTGGAAGTGGGAGGGTTTGGGGCTTAGTGAAATATTATTTGAAAGCAAGCTGAACTGACAATAAATATATTCAGATTTTTGTGCCCAAATGAACTCAACTGTTTCTCTAGTAAGGTTTTTTATGCTTTTAAATAAATATATAATCATAGAGATAACTGAATAAATAACTCATTTTTTGTCTCAGAAAGAACTAGCGAGGAAATGGATTCAAGTCTACCATTTTAGAATTTACAGAACATTTACGTAAGTAAAACAAACCATGAAATAATATGAGCATTTCTTAGAGTTGGTAAAACATCATGGTATCATTTTTAAATTTAGTCAGTTTCTTCAACCTCTGTATCCATACATATTAGCTAGCCTTTACAGAGAAAATGCACTTTAGAAAAAATTTACTTTAGAAAAAGTAAATTGCTTCAATCAAATGTCTGTAAACAGAATTATAGGAGACTAACATAGAAGTTCCTATATTCCAAAGTTCCATACATGGTCAATCATAACCAAGGCTCTAAGGTTTATCATGTCCTCTCTTAGTCCCTCCTGGAGAGCTTCTTCTCATTGAGAGAGCAGAGAACGACAGAATGTAACTGTTTGGGGAGAAAGCCAACATGTTTTAAGAGTTGTGCTTTCATGGTGGAACCTTTGTTGCTCATTGTAACTCTTGCATTCAGACTTACTTATCTGCAGTACACAGCTCACTGTCCATTCCAGAACACATTTTCTCCAAGTTCGTCCTTAACTGATAACACTGAGGGCTGTCACTATTATCTACTATCTACTGAAGTAGTTGCCTCAGTCTGCACCAGTACATACTCCTACTACTAGCCTATCTTTCTCTCCATTTTTCCCTCTAGTTTCCCAGATGTGTCATGACCCCTACCTTTCTTATTCCCAAAGACTGTTTTTGCGCAACAGGTATCAATTTTAAGGCACAGTCTCTCACGTGCAGAAAATATCCACCTTTCTTCTTTACTAAATCAATAGCAATCCCAATTCTGTTACTTAGTAGAGAATTCAACATCAGACATTGTTCTAATGGGGACACCCATGAAGGTGTGCACTGAACCCAGGGTCTTAGCGCCAAAGCACTAAGATCCTTGGGCTGCACTGTCCTCAATGGCTACCGCTGCAACACTCAGTGCAATCCCACATGGTCCTCTCACCTCTGTACTTGTGTCCCTCACTGGGGACAGAAAGAATGCTGACAAGGATCATATCTCTTCCCTTGGATAGGGAAGTTTCAACCTCAGGGTAATTTAAGGAAATAATCATATTATCTCCCTTCTGTTTCTTTTTCTGTGTCTGTCTCTGTATTTCACTCTCTCTCTGGCTCAAGTCCTATCAGGGTTACTTGTATAACTTTTTATATGTCTTTGGGCATTTATAAACAATTGGAAGTGCAGCTTTAGGCATCTCCTTTCTAGCATAGCCCTTCAAAAGTAAGCTAGACGGGCAAAAACCAAGGCCCAGGCAGCCTGCTTGAACTGGGCTGGGGAATGGAAATGTGAGACGGAATAATACAGTATCATGCCAAGCCAGGATAACATCTCAAGAAATTATCCTAACACACACACTGATCACTAACCTTTTCAGCCTTTCCTTCTCCCTGGCATTAGTCCAGATGTGAGGGAAAAATGATAATAGATGAAGTTTCATAATTTTACTAGTATATATAATTTTAAATCTCTTAACCAAGAAATGTTCAAAGCTTTGCTTCCTGGAGGACATTTGGAAGATATAAATTTCCCTTTATTCTTAGTTTTAATATTCTTTATAAATCAGTGTGACAATTGAAGTAAAAGGACAGACTCCTAGAATAGCTCTAAGGCCCTACTGTGAGATTCCCAGGGTGGATGTAACGAAGAACCTAAACTGGTTTAAAACAAAAGAATTTTTTTTTCTCATGGTTCTGAATGCTGCAAGCTAAAATCCAGGTGTTGGCAGTGCCAATGTTGTTCTGAAACCTTTGGGGAGCATCCTCTTTTCTTCTTCCTAACTTCACATGGATTGCTGCTGCTTTTTGGCATTCCTTGGTTGTAGCTGCAGCTCTTCAATGTTGTCCCTCTTGACACATGGTGCTCTCTGTTCCTTTGTCTTCACATTATCTTTGTGTAAGGATATCCATCCTGCTGAATATAGGGCCCAGCTCCAGAGGGACCTCATTCTAACTAACTACATCTACAGCCACGCTAGGGTCTATAAAGGTCCCATTCTGAAATACAGGTATTTATGGTTTCAGTGGATCACTTCGGGGACACAATTCAATGCATAACAGAGCCTGGAGAAATCCAGACAGGACAGTCAGGGTGGTGAAGAATACGCTCATTTACCTCTCTTCCCTCCCTTGATACACAGAAATAAAAATAAACCACTCTTCTGAGAAGACACAGAGGCAAAATTTTCTCCTGGGACTACAAAATGGTACAGCCACCCCAGAAAATATTTTGGTGACTTTTTAAGAAAAACTAAACATGTAACCATGCAACCATCTTACAAACCAGAGATTATATTCTTGAACATTTTCCCAGAAATTTAAAATTAATATTTACATAAATTCTGCACATGAATGTTTATATAGGCTGATTTGTAATCGCCAAACACTGCAACTACACAAAATGTTCTTTATGCATGTTAGTTACACAAACTGTGGTATATCCACACCATTGAATAAGATTCAACAATAAAAACAGCCAACTAGTGACAAGTGCATCAAGCCACATGACTATCCAGAGATCAGGCTGAGTTTTTTCACTAACTCCAGAAAGTTACATGCTTATGATTTCATTTCTAAAACATTCACAAAATGATAAAATTTAAAAATGGAAAATCTTTTTTTTCAAAATTTAAGGAGTGGGTTAGGGCGCAGGTTGGAAGTTGGTATGACTTTAAGGAATCCTTATGGTGGTGGAACAGATTTATATCATGACTGTTCAACTGTCAATATCCTCATTTTGATACATGCTGTAGTTTCATAGCTGTTACCTTTTGGCAAAACTGGAAAGGGTCTAGTAATTATTTATTACATTGGCATGTGTGAATCTGTAATTATCACAAAATTTAAAATTTAATTTGTTAAAAACCAGAAACTTCAGTTTTAGAAGTTGTTAGGGATTCGATGTAAATTGTTTCCTGTTGTCAAGTCAGGAAAAACAGTGAGGAATTCACAGAAAATATGAAGTTGTTAGTAAGAAATTGATCATGAAATTTAAAAAGTGGCAGATATGATCATAAATCAAAATGAGTTTCTCTAAGAACCTCTGACTGGATGAAGTGGAGACTGGAAGATGGTACAGATAGAAGGCTATGAGGAAGGGAATTCAGAAAAGAGCTTCAGAACCTCAGAGACCATCAGCTACCTGGGATAAAGCCAGCAAGAGTGCTGTCTGAAATACTGATTGCAATCCAAAAGGATGAGGACAATGCCCAGTAAAGTTAATGCTAGAACAAGACAAACATGCTGCCCCAGAAGTAAAAGGCAGCTTCCCAGATCGAGCCTGTCCCTGGCCCATGTCCCTCATCCCTTCCTCTGCAAAGTTATAATTCAAGATGATATTTGGGTGGGGACACAGAGCCAAACCATATCAGCACTAATAAGTAGGTACACCTTAAGTAGGTAGAAAAAGAACAAGCCAGAAGAAGGAAGAATAAAAAATGAAGATTACAATGGAGCTAAATAAAACAGAAGATAGGCAAATTCCTTGAACCCAGGAGCAGCCAAGATGGCGGAACAGAAACAGCTTCACTCTGCAGCTCTTACCTAGGAGGATGAAAATGGAGAGTGAATTCTGCATTGTCAATTGAGGTACCAAGATTCTCTCACTGGGACTGGCTAGGTAGTTGGTGCGACCCACGGAGAGTGAGAAAAAGCAAGGTAGAGAGAGGGCCCACCTGGGAGCTGCATGGGGCAAAGGGAACTCCCTCCCCCAGCCATCTGGGGCAGTGATGGATTGTGCTACCCTACCCTGAAAACCACACTTTTGCCATGGATCAATGCAACCTGCAGATCAGGAGGTCCCCTTGTGAGTCCATGCCACGAGGGACTTGGATCACAAGCACAAAGCTGTACAGACTCATGATGGTGGCTGGGGTGGGTGGCCACTAGAGCAGGCACTGAGACACAGGAATATTTGCATACTTCAGCTTTGGAAACTCCCGCGATGCAGGAGATCCACCCACTCCCATGGGAAGGGAGCTGAAGCCAGGGATCCACGAGGTCTTGCTCCCACGGAACCCCACAAGCTAAAACCTACTGGCTTAGAATCCTCTCTGGCCAGCACGGCAGGCTACAGACTGCCTAAAAAGACTGAGTTCGTGGGAGTGAGGGGGTGCTGCCATCACTATGGCTGCAGTCCACAGTTTTCCCATGCCACTGGTGCCAACGAGACTCAGCAGTCTGAATTGGGAGCAATTCCCCAGAGTGCAGCACAGCTGCTGGGTCAGTTTGTAGCCAGACTGCTTCTTTAAGCAGGATCCTGATCCACTCCTCCTCACCAGGCAGGGGCCCCCGCTATGGGAATCTCAGCATCCCCAGCCAGGGGTTCATGGACAGAACTCTGATATCCCTGAGAGGAGCCCCTGGGAGGAGAAGTGGCTGTGGTATTGTGGATCAGCCATCTTAGTCTTTTCTGCCTGCTGGCTCTGAAGAGTAAGGGCAGCCCAGACAAGGGGGATTCCCACCAGTGCAGCACATCCACCCTGCCAAGGGGCAGCTAGATTGCTTATTTAAGTGGGTCCCTAATCCTGGTCATCTTTTGAAAGAACCAACTTTAGTTTTGTTAAACTTTTCTATTGTTTTGCTAGCCTCTATTTTTAAAATTTTTTTGTTGGACTTTCGTTATTTTCTTCTTTCTGCTAAGCTTGGGCTTACTTTGTTCTTCTAGTTCCTTGAAATACAATGTTAAGTTGTTTATTTGAGATCTTTTTTGACATAGGTGCTTATTACTATAAACTTCTCTCTCAGCACTGTGTTTGCTGCATACCATAAATTTTGGTATGTTGTGTTTCCATTTTGGAGTTTTTGAGATGGAGTCTCACTCTGTCACACAGGCTGGAGTGCAGTGATGCCCTCTCAGCTCACTGCAACCTCCGCTTCCCAGGTTCAAGCCATTCTCCTGCCTCAGCCTCCTGAGCAGCAGGGATTACAGGTGCCTGCCACCACACCTGACTAATTTTTCGTATTTTTAGTAGAGACAGGGTTTCACCATGTTGGCCAGGCTGGTCTTGAGCTCTTGGCCTCAAGTGATCCACTCACCTCAGCCTCCCAAAGTGCTGGGATTACAGGCATGAGCCACTGAGCCCAGCCTGTCTCAAGATATTTTTTAAACTCCCTTTATATTTCTTCTTTGACCCACTGGTAGTTAGGAACATGTTCTTTAATTTCCACATATTTGTGAGTTTTCAAAAGTTCCTCCTTTTATTGATTTCTACTTTCATTCCATTGTGGCCAGAAAAGATATTTGATATTATTTTATTCTTCTAAATTTATTAGGACTTGCTTTGTAGCATAACATATGATCTATTCTGGTGAATGTTCTCTGTGCATTTTAGAAGAATGCGTATTCTGTTGCTGTTGGATGGAATGTCCCATAAATATCTGTTAGCTCCACTTGTTCCAAAGTATAGTTCAAGTCTTTTGATGAGTCTCTTGTGGGCAGTATATAGTTGAGTCTTTTTTTTTTTATCCATTCAGCCCTGTTTTTTGATCAAAGAACATAATCCATTTACATTCAAAGTAGTTATTGATGGGTTAGAATTTACTACTGCATTTTGTTAATTGTTTAGTGGTTATTTTGTAGATCCTTTGTTCTTTTCTTTTTCTCTTGTTCTCTTTGTGATTAGATGATATCCTGTAGTGGTATGCTTGATTTCTTCTTTTTTATCTTTTATATATCTACTATAGGTTTTGCCTTGTGGTTACCACAAGGCTTACATTCATCTCAGTATGATTAATATTTTCCGTTCTCAAAAACCTTACCTGATAAAGTTCTGACTAGGACTCATGGCCCACTATAGTTTGGACATAAGTTATTTTTTAAGGAAGGTGATTAAATTTTACTAATCTATATTATATCAACCATTTAAAAAATCCAATTGGCAGTTAATTTAACAGCATTCATGGATGCCACTGGGAAGCAGGGAAAAGATAGGGAAACGGAAAATTAAGAAAAAGACATAGAGTCAGAAGACAGAAAAGAAAGGGAGAAAAAAATAAAATTGTATAGGGAAATGGTGAGATCACTGATAAGCTTGCACCTGTGGCTTCAGCATCCTGAACCTTATTCCTGAGACAGCCACCGAATGCCCTCTTGTGGCCGATAGTACATCCTTCCACGCCAACACACTAGTAACACAGAACTTCATTTAAAATGATAAAGCTACCTATGCCGATTGCGCTTCGCTTCCCTGCCCCTTCCCTCCTAACTGAGCAAAATTATCTCACCTAAATGAGCATTTCATGCTGCATGCTGTTATTCTTACAAGGCAAATCCTCTAGGGGTCCCTGTCACAAGTTAATTTGGTAATACACAATCCTCTACATTATCTAACCGAAAGAACCAGATTTCCATCCCAGGTACCTCAAGACAGCGTCCCTACTTCTTTTTTCTGGAGATTGAGGCTAAGGCCCATGCCTCCCTGTGAACCAGTAGGATTTTTCTGAAGAAGCTTTGAACCTGACTAAACGCACATGGCCATATGCAACACTTAAACGTTTCACCACATATTTGATTGCCAGCTAAATGCCAGATCCCGGGGTACGATGGAAAGCAAGAACAGACGCAGGCCCTTGCCTTCATGAAGCGGGGGTCTCAGGAAAGAGGTTACACGCCCACAAATGGAAACAGGTCGATTAACACCGTGAAAGAGATGACAGGGGGTTTCTGTGAGGGAGACGAAGCTTTATTAACAACCTGGCAAACAAGAACGAGAAACGCATTCCAGGTGGAGGGAGCAACACTTTTTAACCTACGTTATCAGGTAACAGGGATCCTATGTTCTCACGCTTGGTGAGGAATCTCCCATTGAGGAAGGAAAGAAAAATGAATCAAACTAGGGGGTGGCGGGGTAGTGAGGGGATTTTTGGCTTTCATTTTAGGAGCCAGGGCCTGCTACCTTCGACCACCTGAGACCCCTGAGCTGGCGGGAAAGCCTTGACGCAGCCGGCGCGCGCCTTCCCTTGAAGTTCTGGCGACGCCCCCACGCGCTCGGAATTCCGCAGTGTTTGTGCGCGCCGCTCGGCCTGGCGCAGGCGCAGACAGGGAGCAGGGTCCGGCCGACCGCCATTGCACAACGCGGAGGACTAGCCTGGGGTCACAGGGATGCCGCGGCTCCTCCGCTTGTCCCTGCTGTGGCTTGGACTCCTGCTGGTTCGGTTTTCTCGTGAACTGAGCGACATCAGCAGTGCCAGGAAGCTGTGCGGCAGGTACTTGGTGAAAGAAATAGAAAAACTCTGCGGCCATGCCAACTGGAGCCAGTTCCGTTTCGAGGAGGAAACCCCTTTCTCACGGTTGATTGCACAGGCCTCGGAGAAGGTCGAAGCCTACAGCCCATACCAGTTCGAAAGCCCGCAAACCGCTTCCCCGGCCCGGGGAAGAGGCACAAACCCAGGTAAAAATCGAAACCGAAGGCATGTTTGTTCACCTCTGTATATTTCTTATTCCTGCATTTGCTCTGCCAGAAGGTGAGCTTCCCCAGGAAGTGGAATTTGTGCCTAGTACACAGCTCTTTAAAAAATTGTAAAAAACAGTGTATTGAAAATATACAAAACTTCAATGAAGCGCTTTTTTTTTTAACTTGGAGGAAATAAATGTACACTTGTAAGTCTACATATTTATGTAAGAATGTTGTTCTTTTCTGGAGTGCCAGTCATCTGGCAAACTCCTTTTTGTCCTTCAAAGCCCAACTTAAGTATCATTTTCCCTGTGAAGTCATCATTGACCTTTTCATGGCCAATGGCTCCATTGTCCTTTCTACCACAGTATCTAGCACATAGTTGTATTTGACTGTCGTCATTGGCTACAGAATCAGCCCAACCTTGTAGAAGATAAAAATGCAGAGTACCTTGTTCAAAAAAGCAGGAAAGGGCCATGAAAATAAAGGTAGTAAAATATAAAACTGTTTTCCTTACTTGTCCATATCCCCTGGTCACGTACCAGGAGATAGGCCTGGTCCGTTCTCCTATCAGGCTTCATTTAAGAGTTTACGTACTTGTATTTCATTCACTTAAAGTTTCAAAGGTAAATTTATTCAGAACAACAAAGGAACATTTAAACCAAATGCAAGGCCTGTGTGACTACATAGGTTTCAGTCCCATAAAGTCAGCCCTATATACCATACTGTATTATAGGGACTATTTCATGCATATTTTTGTCTGAAATGCTTAGCAGATGGCCTAGCACATCGCATGTGTTTAATATGCGCTGAATTTATACTTGATGCTTTCAAGCAGTCTGCAGGAAGGATATTCTTGTTCCAGATTCATTGGTATATCTTACTATGTTTTTACATTTTGTGACTAAGACATTTTAGTCCCAGTATGATTTGTCATTTTAAAAGAAATTGCACTTTGTTTATAGTGTATCCATAGGAAGAAGATTACTGCCTTTTACAGTAATTCAGTTGATTTGATTTGGACAAATCTTGTAAAAGTGAAGATTTCTGAAATTAAGGAAATGAGTAAACTATCATGCCAAAAAGAGACCCTAATGTAGAGGACTGAAAAAAGTCAAACAATGCACATTGTAGGCACTCATTAGCTTTTTTGGAATGAATGAATAGAATTTATAAAGTCACTGTTGCTGAAAGAATAAAAACTTTTAAAGACAGAAACCATGAGACTGATTCATGATCATTTTCAAACCGACCCATCAAACTAACCCACATACAAACCTCACCTTGTCCTTCTGTTATAATGAAGGAAGTGTCTCTCCCCAGTCTTCTACTTTTACTTTAGTTCAGTGACTCTCACGCTTTAATGTGCATATGAATCATTTGGGAATCCTGTTAATTTACCGACTCTGAGTTAGTAGACCTGGGGTGGGGCCTGATATTTTTCGTTTTTAACTAGCTCCCAGGTGCTGCTAGTTCGTGGCCCACACTTTTGAGTAACAAGGTCCAGTTTACTGTCTGTCTCTCTCTTTTTTTTTTCTTTTAAACTCCTCTTTCTTGTTCTTTTCTCCCAGGAGTGCAAGGAGAGCCTTCCCTTTCTGCTTTATGTTGGGTGGGCATTTCTCTCACATCAAATACTGTGCTTTCACTACCTATGCTATAATACTGTAGTCAAAATTTTATTTTTAGACCTCCAAGCTTGAGGCTGTTATTTAAAGAGAGGTTGGAATGCCTTTTCTCAACAAAGTGCTCTAAAGACAGTTTTCTTAATAAAAATGTTCAACCTTAAAACTCAGCTTGTTAATGATCCTTTTGTTTTAAGTATTATTCACACTCCCCTGGAAGAATAAATGTCATTAATAATGAGCAGGAAGCTGCAATGAAACAAGACTTGTAGAAAATAAAAATGTATCTGAAAATATTTGAAAATTGTTATACCCACAAAACCTGCTACTATGGAAACTATGTAAAAGACAGTTTGCTGAAGTGGAAATACTATGTAACAGTAAAACCACAGTTGTATTGAAATATGTAGAGGAAGGAAAAATGGGTTAGGTTATCAACATGAATTGTATTATAATTTTAAAAATTATTAATCTATAAGGGAAGATGACATTTATTCTGTCCTGTTAATTTCTAGGAAATAATTTAGAAGTTGCAGAGATGTATATGTTTCTAATATAGAATACATAATTATGACATCATTTTTATATATGAATATGGCTGGAAAGTTGATTACTTTTTATTTCACTTTTACCAGCAGGACAAGTTGTTGTGTTAGATCAAGTCAGTTGTCTGAAATTTTAATATCCTGATGATCTACTTGAGTCTGACACAGAAAAATATAATTTGCTACGCTGCTATTAAAAAATGCTTTTTTTCAAAGCTACTTATACATATCTTGAATCTGTAATTGTGTGCTTCTTGTTAATGGACCCTGAAGGTGGAGGCAGTATCTCCAAGACCTACCCCGTAATGTGGCACCATGAAGTTGACATCATATTTCTAAATTACGACTGAGTATTGTGCTTCCGAGATATTAGTGCCAGGTGAAATCATTAATGTTTCAAAATCAGCTTTTCATAATCTGTAACCCCTATTCCAGTTAGATTAATCATATTCCCATATTCTTAGTCTTCATGTCACATATTCTTGTTTTTTTTGTTTCTTTATGTTTCAGATATCATCACAACTAGTCTGTAAAGGGCCCTTCTCTTTATATATTAGTTCAACAAAATTTGAGTACCTATCATGTGTTAGGCACTCTTCTTGGTGATTGGGATGTTAGAGTAAACGGTGAAGGCTCCTACCCTCATGAAGCCTACAGAATAGTAAAGATAGACAATTAACATAAGTAAATTATAATTTACAGAAGGTGATTATCCTCACTTAGCCCCTTTCTCCACTCCCATTCTCCTCCTCTCCTTGGCAATTGTTGTAATGTGTTTATTATATATTTTTTGTTTTTATAAGTTTTTGCAAATTATGCATTCTTTCCTGTTCATATGTTTTAAGATATATCTAAAAGGCATTTAAGATCTATATCTTATTGTTGCTATGTGAACATTTAGTCCATTGCTTCTAACTACTGCATAATACTCATGTGCATTCCTCACATTTTACTGATTTATTCAGTTTTGAACACCTAACCTATGTAGCCTTGAACTCCCTACCACTACAGATAACACTGCCATGAACATCATTGTATGTGTCCCCTTATGAACCTAGAAGTGTTTCTGGGATACACATCTAGAGTGGAATTGCTGTGTCATGAAGTATGTGTATGTTTAATTTGCCTGAGGAGTATCAGATTGCTCTTCAGAGTGACTACACCAATGTATAGTTGCACCACCAATCCTGTGTCCTCATATCTATGTCAACAATTAGCATTATACAGTTATTAACTTTTACCAGTGTAATAGATGTAAAATGACACTATATTTCTATTTTAACTTGCTCTGGGTCTGAACATCTTTTCATATACATGTTAACCTTTTGGATTTTCTCTTAAAATTTCCTGTTTATATATTTTGCCCAATTCTTGTTGGAATTGTTATCATTTTCCAGTTGGTTTATAGGAGTTAATCAAATCTAGATACAGTAACAACTAGTTGTTGGTTTTAGATGTCACAAATATGTTCTCCCATTTTGACATCTGTCTATTGCTGTTGCTTGACAGAAAGCCTTAACTTTTATATAATTAAGCAGTAAGTGTTTTGCCTTATGTATTAGAGGTCCTTTTCTGTCCTTCTGTTAACTTTTCAGTTTTACTTTTCACATTAAGTCCTTAATTATTAGGCTAATTTTTAGTTCTGGTCTCGGTAGGAATATTACCTCACTTTCTCAGTAAGTCTTTTTTTCTCTACATAGGGAGCTAGTTTTCTGAACACTTTCTACTAATCAATTATTTTTCTCACTAATTTGTGGGATAACCATTACTGATAAGTTTGAGCTTTCTATTTTATTTAATTGGTCATTTATTTGGCCTTTTATCGTTACTATTTTTGATACTGTGACTCTATAGGATGTCATTTATCTGGCAGGACAAGTCTTCAATGTTTATTTTTTCCCTTAGGATTGACTAACCTAAATCTTCAACCTTTATTCTTTCATATATATTTAAAAGTATGCTTATTGAATTTCTTTTTTAAAAGTCCACATGGAATTTTATTTGGGATGCGTGGAATATTATCAGGGGAACCCGCCCCCAATATTTCAATGTAGGTTCTATTTTCCATAAGTGTCCGCTGGCTGAGAAATAAAGAGTACAAAGAAAGGAATTTTACAGCTGGGCCGCCGGGGGTGACAGCACATATCAGTAGGACTCTAATGCTGGCCTGAGCCTCAAACCATCAAGTTTTTTGTTAAGAGTTTCAAAAGGGGAGGGGGTGTAAGAACAGGGAGTAGATCACATGCTTCAAAGTGCAAAGAGCAGAACTACTAATAAGGGTCTAACAAAGATGACATGCTTCTGAGGGAACAGGACAAATGGCAAAAGCAGAACTACTGATAAGGGTCCAATAAAGATCACAAGGGAAAGGGCAAAAGCAGAACTACTGATAAAGGTTTATGTTCAGTGGTGCATGTATTGTCTTGATAAACATCTTAAATAACAGAAAACAGGGTTTGAGAGCAGAGAACCAGTCTGACCACAAATTTACCAGGGTGGAGTTTTTCCCCACCCTAGTAAGCCTGAGGGTACTGCAGGAGACCAGGGCGTATATCAGTCCTTATGTCAACGACATAAGACAGACATTCCCGAAGCGGCTGTTTATAGACCTCCCTCCAGTAGTACATTCCTTTCCCAGGGTATTAATACTAATATTCCTTGCTAGGAAAAAGAATTTAGTGATATCTTCCCTACTTGCACATCCGTTTATAGCCTCTCTGCAAGAAGAAAAATATGGCTCTTTTTGCCCAACCCCGCAGGCAGTCAGACCTTACAGTTGTCTTCCCTTGTTCCCTAAAAATTGCTGTTATTCTGTTCTTTTTCAAGGTGCACTGATTTCATATTGTTCAAACACACGTTTTACAATCAATTTGTACAGTTAACACAATTATCACAGTGGTCCTGAGGTGACATACATCCTCAGCTTACGAAGATAACAGGATTAAGAGAGTAAAGACAGGCATAAGAAATTATAAAAGTATTATTTGGGAACTGATAAATGTCCATATTAAAATGAAATCTTCACAATTTATGTTCCTCTGCCATGGCTCCAGCCGGTCCCTCCGTTCAGGGTCCCTGACTTCCCACAACAGAATATATACACTAATTTGAAGAGGATTGACTTCTTTTTTTTGCTTCACCTTCTAAGTTCAGGAGTACATGTGCAGGATGTGCAGGTTTGTTACATAGATAAATGTGTGTCATGGTGGTTTGCTGCACAGATCATCCTATCACCTATGTATTAATCCCAGCATCCATTAGCTATTCCTCCTGATACTTTCCCTTCCCCCAGGGCCCCTGTCAGGCAGGCCCCAGTGTGTGTTTTCCCCTGCATGTGTCCATGTGTTCTCATCGTTCAGTTCACACTTACAAGTGAGAACATGTGGTGTTTGGTTTCTGTTCCTGCATTAGTTTGCTGAGAATGATGGTTTCCAACTCCATCCATGTCCCTGCAAAGGACATGATCTCATTCTTTTTTATAGCTGCATAGTATTCCATGGTGTATGTGTAGCAAGTTTTCTATATCCAGTTTATCATTGGTGGGCATTTAGGTTGATTCCATGTCTTTGCTATTGTGAATAGTGCTGCAATGAACATATGCTTGCATGTATCTTTATAACAGAATGATTTACATTCCTTTGGGTATACACCCAGTAATGGATTGCTGGGTCAAATGGTATTTCTGCCTCTAGGTCTTTGAGAAATCACCACACTGTCTTCCACAATGGTTGAACCCTACCAACAGTGTAAAAGTGTTCCTTTTTCTCCACAACCTTGCCAGCATCTGTTGTTTTTTAGCTTTAATAATAGCCATTCTGACTGGCATGAGATGGTATCTCATTGTAATCTTGATTTGCATTTCTCTAATGATCAGTGATGTTGAGCTATTTTTTGTTTGTTGGCCACATATATGTCTTCTTTTGAGAACTCTCTGTTCATGTCTTTTGCCCACTTTTTAATGGGGTTGTTTTTTTCTTGTAAATTTGTTTAAGTTACTTATAGATGCTGGATATTAGAGCTTTGTCAGATGGATAGATTGCAGAAATTTTCTCCCATTCTGTAGGTTGTCTGTTCACTCTCATGATTTTTTTTTTTTTTTGCTGTGCAGAAGCCCTTTAGTTTAATTAAATCCCGTTTGTCAGTTTTTGATTTTGTTGCAATTGCTTTTGGTGTTTTTGTTTTGAAATATTTGCCTGTGCCTGTGTCTTGAATGCTATTGCCTAGATTTTCTTCTAAGGTTTTTATGGTTTTGGGTTTTACATAAGTCTTTAATCCATCTTGAGTTAATTTTTGTGTAGAGTGTAAGGAAGGGGTCCAGTTTCAATTTTGAGCCTACAGCTAGCCAATTCTTCCAGCACCATTTAATAAATAGAGAATTCTTCCCTCATTGCTTGTTTTTGTCAGGTTTGTCCAAGATCGTATGGTTGTAGGTGTGTGGTGTGTGGTTTTATTTGAGTTCTCTATTCTGTTCCATTGGTCTATGTATCTGTTCTTGTACCAGTACCAAGCTGTTGTGGTTACTGTAGCCTTGTAGTATAGTTTGAAGTTGGGTAGTGTGATGTAGGAAACCACAGAGATGGTGGCTGCCCCTCCCCACAGGAACTTTGTTCCAGAGTGAGATCAGAGCTCTGTCTGTATAACTCTGGCTGGAGTGGCTGAAGCCTCCACATGGAGGTCCTGCCCAGTGAAGAGTAATGGATCAGTGTCCTGCTTAAAGAAGCAGTCTGGCCACAATCTGCCAAAGCAGCTGTACTGCCTTCTGGGGAACCCTTTCTCATGCCAACCAGCAAGCTGGAACAGCTGAGTAAAGGGAACCGTGGAGATGGCGGCAGCCCCTCCTCCCTAGGAGCTCAGTCCTAGGGAGAGATCACAGCTCTGTCCCTGTAACCCTGGCTGGAGTGGCTGAAGCCCCTACAAGGAGGTCTCACCCAGGGAGGAGGAATGGATTGGGGTCCCACTTAAAGCAGCAGTCTGAGCGTGGTGGCTCATGCCTGGAATCCTGGCACTTTGGGAGGCCAAGGCGGGTGGATCACTTGACATCAGGAGTTCAAGACCAGCTTGGGCAACATGGCAAACCCTGTCTCTACTAAAAATACAAAAATTAGCTAGGCATGGTGGCATGTGCCTGTAATCCCAGCTACTTGGGAGGCTGAGGCGGGAGAATCGCTTGAACCTGGGAGGTGGAGGTTACAGTGAGCCAAGATCACGCCACTGTACTCCAGCCTGGGTGACAGAGCGAGACTCCAACTCAAAAAAGAAAAAGAAGAAAAAGAAAGAAGCAGTCTGGCCACAGTCTGGCACAGCAGCTGTGCTGTGTTGTGGGGTACCTTCCTCCTCTGGACTGTTTGGATTCTCCAAAGCTGGGAGGCTGGAACAGCTGAGTTGACCTTTCCCAGAGATGGCGGCTGCCCCTCCTCCCAGGAACTCTGTCCCGTTTCAGGTGGACTCCAGCTTTTGCTTTGGGTGGCTGGAATTCCAAATCAGGTCTTAATTTGTGAGGTGCTGTGGAAGTGGGACGTGCAGAACAACTGCTTGGCTCCCTGGATTCAGCCCCCTTCCTTGGGATATGCACTGTCATATCTTCTGCCTTGCCAGGATCCCAGGGCCAGAATCTGTAAAACTCCTGGGCCTCATTGTGTGCCTGAGCGTTTGCTCTGCTGAGACTCCACACAGCTCTGTGTGTCGAACCCAAGGCCCTAGTGGCATGGGCTCACAATGGGATCTCCTGATCTGCAAAGATCTGGGATCAAAGATGGGATTTCCTGATCTGGGTTTCAGAGATCTCTGGGAGAAATGTGATTTCCCGGGCGGGGTGGCACAATCACTCACCACTTTCCTTGGCTGAGGGTGAGTTTCCTTTGGCTCCCTGCTGTTCCTTGGTAGGCCATTCATTGCTCCACCCTGCATTTCTTCTTTCTCTCTGGATCAAGTTGTTTGCCTAGTCAGTCCCAATGTGAGAACCTGGATATTTCAGTTGAAGGTGCTGAATTCACTCTTTTATTCCTCTCCCTGAGCGCCATGGATCACAGCTGCATCTAATTGGCCATCTTGTGCACCCAACTCCCCCCGACCCCATTGACCTCTTTATTACATAAAGTCATCCTAATCAAAGTCATGAAATTACTTATATTCTATTCTTATGATTTTAAAGTTTTCTTTATGGAAACTTTTACAGTATCATTGGTTAATTTCATGCTTAATACTTTTTTTTCTTTAGCTATTGTAAATACCTGTGAATTATATTTACTAGTTAGTGACTTGGCTAGAGAAATGCAACTTATTTTTATAGGTTGATCTTTATCCAGCAACCATGCTGAACTATCTTCATAGTTCTAATAGTTTGTTGATTCTATAGGTTTTTTATCACTTGAAAATGATAGTTATATCACTTTCTTGCTAAACTTATACCATTTTTTTTTTTTTTGCTTTGATTTCTTGTTTTGTTCCCAGGCTTAAAGGGCACGCATTTAAATATCTCCATTAGGTATGATGTTTGTAGGTTTATGCTATATAATCTTCATTAAGGTAAGGAAGCTTGCTAAGAGATTTTTTTTTAATCATCGTAAATAGGGCTGAACTTTATTAAGGTCTTCTTTTCGCATACTTTTGCTTAGTCTTATGATTTTTTCTTTTATTAAGCAAATACTCATTGGGTACCTACTAAGCATCCAGGCACAATTTTAGAATCTTGGGAATATGTCAGTGGACAAAACAGACAAAGATCAAAGGCTTTATGGAGCTTTATTAAGTAAATATTTGAAAGTAGTAAGAGCTACAGAAAAATGAAAAATGAAACAGGATAAGGGAGATAAACAGAGCAAGGAGTTGAAAGGTGGGGTATAGTATTAAACAGTGTGGTAAGGGTAGACCAATTATTGAAAAGGTGAGATTTAAAAAGAAGTGGTAAGGGAATTATCCAAGTGGATATGTGGAGAAAGGGCATTTATGCAGAGGAAATAGTGGAGCAGAGGCCCTTCTGCCTGATGTATACAGGGAGTAGCAAAGAGTCCAAATGTGGTTGGAGCAGAGAAAATGAGGAAAGTAGTAGAAGATAAGGTAGGAGAGGTAATAGGCAGACATGATAAAATAGGGTATTTTAGGCCAGTAATCCCCAACCTTTTTGGTACCAGGGACCAGTTTCATGGAAGACAATTTTTCCTTGGACCAGGGAGGGGAATGATTTTCAGATGATCCAAGCGCATTACGTTTATTGTGAACTTTATTTCTATTACTATTACATGGTAATGTTTAATGAAATAATTATACAATTTACCATAATGTAGAATCAGTGGGAGCCCTGAGCTTGTTTTCCTGAAACCAGATGGTCCCATCTGGGGGTGATGGGAGACAGTGATAGATAATCAGGCATTAGATTCTCATAAGGAGCGTGCAACCTAGATCCCTGGCATGCGCAGTTCACAATAGGGTTCACACTCCTATAAGAATCTAATGCTGTCCCTGATCTGACAGGAGGTAGAGCTCAGGTGATAATGCGAGCAATGGGGAGCAGCTGTAAATATAGATGAAGCTTTGCTCGCTCGCCTGCCCACTGCTTACCTCCTGCCATGTGGCCTGGTTCCTAACAGGCCATAGACCAGTTAAGTCCCCAGTGGTTGGGGACCCCCTGTTTTAGATCATTTTAAAGACTTTGTTTTGGGGTGATGCAAGGAGTCATTAAGATTTTTGAGCAGAGAAGTGACATAATTGACATTTTAAATGGATCACTCTGGCTACTGTGTTGAGAATAGACTGTAGAAAGGCAAGAGTAGAAACAGAGAGACCTGTTAGGGAGGGTCTTAGATGAGGATGATAGAAGTGAAGATAGTGAAAACTGTTAAATTCTAGTTATACACGGGCCATATTTGATGTGAGATATGAGGAAGAGAAATCAAGAATGACTCCATGGCCAGACGCGGTGGCTCATGCCTGTAATCCCAGCACTTTGGGAGGCCGAGGCAGGTGGATCATGAGGTCAGGAGATCGAGACCATCCTGGCTAACACGTTGAAACCCCATCTCTACTAAAAAACACAAAAAATTTGCTGGGCGTGGTGGTGGGCACCTGTAGTCCCAGCTACTCGGGAGACTGAGGCAGGAGAATGGTGTGAACCCGGGAGGCAGAGCTTGCAGTGAGCCGAGATAACGCCACGGCACTCCAGCCTGGGCGCCAGAGCGAGACTCTGTCTCAAAAAAAAAAAAAAAGAATGACTCCAAAACATTGTTAATTCTGAAGTTTTGTATGTGGAACACCTAGAAGGATGGGATTGTCATAAATGAGATAGGAAAGGCCTCGAAGTGGAACAGGTTTGGAAGACGGTATCAGTAGTTCAGTTTTGGACATGTTGAATTTTGTGGAGTTTTAGACAATGTTGAGTTTGAAACATTAATGTGGACTTGTTGAGTAGGAAGTAAGGTATATAAATCTGGAGTTTGAAAGAGTCATCTTGTTTGCAGATAGAAGTTCAGAAGTCGTAGGTAGATAAATAATTTTTTGAGCTGTAAGACTAGAGGAGATCACCAGAAGAGTAAGTGTACATAGAAAATAGTACTAAGAACTGAGTCCTCAGAAACACCAACAATAATAAGTTGGGGAGTGAGAACTTGTAAAGGAAACAGAAAAGGGACAACTACTTAGGTTGGAAGAAAAGAGAGTGTGATATCGTGGAAACCAAATGATGAAAGTATGTCAGGAAGAGGTGTATTTCATAAATCAATTAAGATGTGAATGGCTGTTGAATTTAGCAATATGTTTGTGACCTTCATAAGAGAAGTTTTGGTAGAGTGATGAAATGAAAGTCTGATTAGAGTGGGTTTAAGACAGTGAGAGAAGAGGAACAAATTAGTAAATATAGAAAACTCTATCAAGGAGTTTTGTTACAGAAAAGAGAAAATAGATACGATGGTAGCTGGCATGGTAAGTGGGGCCAAGAGAAATGTGTTTGGGTTTGTGTGTGTGTTTTTATAAGTGGGAGAAATAAGTTTTCTGGTAAGAGTGATTCAATAGAAGTTAAAAACTGATGAAGAATGCGGAGAAGGATTGCTGGAGTAGTGTCCTAGGGTAGGCAAGAGGAGAGATGTAATACGTAAGTGCAGAAATTGGCTTTAGAGTGTATAGTTCATCTGTAGAAATAGGTAGAAAGGGAGAGTATATGGGTGTACCTGTTAAGAGATGAATTTAAAAATTTGGCAAAGGGAGTCGATGCAAGTTCTTTTTCAGATTGCATCAATTTTCTCCTGAAGTAGAAAGCAAATCCAGCTGTGATTGAGGATGGGTGTCTATTAACATGGTAAACTAAGTTGATAGGTTTTGTGATCTTGACCTGTCCTCGTGTTTCTGGGATGAACCCTTTCATTCTTTTTTTTTTTTTAATTTTATTTTTAAATTCAGCAGTACATGAGCGAGATGTGCAAGTTCATTACATAGGTAAACGTGTGCCATGGTGGTTTGCTGTGCCTGTCAACCCATCACCTAGGCATTAAGCTCAGCATGCATTAGCTATTTTTCCTGATGCTGGCCCTCCCCCAACCCCACCCTCTGACAGGCCCCATTGTGTGTTTTTTGCTTCCCCATGTTCACGTGATCTCATTGTTCAGCTCCCACTTATAAGGGAGAACTTGCTGTGTTTGGTTTTCTCTTCCTGCCTTAGTTTGCTGAGGATAATGGCTTCCAGCTCCATCCATTTCCCTGCAAAGGACATGATCTCATTCCTTTTTATGGCTACATAGTATTCCATGGTGTATATGTGCCACATTTTCTATATCCAGTCTCTTATTGATGGGCATTTGGGTTGAATTCATGTCTTTGCTATTGTGAATAGTGCTGCAATGAACATATGCATCTTTGTAATAGAATGATTTATATTCCTTTGGGTATATACCCAATAATGGTATTGCTGGGTCAAATGGTATTTCTGGTTCTAGATCTTTGAGGAATCACCACACTGTCTTCCACAATGGTTGAACTAATTTACATTCCCACCAACAGTAGGAATTAGTTCCTATTTCTCTGCAACCTCAAAAGCATCTGTTGTTTCTTGACTTTGTAATAATTGCTATTCTGACTGTCGTGAGATAGTATCTCATTGTAATTTTGATTTGCATTTCTCTAATGATCATTGATGTTGAGCTTTTTTTTCAAATGTCTGTTGGCTGCATGAATGCCTTCTTTTAAGAAATGTCTTTTCATGTCCTTTGCCCACTCTTTTTTTTTTTCTTTTGAGGTGGAGTCTTGCTTTGTCACCCAGGCTAGAGTGCAATGGCATGATCTCGGCTCACTGCAGCCTCTGCCTCCTGGGTTCAAGCAATTCTCCTGCCTCAGCCTCTCGAGTACCTGGGACTACAGGCACACACCACCACGCCCAGCTAATTTTTGTACTTTTAGAAGAGGCAGGGTTTCACTACATTGGCCAGACTGGTCTCGAATTCCTGACCTCAGGTATCTGCCCACCTCGGCCTCCCAAAGTGCTGGGATTACAGGCGTGAGCCACTGCACCTGGCCTGGCCACTCTTTAAGCGGATTGTTTGTTTTTTCTTGTAAATTTGTTTAAGTTCCTTGTAGATTCTGGATATTAGACCTTCGTTAAATGGATAGATTGCAAAAATTTCCTCCCACTCTGTAGGTTGTCTGTTCACTCTGATGGTAGTTTCTTTTGCTGTGCAGAAGTTCTTTAGTTTAATTAGATCTTATTTGTCAATTTGGGCTTTTGTTGCAATTGCTTTTGGTGATTTTGTCCTGAAATCTTTGCCCATACCTATGTTGTGAATAGCATTGCCTAGATCTTCTTCTAGGGTTTTTATAGTTTTGGTTTTACAGTTAAGTCTTTAATTCAGCTTGAGTTAATTTTTCTATAAGGTGTAGGGAAGTGGTCCAGTTCTCCCAGCACCATTTATTAAATAGCGGATCCTTTGCCCATTGCTATTTTTTGTCACGTTTGTCCAAGATCAGATGGTCATAGATGTGCGGTCTTATTTCTGAGTTCTGGAACAGAAATTCTATTGGTTTAGGTGTCTGTTTTTGTAACAGTACCATGCTGTTTTGGTTACTGTACCCTTGTAGTATAGTTTGAAGTCCAGTAGTGTGATGCCTCCCTTCAGCTTTGTTCTTTTTGCTTAGGATTGTCTTGGCTGTTTGAGCTCTTTTGGTTCCATACGACTTTTTAAATAGTTTCTTCTAGTTCTGTGAAGAATGTCGATGGTAGTTAGATGGGAATAGCATTGAAACTATAAATTACTTTGGGCAGGATGGCCATTTTCACGATATTGATTCTTCCTATCCATGAACATGGAATTTTTTTTTGTTTGTGTTCTCCCTTATTTCCTTGAGCAGTGGTTTGTAGTTCTCCTTGAAGAGGTCCTTCATGTTCCTCGCTAACTGTATTCATAGGTATATTCTCTTTGTAGCAATTGTGAATAGGAGTTCATTCATAATTCAGCTCTCTGCTTTCTTGTTCTTGGTATACAGGAATGTGTGTGACCTTTGCACGTTGATTTTGTATCTTGAGACTTTGCTGAATTTGCTTATCAGCTTAAGAAGCTTTTGAGCAGAGATGATGGTGTGTTCTAGATGGGGTGTCTATGTTTGCATGTCATCTGCAAACAAAGACAATTTGGCTTCCTCTCTTCCTATTTGAATACCCTTTATTTCTTTCTCTTGCCCGATTGCCTTGGCCAGGACTTCAGATACTATGTTGAATAGGAGTGATGAGAGGGCATCCTTAACTTGGGCCAGTTTTCAAGGGAATGAATCCAGCTTTACCCATTCAGTATGATATTTGGCCGTGGGTTTGTCATAAATGGCTATTATTTTGAGGTATGCTCCATCAACACCTGATTTATTGAGAGTTTTTAACATGAAGGGATGTTGAATTTTATGGAAGATCTTTTCTGCATCTATTGAAATAATCTTGTGGTTTTTGTCTTTAGATATGTTTATGTGATTAATTACATTTATTGATTTTGTATATTTTGAACCACCCTTGCACCCTGGACATGAAGCCAACTTGATCGTGGCAGATAAGCTTTTTGATGTGCTGCTGTATTTGGTTTGCCAGTATTTTATTGAGGATTTTTACATTGGTGTACTTCAGGAATATTGGCCTGAAGTTTTTTTGTTGTTGTATCTGTCAGGTTTTGGTATCAGGATGATGCTGGCCTCATAGAATGAGTTAGGGAGGAGTTCCTCCTTTTTGATTGTTTGGAATAGTTTCAGAAGAAAGAATATCAGCTCCTCTTTGTACTTTTGGTAGAATTCAGCTGTGAATCCATCTGGTCCTGGGCTTTTTTTGGTTGGTAGACTATTTATTACTGCCTCAATTTCAGAACTTGTTATTAGTCTATTCAGGGATTCAACTTCTTCCTGGTTTAGTCTTGTGGGGGTGTATGTGTTCAGGAATTTATCCATTGTGTCTAGATTTTCCGGTTTATTGGTATAGAGGTGTTTATAGTATTATCTGATGGTTGTTTGTATTTCTGTGGGGTCAGTGGTGATATCCCCTTTATCCTTTTTATTGTGTCTATTTGATTCTTCTTTCATTTCTTTATTAGCCTACCTAGTGGTCTATTTTATTAGTTTTTCCAAAAAAAAAAAAAGCCCCTGGATTCATTGATTGTTTGAAGGGTTTTTCGTGTCTCTGGTCTCCTTCAGTTCTGCTCTAAGCTTGGTTATTTCTTCTCTAGTTTTGGGGTTTGTTTGCTCTTGGTTCTCTACTTCTTTTGGTTGTGACGTTAGGGTGTTGATTTGAGATCTACCTTTTTGATATGGGCATTTAGCGCTATAAAGTTTCCTGTTAAGACTGCTTTAGCTATGTCCCAGAGATTCTGATACGTTGTTTCTTTGTTCTCATTGATTTCAAAGAACTTCTTGATTTCTGCCTTAATTTTATCATTTACCCAGGAGTCACTCAGGAACAGGTTGTTGAATTTCCATGTACTTATGTGGTTTTGAGTGAGTTTCTTAATCTTGAGTTCTAGTTTGATTGTGCTGTGGTCTTAGAGACTGTTTGTTATGATTTCAGTTCTTTTGCATTTGCTGAGGAGTGTTTTACTTCCAATTATGTGATGTGCCACGTGGTGCCAAGAAGAATCTATATCTGTTGTTTGGGGTTGGAGAGTTCTGTAGATATCTATCAGGTCCATTTGATCCAGAGTTGAATTCAAGTCCTAAATATCTTTGTTAATTTTCTGTCTCAACAATCAGTCTCATGTTGACAGTGGAGTGTTAAAGTCTCCCACTATTATTGTGTGGGAGTCTTAAGTCTCTTCGTAGGTCTCTAAGAACTTGTTTTATGAATCTGGGTGCTCCTGTATTGGGTGCATATATATTTAGGATAGTAAGCTCTTCTTATTGAATTGACCTGTTTACCATTATGTAACGCTCTTGTCTTTTTTATCTTCGTTGGTTTAAAGTCTGTTTTGTCAGAAACTAGGATTGCAACCCTTGCTGTTTTCTGTTTTCCATTTGCTTGGTAAATTTTCCTCCATACTTTATTTTGAGTCTATGTGTGTCTTTGCATGTGAGATGAGTCTCTTGAATTCAGCACACCAATGGATCATGACTGTTTATCCAGCTTGCCCTTTGTGTCTTTTAATTGGGGATTAGCCCATTTACATTTAAGGTTAATATTGTTATGTGTGAATTTGATCCTGTCATCATGATGCTGGCTGGTTATTTTGCAGACTTGTTTATGTAGTTGCTTCATAGTGTCACTGGTCTGTGTACTTTGGTGTGTTTTTGTAGTGGCTGATAATGGTTTTTCCTTTCCATATTTACTGCTTCCTTCAGGAGCTCTTGCAAGGCAGGTCTGGTGGTGATGAATTCCCTCAGAATTTGCTTGTTTGGAAAATCCTTTATTTCTTCTTTGCTTATAAAGCTTAGTTTGGCCAGATACAGTATTATAGGTTAGAAATTATTTAAGAATATCTGCTGGGTGCAGTGGCTCATGCCTGTAATCCCAGCACTTTGGGAGGCCAAGGCAGGTGGATCACCTGAGGTCAGGAGTTTGAGATCAGCCTGGCCAACATGGCAAAACCCTGTCTTTACTAAAAATACAAAATTAGCCGGGCATGGTGGCGCATGCCTCTAATCCCAGGGACTTGGGAAGGGTGAGGAAGGAGAACCACTTGAACCCTGGAGGCCGAGGTTGCAGTGAGCCGAGATGATGCCATTGTACTCCAGCCTGGGTGACAAGAGTGAAACTCCATCTCAAAAAAAAAAAAAAATCAAATAAATATTGGCCGCCCGTCTCTTCTGGCTTGTAGGGTTTCCACTGAGAGGCCTGCTGTTAGTGTGATGGGCTTCCCTTTATAGGTGACTCGACCTTTCTCTGGCTGCACTTAACATTCCTTCATTTTGACCTTGGAGAACTGATGATTATATGTCATTGGGCTGATCTTCTCATGAAGTATCTTATTGGGGTTCTCTGGATTTCCTGAATTTGAATTTTGGCCTGTCTTGCTAATTTGGGGAAATTCTCCTGGATGATATACTGTAGTGTGTTTTCCAACTTGTTTCTGTTCTCCCCGTCTTGTTCAGGTGCCCCTATTAGTCATAGGTTCAGTCTTGTAAGATAATCCCATAGTTCTCGGAGGTTTTATTCATTCCTTTTCATTCTTTTTTCTCTAATCTTGTCTGCCTGCCTTATTTCAGCAAGATAGTCTTCAAGCTCTGATATTTTTTCTTCCACTTGGTCTATTCAGCTACAAACTTCAAACTTGTGTTTGCATCGTGAAGTTCACGTGTTGTGTTTTTCAGCTCCATCAGGTTACTTGTCTTCCTCTCTAAACTGGTTATTCTTGTTAACAGCTCCTGTAATGTTTTATTATGGTTCTTAGCTTCTTTGCAACAAGTTTGAACATACTCCTTTAGCTCAGGGATGTTTGTTATTATCCATCTTTTGAAGCTTACTTCTGTCAATTTATCTATCTCTGACTCAGCCCGGTTCTGTGCCCTTCATGGAGTCATGTTACGATCATTTGGAGAAGAGGCACTCTTGCTTTTTGAGTTCCCAACGTTTTTGCACTGATTATTTCTCATCTTCATGGGTTTATCAACCTTTGATCTTTGAGGCCAATGACCTTTGGATGGGGTTTTTGTGAAGTCTTTCTTGTTTATGTTGTTGTTGTTGCTCCCTGTTTGTTTTTATTTTAGCAGTAGGGCCACTCTTCCATAGGGTTGCTGCAGTTTGCTGGGAGTCCATTCCAGACTTTATTCACCTTGGTTTCTTCCACCCCAGGAGGTATCACCGTGGAGGCTGCAGACCAGCAAAGATGGCAGGCTGCTCCTTCCTCTGAGAACTTTGTCCCAGAGGGGTGCTAACCTGATGCCAGCAGAACACTCCTGTTGGGAGGTCTCACCCAGTTTGGAGGAATAGGATCAGGGACCCACTTAAATAAGCAGTCTGGCTGCCCCTTGGTAGAGCAGGTGTGTTGTGCTGGCAGAAATCTCCCTCTCCAGAGCCAGTAGGCAGGAAAGACTAAAATGGCTGATCCACGATAGCGTGGCCAACCCTCCTCCTAGAGCCTCTTCTCAGGGATATCAGAGTTCTATCCATAAACCCTCCACTGGGGATGTGAAAATTCCCACAGGGAGGCCCTGCTCCGTGAGGGGGAATGGATTGGAGTCCCACCTAAAGAAGCAGTCTGGCCACAAACTGTCCCAGCCGCTGTGCTGTGCTGTGGGGGAATTGCTCCCCATCCAAACTGCACTGGCATCATGGTAGGGGAAAACGGTGGACTGAAGACACAGTAATGGCAGCTGCCTCTTCCCCCCAGGAACTCGTGGTCTCAGTGCCTGCTCAAGTGCCACCCACCTCAGCAGCCACCATCAGTCTGCATAGCTTAATGCTTGGAACCCAAGGCCCTGGTGGCATGGGCTCATGAGGGGACCTCCTGATCCCCAGGTTGCAAGGATTCATGGTAAAAGCATGGTTTTCAGGGAGGGGTAGCACAATCCCTCACTGCCTCCCTTGGCTGGGGAAGGGAGCTCCCTTTGCCCTGTGTGGCTGGCTCCCAGGTGGGCCCTAGCTCCACTGTGCTTTTCCTTGCTCTCTCTGAGTCACGCCAACCTCCTAGTCAGTCCCAATGAGAGAACATTGGTAACTCAATTGAAGATGCAGAATCCACTTGCCATTTTTGTCCTTTTCGGTGGGAGCTGCAGAGCAAAGGTGTTTCTATTCAGCCATCTTGGCTGCTTCCCCGAACCGTTTCTTAATGTATTTGTAAAACGTGTTTATGGATTCAGTTAACTAATATTTAGGAGTTTGAAATCAACATTTGAAAGTCAAATGAGTTTTTAAATATTTTAAAATCTCATATTGTTCTTACCTAGTTTTGGAATAAAGATTATGCCAGCTTCATAAAATGAGCTGGGCAGCTTTTGCTCGTTTTCTGGAACAACTTGTATATTATTAGAATTTACTGTTTTTTAAAAATAAGTGGAACCACCCATATCTGTGTTTTTTTGAAGGTGATAACTCTGACTACCCTTTTCATTTCTTTGAATATTGTTGGTACACTTAGGTTTTCTGTGTCATTGTGTACCAGTTAAGGCATCTTGTATTTTTCTAGGAATTCATCCATTTAATCTTTATTTTTAAATGTGTAAGCATTCATAATATTTATTTTAAAACTTGGCTGTATTTACTTATTTCTTTTTTTCTGCTGTATTTTGTTCATTTCCATCTTTTTTGTTCCTGATTAGTCTGGATAGAGTTCTATCTTATTCTTTTAAACAAGCAACTTTTTAATTAAATAAAAAGTTATTAAAGAGTGCTCTAATAGGCCTCTAACTGCAAAGAATATAGATTCACCTAAATAACCTCAAGATAAAAGGGGATAGTAGTTATTATAAAAACAAACAAGGTATAGAAGTGGACCTAGAAAGACTTTGTAAAGCCTAAGAAATCATATTACCTCTTAAAAAAACAAAACAAAAACAAAAACAAAAATCTTCTGCCTTCCTCTCTCTCTGTGAATCTTTTCCGTGTGTTTATGTTCCTTTATGACTTTAGCTTGTCATGACAAACCTCATAGAATCCTTCTAGCTTTGGTTCTCACTAACTCATCTTTTTCTCGTTACTTCTTAGTTCTAGTTTCAAACTGAGGAAATCTGATTGGGTCGATTCATGTTTTTCACATGACGTGGATTGCTAGCCATTGTGACAGATTGGTTTCTTTTGGGTCAGGTGCCAACTTCCAGTTTGTTCCACTGTGGCTAGAGGGTGGAGTCACATGGTTCAGAACATGGCTGCCTAAGAGCTGGCTCTACAGTAGAGACTATTGGCAAATATATCCTCCTAGAAGGTACTGTAGATGAGCAAGGGCCATAATGGAAGTACAATAAGTCTTCAAATAATTACCTTCTGGAGTTATTTTGGTTTCCAGTATCCAGTATTGCTAAGTGAGTTAAGAGCAGCATAACAGTGACAATCAGTTCATTGTACCTAGAGCATATTACCACTTCTCTATTTCTTTATATTTTAATAAAGAACAAAATGGTTTCTACTGCTCAGTTGTAAGATGTGCATAAGAAGACAAATTATCAAATTTGAAAATGGGCAAAGGATTTGAAGAGACATTTCTTCAAAGAGGATATATAATAAGCATATGAAAAAATGCTTAACATCATTAGCCATGAGGTAAATGCGAATCAAAAATATAGTGAGCTACCACTGTGCATCCATGGTGATAATCAAAAAATGGAAAATGTCAAGTTTTGATGGGGATGTGGGAAAATTGGAACTCTACTGTACCGATGCTGGGATTGAAAAATTGTACAGCCACTGTGGAAAAGTTTGGCAGTTCCTCAAAACATCAAACAAATTTATATCATGCAGTGTTCCATCCCTAGGTTACATCCCAAAGAATTCAAAACATATGTTCACACAAAAACTTGTGTGTGAATGCTCATAGCAGCACTATTCTTTTTTTTTGTTTTTTGAGATGGAGTCTTGCTCTGTCACCTAGACCGGAGTGCAGTGGCACTATCTCGGCTCACTGCAACTTCTTCCTCCCGTGTTCAAGTGATTCTCATGCCTCAGCATCCCAAGTAGCTGGTATTACAGGCGTGCACCACCATGCCTGGCTAATTTTTTGTGTGTTTTTAGTAGAGACAGGGTTTCGCCATGTTGGCGAAGCTGGTATTGAACTCCTGACCTCAAGTGATCCGCCCGCCTCGGCCTCCCAGAGTGCTGGGATTACAGGCGTGAGCCACTATGCTGGGCCATCAGCACTATTCATAATGACCAAAAAGTGGAAACCACTCAAATGTCCATCAATTGATAAATGGATAAACAAAATGTGGAATATCCACACATTGGAAAACTATTCAGCCATAAAAAGATACATGCTACAATGTAGGTGAACCTTGAAAACATCATGCTAAGTGAAAGAAACCAGACACAAAAGGTCATGTATTGTATGCTTTCATTTATATGAAATATACGGAATAGGCAAATCCATAGAAACAGAAAGTAGATTGGTGATTGCTAGGGGATAGTGGGAGAGGGAAATGGAAATGACTGCTAATGGGCATAGGTTTCTTTTTGGATACAGATGTTCTGGAGTTAGATTTATAGTTTCACAACCCTGCGAATATACTAAGACCCACTGAATTGTATTCTTTAAAATGACTAATTTTATAGCATGTGAATGATATCTCAAATTGTTAATACAAAAATGTACAAAGGCGTACAGCCTTTTAATAGGAAAACACTACACCTACTTTAGTTAAATATTGCTTTTGAATAACCATACTTTCCATTCTTTATTTAAAATGTGATTACTTGTTTTTTAATAATTAGCTGATTTTACTGTTCCAATATTAAATTTTCATCTAAAGGAAGATTTTAATAAAGGAGCATTTATTTTCTTCTCTCTCAACAGTGTCTACTTCTTGGGAAGAAGCAGTAAACAGTTGGGAAATGCAGTCACTACCTGAGTATAAGGATAAAAAGGGATATTCACCCCTTGGTAAGACAAGAGAATTTTCTTCATCACATAATATCAATGTATATATTCATGAGAATGCAAAATTTCAGAAGAAACGTAGAAACAAAATTAAAACCTTAAGCAATTTGTTTTGGGGGCATCATCCCCAAAGAAAACGCAGAGGATATTCAGAAAAGTGTTGTCTTACAGGATGTACAAAAGAAGAACTTAGCATTGCATGTCTTCCATATATTGATTTTAAAAGGCTAAAGGAAAAAAGATCATCACTTGTAACTAAGATATACTAACCATCTTAGAATTTTTTCTAACCTAATAAAAGCTTAATACATTTATTTAACTCTATTTTTTTTTGTAATTGTGCATATAAGTGATATGATGTGAAAAATGTCTGAATGTACTTGCAAGCACTTGACCATACCTTATAGTGGTAATAGGTATCTTAGTATTTTCTTTGGTGACCCTGTTGTTTTCCTTAGTTTTCATACGCTTTTTGAAGATCTGGAGATGGTTTGATCCATGCAGACATCTAAGAGTTACCTGTTCACTTGTCATTACGGTTGAAACTCTCTTAAGCTGTGTTTTAAGATGGATTATGGAACCTTCTGCTTTCCATCTGTATGACACACAAACTGATGCCCATGACTGTTAGGCTTATACTTACTCCAAGATGTCGACCCATCTGTCCCACCAACTTAAAAATAACGAATCAACTACCATTCCTGGTAGAAGCCCTTGTGCTGTAATAGTAGTTACACTTCTAATTCCTTGAGTTTTATTATAGTAGTCAGTTTCTCTTCACAATTTCTACTGAGAACTTAAAAGAGAGTTTAGTGAATCTAAACTAAAATCTCTCCAAGATACCCTGTCTTTGCTTTGAAGGTACTGATATAATCTGAATCAACATAAATCTCAATGTTTGAGAAACCTGTAGAAAAGATTCTTAAAGCGTGGTCCCTTACCAAATCGGCAGCATCAGCATCACGTGGGAACTTGTTAGAAATGCAGTTCTAAAGTCTCACCTCAAACCTACTGAATCAGAAACTGTAGGTATGGGGGTCAGCAATCTGTGTTTAATAAGGCTTCTAGGCTATTCTGAAGTAGGTTAAAGATCAAGAACCACTAGTAATGGAGTTAATGTATGACTATTGTTGAAGTCCTACTGTTGAAGTGCTTGCATATCTCAACTCAATATAGATGTTACAATACTAAATTTTTGGTGTTTTTTTTCCTGTCCACACATGACATAATTTTAGTACTACAAATTAGAGCAAAACAGAACCCAGTGAACCCAAAATGGAATTCCTACTTCGTACCCATTAATTAGTTGATAAGCAACATTTGAGATCGTTCTCTAGTTTCTTTCTGAAATGTATACTATAATGTTCTTAAATGTTTTATTTCTATTTGGCTTTGTTAATTCTTAGAACAAAGGTTCTTTTCCACTTATATCTGTGTCATACATACTTTGCATTAATAAATATTTTTGAATGTTTTTAATCAGTTTCAGGGTACAGTCTGCATTCAGTTATCTGTAGATATAGGGAGCTACCCATGTAGATACAAAATGACAGATTATATTACGGTTCAGTGGTAGAGTAGGTCTGCTAAGCATTAGATGAAAATGCTCCATGTTGTCTATGCTTTGGCTAAAATACAGCCATGTACACGATCCAGTTTAAAAGGGTATAGGTCTGTACTTGTAGTTGAAGAATAAAGTGCAGCTTGTTAGCTTACTTATATACACACAACAAAAGTCCCAATTAGAAAATTATGATATTAACCAAGTGTGTTATTTGCATAGCTATATACTTCCCTACACATTTTTTAATAATTTGTATGTTAGATTGTATTTAATTTGCTTTTTGGTTTAATGTCAGCCTTTTAATATTTAAAATTGCACTAATGATGTGGTACATTTTGATAGAATAGTCACATTTATAGACTCCTTAGAGCAATCCCAAATTGAAAAAAAAAATCTGAGATACCTTGATATTAAGCAACATATTGAGGCTCCATGTTAAGTTACTTGTTAGTGGTAGAACTGGATCAAGATTTTAATCCTAACATCTTGCTCAGTACTACTGATGTCAATAAAATCTTAAGTAGAAATTATCCTTTTTTTTTTTTGAGGCAGGGTCTGTTGCCTAGGCTAGAATGCAGTAGTGTGATCACAGCTCACTACACCCTCAACCTCCTGGGCTCAAGTGATCCTCCCACCTCAGCCTCCTGAGTAGCCAGGACTACAGGTTCATACCACCTGGCTAATTTTTTATATTTTTTTTGTAGAGACAGAGTCTTGCTGTGTTGCCCAGGCTGGTCTCCGGGCTCCTGGCCTCAAGTGATCCTCCCACCTTGGCCTCCCAAAGTGCTGGGTTTACCTTCATAATTTCTTTTTCAGATTGTTTGCTCTTGGCACATAGAAGTGCTACTGAATTTTGTCTATTGATTTTGTATCCTGCAACTTTACCGAATTTGTTTATGAGTTCTAATCATTTTTTGGTGGAGTCCTTAAATTTTTCCAAATATAAGATCATAGCACCTGTAAATAAGGATGGTTTTACTCATTTCTTTCCAATTCGGTTGTCCTTTGTTTCTTTCTCTTGTCTGATTGCTCTAGCTTGGACCTCCAGTACTATGTTGAATAACAGTAGTGAAAGGGGACAACCTTGTCAGGTTCCAGATATTAAAGGAAAGTTTTTCAGTTTTTCCCTATTTCCTATTTCAGTATGATACTAGCTGTGGGTCTATCATATATGGCTTTCATTATGTTGAGGTATGTTCCTTCTATACTCAATTTTTTGAGGGGTTTTAGCATGAGAGGTTTTTATTTTTATCAAATGCTTTTTGAGCATCAGTTTAAATGGTCATATGGTTTTTGTCCTTCATTCTCTTGATAGATCACAATGATTGACTTGCAAATGTTGAACCGTTCTTGCATTCCTGGAATAAATACTCCTTGGTCATGATGAATGATTTTTTAATGTGTTGTTGCGTTTGGTTTACTAGTATTTTGTTGAGGATTTTTGCATCAGTGTTCATCAAAGATAATGGCCTGTAGTTTTCCTTTTTTGATGTGCCTTTGTTTAGTTTTGGTATCAGAGTAATATTGGTCTCATAGAATGAGTTTGGAAGTATTCCCTCCACGTCTACTTTTTGGATTAGTTTGAGTAGAGTTGGTATTAGTTTTTCTTTAAATGTTAAAATCAGCAGTGAAACTATCGGTCCTGAGCTTTTCTTTGCTTGGAGAGTTTTTATTATAGCTTCAATCTTATTACATGTTACTGGTCTATTCACAGGTTTTGGATTTCTTCATGTTTTAATCTTGGTAAGTTGTATGTGTATAGGAATTTATCCTTTTCTTGTAGGTCTTCCAGTTTTTTGGCATATAGTTGCTCATTGTAGCCTCTAATGATCCTTTTAATTTCTGCGTATCAGTTGTAATTTCTCCTTTTTATCTCTAATTTTATTTATTTGTGTCTTGTCACTTTTTATCTAAGTTAGTCTGGCTAACATTTTGTCAGTTTTGTTTGACTTCTAAAAACCAACTTTGTGTTTCGTTGATCTTTTGTATTCATTTCAATTCCATTTATTTATGCTATGATGTTTATTATTTATTTTCTTCTATTAACTTTGGGTTTGGCTTGCTCTTGCTTTTCTAGTTCTTTAAGGTGTATCATTAGGTTGTGTATTTAAAGTTTTGCCTTTCTGATGTAGGCACTTCACTTTTAGCTACATTCTTCTCTCTCAGTACTGCTTTCCCTGTATCGCATAGGTTTTGGTATGTTGTGTTTCCGTTATTTTTGTTTCTGGAAATTTTAAAGTTTTCTTCTTAATCTCTTCGTTGACCACTGGTCATTCAGGAGCATGTTGTTTAATTTCCATGTGTTTGTATAGTTTCCAAAATTCCTTTTGTTTTTGCTTTCTAGTTTTATTGTGGTCAGAAAAGATACATGATATTATTTCAATTTTTTGGAATGTTTTAAGATTTGTTTTGTGGCCTAACTTTTTTTTTTTTTTTTTTTTGAGACCGAGTTTTACTCTTGTTGCCCAGGCTGGAGTGCTATGGCGCTATCTCAGCTCACTGCAACCTCCATCCCCCGGGTTCAAGTGATTCTCCTGCCTCAGCCTCCTGAGTAGCTGGAATTACAGGCACCCACAACCACACCTGGCTAATTTTTGTATTTTTTTATAGAGATGGGGTTTCACCATGTTGGCCAGGTTGGTCTCAAACTCCTGACCTCAGGTGATCCACCCGCCCTGGCCTCCCAACCTGCTGGGATTACAGGCGGCGTGAGCCACCACACCTGGCCACATGTGGTCTATTCTCGAGGATGAGCCGCATGCTGAGGAGAGAAATGTATTCTGTAGCTGTTGGATGAAGTGTTCTGTAAATACCTATTAGGTCTGTTTGTTCTATAGTGCAGATTAAGTCCAATGTTTCTTTGTTGATTTTCTGTCTGGATGATCTGTTCAGTGCTGAAAGCAGGGTGTTGAAGTCTTGAGGTTTTAATGTATTGGGGTCTCTCTCATTAGCTCCAACAATGTTTGCTTTATACGTCTGGGTGCTCCAGCGTTGAATGCGTATATATTTACAATTGTTACATCTTTTTACTGAATTGACCCCTTTAATATTATATAATGATCTTCTCTCTTTTTATAGTTTTTGTCTTGAAACCTAATTTGTCTAATATAAGTAGAGTCACTCCTGCTTGTTTTTGGTTTCCATTGGCATGGAAAATCTTTTTCTATCCCTTTATTTTGAGTCTATGTATGTCTGTATACATGAAGCGTGTTTCTTGTAGGCAAGAGGTTGTTCGATCCTTTTTTTAAAAAAAAAAAATCCATTCTGACACTCTGTGTCTTTTAATTGGGGAGTTTAGTCCCCTCACATTCAATTTTGTTATTGACAAGTAAGGACTTATTCCTGCCATTTTGTTATATATTTTCTGGTTATTTTGTGATCTTCTCTGCCTTTTCTTTCTTCCTGTCTTCCTTTTAGGGAAGGTGATTTTCTTGGTTGGTATATTTTTATTTCTTGCTTTTTGATTTTTTGTGTATCTGTTGTATGTTTTTAGATTTTAGGTTACCATGAGGCTTGCAAATAATATCTTATAATCCATTACTTTAAAGTAATGACAATGTAATACTGATGCATAAACAAACAAGCAAAAAGAAAACTAATAACAATTCTACACTTTAACTTTGTCTCCTCATTAACTTTTTGTTGTGTCTATTTATATCATTATACTGTCTGTCTTGAAAAGTTCTTGTAGTCATTATTTTGATGATTTTATCTTTCATCTTTCTACATATGAGTAGTTTGTACACCATAGTAACAGTTATAATATTTTATTTTTTTTCTGTGTACCTACTATTACCAGTTAGTGTTGTATGTTCAGATGATTTCTTCCTGGTCATTAACATCCTTTTCTTTTAGGTTGAAGAATTAACATTTTTTGTGGGACAGATCTGGTGTTGATGCAGCTCCTCAGCATTTTTTCTTTTTTTCTTTCTTCCTTTTTTTGGCTGGGAAAGTATTTCTCCTTCATGTTTCTAGAATATTTTTGCTGGATATACTCTTGTAGGGCAAAAGATTTTTTTTCCTTTAACACTTTAAATATGTCATGCCACTCTCTCCTGGCCTGTAAGGTTTTCACTGAAAAGTCTGTTACCAGACATGTTGAAGTTCCATTGTATTAATATCTTGTTTGTTTCTTTTCTCTTGCTGCTTTTAGGACCCTTTCTTTATCCTTGACCTTTGGGAGTTTGATTATTAATTACCATGAGGCAGTCTTCTTTGGCTTAAATTCACTTGGGTGTTCTCTAACCTTCTTAAATTCACTTGGGTGTTCTCTAACCTTCTTGTACTTGAACACTGATACCTTTCTATAGGTTTGGGAAGTTCTCTGTTATTATCTCTTTGAAAAACATTCTAGACCACTCCCCCCACCCTTTCAAGGCGAAGAACTTTTAGATTTGCCCTTTTTGGGCTATTTTCTAGAGGCCGTAGGCATGGTTTATTTTTTTAATTCATTTTTCTTTTGTCTTCTCTGACTCTGTATTTTCAAATAGCCTGTCTTCAGTTTCACTAATTGTTTCTTCTGCTTGATCAAGTCTGCTATTAAGAGACTGATGCAATCTTCAGTATGTCAACTGCATTTTTCTACTCCAGAATTTCTGCTTTATTCTTTTTATTTCAATTTCTTTGTTAAATTTATTTGTTAGAATTCTGAATTTCTTTTCTGTTTTATTTTTAATTTATTTGGGTTTCCTTAAAACAGCTCTTTTGAATTCTCTATCTGAAAGGTCACATAACTCTATCCCTGTGGGATTGGCCCCTGGTACCTTATTTAGTTCCTTTGGTGAGCTCATGTGTTCCTGGGTAGTCTTGATGCTTGTGGATGTTCATTAGTATCTGAGCATTCAAGAGTGAGGTATTTATTGTAGTCTTCCCAGTCTGGGTTTATTTGTACCAGTCCGTCTTGGGAAGTCTTTCCAGTTATTTGAAGGAACTTGGGTGTTTCACTTAAATTTTAGCTTATTACAAATTTCTTAAGATTTTCCCCTACATTTTCTTCTGGAAGTTCTGTAATTTTAGCATTTATATTAGGTCTGTGATACATTTGAGTTCATTTTTCTGTGTGGTGAAAATGGAAGTCAGGGTCTTTTTTTTTCCTGCAAATTCCTAACTGGTAGTTCCAGCAAATTGATTGTAAAGGCTATGCCTTACAAAAATCAGTTGACTATATATATGAGTGGGTTTATTTCTGACAGTCTCTTTTTTTCCATTAATCTTTCCATTAATCATTATGCCAATACCATACTTTCTTGATTACTATAGATGTATATTACATCTTTAAATTAAATAGTGTAAGTTCTCCAACCATTTTGTTCTTTTCCAAAGTTGTATTGGCTATTGTTGAGCCTTTGTATTTTCATATAAATTTTAGAAACAGTTTACTATTTTTTACAACACTTTTTGGGGATTTTGATAAGGATGGCATTGAATCTACAGATCAATTTGAGGAGAATTGAGCCTTCAGATCCATGAACATGGTATTATATATTTTCCATTTTTGCAGGTCTTCTTTAATTTCAGCAATATTTTGTAGTTTTAATGTACAGTTATAATACATATGTTGTTAAATGTACCTCTAAGCATTTTATTATTTTATTTTATTTTTTGAAACAGTCTTGTTCTGTCACCCAGGCTGGAGTGCAGTGTCGCAGTCTCAGCTCACTGCAACCTCTGCCTCTCAGGTTCAAGAAATTCTCCTGCCTTTAAGTATTTTATTTTTTTAATGCTATTGTAAATGGTATTTTAAAAATTTAATGTTTTCATTGTTGCTAGTATGTGTTTGTATCCTGTAACATTGTAAATTCACTTATTCTTGTAACTTGTTAATATTTCATTAGATTGCTTGGGATTTTCTTTATAAACAGTCCTGTTATTGTGGATAGAGACTTTTATTTTTTCTTTTCCAATATAATGTCTTTAATTTCTTTTTATTGACTCATTGCATTGCCTAGGACTTCCAGTGCAACATTAACTAGAGAATGCAATATTAACTAGGCAAAGTTTTAGGATTTTTGTAGATACATTTTATCTAGCTGAAAAAGTTTCCTTTTATATTCTGTTTGCTGAGAATTTTTTTTTAATCATGAGTAGGTGTTGAATGTTGTCCAATGCTTTTTCTGCATATATGGAAATCCCTGTAGGGGGCTTTCTTCTTTATTCTGATCATTTGAGGAATCCAGATATGTTTGCTAATAGGAATGGGGTTTTGCATCAATAGCCATAGAGATATTCATTTACAGTTTTATGTCTTTATCTGGTTCTGATATCAGAGTAATGGGGGCCTGCTAAAGTGAGCTGTGAAGTGTTGCCTCCTTTATTTTCATAAAGAATCTGTTTAGGATTATATGATTTATTTCTTGCTTGCTGAAATTCACCAATAAAGTTATTTTGGCTTGCAGGTTTTAATTACAAATTAAATTTTTGAAAAGTTATAGATCTACTTAGATTTTCTGTATCTTAAGTTCATTTGGCCTTTTTTTCCTTTTAAGAAATTTGTCAATTGCATGAAAGTTCTTAGTCATATTTATTGGCATAAAGTTTTTCATCATATTCCCTGACCATCCTTTAAATGTCTATAGGATCTGTATAAATGCTAATCCTTTTTTTATTACTGATTTTGATAATGTGTGGTTTTTCTTTTTTACTCTTGATTATTCTAGCTGAGGTTTACAAATGTATTGGTCTTTTTTTTTCTTTTTTTAAATTATACTTTAAGTTCTAGGGTACATGTGCAGAACATGCAGGTTTGTTACATTGGTATACACGTGCCATGGTGGTTTGCTGCACCCATAAACCCATCATCTATATTAGGTATTTCTCCTAATGCAATCCCTCCCCTATCCCCCCACCCCCAAACAGGCCCCGGTGTGTGATGTTCCCCTCCCTGTGTCCATGTGTTCTCATTGTTCAACTCCCACTTATGAGTGAGAACATGCGGTGTTTGGTTTTCTGTTCTTGTGTTAGTTTGCTGAGAATGATGGTTTCCAGTGTCATTCATGTCCCTGCAAAGGACTTGAACTCACCCTTTTTTATGGCTGCATAGTATTCCATGGTGTATATCTGCCACATTTTCTTTTTTCTTTTTTTTTTTTATTTAGTAGTTCTATGTATTTATTCTGCTAGGTACCTCCAGGTTTTTTTTTTAAATTATACTTTAAGTTTTAGGGTACATGTGCATAACGTGCAGGTTTGTTACATATGTATACATGTGCCATGTTGGTGTGCTGCACCCATTAACTCATCATTTAACATTAGGTATATCTCCTAATGCTATCCCTCCCCCCTCCCCCAACCCTGCAACAGGCCCCAGTGTGTGATGTTCCCCTTCCAATGTCCATGTGTTCTCATTGTTCAATTCCCGCCTAGGAGTGAGAACATGCAGTGTTTGGTTTTTTGTCCTTGGGATACTTTGCTGAGAATGATGGTTTCCAGCTTCATCCATGTCCCTACAAAGGACATGAACTCATCATTTTTTATGGCTGCATAGTAGTCCATGGTGTATATGTGCCACATTTTCTTAATCCAGTCTATCATTGTTGGACATTTGGCTTGGTTCCAAGTCTTTGCTATTGTGAATAGTGCCGCAATAAACATACGTGTGCATGTGTCTTTATAGCAGCATGATTTATAGTCCTTTGGGTATATACCCAGTAATGGGATGGCTGGGTCAAATGGTATTTCTAGTTCTGGATCCCTGAGGAATCGCCACACTGACTTCCACAATGGTTGAACTAGTTTACAGTCCCACCAACAGTGTAAAAGTGTTCCTGTTTCTCCACATCCTCTCCAGCACCTGTTGTTTCCTGACTTTTGAATGATTGCCATTCTAACTGGTGTGTGATGGTATCTCATTGTGGTTTTGATTTGCATTTCTCTGATGGCCAGTGGTGATGAGCATTTTTTCATGTGTCTTTTGGCTGCATAAATGTCTTCTTTTGAGAAGTGTCTGTTCATATCCTTCGTCCAGTTGTTGATGGGGTTCTTTGCTTTTTTTCTTGTAAATTTGTTTGAGTTCATCGTAGATTCTGGATATTAGCCCTTTGTCAGATGAGTAGATTGCAAAAATTTTCTCCCATTCTATAGGTTGCCTGTTCACTCTGATGGTAGTTTCTTTTGCTGTGCAGAAGCTCTTTAGTTTAATGAGATCCCATTTGTCAATTTTGGCTTTTGTTGCCATTGCTTTTGGTGTTTTAGACATGAAGTCCTTGCCCATGCCTATGTCCTGAATGGTATTGCCTAGGTTTTCTTCTACAGTTTTTATGGTTTTAGGTCTAACATTTAAGTCTTTAATCCATCTTGAATTAATTTTTGTATAAGGTGTAAGGAAGGGATACAGCTTCAGCTTTCTGCAAATGACTAGCCTGTTTTCCCAACACCATTTATTAAATAAGGAATCCTTTCCCCATTTCTTGTTTTTGTCAGGTTTGTCAAAGATCAGATGGTTGTAGATGTGTGGTATTATTTCTGAGGCTTCTGTTCTGTTCCATTGGTCTGTATCTCTGTTTTGGTACCACTACCATGCTGTTTCTGTTACTGTAGCTTTGTAGTATAGTTTGAAGTTAGGTAGTGTGATGCCTCCAGCTTTGTTCTTTGTGCATAGGATTGTCTTGGCTATGCAGGCTCTTTTTTGGTTCCACATGAGATTTAAAGTAGTTTTTTCCAATTCTCTGAAGAAAGTCAAAGGTAGCTTGATGGTGATAGCATTGAATCTATAAATTACTTTGGGCAGTATGGCCATTTTGACGATATTGATTCTTTCTATCCATGAGCATGGAATGTTTTTCCATTTGTTTGTGTCCTCTCTTATTTCCTTGAGCAGTGGTTTGTAGTTCTCCTTGAAGAGGTCCTCCACATCCCTCGTAAGTTGTATTCCTAGGTATTACATTCTCTTAGTAGCAGTTGTGAATGGGACTTCACTCATGATTTGGCTCTCTGTCTGTTATTGGTGTATAAGAATGCTTGTGACTTTTGCACATTGATTTTGTATCCTGAGACTTTGCTGAAGTTGCTTACAGCTTAAGGAGATTTTGGGCTGAGACGATGGGGTTTTCTAAATATACAATCATGTCATCTGCAAACAGACAATTTGACTTCCTCTTTTCCTAATTGAATACCTTTTATTTCTTTCTCTTGCCTGAGGCAGTCTTTCCACGGTGGCCTTGCTGAGCTGGCGTGGGCTCCACCCTGTTCAAACTTCCCAGTGGCTTTGTTTACACCGTGAGGGTGAAACCACCTACTCAAGCCTCAGCAATGGCGGATGCTCCTCCGTGCACCAAGTTCGAGTGTCCCAAGTGGGGCTTAGACTGCTGTGCTGGCACGAGAATTTCAAGCCAGTGGATTTTAGCTTGTTGGGCTCCGTGGGGGTGGGACCCACAGAGCCAGACTACTTGGCTCCCTGGCTTCAGCCCCCTTTTCAGGGGAGTGAACGGTTCTGTCTCACTGACATTCCAGGCGCCACTGGGGTATGAAAAAAAAAAAAACTGCAGCTAGCTCAGTGTCTGCCCAAACAGCTGGCCAGTTTTGTGCTGGAAACCCTGGGCCCTGGTGGTGTAGGCACTGGAAGGAATCTCCTGGTCTGCGGATTGCGAGGACCATGGGAAAAGTGCAGTATCTGGGCTGGAGTGCAGGGTACAGTCCCTAATGGCTTCGCTTGACTTGGAGAGGGAGTTCCCTGACCCCTTGTGCTTCCCGGGTGAGGCGACGCTCCACTGTGCTTCAGCTCGCCCTCCTTGGGCTGCACCCACTCTCTAACCAGTCCCAATGAGATGAATGTGGTACCTTAGTTGGAAATGCAGAAATCACCTGCCTTCTGCGTCGATCTTGCTGGTAGCTGCCGACTGGAGCTGTTCCTGTTTGGCCATCTCACCAGCAACTCTTGGTCTTTTCAGATCATCACCTTTTGCCTTTACTGATATTCTCCATTTCCTTTTTCTCGTTTGTTGTTTTATGCTTCTAGCTTTATTATTTCCTCCTGATTATCAAGTTAATAGTCTTATTAAGGCTGTTTTCTAGTTTCTGAAATTACTGGTTTTAGACGCTTCTTTTTAAATAGAAGCATCTAAAGCTATAAATTTCACTGTACTCACAGCTTTAAGTTTACATGTCATTTTCATTTTCATTCATTAGAGAATATTTTCCATTTTTTCTTGTGATTTTTCTTGACCCATGGGTTATATAGGTTTGTTTTAAAATTGCTAATGTTTCAGTATTTACTAGATATCTTTCTTATATTAATTTCTAATTTAATATGTTGTTGACAATATTTTAAAATTTCTTGAGAATTGTTTTATGTTCCATAAATAATAATTTGTGGTAATTATTCCATGTGTGCATGAAACAAACGTGTATTCTGCTATTTTTTGATGGAATATTCTGTAGATGTTAGGTAAAGTTAGTTGACAGTGTTATTCATTGTTCTATGTCTTTACTGATCTTGCTTTCTTGTTCTCTCAGTTAGTGAGATAAAAGTGTTGAAATCTCTGTAATAATGGATTTGCCTATTTGCCTTCTCAGGTCATTTATATTTTTTTCATGCATTCGTTCTTAATGTATTTCAAAATTATTTTGCTAGCTGCATATCATTTTTTTGGTAAATTGATTCTTGTGTCATTATATTTCCTTTTATCACTGCTAATATTCCAGCTTTCTTATAATTAGTGTTTCCATCATATATCATTTTCCCAATCTTTTATTTTTAACCTATCTGTATCTTCATGTGTAAAATTAGTTTCTTGTAAACAACGTGTCATTGGTTCTTGCTTTTTCATCAAGTTCACAGTGTATGCTTTTCATTTGGAGTGTTTAATATTTTATTGATGTAATTATCAATATGATTTGTGTTTAAATATACAATCTTGCTTTTTTATGTGTTCCATCTGATCTGTTGCATTTTGTCCTTTTTTGCATTCTATTGGGTTGAATTTTTTTATAATTACATTTTGTTTCTCCTATTGGTTATTTATTTATCTTTAAACTTTCGTTTTTGGTGATTGCTTCAGCATTTACAATATACATCTTTATATCACGGACTAACTTCAAATAATGAGATCTCACTTCACAGGCAGTTTAAGACCTTTACAATAGTATACTTCAATTTTCTTTCCATCCCCACCCCCCGTCCATTTTTTTCTGGTGTTTGTGCCATACATTTTACTGCTGCATGCATTATAAACCACACAAACATTTTTATTACTTTGTTTTAATCAATTGTCTTTTTATTTATATACTTTTAATGAGATTATTGCCATGTACACGCATTATTTTCTTATTTTTCATTCTTCCAAAGGAAAATATTTATTCTAATATCAGATTTTTCCTGCAGTGTCTTTTTCATGCTTTTCTACTTATACAGTCATTTTTGCTTTGAATGTTGAATCTATGTAATTGTTAATATTGATTTGGGGGTATAAGTGCAGATTTGTTACATGGATATATTGCATAGTGGTGAAGTCTGGGCCTTTGGTATCACCATCACATGAATAGTGTACACTGTACCCATTAGTTAATTTCTCATCATCCACCTCCACCCCCTCCTCTTTCACAGTTCTGCATTTCCATTGTCTGTCATTCCATACTTTACAACCATGTGTGTACATTATTTAGGTCCCACTTTTAGGTGAGAACAGGCAGCATCTAACTTTCTGTTTCTTAGTTATTTTATATAAGATAATAGCCTCCAGTTCCACCCATGTTGCTGCAAAATACATTTTATTCTTTTTATGGCTGGGTAGTATTCCATGATGTGTGTGTGTGTGTGTGTGTGTGTGTGTGTGTGTCTCCTTTATCCAGTCATCTGTTGATGGATACTTAGGTTGATTTCCTATCTTTGCCTTTGTGAAGAGTGGTCCTTTAAACATGCAAATACAGGTATCTTTTTGCTATAATGATTTCCTTTAGGTAGACATGCAGTAGTGAGTTTGCTGGATTAAATAGTAGTTGTATTTTTAGTTTTCTGGGAAGTCTTCATACTATTTTACATAGAGGTTGTACTAACTTACATTCCAAAATAATAAGTGTTCTCTTTTCTCCACATCCTCGTCAATATCTGTTATTTGTTGACGATTTAATAATGGCCATTCTGACTAGTGTAAGATGTCATCTTATTGTAGTTTCAACTTGTTTTTCTCTGAACATCAGTGATGTTGAGCATTTTTTCATATGCGTATTGACCATTAAAAATGTTCATGTCCTTTGCACAATTTTTAATGGGATTATTTGTTTTATCCTTGTTGAATTGTTTGAGTTCCTTGTAGATTCTGGATATTAGTCTTTTATCAGATTCATAGCTTGCAAATATTTTTCCCATTCTGTAGGTTGTATGTTTGTTGATTATTTCTTTTGCTGTGCAGAGGCTTTCTAGTTTATAACTATGTCTTATTTGTATTTTGTTGTTTCTGCTGCATTTGCTTTCAAGGACTTAGTCATGAATTCTTTGATTAAACCTATGTCCAGAAAAGTTTTTCTGAGATTTTCTTCTAGAATGTTTATAGTTTCAGTTCTGACATTTAAATCTTTAATTTATCTTGAGTTAATTTTTGTATTTGGTGAGAGAGATGAGTCCAGATTGATTCTTCTGCACAGGGCTATCCAATTTTCCTAGCACCATTTTTAAACTAGACTGATCTTTCCCCATTGTATGCTTTTGTCAACGTTGTTAGAGATCAGTTGGCTGTAGGTATGTGGCTTTATTTCAGGGTTCTCTATTATGTTCTGCTGATCTATGTGTCTGTTTTTATATGAGTAGCCTGTTGCTTTGGTTATTATAGCCTTGTAATATAATTTGAAGTCACATAATGTGATACCTCCAGCTTTTAAATTTTTATTTTATTGTTTGCTTAAGATTGCTTTGGCCACATGGGCTCTTTTTGGTTCCTTGTGAATTTTAGGATTTTTTTTTCTAATTCTGTGAAAAAATGACATTGCTATTTTGATAGGAATTGTATTTAATCTGTATATTGCTTTGGGCAATATGGTCATTTTAAAGATATTTCAGTCCATGAGCATCAGCCGTTTTTCCATTTGTTTGTGTCATCTATAATTTCTTTCATCACTGCATTGTAGATTTCCTTATAGAGATCTTTCATATCCTTAGTTAACTGTATTTGTAGGTATTTTTCTTTGTAGCTATTGCAAATAGGATTGCCTTCTTGATTTGGTTTTCAGCTTGATCATTATTGGTGTATAGAAATGCTGCTGAGATCATGGTGGGTAGGAAGGTAAGCAAGATGGCTGAGTAGATGCAGCTGTGAAAAGTCATTTACACAGAGACTACACCAACAAAATTTGAACAGATCTTCAGAAAGAAAACACTGAAGGTGAATAGAAAAAAGATACAGTTGCTGAGGCTGAAAAGGGAGGGAGCTGGGAATCCCGTTTGGGGTGCCTAAATGCTATGGCTGGTTCCTGGCCCCAAAAGGCACTCTCGCCATGTACCTCTAGGATCTTAGCTGCTACAGGGGACCCCACACTCCCACAGATGTGTGAAGTGGCAGGGGGATCTCCCCAGAGATTCGACAGAGATGGAGTTAAAGCAAGCTCAGAGCTAGGGACCTTTGACTTTGGGGCAGCTCTGGCAGAGACTGGCCATAAGTGCCTACTCCTCAAGGCTGCCTGTCTCCCTCTGAGAGACTCTGGCCCCAGCTAACTGCTGGGGAGAGAACAGGGCCTGCAGCATGTCTGTTTTGCAGGCCAGCTTGCCCACCAGCACCTCCCAGGGTCCCTGCCAGGCTGCCCTGTAGGAGTATGTAGTGTAATCAGTGAAGCCTCTGATGCACAGCCTGGTGCCTTGCTCTACCTGAGTACATTCTGACAGCCTGGGAAACCTTTGGATCTCCCACCACACCAGGAACCCAACCCCAAATGTCTGGAAAAGGGAGCCACGAGCAGGTCCTGGTGCCCCAGGGCTGCAGTCTGCAGCTCAGGAGTGCCAAGCCAGGAACTGCTGGACACTTGAATTGGGAAGGAGCCCACACTCTCAGGAAACAGATGAGTTGCACAGGCTTGCAGGCTGGTATGGGGCCTAGGTGTACCTCCTTCCACAGGGCTGGTCCTGTAAGGGTATGGCCTATTTCCCTAACTGGCCTCTCCCCAAGGGAGCCCTGTGGCCCCGAAATACCTAATAATATTGACAGCAAAATTGTGAGCACAGTGCCAGTGATCAGAGATGGCTCCCCCAAAGTCCATGAGCCGACCGGGTGAGGGGGGTCACCTCTCTCTCCCTCACATGGCAGAATACAGCTGCAAAAGCCAGGAACTTGGTAACTAAGAACCTACTGCTCTCAAGCACCATCTCCTGGATCACAGCCGAAACTATAACACCAAAAATCATTAATTCTCCTCTCTACGTAACCATGTGCAAAAATTCAACAAAGACCCTGTACTGACCCTTAGTCCTGTGAAAACTTCCAGAAATGAAGTCAGTGGACTATACTCAGTTTATACCACAATTGAAGGAATACCAGCTCTCCCAGATGAGAAAGAATCAGCATAAAAACTCTGACAATTAAAAAATAGTATCCCCTTAACCTCCAAAGGAGCCTGTTAGCTCACTAGCAGTGAGTTCTTAACCAGTCTGAATTGTCTGAAATGGCAGATATGGAATTCAGAATCTGGATGGCAAGGAAGCTCATCAAGATTGAGAAAATTGAAAATCCAAGGAAGCCAAGGCATCCAGTAAAACAATTTAAGAGCTGAAAGGCAAAACACCCATTTTAAGAAAGACTCAAACTGAACTTATTGAGGAGAAAAGTTCACTACAGGAATTTCATAATACAATCAGAAGTATTAATGGAAGAACACACCAACCCGAGGAAAGAATCTCAGAGCTCAGAGACCAGTTTTTCAAATCAACGCAGTCAAAAATAAAGAATTAAAAATGAACAAAACATCCAAGAAATATGGGATTATGTAAAGAAACTAAATTTACAACTCATCAGCATTCCTGAGAGAGAAAGAGAATAAGAAACTTGGAAAATATATTTGAAGATGGTCTATTCAAATTTCCCCAGTCTCATTAGAGAGATTGACATATAAATCCAAGAAATACAGAGAACTCCAGCAAGAAACCCCATTCCGAAATCTCCTTACCAGGCAGTCTTCCAGGCCTGGGCCTCTAGCTACTCCCTGCCAGAGCTATCAAGCCAGTAGCAACTTGGCAACTCCCTGGACAGAGCCTCCAGGGGCAACTGAAAGTTCTCTGCCATTGCCTCTGCAGCAGAACCTTCCTTGCTACCCTTGGAATAACAAAGGAGCAAAAACCCTAAGCACCTTATCCACACCTCCAGCAAGCTGCAGTCGACCCAAGGAGAGGAGTCCAGACTGTCTCCTGTGGGCCCCACATATCCCCCACTGCTTGTCATCAAACAGGGAACCCCCTGGTTTAGTTCCACAGCACAGACCCTCCATCCTGGGCTGATTGCACTGAGAAATTGTTGACCCACATCACTCTGGGGTAGAGCCCCCAGGAGACAAGCAGAGTGGTAGAGCAGCAACTAACTGATGTGCTGCAGGAGCATCTGTAGCAGAATGTGGCCAGAGATGACCACCCCTCTAGGCTTGGCTTGCTCCCATAAGAGACTTTAGTTCTAGGGAAACTGTTGGACCTGGTCTCTGAAGGGTAATCTTGCACATCAGATAGGGCTGGTCCTACCTGAACGCTCCTTGCTGTTGGCCTTTCCTGGGGCCCCATCCTGGTCATGCTTGCTAACAGGGAAGTCTCAGGTGCCCTGAGGCCCACACCATAGCTTTTGCACCAGTGGACCATGCCTGACTGGTGGAAAGCTCCAATGAGGCAGCCCCTATGGCTGTGTACCAGCCCACACATTTCATCCCCATACTGAAGCTTCCCCCAAACCCACACAACTGCCTACATTGCTTTGCTGGCACATGTCTGCATAGGCAGGTTTTGCTTTACTTGCCCCACCAGCACACAGGAGTACAGTATTCCTCTCAACCCCTGTTGACTGCCGTTGCAGATGGAGCCTTGGTGGGCACAGAGTCAGCAAGCCTCACCCCCACCAGTGCTCCACCCTTGTGTTAATGCTGCACAGAGAACAGGGTATCCTCCCACACCCTGAGTGATCACTCCTGCTTATGGGGCACAGAGAAGGCCACCCACACCTGTGCTATCCAGCACCCCACCCCAAACCAACACTACTTCCAGTGCAGCAGTGCACACAGTCTCCAGGAGGGGCCCCCTGCTCCTCACCAATGCCTTGCTCCCACTGCTGTGGTGAATGCCTGCAGGGAGGCAGGCACCCCTGAATCCACTAGCACTCCGATGCAGCTGCCACACCTTGGTCTACCCAGCACAGTAGACTCCAAACATTGAGGAGCCAGAGAACAATGTTGGGGCCCAATTCAAGTCTCTCAGAGCACACAGTCCAGGATTTGGGAGCTGAATACTGGCCCCCTAAAATCTTCAAGAAACAAGGCCAATTCGCTGAGTTCACTTTATACCACAATCAAACACTCAAGGTCATCAAAAAGGATAAAAGAAAAAAAAAACCCAAAGGTTAACAACCTCAAAGATTGAAAGTAGATAAGCCCACAAAGATGAGAAAGAATCAGCACAAGAATGCGAACACTCAAAAAGCCAGAGTACCTTCTTTCCTCCAAATGACCACATCACTTCTCCAGCAAGAGTTAAGGACTTGATTGAGGCTGAGATGGCTGAAATGACAGAAGTAGAATTCAGAATATGGATAGGAATGAAGTTCACTGAGCCACAGGAGTATATTGTAACCCAATGCAAGGAAGCTAAAAATCATAATAAAAAGAGCTGAAAGACAAAATAGCCAGTCTAGAAAAGAATGTAACCGGCCTGATAGAGCTGAAAACTACACTACAATAATTTCATAATGCAATCCCAAGTATTAATAGACCAAACAGAGGAAAGAACCTCAGAGCCTGAAGACTGCCTTTCTTAAATAAGGCAGGTAGACAAGAATAGAGAAAAAAGAGTGAAAAGGAATAAACAAACCTTCCAAGAAATATGGGATTGTGTAAAGAGACCCAGCCTGCAACTGATTGGTATATCTGAAAGAGCTGGGAAGAGTGGAACCAACTTGGAAAACATATTTCAGGATATCATCCATGAGAACTTTCCCAACCTAGCAAGACAGGCAAACGTTCAAATTCAGGAAATGCAGACAACCCCAGTAAGATACTCCACAAGAAGATCAACCCCAGGATGCTTAATCATCAGAATCTCCAAGGTCAAAATGAAGGAAAAATATTAAAGGCAGCTAGAGAGAAAGGCCAGGTCACCTATAAAGGGAAGTCTGTCTTACTATCAGTGGACCTCTCAGTGGAAACCCTCCAAGCCAGAAGAGATAGGGGGTCAGTATTAAACATTCTTAAGAAATTCCAACCCAGAATTTCATATCTGGCCAAGCTAAGCTTCATAAGTGAACGAGAAATAAGACCCTTTTCAGACAAGTAAATGCTGAGGGAATTTGTTACCACTAGACCTGCCTTACAAAAGCTCTTGAAGGAGGGACTAAATATGGAAAGGAAAGACCAGTACCAACCACTACAAAAACACATTGAAGTATACAGACCAGTAATACTATGAAGCAATCACATAAACAAGTCTGCAAAATAACCAGCCAGCATTATAATGACAGGATCAAATCCACACATAACAATACTAACTTTAAATATAAATGGGCTAAATGCCCCCAAAGACACAGAGTGGCAAGCTGGATAAAGAACCAAGACCCATTGGTATGCTATCTTCAAGAGACCCATCTCACATGCAAAGACACAAATAGGCTGAAAATAAAGGTATGGAGAAAAATCTACCAAGGAAATGGAAAACAAAAATTAGTGGTTGCAATCTTAGTTACTGACAAAACAGACTTTAAACCAACAAAGATTTAAAAAGACAGGGGTATTACATAATGGTAAAGGGTTCAATTCAACAAGAAAATGGAACTATCCTAAATATGTTTGCACCCAACACAGGAACACCCTCATAAAGCAAATTCTTGGAGACTTTCAAAGAGACTTAGACCGCCACACAATAATAGGAGACTTTAACACCCCACTGACAATATTAGATCATCAAGACAGAAAATTAACAAAGATATACAGGACCTGAACTCAGCACCGGATCAAATGGATCCTCATAGATACCCCGAAACAACAGAATATACATTCATCTCATCACCACTTGGCATACTCTAAAAGCAATTACGTAATCAGAAGTAAAACACTCTTGAGCAAATACAAAAGAACTGAAATCATACAAACGGTCTCTCGTACCACAGTGCCATAAAATTCGAAATCACTACTAAGAAATTCACTCAAAGCCATACAATTACATGGAAATTGAATAACCTGCTCCTGAATGGCTTTTGGGTAAATAATGAAATGAAGGAGAAATCAGGACATTCTTTGCAACTAATGAGAAGAAAGATAACAACATATCAGAATCTCTGGGACACAGCTAAGGCAGTATTAAAAGGGAAGTTTGTAGCACTAAATGCCCACATCAAAAAGTTAGAAAGATCTCAAGTTAACAACCTAACATCACAACTAAAATAACTGGAGAACCAAGAGCAAACAAATTCCAAAGCTAGCAGAAGACAAGAAATAACCAAAATCAGAGCTAAACTGAAGGAGATACAGACAGGAAAAATGATTCGAAAGATCAACCAATTGGCCAGTGCAGTGGCTTACGCCTGTAATCCCAGCACTTTGGGAGGCTGAGGCGGGTGTATTACCTGAGGTCAGGAGTTCGAGACCAGCATGGCCAACATGGTGAAACCCTGTCTCTACTACAAATACAAAAATTAGCAGGGTGTGGGGGTGGGTGCCTGTAATCCCAGCTACTTGGAAGGCTAAGGCAGGAGAATCGCTTGAACCCAGCAGGTGGAGGTTGTAGTGAGCTGAGATCATGCCACTGCACTCCAGCCTGGGCAACAGAGTGAGACTTCATCTGAAAAAAAAAAAAAAGATTAACAAATCCAGGATCCAGGAGCTGTTTATTTGAAAAAACTAATAAAATAGATAGACCAGTAGCTAGACTAAAAAAGAAGCAAAGAGAGAAAATTCAAATATGCACTATCAGAAATGACAGGGGGGTTATTACCACTGACCCCACAGAAATACAGACAACCATCAGATAATATTATGAACACCTCTATGGAAATCAACTGGAAAACATAGAAGAAATGGATAAATTCCTGGATACATACCCCCTCCCTAGACTGAACAAGGAAGAAATTGAATCCCTGAATAGACCACTAACAAGCTCTGAAGTTGAAGCATTAAGAGCCTGCAACCAAAAAAGGCCCAGGACCAGACGGATTCACAGCTGAATTATACGAGATGTATAAAGAAGAGCTGGTACCATTCCTACTGAAACTATTAAAAAAAAAAAATTGAGGAGAAGGAACTCCTCTGTAACTCATTCTATGAGGTCAGCATCATCCTGATACCAAAACCTGGCAGAAATACAAAAAAAAGAAAACTTCAAGCCTATATCCTTGATGAACATCAGTACAAAAATCCTCAAAATACTGGCAAACGGAATCCAGCAGCACATCAAAAAGCTAATCAATCACAATCGAGTAGGCTTTATCCCTGGGATGAAAGGTTGGTTCAAGCATATCAGTAAATGTGATTGACCACATAAACAGAGCTAAAGATAAAAACCACATGATTATCTCAATAGATGCAGAAAAGGCTTTCAAGAAAATTTAACATCCATTCATGTTAAACTGTCAATAAACTAGGTATTGAAAGGAATATACCTCAAAATAACAAGAGCCGTATATGACAAGCCCACAGCCAATATCATACTGAATGGGTAAAAGTTTGAAGCATTCTCCTTGAAAACTGGCACAAAACAAGGATGCCCTCTCTCCCCACTCCTATTCAACATAGTACTGGAAGTTCTGGCCAGGGTGATCAGGCAAGAAAAAGAAAGAGTATTCAAATAGGAAGAGAGGAAGTCAGATTATCTTTGTTTGTAGATGACACGATCCTATATCTGGAAAACCCCATAGTCTCAGCCCAAAAGCTTCTTAAGCTGATAAACAGCTTCAGCAAAGCCTCAGGATACAAGATCAATTTGCAGAACATCACTAGCATTTCAGTACACTTAACAACACCTCAAGTTGAGAGCCAAATCGGGAACAAACTCCCATTCACAGTTAGAATAGCTAGAAATACAGTTAACTAAGAAAATGAAAGATCTCTGTAAGGAGAACTACAAACAACTGCTCAAAGAAATCAGAGATGACATGAACAAATGGAAAAACATTCCAGGCTCATGGATAGGAAGAATCAATATAGTTAAAATGGCCCTACTGCCCAAAGCAATCTACAGATTCAGTGTTATACCTGTTAAGCTACCATTGACATTTTTCACAGAATTAGCAAAAACTTTTACAATTCACATGGAACCAAAAAAGAGCCAAATAGCCAAGGCATTCCTCAGCAAAAAGAACAAAGCTGGAGGCATCATGCTACCCTATTTCAAACTGCACTAAAGGGCCATAGTAACCAAAATAATATGGTACTGGTATAAATACAGACACATAAACCAATGGAACAGAATAGAGAACACAGAAATAAGATTTCACACCTACAACTATCTGATTTTCGACAAACCTGACAAAAACAAGCAATGGCTAAAGGATTACCTATTCAATAAATCCTCCTGGGATAACTTGCTAGCCATATGCAGATTAAAACTGGACCCCTTCCTTACACCATATACAAAAATTAACACAAAATGGATTAAATACTTAAATATAAATCCCAAAACTGTAAATACTCTGGGAGACAACCTAGGCAATACCGTTCAGGACATAGGCATGGGCAAAGATTTAATGGTGAAGATGACAAAACCAATTGCAACAAAAGCAAAAATTGATAAATGGGATCTAATTAAACTAAAGAGCTTCTGCCCAGCAAAAGAAACTATCATCACAGTGAACACACAACCTACAGAATGGGGGAGAATTTCTGCAAACTATGCATCTGACAAAGGTCTAATATCCAGCATCTATAAGGAACTTAGAAACAAATTTAAAAGAAAAAACCCATTAAATTTACAAGGGAAAAAACATTAAAAAGTGAGCAAAGGACATGAACAGACACTTTTCAAAGAAGACATACATGTGGCCAACAATCGTATGAAAAAAAGCTCAACATCACTGATCATTAGAGAAACGTAAATCATAACTACGATGAGATACCATCTCATGCCAATAAGAGTGGCTATGATTAAAAAGTCAAAACACATATGCTGGTGAGGTTGTGGAGAAAAAGGAACACTTTTACACTGCTGGTAGGAGTGTAAATTAGTTCAACCATTGTGGAAGTCAGGGTGGCTATTCCTCAAAGACCTAGAGGCAGAAATACCATTTGATCCAGCAATTCCATTACTGGGTATATACACAAAGAAATATAAATCATTCTATTATAAAGACGCATGCATATGTTCATTGCAACATATTCACAATAGCAAAGTCATGGAATCAACCTAAATGTCCGTCAGTGATAGACTGGATTAAAAAAATGTGGTACATATACACCATGGAGTACTATGCAGCATAAAAAGGAATGAGATCATGTCCTTTGCAGGGACATGGATGGAGCTAGAGGCCATTATCCTTAGCAAACTAATGTAGAAGCAGAAAACCATATACCGCATGTTCTCAGTTATAAGTGGGAGCTAAATGATGAGAATACAGGGACACAAAGAGGGGAACAACACATACAGGGGCCTATTAGAGGGTGGAGGGTGGGATGAGGGAGAAGACCAGAAAAAATAACTAGGCTTAATACCTAGGTGACAAAATAATCTGTACAGCAAACCCCCATGGCACAAGTTTACCTGTGTAACAAACCTGCATATGTACCCTGAACTTAAAATTAAGGGGAAAAAAAAATGAATCCCCACCCCAGGTTTCCTTACTTTTGAAGTTAATATCTGGCTCTGCCACTGGTGACAGTCTGGGATGTTGGACTTTATCCTGTAGGAAATGGAGAAAGTTGGAAAGCTTTTGAGCAAAAGAATGACATGGTTATAATAGTGCTTTGGGAAGAATGACCTAATAGTGATGTGCAAGACTAATGAGAGAAGGTAGGAAGACTAATTAGAAGGTTATCATAATAATCACAACACAAAATTATGGGGGAGTGTAAAAGAAGAGACTGATGAAGCATTGAAAGAGAATGGAAAGAAAGTGCAAGTAATAAAAATGAGTCAAAAGTTTTTACTTAGGGTTTCGGAGCTCTGATGACTAATATAAGTGTGGTGTCATTATTATGATTAGGTACATTAGGGATGGTGGCTGCTTTTTGGAGAAAATATGATGAGTTCTGCCTGAGAGTTCTGATCTGATAGCTGTGAATGTTCTTATATATGGCTTTAGTTGGTGTCATTCACTTTTATACAAAATGGTTTTGCAGTATTGATTCTAGGTTAATATTTCCCAGGTTATTGATTTGACTTAAATAGATTAAATATATTTCCTAAATGCATAACTAATGCTGCTTCAATTTTACCTGTCATTTGCTTCTGTAAATTCATCAGAATAAACTTCTTTTTAGAAATGTACTATTTAATGTTGTGGGTTTTTTCCCAGTTATTTGCAAGTCATCTTTGTAATGCTTTCTAAAGATACATTTCAGTCTATTTTCAACTAACAATCCCTTGAAAAGACATCTGACACATTTTTGTTCACCAAAAGTATTTAGCAGTGCCATGTTCACTACAAGCTTTCAAAAAAGATTTGTTAAATGATTAAAATTTGTGGTTTGTTTACAACCTAGGCTCATTTCTTTAAAAATAAAATAATTTAGCATGTTGTTGTATAATGAGCACTAATCAGAATCAGAAGAGCTGGGCTCTAGCCTGGCTGTGTTCCTGAGCAGATCTTTGATGTGAGCAAGTCAAGCTAACCTCTTTGGACTTAGCTTCTTCAGATAGCTCATAAATGGTTTCAACTAAATCTCTGATTCTCTTCTACCACTCCAGTAGCACTCTTCTAGTTATATTTCATGTAGCAGATATGATACCTTTTAGAAAATATGGTTCCTTTCCTCAAGCAACCAGGGATGTGTCTAGACTTGAGAGTGTCTAATTTAAATAACACTTCTTTTTATTTTCACCCAATACTCTGAGGCAAAAGTCATCCAGTTCAAGCTTTTTAAAAATTCATTTACTTTCAACTTTCTTTGTCATCTAGCAAAAGGCAGTATTATCCCCTACATTGCTCCTTCTACAAAGACTGTCAACATTTTATCAAATTGTTGTGCAATTAATTTGTTTGATGGATAGGATGTAGTAATCCAACTATGAACAAATGGCCACTAAACTGCACGTGAAAAAATTGCTTATCATTAAAAAAATATACTTCAAAGCCACAATGCTATACTACACACCCATTAGAATGCCTCCAATTCTTTTAAAAGGCAGCATTTTTAAGTCAAAGAAGAAGAGCACATTGTCTTCTGGGTAAATTTCATAGCAAAGATATGACCTTTATTTGGCATTATTAGTTTCTTTCCTATTTCTCAAAAATGTTCTGTTTGAGGAAATTTTATTTTTATTTTAATACACAGTAATATAACATATGGTTTTAATAGTGAAAGATACTTTATTATCTCCTTGAACAACCAAGAAATGTTTTTTAACATGGTGCATATTGTTAAAATCTCCTGCTTTTCTTGAGAGGATTATTATATTTATTTTTTTTGTGACTATATAAAAACAACCCGACAGAAGAGTACTTGGGGATGTATTTCAATTGAAAAAAGAGGCACTTTTTGCATCTAGGAAGGAGATCTTTAAATTCTAGAGATTGTAATTAGGTAACTATTTTTTTAGATATTAAATCAGTGGGATTCAGTACTTTTATTATTTTTTTTTATTATAGTTTAAGTTCTGGGGTACATGTACCGAAAGTGCAGGTTTGTTAACATAGGTATACATGTGTCATGGTGGTTTGCTGCACCCATCAACCTGTCATCTACATTAGGCATTTCTCCTAATGCAATAGCTCCCTAGCCCCCCACTGCCCAACAGGCCAGGTGTGTGATGTTCCCCTCCCTGTGCCCATATGTTCTTATTGTTCAACTCCCACTTATGAGTGAGAACATGTGGTGTTTGGTTTTCTGTTCTTGTGTTAGTTTGCTGAGAATGATGGTTTCTAGCTTCATCTGTGTCCCTGCAAAGGGCGTGAACTCATCCTTGTTGATGGCTGCACAGTATTCCATGGTGTATATGTGCCACATTTTCTTTATCCAGTCTATCACTGATGGGCATTTGGGTTGGTTCCAAGTCTTTGCTATTGTGAACAGTGCTGCAGTAAACATATGTGTGCATGTATCTTTATAGTAGCGTGATTTATAATCCTTTGGGTATATACCCAGTAACGGAATTGCAGGGTCAAATGGTATTTCTAACTCTAGATCCTTGAGGAATAGCCACACTATCTTCCACAATGGTTGAACTAATTTACACTCCCACCAACAGTGTAAAAGCATTCCTATTTCTCCACATCCTCTCCAGCATCTGTTGTTTCCTGACTTTTTAATGATCACCATTCTAACTGGCATGAGATGATATCTCATTGTGGTTTTGATTTGCATTTCTCTAATGACCAGTGATGATGAGCTTTGTTTCATATGTTTTTTGGCCACATAAATGTCTTCTTTTGAGAAATGTCTGTTCATATCCTTCACCTACTTTTTTATGGGTTTTTTTTCTTGTAAATTTGTGTAAGTTCTTTGTAGATTCTGGATATTAGCCCTTTGTCAGATGGGTAGATTGCAAAAATTTTTTCCCATTATGTAGGTAACCTGTTCACTCTGATGATAGTTTCTTTTGCTGTACAGAAGCTCTTTAGTTTAATTAGATCCCATATGTCAATTTTGGCTTTTGTTGCCATTGCTTTTGGTGTTTTAGTCATGAAGTCTTTGCCATGCCTAAGTGCTGAATGGTATTGCCTAGGTTTTCTTCCAGGTTTTTTATGGATTTAGGTCTTATATTTAAGTCTTTAATCCATCTTGAGTTAATTTTTGTATAAGGTGTAAGGAAGGGATCCAGTTTCAGCTTTCTGCATATGGCTAGCCAATTTTCCCACCACCATATATTAAATAGGGTTTGTCAAAGATCAGGTGGTTGTAGATGTGTGGTGTTATTTGTGAGGCCTCTGTTCTGTTCCATTAGTCTATACATCTGTTTTGATACCAATACCATGCTGTTTTGTTACTATAGCCTTGTAATGTAGTTTGAAGTCAGGTAGTGTGATGCCTCCAGCTTTGTTCTTTTTGCTTAGGATTGTCTTGGCTATGCAGGCTCTTTTTTTTGGTTCCATATGAAATTTAAAGTAGTTTTTTTCCAGTTCTGTGAAGAAAGTCAAAGGTAGCTTGATGGTGGTAGCATTGAATCTATAAATTACTTTGGGCAGTATGGCCATTTTGATGATATTGATTCTTTCTATCCATGAGCATGGAATGTTTTTCCATTTGTTTGTGTCCTCTCTTATTTCCTTGAGCAGTGGTTTGTAGTTCTCCTTGAAGAGGTCCTTCACATCCCTTGTAAGTTGGATTCCTGGGTATTTTATTCTCTTTGTAGCAATTGTGAATGGGAGTTCACTCATGATTTGGCTGTTTGTCTGTTATTGGTGTATAAGAATGCTTGTGATTTTTGCACATTGATTTTGTATCCTGAGACTTCGCTCAAGTTGCTTATCAGCTTAAGGAGATTTTGGGCTGAGACGATGGGGTTTTCCAAATATACAATCATGTCATCTGCAAACAGAGACAATTTGACTTCCTCTTTTCCTAATTGAATACCCTTTATTTCTTTCTCTTGCCTGATTGCCCTGGCCAGAACTTCCAATAGTATGTTGAATAGGACTGGTGAGAGAAGGCATCCTTGTCTTGTGCCAGTTTTCAAAGGGAATGCTTCCAGTTTTTGCCCGTTCAGTATTATATTTGCTGTGAGTTTGTCATAAATAGCTCTTATGATTTTGAGATATGTTCCATCAGTACCTAGTTTATTGAGACTTTTTAGCATGAAGGGCTGTAGAATTTTGTCAAAGGCCTTTTCTGCATCTATTGAGATAATCATGTTGTTTTTCTCATTGTTTCTGTTTATGTGATGGATTACGTTTATTGATTTGAGTATGTTGAACTAGCTTTGCATCCTAGGAATGAAGCCGACTTGATCATGGTGGATAAGCTTTTTGATGTGCTGCTGGATTCAGTTTGCCAGTATTTTATTGAGGATTTTCGCATCAGTGTTTATCAGGGATATCGGCCTAAAATTCTCTTTTTTTGTTGTGTCTCTGCCAGGTTTTGGTATCAGGATGATGCTGGCCTCATAAAATGAGTTAGGGAGGATTCCCTCTTTTTCAATTGTTTGGAATACTTTCAGAAGGAATGGTACTGGTCCTCTTTGCATCTCTGGTAGAATTTGGCTGTGAATCCATCTGGTCCTGGACTTTTTTTTAGCTGGTAGGCTATTAATTCATTACTTTCAGAAGTTGTTATTGGTCTATTCAGGGATTTGACTTCTTTCTGGTTTAGTCTTGGGAGGGTGTATGTGTCCAGGAATTTATCTATTTCTTCTAGATTTTCTAGTTTATTTGCATAGAGGTGTTTATAGTATTCCCGATGGTAGTTTGTATTTCTGTGGGATTGATGGTGATATCCCCTTTATCATTTTTTATTAAGTCTATTTGATTCTTCTCTCTTTTCTTGTTTATTAATCTGGCTAGCCGTGTATCTATTTTGTTGATTTTTTTCAAAAAACCAGCTCCTGGATTCATTGATTTTTTTTGAAGGGTTTTTGTGTCTCTGTCTTGCTCAGTTCTGCTCTGATCTTAGTTATTTCTCATCTTCTGCTAGCTTTTAAATTTGTTTGCTCTTGTTTCTCTAGTTCTTTTAATTGTGATGTTAGGGTGTCAATGTTAGCTCTTTCCTGCTTTCTCTTGTGGGCACTTAGTGCTATAAATTTCCCTCTACACACTGCTTTAAATGTGTCCTAGAGATTCTGGTACATTGTTTCTTTGTTCTTATTGGTTTCAAAGAACATCTTTATATCTGCCTTCATTTTGTTATTTACCCCAGTAGTCATTCAGGAGCAGGTTGTTCAGTTTCCATGTAGTTGTGTGGTTTTGAGTGAGTTTCTTAATCCTGAGTTCTAATTTGATTGCACTCTGATATGAGAGACTGTTATGATTTCTGTTCTTTTGCATTTGCTGATGAGTGTTTTACTTCCAATTATGTGGTGCAGAGTTCTGTAGATGTCTGTTAGGTCTGCTTGGTCCAGAGCTGAGTTCAAGTCCTGGATATCCTTGTTAATTTTCTGTCTCGTTGATCTGTTTAATATTGACAGTGGGGTGTTAAAGTCTCCCACTGTTATTATGTGGGAGTGTAAGTCTCTTTGTACGTCTCTAAGAACTTGTTTTATGGATCTGGGTGCTCCTGTATTGGGTGCATATATATTTAGGATAGTTAGCTCTTCTTGTTGCATTGATTCCCTTTACCATTATATAATGCCCTTCTTTGTCTCTTGATCTTCGTTGGTTTAAAGTCTGTTTTATCAGAGACTAGGATTGCAACCCCTGCTTTTTCTTGCTTTCCATTTGCTTGGTAAATGTTCCTCCATTCCTTTATTTTGAGCCTATGTGTGTCTTTGCATGTGAGCTGGGTCTCCTGAACACAGCACACTGATGGGTCTTGACTCTATCCAATTTGCCAGTGTGTGTCTTTTAATTGAGGTGTTTAGCTCATTTACATTTAAGGTTAATATTGTTATGTGTGACTTTGATCCTGTCATTATGATGCTAGCTGATTATTTTGCCCTTTAGTTGATGCAGTTTCTTCATAGTGTCGATGGTCTTTACAATTTGGCATGTTTTTGCAGTGGCTGGTACCGGTTGTTCCTTCCATGTTTAGTGCTTCCTTCAGGAGCTCTTGTTAGGCAGGCCTGATGGTGACAAAATCTCTCAGCATTTGCTTCTTCGTGAGGGATTTTATTTCTCCTTCAATTACGAAGCTTAGTTTAGATGGATATGAGATACTGGGTTGAAAATTCTTTTAAGAATGTTGAATGTTGGCCCCCACTCTCTTCTGGCTTGTAGGGTTTCTGCAGAGAGATCCGCTGTTAGTCTGATGGGCTTCCCTTTGTGGGTAACCCGACCTTTCTCTCTGGATGCCCTTAACGTTTATTCCTTCATTTCAACCTTGGTGAATCTGACAATTATGTGTCTTGGGGTTGCTCTTCTCGAGGAGTATCTTTGTGGTGTTCTCTATATTTCCTGAATTTGAATGTTGGCCTGCCTTGCTAGGTTGGGGAAGTTCTCGTGGATAATATCCTGAAGAGTGTTTTCCAACTTGGTTCCATTCTCCCTGTCAACTTTCAGGTACACCAAACGTAGATTTGGTCTTTTCACATAGTCCCATATTTCTTGGAGGCTTTGTTAGTTTCTTTTCACTCTTTTTTCTCTAATCTTGTCTTCTTGCTTTATTTCGTTAAGTTGATCTGCAATCTCTGGTATCCTTTCTTCTGCCTGACCGATTCAGCTGTTGATACTCGTGTATGCTTCATGAAGTTCTCGTGCTGTTTTTTAGCTCCATTATGTCATTTATGTTCTTCTCTAAACTGGTTATTGTAGTTAGCAATTTGTCTAACCTTTTTTCAGTGTTCTTAGCTTCCTTGCATTGGGTTAGAACATGTTCCTTTAGCTCAGAGGAGTTTGTAATTACCAACCTTCTGAAGCCTACTTCTGTCAATTCATCAACCTCATTCTCAGTCCAGTTTTGTTCCCTTGCTAGCGAGGAGTTGTGATCCTTTGGAGGAAAAGAGGCATTCTGGCATTTGGAATTTTCACCCTTTTCTTGCTGGTTTCTCCCCATCTTAGTGGATTTATCTACCTTTGGTCTTCATGTTGGTGACCTTTGGGTGGGGTCTCTGAGTGGACATTTTGTTGATGTTGATACTGTTCCTTTCTGTTTGTTAGTTTTCCTTCTAACAGTCGGGCCCCTGTGCTGCAGGTCTGCTGGAGTTTGCTGGAGGCCCACTCCAGATGCTGTTTGCCTGGGTATCACCAGCAGAGGCTGCAGAACAGCAAAGATTGCTGCCTGTTCCTTCCTCTGGAAGCTTCATCCCAGAGGGGCACCCACTAGATGCCAGCCAGAGCTTTCCTGTATGAGTGACATAAGGTAACTTTTTAAAAAGATTATGTGTAAACTATTTTTTTTGGCTCAGTATTTATTTAAAGATCTAGTACTCTTAGCTTTTCTGACACTGTCGTATCTGCTTATCATATTGAGGTTATTTCTGAGGTAGTGCTGGTTTGACCTATGTCTATATGAGCACACTCTAAAGTAGTGTTTCTCAACTTTTTTTTTGCATTATCCTCCCCCAACTTTCCCACCAGGAACATTTTAGACATCTTTCCCTAATTTCCTCTACCATGACACTCTAATATCACTGCATATCTGTTTATGTACTGTATTTCTGTGCTTTATATGATTTTTTCATCCTCCAACATCAGTTTTCACACTCTTGGAGGCATAACACCTCTGCTGAAAAAATCATGCCCTAGAAAGAATATATGAAATTCCAACTCTCACTACCCCAGGTCCAACATACCCTTCCTCTGGGATCTTTATGGATGATGAGATTATTTGAGGCCACACCAAATTAGGCTCCCTGAAAACTATGATTAGGGCTCATATTCCCAGAGCGGTAGCAGAACTGAAAGTTGTAATCTTCTAATTTTGTCTGAATGTTTAACAGGGAATTTTAAATTGATACACCATCAGGATTCACCCTCAAGTAAGATTATCCAGGATTCCTTTGCTACATCCATAATTGGTTTATCTACTCTTCTTTATTCTTAATATGTTGAACAAGATTTAGGACTTTATCAACATACTTAGGAGATCAGTTTCACTACTACAACCATTAATATGAGTTATCTGATGCAACTTGAAGTTGTACGTAGCTTGCACTGTCAGTATTGATGGGTGAATGTCTATGTAGAAAAGTCTGAAGTGGTATGCAATATGGATAGTCTTTTTTTTTTTTAAGAAAAAGAAAAAATGTTTTACTAAGAATCTGATTGTTAAACAGCTAAGTTGTTGGAGCAACTGTGAGAGAATGGCCTAGGCAATTACTAGAACCAAGGTATTTTTGGCATTTGATTGTATTGTCCATACTCTCACCTTCCACATTTAGGACAGTAGTTTTAAAATAAGAGAAATTAAAGATGTTGAAAAAAATTCCCATTAAATGTGAATGATCTTAGATGATAGAAACTGAAATTCTTTTTTCCTAGCACCATGTTCATCATTCTTTAGATCTCAGATTTCCAAACTATGTTTTAGAAAAGGATTGTTCTGTACAGTAAAGTCTCAATTTTTAGAATTTTCTTCCTCTGAAATAATTTTAAAAATGAATGGTGCCTTCTTAAGGAATAATGGTATGCTCACTGTTCTAGGATTCAACTTCAACATTTTTCAAAGTCCTTCAATAAGAAGGTAAAACTCAGTTTCAAGTTTCTTTGTCAACAACAACCTTTACTCCTATTACCAAGAATTTCTATTCAACAAACTGCAAAGCAGTTATAAAAGTAATAAAGGTAAAAAAAAGTGGTACCATGAGATTCACACTGTCTTCAAAATTATTGATAGAAACAAGGATTTATAACAGCCTTTAAAAAAACAATTCTGGCAGAATTTGTGGGAAATACTATTATTTTAATTTTTAAATGCCTCTTAACTGTAGTCAGTAAGTGCTATCAATCAATACAATCCAATTATTGTCGTTTAGCTGTGGGCTCCCTACAGCCTGCACATGACGGCTTATATACCTTGGTTATGCAGATTAAAATTGTTAACTGGGCCGGGCGCAGTGCCTCATGCCTGTAATCCCAGCACTTTGGGAGGTTGAGGCGGTTGGATCACCTGAGGTCAGGAGTTCAAGACCAGACTGACCAACACGGTGAAACCCTGTCTCTACTAGTAAATACAAAAAATTAGCCGGGCGTGGTGGCGGGCACCTGTAATCCCAGCTACTCGGGAGACTGAGGCAGGAGAATCACTTGAACCCAGGAGGTGGAGGTTGCAGTGAGCCGAGATCACGCCATTGCACTCCAGCCTGGACGACAAGAGCAAAACTCTGTCTCAAAAAAAAAAAAAAAAAAATTGTTAACTGGTGGTGTTAAAGAATTCAGCTATTTGTTCTTAAAAATCAAGATGAAGTCTTTGATTCTGTAAACAACTTTTTTTCTCTAATAAAAAATTGAGGGGTCTTAAATGTTACTAAGGACATAATAATAAATTTTGTTCTAATATACTTAAAATTTAGGATAGCCAATAAAAGCTCACTGTAATAACAGCCTTCAACAAAATTATTAAGCAGAGGAAGAAAGTATGATATGTATACTTCAAGTAGTATTCCACTAAGTATTTTCATTATTGAGTGCCTTGTTAGGTTTATCTTTCCATTTGCTTTAGTATCTTTGATTTCTTTAACTTCATTGTTTTTCATTTCAGTAAATAAATTCCAACTCACAATCTTATACTACATGCTCTTAGAAAATTCATACTCGGGCTGGGCGCGGTGGCTCACGCCTGTAATCCCGACACTTTGGGAGGCCGAGGCGGGCGGATCATGAGGTCAGGAGATCGAGACCATCCTGGCTAACACAGTGAAACCCCGTCTCTACTAAAAAATACAAAAAATTAGCCGGGTGTAGTGGCAGGCGCCTGTAGTCCCAGCTACGCGGGAGGCTGAGGCAGGAGAATGGCATGAACCCGGGAGGCGGAGCTTGCAGTGAGCCGAGATCGCGCCACTGCACTCCAGGCTGGGCGACAGAGCGAGACTCCGTCTCAAAAAAAATAAAAAAAAAAATAAAAAATAAAAAAAATAAAAAAAAGAAAATTCATACTCTGAGTTTCCATAATATATACCTCAAGTATTTGGAGGACCTTAAACTTTTTTATTATTAAATACCATGTACTTAATTATCTGTGTATGAAAAGCACCTAAACATTTTCATCTATGTATACAACTGTGTTTGAAAATAAATAACTGGTAACAGATTTTTCCATTTCACACTTTGTGTTTTTAGTGCTTATTGTGACAAGTCTTATCATCTGCAACTGATAATTTGCCTTCTTAGCTGCCTGTTGTCTCTGTAATATGCCTGCTCTACCATTTTTCCATACCACCTTGATCTATCTGTTATTTACCAATAATTCAGATCTAAAAGCTATGCTTCTGTCTGTTCACACTGCTCAAAGATGATTTACTTTACCTCAATAAATAGCATGTATATGAGTGCTTCTACTGCCATATATCTTCCTACTACTGCTATTAAAATTAAAACATTCACAGAAGCTTATAATACAAATAACTAGAACAGGGACTCTTAGAGCTCCTTTAAAGGTCTCGTTTTAAAAATCTGTTATATTCAAAATAAAATGTTAAGCAATTTGCTATGTAAATAAAGGCCTTATAATAGATAATGATCATTAACAACTTTTAAAACCGTAGTAGTAAGACTGGTGTTTCAGTTGGAGATAAGGCTTTTCCTTATAAATGTGAAAGACTATAAAAAAGAATGAAACATATTGAGAGCTTGCACCAACTAAGCAATGCCATCTGGCATAAACACAACTGAAATTAATTTTTTAACCTAAGAAGAATTTTATTTATATTGAAATAAAAGGTAAGATTATAAAAGTAAATATTTTAATATTTAGGTATACAGTCTGCATTTTACTAAGAATCTGATTAATGTAAAAAGTTAAAGGCTATATGATATACATACATGAATTTGACTGATGTAGTTTTTCAGTTCTCTCAGTGTCATTTTGAAATCTAATATCACTGTGAGAATTATGAAACGCTTAGCAGCTAGTTATCTTGATATTAAATCCAACCAACTAAAATCTGAGAGTAAACACACAGTATTTCTGATATTCATACTTTAATTGTTTTTTTCTTAAATCAAGCTTATCTCATAAAACCTAGTCTTTTGTTTGGATAATCCTGCTGACTTACTGTTACTATTTATTCTAATATACAGCAAACTGATTCTTAGTACATTATGCCCCCAAATTAGAGAAACTTTCATTAGAAATATTAGAGAAACTTTCATGAGAAATAATTTCAGTACAAGAATTAGGATGGGATACAACAGTGTTCATTAAAGACAATACAGTGGTTGACAGCAGTTGTAGGAAGCATTTCTTAAAAACTGGAAGGTAAGCTATCACAACATCCCTAAACCAAGGTGTGTGGCCCGTTTCCTTGGTTAGGTAAAAATGCAAAAGAAAATCGCTTCTGAATATTTACTACATCACTATTTCAATTTAGGGGGAGCATGCTAAAGAAATTAACATAGGCTCAATAAAGTGAGCACATAATGCCACACCCACCATCAAGATTGGCTCTATAGATACAGAACTGTAGGTATTTGCTAACTCTTTTGTAGCTGTTTAAATAAAATTTAAATACCAGAAGTTATAGTTGTGATGAAAATTACACTTGACTGTAAACTAGAAGCCTTAGGTTAAAAGAACACTCTTCCATAGCAAATTATAGTGTTACTGGCAGCATATATAAATAGCGTGAAAAAGTGACTATTTTCCAAACAAGTACCCATGGAAAAAGTCATTTATATAAAGATTGTATAACTTAATATACTGGAATAGTTACAGAATTACATAATTCTAAGAATACCTTTACCCTTGTTTCTGAAGAATATTAACGTGAAAAATATTTTGGCATTAACTGGTACAATAATTACTTACCTGTTTCTTGTACAGAACCAACTTAATAACTACAGGGTTATCTTATTTTTATGTGTAGTCAGAATCAAAATGGAAAACTTTACGAAGCCTCAATGAAAAGAAGTCTCTTGGAAACTTGGAATTTTATAATAAGGTAGTCACCCCATTCTAAAAACAAGAATGTACATGTGGGATTCTTTATATAAAACTAAAAGATGAAGCATTTAAAAAAATGTTTAAGAAAAGTTAGTTCACATCTTGTTTTAAAAAGCAATGTTAGAGACCCTTGATAAGAACCTACTTTTAAGTATGTAGTTAAGTTTTAGTATGAAAATCTGAAATCAAGCATATTGTATGATAGGCTATTTTTCACTTGAAAGGTAGTAAAATGGAAGATCTCCTTACTGTGTTGCATATACAAATCCTTGAGGAGTCTTTACAAATAAAAATTAAACTTTCAAAAAAATCTAAAATCTTTTTAAAACCTAATTCACTGTCATTTTAGATGATTTCTGCATCCAGAACTATTAAAATGCTTTAAAAATGCTTTAAGTATAATAATGAATGTAAAAAACATTTCTTCCTTTTCCTTCCCTTCAACCCAAAATCAGAAGTCTTCAGTACAACTTTCAAAAAAGTAGAACATACCAGTAAAAATAAAGTAAGAAACTATTTTCTTTTTAATCAAAACAGCAAGTATTTTAAGTTTTGTATAAATAACACACACACACACACACACACACACACACACACACACACAAAACCCACCATATTTTATTTTAGCTATGGTGTCTAAAGTGGAGTAGCACTATAACAAATGACAACAACGAACAACCCCTTATACTTAATTGAAAAGATTTAAGATGTATGCTCATTTTTCTTAAAGATACACGTTATGAATTTTCTACTGGCATTCTTGAATAAAATTAACAAGCATACTTTTTTACTTATTTACCTCATTTCCCCTCTAAAAAGGAAATAAATCTCTTCTATGACTGCAATGCAAAATTCTGAAACCCCTCAAATATACAGTCTTTAGGAAAAAATTCTTAACCTGCTGCACTTCTTAATGAGCTATCCATTTTTAAAAAACAATCTAATCTATTTTATGGCTTAAGCTTAAATTTAGTTCATGAGCATAAATCCCAGAGATCGAAGAATGTTATTGGCAGTCAGCAGCTCAAAGGATGACAATATTCCTGGCATTCTTAATCTCAAAATTTTAAAAGAAAACTGTTCATAGTAGTCTTAGAAAAATTTGGAGATAGTTCCATTTAAAAAACACATTCACCACAAATAGATACAAGGGAAACCATAATAAAATAGATTATATCTTTGTAAGCTTGTTTCATTTCAAAATGTATTATTTAGGGTCAGGGAAATTTCCTATACAAATAAAACTAGACATTTGTTCCCTTTATGTGAAAAATATTTACAGTACATGGAACTACAAGCTAAAAGTATACACCTGCTTATAATGCTGGCCAGCGATATAAATGAACAAGGACACAAAGGTACTTATTCAATTATCTGAACATCTTAATTTGTTTGTATAGTGAAGTAATTAATTATAGATTAACTATGGAAAAATTAGAAAACAGTATTAATGAACACCAGCCCTCATGTGTGTAAAACATCACACAAGATGCCAAGGTATTATACATCCACTGTGGTAAAAACTATACATACATATTCTGTGCATCTTTAACATTGCAAAATTTACATAATAATTTTTTCAGGTCTCAAAAAGCTGAGTTGAAAAAGTCTATTTTTTTTCTTTTGCCAGACAAGAGTGATGTTAACTGACAATGTTTAAGAAACTTCTTACAAAATCCTTGCTAAGGAATTCTCATTAATGTCTTTTACTGGTGGCCTCATGAAGAAAAACTTACTAAACTTTGAAAGTTTTGAGCAGATATTTTCACATCTTTGCTGGCTAGCATCATGATTTATATAATAATGATATATGTAATAATAGTCCACAGCAATGTGAAATATAAAACTTTGTTCTGTAAATCTACTTTGGTCTCAGAATGAAGGTCATTTCTTTCATCCAGCCATGTTATCCCTTATTTGATCCACTCGAAGAGCTAGATCCCTAAAGGAGGGGCGTTGATTTACATTATTGTTCCAGCATTCTGTCATGATCATATAGATCTGTAAAGGAGAAAATAAACCAAAATTAAATGAACACTAAGGGCCATCTTTTAATTGGTGGAAGACATTAATTTTCAATACAGGGCACATGTCATAACCATGCCTTGTTCCACAGTCATCTGATTATGCTGTTTATCTGGAAGCTCCGCACATTAAATTTCAGGAAGTGAACTGAAGTCCTTGAGTAAAAAGTAAAAGAAAATGCATGACTACCCTGGATTAAAAAAAAATTGTTACCTCATCTGGGCATCCATCTGGTCTTGGTAATCTTCCATTATTCTTCAAAAGTTCTATCAAATGGAACACGATCATCTGTCCTTGTTTGTCATTGCCAATCATACGCATAAATTCCTAAAACAAACCCACTTTCAATATTTTTTGTACATTTAATTTGTAGCAAAATTCTTTCTCAATTTCCTCCAGTCAATGGGAAAAAATTTAGTATATGTGTGCTTTTGTATGTTTTCAAACCTTTTCAAAACAAACTACTTTTAGGATCAAAAACATAAGGCTGTTAAATATGGAACTTCTATAATTTCCATTTCCATAGCTGTAATAAACTCAACACAAATCCCCTGAGGAGGGCTCAAAACACATGAACTAAAAACATATTTCCTTTGAGTTTTTTGTTGTTAAAAAACTCATATTTTTATCATATTACATTTCAATTGAAATAAAAAGTTGAATATAAAAGAGAATATAAGAAAAAATGAATGAATAAGCATAAATACAACAAAGAAAACTTTCATATGTCAAAGTTTATAAAATTAAAATCTGAATTATAAGCTAGGAAAATACTTAAACATCATTTACTTATTTTCAATATAGACAGCTCTTATAAATTGGGAAAAAAAATTACAAATATAAAGATAGGCAAAGCACAGAAGAGATAATTCACATATATACATACCCACCCTAAACACCCAACAAATATATAGTCAACCACATTAAGAAAAGAAATGGAAATTAAAATATATATAACTTCTCCCCTATCAACTTGGCAAAAGTACATAAAAATATAATAACCAATAGTGGCAAATGATGAAATGTACATCCCTATGCATTGCTGTTGAGATATAATTTGGCACAGCTTTTCTAGAAAGCATTTTGAAATTAAAAAAATTTTAAAATAGTTCATAACTTTTACTTATACTTTTATTCTAAGATAATTATCAGAGATAAATATAAATATTTATGCATGAGGATGTTCACTATGTTCACTGAAGTGTTACTTAAAAGACTGAAGAATGGAAAATGATTGTTCAGACATATATAGCCTTATGATGGAATGCTACTCAGCAATTAGAAAACATATTTGCAGTACATTTTTCTAATACAGTAAATTACCCATGCTGTAATACTTCATGAAACAGAAGGAGAGCAAACTGCACAGTATGACCTTAATTTTATAAAATAATATATATTTATATAAGTGAACTTTTATAAAAGTTATAAAAGTTTTATATACTTCTTTGTATATACTTTTATACACAAAATGAAGCCTGAAAGGTAACATACCACAATATTGAGGTGGTCTTCTCTGAGTAATTGCATTAGAGATGATTTTTATTTTTTCATACTTTTCCATATTAAAAAAAATTCTATGATGACCAAGAGAAAAATTACTTTGGAAGGTTTATTTTAACTTATGCAATAATTCCTAGAATGAATTAGCTTACTGGATTTAATAAAAGTAATATTAAGAGACTGTACTAACTAGCTTCCCAATATCCCCTTTTTAAAAATTCAAGCTAGTTTAGGAATAGGTTTGGGATTATTTTGTTTGATATTGCCTTAAAAATAAGCAATAAAAGCTCTAAAGTGAGTCCTAGGCTTACTATTCTTTGGATAAATCCTTTCTCATGTTAAAAAAAAACTTGAATGTATGTTCTTGTTGATTTTGTCAAAGATCAGTTGGCTATAAATTTGTGGCTTTATTTCTGGGTTTTCTATTCTGTTCCATTGATCTATGTGTTTGTTTTTTATATGAGTACCATGCTGCTTTGGTTACTGTAGCCTTATAATATAATTTGAGGTCAAGTAATGTGATGCTTCCAGCTTTGTTCTTTTTGCTTAGAATCGCTTTTGCTATTAGGGCTCTTTTTGGTTCCCTATGAATTTTAGGATTGTTTTTTCTAATTCTGTGAACAAATGACATTGGTATTTTGATAGGAACTGCATTGAATCTGCAGATTGCTTTGCGCAGTATGGGAAAGGACACCCTTTTCAATAAATGGTGCTGGTAAATTGGATTGCCATATGCAGAAGAATGAAACTGGACCCATATTTATCACCATATAGAAAAATTAACTCGATCGATTACAGACTTAAATGTAAGATCTGAAACTAGAAAAATACTAGAAAAAAAACCTAGAGAAAACTTTAATGGAAATGAGTGTAAACAAAGAATTCATGGCAAAGACCTCAAAAGCATAGGCAACAAAACCAAAAATAGACAAATGAGACTTTATTAAGCTAAAAAATTTCAGCATAGCAAAATCAATAATCAACAGAATGAACAGAAAACCTGCATAATCGGAGAAAATATTTGCAAACTTTGTATCTGACAAGGAACTACCATCCAGAATTTATAAGGAACTCAAGCAATTCAACCAAAACCCCCTAATAATCGTGTTAAAAAGTGGACAAAGGAGATCAATAGACATTTTCAAAAGAAGACACCCAAACTGACAAGAGGCATATGAAAAAATGCTAATCACTAATCACCAGAGAAATGCAAATTAAAATCACAATGAGATATGCCTTATTCCAGTCAGAATGACAAAAAAAAAAAAGAGAAAAAATTACCCCAGTGAGATATGTCTGACTCCAGTCAGAATGGAAAAAAAAATGAGAGAGAGAAAAAATAACAGATGTTGGCAAGGGTGTGGAGAAAAGGGAACTCTTATACACTGTTGGTGAGAATGTGCATTTGTACAACCTCTATGGAAAACATTATAAAGATTTCTCAGAGACCTAAATATAGAACTACCATTCGATCCAGCATTCCCACTATGGGGTATCTACCTAAAGGACAAGAAATCACTGTATCAAAAAGATACCTCCACCTGTATGTTTATTGCAGCATTCTTCACAAAAGCAAAGACATGGAATCAACCTAAGTGTCCATCAGTGGATGACTGGATAAAGAAAATGTGGTATACATACAAAATGGAATACTATTCAGCCATAACAACGAATGAAATTATGTCTTTTGTAGCAACATGGATGGAGGTAATTATCTTAAGTGAAACAAATCAGCCATAGAAAGACAAATACCACGTTTTCACTTATAAGCGGGAGCTATATAATGTATACACATGAACGTAGAATGTGGAATGATAGACAATAGAGACTTGGAAGGGTGAGCCATTGGTGGAGTAGATGCTGAGAAATTATTTAAGGGATACAATGTATGTTATTAAGGTGGTGGATACCCTAAAAGCTCTGACTTCACCACTATGCAATGTATGCATGTAGCAAAATTGTACTTGTACCCCATAAATTTATAAAAATCAAACGAACAAACAAAAAACTGAAAGTAAATAAAAAGCACACTGACCGCTGGTGGACTTTTACTCTTCTCAATGTATGTGAAAAGTTCATACAGAACCACTCCAAAGCTCCAAACATCTGAGGCCACAGAAAACTTGCTCTCTGTCAGTGATTCTGGAGCATACCTGTAAATATATGAATAACATTTAAAAGACAGTTACTTGATATGTGGACTCTTGATTTTACCTGCAAATCATTGTATAAATTAAAAAAAAAAACATGTAGAGAAAAGAGTTATCACAGCAGGCCTGAGGCTTCTATGATTAAAAGGGCCTTTTTGCCTGGCACCTGTGAACTTAGATTTCAGGAGGGATTCCACAATTCCCTAAATAAGAGTGACTCACTATGCCTAGATTGTTTGTACAAACAATACGGTTTATGCTGACATCTACTTTTCTTCTGGGAGTATGTAACTTTAGTATGTGCCAGGCGGAGAGTGCCTAATTTTGCTTTATGTTATTTCCCTATAATGAATCATAACCATGAATATGGATATATGCTGAGTCCTGTGAGTCTTCCTAGCAAATCGTCAACCTGGGGATGGTCTTGGGAATCTCTGACATAGAAAGATAACTAAAATCCAAAGAAATTTATTTTTGTCTCTGTAGACAGCACCAAGGTTAACTGCAGAGTACCTTCTAAGAAGTGAAAATAAGCTGCTCTTTGCAAGTTAAGCTTTAAATGAATCCATATAAATATGCTGGAGAAAAAAATTGGTTCCAAGGCAAGACTTAAAGCTATAAAAGAAAGAACCTGTTAACCAGAAGAGGGGTGACTAAGGAATACAGAAAGGAAAAAGTCACAGCAATGGTGTCATTGTTCACTCAAGCATTAACACTATCCAAGGGAACGTTTTGGCCTAGTGGACTGTGAGTATCATGGTTCCATTGCTAAGTTTATCTTTATTATAGAGACAGCTACAGAGATGTGTTTTAGACTGATATTAAAAATGTGAATTACATAGATTTAATCTCTCCTTCAAAATCCCATTTAAGTTTCCTAATCTCCACAAATCCTTCCCTGCCTACTCCAGGTCTTATTGCCCTCAGGCCACTGAATTCCTATAGTACTGGCAGTCCATACTACGTAATTAAACATCCTAATGCTATATTCTTTTTACATTTAGTCTTTACAAATTTTACATATCTAGTTATGTTATTATCAAATGTATGTTAGTTTTATTCCACAAGGGGAATGCAAAGTTCTTGAAGACAGCACTATTCCCTCACTCCTTGCAAAATATGCTCTTCCTCTGGTTTTCATATAGCACTCATTGTAATTTCCCGCACATTTCCACAGCTGTTTTTTTCTGTCTGTTCTATCACTTATGTAAGGGTAAATACAAATTTAAAAAGAACAAAATTAATTCCCCTTGTTGAAAATAAGAAGAAAGACTCCTCCTTCTTTGTTCTTAGAGCATTCAGAAAACTTGTAAATTCTTTGTCTTTTTGAAGTGTATGTAAATCTTTTAAAAATCTCTTGCTTCAAAGCCTCTTGCCAGTTTTGTGACCCATGAATGTCTTTCTCAAGAACGTGTAACTATCTCTTGGGAATTCAGTCATCAAGGAAGATAGCACCCTTACTCCCAGTTTCTGTGGGAGTAGAAGCCTAACTTCAGCAGGAGCCTCCTTCCAAGCTGCAAAACTACCTCCTGTCATGAAGATATGAAAAGTGTATTTTCCTTTGTATAAAGCCAATTAGCAAAGTCACTCCAATTACCAAGTGAATTTAGAATAAACTACGTATGTGGCAAATAGTGCTGTCAAGTCTTCTTACTTGAGGACTAGTTAATGTTTATCCTAAGAACTTGAATGAAAGGGGTTATATCAGGTTGGCTATATAAAAGGGTGAGATTTCCTTCTGTCTTTGCAAATCTCTTAGGGGACTGCTTGTGATACACATCACATCCTGCTCTAATGCTTACTCAATCATAAAATTGTTTTCCTTCTATCTTTGTGGAAAGGTTTTCTGGGTTGGAAGATTTTGTTTTCAATTATACTTTCCCAACACTACTACTACTATTCTGCCTCTTCTAAATTGAAGGTTTCCCAGGGTCTCTTCATCAGATTTATTCCTCTCTTGGTTAAAAACTTTCCCTTAGATAGTATCATCCACCTATATACTAAAGTCTCCCAAATTTATAACCATATCTTTGACCTTTGTTTAGTGCTCCAGACTTTTAGAACATTTCCACATTAAAGATCTATAGGCAAACAGAATTCCATCCTCTTTCCAAAACTTGCTGATTATTTTGTTTCTTATGCAATAAATAGCATCACAATCTATTTAGCTGCTCAATTTGAAAATCTTAATTATTTTTGACGCATCTTTCACTCCAGTGTCTAATGACCCACTAAGTCCCTTTAGAGTATAGCTTAGAAATATCTCCAATCAGTCTCCTAACCCATTGTTACAGTTTACATCACATCCTTATCTCATGACTAGCACAGAGGTCTTCACACAAGGTGAAGAATAATGTACAAAGATCATCCAATGGGTACTTCTGTAGTAAAAAGAGTAAAGGATCCTCCAGGAGTCCAAAATCCTGTTTCACCGATTTTTTACAACATTTAAGCAGAGGCACTTTTTCCCCCAGTTATTACCGTCAACCATATTGTTAGCTTAAAACAAAAGAGCCTTTTCGAACAAGAAAAACAATATAGATAACAAAGTTTCTTTTAAATGAAATTGAGTTTTTAAAAAAATGATATCATGGGCAAAATCCTGTGAATAAAAATTGAGTTCTTTCAGACTTCAGATTTAGTGTTTGCTATGTGTCTCCTCCAAAATTCAGGTGTTGTTAATGTGATGGTATTAACAGGTGGGGCCTTTAAGAGATGATTACGCCATGAGGGCTTCTCCCTCATGAATAGGATTAAGGCCCTTATGAGAGGCTTCATGCAGCATTTGGCCCCTCTCGCCCTTCCACTTTTGTCCATGTGAGGACATGGTGTTCCTCCTCTCTGAAGGAGGAAGCAGCAAGGCTCCATCTTGGAAAGAAGAGAGCAGCTCTCACCAGACGCCTGAACCTGCCAGCACTTTTTTCATGGACTCCTAACCTCTAGAAGTGTGAGAAATAAATTTCTGTTCTTTATAAATTATCCATTTTCAGGTATTCTGTTATAGCAGCATAAAGGGACTAAGACAGTGTTTATTATTCAATAAGTTAGCTCAAACTTATTTTATCAATTCATATTCTAAAATATTTACATAAAATTTAATGAACTTCATTTCATTGTATAAAATATTTATTTTCTACTTGCAAATATAAAAATAAAACTATATGCTAACTGCCTGATTTGCTTTTAGCAGTATATATTTTTTGTGTTCATTAAGTACATATGAAAATTTTGATCATGAGGAAAAATAAGTTATTTCTGATTTTCATACAAGTTGCTTCTAATTATTCCCCAAAGTCAGAATTCACTTCATACCTCCCCCTAACACATTTACTGAAGGAATGACCATGCCATGTACCATATACCTTACTTCATAAGTTATAATCTTAGCCATATTTTACTCTGTATTATTTATTGCAAATTAAGTAATGAGAAATTATCTTATTTTCATAATATGAAATTAATTATGCCAGATATATATATCATCTTCAGCTTATCCTGACTGCCCTCATGATTTTTTCACATGTATAGGCAGAGATACAGGTCCCAAAGCTTATATAATTTGAAGCCTTTTTTTTTTAGGCTTTCATTATGACAAAGAATACAAAATTATACATGAAAGTGCATAATTTTCTATTTAAAATTAGAAAGGAACCTTGGAAGGAGGACCTCTGGATATGCTTCATTAGCTTCATAATAAACATACCTCCATGCATTTGTTCTGTCATTTGTTTCTCAGGTTTTAAAAAAATCACATATTATTAATATATTTAGTGACTTGAAAAATGAAGTCTGAGTTTTTCTGCCAGAAATTAAGTGATTTGTTTGATGCCTGGCATTACCAAATGGGTTGTATGAAGGACATTCTTCACAAAATCTACTCAACCTTTGAGGTAGCTGAGAGGTTTGCTGTGTTTAAATCATATATTTAAAACATGATAAAATATGTTAATAATAATGTATTAATAATAGTCTGTTTTTTCAAACTTTTCTGAATGTATTAGTTTAAACAAGGTACATCCACGTGAAAGTGTAACATATAGTTGGAATTAATTTTAAAAGCTTTTTGGTATACTTTTCAGAAATTGAGAAAACAGATGAACCTGATGACTGGTTAGTAAACTCATTTTTGAAAGTCAAGTGGTTTTAATTCTCTGCTTTTAATAAAATTGAAACATAATGGATCTGATCAAATGAAACTGCCCAATAACAGATAATTTTTAATGGTATATTACTGTACTTTTTTCCTGCATATCTCAGAAGGCGTCATAGAAATGAATGATACTATTATAACAAAACTCCTTCCATTCCTGTCCACTCACTTACACAAACAAGTTTTCTCAGCGTTTACATCTGTAAAGTGCAAAATGAACACAGAATTTATGCTTAATCTTGTCCCATTATAGAAATAAATAATATTCATCCGAGGATATACAAACCAATTGGAGGGGAGGGATTGTTCCATTCACCAATAAAATTTTTAAAGCAATTATCCAAATTTGTTATTTACATTGCTTTGGAAAACTGTATCCTAGTAACTTCAATGATAACCCAGAAGAAAAATGTGAATAGTTACAAGTTTGTTGGTCACAGGAAAATTTTTAATTAATTTCAACTTACTTATATACATATCTTGGTTACAAAGAAAATAGGTGATCATAAGATTATCCAAATACAAAGTGTAACATATTATGCAAAATTTGGAATGAGAAGGGAAGTGGGAATACTATTTTAAAGAGAAAAAGGAATGATACAAAGTTTGTACAAAAAAATAAAAGTCTATTCATATAATCTTTTTAAGTGGGTGATAAGTGGGTATCAAATTGCTGCACTATTTATTTGTTTGTTTGAGATGGAGTCTCGCTCTGTCGCCCAGGCTGGAGTGCAGTGGCGAGGTCTCCGCTCACTGCAAGCACTATTTAGATTCAGTTGGACACATTTAAAGGATTGACATAGCTGTTATTTAAATGTCAATATTTACAGTACTTTAGAAAATACATTATAACTACTTACAAAGAAAAAAATTAGCTATCAATTTAAAAATGTGTAAGAGGATGTGGTTTTTCTAAATTCTTTTAGTGAGCATATATACTTAAAAGGTTTGAAAACCAGTGGCCTAGATCCTCATAAAATCTAATTAGCTGCCTCTCTACTATTAGCCTCTCATTAATACAACGTCCCCTCTGTCAGTAGTTCTCAAAGCTTTTGATCTCAGGCTTCCTCGTATACTCTTAAAAATTACTGAGGTTGCCAAAAAACTTTTGTTTCTGTGAGTTATATCTACCAGTATTTACCATATTAAATATTAAAGCTAATAAAATATAAAAATATTTATTAATTTATTTAAGATAAAACCATTACCTGTTAACATAAGTAATGTATTTTATGGAAAACAACTATTTCCAAAATAAACTTTGATAAGAGTCACATTGTTTTACATTTTTGCAAGTCTCTTCAATGTTTGGTTAAATAGAAAACATATCTTATTGCCTCTGGAAAACTATACTTATGAAAAAATGAGTGAAAAGAGCAAATAACATCCATTATTATGAAAATATTTTTTACTTCACAGACACCCTAAAGTCCCCACACTTTCAGAACTGCTGTTCTATAACAAAAGTAGAGCTATCTTTCTAAAATATGAATCTCACCATGTTATTCCCCTGGATAAAGCCTCTAATTTCCCACCTTACGCACTGTCTACTAAAGAAGGTCTGAACTCATTAACATGATGTACTGGGCGTCCATGTATGCTGCTATAACAGAGTACCTGACAATGGATAATTTATAAAGAACAGAAATTTATTTCTCATACTTCTGGAGGTTGGGAGTCCATGATAAAGGTGCTGGCAGGTTCAGGTGTGTGGTGAGGGCTGCTCTCTGCTTCCAAGGGGAGCCTTGTTGCCACATCTTTTAGAGGAGAGGAATGCCGTGTCCTCACATGGATGAAAGTGGAAAGGCAAGAGGAGCCAAATGCTGCATGAAGCCTCTTATAAGGGCCTTAATCCCATTCATGAGGGAGAGGTCAATTCAACCAATCGTTGAAATGTCATCTTAGTTATCTTACATAAATCTTCAGCTGAATTATTTGTACTGTTATGTTTTCCCAGTACCTTAATTATTGCACTTACACTTATTGCACTTAATTATTGAAAGTGCCATATTATACATATGACTTTTCCTAATTATGAGCTCTTGAAGGGACTATGGGTAGTGGACCTGTCAGTTGAATTTGCCTATCACGTCAAACTTTTCCTTTTAGTTCAGCCTTTCTACTAAGGGACAGTCCTTTTCTGATGCTAAGCCTATCTTCATATCCCTACCTCCCTGTATAGTATTTGGAGCACAGTAGAGTCTTAATAAATATTTATTAGCTTGTATTCATTAAGTATAACCAAATCTCTGAATCTTCATATAACTAATATTTTTTGATTGCCAGCTAATTTTATTTAACCTCTTTAATTTTTCATTCTGAAAACAATAAAAACAATTAAATTCATGTATCACTGGGGATATGGCCAAAACAGATGATTATTTTTAGATGAGTCTTACTTTTTAGTTTCACTCATACCCTAAAAGTAATTAGATGAACGCAGTTCTAATGTTTATCATGACGACATTTCCTCAAAAAGTATTTTTAATATTTATTATGAAAAATTTCAAACCTACCCAAATTAGAGAACAATTAATGCCAGATTAAAGCATTATCATGGTTAGGAAGGCTTATAAGCATGAACTCTGGGATCAGACTTTTTGGGTTTAAATCCTGGTCCAGTGATTTACTAGTCATGCCACCTTGGGTAAGCTATTCAGTTCTCCATGCTTAAAATAGAGATAATAATCATACATGTTCTCCAAGGGTTGTTATGAGGATTAAATGAGATTATCCATAAAATGCATTTAGCCCAATGTAAGCCTACAATAAATGTTCACTGTTTTTTTTTTAAATTTTATTATACTTTAAGTTTTGGGATACATGTGCAGAAGGTGCAGGTTTGTTAACGTAGGTATACACGTGTCATGGTGGTTTGCTGCACCCATCAACCCATCAACTACATTAGGTATTTCTCTTAAAGCTATCCCTCCCCTAGCCCTCCACCCAACAACAGGCCCTGGTGTGTGATGTTCCCCTCCCTGTGTCCATATGTTGTCATTGTTCAACTCCCACTTATCAGCGAGAACAAGTGGTGTATGGTTTTCTGTTCCTGTGTTTGCTGAGAATTATGGTTTCTAGCTTCATCTTTGTCCCTGCAAAGGACATGAACTCATCCTTGTTTATGGCTGCATAGTATTCCATGGTGTATATGTGTCACATTTTCTTTATCCAGTCTATCATTGATGGGCATTTGGGTTGGTTCCAAGTCTTTGCTATTGTGAAAAGTGCCACAATAAACATACATGTGCATGTGTCTTTATAGTAGAATGATTTATAATCCTTTGGGTATATACCCAGTAATGGAATTGCTCAGTGAAATGGTATTTCTAACTCTGGATCCTGGAGGAATTGCCACACTGTCTTCCACAATGGTTGAACTAATTTACACTCCCATCAACAATGTAAAAGCATTCCTGTTTTTCCACATCCTCTTCAGCATCTGTTGTTGCCTGACTTTTTAATGATCGCCATTCTAACTGGCATGAGATGGTACCTCACTCTGGTTTTGATTTGCATTTCTCTGATGACCAGTGATGATGAGCTTTTTTTCATATGTTTGTTGGCCACATAAATGTCTTCTTTTGAGAAGTGTCTGTTCATATCCTTTACCCACTTTTTGATGGGGTTGTTTTTTTCTTGTGAACTTGTTTAAGTTCTTTGTAGATTCTTGATATTAGCCTTTTGTCAGGTGGCTAGATTGCAAAAAATTTTTCCCATTCTGTAGGTAGCCTGTTCACTCTGATCAGTTTCTTTTGCTATGCAGCTGTTTAGTTTAATTAGATCCCATCTGTCTATTTTGGCTTTTGTTGCCATTGCTTTTGGTGTTTTAGTCATGAAGTCCTTGCCCATGCCTATGTCCTGAATGGTATTGCCTAGGTTTTCCTCTAGGGTTTTTATGTTTGTTTGTTTGTTTGTTTGTTTTCTGAGCAGGCACTGTTTATTGGGGGTGGCTTCCTGGGGTCATTGCAACAGTGGACAGAAGGTCTGGCCAGCCCTTCCCACCACACAGCTGGACAGAGCCCTAGTGGGGAGGAAGGCAGGAGGACATTTAATGGGATTTACAGACAACAGTTACTTGACGGTCTGTGAGCCAGTCGCTGTCTCATGGACCACAGAGCAGATGAACTCGTTTTTCTGTTCCCATTCAGCCCTGGTAACCTCCAGGCAGCTGAAGACTAAGACGCCAGAGCCCTTGGTTTTGCGGGGCTGCGTCATGCTGTGCCAAGTGTCCGGGAGCTGCACCTCGTTGTACAGCCACTGCACCAAGATGTCCTTGGGCCAGAAGTTCTGGATCAGGCAGGTGAGGGTGCGCTTGTCCTGGTTCCTCGGCTCTTCTAGCGTTGCAAACACGTAGACCTGTGGGGGAGCACATGGGCCGCTGATCTTGGTCGTGGACTGCAGGTGGGTGTGGGTCACCCTGCACTGGTAGGTCTCCCCCTTGATCCAGTCTCTGGTGCCCACCAGCAGGGTGGACGTGATGGTGAACGTGCCATTGCACTGCTTCTCTTGCCTTAGGATGACCTGAGCCACAGACTTCCCACTGGCCTGGGACCAAGTCAGCTTCACGTTCTCCTTGCTGGGTGCCAGGTCCACCACCAGACAGGTGATTGTGGGCAACTTGCGGATGAACAGGTAGAAGGGGCTGGACCGGCTCAGGTAGGTGCTCACCCCTTGCGGGTTAGAATCTGCACACTTCTTGGCACTGTCCTCAAAGGTGTTACCTTGATAGGTGACCTGGCAGGTGTAGGTGTGGTCGGGCAGCCAGCGCTTCTGGGTGAGGGTGAGCTTGCTTTGTGTGGAGGCCAGCTCATCCTCCAGTATGGGAGAGGCGATGGACCAGTTCACATCCACGACCTGCCCATCCTCCAGCCAGGTGATGCTGATGGCACCTGGGTGTACCCAGAGATGAGGCACAGGAACTGGATGGTCGGGGGTAAGTGTCCACTGCCATCACAGGAGGACTGTAAGATCTTCACGGTGGGGAGGGTGAAGTCCCTGGAGTAGATGCTGAAGGTACTGACCTGGTCTGCGGACCACAGAGTGTGTGCCACGCTGCAGGTGAGCGTTTGGCCCACGCACCCGAGGCAGTCAGCTGGCTGGTGATGGCGTAATGGCCAGAGGGCGTGAGGGTGGTGGCTGGGAAGGTCCCAGCGCTCCTGTTGAGGGAGCCTGTGTCCCAGGTCACAGTCACTGACTTCAGGAAGTAGCCTGTGGCCAGGCAGCCCAGGTTCATGGAGGTGGCATCAGAGGCAATGTCTTTGCAGCAGGGGATCAAGGGGAAGATGGATGGGCCCTGTGTGGAGGCGGGACAGTCAAGATCAGCTGAGACCAGCCCACCAGGGGAGTCACCCTCTGAAGTCTACTCTAGGCCAGTCTGATCCAGCCTGGCCAAGGTCAGTCCGGGTTTTTTTTTTTTTTTTTTTTTTTTTAAATAACTAATGTTCTTTTTATTTTCCTTAAAAAAAATTACGCTTAGGCACAATTTGCTGCTGGCTTTTGAAGAATAAGCCAAGTTTCCACAGCATCTCCCTCAAGTGATATGTTACGATTTCTCCACATTTTATAGTTAAGGCATTTTTTTCTTTTCTGACAAAGTGTATGTTTTGTTGCTTGCATTCAGGTTTTGTTTACTGGAAAAAAAAAAAAAAAAAAAAAAAAAAAAGCTCCTGCCAGCCCAGACAACAGGGCCAAGATGCAGTTTCAGGGTCCATGGGGCAGGTCACAGGGTGACATGGTGGCTGAGATACGGGGGCAGGGGGAGCGAGGGCAGTGAGGGGTGAGCCGGGGTCCCAGGGAGCTCCTGGACCCAGCGTCACCTTCCTCACCCCCATCACTCACCTTCCTTGCCCCCATCACTCTGAGCCTCATCAGGTCGGTGTTGGCTCAATGCTGACAACAGTTGTGTGAGGTGTGGATGTGGATGAAGCCCAGGGCCTCAAGTGGGCGTTCTGGGCCCAGCCCACGGGGCTGAGGGCGGGTGGCTCGTCCCACGGAGGCGTACCTTTCACACGTGCCCAGCGGGGTTGTGGGCTTCACTCAAGCCCAGGTGGGCAGCTGAAAGCACCATCTGGGGGCCTCCGAACACGCGCGACACCTTCTCTTCTCGCCGTTTCAAACAGGCTGTTTTGGGATTCAGGTTCCGCTCTCGCACTTGCTGCTCCAAATTCAGGATGACCGAGACGGCCTGGTGCAGGATAAGGAGTTTGGTCTGGGGCTTCTCGCTGTTGAGGTGCAGTTGCCACATGCGCCCCAGCTCCTTAAGAGCCCTCTTAAGGGACCCGCAGCCGCTCCCTGGCGTTATTGGCCACCTGCTTCTCCCACTCGGCCTTCTGCTCTGGGGGGAAAAGGTCATCTTCCTCCTCGTCCTTGTCTGGGCTGGTCCGGTCCCGGGGGTCCTTCAGCTCCTTCTTCTCCTCTTGAGTGGTCAGCCGCCGACGTGTTCTCCTCATCCTCCTCCTCCCGCTTGATTTCCCCAGTGGCCTGCTCGCCCTAGCCCACTGCAGGAGTCGGAAGGCCAAGAGAGGTCGGGGAGGGCGCCTGGCTAGCTGGAGAGGGCAACATGGATGTGCATGAGGCTGGCGCTGCCCGCAGGGCCGTCCTCAGGGTGTTCGCCTCCAACCAGGCCTGCGTGCTGCCCCCACCAGCAGCATGGGGCCGGCGAAGCCCAAGGCCAGCGCCCGGTGGCCGGGTAGCAGCGTGTGCACGTTGCTAGCCGTGCCCATGGCGTGGCTGCAGAGCACGTGGATGCCCTCGTTCAGGTAGGTGGTCTTCTATCTTACTCTCCAGGCCGTGGAGACCCCCGTCGTAGCTGGGTGATAAGGCACCAGGGACTCCTGCTCCAGGCTAGTGCGACGTCCCTCCCAGGCCCTGGGGGGAGCCCACGGCGGTGGAGGGGCTGGACCACAAGTTATTGCTTGAGTGATCCGGAGAGTAGATTGAGGCCAGGCCTTCCCGAGGGCGTCCCCAGAGCTGCTGGCTGTGGTCCCTCGGGAGCCCAGGAGGTTGTCGGCCCCGCCGACAGGCGTGTGGCTGGAGACGCCGCCTACGTGGCTCCGGGGGCCAAGGAGAAGGTGGATGCAGCCGGAAGCCCACCGTTCACTTCTCCTCCGTGCAGCCGGTAGCCCACGCGCTCGTGCTGGTGCAGGCCGCCAAACGTGCTGCTGCCTCCGCCACTGCCCACAGGGCCGCTGCTGGGCGGGAGGGACGAGGGGCATGAGCCCCCGCCCAGCATGGGGCCAAAGCCCACCTGGCCCAGGGAACTCCAGAGCTCGGCTTAGGGGTGCAGGCTGCCATCTGCCATGTAGAAGGGGGCGGGACAGGCGCTGCTGGGCGTCTTGGCGGATGGATAGGCGGCGGCATCCCTACCGTACTCCTCACCTGAGCTGGGCAGGTACGCCGAGGATGGAAGACCAGGCGGGACCTTCCCGACCTTCGTGGGCTGCGTGTCCAGGCCGCTGTCCGCCTCTGTCCGCCAGAGCTGCTGGCGTAGGAGGGGTAGTACCGGGAGGTCCCCTTCATGCCTGAGGGGGACAGGGGTCCGGGGCTGCTGAGGGCCAGCTTGCCCGGCAGGAAGCCAGCCTGAGTCAGGCTGCGCACGCCTGCGTCTCTACCAAAGGAGGAATAGGCCCGCGCTAGCTGCTCTTGCCTCCGAGTCCCGGTCCCAGGAATGTGAATGGAGAGTGGCTGCCGTGCGACTCAGCAAGTTGAGCGCCTTCGCTGAACGTCCAGCTGGGGTCAAAGGAGGAGCTGTTCTGGTCGCCGCTGCCCCAGGAGCCTGAGCTGGGCCAGTTCTCAAGACCTGAACCTCTGAATTGCGCCCCGGCCAGGGAGGCGGGCCGGCCCTTCCCGTTGGCAACGGGCAGCGGGAACATCATGCTGAAGTCCAGGTTACTGAGCTCCTTGTCCGTGTCCACGGATGCCATCCTCTGCGGCTGGTTCATTCTCTTGGGGCCAGAGCGGGCATCTCAGACATGGAAACCCTGCTGGGCGCGGCGGCATGAAGCGTCCCCCCCACCTTCCCCGAACAAACGGGCGATGCAGCAGGGCCCCCAGGCGTCGCGCGTGGCCCGGGCCCTTACCACTCCTGCATGGCCAGTCCGCAGAGCAAAGAAAATAACACGGGTACTATAGCCAGCAGTTAAGGAGGTGGCAGTAAGAGTAATAGAAAGGGCTCAGGCGTTGGTATATGACAGTATTTGTGGTTTCGATAATAAGGTCTTTAGAGTAAAAGCCTGTGAAGAAAGGCATATCTGTAAGTGCAAGGCTACCAATAATAAGGGAAGAGGAAGTGAAGGGTAAAGTCTTGAATAGTCCTATTTTTCAAATATCTTGTTCATCATTGAGATTGTGGATGATGGAGCCTGAGCATATAAATAATATAGCTTTAAAAAAGGTGTGGGTGCACATGTGAAGGAATGCTAGATGTGGCTGATTAATGCCAATTGTGACTATCGTAAGGCCCAGCTGACTTGAGGTGGAGAATGCTATGATTTTTTAAATATCATTTTGTGTTAGAGCGCAGATTGCTGTAAATAAGGTGGTAACAGCCCCTGGAGATAATGTAAAGGTTTGGGTTCAGAGGTTATTTTCTATTAAAGGGTAGAAGCGGATGAGCAGGAAAACTCCTGCTACAACTATAGTGCTGGAGTGGAGCAGGGCTGAGGCTGGGGTTGGGCCTTCTATGGCGGATGGAAGTCAGGGATGGAGGCCGAATTTAGCTGACTTTCCTGCTGCTGCTAAGAGAAGGCGAATTAATGGAAGGGGATTAGAGGTAGGGTTTAGAATGAATGCTTGTTGAATCTCTCATGTGTTGGAGGAAAAGAGGAACCATGCTATAACTAAAATAAAACCAATGTCGCCGATGCGATTGTGCAGGACTGCTTGGAGGGCTGCTGTATTAGCATCTGCTCGGCCATATTGTCAGCCAGTTAGTAAGAAAGACATGATTCCTATACCTTCTCATCCGATAAAGAGTTGAAAGAGTTTGTTGGTGGAATATTGGAAGAATACTGTGATGAGGAAAATATTTGAAAAATTGATTAATGTTAGGGTCTGAGTTTATATATCATATTGAGAATTCTACAGGTAACAAATAGTGCTACTAGAATAAATATTATGGAGAAGTAGTCTAAAGCTTAGTGAGAGTTTAAGAGTTGGGATTGTCATTCAATGTCAGTTTGAGATAATGACTTCTTGGTCTGTATATATAAACGTTGGGATGAGGCTAATGGTGAAGGCGCATGTGATGGCTATTTTTATGTAATTTGGGTATGAATCTTCTTTTGCAGGGGTTGACTAACGTAATAATTGGTGTGATTAAGGCGATTAGGGCTATTATAGTAGTGGAAAAATACATATTTGTTACTTTTCTTTGGAGTTGCACCAATGTTTTTGGTTCCTAAGGCCAACGGATGACTCCAATCCTTTAAAAGTTGAGAAAGCCATATTGTTAGGCATGGGGGCATGAGTTAGCAGTTCTTGCATACTTTCTTGGTAGATAAGAAGTTGCAGGCTTCTATTATTAGATCCACAATTTAATGTTTTGGTTAAACTATAGCTACAGCATGTAAAGCCCATAATAATTTTAGGATTTAGGATAATAGAAGAATAGGTGTAACATGTATAAATATTAATGTATTTTCTCGTGTAAAGGAAGGTTTAACTGTTAATGTAATATGTAAGTGTCCCTCATTGTGTTGTGATTGGTACATGTAGGGAGTAGAGGGTTGTAATTAGTATATTAAGTCCTGTAAGCATAATAGTGATGTTTGATCAGGAGAATGAAGCCATGATCACAGAGAGTTCCCTTACTAGATTAATGGTAGGGGTAAGGCAAGATTAGTGAGATTTGCTAGAAGTCATCATGAGGCTATATCAGTGGGAGGAGTATTTGAAGGCCTCAGGTAAGTATATGATTCCGTTTTGGACTCACTCGTAGTTGGAATTTGCTAGGCAGAATAACAGGGATGAAGTGACTCCATGGGTAATTATAAGGGTGACGGCACCTGTAAAGCTTCAAGGGGTTTGGATTAGGAGAGCTATGATGACAAGTGGTATATGGCTTACAGAGGAGTAGGCAATAACTGATTTTACATCGGTTTGTAGACAAATGGAGCTTGTCATAACTATCCCTCATAGGGATAGTGTGAGGAAGGGGTAGGCTATATATTCTGTTAGGGGGCTGAGGATAAGGGTAAGCCGTATTATACCGCAGCCGCCTAGTTTTAGGAGTACCGCTGCAAGTACTGTTGAGCCGGCAATAGGGGCTTCTACATGGGCTTTTGGGAGTCACAGGTGAAGTCCGAATAGAGTTATTTTTACTATAAAGGCCATAATACATGCTAGTCATATAAGATTATTGGATAAGGAGGCTAACAGTTCTTGGTCAGTAAATATCATTACTAGCATATTTAGAGAATCTGAAGTATTTAAAGTGTAGACAAGTGTAACAAGTAGAGGAAGGGACCCTACTAGTGTGTACAATAGGAAATATGAGCTTGCATTGAGGCGTTCTGGTTGGTTCCCTCAGCGGGTGATAATAATAATTAGGGTAGGAATTAGTGTGGCTTCAAAGAAAATATAAAATATAATTAGTTCTGTGGCTGTGAATGCTATAATTTTAAAAAATCTGCAGGGAAATCAATATAGAAATATAGAGCTTTTTTGTGGGGGTGATTCATTGAACAGTTAATATTGGCTTGCTAGGATTATAAAAGGTAATAGGCTGTTAAAATTAGGAGGGGTGACATCAGCAGATCAGAAGAGAAAACTAGTGAGAAGTTGGATGAGTTACTGTTGAATTGGTTAAAAAACAATAGGGTGATGAGGCTGATAAGTAGGCTGTGGATGGTCATGTTAATTCAGATTATAGAATTTTTAGAGAATCATATTATTGGTAACAGCATAATTGTCGGAATAATTTTTAGCACTGAAGTAAATTTAGATTTTGTGTGTAATCTAGGCCGTATGTGTTGGAGATTGAAACTAATAAGGCAAGGCCCACTGCGGCTTCACAGGCAGCAAATACTAGGAGGATAATGGGTATTATAGATGCTAGAGTAAAATGTATATTTAAAGTTATAAGGGTAATTATGATAAATATTGACAGTATTATGCCTTCTAGGCACATAGGGATGATATTAGGTGGGTTTGATAGATTAATTTTACCAGTAGTGATATGGTATATGGTAATATAATGTTGATGTAAATAGAGGGCATTTGGTAAATATGGTTTATTATAATCTAATGAATCGAAATCATTTCTTTTGACTTAAACTATTTACCAATTCAATTCAATCTAACCCTTTTTGAGTTCTTTTGTAAATTAAGCCTAGGATTAAAATGATAACTAGTATAAGGGCTGTGGTGATTATTGTTGTTAGGTAATTTGTTTGAATAGCTCATGGCAGGGGTAGTATTAGAGCGATTTCTAAGTCTAAGAGGAGAAATGTGTTGGCTACTAGGAAGAATTTTATGGAAAAGGGGAGGCAGTTGGAGGTTATTGGGTCAAATCTGCCTTCATAGGGGCTGGATTTATCTATATAAATATTAATTTGTGGAAGTAAAAATGTAATTAGTAGTAGTAGTAGGGCCAGTAAGGTGTCGGTTACTAAGGCTAGTGTCAGGTTATTTAATATCTTTCAGATATTATCGAAACTAGTTGATTGGAAGTCAATGGTACTCTTTATACTAAAAGAGTAGGATCCTCATCAGTAGATAGAGACATATAAGAATAGTCATACTACATCTACAAAGTGTCAACATCAGGCAGTGGCTTCAAAGCCAAAGTGCTGGTTGGATGTAAAGTGATGTATATATATTTTTATTATACTTTAAGTTCTAGGGTACATGTGCACAATGTGCAGGTTTGTTACATAGATATACATGTGCCATGTTGATTTGCAGCACCCATTAACTCGTCATTTACATTAGGTATTTCTCCTAATGCTATCCCTCCCCCGGGCCCCTTTGTGTGATGTTCCCTGCCATGTGTCCAAGTGTTCTCATTGTTCAACTCCCACCTATGAGTGAGAACATGCAGTGTTTGCTTTTCTGTCCTTGCGCTAGTTTGCTGAGAATGATGGTTTCCAGCTTCATCCATGTCCCTGCAAAGGACATGAACTCACCCTTGTTTATGGCTGCATAGTATTCCTTGGGATATTTGTGGCATATTTTCTTATCCAGTCTATCATTGATGGGCATTTGGGTTGGTTCCAAGTCTTTGCTATTGTGAATAGTGCCACAGTAAACATACATGGGCATGTGTCTTTATAGCAGCATGATTTATAATCCTTTGGGTGTATACCCAGTAATGGGATGGCTGGGTCAAATGGTATTTCTAGTTCTAGATCCTTGAGGAGTCGCCACACTGTCTTCTGCAGTGGTTGAACTAGTTTACACTACTCCCACCAACAGTGTGAAAGTGTTCCTATTTCGCCACATCTTCTCCAGCATCTGTTGTTTCCTGTCTTTTTAATGATCACCATTCTAACTGGCATGAGATGGTATCTCATTGTGGTTTTGATTTCCATTTCTCTGATGACCAGTGATGATAAGCATTTTTTATATGTCTGTTGGCTGCATAAATGCCTTCTTTTGAGAAGTGTCTGTTCATATCCTTTGCCCACTTTTTGATGGGGTTGTTTTTTTCTTGTAAATTTCTTTGTAGATTTTGGATATTAGCCCTTTGTCTGATGGGTAGATTGCAAAAATTTTCTCCCATTCTGTAGGTTGCCTGTCCACTCTAATGGTAGTTTGTTTTGCTGTGCAGCTGTTTAGTTGAATTAGATCCCATCTGTCTGTTTTGGCTTTGGTTGCCTTTGTTTCTGGCGTTTTCATCATGAAGTCCTTGCCCACACCTATGTCCTGAATGGTATTGCCTAGGCTTTCTTCTAGGGCTTTTATGGTTTTAAGTCTAACATTTAAGTCTTTAATCCATCTTGAATTAATTTTTCTATAAGGTGTAAGGAAGGGATCCAGTTTCAGCTTTCTACATATGGCTAGCCAGTTTTCCCAGCACCATTTATTAAATAAGGAATCCTTTTCCCATTTCTTGTTTTTGTCAGGTTTGTCAAAGATCAGATGGTTGTAGATGTGTGGTGTTATTTCTGAGGCCTCTGTTCTGTTCCATTGGTCTATCTCTGTTTGGGTAGCAGTACCATGTTGTTTTGGTTACGGTAGCCTTGTAGTATAGTTTGAAGTTACGTAGTGTGATGCCTCCAGCTTTGTTCTTTTGGCTTAGGATGGTCTTGGCAATGCAGGCTCTTTTTTGGTTCCATATGAACTTGAAAGTAGTTGTTTCCAGTTCTATGAAAAAAGTCATTGGTAGCTTGATGGGGATGGCATTGAATCTATAAATTACTTTGGGCAGTATCGCCATTTTCACGATATTGATTCTTCCTATCCATGAGCATGGAATGTTCTTCCATTTGTTTGTGTCCTCTTGTATTTCATTGAGCAGTGGTTTGTAGTTTTCCTTGAAGAGGTCCAGAGGTCCTTCGCATCTCTTGTAAGTTGGATTCCCAGGTATTTTATTCTCTTTGTAGCAATTGTGAATAGTTCACTCATGATTTGGCTGTATGTTTGTCTGTTATGGGTGTATAGGAATGCTTGTGATTTTTGCACATTGATTTTGTATCCTGAGACTTTGCTGAAGTTGCTTACCAGCCTAAGGAGATTTGGGGCTGAGATGACCAAGTTTTCTAAATATACAGTCGTGTCATCTGCAAACAGGGACAATTTGACTTCCTCTTTTCCTAATTGAATACCCTTTATTTCTTTCTCTTGCCTGATTGCCCTGGCCAGAACTTCTAACACAGTGTTGAATAGGAATGGTGACAGAGGGCATCCTTGTCTTTTGCCAGTTTTCAAAGGGAATGCTTCCAGTTTTTGCCCATTCAGTATGATATTGGCTGTGAGTTTGTCATAAACAGCTCTTATTATTTTGAGATACATTCCATCAATACCTAGTTTATTGAGAGTTTTTGGCATGAAGGGCTGTAGAATTTTGTCAAAGACCTTTTGTGCATCTATTGAAATAATCATGTGGTTTTTGTCATTGGTTCTGTTTATGTTATGGATTACGTTTATTGATTTGCAAATGTTGAACCAGCCTTGCATCCTAGGGATGAAGCCGACTTGATCGTGGTTGATAAGCTTTTGGATGTGCTGCTGGATTGGGTTTGCCAGTATTTTATTGAGGATTTTCACATCGACGTTCATCAGGGATATTGGTCTAAAATTATTTTTTTGTGGTGTCTCTGCTAGGCTTTGGTATCGGGCTGATGCTGGCCTCATAAAATGAGTTAGGGAGGATTCCCTCTTTTTCCATTGATTGGAATAGTTTCAGAAGGAATGGTATCAGCTCCTCTTTGTACCTCTAGGAGAATTCGGCTGTGAGTCCATCTGGTCCTGGACTTTTTTTGGTTGGTAGGCTATTATTGCCTCAATTTCAGAGCCTGTTATTGGTCTATTCAGAGATTCAACTTCTTCCTGGTTTAGTCTTGGGAGGGTGTATGTGTCCAGGAATTTATCCATTTCTTCTAGATTTTCTAGTTTATTTGTGTAGAGGTGTTAATAGTATTCTCTGATGGTAGTTTGTATTTCTGTGGGATCGGTGGTGATATCCCCTTTACCATTTTTTATTCCCTCTATTTGATTCTTCTCTCTTTTCTTCTTTATTAGTCTTGCTAGCAGTGTATCTATTTTGTTGATCTTTTTGAAAAACCAGCTCCTGGATTCATTGATTTTTTGAAGAGTTGTGTCTCTATCTCCTTCAGTTCTGCTCTGATCTTAGTTATTTCTTGCCTTCTGCTAGCTTTTGAATTTGTTTGCTCTTGCTTCTGTAGTTCTTTTAATTGTGATGTTAAGGTGTCGATTTTAGCTCTTTCCTGCTTTCTCTTGTGGGCATTTAGTGCTATAAATTTCCCTCTACACACTGCCTTAAATATGTCCCAGAGATTCTGGTATGCTGTGTCTTTGTTCTCGTTGGTTTCAAAGAACATCTTTATATCTGTCTTCATTTCATTATTTACCCAGTAGTCATTCAGGAGCAGGTTGTTCAATTTCCATGAAGTTGTGCGGTTTTGAGTGAGTTTCTTAGTCCTGAGTTCTAATTTGATTGCACTGTGCTCTGAGAGCCAGTTTGTTGTGATATCTGTTCTTTTACGTTTGGTGAGAAGTGCTTTACTTCTATGTGGTCTATTTTGGAATAAGTGTGATGTCGTGCTGAGAAGAATGTATATTCTGTTGATTTGGGGTGGAGGGTTCTGTAGATGTCTATTAGGTTCACATGGTGCAGAGCTGAGTTCATGTCCTGGATATCCTTGTTAACCTTCTGTCTCATTGATCTGTCTATTATTGACAGAGAGGTGTTAAAGTCTCCCATTATTATTGTGTGGGAGTCTAAGTCTCTTTATAGGTCTCTAAGGACTTGCTTTATGAATCTTGGTGCTGCTGTATTGGGTACCTATATATTTAGTATAGTTAGCTCTTCTTGCCCAGTTGATCCTTTTACCATTATGTAATGGCCTTTTTTGTCTCTTTTGATCTTTGTTGGCTTAAAGTCTTTTTTTTCAGAGACCGGGATTGCAACTCCTGCTTTTTTTTTTTTTTTTTTTTTTTTTTTTTTTTTTGCTTTCCCTTTGCTTGGTAGATCTTCCTCCATCCCTTTATTTTGAGCCCATGTGTTTCTCTGCACATGAGATTGGTCTCCTGAATACAGCACAGTGATGGGTCTTCAATCTTTATCCAATTTGCCAGTTTGTGTTTTTTAATTGGGGCATTCATCCCATTTACATTTAAGGTTAATATTGTTATGTGTGAATTTGAACCTGTTATTATGATGTTAGCTGGTTATTTTGCCCGTTAGTTGATGCTGTTTCTTCCTATCATCGATGGTCTTTACAATTTGGTATGTTTTTGCAGTGGCTGCTACTGGTTGTTCCTTTCCATGTTTAGTGCTTCCTTCAGGAGATCTTGTAAGGCAGGCCTGGTAATGACAAAATCTCTCAGCATTTGCTTGTCTGTAAAGGATTTTATTTCTCCTTCACTTATGAAGCTTAGTGTGGCTGGATATGAAATTCTGGGTTGAAAAGTCTTTTTCTCTAAGAATGTTGAATATTGGCCTCCACTCTCTTCTGGCTTGTAGAGTTTCTGCTGAGAGATCCGCTGTTAGTCTGATGGGCTTCCCTTTGTGGGCAACCCGACATTTCTCTCTGGCTGCCCTTAACATTTTTTTCCTTCATTTCAACCTTGGTGAATATGACAATTACGTGTCTTGGGGTTGCTCTTCTCGAGGAGTATCTTTGTGGAGTTCTCTGTATTTCCTGAATTTGAATGTTGGCCTGCCTTGGTAGGTCGGGGAAGTTCTCCTGGATAATATCCTGAAGAGTGTTTTCCAGCTTGGTTCCATTCTCCCCGTCACTTTCAGGTACAACAATCAAATGTAGATTTGGTCTTTTCACATAGTCCTGTATTTCTTGTAGGCTTTATCTTGTTGCTTTTTACTCTTTTTTCTCTAAACTTCTCCTCTCGCTTTATTTCATTAATTTGATCTTCAATCACTGATACCCTTTCTTCCACTTGATCAAGTCGGCTAGTGAAGCTTGTGCATGCGTCCTGTAGTTCTCATGCCATGGTTTTCAGCTCCATCAGGTCATTTAAGGTCTTCTCTACACTGTTTATTGTAGTTAGCCATTGGTCTAATCTTTTTTCAAGGTTTTTAGCTTCCTTGCGATGGGTTTGAACATCCTCCTTTAGCTTGGAGAAGTTTGTTATTACCAACCTTCTGAAGCCTACTTCTGTCAGCTCGTCAAAGTCATTCTCCATCCAGCTGGCAAGGAGCTGCAATCCTTTGGAGGAGAAGAGGCCCTCTGGTTTTTAGAATTTTCAGCTTTTCTGCTCTGGTTTCTCCCCATCTTTGTGGTTTTATCTACTTTTGGTCTTTGGTGCTGGTAACCTACAGATGGGGTTTTGGTGTGGATGCCCTTTTTGTTGATGTTGATGCTATTCCTTTCTGTTTGTTAGTTTTCTTTCTAACAGTCAGGTCCCTCAGCTGCAGGTCTCTTGGAGTTTGCTGGAGGTCCACTCCAGACTCTGTTTGCCTCGGTATCTGCAGTGGAGGCTGCAGAACAGCAAATATTGCAGAACAGCCAATGTTGCTGCCTGATCCTTCCTCTGGAAGCTTCGTCCCAGACAGGCACCCACCTGTATGAGGTGTCAGTTGGCCTCTACTGGGAGGTGTCTCCCACTTAGGCTACAGAAGCATCAGGGATCCACCTGAGGCAGTCTGTCCATTGTCAGAGCTCAAACACCATGCTGGTAGAAACACTGCTCTCTTCAGAGCTGTCAGACAGGGACGTTTAAGTCTGCAGAAGTTTCTGCTGCCTTTTCAGCTATGCCCTGCCCCCAGAGGTGTGGTCTACAAAGGCAGCAGGCCTTGCAGAGCTGTGGTGGGCTCCACCCAGTTCGAGCTTCCCTGGCCACTTTGTTTACCTACTCAAGCCTCAGCAATGGCGGACGCCCCTCCGCCTGCCAGGCTGCTGCCTCACGGGTGGATCTTAGGCTGCTGTGCTAGCAGTGAGCAGGGCTCCGTGGGTGTGGGACCTGCCAAGCCAGACATGGGATATAATCTCCTGGTGTGCCATTTGGTAAGACTGTTGGAAAAGCACAGTATTTGGGCAAAAGTGTCCTGATTTTCCAGGTACAGTCTGTCATGGCTTCCCTTGGCTGGGAAAGGGAAATCCCCTGACCCCTTGTGCTTCCTGGGTGAGGTGATGCCCCGCCCTGCTTCAACTTGCCCTCTGTGGGCTGCACCCCCTGTCCAACCAGTCCCGATGAGATGAACCAGGTACCTCAGTTGGAAATGCGGAAATCACCATCTTCTGCGTCGATCATGCTGGGAGCTGCAGACTGGAGCTATTCCTATTCAGACATCTTGTAAAGTGATATTTTAATTGGCGGAGGAAGCAGATAGTGAGAAATGTTGATCCAGTAATAACATGAAATCCATGAAAGCCTGTGGCTGTAAAGAATGTTGAGCCATAGATCCCATCAGAGATAGTAAAAGGGGCCTCAAAGTACTGAGATTTGTAGGAGGGTGAAGTAAATACCTAAGGTAATCGTGATGGATAGTGCTAGAATTATTTGCTTTCGATTTCCTTCTATCAGGCTGTGATGAGCCGAAGTAACTGAAACTCCTGATGCAAATAATACAGATGTATTCAGAAAGGTACTTCTAAGCGTTTGAGGGGAAAAATGCCTGTTGGGGGGTCAGTGTCCTCCTAATTCTGGCATTGGGGCTAGACTAGAGTGATAGAATGCCCAGAAGAAACCAGCAAAGAAGAATACTTCTCAGATAATAAATAGAATTATTCCATATTGGAGGCCTTTTTGGACAACTGTTGTATGGTGGCCTTGAAATTTACTTTCTCAGATAATATCACATCATCATTGGTATACAGTTAGTGTGTTGATTAATAGGCCTAGGGTTAAAAGAGTAGTAGAATTAAAGTGAAATCACATGGCCAGGCCAGATGTTATTAGTAGAGCTGAGAGAGCTTCTGTTAGTGGTCAGGGGCTGGGTTTGACTATATGGCAAGCATGTGTTTGGTGGGTCATTATGTGTTGTCATATAGATAAAGGCTTACTAGTAGTGTGAAGACATAAGCCTGAATAAGGTCTATGGCGAATTTGAGAATAGTCAGTAGGATTAGAATAATAAAAGCAACTGAAGCTGTGGGAAAACTAATAGCTAATAGTACTAGTGTGTCTCCTGCAATTAAATGTATTAGTAGATGACTGACTATAATGTTGGCTGTTAATTGCACAGCTAATGCTATTGGTTGAATAAATAGGCTAATGGTTTCAATGATTACTAGTATAGGGATAAGTGGCATAGGTGTGCCTTGTGGTAAAAAGCCAGCCAAGGAGTTTTTCGTTTTAAAGCAGAAGACTGTAATTACTGCGCCTGCTCACAGGGGGATTGCTATACCCAGGTTTATTGATAATTGGATAGTTGGTGTAAATGAATGGGGTAGAAGCCCAAGGAGGTTGGTTGAGGCAGTGAAGATAATTAGGGATATTATTATAAGGGATCAGGTTTGTCCTTTAATGTTATGGGTAATTATTATCTGTTTTAGTGCAGGTTGGATTAATCATCGTTGAATAGAAAATAATCGGTTACTAATTTGATGACTAGAGGTTGGAAACAGTGGGAAACAGAATGATTAATACTACTGCTGGTAGGCCTAGAATTGTAGGGGTAGCAAAAGAGATGAATAGATTTCGTTCATTTTAATTCTCAGGAAGCCTTGTGTTTTTGTGTTTTGATTATTTTTGGTGTAGGGATAATATAAATGAAATTTAATAATTTTAACTGAATAATGGAGAATAAAGTTATGATTATTGACAGGATAATAATGGATCATGTGGAAGTATCTAGTTGAGGCATTCACTGCAGAGAGGTGTAGACTCCGTCAATCTTTAACTTAAAAGGTAAATGCTGAATAGCTTTACAGTGATATTTTAGTGTAGATGTGGATCAGGTTTTGAAATATTTTAAGAGGATTAGTTCTAGGACAATAGGTATAAAACTGGTTAGATTCACAAATTTCTGAGCACTGTCCATAGTAAAGACCTGGTCGCCCAGTGGTTAAGGTAGTTTGATTTAAGCATCTGGGGATTGCATCTGTTTTGAGGCCTAATAAGGGGATAGTTCATGAGTGCAGGATGTCTTCAGATGAGATTAATATATGGATGGGTATTTCTGTTGGGAGAATTGTTCGGTTATCAACTTCAAGGAGTCGAAGTTCTCCTGGTTTTAAGTCTGGTGTTGGGGTTATATAAGAATTGAAGCTTAAGCCGGGCGCAGTGGCTCACACGCCTGTAATCCCAGCACTTTGGGAGGCTGAAGTGGGTGGAACACAACGTCAGGAGATGAAGACCATCCTGGCTAACATGGTGAAACCCCGTCTCTACTAAAAATACAAAAAAATTACCCAGGCATGGTGGCGGTCGCCTGTAGTCCCAGCTACTCGGGAGGCTGAGGCAGGAGAATGGCGTGAACCCGGGAGGCAGAGCTTGCAGTGAGCTGAGATCACACCACTGCACTGCAGCCTGGGCGACAGAGCGAGACTCTGTCTCAAAAAAAAAAAAAAGGAATTGAAGCTTAATTCTTCATAGTCTATATATTCATAGCTTCAATATCATTGATGACCAATTGCTTTGACAGTAAGGGAAGGATTATTAACTTCATCTGTTTTATACAGAATACGTAGGGATGAGAGGCCTTAAAATTAAGATAATGGCAGGTAAGATAGTTCAAACAGTCTCAATTTCTTGGGCATCTGTGGTGCTAATATGAGTTAATTTTGTTGTGAGTATTACGGAAATAATGTATAGAACCAGGAACTAATTAGGAAAATAATTATAAGAACGTGGTCACGGAAAGTGAGCGGTTCTTCTATGATAGGGGATGTAGCGTCTTGAAGGCCTAATTGAACTGGATGAGCCATTAAGACATATAGGATTTAGCCTATAACTTAACTTTGACAAAGTTACGTAATGAATTTGCTAATATCTTATCGAGAAAGTCACAGAGGTTTTTGATTGGCTTGAAACCAGTTTCTGGAAGTTAATTCCTTTCTTTTTCATTTAAGGGTTTAATGTAGGTTGGCTCTTCAAATGTGTGGTAAGGTGGTGGACAGCCATAAAGTCACTCTAAATTACTAGATGGTTGTTCAATTGTTATAGTTTTTCTTTTCGAAACAAAGGCTTCTCAGATTATAAAAATTGTTAGCATAACTGCTGCTAATGAGATAAATGAGCCTAAGGATGAGATAATATTTCATGCGGTGTATGCATCAGGATAATCGGAATAACGTTGCGGCATACCGGATAGGCCAAGGAAGTGCTGTGGGAAAAAGGTTAAATTAACACCTATGAATATAATGGTGAAGTGAATTTTAGCGTAGGTCTGATTAAGCATATAACCTGAGAATGGGGGAACCAGTGGTAAAGCCTCCTATGATGGCGAACACCGCTCCTGGTGATAGGACGTAGTGGAAATGAGCTACAACATAGTATGTATCATGTAAAATAATATCTAGTGATGAATTAGCTAGTACAATGCCAATTAGACCTCCTACTGTGAAAAGAAAGATGAATCCTAGGGCTCAGAACATTGCGGGAGATCATTTGATGTTACCACCACGCAGTGTAGCTAATCAGCTAAAGACCTTGATGCCAGTAGGCATAGCAGTAATTATGGTAGCGGAGGTGAAGTATGCTCATGTGTCTGTGTCTATGTCTGTTCCTACTGTAAATATATGGTGTGCTCATACAATAAACCCTAAGAAGCCAATAGATATTATGGCTCATACTATGCCCATATACCCAAATGGCTCCTTTTTTCCAGAGTAATACGTCACGACATGGGAGATCATCCCAAAGCCTGATAGAATAAGGATATAAACTTCAGGGTGACCAAAGAATCAGAATAAATGTTGATATAAGATAGGATCACCCCCACCAGCAGGGTCAAAAAGTAGTGTTGAGGTTACGGTCAGTTAATATTGTGGTAATGCCAGCGGCTAGGACTGAGAGAGAAAGGAGTAGGATTGCTGTAATGAGGAATGGTTGGACGAAAAGGGGTGTTTGATATTGGGATATGGCTGGGGGCTTTTTGTTAATAATTGTAGTAATAAAGTTAATGGCTCCTAAAATAGAATACCTGCCAAGTGAAGTGAGAAGATGGTAAGACCCACAAAGGATCCTGCATGTGTTAGGTTTTCAGCTAAAGGGGGATAAACTGTTCAGCCAGTTCCAGCACCGGCTTCTATTGAGGATGCAAGTAGGAGTAGGAAAGAGTGGGGGAGAAGTAAAAAGCTCATTATTATTTATCCGTGGAAATGCCATATCAGGGGCAGCAATTATCAGAGGGACTAGTTAGTTGCCGAAACCCCCAATTATAATTGATATGACCATAAAGAAGATTATGACAAATTCGTGGGCGGTAACAATAACATTATAGATCTGGTCATCTCCTAGCAGAGTTCCTGGTTGACCTAATTCTGCTCAAATTAGAAGGCTTAAGGAGGTACCCACTATCCCCACTCATGCGCCGAACAGCAGGTATAGTGTTCCGATAGCTTTGTGATTGGTTGAAAACAATCAACAATTGATGAACATAAGTGGAAAAAAGGGTAAAATGGCTGAGTAAGCATTGGACTGTAAATCTAAAGACAGAGGTCAAGACCTCTTTTTACCAGCCCTGAGGTAATTTTTTATGTTGAATTGCAAATTCAAAGGAGCAGCTTCAATGCTGCCAGGGCTTCTCCGGCCTACCACCCTCCCCCCACATGGAGGGAGAAGTAGATTGAAGCCAGTTGATTAGGGTATTTAGCTGTTAACTAAATTTTTGTGGGTTTGAATTCCACCGATCTAGCAAGGACTTAGCTTAATTAAAGTGGTTGATTTGCGTTCAACTGATGCAGAATAGAGTTTTGCAGTCCTTGGGTTTGTTACAGAAATTAAGTATAATTCATTTACTAAGGGTTTTGAAGGTCCCTGGTCTTATTTAACCTAAATTTCTAAGTTATAACTAGAATCAGTGGAGAGATGGGTAAGAGGAAGGTAGAAGAAATAAGTGGAGGGAGGAGTAATATGGGTTTTGTGTTTTTGAATTGTCATTTTATTTTCGTATTATTGGATGTGGGGAATATTGTCATTGAGATGGAGTAAATTAGGCATATATAAAACTACAGGTTGAGTAGTGTTATGATAGCTATAATGGTTGGGGTAATAAGACTATTGTTTTTTGAAAATTCTTGAATGATGACTCATTCAGGCAGAAATCCTGTTAATGGAGGTAAAGCTCCTAGGGATAGTAGAATTAGTGAAACTATAGGTGTTAATCATGTTAATTTGTTTCAAGTGTGAGACAGTGACAGGGTTGTAGTGCTTATACTTAGGCTAAGTGCTAGAAATGTGGTAGTTGTTAAAATAAGGTAAACAATCAGATTTATAATGGTAACGTTTGGATTATAAGTTAGTACTGGGATCATTCAACCTATATGAGTAATTGAGGAGTAGGTTAAGATTTTGCAGAATTGTGTTTGATTAAGTCCTCCTCAACCGCTTACGTTAATGGATAGGATTGTGATAGATAGGAGACTGGTCGTGTTTATTGATGGGAAAATTTGAAATATAATTGAGATAGGGGCTAGTTTTTGTCATGTGAGGAGAAGTATGCCAGACATTAGAGAAGTTCCCTGGGTTACTTCTGGGACTCGGAAGTGAAAGGGGGCTATTTCTAGCTTTATTACTAGGGCTGTTATTATTAAGGATGAAAATTGATTAGTAGTGTTTATTATTGTCCATTGCCCGGAGGACGGGTTGTTGAAAAGGATACCCATCATGAGAATTATAGATGCAGTTGCTTGTGTAAGAAAATATTTGGTGGCTGCTTCTGTAGAGTGGAGATTTGTTTTTTTAATCAAGATGGGGGTAAGAACTACTATATTTATTCCTAGGCCTGTTCAGATAAGAAATCAGTGTGAGCGTAGCATTGTGATGAGGGTTCCTGTGAAAATAGTAAGAGAGATAATAAGTTGAGCTAATGGATTAATTAGTATGGGAAGGGTATAACCAACATTTTCAGGAGAATGGGCCCAATAGCTTATTTAGCTGAACTTACTTTAGGATATGGTTTAATAGGTAGCATGGAGAATTTTGGAGTCTCAGGGATAGGTTCAATTCCTATAGTTCCAGAAATAAGAGGATTTTAACCTCTCTTGTTTACTCTATCAAAGTAATTCTTTTGTCAGACATATTTCCTATGTTTGGGGTGGAATGCTGGAAATTAGGAAAGGCATTGAGATATATGCAGAATGCTAATGTAAGTGGTAGGAAATTTTTTCATAAAAGGTATATGAGTTGGTTGTAGTGGAATTGGAGGTATGCTGTTCGGATTCATAAAAACGGTGGTTAAAAGGAGGGTCTTGGTAATGAAATTTATGGTACAGAGTTCTGGTGAATACATAGTGTGTAGTACTCCTAGAAAAATAGTAGTAGTCAGGGCATTTATACAATAATATTCATATATTCTGCTATAAAGAAGAGGGCAAATGAACTTGCAGCATATTCGACATTGAAGCCTGAAACTAGTTCTGATTCTCTTTCTGTTAAGTCAAAAGGGGCTCGGTTAGTTTTTGCTAGTGTGGAAATAAATCATAATATGGCTAAGGGTCATGATGGTAGGAGCGGTCAGAGTAATTCTGGCATTGTGATGCATGCATATAAGTTGAGCCACTTAGCAGTAGTAGTGATAGCAGGATAATGGCTAGGGTGACTTCATATGAAATTGTCTGGGCCACAGCTCGTAGTGTGCCGATCAGTACATAATTTGAATTGGATGCTTATCCTGATCATAGAATGGAATAGACTGCTAGGCTTGATGTGGCTAGAATAAATAAGAGGCCTATATTAAAATTAATTAGGGGATGGGGTATAGGAAGGGGAGTCCAGAAGAGGAGGGTGATAGAAAGGGCCAGGGTTGGAGGCAATGATATAAAGGGTAACAGTAGACGTTGAGGGTCGTAAGGGTTCTCTGGTGAAAAGTTTTATTGGGTCAGCAAATGGTTGAAGCAGTCCACAGGGGCCTACGGTATCAGGTCCTTTGCGTAACTGTTAAGTGTAAGGAATGCTATAGCAATTAGAGTGGGAATATAAGTAGGAAAAGGTTAATTATAGGCATATTGTTAAGAAGGGGAGTTGAACCTTTGATTGTAAAGTTTTACGTTTTATGCTATTGCCAGGCTCCGCCATCTTAAGAAACCCTGTTCTTGGGTGTGTGGTGATTTCCTAGATTGAGATAGCATCATTTATGGGGGGAGGGCACTTTATGAAGTGGGCCGTATTTCTCTTGTCCTTTCATACTAGGAGAAATGTTAAACAGATAGAAACCAACCTGGATTACTCTGGTCTGAAATCAGATCACATAGGACTTTAATCATTGAATAAATGAACCCTTAATAGCGGCTACACCATTAGGATGTCCTGATCCAACATCGAGGTCGTAAACCCTATTATTGATATGATAGAATAGGATTGCACTGTTATCCCTAGGGTAACTTGTTCTGTTGATCAAATTATTGGGTCAATGTGTATTAACTCGCTTAGACTACTGTGGTCTTAGTTTAGGTTGTTCGGAGGTTGAATATGCTATGAGGTCACCCCAACCAAAATTTTTAATGCAGAGATAGTAGGTTAAGGCCTATAGGCTTTTTGAGTTTTTATTTGCATTAATGAATTAAAGTGCCATGGGGTCTTCTCATCTTATTTGCTTATAAGCTCCTCTTCACCAATAGGTCAGATTCTACTGATTAAACGTAAGAGACAGCTGAACCCTCATGACAGCTGAACCCTCATGTGGCCATTCTTCTAAGTCCCTATTTAGGGAACAAGTGATTATGTTACCTTTGCAAGGTCAGGATATGGTGGTCGTTGAACATATGTCACTGGGCAGGCAGTGCCTCTAATACTGGTAATGCTAGAGGTGATGTTTTTGGTAAACAGGTGGGGTAAGATTTGCCGAGTTCCTTTTACTTTTTGTAATATTTCCTTAGAGCATGCCTGTGTTGGATTAACAGTATAAATAATAGGATGCTTATTGTAAAATATCTAGCTGTTAACTGTCAGTCAGTGGGTTATTCCAGTCTTATGTAAGCTTATGCGGTGGAGAATATTTTCATGTTATTTATATTAACATTATTGCTTCTATTAAATAATAGATTAGACCAGTGTAATGTTAGGAGTTCCGTAGAGTGATTAGAATTTAAGATACTTGGATGTTGAGCTTGAACACTTTCTTAATTGTTGGCTGCTTTTGGGCCAACTATGGCGATGTTATTTTGTACTCTCTGTAGGAAGGTTGGTTCCTAGGGTCTAAAGAGCTGTCCCTCTTTAGATTAACAGTTAAACTTACAGGGACATTAAGTAATTCTGTGGGTAAGTTTAAAGCTGAACTAAGATTCTATCTTGGACAACCAGCTATCAGCAGGCTTGATAGGCTTATCACCACTACTCATGAATCTTCCCACTATTTTGCCACGTAGGTGAGTACGCTCTTTCAGCCATTCTTGCATAGCTCATTTGGTTTCGGGGGACTTGGCTATCTCTGTGTAAAGTTATTTCTACTTAATACTTTATGCAGAAGGTATAAGGGCTTGTCTTTGCTCAGTTCTTTCATCTTTCCCTTACGGTACTGTATCTATTGTGCCAAGATAAGAATTTCTATTGCCTATTCTTTTGTCTAAGGTAAATGGTTTGATTACGATGGTTTAATAGTATTTTTAGTGAGGTTTGGGGCTAGGGTTGGCTCAAAGTGACCAGGTTGTGATGAAATCTTCCGGGTGTAAGCTGGATGCTTTGGGTTAAGCGACACTTTGTTTGTCCAAGAGCACTTTCCAGTACACTTACCATATTACGACTTATCTCCTCTATTCATGTATAGAGAATTTAAATAATATTTCTAGAATGATATTTGCGGAGGGTGACAGGCAGTGTGTGCGTGCTTCGTGGCCTTATTCAACCTCAACCAAGCACTCTACTCTTGGTTTACTGCTAAATCCTCCTTGAGCCCTTAGATTTCATAAAGGTTGTCGTGAGATTTTCTGGGGTAGAAAATGTGGCCCATTTCTTGCCACCTCATGAGCTACACGTTGACCTAACGTTTTTATGTATTTACTTGTGCTTACTTTATAACCTTAGGTGCTGTAATAGGACAACCTTGTTTTACAATTCTGATTGTTATTAATGATAATCCTCTCCGAATTAACTCAGTTCAGCACCTAGCAATCGGCAGTATCTTCGCCGGATTCCTCATCACTAACAGTATTATCCCTACTTCATCCCCCCAAACAACTATACCACTCCACCTAAAGCTCACAGCCCTAGGTGTAACCACCCTAGGTCTCTTACTAGCAATAGAGCTTAATTTCATAACTAACAACCTTAAAGTACCCATTATAGACATTTAACTTCTCCAGTATACTAGGTTTTTATTCAGCTACAATTCACCATTCAGCCCCCCGACTTAAGCCTATTCATAAGCCAAAATCTAGCTTCACTTCTACTAGACCCAGTTTGACTAGAAAAGTCTATACCAAAAACCATTTCACGAACCCAAACTTCAGCCTCCATTACTGTATCTGACCAAAAAGGCCTAAACTCTACTATTAATTATCTAATCTATTACCCTGAGTAATTTCAATTGCGACAAAAATACTAACAATGATCAACCAGCAACCACCAACCAACACCCATAATTATACAAGGCAGCTGCACCTACAAAATCCTCATGAATCAACCCCTCCCCCTCAAAAATTAAATCAACTCCCTATGCTATTAAAATCAACCGTGATCACCACCCCATCATATTCAACTATTCACCAAACCAGTATCAACTCTATTAATAATCCTAATAATAAGGCCCCTCAAATATCAGTACTTGGCCCTCATGTTTCAGGATACTCCTCAATAGCTATCACTGGAGTATAACCAAAAATAACCATTATACCACCCAAGTAAATAAAAAAGACTATTAACCCCATGAAAGCCCCACCAAAATTCAACACAATACCACAACCCACAGCACCACTAATAATTACCCCTAAGCCTCAATAAATAGGAGACAGTTTTGAAGAAAAACCTACAATCCCTATAAATAAGACAACACTTAATAGAAATAAAGCATATGCCATTTTCCCACGTGGACTATAACCATGACTATAAGACCTAAAAAAAAAAAGTTAAATGTAAGACTTAAAAGACTTAAATGTTCACTGTTACTGTAAATATAGAAATGGCAAACTATTAAATAACAACAATAAAGTTTGAAGTCTGTGCTCTAAAATTTCATTTATCATACTGAAATATACTCACCAGAATATGGGACTTTCACCAGGTTCTTTTACTTTATAGTATTCTTTGTCTTGTGGCAAGACTTTGGTTAACCCAAAATCTCCAATTTTAACTCTGTTCTCGTTCTCCACCAATATATTTCTCGTTGCCAGATCCCTGTGGATATACCTTTTTGTACCAAGATACTCCATACCCTATGGATAAAACATTTTTCTTTCAGCTAGTTTTATAAATATAAACAATTTAAATGGTCTTAACCCTATATATTCCCTTTATTATCTATGAAAACGTCTAGATGATTTCCTAATGTCTACTTCAACACGGTTGCTTCATCTACAGCAAATAATCAGGATATTAGTTACCTTGCATATCTGAGATGTGTACTGCAGAAGTTTTATGTGATCTATCCGTTCTTTATGTTTTTGAAGATAGTCTCGTAAACTTCCATATGGTAAATATTCCATAATTAATTTTAGATTACGCCGACCTTTTAACATAAAGGTGGAAATAATGTTTTACTCTGCCATATTATACTGATTAAATATTAGAAAACTATCATACATAAATGACTTAAACATATATGAAATCTAAGATGACAAAACTTTATTATACATTAAAGGTGATATAGTTGTTAAGAACATAGTCTTTTTGAATCAAAAACTTTTGAATGAATAAAAGCTTTGAAACTATTTGCGTTTCAGTTTTCTATAACTCTTCAGGCAAACCAAAATAAACTGATGAGAAAACTTCCTTTCTCCTCATTGATATCGAACAAAAAACATTGAATTCAAAAATATTTTTATAGAAAATGTAAACAAAAACAATTCCTTTAAAAATGATACTTTCTTGGTAAGCTTAAGCAAGAGGTGAAAAGAATGTTTAACCAACTAGCCAAATACTTCCTATAGTTATAGTCTATGATCACCAAACACAATCTCTAGTCATTATAGAATGCCTCTCCCTCTGGGCATTGGCATAAGTCCAGATCGTTAAGACATTGTACATTTATATTACACAGGATGCCAAACACATACCTTGAATTTAAAATAGGTTTCAATGGGCAGCTTACCAGCACTGTAGCACACTCCCTTGTACTTTACAATGTTGTCATGCTGTAGGGATTTCAGGATTTCAATTTCCCTTTCAAAGTCTCTTAGGTGCTCTTCAGTACTATGCTGAAGCTTTTTTACAGCGACCACCTCCCCAGTGTTGTCCTGTAGAGGGTCATACCGGCACATCTCCACACTCCCAAAATTACCCTAAATGACACATCACATTAGGATGGAAATACCAAGTTTTCAAGGCAAATTACAAATAAATTTTATAATTATATAGAAAATTCTAGTAGCTGGAATTAGCAGACTGTCTTTTTTTTTTTTTTTTTTTTTTTTTTTTGAGACGAAGTCTCGCTCTGTCACCCAGGTTGGAGTGCAGTGGCACGATCTCGGCTCACTGCAAGCTCCGCCCCCTGGGTTCACACCATTCTCCTGCCTCAGCCTCCCCAGTAGCTGGGAATACAGGCGCCCGCCAATACGCCCAGCTAATTTTTTGTATATTTAGTAGAGACAGGGTTTCGCTGTGTTAGCCAGGATTGTCTTGATCTCCTGACCTGGTGATCCACCCAACTCGGCCTCCCAAAGTGCTGGGATTACAGGCATGAGCCACCATGCCCAGCAGCAGACTATCTTTAAGCTTATATTAAGGAACTCTTAGAACAAGAAAAGGAAATACTATCTCAACAGGTGGGTAGTAAATCTGTAAATTTAATTTCTTCAAAAGGAATTATAGGCTGAAATATAAATTACTTCAAAAAAGCATTTAAATAAATGATGAGCATTAATTGTCAAGATAAGCCAAGGGACATGCTGAGGATTCCTAAACTTTTGTCACTAACTTCCAGGAAGAATTTTCCTTTTTTACAAAATACCTTTTGCTATCACTGTCAGTGATCTGGATGGAATGTGTCTGTTATGGGCTAAATGTCAGTGACCCCTTACCCAAAATTTATATAATGAAGCCTTAACCCCCAATATGACTGTATTTGGAGATAGGGCCTTGTGAGGAGGTGATAAAAGTTAAATTAGGTTATAAGGGTGGAACTCTAATGTGACAAGGCTAGTGCCCTTATAAGAGGAAGAGACATTAGAGCAATCTCTCTCTCCCATGTGAGGACACAGCAAGAAGATGGCCATCTGCAAGCCAAGAAGAAACCTCACTAGAAACCAATCCCTGCCAGAACTTTGATCTCAGACTTTCCAGGCCCTGGAATTCAAAGAAATAAATGTCTGATGTTTAAGCTACCCAGTCTATGGTATTTTGTTATAGCAGCCAAAGCAAATTAAGAAGTAAGAAACTTTTAGCCTATGGGATGACTCTACATTTTTTTTTTTGAAGATGTCTTTAAAGAAATCCACTCTTTTTACCTAAAACTCATTAAGTACATAGAATTGGTAAGTTGCTATAACATTTAAATAAAGTATAGGTTTTTGATATTAATCAAATTAGTGTATTTTGGATATTATTGCATTCTTACAGGATAAAACAATGTAGTTCTTGAGTTACAAGATTCTAAGTGACTATATTTTCAGTTATATACTTGAAGTCAGTTTTTTAAAAAACCTAGACCATGTAGGCTCAAAGTTAAATCTCTTAATTACACAGTTTAGAAGGCCACACAATAAGGTGGATAGACCCAGGACTCTCAAGACCCAGGACTCTCAAGTCAGATTGGAACTAGAATATTGATCCACAACTTGCTCTCTCTGTGACCGCGGACAATTCAGAACTCCCTAAAATGAGGTTTTTCATCCTTAAAGTGGAGAATAATAAAATGTCTATCTCATGAGGCTGTTGTGAGAAATTATTCCAAAACACATTTTAGAAAACAAAAGTAGGAAATAAGTTTTATCTTCTTCCCCTCTACTTAACAATGTGTTCATAAAATTTATTTTCTAGTGCCACTATATATTCCTTGAAATTAATAATTTTTAATTATTGTATATTGTCACACGAATGCACTAATTTTAACATTGGAAACATAAATGTACACTAAGAAAAATTTTTAAATACAGTCATGTCATTGCAATAATATTCTTATAAATAAATATTTGTGTACATCTCTATTAAGGATACTTAATTAGCTGTTCAAAAGATAAGAACATTTCAAAGGGACTTGATACACACTGCATTAGAAGCTGTCTGGCAGTGGTTACCATTTGATGTTCCAATAAGCAGTGGGAAAATGTATATTTTATCACATCCCTGCCAACAATGATCATTATACTTTTTCTAAATCCTTGTCACTTTGATAGGCAAAAATCAGTCTCACTTTTAATTCGGAATGCCTCTATTTTTCTTATGGAAGAAGGAGATGAAGAAAAATACAGCGAAAAGAAAGATTTAAGATAGAAAACCAGAAGGGTTTGAGATAGGACCAGGAAAGAAATCAAGTAAGGGAGTGATATGGTTTGGCATTGTCCTCACCCAAATCTCATCTTGAATTGTAAACCCCATAATCCCCACATGTCATTGGAAGGACCTGGTGGGAGGCAACTGAATCATGCGGGTGGTTTCCTCCATGCTGTTCTCGTGATAGTTCTCATGAGATCTGATGGTTTTGTAAGCATCTGGCATTTCTCCTGCTGGCACTCATTCTCTCTCCTGCTGCCCTGTGAAGAGGTGCCTTCTGCCATGACTGTAAGTTTCCTGAGGCCTCCCCAGCCATGGGTAACTGTCAGTCAATTAAACCTCTTTCCTTTATAAATTACCCAGTCTCGGGTATGTCTTTATTTGCAGCGTGAGAACAGACTAATACAACCAGTAAGAGTCATAAGTGCCTAACCAATGTTGGAAACCAATTTTCAATGAAAACAATAAAGATTTATATCTGATTTTTTTCTTTTAGTGTTTGAGGGATGGAAGCACAATTTAAAAATGCTAAGTTGTATTGTTCCCGTACTAGGAAATAATAGGGAAAGTGAAGCAGATAATCAAGGGAAGGGGGGGTGATATAATTGTGGATACCAGCGAAAGTAGTTTAAAAGATATGAACATTTAAACGCGCTTGATACAAACTGCTCTATGAGAAGCTCTCTAGAAAGGGTCACCAATTTACGTTCCAATAAGAAGAAAGTGTGAAAGACACTAGCAATACCAAAGATATCAAAAAGAAGGCATTTATGTTGAAAAAAGCCAAAGGCTATAAAGTTATAGTCAGACAGGGAGATTTCAGGGTAGGAAATTTTCTAAGTAAGGTTATTACATGGGATTATAGAGTTCAAAGGAACTCATTTAACATAATCATAACTTTGGGGTAGAGAAGCCAAGGAATTTTTTTTTTAAGTATTGGAAGGGCATCCAAAATAATGGCAGGAGGTAAGGTGATGAGAAAACAATGAGTACTAAAAGTATTCAAGGAATGTGGACCAAGATGTTAGCTAATGATGGGAAGAGAGGAAAATAAGAATCATATTCAGAGAAGATTGAGAATGATGCTGATAATTTCAAAGTAGTCGCACTAAGATCCTGATCTCTGAATCCCATATCTGCACCATGGAGGAAAAAGGAATAAAGAGGATTTCAAAACCGCTAGGAGTGAAGCGAGAAGGTAAAGGATATAAAGAATATAAGAGGTTTCAGGCTCCAGGTCCTGGCAGGAGGATCGCGGGCCAGAGGCGGAGCCACCATCCTACCGCGACTTTCAGACTCCGACCGTGGCCTCGCGCTGGTGGCGGGGGCGGCGCGGCTGTTGCTGGAGACCGGCGGCGTGGAGACCGCTCCCCGAGCCTTGCGGGGCCGCCGGGGCCGCGCGCCGCTGCCGATGCCCGCGCAGGCTCATAGGCAGAAGGGACTTGACTTGTCTCAGATACCCTATTTTAATCTTGTGAAGCATTTAACACCTGCCTGTCCAAATGTATATAGTATATCACAGTTTCATCACACAACCCCGTACAGCAAAACACACAGTGGTGAGAAATACACCGATCCTTTCAAACTCGGTTGGAGAGACTTGAAAGGTCTGTATGAGGGTATTAGAAAGGAACCGCTCATATCAACAACAGAACTTAAGGAAATCTCTGAGTACTACTTTGATGTAAAAGGAAAAGCCTTTCGATCAATTATTGTGGTACTAATGGCCCGAGCATGTAATATTCATCATAATAACTCCCGACATGTGCAAGCTAGCCAGCGCGCCACAGCCTTAATTGCAGAAATGATCCACACTGCTAGTCTTGTTCACGATGACGTTATTGATAATGCACGTTCTCGAAAAGGAAAACACACAAGATCTGGGGTGAAAAGAAGGCTGTCCTTGCTGGAGATTTAATTCTTTCTGTAGTATCTATAGGTGGGGCACAAACTGGAAATACAGCTGTTATATCTATTTTAACCCGAGTTATTGAAGATTTGGTGTGTGGTGAATTTCTTCAGCTCGGGTCAAAAGAAAATGAGCATGAGAGATTTGCACAATACCTTGAAAAGACCTTCAAGAATACTGCGAGCCTGATAGCCAACAGTTGTAAAGCAGTCTCTGTTCTAGGATGCCCCGACCCAGTGGTGCATGAGATCACCTATCAGTACGGAAAAAATGTAGGAATAGCTTTTCAGCTAATAGATGATGTATTCGACTTCACCTCATGTTCTAACATAGGCAAACCAACATCAGCTGATGTGAATCTCAGGTTAGCCACTGGTCCTGTCCTATTTGCCTGTCAGCAGTTCCCAGAAATGAATGCTATGATCATGAGATGGTTCAGTTTGCCGGGAGATGTAGACAGAGCTCCACAGTATGTATTACAGAGTGATGGTGTAAAACAAACAACCTACCTTGCCCAGCAGTACTGCCATGAAGCAATAAGAGAGAGCAGTAAACTTCTCATCCCCAGAAAGAGACGCCCTCATTCAACTTTCAGAAATTGTACTCACAAGACATAAATGACAACTCTTTCTGTTCTTTCTGGCAGCTATCTCAGACTGTGCCTAAGAATTTTGTGGAATACACTTTGTTTGCTTCATGTGCAGATAACCAAAAATCATTTTAAAAGATATCAAACTTATTGATGGGCAATTTGTTTTATTGCAAAAGTTTTTTCAGAAAACTTTTTAAATGTAATTAAACCATCTGAATCTGTCATTCTAGTCCTATAAATTCTAATTGAGGTGTCTTGATGGTTATATGTGGTACTGTTTACACTGTTAATATCCACATGTAAGGCTATTACACAAATAATCCATGTTAAAATTAATTTAAAAAAGAATATAAGTATATGTGGGCATGAGGATAAAGGAAGAAAGCAAAAAACACTCTAGATTTCAAATAGCAAAAGAAAAGATTTCACAATAGTTTCTTGGCTCCTTTTACAACAGTATGAAAATATTTTTTAAAAAATAAAAAAATATACCATTATTTCTCTTGGCTTAAAACATATGAAAATAATTTTAAATATATATCCCTCTTTGGAATATTTTCACCATACCACTAATTGAAAAGGATAACAAAGGGATACAGTAGCTAATTTTTATAAAATGGAAAGGTGACATGCAATCATTTTTGTAGGAATGGCATTTTGATTGTTTCAGTAAGGCAGTACAAATATCTAGACAAACCACTGAACACATCAATTACTTCAAACAAACAAAGATGAAAGTAAAATTATGGTGTTAAATACAGATAGGAAATATCCACATTAAAATATCTATGACTGACTAATGATTACACCATTTACCTTTCATTTCCTACAAACTAAATTACTAAGAAATATATTTCATTGTACATGTATTTTGAAAACGCCTTCCTTAGAGTCTCTTCAATTTACTTATGTTTAAAAGAATTTTAAGCTCACGGAACTATGGAAAACACTAAAAATGTTAAAAAGCAAAAGAACATTAACTCAAAATTACAATAAAGGGGAATGTTGTAAATAAATTATGGTATATTCACTTAAAATTATGTCTCAAAAGAATATTAATAATGGGAAAATCTTGATATATGAAAAATAGCAAGATATAGAATTGTATATATAGAATGGTTTCACTATTGAAAGAAATTGTGTAGTTGTGCAGAGACTACAACAAATGGAACGTATCTTCATTGTAATATTTTCCAATTTCTCTATAAGCAGTATATCACTTTCATAACTAGAAAAATTACTTGAAAAGATAACTTTATAATTTAGTCTGCTGTTTCCCTTTTGTTAATCTAAATTAGTGATCTTTTGATGTATTCTTTGTTATGTCTACTTCTTAAATACCAGTATATATTCCATTGTTTTGACAATATATGACAAAATTGTGTGCCTAGTAATCTATTGGGATCTAAAGGAACTTTTTTTAAGTCAAGGAAAAAAAGGGCAAGCAAACAAAAACCAAGATCTAATAAACAACAGAAGACTGTGATTAAGTTGTATAAAAGAAACAATAAATGCTATAAGTTCCCAGAAAAGAGGAAAATCAATGACATCTGGAGATATTTCAGGAAAATATGAATTTAGGAATAGCTGATAATAACAGACAACACTAACATGGTACTTACTAGTGAGAACCTTATCCTAGCAAGCTTATGCGAGAAAGAGCTTACCACTATGGTTGGACCTACTAAGAACTGAGCATTCCCTGGTCTTACTTATAATATGTAGGTTATACATGACTGTGTGACGTTTTAATAGACAGAGTCTCTGCTAGTGAATATGGCACAGTCAAAATCCTAGACCCTAAGCAATAAGATTAATTCTCCCTGAGATAACTAAAGGCAGAAAGGCAGGCAGAAAAGCTTATGTATTCCTTTCTGTATTTCACTGAATCACTTAACAATGAACTCCTGCTACCAAGGAACAGTCTCTTGGTCAAGTCAATTTGAATAATACTGCCTAATTCATCTTCCTCTTGAAGATGTTCATGCACATTACATGTTAAAGCCTCTGAAAAGTTCTTCAGTTATAGGGAAAAGAAAGAGAGATCAGTGTGTTACTGTGTCTATGTAGAAAAGGAAGACATAAGAAATTCCATTTTGATCTGTACCCTGAACAATTGCTTTGCCCTGAGATGCTGTTAATCTGTAACTTTGCCCCAACCTGAAGCTCACAAAAATATGTGTTGTATGGAATCAAGGTTTAAGGCTAGGGCTGTGTAGGATGTGCCTTGTTAACAAAATGTGTACAGGCAGTATGCTTGGTAAAAGTCATCGCCATTCTCCAGTCTCAATAAACCAGGGACACAATGCACTGCGGAAAGCCGCAGGGACCTCTGCCCTGGAAAGCCGGGTAATGTCCAAGGTTTCTCCCCATGTGATAGTCTGAAATATGGCCTCGTGGGATGGGAAAGACCTGACCGTCCCCCAGCCCAACATCCGTGAAGGGTCTGTGCTGGGGAGGATTAGTAAAAGAGGAAGGCCACTGTCTCCTGCCTGCCCCTGGGAACTGAATGCCTCGGTATAAAACCCAATTATACATTTGTTCATTTCTGAGATAGGAGAAAAACTGCCCTGTGGCGGGAGGCGAGACATGTTGGCAGCAATGCTGCTTTATTATTCTTTACTCCACTGAGATGTTTGGGTGGAGAGAAGCATAAATCTGGCCTATGTGCACATCCAGGCATAGTACCTTCCCTTGAACTTATTTGTGACACAGATTCCTTTCCTCACATGTTTTCTTGCTGACCTTCTCCCCACTATCACCCTGCTCTCCTGCCGCATTCCTCTTGCTGAGATAGTGAAAACAGTAATAAATACTGAGGAAACTCAGAGACCAGTGTTGGTGCGGGTCCTCCATATGCTGAGCACTGGTCCCCTGGGCCCACTTTTCTTTCTCTATACTTTTGTCTCTGTGTCTTCTTTCTTTTCTCAGTCTCTGGTCCCACCTGACGAGAATTACCCACAGGTGTGGAGGGGCTGGCCCCCTTCATTCAGTAAAGATAGCTGTTTATTTAACACAGCATTTCTCCAACATCTGACAACCAAACCTTTTTTTTCTACAAGCACTCCTTAAAATGTTGTAGAAAGTGAACTTTAGAAACGCTCTTAAGTTTTTCCTAAATGAAATGATTATACTCTATTTGAAAAAATTCTGACAATTTACCTTGCCAAGTTGCTGTAGAAATTTCAAATGTCTCTCTTCAAACTGTGTAGGATCCCGGTCTTCAAAGGCACCAGAAAACCCCAGGGCACCTATCCTCATATTTGGTAACATGTCATTTTCTGTTAATAGTTCATAATCTGGAGAAATAAAGAATATTATCACCTTAAATTAGCAAATAACATTCTCTGGACTAAACTGATATACATTCAAGTTGACCAAAATAATCGTGAGTTAAAAATACTAAATGATACAGGGAAACTCAAATAGTTTCAATTATATTAATGGGAGCCTTTAATCATTACCCATAATCTGACAGGCCTTCAAGAGAGACTTTGCAAAGGATAAAATTTTGTTTTCCAAAATAAGAAGTTTTAGTATTCATAAAGTAAGGTAATATACTGATACTTATTGTGAGAAAGGTGAGTAGTACTGGGGTAGAAAGCACCTATAGGTCAAACACATGCATTTCAGCTCAGTATTTTGAAAAAGGAGAGAACAAAGCAAAACAAATACAGCTCATGTTTAGAGAATCAATCAATTATAAAATATGAGAAATGTTAAAGAGAATTGTTTTTTAAAAGTCAATTTAAGCAAAAAAAAAATACTATAATTTACAACTCACTAAATGGAAAACTAAAATTAGGTTACTGAAAGAAAAGGTCTTTTTGGCTGGGAGCGGTGGCTCAAGCCTGTAATCCCAGCACTTTGGGAGGCCGAGGCGGGCGGATCACAAGATCAGGAGATCGAGACCATCCTGGCTAACACGGTGAAACCCCGTCTCTACTAAAAATACAAAAAATTAGCCGGGTGTGGTGGCGGGCGCCTGTAGTCCCAGCTACTCAGGAGGCTGAGGCAGGAGAATGGCGTGAACCTTGGAGGTGGAGCTTGCAGTGAGCCGAGATCGCGCCACTGCACTCCAGCCTGGGCGACAGAGTAAGACTCCATCTCAAAAAAAAAAAAAAAAAAAAAGAAAAGGTCTTTTTATAAAAATGAAAATAATTCTCAGTCAAGGAGATTAGAATATGTATAAAGCATGAAAAGCCATATGAACATAAGAAATTAAGAGGGCCCAAATGACATCAAGAAAATGTTTTAAAGGAATTAAAAATTAGTAATGATTCATTAAATACAATAAAGATAGAAAGCTGGAAAATCAATAAGATCATTCAAATACATACCTGGAGTAAACAAACTGTTAAGATCTCGTATGATGGCTCTGAAAGAAGGCCTGAAATCTGGTTCATAATCCATACAATTATTTATAAGGTTTGCTAATTCTGCCCACTTTGGTGCAGGAAGCTGATGCCTATCTTCATAAAATTGTAGCTTCTATAATTAAAGAACCACAAACTGAGAATAAATTGTGTAATGCCACACCAACCTTCTTTTTAAAATTAGATGGGCTAAAAAATACAAATCATGTGAAAGAAATATGAAAGTTCAGAGATAGAGTAATTCTAACTTAGTCTATATAAACTTACTCTTTGAGAATCCAGAGCACTTAGAGGTTTATCTCCTCCACTGCAGATTTCCCACAAAGTGGTACCAAAACTCCATTTGTCTGTTGCCAAATTTAAATTTTTAGGATTTTCAATGCATTCAGGTGGTACCCATGGTATTCTCTCCTGAAGAACTTTTAAATGATACGAACAGAGTAGGGTTAAATAATTCACAAGTAAACCAATCTTTTATATGTAAATAGCTTTAAAGTTCAAATCATTTGAATAATCAGGCCTATTTTCTTTATTTTGGAGGGGTTGGATGTGCACATGCACATGACTGCATAAGCTTAAGAACCAGAAGGGACCTTCAAGATCATCTAATTCAATATTTCATCTTTAACAATGACAACATGGAGACATATGATTGAGTAATCTGCCCAAAGCCACACAATTTGTTAGCAGCAGAGACAGAATTAGAATCCTGTACAGTGAGTTCTGAATCAACTAATCTTTCCATTAAACCATAGTGTCTCAACTGGCATACCATTTTCTCAACCTCTTTCCATTAGTTTTACCTTCAAAAAAAAAAAATTTTTTTTTTGAGACAGGGTGTCACTGTGTCACTCAGGCTAGAGTGCAATGGCACGATTGCAGCTCACTATGCTTTGACCTCTTGGGCTTAAGTGATCCACCCAAGCGCTTTAGGAAGCAATCAGCCTCCCAAAGCATTGGAATTACAGGCATGAGCCACTGCACCTGGCCAAATCTTTTTTTTTTATATAGTTTATCCTAAAATTGCCCCATGATACTTTTTGGTATTTCTTCATAATGCGTAAGTAGTAAAGGTAATGTTACATCATTCAGAGATGTTCTAATGATTTAATAGCCATGGCAATTCCCACTTGCAGATAAAAAAAAAAACCCAAGGACCAACAAGCATTTATGGCAGATGGAAGGCTAAATTGCACCAAAATATTCTAGATATATGGAATTGATATAGGTGGGCTCTGCTCAAATCACGGAATTTCTCAAGTAAAGTTTCTGTGGTCTTTGATTCCACCAGAAGGACTGTATTCAAGAAAGGAAGAAGCAATATAACCCTACTTTCTGGTATTCTGACATAGACAGACAGACAAATAGATTGATTGACAAATACCTTCACCATATGAATACATTTTTTTCCATCTTCACTTCCGATTCCAAAGGATAAAATTTTCCAGGATACCAGATGTAAGACCCTGTAAGAATTTTCTGCCATACTCCCTACTCCTGTACTACTGCCCAGTTATCACTGTCTTCACTGTCAGATAAGTCATTAAGTTTAAGTACTATTAGCTTAAATAGGACACATCAGTGCACAAAAATTGATCAATTTAGAATCTAAATTTAGAACATCCAATTAGAGAAATTATCTAAGATAACAAAATTCAGTTATAATTATCTAGACCCAAAAAACCCCTCTCAACTATCTGACTGAAATTTGTATTTTTAACCCACTGTGTTAAGTAGTAAAGATGAACAAACACAAATCAAAGTTTTTTTAAGGTTTTAAAAAGTCAGAATTAGCTGGATAATTAAACTAATTTCTTCACAGAGGATAGAAAAAAATCCTAAAATCTCAGGCTAAATTTTTATTTAGTGACGAGAAGAAAAGAATATTTAGAAAATTTACTTGTGGCTCAAGGAATATTACAAAACTTCATACTAAAAATGGATAAAATCCTATCCTTCATACATAATTAGAGATTAAAACTGTTTTTAAAAAATCACCTCACAGTCCATGGTTATATGCTTATAAGAAAGAAAAATAGAGACTAAGATTTAACTAACAATTTAAATTGCTAAAAGTGATAATTTTATTATTAATCAGGAACATACAAATTAAATGGAATTCAAGGAAAATTAACAACATGCCCTTTACACCACTGCCCAAGTAAAGCTTAGTAACATTATATATAATCCTTCTAGAACTTACTGTCCTTTGGCAAAACTGTAATACTAATGCCAGGATCACTAAGTTTGATGAAAGGAGGATTTCCTGTCTTCCTGTCTTCTTCTCTGATAAGCAGAATATTTTTGGCACATACATTCCCATGAATAAGGGTGTTTTCTTCCTATTAGAGTTAAACGCACATATATTCAAATATCAGTCCACAAGTACTGGAGCATTTAGTATGTTCAAGCCCCCAAAACAGATTTAAAGAAGAAAAATACATGATAGTATAATAATTTGGAGGCATGCATTGAGAAAAAAGGAAATTTATGACTCCTATGCTTCCTGTTTTACATTTTAAATAACACAATAATCTATGCTTGTGATGAAATGAATAAATTAAAACTACCAATGCCATTTCACATGAGTTCTAAGGCTGACATGGTTTGTGTTTCTGGATGGGAGCTGACATTAAGAAATACTACTTCAGTTCTGCAGCAGGACATAGGTGCACCCTGAGGGGTCTGATGACTGGCAGTCCCCCTGGTATTCTTCTCTGTCAACACCGCTTTCTCATGGACCATAATGTACAATGGCCCAAAAATACAGAAGCACATACTTCTGCATAATTTTTGGTTGAATTTTCTAAATCCAAAAGACACAACATACAGATTGTCTATTAGTAGTTCTAAGATATTGATGGGATGACAAAACTTTTTTTTCAAAAGTGATTTTACATACATAAACATATGCCTAAAGTAATCTCTTTTTATCACCTAACACAGACTATTTTACATGAATTGGCATCCAATTACAGATTTATTTTTTGTTTCCAGGTAAAGATAATTTGTATATTGTTTTATAAAATAAAATAGTATCTTTTGATAAAAAGGTTGTACTACTTACTAGAAAATGCATGGCCCATGCCAACTGTTTAGCAACTTCAAGTTTCCATAATATATTTATACAATTTTTATTCTTTTTCAGATATGTATCTAGTGATCCAAATTTTACAAACTCCTGAACCAGAATATCTGCATTAAAATATAAGTAATAATAATAAGGCTTAAGTATAAATATAATTAAATATATGTAATTTAAATCTTTATACTTACATGTGACCATTATAGGTAAAGAAATTAAATTGGCAAAACTCACAACTTTAAAGAAAACTTAATGGATACACAGCATTATATTTTTGGTTTTTAGTTTACTTACAACAGCAAGAGTAGGAGTCTAAACAATTATATATTATTATATATAACATAAATGTATAATATATAATATACCAGCACACCTTTATATATTAGTACTGAATTATGGCTGGTTTTTAAAAATAAATGAAAATTTCTCAATTTCTCTTCCACATAACTTTTTAGACATTCAAACCTTCCTGAAGTTCTTCTACACACAAAAATTACTAACAATTGTCTATAGTACTATAGACATAAAGGAGAATTTGAGTTCTAGCTCCATTTAATCTTTTAATTCTGCAAAAAATACAGAAATGTTTTGCGCTGCTTTATCTTTAAAACTTTTTTAAAAAAATATATAAAACATATTTTGCCAGAAAAACAAGTGTTGGCTTCCAAAAACAATCCTGGATTCCTTCATGGTCCACAGGAGCCTCTCAGATACCTCCATATAACAGGTTCCAAACCACTGCTTTTGAGAAGATTATCAATTTTCAAAGATATGAAAAAATGTCATACAAGTGTAGATGTGTATTTAATCTGCATTACTAGTGGAAAATAGGGAATTATATAAACAATTTTCTTGAATGTAAACTTTGTGAGGCACTAAAATAAAGGCATACCTCGAAGATATTACCAGTTTGGTTTTAGACTACCATAATAAAGCAAGTCATGAATTTCTTGGTATCCCAATGCATATAAAACTTGTATATACACTATAATGGAGTCTATTTAGTGTGCAACAGCGTTATATCTTAAAAAAAACAAAGAATATATCTTTTTAAAAATACTTTATTGCCAAAAAAGGTGCTAATGATAATCTGAGCCTTCAGAAAGTTGTAATCTTTTTGCTTGATGTTAATCGCTGCTGACTGATCATGGTGGTGGCTGCTTAAAGTTCAGGTAGCTGTGGCAGTTTCTTAAAATAAGACAACAATGAAATTCACTGCAGACTCTTCCTTTCATGAAAGATTTCTCTGTAGCATGCAATGCTGTTTGATAGCCTTCTACCCACAGTAGAACTTTACAGGGTCAGTCCTCTCAAACCCTGCAACTGCTTGATCAATCAAGTTTATGTAAAATTCCAAACCCTTTGTTGTCATTTCACAATGTTCACAGCATCATCACTAGGAGTAGATTCCATCTTAAGAAACCACTTTCTCTGCTTATCCATAAGAAGCAACTCCTCCTTCTTTCAGGGCTTATCGTGAGATTGTAGCAATTGAGTCACATCTTCAAGCTCCACTTCTTAGTTCTCTGTTTCCACCATCTCTGCAGTGACTTCCTTCATTAAAGTACCATATCCCTCAAAGTCATCCAGGAGGGTTAGAATGAACTTTTTCCAAATTCCTATTAATGCTGCCATTTTGATCTCCTTCCATGAACCATGAATGCTATTCCTGGCATCTAGAATGGTGAATCCTTTCCATAAGTTTTTCTACTTACTTTACCCAGATCCACCAGAGGAATCACTATCTATGGCAGCTTAGCCTTACAAAATGTATTTCTTAGATAATAAGACTTGAAAGTTGAAATAACTCCTTGATCCATGGGCTACAGAATGGATGTTGTGTCACCAGGCCTGAAAATAACATGAATATCCTTGTACATCTCCATCAGAGCTCTTGGGTGACCAGGTGCATTGTCAATGATCAGTAATACTTTGAAAGCAATCTTTTTTTCTGAGCAGGTCTCAACAATGGGCTTAAAATAGTCAATAAACCATGCTATAAACAGATGTGCTGTCATCTAGGCTTTCTTGTTCCATGTATAGAGCACAGGCAGAGTAGACTTAGCATAATTCGCAGAGCCCTGGGATTTTTGGAATGGTAAATGAGCGCTGGTTTGAATTTCAAATCACCAATGGCATTGGCCCTTAGCAAGAGGGTCAGCCTGTCCTTCGAAGCTTTGAAGGCAAGCACTGACTTCTCCTCTCTAGCTGTGGAAGTCCTAGATGGCATATTCTTCCAACAGAAGGCTGTTTTGTTTACATTTGAAAATCTGTTTGTTAGTGTCACCATCTTCATCAATGGTCCTTGCTAGATCTTCTGGATAACTTGCTGTAGCTTCCACATCAGCATTTGCTGCTTCACCTTGCACTTATGCTGTGCACATGGCTTCTTTTCTTAAACCTCATGAACCAACCTCTGCTAGCTTCCAACTTTTCTTCTGCAGCTTCCTCACCTCTCTCAGCCTTCATAGAATTTAAGAGCATTAAGATCTTGCTCTAGATTGGGCTTTGGCTCAAGGGAATGTTGTGACTGGTTTGATCTTCTATCTAGAACTTTCTCTGTATCATCAATAAGACTGTTTCACTTTCTTGTAATTTATGTGCTCACAGGAGTAGCACTTTCAGTTTCCTTCAAGGACTTTTCCTTTGGATTCATAACTTGCCTTTTTAGTGCAAGAGGCCTAGCTTTCAGCTTGTCTTGGCTTTCAGCATGCCTTCCTCTCTAAGCCATCTTCATCAATGGTCTTTGCTAGATCTTCTGGATAACTGCTGCAGCTTCCACATCAGCGTTTGCTGCTTCATTTCTAGCTTTCCATTTAAAGTGAGAGACGGGTGAATCTTCCTTTCACTTGAACATTTAAAGACCATTGTGTGATTATTAAATGGCCTAATTTTAATATTGTTGTCTCAGGGAATAGGGAGGCCCCAGGAGAGGGAGAGAGACAGAGGAATGGCTCATTGATGGAGCAGTCAGAGCACACACTGCATTCATCTATGAAGTTTGCCTTCTTATATTCTCTCTGTTTGGGACACCCCAGAATAATTACAATACTAGCATTAAAGATTACTGATCACAGATCACCATATGATTTTTTTAAAGTTTGAAATGTTGCTAGAATTACCAAAATATGACACAGAGACATGAAATGAGCACATGCTGTTGGGAAAATGTTGCTGACAGAGTTGCTAGACACTGGGTTGCCGTAAACCTTCAATATGTAAAAAATACAATATCTAAGAAGCACAATAAAGCAAGGTGCAATAAAATGAGGCATGCCTGTATAGTATTAAAGCATGGGGTACGATTTATACTTTTAGTAGTTTCTGTGAACACCTAAATTTAGCCAAAAAATATATCTAGTATCATATCAACATAATCATTTCTGTCAGTTCCATTAAAAATTAAGTGTATCATTTATATGCTTTGTCTTCATAATTCCAGATAAGTTTGTACTGAAAAGGCCAGTTATTCCAATGTTATGTTGAACCTGCCATAATCTCTTTTGCTATCATGAACACAAAATGTTTTATAGACATTTGTTTACTATAATACTCTATTGTTTGGGCATTGTAACCTTCTACTTTTAACTTCATTGCTTTCCTTTTTCACAAGATATAACTGAATAGTCCTACAGTGTTTTCAGTTTCAAAAATACTTAACTCCTGTTAAATTATAGTTTACACTGACACCTAGCTGTGATCCTGAAACTGAATTTTCTATATAAACAAAAACAGATGCTCTGAGAAAGGCATTAGAAAGCCTGTAGTTTTACTTACTCTCGTCTCCACAGACACATACTCCATAATTTAAAACCAAATGCTTGTGAGAAAGCTTGCTCATCATACTTGCTGCTTCAAAGAAAGACTAAGGAAAAAAAAAAGTACAAAGAATTGTTGTTTGACTGTTGTCCATAAATAGTTCAGAAAATTCTCTCTGCCATAATAAAGATGCACTTTCTCCTACTTTCAGCATGACTATAGATGAGGATACAATGTGCTTTGGTCCCTTTATATGGACCTGCAACTGCCATCAACGTTCTGAGGAAACCCCTGTGTAAGCCTGGAATATGGAGATCAAAGTGAGAGAGAGCAAGAGTGGTACAGGAATCATGAATAATGCCAGTCAAACAGGCTTGACCCATAACACCTGAAATAGAGGACAGAAGTACAACTAGAGGTAGATGTCAGAGATAGATATAGGAAACTGAGGTAGATGGATGTAGCCTTTAAATAACACTTGCTAAAGAATTAAGAATGTGCAGATAAAATATCACGACATCTGTGTCAGGATACTAGCATAGTTTTAACATCACTCTAATTCAACTAAACTGTGACTAGAACCCCTGGGTATGATTAGTGAATCACAATCACCAATACTGTGGTATTCTGGATTAGAACAACTCTTTGGCTTGAACTTTTCACATCATCTTCTAACACCAACACCCTTTAAGATATTGTAAGTATCATATCTTGCTATGTTCAGAGCTCTGGCAACTGGCCACGGGGTCTGCCAGCTAGCATCTCTGGATGATGCCCAGAGGCATCTAGATTTCACTAAGCATGTTCCTTAGTACAGTGCCTTTGAAACTTGGTTTTTTGTTTTTTTTTCAAATAAATGTAATTGTAGAGGAGCCTCTGTGTAACCCATAAAGCTCTGGGGAGCCAAGTTTGAAAATCAAGGCCACAGTATATGCAGAAATGTAATAACACTCCTAACATAATGCTAAACATAATTAGTTTGGAATTAATTTTTTTAATCCGGTAATTTTCAAACCCTGTAATTCTATAGCCCCACAAGAATGTATCCTCAGAAAAGTCCTTGACACATTTAAAAATTACAATTTTGAAAAGCTGCACACATGAGTACGTTGTATGCATATGAGAGCACATCTTTAAACAGCATAAACTACATGAACAATATAAAGAACATACACACCTCTGAATAGTTTCTGTGTGCTTTATCCAGAACTTTTAAAAGAACTTCTGTTTCATGCAGTTGACCGTAGTCTCCTACTTCTCTTCGTACGCCTTTAAAAATCTTTGTAAAAGTGCCTTGGCCAAGGCTTTCATTCTTCAAGAGAAAAAGGTAAAAGAAAAGAATGAGTAAAGATGGAGAACGAAGTAGGAACAAGAAAATACATTCAATGAGGAAGAATTTTTTTAAATCCATAAGCAAGTATTTTCCTTAGAATCTAAATCCAGATTTAAGACTCCAAATTAATGCTTTTATTCTGCTTCCTTAAATAGTAATAAGAGACAGAAAACAAGGATTAATGAATTAAGTGTATTTTGGCTCTACTCGGTTTTGAAATCTCCTGAATGGGCTATAATTGTCACTTTTTAAAAATAGAGTCAGTGTTTACCTACATTTGCTTACATGGGAATCATTTTCTTTGCCTTTCCTACTAGCACACTAGAGAATGTGGTCTGCAGAGGCAGAATATCTGACTTTCTCTTATTACCACTTGTATGACCTTGTACAGGCTATTTAATCTCTGTGCTGCAGCTGTCGTGGTTTCTTCATCTGAAAAATGAGAATAATAACTATTTTCCCATAGGATTGTTATGATCAATAAGTGAATAAATACATAAAAGCACTTAGCACAGTCCATGACACATAGTAAATGTGCATTAAGTATCAGCTATTACTACTAATACTAGTATTTCTTGCATATCTTTACAAAGTAATTGTTGAAAGCCTGCACTCTGCAGTAAGGCTGCTTGTGTTCAAATCCAAGGTCTACTATTTATTAGATTTGTAATGTTAGTCAAGTTACCTGGCCACTCTGTTTCCTGTTACTCACATGAAGATGCTTGTCTTTACCATTCTGGCTAATTCTATCTATTGTCTCCTTATAGAGCTCAGATATGAGTTGGGTCTTTCTCATTTTGCCTTCCATGCCACTTAATCCCTCTTTCATATAATCCATTTCTTTCTCCCTAACTGCTGCATTCTTAATTTCTTCAGATCTGTCTTGAGGTTCACTACATCTCTCTTCAGCTATAAGTAATTTACTTTTCATCCTGTATATTCTGTTTTAATGTCAATGAGGATATTTATCATTTCTATGCCTTTTTCCTGACATCTTTTTTGTTTGTTAAAACAATGTCTTGTTATTTCTCCGTGGTTTCAATTCCTTTTCTATCTTTAAACATGTATATGTATTTTATAGTCTGTATCTGAAAATTCTGTGATAGGAAGTTCCTGGAGTTCTAATTTTGATGTTTGTTGGTCTACTGACTCTTAATTAATCCTGCATTATTTCCTTGTATGTTTCTAAATTTTCTATTAAAAGCTTGTGTTTGCAATGCTTTTATCTGTGGGAATTATGGGTTGCCTAGGTTAAGAGTATGTGGTTCCGAAAAGATTTTTTTGTTTCTTCCAAGCACCACACAATATTAGGAGAGTACCACTTTTAATTTAGGATTTCTCAGTCTATGTAGGTAGTATAATGAAGCCCAAATTCCAAAGCTTATGATGACAAATTCTTAGGAGAGACTCCTTTTCCTCACCAGAAGCGCAGTTAAAAATGACAATATTCCTTTTCTTCTCTGCTTGCTAGTGGGTGAATTTTTCACATTCTATATATTGTTTTACTGAGGATGTATTTACTTAAGTGTCCTGGTTTTACTCAGGGATAGTCTCACTTTTAACTCGTGGCCTTGCACAGGTCTGAGACCTGGCCCTTTTAAATTGCTCTTAAATCTTAACCCCCTTGATAAATGTGGCTGATCATCAACCCTCACCACCTGACTGCCAGATTATCAGATCTTATGTACTACAGTTGACCCTTGAACAGCATGGGTTTGGACTGCACAGGTCCATTTATATGTGGGTTTTTTTCAATAAATCCAGTGGGCCCTCTGTACTGGCAGGGCGGGTTCTGCATCTGCAAGGAAACTCAGTTGGAAAATATAGTATTTCTGCATTCCAGCCTGGGTGACACAGCAAGTCCTGCTCTAATAAATAAATAAATAATTTTAAAAAATAATTAGTTATTTAAAAAAAGAAATACAGTGTTCATAGGATGCAAAACCCATGTATATAGAGGGCCAACTTTTCATATCCACAGGTTCCACTTAAGTATCCTCAGATTTTGGTATCCATGGGTAGTCCTGGAACCAATCCCTCATGGACACTGAGAGATGGCTGGATTTTTTTCTCAGTTTCTTCTTTATTTTTAACCCCTTGAATTTCCCTTACTTTCTTGAGAACTTGGGAGTTGCGATATAGGTCTTTGTAGATTTTTAATTTTTAATTTGAGATTTGTGAAGAATCATTTTTAAATTTCCAAAAAGAAAATTAAGATTCCATTCTTAGGATAATTAAGATAATTAATTTTGCTAACATCTAACACAAGGTTGGCATATTTTTCATAAGAAAAATATTTAAATCACAACTAAATTTGTATATAACAAAATAATTCCAATGTCACATGAATGTAAATCAAGAAAACAGATGTTGTTTTAAAAGGACAAAAAAGACAGTAATGAGTATCTAATGACTTACAAATATCAAATCTTCATTTCTGATTTTGTGAAACACCATTTGGTTCATATGAGTAGGCCTCTGTAATGTTGGTGAGGTTGGTACATCAGAAACACCATTCGTTCTGAAGACTAGAAGGTTTGATTTATCTGAAAAAATAAAATACATATATATCACTTCAAAATACACTGAAAGTATGAATTGCTCCAAAGAGGAGTAAAATGAAATGTGTTCTACGTATAAGAAATGCTTAATAACTCCTAATTGTTCTTTTTTTATAATAGAAAATTATTTTAGGGGTCAACTCATTGAACTTTGATATTTCTTCTTAGTTACTTCATACATTCAAAATTATAATCACTTCCTTAACTAATGTAATTTGGATTTTGATGTATTCCTGCCAGTTATTTCATTAATTCAAAATTATAGTAACTTCCTTAACTCATACAATTTTTCAGGAATTTTAATAATTTTTAATAGTAAGGCTCATTATTTCAAGGAATTTCCAACTTTACTGTCTTTATTTTTAAAATACAGAAATTAAAATCCTCGAAGTATATGAAAATTTTTACTTAAAACAACATAAGAATTTAGTAGTGAGATCTTCCAGTTCAATAAATGACATCATACCACACATTATGTTTAAAATCTCATTTTAGAATAATTGAACTTCAAGTCACTTCTAGACCACCAAAACCAAAGTAAACAATCTTATTTGATGATGCTTGTACAATAGAATAAGATAAAATTAACTTTTAGAGCTGCTTCTTTCATATATCCTTTGAAATCAATGTACTGAAGATACTTCACGCCACATAAACAATCCATGACCAGTAATTTAAAAATAACTAGAAAATTATCTTACCTTTTGGCTTTGGGGGACAGCATTTAGTAAACTGGAAAATTATATTGTCTGAGCGAACAGTTTCCATCTGGTAACAATTCAAAAGATCTTTAAGACTGCTGAAGTTCTTCTTTGTCCCACTGAGGTTGTACTCTTCATTCTCATTTTTTGTAATCAAACAGTGTTTATATTCAATGACATTTTCTCGCTGTATAAGTTTAATTATAAAGAAAGGGAGGGATAGTCACAATGGACATCACAGTGATTATTCTGACAAAATGATATCACAAGAACAAGCAACAGAATAAACATTTGAACCATGAATCCGATGTAGTGCCAGTATAGTGATAGAAGTACTTAGTTCCTCAAAAGGGCAATTTACAATTTCTCAGCCTACAAAAGTGGTTTAAAAGTTGATTTTATGAAAAAGCATGTAAGAAGGCAATGATAATTAATAGCAACAATACCATCCTTAATAGTTTTCCATCATTTATAAGATAAAGCCTAAAACAAATGTAGCATATAGAGCCTTCCATGAGCTGGTTTCTGCCTCCATCTCCAATCTCAGCTCCTGCCACTGCCAACATACAACCTACGTTCCAGCCATATTAAATGACTTAAATCATTTCAAGCAAATGCCATGCTGCTTCATGCCTTGATAATTCTTCATGCTATCTTTCTACCTAAGAATGTATACCCACTTCTTCTGAGCAATGAACCTTTATTCATTCATCAAAACTCAGTTCAAGTACCACTGTTTCTAAGAGGTCCTCTCTAATGCTCACCTCTTTGCACAAGCAAAGGTGAACATACAGCCATTCCACTGCACCACCATTGTATTTGTATAATTATCTTTAATATTACATTTTTAATATTTTGCAGTTTTTAAATATTTGTCTTATGCACTATATTATGAACTTGTTCACCTATTTTTAAGGTGCATTTTATAAACATATTCATTCTACTCAGAAACATTTATATAAAATCTACCAATACCTCAAGGTCAATCAGGTTCTTCCTATGCCAAATAACCTTTCTTGTTTTTTTTTTTTTTTGTTGTTGTTTTTTTTTGAGACCGTGTCTCGCTCTGTCGCCAGGCTGGAGTGCAGTGGCACAATCTTGACTCACTGCAACCTCCACCTCCCGGGTTCAAGCGCTTCTCCTACCTCAGCCTCCCGAGTAGCTGGGACTACAGGTGCGCACCACCATGCCCAGCTAATTTTTGTAATTTTGGTAGAGACAGGGTTTCACCATTTCACCACATTGGCCAGGATGGTCTCAATCTCTTGACCTCGTGATCCACCCGCCTTGGCCTCCTAAAGTGCTGGTATTACAGGTGTGAGCCACCACACCTGGCTGCCCTTTCTTAATAATTGTAAACCTGTCTGTTACTGTCTATATTTGCCTATGCTAGATAATTACAATGTTCGATTTAGAATTTTTTGTATATTTGAAAATTTTTGTTTGTCCAGTAGATAAGTTTCCTGAAGGTAGGGCTGTAGCATAAACTCTATAATACATAGCTCTCATATTAGGCTTGGCACATACAGTGAACATAAAATATATATATATATTTTTTTGAATTCATACTTGAATATAATGTACTATTATCTGTTATAGTAACAGGATACTTTGAAATTAGGATAGATTACCAGTTTTACACAAAGGTAAAGTGATGGCATAACCTCCCTTCTGTAAGTAATCTACCCTCTACATATGCCAAATATAAGTTGCATTTTATAAAAATTAAAATAATTGAATAACAAAGTTCTTATTTTTCTCTGTTTTAAAAAAGCAAGATAAATTTGCAAGCTTCTATAGTTTCTTAGGATTTATACCATGAAATTGCCTCATAAGTGATAGTATATAATCATAGATGAGATCCAAAATGATCTGTATTAACAGTGGGGTTTCATTGCAGTTTTACCGTTGAAACATGCATTGTAGACCACTATTCTTAAAAATATTAGAAAATCATCAGTTAAAAGTGCTTTAATGTTTCTATTTGTTTGTTATTGACCTAGTTTTCTCTAATTCTGTTTCCTCTAATTCTGCAACCACTGTTAATAAACAGAAAATTTGCTTCCGATTTATTTTGTTCTACATGATGTGGCAAAGATTTCCAGTTTTGCAAACAAAGAAACATCAAGACACTTGATGAAATACCTTTTAACACACTGGTAACACCAAAACATCAGAAAATAAAATAAATGCAAAATAAAAAGATAGACATTATAAATTATTTTATATTTTTATATAAACCCTGGGAATTATAACTTGTTTATTTGTACAGAATCTCTGAGGAAATTAAGCATTATACTAGTTATCATATCCAAAGCTATAATTCTCAGTATTAAAAAGGAAATATGGTAAATAAATATGGAGAGGAAATTAAATGAACTAAATAAAGTGTTACCACTAATAAGTGTGACATACTAACCTCGACAGCAAAAGTCAAAAAATATTTATTAAAGTCCTTAGGACTGCATCGAAGTACATACAGTCCAGTCTGATTACCTGCTTTCTTCAGTTTACTAATGGCAAAATCCATCCTAAAGGTAAAGAAGAAGCAATTTGAATAATATATCAAGCACCATAATATTATGACCAAGTGTCATCTAAAACAATCAAAAGTCAAATCTAAAACTGTCAGAATTGTCTCCTCTACTTTATATGTTTAGCAATAATCTTTCAAAGGAAAAAATCAAAGTACCAAGCTATTTTGCAGTAAGTTCAAACCACTTCAAGGGACAATTATATAGCTTTAAAAACCAATAAAAGGTATTTATAAGACAAAATCACAAAGAACAATTTGTTCATTTGATTTTTCTGCCTGCTGATTACAAAGTTAATATTTTTAAAACCATACTCTCAGAAACCTTCATTTAACTATAAAGATTATATATCAGAAAATACTTATATCTCTACTACCATAGCAGTTACTGACATAAAAATCTGAATGCATGATTTTATTATTCAGTACGATAACAAAGTCTAAGAGAAGAACCATGGCAACTGACAAAGACTACTGGTTTTTAAAATTTTTTATGTTTTCTGAAGCTGCACACCCTGAAAGAAAAGCAAAATATAATCTATACAAAAGAAAGAATCATTCTGTTTCACTTATCACCATATTTCTAATATACAAACCAATGCTTGCACATAGTAGTTACTCAGTAAATATAAATAAAAGAATGTTTGAATGAATTTATGGATACATGAATAAAGGCAAGGAGTTTTAAAAATATTAAACATGTAAATTACAGACATAAAGTTCAAGTAGTACAACTTTTTCATAGCAACAATATTCATTACTAAATAAATATTAAGCATAGACTAAATCAACTCTTTATATTACCCAAGATGTATTTTCTCAAATATTTAGGGGTAGGTTAAATGCAAAGAACATAATATGCTCATGATCCCAGATTTTCCCTTTGCTCGAGTTATTCAAATCTGTTGTCAACATAAACCACATCCTAGCTAAGAGATCATTAGGACTTAAGCTAAATAGATGTTATGCATGATAGCTAGCTTTACCCAGTATTAAAGTAAGGATCTACAACTGTGTGAGCCAATGTGATAGTTACTAGCCACATGTAGCTATTTAAATGTAAAGAAATTAAAATTAAATTAAAATTCAGTTCCTCGGTTGCATTAGCCACATCTCAAATGCTAAACAGCCACATGTAGCTAGTGGCTGCTGTGTTACACAGCACAGATATAGAATATTTTCATCGCTGCAGGAAGTTCTACATAGCACTAGTCTAGAAATGTGGACATCATATATATCTTGTGTTTGAACCTTTCAGTAGAAGGAGATGGACTATCCAAACATAAAGAATTTTCAAATTTTGCACTGTGGCTTCCTTGCAGTATTTTAAAATTAATAAAACATAAATTGGAGATCTTTCTTTTTTAGTAACATGCAGGAGTGAATCACACATAGGCATGATTAACAAATGTTAAACTTGTACAACTTATAAATATTATAGATTGGGATACAGATGGTAAATTATACACTAAATAATTCTAATTATTATGTAATCTGATTGCAAATAGCCTTTTGTTTAAAAAAAACTTGTCAAATTATTTTTTTCTAAACATACATGTATCACTCTGTTAAATCTTCTTTGTAAATACAGCATTTACTTTTCTAAAAATTTACTTTTAAGTCTGTATTACTCACGAAATTGGGCCATGACAGTTGCTTTGTATATTTTCAAGCACGGCTGGAGGTGCTACTTCTTTACAGAGGTAATGATGTGCATCTGCAGTTAATCTATAATATCCATCAATTAATGACACGAAAGACAAAGCTTCCCTTAATGAGCTAAGTTCAATTTCCTAAGCAGAGAAAAGAAAAAGAAATAGCACCTTTTAGAAAGTCAACTCCATGTTAAATATTGAAAATTTTCTTCATTCCATGTTAAATACAATTTTCTTCTAAATTGCTCATATCTTTTATGGCTCAGTACTCAATATGAATTACAAATTCTCATGTCTGATATTTAAGATCCTCCTAAATACAGATTATCATACCTTCCCAGTTATAGTTCACTCTATAGCCATCATTTTACTTTATTTTCCAATGTCCTTCTTAGACTAATATACCAGTTATCTCAGCTAGAAATCTATTTAATATGATATAAAAGTTGACATTAGAAATCATGAGCATTTCCTTTTTTCTTTTTTTTTTTTTTTGAGAGTCTTGCTCCATCGCCCAGGCTGAAGTGCACTGGCACAATCTTGGCTCACTGCAACCTCCACCTCCCAGGCTCAAGCGATCCACCCACCTCACCCTCATGAGTAGCTGGGATTACAGGCATATGCCGCCATGCCCAGCTAATTTTTGTATTTTTAGTAAAGACAGGTTCTCGCCATGTTGGCCAGGCTGGTCTCCAACTCCTGACCTCAAGTGATCCACCCACCTCAGTCTCCCAAAGTGTTGGGGTTACAGGCGTGAGCCACGGCATCAGCCCTACATACCAATTACATACTGCTAAAGTATTCATGCTACAAACTAAAATGTTAGGATATGTAGCTATGCTATGATTTTTTTGTGGCCCCCGCCCAGTCAGAGTCTTGCTCTGTCGCCCAGGCTGGAGTGCAATGGCGCGATCTTGGCTCACTGCAACTTCTGCCTCCTGGGTTCAAGCGATTCTCCTGTCTCAGTCTCCCAAAAAGCTGGGATTACAGGCACACGCCAAGACGCCCGGCTAATTTTTGTATTTTTAGTAGAGACAGAGTTTCAACATGTTGGCCAGGCTGGTCTCAAATTCCTGACCTAATGATCCGCCCGCCTTGGCCTCCCAAAGTGCTGGGATTACACGCGTGAGTCACCATGCCCGGCCTGATTGTATCTTAATACATATGTGAACATGTAGTCAGCCAAAAATGCAGCATGTTACTTACATGGGAAAATATATAGACGTATTATATTTTTACATACAAAAAGTCAGTTATATAATGAAAAAAGCCCCATTTGTAACAAAGAGGATGCAATATCAATAATTAACAAAAACTTCAAAACACTCTTATGCAACTTTTTATTTAAATATATAGAAGATTAACCATGGTAGGAAAATTCAATATCATAAAAATGTAAAAATCCTCTCTAAATTAATTTTCTAATTTGTCTCAATCACATTAAAGATACCAACAAATACCAGAGGCTGTACCTAGAAAAACAGGGCAAACATGAGATTTAGAAAATCAGATCCAATATAAGAGAGATGAAAACATAGTTACCAGGATAAGAAAGGAATGACCAAAAATTACAGCTGACAAAATAATAGCTGTACCCAGAAAACTTCCAGTCCACACTACAAAGTAAGATGCTGTGATCGAAGAGGTACTTCTCCAGAAAAGAAGTAAAAATGCTATCATATATGACAGGTTTGATTATGTGAAATTTTGTATTGAGAAGTCCACTACTTTACAGAGTTCTTGTAGAAAATGAAAATAAAGCTAGATACAAAGGAAAAATCATAAAGCAATAATTAACTCCTGGAAAAAGTTATATAAGAACGAAAATGTGATTACAGCATATTTCTTGGCCCAGCAATGAACAATATTTACATAATCATAAAGAGAACACAGAATAGAGTCCTCAACCAAAAATTATAATAAAGAGACAAGCATGTGACATGTTTGAACTATAAAAGGTATTTAGCTAACACAAATAGCCAAAAAAACAAGTACTATAAAAGGTATCCTAAACAAAATTAAAAGACTTGGAGATTACAAACATGTATAACAAAGGAATATACCTAACATACATTGTGGGAATAAAACGTATAAAACAATTAAAAATAAAAAAAGAAAACTAGTCAAAGGACATGAAAAGGCAATCCACAGAAGTATAAATATTAAAGCTGACCTATAAACACATGAGGTATTGCTCAATCTCAGGTTCTAATTAAGGAAATGAAATATAACAGGACAGCATTATTTTGCCCATTGATTTGGCAGAAAAATTAAAAGATTGATAACATCCAGTGTTGGCAAAGGATACAAGAAAACAGGTGTACAGATACATTGGAAACACCTTTTGAGAAGTATTTTAATAATCTATCAAAGTTGTAAATATTCATACCCTTTGAACTAGCAGTTCACTAACTAGTATCCCTCTTATTGATATACAGACACATTTTGTTTTACTGCACTTCCCTTTATTGCTCCTTGCAGATATGACCTTTTTTTTTTTTTTTTTTTTTTTTTTTTTTTACAAATGGAAGGTTTCTGACAAACTTAAGTGGAGCAAGTACAAGTCTATCAGTGCAATTTTTCCAATAGCATATGCTTACTTCCTATGTGTCATGTTTTGGTAATTTTCACAAAATTTAAACTTTATTACTATTATACCTGTTACGGTGATTTGTGATCAATGACCTTTGATGTAACTATTGTACAGTTGTCCCTCAGAATACAAGGGGGATTAGTTACAGGACCCCTGCATATACCAAAATCTGAACATATTCAAGTTCTGAAATCAGCCCTGCAGAACCCATATATGCAAAATGTCAGCCCTACACATATGCAGGTTTTGCATCCTGTGAATACTATATTTTCCATCCATGTTTGGCTGAAAAAAAATTGCATATAAGTGGACCCACACAATTCAAACCTGTGATGTCCAAGGGTCAACTGTAATTGTTTTGGGGCACCACACACTGGGCCTATATAAGATGGTGAACTTAAGTGATAAATTTGTATATGTTCTGACTGCTCCACCGAATAGCTATTTCCCTTTCTTTTTCCCTCTCCTCAGGCCTCCCTATTCCCTCAGACACAACAATAATGAAATTAGGCCAATTAATAATCCTACAATGACCACTGAGTATTCAAGTGAAAGGAAGATTCACCCATCTCTCACTTTAAATCAAAAGCTAGAAATGATTAAGCTTAGTGAGGAAGGCATGCTGAAAGCCAACACACGCTGAAAGCTAGGCCTCTTGCACTAAAAAGGCAAGTTATGAATCCAAAGGAAAAGTCCTTGAGGGAAACTGAAAGTGCTACTCCTGTGAGCACATAAATTATAAGAAAGTGAACAGCCTTATTGATGATACAGAGAAAGTTCTAGATAGAAGATCAAACCAGCCATAACATTCCCTTAAGCCAAAGCCTAATCTAGAGCAAGACCCTAATGCTCTTAAATTCTATGAAGGCTGAGAGAGGTGAGGAAGCTGCAGAAGAAAAGTTGGAAGCTAGCAGAGGTTGGTTCATGAGGTTTAAGAAAAGAAGCCATGTGCACAGCATAAGTGCAAGGTGAAGCAGCAAATGCTGATGTGGAAGCTACAGCAAGTTATCCAGAAGATCTAGTAAGGACCATTGATGAAGATGGTGACACTAACAAACAGATTTTCAAATGTAAACAAAACAGCCTTCTGTTGGAAGAATATGCCATCTAGGACTTCCACAGCTAGAGAGGAGAAGTCAGTGCTTGCCTTCAAACTTCAAAGGATAGGCTGACCCTCTTGCTAAGGGCCTATGCCATTGGTGACTTGAAATTCAAACCAGCGCTCATTTACCATTCCAAAAATCCCAGGGCTCTGCGAATTATGCTAAGTCTACTCTGCCTGTGCTCTATAAATGGAACAACAAGGCTTGGATGACAGCACATCTATTGTTTATAGCATGGTTTACTGACTATTTTAAGCCCATTGTTAAGATCTGCTCAGAAAAAAAGATTGCTTTCAAAGTATTACTCTCATTGACAACGCACCTGGTCACCCAAGCGCTCTGACAGAGATGTACAAGGATATTCATGTTATTTTCAGACCTGGTGACACAACATCCATTCTGTAGCCCATGGGTCAAGGAGTAATTTCAACTTTCAAGTCTTATTATCTAAGAAATACATTTTGTAAGGCTAAGCTGCCATAGATAGTGATTCATCTGATGGAGCTGGGTAAATAGAAAAACTTATGGAAAGGATTCACCATTCTTGATGCCAGGAAGAACATCAGTGATTCATGGAAGAAGGTCAAAGTGTTAACATTATCAGGAATTTGGAAGAAGTTGATTCCAACCCTCATGGATGACTTTGAGGGGTTCACGACTTCAATGGAGGAAGTCACTAGGATGTGGTAGAAATAGCAAGAGAACTAGAATTAGAAGTAGAGCTGAAGATGTGACTGAATTGCTACAATCTCATGATAAAATTTGGACAGATAAGTTGCTTCTTATGCATAAAAAAATGGTTTCTTGAGATGGAATCTAGTCCTGGGTGAAGATGCTGTGAATGTTGTTGAAAAGACAGCAAAGGATTTAGAATAAAGTTTAGTACATAAAGCAGTGGCAGGGTTTGAGAGGACTGACTCATTTCTAAAGAAATTCTACTGTGGGTAAAATGTTACCAAACAATGTCACATGCTACAGAGACAACTTTAACGAAATGAAGAGTCTACTGATGCAGTAAATGTCATTGTTATCTTAAGAAATTGCTTTGGCCAACCCAACCTTAAGCAGCCACCACACTGATCGGTCAGCAGCCATCAACATCAAAATAATACCCTCATAAGCAGAAAGATTATAACTCTCTGGAGGCTCAGATTATCATTAGGATTTTTTAGCAATAAAGTGTTTTAAATTAATTTTTAAGACATAATGCTGTTGCACACTTAGTAGACTTGATTATAGTGTAAACATAACTTTTATATGTACTGAGAAACCAAAAAATTTATGTGACTCACTTCATTGCAAAATTTGCTTTATTGCAGTGGTCCAGAACTGAACTAGAAATATCTCTGACGTATGTCTATATACGTTTTACAAACATCCTACAAAAGACTTAGAATCTATAGAGACTCTACAGATTGATCAGAAAGGGACAAGTCAATGAAAAATGTGCAAAAGACTGTCACAGGCACTTCATAAGAAGGATATTCAGATGAACAATAAGTAAGTGAAAAAGTATTGAACATCATTACTCACCAGGGCAATGAAAATAAAAACTACAATAGCTACCAGTACACATCCACCAGACAAACTAAGACATTTTTAGACTGACAAAATTAAGAGTTGATGGGGATATGAGACAACTGTAATTTTCATGCATTACTGAAAGAAGAGTGAACTGATAGAACTACAAAAAATTGTTTGGCAGTATACTAAAGCTATCACTATGACTCAATAATCCTATCTCTAGGATATATATATACAAAAAAAGAGTGCATAAGTCCACCAAAAAATATGTATAAGAATGTTCATGGTAAATTTATCCCTAAAATCCCCAAAGTGAAAGCAACCCAAATGTCCATCAACAGAATACATTTAAAATTTGAGGTACAGTCAAACAATTCAATACTACCCAGCAATAAAAAGGAATGAACTGACACATGTAACAACATAAATGAATCTCCAAACATTATACTAACTAAAAGAATCTAGATTTTAAAAGAATACATACAGTATCATTCCATTTATACAACCTTTATTAATAGATAAAACTAAGTGATGGTAGATGATAGGTATCTTAAGTTAGGGGTGGAGGTGAATATGTGGGAAGATGCATGTGGAAACCTTCTAGGAGTAAGAGAACTATTCTGTTTTTTGAGGTGGGTGTGGCTACAAAGATGTACAAATATGTAAAAATTCATTGAGCTATACACGTAAGATTAGTGTGCTTTACTGGGTTCATGTTATATCTCAACAAAGTAAAAAGAAAAATAGGCAACAAAAGTTGAACTAGCTAAAACTTTAAAACATCTGCGCATCAAAGGACACAAGCAACATAGTGAAAAGCAATCTATGGAATGGGAGAAAATATTTGCAAATCATATATTTGAAAAGGGATTAATATCCAGAATACATAAATAATTTCTATAATTCAGCAAAAAAAACCTGATTAAAAAATGAGCAAAGGACTTGAATATATATTTCTTCAAAGAAGATATACAAATGGCAATACATATATGAAAAGACGCTCAGCAACACTAATCATTAGGGAAATGTGAATCAAAATCACAATGAGATACTACTTCACACCCATCAGATGGCTACTATCAGAAAACAGAAAATAACAAGTTTTGATGAGCATGTGGAGAATGTACTCCTGGTAGGAATGTAAAATGGTGCCGCTGCTATGGAAAACAGCATGGTGGCTCCCTAAAAAATTACAAGTAGAATTACCATATGATCCAGCAATTCTACTTCTAGGTATGACATGGTTTGGCTCTGCGTCCCCACCCAACTCTCATCTTTAATTGTAATCCCCATGTGTCGAGGGAGGGACATGGTGGGAGGTGACTGAATCATGGGGGTTGTTTCCCCCATGCTGTTCTCATGATAGTGAGGGAGTTCTCATGAGATCTGATGGTTTAAAAGTGGCACTTTCCCCTGGACACTGTCTCTCTTCTGCTGCCATGTAAGACATGGCTTCCTTGCCCTTCACCTTCTGCCATGATTTTAAGTTTCCTGGGCCAGCCATGCCGAACTGCGAGTCAATTAAACCCTCTTTTTAAATAAATTATCCAGTCCCAGGTAGTATCTTTATAGCAGTGTGAGAACGGACTAATAGAAGGTATATATCCAAAGGAATTGAAAGCAGAGTTTTCAAGAGATATTTGTACACCCATGTTCACAGCAGCATTACTCACAATTGTCAAAAAGTAAAAAAGTGACCTGAATATTCATTGATGGATGAATGAACAAATGTGGTATATACATGACACAGAATACATACATATATTAAAAATGAAGGAAATTGATACATGCTGTAATACAAATGAACCTTGAGTATATTATACTAACTGAAATAAGCCTGTCACAAAAAGACAGTATTGTTTCAGCCTGCTTTTATGAGGTATCTAGAGTAGTCAAATTCATAGAATAAGAAAGTAGAGGGGCTGGGCACAGTGGCTCACACCTGTAATCCCAGCACTTTGGGAGGATGAGGCAGGCGGATCATGAGGTCAGGACTTCAAGACCAACCTGGCCAACATGGTGAAACCCCGTCTCTACTAAAGATACAAAAAATTAGCCAAGCATGGTGGCGTGCACCTGTAATCCCAGCTATCGGGAGGCTGAGGCAGGAAAATTGCTTGAACCCAGGAGGCACAGGTTACAGTGAGCCAAGATCGCGCCATTGTGCTCCAGCCTGGATGACAGGGCAAGACTCATCTCAAAAAAAAAAAAAAAAAAAAAGAAAGTAGAATGCTGGTTGCAAGGATTGGGAAGAGGGGGAAATGGTGAGTTTTTATTTAATGGGTGTAGACTTCAATTTTGCAAGATAAAAGAGTTCTGGAAATTGGATGCAAAAGTGAATATACTTAACACTACTAAACTGTACACTTAAAAATGGTTAAGATGCTAAATTTTATTTTATATATATTTTACCAAAATTATAAAGAGAAATAAATGCCAGAATGAAGAGGAAAATGACAGTAAAAACAAAATGTTACTAACACATAATACACTGGGAAAATGCAATAATAAGCAAAAATTACTTTCCTATATCCATAAATAATTTGGTAGGAAAATACACAGAGAAGAAGTATTAATTTTAATAAACAACAGAAAAAGCATAACATATCATGAATAAAATTCAGCAAGAAACATGATGTATCAATATGAATAAAATGATCAAGAATTACTGAAAAACATAAAATAATACTTGTATACAAGGAGAAATACAATGTATCCCTAAAATAAAAAATTTAATATGAGAAAGAAATGTCAACTCTTCCCAGTTTGTTGCACAATTCCAACAAAATGTCAGTATAATATTTTTAAGGAGCTTTACGGATACTTAGCAAAGAAGTTAGTGTCACACTTAAGAGCTTAGGTTTTCAAAGCATGCATTTGAGTTTAAATAGCCCTACCACTTAACTAACACTGTGCCCTTGGAAAGTTACTTAACTTCTCTGTATTGCAGACTTAAAATTAAGCCAAGTCCAAATACAGTCCCATGGAGAAGTTCTTTGGGTTACTACAGTTTGTTCACATTAAGATCAATAAACTCTCCCAGAAACATTTATTATATATCCACATTGAGGTTGATAATTGTTAATCATCCTTTTATGCATCCATAAAATATTTATCAAGCTTTTTCTAAACTAGGCCCTGAGTACTGTGCAAGGTGTAGGGGGTACAAACACACATAAAAATATGATCCTTACCTTCAAAAGGCTCACAGTCTACTAGGCAGTAGGTGTACTATCATATTTTTATCTAAGAACAGAAAACTATGCTGAATTAAGTGAGTTGCAAGTTAGTTACAATTTTGGTAATATAACCCTGGAACAGCCAGACAGGTAAGCCATATAAATACTTAAGATAAATAGACAAATAACATTAATAGGACTAGTTTAAGCCAGGAAGGGTCAAGAAGCATCTGAGTTAAAAAGAAGACAGAGAAGATAAATGAGAAACTTAAGAGCAAAGTATAAAATAATTCATTTCTCCTATTTACATTAAAATAAATTAGATTTCTGAAGCTATTTAAAAAAAGAGAAAGCGTTAATCTTTTAGAATCAACCATGTCCTACAGCTTGGGTGGGGCTGACCTGGGATTGATTTACATTTTGTTATATAAATTCCAGACATCATTGATTTATTTTTTCTCCTTTAATTAGGCAGTATAACTGGCACATATACATCCCTGTTGATAAAATATTTTAGTCAGGGGTGAGCATTACATCAGAGAACTAGTATAATCTAGAGTAGGGATGGGGGAGAAAGTAACTGGTGCTTTGCTAATCATAAAAATGAGTAAAAAAAGTACAGTAATGTACAAGAAACTCTGTAGGAAGATGGTGTTGATAGTAATACAAAAAGCTAGATGTTATCAAAAAGTTTACTGAACTGATGTTTAGAGTTATATTTAAAACTACAATCAAAATTCCTACCAGAAAATAATTTTGGTACTAAGATTCTAAAATACACATTTCTGAGAACTATAAAATGAAACCATTATTCAATCATAAAGCAAACTTACCAGATTTTTACCATCTTGCTTATGGATAGTTACAACTCGGCTTTCATTTGAACCCTCTTGGTTTGCTTGCTTAATACTGACATCAATAATATTAGGAAAATCGCAATATAACTGTAAATCCTATAATTAAAAGCATGTAAAATTAAAAACGGGTAGAATTTACAGAGCCATTTTAAAACAAGACTTAAGAAGACAACATTCTTTCCAAATTCTTTAAAATAAAAAAGGTATTGATAACAATAGATAAGCATTAAACGTGATTTACTCTATCAATCTAACCCTAAGACTATGCTGTATCTTGCTTGACTTAAAAATGAGGGCATTAAATGATGCCAGGAATCTAAAATGTGCTATGGCACTCTTCAATTCAATTAACATTAGTAGAAACCACTGCCAGAAAACTGGAAATGTGACTACCAAAGATGAAAAATTAAAAAATGATCCCTCTAAATCTCTAGTAACAATCTATGAACAACACGGATATTAACAAATTCAAAACTTGCAATGCAAACCTAAAATAAATTCATTATTTAGCAGGTATATATTATCATAAAATCAATTAATATCAATCTTTTCTAGTTAACAAGTTTTATAATTATGCCTTCTGTTATCACTAGTAGTGAAAGGCAAAACTCCTTTAAAATCACTTTTAGAATTTGACATCTTTCTGAAACTATAATATAGTCATTGGTAATTATTTTGTCATAAAAAATTAAATGAAAAAACCATTTAAGAATAGTAGGCAAAGAATTATATGACCTTGATAGGTTCACGCTATTAAAAACTTCCACTTCTATCAAATGGGAGAAGTGCAATACCATGTTGCAAATGATTAAAATTACTTTGTTTTTATTTCCATTGTACTTAAAATAACAAAGAACAAGAACATATCATTAAGGATTACCTGTTCTGTCAGTGTCTCACTTTCTTTATGTTTCCCTCTTGACCACTGAATTCCACCGTTTCCAGTTATTATAATGGTTGCAAAAATCTCCTCACCTGAAGGACCACTTCCAGGTTCTTTTACTTCAAATTTCTCTGTGTAGAAGGCAGACTGCAGAGTTTCCAGATTTATAAGATACTTAAGTTTCAAGTTTCTGGCAGTGGCTTTGCATTGGCTGAATTGCTGAATAAATCTGCGAAATCTGTACCTTATTCGCTTCCTTGTCAAAATATGATAGTCTTGGATCTTTGCTCGAATACATTTTGGTAAGAATGTCTTGTAGCTAGGGATAAAAAAGCACATACAGAAAAACAAAACAAAACAAAAATTGGAAGATAAATCTAAAAATTGAAAAAGAAGTTACCACCTTTTTCCATGATTAAGTAGGCCTTACAACACAGTGGCCAAGTGGCGTAAGTTGACATAACCCCCATCCATACAGTATAAAACTTTAAGATTTTGTTTGATGATATAAATATATCCACACACTCTAAGTTATCATCAATGTTTACAAAAGAAGATGTTAATCTTCTTCCCCTAATGAAATGAATCCTCAGTCTAGTTAATAAGAATCTCTAAAAATTCCTTTTCTCTATTTCACATACCAGAGTTAATGGTTTATAAGATAATATTTTGGCATATATTGAACTGTGCTACAAATATTTCCTATGATGCTGTGCTCCAACATTTACCTGAATTTTGGAAATTGTTACATTTTGTTGGAAGCCATTTTCATTATGCAAACATACTTCTGTATATTATTTTGTTAGGCCAGCTTCAACTCCTAATAATTCCTTTGTGATCAAAACAATTCCATTTAGAAATATTCTGACTTTTCTGTACATTCATCTCTATGTACAATATTCTAAAGAAGGTAATTTATTTCTGTGCTTCTAAGGAACATTTTATTTCTGAAGTACCATTAAATAATTTTCCATGCCGTAATATATGCTAATCTTTCTTCCAATCATCCATCTCCTATCTAGTTACTCATTCGACAAGGCTCAAGTACCATCTAATCCAGGAAGCCTTTCTGGACCTCATTCTGTGGCATATTAGATGTAGAATCCACAGGCACAAAGGACTTGCTAAATTAATGTCCGTCCCGTATAAAATGTAAAATCTCTTAATCCCACATTTCCTTCTGGCCACAGCCTATCTGGCCTCTTTTTGAAAGCATGTACATAGCCATTTCCATTTTCTTGCCTTCCATTTATCCCTCAACTCATTCCAGTTTGGCTTCTGTTCCATTATTTCAAGAGAAACTGCTCTTGCTAAAACCAAGAAAGACATCCATGTTGCTAAAACCACATTTCCACATGGCACAAGACACAAAGAAAAATGGGGCAAATTAGACTACTTCAAAATTAAAACTTTTGTGCTACAAATGATACCTTCAGGAAAGTAAAATAACAATACACAGAATGGGAGGAAATAATGGCAAATCATAAATATGATTATATGTGGAGACTTGTATCCAGAATATAAAAAGAATTTTCTAAACTCAATAATTAAAAGACAAATAACCCAATTAAAAAATGAGCAATGAATTCAAATAGACACTTCTCTACAGAAGGCATACAAATGGCCAAAAAGTACATGAAAAGATGCCAAACATCAGTAGTCATTAGAGAAATGAACATCAAAACTAGAATGAGACAGCACTTCCACCCACTAGGATGGATAAAATACAGACAGAAACAAGTGCGGAAAGAGTTGGAACTCTTCATGTACTGCTAGTGTGAATGTAATGTGGCACAGCTGCTTTTGAAAAGTTAAGCAGTTCCTCAAAAAGTTAAACAGTTACCATATGTTCCAGGAATTCCACTCCTAAATATATGCACAAGAAAAAATGAAAAAAATACATCCACAAAATTACTCATATACAACTGTTCATAGCCACATTAGTCACAATAGCCAAAACATGGAAGCAGCCCACATTTTCATCAAGTGAAGAACAAATAAGCAAAATGTGGTATATCTATATAATGAAATGATTCAGCAATAAAAAGAAATGAAGTACTGATACATTCTACAACATGAATGAACCTTGGAAACATCATATTAAGTGAAAGAAGCCAGACAAAAAAAATGCCACACCACATTTTGCATGATTCTATTTATATGAAATGTTTGAGACAGGAAAATCCACGCAAACAAAAAGATAAGTGGTTTCCAGAGGCTGGGGGAAAGTGGGATGAGGACTGAATGCTAATGGGCATGGGGTTTCTTTCAGAAAGGATGCAAATGTTCTAAAATTAGATTCTGGTCATCTTTATACAACCCTGTGAATATAATACAAAATATTAAATTGTATATTTTAAATGGGTGAGATTTATGATTTGTAAATTATCTCAATAAACTCTTTTAAAATATCATGGAATCTTATATGAATGTTTAATATCTACACTATTTTTAAAGTAAAGCAGTAAAAAAAAATGATGCAGCATTTTGCATCTGTGTTTATATCCTGGCTAAGAGCATGAGTTAAAAGAATCAGATAAATAGTTACTAAATAGTCATTAGGTTTAGGACACTAGACTAAATAATGTAGGGATAAGAGCAATAGATGACATGATTCTCAAACTGGAAGAAACTACAATCTACATAGAAAGATTGTGCCAAGACTTTGGATGACAGCATGGTTTCCAAAGCAGAAATATTCCACGATAGCTTAAGTCTAGAGATGGCTTCATATTTATAACATTCATCTTCAATGGGTCAAAGCTTCTGTTCTTCAACTGTGTTCCCCTGAATTCCTTCAGTTTCTATGTAACGACATCTAAGATACTCTTCCTCCAACTATGTTCTACTATAGCCTGGCATACAGCAAGTATTCAATAAGTAGCTGTTGAATGAATGAATGTGTTTTTTTTTTCCTTTGGGCTTTGGAATCTTCTAGATTTCTGAGTTCCTAAAATTATACCCTATGGCCTACACCCTTAGGTTAAGACCTAACAGACATCTGAAAGTAAAACAAGAATATTTAAAACCAAAGAGAGAAATACAGAAATTGATACTCTGCAAATTGGGTATGTAACTGTTTTGATGACATGGCAAAGAAATGACTGAAGCCAGTTATTGGGAGAACAATTTCAAAAAAGGAAGCTTTAACCACACTCATGATGTACTCAAATTTTTAATCTGGGAAGTATGTAATATATAAAATACATATTTGCCTTCAAACTTAAACCATTCTTATATATACCTTTTTAAAAAGCAGTTTTATATTAGCCATGATTGTCAAGTTCAATATGCAGAAGAATAATTTGAAGAATGCAGAGTTTGGACCATTTGTATAAGAATACCCTAGAGCATCTGTAAAAATTCATATTTGTGGGCTTCAACTCAGATTTACTGAATCCAAATCTCTTGGATTAGGACCCAGAAATCTTTGATTTTAACAGGCTCCCCCACGTGAGTCTAATGCAAATAAAATATACACCACCATTTGGGAAATACTTATTCAGGTCATTTATATAGCCAACTGGAGGATCTTCTATCAAAAAGTATGCCTCCAGGTGTTTCTTCTGTTCCTCTGAACTTCCCTAGCCTTCTCAGAATAAATGAAATCAAATAATAGATATTTAATACCTATGATATTTCCTGTAGTACAACTCTTTAAATAATTTCACCTTACAAAGTGTGTTTTACTCCCAAGATATAAAACTTACCCATATGATTTTTTATTATAGGTTGACTATCCCTCTTGCAAATATCTGAAATACGAAATGTTCCAAAATCCAGAACTTTTTGAACGTCAACATGATGTTCAAAGGAAATGCTCATTAGAGCATTTTGGATTAGGGGTGCTCAACTGGTAAGTTCAATGCCAATATTCCAAAATCTGGAAATATCCAAAATCTGAAGCATTTCTGATTCCAAGCATTTTAGATAAGGAGTACTTAACTAGTATTACAAAATCAAAAGGCATGGGTAAACACAGAAAATATATACGAATTATATAAAATCTCTACTCACACTTATGTGTAAGGATTTGCAAAAGAAAATTACCTGATAGAGTTATAGATGGCCAGTGGGGTTTGATCGTTTTCTTTGGCTATTCTCATCATATCTAACACTGCCATCCCAAGACATTCTTCCTGTGTTTCATGAGTCACAGGTACTTTTATCCATCCGTGCACAAAATCATGCCGCCACTAAAACCAAAAATTTGAAGGAAATATCTCATCGTAAGTTTCATTATCATGTTTTAATCTATGATTATATTTTAATCATAATTTTCAGAACATATGCATTTACAAGATACAAATTGGCCAGGCTCAGTGGCTCATGCCTGTAATCCCAGAACTTTGGGAGGCCAAGGCATGAAGATCACTTGAGCCCAGGAGTTTGAGACCAGCCTGGGCAACATGGCAAGATCTCATCTCCACAAAAAATTTAAAAATTATCCAGGCATGGTGGCACATACCTGCAGTCCCAGCTACTTGGGGGGCTGAGGTAGGAGGATCTCTTCAGCTATGATCACACCACTGCACCCTAGTCTGGGTAACAGACCAAGACCCAGTCTCTAAAATGATTAATAAATAAATAAATGGCATAAATTCCTCCTTTAATTTTCATTCATTTTGCGATACAATTTTAATAAAAGTTCATTTGCAAATGGAAACTGATTTACACTGGGTTCCCAATTACAGAGTACATATAACATCAACCTATTTCATTAAATATATCTTCAAATTATATCTTCTACATAAAAATTACCTAAATTAAAGTAGATATTACTGAGTTAAATATATACTGAACTCCAATTATGTTGGAAGTATCATACTACAAGTGGTGTTGGATACAAAGAAATAGCCATGTGCCCCATAACAATGTTTTGGTCAATGGCAGACCACATATATAACGATGGTTCCATAAGATTGTAATACTGCATTTTTACTGTATCTTTTTTATGTTTAGATATGTTTAACTACACAAATACTTACCGTTGTGTTACAAGTGCCTACAATATTCAGTACAGCAACATGCTATATAAGTTTGTAGCCTAGAGCAATAATAGGCTATACCATACAGACTAGGCATATACTAGGCTATAACATATAGGTTTGTATAAGTACAATACATGATATTCACAGAACAATAAAATTGCCTAACGACATATTTCTCAGAATATATCCCCATAAGTAAGTGACACATGACTGTATAAGATGTGGTCTCAGTCATCAAGGGGACCAAAATTTAGCTTAGAAGCGAAACAGAAGCAAATAATTATAACACCAGACATGATATAGGAAGCACCACACAAAAGCTCCTTCAGGAACTTGGAGAAAGTTAAGATTATATTCAGCTGGAGTAATCAAGGAGGGTTTCATGGAAGATTTGAAACTTCACAGTGTGTTTAAAAATAAAGAAATGTATGATGGACACAAAACAGGGTAAAGAAATAGAAGGAATGACACACACACAAAAGCACCAGATATGTTCAGATGCATAAACTAATTTGATTAGGGCCTGAAGTTTATGTGAAGAAATAATGTGGATTAAAACTTAGAAAAGTAAGTTGGGGTCCGACTGCAGGTACCCTTGAATGACCTGATCCTAGAAACTATGGAGATCTGTTTTCATCATGTCTCTTCCATTGGCAGAGTAGTAGCAATGATAGAAGTGCTTGAAGAAAATAAAGTGTATTTACGGAGGCTCTTTAAGAGGCTGGTGTATGGCTCAGATACGAAATAATAAGGATCTGATCCAGGAAACAGAAGATACTAAAAGATTCTGAAAAAAGGCTGATAACTTTATTAACTATATATTGTCTAAAGAATGAAGAAGAGAGAAACACAGAGGTTCTACGATTTTGACCTGGAGGATTTAGGAATACAGATAAATCTGACTGAACATGTAATGGGAGAAAGAAAAAGAAAGCAGAAGTACAAATATTCTAAACATAATACCAATTTTCTTTGTAGAAAAAAAGGTAAGAGCCATATTACCTAAAATAACAATGCGAATCAAGGTTTTAAACCGGACAAGGGCCCTCTATACTCTACATCTGTATTTCTCTTCTCTTGATGTAATAACTTGTCTCATGAAATTAAAGCTTTACTGGAACCTTTTTAAACTAATTTTATTAAAAGAAACATATTTAAAAGTATATTTGCTTTTCTATTAATAAAATATAGAAGATATTTTCATATAAGAAAATAAACTATTAAGAACCACACCATCAAATAATCAGTATCACCCAAAACAAAGGCCTAAACGTTGCTAATACAAAATTAATTCAGGGTAGGAGACAGATTTTTGCTCAATTTTAAACACTTATTTCACCACACTTTTGAGAACAGGCAAGTAAGTTATACTGTTTAAGTAGAAGATGATCAATGACTTGGTAGATTCTTTTTAATAGCCTGCCTTGGTTCCCTATAGAACTAGTAGATGGGCTGGGTGCAGTGGCTCACACCTGTAATCCCAGCACTTTAGAAGGCCAAGGCAGGCAGATGACAAGGTCAGGAGTTCGAGACCAGCCTGGCCAACATAGTGAAACCCCATCTCTACTAAAAATACAAAAAATTAGCCGGGCGTAGTGGCAGGCACCTGTAATCCCAGCTACTAGGGAGGCTGAGTCAGGAGAATCACTTGAACCTGGGAGGCAGAGGTTGCAGTGAGCCGAGATCACGCCATTGCACTCCAGCCCAGGCAACAGTGGGAGACTCCATCTCAAAAAAAAAGAAAGAAAAGAAAAGAACTGGTAGATAACAAATTCTGCTCATGTGGAAATTCTATGGAAGTCATGATCAGAAGACAATAAATATATGAAAAATGAGTGATGGCAATACTAAAAACATAATAAACTATTCACTAGAGAAAAGTTACAAATGGAAGAGTCTCAAATGCCAAAACATAATAAATACTATTCCTTAAATATTATAGTATGTACCCTCAGAAATTTCATTTAATTAGAACTACTGAAAAATTTCAGGCCAGGTGTGGTGGCTCACACTCGTACTCCCAGCACTTTGGGAGGCTGAGGTAGGAGGATCATTTGAAGCCAGGTGTTTGAAACCAGCCTGGACAATAGAGCGAGACCCCATCTCCACAAAACCAAAACTAAAAAAATTAGCCAGGCATAGTGGCACACACCTGTACCTAGCTACTCAGGAGGCTGACAGGCTGAAGCAAGACAATCACTGGAGCCCAGGAGTTCAATCTCTATAAAAAAATAAAATAAGAAAGAAAACCTTTTCTCATTTGAGTAGCTGACAAAATTTGAACTTAAGAAATTTACATCTTCATTAGCCAGGGAAATAAAAAACAGTCACAGTCACAAAATCAGAAATGATGCCAAGAACATGAGGTAAACATCCAATTGTTGTTGAATAGATATGAATTAATTAAAAGTTGTTCACATGTCAGCAGTTTATTTGCTTAGCAGCCATATTTGATGATATAAAGGCAATTAATTCCCAGAGGAAACTGAATTTAAAAGGGCCATCTTACTTTTGATTTTTATTTGCTTACCTTTTCCAAATCTGTCTTCCTACAGGTACTGTCTTAAGAACTTTAAAGACAGTTCAGTGGCTTATCTATTTTTTGGTTATTTAAAGATGTCAAGATATTCTTACACTCTGGTAATGCCACTGGTCACATTTGCTATATATAGTCTACAACATGCATATAATATAAAATGATAACAGTACAATCTTAGAGTAATCTAAATACTATCATATTTTCTGGGCACAAATTTAGAGAAGTAAAAACATTAAAAAATAGAAAATTGCTTGTGGTACTATCTAGACATAATTTAGAATTATATGGTGGAATTACCTTGCCATGCTAGATAAGACAATCCTTCCTAGAAGGATAAAATTGAGTATTCTGAAATCACCCAAAATTTTTCTAGATCAAAAATACTAGACATTGCAGTATTAATATTAGGCTAAAGTAGCTGAATGAATAGTTTGGGAAAACTTGGCTTATAAATGGGACTTAACTAGCCTACCCCCAAAATATACTAGCTCTGCAGCACAGGTGAAATAATATACCCGTAAAAGCAACAGAAAGTTGTAACCTCATAATATCCTGTTTTCAAAAGGCTATTCTTAGAAGCCTCTCTCCATTCCCCTCTCTTTTCATAATGGCTATACAGATAAAGGAGCTGTATAAAAAAGTAGGTTGGTGGTCAAATGATTTTCAACAAAGGTGCCAAGACCATTCAATGGAGAAAAGACAGTCTTTCAACAAATGGTGCTAGGAAAACTGGATATTCACAAGCAAAAGAAGTTGGGCCCTTACCTTCACGATAGACAAAAATTAACTCAAAATGGACCCAATGCCTAAATGTAAGAGCTAAAATGATAAAACTCTTACAAGAAAACAGAAAGAAAGGTTCATAACATTGGATTTGGCAATGATTTCTTGGATATGACACCAAAAACATAGGAAACAAAAAATAGATAAATTAGAATACAGCCAAATTTAAAACTTTTGTCCATCAAAAGACAAGCAACAGAATGAAAAGGCAACCTAGAGAATGGGAAAAACTATCTACAAATCATGTATCTTATAAGGAGTTAAGATCCAGAATAATAATTTCTATAATATAACAACAAACAAACAACCTGATTTAAAAATGGGCAAAGGACTTCAGTAGACATCTCTGCAAAGAAGATAAACAAATAGCCAACAAGCAACATCTCTGCAAAGAAGATAAACAGATGGCCAACAAGCATATGAAAAGATGCTCATGATCACTGGTTGTTAGAGAAGTATGCATCAAAATCACAATGATACCACCTCAAACCCATAGAGATGGCTATTATCAAACAAAGCAAAGCATTGTTGAGGATGTTGAGAAATTGGAACACTTGTGCACTGCTGGTAGGACTGAAAAATAGTGCAGCCACTACAGAAAACAATGTAGCAGTTCCTCAAAAAAAATTATAAATTTACCATATGATCCAGCGATTCCATTTCTGGGTATATATTGAAAAGAACTGAAAACAGGGACTCAAGGAAATATTTGTTTACCCATGTTCACAGCAGCAACCCAAGTATCCATCAACAGATGAATGAACAAATAAAATGCAGTATACATATGCAATGGAATATTATTCAGCCTTAAAAAGGAAAGAAATTCTGGCACATGCTACAACATGGATGAACCTGACAGACATTATGCTAAGTGAAATAAGCCAGTCAAAAAAGGACAAATGCTATATAACTCCATTTGTATGAGGTACATAGAAAAGGCAGATTTATATTCAGAAAGTAGAATGGTGATTGCAAAAGGCCATTGGGAGTGGGAAATACAGAGTTATTATTTAATGGGTATGAAGTTTCCATTTGGGAAGATGAAAAATGTTCTGGAGATGGATGGTGGTGATGGTTGTACAGCAATGTATTTGTACTTAATACAACTGAACTGTACACTTAAAATGGTTAAAATGGTCATTTTTATTATATATCTCTTACCACAATAAAAATAAAGTTTGTTGGTCTCATACCCCAATAGAGAAATGTTTTTCCTTTTGTTGTTCATAAACTGAACTAGGCTTACTAGGCTTCCTCTCAGAAATGCGAGCCATGAGGATCTGTGGGCTTGTTTCCTACAATATTAGCAAATCTGATTTAGAACTCCTGATACCTTGGGGATACCAAGTGCCTATTTTTACCCAAGAGCACTAATATATTTTCTTCCTTTAATTTCTATTCCTACTAGTCTAGCAGCACATAAAAACAAGTTATTTAATGACAAAATATTTCAATTACTGTTTAAATCAAGGTAATAGAGAAGAAAGCATTATGAAATACCAACACAATACAAAAATTTGACATAACTGTATTAGTGAACAAATAACTTGAATATAGCTCTTAGACTAAGTATCAACATCCAGTCACCTTCCTATAAACAGCTAAACAAACTATCAGAGCTCATTTTTTTATGTAACCTACTTTCTCTACAGTTCATTGTCCATTGTGTAAGCCTGAAATTGTCCAAAAATTTTTTTAAAAACCATAAAGAAATGTTACTAATATTTTAGCCACGTATGTCTACATGAATCATGTTGTAAACCTCAGTCTATACTTTGCGAAATCCTTAAAATGATCTAAAGTCCTAAAAAAGAAAGAAATTCAAAAGGATCAGTCCAAAAAAACTTTATAAAATAGATTCTATTATCCATAAACCATGGGATTAAAAACTAGTGCTAAAAGACTCAATTTTGTTACTTCTCTGCACCTGCTGTGCAAGACAGAACTGCAATTTTCCCATATGTAAAGTTTTTCCTGATTAAGTGACTTATTAAACAGCAAGATATTTATCATTTAACTCATGTACAAGTAAGATAATATAATCATACCTGAGCAAAGAGGTAAGACATGACAAAGTCATCAAGAAGAGGAGCTTCAGCACCTCGAGATATTCCATGCCGATAGGCTCTGTTGCTGCCACTGCAATACCAACGAGGAAAGTAAAATCTACAAGATAATAAAAACATTTGGTCAGCTTCCAAATAGTTCAAATACAAACGTACTATCTATATATAGTCACCTACAGCATACTGAAAGGTATTATCCCATACTTAGAAAACACAGCTAACAGTATTAAATATAAATGTGAGACAAAAGGATATGTGGATAACACTAATATAGGCAGAAAGTACAAGAAATGTAAGTGTAAAATCAATATACTACCTCCTTCAGTGCACAAAATGTAGAAGCAATAGTAGGAAACAAAAAATGTAGAAATTAACAAAAAGTTAAAAACATAGCTTAATCCAGTAACATCAGTAGGGAATCTGAAAATGCTAATTTGGTATAAAAACAAATAATTGCTTATTTGGAGAAATGGAAGTTAAAAACTTGTCCTTCAGAGAAACAAAGAACACTCTATATTGTCTTTTAGTAACACCTTTATTGAGATATAATTCACATACCATAAAGTCCACCCACTTAAAGTGTAAAATTCAATGTTTTTAGTTTATTCATAGCATTGTACAAATATCACAATCTAATTTTAGAACATGTGGCCTTTCTGTCTGCCTTCTTTCACTCAGCATAATGTTTTCAAGGTTCATCCACATTAGAGCATGTATCATTACTTCATTTCCTTTTATTGCCAAATTAATATTTCATTGTATGAATATACCACTTTTTCTGTATCCATTCATCGCCTGACAGACATTTGGGTTTGTTTCTATTATTTTTCTATTGTGAATAACGCTAGTATGAAGAGTCATGTACAAGTTTTTGTGGATATGTTTTCATTTCTATTGCATATATATCTAGAAGTAGAATTGCTGAGTCATATGGTAACTCTTTGTTTACCCTTTTAAGGAATGGCCAAACTGTTTTCCAAAGTAGCAGCACCACTTTACATTCCCAACAGCAATATACTGCATCCAAATTAGTCCAAATTCTCTAACACTTGTTATTGTTTGTCTTTCTGATTTTTGCCATCCTTGTAGACCTATTATTATCCCATCGTGGTTTTGATTTGTATTTCTCTAATGACCAATGATGTTGGGCATCTTTTTTTCGGAGGGTTTCATTTTTCCTTTTTTTTTTTAAAGCCCCTAAGTTGTATGGCTTCAAAAGAGCATCAGAGAAACGTAAACGCCATTTCCGTACACTTGGTAAAGCAAAAACCAGACTCACGGCCACCGCCCTGGGCACTGCCTCAAGCTGACCCGCTGGGAGTCCGCCAGCCAGTCCAGGGCCGCCCGCAGACCCCCCTGCACATACACCTGCGGGGCTGGGTCGGGGGCTTTAAGGCATTTTGTCTGCGGCTGCTTGCCAGGGGGCGGAGCACAGAGACAGGAAGCCACGAGCCCGCGCGCCTCCACACAGCAGGGCCCAGGGGCCGAGCCGCGCGACGCCAGCCGGCCCACCCCCCTCAGCTTCTGAGGGTCGGAGCACAGCCTCGGGGAACAGGTGCCTCGAGAAGCACCCTCCTAGCAGGGCCCACCTGCCCCTCGCCGGGGCCAGGCTGTGAAAGGCTGCGGTGGCCGTGCCTGTGGCGACCGAGCTTTGGTGCAGCATTTTGGTTGCGGGGCTGGCTTCAGCCGCGGCCCCACCCCTCCGTTCCCCTTTAGTTTTGGGGAGGCCTGGGGCACAGCCTCACCCCTGGCAGCAATGCCTGTGTCCCTCCCAGGTGGGCCTGGGCAAGATGGCCCCACAGCACCCCTCCAGGCCAGGCCTGCCCTCCCACTGAGAAAACGGCCTTTGGATGAGGGAGACAAGCTGGACTTTATGACGCTAACGGGGGCAGCTGGCTGGGCCTCAGCCCTGGGGGCCTCCAGGATCCCACTACTCACTTCAGCAAAGTAATGGAGGGGTGGGGGTGGAGGGGGCCTTTCTTTTTTTTCCTTTATTCCTTGTTTTAAATAGTTAATGCTCTTGGAGGGGAGGACTAGACACAGGTGTAGAAATTTTGGCCAGTCTTGGCCGGGCGCGGTGGCTCACGCCTGTAATCCCAGCACTTTGGGAGGCCGAGGCGGGTGGATCATGAGGTCAGGAGATCGAGACCATCCTGGCTAACAAGGTGAAACCCCGTCTCTACTAAAAATACAAAAAATTAGCCGGGCGCGGTGGCGGGCGCCTGTAGTCCCAGCTACTTGGGAGGCTGAGGCAGGAGAATGGCGGGAACCCGGGAGGCGGAGCTTGCAGTGAGCCGAGATTGCGCCACTGCAGTCCGCAGTCCGGCCTGGGCGACAAAGCGAGACTCCGTCTCAAAAAAAAAAAAAAAAAAAAAAAAGAAATTTTGGCCAGTCTTACGTGAAGGAAGTGACCCCTCGTCCCGGGGATGGGGCCGCCGGCCAAGACCCTGCAGTCTGTGTCCTGGCTTCCAGCCAGCGTCTGGCCCTGGGCCGCTGTGGGTGGGCCCCAAGGCCCTCACACAAGCTCGCTCCCCAAGGGGCCGCACGGAGAAGATTCAGGGGGAAGAAACAGCAGCATTTCGTTTCATCGCCCACCTCCATCTCTGCAGGCGCCCTGATGGGCGCTGGAGTGGCCGGCCATGGGGTCGTCCGCGTTCAGCTCCCCATTGGTGGAGTTCAGCGCCTGGTTTTTGCTGTGCGGCTGATCTTTGTCCCGAAGCTGAGGCTGGGAGGGCAGGTCGGTGTGGACACTGCTGATGGGGGTCGCCAAGGGCTTCCCGAGCCCCTCGTACTCAGAGTCGAACACGAAGCCGCTTCGGTCGAAGAGGTAGCTGGAGAGCTTCCGCAGGTAGTCGTAGTCGAGCTTCTCAAAGTCCAGGCGCCGCATGTAGTCACAGTCGGGCTTCTCAAAGTCCAGGCGCCGCACGTAGTGCAGGTACGTAGCCATCTCCTCTGGGAAGTTCTCGCAGAGCACTTCGATGGGCGTGGCGCGCTATGTGTCCCCGATCTTCTGTACCGCTCATGATCGTGTCAGCCTTGAGCCCCTGCCAGGGGAGGCTGCTGCACAGGAAGTACATGAACATGTGGCCCAGCACCTCCAGGTTGTTGCAGTGGCTCTGCTCCTTGCCCAGGTGCATGTTGATGCTCATGTAGCACGCCGTACCTGTCAAGCTCTTGTGCTGGCTGCACGGGATGTGCTTCTTGGTCCTGAGACCAGTGTACCCCTTGGCCAGCCCGAGGTCGATGATGTGGATGGCGTGCTGCCGCTTGGTCCCCGGGCGCCCCACCAGGAAGTTCTCGGGCTTCACGTCCTGGTAAATGAGGTTCTTGGTGTGCACATAATCCATGCGCGTGATCAGCCGGATGGCGATCAGGAGCACCGTCTTGGGCGTGAAGGTCGAACAGGTCCTCCAGGCTGTAGTAGGTAGTAGACCTGAGGGACGCCCTCTATGGCGCTGAGCTGCTTGTAGAACCGGTACCCAGGTGCAGCTGCGGGGTCCGGAACTTGATCAGCTCCAATTTGATAGCCACATATTTGTTTGTATAGAGATTCTTTCCTTGGCTCCGCCATGGCCAGGCTGCCGGCAGCGTCTGGGTGGCCGGCCAGGCTTCAGCAGCGCGGCGCGGATCCGCGCTCCGGCCCCTCTCCTGCTCGCGCTGGGGCTCTGGCGCCCCACTCGGGCCCCGCTCCAGCTCCTGCACCGCCTGGGCCAGCCACCGCATGTTAAGGGCGGAAGGCGCCTGGCACACCACGGTCCCGGACGCCCGCTCAGGGGCCCACCTGTTGGGCATCTTTTTACATGCTTTTTGGCCATTTGTATATCTTATTTGGAAAAATGTCTATCCAAGTCCCTTGCCTACTTTTTAAATTAAGTTGTCATTGTCTTGTTGAGCTGTAAGAATTCTTTTATATTCTGGAGATAAGACAATTATCAGATATATGATTCCCAAACATTTGCTTCCATTTTGTGGAACCCATTTGTGGGTGGTCTTTTCGCATTTTTGATAGTGTGCTTTGACACACAGATGTTTTTAACTTTGATAAAGCCTAACTTAACTATTTTTCTTTTGTCACTTGAGCTTTTGGTGTCATATCTAAGAAACCACTGCCTAATCTAAGTACACAAAGACTTCTGTGTTTCTTCTTGGAGTTTTAATAAGTTTAGCTCTCATATATAGGCCTATGATCCACTTTAAGCTTTTTTTTTTTGTATATAGTGTGAAGTAGATTGTCTTACTTCATTAGTTTACATGTGGATATCCAGTTGTCCCCGCACTGTTAGTTTAAAAGACTATTCTATGCCCATGAATTGTCTTGGCACCCTGATCAAAAATCAATCACCATCAATGTGAGAAATTATATTGAGACTGTCAATTCCTTTCCATTAATCTGTATATTCATCCTTTAGTATCACATTGTCTTGATTACAGTCCTTTTGTAATAAATTTTGTAATTAGGAAGTATAAGTCTTCAAACTTTGTATTGTTTCAAGATTGTTTTAGCTATGCTAAGTCCCTTTGCTTTTTATATAAATTTATGATTAACCTGTCAATTTCTGCAATAAAGACATTTAGGAATTCAGTAGGAATTGCATTGAACATACAGATCAATTAAGGAGTATTGCCATCTTAAAAATATGAAGTCCTCTATGAGATATCTTTCCATTTATTTAGGTGTTTCCTTAATTTCTTTCAATGATGTTTTATATTTCTCAGTGTATACATTTTACACTTCTTTAAGTTTATTCCTAAAAATTTGTTATGCTATTGTTAATGAAATTTTTTTAATTTCATTTTTGGATTGTTCTTTGTCTCTGTATAGAAATACAACTGATTTTTATATATTGATCTTCTATTCTGCAACTGACCTGAGCTCATTTATTAGTTCTAATAGTTTTTTTATTAATTCCTTAGGATTTTTAATATGCAAGATCATGTAATCTGTGAATACACAATCATCCTTTGGTATCTATGCAGTACTAGTTCCAGAACCTCCCACACATACCAAAATCTGCAAATACTCATGTTCCTGATATACAAAGGCATAGTATTTGCATATAACCTGTGCACATCCTTCAGTATACTTTAAAATCTCTAGACTATTTATAATACCTAATACAATGTAAATGTTATGTAAATAGTTGTTATACCGTATTCTTTAGGGAGTAATGACAAGAAAAAGTCTGTACATGTTCAGTGTAAGCACAACTTTTTTTCCAAGTATTTTCAATCTGCAGTTGGTTTAATCCATGGATGTGAAACCCATGGATACAGCGGGATGACTACAATTTTACTTCTTATTTTCCAATATAAATGCCTTTTATTTCTTTTTCTTGCCTAATTTCCCTACCCTGAATCTACAGTATAGTGTTAAATCAAAGTGGTAAAAGTAGCTATCCTCATCTCATTCCTGATCATAGGGAAAAGGCATTCAGTCTTTCACTAATAAGTATGACATTACTTTTGAATTTTTTACAGATGCCCTTTAACAAATTGAGGAAGTTCCTTGCCATTCCTATTGTGTTGAGTTTTTTTATAATGATGGGATGCTGGATTTTATCAAATACTTTTTCTGTGTCTCTTGGGATGATCATGTGGTTTTGGTCATTTATTCTATTAATGTGGTGTATTACATTGATTGATTTTTGGAAGTTACACTAGCCTTGTATTTCCTGGGATAAATCCCACCTGGTCATAGTATTTCATCTTTTTATAAACAAACTGAGCATTCCTAACCTGAAAATCTGAAATCCGAAATGCTCCAAAATTCAAAACCTTTAGAGCGCTAACCTGATGTGCAAAAGAAATATTCATCAGAGCATTTCAGACTTTAGATTTTTATATTAGGTATGTTCAACCAGCGTATACTCTGCAAATATTCTAAAATCCAAAAAAAAAAAAAAAAATCTAAAATCCAAAACACTTCTGGTCCCAAGCATTTCAGATAAGACATATTCAAGCTGTATTGCTGGATTCGGTTTGCAAGTATTTTGTTGATTTTCTACCTACAACATTGGTCTGTAGTTTTCTTTTCTTCTAGACATCTTTGTCTGAATTTGTTATCAGGGTAATACTGAACTCACAGAAAGAGCTCAGAAATCCTCCTTCCTTTTCTATTTTTTGTGAATAACTAGTAATAATTTTTTTAATGTGTGATAGAATTCACAAGTGAAGCCACTTGGGCCTGGGCTTTTATAAAAATTGCTAATTTGATTTCTTTATTTGTCATAGACCTATTCAAACTTTCTGTTCTTTCTTTTAGCAGTTCCTATAACTTGTGTCTTTCTAGGAATTTGTCCATTTCATCTTGATCCTCTAATTTGTTGGCATTAAAAACACTGTATCCATTAAACAATTATTTAATGTACATGAAGAAATATTTAACAAAAGAAGAACAAATCATTAATGGCCTTTTCAAAAAATTCTCAGCATCACTAGTTATAAGAATAATGAATAGTTGTAACTATGTGCTAAAGCAAGCAATCTCGTTCATTATTCTCATAACTAGTGACGCTATATATTCATGTACATTAAGTAATTGTTAAATGGATACACTGTTTTAAATTTCATACTTACAAGAATACTAACCTTATGTTTATTTGATTTGTTGAAACTATCTTTACAATTTGCCTTTTCATTTTTTTCTATTATACTTTAAGTTTTAGGGTACATGTGCACAACATGCAGGTTAGTTACATATGTATACATGTGCCATGTTGGTGTGCTGCACCCAGTAACTCGTCATTTAACATTAGGTATATTTCCTAATGCTATCCCTCCTCCATCCCCCCACCCCAGAACAGGCCCCGGTATGTGATGTTCCATTCCTGTGTCCATGTGTTCTCATTGTTCAATTCCCACCTAAGAGTGAGAACATGCAGTGTTTGGTTTTTTGTCCTTGCGATAGTTTGCTGAGAATGATGGTTTCCAGCTTCATCCATGTCCCTACAAAGGACATGAACTCATCATTTTTCATGGCTGCACAGTATTCCATGGTGTATATGTGCCACATTTTCTTAATCCAGTCTATCATTGTTGGACATCTAGCTTGGTTCCAAGTCTTTGTTATTGTGAATAGTGCCGCAATAAACATACGTGTGCATGTGTCTTTATAGCAGCATGATTTATAATCCTTTGGGTATATACCCAGTAATGGGATGGCTGGGTCAAATGGTATTTCTAGTTCTAGATCCCTGAGGAATCGCCACACTGACTTCCACAATGGTTGAACTAGTTTACAGTCCCACCAACAGTGTAAAAATGTTCCTATTTCTCCACATCCTCTCCAGCACCTGTTGTTTCCTGACTTTTTAATGATCGCCATTCTAACTGGTGTGAGATGGTATCTCTTTGTGGTTTTGATTTGCATTTCTCTGATGGCCAGTGGTGATGAGCATTTTTTCATGTCTTTTGGCTGCATAAATGTCTTCTTTCAAGAAGTGTCTGTTCGTATCCTTCGCCCACTTTTTGATGGGGTTGTTGTTTTCTTGTAAATTTGTTAGAGTTCATTGTATATTCTGGATATTAGCCCTTTATCAGATGAGTAGATTACAAAAATGTTCTCCCATTCTGTAGGTTGCCTGTTCACTCTGATGGTAGTTTCTTTTGCTGTGCAGAAGCTCTTTGGTTTAATGAGATCCCATTTGTCAATTCTGGCTTTTGTTGCCATTGCTTTTGGTGTTTTAGACATGAAGTCCTTGCCCATGCTTATGTCCTGAATGGTATTGCCTAGGTTTTCTTCTAGGGTTTTTATGGTTTTAGGTCTAACATTTAAGTCTTTAATCCATCTTGAATTAATTTTTGTATAAGGTGTAAGGAAGGGATCCAGTTTCAGCTTTCTACACATGGCTAGCCAGTTTTCCCAGCACCATTTATTAAATAGGGAATCCTTTCCCCATTTCTTGTTTTTGTCAGGTTTGTCAAAGATCAGATGGTTGTAGATAGGTAGCATTATTTCTTTCCATTGGTCTATATCTCTGTTTTGATACCAGTACCATGCTGTTTTGGTTACTGTAGCCTTGTAGTATAGTTTGAAGTCAGGTAGCGTGATGCCTCCAGCTTTGTTCTTTTGGCTTAGGATTGACTTGGCAATGTGGGCTCTTTTTTGGTTCCATATGAACTTTAAAGTAGTTTTTTCCAATTCTGTGAAGAAAGTCATCTGTAGCTTGATGGGGATGGCATTGAATCCATAAAGGACTTTGGGCAGTATGGCCATTTTCACAATATTGATTCTTCCTACCCATGAGCATGGAATGTTCTTCCATTTGTTTGTATCCTCTTTTACTTCATTGAGCAGTGGTTTGTAGTTCTCCTTGAAGAGGTCCTTCACATCCCTTGTAAGTTGGATTCCTAGGTATTCTCTTTGAAGCAATTGTGAATGGGAGTTCACTCATGATTTGGCTCTCTGTTTGTCTGTTATTGGTGGGTAAGAACGCTTGTGATTTTTGCACATTGATTTTGTATGCTGAGACTTTGCTGAAGTTGCTTATCAGCTTAAGGAGATTTTGGGCTGAGACGATGGGGTTTTCCAGATATACAATCATGTCATCTGCAAACAGGGACAATTTGACTTCCTCTTTTCCTAATCAAATAACCTTTATTTCCTTCTCCAGCCTGACTGCCCTGGCCAGAACTTCCAACACTATGTTGAATAGGAGTGGTGAGAGAGGGCATCCCTGTCTTGTGCCAGTTTTCAAAGGGAATGCTTCCAGTTTCTGTCCATTCAGTATGATATTGGCTGTCGGTATGTCATAGATAGCTCTTATTATTTTGAGACACGTCCCATCAATACCTAATTTATTGAGAGTTTTTAGCATGAAGGGTTGTTGAATTTTGCCAAAGACCTTTTCTGCCTCTGAGATAATCATATGGTTTTTGCCGTTAGTTCTGTTTATATGCTGGATTACGTTTATTGATTTGCATATGTTGAACCAGCCTTGCATCCCAGGCATGAAGCCCACTTGATCATGGTGGATAAGCTTTTTGATGTGCTGCTGGATTCGGTTTGCCAGTATTTTGTTGAGGATTTTTGCATCAATGTTCATCAAGGATATTGGTATAAAATTCTCCTTTTTGGTTGTGTCTCTGCCAGGCTTTGGTATCAGGATGATGCTGGCCTCATAAAATGAGTTAGGGAGGATTCCCTCTTATTCTATTGATTGGAATAGTTTCAGAAGGAATGGTACCAGCTCCTCTTTGCACCTCTGGTAGAATTCAGCTGTGAATCCATCTGGTCCTGGACTTTTTTTGGTTGGTAAACTATTAATTATTGCCTCAATTTCAGAGCCTGTTATTGGTCTATGCAGAGATTCAACTTCTTTCTGGTTTAGTCTTGGGAGGGTGTATGTGTCCAGGAATTTATCCATTTATTCTAGATTTTCTAGTTTATTCATGTAGAGGTGTTTATAGTATTCTCTGATGGTAGTTTGTATTTCTGTGGGATCGGGTTGATATCCCCTTTATCATTTTTTATTGCATGTATTTGATTCTTCTCTCTTTTCTTATTATTCTTGCTAGCAGTCTATCAATTTTGTTGATCTTTTCAAAACACCAGCTCCAGCATTCATTGATTTTTTTGAAGGGTTTTTTGTCTCTCTATGTCCTTCAGTTCTGCTCTGATCTCAGTTATTTCTTGCCTTCTGCTAGCTTTTGAATGTGTTTGCTCTTGGTTTTCTAGTTCTTTTAATTGTGATGTTAGGGTGTCAATTGGATCTTTCCTGCTTTCTCTTGTGGGCCTTTAGTGCTATAAATTTCCCTCTACACACTGCTTTGAATGTGTCCCAGAGATTCTGGTATGTTGTGTCTTTGTTCTCGTTGGTTTCAAAGAACATCTTTATTTCTGCCGTCATTTCGTTATGTACCCAGTAGTCATTCAGGAGCAGGTTGTTCAGTTTCCATGTAGTTGAGTGGTTTTGAGTGAGTTTCTTAATCCTGAGTTCTAGTTTGATTGCACTGTGGTCTGAGAGACAGTTTGTTATAATTTCTGTTCTTTTACACTTGCTGAGGAGTGCTTTACTTCCAACTATGTGGTCAATTTTGGAATAGGTGTGGTGTGGTGCTGAAAATATATATTCTGTTGATTTGGGGTGGAGAGTTCTGTAGATGTCTATTAGGTCTGCTTGGTCCAGAGCTGAATTCAATTCCTGGATATCCTTGTTAACTTTCTGTCTTGTTGATCTGTCTAATGTTGACAGTGGGGTGTTAAAGTCTCCCATTATTATTGTGTGGAAGTCTAAGTCTCTTTGTAGGTCTCTAAGGACTTGCTTTATGAATCTGGGTGCTCCTGTATTGGGTGCATATATATTTAGGACAGTTAGCTCTTTTTGTTGAGTTGATCCCTTTACCATTATGTAATGGCCTTCTTTGTTTCTTTTGATCTTTGTTGGTTTAAAGTCTGTTTTATCCGAGACTAGGATTGCAATCCCTGCCTTTTTTTGTTTTCCGTTTGCTTGGTAGATGTTCCTCCATCCCTTTATTTTGAGCCTATGTGTGTCTCTGCACGTGAGATGGGTTTCCTGAATACAGCACACTGATGGGTCTTGACTCTTTATCCAGTTTACCAGTCTGTGTCTTTTAATTGGAGCATTTAGCCCATTTACGTTTAAGGTTAATATTGTTATGGGTGAATTTGATCCGGTCTTTATGACGTTACCTGGTTATTTTGCTCATTAGTTGATGCAGTTTCTTCCTAGCCTCGATGGTCTTTACAATTTGGCGTGTTTTTGCAGTGGCTGGTACCAGTTGTTCCTTTCTATGTTTAGTGCTTCCTTCAGGAGCTCTTTTAGGGCAGGCCTGGTGGTGACAAAATCTCTCAGCATTTGCTTGTCTGTAAAGGATTTTATTTCTCCTTCACATATGAAGCTTAGTTTGGCTGGATATGACATTCTGGGTTGAAAATTCTTTTCTTTAAGAATGTTGAATATTGGCCCCCACTCTCTTCTGGCTTGTAGAGTTTCTGCCAAGAGATCTGCTGTTAGTCTGATGGGCTTCCCTTTGTGGGTTACCCAACCTTTCTCTCTGGCTGCCCTTAACATTTTTTCCTTCATTTCAACTTTGGTGAATCTGACAATTATGTGTGTTGGAGTTGCTCTTCTCAAGGAGTATCTTTGTGGCGTTCTCTCTATTTCCTGAATTTGAATGTTTGCCTGCCTCGCTAGATTAGGGAAGTTCTCCTGGATAATATCCTGCAGAGTGTTTTCCAACTTGGTTCCATTCTCCCCATCAGGTACACCAATGAGACGTAGATTTGGTCTTTTCACATAGTCCCATATTTCTTGAAGGCTTTGTTTGTTTCCTTTTATTCCTTTTTCTCTAAACTTCTCTTCTCACTTCATTTCATTCATTTCATCTTCCATCTCTGATACCCTTTCTTCCTATTGATTGAATCGGCTACTGAGGCTTGTGCATTCATCACGTAGTTCTCGTGCCTTGGTTTTCAGCTCCATCAGGTCCTTTAAGGACTTCTCTGCATTGGTTATTCTAGTTAGCCATTTGTCTAATTTTTTTTCAAGGTTTTTAACTTCTTTGCCATGAGTTCAAACTTCCTCCTTTAGCTTGGAGTAGTTTGATCGTCTGAAGCCTTCTTCTCTCAACTTGTCAAAGTCATTCTCCATCCGGCTTTGTTCCGTTGCTGGTAAGGAGCTGCGTTCCTTTGGAGGAGGAGAGGTGCTCTCATTTTTAGAGTTTCCAGTTTTTCTGCTCTGTTTTTTCCCCATCTTTGTGGTTTTATCTACCTTTTGTCTTTGATGATGGTGACATACAGATGGGGTTTTGGTGTGGATGTCATTTCTGTTTGTTAGTTTTCCTTCTGACAGTCAGGACCCTCTGCTGCAGGTCTGTTGGAGTTTGCTGGAGGTCCACTCCAGACCCTGTTTGCCTGGGTACCAGCAGCAGTGGCTGCAGAACAGCGGATATTGGTGAGCAGCAAATGTTGCTGCCTGACTGTTCCTCTGGAAGTTTTGTCTCAGAGGAGTACCCGGCCATGTGAGGTGTCAGTCTCCCCCTACTTGGGGGTGCCTCCCAGTTAGGCTACTCGGGGTTCAGGGACCCACTTGATGAGGCAGTCTGTCCGTTCTCAGATCTCCAGCTGCATTCTGGGAGAACCACTACTCTTCAAAGCTGTCAGACAGGGACATTTAAGTCTGCAAAGGATTCTGCTGCCTTTTGTTTGGCTATGCCCTGCCCCCAGAGGTGGAGTCTACAGAGGCCGGCAGGCCTCCTTGAGCTGTGGTGGGCTCCACCCAGTTTGAGCTTCCTGGCTGCTTTGTTTACCTACTCAACCCTCGGCAATGGCGGGCGCCCCTCCCCCAGCCTCGCTGCCACCTTGCAGTTTGATCTCAGACTGCTGTGCTAGCAATGAGCGAGGCTCCGTGGGCGTAGGACCCTCTGAGCCAGGCGCGGGATATGTGCCATTTGCTAATACCGTTAGAATAGCGCAGTATTAGAGTGGGAGTGACCCGATTTTCCAGGTGCCGTCTGTCACCCCTTTCTTTGACTAGGAAAGGGAATTCCCTGACCCTTTGCGCTTCCCGGGTGTGGCGATGCCTCGCCCTGCTTCGGCTCATGCTCAGTGTGCTGCACCCACTGTCCTACACTCACTTTCCTACACTCCCCAGTGAGACGAACCCGGTACACCTCAGTTGGAAATGCAGAAATCACCCGTCTTCTGCATCGCCCATGCTGGGAGCTGTAGACTGGACCTGTTCCTATTCAGTCATCTTGGCTCCACCCTCCTGCCTTTTCATTTTAAGAGGAAACCTTCAGACATTTGAAAATTTTTATAGTTGACAATTGCAGTCATTCCCATATGATTTTTTCTATTGTTTTGCAACTTAAATGGTATTTTCCCAAGGACTTGAATTCAGTTCCAATTCAGACTTTTATAGTTTGATTTTCTTTACATTTCTATTTACATATCAATCTGATCTTTAATCAATCTATAATTTATCTGATATACATTATAAAGTAAGAAGCTAAAATTTTATTCAAACAGCTAATCAACTATTCTACCACCATTTGTTGACTAATCTCTCCCTTCCACGTTAATATGAAAAGATTTCTTCATATTATTATGTTTCTATATGTATGAAGGAGTACTTTCAAGATATACTGGCCCCATCATTCTCATTATTTAGTTTATGATTCTGAATTTAATTATGTGGCTTTAATAATAGATACCATTTTGTAGTTTCATATAATGTGAAAATATCTCCTGGGACAAAATATTTTACAATTGCCAGGTAAGTCTTCTTTCTCATGGCTATCTTATTTAATAATTCTCAATTTACATAGTAATGTGTCAAATTCCGTAAAATGCCTTTGTTAGGATTTTGATTGGCTTAGAGCTAAGGATATAGCATAAGAGAAATTGATCTTTGTAATATTCCATCTCCCCATTCCAATGTTATGTCCTAATTCTTCATATTCTTCAAATAACTTTCTAATTTTCCTATACTGTCTTCTGTTTTTTCTTATTAAGACCATTCCTGGTTAGTTAAGGGTTTTTGTAGCTACACTGCATAGGATCTTCTTTATCTATTATATAACTGGTTGCTTGCATATAAGAATGCTGTTGATTTTTGTACATCTATTATTTCTTTGAACATTTATTTTTTTCACCAATTGTCTTTTCAATAATTATATAAAAAATATTTTTTTGAACTCAGTGCAAATTATACATTAGACATCAGTAAATGCAAACACATCCAACTGCATATTTTTATATAGAATAGGGGAAGAGAAAGAAGCAAAACAATACTAAAATTTATTGAGAGAGCACCAAGTGATAGGCACAATAATAAATATTATATATACATTATCTCTTTAATGAAGTACACATGAGGTGATTAAGAGGCAAGCTTATGAAGCAAACCAGGCTTGGATTTGAACCTGACTCCCAATTCCTACCTGTGTGACCATGAATAAATTTGAGTAATATTACTTCTCAGTGCTCCAAATTCTTTATCTTTAATGTGGAAATCTTAACACCTCATGAAGTTATGATGAATTATATATATATGTATATAAATGCTTAGAAAAATCACAGGTATTTGTGAGACACAAATCAAACGTATCTTTGTTTCATCCTTTCGAGCAAAAAAATACTTCTAGATTTCTCTAAATAGGCATTACACATTACCATAAATTATATAAATTAACTTACAATTTGAGGCTGCAAATACACACTGGGAAAAGTCTCTTTTCTTCACGTCAACTTTTTAAAAAGTTCTTTATAAAGATAAGATGTGAAATTGCATTCTATTGCACAAAACGCTGCACAAACCAGCAATATCCCAAACATTTAGGATTTTGTTAATAAAGGCCACTGTGATTTTGTTTACTTATTTAATTATAATCATAAGGAGTTAAGTGGCATCCCACCAAAACAGCTTTATTCTCAGAGTATTCTACTTACACAACATGTATAAACAGTTTCTCTGATGGAGAAACAGAATAGAATCTTAAATGAAATCTTAAATGAGTGCTAACTAATTGGTTCAGGTATCTGGTATTAAGTACCTTGCAATTAAAAAATATTTGATAATTTCTCCCATTTTGCCTTTTAGCATTAAGTGAGTTACTTTACTGAAGAAAGTACCTTATTCTGTAGAGTACATTATGCCTGGTTGACTCATCTATATGGAAGACATGGTTGGGTGGATACCAGATCCTTTCTGTTTCACTCATTAAAGCAAACATATTATGATACACAGGTGTGATACCTAGAAAAGAAGCAGAGAAAGGAATTATTAAAGGTACACAACAGAATATTTTTACATAGCACCTATAATTTGAAATGAAGCTAAAGTAACAACTCTTAAAATCGGAACAAAATGTAATAGCAGTCGAAATCTTTTGATATACCAACCCCTACAACTGAATTATTAATCACAATCTTTTTTTATACAAACATACTTCATTTTAGTGCACCCTGCATTATTGTACTTTGCAGATATTGTGGGGTTTTTTTCTTTACAAAATAAGGATTTAGAGCAAGTGTGAATCTAGTAAGTCTGTCAGCACCATTTTTCCAACAGCACGTGCTCACTTTGTGTCCCTATGTCACATTTTGGTAATTCTTGCAATACTTCAAACTTTTTTATTATTATATCAGTTATGATGATCTGTGATCAGTGATCTTTGACATTACAATTGTAATCATTTGGGGCCGCTATGAACCGTGCCCATATAAGATGACAAACATAAGCAACAAATGCTGTGTGTGTTCTGACCGCTCCAGCAACAGCCATTCCTGTGTCTCTCCCTCTCCTTAGGCCTCTCTATTCCCTGAGACACAACAATATGGAAATTAGGCCAATTAATAATCCTACAATGGCCTCTAGGCATTCAAGGGAAAGGAAGAGTTTCATATATTAAAGAGTTTCATATCTCTCACTTTAAATCAAAAGCTAGAAATAATTAAACTAAGTGAGGAAGGTATTATTAAAAGCCAAGAGAGGCTAAAAGCCAGGCCTCCTGCACCAGTCAATCAAGTTCTGAATGCAAAGAAAAAGTTTTTGAATGAAATTAAAAATGCGACTGCAGTAAATACATAAATGATAAGAGAGCAAAACAGCCTTATTGATGATGTGACAAAAGTTTGAGTGGTCTAGATAGAAGATCAAACCAGCCACAATATTCCCTCAAGCCAAACCCTAAACCAGAGCAAGGCCCTAATTGTCTTCAAACCTGTGAAGGCTGAGAGAGGTGAGGAAGCTGCAGAAGAAAAGCAAGAAGCTAGTAGAGGCTGGTTCATGAGGTTTAAGAAAAGAAACCATGTCCCTAACATAAAAGTGCAAGGTGAAGCAGCAAGTGTTGATGGAGAGGATGCAGCAAGTTATCCAAAGATCTAACAAAGATCACTGATAAACAATAGATTTTCAGTGTAGACAAAACAGCCTTCTATTGGAAGAAGATACCATCTAGGAGTAGTTTCATAGCTAGAAAGAAGTCAGTGCTTGCCTTCAAAGTTTCAAAGAACTGAATGACTCTCTTCTGAGGAGCTAATGCAACAAGTGACTTTTAGTTGAAGCCAATGCTTATTGACCATTCTGAAAATCTATGGCCATTAAGAACTATGCTCAATTACCCTGCCTGTGCTCTATAAATGGGACAACAAAGCCTAGAAGATAGCACATCTGTATATAGCGTGGTTTACTGAATATTTTAAGCCACCGTTGAGACCTAAAGCTCAGAAAAAAAGATTCCTGTCCAAGTATTATTACTCATTGACAATGCACCTGGTCACCCAAGAGCTCTGATGAAGATGTACATTGAATTTCATGTTGTTTTCATGCCTGCTAACACAACATCCATTCTGCAGCCCATGGATAAGGAGCAATTTGACTTTCAAATCTTATTATTTGGGAAACACATTTAGTAAGGTTATGGCTGTCACAGTGTTTCCTCTCACAGATCTAAGCAAAGTAAATAAAAAAACTTATGGAAAGAGTTCACCATTCTAGACGTCATGAAAAACATTTGTAGTTCATGAGAGGAGGTCAAAATGTCAACATTAACAGGAGTTTGGAAGAAGCTGATTCTGGCTCTCATGGGTATCTTTGAGGGATTTAATCTTCAGTGAAGGAAGTCACTGCAGATGTGGTAGAAGTAACAAGAGAACTAAAATTAGAAGTGGAGCTTGAAGACGTGACTGAATTGCTGTAATCTCACGATAAAACTTGGACATATAAGGAATTGCTTTTTATGGATGAGCAAAGAAAGTGGTTTCTTGAGATGGAATCTATTCCTGGTGAAGATGCTGTGAATATTGTTGAAATGACAACAAAGGATTTATAATACTACATCAACTTAATCAAAGCAGTGGCAGGGTTTGAGTGAATCAACTTCCTATTTTCAAAGAAGTTCTACTGCGGGTAAAATGCTATCAAATAGCATTGCATACTACAGAGACATCTTTCACGAAAGGAAGAGTCCACTGATGCAGCAACCTTCATTGTCTTATTTTAAGATATTGCCATAGCCACCCAACCTTCAGCAGCCACCACCCTGGTCAGTCAGTAGCCATCAACATCAAGGCAAGACTCTCCACTAACAAAAAGATTATGACTCACTGAAGGCTCAGATGATTATGAGTGCTTTTTGACAATAAAGTATTTTTAAATTAAGGTATGTACTTTTTTGGACATAATATTATTGCATACTTAACAGACTACAGAATAATTTAAACATAACTTTTATATGCACTGGGAAACCTAAAACTTCATGTGATTTGCTTTATTGCAATATTTGCTTCACTGCGATAGTCTGGAACCAAACCCACAATATCTCCGAGGTGTGTCAGTATTTTAAAATATAACTGCTGAGACTCTTTCAAGCAGATATTTTTAAAACATTTCATCTGGTTTCTTCAGTTGTCCTCTATAGAAAGGTTGGTTCAAATTTTCAAGTTTCCCTGAACTGGAGGTATAATAAAAATCCATGCTTGCATGTGGTTGCACAGAAGGAGTTGTTTTAATTAATAGGTATCAAATCACAAAAATATTTAGAAGTCATGAATACTCTTAAAAGAACAATGTGTCAAGTTTTACACAATACATTAATAATTATGTCCTTTGGGCTATTTTAATTTACAATGAAAAATTTTAAATATCAACTTAAAATGTGAGTGCATATGTAATTTCTTAAAAGATATTTTAGAAGGTACATCAACAAATGGTTGAAAGCCACTGAACTAAAAAACCAAGAGAATACCTAAACCACACAAGTAAATAATACAAGCTATTTTCAAGCATATATAGAACATTCACACATACGCATACACGTACACACACAAGCACAAACACAACAATCACGTGAACTCAAAACAAGTCTTTAGAAGTTCCACAGAATAACCATTCATACCATGTTCTCTAACCACACTTCAATTAAATCAGAAATGAATATGTAAAATTTTTTTAATCCTATATATTTAAAACATAAGGCTCACAGAACACAAAAGTATTTTATTCTAGTTATGTTTTCACTATTTTCCACTGTAGATAGAAACGGCACAAATGACAAACTGACAAGAAAGACTTAAATTCTTAATTTAAATTATTAACACGACCGTCTACTTACAGATGTGTAATAATTTCGGTAAGTTATTTATAATAACATTATTTAGCAGCAACTTTTAAACAGTATACTTGCATTCATTCTTTTATTTACAAATAACTTCCAAATAACTCAGAAGTCAAAGGAAAAATACATTGGGAGGCATTTATAATGAATAATGATTACCAATATCATGTACTAAAAATTGTGGAATACAACTAAGGTGAAACTCAAGAGGAAAAATTGTAGCTTTATCTGCTTATATTAGAAAATAAGAGCAAATGATCTAAGTATCTAACTCAATATAGTAGAAGACAATAGAGTAATCCCAAAGAAAGGTTAGAGATGGACATGATAAAAATCCAATAGGGAGAAGTAACAAAATAAAAGATGATTCTTTGCAAAATAGATCTTTGTCAAGGATAATAAGAAAAAAAGAGGCACAGATAAACACTAAGAACTTTTAAAAAGCATAATTATAAGTTATGAAGACAAAGAGTGCTAGAACAACATTATGCCAATAAACTTGAAAATATAGACAGATGGACAATTTTTGTGAAAATGTAACTTTAAAAAGATTCATTAATTTAAAACTTCAACAGAACTATAACCATTAAAGAAATAGATTCTGGCTGGGTGCAGTGGCTCACACACTTTGAGAGGCCGAGGCAGGTGGATCACCTGAAGTCAGGAGTTTGAGATAAGCTTGGCCAACATGGCAAACCCCGTCTCTACCAAAAATACAAAAATTAGCTGGGTGTGGTGGTGGGTGCCTGTAGTCCAGCTAGTCAGGAGGCTGAGGGAAATGAATCACTTGAACTTGGAAGGCGGAGGTGGCAGTGTGCCATAATCATGCTGCTGCACTCCAGCCTGGGCAACAGAGCAAGACTCAGTCTCAAAAAAAAAAAAAGGAAACAAACTCTATCCACTTAAACAAAAGAAGAAGAAAAGAAAGAAGGAGCAAGAAAGAGACAGAAGAAGGGAAGGAAGAAGAATAACAAAATAACAATGAAGAAAGAAAAAACCACCATCAGGCCCAGACAAGATTTATATTTGAGTTCAACCAAACATGAAAGACAATTCCATCTTAAGTATACTATCACAGAGAATAGACCAAGAGCGAACAGAGAAATTGACACATTTTGTGAATTTAGTTTGACTACGATACCAAGGGTAATCTCACCAATATAGATAGAAAAATCTTAAACTTTACTTCCATGATTAGAAAAGTAAAAGAGTAACATCAGTGAAAATGGTGGAGTAGGTAGTTCCAAGGACCTATCCTTCTCCCAGAAACAGGAAAAAAAAAATGAGTAAAAACTGTCAGAATGAACTTCATATAAACTACAGAAAATAGGCAAAGATATGCAGCAATCAGATAAATGCTGAATCAAGAAAACAGCCACTTAAAAATGGCAGGAAAGTTGTGCAGCATTTTTACTTTCCCTTAACCACCCACTACGCCCATGTCCTGCCCACCAGCCCCGGCTCCACTCCCCCTAGTTAAGCAAAGTCTTGAAGATGGCAATTGGTGCTCCCAGTGTGAAACTCTGGTCCCTGGCTCTGGAGTGAACAGAGCCAACCTTAATCTCAAAAAACTGTTTTTCTCTCTTTTGCCCTGACTGGGGACTGACTGAAGAAATGATGCAAAGAGCACACCTATGTTCCACTTAATTCAGGACTTTCTCAGGGCAGAAAAGCAGCTTCACAGAAGATATTCATTGAAAACATTGCAAATGAACAAGCTGTTGCTATCTGGGGCAGAGGTCTAAAGTTGAGGCAAACAATAAACACACTGAAAACCAAAACAGAGATGACAGAGGAGAGTTTATTTGGGAAATGACAGCACTGAAAAGCATTTCTATGTATTGGAGAGTAGAAAAGCCATATGCATGCCCAAGGAACAGAACTTAGAAGAAAAGACCCTAAGCTTTCACCTCAAGCTGTTCTTTAGAGTCAGCACAAGCAGGAAGGGAAGGCTAAGGCAGAGTTGTAAATGGACTGGGTAAACACTGAATGAGAGCCCCAACACAGAGCCAATCTGCAAAGACTGAAAGAGTTTTTTGTTCTTTTCTATTATTTTCTTTTGGCCCTAGGAATTCAATAAAATCTGTCAAAAAAAAATCTTACAAGCTAAAGCAAAATCTTACATGCTAAAAATGAATCTTACAAGCCAAAAAAAAATTTTTTTTTGAGATGGAGTCTCGCTCTGTCGCCCAGGCTGGAGTGCAGTGGCGCAATCTCGGCTCACTGCAAGCTCCGCCTCCTGGGTTCATGCCATTCTCCCACCTCAGCCTCCCAAGTAGCTGGGACTACAGGTGCCCACCACCACACCTGGCTAATTTTTTGTATTTTTAGCAGAGATGAGGTTTCACCATATTAGCCAGGATGATCTCGATCTCCTGATCTTGTGATCTGCCTGCCTCAGCCTCCCAAAGTGCTGGGATTACAGGTGTAAGCCACCGTGCCCGGCCCAAGCTAAAAATCTTACAAGCTAAAATCTTACTAGCTAAAAAATATCTTACAAGCTAAAAAATCTTAAAAGCTAAAAAAATCTTACAAGCTAAAATCTTACTATAAGCTAAAGGATCAGAGATTTCAGAGACTACACACAACAAAAAATACAGACTTTACAATATAGTCAAGATAACTGACCAGAGGTCTCTCATATCCACTTCCCCACTAAAAACTAAAACCATGAGTATATAATCACACTTTGAGTAGATTATCCAAGAGGAACACTGGTATTCAACAGAAAAGCAAGGAAGGAGACGAAACAAGACAGCCTGCCCAGCCGGGATTGGCAAGAAGCTAGGAGAGACTCCACACAGGGAAAGGTTAAGTTAGAGATGCCCAATGGTCCACATTCCTACTGTGAACCCCTGGAATTTTAGTCACAGGAGAGACCCTAGCCCCTTGCAGGACAAAAAATTCACATAGAGGGCTGCCCAGAGACAGCACAAAAGCATTTCCTATTCCAGTGAGGAAGTTCACACTGGGTCCCACGCTCCCCCCGAGTCCTAAGCAGCTACAGCAAGGTGATATTTTGAAGCCCAGCTCACAACAGAATGCGTACTCCCCTGGGGCCCAGTGGCATCGTAAAAAAGAATGTAATCATGTCATTCACAGCAACATGGATGGAACTGAAGGTCATTATGTCGAGTGAAATAAGCCAGGAACTGAAAGACAAATATAACAAGTTCTCATTCATATGTGGGAGCTAAAAAGTTGATCACATGAAGGTAGAGTGGATTGGTAGCAGAGACTGGCAAGGTTATATGGGTGGGAAGAGGGAAATGAAGAGATGTTGGTTAATGGGCACAAAAATACAGACAGAAGGAACAAGTTCAAATGTTTGATAGAAGAGTAGGGTGACTATAGTTAACAACAATGTATTGTATTTTTCAAAATAGCTAGAAGGAACTTGAAATGTACCTAGCTTCCTCCAACTTACAGTTAATGGTTATTCTGACCTATACTGATCTTAAATAAGAGAATAAATTGATGTAATCATACATTCTTATAAATACTATATTAGACATTTAATTTGCCTCTACAAATAAAATCATACGACTATTCTTCAAAATAGTGTCAACTAGTCTTTCTATTAAAAGAACATTTAAAAATGAGATACCATGATAGTAGGCTCTATAGTAACCTCAGTGGTCTAGTAAAATGTGTTAGCTCTATAGAAAGAGTTCTCTGGTTCACAGTTTTGGTCCATAGATAATATAATCAGGTCTCAAGAGTAAAAATGATTTCAAGATACACCAAAGACATAAGAAATATATATGAGGAAAGATTGGCAGAGGTCTTCAGAAGCTAACTAGAAGAAAATGATGGTTTGTCAGCCATTTAATCAAGATTTTAAATCAAATACATATTTCAAAACATTAATTTTTTGCTTTCATGTTGCTCTCAGGATCTAGCTTTAATATTACCTTATGTCATGAGATAGCCCATGACAGGATTTTTTAACCACCTTATATGTAATTATAAAGAATAGTCAGCAAACATTTATGGGCATCAATTTGTTTTGATACCTAGCCCAAGGCAGATTCACCATAAATTGTACTCCAGTAACACTTTCATTTTCTATGCATGTGAAAACACACACGCCAGCCATACAAGCATTAAAAAAATAAAAATATATATTATGCATGTACCTAGTATTAGCATAGCATAATTAAAACAATCCATGCATAAAAAGGAAAATGCTGTTTTTTAATACTTACCACAAGCTTTAGAAGCAGCAATACAGATTTCTTCTGCAACATACTCCCCAGATGGAAAGGTCAGATAATCTGCCTCAGATTTCCCAAGGGAATGGTAAAGATACACCTGAAGAACTGGATCTATTTGCTTCATAGAATTGGCATTTCCAGAAATATCACCATTCTGATATATAGAAGAGGTGGATGTTCCCTCCATTTCTGTCATCGTAAGGCAGGCCATTCCCATGCAGAGTCTTTTTCAGAACATTTGCCTGTAAGAGAAAACAATAAAGTTACAAATGGGCTGGGCGCAGTGTCTCACACCTGTAATCCTAGCACTTTGCGGGGCCGAGGCGGGCAGATAGCTTGAGCCCAGAAGTTGGAGACAAGCCTCAGCAACATGGTGAAACCTCATCTCTACAAAAACATACAAAAGAAAAAAATTAGCTGGGCGTGGCAGCACGCACTTGTAGTCCTAGCTACTCTGGGAGTGGAGCGGAAGAATTGCTTGAACCTGGGAGGATGAGGCTGCAGCAAACCTCCGCACTCCACCGCACTCCAGTCTGGGTGACACAGCAAGACCCTGTCTCAAAAATGAATACATAAATAAATAAAGTTACAAATGGAAATAATATTGATAAGGCACCCTTCATACACAAAGAAGGACTGCTCCTTGACAGCAATGGCTGTCAAATCCATTAACTGGATAAATATCGTGTATTACTACATACAAAGCACAATGCAAGAAATCATACATTTTAAACTTCCTGTGGACAAAGATTATAAAATTCCAGTTAACAACCTAATTGAGGACGATGATATAAAATCCTAACATGAACAAACAAGCATTAAACTCAGTTACAGACAACAGAAGAAGAGATCTCAAATTGGGGGAAGAGGGGTCCAGAAGGTTGACTAGAGTTATCTGGTACTCACCTGCTCCACAAAGAAGAACCAAAATAGCGAGTAGATAATCACACTTTGAATAGGTCATCTAAGAGAGAACACGGAAATTCAACAGAGAAGTGATAGAAAACACCTAATGCAAGGAAGGAGAGGGAAGTGGGGCAGCCTGCTCAGCCAGGATCAGCCAGAAGCCTAGAGAGCCTGCACAATGTGGGGAAAGAGTAAGTGAGAGACTCCCAGTGGCCCACATTTTCACTGCAAACTCCTGCAATCCCAGACACAAGAGAGCCCGTCAACTTTCATGGGCCCTGGGAGTAACATAGGGAGCTGCCTGGAGACTGCACAATGACATTGCTTTAGAGAGGGAGCTTATGCTGGTCCAACACACCCCTGAGTCCTAAGCAGCTACAGCACGGTGCCATTTTTAAAGCCCAACCCACACCAGAATGCCTCCTACCCTGGAGCCCAACAGCCCCTGCATATCCACACCCCTAGAGCCCCACTGACATCCTCCACCGACAGTCACCTCCATTGCTGGCTGCCGCCTCTGGGACCAAAGCACAAGCCATTGGCAATAACCCCACTGCTCCCAGCAGAAGGGCTGCCATATATTGGTATGTGCCCTGAGGACAAGCTCTACCACCTACAGCTGCCACCATTGCAGGCTGCTGCCGCTAGGTGTCAAAATGCAAATTTGCATGCACCCTGAGTACAGCTTCATCACATCTACAGCCTCCACCTGCAGCTGCAGTGCACACTCCTTAGCCAACTCCCTACAACTGCTCCCACTGACAGCAACTGCACCCTCCCCAGCATCAGGGCACAGCACAGCCACTGCTGCCCCCACCTGAACATTCCACCAGGAAATTGGAAATCATCCTGCTCCTGCCCACCACAAACAGCACCTGCTAACACCACTGGAGGGCCTGAGGATACTCTCACCCTGCCCAGCTCAGCACCCCACTCCCACGTATCCAAGCATGTTATCTGGGGGCCTTGGGATCGCACCAGTTTGTCCACGTCCAGTGTCAACTGAGCATTCCACCTGGGGGTCTGAGGATGTGGCCCACCCAACCTGCCACTACCACCACAGCTGGTTCCCACTCACACTTGCCACCTGCAGGTTTTAGGACTTGCCTACCCAGCCAATCGCCGTCACTGCCGACATAAGCACAGACAACTGGACAGCCAGAGGTTCTCCTACCACTGCTACTGACATAACCCATGCCATGCTCACTGCCCAGGGGCCTGTGGACCCACTCAGCTGCCCAGCCCATCACTGCCACTCCTGGTACCCAAACAAGTCACCTGGAGACCCAAAAATTGGACTGCCTGGACCCACTAACACCATTACTAATGTAAGCCACCCTGGGGCTAATGTACAGGCATGGTTGTCCAACTGCTGCCACAACTGAGGACTGAGGATCAGTCCAGCTGGTGTCACCATCCCCAGCAAAAGTTCACCACAGCCTCCACAACCACACACTATGCCACTGAGGAAATCACAGACACCACTGATGCTGTTTACAAAGGAAAAAAAATCTTACAGAGACTACACTACTGCATGCACCCAGATTCAAACCCAAAGTGCCCTGGCCAACAAACACCCCAGTCAAATCTTCAGGAAAAAGTCCTACCCTATGAAAGCAAATTCAAAAAAATGGAAGTGATGATTACACCAGATGTGTGGATATCAAAGAAGTAAGGTCACAAGAAACATGGGAACATAGGGAAATATGACATCTCCAAAGGATCAAAATAATTTTCTACCAAAAGATTCCAATGCAAAAGAAATTCATGAAATGCCAGAAAAAGAATTAAAAATAATGATATTAAAGAAGCTCAGGGAGATACAAACGCATACAGATAAACAATACAAAGAAACCAGAAAAACAACTCAGGATATCAATGAGAAATTTACCAAAGAGAGAGATATCATTTAAAAAGAAAACAAGAAACCCTGAAACTGAAGAATTCATTTAATGAAATAAAAAATACATTCTAGAGCATCTACGAAGAAAGAATTTCTGAACTTGAAGACAGGTCTTCTGAAATAACCCCATTAGACAAAAATAAAGAAAAAAGAATGAACAAAGCCTGCATGACATATGGGATACCATAAAGCAAACTAATATTAGAATTTTCAGTATTCTAGAAGACAATGAAAATACAAAAGGAATAGAAAACCTGGTTAATGAAATAATAGCTGAAAACTACCCAAGTATATCAAGAGATTTAGACATTCAGATACAGAAGCTCAGAGATCCCCAAAAAGACAAAATTCCAACAGGTTCTCCACAACACATTAGAGTCAAACTGTCAACAGTTTGTCAAAGACAAAGAGAGAACTGTTGTCAGAGACAACAGCTTGTCAAAGACAAAGAGAGAATTCTAAAAACAGCAAGAAAAAAGAGTCTAGTCACTTCTAAGGGAAGCTCCATCAGACTAACAGCAGATTTCTCAGCAGAATCATTACAGGCCAGGAAGAGAATGGAACGATATATGAAAAGTGCTGAAAGAAAAAAACCTGCAAGTCAAGGATACTATACCCAGCAAAATTATCCTTCATTAAGCAAAGGAAAAATAGTTTTTCTGAGGCAAGCAAAAGCTGAGGAATTCAACACTACTAGACCAGACCTACAAGAAATGCTTGAGGGAGTTCTACATATGGAAGTCAAAGAACAATGTCAGGCCAGGCACAGTGGCTCAAGCCTGTAATCCTAGCACTTTGGGTGGCTGAGGCAGGCAGACTGCTTGAGCCCAGGAGTTCAAGAGCAGCCTGGACAACATGGCAAAACCCCATGTCTACGAAAAATACAAAAGAATTAGCCAGGCATGGTGGCAGGTTTCTGTAGTCCCAGCTACCTGAGAGGCTGAGGCAGAAGGATCACCTGAGACCATGGAGGTCGAGGCTGCAGTGAGCCATGATCACACCACTGCACTCCAGCCTGGAGGACAGAACAAGAGCAAAACCCTGTCTCAAAAAAGAAACAAACAAACAAACAAAAAGGACAATTACTACCATTATGAAAAACAGATGACGAAAGTATCAAACCCACTGGTAAAGCAAACACACACAGACAAGAAAGGATTCAAATGTTATCACTATAGAAAACCAACAAACCACAATGCTAAACAATATGAGAGAAAGAAAAGAACAAAGGACCTACAGAACAACCAGAAATCAATTAATAAAATGACAGGAATAAGCCTTCACATATCAAGAATAAACTTGAATGTAAATAGATTAAACTTTCCACTTAAAAGATAGAGAATGGCTAAATGGACTAAAAAACATGACCCAACTACATGCCACTTACAAAACCTCATCTCACCTTTAAAGATACACATAGACTGAAAGTAAAGGGATAGAAAAAGATATTCCATGCAAAGGTATATCAGATACAACAGACTTTAAGTCACAAACAGTAAAGAGACAAGGTAATTCTAGAATGATAAAGGGATTAATTCATCAAGAGGATATAACAATTCTAGAACTTCTAATGTATCAAAACAACAACAACAAAACCTGGCAATTACTGTAACAGATATAAAACTGCAAGATTTTTGAAGTTCATCTGCAACTGGATATGCAACTTTAAAGAATTAATTTATTCAAAAATACATAATTCCTTGAAATCTATTACATCGTATCTTATTATAGTCAGTATTAAATGCAGCAAAAGCAGTTATAAGAGGGAAGTTTATAGCAATAAATACCTACATCAAAAAGGAAGAAAGATGTCAAACAACATTACATTACACCTCAAGGAACTAGAAAAAGAAGAACAAAGCCCAAAGCTAACAGAAGGAAGGAAAAAATGAAGTTCACAGCAGAAATAAATGACATAGAAACTATAAAAATGATGGAAAAGATTAACAAATCTAAGAGTTGGTTTTCTGAAAAGATAGAAAGTTAATTTAAACGAAGTTCTTAGCATTAAGGAGTAAATTTGCTAGAATTTTATCAGTTTGTGCCCACCACTGACTTTGGATTGTTTTGTGCTCATCATTGTTTTGGGTCTTCCTTCAGGACTCACTTTTTCCTGCTGAAATGTATCTTTTAGTAGACCTTTCAGTGGGGCTCTGTGGGTTTTTAAGTTGTAGTCTTTGAAAAAAATATGTTGCCCTCACTCTCAAAATCCTATTTATAATTTTCTTTCCCCAGAACTTTAAAGATATTACTGCATTGTTTTGTGGTATCTATTAACATAAATATGAAGTCTGCTATCACTCCTACATGTCATGGCTTTCCCTCAAGTAGTTTAAAACTTGTTTGCATTAGCAGCAATGTTCTGCAATATTTTTGGAAAGGTTTTGATGTAGATTCTTCTTTATCTTGATCAAAAATGACTACATACTTTTAATCTAAAGATTCATGTCTTTTTTCTATTCTAGGAAATTCTCAGCTACTATGCCGTCAAATGCTACTTCTTTGTTATTCCCTCTAAATTATTTTAGCAGAACTGTTCACTGACCATGGAGGCCTCTCAAGCTCACTTCCATATCCTTCCATTTCTTTCTCATGGTGAAAAAAAGTTAGGATAATGGTTAGCTTGGCAGGGTTGGGATAGTGGGAGGGCATGGAGAATAACTGGCAGGAGGTACAGGGAGACCTCTGGGGTGCCTCCTGCCAGTAATTCAGGTGATACTCTATTTCTTGATCTAAGTAGTGGTTAACAAAGGTGTGTTCACTTTATGAAAATTTGTTAAGCTGTGCATTTATGAGTAGCATACTTTCCTGTTTGTGTGTTACACTTCAATTAGAGGTTTACTTACATTTTTAAATTTTATCAGGAAAAAATTCATTTTTCAATTTTTAATTTTGTTGACTATTTTTCTTAGCACTACATTTCTTCATATATTTTGCAATTTGGTTTGCAGGCTCATTGCACCATTCCTCACCTCACCTTGCCCTCAACACACACACATACACAGTCTGTGGTGTCCCTCCTCATCTAACAATCTGTGGCTGCCACAACTTAGCCTACCTGGGCTATCCATATATAGAACCAGGTCTTATAACAGCAGGTTAAAATTCCTGCCTTGAGGAGGTATCTGATACGATGCAGATCCAGTCAGTCACAAGGCAGGAGATACTTCACTTCATCCTGAAGTTCCTAAATCATGTCATCTCATCTTCCTAAGCTTGCAACTTATCCAACACTATAGCAGTAGGCAGCGTTTGGCGGGAGGTTCCCCTTCCAATAGTCTATTTGGAGGGAAGCGACGGCTGGCAGTAAAAGTAACATCCTGGACCTGCCTCTAGTCATCCATGTTGTACCACAAGAGCAAAACTGTCTCCAATGCCTACTTCTGTACAGGAAACCCAGCAAGCATAGCATAGGCTTTAACCACACTCAGTATTTTGCACTTATAATCTATATATATGTACAGCTTGATCTATTTTTATTCAGGATATTTTTTACTCTTTTTATATTTTAATATGACACAATCGTGTTTAGAACAGAAAGGATGGTAACTGGAAATCACACTGCCTTAAACATACACTCATATCCCAGAATTCCATAGGCACTCAGTAAATGTTTCCCGAATTTAAATGAATTCAATCATTTAGAAAATGCATTGATGCTTTGCTACGAAAAAGAATCAAAAGAATAAGTGACTCGAATTGGCTTTTTTCTTTTCCTGGAAGTACATGACGAGAAAGAAAACAATAGGATCACTTGAGCCCAGGAGACCGAGGCCGCAGTGAGCAGTGATTGTGCTCATGCCACTGCACTCCAACCTGAGTAACAAAGTGAGACCTTGTCTCAAAAAAAAAAAAAAGAAAAGAAAAAGAAAAAGAATACAATGATCACAACTACAACCAGCATTACTGCTTTGATTTGTGCTAAGGTGCCAGCCGTTTAACTCACTATTACTTCTGTACCATTTGTGCATATGTCAACTCAATGAAAAAGACATTTAACATCTTGGCATTATTATGAAAATCATTTTAATTTCATTAAACCCTTGAATAGGTTTTTAGGATACCCAGGCATCCTCTAGAGACCACGTTCTGAGAACTGCTACAATTCTACGTCTAGTTACAAACTTCATGCATATTTACACCAAGAGACACATTACAAGAATATTCATTGCGCCTCAGCTTCCAATGGCAAAAACTGCAAACAACCCAAACTATCAGGAAAATAGGTAAATACTTTTGTGCATTTATACTACAGAATCTGTTCCTCAGTTGTTAAAATAAATGAACTATAGCTTTATGCAACATGGATAAATCTTAAAAATACAATGTTGCAAAAGCAGTAAATTATAGAAAACTGTAAGCTGTAAAATACCGTTTTTCTAAATTTCAAAAACAAGCAAAACTGAATAGTACATTGTTTAGGCATATACATGTGTTAAACAAATCTCCCCCCGCCCCCGCAAAAAAAAAATAAAAAATCAAGGAAATGTTAATCCCAAAATACAATACACAATGGTTACTTCTGCAAGATAGACAGGAGAATAGCTAGGGAGAAACACATATGTAGGTGCAAATTGCTGGCAACATTCTAGTTCCTGGGGTGGGTGGTAGTTTCATGGGTGTTTAACATATTGTCATTTATAACTCTCATATAAGTTACATCTATTCTAGTTTTACAGGATTTTCCCTCCTAAATACAATCAAATGCACAAATCTTAAGTGTACCAGTCAATAAGTTTGGACACTGCATATACCTATGTAACCCAAAGCCCTAAGAAATTATCAGCATCCCAGAAAGTTCTTCCATGCTCCTTCTCCATCAGTCCCTGCTCCAACCACTCAAGTGGCCACAGCTGTTCTGATATTTTCCCACCATAGATTAGATTATGATTTTGCTCATTGTCTTGTACCACTAGAATGAAAGTTTCTTGAAGGTAAGAACCTTAATGTATTATTTACTACTGCACTCAGTGCCTAGGATACTCTCTGACACATGAAAGTTGTTGAATAAATGAAGAGTATATAAAAGCTGTAATTAAGTCTGGTCAACATGTGTTGATTAACAAATCTGTTGAATAAAGAGTAAATAAGAGGCTGGGTACAGTGGCTCACACCTGTAATCCCTGCACTCTGGGAAGCCAAGGTGAGAGGATCACTTTAGCTCAGGAGTTCAAGTCCAGCCTGGGCAACATAGTGAGAACCTGTCTCTACGAAAAAAAAAAAAAAAAAAAGAAAGAGTAAATAAAAGTTATAATAAATTTTAATCAACTGTACACATACACTCAAAAACCAGTACCTCAAATATCACATTTTAAAAGTTCATATTTTCAAACTTTACTCATATACTACATAATTCTAAGAGACACAACTTTTCAGATCAATAAATATACATGAAGAAGTAATGCAGTAGATTAGAAAAATTACTAACCTGGGAGCCAAGAGACCTAAAAATAAGTTTCATCCTTTCTTATTGCAAACTACTTACATGACAAATGAATCTCAGCTTCCTCACTTGTATAATAAAATTACTTAATTAAATTTCCGCTGTTCCTCCCAATTCTTAAAAATCTATGATTTATAGTAAATTACACATCATCTAAGTACAAAATAAATTTTAAAAATTAAGTGCTACAAAATGACAAGAAGAAAATGATCATAATTATTTAAAACAAAGAAAGGTTTTAGAAGTTTCACACAACAATTAAAACATAGGCTGGACCTTAAAAGGAAAATAGAATTTTGACAAGTAATGAAAAACAGGGCATTATTGGCAGGGAGAAAAGCATGCAAAACATGGAAAGAGGAATGTACACAGCATGTTCCTGGAACAAAGTAGAGACAAGTTTGGCTGGATTGGAAGGTTCAGATAGGTCAGTGCTTCTCAACTTTTCCACAGAAATGTCCCAAAAGGCAATGGAGTGGTCTGAAGAAGAAGCCAAGAATATAAAATACATTTAAATGTTTACCTTTAATATCCATGTGATTTTGCATTCTATTGCAAGATATAACCATTTTGATTTACTTTCTTTAGTATACCAAAATTTTATAGTCCAAGTAGATATACTATGTTTTTCCTACAATTATTCCTATACTACTTTGGTAAACCTAAATATGGTGAGGTGAAATGTAAAAGAATTTTGTATTGTACTCTAAAGACCACTCCTATTTTTTTTTATCACAAAAGAAGAAGATATAAGTTATTAGAAAAAAAGTGCTTTGGGTTGTTTTCTTATTGAGCAAGAAAGAAAATACAAACAGAAAAGAGGTCTTAACAAGCTTTCATACTTTGAGATAATAAAGAATTTGGTCAACCTTTATTCTTCTCTTTTTTCACCCCTATATCCAGTCCATCAATATGTACTGATAGTTTTACTTCCAAACTATATTTCAAATCCATCCATTGGCTTTTTTTTCCACAACTACCATCATACACTAAACAGCTATTATTTCTCTCCTGAACTATTGCAATGTCCTCCTAACTATTTTCCCTAAGTCTACTTTGCCTCCCAATAACCTAATCTCCCACAGGAGCCACCCTCATATTTTACGAATGTTTAGACTAAAATTCCATTATCTGTTTGCTGCTTACCTCTCCAACCTCATCATACAACTCTTGCTATGTGCTCTTTCCACTACTAAATTATAGGCTTCAATACCTTATAATTCAACAAAGAACCTCATCTGCCTTGTCAAACGATCTATTCTTAGCAGGTAGAAAAATCCTGAGATACAAATCTTACTAAATATTTAATTTATTAATGCTATGCTCATAAAAATAACAAAATAATTATTTTATTATACATACGGTATAATTTCGGGATCTCCAGACCAAGGCTGGGTTGCCTCCCTTAATGAGAAGTTCAGAAAAATCATGTGCATTCCCTTCTGCCCCAAACACCAAGGAAATGATAAATAACAACAATTTTAAGTAATTTTTAACATACAGATTTTTGATAATGAGAGAGTAGTTTATACTACACTAATGTTCCTGATGACGACAATTATAAACTTTTTAAAAATATATATTTATAAAAACACCATTTGAAGGCATTGTCAAAGAAACAAAAGCAGATACAAATCGGGGGGATATGACCCTTGAAAGAAGGGGAATACACTGAATGAGGCCCATACTTACTCTTCTTCCATCCTGAGACAACTACATACACAGTCTGTTGTGTACAGGCAGGGGCCAGAGGAGGGGACAGAGCTCTTGTAAAAAGCTGCAGTCTTACTGGGTGAAAGTATCAGAGAATGAAGTTTGGAGCTGCTAGAAAAGCCAAAAATTGAGGGCAGAAATCTCAGGAAAATGGGAGTCAGTGGGGCCTGACTCCTGAATTCCCATCCATAGGATGAAAATCGAAGCCCAGGGACAGGCAATAGCTAGAAATCTGAAAGAACTGGGAAGAGATTTCAACAGCTATCTGGTCCTGGAGAGTCAGGATTTAGTGTTAGAGGGAACTGGTAAATATCTCAGGCTTTCCACTGAAACGCCAGAAAAGCCACACTTGAAGAATAAGAGCCACTTACCAGAAGTAATGGCAAAACTGAAATAGACCTGTCCCAACAAAGCCTAAAACCAAGCCTCCGCAGGATCAAGTTGGTCTGCTAGTAAATTTAACTGCCTGCTAGAACAAAACTCATTACTTCAGAGAAAGATTGAAATCCACATCATCCGGAGTTTCTACACTGTATCACCCACAATGTACAATAGTCAGCTGAAACTTATTAAACATGAAAAGAAGAATATATATAATAGAAATGGACCCAAAGCAGACCCAAATATTAGAATTTATTTTAAAGACTTTGTTTACTATGATACATATGTAATAGAATTTACAGTAAAAAATTAATATAATGCATGAAGATAAAGAAGCCATATGTAAACTCTACAATATCAAGAAATCTAGGCCAGGAGTCATGGCTCATGCCTTTAATCCCAACATTTTGGGAGGCCAAGGCAGGAGGATTGCTTGAGTCCAGGAGTTCAAGACTAGCCCTGGCAACATAGCAAGACCCCATCTCTACAAAAAAATTTTTTTTTAATTTGCTGGGCATGGTGCTCTGTGCCCGTAGTCCCAGCTACTTGGGAGGCTGAGGTAGGAGGATTACTTGCGCTCAGGAGTTTGAGGCTGCAGAAAGCCGTGATCACACCACTGAACAACAAGAGTAACAAAGTCTGATACATATAAGTGGAACAGAGGAAATACTTGAAAAAATACTGGCTAAATGTTTTCCAAGTTTGTTTAAAAAAATCAAACCACCGATCCAAAAAGTTCATCTGAATCCAATCTATACAAATCCATACTTAAGTCACATTATAGCCAAACTGCTAAAAACCAAAGACAAAAAGATAATCTTAAAAGCAGTCACATACATACAGGAGAACCAAGACAAGAAATAGAACTGACATCGCTTCAGAAGTAATGGAGGCCAGAAGACAAAGTACTGGTAGGGAGAGGGGGAAAGCTGTCAACCCAGAATTCTACAATCCTGAAAAATAATTCTCATACTACTGGATCTGTTGTATTATAAAAAATAAGAATTTTCAAAATTCAAGGCAAAACAAATATGTTTTCAGATAAATGGATGCTGAGAGAGTACATCACCAACAAACTCACACTCAAGAACTGATAAAGAAAATCATGTGGATTAAAGGAAATATTACATGTAAACTCAGGTTTACAGAAAGGAATGAAGAGCTCAAAAATAGTAAATATGTGATTAATTATAATATTATTCTTCTTCCATTTATTAAATGTATTAAAAGGCAACTGACAGCCAGGCGTGGTGGCCCACGCCTGTAATCCCAGCATTTGGGAGGCCGAGGCGGGTGAATCACCTGAGGTCAGGAGTTCGAGACCAACCTGGCCAACATGGTGAAACCCTGTCTGTACTAAAAATATAAAAATTAGCCGGGCATAGTGGTACACGCCTGTAATCCCAGCTACACGGGAGGCTGAGGCAGGAGAATTGCTTGAACCCCGAAGGCAGAGGTTGCAACGGAGGTCATGTTTACTGCACTCCAGCCTGGGCGACAGAGCGAGACTCCGTCTAAAAAAAAAAAAGACAACTGACAATTGTTTAAAGCATGAATAATAACGGTGTATGGTAGGGCTTAAAATAGATATAAAAGTAAAACAGGTAACAACAGTAGCTAAAAGGAGTAAAATTAAAAGTTTATATAAACGAATTCATGGCGGCTCCGACAAATAAGAAAAGGTGCTATCAGCAAATCAGAAATTTACAGTAATTCCAGGAAGATCAAAAGTAGATAGGACTAGAATGACAGAGTAGAGGAAATAGACTCTATTTAAAACATACATAGGCTAGGTGCGATGGCTCATGCCTCCAATCCCAGCAATTTGGAAGTCCAAGGCGAGAGGATCGTTTGAGCC